>NC_000001.11:5246290-7746290 GCF_000001405.40 Homo sapiens | reverse complement strand
ATAAAATATTTTTACAAAGCAGATACACACACAGATATGTTATATAGTGAATCTTAATAAATTGGAGACTTCCAAAAAAATTCTACAAATTCAGAGGAAAAAAAGAAATAGTAAATGTTTTTGTTCGCATGATTCTGACTTTCATCTGTCCTCTCTGATCTTAAGAATGTCACAAAACGAAGGTTCTGTTCTAGTTTACCTTGTATTTCCGGAAAGCTGTCTGGACAAGCCTGGCAGCCTCATAGAGTTCTCTCTGTTCATGATCAGACAGAGTGAGCTGAGCAAACTCATTCTCTACCTTCTCACTGGTAGATGCACTCAGGAATTCTGACCAATCCGCGGCGGAGGGAAGGTTAGGTTTCTCGAAAGCGATTTCACTGACGGGAGAGCCAACAGGGCTCAAGCTGGTATTAGAAGAAGGGGTTAGAGGCTCGTTATATGCACTTCTGAAACAAGAGGAGAAAAAGGAGAGACAGATTAATGATTGATTTGCACCACCCATTAGATATTAATGAATGAGCCAAGATGGTATCTGCCAGAAGCCACTGTGGGCAATTAGGAACATGCCTTCATTCAGTTAGGCAAGTTGCTAAACATACCCAGTGTCCTTCGATTGAGTAAGTTTATACTCAACACCTATCATAACTTTAGTACTATGCTAAATACTAAAACCTAGTAGCAGTACACTCTACTGCCATTAGAAAACTTCAGCTGAATTAGGGGGAAACATTATGCTACATTATCTCTCTTTTTTTTCTTTTTTTTGAGACAGAATCTTGCTCTGTTGCGCAGACTGGGGTGCAGTGGTGCAATCTCAGCTGATTGTAACCTCCGCCTCTTGGGTTCAAGCAATTCTCCTGCCTCAGCCTCCCAAGTAGCTGGGATTACAGGCGCCTATCACCATGCCCGGCTAATTTTGTATTTTTAGTAGAGACGGGGTTTTACCATGTTGGCCAGGCTGGTCTCAAACTCCTGACCTCAGGTGATCCACCCGCCTTGGCCTCCCAAAAGTGCTGGGATTACAGGCATGAGCCACCGCGCCCAGCTTAACACGATCTCTTATGCTCTGATAGCAGTAAAAAAAATAATGGGAGAGGTAGGAATAGGAGCTGGGCCTTGAAAGTGGCAACAGAGCTTGTCCTCATGCTTCCTTCCTTCCTTGGTATGGTCTTCTATGACACGGCATTCATCAAATACAATCAGCCTCCCCTGCCTCCAATTACATCCGGGAATCTATGCTGGGTAGTGACCTCCGTAACTTTACTCACCGGATCTGGGCAGCACTGGGAAGGCAGTCAGCATCCGCTAGATAACTGGCCAGCCAGCTCATTGTACTGCTAATGGTGGCAGGGTCTGTTCTTTCCAATCCTGAGGACTCCATGGGCACAAAATTCTCCTGCTTGATTCGGTCAGGTGTGGCTTCAATAATGTGTTCTGCCAAGGTCATCATGTTCACCTGAAGTCAGAAGTTCACAGAACACTCAGGTTAGAAAGGAACCTTACAAGTTATCCAGGTCTACCTCCCTGCCTCGCCTTGGAGAGAAAAAAATAATCAGGCAGGAGGGCAGACTTCCACCTCAATCCAATGCAATGAAATACCATTTTAAGGTTATAACATAACACACCAAAATGTGCTGAGATCCTGAGACCTGATTATCTCCAAGTCATAGTCTGGCCCCAAACCTTTAGTCCAGTCTTGGAGAACTTCTGGCTTGTATGTACTCCCTACTCTCAGGGTCAACCAATTAATGACACTGGGCAGTTCTAGAGTAACCTGTAATATTAATGAGGTGTCACTATTAGTTACATAACCAATATCTAACCACCCCCTTTTGTCTGGCCTAGAGAACCCCGGTCTAGGCTGGGAACAGTGGCTCATGCCTGTAATCCCAGCACTTTGGGAGGCCGAGGTGGGTGGATCACTTGAGGTCAGGAGTTCCAGACCATCCTGGCCAACATGATGAAACCCTGTCCCTACTAAAAATACAAAAATTAGCCAGGTATGGTGGTGCTTGCCTATAATCCCAGCTACGTGGGAGGCTGAGGCAGGAGAATCACTTAAACCTGGGAGGTGGAGGTTGCAGTGAACCAAGATCGCGCCACTGCACTCCAGCCTGGGCGACAGCGCGAGACTCCAACTCAAAAAAAAAAAAAAAAAAAAAGAGGCCAGGCGCAGTGGCTCACGCCTGTAATCCCAGCACTTTGGGAGGCCAAGGCTGGCGGATCACGAGGTCAGGAGATTAAGACCATCCTGGCTAACACGGTGAAACCCCGTCTCTATTAAAAAATACAAAAAATTAGCTGGGCGTGGTGGCGGGCGCCTGTAGTGCCAGCTACTCGGGAGGCTGAGGCAGGAGAATGGCATGAACCTGGGAGGTGGAGCTTGCAGTAAGCCAAGATCGCGCCACTGCACTCCAGCCTGGGCGACAGAGTAAGACTCCGTCTCAGAAAAAAAAAAGAAAAGAAAAGAAAAAAAGAATCCTCAAAGCTGGTCTGGATTAAGATATTCTTTATGAGAATCAGAGATGTGGACTGATTCTTAAAAATGTCCTTGCATACCTCTTAGGAGTGGTAACTGAAACACAGCACTTCGGGTTCTTAAGTGAACTGAAAATGTTCTCGATGGAACTATACAAAGTGACAAAATGCTTCTCCTGCCAACACGAAGGAGCCTCAACAACATCCTGCTAAGTGGAAACAGCCGCAGTGGGCTGCATGGTGCATGATTCCACTTACATGAAATGTCTAGAAAAAGCAAACCTCTGGGGATAGAATCAGATCAGTGGTTGCCTAAGGCTGGGCAGAGACGGACTGCAGATGGGCACAGGGCACCGTGCAGTGAGATGGAAGTGTTCTAGAAAGGGACTATGGTGATGGTTGCTCAGCTGTATATGTTTACTAGAAGCCATCCCCTGAGCATTTAAAATGGGTAAATTTTATCATACGTAAATTATACCTCAATAAAGCTGTTAAAAATGCTTATTGTGGATAATTTTATAAATTTTTTATCATACGTAAATTATACCTCAATAAAGCTGTTAAAAATGCTTATTGTGGATAATTTTATAAATTTTCATCAAAGAACAATTCGTTTTTGTAATAACAATAAAAATAAAAAATTTAAGAAAAATATATTGGGCCAGGCGTGGTGGCTCAGGCCTGTAATCTCAGCACTTTTGTGAGGCCGAGGCGGGTGGATCGCCTGAGCTCAGGAGTTCAAGCCCAGCCTGGGCAATATGGCGAAACCCTGTCTCTACCCAAAAAAACCCCCAAAATTAGCCAGATATGGTGGTGCAGGCCTAGTGCTTTCTTACAGTATCTGTAATCCCAGATACTAGAGAGGCCAAGGCAGGAGAATTGCTTGAACCCAGGAGATGGAAGTTGCAGTGAGCCAAGATGGCACCACCGCACTCCAGCCTGGGTGACATAGCAAGACTCTGTCTCAAAAAAAAATTGCAGCTTTCTTTCACCTTCTCTATTGGCCGTCTTGATTTGTGACTCAAACGGTAGGAAGTAAATCTTGCTTTATTCTTTTTCCATGAAAGTATTCAAATATATTAAAAGTAAGGTGGAATTTCTGAAGCCTAAAAGGTTATCACTCTACAATCACTTTCCTAAATCCTCCATTTTATAAACATGTAACAATGTAAAAACATCTTAAGTAACGTTCTCAGTAGTTGGACCTGAAAAGTCACGTCACTCATTTCTAAATTTCATGGATTGTGCTCAGAGAAGACGGCCTTTAAATGGGTAGCTTTGGATTTTTATTCAAATTTTCTTCGTGTCCTAGTATATGAGCAGTTTTCATAAACATGCCTTGGACACCTGAAAAGAACAATTATATACGTAGTTGCTATGTGTATTAACTACATACACACATATAGTTATATATAAGTATATCATATATTAAATCTATCATATAGTAAATATATATGAAATCAAGCCTTCTGATTTTGTTGTTCAACTTGTTCATATGCTTTTCATATCTACTTGATCTGAAAAATTCTGAGCTATGTGTGTTAGTAGCACACTGTGATTATGGGTCCACATTTCTTTGTATTTACTAGTATTTGCTGTAATGTTTCAAGGTTATGGTGCTAGGTACACAATAGTTTATAACTGTCATATCTTCTAGATAAACTGTATGTATATATATATGTATATATACACACACACATTAATTTGCCTTGAATTGTACTTTTTATCTTTCTTTTTATACTCGTTTATCTATTATAGCTGTTATCTATCATTTCATTTTCATTGTTTCTCTTTCATTTCATTTTGATTGTATTTCTTACAAGTAGCATATAGTATATCCTGCTTTTATTTAAAAAAAAAAAAAAAAACAACCCGAGGCCGGGCATGGTGGCTCACACCTGTAATCCCAGCACTTTGGGAGGTGGAGGCAGGCAGATCACAAGGTCAGGAGATCGAGACCATCCTGGCTAACACAGCAAAACCTCCACCTCCAGGGTTCAAGCAATTCTTGTGCCTCAGCCTCCCGAGTAGCTGGGATTACAGGGACCTGCCAACACACCTGGCTAATTTTTGTATTTTTAGTAGAGACGGAGTTTCACCATGTTGGCCAGGCTGGTCTCGAACTCCTGAACTCAGGTGATCCTCCCACCTTGGCCTCCCAAAATGCTAAGAATACAGGCATGAGCCACCGCACCTGTCCTTCTGTAGCCCGTTTTTATGCTACCTACCAACTTAACATTTTTTTTTTTTTGAGAGAGAGTCTCGCTCTGTCGCCCAGGCTGGAGTGCAGTGGTGCGATGTCGGCTAGCTGCAAGCTCTGCCTCCTGGGTTCACGCCATTCTTCTGACTCAGCCTCCCGAGTACTGGGACTACAGGTGCCCGCCACCATGCCTGGCTAATTTTTTATATTTTTAGTAGAGACGGGGTTTCACCGTGTTAGCCAGGATGGTCTTGATCTCCTGACCTCGTGATCCGCCCGCCTCGGCCTCCCAAAGTGCTGGGATTACAGGTGTGAGCCACCGCGCCCGGCCAACATTTCTAACTAGCATATTTCAGCCTATCCAGCGCACATCTATCTATATCACGAGTGGAACAAAATCTGTTACTGTCCCTGAACCCGAGAGCTTTCATACACTTTTACTCTCTTCATTTCCCTACACTCCCTGGTTTTGTTAAAATAATTTAGAATTTTAGTTCTAGGAGATAGTTTAAACATTATTCGTCTTCTATTTAAAGAGTCCCTTCCTAACAAATTCCTCTCACATATACCACACTATCGATAATTGCTCAGTTTTACTGTTTGATTGTTCACTCCTCTATGAACGGTTTTGCCACTTTTTCTAAAATTATTTCATTATTTTTAAGTGTTATCTTCTCATTTGGCTAAAAAACTTTCTTTAGACTGCTGCTTTTTTCATAGACACATGCTCTTAATTTGGCAAGATGTTATTCTCTAACAGATCTGTGAAAATAGGAAGTGGATTTTTTAAAGGTTATTTTCTATTTCCTGCATGAACTCTGTTTCAGTGAAGGCCACTTTCAAAAAGCTGCTCTATCCAATGGCTATTTAAACTTAAATAAAATTAGAAACCCAGTTCCTGAGTTGCACTGGCTATATTTCATACATATGCCCTTTACAATAGCTAGATGACAGCCATGCTGATCAAGTGCCCGATTCCACATGTGGCACCAAGTGTCTCCCACGGTGCGTGGTATGGATAGAAGGCACGTCCACCACTGTGGGAAGGTCTAGTGGATGGTACTGTTCTCGATGCTCAGTTGGTTCCCCTCTTTTGAGCTGCTGATTTTCGATGTAATCTAACTTATTCCTAGATATTTATGTTTATATAGTTCTAGATTGCTCAGTTTTGGTGTCTGGTGTGGGTTCCATCAGGAATTGTGTAAAACAGGATTTGGCAAATGATGGCAGGCTGAATTCAGCCAGCTGCCTGTTTATGTAAATAAAGTTTTACTAGGAAACAGCCACACTCCTCCGTTTAATGCTAAGGCTGCTTTGGTGCTGTTAGGGCCGATTAAGTAGCTAGGACAAAGTCTGTATGGCCTACAGAACCTAAAAATATTCACTACTTGGCTCTTTATAGAAGAAATGTACCAGACTCTTGTCTAAAACATTATTTGATTTTTCTGGGCAGTCCTCCCTATGACTGCAGTGGTTGGTAGGTGATATGGTTTGGCTGTGTCCCCACCAAAATCTCATGTTGAACTGTAGCTCCCATAATTCCCATGTGTTGTGGTAGGGAAACTGCAGTGGTCGGTAGGTGATATGGTTTGACTGTGTCCCCACCCAAATTTCATGTTGAACTGTAGCTCCCATAATTCCCATGTGTTGTGGTAGGGAAACTGCAGTGGTCGGTAGGTGATATGGTTTGGCTGTCCTCACCGAAATCTCATCTTGAATTGTAGCTCCCATAATTCCCATGTGTTGTGGTAGGGAAACTGCGGTGGTCAGTAGGTGACATGGTTTGGCTGTGTCCCTACCCAAATCTAATCTTGAACTGTAGCTCCCATAATGCCCACGTATTGTGGGAGGGACCCAGTGGGAGATAACTGAATCACGGGGGTGGTTTCCTCCATACTGTTCTCGTGGTAGTGAAGAAGGCTCTTGAGATCTGATGGTTTTATAAGGGGTTTCCCCTTTCACTCGGCTCTCATTCTCTCTTGCCTGCCACCATATAAGATGTGACTTTCGCCTTCTGCTATGATTGTGAGGCCTCCCCAACCACGTGGAACTGTAAGTCCATTAAACCTCTTTTTCTTTATAAATTCCCCAGTCTGGAGTATGTCCTTATCAGCAGCGTGAGAATGGACTAATACGGTAGGTCAGAAGTGGTGCCCCCGGCAACTCCCCAGAAATGGGAACACATTGGTGAGCATGCAAGCTTCTTTCTCATCCTCTGCAAACAGCAGAGGGCTGGCATGAAGGGGTCCCTGGGATGCAATGAGCAGGAATGGCTCAGAAATCAGGCCTCTCCCAAGATATGCTGACCAGGACATATGATCTCCTCCACACACCTCCCTCTCCTTGTATCACTTCTACAGGCATGGGTGCCCTGTTGAATTCTGAGTCGTTTTTTTTCCCTTTTACGTTTGTTTTAGGTTGCATCAATGGGAAGTTGGAAAGAGAGGAATTCAAACATGTTTTTAGGCTGCCCTTATGGTCCTCCCCTACATATTTTAATAGATGGAATTTGCTTATTAGCCTAATGTCAAGTTTATTTTGGTATATATTCTCTTAGTCCATAACAAGTTTAAGGTCCTGAAAAGATTCTGGAATTTTTAGATTTATTATAAGGGCAATCAATTATCAGCTTCAGGAATATTTCGCTGCCCTCGTGAGAGCCTCACGCCATATATGCCCTTTACAATGGCTAGATGATAGCTATGCCGATCAAGGTCACTCAGATAATTCAAAATCTATCCACGGGCTTCCTGTTCTAGCTATTTTTAGGTCTTGACTATATTCTAACTAGTAACTAGTACTTAAAACAGTGAAATCAATCAACCTAAATGCAAGGAGGAAGCAGATGACGTACTGTAGGGTCCTCAGTGAGTTCTGAGAAGTTGGTACAAAGAGGGAAGGCTTTGCTGAGACCGGGGTCACTGGTATTCAGGCCCTACTCCCGGTGCCCGATTCACCGAATGAAAATGTGGCCCCAAGGAAAGAAGATACTCCAACGATGTTCTGCACAAAGCCAACTTCGAAGGCTTCACGGGGAGGAAAATGACACAACCTTCGGAAATGGACCATAAAGATCACAGCAACTGGAACGCACCAGCCTCTGCGGGCTTACCCTGTCCCTGCTTTTTACCTGTATGTCATCCATGGGCTGGCCGCATTCTTCATTTTCTGCACTATCACGGTAGGACCCCAGCTCTGTATTCACCACCTCTCTGTTAGCCATCATCAGGACACTCATTGGTTCCCGTGGACGCACCTGTGAAGGTGCTGCCTCCTTTCCTACACTGGTCCCCTTCGGATTTCCAGTCACCTGTACTGTAGACACACCAATGTAAAGATCTTTGGAATTCCACTTTCCTACAGGCTGAGATCCAGAGGCTTGAAATGCTGCAGTCTCTGGAGTGGGAGGGGAGAGTTCCCGGCTGAAGTCCCTCACTCCTTCACTGGGGCTGAGTGTCTCGGGGACAGACTGCTTAGAACTAGGGCTTTGCTTCCTGATATTTGGCTCTTCCAGACTCAGTGCAGTGGGAAGCAGCTTCTCCTGCCTTGTCTGGAAGTACTCAGGGTTCAATTTATGCTTTTTGGGAGCCGGATAATCTTTGTGGCTCTCACTGCTGTAGTAATTAGAGGGTTCAGAACGAGGTCTTCTCAGCTCTGAAAAGTACAGTAGAAAGGATAGTCAGGACAGGAGATACAACTAGGAATCCTCAAGAATCAACACTTTCTCTATGCCTGAGAGACACAAAGTGCAAAGCCGGAACTCAAGACACGTCCCTAACATTTAAATATCCCCAGTAGCATACACCAGATTCAGATCTTCCTCCTCCAAAATTATGTATTTCTTGCATGAACATAGAATTTTTGCTACTTTCTTCTGTACTGGGGGAGGGGGCAGCACTAGGCATTCTTAAAGAAAAATCAGAAACATTAACAAAAAAACTGAAATGTATGTGACTATCCTATGGACTCTGCTGAGGGCAGCTGCATGAAAGCAAACGGGATCTCTGTCAAGCTCTGAGATGTCATGATTCTGAATTCTTACCTGGGTTGGTGCTTGCAATAACAGTGACTCCCTTGGGTATTTCTGGAGAGCTGATGGCTTCGCTGTGCCACTGGGCCATCCAGCTCTCTGTGCTGGGCTCTTCGCTTGCAGGACAGTGGATTCTGGGGTTCTGTCCCAGCTGAGCCTGCTCATCTCTCTGCAGGTGCTCCAGACACTCTGCTAATTTCACATGACCCCGTGACCTGGCAATTCCCAAAGGCAGCCTTCCTAGAGAGTCGGGAATCGAGATGGCCCGACGGTCCCACTTGTACAGCACGACGGCAGCTTCCAAGTGCCCTAGGGCACACGCCCACATCTAGAAGACAGGGAGACACAGCAAGCGTTCTCAATCAGAGGTCAAGACCAGACCTGACTTTTGCCATTGCTGCCAACTGACAAACTGGTCCTTGCTGGCAATCTCGGTGGGGCCATTGAAGATTCCCATCCCAAAGTATCTCCGAAACATGCCATGTGTCAGCAAGAGACAACGGTGGGAACCAGGCAAATCCTATGCCAGACTGGAAGAACAGCAAGGGGGGGCTACAGGAATCCATTCCTTACCAGAGGAGTACAGGAGAAGTGGTCCACATTCAAGGGGTCAACTTCCAGTTCCAGGTCAATGCTATCCGCGTGCTTTGTACTATAAGGGAGAGCACCAGAAATTACCACACTATTCACCACCGTTAAAAGGAAACACCAGAATATTATAAAACCCCACCAAGATGAAACCCAACTGGGTATATAACATCCCCATGGTGAAGAAACAGAGTCCCAGGGCAGTGTGGACGCTCCATTTGGCTAGGGGTCCAAAGAAAATGACAAGTCCAACATTTAATTCTTATCTCTCTGGGTATTTCTTGGGAAGAAGTTTATAAAACTCCCTTGGAAACTGTCCAAGGACAAAGCCCTTTGCTCGCCGGCTATAAAGTGGACTGAATGGGTAGATTTCTTCCACGGGTGGCAGTGCTCAGGAAGAATGTGAGCGAGGATGTGCGAGGCTGACCCCCAGCCAGCTGCACCACAGCCTTACCGCCATTTGATGAGGGTCTGGATTAGGGTGGCATAGCCCTGGGCAGCGGCCAGGTGGAGTAGGGTCATTCCGCGGAAAGTCTTTGAGTGGATCAAGTGCTTGGACTTCGCCCAGCAGGCTCGGCTCATCATCTTCTCGCATACCACGACCACACGGCTCTCAAAGCAGCTCCCCAAGGCCCCAGTCCCAGAAGCACACTGTCACAAAAAAGCGCACGTTACGACCTCAGGACTAAAGGCCCTCGACCCCATCAGCGCTTCGATGTAGGGGAAACAAATGCTTTACGATTAGAAACTCACAACGGAAAACATAAAACACTGAAAATAAAGAAACATTGGCTGGGCATGCTGGATCATGCCTGAAATCCTAGCACTTTGGGAGGCCGAGGTGGGAGGATTGCTCGGGAGTTTGAGACCAGCCTGGGCAACATGGTGAGACCCTGTCTCTACAAAAAGTACAAAATTTAGGCTGCGCACAGTGGCTCATGCCTGAAATCCCAGCACTTTGGGAGGCTGAGGCGGGCAGATCTCTTGTGGTCAGGAGTTCGAGACCAGCCTGGCCAACCCTAACCCTAACCCCATCTCTACTAAAAATACAAAAATTAGCCAGGCGTGGTGGTGGGTGCCTGTAATCCCAGCTACTCGGGAGGCTGAGGTGGGAAGATCACCTGAGCCTGGAGAGGTTGAGGCTACAGTGAGCTGTGATCGCGCCACTGCATTCCAGCCTGGGTGACAGAGCAAGACCTTGTCTCAAAAAACAACAACAACAACAAAAAACCCAAACCCCCAAGAACCATCCATGAAATTGAGACTAGAATGTGCTTAGCTTCAGCTCAGTAGCACTTCTCTGAAGTCCACAGCTCTACAGACACGAGTCTATCTATTAGGGCTGACACTCTGATTAGGAACTTCATGCCGATTCGTCTTGGGGAAAGTGTACACAGCCTTAAACAAAAAAAAGTGGTTCTAGCCTTCCTGTAGGCAGTAAACTGTTGTGAGACAGTGGAGCAGAGTAGCTTTCCTAATGTTTCCACTGGCGGGTATAGCGGCTCTTTCACTCTCTTTCTTCTTCTTCTTTTTTCTTTTTTTTTTTTTTTGAGACAGAGTCTCGCTCTGTCACCCAGGCTGGAGTGCAGTGGCACGATCTTGGCTCATTCCAACCTCTGCTTCCTAGGTTCAAGCAATTTCTAGCTAATTTTTGTATTTTTAGCGGAGATAGGGTTTCACCATGTTGGCCAGGCTGGTCTCGAACACCCGATCTCAAGTGATCTGCCTGCCTCAGCCTCCCAAGTGCTAGGTTCCTGGCATGAGCCACCGCGCCCAGCCTCTTGCTTCTTCTGAAGGAGAATTAGATCACTTAGATGCGGACTGTTTTTTCCTTAAAGAAATGACTAGAAGTATCCAATAATCCAGTCCTTTATGTAAAGTAAAAAGAATACTGAGAAAAGCATTTAGAGATCCTGAAATTTAAGTGTTATTAATAACAATAAGGGCTATAGGAAAGAGAAGTTTACTAATTTTAACCACATGGGTTACTTCCTATGAACCAGTTGTAATGGAAGAAAAATAAAATGAAAGTTAGTAACTTCAACAGCTTATGTGAGTCTCTGTGATAGCAGTTTTATGTTTAACACTCCCCCAAATAAATGGCACCTCTAGGCTAATTTGTATCTCTGGTGTTACTTAAAAAGTACTTTTTTTTTCTGGCAATAAACTCCATAAACTTTACTTACTACAGAAATACTATGGCTCCTCGCTGATTTTTATTTTTAAATGTGGAAAAAATGCCTCCCAAAATAAAAAAGGCAGATGATGGGATTGTTATCTCAGCCTCATCAAAGCTGTAAAAACACCTACAGGAGCAGAGTTAGGTGATCCCAACATGCCGCAAACTGACCTTGACTCAAAAGGCCAAGGCACAGCCATTCTACACACACAAGACACATTCATGAGCACATGGAAATGGCCAGAGTGAACGAAAAGGGAATTTTTTTTTTTTTGTATTAAACAAAAACAGTCATGTCTCTATCCCGCATGGCAAACACGGACATTTACTGAAGGCAACTTAAACTGATGAAAGGATATTCAGTAGTGGTTAACATGGGATGAGATTCTAGGCCAGTTGCATAGCGTTTGAGCCAGCTGCGTAGTGGCTGAGCTTTAAAATGACATTACATACCATTCCTTTTATGCCACTTTTGTTGGTGAAAGGAAAAGTATTTTAAGGAGATCTCTTATGTGAGCCATGAGGTAAATTAAACAATGATTACTTCTTTTATAAAACTTAGTACTATCGGCCGGGCACGGTGGCTTATGTCTGTAATCCCAGCACTTTGGGAGGCCGAGGCAGGCGGATCACCTGAGGTTGGGAGTTCGAGACCAGTCTGACCAAGGTGGGGAAACCCCGTCTCTACTAAAAATACAAAATTAGCCAGGCGTGGTGGCCCATGCCTGTAATCCCAGCTACTTGGGAGGCTGAGGCTGGAGAATCGCTTGAACCTCGGAGGCGGAGGCTGCAGTGAGCCAAGATTGTGTCACTGCACTGCACCTGGGCGACAGAGCAAGACTTCGTGTCAAAAAGAAAAAAAAGAAGCCTATCTTAGCCTTAATAATATTCTACTGCGTGCCAAGTTGTTTCTTTCCTGCTGATTTCTGAAGACAGGGGAGCAATATGAAAACACGGGGAGGAAGGAGGCTAGCCTTTTGGGTGTGGCATATGATGTTCTTTTAACCTATTATTTAAAATATAACTAAACTTGATATTTATGAGGTTCATAAAACCAAAAATATTCACCTAAAAACTTAACTGTGTAAAGGAAATCATCATTTGTCTTGAAGAGAAAGAGGGGGCATTATTTGAGGTTTTTTTTGCAACGACTGAGTAGTGGAGATAAGAAATACCATCAGTTCCTTTAAATTTATCTCTAGGGTCCCCTGAGAAATAATTTCTCCCTGGGAGACTTCCCAAAAATGAACTTCCTAAATGAAATGTATATAAAGCCTTCAAGACCAATGGGACTCTGAAACAATGTTTGGTAATTTACTCGTACTTGGCAATATCATACATTCTTTATGGAACTTACAGAAAGTTTGTGAAAGAGGCTGTAATGTATAATGTCATTCTACACTGAATCATTACATAAACACTTTCTCTGGGCTCTTTTCATACTGACCTTGAGTTTATAAAAGGCTTATGAATTACTGAATTCAATTATGTTTTATACCTACACTTAAGATAGGGATAAAATACAGAATAGAAAGTAGGAAGATTCTAAATTAATTCTGAACCCTAGCAGGTCTAAGTCACCATCTGGCCTTTTTTTTTCTTCTTCTTCTTTTTGAGACAGGGTCTTATTCTGTTGACCAGGTCAGAGTGCAGTGGAGTGATCATGGCTCACTGCAGCCTCAACCTCCCGGGCTCAAGTGATCCTCCCACTTCAGCCTCCTGAGTAGCTGGGACCACAGGGATGTCCCACCACGCCTGGCTAATTAAAAAAAATTTTTTTTTTCTATAGAGACAGGGTCTCAGTATGTTGCTCAGGCTGGTCGTGAACTCCTGGGCTCAAGCAATCCTCCCGTCTTGGCCTCCTACAGCGCTGGGATTATAGGCGTGAGCCACCATGCCCAGCCAGCCTCTATTTTTCAATTGGTTGTCCTTAATTCCCACTGCCCTGTAATTTAGTAGTGAATTCTGAGATTAATAGAGATAACTTAAGGATTAGGGGGGTAAACAACTGAGAAGCTCCACATTCCAAGGCTTCTTCCATACTGCACAGATTATAATGCTTAAAAGCACAGGTACCGTAAAGTACTCCCTCAGGCCTTCTGCCTGAATACAGGGACCGCATCAGCAGCAGAGAAGAGGCCTGTGATCCATCCACTGCCTCGCCAATCCATAAACATGAAGCGAAATGGGAGCTGAGCATCAGCACCGCCTCGTACCTGTGCCTGGCTCCCTCCATTCCCGCTCCCGCTGCCGCCTCCACTGCTGCCGCCTCCGCTCGCCTGTTTGTGCTGCTGGGACCCCGTCATCTCGGCCATCCTCCTCTCCATCTGCTCCAGTCGTTCCAGGATGGACATCCTGAACTGGTTATCTAGGGCAGAGCAGGAGGAAGAGTGAGGTTGTGTTCTGGAAGAAAAGCAGTCAACACGTGGCCTCGCCAGCCTTGCGGGACCAGCATCCAAATGCCGTCCGTAACTTCACCAAACCAGAGAGGTCTCCGCCAGCCAGAGTTCCCCAGCACGATCGTGAATCTGTCACCACCTCACACAGGATGGTGGCACCTTCAGCAGCCCGAAGTTCTCGGATAAAAGACCAGAAATTCTCTTTTTGTCAAAGATCAAAAAGAGGTTCAGGTTCCTGCCCCCTAGTTTCTTTGTCAAATTCCCCAACGGAAACCCTGACATGAGATCTGGTAGAGAGCCCTCTAGAGCAAGTAAAATAAATAAATACAATTTAAATTAAACTAGTAGAAGAAAGCAATCACAGCAAGAAAGGAAGGTATGTTAGACAAAAAAAAAAAAAGGTAGTATATCTTTTACCAAAACACTGAGTTTTTACAAAAAAAAATTGTTTTAAATTTTATTTCCTGAGCCAAGCTCTAGCTTTTATAATTTATTTCAGGAATAGCATCATTCAGTGCCTGAGACTGTTACACCCTTTTTTGAGACAGTCTCACGTTGTCGCCCAGACTGGAGTGCATTGGTGTGATCTAGGCTTATTTGCAACTTCCACTTCCCAGGCTCAAGCCATCCTCCCATCTCAGCCTCCCGAGCAGATGGAACCATAGGTGTGCACCACCATGCCCAGCTAATTTTTGTTTTTGTTTTTGTTTTGTAGAGATGGAGTTTCACCATGTTGCCCAGGTTGGTCTCAAACTCCTGGGCTCAAGGAATCAAAAGTGCTGGGATTACAGGTGTGAACCACCGTACTCAGCCACATTTCTTTCTTTTCTTTTTTTTTTTTTTTTGAGACAGAGTGTCATGGTGTCGCCCAGGCTGGAGTGCAATGGCGCAATCTCAGCTCACTGTAACCTCTGCCTCCCGGGTTAAAGTGATTCTCCTGCCTCAGCCTCCCAAGTAGCTGGGACTACAGATGCCTGCAACCACACCTCACTAATTTTTGTATTTTTAGTAGAGGCGGGGTTTCACTACGTTGGCCAGGCTGGTCTTGAACTCCTGACCTCGTGATCTGCCCACCTCGGCCTCCCAAACTGCTGGGATTACAAGCATGAACCACTGCGCCCAGCCCCACATTTCTTTTAACCCATGTCTCATCGGAGACAAACATAAATAGGTACTTCACTTCTACATCAGAGAAACAACAGGAATTACTGTTGGAGCTAGGATTGAAACTCAAAGAGAAAACACGTTGTGATTCTGTACCACTTTACTAAGATTAGAACACGTCTCTCCACATTCCTGCATTTACACACACATGTGCATGCACACACAAACATACACATGTTAGAATTGGGTCACCTATCCATGTACATAAGAGGAGTTAAATCGATGTTAAAATCAATCATGCCCACGCTCGCTTCATATATGTATATCTATATACGCTTATGACATATATATCATATATATGTTAAATATATATATATATATATAGAGAGAGAGAGAGAGAGAGATTGAGACTTTGAGATGGAATCTCACTCTGTTGCCCAGGCTGGAGTGCAATGGCATGATCTTGGCTCACTGCAACCTCCGCCTCCTGAGTTTAAGCGATTATCTTGGCTCAGCCACCCAAGTAGCTGGGACTACAGGCACATGCCACCAGGCCCAGCTAATCTTTTTTGTATTTTTAGTAGAGACGGGGTTTCACCATGTTGGCCAGGCTGGTCTTGAACTCCTGACCTCAAGTGATCTGCCCGCCTCAGCCTCCCAAAGTGCTGGGATTACAGGCTGAAACCCCGTGCCTGGCCACACCTCACAAATTTTAAGGAACACTGTGCCAGATATTCAATAGCGAAGAGGGGAGGTCTCTCCCTACTCTAGCACAGGCAGGCCTTGGTAAGTGAAGAAGGCAGGATAACGTAATAAGGAGGGATGGGATGGGGACAGAGTTTAGACAAGTCAGGAAAGGTGACACTTCGAGTTTGCTCAGAATGATGAGAAAGAGCCAAACATGTCCAGAACTGAGGCCTGGTAATAGCACATGCGAAGGCCCTGAGGCAGGGCTTTCAGGGAGCAGAAGACCGTGTGGCTGGAGCACAGAGGGAGGGAGAGCAGGAGACGCAGGAGACGATAGAGCTGGAGGTGTGCAGGAGTCAGACCAGTGAATGGCTGTGCAGAGCCCTGGCTCTGCCATATAAAAGCTGTGTAGCTTTGAACTTAGAACAAAACCTTTCATGCCTCCGTTTCCTCAACCCTTAAATGGGGACAGTAGTTACACCTACCTCAGAGGGCTGTTAATCTATGTAAGTGCTCAGAACATGATAAATCCTAGGTTAGCATGCTTGCCATCACCATCATCTTTAGACAAATGAAGTCAATGTCTGTGGAAGCTGACTGAACAGCTGTGACCACATATTTCTCCTCCAACTGTTGAGAACATAACTATTTTCAAAATACAGTCATCTGAATCATGCAAAGGGATAATCTGGAGAAGAAATATTTTATCACCACTCCTTACCATCCTGACTATAAATTCCAAGACTAGCGAGCAAAGCGTACGACGGTTCCATGTGAGAGAAAACAACAGGCAGAGATAGCACTCACAGAATGCTTCCTGCACACCAGGCACCACTGCGTCACTGTGCAGATATTAACTCATTTACTCTTCACAACCATCACGTGAGGTAGGTGTTGTTATTATCCTCATTTTCCAGATGAGAAAACTGAGGCACATGGAGATAACCCATCTGTCTGGCCCCAGGGCTGGGAGTATAACCAGATACGCCAAGAAGAAGGAAGGGTGATGGGAAGAAAAGATGCATAGGCATGAGGCAGTCTTACCAGAAGGAGACAATATTCTCACTCTCTAGAAAGCTTAGCTCTACTCAAAAGACAGTCAATACCCAGTCAGCAGTTCAGTCCTCACTTCAGATCAAACTGATTTTACTTTACTAAAACACAAAAGCAAGAGGAAGGTTGCTTTTTAAGAATCTTGATATTATTTTCTGGCCAGGCAAGGTGGCTCACGCCTGTAATCCCACCACTTTGAGAGGCTGAGACAGATCACTTGAGGTCAGGAGTTCAAGACCAGCCTGGCCAACATGGTGAAACCCAGTCTCTACTAAAAACACAAAAAAAGCTAGCTGGGTGTGGTGGTGTATGCCTGTAGTCCCAGCTACTCAGGAGGCTGATACAGGAAAATCGCTTGAACTCAGGAGGTGGAGGTTACAGTGAGCCGAGATGGCACCACTGCACTCCAGCCTGGGTGACAGAGTGAGACTCTGTCTCAAAAAAAAAAGAAAAAAAAAGATTCCTCATATTAATTTCTAATAAACTACTTCCAGGAACAACAATGCAAGAAAGATACTTCCTCTTTTAAAGCGAAAAATAACGTCTTCCTTCCAATTGCACAACTATGGATGGACAGACACAGGCAAACTTGGAGGATCCTGCCACTAAGTGTCTCACTCAGTGGCAACTTCCCACAGGGAGGTAACTCTGAATACACACTGTGTGGGGTAACCTGCACACGGCCGTTCTCATCCTGTGACCACCAGCAGAAAACACAAGATGACTACAGAGGTTGCGCTGGTGTCTTTACTCCAGATGCCATGCCTCTTTGTTAGAAATCTGAAATCTTGCAGATCACAGGTCTCTTCCATGTGAAGCCTAAGAAGTTGACTCTTCAGTTAGAGTTCAGTTCCAAGCAGCATGGCAGTTGCCCTTTGCAGGATATTATAAACTCCTCTGCTTATTCCTGATGCTGCTAAGCCAGACAACCATTGATCTCGGAACCTACTTGGAGATCGTTATGCATCCCATTGAAATGACTTGACTGAATTTTAAACCTCCATAGCCACAGATCTGTGATTTCTTCTGCAAGTCTACAAATCTTGCATCTGGTTAACGAGTTTTCAGCATCCATTTCACTTGTTCCAGAGCACTCTGGAACCAATCTGCAACTGAGTGGCCAAGATCAACATCCGGTGGCAGACAAAGGGGCAGAAAAGCACCAAAGGTGCTCTCTGAGCTGTGGTCAGCCTGGAGCGAGCCTGCCTGCTGCCCGTGGAGGTGGCTTTGTGCTGCAGTGTGCTGCAGTGCGGTCCCCGCATCAGCTGTCCCCTGCCCATCCCCCCGCCAAGCACGGGCACTGCAGAAACAGACCTTCCCTGACATCACTGAGTCAGGCCCTGCCCACGGCGTCACCCGGTCAACCCCTCCAACAGTCACAGTGACTCTGTGTGTGCCACAGAGGTGACCAGCTTTTGTTCCCCAGCTGCATTCCCTGTTGCTATGCCATGAGTGCATGATATTAAGCTGCTCTGAGAAGCACCTCATGAAAATACTCAGAAGCAATTATGTGCCTCTTAACAAAATCATATCATGCATAACGGCATCTCTGAGCCTCTCAATTCCAAAGGGGAAGCGAGTGATAATTAAAATAAAAAACCAATCTCAAATGCAAATGACTGAGCTGGCACCCAGGGAGTGCGGTCTGTTGCACTGTGCTATGCAAGTTCAGAGAGACTTTCTCCTCACATGTCCTTTCCTCTGCACGGGGCCAGGGCCCAGCTCTTGAGGTTGTAAGGCTTAGATGGATAAAATGATGGTCTTTACATCTCCACACTAGCAAGCCAAAAGCAACGCCTTTACGCTTGTTTTGGTTTTACAGCTTTATTAGGATAATTAAAACACTGTGAAATATTTGGCAAATTGAGAGCTGTGCATTGCTTTAACTGTATGCTGTGTGTGATTACGGGATATAGGGAATACAATTACTTAGAAGCAAAGAAGAATTTCTGATTACATTAGAGTAAATAAGTACATTTGAAAGATTCACTTATTCATGCACAAATATTCACTGGAGCACCTACTATGTATGCACCAGGCAGTAGGGAGTACTTAGAACAGCAGTGAAAATATCCTTGCCCTCTTTTGTCGACCAACAGATAATTTCTGCAGCCCGAACAAACCTGGAGTTTTAAATTAATACAAAGCAGAGGCTGGGCGCGGTGGCTCACGCCTGTAATCCCAGCACTTTGGGAGACCGAGGCAGGTGGATCACAAGATCAGGAGATCCAGACCATCCTGGCTAACACGGTGAAACCCCGTCTCTACTAAAAATACAAAAAATTAGCCGGGTGTGGTGGCGGGCGCCTGTAGTTCCAGCTACTCAGGAGGCTGAGGCAGGAGAATGGCGTGAACCCAGGAGGCGGAGCTTGCAGTGAGCCGAGATCGCGCCACTGCACTCCACCCTAGGCGACAGAGCGAGACTCTGTCTCAAAAAAAAAAAAAAAAAAATTAATACAAGGCAGAGAAAGGGGAGTAGGAATAATGCGTAGATTTAGGGAGCTGATGAGTTTGGTCCTAGTTCTTACCCATGATGCTTCAAACAAAGACAACAGGGTGAGCTTTGAGGGCTTCCAAGTGGATGTCCTTAGGACAGTCCAAGTGAAGCAGCTGAACTACTCCATCGGGAGAAAATTCTGCACAGAAGGAAAGTTACAAGTGCAAGTTTCCATGGGCACATGAGGCTCAGAGGTGGCTCAAGGCCACAGGAGGCTCCAGAGGTCCCCGCAAAGAAAGCCAGCTGCTCTAGCTCCACTTCCTGCCTGGCGGTTCTGAGATTTTTAGTTCTTATCCTGAAATATTAGGCTATATCCGTCGCACCGGAAGAACAAGTTCCTGCTTCATCACAGAACAGGCACTCTATATTTGCTGCAGCGAGTGAACTCTGGGCAAGGGTACAGAAAAGAGGTGCACAGAGGCCTGTTTCTAGTAACACAGGCTGGCCTCCTGTTGAAGACATGAGGATGACAGACGCATAACCCAGAGACAGACACCACCATCCTAAGCATTTTACCCAAGAAAATAAAAATTTACATAACATTTCTACACATACATGCTTCAGTAAAAAACAGTATAAAGAGCCACCTACTTAGAGCCTTCTAGGTATCAATACAAACCTCACAAAAGTTAGTTGCAATGATACCCTACCTTCAAGTGGGAACAATGACCAAACTTTTGTGGCCACATAGGAGGCTATAAATAAATACATATAGTTTGTATCCTGCGGGGTGTATAGGTGAATGTTAGATCCAGAACTACACTGAGCTATCAGCCATGTCCTCCCCAGCGAAACTATAAACTTTCTGAGGGCATGGAAGAGCAGGGCAGAGTAGGAAAAGGCAAAAGCAAAAAAAAATCCTTTGACAGACAAGGAAGTATCAAATGATACAAAATAAAGTGTCAACTGGGCTGAGGTTCCCCAACTCTTAACCCCTCTGGGTAAGTCCCATAACTCCTGGATCTAAAGACTCAGGCAAAGTGAGCTCTGAATGATGTCTTACTTCTGGTGCAGAACCTCTGGGTGTGAGTCTCAGCTTCCCTTCCAGTGGCAGACTCTCCGTGCGTGACCCACCTGCCTGTTCCCGGCTAGAGGCCGTGTGCTGTGAGTCTGTGTGTGACCCACCCGCCTGTTCCTGGCTGGAGGCTGTGAGTCTGTGTGTGTGACCCACCCGCCTGTTCCTGGCTGGAGGCTGTGTGCTGCCCTAGATGGCGGCTTCTGCTCATCCCAGTGACCATTCCTCTAGACCAGAGGTTCTCAAACTTTAGGAGGGCTTCTTAAGACAGACTGCTGGGCCCTATTCCCAGAGTTTTGGTCCAGTGGGTCTGAGTGAGACCCAGAGGCTGCATTGCTAACAAGGTCCCAGGCAGTTCTGATGCTTCTGGTCTAGGGCCACATTTCAAGAACCGCTGCCCTAAGACCCTGGCCTGTTTCCACAGTGAAAGAATGACTCCTCTCTCCTCCACCCAAGTGCCTGTTAAGAATGATCCCAGAACCACCTGCTCAAACAGAAGCAGAGATTCCTACCCAGCATGGGTATGTGAGGCATCACCTCATGTGAACCATGCCAGAGCCATCCGCAGTAGCTCTGTTGACAATAACTGGGTGCACATTTTCTTCTCAAGCACCCCAACTCAGACCAGGCGATACTCGAAAACGATTTAAAACCCAGCCACCTGCACTGCTGTCTGCAACGGATCAAGTACTCCTCTACCATTCCCATTGCATCTGACCTCTTTATTACTTTGTCCTTTACTCAGCTGACAACATGGGCTGTCTTTCCAGGTGTCTGTCTCCGCCTCTCGTGTTTCTCTAAAGCAGTCTATTTTCCTGAAAGGTTCCAGGGAATGAGGAAGGATACATTCACCTTCATGCAGTAGTTCCTTCCCGCTACCTTCCAGACATGCACGCGCATGTAAATCCCCGGACAAAAACTCAATCATTCTGACGGCTTTCATAGCAACCGTCCGGCTCCTGATTCATTCAAAGCTTCTCTTCATGAACCTCTTCTCCCTGTGCTCCTTTTTTGTGGAAGCAGCAGTTTCAGCCTGGGCAGCTCTGAGACAGTGCAAAGAACACTGGAGTAGAAATAAGAGCCCCAGGTTTAATCCTGTCACTGTGTGACTTTGGAAAAATGATTCCCACTTTGCACCTCAATTTTCTCATCTGTAAAATGGGGATATTTATATACATATCCCTTCTTGTTTGTGAGGATGAAATAAACTAATACATGCGATCTTTTTTTTTTTTTTTTTTTGAGAGTCTCGCTCTGTTGCCCAGGCTGGAGTGCAGTAGTGCGATCTCGGCTCACTGCAACCTCCGCCTCCTGGGTTCATGCCATTCTCCTGCCTCAGCCTCCCGAGTAGCTGGGACTACAGGCATGAGCCACCACACCTGGCTAATTTTTTGTATTGATGGAGTTTCACCATGTTAGCCAGGATGGTCTCAATCTCCTGACTTCGTGATCTGCCCACCTCAGCCTCCCAAAGTGCTAGGATTACAGGCGTGAGCCACCGCGCCCGGCCCATACATGCAATCTTTTGAAGGAATATGACTCTCTTATGCCTGAGCTAGTAGACTGGGGCCTTCTGCCCAGCCCCATCTATGGGAGCATGGTTAAAAAATTAAACATTTTTTCGAGTAATTTTAGATTTACAGATAAGTTGCAAAGATCGTAGAGTTCCCATATGCCCCTCACTCAGTTTCCTCTAACATGGTATCTTATGTAACCATGGCACATTTGTCAAAACTAAGAAACTAGTATTGGTATATTAGAGCTATTAACTAAATTAAAGACTTGAAACCGATTTTAGCACTTTTTCCATGAATGTCCTTTTTCTGTTCCAGGATCTAACCCAGGATCCCGCATTGTGTTTAGTTTTGAAGTCTCCTTAGTGTCCTTGGATCTGTGACAGTTTCTCCATATTCCTTTACTTTTCAAGATTTTAACAGTTTTAGGCCGGGCGCAGTGGCTCGCGCCTGTAATCCCAGCACTTTGGGAGGCTGAGGCCGGTGGATCACCTGAGGTCAGGAATTTGAGACTAGCCTGGCCAACATGGTGAAACCCATCTCTACTAAAAATACAAAAATTAGCCGGGTGTGGTGGTGGGCACCTGTAATCCCAGCTACTTGGGAGATTGAGGCAGGAGAGTTACTTGAACCCAGGAGGCAGAGGTTGCAGTGAGCTGAGATCACACCACTGAACTCCAGCCTGCCAGTCTGGGTGACAGAGTGAAACTCTATCTCCAAACAAAAATTTAACAGTTTTGAAGAATACTGGTCAGGTATTTTGGAGACATCCCTCAATTTAGGTTTGCCTGGTGTTTTCTAACCCTTAGACTGGGTTCTGGGTTTTTAGGAAGAGTATCAGAGGTGAGGCACCCTGCTCATCACATACAATCAGAGGTATAATGATGTCCTGGAGAGGTCAGCCTCCATCATTTGGTTAAGGCAATGTTTGCTACATTGCTGTACTGTGAAGTTACAATTTTTCTCTTTCCGTTCTTTGGAACTAAGTCACTAAGTCCAGTCCCAACAACAAGAGGGTAACTAAGTTCCACCTCGCAGACGGGGGAGTATCTACATATATTATTTGGAGTTCTCCTGTAAGGAAGATTTGTCCTTATTTATTTATGTATTTAGTCAATCACTTATTTATATCAGTATGGACTCCTGTACATTTATTCTAAACTTTGGGTCACAATCTGATACTGTTATTTATTTTGTTGCTCCAAGTGTTCCAGCTTTGGCCATCAGGAGCTCTTTCCGGCTGACCCTTATGCCCCTCTGACGTGCCCTCATCCTTTTTTCTTCCTTTTAGCACTTCCTTCCTTTCTGGCATTACAAGATGCTCCAGATTCATCTCTCATTTCCCCTGTGCCAATCCTAGAACTGTCCATTTCTCTAAGGAGTGGAGCTTTGGTTCTTTTTATTGGAGAACGGTATTTAGAAATGAACATCTGGGTGCTGAGCGTTCATTGCTATTGAGGTATCACTGCTTCTAGGCCTTCTCGATGGGAAAGCTAGGAAATATACGTATATATGTATATATCTACCTGTATACACACTAATGTAAACATGAGTTCCTACTGATGTCTCTGTGTCTACTATAGCACTGCAGTGTTTATTAGAGCCTTCTGAGGGTATTTTTTTTTAGAGCTGCGGTCTTGCTATGTTGCCCAGACTGGTCCTGAACTCCTGGCCTCAAGCTATCCTCCTGCCTGCCTCAGCCTTCCAAAGTGCTGCAATTACAGGCATGAGCCACCATGCCCAGCTGGCATTTTAAAAATAGATCAAATGATGATGAAAGTAACTGTGTGTGTTACCTAGCTGTAATAAACCGATAAATGAAATGCTGAAAAGAAACCTTATTGATATATTAAACTAAAAAAAAAAGAGACCTTCAGGTTTAACTCCTGTATCTCAAAAGTATAAGCATAGGTTATAGTATAGTAGTATATTCATTTACCTTATTATACTTCAATTCTTAGTTTCCAACAATATTAGAAAGCATAAGTATAAATAGAAATAGACTCATAATCCCAGAATAGCTTTGAGTATTACAACGATCAAGAAGAAGATGAAAAAACTCTTCCAAACAATGGCCCAAGGGTCAAGGAATGGTTAGTTGGGGCTTCAGATTCCCTTTTCTTTTGCTGGGTCGACCCCATCCTAGCCTCTCCATCACAGCTGTTCCACGAAGTGTCACACAGCACAGTCATGGGACATCTTTTCCTCTTTCTCTGACAGGGGTTCCTAACCTTCAAAGGGACTCACTTTAAAATGTCCCAAATTAATATTCATTTAAATGTTTAAAATTCCTTAGCAATGTTTTAAAGACAGAGACAATTTCATGAAATCAGACACCCACAGTGTGTTCTAAGTTTAGAAGGGCTGGGATTTGCTGCTGTAAAAGTGGAGAATCCCGAGTGTCTGGGCGTCTGCTGTGAGTGAGAAAGTGTCTATGCCAGGAAACCAGCTCCTAGCCAGATTTCCCAGGCCCTCAGGCCCCAGCAGCACCTACTGCTTCCTCTGGATTTTACACAACTCACTTTCAATCTTCAAATCTAATCAATTTTCCTGGTTGTACTGAGCAATACACCAGGAGATGGTTCCTGATATTTTATCAGATAATTTAGTTTAAAAAATTAAGTCCCTCCTCTGTCTGGGCGTGGTGGCTCACACTTGTAATCCCAACACTGTGGGAGGCTGAGGTGGGCGGATCACCTGAGGTCGGGAGTTCAAGACCAGCCTGGCCAACATGGCGAAACCCCATCTCTAATAAAAATACACTGCACTCCAGCCTGGGCGATGGAGTGAGACTCTGTCTCAAAAAAATAAATAAATAAAAATAAGGTAAAATAAATCCCTCCTCCTGAACATACAAAATAAAATGTAAACTCTTTGTTGTGACACAGAATGGACTGTTCTTTACCAACCATCCCAGGCTACGTTTCTAGGGTTCTCTCATAACTCAATGTTCTCCAAAATTCCTGGCTCACGACCAGGAATTTTACTTACCTCTGGGCCTCTGCCGAGGCCAACCTTTCTCCTCATCCACCTGGTGAACTTCTTAACTCTTCAGAGTGTGGCTCAGACATCACTCCAATATTATTAATAATAATAATAGCAGCTACTGGACATCTACAGTAAGCCAGACATTTTACATGGATTATGTCTAATCCTCAAAATGACTCTGAAATAAAGATTTTCCCCTTCATTTTCGGATGAGGAAGCTGATGCTAAGAAAATTTGTTACTTACCCAAGAGCATACCACTTGTAAGTATCAGGGCAGAGATTTGAACACAGACTGGACTCCAGACCAGTGTTCTTTCTGCTATGCCTGGTAAACCTTCCACATTTTGCCCTGGGTCCTAACAGTACTGAGCCAATGAAGGGATAGTTCTTTTCCTAGGTGTCATTCCTGCTAGAGGCTAGAATGTGAGCTTTTTGAAAGCAGGGACCTTGTCTTGTATCCCTAGCACCATTCAGAAAGTGAGTGCATGTGGAAAGGATTATTTTCTAATTTAAGCTCCTGGGAGCCTATTTATTGATGAGGTCATCCAAACTCTGGGGCAAGAACCCTGAGCAGCCTCCGCTCCCCAGGTGCAGTCCAGGTGGCTCATATACCAGTGAGCAGCTTTATCACCTGTCCAGGGGCAAGAGAGGATGGTCAAAGTGATCCAAGGCCAGCAGAGCTGACTTGGAAAGCAAGTGTCTGCCCGGCTGGCTGCCATCTGCTTTAAGCTCAGGGAAGGAAACCACGCAGCTACAGTGAAGACTCTGGAAGCAAGGCTGGGTATGAGGTGACTTCTTCACAGGCACACACTGGAACTTCCCAGCAGTGTCACTTTTCTATAGCCACTGAGTTTCTCATGAAAAATACCAAACCCTAACTTTGGCCTGGTGGCTCACGCCTGTAATCCCAGCACTTTAGGAGGCTGAGGCAGGCAGATCACTTGAGGTCAGGAGTTTGAGACCAGCCTGGCCAATGTGGTGAACCCCGTCTCTACTAAAAATACAAAATTTAGCCAGGCATGGTGGTAGGTGCCTGTAGTCCTAGCCACTCAGGAGGCTGAGGCAGGAGAATTGCTTGAACCTGGGAGAGGGAGGTTGCAATGAGCCGAGATTGCACCACTGCACTCCAGCCTGGGCGACAAAGTGAGACTCTGCCTCAAAAACAAAACAAACAAACAAACAAAAAAAACCACCCAACCCCTAACTTTGAGATGTTCCCCCTTTTCAAGAGAAAAATGGACTATTTGGAATACAAATGACTGGCAGCGCCCCTCAATGAAAGGAGTGGCTTTCGTTAGTTACCAAGGTGTTTAACAAGTCAGCCAGGTTCAACTGTTGTATAAACATGAGGTTTCGATCGGGTTAAACAAAAGGAACACTTTCTAGAACAGCCCCAGAAAGCGTCCATGAATATGAATGCCTGCACATCAGCTAATGAATAATATCGGCAAACGTGAGAACTTGTTATTACAACTGCTGAGCTGAGCCATCTCAGGTCTTGTTGCCAGAGGAGAAGAAAAAGTTTTGCCTTGGCAGGTAAGTGAATGAAGAAGCAATCGTCAAATACCATCTGCTATTTTAAAACACGTTATTTGTAGCTCAAGTGCACATGTGCTCTCCCACTGCCATCCATCTCTCATTCCACTTACAGCCCTTGGCTGCCCTGGCAGGGAGAGCTGAGGAGGCAAAGGAGGCATGCCTGCAACTATTTCTGTAGAGCACTGTGAGCGCTGCTTAGGAAGTCTCCTAAATTTTTTAGGAAGCTCAGAAGGACAGGGAAAATGAAGTCACTTAATTCCCTCCCAGAATAAATGGTGCCACGAGAGTATATTAAGCTGCTCCTCCCTGGCAAGCCGTTTAAGATGTCCAAGTGCAGAGGGAAGGGTAAGGGCCGGGTGGAGATGAGGCACAAGCTGTACCACTCTGATTTTCCAAAGCAATGGCTAAATTTAGCCGTAGAAAAAACCGCCATACTCCACTTTTTGAAAACTCTCTGACTCTGTATACCAAAACACTAGAAATGGCAATGAGCAATGCTGCTTAGGACTTCTTCATTTGTCATAATTCTGCATCCATATTTCTTCTTCCTGATCTTTGTTTTACACTATCCCCATATTCAGTCTTGGACTTGTTCAGAAAAATCATTCAGGATACTGCCAAAACAACGGACCAACAGTGATTAGACAAAATGTTACAAGGGCAGCAAAGCAAACTGACAATCATCTCTCATTTGAAATCTTTCAATACTAGAGCTAGGGGTGTCTCAGGGTGAAAATCTCAAACCTATTCTCCAAGGAACATTCAGGCAGCCACATCACAACACAGTCTCAGGCACCGACGGCACCTCCACCACGCAGGAGCCAACTCTGCTGTCAGTGAAGTAACAAATCCAACTAAAGACAAAGGTAGTAAAACTGCAGCTAATTGGCATGAAGCACAAAAGAGATTTGGAACTCCCATACAGATTCTGCACCCACCTTTAAAGAGTCTACAAAAGAGGAGAACATCTTAAAGTCGGCTAACTTTGCAGAAAGCAACAAGTTTGGAGCACACTGCCTCAACAGTTTCAGTGCACAGTGAAAATCAGAAATATTATAAACAAGAATTGAGACATTCTAAAGTAAGACTAGTGAAATGAATGTAGAAGAACAGAGAAAGCGTATTACTCCTAAGACTAATGAGGTCTTTAAAAAAAAAAAAAAAAGGGCTGACCGGGCTCATGCCTGTAATCCCAGCACTTTGGGAGGCTGAGGCAGGGGGATCACCTGAAGTCACGAGTTCAAGATTAGCCTGAGAAACATGGGGAAACCAGTCTCTACTAAAAACACAAAAATTAGCTGGGCATGGTAGCATGTGCCCGTATTCTCAGCTACTCGGGAGGCTGAGGCAGGAGAATCGCCTGAACCTGGCGGGGCAGAAGTTGCAGCGAGCTGAGATGGCACCACTGCACTCCAGCCTGGGTGACAGAGCGAGACCCTGTCTCAAAAAAAAAAAAAAAAAAAAGTGCTGTAATGAGACCTGGAGATGAACAATGAATGATCTAACCTGGACATGAAGGCGTGATTTAAATGGGTTATATAAAGGAAAATGGAAAATGAAAATCCTAACACTTAAGAAGGGAAACTGCAAAGACAGAAACGACAAAGTGAGCAGGAATTGTCAGGAGGTATGGATACAATAATTAAGCACCAGCGGCTTGTTTGGTGGCGCCTAGCATGATCAAAACACCACTTGAAATCCTTGGGGAAGAACTATGGAGAATCCGGCCAGAACGGACTCATTCCACAAATGTTTACGGAACGCCCACTGTGTTTACGGAACACCCACTGTGTTTACGGAACGCCCACTGTGTTTACGGAACGCCCACTGCTGGCTAAGACTGCGCCAAGGCTCTAGGGAACTAAGGGTGAACAAGACAACTCAAGTTGTTAGCCACCGGGACTACAAAAACCCAACACGATATGAGCCTTTGTCACCAGAAACTCGGTCTCATATACATGAACGTAAAGAGAAATTGTGTTGGCTCAGTGAGGCCAGTGACTACGTTCATCCCAGTCACCGCTACATTCCTGAGGCCTAGCAGAAATTCCTGGTGCACAGTAGGCCCTCTGTAAATATTTATTGACGAAATGATTTAATTTCAACTATCGGAAATACACAACGTGAACTTCAAGAAGAACAAGGTACAGAATAACATGTAGAACAAATATTTGTTTCCATGAGTCATTTCTATGATGGGCTTTTTTTCAGCCAAGTTATTAAAAGCAGCTCCTTCATGGTCACCTTTTAGCTAATAAGAATATATCCGTTTTTATTTTTTTATTTTTTTTTAGACAGGGTCTCGCTTTGTTGCTCAGGCTGGAGTGCAGTGGTGCAAACATGACTCACCACAGCCTCTACCTCCTGCCTTAGCCTCCTAAGTAGCTGGGACCACAGGCATGCACCACCACGCCTGGCTAATTTTTTGTATTTTTGGTAGAGGTAGGGTTTCACTATGTTGCCCAGGCTAATCTCAAACTCCTGGGCTCAAGTGATCCTCTTGCCTCAGCCTCCCAAAGTGCTGAGATTACAGGTGTGAGCCACTACGCCTGGCCTCAAATTTTTTTGACATGGACATAAATTGTACGTATTTATTGCATACAACCTGATGTTTTGAAGTACATGAACGTTGTGGAAAGATTAAATCTAGCTAATTAACAAATGTACTACATAGTAATGCACTATGTACAAATGTACTTTGGAGTACATTTGTTCATTAAATAATGACACAGCTATCATTTTTGTGGTGAGGGCATTTAACATCTACCCTCTTAGCAATGTTCAGGAATATATCATGATGAACTCGAGTCACCAGGCTGTACAATAACCCCTTGAACTGATTCCTCCTGTCTAACTGTAAATACACATTCTCTGACAAACATCTCCCCGACGTCCCCATTCCCAGCCTCTGGTAATGACTATTCTATTGTCCACTGCCATGAGATCAACTTTTTAAGACTCTGCCTAGGAGTGAGATCATGTGGCATTTGTCTTTCTGTGCCTGGCTTACTTCACTTCACAGAATGCTGTCCATATTCAGCTCTGATGTTGGCAATGGCAGGATTTCATTCTGTTTTATGGCTGAATAGTACTCCACTGTAGACACAGACCACATTTTCCTTACACATTCATCCACAGATGGACACTCAGGGTGCTACCGTATCCTGGTTATTGTGAACAGTGTTGCAATAAACACAGGAGTGCAGATCTCTCTCTGACATCCTAATTTCATTTCCTTTGGCTACAGACGCAGTGGTGGGATTGCTGGATCCTCATTAGTTGTGCCAAGCTCATTCTCCATACATTATTTAGGACTGCTATTGGCAAGGCTTGGCTCTCAGAACTAACTCTAGGGGGACCATCTGCACAGACGGTGCTAACTGTCTTGCTAACTTGTGAGAGTTAAAGCCCAAGACGTTCCAAAAATATGTATTTTTCTGAATACTGGATTCTACATGAGAGACTTCTGTTCCAGAACTCACAAGTTTATTAATTATAATGTTTTTCATAGTGCTACAAAATCTGGAAAACATATAGGTAAATAAGTCCTTCCCAACTTAGTAGAATGAAATGTACATATTTTAAAATAAATAGCTGGATTCTGGATAAAATATCTGTCCAATATTTTATCTTTATTATTAGGGGCTAATAAAATAGGTCCTAATGGATAAAATGACTTAAGAATATTAGCTGGGCACAGTGTCTCATGCCTGTAATCCCAGCACTTTGAGGCTGAGGCAGGAGGATCACTTGAACTCAGGAGTTGGAGACCAGCCTGGGCCACATAGTAAGACCCTATCTCAACAAAACATAAAAAAATTAGCTGGGCACGGTGGCATGAGCCTGTAGTCCCAGCTACTCTGGAGGCTGAGATGGGGGGATCACGTGAGCCCAGAAGGTGGAGGCCACAGTGAGCTTCAATCATGCTGCTGCACTCCAGCCCGGGCAACAGAGTGAGACCCTGTTTCAAAAACAAAATAAAACAAAGCAAAACAATTTTATAATTCATCATAGACCCTTCTGATAAATAGATGATATTTTTAAAAAGTCAATATACCACATAAATATTTTATTCAGAAATAAACTATTTCCCCAAGGGAAGTACAGGGTTTCAGAAAATTTTTAGTCATTAAGCTTCTTCCGAGTAGTGTCAGGATGCTTGTGAGGATTCTTTCATGTCTCGGCTCCTTATGCCACATCAGAATACATCAAGGACTGCTCTCCCATGCCGGCACGGCACTCAGTTCCTCTGAGTATCCCTTGGCACCCTACCCCTAGACCAGAGTCATCCTCCGATTTTTGCAAATTTCAAATCAGTGAGGCCTGAACAAATGTATGAATTACTGAGGCCAGCATTAAAGCATCCCTTGGATTACGTAAAAAAGCAAAACACTTAAGGGTGCTTTCTGTGAAAGGGGGATGTGGCTGGCACAGTGGCTACACCTGTAATCCCAGCGCTTTGGGAGGCTGAGGTGGGAGGATCACTTGAGCCCAGGAGTTCAAGGCTGCAGTGAGCCATGACTGTGCCACTGCATTCCAGTCTGGCTCAGAGAGAGAGACCGTGCCTCAAGAAAAAAAAAAAAAAAGTGTGTGGCTATGGGATGCAGCTTGACTTCATCCAGTTTCAGGGGCTATGCAATCTGCAGATCCTTACAGAACCCCCCCAAGTGGTTGACGGAATGGTTAAATAATGGAACAAAACGTTAATAGCCAACTCCGGTGGCACTGTGCACTGTTTCTGAGGATCCTCTCTCTCGAATCCCTAATACCTCCAGATGCTCCTTAGTCTGTTCTCTGCTCTTCCCCCCTTTTCCTGATTTTCCTTCCCTGTCCCAGCCCATTCCCCCGGGCCTCTTTATTTCCCTTCCTGCTCTCACTTAACTGGTAACAATCCTGTGTGAGGTGGCTAACAAAAATACTTGTGATTAATAGCAGATCAGGCAAAATCAGGACTCATGATGTTACAGACAAGAATAAAAGAAAGCTCCAGGAAAACTGTTTCACAGAAAACACAGACTAAACCCTCCAAAATGGTGAAATGTGAGTCCCAAATGGGGCTGAACGTAGCAAACAAAGCAAAAGGGGGCAGTGAGTTTCAAGATCACACTACGTCAGTTGCTTTGGATAGTATGACTTTCCCTGGTACTAGGATCTGAAATAAATTTCTCCCATAGGTCCTAATAAGAAGGATGCTGTGGGCCAAACGTGGTGGCTCACACCTGTAATCCCAGCATTTTGGGAGGCCGAGGCGGGAAGATCACCTGAGGTCAGGAGTTTGAGACCAGCCTGACCAACATGGTGAAACTCCGTCTCTGCTAAAAATACAAAAATTAGCCAGGTGTGGTGACACGCACCTGGAGTCCCAGCTACTCGGGAGGCTGAGGCAAGAGAATCACCTGAACCCAGGAGACAGAGGCTTGCAGTGAGCTGAGATCGCGCCCAAAGCCAGAGCCTGGGTGACAAGGCAAGACTCTGTCTCCAAAAAAAAAAGGATGCTGTGATTTAATAGATTTCAACATCCTTGCGACAAAAGCACTACTAGGTTTCAAGTGACTGTTTATTACTGTTTGGTATTAAGGAACACCAAAGCACCATTTCATCGAAGCGATTCAGCAAAGGTCCAATGTGGTCCAACTTCACAGCTCTCGGATGCTCTGATGAATTGGCTTAAAGGTAGACCATTCAGAGGAATACATGCTGATTTCTAAATCTGAATGTAGATGAGTTGGATGTTCTAAATTTCTTGAAGGAAAAGCTTTCTATAGTTCATTGGTTTTAAGTTGCATATTACTAAATCACTCTCAACATTCTCTTCTGCAGGTCAGTGGGCCTTCACTTTTCAAGAAGTCTCTTTACTGCAATGAAATAACACATTAGTTTCTTCTGTTTTCAGAATTGAATGTACCTGGAGTTTGGCTAAAAGTCAGTGTCTTGCATAGATAATATCTTTCCACAATTCGTGGTGGAAAGAGAGTAGCTGCCAATTTTTAAATCTGTTCAACCATAAACACAATAATCAAGTGACTGCCCAGCCCCTGTTCATAACTTGGCCTCTTCAGTGTGGACCCCCGAGTGGCTGCGGTGCTCACCGGGCAATATCCCCTATGCTGATATGAAATATACAGATAAGAGAAATTTAAGAGAAACTGAAACTTCCCTTGTTAGAAAAGAGCCCTTAACAACAATTCTTGCGCTTTCTGTTCAGGGGCTCTTTGACAATTATAAAGGCTGTGAGTCCTCTCCTAGAAACATACGTACATATAAGATCTTGTATTCAATTTCAGGGGGCTCAAAGAACCATGCCACGGCCTCAGAACTATTTTGTGAGGATGGTCTATCTGCTGAAGCATTTCCTAGGTTGCATTCTGCAGAACATTTCCCACGAGCTATTGATCAGCAAACACAAAATGTTGTATCAAAGATGTTTTGGAAATACTAGGTGAAACACAAACACATTTACACCTCATTAAGGGAAGACTTTTCTGAACCCTAATATGCTAACAGATGCTATAAACTGATAATCGCCAATAGTAGGTGTGTTTCTTAAACTTATGTGAAACTTTTTGTGGGGTGGGGGCTGGGGGGCAGTTCTTACAGGCATTTCCTGAAACTAATTTTCCCACAGAAGAGTTTGGGAAGGAAACTAGCCCTAAGGATACCTTTTTGATATAGACAGTCTCCGAGTTAGGAAAGTCTTGGTCCATACTCTTCCTCCTCTTTCTCTCATCAGGCTCAGGTGCTACTCCATCCTAGCACAGACTCCAATAAAATTACGTGGATGAATGGTGCATGCCAACCAGAGATCAGTGTGGGAAATGGTTTGACCCAATGTCTCCCCACTATCATTGCCTCTCTCCCATCTCAGGAGACTCCCTCACTCACTCTGTGTGGTCAGTCAATTCCACTTCAGACAACCTTTGACAGACAGAATCACTTCTTTAATCCAACCTCTCCTGATATGGTTTGGCTGTGTTTCCACCCAAATCTCATCTTGAATGGTAGCTCCCATAATCCCCATGTGTCGTGGACAGGACCCAGTCGGAGGTAACTGAATCATGAGGGTGGATTTTTCTCCTGCTGTTCTCGTGATAGTGAATAAGACTCATGAGATCTGATGGTTTTATAAAGGGCAATTCCCCTGCACACGTCCTCTCGCCTGCTGCCATGTTAAGACGTGCCTTTGCTCCTCCTTCGCTTTCTGCCATGATTGTGAGGCCACCCCAGCTATGTGGAACTGAGTCCATTAAACCTCTTTTTCTCTACAAATTACCCAGTCTGGAGTATTTCCTCATAGCAGCATGAAAATGGACTATTTCCCTATCCTTGTTTTAATTATCTGAGCCACCTCAGAAAGATTTCTTTCACTCTCTTTGTTCCATTTGGGAATAAAAGTAAGATTGAGCTGGATGTGGTGGCTCTGGCATGTAATCCTAGCACTTGGGGAGGCGAGGCAGGTGGACTGCTTGAGCTCAGGAGTTCAAGACCAGCCTGGGCAACATATGAAACCCTGTCTCTACAAAAAATCCAAAAACTAGCCAGGCACAGTGATGCACACCTGTGGTCCCTGTTACTTGGGAGGCTCAGGTGGGAGGATCACTTGAGCCTGGGCAGTGGGAGTTGCAGTGAGCCGAGATTGCACCACTACACTTCGGCCTGGGCATCAGAGTCAGACCCTGTCTCAAAAAAAAAAAATAGTAATTATAATGAATAATGTTGGAGTTAGGTTATCAATAAATTTATATTACTTATTCTATGCAACTTTACTCTAAAACATTAGAGAACTAGACTGTATTTTCAGAGAACCATTTTGAGTTCTACCCTGTGAATTAAGAATCTTCACCAAAACTGTTTCCATTTACCAAAGTTATTTTATATATTTCCTTATTTAAGCAGCATCACTTAATATATAAATGCGAGGTTCACTCTTTCACTTGTTTTGCAATACATACTTGTATGTTATATATTGATAGATTTTATAGATTATGTAGTTCAATGTTTTATAATATGCATATATATGTGCACACACATTATTTTAATTATTTCTCTCCTGCAAATGCAGAGTATCTATAGTGGGTCCCAAAAGGTTTTTGTTCTCTGGCTAGCCTGGGAACCTACCTGCCATTTATTGCACTGTTTTTCTGGGAAATATTACTCAACTGACTTAAAAGCTTTCAGAATCATCAGTTTTAGGCTAAGTACTTCCTATTTTTTACATCATTAGATAAAACATCTTACACACGCGCGCCAGGGGCATTGGTTCTGGCTAGAGTGACATCGCTTCTTTCACTAGAAAAGAGGATATTTAAATAAATTCTTTGGTGATTAATCCAAACCACAGTGTATAATACTAAGGAATTGAACCATACTTTCTGGAAATGGTCCTAGAAATTGTTAGTCAATATCCATTTAAAGATTCACTAAAAGGTGATGGGCTCTGGTTCCTCTTTCTCATTTAAAATGGGACCATGAGAATAAAAGCAAGGAAGAAAGCCCTAGAGTGAGTTTCTGTAGCTTCAGGATGGTGTTTTCTTTAGGACTATGACAATCAAGTGTGAAGACCAAAACCTATTGGTTCCTTCACAGTTGGCCCCCCTAGCGTCCCTTCCTTCATCCCTGATCAGGGCACCTTACTTCTTCCTTGGGGAGTGCAATGGACTGAATGTTATGTCTTCCTAGAATTCCTATGTTGAAATCCCAACTCCCAACGTGATGGTATTAGGAAGTGGGACCTCTGGAAGGTGATTAGGTCTTGAGAGTACAGCCTTCATGAATGGGATTATATATGGGTGCCCTTATAAAAGGGACCCCAGAGAGCAACTTGCCCTCTTTCCACCTTGTAAGGATACAGCAAGAAGTTGGCAGTCTGCAACTCAGAAGTGACCCTCATCATGCTGGCACTGATCTTGGACTTTCAGCCTCCAGAACTGAGAAATAAATCTGTGTTGTTTACAGGACACCTGTCCATGGTACTTTGTTAGAGCAGCCTGAACTAAGGAACTGCACCCGGTTTAGGTGGCGCAGAGCCCAATTCTTGGCTCCAGGGGTGTATGAGCCAGGCCTTATGAATGAGAGGACCATGTCCCCTTATTCAAGAGATTAGACACGTGACTCAAGATGGGCCAATAAGAGATGAGACATTTCCTGGAACTACAGGGAAATAAGAGCTGTCTTCCTGGAGACATCTGGTAATTTGGCAGACGATAAGCCTGTAGCTCAGAGTGGGCCATCTTGCTGCTGCCATATTGGGGACCCTTCCCTGCTTGAGAATAAAATTAACATAGAGGAGGAGAGTGGGGTGGGGGCAATGGGGGAGGCCTAATGACATCATTGTACATCTAGAGCTAGTTCTAGCTGAAGATAACACTAATTCTGGACTTCCTAAGAGTCAATAAATTCTTTTTTTTTTTTTTTTTTTTTTGAGACAGGGTCTCGTTCTGTCACCCAGGCTGGAGTGCAGTGGTGTAATCGTGGCTCACCCGCAGCCTCAAACTCCTGGGCTCAAGCAATCCTCCTGCTTCAGCCTCCTGAGTAGCTGGGACTATAGGTGTGTGCCACTGTGTCCAGCTATTTGTTTTAAATTTTTTTTAAAGATGAGGTCTTGCTATGTTGCCTAGGCTAGTCTCAGACTCCTGGCTTCAAGAGATCCTCCTGCCTCGACCCCCCAACATGCTGGGATTACAGGTGTGAGCCAACACACGGCCAAGTTCCCTTTTTTATGTAAGCCAGTCTGAGGTGGAGTTTTGTCACTTGCAGCATTAGAATTTATCTACAAAACATGTGATAAATGACAGTAGCAATAAACTGTCTTGCTTATTCAAAACACTGATTCAATGTTGACTGCCAAAACATTCAGTAAGACAAGGAAAGGTATACTGAGCTCTGGCCTGGCTGGAGACTATCTGTTGAATTCATACATATGGAGGTATCTTAACTCTTTCAGGCCTTATGCGACTGCTAAATGTGGCGTCATAACAGACACATACCACAGAAAAGAATCACAGCAGAATAGCTGAATTGAAAGAGAATTAGGAAATATCCAGTCTAGTGGCTTTCAACTTTTTTAAACTGTGGTCCACAGAAAGAAATAGAAGCCAGCACACACACTCCCATATGGAAACCAAAAAGCTTCCCAAATCAATACTTACGCTTACTATGTGCAATGCACTCTGATTTTAAAATCTGATGATGGTGACCATGCTTTTCTGAACCACTAATGGGTTTGGAAAACAGGTAAGAGAGCCGGAGATACAAGGTAATTTACATAAGGTTTCTCACTGAGTGAATGGTAGAGCTGAAACACCCAGTGCCCATCCTGCTGTATTATATGAAAGAGAACAGCTGTTACCTACACACATCCCTAGACAGTGGGCTTCTGGCCAATATTCTCAGTCTGGGAAAATGATTCAGGTGTCAGGCCTATTTTACACTGGTACAGTGTCCAGGATTTTTAGGGCCACCTCAAGACCACCTAAGTGAAAACTCACATCCACCAGTTGGCTTTAGATTCACATCCACATAGATTGATTTTCGACCCTCTCACTCCTCCTTGAACTGACCTGCATGGGAAATCATTTGGAGTTTGTGCCTAAATGACCAACAAACAAGACTGAACCAAAGGCACGGAGTAGGATCACGTTTGTCTTGGGCTTGAAGAAACACATTTCATTACAGTCTCCTCACCCTATCTAATGAGTAGCATCACGCTGGATAACTTCTTTGCCAACTAACAGTATTCATGAAACTTCAAGTCCCAGATGGCATTATGCTAGGCATAGTAGAAGATACAGCTTAGGTGGGGCCCCTCTGCACCCCATAAACAGCTGTTAATCTAATCTGGGAGGGGAGAAAAAAAGCTTCATTAATAAGACTTGAGTGAGGCTCAAAGGAAAAAAGAGACAGAATTTAACATGGAGTATGGGTGACGGTAGGCACACCAGCACACCAGCACACCAGCCTGGCTGCGTGTGACAGAGGGCTCATGCTGTGTGGCTGAGGATGGGGTGTGGCCAGCTGGAGAGTGAAACATGATGTATGGGGTGGTGAAAGTCAGGTGAAACACGAAAGCTGAAAAAATGGAGAGAATGATTAATTTTTAGTAGTTGATAAATATTAGTTTAATATAATGGAGAAATTTATTTACATGACTTATCATCACCTTCCACATTACAAAAACATTATGTAGCTTTATGATCAGCACTTTAACTCCTAGAAACATTTACCCTCATTAAACTCCGTATACTTTACCTTCCTCAAAGTAATATTTAATTATTAGTTTTAATTTGCTAAGCAACTGATGTATAGTAGGTGCTTCAAAGATGAGCTGACCAGTCTCTCCACATCATGTCTAAAGCTATGCTCTATTTTCAATGTTTATAAGACAATATAAAATTAAGCAAATTACAGGGATCACGATACTTTATAAACTAAAATTCCAGTTAGTCTATCAAAGGAACTTTACTGAAATAAAGCATTACACAAGATCATACTGGCATTCTCCCCCTCCACTGTCTTTTTCTTTTTTTTGAATCAGGGTCTTGCTGTTGCCCAGGCTGCATAGCAGTGGCATGATCATGGCTCACTGCAGCCTTGAACTCCTGGGCTCAAGCAATCCTTCTGCCTTGGCCTCCCAAAGTGCAGAGATTAGAGGTGAAAGCCACCACGCCTGGCTATTCTTTGTTTTGTTTTGTTGAGATGGGGTCTCACTCTGTTGCTCAGGATGGAGTGCAATGGCACAATCACAGCTCACTGCAACCTCCACCTACCAGGCTCAGGCGATCCTCCCACCTCAGCCTCCTGAGTAGCTGGGACTGTAGGCATGCAACGCCACACCTGGCTAATTTTTGTATTTTTTGTAGAGACGGGGTTTCTCCATGTTGCCCAGGCTGGTCTTGAACTCCTAGGCTCAAGCAATCCACCTGCCTCAGCCTCCCAAAGTGCTAGAATTACAAGTGTCAGCCACCACACCTGGCCGTATTTTTAAACTTACTATTCACAAGGTATCATATCATGGTTTTAATGAGTCACTTGCTGTACTGCCTGTGGGGTGAAGAGTAACTATCTCCTGATGGCGACGGCATCTCCTTGTCTGCCTGTCATGTTAAGCCAAATGTAGTCACATAAGAGAATAGCAAAGAAAAGATGGTCATTTGACTTCAGGGCAATTCACTCAAGAAGAGGAGAAGACTCTAACTGAAGGTCTCCATGACTATGAACGCCAACATCCCCATGACATGATGTGACACTACCCATTGGTATCACCCAGCAGGCTAATAAGCACTTCTGAAATGTTAAATGTGAGTAATACTAACTTGTGGTTTTTAATGTAATTCAATACATCACATCTGGACTTCTCCCACCATCACGCCTGTGATCTCAGCACTTTGGGAGGCAAAGGCGGGTGGATCACTTGAGCTCAGGAGTTTGAGCCCAGCCTGGGCAACATGGAGAAACCTCATCTCTACAAAAAATACAACAAATTAGCCGGGCATGGTGGTGTGTACCTGTAGTCCCAGCTACCCAGGAGACTGAGGTGGGAGGATCACCTGAGCCCGGGAGGTGGAGGCTGCACTGAACCATGATCATGCCACTGCACTCCAGCCTGGGAGACAGAGTGAAACCTGTTTCAAAAAGAGCCTCACACCTTTCACTCGGGAAACTTTCATATCAACCAATGCTTTAACTTTGCTATCTTTCTCATATTAAGTAAATAATACTCAGTTCCACTTGTTATTCACGTACTGGATTCTAGAACAGCCCCACATGAATACACTGCAGCAGTGACAGCTCTTAGTAAAGGCCCAGTTCAGTCCTAAATAGAAGACTAAAGAAAAGCCTGGGCCAGGCACGGTGGCTCACGCCTGTAATCCCATCACTTTGGGAGGCTGAGGCAGGCAGATCACAAGGTCAGGAGTTCAAGACCAGCCTGGCCAACATAGTGAAACCCCATCTCCACCAAAATACAAAAATGAGCTGGGCATGGTGGCGCGCACCTGTAGTCCCAGCTACTCGGGAGACTGAGGCAGGAGAATCACTTGAACCCGGGAGGTGCAGGTTGTGGTGAGCCGGGATCATGCCACTGCACTCCAGCCTGGGCAACAGAGCGAGACTCCGTCTCAAAAAAAAAAAAAAAAAAGAATAGCCTGAAATAATGCATCCGCCAGGGTATCACCAAAGCCAAATCCTTAAATAATACAAACAAGACTGTTATTAACGAGTACATGAAATACTGTATTTCCATTTGAGTTGTTCAGATTATAATTAATCAGGACGACCTCATCAAGGTCTCTCAGGAATACACAGCAGTTCTCTGCTTCTTTTCACTACTAGGTTAAATTTATTTAGGAAATGCATACGCTGTAAGTAAATGCTATTTTCTTGGACATTAAACATTATTACTCTCTAAATCTAATACAAAGAAAAAGAGAAACAAATTTATTTGCTAGTGTCTAATTCTGGTCTTGGAATAATAACTATTTTTTTTCTAAACACACAGCAGGAAAAGTGCTTCTGCATAATGCATTTCTCTTGATCCGGTTCCCAGCAATAGTTTCTCGATAAGACACAGATTCTGCAGGGAAACGGAACACTTCAGTTCCTCAAGGTAGTAAGAGAAAAAGACTCCTTGTATGTAATAGCCAGACATTTTATCGATAAAACTTGGGAGCACAATTTTAAAAAGTCAGGGGTTGGCCTCACTGGTGGAAAAAATATAATGCATTCATTCAAGCAACCAAACACAGGAGGCATTTCTGTAGTTATCTGAGGGCACCTCTCACGTTTACTGAGTCCGCTTCCGGGATTAGATACTTCAGGCTGCCAGCAGAAATCCTATCAAGTAAAAGTGGGCAAAATAGAAAATGGACTTTAAAATTGTCGTCCTTCCCTGGTGAGGCAACTGATTAAGAAGACAGTCTGCAAGAATATCATCATTTCAGAAATCTATTCTGATACCTGATTTGTAGAGAAATGCTTTTGATGTCTGCAGTAATCTACAGAGATCGAAAAAGTCTCAAACACCAGAACGCCATCAGCGCCACCTCTAAAGAGGCGCAATACCTAGAAACCCAATCACCAGAGCTCCGAAAATGCAAAAGGGCCACCCCGAGCATCTATCCTGGCCCATCTGCGCGTGGAAAGTGCTCTCTGGTCGCCAGTCTGCAGGGAAGCAAAGCTCTCAGAAGTTCCTCCGAGCCTTCCATCCACTTTCAGGACTGCCCTGTGCACGCGGGTGAATCGAGCGTCCCTCCGCTCCCCTGGTCTGTAGTTAGAGACAGTCCCCCGTCGCCCGATCCCGCACCCGCTGAGGAGCGCAGGGCTGTGCCCGCACCTCGCCTCGCACCTGTCTGCCCAGGGAAACCGGGAGCTCCGCGGGCCCCGCCGCGGGAAGGAGGCGGCACTGGGTCCCAAAAACCCGTGTTGAGGAGAAGCCGAGCGCCCCAACACACTCGCCGCCGGCCGGGCCGGGCCCCCGCGCGCCCCGACGCCGCCCCAGCCCCGCCCGCGCGCGCCCGACACGCTCGTCCCCGCCCTCGCTCCGACACAGACACACGCGCGCGTCCTCGCACCACTCCAGAAGCTCATCCGGCCCGCGCGCGCACCCAGACACGCGTGGCTCACACCCGCCGCACACGCCCCTCGCACAAACACGCGCGCCCCTCACGCCCTCGGCCACTCCAGACACACGGCCCCGGGCCCCACGCAGGCTCGGGCGTCGACACACCCTCGCGGCATGGACACGCGTGTCTCCCACCCACTCCTCGGCCAAACGCACCCCTCCCTGCAGCCCCTCACCCTTGCTCCTCACACTCACTCCCCACTCTCGCCCCAGAAACACGCCCCTCACACCGGGCCCGCCGGATCCCCACACTTCCCACTCGCGCCAGAAACGCGCGCACCCTCGTGGCCCCTCCCTGCCGCGCGTAAACACGCCCGGTCCGCGCACGCCCTCCCGGCCTGGCCCCGCACACTCGCGCCAGAAACACGCGTGGCCGCGCACCACGCCCCCGGCCCGCGAGCACGCGTGTCCCCACGCCCCGGCCCCGCCCCCGCCCCGCGCGCGCCCCCGCCGGCCGCCGCCCTCGACCGCACGCGCCCTCCGCCTAGCCCCGCGCCGCCGCGCACCTACCCGGACCTGCTGAGCTCGGCTCCTGCTCGTCAGGCTTGCGCCGAGCCGCCGCTCACTGGCTCCCGCGCCCCGCCCGGCCCCGCCCGGCCCGGCCCAGCCCGGCCCCGCGCCCGCTCAGCTCCACTCGCCGCAGCTGGAACGACTCGCGGGGCTCCGGGTACCGCGGTCTCCCCGCCACTGCCCGAGTGCGCCGCCCGGACCAATGGCGGGGCGCGGCGGTGAGCTCACCGGACCAGACCCCGCCCCCCAGGCCGCGTGGTCCAATCGGAGGATGCGACGTCACCCGGAGCCGGGCAGAGGCTGGTGCGGGGCGCGGAGCCGCTCGGCGCGGGGACTGCGCCGGAACTGCGCCCGAGCCGCGCTGGACGGCGGGGGCCCGGCCGGAGGTTGCGGGCGGAGCGCGGCCCGGGCGTCCCCGCGCGAGAGCCGGGCCCCCGGTCCCTCGCGACGCGGTCCCCGCCGCTCCGCCCGCCCGGCTCAGCGCGGCCCGCGAATGGGGCGGCGACGGTTCCCTCGAGGCCGGGACGGCTCGGAGCCCGACGGCTGCGCCCGCTGCCCGGGCCGACGGCCCCCGGAGCCCCGCGCGGGCCTCCCGTTCCCCTTCCCGCGGGGCCGCCCCGCGCCCGCCCTGCCTGGCTCCCCGCGCCGTCGGGGCCGCCCGAAGCTCCGCGCCGAGGGCCCGCGTTCCCGGGCTCGGGCTCCCTGCGCGGCCCCGGCGCGCCCTGCGGCGGCGGCGTCTGCAATGCAGCCGGCGGGAGGAGCCGGCGCTGCGCAACGAGCGGGGAGGCGTGGGGGCCAGGCTGGAGGGAGGGGGCCGGGGCCCGAGGACCCGGGGAGGGCCAGGGCGGGGCGGAGGACGGTGGGCGGGGACGGTGGCGGCGGCTCCGGCTTTGGGGAGGGGGTGCGGCGCTGGGCCCCCTTAGCTGGAGTGCAGGCTCCGCCCACCCTTTGGGTCTAACCTCCGCGTTCCAAAGTTCCAGCTCCAGCCCTGCGCACTTGGGGACTTCTGCGTGAGGGTCTCTCGCCCCGGCCACAAATCCCGAGCCGCACCTCTTAATCGAGGCTCAGGCGTCCCGAGCGGATCCCGCTTTCTTTTTTCCCTGTGCTGTTTGCAGTCCCACGGCCTCGCACAGAGAAAGTGCCTGACCCCAAGACCTGTGATGAGACCGCCTATTTTGTTTTTGTTATATACTAATAGATATAGATATATAGATACAGTCAATTATCTGTAAAATCGGCCATGTCTCTGCCACCTGGGTAAAAAGGTGTCTCGAAATTGGGGGCGGAGTCTCTTTTCTGACCCTACCCAAACGCACACAGAAACAACCCCAACATTTGCAGAGCCCTTAAGCCTGTACACCCAATGAGGAATCGCTGGTTAGAGGCCGCGTGAAGGACACCCTGACCAAGCTGGGTCCTGCCCATGCCGGTAGATCGTCCATGGCTTCCCTTGGGGGCTGCCACCCACTGTAAACCTGAGCAAGTTCCTCTCCTGTTCCGAAGCCTGCCCTGGCAAAGCCCCAGTACATATTCCAATCCTGCTCTAGGTCAGTATTCCCACTGCACCTGTCTACCCCTCGCCCGCCCCCCGGGTCACCACGCAGGACCCCTTGCACGCTCCCCCCACCACCTTTGCTATGCAACTCCTCCCCTTTATCTGCTAGGGAGACTCCTATGCATTCATCAAGGTCCAGCTCAAATCTGGCCACCCTCAGTGGCTTTTCCTGACGCTCTCAGCAGAACCAAACCTCCAGCTTTGTTATGTGTTGGTGTTGCAGTACACAGTGAGTGAGTTCTGTTTGTTTTCCAGGGCGGCAATGAAAGGGTAGTCATCAGGGACACATAGGCTCGGGAAACCAACCCCCCTGGGTTCAGAGTGGGCTCGTTGCTAGCTGTGTGCTCCACTGTCTGTGCCTTCATATCTATGGTGCGGGAGTTAAAGGAATCAATAGGTGGAAGGTGCATGTACCAGTGCCTGGCACTGATGTACATTCAATCAAAGTTAGCTACCGTTGCCAGCTTTGCCAAAACGGGGTACTTGGGGGCGAGGAGGAGTGGCTGGAGGCTGGGGTTGGGGTGGCTTCTGGGTTTCTGGTGCTGTTTTAATCTCGACCTGGGCACTGGTTTTAGTTTGTGAAAAATCATTGAGTTGCATACTTAGAATATGTGCACTTTTCCATATGTCCATCATACATTAATAAAAAGTGTTTCTAGAAGTTAGTTGTTTTTCACTAAGAGCAGGACAGCCCTCATCTCCTTGAGAACAAGAACAAAGCCTGACATCCCAGCAGCTTGCACAGTGCTGGCGGGGCACGCTGTAAGTGCTCAGCTGATGGTTGTTGAATTGCTCTGAATGGATTGTGAGCAAGAGACCAGCAGGGGTGGAGGCTGACAGGAGAGACAGCGCCTGCCTCTGTACTCTAAAGTGCCGGGGAACTCGTGGTGATTTGGATCCAGTTCAGGCACCTGAAGCCCAGTTAAAGAGAAGGAATCTTCAGTCTTTTCTCTCTCAGGTGGGGAAGTTCTTTTTCCTGTTGTTGTTGTTTGTTTGTTTGTTTGTTTTGGCAGACACAAGTTTCAGCCCTGGCATCCCAGCTGTCTGAAGGAGGGGCCTCAGGGGTACCCATGACCCCTCACCCTTCCTGCAGCAGCCCCACCTCTGCCGAGCAGGTGGGACAGGTGGGGTCATGGCTGCAGCAGCCCAGGAGGCACTGGCTGAGCCCTGCTGAGTGGGTTGGGGTCAGGAGCCTGGGGTGACGTTTCTGCATGGGGAATGTCCTGGTATTGTTTCTCGGCTGGGCTCGTTCTTCTCCTGGAGTGCCTGCCACTCACTGCACCACAGGAGCAGGAGGCTTCCTTGGGTCCCTTTCTTGGAAAGTCAGGCAGAGCTAGGGTGGGATGAGCTGGGTGCTCCTGAGGCAAGCCCCGAGTGCTGCCAGCGCCCTAAAACTGAATCTCCACAGGTGGTTCCTTGTGGTATTCATGTTCTTTCTTCCAAGTTAGAAGATGAGAGAATAAGGCACGCGCATGATTCAAGCATATTGTTACACTGGGTTTTTATGGGGCTTTGAGCATACCTGGGTTGTTTTGTAAAATAGAGAAAAAGAATACTCAGTTATGAGTCCATTGGCAGTACCAAGGTTAAGTGCAATTTTTGTCCTTTAAAGCAGATACAGCCGGGCACGGTGGCTCACACCTGTAATCCCAGTACTTTTAGGAGGCTGAGGCAGGAGGATCACTGGAACCCAGGAGTTCGAGACCAGCCTGGGCAACATGGTGAGATCTCCTCTCTACAATTTTTTTTAAAAAAAATTAGCGGGGTGTGGTGGTGTGTGTCTGTAGTCCTAGCTATTTGGGAGGCTGAGGCGAGAGGATTGCTTGAACCCAGGAGGTTGAGGCTGCAGTAAGCCATGATCACACCACTGCATTCCAGCCTGGGCAACAGAGCAAGACCCTGTCTCAAAAAGGGGGAGAAAAAAAGCAGATACAGGGAGTTGATATATCAGCCCTAACCCTGCTGAGGGTCTCAGGATGAACCCAGGGGGTGGATCCTGTTGCAGAGGAGGAAGAAGGGAATTTCAGTCTGTTGGATGCCTGTTATCTGCCTGCTGTTGTGCCAGGCACTCACGCTGCTGCTAAGTCTCCTGCAAGCAGGATATTCCATAGAGGGTAAGACGAAAGCTTCAAAAAGTCAGATAACTTGCTCAAAGCCACACAGCTGGAAAGCAGTGGATCTGGGTTTCACTTCAGAGCCTGTGTTCATTCTGCCCTATTCCAAGCACCTAAAAACTCTTACCATTAAGTAGATATCATTTGTTTAACAGAACAGTCTGGAAATTTCTACAAAGGATTTTTTTGTTTTTTGAGACAGGATCTCACTCTGTTGCCCAGGCTGGAGAGTAATGCCATGATCTTGGCTCGATGCAGCCTTGATCTCTACAAAGGAATTTTACCACAGTGATTAAAGTTCGAGATGCACAACAGAAAGTCCACATCAACTGATTTCATTACACCTGTTACATTTCAATACACTCCAGGGAAATGGTAGTCATTAATATTATATACCAAATATCTCTGGTTGCTATCCCTGGGGGTGCTTTGCACTGGCCTGTACCCTTTGAAGTTAGATGTGACCATGTGACTTTCTTGAGCCAATGAAACATGAATAAATCTGATGTGTATTATTACAGATAGAAGCTTTAAGAGCCAGTGACCTGCCCAACACATTCTTTCCCCCGGCCCTGGCAATTGTGCAAGCTTGTTTATAGGAAAAGGTAGCCTCTGCCAGCCGGGGCCCCTGTGTGACCATGATGAGTAGGGCCCTCCCTAGCAATTGTAGTTGGACTTGTAGCATGAATGAGAAATCCAGTCCTGAGATTGAATTGGTTGTTACTGCAGTATAATCTAACCTCTCCTGTCTGATAAGAAATCAGATGTTTCTGTATATATCAACTTCCAGTAAAAGAAAAAATCATAAGATTCTGCTCAAACTAAGTGACAATTTAAAAATAAGAGCAAGATGCATATTCAGTATATCTTTAAGGCTTGAAGAAATAGAAAATATTTTAAAAAGCCACAGGTAAAGCTGACAAGGCAATTCAATGGGGAAAGAATCGTCTTCAACAAATGGGGCTAGGACAATGGGCTATCCACATGAAAAAGAATGAAGTTGAACCCCTGCCTCACACCATATATAAAATGTAACTCAAAGTGGATCAAAGACCTACATATAAGAGGTAAAGCTACAAAACTCTTGGAAAAAAAATACGGCAGTAAACCTTCATGACCTTGGATTTGGCGATAGTTTCTTAAATATATCAAAAGCACAAGCAACCAAAGGAAAAAATAAATAAATTGAACATTATCAAAATTGAAAACCTCTTTGCTTCAAAGGGCAACATCAAGAAGTAAAAAGACATTTCACTAAAAGGGAGAAAATATTTGCAAATCTCATATTTCATAAGGGACTTGTATCTCAAATATAAAGAGAACTCTTACAGCTCAAAAATAAAAAGCAAAGAACCCAGTTTTTAAAATGGGCAAAGTATCTGAATAGACATTTCTCCAAAGAAGATCAATAATAAGGGCAATAATCAATAATGCTCAACATTTGATTTGAGGAAATCAAAGTCACTGAGGAAATGCAAATCAAAACCACAATGAGATACCACTTCACACCCACTAAGTGACTATAATCACAAAGAAAGACAATAACAAGCGTTGGCAAGGATGTGGAGAAATTTGAACTTTTGTACACTGGTGGTGGAAATGTAAAATGGCACAGCTACTTAGGAAAACAGTCTGGCAGTTCTTCAAAAGGTTAATTATAAAGTTATGATGTGACCCAGCCATTCCATTCCTAGGTATATATCCAAGAGAATGAAAGGAGATGTCCATACATATGGACATTTACTTAGCAATAAAAATAATGAAGTACTGATACATGCTGCAACATGGGTGAACCTTAAAAACATCATGCTAAGTGCAAGAAGCCAGCCACAAGTCCATACATTGTATTACATCATTTATAGAAAATGTCCAGATTAGGAAAGTTTATGGTGACAGGAAATAGATCAATAATTGCCTAGGGAGGGTGGTGGGGGGGAGCTGAGGAGGAATGGGGAGTGACCCTGGTTCATGGGCAGCAGGATGTTTCTTGGGGGATGAAAATGTTCTAAAATTAGTTTGTGGTGATGACTGCACAACCCTGTGAAAACACTCAGAAACTTTGTACTTCAAATAGGTAAATTGTATGGTATGTTAATTATGTCTCAATAATGCTGTAACACACACACATAGACAAAGGAGAATAGAAAGAGAATGAAGAAGTATAGAATAGAAATCAATGGATTTAACTTGAGAAAAGAAGACTGACCGACGGAAAAAGCTAGGCCCAGGTCAGGAGAGTCTGATGGCCGATCCTCCCAGTGAGTCGGTCTGGGCCAATGTGGGGTGCAGTGGCAGGAGGGGAATCTGAATAGACAGGCCCTGTCCCATGACTACTCAGTGAGGAGATGAGACTGGCACAGGGGAGGCCCTGAGTCACACGATGGTGATGCCCAGGGCAGAAGATGTCAGAAGACAGGCAGTTTGACAGTGCTTCTGAAGGTCGTGAAAAAGCCAGGGGTGAGTCTGTAAAGTCCCTGCTGGCCATGATGATGTCCCTGACAGCTGGGGATCCTGGCGAGAACAGCATTCAGAACTTGGGATTTTCCTTGCAGATCACAATGGTTGGCTGACTCAGGGGAAAGGGGGAGCTTTGCAGAGAGCCTCAAACATCTCCAGCTGAGCTGCACCTGTCAGGGCCCCTGAGCCATCCAGGAAGAAGGAGGCACTGAGGTGGGGAACGGGGTCCTGGCCTGGGGTCAGCAGCCTGGGCTCTGGTTCCAGTTCCGCACCCCCCCTTGCCCCCCAGAACTACCTGTATGGCAAGCTCCTTTCCCTTCCTGTGCCTCAGTTTCCTCCTCTGTAAAATCAGTTTAGACTACACTGCAAGGTTGTCCAGCCCGCAGTCAGTGGGCTGCATGCCAGCCAGGACAGCTTTGAATGTGGCCCAACACAAATTCGTAAACCTTCTTAAAACATTATGAAATTTTTTTGTGTGTGATTTTTTTAACCTAATCAGCTATCATTAGTGTTAGTGTACTTTATGTGTGACCCAAGACAATTCTTCTTCTTCTGCTGTGGCCCAGGGAAGACAAAAGATTGGACACCCTGGACTAGAGTCTCAACATAATTCTTTAAAAATCCTGTTTAATCCAAATCCGTTGTTGCTGCTGAAGGGACAGGTCTAAGGCCATGTTGGTGGGGGGGGGGGGGGTCACAGTGCGTGGCCAGCATGACCTGACAGAGCAGGTGCCCCTATGCTTCAGCTGCAGGGACTCTGGGCTTAAAATCATCAGTCCCATGAGTGCAGTTGCATGTGTGAGCTTGGCCAACCCACGGCATCAAGAGAAAGTACCCATTCTCATCATTTTGAGCCATTCAGCTTTGGGTTGGCTTGTTATACGGCCAGAGATAATGGTCCTGACAGTGATGTGGAGGATAGTGGGGAGAAACAGTGTTTGCTACCAGGATATGCCATGATTGGCGTCATCCTGGGAAGGTGCCAGCTGTAATATGGAGGGAGGAAGAGATGCATTAGCCATCAGCCCAAAAACTGGCAGGTTTCTCCTAATGGACATAATGCAGAAAAGAATCCAAGGAAGCGGAGTGAAACCACCTTCAACTCATTCTCCCTGCTGGCTGACACAGGCCCATCCATTCCGCCAGCAACTTCTACCAGGCCCCCACTATTACACACATGTTGGATGTTAAAATACACAGCTATTCTCCCCATTAAAGTGGGCGAAATGCAGAGACATCTCTGCTGTGAAGGGGAGCAGGATACTAAAAAGCGGATTGTCCCAAATCAATTCAGGTGGTGGGAAGGCATGGTGAAAAAGTGCCCACTGGGCTGCAATGTCAGATGGCCCTGAGTTCGAATCCCCAGCGGTGTGACACAGGACAAGTCACTTGACTCCTCTAAGATTCAGGCTCCTCGTCAATAGAATGGGGATGGAAAGATCTGGAATACGGCCGGGATGAAGTTGGATAATAAACTTAAATAGATAGCCCAGGGCCTGGTGGGTGCCCAGTGAGGGCTCAGGGGATAGAACCCGGAAATCACCATCACTTCGGGTCCTCCTGTCCTCAGGATGTGCTCCAGATCTTTCAGGGTGGCAGATGCCTTCCTGCCACTTTCCTCCCTATGCTGTTCGAATGAGCTTGCCTTTCCTGCCTGCACAGCAGCTGTGTGAGGGAGTTGGCCAGGATGCCCTAGGCAGATTGAGTAATCCCACACAGGTACAAGAGAGGTGCTCCAACGGAATCTTATTCTGTAGCCATTCAGGAGTAGCTGGAGTGAGACGACCTAGGCCCAGACCTCTTAGCATGCACTGGTTTAACTCACAGGTCCCACCCAGCCCAGCCTGCACCAGCAAAGCAATACAGGCTGTTTCTTCTAAGCAAGAATTCCCACATGTCCATGCACTTCTTCACCTGGCTAAGGGCTCACAGATCCTCCCGTGCAGAGTGTATGGGCTGCCACGGCCTTCTCTACGGCTCCCTGTGCAGGGTCCAACCCTTCTCAAGCTCCTGAAGAGGTGCTCAGGAGACCCCAGTCTTCAGGTCTGAGACAGCATCAGAGGTCCTGTGGGGCTACAGTCAACTTTTCCATGAGGCAGAAAGACCCCACTGAGCCTTCAAAGAGGATGCCGTGTACCCTACAGCCCAGTAGAGTCACAGTGGTAAATGGGCATTTTAATCAGAAAAGTACTCTCAAAAAATGCACTAAATCAAGCTGTCATGGTGTGGCTTTCTTATAAAGCAGATAACATTTATTTTAAAAAAAAAAAAAACTGGCTGGGCACTGTGGCTCACGCCTGTAATCCCAGCACTTTGGGAGGCTGAGGAGGGAGGATCACGAGGTCAGGTGTTCGAGACCAGCCTGGCCAATATAGTGAAACCCTGTCTCTACTAAAAATACAAAAAAGTAGCCAGGTGTGGTGGTGGTGCCTGTAGTCCCAGCTACTCGGAGGCTGAGGCAGGAGAATTGCTTGAACCTGGGAGGTGGAGGTTGCAATGAGCCGAGATTGCGCCACTGTACTCTGGCCTGGGTGACAGTGTGAGACTCCGTATCAAAAAACAAAACAAAACAGCAACAACAAAACAAAAACTTAGAGATCTAATTAAAGAGAAACAAGTGTGCTCTCTCATAGGCAACAGTGGAGTCAAAAGACTGTGACATTTATGAGAAAGCCATTTTGACATCACCATCCTCACAGCCACTGAGCCACTGTCAGGTACCCGTGAAAATGAGAGCTGGAAAGTTGTCCTTTTAGGGAAGCAACTAGCTACTCCCTAAGAATAATAAGTACCAAGGTCATGAAGAGAGGAGCTGTGCTGTTACCAACAGGAGACAGAGCAATCACAAAGGAAGGCCCAATTCTGTGCAAGTGCATTTTAAATGACAGCCGTCTCCTGCACCAGGGGAGGCAGAGCTGACATATTTAGTTCAGGGAGCATTTGCAGATACCTTTGGTGCTAAATGACATTACTTAGAAAAAGAAAAAAGTGGCCAGGGAAAAGCGCACACATGACACACACTCGCATGCCCCCACCCCCTGCTGATCTCTCTTTGGCACCCTGGGTCACTTTGTCACTGTGGCCCCTCATGGTGCAGCCACAGTCCCATGCAGGCCAGCACCTCACTGGCTCTGGAACCAATGAAGTGGAGGCTGTCCCCTGCTTGGCTCTGCTGCCCCCCAGGGCCTAAGAAGCACCTATGTCCAAAGTGAAATACCATGGATCGTGCTCTGTCTCCAGAGTGGGAACAAGAAACGCAGCCCCACCCAGTGATCCTCCTGGTCTAATCTCACTTTCAAGTGACTTGGAATAATGCCAGGGCGTTTCACCAAATATAAAAATGAGCACCCACTCACTCTGTTACTGGGAATGAAAAAATGAGAACGCCGGGGAGGAATGATGTCTTTGAGTGCAATTGGGGGCCTTGGAGCTTCAGGCTCCCTGCCGCGCCCTCTTCTCTCTGCTCAGAGCTCGCTCTTGCCTGCTGCTTTCCAGGGGAGGGGTGTAAAGACTCATGATGAATGCGTCAGTCATTTCCAAGTTCCAGAGTGCTGGGGGCTTCCAGGGCATCAGGTCCCACCTCGTGGGGGCTGTGTCTGCAGCATTTCTGGGCTGGCTCCAAAGCACCTCTGTGCAGGCCCTGTACAGAGCTATCTACCGGTTTCTCCTGGCTTTAGCTCTCCTGGGTGACCCAGACCAGACCTTCTGATGTCATAATAAACATCATGGAGCTTATAAAATTAGAGCAATGATGCATTTTTTATGCCTCAGGAATTACACTGAATTGTTAATGTCTTGGAAAATGGCTGAATGCTGCATTCGTAGCTTTCCTTTCCCTTAAGGGTGAATTATTGAGCAGGAATGCTCTCTCCCCAGGTCCCCGCCCTGGCTCAGAGATCCCTGTCTGCACCCAGCTGGGCACTAATTGCAAGGTCCGATCCATTCCCATCAGTGTTGAGGAGAGGAAGAGAGGTCTTGTTGGAGAAGAGTAGCCATCGAGGAGGGGACAGTGGTGCTAGGGCTTCCTTCAGCCTCCCAGCCCCCAGCACAGGAGAGGGAGACAGCAGAGAGGGCCGGAGGGAGGGAGCTGGTGGCTTAAAATGGAGCCGTTTACAACCCCGCACAGCAAATGGAGCCATTGGGAGGACACTTGACCGAGAGGAGAGCATTGCTTGAGCCAGGGGTGCCGTCTGCAGGACAGAGACAGGAGGCAGTGTTGTTTCCAGGGCATCGTGGACCATGGCACAGGTGAGCAATTTAAAAAGGTGATTGGAATCATATGTTAGAATAATGACCTTAGCAGTCAAAGGCTCCTGGAATTTGTCATTTAATTTCATATTTTAGGTGGACTGATCTGTAATTTAGTTAATTTCACATCTCCATCTAGGAAAACTGGAGCTCTGCACAATATTTTCTGCAGACGACAAAGTATTCACCCAAACTATTTCTCATAGTAAAATGTGCTCTTTGTCCCCAGAGAACTGCTGAATACTACATAAGATCTGTGTAGGAGCCATGCTTTAACAACAACAAACACCTCAGACACACAACAACCCTTTCCTCCCTCGATAAAGATACTGAAAAGAATCTGGTCTCTGGGGTGAGGAGTAGGGGAAGCAGGTGCAAGCAAGTGGGTGCAGAGGAGTGGGAAGATGGCATTTTGTGTAGGAAAGAATTTAACGTTGCCCAAAGAGAGGTCTGGCTTTTGTCCTCACCTTCTGGGAGGTGAACTCTAAGCCCTTGGAATATCATGCCTGATTGGAGTTTGTTTGCCTGGGATCCTTGTGTCACAGAATGGTCTAACCATATGATTTAGGGTAGATGCTGGCCACACTGGATAGGTTTAGGGTAGGGGTTGGCTGTGCCAGAAAGACCAACAATGTGACTTAGGGTGGGGTCTTTGGGTCACGTGGTATCAGCTGACTCTGGAGGAGCTGGAGAGGGAGGGCAGTCACCTGTGTGATGGAGCCGCAATAAAAACTCTGAACACTGGGGCTATGGTGAGCTGCCCTGGTTGGCAGTACTCCATGGGTACTGTCACACATCAATGCCAGGAAAGTCATGCTTTTCATGATTCCATGGGGAAGAGGACAGTGGAAGCTCCATGTCTGGTACCTTCCTGGACTATGCCCTATGCCCTTCCTCCCTTGGCTGATTTTAATCTGTATCCTTTTGATGTAATAATGTGCAACTGTGAGTATGAGAGCTTTTGATGAGTTCTGCGTCCTTCCAGTGAATGATCAAACCTGAGGGTGGTCTAGGGTACCCCTTGCAGTTGGTGCAGCAATAAAGGTGGTCTTATGTGGATGGTGCTCCCTTTAACTTGACAGGTGGCTAACTGATATGGTTGGCTGTGTCCCCACCCAAATCTCATCTTGAATTTCCATGTGTTGTGGGAGGGACCCAGTCGAAGATAATTGAATCATGGAGGCAAGTCTTTCCTGTGTTGTTCTCACGATAGTGAATACATCTCACGAGATCTGATGGTTTTAAAAACAGGAGTTGCCCTGTAAGAGCTCTTTCTCCCTTTGCCTGCTACCATCCATGTAAGATGTGACTTGCTCCTCCTTGCCTTCCACCATGATTGTGAAACTTCCCCAGCCACGTGGAACTGTAAGTCCAATTAAACCCCTTTCTTTTGTAAATTGCTCAGTCTTGGCTATGTCTTTATCAGCGGTGTGAAAACAGACTGATACATTAACACTTGCACATTCTTTCTATATATGAAGGGCACTCCTATGAGCACACATTACAGTTTTGATAGAGAATTAGCCACTGTCAAGTGTGTTCCCTCCAGATGGAGGCACAGAGGGGTTCCCCTGGCTTCTCACACCTCCCGGACACTCAAGCACTCCTCACATTAATTGTGTTGTTCCGTGTGCCCCCTGCCCTGGGCTGTGAGTTCCTGGGGGGTGGGGGGATGCCTGGTTGATGGGTAAAGCCTTGGTTCTAGCAGGTACTGCTGAATGACAGGTGGGTGGACGGGCTGCCACCTATCAACGCTGTTTCTTCCATATAGTTTATGACCCAGTTTGGGGGTGAGGTGCCTGTGAATGACAACCTGAGGCTGGGTGCTGGGAGGCTTCAACAGGGCCATGATGTGAAGCACCAGGCCTGGGGCCTGGCTGGTGATCATTACTGTCACTGTCACACCAGTGTGTTTTGAAGCAGCAGGATTCCTGTGCATAGGGAGGTTTTCATGGCCCCGACTCACCTACTCACTCATTCATTCATTCATTCTTTCTTTCGTTCTTTCTTTCCTTCACCAGGCTAATGTGGGACTGGGTCAGGGGCATTACAGAGGGTCAGATGAGGCTCTCCTCCAGGGTCCATGCACCACAACCTACCATGTAGTGACTTGCCAAGGACCGGCCTGAGAAACCCCCTCCCTCTCTGAGGCCTAGAGAGAGGGCTGAGCAGCTCCAGGAAGAAAAGTGCTTTTTCCTTTCTCTTCCAGCTTCAGTGAGCTGAAGGGAGGATTTCTCACCAGGTGGCCCTTTAAAAGCTCTGAAGGCAGCCTCAGGGCAGGTTCAATAAAGAGGTAGCAGAGGGTCAAGCTTCTGCACTTTGGTCTTGGGTCATTTGCCTGGAGCTTGTTCAGTGACAGGGAGACCCAAAGGGAGGTGACGCTGCCTGGTTAGTCCTGGACACCCTACCCAGCCTGGTTCTGATGTCAGAGAGGATATCCGGGTGGCTGGATCCTAAAGCTGCAGTCAGCCCTGAGGACAATGGCCCTGAAGATACCACTAGGCCATCTGTACCTCCCTCCTTCCCTCCCTCCCTCCCTCCTTCCTTCCCTTCCTCCCTCCCTTCCTTCCCTCCCTTGAAGAAACCTTCATCGAGACCCTACTGTGTCCCTGGACCCCTACACTGGGGCACAATGATAATTAAGACAGAAGTTCTTGGCCTTGGGACTCAGCAATATTGTCATGCTTATCAATTTCCTCCACACCCACAGATGTGCTTTATTCAGTGCCACCTCCACGCAGACATTTCAGACTTCTCTTTCTCTCTCTCTCTCGCTCTCTTGTCTATTTGCTCTCTCAGCTCTGGGGCTACACCCACCTGCCATTGACTTTTCACACAGATGTCCCAAAAGCCCCTTAAACTCAGCTCAACTCCTGACTGGTCCTCCTCCAAGGTGAATGACATGGAGCCTCCATAGTGAATCCACCCACAAGACCTCCTGATGCCATCTCCTCGGTGGCTCTCACACTGTCCCTGTGCCCCCAGAACTGCCAAGTTACCATCATCTCTAGCCAGGATGATTTCCTGGTCTCCCCTCACCCTCTCTGAGCCTCCTTCAATCTGTTCTCCATGTGGCTGCCATGTGCGCTTCTTCAGAAGCCAACTTGGTCACGTCCCTGCCTCTCGAGCCCTCAGTGGCTTTCCTCTCCTTGGGGATAAAGCCTGGCACACACAGCCCTGGCTCTGAGGGTCCCTCCAGCCCCTGTGGCCTGATTCACTGCCTGCCCCTCTGCCTCACTGGCTTCATGGCTCCCTCCCACCACAGAGTTTCTGCGCGTGCCATTCCTGCGGCCTGGAATGTTTGCCTTCTCTCTTCAGGGAGTTAACTTGTGCTCATCGTTCAGCTCTTGGTTTGGGGGTCATTTCTTCAAGAAATCCCTCCCAGACCTCCTCGAGAAGTCACCATCCTCCATCATAAGGTCCCCAAATGCTTGTTTGTGCGAAGACAGGTGGTCAGTTCGGATGTTTCCTCCCCTGGACGGGAAGCTCGTTGACTGCAGGTCCTCATCTGATCCATTTCTTCTGATACTCATCACGTGACGCAGTGCCTGGCACCTAACGGGTACTCCACTGACGGTTGTCGTGAATAACCGGGAAGCAAGGACAGGCTCTAGCCCTGGGAGGCAGCTCCAAAGTAGTGCAGGTGCAACAGGAAGAGGCTCCAGAAGCCTCACATGGCATAGAGGTCAAGAGCGGATGATGGGGTCGCACTGCTGTGTGTGACTCTCTGCGCCACCCACTCACTGTTGTCTGAGCATCCCCATCTGTGGAACAGGGGCCTCACGGGTTGCCGGAAAGTCTCAGTGAGTCACTACACATGGGTACACATCAGTACTTCATGGCCAGGTCCTGGCAGGTGGTGCATGTGCAGATGTCAGCTGCTGTCCCTCCTGGTGGCAACTCTGTGCCAGAAGGTGTTTTGCTGAAAGAAACAATCCTGGTGGCTCAGAAGTCTGCCATGTGTCTCAAGACCAATCGATGCAGCTTGGTGCCACTGAAGTGATGCAGGATGTCACCAGCTCTTCTCAAGACCACCAAATGGGGTGTGGGGCTGGGGTAGAGTTCCTTGCCCACATGCCAGCACATCTCAGGATTTGGTATGACAGGAGACACTCTGAGGCCTCCACTGGGTACCTCCCGATCTGCTGATGCCAGAACTGGTCCTTCTGCATGAGGGCCAGGGAGCAGAGGGCTAGAGCCAGGTCACTGCTCCCTCTCTCCTGCCAGTGTGAATGCCGGGAGAGTGTCAGCTCACTCCGCGGGGACACCAGAGGCAAAACTTGACCTCGCCAAAGAAACCACAACCCACCACACAGAAGCCGCCCAGGGCTCCCAGCTGGCTCTTTCTTCTTATTTTGAGATGGAGTTTCGCTCTTGTTGCCTAGGCTGGAGTGCAGTGGCGCAATCTTGACTCACCGCAACCTCTGCTTCCCGGGTTCAAGTGATTCTCCTGTCTCACTCAGCCTCCCGAGTAGCTGGGATTACAGGCGCCTGCCACCACGCCTGGCTAATTTTTTGTATTTCTAGTAGAGACGGGGTTTCACCATGTTGGTCAAGCTGGTCTTGAACTCCTGACCTCAGGTGATACGCCCAACTCGGCCTCCCAAAGTGCTGGGATTACAGGCACGAGCCACTGTGCCCACTAGCCGGCTCATTTCTTATCTGCCTTTGTGTCCTAGCTTCTGGGGCATGGGTGAATTTGGCTGTGGGATGGAGAAGGGGAGGCAGACAGAGGGAGGAGAGCATGCAGAAGGAGTCAGGAGGTGACTTCCATCCCGATTCAGCGATGGCTTGGGGCCAGCAGCTGCTCTTCCTGGGGCCTGGGTTCCTTCCAGAAGAATGAGGAGATTGGACTATGGGACAAGTTCCAACTCCTGAACAACCTCCGTTTGTTTTTGGTGTATCAACTGTTTTCCCTCTGCCACTGATTTTTCTTTTTTTTTTGAGATGGTCTCGCTCTGTCACTCAGGCTAGAGTGCAATGGCACAATCTCAGCTCACTGCAGCCTCAACCTCCAGGGCTCAAGCGATCCTCCTGCCTCAGCCTCCCGAGTAGCTGGGACCACAGGTGCCACCTGTGCCACCACACCTGGCTAATTTTTGTATTTTTTGTCAAGACAGGGTTTCATCATGTTGCCCAGGCAGGTCTTGAACTCCTGACCTCAAGCAATCCTCCTGCCTCAGCTTCCAAAAGTGCTGGGATTACAGGTGTGAGCCACCGCGCCTGGCTTGCCACTGATTTTTTTTTTTTTTTGAGAAGGAGTTTCACTTTTGTCATCCAGGTTGGAGTGCAATGGTGTGGTCTTGGCTCATTGCAACCTCTGCCTCCTGGGTTCAAGCGATTCTCCTGCCTCAGCCTCCCGAGTAGCTGGGACCACAGGTGCCACCTGTGCCACCACACCTGGCTACTTTTTGTATTTTTGGTAGAGAGGGGGTTTCACCATTTTGGCCAGGCTGGTCTTGAACTCCTGACCTTATGTGATCCACCCACCTTGGCCTCCCAAAGTGTTGGGATTACAGGCATGAGCCACTGCACCCGGCCTGATTTTTTAAAAAGTCTCCTGTTATTCATGAAGTATGGTCCATATGACACATACCTGCCTCTCACTGTTTTTCCCCTAACAAAGGACTCTGATTTCACAACAGGTGCAAAGTTTCAGCAGATTACTGCTGGGGAGGGAGCCAGTCTTCAGCCTATCAAAGACTATTTTGAATGTCCTGGTGTCACAGATGTGGGGGACAAGGTTGCTGGGCTGCTCAGAAGGGTCAGAGATATGTGTATTTTTAGGAGCTTCTGAAAGGACAGGGCTTTGTCCTTGGCCCCAGTTAGAGGCTGAGCATTGGACTGGATGGGAAGGGTGTCCTCTCACCTTGCTCAGGACCACTAGGAATTCACATCCCCTCAGAGGCTGCCCTAGCCCCCAACCAGCACTTGTGTCTTCTCTTCTCCATGGTGGGTGTTCTGGGTCTCAGGACCACTTCTCCCGGCAGCTGCACACACAGACTGGCACCTCCCTTGGTTTCCAGGGAGATGGATTCTGGGAGCCCAATCCCAGTAAAGGCTAAGGATGTCAGCCCATTGCTGGCCTGGACCAGCCAGATTCCCTGACCGGTCTCTCTGTGGTCCCAGCTTTGCCAAGAGGCCTTTCTTCAAGGCTGTGCTTTTAGTGGAACAGCTGACCCACATCCAAATGCTGTGGTAGAATAATGGGAGTCCGGCTGGGCATGGTGGCTCACGCCTGTAATCCCAGCACTTTGGGAGGCCGAGGCAGGTGGATCACTTAAGGTCAGGAGTTCGAGACCAGCCTGGCCAACATGGTGAAACTCTGTACTAAAAATACAAAAATTAGCTGGGTGTGGTGGTGCACACCTGTAATCCCAACTACTTGGGAGGCTGAGGCAGGAGAATCACCTGAACCCAGGAGGCAGAGGCTGCAGTAAGCTGAAATGGAGCCACTATACTCTAGCCTGAACGACAGAGCAAGACTCTGCCAAAAAAAAAAAAAAAAAGGAATAATGAGAGTCCGACGTAATCGATTTAGGAGCTGGGGCGTAATTGCCTGAGCAGGCCTGCCAGGCAGGCTTCCGGTGAATCTGCACGATTCTTGCACCCAGCAACAACCAGTGGTCAGGGCCCTGGAGCTGTCTCCACCAGGTCTGATACCAACACAGTGTTTGGGGGTGAATCACAGTTTGTTCCTGCTTTGGGGCTCACCTGGAGCCCCTGCTCCCCAGCGGGGAGCCATGAAGAAGGAATCTGTCTCTGGGACTCAGAACAGATGTGGGACATCTCCACGAGCCCAGGGACACAGAAGCTGCCCTCCTGGGGCCCACGGACCTATCAAAAGGTTGGCAAGACCAACACCAGAGGTGCAAGATGGGAAAAGCAGGGGACGGGGCCTTGCCTTCTGCTGAACGAGCAGTGGATGGGGCAGTGGGAGGCACGCGATCTCCTGGGCCAGGCAAGAGTCCAGGAGGCTCCTGCCCTTTCTCATCTGACCCCACACTGTGGAAGGCTGTGACTCTGAGCTCAGAGACAGGTATGGTGCCGTGTCACCTGGATTTTCCAGCCACTTCTCTGAATTCTGCAAATCCGTGGAGCTCCCTCTTGCCTCAGGACCTTCCTACCCACCTCCCCCTGCTTGGAGGGCTCTTACCCAGCTCCCTGCTTGGCATCTGACCTGCCTGACCACGTCCTTTTTTTTGAAACACCTTCGTTTCTTAGCCTCCATGGGTCACATCCTGCTGGTTTCCCTCCGTTGCACTGGCTGTCCCCCTCCCTCCTTGGCCAGCTCCTCCTCTGCTTGGTGTCCTCATACCAGGGTAGCCTGTGCTTGATCCTGCAGCCTCTCCTCTGCTTCATCTGTGCTGTTTCACGGAGTCTTCGTGCTCAGACCTAGGGCGCTAAACGCCATCTGCACGCGGAGGACTCCTAAACGTCATCTCCATTCTGGATCTCTCATTGGCCTCCAGACTTTCAGACCGCAATGTGAACCCCGCATCTCTAATGAGGTTGTCAGCTGTAACGTGACCAAAACTGAACACTAGATTCCCCTATCCCCTTGGGTTTGCTGCTTCTTCAGACTTCTCCATCTCAGGAAATGGTTTGCTGTTCCTCCGGTGGTTGAAGCCCCAAATCTAGGCATTATTACTCATTGTCCTCTCTCGTTCTTCATATTCAAATCATCAGCAGAGCCCTTCACTTCACCTCCAAACAACCCCAAACCCACCCTGTCCCTCAGGAGTCATTGTTCCGGCCTTGTCAGAGCCACAATCGCCTCTTGCCCGAACGGACGCAAGAGCCCTGGAGTAGTCTCTGTGCCGGTGGAGACACAATTCATTCTCCACGTGGCAGCTGCGGTGTTCTTGCAAACATACACCTGTGTGTGGCAACGCCCCTCCCGTGGCTCCCCACTGACCTCAGAATAAAAGCCCAGCCCCCTACTCTTGGTGATGCATCCCATGTGGCCTCTGCTGAACCCCCTGGCCCTCTCCCATCCCCGCAACCCCCTCCACCTCCCCTTCCTCTATTCTGACCGCAGCTCCCCCAACGCGCCAGGCTTGCCCTCTCCCTGGGGGCTTTGCTCCTGATTCCCTGTCCTGGAATATTCCCCCCACGGTCTTACTGTGGCTGGCCCCTGCCTGTCACTCATACCCCAGCTTGAATATCACCTTCTCATACAGGCCTCCTCTGACCTCTCCTGGCCTATAAAGCAGCCGCCCTGGTACCCTCTCCCAGACCATCCAGGGGAAGTTCCCTGCCCAGCAGGTATCAACATCTGACAGTTTCCTTTGCATCTTGTTTGTTGTCTTTCTCCCCCGCTAGAATAGAAACTACAGGAGAATAAGGATTCCCCAGAGCCCAGAACAGTGCCTGGCACCCAGCAGATGCCGAGTCCATGTTGACCAGGTGATGGAAGACCAGGCAGCCCAGGTGGAAGGAGGTGGGAAGACTGGTTAGGACGTGCACAATTGATTAGTTTGGGCTGAATTAAGGTGGTGGCAGAGAGGATGGCGAGAAGTAGAGAATGTGAGAGAAATAAAGGAAAGAAACATGCTAGGCTAGTATTGGGATGTCGGGGAGGGAGTGAGCAAGGGGTGACTCCTGGGTTTTTGGGTGGGATTATCCACAGGGGTCAGGAATGTTATCAGAGAGGTAGGTTGGGGAAAACAGAAAGAACGGCCATTTGTCCTGTCTGGGACCTACTGGCTTGCCCAAGAGAAACGTGGGTCAAGCTGCCCTGTAGGCCGTTAGATGGATGGCCTGGATCCAAGAAGACAAACAGAGGGGCAGCCATCCCTGCACCCTAGTAGGTGGGAGAGCGAGCCCTGGCTGGGAAGAAGCCCTCAGGGAGCGTGGGCAGGGAGAAGAGAGTAGTCAGGAGAGAGCCGGCCATGGGGACATGACAGAGAATTTTGGAAGGAGAAGCTTGGAGACTGAGGAGCAAGCAGGGGAGTGGGAGGGAGGGGCAGAATCGCACTGCCCAGAGCCAGAGGGCTTCGCCTGGGGAAGGGGCCATCAATGGGGACACAGGGGCTGGGAGTCCTCAAGTGGAATGAAGACAATCAGGCCGTGGGGTCCACAGGGATGTGCTGTGGTCTCGGCAGGAGCCAAGCTGGTCAGTGTGTTCATGGCAGGTGGCTGTGGGAGGCCGCCCTATCCTGCTGCCCCATGGCCGTCCCTGAGCATTCCAACAGGAGGGCATCCTGTGAGTGGCTCCTCCAAGCCAGGAACTGATCTTTCCCATATCTGCATCCTTCCCTAAATACGTATTGCTGTGTATATAGTAAATGCTCAATAAACACTGAACGGAACTGTACTTCCTGTGATGCTCCTTAAAACACACCACCTGTGACCTCAGGACGGTGCCTGCGAACTCCTCAAAACACACCACCTGTGACCGCAGGACGGTGCCTGCGAACTCCTCAAAACACGCCACCTGTGACCACGGGACGGTGCCTGCGAACTCCTCAAAACATGCCACCTGTGACCGCGGGACGGTGCCTGTGAACTCCCCGACACCGCGGAGTCCCCGGAGCCTAACCTGCGCGGCTTCTTCACTGCGCTTCTCACAACACCTAGGGCAGAACCCCGTGCACAACAAACCCTCAGGAGGCTTCTGGTATTTTCTGGGGGTCAGTTTTGCCTTCAGTGAGGCCTGACGGCTGGGATCATGCCCAGGACCATGCCCTGGGGACTAAGCCTACAAGATATGGAGCCCTGCATTGAACAGTGTTCCTCAAATGCTCATGTCTACAGGGAACCTCAGAATGGGACTTGATTTGGAAATGGAGTCTTTGTAATTAGTAAATTACAAATGTAATTAGTAATTCATTAAGACGGGTTCACACCGGATGGGGTTGGCCTTAATCCAATGACTGGTGTCCTTAAAAGAAAGTAGGGACACAGACACACGCAGAGGGAGGACAGTGCAGGCAGAGACTGGGGTTCTGTTGCCACAAGCCATGGATCCATAACGATGATCAGCAGCCACCAGAGCTGCAAGTGGCCAGAGAGGGTCCCTCCCTAGCGCCTTTGGTGGGGGCACGGCTCTCTGGGACCTTGAACTCTGGCTTCCAGTCTCCACAGCCGTGAGAGCACATCTCTGTGTGAAGCCAGCCAGTTGGTGGGCATTTGTCTGGCAGTCACAGGAACAGCTGGCTGATCTTGACCCCTGGAGGGTCTGAGCTGCCATAGTCATGCACACTCTGGAAGGAGCCATCTGGCCCGCAGGTGGCAGGGAAGCCAATCCTGGGAGAGGAGCCTGCATCTGCCCGAGTCCTGGGGCGTCCTCCACAGAGTCAACTTTGCTTCCTGCCCCAACGGCCAGGACAGGGTGGCAAAGGCTGCCCCTCGGCCTTTGCTGAGAGGCAAGCTTCCTCCTAAAGGCCATTTCTCCGCAGGGCACCATTTGCCACTGCTCCAAGGAGGCCGGATGGGACCCAGCTCCAAGGTGACCCACTCCTTGCTACACAGAGGAGCTCCACACAGGTCTGCTTGGTGTGGCTCCAGCTGCAAATGGCAGGAAGTCACTGTCCCAGGAGGATCTGAGGACCAGACCTCTTGGTCCTGGCTGAGGAGCACAGCTGGCTCCTTAGGAGCCCCAATGGCTAAGATGCTCCCCAAACTGGATGCTGATGCGACTCCCACCCACTGCGGTGCTGAGGAAAGCAGGCCTGGGGAGCACATGCACCCAAGCTGACAGACACCCACCGCAATGTATAATGACGGAGGCCCCACAGACAGCGAGAGACGGGTTACGAGGAGGGCCCTGTGCTTTGGAGCATGGCACTGGCTGGGCTCGGAGAGGACGTGACTCCTGCCACTCAGCCTCAGGTCCCGAGTGCAAGACCGGCTCACGCCAGCTGCTTCTGTCACCTGTTACTGCTATGCACAGAAGTACCCAGGGGCCCATGCGCTAACCAGCTTGTGCTGGCCCCAGTCCCCACTCCAGGTGGATGCCAGAAAGCTCTCGGTGGGGTGGGCGTCCTTTCTTCCTTTGGGTGACCCCTGGGTCAGTGCTTCTCCAGCTCCCCTAAAGAGCTCCCGGAGGTGGGAGAGGGTAGGTGGGGGCTTCCAGTCTTTCACTATGGGTGTAATTCAAAGTAGCTCTTTGAAGTCAAGACCATTCACCCATACTGTCTAATCTGAAAAATTCTTGTGAATTTTGTATTCTGCTCCACAATACAAACTGTATTGGTTTTAGTAAAGCAAAGGCATTTTACATTATTTAGCAAGGAAATAATTTTTGCTCCTCTGTCTTCCATTATCTGGGACAAGTGATGCCTTTGGAATGTGTTCTCAGTGTACATTGTATGTTCTTTTTTTTTTTTTTTTTTGAGACAGAGTCTCGCTCTGTCACCCAGGCTGGAGGCTGGAGTGCAGTGGCACAATCTCAGCTTGCTGCAAGCTCCGCCTCCCGGGTTCAAGCCATTCTCCTGCCTCAGCCTCCCGAGTAGCTGGGACAACAGGCGCTCACCACCACGCCCGGCTAATTTTGTTTTTGTATTTTTAGTAGAGGCGGGGTTTCACCGTGTTAACCAGGATGGGCTCGATCTCCTGACCTTGTGATCCGCCTGCCTCGGCCTCCCAAAGTGCTGGGATCACAGGCGTGAGCCACCGCACCCAGCCAACTCTGTGTATGTTCTCTTACAGCATCCCATGTCATGCGATGTGTTCATGGGCCAGCTGAGGGTTGCTCGGAGGTGGGCTGGGTGGATCTGAGGGAGGGAGCCAGCCTAGGAGCGGCCGGCCCAGGCCCACTCAGCAGAAAGCCCTGGAGTGTTGCCATTGGAGGAAGAAGCACCCAGAGGCCTCCCAGGGACCAGTGTCCCAGCTAGAATGGCCTTTCCCACTGTCCCTGGAATGTACCCCTGGACTCTGGGACAGTGTGTGATCTCCCAGCTCTGGTGGGTGGAGGCTGGTACTAGAATCAGCCCACAAGGAAAGGCCAGCAGGACCACAGCCACATGCCAGGGACAGGCCCTCTCACACCTAAGGTGGCAGCTCCGAAGTGGGGGCAGAGCTAGGGGCTGCCCCAGAGACACATCTTCCATCTGTTAGCACAGAGAGCGTGGACGGATCAGAAGGCCAAACCAAGAGGCCTTTCCTTCTCTCCACTTGCTTAGACAGGAGCGAGGCTCTCAGTCTTCCCAGACACCTACCCCAGGGCCAGGCTGCCCCAGAAGTCACAGGATAACCCCGTCTGTCTCTGGCCAGCTGCAGGGGCAAGCTGTCTGGGCTCACCCACCTTACACTGAGGCTTGCCCAGGAAGCAGGCAACTGGATAATGAAGTTTGAGCTTTTAGTCCATGCTCCCCGCTCTGCCTGAGATGACAGGGTCCCCCCTCACCCCTGAGGCCAGAAGGGGGCCTGCCCAGGAGACCAGCCAAGCCCAGGGGAGCTGCACGCAGGTCTCACTCCAATCCTCTCACCCAGGCAAGGAGGCTCAGTTGCCTGAGAAGCACTGAAAATAGAGTCTAAGTCTAAGCGGCTTAGTGGGGTTCCAAGAAGGGCCGGCAGGTGGGGGTGGGGACAGGGTACCCTAAATCTTCTCAACTTGGCCTTGGGGGAGAATCAGATGCTGTAAGACAAGAAAGAGGCACACAAAAATTCCGCTCACCTTCTCTTCTAGGGACCCAGGTCACTTAAAGGTGTCCCAGTGTCCTTGGCCAGAAGAGGGCCCGCCCCATCCCCTCAGCTCCAGGGCTGCAGTGTTGAACTGCCTGGGTTTATTCTCTTTGTAAACACAGGCACAGGCGAGGCCAAATCTACACAGACAGCATCCTCTTGAAGTTCAGCACGGCCCTGGCTGTTGTATCCATAGGACCTATCACAGGTATAAGTGACATTTCCCAGAGATCCTCCCCAGTGGGTCTCCAGGGTAAACCCCATTGCCTGCCTACCTCTAGCCTGGAAGAGGTCCCCCTTGCATCTTTGTATGAAGAGCTGGCCTGCTCAGACCTCCCTGGGGTCCTGTGCAAATGGCCTGGGGTCAGGTCAGGACAGAGGAAATTTGTTCTGAATCCGCACCTTTGTGGGTGGAGGAGAAATGGTGAAAACGGCAGTTCCCGAAGACCCTGGGTTAAAGGCAGCCGCTCATTCCCTCTCCTGCCACCCTTGATGCCCCCTCTTCCCGGGCTAACCCTGCTCAGGCTTCAGGTCTCACCAAGGGGGTCGTTTCCTCTGTGAAACCTTCCTTACCACTAGTTGGATTCAGCTTTTTGACAGTCCCTCCTGCACTCATTCACGTGTGCCTGCATTCATATCACAAATATGTACTGCAGCCCACCACGTGCCAACCCTGGGCTAAGTGATGGGGGTCCAGCAGACAGGGCCTTTGACCCTGGAGCTCACAGTGGGGCGCAGGGGAAGGGAGGGGAAGACCCCTAGGTCTGGGGGAGGCGCTGCAGCTCCGGGATCCAGAAGGCTGCGATTCCTCCTCCCACCTTCCCCCATCTCCACGCCCGGTCTCTCCCAGGATGGCTGCGCCCCAGCTGAGATTTTGGGGACGTCGGGTCCCTGCCCCCCGGCCCCAACGTGGGGACGATCGCCCTCCGCAGGGCGGGGCTGCGCAAACAAAAGCTACGCCGCGGGGACAAAGGCTGCGCCGCGGGGACAAAGACTTCGCCGCAGCAGCTGCTGCTGCTGCTGCTGCTGGCGCGCGCGCGCGCGCGCGTGTTCTCTGCGCCCCGGACCCACGCCCCCCCCCGGCCTTTAGCCAAGCAAACAAATTCATGTTTTAGATCAAATGAGGGCAGACAGTCTCTTCCCCGCCCTCAAACATTTTCCCCCGCGCATGGCAGAGGGGACAAAGGGCGCATCCCACATGCAGCAGAGGCCACCGAACGAGGGAGCCAGGGCTCGCCGCCCACCGAAGGCCTGTGGTCCCCGCCGCACGGTGCGGCGCACTCGGAGGCGGGTGGCCGGGCTCAGGCCTTCCTAGTCCCGCGGTCCTCGCAGTCCCTGCTGGGGCCCCAGACCCCGCGGGGCGCGGCGCCGCCAGCAGTTCCGCGAAGGGCCCCGCATTGCGGCTGCGCGTCGGCGGGAGGGCGCGCGCGTGGGAGAGAGTGTGTGCACGCGCGCCGCCGGCAGCCGTGCCCCAGTTTGCTCCGCGCTGCAGTCCCCTGGCGCCCACCCCTTCCCCAGCCCTCCTCCCCTCTCCGCGGCGAACCCGTCTCCACGGCCTGGCCAGCGCGGAGGGAGAATCGGCCCAGCGCCCGCGGGGACGGGAGGGGCTGAGCCGAGAAGCTGCGGAGACCGAGGGGAGGGGCCGGGAGGGACAGGCGGGGAACGGAAGGCTCACCACCGCCCGGCCACTGCAGCATTGGCCCGGACGCAAAGTTCATGGCCAGGCCCCGTGGCTGGCCAGAGGCCCGGGACCCCCGCGCTCCCGACTAGCTGTTCCCGCGGCCCCCTTTGCGCTGCGACTGCGGCGCTGCTTCCCCTCCCCTCCCTTAGTATTTATCAAGCTGGTGAAAGGCTGGGAAGGCTGGGCCCTTGGGTGGGTGAGTGCCTTGTATTCATTTAGGGGGAAAAAGAATAGCCAGGGAAGACCCGCTTCTCCCCAGCCAGGTGGGGTCTGGCAGTTCCTCTGTCCCTGCCTCCCACTCATTCCTTGAAAGGACAACTGGCCCAGACCAAAGGAAAGCGTCCTTCAGGGCCCTGATCTGCTCTCTGCAGGGCCCCTGGGCCGAGGTGGACCCCAGGCTGGTCCCCTCTGGTTCAGCAGGGCGCTCTGAGCTGGGGGTCCAAGCTGCGGAGCTACTGTTCCCCTAGCTGTGCCCTGGCTGGTGGTAACAGAGGCGATGCTGCTGGACGCCCAGGCCTTGATGTCATCGCCGCCCCAATTCCTGTCACCCTCCTGTGTATCCTGCAGGTGCAGGGGTGCTTATTTCAACTTGGAGGCCCACAGAGTTCAGAGCTCAAAGTTCTGGGGGGGGGGGCAGCTAGGGAGCAGGTGCCCAGCTTGGCGGCAGGCCCATCTCGAGGGGCCTGGGGTGGCCGAGGTCCCGGGGTGTGTCTGTCATGAAGCAGTTGGGTGGCTCCCCTTCCCCCCGGTTTCTATGGCAGCATCCTCCCGTGCCGTAGCTTCTGGGGTACAGCTGGCTCTCTGGGTTTCCAGGGGGCCTGCAGATGTGTCCTGAGCTCTGGGGCACTGCCTGACTGTGACTTTGCTCTCTGAAAAGGCTCCATCTGCCAGGCAGGGTCCTACAGTGGTCCCAGCATCCTTGGGTTCATTCTAGTGAGGCCGGCCAAGTCACTCAGGGAGAGCCAGAGCTCTGGAGAGTTCCTGACTCCATTCCCCATTTGTTCTGCAAAACTAAAACCAGATTTCCTAAACGGGAGCCCCTGGTCACCCTGCCCTTCTTTGTTACATCCTGTGGGTGGTCATCACAGCTCTGCCTGGCTCCGGCCTCAGCCAGAGATGCTGCCAAGGGCAGCTCGGTGCCCCAGGGCAGCCCATGCTAGGGTTTGAAGACCCAAAGCCACCCCAGGGAATTGTCTCCTGAGGGTTCACCAGCCAGGGCAGCTGTCGGCACCCTCTCTCTCGGCTGGGGCAGGGACTGGGATAAGGCTGAGGTTTACACACTGGGTGGTTCAGGAAATGAACTATGTACCCAAGCCCAGAAATCCTCCAGCAGCCAACAGCAAGGGGCAGTCTGAGAGGTGAGACCCAGAAGGCCAGCTGTGGGTGCGGGGTGCGTGAGGGGGTGTTGCTTGGAGAACCCACCCCTGCAAGGGGCTCAGGCTCAGCTTAGCCCAGACCTCAACATCCTGGGCTAGCAAGGTCTCCAGCAAGGTACCCCATGGAGTGTCACCTCTGTGGGCTCACCTGATACTGAGGTTATGGACAGGCATCCCTCCTACCGCATCCCCAGTGTACTGGGCTCAGCCCCCCAGGCCTTGGCTAGCTCTGGGCCTCCTGACGTGTGCCCAGGTGGGAAATGGCAGCCTCTGGCTCTGGCGTCCCCAGCCTGCCTTTGGCAGCTCTTCTCTGCAGAGCCCCTGGTACCCCAAGGGGAACCACCAACACTCACCGACCCCCATGGCCAAGGCTGGCAGCTCTTGGAGTCCCTGCCTCTCCTTGACCACCAGGTCCTGCCTGCTCCCTTGAAGCCCACTGGGGTCCCTGACACTCTACCCTCTGCCACAGTCGTGATCCTGGGCTTGCCACAGACGCCGTACAGGCCAGAGGTGGAATTAAAATCAGCCAAGAAGCTGGAGTTGAGGGTATTTGAGGGCTTCCAGGAGAAGATTTGGCTGGTTAGCCCCAAAAGGCAGAAGCAAGCCCCCAAATTCGAAAGAAGCCCAGGCCTGAGCTGCCTCCCCGTCCTCTTTCTCGAGAGGCTTGGGGCTTGGCGATGGCCTCTGGGAACCCTTTTTGCTTCCAGGAGCCCGCGGAAACAGGCCTGGAGGGGCACAGCGGGTGCTTGGACCTTGCTGCCTGGGGTCCTTCGCCAGAGCCTCTTAGCTGCCCTGGGCTTGCTTGGCCACTCAGACAGCCCAGCAGGCGTGCCAGCCACAGGCCCACACTCACATACTTTTCAGTCTGTCCCAGGGAGAGACTGAGATTGAGGGTGGGGCCAGCCAGTGTCCAGACACAAATGGCTGACAGCATAGGCACTCAGCCTGGCGGTGGAGACCCAGTCGGCCTTCCTTTGCTCACATTGGCACCACTTCCTGCCCCTTTCTGGGTGCTTACTCTTCTTTCACACCTTGTGCAAGAGTCCCCAAGCATCCCTCTCCCTTGGTGCCTGGCAAGACGACCCAAGCACTGTTCTTACCGTCCAACGACAGCCAGTCGTGCTGGGAGGAAGGGAGCGTGGGCAGAGCCCGGGCTTTGTACTCAAACACCACCGAGTTGGAGATGATCTGGTTGTTGAAGGCAACTTGTAGGGTCACAAGACCAGTGTCATGGGCTGAAAGCGAGAGAAAAAGACCAGGTCAAGGGATGGGTGGGTACCTACAGCCTGGTGAACCACACAGGGCCTGGAATGTCCCCTCCCCACTACCCTTCATTGGTTAATGTCCAGCTCTCCTTAATGGTAGCCTATGCCTGCTCATTCGAGGCCCAAACACAATGCTGCTTCTAGGAACCTTCTTGGTTCGCCCAGACTCAGCCAGCTGTCCTGTGATCACTCCCAGGTACGTAACTGCCCCTTTGCTTTGTCCTCCGAGTGAGGGCAGGAGCTGGGTGCTCAGTACAGACTGGCTGAACAAGTGAATGAGTGAATGGCCCCCATCCCTGCCTCATGGCTGGCTGACTTCCCCTCTTGTCCCATCCTTCCTGGGTGGGGCTCGGGTACAAAATTTGCTTTGGATTTATTTGCGCTTATTTTGTTTCACCTATTCCTACAAGCTTGTCCTGACTCGATGAACAGCCAGCCATCCCTTGTATTTTTAGTTCTTCTGCTTCCCCGATGAAGGAGCTTCAGATGTGCCTCTGTTACCCTGGCCCCAGCTCAGCCCCAGTGGGTGTTGAGCTGGGGATGCTGATGTGAAGGTTGCACCTCCCTCCAGTGGCCCGACAGTAAGCTCTGGAAGACAGGGCCCTGGCAGGTCTCGTTAACTGCTGTGGCCCCAACACAGGGCTCAACAAATAACTCTATTTGTGGAATAAACGAGGTATGTTCTCACTGTGAGTAAGACGAAGCCAGCCTGCGGTGGAGACCAGCTTCAGCTCTTGGGTTGAGGTTGCCTCTCCATGGCTCATGTTGGCATCTTGGGGGCTGGCCTGTGGCCCACAGAGGTGGCCCGTGGGCAATGGTGGGTGTGCACACTGCCCCGCCAGGCCTCATCCCTGGCAGATGTCTGGGTTCTGTGCCTTCTGCCCTGCTTTTCCGGAATACCAGATACTGATACCCAGGGCCTCCCCAGTACAGACTTCCAGGGAGGACATGCGTGGGGATCACATTACTGTGTGGGCCCTTGGTTTTCAGAAGCTTATAGAGTCGAGGAAGCCGTCCAAGCCAGCCGCTCCCTAGGACAAGCAGAGCTCCATCTTTCCTCCGAGGACTCTGATGCAGATCCCAGTCCCGATGGGAAAACCAGCTCATTGACCGGTGGCCGCTGTCCATCCTGGGTGGATGTGTTAAGGCAGCAGCCATCTTGCCATTGTCCCCAGGGAAGGCCTTCGGGAGTCACTGTCCAAGGGGACCCATGGGTTTTTCCTCTGTGTTTTCCACCCTGGCTGGGAACCTCAGCTCCAGGCCACAACCTGAACCAAAGGACTCCACAGTGGAGGTCACATAGGACCTCCGAGGTGCCTGGGCAGGGAGCCCCGGCCAAGTCCAGAACCTGCTATGGCTCTGTTGGCATCCCTGGGCGGGTCTCCAAGCTTGTGGTCGCATGCCTGCCCTGGAGATTGGCCTGGCTTGCCAACAGGAAGGCAGGTGGCCAGCACCTACACCCATCGGAGCCCGCTCAGGGCTGCTCCTCTTAGCAGCCTCCTTGGGCCAGCCTTGGAGAACTCACGGCTTCTCTGGGACAATGTGTCCCAGCTTGGGGTCGGGGGGGATGGCCTCTTCAACTGCTGCTGCTCTTCCACCATCTTCTGGCAAGTGCACAACCTGCAGCAACGCTGGAATGGTGGCAGACTCCAAGGCATTTCTTCCTTCCCAGAGAGACGGAGCAGAGGGGACCTACTGTGGTCTCCGGGGTCCCAGCCCAGCAGCCCTGCTCCTGCAGTTCCATCACCCAGGAAGCTTCCTGGACTCGCTCTTCCCTTCCCCGCTCATGCAGTCCATCAGCAAGTCCTGGGTCCATCCATTGCTCTCCATCTCCACTGCAGATGCTGTAGTCCATGCCGCCATCATTTGTTGCCTAGACCCCTTCATTAGCCTCCTGTCGAAGGCAACATCAGCGCACCTGAGACCCGCTCCTGCTGGGAGGGTGTCGGGAGGCCCATAATCCAGCACCGGGGGCCACAGCCCAGCACCCCTACAGGAAACCAGGGGGAGTGTGGTGCCCAAGGGAGCCCTTCTCCTTACATCTGGAAAGATCAGCCCTCTGCCTTCTTCCTATGGTCTCCCTGCTTCTGTTCTTCCTCCCTACAACCTAGAATCATCTTTCCCACACACCCAGAATCATCTTTAAAGACATCATTTAGATCAAGCCACTCCCTGCTTAAAGCTAACAGCCTCCCATTGCAAGTAACATCAAACCAAACTCCTTCCTATGATGCAGAAAGATGGACACGATTTATTTTAGTTCCTGCTATCATCTCCAGTCTTACTGTATTCAGCTCCCCGTACCCCACTCACTATCCTGCAGCCAGTGCCTTTCTCAGGCTTTAGATTCTCCACGTTGCCAAACCTCTTTCTGCCCCAGGGCCTTTGCACTTCCCCTACCCTCTACCTGGCCTGGATGCTTCTCCCACTTCCCATGACTGGCTCCATCCCATCATCCAGGTCCCAGTCTGCGAGAGGCCTCTGCTCATCCATGTTCCAGAAGGAACCTCCTTCTTCCCAGGTGACCTTATTACCATATTCTACTGCTGGGATACAGTTTTCACCAGTTATCTTGGTTATTTCTTTTTCTCCTTGTTTGTTTTCTGTCTCCCTGCAGTAGAACATTAGCTCATGAGAGCTGGGACTGGCTCTGTCTTAATCTTCATGCCTAGTGCCAAGGTCAGTGCCCAGGATGTTATGGCGGCTCAGTAACTATTTGTTGAATGAATTGTTTTGAAACCCAATTCTACACCTCATTTGTTGTTTTTGTTTGTTTGTTTGCTTTTTGTTTTTTTGAGACAGAGTCTTACTCTGTCTTCCAGGCTGGAGTGCAGTGGCGTGATCTTGGCTCACTGCAACCTCCACCTGCCAGGTTCAGGTGATTCTCCTGCCTCAGCCTCCCTACTAGCTTACAGGTGCCTGCCACCACGCCCAGCTAATTTTTGTATTTTTAGTAGAGACGGGGTTTCACCATGTCGGTCAGGCTGGTCTCGAACTCCTGACTTCAAGTGATCCGCCCGCCTCGGCCTCCCAACATGCTAGGATTACAGGCATGAGCCACTGTGCCTGGCTTTCATTTTGAATTTCATCTTTTGTGTTCTGGTGACCTCTTAGGAATCCAGAGTAGGGCTCTCTGGCCAGTAGAGTCTTCTTGGTGGATTCCCCTATCTTCTCCCAAGCCTGAGTCGCCTCTTTTCCCCAGCACCTCCTCTCACTCACTGCTGCTCACTGCCCTCAGCTCACTGCCCTAACTTGGTGGGCTCCCTCCTGCCCCTGAAGCACCCTGGAGTCTTGCAGAAGACACACTCAGTGCCTGCGTGTCTCCTGCCACCTGTGACGGTGTGGGAGCTGCCAGGGCAGGACCCTGCTCATCTGTTTTGCTTGGGCAGGTGTGTTGGGAGACGGGTGGGCATTGGCCAACTGTGTTGCCAGTGCCCCCTCCTCCCGTGTCGTTCCTGGCTTGTGCTCATAAGCCTCTGAGCCTCTCTTTTTGGTGAGGCCAGTTTGATTCTGACTTCCAAGTGTTCATCCTTCGAGCTCAGCCTCAGATTCCTCTGGGGAGACCCAAAGATGAGGTCCCCAAGCAGCCAGCGTCATCTCCGGAGCAGTGATTCATTTGCGCACTGCACTCCTCCCTGGACCGAGAGCCCCTTACGATCAGGGGCCCGGTGAGAAGCTGGGTCTTATTGTTTGCTCCATTCCAGGCCCCTACTCTGTGCAGAGCAAGCAGGGGCTACTCAAAAGTTATTTGGCAAATGAAGAAATGAATGAATGAATTAATACATCCAGTGCTGTTTTACAGAGCAATGTGTTCCAATTTGGGCCTCAAAGCAGAGATGTCCAAAGGAGGCCCCCTTTGTGGAGTTAGCTGAAGACAGAGTGCTGGCTCTAGCAGGGGAGTCCCAGCTCTCAGTGTGCCTTGAGCCTTGTGGCTCCTGGTCCCTTGGTCCGAGACACATTATGGCTCATATAATGAGCCTGAACAGCTAGGAGGGTGAGTGGCCTGGGCAGAGACTCTACCTGCCATCTCTGGGGACCCAGAAATGCCCCAGGACCAGGAGAACTGCCTGTTGAGACCCAAACTGCCCTGGTACCCTCTCCGAACTCCCCCTTGGGAAAGGAAGAGCGAAGGCCTCCTTAATGGGAACCCTTCAGGAATGGAGCACTGGGCCAGGTGCTTCACACACCTCCTCTCACTCACTGCTCTCGCCCTGCTGGCAGGCAGTTTTCAGAGCTGTAGAAACTGAGGCCCAGAGAGGTCAGGCACTGAGCTCCAGCAACAGGGATGGTTTCTGGCTGATCTGGGATGGACCCGAGTGTGGCTGACTCCAGCCCCGGGGCCACACAAAGCCCAGCCTTTCTTTTTCTGTAGAGGGGTCAGATAACTGAGAGCAGACCTAAGCAGCCCTGCCCTGGTCCTTAGCCAGGCGAGAACCAGGTACAGGAAGTGGCATCTATTTATAGGCCAGGCAAGTCGCATTCTGGCAGCAGATGATGGGTGCACTGTTTAATTCCACAGTGCCCTCCCCGCCACTCCCGCCGGGCCGGGGTCCCATCAGCTGCACACAGCCCTGAGCTGTGATAGGCAGACCCGGCCTGGCTGCCACCCCGGCTGGCTGTGCTCCAGGCCGAGCAGGGCAGCTAGGTGGGCCTTCTGGAGCCAGGCAGGTGGGGGCTGGGAGGGGAGGGCTGGGCCAGCAGGGGGTGGGGTGGGCACCTTGGGCTGCTGCACTGGCTCCTGGGAACTTTTTGGGGAAGATGGTGCTGGGTTCAAGCAGAGGCGGAGTGTGCAGCCAGCTGTGGAGCAGGGGTTTTCTGCTCTGGTGGCTGCAAGAAGAGCCTGAGAGAGATGGGGCACAGTGGCTCACCCCTGTAATCCCAGCACTTTGGGAGGCCAAGGTGGGCGGATCACTTGCGTCAGGAGTTCGAGACCAGCCTGGCCAACATGGTGAAACTCCATCTCTACTAAAAGTACAAAAATTAGCTGGGTGTGGTGGCACAAGCCTATAGTCCCAGGTACCAGGGAGGCTGAGGCAAGAGAATCACTTGAACCCAGGAAACAGAGGTTGCAGTGAGCCGAGATTGCATCACTGCACTCCAGCCTGGCAAAAGAGTGAGACTCCATCTCAAAACAAAAAAACCAACAAAAAGAAGAGCCTGAGAGAGAAGGAGAAAAGGAGAAATGGGTGGTGGGACTCAGCTGGCCCAGCCTGGGGGCATGGTTCAAGGGTGGGGTGGTGGTGGCAGACAGCTGGGGCAGCCAAGGCTCAGGCTGGACCACCTTGGGTGGAACCTAGAAACACCCTGGGGCCTGCCTAGCACTGGCCAGCTCTGTACTCCCACCCCGTACCTTTCCTCCTCACCCCCAGTCTTCTACACTGAGCATCTTCTCTCCTTTCTAGGCTCCCTGACGTTAGAGGACAGGGGTGGGTCTCCCTGCCGTTCCGCACCCCTGCATCCTTACCCCCCTCCTGTTTATGGTCAGGGCTCACTGGACAGGCCATCCTGAGGGCTGGTGGTGATGAGATGGGGCAGCCAAGGGAGTCCTGCCAGCAACAGCCCAGGAGCAGAAGACATGAGCTCTAGAAACAGGCTTCAGATGCCTGGAGACTCATTCATTCCGTCACAATCTCCATCCCCCTCTGTGACATGTCCGGCACTCTGCCAGCCCCGGGGATACTATGGTGATCAAGAAGATAGTCCCTGACCCCATGGGACAGGCGAGTGGGGAAGCAGTGATGGCCAGAGATCAATGACAAGTTGACCAGACAGGGACACCGTGCTAAGCAGATAATGCTGGAGCCTGGGGAAGGGCTTCAGAGGCACAGGGACAGCACAGAGGCTGTCCCAAGGGTTTCTTGGGGGATTTTTGAGCCCCTGAAATTGGAAGCAAATTATATGCACCTTTTCTGGGCACAGGGTAGATGGCTCTGTTTTACATTCTCAAAGGCATTTGTGCTGATTATTGTTAGATTGACCTCCCATCACCACCCCATCTCCCTCCGCCCCTGCCAGGCTTTCTCCAGCCTTCTGCCCCCTGCCCAGGGCCCTCGGGAGGATGGAGCCTGTGTGTGGGCTGCATTGCCTGGGCTCTCCTGGCTTCTGGTTGGCTTGGGCCATGGGAGGCACGGGCAGGTGCAGAGAGGCCGCCTTGCTGCAGAGGTGGTCTCTGGCCCCAGCTCTTACCAGCTCTAGTCACCCTTTGGGCTGAGGGTGGTGGCCGCTTCCCACTGTGGCCAGTCCTGGATACATCGCCTGGGCCTGGCTTATTCCTGCCCTAAATCGTGCTCTCATCACATTCGCTTCAAAATCCCAGTCAAGCGTGCCTGTGTCCCTGTCCTATATTAGGTCCCTGAGCCAAAGGAGGTGACGTTCTAATAGACTATCGGGGATCCGCTTCTTCACAGCCGAGGAAACTGAGGCCTAGAGTAAGGACATGACCTGCTCAAGGTCACCCCAAGGCCAACTCCGAGTCCAGTGCTCCTCAGGCCATCACACTCACCTTGGGGGCCTGGGGGGCGGCTTTCTCACCTGGGCAGTAGCAGCGCAGCACCCCAGGCTGAATCAGGGATGCAGGCACTGAGATCTGGTCAAACAGGCAGCTGTAGTTATTGCTGGCTTCTTGCCACGGGCCTGTGATGAGGACCTTCACTCCTCCCTGCAGAGAACAGAGAGGGGAACAGAGTTGGAGTGTGAGCCACTGTGGGAGGCAGCATGGGGAAGCCCCCCTGAGGCTTCACTGCTCAGATGGGGGTCTGTACCCCTCGCCCCATGCAGATTCCCAGGCCCTCACTCCAGGGATTGCAGTGAGCCCCGACTTCTGAGAACCACAGCTCCAGGACTACAGCAAGAGGAGAGCCCAAGGCGCTCCTTCCCCAGCCCCTCAGGAAGCCCCAGGACCGGCAGCTCCAACCCCTGACCTTCTCCCTTTTGTGTAACTCGCAGATCCAGGCAGGAGGGAGTGCAGAGTTTTGCAAACCCTTTCAGCCTACGATGCCCCTGAGAAATGGCCTGGAAGGAAGCCGAGGGCAGGGAGGGGACTTGCTCCGTCATTCACTTGTGGACAGACTGAGGGAACTCCAAGTTTTGAAAACAGGCCTGAGCATCTCCGTGTCAGCCCAGGGACCAGAAGTTCTTGTAGGGAGTTGAGGAGAGACCCAGGATCCCCAGGCTGTGGGGATGGCAAGGTGAGGGGCTGGAGCAGGACGGGCTGAAGAGCCCGATGAAGAAACAGAGGAGCTAAAGGAGCTAAGTGAAGGAGACGCTCAGAGACTGCCCTGGGAGCTGAGTTTGGGGCTCAGAGCTTGGGGCTGGGAGTGGAACGGGGCTGAGCATCTGCCCCCTCCCCCAACCCTGTGCTATCAAAGGTCCTTGAGTCTGTGTCACTGCCTACACAGCTAGCCTGGGGTCCCACAAGCAAGCAGTGACCATGCAGCCTGGCTGGGAGCAGCCTCGAATGACCTTCCTCAGCTCCAGGGGGGAGGACCCCACCCTCAGGAACCTCCCAGGGCGCCCAGGGGCAGGAGAGCATCGGAAGGGCTGGGGTACTCCCTGACTCCCCGTTCCGACCAGCCTGGGGCTGCTGCAGAAAGTGGAGGAGGAGGGTGGCCTCATGTCCGGGGCCCGGGCAGTCCTGCTTCATGGCCATTGTCCTGCTTAGTGATGAGAGAGGGAGGTGCGAGGTGGACGGCACCTTGGAGGTCCCCTACTTACGGCTTAGCCGAGGAGAGGGGCTGGTCACTGAGTAGAGGGAGGCTCTCCCTGGGGATGAGGAAGGTAGGGGTGCCGGCCTCCCGGACTCTCCTGGCTAACCTTGGGTGGACCCACCCCAGAGGCGCCATCCACCCCACCCCCAAACCAGTAAACACCTTTCCCTGCAGTGGGGCGGAGAGCTGCTAGGTCAGGGCGGAGAGCACCACCTAGTGTCCAGGCTGGAGAAGGCCGCCAGGCAGGCTGGAGCCTGGGAGGTGGGGGTGAGGAGCTGCTGTGAGCCCACCTTCCCCACTGCTCCAGGCCAGAGAAGTGATTCCCTACCCCCCAACTCCGTGCCAACCAGATGCTCCCTACTGGTCAGTCACTCATTCTTGCTTGGCCTCTCCTGGGCCCTGGCCCACCCCTGCCCTGGAGGAAGCCCCGGCCTCTACAAGGAGCCTGCCCTAGGCGCCCCACAATGTTCCTGGAACCCAGGCCTGGCCCAGGGCATCTGCAGCAGGAGTGAGTGTTTCCAGGGATGAGGTGGAAGTAGCTCCTCCCATTGCCCAGCCAGGAAAAGAGACTTCTTCCACGGAAGGGGCTCTCCCAGGCTGGAAAGCATATTCCACCCCTGCTCTTGCATGAGCCTGGCTCTGGCCTGGGAGGTCACTTTACTGCTACGGCAGCAGAGAGAGCTCAGGACCGAGAAACAAAAGCAGGAGGCCTGCTCCTGCGCCTCAGTAGCTGTGTGTCCTCAGGCAAGTGGCCCAGCCTCTCTGGGTGGCATCTCCTTGCTAGGGGCCCTTCTGACCACAGCATCCCTTGTTCTGATGCCCAGGGATATTTGCAGCTCCGTGGAAGTGGCGGGGCATTGGGGGGAGTGGGTGCCTGGCTGAGAAGAGTGCCGGCGGACAGGTGGAGCCTGACTTTGGGATGTCTGGAAGCACCAGAAGGCCAGCTCAGGGCACCATCCCCCAGGATCCTGGGAAGTGGAAGAGCAGTGACTTCAAAAGGCCACAGACAGTTACCATGTGAGAAAAAGGGAAAAAATAATAACCGCAATCAACAGCTGCTAGCATGAGGCTGGGGCTGCTGCCGGGAACAAAGAACTGCAGAAATTACTGGAGAACATCAGGACCTTCTCCATGGAAACCGCCGCAGGACAGCTCAGCATCCATCCATTCAAGGGATGGTTCCCATGGCAACAGCCCGCCTGGCTGCGCTGAACTGGTGGTGACGCGCGTGCCTGAGGCTGTAATTGCAGGCTCTTCTGCTGCTGCAGCAGGAGTGTCAGTGGTGGGAGATGACGCAGGAGGGTTTTGGGGGTGGGGAGGGGGCACGAAATGCCATCTGAGGTCTCTGAGTCCTGAGATAAAGGGCCCATGTCTGATGCAGCCAGGGCAGATGCTGGGGCATAGGGGGACGCCTCTGGGGTGTGTGGTGGGTGTGTGTGTGTGTGTGTGTGTGTGTGTGTGTGTGTGTGTGTGTTGGTGACCAGCTGCAGCTGGAGGTGAAGGGGTGGACAGAGATAGGAGAAATGGGAGCAGCCTGTGGGAGGGAGGGCCACTCAGAGAAGAGACAGCAGGATGGCCCCGGCCATCGCATTCCTGCTAGGTAGATGCATTGAGGTTTAGAGCTGGGTGGGGGTGCTGAGTAACCGTTTAGCCAAACCCCATTTTGCAGACTGGGAAGTAGGGCCCAGGCCGACGAGCCTGCCTGTAGAGCCCTCCCTGAGCTTGGCAGAACCTGGCCAGATTGGACTCCTGATGCAGTCAGTGCACAGACAGGCTGGCAGGGAGGGGACAGGACGAGGGCCAGACAAAGGGAGAGAAGTGTCAAGAGAGAAGGTGCTCTCTCCTGTAGAACCCAGGATGGGGGCACCCCTGCTGTGGTGTGGAGACAGTGGCCTGGGTAGGAGAGGACAGCAAGGAGGAAGGGGCCCTTCACAACCTCTGAGGCCTCACTGTGTGGCCAGGTGGGGCCCCAAAGGGCCTAGCTGGGTGGCTTATGCGCATTTTCCAAATCAAGCTGAATTTCAGCAGCTTTTGGTTGTGGGTAACTGGAAGCATTGAGGGCTTCTGGAAAAGCAAGGCTGGCCGCTCCCTCTGCTGGGCTGCCAGGCTGCCAGGCTGCCATTGCGTTCCTGTTCCTGGGCCGCCCTCGTGTGGCGAGCTGCTGAACTGCAGGCCCAGAAAGGACAGAAGGAGTCAGGCCTGCTAATGTCCCACTCGCCAGGACACCCAGGAGGCTGGGGTGTGGGTCTGCACCCAGCCCAGGGCCTGTCTGACAGGCCAGGACCTCGGGAAAAGAGGGGACCCTCCTCCCACCTCCTGGCTTCTGCAAGACATTAAGGGCTCCAGGGCGCCTCTAAGTGTCCCGAGGACCAAATCTCCCAGGTCCTAGGACTGGGAGTGCCTCGAGGCCACCCCCTCTCAGCCATTTACACGTAAGGAAACTGAGCCCCAGAGAGTCAGGTCTCAAGGAGCCAGGACCAGAAGACAGCTCTGACCGTCCCCCCGCACCCTGATCCTGGCCTCCTCCCTGTCCCTTTGCATCGCTTTCTTAAGCCCAGGGTCAGGGGGCACGGGGAAGATGCCCAACTGGCCTTCATGGGGTGGGGTGGGGGGTGTGGTGGGCACTCCGAAGGTGCCATTGAGCTCAGAGTCACTGATAAGATTAGGAGGTCAGGGCCGGGTGTGGTGGCTCATGCCCGAAATCCCAGCACTTTGGGAGGCTGAGGTGGGCGGATCACTGGAGGCCAGGAGGTCAAGACCAGCCTGGGAAACATGGTGAAACCCCGTCTCTACTAAAAATACAAAAATTAGCTGGATGCAGCAGGGTGTGTCTGTAACCCCAGCTACTCGGCAGGCTGAGGCAGGAGAATCGCTTGAACCTGGGAGGCGGAGGTTTCAGTGAGCCGAGATGGCGCCATTGCACTCCAGCCTGGGCAAAAAGAGTGAAATTCCTTCTCAAAAACAAAACAAAACAAAACAAAACAAAACAACAACAGCAGGGGGGTCAGAAACACGGTCACACCAACCTATACCAAGAGGAAGCCCAGTCTGATCCTTCCGGGCTCTTCCTATCGGGGATGGGAGAGCTGGGGGTGTCTGTACACAGATTTTCTTAGCTTTGCCAGCGGGGAAGAAGGGTGAGGAAGTATGAGCCCCCTTCTTTGGTGTTCTCCAGCCGAGTGGGCCGTGGGCAGCCACCTCCCAGGCAGTGTCCAATCAGGGCCCGTGGTGCATGTGCTGGTCCCTGAGCACCCAGATGGGCTGGGTAGAGGTCAGGATGCACGTGCTTGTCTGCACTAGGTTATTTAGGGAAAGCCTGGGCCACTCTGTCCCCTTCCTGTGCTATTCTGCTCTACAGAAAAAGCAGAGATTCCTCTACTGCTTGTGTCCCTCAGGCAAGATGCTTTGGTCTTTGGAGTAGTGGTTCTCAAAGTCAGATCCCCGGGAGCTGAGGCGGCCTGGGGGCTGGGGGAGGGTGCACGTTGGAATCCTGCGTCCTATGACCTGTGTGGAATTTTGCAGAAGGCCAGGTTTACTTAAGAAGGATCTTCAGGATGACTCTTCAGAAGCTGTGCCCTGTTCAGTTTTGAGAGAGATTTTTGGTTTTTGGTTTTGTTTGGCTTAGAGAAGTAGGGTGAAGGCAGTGGATGTAGACGATCTATGATGGTGACTTTTTCTTTCTTTTTTTTTTTTTTAAGACAGTTTCATTCTTGTCGCCCAGGCTGGAGTGCAGTGGCGTGATCTCGACTCACTGCAACCTCCACCTCCCGGGTTCAAGCGATTCTCCTGCCTCAGCCTCCCGAGTAGCTGGGATTACAGGCACGTGCCACTACGCCCAGTTAATTTTTTGTATTTTTAGTAGAGACGGGGTTTCACCATGTTGGCCAGGCTAGTCTCGAACTCCTGACCTCAGGTGATCCACCCACCTTGGCCTCCCAAAGTGCTGGGATTATGGGCATGAGCCACTGAGCCCGGCCAATGGTGACTTTTGAATTTTTTTAAGCAACCCTGGGACCCCTTTTCAAAAAAAAAGCAAAGCAAAACATAGATGGACTCAACACATAAATTGAGAAACGGCAGACGACTCTGGCTGGAGCTGGGGGAGCATTTTGCTTCCAAGGATACCCTGACTTTCTCTCTTTTTTTTTGAGACAGGGTTTCACTCTGTCATCCGGACTGGAGTGCAGTGGTACAACCACAGCTCACTGCAGCCTCAACCTCTTGGGCTCAAGTGCTCCTCCGGACTCAGCCTCCAGAATAGCTGGGACCATAGGCAGGCCCCACCACACCTGGCTTATTTTTTTAATATTTTGTTGAAACCAGTTCTCACTACGTTGCCCAGGTTGGTTTGGAACTCCTTGGCTCAGATGATCCTCCTGCCTCGGCCTCCCAAAGTTCTGGGATTACAGGTTTGAGCCATGGCACCCGGCCAAAGACCCCCTGACTTTAAAGCTACTTGCCCCAGTGAAGTTTGAGAACCACTGCGTGAAAGACGGAGGTGTTCAAGCGCCGTGGGGACACAAGGAGGGGAAAGCATCATCTTTGTGGTCCAGAGCTTCCTCTGAAGGGCAGCCACAGGCATCCCTTAGCTGCAGGGTGGCGCAGGGGCTGGCGAGGTGGGTGGGAGGGGAGGTGACAGGTGGTGGCAGCGGCGGCAGCTTACCTCTGGGTAAGACCACTCTGGGGAGTAGTCGGTCACCATGAACACCCGTCCGCTCTGCTGCAGCATGCCTAGGGTGCCCTGGGCCGAGGCGGCCGAGACCACCTCGGCGACGTGCATGTAGGCCATGGTGCTGGCCCCGCCCTCCGAGCTGCTCAGCTGCAGGCTACCCTGCTGGGGGCTACAGCAGGGGAGGCACATCTCTGCCTGGGTGAAGGGGGCCCGCGCCCCGTCCTCTGACTGTGAGAGCGCCGTGCTGTCCCCCGACACCAGCTGGTGCCCATAGATGGTGCTGCTGCCCCCCTCCACGGAGATGAAGTCGTTGATCAGGTCGGAGAACTGGTTGCTGAAGGAGATGTCAAAGTGGTCCAGGCTGAGCTCCATGTTGGAGGCGTTGCCGAGGCTGGGCTGGGCCACGGGGTAGAGTCCCTGCACCACGTTGCCCGGGAGGATGGGGACGCCGCCGGCGCTTCGGATTACCCCGTTGGTCTCCGGCTGCAGGTAGTGCTCAGAGCTGCAAGCCTGCAGCTCCCCAGACTTGAGCAGGACCTCGCTCCCTTCCGCCGCCTGCGAGGTCTCCATGGTGACCTCCCCTTCTGCCGTCATGGCCTGGAAGTTGGCCTGGAACTGCATGAGGTGGAGGGAGGAAGTGGACTCGATCCGCGTCTCCACGTGACCGCTGCAGGAGCTGGTTTGGGACGAGGCCTCCGTTTTCACCGTGGGCATCACGAAGGTGCCCCCAGAGTCACTCAGGCTGCTGTGGGTGTTCTGCTCGACGGGGAGGGGTTTGCTGGCGTCCTGCAGGAAGAAGCTCGGGGAGGGGGTCTGGTGGATGTGGGGGCTGTGGCCCGTCTGGCTGAAGCTGGACGTGTAGTCCTTGTTGGAGTCGATGGCGCTGAAGTCCATCTGCTCCAGGGTGGTGCTGGGACTCAGGCCGCCGCCCGACGGCAGGAGGCTGGAGCCGGCGGTCAGGGTGAGGGAGCTGGCTGCCACAGCCGCCGCGGAGGAGGAGTACGCTTCTTTGGCCATCTGCTGCTCGAAGGAGGTGTCCTCGGTCTTGATCTCCTTGGTGAGGACGGTGGTAAAGCTGAAGCTCCGCTCCCCGGGTGGCGAGTGCCGGATGTTGGAGCTGACCATCTCGGCTTTCAGGCCTCCACCCCCGTACGTCTGGCCCTGCTTTGGGTTATTAAGGAAACAGTCGGGGTCAAAGTTCATGGTGGTTTCTGGAATCTTCCGGCCACCGTCGAGGGTGGTGGAGAGGACCAGCTCTTCGGACACGTTGGTGGGCAGCATGGACAGGCTCTCCGAGCTGCCCGTGGTGGGAAAGGCGAACTTGTGGCCATCAGAGCTCACGGCCAGGACGAGGCCCTGAGAGGCGTCAGGTGAGAGGAGGTGGTGGTTGGGGCCAGCGGTGGGGGACATGGTGTACACGGCCTCATTGGTGACCTCTGACATGAACACCGTGGCGCTCTGGGACAAGCTCCCCATCACAGAGGCCACCGCCATACCGGACACACCTGTGACCACCGGGCTGTCCACCATGTCCGGGTCGCTGTTGAGCCCGCTGCTGATGGACACAGGGGAGCTCTGGGTGGTGTCGGGGACTTCCACCTGGTTGGTGGAGGAGACCTCGGTGCTGCTCTGGTGCAGGAGCACGGGCTTGGCCACCTTGCCGTTCCTCTTCTCACGGCTGGAGCCCTTGCTGTGGCTGTGCTCGTGCTTGCCCTCCGACACGTCATTGTGCTGCACCTCCGAGTGGCTCCCGTACCCCCCTGTCCGTGGCTCCACCTTGGGCGAGATGATGCGGTGTTTGGCGCTGTTACACTTGTGATGCACGCTGCCGCCAGCTCCTGCGGAGATCGGAACACAACACGCGCACGCACACGCAGGCACACATGTGCACACACACATGCACACACAAAAGAGAGTCAGAGCTAGGACCGTGGTGGACCTGCCCCACAGCGGCTGGGGTCCCTGGCAAAGTCCAGGCCCGGTACCCCAGGCAGGCCACAGACTCTCAGCCCTTGGACACGTACCCCAAGCCCGGGGGCCGTCCCACGCCCCTTTGACCCTCCTCCAAAGATCAGAGGGGCTTTGGCCTTGATGCTCTTTTCAAATAGGAAGCATATGGGAAGTTGGGAAGGAGAAGGTGGAGAGAATGTCAACACCCAGGAAAGTCCCCTCCGCCATCAGAGACAGATACCACTCATCTGGAAGGGCTTTTGCTGGCAAGAGGGGATCAGCCTGGTGAGAGTGGCTACGTTCGTATCCTGCCCCACCTCCCCTCCCCAACTTCCCACAGCTGCTCAGGCCATGCCCCAGTGAGGAGCCACCCCTGGGGCCTGGCAACCAGAGGTCAATGGGGAGGTGATGGAAATGCAGTCTCGGGACCAGCTCTCAGGCCCCAGGACCAAAGAGGGTTCTCGACCCTGCTCCAGAGGCGGAAAGGTACCTAAGCCCAGGCCTACCCTCAGCTCTCTGGGGTACAAAAATCCTTCTAGGTCCTAAGTAGGGACAGAGCCCTTGCTCCTCATTTCAGACGTACAAGCCTCAGGAGCCGAACGTTTCTGAGCTTGGCAAAGCCTCCCTGGCAGCTCCTCCAGCCCCGGCAGCCAGGACGGCTTTTCTCTCCCTCCCATTGGATATTTTCACCATTTTCATTTCATCTGATAAGGGTCACTTTACTTTTGATGAAAGGGCAAATTCTCCCTGATCCTGTTATGGCCTCACCACCAAGACTCCTCAATGCACCAAGACTGCGTAGAGAAGTGACACGACCCTCTAATGGGACTATCTAATTAAGTCAGCCTGGGGAGTGGAGAACACACATTTCAAAGAGCAAATACCATTATCAGAAAAACAGACACATTAGGAAGGAGAGCGCGGGACGCTTCATGTTCTTGGAGGAGACAGAGGTTAAAGAAAGAGGTTGCGCCTGCGTGGTGTCACTGACGCAGGGCACGTCTCCCTCAAGACCCCAGTGCCCTCTGGCAGAGGATGCCCAAGAGTGTGGGCCTGAACAGAGAGGCCCCGAGCCCCAGAGCTCCTCGCTTCCCCAACTCTGCTGCCCCCAGTTCTTGCCCCACGGAGGAAGCTGTCCCTCTGGACACTGCTCCCTCCTGCCCAGAGCGGACTGCCAGCCAGTTGCAGGGCAGGACGAGGCGGAAGGCCTGCCTTGTGTCTGTGCTGGGTGCGGTGGTGTCGCCCAGTCCCTGACTGTCCCCCTCCTCCCTCACTAGATGTCATGGCTACTCCCACAGAGGACAGCCATGACGGCTGCCTGGTAGGGCCCCTCTGTCCCCGTGGCGCCCGCCTGCCCCGGGAGCCCCGGCTCACCCAGGCTGCCGGTGCAGAGGCAGTTGTGGGTCCGCGGCTGGGGCTTGGTCTGGTGGCTGTCGAGGATCTGCTGCACCAGCTGTTCCACCGAGAAGCCTGAGCTGCTGTTCCCATTGCTGCAGGTCCACTTGATGCCATGGACTGTGAAGAGAGAGGCAGGGGGGCTGTCAGAGCCCGTGGGTGCAGAGGGGACCTGGGTGGGGCCAAGGGGTAGGACCCAGGCCCTCCCTGAGGGCAGCCCTCTCACTGCTGGGGAGCTGGCTCCTGGGGCGAATTGATGAGTAGGGGAGGAGGAGGGGAAGGGAGGCCAGGCTGCCCCCGCCAGACCCCCTGCTCCCATCGGGGGTTCTGAGCTCTTTAGCTCCCCCTCACTATGGTGCAGCCCAGGGAGTGGACCGCATAGAGTTCTGCTTTTGTTTCCCTAAAGTCAGAGTGCACGAGGCGGCTCTTCCAGGGGTGCTGGAATGGAAGAGAAAGGGAACAAGGACAGAAGGAGAGTGGACAGGAGGCTGAGGGACTTCCCAGCCTGTGAGCTTCTTGTGGAGACTCAGGATAGAGGTGGTGGACCAACAAGCACCGAGCCGGGAGGACCAATGCCTCTCCCAGGAGTGTGTGGGGAGGTGGCCCCACCCTGGGGGGTAAGACTCTGGCTTCCTGCCCTCACCAGACTTCTTTGCCCCAAAGGGAGTGCAGATGCAGGAGAGGCCAGGGGAGATGGGGACGGGACTGAAGGGCCCACGTGGCCTGGACATCAGGTAGCTCAGTGCCCAGTGCTGACTGATGGCAGCCATCTGAACAGCCACCCCGGGAGCTGGGCTCAACCTTCCTCCCTGCACTTTTGCAGTTCCTGGAGTTGGGATTGGGGTTTCCCCACCTGCCTGGCAGGATGGGGGCTGGAAGTCTAAACCGACTTTTCCAGCAGAGCAGTTTTCTCAGCTGGAGCAGACCCGGCCAAGGGGTCGCTAAGTCCTGAGTCCGGCACATGGAGCAATCCAGCTGTCTCTAGTGGGGCCAGGCTCAGAGGCAGTGGATTCGCAGCTTTGGGGCTGGAGCTGGTGCTGGGGATCCAGGCGCGGAGGAGCCGGGCACAGGGTCGAGATACGGAGAGGTCAGTGGCTTTATCGATACAAGAGCAATGTCCTTCCTCCTTTGGCTGAAGCTCCTCTCCCACCAGCTCCAGGGGGACAGCCGCTAACCCTCGCAGCACTGGCCCCAGTTCTGTGAAGGGCTCTAGAAGGTAGGGGGACAAGGAGAGCGTCGACATGGCAGGTAGGAGCTGGCTCGGTTCAGACATGGATTTGAGTCCAAGTTTTACTTATTTATTTTTTTTGAAACAGGTGTCACTCTGTTGCTCAGGCTGGAGTGCTGTGGTATAAACACGACTCACTGTAGACTCGGCCTCGTGGGTTCAAGTGATCCTCCCGCCTCAGCCTCCTGAGTAGCTGGGACTATAGGCATGTGTCACTACACTTGGATATTTAAAAAAAAATTATTTGTAGAGGCCAGGCGCAGTGGCTCACACCTATAATCCTAATACTTTGGAAGGCCAAAGTGGGCGGATCACCTGAGGTCAGGAGTTTGAGACCAGCCTGACCAACATGGTGAAACCCGTCTCTACCAAAAATACAAAATTAGCTGGGCGTGGTGGCACATGCCTGTAATCCCAGCTACCTGGGGGGCTGAGGCAAAAGAATCGTCTGGGAGGCAGAGGTTGCAGTGAGCCGAGATTGCACCATTGCACTCCAGCCTGGGGAATGAGAGCAAAACTCTGTCTCAAAACAAAACAAAACAAAATTATTTGTAGAGACAAGGATCTCACTATGTTACCCAGGCTGGTTTGGAACTCATGGCCTCCCAAAGTGCTGATATTATAGGTGTGTACCTGGTCTGAGTCTAGGTTTTGATCTTGCTGTGTGGATTTGGGCAAGTCACTTAGCCTCTCTGAGCCTCAGTTTCCTCACTTGTAAAGTGGGCATATAGTAGTTCCTGCCTGGAGAACTGGCCAGGAGAAAACACGATCTACGTGCCTGGCACTTTGTGCATACCCAAAAAAAGGGTAGCTGTTGTCATAACATCACTAGTGATGATGGTGATGACAGTAATGACTGTGACACCCAGCAGGCAGTGCTGGCCCTGCCTGGGGCCTGGCCGATGCTATGGGGACTGGGCTTGTGGCAGGAAGCTTCTTGCTGTGAAATCCACAGATGGCTCAGCCCCGGAACACTGCGGGTAGATCTCTGTGGTGGCCATTCATCTCAAGCCTCTGTTCCTGGGTGTAGAGCTCTCCCTTTAATTATAACTCTGATGGTTTTTCTTTTCTTCTTCTTTTTTTTGAGACAGAGTCTCGCTCTGTTGCCCAGGCTGGAGTGCAGTGGCACGATCTCGGTTCACTGCAACCTCTGCCTCCTGAGTTCAAGCGATTCTTCTGCCTCAGCCTCCTGAATAGCTGGGATTACAGGCGCCTGCCACCGGGCCTGGCTAATTTTTGTATTTTTAGTAGAGATGGGGTTTCACCATATTGGCCAGGCTGGTCTTGAACTCCTGACCTTGTGATCCACCCCCCTTTGGCCTCCCAAAGTGCTGGGATTACAGGCGTGAGCCACCACGCCCAGCCTCTGATAGTTTTTCAAAGGAAATCACCCATGTGTGAGGCTTGGGATCTGGCAGGAATACCTTCAGGGTGCTGCTTTCCTTCTCTGTGTGTGCTGTCGCCTGACCCGGGTGTCCGCTCCCTTTCCTTCCCCTCTGCTTCACTCTGAAGAGGCTCCTCTGAGGTCTGCAGCACCCTCTGCCTCCTGCATCTTCACTTATTCTCAGGGGGCCTGGGATTCTGGTGGGTCACTAAGGGGGATGGGTGGGGCTGAGTGGCACCTGTTTGCCAAGCCGCCATGTTCAGAACTTGTGATCGGCGAACATGTGATAGGCGCAGGCAGGCAGGTGGCAGCATTGACAGCCCACTTTTCTTCAGGTGGACAGTGCTTTCATCTTGGGCTCCCTGGAGGAATTCTCCAGCATCCCCCTAAGCACCTTGTCCCTGACAGCTGGAGGGAAGGCCCGGGTCAGGGGCTTTTTAAACCTCATCATAGCTATGGGACCCTTTTCTTAAATAAACCTCTACCAAGAAATTCAATACAGAAGACAGATTACTGCAGAAAGGACCTGGTGGAGGCAAGATGAGGGGTCACAGGCTCTCTGGCCTGTCCCTATGCCCAGGGCACTCCTTGGCTTACAGACATTTCCAGACTCATTTTACAGATAAGAAAACAGAGGCTCAGGAGGGGAGGTGACAGCCCAAATCACATTCCAGAGGCCACAGGGCAGGATTTGAGACTCTCCTCTGTACCGCTGCACAGGCAGTGGTCTGTTCCAGCTGTGGGTCCCCTACTCTGGCTGTACCCAGGCCCTAGATAGGAGATTCTGATGTCATTGGTCTGGGGTGGTGCCAGGTATTTTTTTTAGAGCTCTGCAGAGGCTCCTCACGTGCCGTTAGGATGGGAGAACACGCAGCTCTGTCTCACATGCTGTTAGGATGGGAGAACACGCAGCTCTGTCCTAAGCTTAAACTCAGCAGGGAACTGCAAGTCCAAGAGCAGAAAGCCCTGCAGAGCTCATCACGGGAGCCTCTCCCTGTGGGAACTCGGAGCAGGTGCCCCTTGCCAAGCCAGGCCACATGTTCTCTGGGAAGATCCCTGCTGAATTTGAACTTGGCTGTCTGTGGAGATGAGCTGTTTTCAGGGCAGCCCCACCTCTGGCTTCGGCCTTCAGGCTACACCCCACTTGAGGGTCTTGGGTCTTGGCACAGTGAGGCTTTTGAATCCCCTGGCTGGCAGAGTCTCCTGGCATTTCAGATCAGGGTCCCCTCTGCTCTGACAACCGCCGATCAGGCCAGGTTTCTCCTCCAGTCCTGATGGGGGTGCGGCAGCCGCATTCTCTCTGCCTCTTGTTCTCCTCCTTATGTTGTGAAGGTTATAAAATGAAGACCCAGTGAAGGGTGACAGATTGCAAGCAGAGAGTTTCTAGATGCTTAATGCAAATTACCTACTGTCTTGGCACATCCAATATGCAGATTGTCTCCCTCCTTGCTCTGGTGTTGGGGGTGGGTGGGTGGAGAAAAGCCCCTCCTCTGAGGTGGTGAGTTGTTAGCACTGAATATCAAATAGTATCAAGACGGCTTTTAACATGTCATGCTCTGCTTCCCAACACGGAATGAATCAGTGGGAAGGGAGATTTCTATAGGGAAAAAGCGCTTTATGAAAGGAAGGTTAATAGCCACGCATGCCGGCCGCCCCCTCGGCCCCTTCCCCTTTTTAAAGCAGCAAAAGGGAAACCGCGTTAAAAGTACACTTGATCACGTGACCTCCCATGACATGTAAGGTCATGACATGTCTTGTAAGGGAGGAGGCACAGAAAGAGGAATTCCCAGAAAGGTAATGTCCTGGTGGCTCTGGGTCACATCTGTCCCCTCCTGCTCACTGTACCTCACCGGGCGGTACCTGACTCCCCGTTCTCAGGCAGAATGGCCTGAGCTGAATCCCAGACAGAGGGACCCTCTCTGCAGCTCCCCATAGTTGGAGCCTTGGTGGTGGTCCCTGGTCTGCTCAGGTGGTGGAGAGAGACCTGTATCCCTAGGAAGGCTGGGTCAGGGGAAGTACCAGAGAGAAGAAAGGGCTGGCATGGGGTGGGATAAGCCAGACCCCAGCATGGGGCTCCACAAGACAGGGGCAGGCAGGATGGTCACACTGGCCACTGGGAAGCAGGATGCTGGCTCCTCGAAAGGTGTCCTCCTACAGCTACCCGAGAAGCCCTGCGGCTGCCCCGTGAAACACAGGCCGGGGACTGCATTCTCGCGGACAGGGCTGCCTGCAGCGCGGCCTGTGTGAGGATCGGCTTGCAGAGCCGAGGCTGGGAGTGGCCGTCGCAGGAACCCAGGGCCCACTCCAATGCTGACCTAGCCCTCGTACAAGATGTTTACCCTAATTATGGCCCCTGGCAAGGCAGCAGCGCTTCCACTAATATGAATAATCAAAATGAAATCAATGACAACAGCGTGTGGCCCATGCTTTGGAGAGCATCTTCTGATGAACAATTTACCCAAGAGGCGGCCAACCGCTGGGAAAAGAGTAATTGAGATCTAGAAGAGAGGGCTGGGGGAAGGCGTGGGGGCTTCACCCCACATGGGGCAGGCTGCCAGCCGAGAGCCTCTTGGGTTGCAGCTGCTCCATCCCATGCCCTTGGGAAGCGGCGGAGAGCTTCAGCTACACAGGCTAAGCCTGAGCCACGGTAGGGCCGTCCTATTTTCCTCTGTCATGAACTGAATTGTGTCCCCCACCAAATCCATAGGTTGAAGCCCTAACCACCAATGTGACTGTATTTGGAAACAGACTTTTAAGGAGGTAATTACGGTTAAGTGAGGTCACATGGGTGGGACCCTATCCCAGCAGGACTGGTGTCCTTATAAGTAGAGGAGGAGACACCAGGAGTGCCTATGCCTAGATAGATGGTTATATGAGGAAGCAGTGAGAAGGTGGCTGTCTGCAACCCAGGAAGAGAGGCCCTACCAGAAACCAACCCCAATGTCCCCTTAATCTTGGACTTCCAGCCTGCAGACTGTGAGACGATCAATTTCTGTTGTTTAAGCCGCCAGTCTGTGGCACACTGTGAGGGCAGTGTTTTAGTCTTCGTCTTTTTTGTGCTGCTACAACAGAATACCACAGACTGGGAAATTCATAAAGAACACAAGTGTATTGGCTTATAGTTTTGGAGGCTGGGAAGTCCAATATCAAGCTGCCAGTGCCTGGTGAGGGCCTTCTTGCTAGGTCATTGCATGGTGGAAGGGCGAAGAAAAAGAATCCATTCCCAGAAACCCTAAGTAAAGCAGTTTAATCCCTCCCATGGGGCCCCACCTCCAGACACAGTTGCACTGGGAATTCAATTTCAACATGAGTTTCGGAGGAAAACATTCAAACCACAGCAGGCTAAATAACACACCCCGCATGGGGGCTCAGGCCTCCCCCATCCTCAGGCTCTGTGGCTAAAGGTCCACACCAACCCTGCTCTATGCACTGCACACGTGTGTGTGTACAGGTGCGCGTGTATAGGTGTTTGTACATATAGGTGTGTGTATAGGTGTGGGTGTATCGGTGTATGTGTATATAGATGTGTGTATAGGTGTGTGTGTATAGGTGTGTATCAGTGTGTGTGCATAGGTGTGTGGGTGTGTAGTGTGTGTATAGGTGTGTGTATAGGTGTGTGGGTGTGTATAGGTGTGTGTATAGGGGTGTTTGTGTGTGTAGGTGGGTGTGTTTGTGTGTATAGGTGTGCATATCAGTGTGTATGTGTGTGGGTGTGTACATAGGTGTGTGTATGTGTGTTGTATAGGTGTGTGTTTGTATAGGTGGGTGTGTTTGTGTATAGGTATGTGTGTATAGGTTGTGTATGTGGATAGGTGTGTGTGTATAGGTGGGTGTATTTGTGTGCATACGTGTGTGTGTATAGGTGGGTGTGTTTGTTTAAGGGTGTGTGTATAGGTGGGTTTGTGTGTATAGGTGTGTATAACGGTGTGTGTGTATAGGTGTGTGTGTGTATAACGGTGTGTATAGGTGGGTCTGTGTGTATAGGTGTGTGTGTATAGGTGTGTGTGTGTATAGATGGGTGTGTTTGTGTGTATAGGGGTGTGTGTTTGTGTATAGGTGTGTGTGGGTGTGTATAGGTGTGTGTATAGGTGGGTTTGTGTGTATAGAGGTGTGTGTATAGGTGTGTGTATAGGTGTGTGTGTATAGGTGGGTGTGTGTGTATAGGTGGGTGTGTTTGTATAGGTGTGTGTATAGGTGGGTGTGTTTGTGTATATAGGGGTGTGTGTATAGGTGTGTGTGGGTGTGTGTATAGGTGTGTGTGTATAGGTGGGTGTGTTTGTGTGTGTATAGGTGTGTGCTTGTGTGTGTATAGATGGGTGTGTTTGTGGGTGTATAGATGTATTTGTGTGTATAGATGTGTGTGTATAGGTGGGTATGTGTACAGGTGGGTGTGTTCGTGTGTATAGGGGTGTGTGTGGTGTGTGTGGGTGTGTGTATAGGTGTGTGGGTATAGGTGTGTGTTTAGGTGGGTGTGTTTGTATATGTGTGTGTATAGGTGTGTGGGTGTGTGTATAGGTGGGTGTGTTTGTGTGTATAGGGGTGTTTGTGTGCATGGAGTGTGTGTATAGGTGTGTGTGTATAGGTGTGTGCTTGTGTGTGTATAGATGGGTGTGTTTGTGTGTATAGGAGTGTGTGTGTATAGCTGTGTGTATGTATAGGTGTGTGTGTATAGGTGTGTGCCGGTGTGTGTATAGATGGGTGTGTTTGTGTGTATAGGAGTGTATGTGTGTATAGGTGTGTGTATGTATAGGGGTGTGTGTGTGTACAGTTCAAGGGGTTCTGACATCAGGGGCTTTCCAGAATGCCTCTCTCCTCTACCACTTTATTTTTAATATATTTATTTATTTATTTTTTGAGACAGGGTCTCACTCTGTCACCCAGGCTGGAGTGCAGTGGTGCAATCTGAGCTCACTGCAACCTCCGACCCTTGGGTTCAAGCAATTCTCATGCCTCAGCCTCCTGAGTAGCTGGACTACAGGTGTGCGCCACCACGCCTGGCTAAGTTTTGTATTTTTAGTAGAGACAGGGTTTCAGCATGGTGGTCAGGCTGGTCTTGAACTCCTGACCTCAAGTGATACACCCACCTCGGCCTCCTGAAGTGCAGGGATTACAGGTGTGAGCCACCACGCCTAGCCCTTCTACCACTTTAAATGCCACCCTTCTTTCCAGCACAGCCCAGCTCAAGCCCCCGCCTCTGGCTCATTCTCAGGCCCTCCCCAAACCCACCGAATCACAGACTCAGGATGGGGCCCAGCACCTGTGTCCTAAGGGGCCCTCGTGGGAATTCAAATGCATGCTCCAGTTTGAGAACTATGGGTATAGAAATCACAATAGCCTTCCTGGCTGCTCATGCCTGTCCCTAGGAGCTGGAGTTTGGATCCTGAGGGCAGGCCTTGCCAAGCTGTTCACTGCTCATCTCCCATCCTCAGAACAATGCCTGGCACATAGTAGATGCTTAATAAAGGCTGGTAGAGTGAATGAGTGAATGGCCAATTTCTCAATCATGCCCTCCCTAGCACTTTTTTTTTTAATTGGTTCATCATTTCCCTCAGTGAGCTATAAGCAGAGCTCATGTCTCAGTAATAACAACAAAAACAATGATAGTTATTGGACATATCCTCCATGCCAGGCAGTATGTGAGCATCTTCATATGTTGACTCCAAAAAGAAAAAAAGAACAAGGCCAGGTGTGGTGGCTCATGCCAGCACTTTGGGAGGCTGGGGAGGGTGGATCACTTGAGCCCAGGAGTTTGAGACCAGCCTTGGCAAAATGGCGAGACCCAGTCTCTACAAAAAATAAAAACATTAGTCTGGTGTGGTGGTGGGCACCTGTAATCCCAGCTACATGGGAGGCGGAGGCAGGAGGATCACCTGAGCCCAGGGAGGTCGAGGCTACAGTGAGCTGTGATCGGGCCACTGCACTCCAGCCTGGGTGACAGAGTGAGGCCCTGTCTCAAAAAAAGAAGGGGAAAAAAATAATAACAATACTATGTACTCCACTGAGCCTCTGCTGTGGGCAGGGCACGGGGCCAGACACTCTCCTGTGGAGCAGTGGTTCTCAAAGTGTGGCCCCCGCAGCACTAGAATCACCTGACACTTGTTAGAAACGCACATTCTCAGGCCCCGCCCCAACCTGCAGAATTAGAAACGCTGGGGTTTGGGGCCCAGCATCCACGTCCTAATAGGCCTTCGAGGCACACTCAAGTTTGAGAAGCTCAGGTCTAGAGATGACATCTTTAACCTCCCAGTGATCCCTTGAGGCAGAATATATTATCCCATTTTATTAATGCCAAAACCGAGACTCAGAGAAGTTATGTAACTTGCCCAAGGTCACACAGCAGGTGCGTAGGGGGTGAGGAGGGGCTGCAGATTCAAGCTCTTTCCACTGGGCGACCTGCCTGGCTTTCAGCTCTGCCAGGACCAGCTCCTAGGAGGAGGTGAGGAAGACTGGACAGCAGCTCGGTGGTGGGCAGAGGAGAAAAGCGACCCCATCTGGAGGTAGAGGGTGCTGGCCGTGAGCAGCAAGACTCACTTCACTTCCTGGAGGGAAGTCTGGTTTCCCTCGGCCCCTTCACCAGGGGCTGGTGACTGTGCAGGAAACTCAGGGTCCTGGTGCTGGACCACATGCTGTCATCCCAAGCTGATGCCCAGCTTCGTCTCCTGCCCTCCCTGACTTCGCAGATGCTGGGCTGTCTCAGAGGGGCCAGGCCTTGCTGGCTGGGGCCTTAGTGGGCAGAAGCTCCCGAGTCCCTGGCTCCCCACTTGGGATTTCCTCACTTCGGGGTCAGGTCAGCTGTCACTCATCTGGCCAAGCCACCCAGACCAGGGCAGAAGAAACTCGTCCTTGAGCCTCCCACGGGAGGAACTGGGAGGCAGGGCCTGATGGGGACTTGCTCTTGGAAAATCAGAGCAAGCAGGAGAGGAAGGGGGAAGAAAACCTGGGAGGCTGCTGCAAGGAGGACATCTCAGCAACGCTGCATCCAAGCCTGGGAGCTGGGGCTTCCCTGAGGCATGTGCTGGTCTTGTCACGGCAGCAGGCTTTGTGCCTGGTTAGAGGTGCATTTGGGGGGAATTTCTATAAAAACCCAAAGAAGCTAAGAAGGGTTCATTCCAGACGGTACAGGATGTGTGGGGGCAATGCTTGGCTCCACGACAGGGCCTCCTCATTTGGGGTATGGTGGGGGTGGGAGGGGACCCCCTGAGGGATGGCAGGGGGCTGAGGGGCAGCTTCGTCTTGGCTGTCTTTCATTCCTGACATGGCTGTCCCATGCAGTGGTGGGGCTTTCCCAAAGGGCAGGGAAAACCTCCAAGTGCGATGCCCTGTGCTGGCTATGTGGGAAGAAGAGGCGAGAATTTAGAAACAGTGGGAGACCGGGTGGCAGCACCGTGCTGGCCTGGGGTCGGGGCCCCCATGTGGCCGCAGCTGTTTCCCTCATGCACTGTGTGATCTTAGAACAAGATCTTTGTTTCCTCTGGATCTTAGTTTCTTCATCTGGAAAGTGGTTGCCTCTTGCCAGTTCACCTGACTGTATGCCACTGGGCCCTATCCAGGTAGGTGGCCCCACCCCTGGATTCTGATGTGATGGCATCCACAGGAGATCTGCCCAGGCCAGGGTGGAAAGCCTCACAAGAGGGGAAGCTCTCTGCTCCGCAGTCCTGCCTGGAAGACTTTGGAAAGGAATTGGACGAGGAGACAGAGAGAACTCCAGAAGTCTGCCTCAGCCCCTGGTGGCTCCTGGAACGGGTGAGAACCAGCTACCTGTCCCCTCTGCTCTGTGGGGCAGTAACTCTTGGAAGGATGACAGGGCAAGGCCACCTGGAGCTTTGGTCACCATGGTAACTGTACAGGCGGCACCTGCTGGAATCGACGCTTGGCCTTCCTTTGCATGAGAAGAGATTTCTGGGTGCTGTGATGAGCAGGTGGCAAGGACGAGGGGCAGTGTCCTTTTCTGGAGGGCTGTGGGGGGCCCTGTCCTCCTCCTCCATCTGGGCTCGTCCAGTCCACCCACCTAGGTACCCTGCCACCCAAGAAAGACCCAGAAAGAGGGTGGCCATTTAACTAGTCAAGCCAGGTCACCTTGGGAGCCAACAAAGGGTGCTGTGGTCATTTGTCCAGGTGCTGGTATAGGCTGGGTTGCTCTCCAGCAACCCTGGACGTGTGGCTGCTCTCCTTATGAACCACGTGCCGGAGGCGGACGGGAGAGGGAGCGGCCACGTGCCTCTCCTGGAGTGAATGAGGCCCCTTCGGAGTCCTCGGTGTTGTTGACACTAGAAGGCTGTCTCCATGGCGACAAGGTCAATGGGAAATGGCAGCCGGGTTGGTTTAATTTTCACTGTATTCTTGTTGACAGGAATAAAGGCCCTGTTTCTGATTTCTTGGTTCAACTGGATGAAATTTTCATTAGATTTAACTTCTCATATCCAGACACCCACATACTATTCAATTTCCCGATCTCACCACTCAACTCTCATTCGCCTATTGGTCCTGAGGACAAAATTTTCAGAAATCTCATTTCGAGGAGCGCAGAGGCTGAGGGGGGACGGGATGGAGTGTGCGCCCACCGTGTGCACATGCGGGGACCTATCTGCCGTGTCCCCAGTGAGCCTGTCATTTCTGGTGCTCGCTGTTGGGGCATCACAGTCCTCCCTCTGCCAGGGGGCATGGGCTTCGTCCCAACATCACACGTCCTCTGGAAAAGGCGGGGGTGGAGGGTCCAGCAGACTGCCAGGGTGTTGAGAGCTTGACCTTCCCGTATTCTTTCTTCTTGCAAGTGGGACAGACATTGTCAATGAGGGGTAGGGAGAGGCGCCATTCCAGCCCGGCCAGTGACTCCATCATCAGGAAATACAGAGCGTGTGGGGTGGCATGTCCTTTACCCCTGTAACTGGCCTCACAGGAAATCTCCAAGGTGCTCAGTGACATACAAAGTGGCACTTTAGAGCCATCCTGAGGCTCTCGGAATCTTCTCCTGATGTGCGAAGCGGCATTGTTACCAGGCTGGGAATTCTTTGCACCGTGGGTGAAGTGTGAGTGCGCTAGGAGTGCCGGCCGCCTGGCAGCGTCAGAGCCTCAGGGTTATCTGCCCCTCCAGGCCACTTGGAAAGAGGGGTGGGGGACCAAGTGGGATTCTGGATGCTTCCATCTTGCTCCTGGTAAGACTGCTCTAGGGCCTCCTGGACTCAGGTGCCTCCTGGTGTGTGGGGAGGTAGCGCCGCAGGAAGCCAGGCTCGGTCCACAGAGCAGCCGCCTCTGAGCTCCCAACTACCTGGCCTGGAGCCTTCCATTTTTAAAGAGAGGCTGAAAATCTGGAGATTTGAATGTTGGCAATGAATTCTAACTTTGACAGAACCACTCCCTGGCACCTAGCAGGGCTCAGCATCAGCTCTGCATAGCAGTCAGGGCCCAGGACGTCGGTGGGGTCCTGTATCCCCAACACCAGCACAGGGGCGCACTCCACAAAAGGGGGATCTCCTGTCACGGAAGCAGCTATGCGGCCTTGAAGCGGCCCTGGGCAGCAAGACGCCAGGAGAGACAGGAAATCAAAAGCAGTATTTCTCTTCCAGTCCTCCTTGGGGGCCGGATCGGCTCCATAAAACTAGCTGGAGTGAGAAACCAACATTTGCAAAACAAACCTGGATCCTGGAGCAAAGTAGGAAGGAAGCCCCACACTCAAGTCAGCCTCTCCGTGCCCACCCTCTGCTGTCCTCCATGCCAGGTTGGAAGGGGGCTGCAGGCATTCTGGCAGGAGCCAGGAAGAGGGCTGGGACCCACCTGGAGATTCCAGGAACCTGCCCTGCCTGCTCCTCATGGCAGCAGCTCCTTCCCAAAGGGAAGGGTAAAAGGCAGAGGAAATCCTCTCCAGGAACCCCCAGCGCTATCGCTGCCTCCCCCATGACTCCCAGGCCCCGCAGATGCAGGCAGGGAGCCGGGCCTCTGCTCTCAGGGACCGAGCTGCTGTCTGGGCTGCCGTGGGGACACAGATGTGCTTCCTCTTATGCAACTCCAGGGTTTCTCACAAGTGCAAGTCAACAAGTGTCTGGCAAGGCTCCACCATGTGCCGGCACCAACACCTCAGCTGCAAAACAAGGAAACTTCTAGAGTCGTATTTCTTAACCCAGAGTCTACGGAAAGTCCTCACACAGTCCTGGAACATCCAGAAATGGTACACCCAGTACTTAGTGCATGCTGGGGACTGGCTTCCTCTGGGAGTGTGGCTACACTAAGCTCCGTGTGGCCTCCAACGCCTGCCCTCCTCGCACCTGGATGTGAGAAAGGAGGCCTGTGGCCCAAAGAGGTGCTGGTCCTGCTCTTGGCTGGCCTCTCGCCAGAGGCTGCTATAGGCCGGGGTTCCTTAAAAAGTATGGTCCTGGGGACCCCAGCACAAGAACCTAGCTTCATAAAAAACTCAGTGTCTGGAGCCCACTCCAGACCCAGGGAGTCAGAATGTCTGGGGAAGGGCCTGCCTTTCAGCCCCTCCCAGGTGGTTCTGAGGGGGAACCATTGTCTCTGCTCAGGCTTTCTGGGACCTTGGTGGATTCCAGGGTAAGACTGCAGCCGGCTCGGCTCCCTCTGAGCCCCAGAACTGGGTGGCCTGGGGGGCCCGAGCTCACTCCTGACATTCAGCCATTTGCTCCTATCCCAGAAGTCTCTGCTCAGAGGTAGTGACCCTGGAACACGCCTCTAAGTGAACACTGCTGGCCAGAAAGAGTCCCTCTAACAACACCCCCTCTCTCTCCCACCCGGGGCTGATCCCCCCACTCCTTACTGTGCCCACACCTGTAGCTCCATGGGGGAAAAGTTTTTGCAGCTCTCTTCCCTTCTCTCTCTCTTTTTTTTTTTTTTGAGGTGGAGTCTCACTCTGTTGCCCAGGCTGGAGCACAATGGCACGATCTTGGCTCACTGCAACCTCCACCTACTGGGTTCAAGTGATTCTCCTGCCTCAGCCTACCAAGTAGTTGTGATTACAGGCACCTGCCACCATGCCCAGATAATTTTTGTATTTTTAGTAGAAACAGGTTTCACCACATGGTCAGGCTGGTCTCAAACTCCTGACCTCAGGTGATCTACCTGCCTCAGCCTCCCGAAGTGCTGGGATTAAAGGTGTCAGCCACCATGTCCAGCCCTCTTCTCTTCTCTCTCTTCTTTTCTTTAGACAAGGTCTTGCTCTGTCACCCAGGCTGGAGTGCAGTGGCGCCATCTCAGCTCACTGCAGCCCTGAACTCCCTAGGTTCAAGTGATCCTTCCACCTCAGCCTCCCAAGTAGCTGGGGCTACTGGTGTGCACCACCACATCTGGCTAATTTTTCTATTTTTTGTAGAGACAGGGTCTCGCCATGTTGCCCAGGCTGATCTTGAACTCCTGGGCTCAAGTAACCCTCCTGCCTCGGCCACCCAGAGTGCTGGGATTACAGGCGTAAGCCACTACGTCCGGACTTTTAGGCTGGCTGCTGTCCTTCCTCGATGGGCTCTGGCTGAGCCTTAGGGATACCTGTTCCTAGTCAGGCTCGGAGCTCCCAGCCCGCCGTCCCCAGCCAGCCAGGTGATACTGGATCAGGATCGACTGAGCTGGAGAGGAAAAAAGGTGGGCACAGGCACCTCTCCCTAGGGTCTCCTGCTGCTAGTTCCAGCCCCACCCCAAGCCCCACCACTCCAGAATTACAGAGCAGGTCCCCAAACAGCCTCCTAGCACATCTCAGACACCAGGTCCAGAGGCGCGGGTGGGACAGGCCCCCGCCTGCAAGCTCCAGGTGGCCTGGACCGGGGAGTCAGGCTTCCCTGGGGCTCCCATCTCCGAGCGGGGCCGCTGCCACTGGCCACCAGGTGGCGCTGGTCGACCAGGAACGGCTCCGCGAGCCCCAGGAAGGAAGGCTTTGTTGATTTTCCTTCTTGATATTCTATAATCACCAGGATTACAATCTAAGCAAAAAACAAAACAAATAAACACAGCCCCCCCCCCTTCTGGATCTTTGGTCTTTGTCTGAAAAATTATGAGAAAACAAAAGGCGCACTGAACATACAACCCCAGGCTTGGGTACTGGCAACAGCGAGGGCCTCCGGAACAGAGGGAGGGAGGCTGGGGGTCTGGGGATCCTGGGCTCTGCGACCTCTCCCAGCCTGAGCTGGGTCCCTGGAGAGCAGGTGCTGGCTAAGCAGCCGCTCTGAGCAGATTTCTCTGCCACTGCAGCCACTGCTCAGCAATGAGGGGCCCGTTTGCAGCCACCCCATCCGAGGCCCGGTACTGGAAACGGTGTGGTGTCTCGGCAGCACTGCCTTACAGATGCTGAAGGCTGGCAGGACTGACACCCTGGCCCCTGGAAAACCAACAGGCTGCAGGTGAGGACCAGTGTGTTAGGGGAGATGGACTGTGGGGGCCATGACAGCACAAGCAAGCCCACACTTGCCAGGGCCTCCACCCAACTCAACAGGGCCTCCATTCACACTCACTAGGGCCTCCATTCCAACTCACTGTGGCCTCCACCCCACTCACCATGGCCTCCACCCTCACAGTCACCATGGCCTCTACCCAACTCACCATGACTTTCACCCTCACAGTCACCATGGCCTCCACCCTCAGTCACCAGGGCCTCTACCTCACCAGGGCCTCTGCTCACACTCACCAGGACCTCCTCCCAACCCACCAGAGCCTCCACCCAACTCACCAGGGCCTCCACCCAACTCACCACAGCCTCCACCTTCACAGTTACCATGGCCTCCAACCACTCACCAGGGCCCTCACCCTCACAGTCACCATGGCCTCCACCCTCAGTCACCAGGGCCTCCATCCGCCTCAACAGGGCCTCCAGTCACACTCACCAGGGCCTCCACCCAACTCACCAGGGCCTCCAACCACACTCACTATGGCCTCCATCCAACTTACCAGGGCCTCCACCCAACTCACCGTGGCCTCCACCCAACTCACCAGGGCCTCCACCCAACTCACCGTGGCCTCCAACCACACTCACTATGGCCTCCATCCAACTCACCAGGGCAGGGCCTCCACCCAACTCACCATAGCCTCCACCTTCACAATCACCATGGCCTCCACCCTCACAGTCACCATGGCCTCCACCTGCAGTCACCAGGGCCTCCATCCACCTCAACGGGGCCTCCGCTCACACTTACCAGGGCCTCCACCCAACTCACCATGGCCTCCACCCAATTCACCAGGGCCCCCACCAAACTCACCAGGGCCTTCACCTGCACTCACTATGGCCTCCACCCCACATTCAGGATGGCCTCCACCTCCACTTTCAACATGGCCTTTGTGGCCTCACATTTACTATGGCCTCCACCACCTGCCATGGAGGTGAGGTTGCTTTTGGAGGAAGTGTGGGGGTGGAGGTGCTGAATCCCCACACACTCGTGCCTGTGGATACGTCGTGTGCCCGTGCAGAAGCATGGAGGTGCACAGAGCACTTGTGTGGTGTGGGCGTAGGCCCTGGGGCTCTGCTGATTCCACAGCCAGCCCTCCTGCCGCCCGCCCAGTGCTGCAGAGGACACCTGCCCCAGAGGCCTGAGTACTCTGGCCTGATGCCAGCGGAGCTCTGGGGCTGGCAGGCAGGGTGGAGCTAAACCCCGAGGCGGCTGGGGGAGCTGCCTGCTGATTTCCGGGCCTTCGAAGCCTGCAGGAAGGCCTAGGACTTGCTCATGGCTGCAGGGCCATCTGGCCAGCCAGGGCACTCCAAGAGGAGCCTCCAGGTGGGAGAGCTGGGACAAGATCACCACACGGGAAGGGCTGTGAACACAGCTTAGAAGTCATGCCCTCGCCACTCACTCCGGATGGAACAACCTCACCAACAGCTTGCTGGGAAATGCCTGGCGTGCCATCCCCTCCTGGGCTGCCAGGAAATGGGCAGGGAAGAAAGCCACGGGTGCTCAGAGGGAGAGGATCTTCTCCGAGGAAACGGTTCCATCTGGCTTTCTGTAGGTTCCAGTGGAGCCAAGGGTGCAAGGTTTGGGGCATGGCAGTTTAGAACCACTGTGGCTCTGAGCAGCCCAAGATCACTGAGCAAGTTTCCTGCCAGCTTGGCAGGACAGAAGCACAGAGCCTGCCTGGCAGAGCAGTCGACTCCACTCAAAGTCATCTCTCAGTGGCTAATCTGGGAGGAGAGGACTCCCCCTTCAGCTCCTCACTCACACTATGGGGGTTTACTGGGTGCAAATCTGGTGCTCTCTCAGACCAGCTGCATTGGAACAGACCCTGGAATTTCCAGGATGAGACATACTAAGCTTTAGATCACTTGCGTACTGTAAACTCCAGGCCTCAGACGGCGCCTCAGACAGTCATTGCCAGGCCTTGGACTGAGATGGGCAATTCTGTGCACTATAAGCCAGAAAGCTGAAGCCCACAGGGGCACCCCAGGCTAAGCACAGCTCTACTCAGCCCTGAATGATTCACATGCAGAACCTCTTTCCCCAAAGTACGTTAGGATGGAACTACAAAGCAAAAAACGACACTTCCCAGACTCTCTTGCAACTAGGAGTAACCATATGACAAAATTCTGTCCAACGACACCAGAGATGAAATGATGTATGCAAGTTGTGGGCTTAAAGGGAAGGAACTCACCCTCCACCTTATTTTCTCCTCTTTCCACTGGTTGGAATGCAGTTGCAATGGCAGGAGCTGGAGTAGCCATTTTGGACCATGTAAAAGAAGGCAAAGCCCTAGGAATGGGGAGCAGCCACCCGGAGGGAGCCAGGGTGGCCGATCCCTGACCCTGGGGCTGCCACATCAACCCTGAACTGTGACATGAAAGCCAAAGGAGCTTCCCTTTCATTGAAGCCACTGTTATTTTGGTCTTCCTCATAGCAGCAGGACCCATAGTCTCATGATTACAGAAGGGATTCCAAAAGACAGGAAAGATCTCTGGGAATGTCCTGGGAATTCCTATCAGCTATCTTCATTTATTTCTGTGTGTGTTTTTTTTCATCTGAAGGAAGCATTCCTCAGATTGCAGGTGGAAGGGAAGCCCCCTTCTGACCAAAGGGCACAGCTGCAAGGACCAGGATGGGATTCTCTGAATCAGCCTGGTGAGATTCCCAGGGCATAAGGTCACGGAGCCCCCATCTCACAGCAGGTGAGGTGAAGGCTGCAGACCCATCTCCCTTCAGCCCTGGGGAGCACGACATTGTGATTAAACCGCTGACAACTCCGCTGGCGGGCAGGGAAATTTGGAAACATCAGGAAATCAAACTGTGAAGTCTTCGAAGGCACGCGATTTATGTGAAAATGGGATGAAGCTAATGTGTTTGGCTCCAGTGTTGGGTGACCCGCCTGATTCTGGAATCAAATCTGAGGTCTTCTTGGCTCTCAGCACACCTCTGCTGTCCCCGGACACACACACTTAGCTGGTGCCCTCTGTGTGTTCCAAGCCTGATCGTCATCTGCGCCTTCTCCTGCAGCCGCATTTCCAGGGCTGTTTCTCGGGCTGTGTTTCTGTCAGAGCCGTGCACACGCACGCCCGAGCCAAGGAATTGTGTGCGGCTCTGCTTCCCCCAGCCCAAGACACCAGAGAGCTGAGTGTTATTAGATTTATGGGGAGTTTGTTGTAGTTTTACATAATTTTCTGATGCACTGCAGATTTTTGAGCAGGCATTCACAGTTCCCTCCAGTTCAGCATTGGAGGCTGGCTCCGGACTGGTTTCCACCCCCTGGAGTTCATAAAGCCTAATTCCTCCCACCCAGCCTGGAGGTGGCATTCCTGTCTGATGGATGGGCAGCTCCAGGAAAAATGGGGAGCATATGGCTGAAGGAGAAGGGCTGTCTGTGTGTGTCGAGAAGAATTTGGGAAGGCCCAGGCTAGCAGCCTCTGACTGTAGGAGCCACCTTGAAAGGCATCTTTTCCCTTGGGAGAACCTCCTTGGCTAATCTCTGGCTCACACAATCTCTTGGAACTTTTGCTGGGGCCCAGGGGATTGGGGCTGCTCCCCGGCCATATGGATGGGGCCTCTGTCCAGCAAAGGGGCCCTCATTTTCCAGTGGAATCTGACAAGAGGAATTCCTTCTAGTGACCTAAGAAGAAGCAGACAGAAGGCTCAGAAAGGCCAGGAAGGCAACTCCTCCTCCTGACTGAAGACTTGTTTTGAGCAGGAACTCCCCTCTAAATGTAAACACTGAGGGGTGGGAGGAGCTTCAGAAGCACCTGGACCCTGGTCACCCTTTCAAGGCAAGAGTACTTAGGACCCTAATTTTGAAAGCACTGACTAAGCCCCAGAAAGGAGGTTCCAGGCTACTTCCTGCAGGCCTGGAGTGCACTCAGCCATGGCAGCTTCTGCAGGACCAAGCTGAGCCCTCTGGAGTGACTCCACCTCCCAAGAAATGGGACAGGCTGGCAGCCTCAGCCCCTTGGACATGGTGTGCAGGGGTGGAGGAGCTGAGCCGGGCCCCCTGAGATGGCTGGAAGTGCTGGTCTTAGGGCAGAGGCTGCTAGATTCTTGCTACCCCTTTATAGAAGGGGTACTGGGGTGCAGAGAGGGTGGGGCATTGGTCTGGGGCTGTGTAGAGGGGCAGCCATGAAGCCAGGATGAGCACCTGCCTCCTGACTTGCCAGCCCTGACTCTTTCTACCGCCCTGGCCAGGGGGCACCAGCATTCCTGGTCAGCAGTCATAGCGCTGGCCCAGCTGAGGCTCTGCGGCAGAGAAAGTATCAGTAGGCCCCCTGGGGCGGGGTCTAGGCAGGACCCAGTGTCCGGTGCCAGCCCTGCATAGTGAGGTGCCCCCTATGTACTGAGTACGAAGGCAGGCAGGCGGGCCTGACAGCAGGGCCCGCAGCACCGGTGCCCCAGACTCCTAGCCTCTGGCCTGCCCTTGGGAAAGTGCCACTCAGCAGCCCCGGCTCCCAGAGCCAGGACACTGCAGCTTCTGTCCTCTGCTCAGGACCCTGGGCAGGTCCCTTCCCCCCCACCATTCCAGGGCTATTTCCAGGGCCTTGTGCACACCCAGCACTGTGCAGAGAGCCGGAGGGCTTCCCAAGGGCAGCTGTGCCATTTCCCCATGCTTCCCGGTGCTCGGCAGCATTTTGAAGAGGCTCACGAGGCCCCTCCTGATGAAGCGCGGGAAGCTGACATCTCCCCCGTGGGGGCTCGAGGAGGCCAGGGCACAGGGGTGTGAAGGCCCAGCTGGGTGGTGGGAGGGCCTGTGGAGAGGCTGAGAGCTGAGGGAAAGGTGGGGTGAGCAGGCAGAGCCAGGGAGAGGGGCAGGTGGAGAGGCAGCAGGCTCTGGGGAGTGGGGACTACAGCAGGTGGAAAGGGCGCAGAGTCCTGCAGAGGCCGGGGGCTGCGGGTGGGGGGGCTGCAGGCTGTGCTCAGGAGCTTGGGCATTGAGCGTGCATTGAATGGGCATTGAGTGGTTTTAAGCAGAGAGGGATGTGGTCAGGGCTGCAGTTAAGAAGGTTGCCACTGGGTGTGGTCTGAGCTCAGGAGGTCCCTGGGCTGCCTGCCTCGAGGTTCCAGGCAGAAGCACTGAGGCAAGCCTGGTCCAAACCTCCCCACGGGGTACTTGGCTCAAAGGACGACACGTGAGGAAGCTCAGTCTTGTGGTCCTGCCCTTGGCGGGCAGGGCTGTCACCCACTGGGGGGCCTCCCTTGCCACACAGACCCCTCTGTCCCTCCTGACCCTCATCCCCAACCTTGAGGCTGGGAGCAGATCCCTAAATCCGAGCACCCAGGGGACTCTCAGGATTAGCATCACCGCAGGTGCCCGTAGCCTCAGCCTGGGCCCTCCCAGGCACAGGACCTTCACCTTTCCTCCCAGCCGCAGAAAGAATATTTCAGTCCCCCCGCTGTATATGGTGACCAACAGCTGCTTCCTCCCTCCAGCCCAGCTCCAGGGACAGTTCTGCTTCTGAGTGAGCCACTGACCCACCCCCTCAGGCCCTGCTGATGGCAGGTCCTTGCCCTGAGCCCTGGCCATCAATGTCCCTGAACCCCGTGGGCTACGTGTCCACCACTAAACAGCCCCCATGCTCTTCTTGGGTCAGGAAAGCCCCAGACCCATGTTTGTTTTTCCCGAGCCCCGCTGAACAGGGGGCAGGAGAAGCCACTGAGAGCCGCCAGCGGCTGCCGGGAGCTGTGGCCACGGCAACAAAGTACGGAGCAGCCCCAGCTTCCCTGCCTCACTCGGTGTTTTGCATTCTGTGATTTGCACCTGACAGATGCTTCAGAAAGCACCACTTTGCTGACAAAATGAAATCCAGCTCAATTACCATCATCTATTTGCCACCCAGCCTGGGAGCCGAGGCAGGCCCTGAGTCCAGGAGGTGGTGGCTAAGCCCAGATCCCACGTGGATGGGCAAGGCAGGAGGCAGGGTCCGCTCCCGCCACCCCTCCCCTGTTCCATACTTTCCCTCCCCAGCCGGCCTCCACTCCTGTCTGTGGCCCCGGAGACCCGGTCCTGGCCCACTCTTGGCCTGCTTCTTCCTCTACATGCTCTGTGTCTCCAAACCTCACTCTTTTCATCTGTCACGTGGGCCTGGCATTTTGTGCCCTGGCTGTTGTATAGGGAGCTTACAAGGGGCCAAGTGAAGGTGGGGCAAAAGCTAAGCTCACGGTGCCACTGTCATTCCAGCAAGATGGGGCTCCGGACCCGCATCCCCAAGGCCACAGAGGACCTTCCTGGCCCCGCCTGGTTGATGCCAGCCTGGTTCCCAGCGTGGGGGCGCCAGGCCGGCCAAGGCCACTCACACATGGGTTTCAGCTGCCCGATGAGCTCTTCTTTCGTCCATTTCGCCCACTCCTTCTTGTCGGTGTTGATGGAGCAGAGGATGGGGCCGCAAGGCTTGCCGCAGTCCTCGATGGCCGGCACGTTCAGGTAGTGCACCAGGACGATGTCGGGGTTCTGTGGGGAGAGCAGAGACTGGCAGCATGAGGGTGGCATGGAGCCCACCAGGGTCAGGGCCGCCCCCAACCCCGCAGGTGCAGGCAGAGACTGAGGCCCCAGACACCCGGCTCTCTTGACCTCACACTGCTGACGGTTGCAGCCAGATGGTTCTGTGGTGGGGGCTGTCCGGCGCATGTGGGATATTAGCAGACTCGCTGGCCTCTACCCACTAGATGTCATTAGGCCCCTCCCCCTCCGGCTGTGACCCCTGGAGAAGTCTTCAGACATTGCCCAGTGTCCCCTAGGGGGCAAGATCACCCCTGGTTGAGAAACTCTGACCTACACATAAGCTGATATGTGTGTAACTGGGAACCACGGGCATGAGGTCAAATTCCCTCCAGCCCAACATCCCTGACCTCGCACCACAGCCACTGCCCTCTCCCTCCTTCACGCCCAACACGCGTTGCCCCCTCACAGCTTGCGGGATGCCCCCAACACAGGCATGGTCACCCGCTTCTCCCCAAGGGGAAAAGGAGCTCCCAGGGCTTAAGGCTCCTCCTGCTGAGGGCTGGAGCCCCTCTGCCTTCAGCCGTGGTCTTCTCCCCTGACAAACAGCCCTGCAATGAAGCACTTTTTTTTTTTTTCTTTAGACAGAGTCTCACTCCATCGTCCAGGTTGGAGTGCAGTGGTGTGATCTCAGTTCACTGCAACCTCTGCATCCTGAGCTCAAGTGATCCTCCCACTTCAGCCTCCTGAGGCTGGGACTACAGGCACACACCACCATGCCTGGCTAATTTTTGTATTTTTTGTAGAGATGGGGTCTCACTATATTGGCCAGGCTGGTCTTGAACTCCTGGGTTCAAGCAATCCGCCCACCTCAGCCTCCCAAACTGCTGCGATGACAGGCGTGAGCCACCGCACCCAGCTGGCACTTTCCATCTAAGCAATACCCAGGGGGCAGTTGGTGCCCAGAATCTCTGGAAACTCCTCCCTGGAAGAGCTCTTCTGTCACCCCATCCAGCTCGTCCACTCTTTCTTGTTGGTTTCTGGGGCGGAGTTTCCCAAACTTCTGGGCACCAGCTGCCCACAGGTATTCTGGGAAAGATCTCTCAGTCTGAAGACCTAAAAGGACCAGTTTGGGCCGGGCGTGGTGGCTTATGCCTGTAATCCCAGGACTTTGGGAGGCTGAGGCAGGCGGATCACGAGGTCAGAAGATCGAGACCATCCTGGCTAACACGGTGAAACCCCATCTCTACTAAAAATACAAAAAAATTAGCCGGGCATGGTGGCGGGCGCCTGTAGTCCCAGCGACTTGGGAGGCTGAGGCAGGAGAATGGCGTGAATCTGGGAGGCAGAGCTTGCAGTGAGCCGAGATCGCACCCCTGCACTCCAGCCTGGGCAACAGAGCGAGACTCTGTCTCAAAAATAAAAAGGCCCAGTTTGTCTCAAATCAGTTCCATTTAACAGTCAGCGCCTTCTCATCACATCTTATTAAGAATGTCCTCTGTCGCTTTCTGCCCCCCGAGCTCAGATAGGACATGCCCAGGGGCCTGTGTAAGGCAGCAGTGTCCCTGGGATGAGCATGGGGCCTTCGGTGGCTTTCTCATGGTCCCCCCAGAAGGCAGCGCTGCTTATCTGGCCACGACAATACTGACAAGTTTGTTAAAGAAAAAGCAATCCTGTCACTTTCTAGATGCATCTGGATAAGCCAGAAAAGCCTAGCTAAACCCTCCCATCTCAATCAGAGGGTATTTCTTGAACCTTTTTTTTTTCCTTTAGACAGGGTCTTGCTGTGTCACCTAGGCTGGAGTGCAGTGGCCTAATATCGGCTCACTGCAACCTCCACCTCCCAGGTTCAAGCAATTCTCCCGCCTCAGCCTCCTGAGTAGCTGGGATTACACGTGCACGCCACCACAGCCCGGCTAATTTTTGTATTTTTAGTAGAGACGGGGTTTCACCATATTGGTCAGGCTGGTCTCGAACTCCCGACCTCAGGTGATCTGCCTTCCTCGGCCTCCCAAACTGCTGGGATTACCGGTGTGAGCCACTGCGCCTGGCCTGAACCATTTTTTTCTTGCATTCTCCTAAGGAAACATGGCAGGATATCAGACGCTGCAGGGAACAATGGAAAAAGCCACGTGGGAGGCCTCATCCTGTGCTTTTCCTCCTGATAGAGGAAAGCTGCTTTCCCCTCTGCTTTCCCCAGCTGATAGACTGAGACTCAACCATGAGTCCTGGGACAGGCAGGACCCCAGGCAGGAGAGAGCTGGGTCTGCAACTGCTTTTTTGAATGTTGTCAGGGAAAGAGTCATACATGAATATATGAATCAATCAATCCATGAATAAATAAAGACTCAAGACCACACCATGACCAATGTAAGAAAGGAGACTGGCATAATTAAACAGATTTTTTCCTGCCAACGCTCAGTTAACCAGGAAACTCAATCAACACGAACAGGAGCCTTCTCCTTAATGGCGGCTTTTCTGGATTGCGGTAATCATGCTCCTTAATAATCACGATAATCCCTGACATAAGCGCAGCACTTTATTCTTTTCAAAGCACTTTCCAGCCATTATCTTATTCGGTGCCCCTGCTAGCCAAGGAGGCGGGCTGGGCAGGGTAGGGCAGGGCAGGGTGCCCTCTGTCTATAGAGAGGTGCCTGTAGCACTAAGAAGTTGTGATTGCCCAAAGCTATGTGCCAGCAGGGCACAGCCTGAGCTGGAAGCTGGGGCTCTGACTCCAGGTTCGGGTCCTGCCAGGACATCTGCTGGCCTCTCTTTTTGCTTGGCCTAAGTACTGTCTCATCTCCATTTCACTTCATTCTTGCAGTATGCCCAAGAGGTGGGTCGGGTAGATCTGCTATGCCCTTTGCATGGAGGGGGTAACGGCGGAGAGACGGGGTGATTCACTGTGTCCTTGCCCCGTGTTCTTCCTACAGACCAACATAGTGGCCTCCCAGGGACCGCGTCTGGGCTGAGGGCTCCTGCCTGTGCCTGGGCACGGCCAGGCAGCAATGCCAGCTGCTGAGCAAGATGAGTAAAGATCAAAGGACTGCAGGGGCCAGCAGGCCGCCCAGGGCTGCCTCTGATCCTGGCCCTGGAGCAGAAGCCCGGCCCTGCAGGAGGGAGCGGAGATGCCAGACGCCTGGGAGAGGAAAGGACTGCCGCATCCTGCCCCACAGTCGTGCTGGGCACAGCCTGGGCCAGCCTGGGACCCGTGGGAGGCCAAGGTGGCGGGCAGGCAGACAGGGTCTTGTGGGGCAAAGGCCCTCTCTCACCATGAACCCAAACCGTGGAGTTCCTGCATGAGAGCACCCCAAAAGCTGCTATCTCAGGAAGCTCTGCCTGCAGGCCTCAGCCTCCATCTGCATAACCAGCCTCCACCTATTCTTTGAGGTCAGATGCCAGGATCCCCTCCTCTTCCAGGAAGCCTTCCCTGATTCCCTCTCTGCCTCTACCATAGTAGGGTGGCATTTGGCTTTGTGTTTTAATTGTCTGAACATCAACTTTATTTCCTCAACCTCAGGGACAATGCCCTGCAGCTACGACAGTCCAACAATCACCGGTGCTTATTTCAGGTTTGTAGAATCAAATTAGGCTGAATTCTGACCTCCTGCTTGTGCCCTCCCTAGACCTGTGTTCTCCTGACATCTGGCTTCAGTTTTCTGGGTCCACAAAGGGCAGGGAAGCCTTCCTTTTTTTTTTTTTGAGATGGAGTTTCACTCTTGTTGCCCAGGCTGGAGTGCAATGGCATGATCTCGGCTCACTGCAACCTCTGCCTCCTGAGTTCAAGCAATTCTCCTGCCTCAGCCTCCCGAGCAGCTGGGATTACAGGCATCTGCCACCATGCCCGGCTAATTTTTAGTAGAGATGGGGTTTCACCACGTTGGCCAGGCTGGTCTTGAACTCCTGACCTCAGGTGATCCACCCACCTTGGCCTCCTAAAGTGCTGGGATTACAGGCGTGAGCCACTGCACCCGGCCGGGAAGCCTTTCTAAACACAGGTTGTTGCTAGGAAGGTAAGATACAATGCAAGGCTGGTTCTTCATCTTTTCTGGGTATGAGATCTCTTTGAGAGCCTGACGCAGGCAGTGGATACCCACCCCATCCTCCAACATACCCCAAGGCATATCAACACTTCAGTTCAAGGGCTCACAGATCCAGTGGTCAGTGGATCCCACTTCAGTAACTACAAATGTAGGGATTGTAGCATCCAGATCTACCCCTTTCAACTCAGGGCACCTGCCCAACACCGGGGGTGGGGGGTCCCTTCCCGGGAGCCTCCATGCTGGGCCTTGCCTTTCTCCCTTGTTTTGATACAATTAGCAGAGTGTCCCAGCCCCTGGCAGTTCCAGGAGACCAAGTGGAGGCTCAGGAGATGCAGGAGCAGGCAGCTTCCCGGTTTCCATCCCAGGGCCTGGAGCTCTTGCACCTGGAATGCCCAGAGTTGAGTAGTAACGATTTCCTGGCGTGGGGCTGGTTTTCAGACATGGGCTGATGGAGGTATTTTGGAAATTTGGGGCACACATCGCTTCTTGGCAATGTTGCAATTTTATTCATTAGTTGTACATTTTATTGGGTGTTTTTGGCAGAAAAATATATTAGCTTGGAGTCCTAATGTATCAGTTTCATGGAGTGCTCATAACGGTGTCAGAGTCCTTGCTGAGCTGCTTTGCTGGTGGCGAGATGGGCTCAGGTGGACCAGCTCAGCAGGGCGGCCTGCAGGAATGCCCGGGTTGGGCCTGGATCTGAGAGTCACGGCAGGGGACAGACCCCGCCAGGGCCCTGTATTTTTTTTTTTTTTTTTTTGAGACGGAGTCTTGCTCTGTCCCCCAGGCTGGAGTGCAGTGGCGCGATCTCGGCTCACTGCAACCTCCGCCTCCCGGGTTCACGCCATTCTCCTGCCTCAGCCTCTGGAGTAGCTGGGAGTACAGGCGCCCGCCACAGTGCCCCGCTAATTGTTTTGTATTTTTTAGTAGAGACGGGGTTTCACCGTGTTAGCCAGGATAGTCTCGGTGTCCCGATCTCGTGATCTGCCTGCCTCGGCCTTCCAAAGTGCTGGGATTACAGGCGTGAGCCACCACGCCCGGCCCGGATCCTTGATTCTGGACAGTTGTGGAGTGAAGCTGCCTTTGTCTTGCCCAGGCTGCCCTGATGTTTCCGTGGGGTTCACCACCCTGTCAGGCCCTGTGGGTTCAGGGAGGGAAGAAGAGCTTGTGCAGAAGCCCCTCCCTGGGCTATGGAGTTTTCATGAGAGATGCTAGGGGTCACCCCCCAAAGTGATCGTGACCTTTGGAGATGAGCCCTTGCTTTCCTGGAGGCCTGGTCAGTGCCAAAGGCTGGGGAGAGAGAGCCCCGTGGCATGGTCTGTGACTGTGGTGGTGGTAGAGGAAGCCAAGGATAAGTAAAAGTCTCAGAGAAGTTCCACAGCCTTCTGGAAGAGCCGTGGACGAGGGGATCCCTCCTCCCTCTTGGTGCCTCAGGCTCCTCACCCATAAGCATGGAAGCTGCGCCTCTTTCTCACTGGGGCTGCTGCAGGGAGCAGGGTCAGGCCTCGGAACAGCTGGAATGTCGTCAGGAGAGACAGAGGCCCCGCTCTACCACCACCAACCACCACCAAAACCAAACCCAGACAGAAAAAAGCCCTGACGTGCTTCCTGAGAGGGTGAGCAGAGTTAAGCCTCCAGCGGGCACTTCTGCTGCTTAGAGCCCCCTTCCTCCTCCGGCAGCCCCAGCCTGTCCCAGCTCTCCTCTTGCTGTGTACAGAGGCCCTTCCTCCACCAGCGTCCAGCCTGGGGCTCTGGCCTCCCTCTCTCTCGCTCTCTTTCTCCCTCTTTCCCTCTCTCCCTCCTTAGTGGCCTCATCCAGTGTCCTGACCTCACACCCACCAGATTCCCAGGACACCCAGATTTCCCTCTCCAGCCTACCTCTCCTCTCTTGCCTACCTGCCTGTTGACGGCACCCCTCGAAGGCCTCAAAATCCCCATGACTTCCCATGGCCGACCTCGCCTCCCGACCTCCTGCTCAGCACCCTTGGCCCCTCCAGGCTTCCCACAGCTGCCCAGGTCTGGAACCCAGGAGTCATCCTCTCATTTTCCCTCCCTCTCCCTCAACGGCCAGTCGATCACCCAGTTCTGCCATTTCTCCCACCCCAGGAAGCCTAATCCTCCCATATACCCCCTGCCTGCAATGACCAAGTCTGATCCTCCACCTGCTCTCCTGCGCACGTGGGAGTGTGCCCTCCTCCCGGGTGTCCTCACGTCTGCTCCTCCCTTCCCCAACCCACCCTTCAAACAGCAGCAGGCGTGGTTGGGCTGTTCCGGACGGCTCCTTGGCACTGAGATCAGGCCCACACTCCTGCCACGGTTCCAGGCCGGGCCACCTGTGCTTCTTGCTGGCCGCTGCCTGCCTCATGCACCTGGCTCCCGCCACCCCATTCCCCAGATCTGCCGCTTCTCTCCCTGGGCTGTGGTCTCTGGCTGCCACGCTCCATGCCACATTGGTCCCAGGTCACTTTCTTGTGGAAACCTCATTCAGCAACCCCGTTGACAACAGTGCCCACCTTGCCTGGTTCCCGCCTCGCTGTCTTTGCAGCACTAATCTCTCAGTTTCCGCTCAATTACTACTCGGGTTTGGCCTGTTTTCCTGGCCACAATGTGAGCTCCGGATGGCTGGGACTCTGTCTGCGGGGCAGCCACATGGCAGGGGCTCCATCCTACTTACTGAAAACCGGGGGCATAGCGGGGTGCCGCCAAGCTGCTCCAGCACACGGGCCAACAAGCCTGCTAGGGGGCACCTGGCCTTGGCTGGGGGAGCTGGTGCAGGGGTGGCTGTCTCCTCTCCGGAGACTCAGTGTCTCAGGACCAATCCTGGAGAACCCCCAGGCATGTCTTCTAGAGGGACAGACAGAGACTAGGGTGCGGGGAAGGAGTCGGTGTCCATCCCAGGCATGGGCTGGAAGAGGAGGGGGTCCACTCCCCCAGAAGGGGCCCAGGAGGGGTGGCATCTGGGGGGGTCCACGAGCTCTCTGCCCCTCTGCAGCTCTTCCTCTCTGAGGGAAGTTCAGCTTGTCCCTTAACCCAGCTGTGCCTCCTGGAAATGCATTTGGAGCTGCTGACCTCCCCAGTTCCAGACTCCCAGGGCCCTGCCAGGCACAGGACTCTCAGGCTGAAGGTGGTGGAAGGGCATCTCCCGGGAGCCTGAGGTAGAGTCAATCTCTTTGAGAACCTTTTCTAGATGGCACCTTTCACCCAAACTGCAGGGACAAAGAGAGGACGGGGGACAAGCTGAGGGCCTTTCCTCCAAAAGCACAGGAGAGGCTAAGAACATTCTGCAGAGAATGCCTGCTCTGTGTTAAGCAGGCCCTTTAGTGCTAGCCTGAACCTTGCCAGGAGGGGGTGAGGCAGGCAGAGGGCTCAGGACGGGCCTGGCCCCCAGCAGCGCTCATGTGTAAGGTCACTTACACTGGCTAGTAAATGGGCATGAGGCGGAGGTGGGGGAGGTGCTCCAGGCTGCAGAGGGGAGCTGAGCTCTGCACCTCCCGCATGCTGAGCCCACGCCTGGGCGTGCGCAATCAGCCCTTGGAGTTGGTTGAGGATGCAGCAGTGAGCTCTTCCCCAGAGACCCACGGAGGGGACTCAAGTCACCCACAGCAAGAGCCTTGGGGATCTCACATCCTTTTCCTGGCCGCTTCCAGGGGTGGATCCTGGGCCAATGGGTGTCAGGCAGCAGGGTCCCACCGCCCTGGCCTCGGCTCCTCCATCTCCGCTGAGGAGGAGGAGGCCTGGAGCCAGGACCCCTTTCTGTGGAGTAAGCAGGGTGGTGATGCAAGAAGTGGTTAAAAATGCAAAAAGCTGTTGGTTTTGATAAAGAAAAATGCAGCTGCAACATCTGTTTGACTCTTGTTTGCAGCTTCATCAACGCTAAGTGGTCAATAAATCAGAGTGGCATGGCGTTCCGTTTCTTCTGGGGCTCAGTCATTAATCTCGTGCCAGTTCTCATGAAAAATGAAGGAGAGAGGCCGTGTGATAGTGAAAATGTATACATTACCCAGAAAGTCATAATAGCATGTAATAGTGCCACACACCTCCCCACTTGCCGCTGGGGGCGCGGGGGGCGGGCCTGCCTGCCGCCAGCCGGATAGGAGGGAGACGGGCGAGGAAGCAGCATTGCCTGCGTCACAAGCTCCTTCGATCTTTGCATTTGTCATATTAGCACCATTTATACATATTCCGAATGTCCCATAAGCCTCATCATCAGAGGCACAGCCTTCCCTGCACCTGGATGCTTAATGAACAACGAGGGTAGGAGCCTGTGAAACGGGTGTGCAAGGCTGGGAGGGAGAAGGGCAGGGTTTATTAGGGACGGGATAGAGGGCGGCACTGGGCGGCACTGGGCGACACTGGGCGACACTGGGTGGCACAGGGCTGTGGTGTCACTAGGCTGCAGGACTGAGCAAAATCCTCTCACCCACCTTCTGGCTGCCCCAGGTAGCTGGGCCCCTGTCCTCTCTGCTCTGGGTAGCAGTGTGAGGTGGGACGATGGTTCCACTAGAAAGGAGGCTGATCATGAAGGCCTTGGCAGGCTTGGGTTCTATCCCCACTGTCACCCACTGAGGGTAGCCAGGAGGCAGGGGGAGGATCAGAGAGGCCTGGAGGATGGACGGAAGCACAAGAAGGATGCTCCCTGAGAAGGGCCAGGGCACGCGGGCGCCTGCTGCTCAGGTCTCCCAGGATCTGCCGGCCCCTGCAGGCTGCTGTCTCCTTGGGTCTCTCTTCCCTGCCTCTGATGGCTCCAATGCATAGTACTGTGGCATTCCACGGCCACTCAGGGGTGGGAGCATGCCTGGACCCACAGCACATACCTCCCAGTGGGCATTTCTGTTTTCACAGTTTGCTTTCTGAGTGTCAGCTGTGTCTCGGGCTCCACATTCAAGTTCTACAACCCACAGGTGCAAGTGGTATTGCTATCCCTGTTTACAGAAAGGAGAGTGCCTTTGAGGGCTGAGTCTCTGGGTGCCAGCCCTGCTTGAAGTCATGATCTCACACCTCCAGACCACTGCCCCAGGGCTCTGTGGGGCTCACTGGATGTTTCATGGGAGGGCTGTGCACTCAGCCTCAGTGCCCCGGGTGGCAGCAGCCCAGTTCATGTCTATGCCAGAGCAAAAGTAGGTCCAGGGAGCCCGGTTGGGTCATGTGAGGTGTGGGGAGCTGGGAGGACCAAGGATGTGGCTGGAAGGCTCCTGGCTGGTCTGTAAGCTCCTCAGGGCAGGACCGAGGCTGCAGATGTCCCTGTCTCCACATCAAGGGCCCACAGTAGTTAGAACACCCTCTGTGGGGTGTGCAGGGGAGTGGGGAACAGCCTTCAGGGACCCTGGAGCTGAGCACCCGGTAACTGGGGTACAGATCTAGGTCCCCAAAGTTGGCAGCTATTAAAGGATAAGCAAAAACAGAAGGGAGGGAGTAGGAACTGAAAGAGGGGCCCTGGTGCCCCAGTAATAGGCAGGGTCAGTAGTCAACTGTGCTCTTCTGGGGGCTTGGTCCTGCAATCTGTGCTGGGCCCAGGGATCTCCCACTGCGGCCGAGTGTGGCAGGCACACAGAACACCTCCCCACTTCCTTGTCAGTGCTCAGCAGGGCTGGAGGATTCTGAGCGATGGCTGGCAAGGGCTTCAGAGGGCCTACAGGCGAGGGCAGAGGTAGGCTGCCCTTGGGGGCCCTGCAGCACCTTCCCATGGCTGCCCTCATTACGCAAGCCTGTGCGCCAGCAGGAGTCAGGCCGGCAGCCCTTCCCTGCTTTGGAGGGAGGCTGGGAGACTTAATTAGTTAATGTGGGTAAAGTGGTCTGAAGATGAAAAACCCTGGGTAATTGCTGAGTGCTGCTGCTGTTACACAATTACCAGAATTTTCCAGTCATGGGAATATAGTTAAACAATTTCCACCTGGTGCGGGGTTCCGGGAACCATGCCGGCTCAGGGGCTGGCTTGCCCTGCCTCCTTTAGCCCAAAGGTAGTGTAGGAAAAACACATTTATGGTGGGAGATCATGCCTGACACAATCCTGGGCACATCCTAGACACCCAGAGAATGCTGGATGAAGGGAGTTCTCCACTCTCGCTGAGCAGATAAAGATGCATGTACCTCAAGAGGGGACAGAGGGTCCCGTCTGCCTGCACTTTCCAGAGGCCTCTGAAACAGTCCCACCCAAAGGCTGAGAGGGGGGTCAAGCCATCCTGGAGGGGCGCTGCCCGGGAGGGGAGGACTTTTCATTGCGCAGCAAGACCTGGCTGCCCAACAGCACGTATGCGTGGGGGCCCGGGCTGGCCTTATTTAAAATCATTATAAATGACCCGGGGGAAGACATGTCCGATAAAATCTCCACGTTTGCAGATGACACTAAATTTTAATGAGTAACGAAAAAGAGCCAGTGTCAGAGGGTATGGGAGCTACAGATGTATCCCAGGGCAGTGACGTGCAGGGCGAGAGGCTCAGGATGAGTAAAGCAAATTGGCAACGGAGGCTGGCAGCTCGAGCTGCCACTGCCAGGCCCCCCGAGAGAGGACCTCCCAGGATCCACAGAAGCCACTGGTCCACAGTTGTTGCAGGGACCAGAAAGGGCCCAGCCTGGAGAGGAGGGCAGGACCTGGGAACTGGAGACAGAATGGCCGAGGCGTCCTTGCTGCAGAGCTGGGTCTGAACTAGGGAGTGCAGGGGTGAGGGAGCACCAACTGAGGAGGGGCAGGCAGCTCCAGGAAAATGAAGATAAGGGCTTTCCGGTCCAGAAAGATAACAGTGGAGAGGAAATGTGATTCGAGTCTTCAGAAAGGGGAGAAGAGGTGAAAGTTGCTTCTAACTCTAGATCCATGAAAGCTAAGAATACGGGTTCCCCCACTCTGGAGCTCAGGGAGGTAATTTTAGCACAATCAAACTACACAGCGGGCAGTCAACGTATGAGACTCATTATTGCAAGGCGACATGGGCTGAAAAATATAAAGAGCTTTTTCTAAAATGGGTGACATTAGTTCCCGGATGGCTGATCCATAAGGAGTTGTGCAAGAGATCGGGATGCTGGGGGCCATCTCTCTTTGGGACCACAAAATCTAGGAGACACCATGATGGCCGGTGCCCCCACCAGGGTGGAATCTGGGGCTGCGAGTGTCAGCTGGACTGTTCAGCGTCCAACCATCCTTCTCTCTCTTGCCAGGGACCTGTCAGGGATGCAGGCTGCTGGCGTCCTGCAGTTGGCAGAGCCTGAGCTTGGATGAGATTGTTGGTTGGTGTCCTGTCCTGTTTGTCTCCTGCTCTCACCTTGAACTAATTTTTGATTTATTAGCAATGCTGCAAGAGTTGCTCCGACCACCCCTGGGACAAGAAGCCATGGGCCTTTCGCAGGGGCACAGGGAACTCCTGTAGGGCAAAGGTCCTCCTCAGGGCATGCAGCCCTGGCCCAGCAGAGACAGAGGGTGGAACAGCACAGATGCTGGGCAATCAGGTCTCAGAGGGCTGCAGTCACCATACCTCTGGCCTCCTGTCCCTCCCAGGAGCTAAATCCATAGGCACATGGCCTCCTCACCAGCCTCAAAGAGGTCTTGCCTGCAGCCTAGACTGGCCATGTCCTCCTGGATGGCTGGAAGCCAGGCCTGCTGCCCTCCCCTGTCTCTTCCATCCTCTCCAAGCACGTGCGCCCCACTTCTGCTCCCAGAGCTGGTGTGCCTGCTCAGAACTGTGCCCCATTAGGCAGTGAATCAAGCCCATCAGATGACAATGGCAGCAAACAGTCATTGAGGCATCTCTAGAGTGACTGATGTGCTCTGTAGCCTTTCCTGCCCATCTGCTCCCCTCCATAGCTCTGAAGGAAGTTGGGCATGTGCCACCATCCCTGCTGGACTGAGAGGTGCTACATGATCTGCTCACGGCCACGTGGCTCATGGGAGGCTGAGCTGGACACAACTCTGGTGCACTAGCTCTTTTGATAAGAGTTTCCAAGTTTTCTTTAGCAATCCAGCCACCTCTCCAACTCAGTCCAGGGGTGGAGCTTGTCACTCAGGCTGGCCAAGCCGCATTCTTTGGGCCACATCGACTGGCTCAGAGAGAGACCCATGGCTCCACCAGAGCCAATCAGTGCTAATCACTAGGCTTTGGTTGGAGTCACTTGGAGGCAGGGGTGCTCTTTCCTGCTGAACTCGAACCTGGGAGAATGAAATCTAGTGCTCCTGGAAGCCATCTCTTGCCAGCACATGGAGAAGGAGAAGGGAGCTGGTGCGAGGAGCAGGGCTGAGGGGAGAAGACACAAAGCCTCGATGCAACTGATGGAACACAGGCCAGCACATCTCAAGACTTTTCAGCAACTCCAGCCCCCAAATCTCTTCCTCCCCCAAAGTCAGTTCAAGTCGAGTTTTTTGTTGCATCGCCCATGAGCCTTAGTTCCTAAAAAATGATCACATCTTCTTTCGGCTAAGCCGGTCACTCTTTCCACCACACAATTCAGATGACCCTCTGGTGTCAATAACCCCCACCGCTATGATTGCTGAGAACTAGCATTTCTTCAGACCTGTATGCTCCAGGTGCTGAGTGCTAACTACTTCCCGGGACTTAGCTTGTTTAATCCTCACTACAACCTCACAAGGTAGAACTGGTTATGGCCCCATCTGCTTTACACATAAAGAATCTAAAACGTAAGGAATTAAGTAGTCCATCAAAGCCCTGCCCATTAAGCCCAGGTCTATCTGATGCTGAGGAAGCAGAGTGGTAGAGAGTGTGTGCTCCAGAGACAACTGCCTTAGGTTCGAGTCTGGGTTCTGCTACCTCCTAGCTGTGAGCTTTGGGCAATCACATCTCTGTGCCTTAGTTTTCTCATCCATACAATGGAGAGAACAGTAGTGCCTGCTCCCTGAGGTAGTTGTGAAGACTAAACAAGATACAGCATTTGAACAGTGCCCGAGGCATGGGAAACCTTCAGAAGGGCCAGGTATTATTCTGACTGACCTCTCTAACCAGTGTTATGTCATCTCACACTATTGCTAAGGACAAAGTTTCCCTAGGATCGTATGGAACTTCCATGTGGAGCAACATCAAATTAATTCAGATATTGCTTATTTGGGAAGCGTGATTCTTTGAGATAGGAGCCCATCTAGGTAAAGTTAAATTCTTTTCAAACATCGAGGAAGCATCATGATCTCCAACAGACGATGAGCTAAACACCAGCCATTCTTGTCCAAACATAAAAACAGGATCTCTGAGACAATTCTTGGTTATCTTCCAAACTCTGGAAGAAAACAAAGCTCCATTTTCCCGAAAAATATCCCATAACTCTCCATGAATTAAAGAGACAGACACCCCATCCACATCCTGCCACATTGGATAGGTAGGAGTCCCTTGGGCCAATGGGATCACTTCTAGTCCTCATCCAGATGATACAGGCATCAAGTGACCTGCAAGCCCTTGAGGAGCTCCAGTGCCTCCAGCCCCTTCTCTAGTAAGCACTGTCCTCTTCCTGGATGCTTTATGTATTTTAATTTGTGCATGAAAGATCCTCCAGGGTCCTGCAAGTCAGGGGTCTCCTAAACCCTTCTGTTTACTCCTCTTGGAACAGAGAGTAGTGAAGGTGGGAGGAAACTTAGGGATTGTCCAGGCCAACTTATCAACCCCCTTCCATCTCCAATTGGGAAAACTGAAGCAAGAGAGACTCTGAGTTGAACGTCACGCAGCAGACAGGTAGAGAGTGAGGACAGGGAGCTGCACCCGACCCCCACCCTCTGCTGTCTCTCAGCTTTGCCTCTTCCTGATGTTCAGAACCTTCTGAAGCAAATGATTACACCTCCCTCGCTTTGCAGAGAGAATTTGCAGAAAAGCAGAGCTGGTTGCTGTTCACCACAAGTGGCATTCAGAACAAGGCTGCTTCCCGGCCAGCAAACTTCTTCACAACCTTGACTATGAGTAGGGTCCCGAGATGTTTGGTGGGCTTTCTGTTTAGTGTCTTCCTGGTGGTAGTGATGGCAGGGCAGGTGATCCAAGCAGGGAAATCTGGGAGGTTGGGATGGGGCCACCCTTCCTCTGCTCTGGAGGAGCACCTGGGGAGCCCCTGCACTCAATCCTGTTAAAGACCTAAACCCCAAAGCTCTCCCTTGACTGACAAATGGGCTGGCCGTGGAGGCAGCAGAGGATGAATTGTGCCCGGTCCATCAAGCATCTACAGGATTTTTATGCTCTGGCATCTGTAATGGTGAGATTCCAGCAATTGTTTTAGAGGGAATCATGATTAAATTGGGCTGTATGTTTTTTTAATGTGTTCCCCAGTTCCTCTTTAATACCTTGGTAGGACAAGATAACGTGTAATCACTGAAGTAATTGTGGCTCTCAACAGTTTATGTCTTGAAGGAGTGACTGGGGGTTAACAAAGCCACTGCAGGGCAAGGTTTGGATTAGAAAATACAGTTTTTCTTTTTGTTATTTTCTTTTTAAATCCTTCTTTATCTTCTTCCTTTCTCCAGTGGCTCCTGGAGCTCGCTGATAACCTGTAAGCCTCCTCGGGTAATAACGGGACCTGCTATACTAATGACATAGGCAAGTCTGGGGCCGGCCCCTCTGCAGAGCTGCTGCAGCAGGCCAGGCCCTTCCCAGAGCACATGCCTTTGCAGGAAGCGCCAACTGGTCCCCCAGACCAGTGGGGCTCGACATCCTGAATACCAACGCCCATCCAGACCCCATCTTCATCGCCACATCCTGAAGTCGCTGGCTGGAGCCAAGCAGTGAGGCTGCCCTATGCCAGCCCATTGCGAATGGCAGAGGAGAGCAAGCTCGTGAACCCCGACACTGCCTCAAACTGTCCCTCTCCTGGCAGATGCTGAAGACAACGGTGGGGTGGGCATCTGTGCTAGCAGGGAGCTGGCAACCCCACTCACTCCTCTTCAGATGATGCGACAGAACGGCCTGGCTTCATCCAGCTTCCTCAGGGCAGGGGCAACTCTAAGCATCCTGCTTAGAGGCCAAGACCCTGTCAGCCCGATGGGGGCAGAATCAGGCCACAGAGCAGTCCTGCCACTGTGACTCCATGGCCACCAAGTCTGAGGCGCTGCTAATGCCAGCAGAGCTGAAGGAGGGGAGAGACGGGCAGGCATCCTGCTTTCCTCTTGGCCCTTGAGGCCACCGCCCCAGTCTCCCCTCACTGCCTTCCCCATGCTCCTTGGCATCAGCCTCCTGACTGGTCTGCCTTTGAGCCAGGCACTCCCATCCAACTCTCAGAGCCATCTTCCCAAGTCCCAGCTCTGATGACGTCACCCACTGCTAACCTTTCCTGGCTCCCCATTTCCTGTGAATGCAACCCCACTCCTGATCCCAATGGCCTCCATGATCGGCTGGATCCACCTCCCATGCACCCTTCTCACCCCTCTTGGCTCAGTCAACCAGACCATTCAGCCTGCTCTGCCACTGGCCCTGCCCACGCTGTTCCCAAGGCCTGGAATCTCTCCACATTCCACCTACTTGTCAAGACCCAGATCCAACGTCACACTGTCCTTCCAGCCTCCCTTTATCCTTCCAACCAAAATAATTTCATTCCCTTTGGGACTCCCCTGACAGTCCTCTGTGTCTCTCCTGCAGCATCAGCCAGCCTCACTCTTTCCACTGATCTTCAGGCTGGCTGGCACCTCCATTCCCTCTCTGGACCCCAGACTTCCTGAGAGCAGAGTGTGCATCAGAAGGAAATGTATTCCCTGATAGGCAGTCAGCAAGTGTTGGTTGAATCAGTGGTGGGTTGACTGCATCTGAATGGGGACACTCATCCTGGATCGGTCACTAGAGACAGCCCCTGTGCTGGGGGCTGTGCCAGTCGGTGGCCAGCACACCCACCACCCACCCATCACCCTCTCCCTTCATCTCTTCCACCTTCACCAAGGCAGAGTGAAGGACATGGCAAGGGCCTTTCTGGGTACTTCTGCATGCGAATTTACTGGAGTCTTCATTTTAACCCAGTTTCTCTGTTTCCACCTGTGGGAGCAGTGGTATACCAGGATGATTTGTTCCAACCAACCACTCATACACAAATCCCTACTCCCCATCTTGGCCCTTGGAATTCTGCACTGGAACCATGGCGGATGGCACTCTTTCCCACTAAGCTCAGATGGGGTCCCAGAAATCGCATAGGCAGGGTTCTGCGTTGTCATCACCAATTGATCACAGCTGGTGTGGGAGACAAACTGTGGTCCTCATCTCTGCACAGGCGCAAGGCAACCCCTTAGCGGGGAGACCCACAGCACTCGCTCCCTGTTTGTTTTTAGGTCTTACCACGGCTGCCTTGAAGCTGAGAAAACAGAAGCTGGGCTGAGGGCCTTGGCACCAGCCCAGGGTAACTGGGACACCCATGTTTGCAAAGAAAGCATTTGTGAAGTGTGAAGAAATCAGAACAGCACCGTTCAAAAACTGTGTTTAAATTTCACTCAAAATGTTCTATTTTGCGTCGAGGATAGAGTCCCCTTGGAAAAAACACTTTCTGGCATTTGGAAACCACTGTTGCTATGGAGCTGTTAAGAGATGTTAGCTACCAGGGGACAGCAATTAATTGCGGTGGCTGCAGGTAAATCAAGCCAGCAGCTCCTTTGGAGGAAGCTGATGGGAAAGGGGATCTAAAAGGCAATGTTGAAAAAGAGCTTCTGTAATCCCAGCACCTCGGGAGGCCGAGGCGGGCGGAACACCTGAGGTCAGGAGTTTGAGACCAGCCTGGCCAACATGGTGAAATCCCATCTCTCCTGAAAATACAGAATTAGCTGGGTGTGGTGGCGCATGCCTGTAGTCCCAGCTACTTGGGGGGCTGAGGCAGGAGAATCCCTTGAACCCAGGAGGCAGAGGTTGCAGTCAAATTTCCAACTGAGGGTTTCAGATGCTTGAGGGCGAGGTGCCTTCTTAGTGACTTCTTTGTGTTTCCTTCATTTCTAGGAGAAAGGACTCAGTGTGTGGAGCTGATGGGAAGTCAGGCTTTCCCTTCAGTTAACCTGAAATGACTGGGGTCCCAGCTCACCCACTCTCCTGCAGGTAGCTCTGAGGTGGGATTCTCAGCCTTTTAGAGGAACAGCTGCCTCTTCTATAGAGTAGGGGTAACTGTGGCACTTGCTTTGCAGGGTGTTCATTAATTCCCTCATTCATTCATTCATTCATTCATTCAACAGATTAGCTCTCAAGAACCACAAGATACCAGGGACTGGCCTACATTTGGGGTCTACTGTGACCAAGTCTAAGACTCTGCCCTCAAAGAGCATGGAAGAGACGAGCTATAAACATTGGAATAAAGAATAAGGTGGTTCTGGATGGCATGAAGTGGTATGAGCATAAAAAATGGGGGTGGGTGGAGAATTTAGCCAGCGAGCTTGAGAAGGCCTCTGAGGATGGAACCTTCAGCTGTATCTGAGATGATAAAAAGAAGCCAGCTGTGGGGAGCTCTGGGAGAGGAAAGGATTCAGGCACAGGGAATAGGGACGAAGACCTCAGGACAGACTCGGGCTCACAGGGAGCATTCAGGAAAACAGCCGTGAAACAAGAAAGCACAGAGGTTCAGTCTGGAAAGCCAAGGACAATGGCCTGTGAGGGCCGAGTTCCATGATGGCGGCTCCACATCTGTCTGGCTTGCTAAGCCTTGAGCCTGGCATCTGGCCCAGAGCTGGGCTTGGAAAATATTTGTTGAATAAATGAAATGGTTCAGGAACGCTTTAATGTTGAATAAGCCTCCACATGGAACAGAAGATTCAATCTCTTAACAGAAGAAAAACCTCAGCATTTTGAGATCACCAGGATAGGCTCATGCTGGTGGCCAAGATCAAATACTCACAGGGAGAAACCCATTAGGGAGAAAGTTGTCAAAGTTCAGGTGGTGGAAGGCTTACTCCGAAAGAACGCTCTGTTTTGCTGGTTATTTGTTAAAGAAAGGAGTCAATGATGGGTTATAATGAAGTCAGCTGTTTTCAATAGCGGATACTAACTTTGGAATTCAAATAAGATAGAAAGAATACACCAATCTGTTATCTTGCCTGCAGCCAGATGATGGAAAGAACTTGGATGTGGAGTGGAATCACACATCCAAGTGGAAGTTAGATCAAATTTCACCTTGGCCACTTCAAACGCTGTGTGATCTTGGGCAAGTTACTTAACCCCTCTTGGCCTTGTATCCCTCCCAGGTAAAATGGGGATCCTCCCATCTACCTGAGGATATCAAAAGCCATTGAGAGGATTAAGGGAAGTGTAATGGAGGGCACCCAACAAGTTCCCAGCCATGAGTAGCCGCTCAGTCACTGATAATGAGTTAACGAGCAAAACCAATCTCCGCTTCCTCCTCCTCCCCCCATACCTCCAGGGTCATGAACAGAAAGAACAAGGTCACTGTTTTGGTTTTTGGTTTCTGTCTTTGGAGGTGACTAACTCCCGATCTGACAGTTGTTTCTGCAGAACCAAAGACTTGACGGGATTGCAAGGTCACACGAGGTCACCCAGAGAAGACGCCTCACTATCTTTAGCATATTCGTTCTCTCTAGAGGCGCCAGGGAGCCGAGACGTGGCCGAGCTGAGCTGGTGCCAGGAATTTTGCAACAAACCATGGTCAAGTAAAAACCAAAGTGACCTTCTTGGAAGCAATGGTCCCAGGGCCAGGCTGTGTTGCTGGCACCCCCGACCTGCTCGGGATTGCACAGACGTCTCCATCCCTCTTCCAGGAAACTTCCAGAAGGGCGAGCACTGCACCTGGCACCTCACCAGCCCCCTTGTTATAACTTTCCTTGCGATTTAAGTACACTCCCAATGACACAGAGTGTTGGGCTGCCACTGCTGGGCAGAGGCACCTGACAGGAAATTAATTTCTTAGTTTCTTATTAACTTTGAGGGGAGTACCTCTACCGAGCTGCACTGCCAGGACAAGGTGCACCAGGGCTTCCAGGAATTTGAATATCAGAGGTCAGCACCGAGGCACGATGCTCAGACTCTCCCGTCACTGTCTCCAGTTGGCGCCTGGCTTAGCAAATGTCTCAGGAGCCAAGGGGAAATTCCTGGCATCCCAGACCACAGCCCCTGTTGAAAATTCTGCTGACATAGCCAGGTGACGGTGACAACGTATTCTGGCTGTGGCCTGTCACTGTGAAATAAAAGGGCTCAGGGGCTCTCCAGCACCCACCATGGGGGGTCCTCCCAGAGCCCTTGGCTCTCTTGGGCCAGTGGCCCCTCTTCTGTGGCAGCCTCCCTCTAGTTGCCCCTATGAGAGGACCTCTTTTCCTGGCTGGACCCCTGCCTGCTCCCTCCAGTTCACCAGCCCCTAATCAGGGTGCAATGCCTCTCAAGGTCCTGGCCTTTTCTCCACTGTTGGGCCCTGCTCTTCCCAGCATTGGACGGAACATTGATGGATTACTCCCCTGACCCTACGGCCTTTCCCTCGCACTCTCTTTCTCTCTCCTGCTTCCACCTGCTCTGGCCCCATGCATCCTGCACCTGTCCTCAGGGCTGCCTCCTCCAACACCTCCTCCCTGCTTCTCTTGTCAAAGGACCTTCTGGCTTGGTCTGAACTGTCAGGTTCAATTTCTCGAGCTAAACCTTTGAATCTGGCTGACCCACTCTTGAATGGTCTTTGTTCCCCAGCTAAGAACCAGCTGATCTCAGCCCCGGCCAAAATTTGCCTCAGGGGACTTGCCTGCCTCTAAATCATAGCTTCTCTACTCAGTCCCAGACCTCTCCTCCAACTCCATCTCTCCTCCCTCCTTCTAACCCACATTTATGAGGTACCTGCTCTGTGAGTGCTGGGCGGATACAGACATGGTGGAACTGGGCCCTGCTCTCCAAATGCTGACAGCCTCCCAGTAAGATACTCGTGCAGAACAAGGCAGCATAGAATATATTCTCTCTCTCTCTTTTTCTTTGTTTTGCCAGAGGTAAAGGAAAGTTCTGTGAGAGAAGGGAAGGAGGGGTGAAGACCAGTTCTGTGTTCTCCAGCTTCCAGTCACATCTCATTGGTAAGCCACCTCCTCTCTCCCTTTCCCAGGGGGCAAAGCATCATGGGAGTATCCTGGATGAAAGCCAGGCTTCCATGAGGTTTCTCAGCCTCACAACTGTAGACACTTGGGGCTGTATAACTCTTTGTTGTGGGGCTGTGCCGTGCAATAGAGGATGCTCAGCAGCACATCTGGCCTCCACGACTAAATTACTCGAAGGGTGATGACAAAAAATTGTCTTCAGACATTGCCAAATGTCCTTGGGGAGTAAAATCACCCCTGTTTGAGAATCACTGGGCTCCACAGTGGCCCCACGTTCCACTCACTCTCCTGGTACCACGATGTTCAACTTTCAAGACTCCAGCAAGGATGGAGAAGAGTGAGCCTGTCCTTAGAGGGAACTTCAAAGGCCTGGGTCTAGTTCTGGTCTATTCTGGGAGGGCCCATTTTCTTGTTACTTTTGCTTGTGTACATATACATTGCTTTGAATGTGTGCAACATTTAATGACAGCATCACATACATTGTCTGCACAGCATTTATTCCCCATCAAAATTCATTTCTCCCGAGGCAGGCGGATCACTTGAGCCCAGGAGTTCAAGACCAGCCTGGCCATCATGGTGAAACTCCGTCTCTACTAAAAATACAAAAATTAGTTGGGTGTGGTTGCACTTGCCTATAATCCCAGCTACTCAGGAGGCTGGGGCACGAGAATCGCTTGAACCCAGGAGGCGGAGGTTGCAGTGAGCTGAGATCATGCCACTGCACTCCAGCCTTGGTGACAGAGTGAGACTCCATCTCAAAAAAAAAAAAAAATCAATTTCTCCTCAATTTTGTCATTGTGTGTGTTTGGCAGGGGGCAGTGGCGAGTGAATCTCATTGGCCAATTATTCTCCCATCTTCCTCATAAGGGAATATTTAGGAATGGGTATGTGACCCAATTCTGGCTCATGAGGTAAGAGAAGTGTGAAGGTTTCCAGGAGAGGGTTTTTCACTGGTAGGAGCTGCAGAACATCCCACTCTTCTTCCTTGTGACACCTGCTATGTGTCATGTGAACCTGGACTGCAGTCACCTGGCTCCCAGGAGGCACACGAAGCCAGCACTCAAGATGGCAGAGTTGGCTGGTGACATGGCTGAACCCCTGAATAGGCTGACCCTGCAGTTCGCACTCTCTCTGGCTTTCCGCGTAGGTGATAGAATACATTCTGCATTGCTTAGGCCAATTTGAGTTGGGGTTTGTCTCCCTAGGGGCAGGAATAGCTTGCCATGGCATGGCTCCGTGGTGATGGTAGATGGCAGGTGGAGAGAAGTTGGACTGTGGTTTTCCTCCTATGGACTGGGTCTCATACTTTCCTCTTCATGCTTTCCCTCTCTCACATTGGGTGAACTGTGAAGCCTGTTGACTAGGGGGAAGCCACACAGCCTCAGCTGCCTCCCTGGCCCTGGCCTCCTTAAAATTTCTGTTTGAGATGCAAATTTTTTGGTCAAATGTGAATAAATCCCTTATTTCCCTTCCCTATGTCTAATTTGGGATCAGGATAAGAGACAAGAATAAAGCATTTCTGGATTAAAAAAAAAAGGATGGCTCTACATTGAAATCCAAATGACATAACAGCCTTCAAACTGGCATTTGCAATTGGGCTGAGTTAACCTAATTCAATATCAAAGGAACAGGGAAGTTTTTAATTATCTCATTCTCATAATGGGAGAAGAAACTGGTTCCATGGGAGGTAAACACCCTAAGCCACAAGGTTTTCATGTAAATTACAATGCTCAACTTGAGCTGACAAGGAGAGGGGATGTTTCTTCCTGTTTGATAGCCTTCCCTGATGTGTGGCCTTTTACTATAGTCATAAAAAGACAGTAAATTAAGAAGGCACTGTAAAATATCATCGGAACCGGCCCAAGGAGCCAAATTTCCAGCCAAAGCCTTGAAAACGAGGGAGACGATAAACAGTACAGAGTCAGTCTTTGGGGCAGAGGCCCCAAGCCAGGGAGAAAGCTGACGTCTTTTCCAAAGGTGCAGAGTTGAGAGCCTGGAGCCGCACACAAAGCAGGATAAAGAGGAGTGGGCATAGAATTGGGAAAAGAGGGCCTCCCGATCCTAGAAAGTGGTTCTCCTGGGTGGGGAGCTGCTGAGGCTTGGCACAGGGTGGAATCTGGTCTGGCTTGGGAGGTGATATAGGCTGAGATGCCATCTCTCCACTGACCACTCAGCTAACACCTTCTTGAGTTACAGGCACTAGAGATATGGAGATGGAAGAAGAGAGAGTCAGTGTCCTCAGGGTCGAGGTGAAGAAGACAGATGATGTGCCAGTGTGATGTGATCAAGGCCAGCCAAAATGACAACATGGGATGAAGGTATGATGATGGCCCCCAAGGAACCTGCCCAGGCTGCTGTGGGAGCACCACATCTTAGAAGCAGACTCAAGTCCATCTGGGTAATTCAGGAGCTCCCACTGTGTGCATGGTACAGGGGTGACTTCTTGTCCAGAGCATGCTAAGAACTAATGTCGATCTGTGCCAGGCCTTGGGCTGCAGGCTTTGAGTAGCTTCCTGTGTTGAATTCTCCTAAGAACCTTATTGTGATCAGCCCCACCTTAGAGCTGAGGAAATGGGCTCTTGGAAGTTGGGGACCCCGATTCTCCATTCACTGGACTATTTCACAATCAAGAAGATCGGGGACCCAAGAGCAAATTCCTCTGAGGAACAGGAATCCTGGTCCTCTGGAAATAGTACCTTAGACCTTATGTGTATGCATGGGGGTGGGGGGGTGGGTGTGCATGACCAAAGTCCTTCAGGTGACCCTACCATTGAGACATCTGGCACCCCTGCTGTGTCCTTTCCTGGGTGTCTAAGTGTCTGCTTAGCAGGGAAAGGGGCTGCTCTGAGATTGAGGACCTCATCAGCTTTGAGGCCTTATTTGCTTTGCTGATATGCTGGCCCTAGAGCCTGAGGGTAGAGGACTCAAATTCTCCTGGGAATTTCCCCAAGCTCCTGAAGTCTTCCAATCCTTCCCTTGGTTCCAGGAAGAATTGCCTCGAGCCATTTCAGGCAGAGGGTTGTCTATACTTTCAAAGTTTTCGAAGGAGTGGATGAACCCTGAAGTCCTCCTCCGGTCTCAGCTGGTTCTCTGCTGCTACACTTTTGTGCTCTGTCATCTCTTCCCCCGCTGAGCTGGAGAGAGAATGTGGCAGCAGAGCCCTCCTGATATTTAAAGACAGGACTGAGAGACTCCTCAGCCACGACCATGTGTGTCAGTCATCTTGATTCTGGGACACTGCACAGCCACAGCAGCCGCTTGGCTGGAAGTGAAGGTCAAGGCCACCAGGCATCCCGTGGCCGAACCTGGCTCCTTCTCTTGGCTCCCAGCAGTCTCATTTCCCCCGCGGGAAGGGCTATTTATAGAACAGAAAGAGCAGTTGCAGCCACACTTTACCCCACGAGCTCAACCCTCTGTGCCTTAGAGGGAAAACTTCCCTGCGGGTGACACCTGTGCACTGGCAAGACTTACTTGGGAGACAGATTTATAATAAACAGCCTTATTTTATAGAGCCCCAAATATTTGCACAAAAATGAGCCCTTGGTATAACTTGCTCCATTTATCTCCCTGCTGTCATAGGGTATATCTCTCTGTTTTATTACTTTATTTGCCAGTTCCTCCAGCTTCTGCGCTCACCCCTCCTCTTCATTTCCACTGCAGTTGTCACTCTGGTGGGGGGGCCCCGTCTCTCCTCCCTGTCACGCTTCTCCCTCTGCCTGCTAGTGTTCCATTCCCTCCAGCTCACACAGGGGACTTGGCCTCCCTAGGGTCCCCCTCCATTCCCCCTCAGGATTCTAGGGAGCAGCAGGAATGTGTCCCTGGGGAAGGACCCTCTTCCAAATGCCCCCCAGTCACCCCCGAGGCCCGGCTTCCTTTTCAGCACTCTGGACAGCGCTCCTGGAGGCTGTTGCTTTAAGAGACTTGGCCTTCGCCTTGCAGTCCTGGGCTGACCGGTTCGGAGGCATTTAGGATGCCTCCCTGCCTCATCTCTTAGCATTTCTAACAGTATAAGGTAAACCCTGAGTGGTTTCTTAACCTCCACGACTACCCAAGACGTGGGCTCAAGAACAGAGTGAGCAGCGTATGAAAAAAAGAAGTGATTTTAATTTCAAAGTTCTGCTGACATTCATCAAGTGCTCTCAAGGTTTACATAAACAGAACGCCCTGCTTGAAATATCACTTTGAATTCCGTTTGTGCAATGGCACCTCTAATAGGCTGCTGTTTTGGTTTCTCTCAGCAATGTGAGCCTTTGTGTTTTAATATTCAGAGGCACAAGGAACAGGAAAATTATAGCTGGGGAAGCCCAGGCTGGGTTCTTCATCATCCAAGTTAAATTTGGCTGAATGGAGGAAAAACATCCTTTTAAAAGGGTGGTAAATGGGAATAATAATCTCTTACATTTACAAAACACTGAGTATTTTCAAAGCTCTCTCATATTCATTATCTTGTTAGGTTTTCACAGAAATCCTGTATAAAACATTCCACAAAGAGCTATTGTAGGTGCTGGATGTGAATGGCAGGCCTGAGGAGGCCTTCTCAGCAAATGGAGAAACTGAGGCTGGGGGAGGGTGAGTGACTGGCTTAAGGTCACTCCATGGTGGCCAAGCCAGGGAGAGCTGGCCAAAGCCAGGAGGTGGCCATGCCAGCCATCCGTCTTGCAGGCTGCCTCCTCCCTGGTACCTCCCCCATGGCCCCAAAGTGACCTTTGTCTCTTCTCTCATGGAACACACATCCTCCAAACGAAGTGGCCACAAAACCCCCTCACCTGGACTTCTACCCTTGTAGGAGAATTAAAGCCCAAAGCAAAAAGAGAGAATCTGTACAAGTGGCAACAGTCTTCATCTGCTGAGCATTGGCTTTGCATCAAGAAGCGTGCTGTACCCTTGACATGCACTATTTCATTTGACCCTCTTAACAGCTCCGGGAATGCTTTTAGTCCCATTTTATGGCCAAGAAAACTGATGTTCAGAAGATTCGAGCTAATCAGTGTCACAGCTGCAGCCACACTCAAGCAGCCTGCTCCAAAGCCCGAGCTGCCTGTCACTATGCCATATATATACTTCCTGTTTGTCTCCAAGGACAGTTTTTAGCATCAGTTGGAGGGAGGGACTGGTGGGGTATGAGGCCTGCATTGCCCTTCTTGCCAGCGGCTAGGTTCTTTGCCTCCTGTAGGCTGCTGCTAGGATGGGGACCACAGCACTGTGGGTTCTGACATCGCAGGTCCTAAGGCTGCCCCTCTGCCTGGCACTGACCTTGCCCTTTAAGATGGAAGTCACCAGACTGCAACTGATGCATGGCCAGGGCATTCGTGCAACATTCCAATCACTTCAGCAAACACGTCGTATGGATGAATACACACATGAACGAATGAGTGAATGAATGAAGGAAGGGAAGAGAAAAAGGGTCTCTTTGTAGGTGTGTGGAGTGGGGCTCTGCAGCAGGAAGAAGCAGCGGTTGGGAAATGTAACACCTGCTGTGGCTCAAAGCCCTGGTTCTGAACAGGAGACCCCTGTACCCTCCCCCCAGCAGTATCTGATGGGCAAGGGCCCTGATGGAGGTTAAGTGGATGCAGATGGAGCCAGGGCTTTCAGGGGTCAAGGTGAGTGAGGAGGACAGGAGCCTCGGGAGGTGGGAGCAGCGGGGCTGGGGGCCCATCAGATGAGCCTGATTTGATGTTCACAGTCTAGCCTGGGCCAGGCAGGCTGATGGTGGATTGTCCCGGGCTGTCTCTGGGGGTGGTGTCATTTATAGGTTCTCGAAATTTGTTACTGTTGATAACAGTGACGAGCCATAAACATTCCCAAGTGAGGAATGTTAATAACGCGGGAGGCATTTTTTAAGTGGTGGCTTTGGGGAGCCTTCAGCGTGTCAGCGCCAATGGGGCGGTTGTTGTCACTGTCATATATCTGGGAAGTTATTCCGGGAAGGTCGCACGGTGACTTGATTGTCATTACGTACAAAATATTTCAATTTTCCAGAAGAGAGTCAGTTCTGGCATCAATGAATCTTCATCTCTTCTCCTTTTTATGTCTCCCTGTTTGTCTCTGGAATCTGGTTTTGTGTGAGCAGGAGATGGACATAAATAGGTGGCTGAGGCTAGAATGGGAAGCTCCACGCCAGAGCTCCAACAAGGGAGGGGATGGACACATAGGCCAGCTCAGGCTCTGGGAGGAGCCCCCTCTCAGCCGCCTTTGACCCCAACTCATCCATTGCAGCCAAACCTGACCTGGACTCAGCCTGAGCCTTCAGGCCTCGGGCCTTTGCTGACATCCTCATTTCTCCTGCCAAAATCTCCTCTCCTCCTACTCACCCCTCTGGGTCAGGCCTGCCCCCACCACCATCCCTCTCCTCCCACCCCTACCTCTGGGTTCCACCTCCCCAACCACCCATCGCTCCCCTCAGTGCTCTCCTCCCACCCACCCCTCTGGGTCAGGCCTGCCCTCCCCACCCATTGCTCTCCTCTCCTCACCCCTCCAGGTCTGACCTGCCCCCCCACCATCTCTCTCCTCCCACCTGACACTCTAGGTCCGGCCTGCCCCTCTCCACCATCGCTCTCCTCCCATCTGCCCCTCCAGGTCCTACTTGCTCCCCCGACTCCTCTGGGTCCAGCTTGCCCCAATACCCATCGCTCTGCTCCCACCCACCCCTCCAGGTCCCGCCTGCTCCCCCTACTCCTCCGGGTCCGGCCTGCCCCGCCCCCGCCATCGCTCTCCTCAGGCTGAGAGCCATGCAGTGTGTGATTCATCTGGCACTTCATCACGAGCTTTCCTGTGCCCCGGCTCCCATTCCCTGCTTGGCAATGGGACTTAAATCTTGTTCTATTTAACTTGTCCCCAATTTGTCACCACCTCCTTGTGGGCAAGGACCATGCCATAAACACTCCCGCAGGTCCTGGAGGGGGCTGGTTGCTGCCTCTGCGCCTCCGTGCATCTTTTCCCTGCAGCCTGGCTCAGCTCCAGGGATTGTCCAAAACCCAGCTCTGGCTTTACGGCCTGGGGGACCACCCAGGCCAGGCTGGGCCTCTCCTGTGTGCTCTGCACCAGTCCATGCCCACCACTCAGGACCCTCCTCCCTACTTGTCTGTCCATCTCACTCAGCACAGTGCTGGGCACACAGCTGGGCTTGAAAACGTAAGCAGATGAAAGGCAGGTGTCGGGAGGGGGTCAGTGAGGACTCTGGCTTTGCTCTATGTTCCAGTTCCAAGGCGACTTGCCAACTGTGTGGCCAAACACTCATCTACATCCCATCCCGGGGTTCCCATGGATTAGACACAATTTCTTCCTGCTCTTCTCTCCTGGTCCCTGCAATCCTTGGGTCATGGGTTTGGTGGGCACCTGCTGATGCCTGGGGTACGGATATAAAACTGCTAAGGTGAGCTACCTGTCTTTGGGAAACACACTCCCGGTTAAGACTGGTGCACATGGAAAGGTTCATGAAGAACACAGGCCCTTCTGGTGGCGAGGACCAACCCACAGGGTGATGGGGACTCCTGGGGAGCAGGCCCTCCAAGAGGAGGGAATTGAGGCCCAGAATCTGTTTCTGCAGAATCACTCCCACCGCCTTCCTCTCACCCAAACCTTTTTCTTTGAAATGCCCTCTTAACCTGCAAAGGGTGGTTTTGGCCCCAAGAGCCCCAGTGGGATGGCCTCAGCCATCTGTGTGCTGGCCTTGCTTAGAGCCCTGTCTCTGAGTGGTCCACAGTCTCCTGAAATGTCAGAATGGCTGTGCCTGGCAGCCATCACTCCATGCACACTGTGACCCCTGCCCTTCCGGCCCAGTGAGCTCGGAGTGGTGATACGGACAGGAGGCAAGGAAATACTGGGTAGAAGAGGGCAGTTCCCCAGCAAAGGCCCCGCCCTCAAGCCTGGAAACCTGCAGCCCTAAATGGGAACAGGCAATCCTGTTTCTGCGCCCAAATGTTGCCTTTTAGCCCACCGTGCCCTCCTATCCTGTACTCATATAAACCCCAAGCTCCAGGATCCACAGACAGATGAGCAGAGGGGCAGAAGAGTGGCACAGTGGCACGGCAGAGAAAGAGAAAAGAGAAGGAGTGTCTAAACGTCGAGAGGAGTTTGGCTGGGGATAGTTGGAGAGGAGATCAGCTTCAGGATGACCAAACTCCAGGGGAAAATCATCTTCCCACTCCATCCCTTGTCCAGCTCCCCATCCATCCTGCTGAGAGCCACCTCCACCACTCAATCAAATCCCCACATTCACCATCCTTCAAGTCCGTGTGACCTGATTCTTCTGGGATACCGGACAAGAAGCTGGGTACCAAGAGGGCAGGGTGTAAAAGGCTGTCATCCTGACTCTCCACTGAGCTGGTTTAACACTTAGCTGTCCGTGGATGGCAACTGCCAAAACAGCATTAATTGTAACACACCTCTAGATGCTACCATGGGGCCAGAGCCCAAAAGCACTTGCCCAGGCTCCTGCCCCTGCCCATCTCTGTGCACCCCCTCCCAGTGGGCGCATGGCAGCTGCCAAGAAAATGAGCCATACCCCGTTGCAAGTCTCTTGACGGGGTCAGGGAACTCTCCCATTTCAGTGGGTCAGGTCAGCACCTCTCAGGTCAAGACAGGGGGCTTGGCAAGGCACAGAGAAGCTCCAGGCGGTCCCCCAGCACTGGCCCCTGGGCAGAGGTGGGAGTGAGGGGCAGCCTGAAGCAGCAGCTGCCCCCACCTTACCCTGGCAGCGAGTGCAGGTGGGAAAGGCCGGCTGAGCCTGGGAGGTACAGTAAGGGTCTGATAGTAAGGCTGGAGAGAGCCTCCTGCTGCACACAGCTCTTGTCAGACTCTTGTTGGCAAGCTTGGCCCCCCAGCAGCCCAGGTGGCATGTTCCAACATCAGGCACCACTTGGCTCCTGCTCTCTCACACCCACCCGGGTCAGGCTCAGGCCCTCGGGCTAGAGGGAATCCTCTCCTTCCTGGTCCTCGCTCAAACCTGTTCCCAGCATCCTGCTCCTCTAACCTGGCCTCCTCCTGGACTCAGATACTTTGGTCCAAGCCCTTTGGCCAGAGGCCTAGGCTGTGCAGGGAAGGCAAGGGAGGCACTTGTCTTGGCCACAAAATTTAAGGGGGTGCCAGAAAACTCAGTAACGGAGATAATGTTTAGTGCAATATTCTAAAAAGTTGGAACTGTTGTGAAAAAAATCCACAATGAACAAAATATCAACGTGATAAATAAACACAGACTCAGCAGCCCCCCAGGCTGTGGGCCCTGGTCTCTTATCCCCAACTCTGCACCGAGAGCATGGACTAGGCCCGCACCATGGCCCAGCTCTCTTCTGCATGGCCCCGCGCCTTCCTCTCCACAGTCCCGGAGGTGGGTACTTTCACTCTGCCTGCTTTACAGAGGAGAAAATGGACACTTCGAGAGGCAAGGTGATTTGTCCAGGACTGCACAGGTTGCAAAGGGCAGAGCTAGGGGTCTCAGGCCTGGGCCTGCGTCTTGGCCACTTAGCTTCCCCTCTGCCTGGGGGCCTGGGACCTGGCCTCCCGTAGTTACCAGGACTGGGAAGCCCTGGCCTTTGCCCCTCATGCTGCTTTCTTGAGGTTCATCTGGTGCTCTGAGGCGCTATTTGACCTCCACTCTGTGCTGCTGCTGGGCCTGGCTGCACCATCAGGGCAAGGACCCATCCTTGCCTTAGGGGCTCCCAGGCCATTTAGGGAAGAAAGAAAAAGCCATAGGCCTTCCCAGCTGGGGCTGCATCTTGTTTCTAGGGAGGGGCAGAGGCCACTTCTGGTCTTGTGGCTCCACTCCCTCCCTTCCCTGGGGTCAGGGTTATGGATGGGCACCCCCCTGCAACTGTTGCTGACAGGCCTATAGGAGGGGCCACGGAGTCTGCCCCCAGTCACTTTTGAATGGCAGAACCAGGCTAGAACATTTGTGGCATTAGGGATTTAACCTGCTAGGCCACAGAGGAGAAACTGAGGCTGGGGGGAGGGTCACGGGGCTGATTGACTGTGGCTGGTCTTGTTTGGGATTGCATTCCTAGTGCTCAACACTAGGAATTCCCTTCATTTGACCCATGTTTATTAAGTGCAAGTTCAGTGCCAAGCACAATGTGCAGGAGCCAGGCAGGTCCTGGTGATGGAGCAGACTTGGCCTTTCCCTCAGGGAGCCACCGGTTTGGGGACACAGGGACAGAACAGGACCCAGATATCCCAGCTCTTCTCGCTGAGCCTTGCCTTTAATGTCTCTATGTGCTGAACAGGCTGTGTATGTATTTATGAGGTCATGTTTGGCTGCTGCCACTGCCATGTGAGCACATGTGAGCACGTGTGTGTGTGTGTTTTTGCACAACCCCTGGCTGGGCTGTGCCCTCCATGCTTCTCCGTTGCAGAATCTGGCAGAGAAACGTCCCTGAGAAGCAGCTCCCCCTTTGCAGGCTGCACAGCTCCCTCCTGTGAGTGCACACACAGTGTGGACAGACCCGGCAGGTGCTGTATTTCAGGTAAAGAGACTTGGAGACCCCACAGTTTACCCTCTCATTTCACAAATAAGAGAATGAAGACCAGGAGAGGTGAAGTAAGAGCAGTACATAATAATCCGAGCTTCCATGTTTGGACTCTACCCGGATGCCAGGAACCTCAGTTCCTGGCACTCACACGTGTTCACAGGTGCCCTGCGGGAGGGCAGTTCCCACCTGGCTTTGCAGACAGGAAAGAGAGGCTCAGAGAAGCAAAGTGACCTGCTCAAGGTCACACCACCTGTGGGTGGAAGAGATCTGGGGTCCAGGGGATCTGACTTGAGGCTGGAGCTCCAATGTCCTCAGCAAGGTCACCAGGACATGGGTGACAGCCAGGACCCTGCTCCCCTCCCCTTTTGTGCCATGGCCTGGCTGAGGCTGGCTCACTCCTGCAGGGCTGGACTGGAGCCTGAGAGAGGGGTGGCAGGCCCTGAGCATCCCTGGGGGCCTGGAGGCTGGGGCCAGGGCTTGCCTTCTGGCTGCTGCTCTGCTGCCCTCACTGAGGGGCTTTGATTTGCTGTTAACACCCAAAGTTGAGCAGAGCCTCATGAATCATTCATGAAGGTGCTCCAGCGAGATCATTATTTTGAGTGTTGAGTGTCAGGAAAACAGCGTCTGATGGGTAAACATGATGTCTGATGACAGAACAGCCGATGGGGTGACCCAGCAGCCGGGCACCTGCCATGCTGTGGGGAATTTTTAAACATTAAAAAAAAATCCAACCCAGGCTCAAGGATGAGCAAGCCGGCTCATCATAAACCCCTGTCTGTGGCTAGGAGGCCAGGAGGCAAGGCACAGGCGGCAGGGCTAGGCCGGTAGTGGGAAGGGGCCAGAATGTCCTGGGAGTTCAGACCCTGTCCTCTGGCAGGAAGTGACTCAGCACTGCCCCCACCCCTGCGGGGGGCCCAGCCTGCATCAGGAGACTCCTTTCCAATCCACAACGCAGGCCTCCTAGCCAGACAGCTCCTGCCCTCACTTCTGCTTAGAATTTCCCCATAGAATGTCCTTCTAGAAAAGGCCAGGTAGGGCTCAAGCTCCCATCCATTCATCTTGGACCATGCCAAGGGCCTGGCCCTTCTTGAAGAGCCCCTGTTCAGCCAGAGACTGGACCTGTGGCCGGCTGAGGCCCCTGGGGCCCTCCCACGCTTCTGGCTCTGTCGAAGCCACTTTCAAGCAGATGACAGATTGTCAATAACTTCACTACCTGCATTATTTAAGCAGAACAAGGTGAGCCTCTGCTGCACCCTTGAGCTCAGATCAAACTGATGGCCAGTGTGGAAGCTACAAGCAATCAGATTTTCTAAGGAGAAAGAGATGCCAAGGGGACAGACACAAGCCAAATGGGGCTCCTGCATGGCTCCTTCCCTGCCATCAGCCTCTCATGGAGCCCCAATCCCTTTCCCTGGGCTGGGGACAGTGAAACAGGCACTGGTGTTATGCAGTCCTGGGCCCCAGCTTCTTTCTCAGGCCTTTTTTGTCTCCTTTCAGGCCCTGGCTCTTAGTAGGGAAGGTGAGTGCTAAGGACATGTGCCTGCTCCAGAGGAGGGTTCCCTGGCCCTGAGCATTCCCCAGGAACTAGGCCTGGGAGGCTCTGCCCTGGCTCTGTCCAATTTGTCTCTGTAGGGGCTTCCTGGCAGCACCTCCTTGCCTCTCCCATCTACCACCTGCATGACCTTGGTCAGGTCTGGGCCTGCTTGACTGTCACATGCTTCCTGTCCTCTCTGCAGATCAGCTTCCTCAGGTCACCTGGGCAGCATCTGAGAGCTCAGTCAGAGGAGCGGGCAGGAGAGCCAAGGTCTGAAGCCAGGAGAGTGCACCCCTGCCATGGGTCAGCAGCTGCACTAGCAGAGCATGGGTCTCCTGCAGGGGCCAGAAAAATTGGCTCCTTGACCCAGTTGAGGACAGGGGCTCAGGAGGAACTATGGAGGCCAGAGATGGAAAGACCTCTGGGGTCTCCCTGCAACTAGCACAAGGACACCTTCTACTACACCTGACAGCTTCCTTTTCCTGACACTTCCAGGGACCATGACTTGCTCCCTTTCCACACAGTCTACTCCAACAAAAGCCAACTGGGGTCAGTAGAAAGTTCTTTCTTAGCCTGAGTCCAAATCTGCTTCTCTATAGAATCTACTATGATTTTGTTTTCTGGATCCACAGAAGATACGACTCCACTCTTTAAGATGTGACAGTCTTTCAAAGATTTGAGGAAAGATTCATGCCACTTTTCCATTCACACATTCATTCACTCAACAGTCCATCTGTCAACCCACCTACTCACCTATCCATTCACCCATCTGCCTACCCACCCACCTATCCATCCAAATATTTATCTATCATCCTCCAAAGAATCCACCTATCCACACATCTATCCACTCATTCTCCCACCCCTCCATATATGCACTACCCATCCACTCATCTTCCATCCATCAACCCCTCCACTTACTCATCTATTGACTATCTATCCATCTATCCATCCATCCATCCATCCACCCATCCATCCATCCACCCACCTATCATTCCATCTACACATCCATCCATCCATCCATCCATCCACCAGTCCACCTATTCACCCATCCATCCATCTACCCATCCACCTATCTTCCATCTATCCATTGACCCATCCATCCATCCACCCACCTACCATTCCATCCAACCATCCACACACCCATCCATCCATCCATCCATCCAGCTACCCACCCATTCACCCATCCATCCAGCTGCCCATCCACCTATCTTCCATCCATCCACCTACCCATCCATCCATCCACTCATCATTCCATCCAACCACCCATCTAACCATCCATCCATCCATCCATCCATCCATCCATCCATCCTTCCATCTACCCACCTACTCCTCCATCCATCCACCCATCCAACCATCCATGCATCCGTCCTCCCTTCTATTTAACATGTATTGAGCACCTGTTGTTAAATGCTGATACCACTCTGAGTATTAAAAGAAGCAGTTCCTGGCTTCAAGGAGCTAACTCTCCTGGTGCTGAGGCAGACATGTGACTAGGGTCACACAATGACTTGAGTGCTCAACTAGAGGAATGTAGACAGCATCTAAGGATCCTGCAGCTCCACACTCCCCATTTCCTCCCCAGCCATCCCAGGGGCTCCAAACCCCTCCTCACCCTGATGATCCTTTGGATGGCTCCTGGGCTGGCGCTGTCCTCTCTCATCAGTGGGACAGGCCTCTCCTAGGGTTTGAGGTTGGAGGTGGGAACCATCCTCCATGTTCCCATCCCCTGGAGAGGAGGACACGCTTGTGCTGTGAACATGCAACATTTTCCTCCCAGCTCTTTCACAGATCATGTCTGGTGCTTTTCGATGCAGCAAAGAACATTTCAAACGAGTCCCTGGCAGGCTCAGTTGGGAAGTTCTTTTGGCCACTTAAAATCTCAGCCTCTGAATGTAAGGCATGCTGGCGGTAATTGTTCAAGAAAATAAAATGAAAACAGATACAGCAAGTTTCTGGTTATTTATCAGCTGTAGATATAGGCCACTTTTCATCATGCTGAGCCTCAAGAAAAGATAAAAGCACGAGAATTGATCTGAGCCTCTAGAGGGAGTGTCACACATTGCTGCCCAACAAGTGCCATCTTAAATGAACCACTTCCCAGCCTGCATCATGGCCGGCAGCTGCTGGGTCTCAGGCCCTGCCCCAGCCACTCCTTGGACCGCTGGCATCCTCTGGCTGTTTCCTAAGCACCCACAGAGGCATCTGTCAGCCCCTGCCTGGGAAGAAGGTGCTGAGAGTCTGGACCTGGGGAGGATTTTGCTTCAGGACCAGGGCTGGGGGCTTGACCAATGCCTCCACCGACTACACTGGTCAGTCTCCTCCCAGACTTGCCAGAGTGACCTCTTTATTCTCTGCTCAGGGGCCTTGATTGGATCACATGACTCAGGGGCAGTGGGCTCTGAGATGAAGCCTTCTACAAGCTCCCCCGAGGGCAGGAGGGCAGGGATGGAGCCACAGATCCAAGGGAGGACAGTGTCACCTGAGAGCACTTTGTTGTCCCTCTCTGTGATGTGTCAGCTTGACTAGGCCACAGAACCCAGCCCTTCTGGCGGTCACAGTGATGGTCCTTTTTAGATGAGATTAATATTTAAATTGGGGGGTGGAGCCAAGATGACCAAATAGGAACAGCTCCAGTCTACAGCTCCCCGCATGAGCGACGCAGAAGACAGGTGATTTCTGCATTTCCAACTGAGGTACCGGGTTCATCTCACTAGGGAGTGTCGGAAAGTGGGTGCAGGACAGTGGGCGCAGCACACCAAGCATGAGCTGAAGCAGGGCGAGGCATCACCTCACCTGGGAAGCACAAAGGGTCAGGGAATTCCCTTTCCTAGTCAAAGAAAGGGGTGACAGATGGCACCTGGAAAATCAGGTCACTCCCACCCTAATACTGCACTTTTCCAACAGTCTTAGCAAACGGCACACCAGGAGATTATATCCCACACATGGCTCAGAGGGTCCTACGCCCACAGAGCCTCGCTCATTGCTAGCACAGCAGTCTGAGATCAAACTGCAAGGCAGCAGCGAGGCTTGGGGAGGGGCGCCTGCCATTGCCGAGGCTTGAGTAGGTAAATAAAGCGGCTGGGAAGCTCGAACTCAGTGGAGCCTACTGCAGCTCAAGGAGGCCTGCCTGCCTCTGTAGACTCCACCTCTGGGGGCAGGGCATAGCCAAACAAAAGAAAGCAATAACCTCTGCAGACTTAAATGTCCCTGTCTGACAGCTTTGAAGAGAGTAGTGGTTCCCCCATCATGCAGCTGGAGATCGGAGAATGGACAGACTGCGTCCTCAAGTGGGTCCCTGACCCCCGAGTAGCCTAACTGGGAGGCACCCCCTAGTAGGGGTAGACTGACACCTCACACAGCCGGCCGGGTACTCCTCTGAGACAAAACTTCCAGAGGAATGATCAGGCAGCAACATTTGCTGTTCACCAATATCCGCTGTTCTGTGGCCTCCACTGCTGATATCCAGGCAAACAGGGTCTGGAGTGGACCTCCAGCAAACTCCAACAGACCTGCAGCTGAGGGTCCTGACTGTTAGAAGGAAAACTAACAAACAGAAACGACATCCACACCAAAACCCCATCTGTACGTCACCATGATCAAAGACCAAAGGTAGATAAAACCACAAAGATGGGTAAAAAACAGAGCAGAAAAACTGGAAACTCTAAAAATCAGAGCACCTCTCCTCCTCCAAAGGAAACCAGCTCCTCACCAGCAACGGAACAAAGCTGGACAGACAATGACTTTGACGAGTTGAGAGAAGAAGTCTTCAGACGATCAAACTACTCTGAGCTAAAGGAGGAAGTTCGAACCCATGGCAAAGAAGTTAAAAACCTTGAAAAAAAATTAGATGAATGGCTAGCTAGAATAACCAATACAGAGAAAGCCTTAAAGGACCTGATGGAGCTGAAAACCACGGCCTCAGAACTATGTGATGAATGCACAAGCCTCAGTAGCTGATTCGATCAACTGGAAGAAAGGGTATCAGTGATGGAAGATCAAATGAATGAAATGAAGCGAGAAAAGAAGTTTAGAGAAAAAAGAATAAAAAGAAACAAACAAGCCTCCAAGAAACATGGGACTATGTGAAAAGACCAACTCTACGTCTGATTTGTGTACCTGAAAGTGATGGGGAGAATGGAACCAAGTTGGAAAACACTGCAGGATATTATCCAGGAGAACTTCCCCAATCTAGCAAGGCAGGCCAATATTCAAATTCAGGAAATACAGAGAACGCCACAAAGATACTCCTTGAGAAGAGCAACTCCAACACACATAATTGTCAGATTCATCAAACTTGAAATGAAGGAAAAAATGTTAAGGGCAGCCAGAGAGAAAGGTCGGGTTACCCACAAAGGGAAGCCCATCAGAGTAACAGTGGATCTCTCAGCAGAAACTCTACAAGCCAGAAGAGAGTGGGGGCCAATATTCAACATTCTTGAAGAAAAGAATTTTCAACCCAGAATTTCATATCCAGCCAAACTAAGCTTCATAAGTGAAGGAGAAATAAAATACTTTACAGACAAGCAAACGCTGAGAGATTTTGTTACCACCAGGCCTGCCCTAAAAGAGCTCCTGAAGGAAGCACTAAACATGGAAAGGAACAACTGGTACCAGCCACTGCAAAAACATGCCAAATTGTAAAGACCATCGAGGCTAGGAAGAAACTGCATCAACTAACAAGCAAAATGACCAGCTAACATCATAATGACAGGATCAAATTCACACATAATAATATTAACCTTAAGTGTAAATGGGCTAAATGGTCCAATTAAAAGACACAGACTGGCAAATTGGATAAAGAGTCAAGACCCATCAGTGTGCTGTATTCAGGAAACCCATCTCACGTGCAGAGACACACATAGGCTCAAAAGAAAGGGATGGAGGAAGATCTACCAAGCAAATGGAAAACAAAAAAAGGCAGGGGTTGCAATCCTAGTCTCTGATAAAACAGACTTTAAACCAACAAAGATCAAAAGAGACAAAGAAGACCATTACATAATGGTAAAGGGATCAATTCAACAAGAAGAGCTAACTATCCTAAATAATATGCACCCAATACAGGAGCACCCAGATTCATAAAGCAAGTCCTTAGAGATCTACAAAGAGACTTAGACTCCCACACAATAATAATGGGAGACTTTAACACCCCACTGTCAACATTAGAAAGATCAATGAGACAGAAAGTTAACAAGGATATCCAGGAACTGAACTCAGCTCTGCACCAAACAGACCTAATAGACATCTACAGAACTCTCCACCCCAAATCAACAGAATATACATTCTTTTCAGCACCACACCACACCTATTCCAAAATTGACCACATAGTTGGAAGTAAAGCACTCCTCAGCAAATGTAAAAGAACAGAAATTATAACAAGCTGTCTCTCAGACCACAGTGCAATCAAACTAGAACTCAGACCACAGTGCAATCAAACTAGAACTCAGGATTCAGAAACTCACTCAAAACCACTCAACTACATGGAAACTGAACAACCTGCTCCTGAATGACTACTGGGTACATAATGAAAGAAGGCAGAAATAAAGATGCTCTTTGAAACCAATGAGAACAAAGACACAACATACCAGAATCTCTGGGACATATTCAAAGCAGTGTGTAGAGGGAAATTTATAGCACTAAATGCCCACAAGAGAAAGCAGGAAAGATCTAAAATTGACACCCTAACATCACAATTAAAAGAACTAGAAAAGCAAGAGCAAACACATTCAAAAGCTAGCAGAAGGCAAGAAATAATTAAGATCAGAGCAGAACTGAAGGAAATAGAGACACAAAAAACCCTTCAAAAAATCAATAAATCCAGGAGCTGGTTTTTTGAAAAGATCAACAAAATTGATAGACCGCTAGCAAGACTAATACAGAAGAAAAGAGAGAAGAATCAAATAGACGCAATAAAAAATGATAAAGGGGATATCACCACCAATCCCACAGAAATACAAACTACCATCAGAGAATACTGTAAAGACCTCTATGCAAATAAAGTAGAAAATCTAGAAGAAATGGATAAATTCCTCGACACATACACTCTCCCAAGACTAAACCAGGAAGAAGTTGAATCTCTGAATAGACCAATAACAGGCTCTGAAATTGAGGCAATAATTAATAGCTTACCAACCAAAAAAAGTCCAGGACCAGATGGATTCACAGCCGAATTCTACCAGAGGTACAAGGAGGAGCTGGTACCATTCCTTCTGAAACTACTCCAATCAATAGAAAAAGAGGGAATCGAGGGGAGGGGAAGGGAAGGGAGGAGGGAGGGAGGGAGGGAGGAAGGAAGGAAGGAAGGAAGGAAGGAAGGAAGGAAGGAAGGAAGGAAGGAAGGAAGGAAGGAAAGAAAATTGGAAAGGCTCCTCCTCTCCCTCTCCCTCCTCTCCCTCTCCCTCCTCTCCCTCCTCTCCCTCTCCCTCTCCCTCTCCCTCTCCCCACGGTCTCCCTCTCCCCACAGTCTCCCTCTCCCCACGGTCTCCCTCTCCCTCTCTTTCCACGGTCTCCTCCTGATGCCGAGCCAAAGCTGGACTGTACTGCTGCCATCTCAGCTCACTGCAACCTCCCTGCCTGATTCTCCTGCCTCAGCCTGCCGAGTGCCTGCGATTGCAGGCGCGCGCCGCCATGCCTGACTGGTTTTCGTATTTTTTTGGTGGAGACGGGGTTTCGCTGTGTTGGCCAGGCTGGTCTCCAGCTCCTAACCGCGAGGGATCCGCCAGCCTCGGCCTCCCGAGGTGCCGGGATTGCAGACGGAGTCGCGTTCACTCAGTGCTCAATGGTGCCCAGGCTGGAGTGCAGTGGCGTGATCTCGGCTCGCTACAACCTCCACCTCCCAGCTGCCTGCCTTGGCCTCCCAAAGTGCCGAGATTGCAGCCTCTGCCCGGCCGCCACCCTGTCTGGGAAGTGAGGAGCATCTCTGCCTGGCCGCCCATCGTCTGGGATGTGAGGAGCCTCTCTGCCTGGCTGCCCAGTCTGGAAAGTGAGGAGCGTCTCTGCCCGGCCGCCATCCCATCTAGGAAGTGAGGAGCGTCTCTGCCAGGCCGCCCATCGTCTGAGATGTGGGGAGCGCCTCTGCCCTGCCGCCCCGTCTGGGATGTGAGGAGCGTCTCTGCCCGGCCGCACCGTCTGAGAAGTGAGGAGACCCTCTGCCTGGCAACCGCCCCGTCTGAGAAGTGAGGAGCCCCTCCGCCCGGCAGCCACCCCGTCTGGGAAGTGAGGAGCGTCTCCGCCCAGCAGCCACCCCGTCCGGGAGGGAGGTGGGGGTCAGCCCCCTGCCCGGCCAGCCGCCCCGTCCGGGAGGGAGGTGGGGGGGTCAGCCCCCGGCCCGGCCAGCCGCCCCTTCCGGGAGGTGAGGGGCACCTCTGCCCGGCCGCCCCTACCGGGAAGTGAGGAGCCCCTCTGCCCAGCCACCACCCCATCTGGGAGGTGTACTCAACAGCTCATTGAGAACGGGCCATGATGACAATGGTGGTTTTGTGGAATAGAAAGGGGGGAAAGGTGGGGAAAAGACTGAGAAATCTAATGGTTGCCATGTCTGTGTAGAAAGAGGTAGACATGGGAGACTTTTCATTTTGTTCTGTATTAAGAAAAATTCTTCTGCCTTGGGATCCTGTTGATCTGTGACCTTACCCCCAACCCTGTGCTCTCTGAAACATGTGCTGTGTCCACTCAGGGTTGAATGGATTAAGGGTGGTGCAAGATGTGCTTTGTTAAACAGATGCTTGAAGGCAGCATGCTTGTTAAGAGTCATCACCACTCCCTAATCTCAAGTACCCAGGGACACAAACACTTTGGAAGGCCGCAGGGTCCTCTGCCTAGGAAAACCAGAGACCTTTGTTCACTTATCTGCTGACCTTCCCTCCACTATTGTCCTGTGACCCTGCCAAATCCCCCTCTGCGAGAAACACCCAAGAATGATCAATTAAAAAAAAAAAAAGAAAAAGAAAAAGAGGGAATCCTCCCTAACTCATTTTATGAGGCCAGCGTTATCCTGATACCAAAGCCTGGCAGAGACACAACAAAAAAAGAGAATTTTAGACCAATGTCCCTGATGAACCTCGATGCAAAAATCCTCAATAAAATACTGGCAAACTGAATCCAGCAGCACATCAAAAGCTTATCCACCATGATCAACTGGGCTTCATCCCTGGGATGCAAGGCTGGTTCAACATACGCAAATCAACAAACATAATCCAGCACATAAACAGAACCAACGACAAAAACCACATGATTATCTCAATAGATGCAGAAAAGGCCTTTGACAAAATTCAACAACCCTTCATGCTGAAAACTCTCAATAAATTAGGTATTGATGGGACGTATCTCAAAATCATAAGAGCTATCTATGACAAACCCACAGCCAATAACATACTGAATGGGCAAAAACTGGAAGCATTCCCTTTGAGAACTGGCACAAGACAGGGATGCACTCTCTCACCACTCCTATTCAACACAGCGTTGGAAGTTCTGGCCAGGGCAATCAGGCAGGAGAAGGAAATAAAGGGTATTCAATTAGGAAAAGAGGAAGTCAAATCGTCCCTGTTTGCAGATGACATGATTGTATATCTAGAAAACCCCATTGTCTCAGCCCAAAATCTCCTTAAGCTGATAGGCAACTTCAGCAAAGTCTCAGGATACAAAATCAATGTGCAAAAATCACAAGCATTCTTATACACCAATAACAGACAAACAGAGAGCTAAATCATGAATGAACTCCTATTCACAACTGCTTCAAAGAGAATAAAATACCTAGGAATCCAACTTACAAGGGACATGAAGGACCTTTTCAAGGAGAACTACAAACCACTGCTCAATGAAATAAAAGAGGGTACAAACAAATGGAAGAACATTCCATGCTCATGGGTAGGAAGAATCAATATCATGAAAATGGCCATACTCCCCAAGGTAATTTATAGATTCAATGCCATCCCCATCAAGCTACCAATGACTTTCTTCACAGAATTGGAAAACACTACTTTGAAGTTCATATGGAACAAGAAAAGAGCCCGCATCGCCAAATCAATCCTAAGCCAAAAGAACATAGCTGGAGGCATCACGCTACCTGACTTTAAACTATACTACAAGGCTACAGTAACCAAAACAGCATGGTACTGGTACCAAAACAGAGATGTCGACCAATGGAACAGAACAGAGCCCTCAGAAATAATGCTGCATGTCTACACCTATCTGACCTTTGACAAACCTGACAAAAACAAGAAATGGGGAAAGGATTCCCTATTTAATAAATGGTGCTGGGAAAACTGGCTAGCCATATGTAGAAAGCTGAAACTGGATCCCCTCCTTACACCTTACACAAAAATTAATTCAGGATGGATTAAAGATTTAAATGTTAGACCAAAAACCATAAAAGCCCTAGAAGAAAACCTAGGCAATACCATTCAGGACATAGGCATGGGCAAGGACTTCATGTCTAAAACACCAAAAGCAATGGCAACAAAAGCCAAAATTGACAAATGGGATCTCATTAAACTAAAGAGCTTCTGCACAGCGAAAGAAACTACCATCAGAGTGAACAGGCAACCTACAGAATGGGAGAAAATTTTTGCAATCTACTCATCTGACAAAGGGCTAATATCCAGAATCTACAATGAACTGAAACAAATTTACAAGAAAAAAACAAACAACCCCATCAAAAAGTGGGCAAAGGACATGAACAGACACTTCTCAAAAGAAGACATTTATGCAGCCAAAAGACACATGAAAAAAATGCTCATCATCACTGGCCATCAGAGAAGGAAGCAAATCAAAACCACAATGAGATACCATCTCACACCAGTTAGAATGGCGATCATTAAAAAGTCAGGAAACAACAGGTGCTGGAGAGGATGTGGAGAAATAGGAACACTTTTACACTGTTGGTGGGACTGTAAACTAGTTCAACCATTGTAGAAGTCAGTGTGGCGATTCCTCAGGGATCTAGAACTAGAAATACCATTTGACCCAACCATCCCATTACTGGGTATATACCCAAAGGATTATAAAACATACTGCTATAAAGACACATGCACACATATGTTTATTGTGGCACTATTCACAATAGGAAAGACTTGGAACCAACCCAAATGTCCAAAAATGATAGACTGGATTAAGAAAATGTGGCACATATACACCATGGAATACTATGCAGCCATAAAAAATGATGAGTTCGTGTCCTTTGTAGGAACACGGATGAAGCTGGAAACCATTATTCTCAGCAAACTATCACAAGGATAAAAAACCAAACACCACATGTTCTCACTCATAGGTGGGAATTGAACAATGAGAACACATGGACACAGGAAGGGGAACATCACACACCGGGGCCTGTTGTGGGGTTGGGGGAGGGGGGAGGGATAGCATTAGGAGATATACCTAATGTTAAATGAAGAGTTAATGGGTGCAGCACACCAACATGGCACATGTATACATATGTAACAAACCTGCACATTGTGCACATGTACCCTAAAACTTAAAGTATAAAAAAAAAAAAAGTAGATGACGGGTTGATAGTCGCAGCAAACCACCACGGCATATGTATACCTGTGTAACAAACCTGCACATTCTGCACATGTATCCCAACACTTAAAGTAAAATTTAAAAAAATTTAAAAAATATATTTAAATCACTAGACTTTGGGTAAGCAGATGACCCTCCATAATGTCAGTGGGCCTCAATCAATCATTGAAGGTCTTATGCAAAAAAGACTGAGGTCCCCAAGAAAGAAGCAATTCCACCAGCAGATGGCTTTCAGACTCGACCTACAACATCATTTCTTTCCTGGTCTCCAGCCCGTTGACCTACTCTGTAGAATTTGGAGCCCCACAATCATGCTCCTCTCTCTCTCTCTCTCCATATATATACACATCCTATTAGTTCTGTTACATGGAGAACCCTGACTAATACAGTTCCCACCCAGGAAACACATCTTCTGCTGCAGCAACCCTATGGAATACTCAGGGGTTGCGAAGTTCAGGGCCAAGCTCTCTTTTCCTTCCTGTGGAGGCCTCGGGGCCAGAGTCAACAATCAATCAGCCAGTCAATAAGAAGAAAAACTCGCAGTGCTCCCGCTACTTATCAAGGCTTCACTCTGTGCAAAACACTGAGTGAACATCACAGGCGTCAGCTCATCTTGTCCTCGCACCAGTTCTAGGAGGCATTGCTCCCATTTGGAAGCAGGGGAAATGAAAACTCAAAGAGGTCAAGCACCTTGCCCAAGGTCATGTGCAGCTAGTAGCTGGTAGGGTCAAGACTTGCACCCAGCTTTGTCCAAGACCCTTGCCTACTCAGTGGGCTCGTGTCCACTGGGTAAGTGGGCTCGTGTTTGCTGGGTGCCTGGGGAGAGCAGGTTGGTGGACGTCAGCAAGGGGCAATAGAAAGGATGAAGATGCCAACAATGTCCAAGGCCTGGGGCCACAAGGGGATTACAGGTGGAGACACTGGTACCCTGGACCAGTCCTCAGTCTCCTGGGCTGCCAGGGGGCTCCGCCTGTCTCAAGGGCATCAGTTCTGCTCATGCTAGGAGTTACTGCATGTCTGTCATCTTGTCACTCTCTCCTGCAGATAGAGACATGGGTGGGGGTGGGGGGATGAAATCTACAAAGCCATGTCAAGTTGAGTGATTGTGCAGTGGCTCACTGCCCCTCACTGCTCCAGGAAAGGCAATAAAGCTAGGAGAACCAATAAAAGCAAGTGCCGTGGGGCTTGACGGATTTGGCTGTCCCCAGCGGGTGATGGCCAATTCAACCACAGAGGAAAATGGAAGTCAGAGCAAACCAGTCCAGGGAGCGAGTGACCCTGAGAAGCCTGGCACCCATCGTTCATCTGAGGAGCAGGCACCTGTCAGCCTGGGTGGGAGCAGGCCTTGTGCATGGCCCTGAGTGGAGGGAAGGCCACAGCACAGGGCTGTGAGTGGCCATGGGGAGTGCTTCACGGCCCCTTGGACAGGGAAGTGGGCACCTGCGGCCAGCACAGGACACACAGAAGAGTAGGAGCAGGCATGGGGGTGGGAGAAATGCTGGGCAGATTCGGGGCCAAGAAGCCTGAGTCAAACTATATCTTCTGAGCTGATCCCTTGTTCCCAAGATCCAGCTGCACCTGGCATGGAGCTGCCCTCTCCATTTCTATCCAGGCCTGGGTCACCCAGCCAGCATGCTGGATTGCAGTGGGTGGGGCAGACAGGCCCCAGCTTTGTCACCTCAGAGAGCCTCCTGCTTCCCCTGAAGCTGGCTCCTGGGCACTGATGCCCCACTTGCACCAGCCACTCGGCTCTGCTTCCTCCCACCCTCATCTGCAGGCAGCCAAGCCTTGTCACTTATTGCAGCGGCCCCTCCCTGACTTTCCACCCATCTTCAAGGACAGAGGGAGCAAGACGGATGGGGACAGTGAAGCTAAATTGCCCAGCTTGCTGTTGCTGAAGCCGGGGTCCCCAGGAAGCCAAGAGGAGGCAGAGGCTGAGGCTGGTCAAGTGTCAGGCCCCTAATCTCATCCTGGAAGCTTGGGAGGCTGCACGTTCCTTGGGATGTCATCCTTTTGGCTAGATTGGGAGGTGTGGTTGTGGAAAGTGGCCACAAGTAACTGTGATGCCCAGGTGGGGTGGGGGGTTCCGCCAGGGCCATGAAAACACAACAGTCAGACCTCAACACTCAGATCTCTTGAGCTCTGTAACCTCAGGCAAGCCTTTTGCATTTCCTCATCTCTGAAACAAGGCTAACTCCATGTAGCTTCTTATTAACCAGCCTGGGCCTCAGTTTCCCCATCTCTAAAATGGGGGCAATCTCACTGGTGTCACCTCAGAGGGTTGTTGTGAAGATCCAGTGGCTTCTCAGCCTCCAGGGTCTGGAGCTGTGCCTGGCCTGTGCAGGGCATCCCCGGCGGTGTCCGGGCTCCGTGGTGCTGAAGCAGAATCAGCCTCCAGATTCAGCAGAGCCGCGGGAGGAAACAGCTTCCCACCTTCTTCGTTTAAAGAAGAACCAAATTAAGGCACTAAGTTTATACATTAATTTTGCTACAGACGGGAGAACTGAAATAGCTTTCTAAAAGGTATTTTTAAAAACTGCTTCTCAATGCTCCATTAAAGGGCTCTCTGCCTTGCCTCGGAGTCTCTGCAGCTGCCAAAAATACGATGAAAATTACTCAAATGCAGACTTTGTTGGCTCTGAGTTTGCCAACTTGCTTCAGATAATCTGAAAGCTGATCACATTTGATCTGAGACACAGGCGCTCTTTTGGATCAATATGATGATCCAGGGCTGCCTCGAAGTGCGCACCGCACCCCTTTGTTTAGAGATCCACCCAGGACCCCTATCCTGAAAGACCCCTCTTCTTAGTTTATGGAGTCCCCATCATCAGCTCCATCCAAGCACCCTCCGCTTCCTGTCTCATGACCTAAGATGTTGGGGTATCCCAGCTCAGTCTTAGGCCTCTCCTCTTTTATTGGGTGATCCCCCATCGCCTGACCCTTGACTCCTTCATTCCTGAATCACATTCCAACTTCACCAATTCCGAACCCATAGTGCTCACTGCCTGCTGGATCTGTCTACCCAGATCTCCGACAAGCACCTCGACTGCAATATGACCCGAGGGGAGCTCTTCATCCCGCCTGTTCCCCGCTGGGCCTCCCTTTCTGAGGACAAGAACCTTCCATGCAGCTCTTCAAGCTCTGAATCCATGTGTTGCTCTGAAGTCCTCTCTTCGTCTTAACTTCACATCCAAACCATCAGCATATTTGTCAACCTTGCCTCAAAATAGGTCCCAGACCTCTGTCCTCCTCTCCCCACCCTGCTCTGCCCTGGTGCAGTCACCACCCTCTCTTGTCTGGACCCTGAGAGGGCCTTCCAGTAGCTCTGCAGGCCGCCAGCCCAGACTTTGCAAACAACCATGTTGCCCAAAGCAGCCAGAGGGAGCTTTTAAAACACATCAATCAGATCATGTCACTGCCCTGCTTGAAATGCCCCAAGGCATCCCCTGCGATTTGAATAAAACCCACACACTCTGCCCTGTGCCCAGGGCTTGCGGGTCCCTTTGCTCACCAGCTCTGCCCCTGTTTCCTTTCTTTTTCCTTCCTCCCAGCCTTGGTGCCTTTACCCCGGCTGGTCCCCCTGTCTGGAACATTCTTCCCCTAGGTCCTTAAAAGGCTGCTTCTGTGCCGCAGCTCAAATACCACCTCCTCTGACAGTCCTTCTTTTCTTTCTTCCTTCCTTCCTTCCTTCCTTCCTTCCTTCCTTCCTTCCCCTCCCTCCTTTCTTGTCTTTTCTTTCTTTCCTTTCTCCTTCCTTCTTTCCTTCCTTCCTTCTTTCTTTCTTTCTTTCTTTCTCTCTTTCTTTCTTTCTTCTTTCCTCTCTCTCTCTCTCTGTCCCTCCCTCCCTCCCTCTCTCTTTCTCTTTTTTGTTTTAACAGAATCTCACTCTGTTGCCCAGGCTGGAGTGTAGTGGTACGATCTTGGCTCACTGCAACCTCCACCTCCCAGGTTCAAGCAATTCTCCTGCCTCAGCCTCCTGAGTAGCTGAGATTACAGGCACATGCCACCATGCCAGGTTAATTTTTGCATTTTTAGTAGAGACGGGGTTTCACCATGTTGGCCAGGCTGCTCTCGAACTCCTGACCACAGGTGATCCACCTGCCTTGGCCTCCTAGTGTTAGGGGCCAGGTACAGTGGTTCACGCCTGTAATCTCAACAGTTTGGGAGGCCAAGGCGGGTGGATCACTGGAGGTCAGGAGTTCGAGACTAGCCTGGCCAACATGGTGAAACCCCTGTCTTTACTAAAAATACAACAGTTAGCCAGGCGTGATAGTGCATGCTCGTAGTCCCAGCTACTCAGGAGGCTGAGGCAGGAGAATCGCTTGAACCCTGGAGGCAGAGGTTGTAGTGAGCCAAGATCACGCCACTGCACTCCAGCCTGGGTGACAGAGTGGGACTCTGTCTCAAAAAAAAAAAAAAAAAAGTGCTAGGATTATAGGCATGAGCCACCTCACCTGGCCAGAGTCCTTCCTCGACCCTTGATCAGGAAAGCCCACAGGCCTTATGTGTATCTAGATACGCATCTAGATAGCATTTTCTTGTTTATTTGCTTATCATCTACTTCTTCCCACTGGGTCACCAACTCTATGAGAGCAGAGACTCCAGGACTCCAAATGCCCAAGACCCAGAATCATGCCTGGCACACACTCTCCAATAAATCTTGAGGAATGCATAAGTGAGACCTAGGACCTGTCCCAGGTGATTCACTGTGCAAGATATGCTGTTTCTCCCCCTGGAATGTCTTGACTGGCAAAACCCGGACCTTTACCGAGCCATCTCTGGCTGCTTTCAGGCCTGGATGAGAAATCACTGCCCCAGAGTGGAGTGGCATGAAGGAGCTTTAACAGGCTCAGATGGCAGGATGGCATAATGGCTTTTGGGATGTAGGCACCTGAAGCCCAATCCCACCATCTAGATGCTGTGGGACTTGGACACATTCCTTAATAAGCCTCTGAGCATCAGTTTCCTCCTTGGAACAGCAGTTCTGCCTCTCGGCCCTGCTGAGGTTTAATGCAATATTGCATTTCATGAGGTCATGATGCCTGATCCCGCCCTAATGTTTAACACATGGCCATAGCTATTACTGTTGTTACTGTTATAGAGGCTGAGGTGTGTGAGGGTGGGGAGGAGCTCTCGGAGAATCCTCATTTTCCAAGGTAGAGGATGCAGGAGATGCTGGTTGACTCCATGAGGACACTGTGTGTCCTATGTTCAGGGCACAGACAAGCTTCCGACCTGACCCAAAGCCTCCCAGAGGCAACTCATGCAGCAACGCCTGGACACTCCCCACTCATTCCGCACTGGTAGGTGGCTTGCAGGACAGCAGGTCTTTCCCACGGCCCTGTGTCCCTAAGAGTCCCTGCCCTGGTCATCAGAGGACCCCCAGAGGGTGCTGGCCCATTCCAATAGGACCCTACCTATGTCTCATGCTTGGAATCATCACCAATTCAATCACTCCATGAATATCTGTCCTGTTCCTGTTAGGAAGCGGGCAACACTACTGCAAGGTGCCAGGATCCAACAGACCCCCAGCCTACCGAATGTGCCGCAGGGGAGGCGCACTGGCGAGAGAGATGTGACCAGATGCTGTCTGCTGCCAGTCCGGTGAGCTAGCACAAAGGGGAAGGACAGTGATGGCAAGGACAGTGATGGGCGTGGTTGGGGAAGGGGCCTTCAAAGAGGGCCACTGAGCTGAGATCTAAACTGTGAAAAGTGGCTGGGTGCGGTGGCTCATGCCTGTAATCCTAGCACTTTGGGAGGTTGAGGCGGGCAGATCATCTGAGGTCAGGAGTTCGAGACCAGCCTGGCCAACATGATGAAACCCCATCTCTACTAAAAATATAAAAATTAGCTAGGTATGGTGGCATGCACCTGTAATCCCAGCTACTTAGGAGGCTGAGGCAGGAGAATCACTTGAACCCACAAGGCGGAGGTTGCAGTGAGCTGAGATCCCGCCATTGCACTCTAGCCTGGGTGACAAGAGCGAAACTCCATCTCAAAATAATAAATAAATACATAAATAAACAAACAAACTGTGAAATCCAGGCAGCCACACAAGTCTAGGGAGGCGTGGCGGGCAGAGGGAGCTGCCAGGGAAAAGCTGTGAGCTTGGCTTGTTTGCAGGAAGGAAAGGAGCCAGCGTGGCCTGAGCACGGTGGACCATGGGCAGAGAGATCCAAACTGAGACCCGCGGGGCAGGTGGGAACCAAACAGTGCAGGGCGCATTCTGGCCAGAGTGGTAACTTGGATTTCACCCTGAGAACAGGAGTCACGGGAGGGATTCTAGTGGCCACTGACCCTCCAAATGGGAGGGTTTCCCTCTTGTTATCACAAGCCCTTTCTTGCCATTTGATTTGCTTAAACAATGAAGAACTGATTAGAAGTTTTAATTATTCCTGGAAACTTTGAGGCCTTGGAGCAGTGTGCAAAGGCCTAGTTTCAATGTTTTACAGTAACAGTCTGTTAACAAATTCCAGACTTAATTTATCCAAGAACTTGTTAAAATTCCCTCTGTGCAACCACAAAGGAATGGGCTTTTGAAGTCATTTACTTACCAATAAATTACAATGGTCTGAAATCATTAGCAGCAAAGTAAATTGTTTTAATTGATCTGAACTTCGTTATGACCCAGGGCCTCCGATTTTGTGCAACTGCACTTTCTAAAGGTCTAAAATAACAAATTAATCTCTTTTGAATCCTGTCATCTTTGGATCGGTCCTTTCTCAGAGACCAGGAAGGAACAAGAATCAATGGTGGGTTAGGGTTTGCTGCAGCGCCCGGGAACTGCACAGAAATACTTCAGTTTCGGAGTGAGGGTCTAGTCCCAGGTTACTCTTCCCATTATGGGGGAAATGGCAGACCGCAGAGAACCCAGTGTCAGTTTCTGGTCCTGGGTTGTGGTCACACACTTGATAATCACGGAATCACCAGTCCTATCTGTTCCGTGCACTTTTCTGTAGGTACAGTATATATGACGATAAAAACAAGAGCAAATGTGAAAGTAAAAATATACTTAAAAATAATTAGAGAGGTTTTGTCTGGTGATCCTGATTCTCAGACGGCCTCCTGGAAAAGCCCTGCCGTCAGCTCTGGGGAAACTCCCCTCTCTCTCTGGGCTCTTCTCTGATGCTGCCAGAGTCTGACACCCACTGCCCAGTCTCTCTGAGGGTGGGCAAAGGTGCCGGTCCTTTTGAAAGCAGGACCATAAAGTGACCAGGGCTGTGCTTTGGGACACCTCTAAGGTTCTCCCCAAAATTAGCGCTGTCTGGTGGAGGGGAGGGAGTTGGAATGCTGGCTGGCTGTCAGCCAACCGCCCACCCCAAGTATGCTAGTGGGTGGGGGCACCTCCAGCTGTAGCCCTCATGAACCACCCTCCAAGGTGCAGGCAGCAAAGCCAGACTGTCTCAAATCAGAGATGCCAGCCCAAGGGGCCACTGCAGGTTCCCTGGCCCTTAATCCTGAAGAGCCAGCGGGGCCTGGTTATATTGTGGTGGGTAGATGAGTACAGGGTCCCAGTACTCATCCAAACTGCCCCCACCAGGGCCCACACCTGCTCTGACCCTGTGGAATGTGCTGCTCTATCTGCCTGAAATTTTCCTTCCCTTTATCTCACTGCTTCCACGTAAGAGGCTCAGGATCAGCCCTGGCCAGGGACTCATAGCAGCAGCAGGGCCTTGATGACTCGGAGCTGTGCATGAATCCTCCTAGAGCTGCCTTGATTGTGAGGGCCGTGTTGGGGGCTTATGTCCTCACCCCTGCCTTAGGGAGATGCTAGCCCTGGGACACCCTGTACGGGCAAATAGGCAATGTTGAAGTTCAGGGCGGAGACTTCCAGGAAAAGGATCCAAACTCAGGGCCTGGCCCTCAAGTTCTTCTTTCAGGGGCAAGCTCCATGCGATCGTACCAAGCCAGGGTGTGCAAAGGGCTTTAAAATCCCATCTGCACACAACCCCGCCTTGTGCAGCCAGCAAGAGGGAGGCTGATCAAACAAGAGGAGGCCAGGGCTGAAGCCACACAGCCAGAAGGGCAGCCGGGGTTTGAGGCTATCACAACAGTTTATCTTGGCAGCATTGATGGAGGGGCCTCGGGAGGTAACTGTGAAATTTACAAGTGGAGGATGATTTGCATCTGAGAAAACCCTCCTCTTATTATTCCTGGGATAAAAGGAACATCGAGGCAAGGGCTTTGGGGGTCTGTCCAGAGGCCTCATCCAGCCTCCCTGTCAATATCACTAGAGTAGAGAATTTCTTTCCTAGAACGTGGAGCAAACCTTGCAGGATTTACCCCGCAGATGCTGAGCGACAGAGGTCGAGGGAAGGATATCTGGAGCCAGCGGAGACAACCACTGCTGGTCAGAACTGCAGGCCTGCACAGAATGACGGACACCATGCGTCAAGCCGTCAAGCCACAAGCGCTGACTGCTCTCACCAAGAGGATTTGCCTCCCCTGGGTCCCCAAGCATCCCACAGTCAAGCTGTCCTCCTTCACTTGGAAATGACACGAAAATGTCACAGGAAAATTGACTTGAGGACATCTGCTCCTCAACACCTGAACAAATGCAGGGGACATGTGGGGAACCCTGCCACAGCGGCCGGGGTGTGTAGAGCCCCCAGGAAGAGGGCAACACCCACCCCTACTTGGGCACCCTCTCCTTGGTAGACCTGAGGACAGGCACAATGCCCAGCCCAGTGCCCAGTAAAGGCCTGGCTCTGCCAGGAGGAAGGGGAGGGACCACAACACCCTGACCCTGTCGGCCCTCAAGAAAGAGGAGCCTGGGGCAAGCGTCTTTCTCCAGAAGGGGGAAATGTGATGGCACTACAATTCCCTTCCCAGCTAAGCCCTCTTCTCACGGAGGAAACGAATGCTAATGGAAGCAGTTAAAATGGAAAGGGAGTCGGTTTTCTGGCTGCGCAAAATTCTGAGAAGCGATTGAAGGTAAATTGCTTGGTTTTCAATTTTAAGCTGCACTTATCCAAGCACGATCAGTCTTCCCTGATCGTGGCAGAAAATAATAAGCACCTGATGCGGGGTTGCCCTGGTGCCCAATAACATGGTGGGACTGCATCCCCATTTCATTACAGAAGACAGAGTGCACTCTAAGCAAGTTTATTGATATGATAAATTGCCCCGTCACTTCCCTTTGGGTGAATCTCCTGCCTGGAGCTGTTGGTCCCGCTCCAGGGGCAGGTACCTCACTGGCAGAGAGCAGAGGTCCATCTGGCCGTGCTGCCAGGAGCCCAGTCGTGGCCCTGGGGTTGCCCTGCAAGGGAGGGAACAACATGGGCCACTGTGGCTGGGGCTGCTCAGATCGCCCTGGCCTGGAGCTGCATGGGACCCGAGAGTCCAAGGTCTGGAGTCTGCAAGACCTGGGCTCCACTTCGTGGCCTTGGGCACACCAAGCTCTTCAGCTCAGCTGTCAAATGGAGGTGGTGATGGCAATGGTGAGGGTTTTGATAAAACGATGCTTGCAGAGGCGTTAGTGTAGTGTGATTACGAAGCCCAGGGCCTCCTGAGCCCCTGGGGCCATCCCCCGCCCGGACCATCCCGACTGTGTGTGGCAGAGCAAAGGGCTCCAGACTGCAGAGCCACCTCTCACCAGACCTGACAGACCCGGGGTCCCCAGCAGGGCCACACCAGCGTGGGTGTCAGAGGCAGTGAGAACTGGGGCGGGGGTTGTCTGGCCACAGGAGCTTGTCCTGGGGTAGGGATTTTCCTGGCTGAGAGGCAGAGAGAGACCTTGCCAATGGGCAGGGCCTGTGACTTTCTGTGGGATCCCAGCCCTGGGGTCTAGTCCCATAGCCCCAGTGACCCAGAACAGCACCCTGGGCCACTGCCAGGCCAGCCCAGTGCCCACCTGCACGGTGGAGGCTGCCACACGCACTTGAACGAGGAATGAATGGCCAGGGCCAGGCACCGATAGGGGATCAAGGACCTGTTCTCCCAGAAGCTACAGCTGCCATCTGGGCCGAGGGAGGCGGGTTCTGGGGAGGTACCCGGTGCTTTACGTTTCCTTCCAGGAAAAGCCATTTCATCTCTGAGCCTGACCTCTCAGGTCTGCTCTCTCTGGGGGCTTCTCTGTTCCCCATGACCCTCCCATGGGGAAGGGGTGCCTCCAGGTTCCTGCCAGCCTGAGACATGACACTGCAGACCCTGGTTGCAGGAGGAGAGGTTCCTGCAGAAGCTGGGCGCTCGGGGGAGCCCAGGTGTCTGCAACCCATCTGAGGTTCTCATCTCTAAACACTTCAGATGAAGATAAATGGATCTGAAAGGAGCATATCCCCCTCAACCATGTAAACACAAGGCAGCAGACGAGTAAGTAACATTAGGCCTGACATGGGGAAGCTGCGAGGTATTACTCACCCTGATAAGTTTAATGTATAATTTAGAAACATATCATCAAAATGGGAAAAAAGGGAAGAACCTCTTAAATAACTCTGAAAGATATTCAGCGCTGAAATCACGGGCGGTTAGAGTGGAGGGCGTGCTGCCGACTCACCGCAGACGCAGGCCCCACACTCCCGGTAATTGGGTTTAGATGGATCTGTGAGCAAAGCCCTTTAGGAAGGAAAGATTCACCCTTTCCAGAAGTGGGGAAAGGGTGGGGGTCTAGGGTGGGGGTATCTGTCTGGCCAGGGCTCTGCCAGGCACAGCAGGGCCGCCTGCAGGGGCGGCGGGTGGATGGGCTCAACTCCAATAGGCTATGAATTCTTCGTGGCGGCTGTGTGGGCCCCCCACCTCCTGCCACAGAGGCCTCTTCCCTCTCACCTGGTCTGGGATGGGAGTGGGGAAGGGAAGGCGTGCAGACAGACAGATAGAATGACTGGGGAATAGGAACAATTCTAGGCATTGAAACCCCTCCCCTTCTGGGGGAGCTGGTGGTGGGTGCAGGTGGTCATGGGGGCGGGGGTGGTTGGGGACATCACAGACCCCTGCCCTGGTGTATCTGGGCTACTTTGAGTCCACCAACCCCTCTTGAGTGGCACAACCCCTCCCCTAGCCACAAGGTGGGGACGTCCCCATCCACACTGCTATTGTGCTTCTCTGCCCGCCCCACAGCAAGGGGCACCTCAGTTCCACCGCAGCCACCGTGGGAGCCACATGACCCCTGCACAGCATGGGGCCCCTCTGAGCCCCTCCTATCTTCCTGGTCACATCTCAGGGCTGTCGACAGTCCCCCACCCCTGATCCCTGATGTGGTGAGGACCCAGTGGGACCAGGAGGAGACCGTGTCGGCTGGTGTGCCCAGGCGGGGGTATGCTTCTACCCTTTCCAGGTATTGTTGCCCAGCTGGTGAGCTGAGGGCAGAGGAGTGCTGGGGCAGGAGGGAGGCTGCAGGCCCATGGGGACGGGGTGGTGCCAGTTAGGCCTGGGCCCTGGAGCAGGGCTTCACAGCCTGGCCTGGGCGCCCAAGTCACGCCTAGGTGTCAGTATTGTTTGGAAGCTGCCAGGAGGTTCGGTGTGGCTGCAGGGTTTAGAACTCCAGGCTGGAGGCTGAAGAGTGCCCTTGGCTTGCAGCATGGGCTTTATCTCGGGCCTCTGGGGAGCGCAGATAAGGCGCCTTCTGCGATAACGGGGAGGACTCCGACATTTGAGCCAAGGACATTTCCCTAATTTCTGGACTTTCGTCTTCAGAGTGCGTCCACAGCCAGCCCTCGAGGCTTAAACTCAAGTGCGGATCCCCACCGCTGGGCCCTGAGATGCAGCTGCAGGGAGGGGCCGCCCACACTGGAGGGTGCCCGGGGCCCTGAGGGATGGATGCAGCCAGGTGCCTGGCTGGGAGTGGAGCCTGGCTGGGAGTGGGCGCCTTCCTCCTCCTCCAGGCTCCTCTGGTTCTCATTCCAGCTTGTTCTCACCACCTTGTCTGTTTGGGAACTGCCCTGGCTACCCCAGCCTTTTCCCACAATCTTGGGGATTTCTACCGCAAACTTGTCCCTGCCCTGTGAGTGCATGTGAGGAGCTGGACCCAGGGTCCTGGGGGACACAGAGAGGAAGGCTCAGCCCAGCTGGGAACCAGACAGGTTTACATAATGAAAGCCGCATCGAGAGGGGAGGTGGGAGGCAGGGGAGGTGGGGGCTGAGTCTACTAAGGCCCCGCAGCAGGAAGCTGGAGGTGGATGAGGGACAGATGAGCCGTGTCTCTGGCCTGTCTGTCCACAAGAGAGCCCCCCTCTAGGATGTATGAACTGGGCACCCCGCATCCTGGCCATTCCCCTCCTGCCCCTTGAGGCTACCTATTCTTGTCCTCCCATGGCCCATTGTCCTCCTGCAGCCTCCTGCCCTTGCCCTCTGCACCAGTAGCCAGCGTGATCCCATGTTCACGTTCTTTCACTGGCTCCCCTCCACACTCACGGTGAAACCCCAAGTCCTTACAATGCCCATGGGCTGGACCCATCTGGTCCTGGTCACCTCTGTAGCCTCGTCACTCCTATGGGAACCCACTGGAGTAGGCTGGGCTCCTGGCTGTTTTTCAGAGACTTCAAGCTTATGTCCACCCCAGGGCCTTTGCACATACTCTTCCCTCTGTTAGGACTGCCATTCCCTAGATCTGCTCCCAGCCCATCCCACCGCTCTCAGGGCTCTGCCAGGTGCCCCTCCGCAGAGGCCTCTTCTTGGCTACTCTATCCGCAACCCTCCCGTACCCCTTCCTTTACTCTGCCTGGCTGTCGTTACTGCATTTATCACTATCTTAAATTATATTACAGGCCCACAATCCAATTCCAAAATCCATAAAGCTCTAAAAGCCACAGCTTGTTCATAACTCATTTGGTGGCAAAACGTGACCTGAACTGATGTGAGGCTACTTATAGTCTCAGTTCATCCCTCTTTGTGTGAATATTCATAAATTTTGCTGCAGAAATATTAATGCATCTGATTATGGGGTGCTACTCCACATCCCGCCGGGGACATTACATAATATATGGTCTATGTACCATATTCTGTTTCTAAAATGCAAAGTCTGAAGTCTCAAGCCACGTTTCTAAGCCTCGGCACGAGTACTGGCGTCGTAGGCCGGATAACTCCACCGTGGGGGCTGTCCGGTGCATTGCAGGATGTTTACAGTGTCCCCGGCCTCCACCCACCAGATGCCACTAGCAGCCCCACCCTCAGCTGTGACAACCGATAGCATCTCCAGACACTGCCAGATTGCCCCATGTGAGGACCTCTGGTCTAGCTAAGTACACCTGGCCTTAGGGGTTTCAGATGAGGGGCTGTGCACCTCTCTCCAGTTATTTATCTGCTTACATGAAATATAAACCCCATGGGGGCAGAACCCCTGTTCTTCTGTTCTCTGCTGCATACCCAGCATCCAGTGGTGTCTACCCCAGAGCGGGTACTTAATTCTGACAAAGATTCCTTCCTTTGACTAAAACTTTAGTTAGGGTCTACTGAGTCCTCTGCTTGACTCGGCCCAAACTCGGGCTTCCCTCTCTGTCGTGGGAGAATCCAGTGTGAGCCACAATCCTGCCGTCAGCTTAGCAGAAACCCCCACCTTAGTATCTGACCACCCTCCACATCATCTCCTCCTGGCCTGCCTGCAGGCCTAATCCGAGCGAGACAGTTCAGCCGGAAGCCCCCGACCCTTGGCCATCCTCTCAGTCAGCTTCCGTCCCCTGATGCCCCCTGCTCCTTGCTGATAAATCCCCACTTCTCCTTGCTGGAGTCAGAGTTCAGCCTGATCTCTCTCCCCTACTGTAAGACCCCATGGTGGTCCCTGAACCTACAGTCATGGCGCCCCTGGAATAACGTCTGCCTTATCATCTTTAACAAGCATCATGAATAAAGTTTTTCTTTAACAATACAGAATTGTGGCACAAAGAAAGAAAGTGTTATATGATTCCTCTAGCAGAGTCCCCACCCTAAGGGTTTATCAGAATGTCCGTGACACCCCCTCTCTGAGCAGAATGCCATGGACGCCCCATTCTCCATCCCAGCTCATCTTTGGGGATGCAAGAGCACCCGTCAGAGCTCAGGGTCCCAGGGGAGCTTCCCAGAGCCCAGATCTGATGCCACTCTCACGTGGCCAACCTCAGACTATTGATCCCTAGGGTGAGGACAGTGATCTGGGTCTACCTCCCGGGAGACGGCACCTTCTAAGTGGCTGGACACCCACTCACCGTGTGGAGTTGAACCCCCCTGTGTCTTCCTGTGCACCTGTGCAGGTCTGGGCACCAGGGCAGACCTTGTGGATCAGAGTGGACTTGGGACGGGACAGAGCCTCCAGACGACCCTCAGAGTCTGGTCACTGCCCCCCAGAGGCGGCAGAGAGTGTCAGGGATAAGCTCTGGGATGTGGCTTTTGTCCTGGCAGAAATGCTCAGAGCAGGTTCCACACAGGGGAAGACTGCTGGGTCCTACCCCACACCTCGTTCCATGCAGGGCCAGCCTCTGCCTGCTCACATCTAGCTCTCTTCTGGTGCAGCCCGGTCCACCAGAGGACAGCCCCAGCAGTTAGTCACACCTTCCTTTCATTGAGCCAAAATCCTGCAGCCCCCACCTGCTGGCCCCAGCTCTGCTTCCTAGAGCTCAGAGTACCCTGCAGCCCACAGTGTGTCCGGCATCCTCAGGCTGCCTTACTTCCCATCGTGTAGGGGGCTGATCTTCTCGGCTTCCCAGGACAGGCCTGGTTCAGTCTCTGCACCCCTTCCACACACCTGGGCCTCTGCTTGGCTCCTCCCTCCTTCCACACACCCCCATGCAATGTGGAACTGAGTCTTCTCTTCCCCAGGATGATGGGCAGGTTGGGGAAGGGATCCCCTTTAGGCCCCCTGCTAACGCCCCCTGCTCCCTGCTGATAAAGACAGGGCGCTGCCTCACCACTGGGATGTGCCCAGTCCTCAGCCTCACCTTCTGGTCCTTCTTAGCTGATGGCCACTGGAAGGTTCTGGAGCGTGTGCACTCCAGGCCAAGGAGACCACACTTGGAGAAGAGGGCTCTTTTACACCCAGCAGCTAGGGGCAGACAGACAGGTGATACTGTGCTGAGAGAGGACGGGCCAGGGTAAGGTCTGGGTTACAGCCATGAAACCCACCGAGAGGCTGCTATTGTGCCCAGGGCCCATTTCCTTCTGGTTCCTCAGTCCCCAGTCTCCTGGGTGCACAGCTGCCTGGACAGCTGTGTGACACTTCCCAGCTCCCTCTGCAGCTAGCCATGTGACTCTGCTTGGCCAGTGGTTTGTGAGCGAAAGTAGTATGTGTGAGTTCCAGGAAGTGTTCTTAAAAGGAGGGGCTGTGCCTCTCTCCTTTGTAGTGGCTGGGATGAAGACACGATGGCTGGAGTTAGAGCAGCCACACTGGACCAGAAGCTGCTGGAGTGGATGTTACAGCAACAAGCTAGAAGGAGCCTGGGTCCCTTGGAAATTGTGCAGTCACCACACTAGCCCTTGACTGTGTCTGTTTACAGAGAAAAGAGAACCTTTATCCATTGAGCCTCTGTTGGCTTAGATTTTCTGCCACTCACAGCTGAACCCAACCCCAGAGAATCCAGAGCCCAGGCAGATCTTCCTGCTGGAGACTCGTTCATGGACACACCCAAGGATGCAGGGTAGGGGGTGGGTGAATCAGGGCACTGAGGCCCTCAGGAGTGGGGGAAGGAGAGGATTTAGGAAATCAGGTCAGTAACGCATTGCATTATCAGAAGGACAGAGAGCTCTCTGCAAACTGACAGGAGAGAGCTCCTTTCTCTGAGCAACCGCCACGTGGGCTATCATTTATGGCTGTTGCTGTTTCCTAGCTAAAGAGGACCCTGCCGTTGCTGGGGACAGCCTCCTGGAGCACAGACTCCAGCTCAGGGATCAGAGCCAGCTCCTCCTGCTGCTGGCCTACGCGTGATGTGAAAGTTACGGAAGCAACAAATGCTGCCTTCTGTCCTCCAGGGGAACGTATCCCCAGAAAGCCAACAAGAGCAGAGAGACAAGAAGACGGAGAGAGCTTCGCCGGCACACGAATATCATCACACCATCCTTGTGGGCTGTGCAGCTTTGTGTAAACCCTACAACAGCCATGCAAGGAACACAGACACATTCCTGCCCTCTGGTGACTGATGAGGAGACTGAGACATGGCTTAAAGGAGGAGCTCAAAGCCCCTCAGTACAGAGTTAGAAACTAGAACTGAGCTGTTTGAACTCCAGAAACAGTGCTCCTTCCATTCCAGAAAATTCCCAGCAAGAGGATGCTAGCAGCCTCCCAGTGCCAGAACCGCAAAAGCTCCGGTGAGGAGCAGAAACCTAGGCCACACGTGGCAGGTGTGAACACTTGCCCCTAATGGCCTCAAGGACCGCAAGGCCCACTCTTGGCCGGTCCCACCTCCAAAGAGCTTGTCCACGGCCCAGTGGAGGGAGGGTGCTCTTGTCTAGGGCCCCTGGGTCACAGGTCAGCTTTGCCTCCTGATTTCTGGCACCCAGCCCCACCATTGTTTCTGTACTTTCTCCAAATTAAAAACCCATTGTGGCTGTTCCTAGGTAAAAAGAGTTAATTTTCAATTCGAGTGTGTGGGAGGGTGTCCCCAGGGAACAGAGTAATGAAGCCGCTAGTGCTAGTTGCAAAACAAATAGATGAATCAATGTTTCAATTTTCTCCATGTGAGAGAACGGACACTGTTGCTTAGCAATTCAGAGAACGTTGCTGCAGGCCCTTCGGAGGCAGCCATGATTGCCAGGAAAAAGTTTCTGGGGTTCCAGCCATATTGGAATGACAACCAAACTTCCTATCTTGGGGCTGCAGCTGGTTGGTGCCAGGGAAAGGGGATGATTCCAAGAGATACCCCTCAAACTTGTCCTCTCGCAACACGGTGCCCAGCAGATGTGGGAGGAGGGGCGGGGGCCCTCAGGCCCTGCTTTTCTGATCTGACGCTTCCCATGGCTCCCCAGTGCCCCTGGCACCGAGTTATCAAAAACCACGTATGTGTGGTGGCACTTTACTAAGCTCTGCAGTCGTTCCATTTTCTCAACAACCTTTTAGGGTATTTTCTATTATTATCCCATTTACAGATGAGGAAACTGAGGCCCAGCGAGGTCATGTGACCTTCTCGAGGTCACACAGTCAGGACAGGGTGTTTCACACCATATGACTCTGAACCCTCTAAGGATGGGCTTGTGATGGGCACGGGTTGGAGGAGATCTTGGTTGGGGAGGAGATAACCAAACCCTCCAAAGCCAGAGTCAAATGCCAAGTTCCCTCCGACCGGCAGCCCATCCAGGAAGACCAGCACAGGAGGGATTTTGCACAGTGCTGGGCACAGCCAGCCTCGGGGCCAGGTGCCCAGGGACCTTTGGTGCCACCGAGAATGAGCAGTATTATCAGTCTCTGACACGGCTGTCCCCAAACGTGGGAGGGCTTGGCACTTGTTAGTGGTTCCTCCATGTGCGGGTGTCCTGTCTGCCACCTGGCTCATGGGAAGAGGGCTGTGTGTCTCTGAGGTCTCCATGATGTCTTCCATGCCCAAAGTGGGGCACACTACCCCTGGGACCTCATCATGGCTCCCATCAGCCCCCTCACCTGTCTTCCTTCCTCTCCCCCAGACCTGCTTCATCTGAGCCCCTTCCTCCCTGGGTTCCCCTCATTCACAGGGCTTCCTTCCAGAAAGCTCCTCCTCTTCTCCACCTGCCCCCATTCCCCCCAACAGCTCCCACGGTCCAGATGTGGACAACCCCCCAGGAGCCTCAGCCTCCACAGCCCCAGGGGGAGGGAGCCCTCCTTCCTCTTCTGGTCTGAACACAAAGACCTTGGCCAGGAGCTCTTCCCGCTGCCTCAGTTCACATACCAGTGTCCTCTCGGACTGTGAGCCCGCTGTGGGCAGGGATGCTCCCTGTGGTCCGCAAGGCCCAGCTCCTAGCTGTGTGCCTGGCACAGGCCAGAGGCCAGAATGCATGTGTGAGTTGTGAGTTGACCGGAGAGAGGGTGGATTCAGCTGAGCTGCCCCAAGTTTATGGAGCCCCCACTTCTCACAGTGAATGTCACTTGGGTGCCACGACCCAGATCTCAGAACTGTCCCAGTGACGCAGGAGAAGGACATATTTTTCTAGAGTTCTGTCCAGAAACTTAAGAAAGTGGACTTTAAGGCTGGGCGCGGTGGCTCACGCTTCTAATCCCAGCACTTGGGGAAGCCGAGGCTGGTGGATTGCTTGAGGTCAGGAGTTCGAGACCAGCCTGACCAACATGGTGAAACCCCGTCTCTACTGAAAATACAAAAATTAGCCGGGCATGGTGGTGGGCGCCTGTAGTGCCAGCTACTCAGGAGGTTGAGGTGAGGGAATCACTTGAACCTGTGAGGCGGAGGTTGCAGTGAGCCGAGATTGTGCCACTGCACTTCAGTCTGGGTGACAGAGTGAGACTCTATCTCAAAAAAAAAAAAAAAAAAAAAAAAAGAAAAGAAAAGAAAAGAAAGTGGACCTTAGAGCAAAACCAAATGGACCTCTTGGCTTGCCACCTCCAGGTGCCGAGACCTTGGGACATTCCTGAACTCTCTGAGCTTTTCCTGTCTACACAACGGCAGGTAATAACAGCACCTGAGGGCTGTCATGAGGTTCCCCAAGCCCACGCTGCCATGCCCAGGGCCCTCCATCCATGCCACCATCGTGACGGTTGTTGCTGTGGCACAGATCTGCTTGGAAGCCTCGCCAGGCTGGCAAGACTTCTCCAGGCCAGGCCAGGGACGGCAACCATGCAATGGTCAAAGTGTCCAAAGGCTTGGGCATGAGGGCTAGGAGGACTGTGAGGGTGGAGGGGCAGCCTTGGTGCCACCAGAAAGTGCCCAATCTCCCCCAGGCACGTCCCTCTCCATGTGGCCTCAGCCACTGCCCGTCTGTTGCCCCAGGTCTCAATGTGGCCTCTTGATGTAGAGGACAGACCTTTCCACCTGTCAATCCCTCCATAAGCCTGAGGCTTCTGCACTCAGTAAAGCGGGGAGGCTGTGCTCCCTGGAGCAGGGGTAGTGGTGGGAGAGCCTCCCACGGGGATGGTATGAATGCCTTTGCCACAGCTGTGGGTTGAATGTGTCCCCTAAAGCTCATGTGTTAGAAATTTAATTCCCAATGCAACAGTTTTGGGGGACTTAATAGGAAGTGACTGGGTCACAAGGGCTGTGCCCCCATACACGCATTCGTGCCACTATTGAGAGAGTGGGCCTCTTGCTCTCTCTCTTGCCACGTAGTGCCTCCTTCCATGGGATGATGAAGCAAGAAGCCCTCACAGATGGGGCCATCTGTCCATCTTGGACTTCCCACCCTCTAGATCAGTGGGATTCATACATTTCTGCTCATTGTAAGTTACCCAGCCTGCGGTTTTCTGTTAGAGCAGCACAAAACAGACTAAGACAGCTCCATATCCACAGGGCACGGCCATCCATTGCCACGGATATGGGAGCCGCTTGGATGCACGTGTCCTTTCCGGCGACCCTGTCGGTAGGGGCGGAGGGCAGGTGAGCCAGCCCTTCCCCAGTGGCATCTGTGGGACCCAGCCTCCACACCGCTTGGCCCTTGCCCTGGGAACAAGGGGTCTTCCCGAGCAAGCTGCTGTGAGAGCCTGGCGGGGAGGGACACGTGGCTTTGTCCTTGGTGCTCCCGGCTCCCTGGAGGACCCAGGGCCTCGGCTTTCTCTTTGTGGAGAAGCCACTGGATTGTTGATGTGCATGACCCTGGAGCAGGCCACGGCCCCTGTCCTCCCCTCCAACAGGATCCACAGAGGGCACCTGGGTGTGACCACCTAGATTCTTTTAGTGAACTTTCCTAAACTGTGTTTCAAGAGAGACATGAACAGGGGTGTGTAGGGAGAAAAAAAAGTTCCCAGGTCCTCTCGGAAATCAGGGCTCACAGTCAAATGCGTTAGGAACATGTGCACAGTAACTCCCATCATGGGGACTCACAATGTGAGATTAACATATTAAACAGTCTGGGAAAACCCATCAACCTTTGTTGTACCCAGTGTTCCCTGAACTCATCTGACGGCAGAATCCTGTTTTTGTGGGGCAGCAAATAACGGTGACCTTCAACTATAGTTTTGAAAATGATGATCTAGGCCAGGGGTTGGCAAACTATAGTCCATAGGCCCAAATCTGGCCCGCCATCTATTTTTGTAAATAAAGTTTTATTGGAACACAGCCAGTGCATTCATCGATATATTGCCTCTGGTGGCTTTTCTGCTACAATGGCAGTGTTGGGTAGTTTCAACAGAGACCACAAAGCAGAATATACTATCTGACCATTTAAGAAAAAATTGGCTGACCATTGCTTTAAATAAAACCTTATGAGACCACTGTAAAGACATGCAGGACGGTGTGAGTGTGAAGAACATCAACCCATTTTACACCACCGGGAGCGTTTGCAGTTAGGAAGGAAATTCAATGCTTAAAAAAAAAAAGGGTTGTAGGGGCATCTCCAAAACAAAGTCCCTGGGCACGTGTCTAGATGGGACTTCCTTCCAGGCCGGCTGGTGAGTGAGAATGGTCAGAGCCTGTGAAATTCCCGACCAGTCACAGGCAACCGTTAGAGGGAGCCATGGTCTGTGACGGTGAGAAGGAGTGCTGACACAGGTGGCCTTGCTTCCCTCCTGAGGGGCTGGGAGAGGTTGGGGCTACTCCTTAAAGTTTGTTAATCTGCAAAAAATAAGCACAAGGGGGGGCCCTTTTCAGTGATGGCACACCTCGTTCTACACACCAGATGAGTTTCTGGAGCACATAGGGAGGCCACAGTCCTAGCCAAACAGAGGTGACAGGGATCTGAGGAACGTCTCCTCCAGGCCTCTGATCTCACAGCCAAGCACACTGGGCCTCCGGGGGAGGACGATGCTGGCTTGTTGATCCCTCACACCAATCAGTCCCATCTCCCCAGTGCAGAGGCACAGCCCAGGCTACTGAGTCCCTTGGGTTTGACTCTCGGCTTGAGGAGTTGTGGCGTTCAGCAAAGAATAACCACAAAGGCATTAGCTGGCATCTATTGAGTACCTATTCTTGGCACCCCATGCATTCAGCCCCTTTCTCCACTTTCAGAGCCATAAGACAGATCTTCATTAACAAATTCCCTGTATCTGTGATGGCCAATCCCCCGTCCTCCTACCTCTCTGCTCTGGTGGATCCTGCACACCCCTGCCAGGCAATCTTTCCTACAATCCGACCTTCCTGGGGCCATGCACTCTCTCAAGGATGGTTGCTGGCTCCCTAGTACTGCTCCCCTCAGCTGCAGCACCCGCTCCCATCACTCTCCACCGTGTGGCATCTCAATCCATTCTGCACCTCACATGTCTTAGTCCATTTGGGCTGTGATAGCAGAATATCATAGTCTGGGTGGTTTATAAAGAACAGAAATGGATTTCCAGTTCTGGAGGCTGGAAAGTCCAAGATCAAGGCACCATCAATTCAGTGTCTGGTGAGGCCCCTTCCTGGTTCCTAGACAGTGCCTTCTTGCTTGCGTCCTCACACGGTGGAAGGTCTGAGGTGTCTCTCTTGGGCCTCTTTTATAAGGTTTTATAAGGGCACTAATTGTATTCACTCATAACCTAAACAACGCTCCAAATCCCCACTTCCTAATACCATCACTGTGGGGGCTAGGATTTTAATGTATGAATTTTGGGGAGACAACACAAACATTTGGTCTGTAACAGGAAGGCCCTTAATTGGCCTGGCACGGTGGTTCACGCCTGTAATCCCAGCACTTTGGGTGGCCGAGGCGGATGGATCACCTGAGGTCAGGAGTTGGAGACCAGCCTGGCCAACATGGAGGAACCCCGTCTCTACTAAAAATACAAAAAATTAGCCAGGCGTGGTGGTGGGCACCTGTAATCCCAGCTACTTGGGAGGCTGAGGCAGGAGAATTGCTTGAACCTGGGAGGTGGAGGTTGCAGTGAGCCGAGATTGCACCATTGCACTCCAGCCTGGGTGACAGAGCAAGACTCTGTCTCAAAAACAAAACAAAACAAAACAAAACTGAGCCCCAGTGCTGAGCCTCCTGCAGTCAGGCCCGCCTCCTTGCTCCATTTCCTTGATCGCCCCTCTGCCACCTCCCTCCCTGACGTCTCCAGGGAAGCAGGAACTGGAGGGCCCTCAGAAATCACTGAGAATGGCCTTGCCTGGCAGTGCAAATTCCTTCTCCGAGTGGATTTCCCTCAGCTTTCCTCTTCCCCAGGGTCTCATCCAATAAGGTGTTACCACTTAGCTCTATGACAAGTAAGTAACAAGTGTGCCTCATCTTTCCCTGCCTACACCTGGGCCAGACATTACTAATCAATCACTGCACTCTTTCCCTCTGAGCCAGAACTCAGACTCCTCCTTGATACATGTTATTTAAAGTGATGAACCCTTTTGGCCATGGTTTTGCTGGGGCAGAAACTGAGGCCCTGGGCAGGGAGGTGACTAGCCCAAAGTCACATGGGCATTTGAGGCAGAGGCAGGCTTAGATCTCATTTCCTTTCTCCTGCCTCAGGGCTGTACACATGACAGGCCATCTGCAAACTCTGGTTCCATGTTCTGTAAACTGGATTCTGCCCCTAAGAAACAGGAGGAACTTAGCTTGATATGGGGCCTGTGTTCTGGGAGGACGTCTGACCCACCTCCCTGCCTCTCTGTTTGGTGGGAGTGATTTTGATGCACTAAAAAACAAGGAGGCCTCTATCCAGAGAGACAGAGTCGGGGCAGTGTGGGGTAGAGGAATTCAGTGCAGAGGCACAGCTCAGGCTACTGAGTCCCTTGGGCTTGACTCTCAGCTTGAGGTGTTGTGGCATTCAGCAAAGAATAACCACAAAGGCATCAGCTGACATCTATTGAGTACTTATCATTGGCCAGAAACAGAGCTGAGCACCCAACATGAGTTATTTCATGTGATCCTCACCACTATCCAAGGCAACAATATTAGCCCATTCTACAGATGAGACCACAGAGGCACAGACAGAAGCAGAATCCTGCTGCGTCAGAGGCAGGGAATGTGCATGAAGCAGCAGCCCAGAGCTCAACATGCGGCTGCCACTAGGCTTAGCACTATTGCTGGTCGACATGTCCGTCCTTCCCTGGTGGAGCTCTGGGACTGGGCTGGGGTTGGGGCACGGACCTCTCAGTAAGCCAAGAGCTTGTGGGTCTGGGGCCTGCAAAATGAAACTGGCAGGTGGAAGCCAAGTTGGCTGGAGGTGGGAAGCCTGGAACTTTTCTTCCATCTCAGCCAGCCTGACACCTGGCCTCTCTCTACCTGACCCCTGAAAGTCTAAAGACTGTCCCCAGGAAGGCACAGACGGCTGAGGTTAGCCGGTTGGCTTGGCACGGGACAGAGCTGGCCAGGCGGACCTCTCTGCATCGCGTCGAGAGGAAGCTAAATAAACAGCCCGTGTTCTCTGGAAAATGACCCTGCTGATCCTGGAGTTAAAAATAGAGGCATATTGATCGTGGCCCGTGCCCAGTGAGCGTTAGCAGAGCTTCACTGGCAAAATGACCGGCCTGAGTCAGCCCCTCAGGTAATTTATTTTTCCACTCAGCTGGCCAGGGAGCATCCCTGCACATCCTGGGCTGTGCAAACGAGGTGCCACGTGTTCCCCAACACCACAGCTCACTTGCCAGGGCTCCCTGATGGGGGCAAGGGGAGTGGGCTGCCCTTCCTTCCTGGGTGGGTTCAGGCACCGCCCCATTTCCACAGTCATGTATAACGCCTGGCAGTGTCTGCTTGGAAGGTCTGTTTGGCAGGTGCACAGGACCAGCTCGCAGCTCCCAGCTCCCAGCCCTTGGCTCAGAGCTCGGCACATGGTGTTGTGTCTTTCTCCTGTTACTCCCTGCACGGCCCACATGCTGCCGCCTGTCGGGTGGACACCTGCAGGGAAGCCCTGAGAGCCCTCTCCTGGCTCAGGTAAATTGAGCCTTTATGGAAGTAATTTGTTAAGATGAGGTCATGCATGCCTGTAATCTTCACACCTTGGGAGGCTGAGGCAGATGGATCACCTGAGGTCAGGAGTTTGAGAACAGCATGGCCAACAGGGTGAAACCCCATCTCTACTAAAAATACAAAAATTAGCCGGGCATGGTGGTGCACGCCTGTAATCCCAGCTACACGGGAGGCTGAGGCAGGAGAATCGCTTGAACCCAGGAGACAGAGCTTGTACTGAGCCAAGATGGCGCCACTGCACTCCAGCCCGGGCAACAGAGCGAGACTCTGTCTCAAAACAACAAGAACAAACCCAAAAAAACCCAAAAAACGATGATGTCATGCTGCGGTAGAGTGGTCCTAGATGCAATAGCTGGAGAGACACACTAGAGGCACCCAGGGAGAAGGCCCTGCAAAGACACAGGCCGAGATCAGAGTGACATAGCTGCAAGCCAAGGGGTACCAATGCTTGCCAGGAGCCAGCGGAGGCGGGGAGGCCGGGCATAGGCTCTCCTGGAAGGAACTGGCCCTGCTGGCGCTGTGGTTTTGGACATCTCTGGACTCCTGCACCGTGAGAGCATAAATGTCTGCTGTTTTAAGCCACCCGGTCAGTGGTAATTTATTAGGGCAGCCAGGGACCACTGTTCCCTTCATAGAAACACCATTATCTGGATGGCACGGAAGCAGCTGTGGCCCCGCTGAGCACAGGCAAACCTCAGGCTGACCAGCAGTTCACTCTCCAAAGCCTCAGTTTCTTTGACCCTAAAATGGGAACCATAGTCCCACTGCCCAAGAGGGTTTGTCAATCTGTGTAAACTCCATGGTGTGCCCAGCTGCAAAGGTGCAAGGGGTTCTGGGGAGCAGGGCCCTGGCACTCTGAGGGTTAAGTAGGGTGCTTTGCCAGGTTTTTCTTTCCCCAGTTTCCATCGATCCTTAGCATGCTAACCCTGTTCCTGCATGCCACTCCATTAGGTTTGCCCAGTGCAAGAACTTGAGTCTTGTCCAGGAGTAAACCCTTCTGAACCAGAAAAACAAATATGGCTTAAAATAAGACATTGCTTCCTGGTAGAACACAGGCCAGGCATAAGGCTTTGGTGAGTTCAGGCGCCGGCTGCCTGTTTCTGGAAGAGCTGGGGCTGGGCTGGGGCTGAGAGGGATGGGCAAGGGGGTGGCTGTCCATACAGATAGCTGGATCACAGGTGCGGTTTCTTATCAGACTGGGCCCTTGGCCAGCCCTGGCAGCCTTTTATCTTCGTCTTCCATTTCCCTTCTGTCTTTAGCAAGCTTCCTTTCTGCTCTGGTCTGAACATGTGTGTCTTCCCCCAAATTCCTATGTTGAAATCCTAAACCCCCAGGTGATGGTATTAGGAGGTGGGGGTTTGGGAGATGATTGAGTCACGGGGATGGAGCTCACATGAATGGGAATGCCTCACACCTACAACCATCTAATCTCTGACGAAGCTGACAAAAACAAGCAATGGGGAAAGAACTCTTTATTCAATAAATGGTGCTGGGACAACTGGTTAGCCATATATAGAAGACTGAAACTGGACTCCTTCCTTATATCATATAAAAAAATCAACTCAAGATGGATTAAAGACTTAAATGTAAGACCTAAAACCATAAAAACCCTGGAAGATAAGCTAGAAAATACCATTCTGGATATAGGAACTGGCAAAACTTTCATGATGAAGACACCAAAAACAAGTGCAACAAAAGCCAAAATTGACAAATGGGATCTAATTAAACTAAAGAGCTTCTGCGCAGCAAAGGAAACTGTCAACAGAGTAAACAGACAACCCACAGAATTGGAGAAAATATTTACAAACTATGCTTCTGACAAAGGTCTAATATCCAGAATCTATAAGGAACATAAACAGATTTACAAGCTAAAAACAAACAACCCCGTTAAAACATAGGCAAAAGGACATGAACAAACACTTTTCAAAAGAAGACATACATGCGGCCAATAGGCATATGAAAAATGCTCAACATCACTAATCATTAGAGAAATGCAAATCAAAACCACAATGAGATACCATCTCACAGGAATCAGAATGCCTATTATTAAAAAATCAAAAGGTAACAGATGCTGGTGAGGTTGCAGAGAAAAGGGGACACTTATACACTGATGATGGGAGTGTAAATTAGTTCAGCTATTGTGGAGAGCAGTATGGTGATTCCTCAAAGAACTAATAACAGAACTCCCATTCGACCTAGCAATCTCATTACTGGATATATACCCAAAGGAATATAAATTGTTCCACCATAAAGACACACGCATGCATATGTTCACTGCAGCACTATTCACAATAGCAAAGACATAGAATCAATCTAAATGTCCACTAACTATAGACTGGATAAAGAAAATGTGATACATATGCACCGTGGAATACTATGCAGCCATAAAAAAAGAGCAAGATCATGTCCTTTGCAGCAACATGGATAGAGCTGGAGGCCATTTCCTAAGCAGACTAACACAGGAACAGAAAACCAACTACTGCATGTTCTCACTTATAATTGGGAGCTAAAATAACAAGAACACATGGGCACAAAGAGGGGAACAACAGACATTGGGGCCTACCTGAAGGCAGAAGGTGGGAGGAGGGAAAGGATCAGAAAAAAATAGTTATTGGGTACTATGTTTAGTACCTGAGTGATGAAATAATCTGTAGGCCAAACCCCTGTGACACAAGTTTACCAACATAACAAACCTGCACAGGTACCCCGAACCTAAAATAAACCATAAAAAGTGTAAAGAAAAAGAATCCTCATAAACTGGATTAATGGCCTTAGAAAAAAGGCCTGAGAGATATCCCTTGCCCCTTCCACCCTGTGAGGACGCAGTGAGAAGATGGTTATCCATGAACCAGAAAGCCCTCAGCAGACACTAAGTCTACTGGGACCTTGATCTTGGACTCGCTGCTTCCATAACTGTGGGAAATAAAGTTTGGTTTGAAAGCTGCCTAGTTTATGTCATTTTGCTATAGCAGCCCAATGGACTAAGACACTTTGTTTTCCATGAAGGTGAAGGCAGTTGGGCACAGATTGTTGCAGAGCATGCACAGGCCTGGCTCTGGGAGGGACACCTTACACCTTACAGATACACCACCTTTAATCCTCACAACCTCCGGCGACACAGAAAGGCTGCCCATCTTGAGGCAACTGAGGCTCAGAGTGGTTAAGGAGCCTCCTGACATCACCCAGCTGGTTCATGGGGGAGGCCAGGCTTGGATTCTGACTCCCAGGCTCTCTCCAGTCTCCGTACCCTATCCCCATCCTCGCATGATAACACTGATTTTCCCTCTGCGGTGGGGGGTGATGGAGAGCAGAGGTGAGGCCCTTCAAACCCACCTGGGGAAGCAGGGGTCCCAGGCAGGGTCTGTGCTGACACAGCAGGAGGCTGACAGGACCTTGGCCTTGGTGAACAGGGCAGTGCCAGGCTCAGAGAACAAACTGGATGAACCAACCAGCAAGGCACCCCTGCCTTCCACTTTCAGGACAAAGTTCAATGGCACTAGAGGACTTTCCTTAATTAAAAGTTGATAGCAGAACAGCCTCCAGGTCTCTGGCTGGGGCCCATGTGCAGCCAAACTCCTGCTGGTGACTGCCGACATCCTGGGCCAGCCCTTGGCACATGCACGGGCTGGTCCGGGTTTGCCCCTGGCTTCCTCCTCCCCGTGCTTCCTCCCTCCACCCTTCCAGCTTAAGCAATAAGTTCTCCGGCCCTCTCTGAAAGGGCCCCAATTCAGGTTACAGTGTAATTGACCTACAGTGGAATGTAGGAACTTTTAAAGGAAGGGTTGCATCTCCTCAGGGATCAAAAGCAGAAGCCAGGGAAAAGAACTCTCCTGGATGAATTTCAGGATTGGATCACAGGAAGGAGGTGGCGTGAGGGGCAACCAGTCCTGCAGGGAGTTTTGGATCCCCCCAGTGCCCAGCAAGGGATCCCTGATCTCCCACCCAAGGTCTCGGTAGAATTAAGCAAGACGGCCCCAAGGCCTCCCAGGACCCCTAATGATCAAAGCAAAAGCCATTTTAAATTGATACAGTCTTTAATAAGGCAGGGAAATGGACACATGATTTTAGAACCTTTTCCACTAAGAGTCCAAAGGATTAGGCAGGGCAGTTAGCTTATGGGAAAACTCACTTCCTGGGTGTTTCCTGACTAAGGGGACCTGACGATGGCAGCTAGGATGGAGGCTGCAGGGGCTGGGATCCAGGACACACTGTCTGCACCTGGGTGGTACAGTAATAATAATGATGGTGATTGGTGATGGTGGCGGTGATGATGGTGATGGTGGTAGTGATGATGATGATGGTGGTGATGATGATGGTGATGCTGCTGCTGATGGTTATGTTGATGACAATGGTGGTGATGATGATGGTGATGTTGGAGAATGATGGTAGTGATGGTAATAGTAATAATATGATGATGGTGATAGTGATCATGATGATGATGATGAAGATGGTGATGGTGGTGATGACACTGATGATGATGGTGATGTGATGATGAAGATGGTGATGTTGATGTGGTGGTGGTGATGATGATGTTGGAGAATGATGAAGGTAATGGTAATCATATGATGATGGTGATAGTGATCATGATGATGATGGAGATACTGATAGTGGTGGTGATGATAATGGAGATGGTGATGGTGGTAGTGATGATGATGATGATGGTGATGTGGTGATGATGGTGATGTTGATGATGGTTGGTGGTGGTGATGGTGGTAGTGATGATGATGATGATGGTGATGTGGTGATGATGATGGTGATGTTGATGATGGTTGGTGGTGGTGATGGTGATGTGATGATGATGATGGTGATTTGGTGATGATGATGATGATGGTGATGATGATGGATGATGGTGGTAATGGTGATGATAAGGATGATGATGGTGATAGTGACCACGATGATGATAGTGGAGATGGTGATGATCGTGGTGATGATGATGGAGATGGTGATGGTGGTGATGATGACACTGATGATGATGGTGATGTTGATGATGGTGGTGGTAATGATGATGATGGAGAATGATGGTGGTGATGATGGTAATGGTAATAATATGATGATGGTGATAGGGATCATGATGATGGAGATAGTGATAGTGGTGGTGATGATGATAATGGAGATGGTGATGGTGGTAGTGAGATGATGATGATGGTGATGTTGATGATGGATGGTGGTGGTGATGGTGATGCGGTGATGATGGTGATGTTGATGATGATGATGTGGTGATGATGATGATGGTGATTTGGTGATGACGATGATGGTGATGTTGATGATGGATGGTGGTGGTGATGGTGATGTGATGGTGATGATGATGGTGATGTGGTGATGAGGATGGTGATGTTGATGTTGGATGGTGGTGGTGATGGTGATGTGGTGATGATTTTGATGGTGATTTGGTGACAATGATGATGGCGATGTTGATGGATGGTGGTGGTGATGGTGATGTGATGGTGATGATGATGGTGATGTGGTGATGATGATGGTGATGTTGATGATGGTTGTCGGTGGTGATGGTGATGTGGTGATGATGATGGTGATGCTGATGATGGTTGTTGGTGGTGATGGTGATGTGGTGATGATGATGGTGATGTTGATGATGGTTGTTGGTGGTGATGGTGATGTGGTGATGATGTTGATGGTGATGTGGTGATGATGATGGTGATGTTGATGATGGATGGTGGTGGTGATGGTGATGTGGTGATGACAGTGATGTCGATGATGGTGATGTGGTGATGATGCTGGTGATCCTGATGAGGGATGGTGGTGGTGATGGTGATGTGGTGATGATGATGATGATGATGGTGATTTGGTGATGATGACGACGGTGATGTTGATGATGGATGGTGGTGGTGATGGTGATGTGGTGATGATGATGGTGATGTTGATGATGGATGGTGGTAGTGATGGTGATGATAAGGATGATGATGGTGATAGTGATCATGATGATGATAATGGAGATGGTGGTGGTGATGATGATGATGATGGAGATGGTGGTGGTAGTGATGACGGTGGTAATGGTAAACATTTATTGATCACCTTATATCTGTCAGGCAATATTCTATGAGCATGCTATTTATTAACTCACTTAATTCTGGCAACAACCCAGTTAGGTAGGTGATAGTATTATCCTCACTTTACTATGTGGAAACAGGCAATGAAAGTTTAGGTTATATACCTGAGGACAAATGGTTAACAGTGGCAGAGCCCAGCTGTGATCTCAGTTTGTTTGGGACCGGAGTTTTCTCTCTTCACCTTTCAATGGGTGGTGATTGAGCCCAGGATAAAATACATGGCACAGACTTGAAGTCCATAGACTGACTGCCCATCTGAATCACCCCAGCATCTTGTGAAAATACATATTCCACAGCCACTATAGGCTCTCTGTGGCCCAGGCCTGAGGATGTGCATTTTCATAAGGTCCTTGGGTGATTCACATGTGGATAATCCAGGACCAAGGTGGGACCCACCAGTGCAAACAACCCACCAGGAAGCTGGGCTGGCACAGGGGTTGGGCCTATTGGCCTGTCTCCAAAGCACGTCTCCCATCCATCCACTGCTTTCCCTGTCATCGGCCACCACCTGTGTTGACGCCACCATTTCCCTGTCCCACTGCTACAGCTTGGCTGAGAGCTTTCAAATACTCAGACTTGTCCCTTACCTCTGCTTCTGCCTGCCATTCAGGTGTATGTCTGCAATTGCATGTCGAGTGTGGAGGCTCTCCTGCAGCTGGCCCTCCCCTGTCCTTCAGGGTCCCTGTGAGCAGTCCTGCCTGCCCTGGTCCTCATCACCACACTTCGCCTGTGGTTCAGACCTCAGGGCCTGCCCTCCATGCTTCCATGGTGAGTGGCCTTCCTCCGCTGCCACCATGGGCCCCTTCTACTCTGCCAGGTTGCCAGCCAAGCTGCCTCCTCAGAGTGCCTTCCAGAACCACATTCCGGGAACGGACCCCTGCTCTGGAGTTATTATCCACACTTGAGGTCCCCGTCCCCAAGGTCACTCAGCTGGCCTCACTTATTTCCCTAACAGCTGTCTGCTCTGAGCCTCCTCCATCCCAGACCCTGACCCAGGGTGGGACACACAAAAGTCCCCATTTTCATGGATCTGCTACGCTCACTTGTTTTAGCTCCTTCCTACTAGCAGGCAAGGTCCATGAAGACTGGCCCATGAAGACTGTGTCCGTGTGGGCACAGAGGGGGTGCTCGGGAGTCTGGCAGCATGTGAAATGCTCCTAGTGCCAATCTGGGGCTTGGGCTGGTCTCATTGCCCTCCCCGCACGATGAAGCCCACTGGGCATAGAAGGGAAAGACTGGACATCTCGTTGTCTTCCCTCCTGATGTGCAGGGATGAGGCTGAGAGAGCCTTCTAAGTGTGACACAGCCCAGAGGGACTCAGGCCTCTGGGTGCCTGTGGAGGGCTCTGTGGCCCAGCCAGGCTGAGGTCTGGGTGTCACATCGGTTTTGAGATCTGCAAAGCCATGGTCATGTGATTTTCTTGGAGCTGGGGCTGCCTGCCTGCTTAGGCCAGGTTCTCTCTGCTCATCAACAACCACGGGAGGGAGGGAAGAAAGGAAGCGAGGCAGGGGCTGGTGGGAAGTTTGAGGGGCTGGGCTGGGTTCTCTTTGGTATTCTGTGCAGTGCCTGCCTGCAACTCGGTGGGTGCTTAATAAATGTTTATTACGAGTAACAAAACCAGCCTTATTTACACTAGGCCTATCTCCAAAGGCTGCTTTCCATACTTAAAAATAACCTTAATCATCTCTCCCAACATCCTCCAGAGACAGGGTCGATGGCTCTTTGCCATTTATAAATGGAAAGAAAGGTCTAGAGAGGGACAGTGAGTGCCTGGGGGTCACCCAGGGGCCCAGCCCGGCTCGCACCAGATCCCTTGTCTCCAGTCTCTAGAGAGCACAGGCAGGATCCAGGAAAACCTCCATCTTTTTTTCCAAAGTGATTTCAAGGTGCTATGGCTGAATTGTATCCTGCCACATCCATATGTTGAAGCTCAAAGCCCCAGTGTGACCGTAATCAGAGATACAGCTTTAGAAGGTAATTAAGGTTCAATGAAGCCATGGGGCCAGGGTCCTAATCCAATAGGATTGGAAGACTTCTAAGAAGAGTAAGATTCTCTCTCTCTCTCTCTCTCTCTCCCTACTATGTGAGGACACAGCGAGAAGGCGGCTGTCTGCAAGCCAGGAAGGGAGTCCTCACCAGCCCCCAACCACGCTAGCATCCTGATCTTGGCCCTCCAGCTTCCAGAACTGTGAGAGTGTAAATGTCTACTGTTTAAGCCACCCGGTCTATGGTATTTTGTCATGGCAGCCTGAGTAGACTAAGACACGAGGACAAAACAAACAACATAAAACAGCCCCCAGAAAATACCCAGGAATTCCTTTCCCCAAGGAGCCCCACAGTATGGCTGAGGCCCCCAGGCAGCCTCCCCAAAGGAGCAGGACCTGGCTCTCCTGGGGTCTCAGTCAGGTAGGCCCAATGGAGTTCGAGGGTCCCAAGCTCTGCCAGCCCCGTCCTGCTGTTCCGGACAGCCTAGAGCCAGGCTCTCTGCGGAAAGCCCAGCCCCTGATGTGGACACTCAGCCAAGCCCTCTGTTCCTGGCCTCTTCACTCTACCACGTGGTCAGGGACCTGGGTTGTCCCTGGGGCCTAGAAGCCTGGGTCAGCTGTCCCAGTAGGCTCCCCTGGGCCCTCACCAGCCTTCTGCCCCTGCTCAGAGACTCACCCCACTGCCCCACAGCCTGCCTCACTCCCATCCCCATAGGCCCGTGGGCCCCAAAGGCAGCGCCCACTTCTCCAGCCCTTTATGGCAGCTACATCTCTCTGGGTGCTTCTCCGGGGAATGAGGAGGGACAGATGGAGATCCCACCTTCTGCCCCAGTGATCGGCTGGCAAGTGGAGGGTGGGGGTGTGAGGGGTATATCCAGGTAGCACAGGTGACTGGCAGGAGTCTCCCCAGGGAGCCCCCTGGCACCCACAGCCCCTCTGCTTTGGGTCCCTCACCTCCCTGAGGGGCCTTGCCCTTCTGCTCCCACCCCCCATCCACCTTGATCTCGTGGTTGTCACCCTGTCTTCCTCATCCCTCTCATACTCTCCCACCTTGCTTCCTTTGCTTCTCTCTCTCCTTCTCCATTTCTCTGTCCCCCACCCTCCTTCTCCTTGACTATTTTTTTCCACCCCACTGTTTTTGTTCATTGTCTCTTTGTTCTCATCCCTCTCAACTCTCCTTTTTTCTGCCTCAGTCTCCATCTCCTTCTAATCCTCACAGCCTTTTGCTTGTCCTCCTCTGCTTCACGTGCCTCCCAGGACCCCTCTACTCCTTCCAGTCCCTGAGCCCTCACTCCACTGGACACTGGGAGGGCAGAGGGCCTGCAGAGCTTCCTGGACGACAACCATGTCTGGGGGTCACACGCACACACACACACACGCCTGCAAACGTACATACCCGCACATGAACATGCACACTCACACAAGCTTGCAGACACACACGCAGGCATGCACAGGCAACCAAGACTCATATTTGCTGTGTCTCATTTTTGGTGCATGGGCCATCCCAGGAAACAGAGGGCAGAGGAGCCCGTTTTCCCACGGCATGGGAGCTTACAGAGCTTCTGAAGAAGCAAGGTCTTAGCCACTTGCCCTGTGAAGGCGCCGCCCTCTCTAATTAATTTTCAGGGTTCACTATAACCGCTGTCCCTCCCACGGCCCTTACAAATCACATCAGTAGCGATAATCCAGACAGCACGCCGTCTCCGGGAAGGGGAAGATTAGAGCTGAGTTGGCGTCTCCTCCTCAGGGAGAGACTCTTGCCTTAGAAGCCAGCCTGGCAGGTGGAGTGACAAAGGCCAGCCCTACCCAATAGCCGGAAATAGAGGGTCTGGGAGGACCACAGGCCAGGAGGGGTGCACCCCAGGAGGGGACATGGGGTCGGAACATCCGGAGAGCCCCAATGGGCCTAGCACCTAGAACGATGTTTCTGGAGAATAGGATTCAACTTCTATTTGATTCTCCTCATTTGAATTCTAAAAACCTAAAACCAAAAGGACCCTTCTAGATCAGTCATGACACCCAAGGCCTGGGTCTGAATGTCTACCCCCCACCCAGCCCCTCCTCGCTTTACCCTCCCTCTGCAGCGCTTACCCCCATGGAATATTCTGCAGGTTCTGCTTAGCTCTCCTGTTCTTATGTCTCCTTCTCCAGAATGCAGTTCCATGGGCAGGCATTTGGTCTGCTTTGTTTGCAGGGCACACAATAATATTTGCTGGGTAAATGCAGGAGCCTCTACTTTGCAGAGCCATATAGCATTCAACAAGTCGCTGTATCTCTCCAGGACTCAGTTTCCCCAATGGGCATAAAAAGATGTGTGGTCCCAGAATGCTGTGTTCTTTGCAGAAGCACTGATACCACTCAGATCACAAGGCCGTGAGCAAACGCACTGGCTGCCATCCAGTCTCAAGGTGGCCATCAGAGCCACCCCAAGCCAAGGGTTGCTAACACCCTGATGTGGAAGGCTGAAGACAAAACTTGCTACAGCTGGGCCCACTCCACATGAGGAGGCCAGCCTTGGGCCTGGACAGCAGGCTCTAGTGGGGCCCGAGTGGGAACAGAAGGCACGGGAGCTGCTAGCAGGTCCCACCGAGCCTCGCTGACCTCCCAGGTCCTGCTGTGCTGCAGGTCTCAGTCCTGACCATCTCCCCAAACCAGGCTTCTTGAGGTGCGGCTGGTTCCACAGACCCACCCCCATCCCTGCCTCTCCGTAAGGAGTTGGGCCAGTCCAAAAGCAGGTTCGCTTCTAGCAGCTGCGCGGAAGACTCTGGCAGGTACTTAGTGTCCTGTCTCTGTGGCCGCTTGCCCCCATGTGTGAGGAAAAGTCCAGGACAGAAAGGAGCAGGGGGCATGGGGCTGCCCCGATGCCTGGGGGCTACAGCCCGATGACCAGGGACCCTGGACACTGGACACAATAGCTTGGGGCTGGGGAGGGGCTGGTGGGCGTCCAAAGGCCACAAAAGTCCCAGCAGGGGCTGGCTGTTGAGAGTCGTCTCTAGAATGTGGGAAGCAGTGTACCCAGAAAGCACCTCTGTGATGGGCCTCACAGCCCCCAACCAAATCCAGATTCAAGGACCAGCTGGGGTGGGTGGGCCCCAAGCTCTGGCTAAACAGCCCATGGGGCCCTGGGAGAGTCCCGGAGCTGGCTGTTGACAGGCTGCAGGTGAGTGGGCGGTGGGGTTAGAGGGCCTGTCATCCCGTCCGCCTTGCTTGGGGGTCCTGGGGACCATGAGAACAAGAAGTGGGGTGGGCTACTGCTGGCCTGGCGAGGGTTAACGGCAGATGCGGGAAATATCAGACCCTTCTCCCAGCATCTCCGTGCCAGCTGCGGGGTCAGATAAACCATCTGAGCAGTGGCGTACAATTTGGGTATCTCTTCGGACGGTTGTGGGTGACATCTCCGAAAAAGAGGAGATAACATTTCTGGGACATGCAGGCAGCGTGACAGCGGGTACTGCTGCCTGTCAGGGGCCAGGTAGCTGTCAAGGGGAGCAGCAGGACAGGTGTCGCAGGCGGGCGGGAGTGGGCAGAGCCGTCTGCCAGCCTGGGGGAAGAATGCGGAGAGCCAGGCAGAAGTTCCAGCATCGCAGCAAACAAAGCTTAAATTAGCTGAGCTGCCGCGGCCTGCCCTGCTGCTGCCACCAGCCCTGATACCCAACTGAGTTACACTGCCCAACGATGCAGGAAGCACCGAATTAAACAGCTTAGTGCCTTTACATATTCAAACCAAGGCAAAACACCATCAAATATGCTGAGTGACAGTTGTCTAACACACATTCTTTAAAGTTTTGTGTAGTGCTTACAATAGCAGATTTGGGAGGGGCCGGAGCTGGGGTGCCGGGCCTCAGGACTGGGCAGCTGCAACCCGTGAATCCTGGTGCGGGTAGTGAGGCTGGCAGGAGATAGGCACGCCTGGCCTGGCTTTTCCTGGGGCACAAAGGCTTCCCTGAACACCATCTCCCAATCACCATCTTGGCCACGACCCTTCGATGGGGACAAAGTCTGCAGAAAGCCTCATGATCTCTCTGGAGACTGCGTTTGCTCTTCTGACCTGGAACACAGGACTGGGCAGGTCAGGGGAAAAATGGAGCCCAGGAAATGGAGTGCCTGGTGACACATGCTGGTGAAGGCTGCCTCGAGGATGGCTTCCTCCTCCAGGCCGGCGTGCAGGCAGGGATGAGGGTTCGTTCTCATCCATCCCCGAGTCATTTCTGCTTGTGGGAGGTAGCGTGGAGAGGCTAACACCATGGCCTGTTGGGCTGGGGAGGGGTGGCCTCTGACAGGCGTCGTGAAGAATCTAACACAGTGGCCTAGGGGGCTGGGGAGGGGTGGCCTCTGACGGGCATCATGGAGCCTTGCCTGCTGATCCTGTGCCACTGCTGCATGTAACCAGCTCTGCCTGCAGAGGGTGCTGCGCAAGCCGCCCACAGTCTCCCCTCCTCCCTGAACCAGCCCATCCCTGCGCCTGCAACGAGTTTACAGGCAAGAGGCTTTCTCTCACCTCTGCTTGGGCTCATCCTAGAGGATGAGGAGTGTGCTGGTGCCGCTGGGGTGTGCCCAGCAGGGAGAGTCCCATGCCCTCAGGGGCCATGTGACTCCCAAGAGGAGGCTCCTGCCCCACCTGCCTGGCCCATTGGCCTGCTGCCCGCCGGCCTCTCTGCCTGTCCCTCTGTCCCTCCATCACCCCAGCTGGGCTCCTGGAGGCTCCTCCAGGAGCACCAACCTCAGCCTTGGTAGCTGAGCAGATGGTAGAGGGGCTGGGATGATCAATATCAGATCCAGGTGCTCCTGCTGAACCTGTTGGGCTCTTCCTGCCTGGATCGGCTGTGGTTTGCTGGGAGCCCTTCATTCACCACCCACCGGCCCCCCTCGGCCAGCCCCTGGCCATGCCTGGATTCTTGGGCGTTGTTCAGAAAGGACAGCAATGAGGATCCTGCCTCATGGGAAGCGCCCAGCCCAGCGTCACCCCCTGAGCCTGAGCGCAGAGGGCCAGGGCTTCTAGGTCCCAGCCTGTCCTTCACAGTCATACGAGTCACCCCCACTGAGGGACTCCTGTTCTTCCAGGCTCCCAGCTGGCACTGCTGGATAAATCTGGGCTCTAGTGAGGCCCATACCCCAGCGTTCCTTCCTGTCACCTCCAGCCCTGCCTGTCCCTGCCCTTCCAGGCCCCAGCTCCCAGCCTTTGTGTGTTCTCTCTTCCCCACCTGAGTGCCTGCCCCGAGTCCCATGTTCTCATGATGCTCTTTGCTGATGGCACCAAAGCAGTCCTAGGCAGTCGCATGAGCCAGCCAGTGGGTTACCGTGCTCAGTGACACAGGGTCTTACACCAGCTGAGATGCACACCGGCCGCGGTGACCTCAAAACACAATCCATCACAGCATACTCCCCTGGCCCGTGTGGTACAGCCAGCCCTGCCTGTCTGCACGTCTGAGGACCTAATGGCTGGCTTTGGATGCATAGGCCTTACTCATGGCCCAGATGGCCAAGTATCCTTGGGGCCTGATGGAGACATTGGCCATCCCATCTTCTACATGGCTCATTTCACAGAGGAGAAAACTGAGGCCCAGAGGACAGAAACATCTCATGTTCCCGGCTCCAGCTCCCAGCCCATGCTGCCGCAGAGACCTGTTAGACTCTGCTCAGCCTCTCACCCCTGGGGCTCAGTGCCTGGAGCCTGGGCTGCAGGGTGAGCCTCAGCACCTGCCTCAGGGGACACAAGCGACCCCAGGGGACCTGAAGGGCAGTGGGGCCTGCAGAAAGGAGAGTGTGCAGGGGCACCTTAGAGGGCCACAAGAAGTGGTGGCAGAATCCCACACAGGTGCCAGGGGGCCCTGCTGCCCTCATTCCCCCTTCGGGACCAGGGACAAGGATAGGAACAATCACCCCACAGTTGGGGGAGAGGAGAAGAATCCCCCTCCTGAGCTGGAGGTCAAATCCCCATTTAGATCCATCCTCAGCCTGGGCCTTGGGGTCCCAGAGTCACATGTGATTTGGAGGAAGTGCCCATTTATTTTACACAGAATTCCCAAACAACAGAAACATCATGGTTTCCTAAGAACAGCAGAGAACCAAGCTCTCATCCAAGAACCCAGACAGGTTCCGGAAACTCGCTGCGAGTCTGACTTGTGTTTCCTTCTAGAATTCTCCTGCAGTCAGGCCCTGAGGCCCCCCTCCCCTGGCCTCCCAGAAGCTGGAAGTTCAGCCCAGATCTAGGGAGGAGGATGCTCAGAGGACATCGGGGTGCAATCAGTTGCATCCTGGGGTGCATCCTGATTCAGTGAGGATGCCAAGCTCCTGGGGCTCAGCTCTGGACCCCAAGGAGCCGTGTGTCCTCCGGCCCACCCTGTGACAGGCGCAGGCTCAGAGCCTGCCTGATGTCTCAGGAATCCTCCAGTGCAGACCCCTCCAACACCTCCCCAAACCGTGGCATTAGCAGGTCCTTCTGCAGGGCTCCGAGCTGTGCTCGGCGTGAAAACACCAAGTCGGCAGGCAGGCTCCCCGCTTCCCTCTGCTCTCTGATCCTTTAATCTGAGACTATTAAAATTTCATTCCACTCCTATTGGTAAACCATCAATCACTGTTGCCAAGCAGCCCCTGGCTGAGACAGCCTGGAGGGGAAGGTGGCAGGGAGGGCAAGAGGTGCTGTGGCCGTCCAGGGCCAGGAGGCAGGAGGGTCAGCTTGAGAACCTCCCCTCCCCTGGGCAGAGCTGGGTGCAGGAGGGCCGTGTGCCCTTGAGAAGGACGGGGCTTCTGGGTGGAGGGACAGGAGGCACAAGGCCCATGTCTGGGGTGCGTGGGAGGCTCTGGGGGTGGAGAATGGCTACCACTCGGGCCCCTCTTGGCGGGTGGCGGCAATGCCTACAGCCGGCCTCCGTGCCAGACAGCACCACCGGTGCCAGCTGCCGCCTCCTTCCTGAGCGGCTGCCATGTGGGGGAGCCTTGGCCTTTCTCTCCTGGTGGCTCCTTGCTTCCTTCTCAGTTCAGACACCTGGCCCTTTGTCCCTCCTCTCCCAAAGTGACCCTGGCCTTCAGGCAGGGGGGACGGGGGTCCGAGACCCAGCCCTTTAAGGGTAACTTGTGAAAAGGCTGCACCAGCTCAGTGCTTGCAGGATTATGGGTCTTTTTCTTAATTAAAAAAATCCAATTAAATTAAGATATCAGAACTAAATAACGCTGGAGTCATTAGTGCAACTTTTATCTTAATGACTACAGCTGCTGAAATCCTTCTTTAATTCTGACAGCCTCGGCAGGCGAGTGGGTTTTCACTGTATAGAGGCCTGGGGCTGCAGACACAGGGGGTGGCGGAAGCCCCTGCTTCTCCTCTGCACCCCAGACCCGCAGAGCGGGTGAGTTCCGTGTGTTTCGGGGCTGGGGGGACAGGGATGTACATGGCTGAGGTATTCCTTCCCATCTTCAGGACCATGCCCACTGCCCATCAGCCCTAGTGGACTTAATCCGAGCAGGCAACTTTGGAAGGAACAACAGTGGGTCCCTAAATACATTTTAAGACTTTTCCCTGGAGAAGGGAGCCGAGTTCCTCCCTGTCTGCTCAGGAGTGAGGGAAGCAGCTGTCTGGGCCCTGCTGGGGCACCCTGTCCTGGATGGCTGGAGGGGCACGGCGTGTTGGCTCCTGGGTCCCATCCAGAGGGGCTCCATGCTCCCCGCCTTCAACCCTGGCGGCCTTGACCCCCCTCTTCCTGCCATGCCTGGGGGACGCCGCAGCATGTTGGTATTGAATCCAGTCCCACAGGAGCAGAGGCAGCGGGCGGGGGCCCTGGCGCCATGAGCAGGAGAGCAGGCACAGCACAGGCCCCATGCGGCCCCGAGGCGGAGCTGGACTGGGAAGAACGGGGCTCTGGGAAGCAGGAGATAAGAGGCTGCCGGAGCGAGGGGCCTGGAGGGGATTTGGGTCACAGGAGGGTGGCTGGGGGAGTGGCAGAGAGCCAGGCGAGGAGGAGGCCTGGTTATCACTTTACCTCAGGATGCCGGGAATGGCAGAGGCGAGAGGCACAGAGCCCAGAGCCGGAAGCCCCACGGACACCACACCGCGAGGTAAAGATGCTCACGGGGCTGGTGGCACAGACCAGACTTGCCCCCACCCCGCTGTCCACTGCAGCCCCAGACAGTCCTCCCTCACTTTTCTTCCTCCACTCAGATGCTCCCAGAGAAGACCCTTGCGGTCACCCCAGATCCCGAGATGCCTCCTGCCAGCCCCTCCAGAAACATCACAAGGATCTATGGCTGCAGGTCTTGGAGGTCAGGGACTGTGTCCAGCTAACTCACCCGGTGTCTGTGTCTGGGCCAGAGCCTGGCACACGGTAGGTGCCCAGTAAATATGCAGCAATTGACTGACGGGCAAAAGGGAGCTGGGGGAGAAATGGGCCAAATCCGCCCACTGAGTTCTGGCATCTTGCCATGAATGTGTATTACTTCACCAATAACTTTTAGAAGCAATGAAAATTATGTTTTTCATTTGCTTTTCTGCAAGAAAATAAAGACCTCTAAAGAAAGTGGCTATGAAACATACCGGATCCTAGAATGTCACAGCTGGGGAACAGCTGGAAAAGCATCCAGCCCAAATCCTCACTGTTCAGCCTAGGAAGTGAAGGCTCAGGGTGGGGAGAGAGCTGGTCTGTCCGCTTGGCCGGGCTCTGGACACTCCTGCTGTTAGATGTGATGGGATCTGTTGCACATCTTTTTTTTTTTTTTTCTGAACGGAGTCTTGTTCTGTCGCCCAGGCTGGAGTGCAGTGGCGTGATCTCAGCTCACTACAACCTCCACGTCCCTGGTTCAAGCAATTCTCCTGCCTCAGCCTCCCGAGTAGCTGGGATTACAGGCACACACTGCCACGCCCCGCTAATTTTTTGTATTTTAGTAGAGGCCGGGTTTCGCCATGTTGCCCAGGCTGGTCTCGAACTCCTGAGGTCTGGCAATCCTCCCGCCTCGGTCTCCCCAAGTGCTGGGATTACAGGTGTGAGCCACCGCGCCTGGCTGTTGAACATGTTAACAATGGGTTAAGATGCTCCATCTCCTCATCTAAAGAATGGGGATAAACAAGAACACCTGCCTCAAAGGGTCACCATGAAGATTTGAGAAACTCTTCTATAGCTATTTCTGGAGTGCCCGCCATGAGCTGTGCCCTGTCATCGGTGCCCAGCATGCCCCACTGAATGCTCACTCTGAGTGGGGTGGCCCTTTTGGATCCAAAATTCCCACCACAGAGGCCCAAGCAGTGAGGGAGGGGAGCTGGTTCTTCGAGGATCCTTAGGCAGGGGTCACAGGGCTGAGTGGGTGTGAGCAGAGGAGGGGAGGTGGATGGCCCAGGCAGACGAATTGAGTGCATTCCACACCTGCAAGAGGCCAGTGTGTCTGGAGCGTGGGGTGGGGCACAAGGTTTGAGATGGGGTTTGAGAGCAGGAATGGCCACAGTGGCCACCCTTAGAACAGTGGTGTTGAATTGGCGAGGTGATGTGCGTGTGCATGGCTGTAATGACCACATGAGGATCATTATTGCTAGCCACTGTGCAAGGAAGAGTTTGCAAGGGTGAGAGCATGCTCAGAAAACCTTGGCCAGGGTCCGGAAGAAGGCACAGTCGTCATGCCATTTTATTTTCTGTATTTCTGATGCTTTGACCTCTGGGGCCTTGCTGAACCTGGAGGGACTGCCCCCCTAGGGCTGGTCAATTCCTAGAGATAGCAAAGGACTGGCCTGGGAACCCACCTTTCAGACCAACCCACCCAGAGCCCATACCCCACAACCTCCTCTATCAGGGTTTCCCCCAAGGGCCACCATCTAGCTGCCCTAGTCACCCCAGGCCAGGGACAACTTAGGGGCAGCCTCTCCGCCCAGAGCCCGCAGGAATTACCCCAGGAATTTCTCCAAAGCCTGCTCACCCCGTCTTACTTGTTCCTTCCTGCAAAAACCACAATAGAGGCTCTGCCCACATTGCCCCCGGCTCCCTCTGCCTCTTGATGGACTCCCTGCTTCCCCAAGTGGTCCTGTGTGACGTGGCCTGCCCCCTCCTCATGGGATCTATGAGTAACAAACCATCTTAAACAGGCAGCCGCCTGCTGATCTGCTAGCCTCACCATGGCTGCATATTAATACAACCCGCATTTGGAAAAAAGGGCCCTAGCGGCTTAGATTGGAGCTGGTGTGAGATGCAGGACGTGGTTGGGTTTGGGGCATTTAGGAGAACAGGTGGACAGACCTAGTGGTGACCTGGGGGTGGAATGTGACAGAGGAGGTGAATGAATGACTCCTGGGCTTGAGCTTGGTTTGGGGGACCACGTGCTAGGTGCTTGCCTTGGTGCTGGGGGAGACAGGGACACCAGGCTGCAAATGTGACCAGAGCCACCCATGGGCCCTGGAGCTCCGTGGGAGCCAGGGGCTTTTCTCCTGCCTGTTCCAGGAGCAGGACCTCATTCGGCTCCTTGGGTGAGAGTTCCAAGCTTGTGATTCTTGGGATATCCAGGCCCTGGCTCTGTCTGCCCTGGGGAATGATGAGAGAGTGGCTTTGGGGAGGGCACAGCTCTGGGTCTCAGGAGAGAAAGAGGAGAAGGAGGAGCAGGGCTGTGGGGTGGCCACAGGTGGGTGGAGGGCAGCAGACCCACAGGACCCATGGAGGGAGCATGAATGGAGGGGCTGCTTGCTTTGGCTCTGAGAAATTCTGGTCCCAGCTGCCCTCCTGGGTCCTACCCACATGCACCCCCAAATAAGCTTGAGCACTTTAAAAATGGAAACAAATGCTCCCTTCCTTTTCGCGGAGCTTTCTGTCAATCGAAGCTGTCAGTTTCCTCTAGTTCTAAAAAAGGGCGAGCTCTGTGTGTCCCATAAATAGATTTCCAAAGCCACAGGCCAATCCGGCTCCCAGAACACACCCATCTCGCTGCAGGCTTTGAAGGGGCAGCTGGGGAGCAATCCCCTCTCCTGGAGGGCAAGCAGGCTGAAAGGCACTTGGGGATACCCTTGAGGTTCACAGTTTACTGGGAGGTGCCAGCATTCACACATCATTACCCACTGTTGACAGAGGCAGCTGATAACTCCCTGAGTCTTGTTCTCGCCTCCATTAGCAGATTGCTTGAAAAAAAAAGTCAGAAAAATTCAGTTCTCAGATTTGGGCCCCCACCATCTGGCTTGGGAAGTCTGCTGGGTTTTGTTTCTGCCCTACAGAAATCTGGCTTCTTTTTTTGGCATGGGGTTGGGGGGGATGAAGCAAGCCAAGATAAGGGGTTCCAGGAACTGGGACAACCTCAGAAGGTCATTGAAACTCAAGTCCTGGGGGAGGAGGAAGAACCCAGCTTGTGGTCAAAGGCAGACGCTAAGGAGAGGGTGGGAGGGACATCGTCAGTGTTTGTGTGAGGCTGAAAATGGCAGAAAGAGCCAACAGGTCAGAGATGATCAGGGTGGAGGCAGTGACAGGAGGGGGCAAGAGCAGGGATAGCAAATTACTTTTCTCTTATTCATGGGCTTCTACTGACAGCTGACAGCTGTAGGGCCAGGCTGGGCAGGATTCTGAGACTGCATTTGGAAAATGTGCTGTGATCCATTAGTAATGTCTGCCCTGGGCACGGGAGGGGAAGGTGGCAGCTGGTGATTTGTTATCGCAGCATGTAAGGCAAGTGGTTTAGAACTAAGACGAGGAAGAGCAACCTCACACCTAGAACAGCATTTGGCACATACTAGGTCTCTACAGATATCTGCCAAGCAACCAGCTGAAAGAGTGAAGGAGTGCAGGGTAGAGAAATGGAGGAAGATGACCACTTCTGGGGAATTCCTAAGCCCTGGGCCAGCAAGGGAGCTTGAAGGGAGGTACCTGGCAGGAAAACACCCTTCTTCTTCCATGTAATGAAACGAACCCGGGAATGACTCCTGCCTTCCTTTATGTGGAGGAAATTTTCAGCTACCACCACCCAGGCCATCTTCTACATTTATTTCCCTCTTCTCTCATGCTTCCAGACACTTCCCTGCAGTGTGCACTAGAACAGAGCCCACATCCAGGAATTTTAGAGTCCAGAACCCATCACTTTGTGGCCCACTGAAAGAACCTGAGTACAAATTGCTAGGACCTGAGTACAGACTCCCCAGAGACAGAGCAGGGGGGCAGTCATGTTGGTCTCATCTTAGCACAGGGTGACAATCACTTCTGATTTCACGCCCCTGCATCATGTGGCTGTTCAGGCCTGGACTCAGAGTCACTGTTGAGATAGCCCTGCAGAGCACGACCTCCCTTCTCTTTGAATCCAAGCTCTTGATTGCAGGTGAGAATTCTTGTTAGAGCTACAGGACCCAGGGTTCCTGACACTTTGCCTGGAGATGTCTGGGAAGCTGCCCTTTCCTTTCCTGAGGCTTAAACCAGGGAAGTTTCTCTCAGCACCTTTCAGCACCCCCATCTGGGCCTCCAGGAAATCTGTGCAGTCACCTCTGAGCCAGGTTCTGTGCACAGATGGGGGACACCAAAGAGGGTCAGGGACAGAACCCTGAGCTTCGCTTATCCCTCTTGCTTTCAATCTTTCAGTCCACTAGGCTGTGAGCTCCCTCCAGGGGAGCCCTGTGGGATGGGTCCTGCATCTCAGCCCCTACACGTGGCAGCACTCAATACACAGCTGATGGCTCTGGGAATGGATGACTACACTTTCTCTAAAGCACAGATTTCTGCACAGCTCTCCCTCACTGCCAGTGTGCCCTCTTCATCATAGCTGAGCCCTGAATTCACTCACTCATTCACTCATTCATTCACTCACTCAATTATTCACTCATTCATTCATTCCCTCATTCATTCATTCCCTCATTCATTCACTCACTTATTCACTCATTCATGCATTCACTCATTCATTCATTCACTCATTCATTCATGCATTCACTCATTCATTCATTCACTCATTCATTTACTCACTCACTCATTCGTTCATTCACTCAAGGTACTTCATGTGTGCCAGGCCCTGTTCTCACTACCAATCTTAGCACAGTCTTTAGCTTCTCTGAAAGCCAGTTAGACTGCGGCTGTTCCTATTGCAGCTCCCAGAGGTCCCTCTGTCCTCACCGGCTGTTGGGGGAAGGTTTGCCACAATGACATCCCCACTCAGCTACTGCTTAACATGGACAGGGCAGGAGAGAAACAGGGTAAGAGGCTCTCCGTGCGGCTCCGTGCTCCTTGGACTGTAACCTCCTGGTTCACTGTGACTCTGGAGGTCAACTCTGAGCACGCCATCCCGGGAGCTGTGGCAGGGGCCTCCACCAGCTCTTCCCCTAACCCAGCCTCCCTGCTTTGCTGCAGTGCACCATTGCGGAACTGGGCGGGCTGCTCCAGAGCCCTGAGTGTTTGGACAGGAAGCAGGAGAGCCAGTCCTCCCCTGCTTTCAGTTTAATGAGCAACCTCCTGGATATGCGTGGGCAGTGACCCGGGATGGACAGGGCTCACAGTGGCTGCGGCCTGAAGCCCAGGCGAGCCAGCTTCTGGACTTCCTCCTTCCTTCCCTCCTGTCGGCCAGTGCTCTGCTCCTGTCCCACCCCTGTGTGTCAGGCGCACACACAGGAGAGTCTGCTGAATGCTGTTTCACAAGCAGAGTCTGGCCGAGACAGGCACATCCACTGTTCCCAGTGAACACAACTGGGAATGGCTCCTGGGTGGATGGAGAAATGGGGCCATGGTTTGCCTGACCCTGTGCAGCAAGCTCTGCATCACACTTTACGGCACCTTGCAGGGGCTGAGTGAGGTCCGGGCTCAGAGGTCCTGTTCTGGGACTTGGCGGTCCAGAGATGCAGCCTCTTGTGGCAGAAGCATCGTTCCCTTGCCTCCAGAGCTAGGCTGGGTGGCACTGGGGGGGTGTGGTGGCCTTCAGAAGGCTACTTCATCAGTCCCTCTGGCCATCAGCCTTGCTCTGTCAAAGGAGGAGGCTGGTGCCCCTTGGGGTCAGACTGGGGTTTGAATCCAAGTTCTACCGTCTCCCACTGTGTGACCTATGGCAAGTCACTGGTCCTCTCTGAGCTTCTCTTTCCTCACCTACAGGCCCACTTCTAGGATTCTGGTGAGGATTAAATGAGAGGATTTTAAAAAGTGCATATCCTGGAACCTGGCTGAGGTCTACACTGGAGTCCCAGTCCTACTTAACTCTCCCTCCCTGGGGGTTTTTCTGTGCTTGGTTCTGTGCTGAGGCCATCAGGAATGGAGAGAAGCCTAAGAGGTGTCCTTCTACCCCTGGGAACCAGCCAGCTGGTAAGACCAGAGAGAACCTCTTAGGGAGCAGTCCCAGCAGCAGAGACCCAGTGCCAGGGACAGGCTCCAAGGGCCACAGATACTGGACACCAGGGACAGGCTCTGAGGGCCACGGGGACCCAGGCCTGATCAGGCCCTATTCAGGCAAAGCCACAGGGGAGTCGGGTTGCATTAAATTCTCTGGAGTGTCAGGAAGCTTCAGCAGCCACAGTGTCCCCAGTAGGGGAGGGGGCTGCTGGGAGCCTGCGGTGAGGACGTGACCCGATGGACACAGGAAGTTGCCTGGAAGACACACGGTTCTCTGGAGCTCAAGGCCACTTCAGGCATGCTCTGTTACGAATGGAGAGAAGGAACAAGCGTCTGGGAACTAGCTGGGTGCCTTCCTCCTCTGTGCCCTGCGTTTTCTTCCTCATAAACACCTGTGTGTGTGCACACACATGCACATACACACTCATGCACAGATACATACATGTGCACACACACACATGCACATACACTCAGTGCACCTGCGCACACATGTCCTTTGGCCCTGCAGCTCTTGTCCGACCTCCGGAGCCCAGCTGGGCACAGGATGTGATAAGCACCCTCCTCCCTTCCTTGCTTCTCCCCTCTGGGCAGGGAAGCCCCAGGGTGGCTAGGGTGGAGACTGGGGTGGAGACCAGGAGGGACTAGTGAGTAACCTCGTGGTGCTTCCCTCCCTGTGAGGGTGAAGGTCACACTGGCTCTCCCAGGCCAATCCTGCGCCTTCCCAGACCTTTCAATGAGGTTGTCTCTGCATCTGTTCCAGTCAGTAATTAGACAAAAATCCATTAAAATGAAGCGGGGGTACTTTGCCTTCCTGTGAAGGAGGCCAAGGGAGATTCCTCGTGGGGAGGGGGCAGAGAGAGCTGGGGTGTCTATGGGCTGCTGCTGGGCCTGGGAGAGAGAGGCCCAGGTGAGAGAGGGTCAGCTGGGTGGGTGTGGTCAGGTGAGGGGGCCGGGTGGTAGGGGCCAGGTAGGAGAGGACCATGTGAAAGACGGTCAGGTAGGAGAGGGCCGGGTGGGAGGGGCAGGTGTCAGGGTTCAGTGGGGAGGAGTCAGGGGGAGGGGCCAGGTAGGAGAGGACTGTGTGAGACAGAGTCAGGTAGGGGAGGGCCAGCTGCGAGGAGGCCAGGTAGGTGTGGTTAGGTGAGGGGCCAGGTGGGAGGGGGCCAGGTAGGAAAAGATCACGTTAAAGAGGGTCAGGTAGGAGAGGGCCAGGTAGGAGGGGCCCAGGTGGGAGGGATTATGGGGAGGGGACAGAGGGCGAGGCCCCTACCATATGGGAGGGGCCCAGGTGGCCAGGGCCAGGGAGGGGAGGTCCAGGTGGGAGAAAGCCGGGTGGGAGTGGCTGGGTGGCACAGGCAGTGGGAGGCCCTGGGCTTCCCCATTCAGGACTCTGGATCAGGGCCACACTCTTGAGGCAAAAAGGAATGGTGAGTGGCCCAGGTTAAACTTGCTCACTGGACTCCGGAACCATCATCTTGTTCTTCCCCTCCCAGACCAGGGTCTCCAAAGAAAGATCTGCATTTAACACTCCATTAACCCTCTGTATCAGCTTCTCTTCCTACCACTCTGGGAGCTGTGGATTCACAGATTTTTAAATCCAAAGTTACTAGGTCAGCTCAGCTGTCTTCTGCCTCTGGGCACCCTTAGCCTCACTCCAGCCCCTCCCAGAAACTCACCCTCTCCTCCACTCCCTGCACCCTCTCCTCCACTCCCCTGCAATGACTCCTTGGGATTCTCCTCCTTTGCACACCCTCCTCCTCCTTCCTTCCCTCTTTCAGATTCCTTTGAGACTCCTCCTCCGAGCACCAGAGCCCCTAACCTCTGTCTCTTATGTTCCTCTCTCTATAGATGCTGTGGTCTCTGAGATGGGGCCAGCCTCTTCTCTGAGCCCCCAGGGCCAAGCCTGGGCGCTTGGCACACAGGAGGCTCTCCTAAGTTCTTGAAGAATGAAACCCTCCCGCCCTCACCCTCCCATTCTTACTCTGAGCTCTTTCTTCTTCCTACAACACATATCACTTTCTGACATGCTTGAGTTACTCATTTTTTTCTTTTCTGTTTGTCTCTCCCGGCCCACAGGTGTCTTTGTTTTAATCACTCATGAACCTCACATATCACTTGAGGACATTGTCTGATTGATAGTGGGTCCTTAAAAATATTTGTGAGATGAAAAGATTTAAACTAAAGCTGGGCCAGTCCACAACTGCATTTTATCTAAAGCACTTTTTCCACAAGTAGACTTTCTGAATGCCCCAGGGCATTGGAGAGGAAATGAGTCATCCCATTTCTGACGCCTTTGCTGACAGCCAAGCACAGGTTCTGTGGGCACCAATCGGGGGAATAAGGATGAGGGAGGTGGCCAAGGGGTTCTGTGGTGGCAGGAGAAGGTCAAATACGGTCAGCTTCCTGCTGCCAACAAGGTCAACCCGGAAGAAAATGAGAAGGGACCTGGTGAGTCCCGAGTAGAAGTCAAAACACCCTCCACGGGCATCTCCACCCCTAAGAGGGACCCTCCATGGGCACCTCCACCCCTAAGAGGGACCCTGCATGGGTGCCTCCACCCCTAAGGGGGCACCCTCCACGGGCACCTCCACCCATAAGGGGTGCCCTCCACCAGCACCTCCGCCCCTAAGGGACACCTCCATGGGCATCTCCACCTCTAAGAGGGACCCTGCAAGGGCACCTCCACCCCTAAGGAGGCACCCTCCATGGGCACCTCCACCCCTAAGGGGGCACCTTCCATGGGCATCTCCACCCCTAAGGGGGCACCCTCCACCAGCACCTCTACCCCTAAGGGGGTACCTTCCATGGGCATCTCCACCCCTAAGGGGACACCCTACACCAGCACTTCCACTCCTAAGGGGCACCCTGCATGGGCACTTCCACCCCTAAGGGGGCACCCTCCACCAGCACCTCCACCCCTAAGGGGGCACCCTCCACGGGCACCTCCACCCCTAAGGGGTGCCCTCCACCAGCACCTCCGCCCCTAAGGGACACCTCCATGGGCATCTCCACCTCTAAGAGGAACCCTGCAAGGGCACCTCCACCCCTAAGGAGGCACCCTCCATGGGCACCTCCACCCCTAAGGGGGCACCTTCCATGGGCATCTCCACCCCTAAGGGGGCACCCTCCACCAGCACCTCCACCCCTAAGGGGATACCTTCCATGGGCATCTCCACCCCTAAGGGGACACCCTACACCAGCACCTCCACCCCTAAGGGGCACCCTGCACGGGCACCTCCACCCCTAAGGGGGCACCCTCCACCAGCACCTCCACCCCTAAAGGGGCACCCTCCACCAGCACCTCCACTCCTAAGGGGGCACCCTCCACCAGCACCTCCACTCCTAAGGGGCACCCTGCACGGGCACCTCCACCCTTAAGGGGTGCCCTCCATGGGCACCTCCATTCCTAAGGCGCACCCTGCATGGGAATCTTCCTCCTTAAGGAGGCTTGCCAGACCCTCCCACAGTCTACAGAAGAGGGCAAGGAGTTGGGGGAGGTGGCAAAGGAGCTGCTGGAAACTGTAGACATGTGCCCAACACAGAGGGTCGAAAACCACAGAGCAGACCCAGAACTGTGCTTCCTCAGTACCCATACAGGGCATGACCAGTGACCTGGTTAATGCCTGTTGCCCAGCATAACTGTCAACTTTTATTGTTTGCAATTGTTAATTCTTATTTCTCTCTCAAAACGATATGGTCACCTGATCAATATAAATGCTCACACTGACCATCTTAAGTCGGGGCCAGCATATGTGTGGCAGGAACCCTTCCTGTCCCTCTGTTCATGGCAGACATTACTAATCAATCACGTCACTGTTTCCCCTGAGCCTGGAGATGGCTTCAGAATCCTCCTTACAACAGCATAAGGGCATATTGACGGGTGAGTGGGGGGTCCACACAGTGGAGTGCCCTTGCAAGGGGTGTCAGAGTCTGGGTTTGGAGGGGGCCCACATGGGGTGGCAGAGATGTGAGACTGGTTGTGTACAGGGAGATTATGTTGGAAGAATAATTCTCTTAGGCCACACATAAATATACTAACACTAACGGTAGCTGATGAGCTAAAAAAAAAAAAAATTGCAAAAAAGTCTCATAATGTTTTAGGAAAGTTTATGAATTTGTGTTGGGCCACATTCAAAGCTGTCCTGGGCCACAGGCAGCCCACAAGCCATGGGTTGGACAAGCTTGATTTAAATCATCTTTAGATTACTTATAATACCTAGTAACAATGTAAATGCTATGTAAATATTTCTTATACTGTTTTATTTAGGGAATAATCATAAGAAAAAAATATGTTTGGTACAAATGCAATTTTTTTCCTGGATATTTTTGGCCCGTTGTTGGTTGAATCCACGGATGCGAAACTCATGAATGTGGAAGGCCAACTCTGTGTGTGTGTGTGTGTGTGTGTGTGTGTGTGTGTGTGTGTGCATATGATACATATATTCCCCAGCTCTATCTACTGAGAGAGGCCTGGGAGCAGTGAGCATACTCAGGCCCAGATCTTGGCTTCTAAACACCACTTTCCACTAAAAGAAACCAGGTTTCTTTGGAGAAATGGTTGATTTCAGGAAAGTACAAGATATGCCTGGAACATCTTGTTCAGAAAGCAAGGAAGTGCTCAAAGAATGATTGGGCTTATATCAAATGACCCAGAAACCAGCTTGAATGGAGGTCCACCAACCAAATCTGAGACAACATGAACACTGAAATAAATAACAATGGTAATAGATTATAATCCATTGAATAAAATAAGGTTATACATAAACAAATGAATAAAAACTGAAAGTCTGATGGGGAATACTTGCATATACTATGAAAGTACTTTCTCACAAAATATTTATTAACTACAAACAGAAAATGAGTAAGCTTACAGTGGAGAAGCCTTGCAGACACCACCTGAATTAAGTGGTCAAGGTGAACATCACCAGTCATGAGTAAAATGGAAATCCTGCATCAACAGACACTTTTCAAAATAAGACGTTCGTCCAGCCAACAAGCATATGAAAAAGTGCTCAACGTCACTGATCATTAGGGAAATGCAAATCAAAACCACAATGAGATACCATCTCATGCCAGTCGGAATGGTGATCATTAAAAAGTTAAAAAACAACAGATGCTGGCGATGTTGCAGACAAGAAGAAACGCTGTTACACTGTTGGTGGGAATGTAAATTAGTTCGGCTATTTTGGAAGACAGTGGGGCAATTCTTCAAAGATCTAGAAGTGGAAATACCATTTGACCCAGCAATCCCATTACTGGTTATATACCCAAAGGAATAGAAATCATTTTGTTATAAAGATACATGCATGTGTATGTTCATTGCAGCACTATTCACAATAGCAAAGACACAGAATTAACCCAAATGCCCATCAATGATAAACTGGATTTTAAAAATGTGGTACATATACACCATTGAATACTATACAGCCATAAAAAGGAATGAGAACATGTACTTTGCAGGGACATGGATAGAACTGGAAGCTGTTATCCTCAGCAAACTAATCCAGGAATAGAAAACCAGGCCGGGCGCAGTGGCTCACGCCTGTAATCCCAGCACTTTGGGAGGCTGAGGTGGGTGGATCACGAGGTCAGGAGATCGAGACTATCCTGGCTAACACGGTGAAACCCTGTCTCTACTAAAAAATACAAAAATTTAGCCAGGCGTGGTGGCAGGTGCCTGTAGTCCCAGCTACTCGGGAGACTGAGGCAGGAGACTGGTGTGAACCCGGGAGGTGGAGCTTGCAGTGAGCTGAGATTGAGCCACTGCACTCCAGCCTGGGCGACAGAGCGAGACTCCGTCTCAAAAAAAAAAAAAAAAGAAAAGAAAAGAAAACCAAACACCACATGTTTTCACTTGTAAGTGGGAGCTGAACAATGAGAACACATGGACATGTCCGGGGGGACAACACACACTGGGGCCTGGTGGTGGGGGTGGGGAGGGAGAGCATCAGAAAGAATAGCTAATGGATGCTGGGCTTAATAGCTAAATGATGGGTTGATCTGTGTAGCAAGCCACCATGGCACATGTCTACCTATGTAACAAACCTGCACATCCAGGGTACATCCTAACATGTATCCTGGAACTTAAAAGTTGAAGAGAAAAAAAAAATTGGAAATCCTGGGCCACCAGACAGAGCTCAGTATCCCTTATGTGAGGCTCTTGCTCAAGATGCACCACCTGAGTCTAATCACAAGAAAACATCAGACAAAACCAAACTGAGGGGCAGCCTTATAAAGTAACTGGTCTGTAATCTTCAAAAATGTCAAGGTCACAAAAGTCAATGACAAAATGAAGAACTGCTCGAGACTGAAGGACGCAACTATTAAATGTGACCCGTGATGCTGACATCATTGGAACAATCGGTAAAATGTCATTGAAGACAGGATTAGTTGATAGACATGTATCAATGTTTGTTTCCTGATTTGAGAGTTCTGATGTGGTTTTGTCAGAGAAAATGTTTTGTTGCATAGATGCTAAAATACTTGGGGGGTGATGGGACATCAGGCTGGCAAATTTCAAATGGTTCAGAAAAAAGTTTCTTTGAATTGTACTCCCAACTTTTTAGTATGTCTGATTGTTTCAAGATTTAAGAAAAAGTGAAAGGGAGAATTGGAAATTCAAAGAAGAAACAAAAATAACGGCATAAGCAAGTTATGGTTCAAATAAAAAGCAATATAAATGAGGCATGAATGACCACGATAATATATAAGTTTTGGTGTTTGCTATGGTTTGGATATGGTTTGTCACTGCCGAAACCCATGCTGAAATTTGATTTCCAGTGTGGCAGTGTTGGGGGTGGGGCCATGTGGGAGATGTCTGGGTTATGAGGGCAGATCCCTCATGAACAGATTAGTTCTCTCCCGAAGGGGTAATTTCTTCCTCCTGAGGGAATGAAATAGCTCCGGAGAAAGCGAGTTGTTAAAGAGTCTGGCTTCTTCGGTTTCTCTCTCTTGCTTCCTCTCTTGCCACGTGTTATCTTGGCACAGGCTGGCTCTCCTCCCACCTTCCACCATGAGTGGAAGCTGCGTGAGACCCTCACCAGATGCAGCTGCACAGTCTTGAACCTTCCAGCTGCCAGAATCCTGTGCCAAGTAAACCCCTTTTCTTTCTACATTACCCAGCCTCAGGTGTTATGTTATAGCAACACTAAATGGACTCAGTGTTTGAAGGGTAAACTTCAGCTGCATAGAAAGTTCTCTTTGTACGACAATTCTCAGGCTCAGTGCAGCAGGGCACAGAGGAGATCATGCTCTGAGCTTTGATTTTCATGGGGATGAAGGGTGAGACCTGGCACAAAGACCCTCAATGGTTAGAGATGGCCTGACTCCTCAACACCGGTGGGAAAGAGTCTTCCCCAACTGATGTGGTTTGGCTGTGTCCCCACCCAAATCTCATCTTGAATTGTACTCTCATAATTCCCACATGTTGTGGGAGGGACCTGGCGGGAGATAATTTGAATCATGGGGCGGTTGCCCCCATACTGTTCTCGTGGTAGTGAAAAAGTCTCATGAAATCTGATAGGTTTATCAGGGGTTTCTGCTTTTGCATCTTCTTCATTTTTCTCTTGCCACCGCCATGTAAGAAGTGCCTTTTGCTTCCCACCATGATTCTGAGGCCTCCCCAGCCATGTGGAACTGTAAGTCCAATTAAGCCTCTTTTTCTTCCCAGTCTCAGGTATGTCTTTATCAGCAGCATGAAAACAGACTAATACACCAACCAAGATGGGCTACATGATTTGTGGGACCTGGTGCAAAATGAAAATGTGGGATCCCTTTTTTAAGAACTATTAAGAATTTTGAGAATACGGCAGCAAGGCATTAAACTAAGCTTGGTTTAACACAACGGCACAGGTTGCACACCCAGAATCTGTCCCTTTCCATGACATCTGCCAAGAGCTGTTGCTTTAACCCTTTTCCTGTTCAGAAAAAAAAAAAAAAGTTCTGCTCGCTGCCAGCACTCATTTAATTTTACATAAACACACTCTTTGAGGATGAAGCAAATCTCACTGATTTTCAATGTGAAAATAAAATATAAAAACTGTTCTTGGAGTTATTTCTAAACAGAACTAACATCAGAATCATCTGAATCATCAGAATTGTCTATTTCAGAAAACTCGGATTCATCAAATGAGTCTTTAGCCAACAACTGTTTGAGAACAATGTTAACATCACATGTAGAAATGCTGCGTTTTCCAGGATTTGACATTTTCAGCGTTCGGGAACTGCTATATTTTGTAAATGGAAATACCACTACTAAACACAGAATGCTAAAAATAGAATGAGGTCTTTTGTTTCCAAAGTCGATATACTAGAGCCATGTGAAAATAATAATAAAAGCGAGATATTTCATGTCAAAGCTATCTCGGGGTAAATGCTGCAGCCACAAGTGCTGCTGGGGATTATTCTCAGTGCAAATGGGAAAAGGGCTAAGAACTTGTCCTTTTATAATACCCAGGGATGAGATGAAAAATTTATTTATAAGGATGTTCATCAGAGTATTATTTATAGTGCTGAACACCGGAAGCATCACAGATGTCCAACAGGAAATGACTAAATTACAGCATATCCAGAAGATGGGATATTACGCAGCCATTAAAAACTGTGTTTTAGGCTGGGTGTGGTGTTTCACACCTGTAATCCCAGCACTTTGGGAGGCCGAGGTGGGCGGATTACGAGGTCAGGAGTTCGAGACCATCCTGGCTAACACGGTGAAACCCTGTCTCCACTAATAAATACAAAAATAATTAGCCGGGTGTAGTGGAGGGCGCCTGTAGTCCCAGCTACTCGGGAGGCTGAGGCAGGAGAATGGCGTGAATGCGGGAAGTGGAGCTTGCAGTGAGCCGAGATCGCGCCACTGCACTCCAGCCTGTGTGACAGAGCAAGACTCCGGCTCAAACACACACACACACACACACACACACACACACACACACACACTGTGTTTTAGGCCAGGCGTGGTGGCTTACACCTGTAATCCTAGCACTTTGAGGGGTCAAGGCGGGCAGATTCACTTGAGGCCAGGAGTTCAAGATCAGTCTGGCCAACATGGCGAAATCCCGTCTCTACTAAAAATACAAACATTAGCCAGGTATGGTGGCACACACCTGTAATCCCAGCTACTCAGGAGGCACACACCTGTAATCCCAGCTACTCAGGAGGCACACACCTGTAATCCCAGCTACTCAGGAGGCACACACCTGTAATCCCAGCTACTCAGGAGGCTGAGGCAGGAGAATTGCTTGAACCCAGGAGGCAGAGGTTGCAGTGAGCCGAGATCACGCCACTGCACTGCAGCCTAGGCAACAAAGTGAGACTCTGTCTCAAAAAAACAAACAAACAAAAAAAACAAAAAAATATGTTTTGAGAAACAGTGAATGACGGGGGAAATGCTTTTATACAATGGTAAGTGAAAAAAAAGCAAAACACTAAACCTCATCTTATATTATCAACTTTGTGAAAAGAAAAAATACCCATAGGCATGAGTATAGCAAAAAACAACAACAACAACAACAACAAACTGGCAGGAAATATAACAAAATGTAAACAGAGGTTATTTTTGGGTGATGGGATTATAGGTGGTTTTTATTATCCTTTTAGTACTTTCCCATGTCTTATAAATGTTCTACTATGAGTACGCCTAATTTTTCTAATTAGAAAAATATTTTAAAATTGTATTCATTTGTTATAATGAGCCTGTTTGCCTTTGTAATTAAAAATTTTTAATTAAGAAAAAAGTGAAGTTAAAAAAAAATAGCCATTCATGCAACCAGTATTTATGGCACACATCCTGTGTTGGGGTGTAACGCTTGGTTCTGGAGGAACGCCGAGGAAGCAGTGAGAAACATGGACGGTGCTGGTGACTTCATGGACTTATCTTGTTGGCCAGGCAGAGCAGTAAACAAAAAAACACGTCAGTGTGGTCAGCGCATTCTGAGCCCTTCCATGCACCTCTCCCAGGGTTCTGGCAGGATCTTGAGTTCACCAGAACCCCTGTGGGTGACCACCCTGGTGCCTGCAAGCTGAGCCTGGAAAGTTAATCACGTGACCACAGAACAACCAAAGGCTGCAGTGGGGGTTTGGGGGAACGCGCCCGTGTAACTTCTGTGTGTTTCAATGGTGCATGCCGGGGAAAATGTTTGTTAAACACATTACCCTTTAATAAACTATAACTTAAAAGGCAATGGCAGGTTCTAAGTAATCAATACGACATTGTAATAATTTCAAGCAAACAGAGATTTATATTCCGTGCACCTTGGGCAGCAATTACTTTATTCTTCTAACATACTTGTGAGCGCTGCTTTATTTTCACTTAAACCAATTTGCTTTATTGACCAAATCAAGTCCTGTGGCCATAATATCAACCCTTCTCCCAACCTCTAACTCAGCAAATCCAGTTCCCATCAATAATTATGACAAGGGTGGTGATTTCTTTCCTCAAAGCCAAGGCAGCATGGACGAGATCTGTCTAGAGGTATCATTTTCCCATTCTCCCTTCTCCAGGCAGGAGAGAAACAGGCAGGGGGCTTGCCCATGCAGTGAGGCCAAGGGTCAGAAAACAAATCCCAAAGCGTCAAAACGTGAGGACATGGAGGGAGGGAACCAGAAAGGAAGGGAGGGAGGAGTGCAGGAGAAAGAAAGGAGGCTGGAGGAAGGGCATAAAATCTGGGCCATGTACAGCTGGAGCCTCGAGGAAGGTCACTCTGTCCTGCCCAGCACAGCCCCCACATCCCTTTTTTGGCAACAGCCAGTGTGCGGAGGGACCCTGCAACCTCCAGTTCTCCAGGTCGACGTGCCCAGGGCAGGTTGTAAGCAACTTGCTGGGACGTGCCATTAGCTAAAGACCAATGACCTCTTCCCTCCTCCTGTTGGTGCAGCAACTTTGTGCAACTAATCAACTAATTCATTCAACTTCAGAGAGGTAGGCCAAAGCCTCTATGATTGAGTCAATTAATCAAGGACCAGAGTTTCAGGTTTTGGCAATAGTTTTCTTGACCTTTTTTTTTGACTATGTAACTATCTCTCAGAAGCCTTTAACTTACTGCATTTTTTACCCTCAACTGGCCCACGTGTTTCCACTTGTACTCTGGAAGGGCCAGCAATTAGGCCCATACGTCCAGGTTGGTGTCCCTGAGACACAGAGGTGGGCGGTTTTGGGGGGTGAATCCAGCTGTCGTGCAAAGAGGAATGTGCACAACATTTCCTGCACCAGTTACCCATGTCCTTGGAAAGTGTAGACATCTATTGAACTCACAGCCATGGAGCTGAGCTGGGGCCTGGATGCCGGACTGCTACCCTTCCAGCTTCTATTCTCCCCAGCAGGAGCTGCTTTCCTGGGTGGGGGGTGGCAGGATTTCAGAAACTCAGCCAGGAGCTCATGGAGAGACTCCAGGTTAGGGTTCTCTCCTGGTAAAATCTGGTCCCCAAAGGAGCTCACCCTGACTAAACCCTGCCCGTACTCCAGTTCTAATGCTGGGCCCCAGCCTGGGTCCCCAGGGCTGGAATTCCTACGTGTCTTCCATCCACCCATCCATCCATCCATTTCTCCATTCATTCATGCATTTAATTAATTATTCATTGAGTCGCACTTATGCACCAGCACTGTCCCCATTACCAGGTACACAATCATGAACCAGGCACTGTTCTTGGAGTGGGGCCAGATCATGGCAACAGAATCACAGCACACAGAGAAGGATGTACAACGTTGGGTGTGTACAGGGTTCAGAGGAAGCCCAGGGCAGGGCACGACTAACGTCCTAGAAGGTAAGGCTTCCTGGAGGAGTCAGCATCCTAGCTGGGCTCTGAAGGAGGAACAGAAGTCTGCAAGGTGATCCATGCAAAAGTAAGGGACAGCCCAGCAGAGGGCGCTGCTTGATCCCCTGCCTGAATCTCAACTCAGGCCAACCTTCTACCTGGCCCGCTAGTTCTCTGACTCATGAGATGCCTATCAGGCAGTTCTCATGCTGTCTCTGCAGGCACCTTCCACGTTGGCCCTGCCGTCTGGCCCTGCCTTCCTATGTCTGCCCTCATCATTCCTGGCTGGAATTTCTGTGAGATCTTGGAGGTGGGCAGACTCCACCATGCATGTGTGATGTAGCCAATTCTGTATGAGAACGATAGCATCCTAAGTGGAGTTATTTTGACACTGTTCCAGTTTGCATAGGAAACAGAGGAATCAGGCTGCATGTGCTGTGCAATGCACAACTCTAGGAGGCGCCATTCCCACAAACTTCGGAGTGATATATCCCCTGGAATGGTTCAGCGCAATAGCCCCAAGAGGAACATTCTTCACTCATACAAAGAAATATGCTACGTGCTTTCTCTTGAAACACATGGCCCACTTGTACTATCTTTCATTTCCCACTTTTGGAAGAAACCTGGGTAGAGGGAAATATTTCTTTAAGAAAAACCACTGTGCAGACACCATAAGAAAAGGCCACTGCTCTTCAGCCTGAGCACTGGGGAGATAGCCTGAGAGGGTGTGGCCTGGGAAGCCAGATGGCCCACGTCCTGTCCCCCAAGGCTGTGGCTGTCCATCAGTCCTGCCTGTTGCAGCCATGTGGGGATTTAGGGCCAGGAGGTCAGGTCTTCTGATTCTTCAAGAAAAGTCATACATCTGGGTTTGCATGTGAAACTCCCAGATTTCTATATGTGGGTTCAAATATGTATAAAACACTGGAAGGCCCGAGGGCTCTGTGCTTGCAACCCTGGCCCTGAGGGTGGCAGGCTGTTTGCATCTGGAGGCTGTGATCTCCGAGGGGAACTCTGAACCATGGGGAGGATGAAAGGGAAGGAAAGCAGGCTGGGACCCCTCTGGCCAGGACATGCTAGAAGGTGCTAGTAGTTCAGCGCTTGGGTACATTTTCAGGAAGTTCAAATGACCGGAAGCCAGGAAACTCCATGCTCCTCCAGTGTCAAAGTAGAAAGGTGGGTTCACCCACACTGATAGCTCTATGCTGCCTGGTCTAAGCATAGCCTGGGGCAGGGCCACCAATGGAGAGGCAGCTGGTCAGCTGGTCACACGCCCTACCTCTTTAAGAACCCCCACCCCTACATCGTAATGAGGCAGACTCAGTTTGTTGGGGTCTGAGGTCTATATAGTTTGTTCATTTTTTTTTGTTGAGAGACAGGGTCTTGGTCTTGATCTGTCATCCAGGCTGGAGTGCAGCAGTGTGATCATGGCTCACTGCCGCCTCAGCGTCCTGAGCCCAAGAATTTTCCTGCCTCAGTCTCCCTAGTAGCTGGGACTACAAGCACTTGCCATCACACCTGGTTAATTTTATTTCTTTTTAGTAGAGACGAAGTCTCCTATGTTACCCAGGCTGGTCTCAAAACTCCTGGGCTCAAGTGATCCCCCCGCTGTGGCCCCCCAAAGTGCTGGGATTACACTGCACCCAGCCTGGGTATTTTTTTTTTAATGAAAAGAATACATAACTCCTTGTGTATTCAGTTGCAGGGGCCTGGAGACAGCCTGTGACCTGGCCTGCTGATGTCTGCTTGCACTGACTCATCACAGCCAATTATACATCTTTCCTCTCAACTTTGCACTCAATGACATCATGCTGGTAGCCTGAGAATTGGCCGTGGTGGGAGTACTCGCACTATGGAGATTGGCAAATGCCACAGATCAGGCTTTTCCCCCTAGAGAGCTGGTTGTTCAACAGCTACCAGCACAACACTGCACGTGCAAATGAGGGCTCCAAGCTTGAGCATCATTAGCTCCGTGGTAAACTTGCCTCTGATCGTAACACATTTATTAGGCAGGGGCCCATGAAGAACAGAGCAGAGAAAAACCTAGAGCCACGACGTCAGACAGGAGGAAAGACTGTTTTCTGAAGTAGAAGAAAATAGGAAAAGACCCCTTTGAGAGGAACAGGTTTTCCCTTCTCAGTTTGAGCTGGGAATGAAAAAGATTTTAAAAAGTCTTTTTTTCTATCCCCAAAAGGCGAGACTGAACCTGGAGTTTCCCTTTGAAAAGTGCATGGTTTGGGGGCATTTGCTGAATAAAATCATCCCAAATTAAAATCTCATTTCCTTCCAGGGGCTAGAGAGTGTGTCTATTTGTCTGGGGCTAAAGGACCTAAATTCATTTTAAGGGAAGAGATTCATCAGTGAGGACGGGCTGAGAAGCTTCTAGGGAAGATCCTGCCCCAGCTCCTGTATCCCGATGCCCTTCAGCAGAGAGGCCTTGAGGACCAGCGTCCCCAGGGTCTGGCAGCCTCGTGGGCTCAGCCCCACCCCATTCCAGCTGGTGGCAGCCTGAGAGTCAGCCCCGCTGTGCACAGACGCCTTTTGGAGAAGGGTTGTTAGGACCTTGGCAGCCAGGGCTGTGTTGCTGCTGTTGCTCGGGCAGGGGCCTCTCTGTCCTGCCCACTCTGAAGCTGGTGGGGCTGCACCTGGCTGCTGGCTGCTCCCAGGGGCTCAAAGCGTCCTTCATGGTGTGGGGGAGGCCACTTTGCCGACTGCCTGGAGCAGGGGCTGTGTTTGCTTGGACTGGCTGCCGACGGGCAAAGGATCACAGGAAAGGTGTCCTTTCCAAAGACAGCCCTGATGCCCCATCCACTCAATCATGCTTCGCCCCATAAACCGTGGGGCAATGCGTCCCTCCTGCTTAGGCCACATGCCTGCGAGCTCCGAATGCTGCATTTCTCAGCTGTGGGGGAGGAGGCGCCCGCTGTAGCCCACAGCTGCAGATGAATGTCACCTGCTGCCTGCTCAGAGGCTGCTACCTGACTGGACAGGGAGCCCCTGCCTAAGCCGAGGGCTTCCTGACCATGCTTGGTCCAGGACGCTCTCTGGAGCAGGTGATGTCTTGAGATGGCAGAGGGACGAGGAAGATGTGGGCAGGGAGGGGGACGAGAGATCAATGGGGGCAGGAGCCACCAGAGTTGATGCCTGGGGTCAGTGAGACCTTGGCCAGCTGGGATCCCTGGGAGTAGCTCAGGGGACTCTTTAGAGGGTTAGGGCTTCAGGCTGCAGGCAGCGGGGCAGCACTCCGCGGGTGGAGCAGAGGGAAGGCCTTGGTCGGATCTGCTATTTAAATGAGCGTCGCGCCTGCCGTGCAGAAAGCCCTGCGTCCACACCTCAGCCCAGTGCACCATGGAGGCAGCCCTTCACACACTCGCTGGACCCAGGGGCCGGTGTCCCAGCCCCGTCCCTGCCCCCAGCAGCCCTGCCCGGTCCTAGTTTTGTTCCAGAATAGGGAACCCTGGGCTAGAGCCCCTGTCAAGGCCTGCCCAGCTCCAGTAAAATCATGATCCAAATTCTGGGATCTCCAGCTGCCTGTTTAAGGACACCCAATGGTCACAGACTTGGGACTAGGATGCAGAGAAACCGAACCCACAGCAAAGGGCAGGCTGCAGCGGCAGGGACGCAGAGTGAACCCAGGGGCAGGCACCTCCTCCCCGTCCTTTGATTTTGCCACAAAGCCCCTCCCTGCCGCTCACCCTGAAAGTGCTGAGTCAGTTGCAGTTACTTTTTAATGAAAGTGCAGAGCAATTTATTTTGCATGAGAATCTCCAACTATCTGCCCCTCTGGGAGCCAGACTGCAAGGGGTGGGGAAAGGAGCTGTGGGGTTTTATGAGCCCTGTCACTTAATACACACGATGACGGGGGCTGGAATGTCACCTCTGGGGGCTGCCATGTCACCTCTGGGGGCTGCCAGGGATGCTTGGCCCACTCTACCTTTGTCAGCGTTTAGTTTAATGCCACGAGGAGGTTGTTATAGCCCAAGTCTATACATAAAGGATTTACAATTAAGGTTATTAGCATCAGGTGGAACCTAAACTTGGCAACCTTGCATTTCATGCACAGAAATAATCGTGTAGTGCATTTTGTTCTGATTCAAACAACAACAGCAAAAAGACCGGAGCTCACCCACTGTGGGCTTCCCTTGCTAAAACATTTTCACACCTGTGGCAGCGCCCCAGGTTCCTGTGGGGTAGAAGCCTCTTTGAAAGGTGCCTGTGGGTCTCAAAGTACAGGGACTGGCTGAGGTATCACCTCCTGGGGTCATAGGTTGTGTCCCAGGGTGGTGGCCACAGAGAGGTGACAATACTAGGTGGCTGTCTATTAAACCTGCCAGGTGAGGTTCAGGAGGTGTGGTCTTCAGCCAAGTCTCCTGTGTTTGCATCAGTGACATATTCCAAGGTCTTCTCCAGCTTGCAAGTGGCCACTCGTCTCCAGTCCTGCACCCAAGAAAGTGCTGAGGTTTCCCGGGTACAGAAGCTGCACTGAGAAAGCGCAGCTTTGCCCATCTCTAGCGGGTGACTGGGCCATGCTCGCAGCCCAGACGTCCCAGAGCCCCTCCAAGTTTTACTTTAGGACCATGTCACAGGGCAGGTCCTGAGCCCACATACTCTGTCTGACGTAAAGATTGAGCCTGCCCCTGCACACCAGCAGGCTTTCTTCAGGAAAAGACCTGGGGGTGGAGGCGGGCGGCACTCCCTGGGCACTGCAGCTTCCCCAGCCCAAGGAAGAGCTCCCAGCCCTCAGCAGGCATCGCCCCAGAGGACCGGGGGCCCTGCCAGGGGTGCCTGACTTCAGAAGACACATGCTGGCCAATCAGAGCCCCTTGTCACCAGAGTCATTCGTTCATTCATTCACTGAAACTCACTGAGTTCCTCCTTTGGACTCAGCTCTCACCCCTGGCATGGACCTGCCGGCCTTGCTGCCTCAACGGCCTGTGGGTGGCTGGCCCGGGGTGGGGCGGGCGGCCTGTGGTGTCCACATCCCAGCCATCTCCCTTGACTCCCCTTTTTTGGATGGGATCTTCCTAGCCCTCCCCTCCCCTCCTCTCTCCTTCACTCCCTTCCCCTCCTCTTCCCTTCCCTCTGCCCTCCACTTTCTTTCCTTCTTTCTGCATCTTTTTCAAAATCGAGACAGAGTCATCTGTACCAGGCAAAAGGCAAACCCACTTCCTCTGGCCCCAAGGCAGCCTCAGGGACAAGCCATAAACCTCACTTTCGCTGGCCTTTCTCTAAAGTTGAGGACTGCTAGTGGAACCCCAAACTGACCCAGCAGCAGCCCCCCAGGCCCCAACTCTGCCCCCTGTGGTCTTAGGAAGGAGGAGTGAGGAGTCCCCGCCGTGGCCTCAGCTCCCCTCGGCCCGAACGTCCACTGCTGTGACCCTGGACAGCTGCTGGCCTTCTGCGGCCACAGCCCGTGCCGCCGAGGACATGCCAGACAAAGACAGAGGGTGTGGGCTGGCCGGGGAGGTGGGGAGCAGGTAGTGCCACCCCACAGGGCTGGGCCTCAGCTGCCTAGGAGGGTGAGGACTGCCACTTGTTTACAGGGAAGCAGATTTTTTGTGAAACGTGACACAAATTCATTTGGACAAATAACACTCCATCCACAGTGGCTTCTCCTCCCCGGGTCTGCAGCAAGCTCTCCCCGTGTGGCCCCGGGGTGTCAGGAAGATTTAATTCCTCCCTTTCTAGAATGGATGCTTGGAGGGGGATGTTGACGCAAACTAAAAATAGCCCCGCGGCCCCCAGCCTCGGCCTCCAGCCAGCCTGGGCTCTGCTGAACGTTATGATGTTTCTCACGGAAAGGAAAGACTAATGGATTTCTTCCTTCAGGCAATTAAAAAGTGATTTGTCACACACCAAGATGTATGGCTTTGTATTGGCAGATATGAGGCTGCCAGGGGCCTGGCGGGCGGGGTGACCGGTGATGGGAGGGGCCTCAGGAGTCCCATGAGCCCCCAGGAGAGCCAGGCTGGGCAAGGGCAGGGTTCAGGGTCAGGAGAAGGCTCCAGGTACAGTAGATGAGGCTTGACCATGCGGCATCCAGAAGGGCCCTGCTCCTGGCTTCAAGGGAAGAAGCCTGGACGTTTTCTTTTTTTCTTTTCATTTTTTTTTGGGGGGACAAGGTCTCGCTCTGTCATCCAGGCTAGAGTGCAGTGGTGTGACTGCGGCTTACTGCAACCTCTGCCTCCCAGGGTTCAAGAGATTCTCCTGCCTCAGCCTCCCGAGTAGCTGGGATTACAGGTGCACACCACCATGCCCGGCTAATTTTTATATTTTTAGTAGAGACAGGGTTTCACCATGTTGGCCAGGCTGGTCTCAAACTCCTGACCTCAAGTGATCTGCCCACTTCGACCTCCCAAAGTGCTGGGATTACAGGCGTGAGCCACCGTGCCCGGCCGACGTTTTCTAATGTCTAGTCCAGCTGGAGAAGTCCAGGAGCCCCAGACCCCAACTGTCCACACCCCCAGCCTCTCTGACACACTCAGTAGGGAGAGGATGTGACTCCGTGCTTCCTGCTGCAGGGACACCCCACCTCTACCTCCCTTCGGAGTAGCCCTTGGTCCCTCTTGGCAGTTCCTTCTTTGGGGATAAAGCTATCAGAGGTCAAGAGTAAGGACCCAGCCCTTCTTCAGCCCCAGCTGCTTGGTGCCAGGAGGGTCTCTCTTGATTCCTTAGTTTGAGGGCAGGGCAGGTAACCCTGGCCCACCTCCCTCTCTTCTGTCAGCTGCCTGCAGAGGGCACAGCCGGCCTGTGCCCTACCTCAGTGGAGCCTGGAGTGGAGCCCGGCAGGGAAGGGCCTGCCCCTGGAGGGAGGCTCGGGACCCATCCGGCACGTGCAGCAGGGGAGGGGTGCCCCCCGACTGACTGGGGACGCTGGAGGGAGACTCCTGGGCACATCCCCACTGCTGCCCAGCACCCGGGCACCACAGCGCTGGAGGAATTAACCCAGGAGTGTACCTCCAACTGCCTTACTCTTGTTTCTCTCAGTAGGTTCAGAACTCAGGCAGGGAAAACAACGTACTAATTATTGGGACCCTCAACTCCCACCTGGGCCTCCCATCTCTTGTTCCAGATGAAATCCCACCCTTCCCAAAAAGCCGCCACCTGCACTGGTCCAATAAGAGTCTTCTGTCCTGAACTCTTTGGGGCCCCAGGGTCCATTCCACCCTTTGACATTCAGCACGTGGGGCCCTGCTGGCCTGTTTCTCTTTCTGTGTTCCTTCCCTTTCTTTCTTCTTCTCCAGCATGGATTAAATCTCCCTTGATCCATCCACTCATTCATTCTTCTATCAGCGATTGGGCACCCATCGTAAACAGTCACTACCAGGCTGATGGGGAGGCAGGTACTGCCTTCAACTCCAGGGAGAAGAGGGAGGTTGCCAAGCCCTATGCTTTTTGTAAGTTTCAATACCTGACTGGTAAATATCTGTGGCCTAAGTGATGGATTAAAGAAAGAAGCTGAACTCGGGGGGCCGAAATGGGAGGATTGATTGAGCCCAGGAGTTCAAGACCAACCTGGGCAACATGGTAAGAGCCCCGTCCCTAAAACAAACATAAAATAAAAATTAGCTGGGCACAGGGGTGTGTGCCTGTAGTCCCAGATACTTGGGAGGCTGAGGTGGGAGGATCACTTGAGCCCAGGAGGCTGCGGTGTGCTGTGACTATACCACTGCACTCCAGTCTGGGCAACAGAGTGAAATCTGTCTCTAAAAAAAAAATAGAAAGAAATGAAAGAAGCTGAGAAGATGGCCACCTCGGAGGGTGAGTGGCAGTCCTGACTTGAGGGCACTAGTGTGCAAGAATGTCCCCTCCACCAAGAATCCGAAGGCCACACAGGAAGGACTGGCTCAATGGAGACGTCCCAAGGGCTGCAGCTTAGGGCTCGGGTGGGCCCGGGAGCCTCCAGGTACCGCTGGAGTCACCTGCCTCCTTTTCTGTCACTCATTCGCCGCCCCTGCCCCTTCCTCTCTGCCTTTCTTCCACTGCTTTCATTTCCTTCATGGTATTGAACATCTAAAGGACTAGCATGGTGTGAAGCCTCAAGAACGCCAGCAGTTTGGGGCATTTTGTAGGTGCGTTAGAAAAAAATTACTATCTGTTCAAAAGCCAACATTCAGCCCAAAGGTTCTGTGGCCGCCCCAGATGGACACCCAGAGAAGTGGAACAGGACCACCTGACCAGCTCACAGGGCAACCTGCCCCGTCATAGTCCTCTGAAGTCTCAGCCGCTCTGTGGACCACAGGCACGGCATGGAAGGACTGTTTATTCAGTGATGCTGTTCTCAGAAGCTCTGCGCTTCTGGAGGCAGCTCAACTTCAAGACTTTAAGGAACAAAGAGGTAGAGGGAGGGGCTGGGAGTGGACCTGGCGAGAGGGAGGCTCCTCTCCTCTGGGTCCCCCAGCCTAGGGGATCCGGGCACACTTCTCTCAGGCCTGCTTCTGGTCTGAGACCCGTAGTGGGCCAGAATTGATCTCCTTCCTGGAGATCTCCTTCCTGGACTTGGGGTTCCTCTCCCGGAGTCTGGGGAACGAGGTGCTCAGGAGTCCCCTCTGCAGGTTTTTCGAGTAAGGATGGTGGTTGACACTGAGGCCCACCTTGCCTGGCAAAGCACTCAGCAGGTCTGCATGCATTTGCTCATGGAACCCCCAGCGAGTCTGTGAGGTGGCACTGTGATGACTCAGCCCATTTTACAGGTGAAGAGCGTGAGGCATGGAGAGGTAAGAACATCACAGACTCTGAGACTTCGGTGGAGGCACAGTGACAACAAGGCAGGAAAAGTGACTCTTAGGTCACTCTTTGCTCTCACCGGGACTTTACTATTCCCACCTTCCCTCCTTCCCTCCCTCCCTCCCTCCCATCCATGCTTCCATCCCTTCATCTTAACATTTATTGAGCATATTAAGAGGTTACTGGCCAGGCGCGGTGGCTCATGCCTGTAATCTCAGCATTTTGGGAGGCCGAGGCATACAGATCACCTGAGGTCAGGAGTTTGAGACCAGCCTGGCCAACATGGTGAAACCCCGTCTCTTCTAAAAATACAAAAATTAGCCGGGCATGGTGGCAGATGCCTATAATCCCAGCTACTTGGGGGAGGCTGAGGCAGGAGAATTGCTTGAACCCGGGAGGCAGAGGTTGCAGTGAGCTGAGATTGCACATTGCACTCTAGCCTGGGCGACAAGAGCAAGACTCAGTCTCAAAAAAAAAAAAAAAAAAAACAAGAGCTCACAGTGCTGGACATACTTTAGTAAATTAAAAAAAAAAATCCACATTCTGATCTATGGCTATGGAGCTGACGTTTGGGAGGGAAAGATGATAATAATAATAATGCACATGTGATGAGTCCCTACTGTGTGCTCCATATGCAGCTTCAAAGTGGCAGAGACTTGACTCAGATAGATCCAAGTTTGAATCCTGGTTTTTTCACCTAGCTGCTGTGCAGCCTCGGGCAGCTTCCTTAACTTCTCAGACCCTCCCTCATCTATAACCCACCCCCGGGACTGCTGGGAGGATACCTGGGTTACAGTGGACAGCGACATTTGTGAGGCTCCCTGGAGTGGCTTGATTTCCATAAATCACCGAAACAAATGCATGTCCCCAGCTGCTAGGGACCGACCAGAGTGCCGCTCTGCCTCGAATCAACAGACTTAATATTTAATAATAATCTGCTGAAAGGCACTTCGGTCAGCTCAGTGCATCAGTGCCACACTAATAACAAATTACTTCTTAAATTATTAGCCTCGGTTCCTTTCATGAAGCTCTGGTTAAGTTTGTATCAAGGAGGGAGGAGGACGAGCTGGGGCCAGCTGTAGCCTGAGGCCAAGGTGGCTGTGCACGGGCTGTGCCCACACACATCTGCATCTTTCTGTGTGGGTGGCAGCCACAGGTGGGCAGAGGGGTCTGGGCAGGGTGCCGAGGTGCCAGAGAAGGGAGGGTAGCAAGGGCTGTGGGTGGAGCTGACGAGCCCTCCCCAGGTACAGGGAAGTCAACCTCTGCTGGGCCCCAGAGAGACCCCACTCAGCTCCTGGTCGGTGGCAGGGGAGCATGCTGGGCACGGGCAGCAGATGCCCCTCCAAGAATGCCCACCTGTGCAGGAAGCTTCTTATCCAGCCTTTTCTGGATATGTTGCCAGCATGTGGCCTCCCAGGACAGCCTCACTTCTGGGTTACACTTTATCCTGGTCATGGTCGCCATTTATCAAACACCTACTATGTGATGGGCTTTACATTACACCATTTCCATTAAAAACCCAACCACATCTTTATAAGGGAGTGACTGCTTTGCCCCATTTTACAGATAGAGATGTTAAGGTTCCTTGTCTGAGGTCAAGAGCTTGTAGCCAGCAGATCTGGGAGCTACATCCAGCCAGTGGGGCCCATAAGTGAATGTTTTTAACCCATAGACAGCAGAAGTATCACAGAGGAGCAGGGAACGTGGACTCGGGGCCTGCCTGCACGGTGCAAATCCTAGATCCTTCACTTCCATGTGGTGTGAGCTCAGGTTAAGTTACTTAAGCTCTCTGTGCCTCAAGTTCCTTGTCTGTGACAACAATGTTTTCTACCTCGAAGGGTTCTGTGGGGGCTCAGCGAGCGGGTACTGTCGCACGGGGTCAGTGCAAGGCCAGGAGGTATGCGTCATTACTGGGGCCAGATTCCCACATGGTATGCACCGAGAGGACAGAGAGCCCCAGCTCACACAAGAGGAGAGATGCAGACCCAGCCCATGCCATGCAGAGAAGCAGGTGGAGGAATGTCCAAGGTCACAGGGACCTTGAGCAAGCCTGCCCCATGCCCATCTCTGCCCCACTCCTCCCCGCCATGAGGTCCTCTTGACTCCAAGAGCTATCCTGGACTTCTGTAGGCTGTCCTGACCTTTCTATGAGTTTTATGGAGGCCCCCTTCATTCCATATCCACAACAGACCCGTGGGATGGGCAGGGCTTGGCAGAAACTCCTGGTTAGTTGCTAGGAAGCAGATGCTGCAAGCAGTGAGCTGACTTCCCTGGGTGTCACTAGTTACTGGCATGACTAGTTACTGGCATGACTAGTTACTGGCATGACTAGTTACTGGCACCAACCCTGTGCAGGAGTTTCTACCCTACACAGGGGAACAGAAGGCATGGAACACATTCTCACAGACATTGTCAGCTGCTTCAGGATGGAGTACAGCATAATTATTCTTCATTCACTCACTTCATTCATTCATTCATTCATTCATTCATTCATTCATCCATCCTTTCATTCCTTTACATTTGATCTTAGCCAAAAGGCCAAGAAACAGTTCATTCATTCAATAGCTATGTGGTTTTCTAATTCCAATTCTGCCTTTCTCACTGACTTGGTGCAAGTTTCCTGGCCTCGGTATTCCCATCTGTCAATAGGGCACGCCACCATCTTTCCCAGGACCAGCCACTGTGAGGGCACATCCCAGGCCTCATGCAAAAGCTCCTCCCCGAGACCAATGCAGACGCTGACAGCAAAAGTCAGATACCAGCCTGACTCAGAGCTGAGGAACCCAGGCTCCTGGAAAGGAGGCCAGATCTCCGGGGCCCTCTAGGAGATCCCTAGTTGTATTTATCTTTAGAAAGATTTTTTTTTTTTAAAAAACCAAAATATTAGCTGTGGTTAACTTTGAGTGTCAGGCCTTGAAGCTATTTTAATTTAAAATTATTCCTGTCTGTTCTGAAGGTTCTAAGTTTTCATCAATGAACATGGATTGCTAGTGTCATAACAAAGCTAAGGAAGGCAGTGAAACACTAACTCCCCCAGGCCTTTTTCCTTGAGGGCTAAGCCCTGAGTCGACTTTTGTTGTTTTTTTTCATTACCAACAAGGAAAAAGAAATGCGTGGAAAAGCTCAGGAACAAGATCAGTCTGCTCTCGTCAATCTAAAGAGAGCAAGCTTTTTCTTCCCAAGGCAGCGATGGTGTGGGGAGACAGGCAGAGCCACAGGCACCTTTGTCTGGGCTGTGGGATTCTTGGTCCCACTGGTGCAGCAGTGGTCACGGGCTTCCTAACCCCAGGGCTCCGTCTCTAGTGGCTTCAGAGTCCCTTTCTAGGCTCTTGCCGCTGCGCCCTCCAAACCTTCCCCAGCTTCTTGGAGCGATCTCTAGAGCATTGGTGCTGCTGTTTGTCCCAACCTCTGGCAGGTTCCAGAAAGGGCAGGGATTGGGGTGGAGGCTGGGAGAGAACAGATAGGTACAGGCTGAATTTGTGAGGTCGGAGAACCGCAGCCACTTGTGGGGCTCCCAAGTGAGGCACCCTTTCCCCTTAGCTGGTTGGGGGCATGAAACTAGACCTGGGCTTTCAGCTCCCTATCTCCGGGTCGAGGCAGCTTCTAGTGACTTCCAAGAGGAAGAGCCTGGGCTGTGCCCGATGAGCATTCTGGCCTCTTAGGCTCAAGATACAAGGCCCCAGGTCAGCTGTGCTGTGTTTCCCTGCTACCTCCCTGGCCCTGCCCCATCCAGCCCCTCTGCAGGGCCAGGACCCAGGCTCTGTGCTATACTCTTGCCTCTGGTCTCAGCTCCTTTTCAGACTTCCTGTCTTAGGAGCGAGTTTAGATGTCTCAAAGTCCCAAGCTGCCTGGAGAAGCTGCTCTGTATTTTGAGGCCAGAGGTTGACCTGGCGCTGCTTGTCTTCCAGCTTTCTCTTTCTAGCCCAGGGATGACTCTCCAGGGGTGGATCGTCTGGGAGATGATGGCTGTAGGCTGGGACCAACATGATGTCATGGTGAAGAGCTTCTGTGGATTCAGATCCTCATCTGTCACTCAGTGGCAGTTTAGGTCACCTTCCGGAGCCTTAGTTTCCTTCTCTGGAAACAGTCACTCCTTCATGGGGTTAGGGTATGAGTCAAACGAGATCATCAGATATAAAGCTGATCATGGTGGCTACAGTCAGTGGTGGCTTTGAGTTTCTCAGGATGCACAGTCAGGCAGGCCTGGGTACCCCAATCCTCACAGGGGAGAGGAGCAGCCGCTGGCCTGGGGCAGGAAGAGTCAGGTCTGCATGCCCCGGTGATAGCCGTGGGGGTGGAGAGACCTTCTCAGCAGTCAAAGTCCCTGTTGGAAAGGCTGCTTTCTTGGAAACACAGGCCCCAGCAGCTGGGCAAGGAATAACGTAGCTTAATGCCCAGAGACACAAATAGAGTGAACTCTTCAGACACTGCTCCTGGGGGTGGCCAGCCCTGGCTGGAGGGGTGGTCACCCAGCCCCATCTGCTAACAGAGAGCCAGGGCCTCCTCATGTCAGCCTGGTCATCTGGGCAGGCCCTGGCCTGGCCTTGGATGCCCTGAGGGTATCCAGAAGGCTCACTGCTAGAACGCAGGCTGGTGTTCTCCAAGTGAGTGGCTGGCCTCGCCCCTCAGCCAGGCCTGGAGGAACATGCCCTTCTCTGCCATGAATCACCACACACTCATGCTTTGTCCCACCTTTGTCCCTCACCCTTGGATTTCTGTCCAGGACTCCTCCGCCTTCCAATGGCTCTTGCTGCTTTGTTCTGAACCCCGACGAGGCCAGCTCACAGCTGTGGTCTGTGTGCAGTATCCACGGCCTGGACAGACCTCAGGGCTCCAGGCCTCAGCCTCTTCCACTGCAGGGGAGGCCCATGGCCAGCCTCTGTCCAGTCCGTGCAGACTGTGGGGTGGGGGGCAGGGGTGTGCAGTAGCCACGGGCTTAGGAAGGAGAAGCAGAGGTGGGCCTGGGGCTTTGGTGCAGTGGTGGGCGGTGGGGGAGCTCGGGGAGATGCATAGGTTCAGACTGGAACTCCAGCCTCCAGAGCCCCTGGAGCCCCTGGGGTGGGAAAGTGCCATCTCTCTTTCTTCTCACCCCTGGAAACCTCTTCCCCGTGCTTCTGTCCTGCTTATCCTTCTCCTTCTGCTTGCAGTGACAATGTCTCCTCCCTGGGAAGCCTTCCCGTAGGTGTCCTGCCTTTCTTTAAAATGTTGATTTTGTGTTTATCATGGATTTTTTGCATTAATCTTGATTATCAAAAATATTCTATTAAAATATTATTTGGCTTCACAATTTTTTTTTGTACCACCTTAAATTTGTACCCCATGCCAGTGCCTCACCCTGGTCCTGGCCCTGCCAGGCTTCCCAGGTCTGGGTGGGGGCTCCCACAGGCCGTGGGTCTGTGGGATCAGGGGACCCACACTGTCTTGCCTGCCTCCCTCTTCAGACCGTGAGCAGCTGCCCGCCTGGCCCTGGGCGCTAAGTGACATGCGGGCAGTGGGTGCTCAGTAGATGCTCGTGGAAGGAGTGCCCACTGGTCAGGGCTGCCCACCCTTGGCTGTGACCTGAGATGGAGGAGCAGGGTGCAGGGGTGGTTTCACAGATATTCAGATGAGGATGAAATCACCCCGTATCTCTTGATACCTGCAATCATCTTTCCAGCTGGGATTGTTCTGGGGAAAATGAGCCTCGCTGTCCTCCCAGGAGCTGGCCTGATGATGCTCAGAGTCGCTATGAAAAAAACCATCAACTCGGCAACTCTCCAATTCTGTGAGCCTCTGCCTGAGGCCACACTGATAATAATAATATTATTGAAGAGATTTGCATATAAAGAAATTGTTCCCTTGATTAAAAAAAACACACACAAGAACATCAATAGCGTACCATCCTGCGGATGTGGAGATGGGGGGAGCCTGAGCCTCTGCAGAAGGTTCCAGAGTCAGGGCTGGAGCTGGGATGGGTGAGGGGGCTTGTCCTCTGCCTGCTGTGGGCCAGAGGCTCTAGTGGTATGTGTGTGTAGGGGGGTGAGATGGGGGCCTGAGGACCACCACACTGCTCCCACCCTGCTGCAGGGCGGCCCGGAGAAGAGTGGGTGCTGGGGGCTGTCTGGGATACACATTTCCTGGAAAAGGAAAATGGTAGAGCAGAGCAACTCCTGGAGCCTCAGCCAGCCCTGGCCAGCCCCCTGGAGAGGGGATGCAAGTCTCATGCAGCGCGACGGGGGCCGACGCGGGGGCGGGTGGAGTTTGGGTGTTAGACTGCATTTCTCAAGGGCAGGTCTGCAGCCCTTGATTTCTGTACCACAGGGTGCAGGCCTTGCTGAATGAATGAATGAATGAGTGGATATGTGAATGTGTGAATGGTCCACACTGGTTTGTCAGGGTTCCTTTTCCTGAGGGGCCGGGAACATGGCACAGGACAGAAGGCTCAGCCAAGGGGAGAGGGATCGGTGGGGTAGAGGACAGGATTGCGAGTCAAAAACCTGAGCGGGAGGCTGTGGACCCCTTACCCACCGGGCCCTCCAGGATCCTGTGAGGGGCAGGATGTGAATGAAAAGCAGTCCTGGGTATGGTACAAACTGGTGGGTCCCAAAGTTTCTGATTTCAGGGGCAGCAAAGTTTAACAAATGAGGGAACTGCTCTCAGCAAGTCAGGAATAGCAGGAAATTATCTCAGCTTGATAAAAAGCATCTACAAAATCCCTCTGGCTCACATCAATTTAATGGTGGAAGACTGAGTGCTCTTCCACAGATGAGGAATGGGGCAAGGATGTCTGCTTGCACCGCCCTCACCCAACACAGTACAGGAAGTTCTGAGGCAGTAAAGCAGGAGAAAGACGTAAAAGCCACACTGATGGGACAGGAAGAAATACAACTGTCTGTACAGATGACATGATTGCCTAAATAGAAAATTCCAAGAAATCTACAAAAAAAATCTAGAACTAATTAGTGAATCCAGTAAAGCTGGAGGATACAAGATCAACACAGAAAAATTGATTGCATTTCTATATGTTCATCATAAATATGTGGCCACCACAATCACAAACACAATACCATTGATAATAGCTCCAAAGAAAATGAAATTCTTTTTTGTGTGTGTGGAGACAGAGTCTCCTGGGCACTCTGTCGCCCAGGCTGGAGTGCAGTGGTGCGATCTCGGCTCACTGCAATCTCTGCCTCCCAGGTTCAAGCAGTTCTTCTGCCTCAGCCTCCCAAGTAGCTGGGACTACAGGCACGCATCACCATGCCCAGCTAATTTTTGTATTATTAGTAGAGACAGGTGTTTTACCATATTGGCCAGGCTGGTCTCAAACTCCTGACCTTGTGATCCACCCGCCTCAGCTTCCCAAAGTGCTGGGATTACAGGCATGAGCCACTGCACCCGGCCAAGAAAATGAAATTATTATTATTATTATTTTTTTTTTCGAGATAGAGTCTCACTCTGTCGTCCAGGCTGGAGTGCAGTGGTGCGATCTTGGCTCACGGCAAGCTCTGCCTCCCAGGTTCACGCCATTTTCCTGCCTCAGCCTCCTGAGTAGCTGGGACTACAGGTGCCCACTACCACGCCCGGCTAATTTTTTTTTTTGTATATTTAGTAGAGACGGGGTTTCACCGTGTTAGCCAGGATGGTCTTGATCTCCTGAGCTTGTGATCCGCCTGTCTCAGCCTCCCAAAGTGCTGGGATTATAGGCGTGAGCCACCGCACCCGGCCAAAAATGAAATTCTTAAGCCTACACTTCACAGAATGTGTACAGAATTTGTATACTGAAAATGACAACATGCCAATGGAGGAAAATCAAAGACCTAGTACATGAAGAGACACATACCTTTTTCATGGATTGGAAGACCCAACCTAGTGAAGATGTCAATTCTCTTCCGATTTATCTATAGGTTTAATACAATTCCTATCAAAACTGCAGCAATATTTCGGATAGTCATGGACAATGTATCCTATAATTTATATGGAAAGGCACAGGGCTTAGAATAGATACCAATATTAGAATAGAATAGCTAAAACAGGCTTGACAGAGAAGAATAAATAAGAACCCACTCTACCTGATACTGAGGATTAATACAGAGTTATAGCAATCAAGTCAGTGTGATGTCAGAGGAGAGACAGTCATATATTAATAGATCAACAGGGCCAGACACGGTGGCTCACGCCTGTAATCCCAGAACTTTGGGAGGCCAAGGCGGGCAGATTACCTGAGGTCAGGAGTTTGAGACCAGCCTGGCCAACATGGTGAAACCCCATCTCTACTAAAAATACAAAAATTAGCTGGGCGTGGTGGCGCATGCTTGTAATTCTAGCTACTCAGAAGGCTGAGGCAGGAGAATCACTTGAATCCAGGACGCAGAGGTTGCAGTGAGCTGAGACTGCACCACTGCACTCCAGCCTGGGCAACAAGAGCGAAGCTCCTGTCTCAAAAAACCAAAAAAAGAGATCAACAGAACAGAATACAGAACCCAGAAATAGCCCCAACAAACACACTCAACTTATTTTTGACAAAGGCACAAAAGCAATTAAATGGAGGAAGGATAAACTTTTCAACAAATGGTATTGGAGCAATTGGATATCCACAGGCCAAAACCAAAACAAAACACAAAAAACCAAACCCCAGAAACAAAAGGAACCTCGACCTAAACCTTATGCTTTAAACAAAAGTGAACTAAGAATGAATTACGGACTTAAATGTAAAATTATAATACTTGTAGAAAAACACAAGAGAAAGTATTTGGGATCTAGGACTGGGCAACTTAGTCCTAAAAGCATGGTCCATAAATGGAAAATGCTAAAACTGGACCTCATCAACATTAAAAACTTTTGTTCTACAAAAGCTCATTTGGAGAAGATGAAAAAGCAAGCTACAGACTGGGAGAAAATATTTGCAAATCACATAGTCAGCAAAGGACTCGTACTGAGAATATAATAACAAACTCTCAAAATTCAACAGTAAAAACAAGCAATTCCATTAGAAAACGGGCAAAAGACACATAGAGATATCTCGGCAAAGATGATATACAGATGGCATGTAAGCACCTGAAAGATGCTTAACATCACTAGCCTTAAAGAAATGTAAGTCAAAGCCATAATGAGACATTACTACATACCTATCAAAATGTCTCAAATAAAAAATAGTGACAACATCAAATGCTGGTGAGGCCGTGAAAAAACCGGATCCGTCATACCCCGTTAGTGGGGATGTGAGATGGTACAGTTGTTCTGGCACACGGTTTGGCAGGCTAAATCTGCAGCTACCACAGGACCCAGCAATTGCACTCTTGGGCATTTATCCCAGAAGTTCACATAACAACGCACATGTGATGTTCACAGCAGCTTCATTTGTCATTGTCAAAAAATGGAAACATCCGGACGTCCTTCAATGAGTAAATGGTTCAAACAATAGTGGTTCATCCATAACATGGAATAACTCCTCAGAAATAAAAAGGAAGGAACTGTGGAGTGAGCGCAGTGGCTCACGCCTGTAATCCCAGCACTTTGGGAGGCAGAGGTGGGCGGATCATGAGGTCAGGAGTTCAAGACCAGCCTGGCCAACATGGTGAAACTCCGTCTCTACTAAAAATACAAAAATTAGCTGGGCATGGTGGCGTGTGCCTATAATCCCAGCTACACAGGAGGCTGAGGCAGGAGAATTGCTTGAACTGGGACCCAGGAGGCAGAGGTTGCAGTGAGCTGAGATTGTGCCACTGCACTCCAGCCTGGGCTACAGAGCAAGCCTCCATCTGAAAAAAAAAAGGAACTGTGGACATGCAACGGTGGTGGATACACAAACCTACATGTATAATAAATTGTAGAGAATGAAACACACACACACACACACACACAAATGCAAGTAAAAATGGGGAAAACGGAATGAGACTGGTGGCTTGTATCAACATTCTGGCTGTGATATTTATGCCGACATTTTGCAAAATGTTACCACTGGGGGAAACTGGGTAAGGAGTACTTGGGAGCTCTCTGTGTTATTTCTTACAACTGCATATGAGCCTACAATTATCTCACTAAAAATTTCAATTAAAAATGGGGGCGCTGATGGGGTATCATCTTTTAATTTTGCCAAATAAGTCATTAAGAAACAATCACCCTGTCTACCATCACCATGCTTTCATAAAAGAGAGGACATTTTAAAGTGTAATAAAAGCGGGAAGATCAGTCTCAGAATAGAGGACAGTCCTTTGAAAATGAACATTTAGCTTATGAAAAGCCCACCACATTTTTTTTATTTTTCTTATTTCCCCATGGACTGATAAGAGTTTCATCACAAGCAATACAGGATTGAAGACAAGTATTTGGGAACCACTAATATCAAGTGCTGGCTAGTTATATATTATTATGGGGAAGGTGAGGTGTGTGGGTGCATGTGTGTGTTTGTGTGACTGTCTGTCTGGAGGGGATTTTGCAGTGTCTGGCCATGCTGAGGAAGGCTGGTCTGGAAGGTTCTATGGATACCTGGGGAATGAGGTGCCAGGGCCTTTCTTGGACTGGAAGAAGCCAATACCAACATCCTTCTCACACATTCCACAGCAAGATGCACGAGGCTGTGTGGCTCTTTAGGTCCTTGGCGTAGGAGCCTGGGGTAGCTGGGACTGCTGAGAGAAGGTTCCCCACCGCCCAACTCTGCAGCCAGTGCTCCCCAGCTGGGTGCCCAGAAGGGGCCCCTGCTCCCCTCTGGGGCAGCCACCCTAGCAAGGTGGGCAGATGACGGGTGCCCATGTGCTCTTCCCTCTCTGTGGGAGAGACACTCCCACTCAGCCAGACCCCTCCTGTGGGGATCCATGTCTGCCTGTGGCACTCATGATGGATGGGCGCCTGAGACTGGAACCCAAGGCTGTATCCTGCTGGCCCCACCTCCCTGCCAAGACACTTGTACTCAGCACTTCGGAGAGGGGCCGTAACCCAGCGCCTGTCCACACATCGAATAACTCTCAGCCCCAAGTTGTGGTGGTCCATAGACCCCACAGGACCCTGGGAGAGGTGGGCTCCAGAGCCTCACCAGAGCAGACTCTCATTTGGTTTTTAGGCAGGAGGAGGAGGGAAGAGGAGGGGAGAGGAGGAGGGAGGAGGAGGAGGAGGAGGAGGAGGAGGTCGGCAGTCCAGCCAGGGCAGCTGAGGCCTGAGAGGCGGCCAGGTGCTGAAAGCAACAGGGTGGGTTCTTCAAGTGCAAAGCCCTGGAAATGAGTTGGGGGGCTGGTGGACTGGTGGGGAGTCCACAAAGAGAGCTCTGCTAGGGGAGTTGCTTTTTGTGCTGAAGACTTTTGGGTAGGGGAACAACATGGAGTGATGTGTTTTAGAAGCTCCCGTTCTGATGGTGCTGTGGACTGTGGGCCAGCACGGGACAACTGATGTGCCCGAGATGAACAGGGAGACGAAGGCAGTAGTCAAAGAGAGAGGTGAGGAAGCCCCAGGAGGGTGGTGGCTGTGCAGATAGAGGGGCAGGGACCACTGCGGAACATGTAGGAGTAGAACTGACCAGGTTTGAGTCATCCAGATGTGGGGGTGACCAGATAGATGGTGGCACCTGTCAGGGAGAGAAGGAGCCCCTGAGGAGGAGTAAGGGGACAAAGGATTAGCCCAGCATCACCTCTACTGAGGGAGGGGGCATGTCTGTACACAGCTGTGTATGCGGCCTGAAGCTCAGGGTTGGCTCTAGGCTAGATTTCAGGATTTGGCATCATTGGCCCGGGCAATGAGAGTGGCAGAGGTGGCTCAGGGAGGAGAAATTCAGTGAGACGGGGCCAAGGAAGGTCCCTGGCTGAGGAACACTGGAGGAAGAACCACAAAGCCTGGCAGAAGCCCTGCCTGCATCTCCAAGGCTCCTTGAATGCCTCCAAAGGGATCCTGGGCTTCCCCCTCCACACCAGGCTCCAGGCGTGCAGAGCTCCTTCTGCCAAGACAGCCTGAGCAGTGGCCATGCTGGGGAGCCACCTGTGGAGCTGCCGTGAGCAGGAGCTGCCCTCCTCCAGGTCTGGCTAAGACTTCCCCTGTGCCCCCACCTCTCCTGGCCCCTGCCCACCTGCCGAAGCCTCAAGGAGACAGGTGAGGGCTGTCCCCAAACTCCTCCTCAGTGGCAGAAAGCTCTGTGCCAGCCGGCATCAGGGCACCTCTGGCATCTCACCTTGTAAATGAGCTTTTGATGATTTGAGAAGACTTCTAATTAGAGCACCTGTTTATGATCTCAACTTTAATTGCATATTAACATTTTTTCTTCCTTTTCCCTTTCCATCTGGAGTGGGCTGTCTGGTGATGGATGGGGCAGGGAGGAAGGCCAGAAGATTTCCTTGAGAACTGCCTTGCTCTCCCCAGGAGGGCTCTGCTCCTGGCACAGGGCCGGGGGCCCCCTCCCCTGGGGACCCAAGCCATCCCAAGTACTGGGGCTGGCAGGCCTGGAGCCATCACAGGCCATTTTTTCGGGAGCACTCAATGAGGGTATGGCCAAGTTTGACCTCAGAAGGGAGATGAGTATGCACCAGGCTCCCTCTGCCCATGGGATGGATGTGTGGCTCCTCCTGACTTTTTGTTCTGACATTGGCTTCTGGAGAGATGGAGGCAGTGAGTGAGGGGCACCTTCCTTTCCAGGAGTCAGCTAAGTGGAGCTGTAAGACATGCCATCCTCCCTGCACCAGGCCAGCCCGGCCCTTCTCCTGGAACCAGCGCTGGGTGGGCACAGGTCCATTTCTCCTGAGGGCAGTGTGGGCGGCCCAGGCTCCTGGACCCCAAGGCGGCCCGACAACACGCTCTGTTCATCGGCTGTCTTCAGGGAGGGATGGTGCTTCTCCCACAGGCAACTGCCCCGTGGGGGGACTTCAGGGGCTCTGCAATCAGCCTTCACCTAAATGGGCCCTTCTAAATGGGTGGAGACACTGACCTTGGGGGTGTCACTGGGCTCCTGGTGAAGTTGATGTGGATAGGGGTCAGGCCCAGGATGGAGAGGCCGGTGGAGGGAACAGAAGAGCCATATTAGGGATGGAAGCCATAGGGCAGCTCAGCCTCTGGAGAGATCCCGCCACACCTCCGGGAGGGGCTTCTAGAAGTCTGGGAATCCAACTGCCAGCTTCGTTTTACCAGGTAGTTTTTCAAATTGTGTAAGACACAGTCTCCAAGCAGCCTGAGAGTTGCTGATAGGAGCCATATCCCTGACACGTGCTTGCTAAATATAACCTGACTCTGGGATCACGGTCCCATCCACTTCTCACATCCAGCTCTGGCAGACACCACTTAGCTACTCATATGTCCTCTTGTCCCCCAGTGGGAGAAGCTTCTCTGAGCCCTTGGCCCTCTTATCTAGGCTGGAAAATCAAGAGTTTCTGATGGTTCAGTCAATTGCCCAGGCTCAGTAAGCAAAGGGCTTAACCCTGGGCTCTCAGAGCCAGGTGCAGGAGGGGTCCTCCAGGCCTCCTGGGGGGATCATCGTCCCTCATGGCAGGACTTCTCTTTAAGGGACCTTGGCTCAAACCTCTGCCTGGACATCCTCCAGGGGTGTACTCCGAAAGTACATCGCCAGGACTGAATGGATATCGTGTTCTCTCCCTGATGGGGGATGCCCAGACATGGTAGACAGAGGATGTGTTGGTTGCTCTAAGTGTCTCTGACCCTGAAGATTTGAGAATAAGCCCCAGCCGTCAGCCCCTGCTCAATTGCAGTCACCCACCCAGGAATTTCCCCAACCCTTCTTGAGACTTCATATCTGTTTTACTTTTTCCTTCCTTTGGAATCATAACATTAAAGAGATGATATATACCAAAGCACTTTGTGAAAGGAGAGTTAGCAGCAACTACTCAGAAAAGGAGCTAACATTTAGTAGAACCTACTAAATGCCAGGTTCTGTGCCAGGTCCTGCAATCCTTGCCATTATCAGAACAGGATTCGTGTACCCATTTCACAGGTTGGGGAACAGCTTTAGGGAAATTAAAGTCCTTGGCCAAGGTTGCAGGTAGAAGTGGAACTCTCCTGTGAGGTTCCCCTGTGACCCAGCAATCCCATCTCTAGGGATTTATCCCAAGGGTATAACCAGACCAACATGAAAAGGATAATTAGAAGGATCCTGGTTATTAATGATGAGTAATTAGGAATAATCCAAACATCCCACGCTCACGGACTGGCTAGATAAGTGATGGAGTATTTGGAGAATGGAATATAACGTGGCCACGAGAAAGGATTATGCAGATCTATGTCCATCAGCTTGAAAAGATGCTCATGTCAGCAAAAAAAGTAGATTACAAGATAGCAGTGGCTAATATCTGCCCAGAAAGAGCTCAGAAGTTCAGACACTAAAATCTGAAGAGTTACTATCTTTGGAAGGTGGGATTTCACACGATTTTTATTACCATTCTACCTTTTTTTAATGATTAGATTTTTAAACATGGGCATGGATTATTTTCATAATGAGAAATAACAATAGAGCTATGCCCATTTTACAAACAAGAGCCCTCTCAGGGTCTCCTGTGTGACTCCCTTTGCTGGCAGACAGGGCTTCCTTCCATTTGTCTAAAAATATGCAACATTTCTTCCCAGTGAGCCCCTTCTTCTGGCCTGTGGGGAGTGGAAAACAGGTCTGTGACATTCTGCTGGCCTTCTGTGGTCTCTTGTGGGTGTGACCACCTCAGTCCCTTCCTCTTTTCTGTGTGGGTTTTGCAGGACAGTTCCCTAGCATTCCTCTTGTCTTGGGGTGGAGAAATGAAGAACATGAAATCCTGAAATGTCTAAGCAGGAAGGAACCTCAAGGAGCCATCTGGTCTACCCTGTGCCTCTTTCTTAGCTGTTCCCACTGTCAGCCCAGCCATCCAAAGCATCCAGCTCTGAAGAGGCTTCTCCCAGCCAGCAGAGGGGCGTGTGTGCACTGGCTCTGGCCGGTGAGCTCCCTGGCTGCCCCAGCTGCCCTCCACGGCCCCTCCTCCTCCCAGCCCCCAATTCCACAGTGTGACTCCAACAGGAGGCTTCGGGACAGCAGAACAATTTAATTCCTATTACAGTATAAAAATTAATAACATTAAAATGTCATGATCATCCCACACTAATTAAGCATCTAATGAATAATTAGCTGTGGACACATCTGACATTTTGGTCATTAATTTGAGCAAGTGTTTTAAGTTCCAAACAAAACCCCTCTGTGGTGGAGCCCACGACTCTGTGTTAAGCGGTGGAGACTTACAAAGTCAGCGCACGTTCCCCAGCCGGCTGGGAGGCTTGCTGATGGAGGCGGGAGTGGGGTAGGTTCTCCTGCCCTGGTGGGGGCCGGTCCAGGAAGGCTGATGCAGAGCCCACCTTCTCTAGCTTGGGAGGATGTGACACAGGGCAAGGGCATATGCAAAGACTCAGGGGACATCAGTCCCTGAGACCTGGGGTAAGAGCCACCAGGCTCCACAATCCCTTTGCATCGGCTGTTCCCACTCAGAGGCTGAAATCAGACAAACCGTGCCTATTTGGGACCCATGTCCCACGACCTGCTGCGCCCATGGGTCTGTGAAATCACTCAAGGAAGGAAAAGAGTCGTGGAGTCTTAGCAGACCAGCAGATCCTGGGAAAAAGTGAAACCAGGTCTGTCCAGGGCTCGCGAGAGGTTAGCTTAGCAGGGGACGAAGGAGGGGAACTTGGGAGCCTGGTGGAGCCTGGACTCTGGATTTGCTCACTGGTGCCTCTCGCTCCGAGATGAGCTGCCCGGGGGGTGGAATAGGGTGTAGGGAGAAGTCATCCTGGCTAAGAGGCAGCCCCAAATCCTGTCAAGAGCCCTGGCCCGGGTTTAAACTCAGCTGTGCCCATCCCTGGCTGTGCAGCCACCCCTGACTGGGCCATGTGGTGGGCATTGGGCTGTGAGCTAAGTACTTACATACATAAGCCCATGAGGAAATTGGGCACCCAGAGGTTGAATGACTCACCTGAAGTCACATACAGAGGCAGAGCCCGGACAGGAATCAGGTGTTTTGGTGCCACAGTCCGAGACTTAGGCAATGCTCCTTAAGGCCTCTTTCTTCCTGATGTCTCAGGAACCCTTCCAAGGCCACAAGAGCAGGAAGCTGCCAGGGCCAGATAAGCTCTGCCGGTGAGTGACATGAGCAAGGGGACACCTGGGATGATCCCAGGTGGAGGCAGCCGGGGAGGACCAGCCTGATGATCCCAGGTGGAGGGAGCCGGGGAGGACCAGCCTGATGATCCCAGGTGGAGGGAGCCGGGGAGGACCAGCCTGATGATCCCAGGTGGAGGGAGCCGGGGAGGACCAGCCTGATGATCCCAGGTGGAGGGAGCCGGGAAGGACCAGCCTGATGATCCCAGGTGAAGGGAGCAGGGGAGGGCCGGCCTGATGATCCTGGGTGGAGGGAGCCCAGGAGGACCACCTGGCTCTCAAAGGGGAGTAGGAGGAACAGACATTTGCTCTTTAGGTTTTTCCTCTGGGACTGTTTTGAATCTCAGTCTGCATCCCAAGCAGGTGCTCTGCAGCGAATAATGGGGTGGTGGGGGGCGGGCCTCTTGGGCCCCGAATGGAACATTCTCAGGCACTCCAGGCCCCACAGCTCCAGGTGGATGTCTGCACCAGGACCAGGCTGCCCAGTGGGAAGAGGATTCCTCTCTTCCCACTGTCTGCTCATGCCCCTTGGCTGGTTGGCCAGAAGCACCCTGCCACAGGTCTCTGCCCCTTGGGGCCTTACCCTGCAGTCTGGGCACAGGGCTCTCCCTGCTTGCATTTCCCAAATGAGTTGTTTCTATGCAAAAGGATCTCTCTTTTCTCCTTAGGACAAATCTCATATGTCCTTCAAAGTCTTTCCAGGAGGCCACCTCCAGCCCCTTCCCAGCCCCTGGTGCTCCCTCTGACACATCTGCAAGTGCTCCGTGATGCCATGCCACATCATAGGTGCTCAAGGAATGTTAACTCAATGCAGAACAAGTCAATGCCCTTCCCCACTCATGCCCTTCCCTTCTGGAGCACCTGGCTCCTGAGCAGAGAGACTCTGGCCCAGGCACTGCCTGTCTGCCCTGTGTTTGGGCAACTGCTCTTTGCTTGTTTCCTCTTGGGGTGGGGTCTGGCTAGGAAGGGCTGGAGGTCTAAGGAGAATCCTCCTCTTTCCTCCTTGTGCTAGGGAGCTGGAAGAGGCTCCGAGGCATGGAGATCTGAGCCAGATGTGAGGGACTGTTCCCTCTCTGGGGAGAAGTCCTTCTTCCTTGGATGTTGTCATAGGTTGATTCACATCCCCCAAATTCATTTGCTGAAGTCCCCAGTGCCCCAGAATGTGATCTGACTTGAAAAAGGCTCATTGCTGATACAATTAGTTAAGATAAGGTCATTGGAGTAGGGTGGGCCCTGATCCAGTGTAACTGGTGTTTGTGTGTGTATGTGTGTGTGTGTGTATGTGTGTGTGTGTGTATGTGTTTTTGAGACGGAGTTTCACTCTTGTCGCCCAGGCTGGAGTGCAATGGTGCAATCTTGGCTCACTGCAACCTCTGCCTCCCAGGTTCAAGTGATTCTCCCGCCTCGGCCTCCAGGGTAGCTGGAATTACAGGCATGCGCCACCACGCCTGGCTAATTTTGTATTTTTAGTAGAGATGAGGTTTCTCCATGTTGGTCAGGCTGGTCTCAATATCCCGACCTCAGGTGATACTCCCATCTCGGCCTCCCAAAGTGCTGGGATTACAGGTGTGAGCCACCACGCCCAGCCTGTAACCGGTGTTTTGGTAAGAAAAAGCCATGGACACAGGAAGAAGATCATGTGAACATGAAGGCAGGGGTCAGAGTGATCTTTCTACAGCCAAGGAATTGCAGCAAACACTGGAAGCCAGGGGAGAGGGCCGGGACAGACCCTCTCTTCCAGCCTCGGAAGGAACCGACCCCTTGATCTTGGACTCTGGCCTCCAGAGCTAAGAGGCGGTAGATTCTGTTGTTTAAGCTGCCCAGTCTACGCTGCTTTGCATGGCTGCCCTGGGAAACTCACACTGATGTCCCCACAGGCCTCTCCAAGCTGAAATTCCAAGGTGGCTCTCCTGACCCCACCCAGCTGCCATTACGATGGCAAGACCACGAGTCAGCCTGGAAGTTTCTCTTTCTCTCCCACATCCTAGCATCTGGCAGGCCGGTGGCTTGACCTCTGAATCTGCCCAGAATCGGCCGCTTCTCCCCACCCCACAGCTCTACCCTGGAGGTCCGCATCACCTCCCACCTGGGTCGTCACAAGCACCTCCCTGGTCTCCCCTTTTCCCCTATGGTGTCCCTGCAGTGAAGGGGGCACGGGGTGGTGTTGGGATGGGAGTCAGTGCCTGTCACTCAAAACCCACCAGATTCTCACCTTGCTCAGTGGGAGGCCAAGCCTTTCCAGCAACTCAAGGGACCCCTGCCATCTTCCCTTCTGGCACTTTCTAGTACCTTTTCTTCTGCCATTTTGCAGCCTCTGCTCACTTCCACAAAGAGGTCTCTGCCCTCTCTGACTGTCCCCTTGCCCTGATGCCCTGTCCTACCTAGTCTTCTCCTGGCTCCCTCCCTCCCAGCCTCCAAGGCATGGCTCACAGGAGACACCTTCTCAGGGGCTTGTCCTGCTGGCTTTGGGAGGATGCACTTCTGTTCAGCAGCTAGTATTGCTTCCTTCCCCACTCTCTATGTTACGGATGCTGGGTTTTGCTATGTAACTTGCTCTGGCCAGCGTGATAGGAGTGGATATGACTTCCCTGTGTCTGAGCAGCAGCTTGCATGGCCAACGGCCCTCCCGCCTTCTGCTCTCAGAAAACCAAGCCCCAGTCCAGGTCCAGGGCGAGACCCCTGGAATAGACTTGAAGCCACCCCTCAGCCTGGACACAGCCACTGAATCTGCCTACAATCAAATAACTATGCGGTCCTGTCAGCCGCTGAGATTCCCAGACTGTTTGTTACCGAGCAGTGTTGCCGCAAACCTGACTAATTTGCTACCCTTGCCCCACCATTTGAAATTGCATCTTGTCATCCCTCCAGGACCACCCCAATCTCCCCCTTACAGGCCTTGTCTGGCTTTATTGTTTCTTTCCCATAACACTGATACCTTCCACATGTTACATAACTGATGATTCTGCCCATCGTTTGGGGCCATCTCCTTGCCCCTGATGCAAGGTTCTCTGCTTTATCTTTGGCATATTCCAGACACCCAGAACAGTGATTGGTACAGAGCAGGTGCTCAGTAAACATTTCTGAATAAATGAATGAAAGAATGAATGAATGAAAGCACTTTCATGAGCTGACAGCTTGTGCTCTCCCAAGGAAAGGCCTCAGTTCCTTCCAGGCAGCTGAGTGGCTCCCAGTCCCTGAGTGGCAGCTGAGCGCAGAGCCAGGCAACCCATCTATCCAGATAAGCCTGTGGTTCCTGAATCTGGATTAGAAATTCTAGGAACCTCAGAAGAAACTGAGAAAACAAAGAGAGCTCCCTGCAGACTGCGATTTCTTCTGGCCTGTGTTCTTGTCTCCCAGGGGATGGTGTATTAGGTGTTTCCTCTACAAAGTGGAGTTTGGGGACCAGGAAAGCCGCCAGCTCCACAGTCTCTGCCCAGGTCCCAAGTGCCCAGGAGCCCCAGCCACGGGAAACACCTGGCCAGATTCTAGGGAAAGGGGAGGTCCAGGAAACCTCACCAGCCTTTTGAGATCTGGCAGCAAGAATCTGGTGAGAAACTGCCTCTGGTGGGGTCAGAATACACTGGTCAGAACTCCAGAACTCCAGATGGCTTCCTTCCCTTCTGCTGGACCCCGGGATGTGGGGAATGCCTAGCAGCAGCTGGAAAAGTTCCCAGATGTTCCATGTGATGGAGAGACAGCCACAGACATATCTCAGGAACACCTGGGCACCCCAGGATCCTGTGCCTTTGGGCTATTCTCCCAGAACAGGAGCTTGTGTCCATGGTGATAATGATAATTATCATCCTGCACATGCTTAAATGCCACAAAGATGCCAAGTGATTTACATTCATTATTTCTTTTTCTCATAACACTTAATATATGGGTGATGATCCCCACATTACAGGAAAGAAAGTGGACACTCAAGGTCACGGAGCTACTAGGGTGTCCCTCCAGGATGTGAACTCAAGGCTTTCTGATTCGAAGTCTGAAGTGTCCCCTGGTGCTATCCTGCATTATCCTGGCTTAACTGAAAGTTGATAAACCTACTATGCAAGGTGCCCTGCTAATTGGGAAGGGGGTTGGAAATGCTCGTAGGCACAGTTCCTGCCTTCCAGGAGGCTCGGCTGACACCCAGTAGCAGGTGCTGAGTTTCTGGCTGTGGAAAGAATGCCTCGGGCAATCGGGCGAGTGCCGAAGGAGTAACACACACGGAGAGTTTAAAGAGGGGAGGCTCGAAGCTCCCAGGAGCCTCCCTGGAAAAGGTGGCTTTAGAGTGGGGCGATGGAGGGTGTAGGATGTGGACAGGCAGATGGGGCAGGGTCACGCTGGCAAAGGTACAGTGACTCCCAAACCACCGGGACCCCAAGCAATGCTCTCAAACAAAAGTAGGAATTACAGTGTGTGTTTATGAACTGGGATGCCTGGAAGGTAGAGAGCCATCCTGGAGCAGGAGGACAAAGGTCCTGCTGTCCCCAGTAGGGTAAACACAATGGAGGAAACTCATTTTATGTGAGTTTCTGGAAAGGCTGGAGGTAAAGGCTGCTTGTATAAACCACACATTCTCGCCCCAAGAATTTCATCACTTGAAAGATTCTTGACGTCATTTCTGATGGATTGTTGATGGACTCTGGAACCTCTGTGTGAAATCCTCTTCCTTCTCCAGTGCCTGTGGCAGACTGGGCTCTGCCCATCGCAGTCATAGTACGAGCTACAGCTGTGACCTATGTGTCACTATTGGGAGGGCACTGCCCCTGATCCTCTTAACAAGTGGGAAGGTGGCACTACCTTCCTTCCCATGGGACAGGTGAGCCCCCAGGGGCGAAGCAAGGTGCATCAATGCCAGCAGGTGTCAGAGGTGGGATGGACCCTCCAATGCCAGCCTGGGAATCGCTGAACAAAACAGCCATTCTGGGCTCTACCCCAGAGTGGGGCACCCAGAATTCCCGGGGGTGGGGCCCAGGCATTTGCATATTTTTTACAAACTCCTTAGACCTAAGAACTGTTGGCCTTTACCCCTTCAATATCCCAAACAGGTGACCCTTGGTAGCTTGCCCTTTAATGAAAACGGGGAGTGTTATCTCGAGTGCCGTCGTACCAAGCGTGGAATCTCCTCCTGATGTGAAAATCAGTCTGAAATGTATCTGTTGGGTCACTGGGTCAGGAGCTTGTACAAAGGGGGCCTGGATGGCCTCGGAGGACAGTGTTTTTTTTTTTTGTTGTTTGTTTGTTTGTTTTTGCAGGATGACTCGGGAGTGACAGAGGTTGTGGTCACTGAGAGTCAGGGTAGCTTTTCCCCCTTGGTCGCTGGGCTGCTAAAAAGCTTCATGGCCTTGTGAACTCATGGAAAATCCTTTATGAGCAGACTTTGGACCACATAGCTCGCCTGGCTGGCAAGGGGAGGCCCCATGTCCACATCCCCTCACACCAGGAGGCAAAGCCCAGGTCTCCTAGCCTCTTGTTCTCTGTTGTAGGCCGACTGGATGTCCCCACCTGGGGGCATGGAAGGGACCCAGCAGCTGTGCACCGTAGGGTCCCAGCCTCAGGCCTCAGTACGTTTTTACGGCCAAGTTATAAACCTCTGAGAAATGGGGTTTATAATGGAAACTCTGACACCACCTAAAATACAGCAGCACTACTGGGTGCTCCCAGAATACAGCCCTAATTTATAAACCACTCAGGGATCCTGGGCCATTCTGAAACTTACAGACAATAATCCAGAAATAGAGTAAACCAGGAGGGGAAAGAATGGTACAAGTGTCTGTGGACTATAAAGCCTGCTGGGTCCGACAGTTTAGAAATCAAACCCGTGTCACGGTGTTTTCTCTCTGTTCTGAATCCTGGCTCCCCCGACCCCCAAGTGTTGCCTGGCTCTGGGGAAGGCAGCTCTGTCATCTGGCCAGCGCTGCTCTGTTTATCTTCCAGCTGTATTTTTAGCGTGAGGATGGGATAAAGTGAAAGAGAGAAAAGGCGCCCAGGCTTTGGTTTGATGTAACAGATGCATTTGTAAGACGGTTCCAACACACTCTCCTTTAAATTGAAAAAAGTGGTGACAGAAGCAACCTGCTTATTCTTTAGGGACATGAGGTTCCCAGTAGATGGTGCTTCCATTTGCTGCCTCCAGCTCTCTGCTCAGCCATCCCAGTGGGGTGAGTATCTTGCCTGGGGGGACCCACAGCAGCCAGGGAGCCCAGGACAGACCCGGGAAGGGAGGCCCAGGCTTGTCCTGCCCATAGCCTGTAGCGCCTGGTCTCAGGCCATGGGCATTTTTTTTGCACGTTTTCCAGCCCTGTATGGGAAGGGGCCTTCCCTTTCTTCCTCATTAGCTGAGTGAGTTGCAGAAATCAAGAGGGGGAGAAGGTTTGCAGGGAGCTAGAATGCATTAATTTTGGCAGACAGGCTAAGTGGGTGTGGATGCCCCTCTCCTCCAGGGCCAGGGCTGGGAGGCCTTGTCTTCCTGCTCCCTCTCCTATTCTAGGACTGTCCCTCCCTCCCTTCCCTCCCTCCACCCTTCCAACCTTCCTAACCTCCTTCCATTCTTCATCTCTTGCCCCACTTTCCTCCTCCCTTCTCTCTTCCCTCCCTCCTTCCCTCATTCACTGACTCAACAAATATTCTCTGAGCCTTTGCCCTGAGCCAGGCACAGTGCTGGGTGCTGGGGGCACAGAGGTGACTCAGAGAACTCAGGGTGAGCAGGGAGGTCATACCTGTCAACACGCAGATGCATGAAAGCAGCATTTCCCGCCCACTTTAGTCCGCCCCCTGCTTTGCTAGTCTTCTTTAGTGCTGCAAGGAATTTCAAAATAATCGTCAGGACTAGCGACAAATCAAAGTAGCAGGATTTTTGAGGAGGCTTTTTCAAGCCTCACCAGCCCCACGTCCCAGCTTCCAGGGGCCTCTGAAGCGCCTCTTCCGACGGGTGTGGGATGCAGGAGTCAGGCCCTCTGCCCACCACTGGTGCTCCCCATGGCTGTGACAGGGGTCTGTGGAGGGTCCACCGGAGGCCCGGGCCCGGCACTGCCCTGCTTCAAGCCCAAGCTCAGAGTCAGGGCCCCAGGCAAAGCCCAGCTCCACCTCTCTGGGCTCCAGGTTCCCCATCTATAATGTGACAACAGCACCACTTCCTACCTTCTCAGGGTACGGAACCGATTTGATGAGATCATAAGCGAGGGCTTCGCTCCCTGTTTGGAACACAGCCAAGTGCCCCATAAACCCCACTGGTATCGTCATGACTTGGTGAAGGAACAAGTGGGCATTACAGAGTGGGAGCCACGTGGCAAAGCCCTGGGGCTTGGACCAGCATTCGGTCAACAGACACACGCTGGAGAGCTGCGGTGTGCCAGGCAGGGAGGCCACCGAGTGCCCAGCTGGGAAGACCCGGAGGTGGGGTGGAGGCTTGTTAGGAGGCTGGCGCAGGTGGCAGAGGCTGCCCGCTCAGAGCTTGGACTCCCTTTGCAGGTGGGGTCCAGGTCTGCTCTTATCTGGACGTGGCCCGTGGGCCCCAAAGTTGCCAGCAGACTGGAGAGGCCCCTGGGGCCTGGGCCCCTACCTGTTGCCTGCTCGGGGGCTGGCGCTTGCAGCTTCCCTCCACCCTGCCTCCCTCCTTCCTGCACTTCCATCTTGCAGGGCTCCTCGGAAAATGCAATTTGAGTCAAGCCACTTTCAATTACTAAGATGCTGTGTTCTGAGCCCACGAGGTAATAAAGGGCCTGTTTGCCCTCCTGGGAATGTTGGGGTTTTTCAGGTGCCAAAGATGAGAGAGAAAGGAAGTGAGGCCAAGAGCTGCTTGGGGGAGTAAACAGCTCCGATAGACCCCCGTGCCAGGCGTGTGCCCCCTCCCCAGCCTGCAGCCTGCAGGCACCTGTGCAGAGACGGCTCCTCACATCAGAGCAGCCAGGAGGCAGGGAGAGCCGGAGAGCTGGAGCTGGTAGGGGTGTGTGCAGCCGTGTGCAAAAGGCAGGGTGTGTGCGAGTGTGCAAATATGTGAGCGTGAGTTTTGTGTGAGCAAGTGTGTATCGGTGAGTGTGCCACTGTGAGGGTGTTATGTATGTGAGTGTGAGCGTGTGTGTTGTGTGAGTGTGGGAGTGAGTGTGAGTGTGTGAATGTGAGAGGGTTAGAGGGTGAGCATGTAAGTGTGGGTGTGAATTTTGAGTGTCAATATGAGAGCAAGTGTGAATTTTGAGTGTGATAATGTGAGCATGAGTTTTGAGTGTGAGCATGAGATGTTAGTGTGAATTTTGAGTGTCAGTATCAGAGCAAGTGCAAATTTTGAGTGTGTGTGAATTTTGATTGTGAGTACATAAGTGTGAGTGAATTTTGAGTGTGAGCAAGAGATAGTGTGAATTTTGAGTGTTAGTATGAAAGCGAGTGTGAATTCTGTGTGATTTTTGAGTGTAAGCATGGGTGTAGTTCTGTGTGAGCATGTTAATGTGAATTTTGAGTGTAAGCATGTGAGTTTGCATTGAGTGTGAGCATGTGAGATTTTGTGTGAGCATGATGCTAGTGTGAATTTTGAGTGTGAGCGTGTGAGTGTGCATTTCGAGTGTGAGCATGAGATGTTAGAGTGAATTTTACGTTTCAGCATGAGGTGTTAGTGTGAATGTTGAACATTAGTATGAGAGTGTGACTTTTGAGTGTGAGCGTGTGAGTGTGCGTGTGAATTTTGAGTGAGCTTGTGAGCATGTGTACATTATAAGGGTGAGTATGAGATGTTAGTGTGAATTTTGAGTTTCAGTATGAAGTGTTAGTGTGAATTTTGAGTGTTAGTATGAGAGTGTGAATTTTGAGTGTGAATTTTGAGTGTGAGCATGAGACTGTGTGTGACTGAGTGCACAGGTGTCCGGTGGTGGGTTGAGGAAGCCCAAACCTCCAACCTTCCCCCTGGGAGTGGGGCCGGGGCTCCAGGGCAGGGCTGGGCTGGGCTCACTTCCCTCCTCTGGGAACCGGGCTCAGGGCCCTGGGGCACCTGGGACTCAGTCCCACCCCTGCTCTCCTTTGCCACACCTGGAAGATTTTCCTGGTTCTGGTGTGTTCCTTTCATTCCCAGTTCCTGCTCCCAAGTCCTCATGCTGAAGCCCAGTGCCACAGCGAGGTTATAGAGGGTGGGGGTGGTCTGTTCCCCAGGCAGCCTCTGGCCGGCTTCCTCCTCTGCGATTCTCCACCCTCCGCTTCCCTCTGGTCTGGGCCGTTCTGTCATCACTGATGTGAAGAGCTCTGCCTCCCCTTCCACTGGCTTCTGCTTTCCACACTGCTGCAGCCTGCCCCCACCAAACCTGCCCGCCTGAGAACCTGGGTGAGGAGGCCTCTCGGACTGGGAGGGCCAGGTGAGGTCGTGCAGGTGAAGCGCCCACAGGTCAGCTGTGCCCGCTGGGACCTCAGCAGCCCTCGCTCCTGTACCCCAGGTGACCATGAGCACTGGGGCCGGACACCCAAGACCGTCCCAGACTGAGAAGACCAGGTACAGTGGACCCTGCTCAGCGGACTGTGGTGTCCCCCTGTGCCACCCGAGGACATTCCAAGGTTATCTGTCAACACTTCTGCCAGACCCAAATGTGCTGCCTCATGTGGCCTCTGGGTGGGCTGTCTCCTGGCCTGGTCCCCCCACCTGACCATGGGAGGAACACCCTGCCCCTGGGGCACCGCCAGGTCCCTGAAACTGCAGCCCTGGGTGGGTGGCCTCATCTGAAGTCCAGGTCCCCTCCCGGCCCCATCTGGGCCTGCACAAGCTCCTTTTCCCGCTGTCTCCAGCAGGCAGCTCTGGGGCCGTGGAGAGGGTGGGCTGGAGCTGGGGGAGGGTGGCACGCTCTGTCTGTCCTGGGCCGCCCAGGACTGTTTTTCTTTTGCACTAGACGCCCACGTCCCAGCACACCCCTCAGGTAGGCCCTAAACTCAGTGACCGCAGTGCTTGCAGCAGCCCTCAGAAGCCAGAGGGAGCCTCGACTTGGCTGCCGGGGATGTGGTGGGAGCAGCTGCAGCCAGTCCTGCTGTGGCCCATGGGCAAAGGTCCTGGAGGCCACTCAGGGCCTCCTTTCCTGCCACTGGCCAGCTAGCTGTGCAACAAACATGTGTGCACTTGGCCTCCAGGTGAATATTATGCATGTGCCCATGAGGCATCTGTGTGCTTGTGCCACTTCCGCCCGTGAAGGAGGCTGTGCGCTACACTGAACTCCTCCTGCCCAGCTGTGCCCATGAGGCATCTGTGTGCTTGTGCCATGTCCGCCCGTGAAGGAGGCTGTGCGCTACACTGAACTCCTCCTGCCCAGCTGTGCCCATGAGGCATCTGTGTGCTTGTGCCATGTCCGCCCGTGAAGGAGGCTGTGCGCTACACTGAACTCCTCCTGCCCAGTGATTCTGCCCAGTGAGGTGGTGGGCATGGCATTCTGAGAAAGGCCAGCTGTGTCACTGTAAGAGGCACTTGTGAGATGTCCATGCCCTCTAGGAAAGGCTGGTCTGCTGCCCTAACGGTCCAGAGCCGCTATTCCCAGTGGGCCTAGACATTTTTACTGCTAGGGTAGGAAAAACATGGAGGACCACTGCTCTAGAATGTTCTGGACCTCACCTCTCCCCTCTAGTACATGGCTGTGGGCATCTTTGGTGCATCCCCAACCTCTTCCCTCTTGCAGGTGGAGCAGGCAGGTGGGGTCAACCCCACACCAAGCTGGAAGCCCCAAAAGCTTGATCTTGGAGTCAGTTGGCAGAAAGACCAGGCAGCTCTGAGGGCCCTGGAAGCAGGTGGCCTGTGAGGCCCACACTCCCTGCCCGAGGCTGAGAAGGCCTCCCTGACGGACAGGGGTCTGTCTAGCAGGGTCCTCAGATACCAAAGGGAAGCAGAGCCCTGTGCCCAGGCCAAGCCCAGGCAGCAAGGGGGCAGGACAGCTGGACACATTCTCCAAGCCTGGGTACCAGGAGCCACACCTGGGGGTTCCACGGGGCCATGAGACTGTGAGAGACAGTAGAGGAAGGTGAGCGTGGCTGCATGGCCTGGTTGTCACCTGAGACCTCCTGGGCAGCAGAGCCTGGCAGGACCCGGGAGGCTGATTGCAGACCCTTGGCCTGGGTCCAAAGTCAGTCCCCACCCGTTCCCCGCAGTGAGGACACAGAGTCCCCCGGCCATGGTATCCTAAGAACCCACCACTGCCCACAGAGGCCCTTGGGATGGCAGGCATGGCCAGTCTCGGCTGAGGCTGCCACCCTCTCCTGCCCGGGAGGCCCCTCTGGCTGCCCTTTGGGGTCAGACTGTTCACCTGGTTCTCCCGTTCTGAGGCCCCCAGCTCCTGACTCCCCTCCCCCAGCCCTTCCTCTGGCTCCTCTCCAGCCTCCATGCTTCTGTCCCCTGGGACACAAGTGCGGGGCAGCGGAGGTGGCTCAGAGCCGGCCAGATGCGTCACACTTGCAGGGAACTCCGTCAGCAGGTGTGGTGGGCACAGCATCCGAGTGGGCATCACTGTGGGTGGGCAGGCTACACACAAACAGGAGGCTCCCCCCACCTCCCGAGGGCCACACATCTAAGAATCGAGCTGAGCTGAACCTGACGGAAATGGGAAACTACCCTGAGAGAGCCTTCAGGTGCCCTAGACTTGGGGTTTTACTCACCACCAGGCGTCTTATGAAGCAGCCTGGCCACTGTCAGGCCTGGCTAAGTGCTTCCCAAATGCCCTGCAAAGGCAGATGAGGCCCAGGTCTGGCACCTGACCCTGGAAATGGTGGGGGAGGGCAGCGACCATTCCCTCCCCTTCGGCGAAGGTGGCCAGCCAGGGCCAGGCCAGAGGGAGACCCAGGCCAACTCCATGGTCCTCTACCTGGGCTGGCTGTATTACCCCAGGACCCAAGGCTGCTCACTGCGAGGAAGTTCTCTGCATTGTGACCCGAAAGCCCCTTCGTAAGCACACCTTCTGAAGCACACCCTCTGGCTTAATAATCCCACTTCTCCATCTGTAAGCAAAAACCCAGGCGGGAGGGCCCTCCATGCCCTGGACCCTTGCTCTCGGCCCCCAGCCCTGACTCTCCAAGGGCAGCAGAGCCCGGGGCACTTTTCTGATCGTCTGGCCCTGTTGGTAAAAGCCAAGGCTTCTAGGGCTTGTGCCTGGATTTACCTCACAAGCCAGAGGGGTGGCCAGCAGGCTCCCCCATTCCACAGAGCCCATGACACGCCCACCCCATTGTCCTGACGCTGACTGACCCCACTCTGTGTGCCAGGCCCCGGCTAAGAGGGGAGAGTAGAGAGCCAAATGGACATGGCCGTTGCCCACAGGAAGCTTCTAGTGTGTGTTTCCCTCCAAGCACATCTGTGCCCAGGGTGAGCCATGGGGTGCGGGGCAGGGGGTGCGGGGCAGGGGCCACAGGGCAGGGCTGCCTGCCTCGCTTCAGCCCTTGTAGGGGAGCTCTTGTGTGCTGAGCGAATGAAGTACAGGGGTGATCTCTGGAAACGTACTACACATCCCCCACTAAGCCCAGCGAGGCCATTTCTATTCTTGCGCTGACTTCACATCTCCGTCGGCATTGAATCCCCCTCCAGTGCTCAGTGTCCTCATCTCATTTATGAGGGCCCGATTCCAGAGCCCTGGGGCTTCGCTTCTCCTTGGGGTCAAAGGCCAGAGGCCCCCCCACTCCTCGACCTGGTGAAGCAATCCTGCTCCTTCTTGGGAAAGCCGGGGGCTGAAGGCGACTTTCCAGATGTGGAGGGAGTCCTTCCTCCAAGGGCTCCCTCACTAAAGAGGCCACTTGCAGAACGTGGCTGAGCTCCTGCCCAAGCCAGGGACCAAACAAACACTTGGAATTCGTAAGGAGATTCTGCTGAGCTGCCGGAGCCCATCAAATTTTTATTGAATGCATTTCCTCTGGAGAACTCGTGTACTACATCCTGCCTAGGCTGTATTAGAGGAATAAAAATTCCACACACAGCCCTGACTGCAAATGTTCCTTCCTAGAGCAAAGGACACACTTCCTCCAAAGCCGCTTCTCTGCATGAAGACTGGGTTTAGGCTTGCCGTTGGCCAGGGTCTGGAGGGGTGTGGAGAACTGGACCTCCAGAGGGGAGAGTGGGGTGGAGACCACCCTGTAAGCCCTAACCAGCTGCCTTCCGGGGCTGTCGTTGACCTTGGACCCATCCTAGCAACCTGCAATCTGCTCACCGCTGCACCACATGTGCTAACCCTGAGCAGAAAACCAGCAGGCGCCTTGCTGCTTCCTCCTCCGGGGGGCTTGAGATTGCAGCCAAGGCAGAGGATCCCCTAGCTTCCTCCCCAGCCCCTCTGCAGTCTCAGAGACTCAGGCTTGCTGCAAACACCAGGGGTCCCAAAGCCCTCAGCTGGAGGCCTCAGGGGCTCAGGGAGAACCCACTGCACATGTGAGCCCCCACTGAGCTGCCGGCAGCTGAGGAATTTGGATCCCAGTGGGTGTCTATGCATCCTAGAACCCCCAGACTCTATTGCTTTAGTAGGAGTGGATGAAATCGGTGTGAAAGCAGGAGGTGGCACAAAGAGGAAAACCCACAGCAGAAGAGCCCACAGTGGAGGGTGCCGATGACATGTCAATTTCAGATAAACAATAAATCAATTGTGGAAGTATATCCCAAATACTGTGTGGGACATACCTAGACTAAAATAAAAAAAAAACTGTTGTTTATCCGAATTTCAAAAGTAACCAGGCATCTACAATTTTCATTTGCTAAATTTGGTAAGCCTGCACCCCAGCCTCCAGGGCCTCCAGGGTTGACAGCACAAACCATCCCTCTCTCCTCTTCCCACCAAAACCCACACCCCGCCAAGCCCAAGGCCATCCCTAATGAGATGTCTTTGGCGAGCATTCTCCCTCCAGCGGGCTCTGGAGCACAGAAACCTGAAGCAGCAGCTGTGAGGGCACATCTGGTCCGGAGATCCCGGGAACAAAGGCCGTTCTCAGGCCTCCCTTCCTCTTGCCTGCCAGGACCTGTGGCCTGCACTTCCCATTCATCTCAGCAATCTGCCTCCCGCCCTTCTGTTGGACTTTTCTCAGCTTGATGCCTTGCTCTGCTGACTGGAAGGGCAGGGACTGAGGCAGCCTTCCAGGGAGAGCCTCCCTGGAGGGTCTGGGGAGAATGCCCTAGAACCTGCTTACTCAGCATACTCTCTCGGCTGCCTCGCCAGCAGTGGTGTCAAGGACGAGGGGTGGCGCGTGGCACAGGTGGGTGGTAACCGCTTCCGAGGATCTGTGCTTGCTTTCCTGAAAGGTCTGTGTGAGGCAGCTTTGGTCCTGCAGACCCTACCTCAGTCCCCTGGGGATGGCTCTCGGCCTGGGCTACGGTTCCCAGAGTTTCTGCCTGGGACCCCTCTTGCCAGTTGGGTGTGACCAGTTGAGCATGAAGCCCTGATGTCTCCTGGGCTTGACAGCGGCCACAAGCTCTGCCCTGGAACTGCCTGATGTCACCGAGACTTGCTGCTTTAAGGCAGCAAAGGAAAGAGGTTCTGCTCCCTTCTCTCTGAAGCCACCCGCAGACTCTGAGGCAAGGGAACACCGGCCCTCCCTCCATCTGGACGGAGCCAGCCCACGCCTCTGACTTTGAGCCGTGGTAATTGAAGCTGGGCGACCACAGGCAGGAACACGGCCTGAGCAACAGAGGGCCCTTGAGAGGAGGCTGCTGCTGCTACAGAAGCGGGCAGGACCCACGGGCCCACCCAGGGGAGCAGGGCCGCGTCCTCAAGACCAGCGTGCACAGAGTGGGCGCAGTAGCCTGAGCTTTGCTCAAGAAGGTCTCCAGACCTGCAGAGAGAACTAGATGCCAAACACCAGAGGCTCACACACACTCACTCATGCACACACACACACAACAGGCTCACACCATCCTCTCTACACACTCACTCACGGACACACATGCACACACACACTCATATACATACACACGCACACCAGGCTCACACCATCCTCTCTACACACTCGCTCACGGACACACATGCACACACACACTCATATACATATGCACGCACACCAGGCTCACACAATCCTCTCTACACACTCACTCATGAACACACATACACTCATATACATACACACGCACACCAGGCTCACACCATCCTCTCTACACACTCACTCATGTACACACATGCACACACACACCCATATACATACACACGCACACCAGGCTCACACAATCTTCTACACACTCATGGACACACATGCACACACACACTCATATACGTACACACGCACACCAGGCTCACACAATCCTCTCTACACAGTAAATGTGCACATATGCACACACACACTCATATACCTATGCACGCACACCAGGCTCACACAGTCCTCTCCACACACTCATCCTCTCTGCACACTCACTCATGCACACACACACTCATATACATAAGCATGCACACCAGGCTCACACAATCCTCTATATACACTCATGTACACACATGCACACACACATACATATGCATGCACACCAGGCTCACACAATCCTCTCCACACACACTCATGGACACACACACTCACAACAGGCTCACACAATCCTCTCTACACACTCACTCATGGACACACATGCACACACACACTCATATACATATGCACGCACACCAGGTTCACACACACTCATGCACACACTCACATACACATGCACTCACACCAGGCTCACACTCACTCATGCACACACACACTCATATACATACGCACTCACGCCAGGCTCACACCATCCTCTCTACACACTCATGGACACACATGCACACACACACACTCATATACATACACATGCACACCAGGCTCACACAATCCTCTCTACACACTCATGTACACACATGCACACACACACACTCATATACATATGCACACCAGGCTCACACAATCCTCTCTACACACTCATGTACACACATGCACACACACACTCATATACATACACACGCACACCAGGCTCACACAATCCTCTCTACACACATGTACACACATGCACACACACTCATATACATACACACGCACACCAGGCTCACACCATCCTCTCTACACACTCACTCATGTACACACATGCACACACACACTCATATACATACACATGCACACCAGGATCACACCATCCTCTCTGCACACTCATGGACACACATGCACACACACACTCATATACGTACACACGCACACCAGGATCACACCATCCTCTCTACACACTCACTCATGGACACACATGCACACACACACTCATATACATACACACGCACACCAGGCTCACACAATCCTCTCTACACACTCACTCATGGACACACATGCACACACACTCATATACATACACACGCACACCAGACTCACACAATCCTCTCTACACACTCATGGACACACATGCACACACACACTCATATACATACGCACTCACACCAGGCTCACACCATCCTCTCTACACACTCACTCATGCACACACACACTCATACATACACACGCACACCAGGCTCACACCATCCTCTCTACACACATGTACACACATGCACACACATACATACACATGCACACCAGGCTCACACAATCCTCTGCACACTCATCCTCTCTGCACATGCACTCATGTACACCCATGTGCACACACATATACACACATACATATGCATGCACTCAATGTAGTCATACATCCACATACATTCACATGCATGCACACTCATACACACACTGCACACAGATGTTCACACTCACACGTACACACACATGCACATGCATATACATGCATATACAGGTAGATTAACATGCACACATGCAACACAACATTCCTATGCATATACACCCACACCCACACTCACTCTCATACATGCTCACACATCCACACACACTGTCATGCACATTCACACACACTCATACACACGCACATCCACACACTCATACACACTCATACACATTCACTCACACACATCCACTCATACACACACATCCACACTCACTCTACACACACTCATACACATCCACACTCACTCTTACACACACATCCACACTCACTGTCACGCTCATACACGCTCACACTCACACACGCTCTCTCATACACTCTCCCACACATCCACACTCACTCTCATACACACACATCCACACTGTCACACACACACACACTCACTCTCATACACACACATGCACACACACTCACAAATCTCCAGTATCCTGTTGCTCATACTAGTGAGCAGGGGACGTTTCCTCCCTCCCCCTCTCCTCAGGATGCTCCCCGCACCCCTTCCCCACTCTCACCCCCTCTTTCCATAAGGACTCTCCAGGAAGGACTGGACTCATCCCAACATGCCAAGGAGAGACTCCCACAGGGAGCACTGAGGGCCTCGAGTGAGGCCCAGCAGACAAGGCCTGTCTTCCGAGCAGCCCCGTCATCTCTCCTGCCTGGGTTGTGGGTGGGCTGCTTGCATCTGTCTCTGCCTCAGTGTTTTGACTTTGCACAGTAGAATCCACATTAGCACAACTCTCCAGAATGAAAATGGCCTCCCAGGTGTCTAGCGCTGCCCCCCTTACTAAGGCGCACTCCAGTCCGTCTGCTCTCTCCTGCCGTCATGGCTGAGCTCTGTCATATTCTCTTCTGGGCCCTGAGTTTGTGTGGCTGTCTCTCCAGTCAGGGAAGTCCCTTAAGAGAAGGTGCAGTGAAAAATGAAAGTGGTAGCATTCATGAGAGTACAAGAAGCACAAATGGAAGGCACCACGCAATGTGACGTGAGAGATTTCCATTCTAGAATCTCACCAGGAACGTGTGGGTGAAGCAACAAAGGCTGATTTGTGGTTGTGGCACCGTGCACCAAAAGAGATTGCCAGCATGCAGGGCTGGGGATGTCATTCCTGTTCTCTAGATGGGCCGTGCCTTGTCCAAGGTTGCCCAGAGTGAGGAGCAGAGCCAGGGTGGATTTCAGCCAGGGTATAGGCTTTCTGCCTGCCCAGACACCAAGAGGTTTGGAGGATGGGATGGGGCCTGGGCTTGGCCCCCTGCGTGAGCTGTTGACATGGGGGAGGTGGCTGGCTTCTAGCTCCAGGCCTCCTCAGGGACAGCGCAGTGTCTGTGACCAGCCATCGTGTCTGATGGGTGGGGATTGGGGCCTCACAGGGGCTCCATCTCCAGGGGAGGTGTGAGACGGGCAGCTTCTCCCGTCTGACAGAAGCCATTCAGCGAGTGGCCTCAGGAGAAGCGGCAGCCACTTTTCTTTCTGCTTATCTTGGGTGATGAGTTTAATGTTCAGTGAAACTGAAAAGACCGTGGCCTTGGTGGCCTCAGCTATTTTTCTCGAGCCCTAGGTCCCCTGGGGTGGACCGTGGCTTGGCTTTTATGCCTCCCTTCCCGGGCTGTGCCACTTTTGCATGGCCTAGGAAGGGAGAGTGTCTCGGTGGCTGCTCAGGATGGAGGCTCTTGGGCTGTGTCTGGCCTGAGGTTGCGCTTGCTGACCGTGCAGTGACTAGCAGCCCTGGGAGGTGGTGTTGGGGCCTGGGAGGCCTCCTTCCCTGGCCGTGCCTGGGGCCAGGGTGCTCTTAGGAGACGCTGGACCCCTGCCTACTGGGAGGCAGAGGGATCAACAACACGACCTTCCAAGCACCTTCCTCTCCAAGGACCACAGGACAGGGGTAGGGGATGCTGTCCTCTCTCCCTGCCTTTATTTTATGAAGTAACCACTTTTTAATTATAGCCAACACCAGATAAGCAAAGCCCAATGGAGATGCTGGGGATTAATCCCAGGGGAACATTGCTGCATCTGAGGCGTTGCAGCCACCTGGGTACAGGGCAGACACTGCAGCCAGCAGAGCCCATGTCCGCCCTGTCTGCTGCAGGAGGACCTGGGCACGCATGTGCACACGCAGGCTGTGACAGGTTGGGGGACACAGACAGTGCACACGGGACTTGCCCCTCCCCACAGTCTCATGCTCTTTGGGGCTTCATGTCCTCACCCACATGCTTACCCTTGTTCAAATCCCTGTCTGCAGGCCACGCCCATACCCGGAAAGTCACGAGCTCACGTGCCCCACATAGAGCCATCTTACAGAGAGCCCACAACAGCCACACACTTCTTTCCCTCTCCAGCACCTCCTCCCGCACATGGACTATTTTTCAAGTACAAAGGAGCCCCCAGCCTATTCAGACTGCCTGTGTGAGGCTGACCTCAGGCAAAGGCAGCCCGGGGAGAGGATGGCCACACAGCTCTGAGCCGGCCCTCTGGGTCCTGGCGGCTGGGTCTGCACAGGCCGCTCCCCTCCGGCTCCCTGGGGCAGCCCAGAGAGCTGGCCCTGGGCCAGGATAGAGAGAGGAAATGGTTCCCCAGTTCAGAGGGCCAAGCAAGGAGCTTTCATCGACCTGAAATGAAACGATGGCCAGGAGGTGCTCTGGGCAAGACCAAGACAGGACCCTGGGAACAGGCAGTGCCCGTCACCTCCCAGGACTCGCAGGCTTTCCTGGGCGGGTTTAGCCTGGAGGAGCCCTGAGAGGAACTCTGTTCCAACAAGATCTAGGGAACTCTGGCTTAAATGACACAGTCTCTTGGTTAACAAAGTCCTTATGAGCAGAAATCTCCCTGATAAACACTTAAATCTGGGGGTAGGAATTTTCATTCCGCACCTGGCCAGGGCCTATGGAGACTCCAGGGTGGATCCTTCTTTGCCTGGAAGAAGGCAAAGTGTGTAGGGTGTTTCTTCCAGCCCTGGGATGCTAACAGGCTTTGCCAGTCCAGGAATGAGAGGCCAGGCATCAAGAGTCCTGACAACCCGACTCAGGCTCTGCCTGGCTGTGCCAGGAGATGTGGGGCCCTGCCATGCCCAAGCCGGGTAGATGCCAGCTGGTGGTCAAGGCAAATCACTTCTGGGGATGGAACATGGGGCCCCAAAGACAAATGATCTTAGATCGGGCTCTGATGTCACAAGGAATTCATCGCCTCCTCTCCCTACGCTCACCCACATCCCAAACTTGATCCTCCTCACAAAGCCCCCAGAACACAGCTGCGGGAATCAAATGAACTCTAATCATGATCGTTGAAGATCAAGGCATGACAAAGCCCAGTGGGAAAACTTGCTAAATAATGGTTTGTAGTTTACCCCCCGAAACTCTCCAGATCTTCCGTCTCTCACGAGGATGCAGGCTTGCTGTCTGGTTGGAGATAATTATTAGGTTTCTTAATTATTTATAAGTTTGCATCTCTTATTTCTCTGCAGCTACCAAACAAGAGCCTGAGTTTGAGAGGATTTAAACGACGGGGGCAGCCACTGAGGGGCAACTGCATGGAGCCCAACAGAGACCTAGGATCCTTTTCTCAGGACAAGAAGCAGGAGAGGGCTTGGCCCCACTCACCCACAGTCTCGGGATCCCAGCCCCAGTCTGAGGGCGTAGAGAACAGGAGGGAAGGGTCAGCGTCCTCTTCCTCAGGACACTGCCGGCTTGCTGGTCAAGGCTGCCTGTTCCCTACTTGTTCCTCCCCTGGCTTCTATCTGGACCAGACCTCTTGGCCTTTTATTTTTTATTATTTTTTTTGAGACAGGGTCTCAATCTGTCACCCACGCTGGAGTGCAGTGGCGCCATCTCTGCTCACTGCAATCTCTACTTCTGGAGTTCAAGTGATTCTCATGCCTCAGCCTCCTGAGTAGCTGGGATTACAGGTGTGCGCCACCACACCTGGCTAATTTTTGTATTTTTAGTAGAGATGGGGTTTTACCACATTGACCAGGCTGGTCTTGAGCTCCTGACCTCAAGTGATCCGCCTGCCTTGGCCTCCCATGGTGCTGGGATTACAGGTGTAAGCCACCGCACCCGGCCCCTCTTGGTCCTTTGACCTCTGCATCCCCCAGACCCCAGCAGCTGCTCTTGGCTTCCCGCTCATGGTTTCAACTCCCCGGAGACGGCCAGAGCCCCTCCATGCCTCAGCCCTCCTGGCAGATGCCTGCAGCTCAGGAGATTGAATTTATTCATATTTCCAGGTGCTGTACATTCTGATGAGGTTCTTCTCCGGATCTCCTGCCCAGAAAAGGATAAATATTTCTGATCTATAGCAAATGTGTTTTCCTTTAGCTAACATCTTGGCAGGCAAGTACACTAATCTCTCAGGAAAATCTAGGGCCTGAATAGCAAGCAGATTTTTCCCCCTCTGAACAAATAGAAATTCTGAGTTACATTTTTTTTTTTTTTTGAACAGCAGATCTGGAGAAGAATCGCAGTCCATGAAATCTGCATCTCTTGAAAGAAAAACCCAGAAGGCCACCTCCCTATCAAAGGCAGAATGAACCCAGTTTGGAAACGTGTTTAAAATGCACGGGGGAGTGGCAACCATCCTAAATTACCCCGCTAGCCCTCCCGAGATGGGCAGGAGAGGCCGGCGGGTGGCCTGCTGAGCCTGGGAGGCAGAGACGGGGAGTGAAGCCACATGGCCCCATGGGGCCATCCAGCACTGCAGAGGTCTCAGCAGCATCCCGCCCCCGACAGGTGCCACGTGACCCCCAAGCTGAACACAGAGCACACACCCACAAGACTACAAAATCTCCCAACAGCCTCATTTCATAGAACTGCATTTCGCTGACTTCTGTAGGATGCGTGGCCAGGGAACCCTTTGAGGGAATCCTCGAGAAGGTGCCCTGAGTTTACAGAGTGGGCAATGTCCCCTCAAGGACAAACTCTTCCGCTGACCCCCCCCCCCCCCCAGTTCCCTGGGGGATGGATGCTGTGCTTTTGAGGAATAAAAGAAAGGTCAGAGAAGGATCTAAAGTGTGTGGATCCGTCGTTGCGTGCCTGGTACTGTGCTTGGCACTTTCTTATGTGTGCCCCTGCGCGTGTGTGTGTTTGTATGGTTATGTGTGTGCACGCCTGTTTATATGTTTTTGTGTGTTTGCACGTGTGTTTGTATGTTTGTGTGTGCATGTGTGTATGTAGGTTTGTGTTTTTGTGTGTGTGCACGTGTTTGTTTGTGTGTGCGCACGTGTGTTTGTATGTTTGTGTTTGTGTGTGCATGTGTGTGTACGTAGGTTTGTTTGTGTGCGCATTTGTATGTTTGTGTTTGTGCGCGTGTATGTTTGTGTGCGTGTGTACGTAGGTTTGTGTGTGCGTGATTGTACGTTTGTGTGTGCGTGTGTATGTAGGTTTGTGTTTGTGTGTGTGCGTGTTTGTATTTGTGTGCGCGTGTATGTAGGTTTGTGTTGTGTGCTCACGTTTGTATGTCTGTGTGTGCGCGTGTGTGTATGTAGGTTTGTGTTGTGTGCTCACGTTTGTATGTCTGTGTGTGTGCGCGCGTGTGTATGTAGGTTTGTGTTTGTGTGTGCGTGCATGTGTGTTTGTAGGTTTGTGTTTGTGTGCGCGTTTGTATGTTTGTGTTTGAGCGCATGTGTATGTAAGTCTGTGTTTATGTGTGCGTGCGTGTGTGTTTGCAGGTTTGTGTGTGTGCACGTGTGTATGTAGGTTTGTGTTTGTGCATGTGCGCGTGTGTTTGTAGGTTTGTGTTTGTGCGTGTGCGTGTTTGTATGTTTGTGTGTCTGTGCGCGCATGTGTATACGTAGGTTTGTGTTTGTGTGTGCACTTGTGTATGTAGGTTTGTGTGTGTGTGCGCGCGTGTGTGTATGTAGGTTTGTGTTTGTGTGTGTGCCTGCGTGTGTGTTTGTAGGTTTGTGTTTGTGTGTGTGTGTTCGTATGTTTGTGTTTGTGTGATTGTATGTGTTTGTGTGCGCGTGTATGTACATTTGTGTGTGTGTGTGCACGCGTGTGTGTATGTAGGTTTGCGTTTGTATGTGCGTGCGTGTGTGTGTTCAAGCCCTCACAGTGCTATGCAGGAGCGGATGAGCTCTCTCTCTTTCATGGCCATGGAAACCCTTTCCATCCTTCACTGCTGCCTCCTGAGCAGCCCGGGGGCTGGTGGCAGGGGCATAGAGCACCCTTGCTCATGTGCACACCCCAGCTGAGGATCCCAGACTGCAAAAGGCCGGAGCCAGCTCTTCTGAGCCTCTATGCATGTCACGCCCGTAAGCCCTGCCCAGCCCTAAGCAGGGCAGAGCAGGTCCTGGGCCCCCGTAGTGCCTTCCTTTTATCCTCTTCACTGAGAAGTTGTGCTTTCTGCCGACTTCACTCTATAAGCTGAGTGTATCGCCCTGGCCTTCCTCGCAGAGGATGATGGGAAAGACGCTCTACCAAGGAGGACTTGCTTAGCAACTTCCCAGCTGGGGTGACCATCATGCTCTTGGACGGGAGGGCACCCTGAGCCTAGTGGGAGCGTGTCCCATCCTAGACAGGTTTCCTCGACTCCACCCTAGAGCCAGGGAGTGGCCTTGAGCCTCCTGTTTAGAAGCTCTAACCAAGCAGGTGACATTCTGACATCCACAATGTGGCAATCAAGACTTCCAGGGTGAGCTGGCCAGAGCTGTGGACACAGATTCGGCAGCAGCATGGGTCTTTGTTTCGTCGGAACACCAAAGCCTCGGCAGAAGGGAGCCCATTAAGTTTGCATTTTCCATCATGGAGCAAGTAAACAAACCCAGAGGAAGCTCTGCCCATCACTGAGCTGGCTTCGCGACAGGAAATGGTATGAGTGACTTCGTTTTTAAACATTATTATCCTCTTGAAAGCAAAAGATAAAGGATGCCTTGAAGCAGCCAAATTGCTTTGGCTCAAAAATCATTTTAAATACCATTTCCTTTAACAAGCCTGCTGCCTGGGCAACGGATCAACACTATTCATTTTAACCTTAGTCAGTAGAAAAAAAAATCACCGAAGTGCTTGTAATTATTTAACGCTCTGCCTTTTTCCCCGCCCAGATTGGTTAACTAATGACCAAAACAATGCACGCCAAGCCCTGTTTTAAGCAATTGGACAATCGGCAGTACACGCAGAACATTCCGGAACCATCTTCCCTCTGTGTCTACTCTAAACATGGGCGGGGGGATTCAGGGTTAGTTTTGGCCTTTTCCAGAAAGTGAGAGAAATAGCCTTCCCCTCTATGGTTTGTGTTTGTGAAATCACCAGGTGGGGGTGAGAGTTCACCCGTGCCCGTCCTTAAGTAAACAAGCATCAAGAGGCTCCTTGAGAAACCTTATGAACAGGAAAGAGGGTGGGTGGAGTCCTCCCGGCTCTGCCTTGGTGAGTGCGGCTCAGGTGATGGCAGGGGGTACATGGAGGCCGGGGGTGGTCTCTCAGGGTGCTGTACAGCCCAAACACCATCAGAAAAGCTTGGAGGAGTTCAGATGTGGAGGTAGACCATGCTAGAGCCTCCTTTTTGTTTTGGAAGGGAACAGAAGGAGTTTCATTAGGTTATTTGCAAACAACAAAACTCACACAAATTCAAAGAAAATGACATTCACAGAACAAAAGCTGAGTCAATGGATCGGAGCTGGAGTGGGGAAGAGACAAGCACAGAAGGAAATATCTTTGCTACCGAAGCCAGAAGTCCTAAACTGCTTTGGGGTTATGTCCTCAGCCTGGAGGCCCAAAGTCTTCCCAGGAAAGAGCATCCTGCCTGAGAGAGGAAAGCACCTCCCACTTTCTGCATCAAGGAGAGGATCTCGGCCTGACAACCCAGTCAGAGGACTCCTGCGGCAGCAGCACCTTCTAGCACAGACCTCAAAAGGTAACGCACGGTGGCTGGGTGCCAAGGCCTCAGGTCACACTGGCCACTCCCTGGCAGAGGGGCTGCTTTGTCACTTTTTTTTTTTGAGATGGAGTTTCGCTCTCGTCACCCAGGCTGGAGTGCAGTGGCACAATCTCGGCTCACCGCAACCTCCGCCTCCTGGGTTCAAGCGATTCTCCGGCCTCAGCCTCCCGAGTAGCTAGGATTGCAGGCACGTGCCACTACGCCCGGCTAATTTTTGTATTTTTAGTAGAGACGGGGTTTTGCCATGTTGGCCAGGCTGGTCTCGAACTCCTGACCTCAGGTGAACCGCCTGCCTCGGCCTCCCAAAGTGCTGGGATTACAGGCATGAGCCATCGCGCCCGGCCAATCACTGCTTTTGATAATGACAGTTCCGACTTTATGGAGGGCTCACTGTTGTGTTCTGGGCAATCGATGCCCGCGGCAGTGACCGCACATTCCTAACTGCATCTCTTATGGAAAGCACATCTCCACATTGTGCACGGTGCAATCCCATGCGAGGAGGCATAGCAAGGGAAGCTCAGCACCAGATTCACCCAGAGGACAGGCTGGTCCTGGATGTGGGGAGAAGAGCTATTTGCTCCTATCGTACTCTGCAACATTAACTAGGATGCCCGAGTCACTCCTGTAGCAGAAAGCAGTCACCCTGAAGCAGAGGCTGCCGCGGAGGGCTTCACCTTCAGGACGTCACCACAGAGCAGGCCTGTGAGATCCAATATCCCGGCGTGGAACATTTCCTCGGGGATCCAAGTGCCCTCCCGTAACCGCTGAAAGTCACCCCATCTGCTGAGCAGCCAGAAGCAAGCTGATGATGCCAGTAGCCAGTCACCCCGTCTGCTCGGGGCCAGACATGGAGGAGTGGGGACGGACATGTCCCACCCTCGTCTAGGTCATGGGATGCTGGCCGAAGGCCCCTGGCATGGGAACTGCTCCGGGCCAGGGGTTGTGGAGGGCTGGACAGGAAAGGAATGAGGATCGCCTCCACCACTACAGCCTCAGGAGGGTGGGGAGGCTGGATGCGTGCCACTTTAACGAGTGTGTATTTACCAAATGGATAAATTCTGCGCAATGCTTTGCATTCCAAATAACTTGCCACCAGGTCCCTTGTGAGTCTCCACCTGCCTAGACTGTGAGCTTCCTAAGGGCTGGATCACCCCTGCAACCCTAGCACCTGGCATACTACCTGACCCCTAACACGCATGGATGCCTAAGGAGTGAGTTCCTCCGACACCTGGAGAACGAGATGCAGAGGCTCGCCGGGAGCCCCAGTGCCCTGCATGCCAATGGCACACATCTTCTCCAAACACAGCCTCTCTCTAAAGAGCTGCCTCAAATCAGCCATGCCTTGCCCTGACAGCTGTTTCCTTCCCCTGCAAAGACCCTCGAAAGATCTCTTGGCTGTGATTTGATTTGAGCTCTTCTGGAAGGTCCTATAGAGGGCCTTATCTAGGTTGTTGAATCTTTTTCAGCATCTGGAAACGGGGGACAGAAACAAATGGGAGTGTGTCTAGGGGGCGGCAGGCATCATGGCCCCCCTTCCCAGGCCAGGGCCCACCTGTGGCAAAGGAGGCCCCAAATAATAGCCATCCTGGTTTTCTTGCATGTGAGGCCACGGAGTGTGGTAGCTGTTGCCGAAGGTGACTGAGGTGGGGAGAGCTCAGATTTACCCAGAGGCTCTGTGTCCCTCTTTGCAGAAATGTCAGAGCCCATGTGGCGCTGGGGGTGGCAGCGTGTGTGTGTGTGTGCTTGTATGTATATGTGTATGTGTGAATGTGTATTGTGTGTGACGTGTGCATGGGTATGCATGTGTGTATAAATGTACATATGTACACGTCTGCAATGTGTATTGTGTGTATATATGTATGTGTATATCATGTGCATATGTGTGTGATGTTAAGGTACATATTTGTATTACATGTGTGTATTTATATTGCAAATTACAAGCATGTGCATATGTACATGTATGTGTATATATGTGTACATTTATGTGTACTATGGGTATGTATGCATATGTATATATTTATGTGTATATGTGTGTGTATGCAAGTGTTTATATGTGTGCACATATGTGCTTATATGTATATGTATATTGTATGTGTATGTGTTACATGTATCATGCATGTATGTGTACACATGTGTACAGATGTATGTGCATGCATGTGTACAGATGTATGTGTGTGCATGTGTATTGTGTGTACATGTGTGTGTATGTGCGTGTGTGTGTATTGTGTGTGTGTGATGGGATGGGCAGAAATAGGCTGAGTTGTTGTCCCTGATCCCAGCCCCTCTCAGGGTCCCTTTGCTCCTTGGGGCTCCAGGAGCGAAGCTGGGGGTAATGAGGACTCCTTGGAGCCAGTGGGGTGCCAGACACCAGGGTCTGGAGCCATCCCTGGCCACTCCAGGCCTCCATCCCACATCCTACCAGGAGCACCCACACTTGGCCCAGCCTCACAGCTGCTCCAGCCCCCTGTCCAGGCGCTGCTGCTGGAAAGGCTCTGGTCACCTGAGAGCTCCTGGGATCAAGCACCTAGAGAGATTCTAGAGAGATTGCAGAGAGATTCTAGAGGGAGATTCCAGAAAGGCTCCAGAGAGATTTTAGAGAGATTCTAGAGAGGTTCTAGAGAGACCCAGAGAGACTCTAGCAAGATTCCAGAGAGACTGCAGAGAGTAGATGGGAGGAGTCTCAGAGAAAGGGAAGGGAGAGCCTGGCTCCAAAGGCAGGCAGGCTTTTCCTGAGAGGCTGTGTGGGAGGTGGCGGCAAACGACACCACTCCGGGGAATGGCTAAGATGCTCCCAGCAGGGCCTGGGGTCCTGAGGCAGAGCTGTGACGTGAGCAACCGAGGGGCTCAGCAGAAACAGCAAAGAACCTGGACAGAGGGGAAGGGGATGGAGGAGATCAGGGTGAAGGACAGACAAGGGCCTGGGATCCCTTCCTCTGGGGGGCGATAAGAATGCTCTGGAAAGTGCAGCCTTTGGGGACACTCAGTTTCTTGCAGTCTTGTCCCTCTGCTCTTCAGTCAAGAACTGAGCACCTGCTGTAAGCCAGGCCCTGTGCGGGACCAGAGAGCTGAGAAGACACCGCATCCTCAGCCTCAGCCTCACCTGCAGGCTGCAGCAGGTCCAGCATCTGAATGGGATGCTAGAGAGCACGGGCAGGTCCTCCATGGACGTCCAGACAGAGCTGGCACTAGGGTGGAAATCTCAAGAGGTGCCCAAACACTCAGCCATCAAGACAAATGCCACTGCAGTGCAATACTTTAAAATATCAAAATTAATCCAAGAATCCTTGATGAACAAAATATCAACATTTTAAATAAAGACAGGGTCAGTCTGACTGATTTTTCCCTTTGCCTTAAAGCTTTGGTGTAGCTGGGCATGGCCCCAGAGCTGGGGTGGGGCTTGACCCTGAGTAAAGGTTTCTTACCCCAAAGTGCTGCCTTCTTAGTTCCCTCTTGGTGGCCACAACTCTTTGCTCCATGGTTAACTGAGGAGCTTGAAGAGTAGCCGATAACCGTGGAGGGGCCTTCATGCACTTGCTACAGGAGGGAGGAACACGAGACGCATAGATGGGAGACAGACCAGCTGCGGGTCAGAAAGGAGCCCCTCCTATCAGGAGCATCTGTGCTCATTGAGCATCTACTATGTGCCGTGTATCACGCTAAGTGCTTCACATTTGTTAGGGATTTTTCCCCTCCCAACAACCCTTGAGTCAGGTGCTATTCTCATTTCTGTTGTACAGGTGAGGAAGCTGAGGCCCAGAGAGGCTGAGGTTAAGCCACTTCCCTAGAGAAGTCAGGGGTAGAGCTTGGGTGTGCTGGGAGGGCAGACTGGGGAAGCCGCCGCTTCTGTATCCAGGGGGTTGCTCACAGGGCTTTCAGAGGCAGGACCTTCCCTCAGATCCTGCCTTGGGGAGATGGAGCTCCAGGGAGGAAAGACAAGGTTCACCCAGAGTGTCATTTTGACCATCAAAGTGGAACCCAACAGCGGCACTGCCATGACCCTGATGAAAGATGCACTTGGGTCATCCCGGACACAGGACAGACAGGGAGCCTGAGATTAGCTAAGCCTTAGGTCTGGAGGAGCTGAGCTGTAGCAACAGGGGACAGAGACCACCCTGGAAGTCAGGTCTCAGAGGCCTAAAGCAGGCCCCCGTCAGCCTTGGAAGTCTCCATGGCGACAGATGACTTGCCCCAGGGGAGGCTCAAGAGGGAGACCCTGCCTTTCATTCCTTAAGGCATGAGCATTATCAGTCTTGGCCAGAAGTAGAGAGGCCCAAACAGGTCCTAGGAGGTTGGATGTGCAGAGGCAATACAAGACTGGGTTGTTGGAGCTGGCCTGTACTGGCTCATGAAAGCAGCCTGGTACATTTTTGAGAATTTTGCAATGGATATCATGATATCATGTTGGTAGCTTGAAGACAGCTACAGTGGTGGTATTTACACCATAGAAATTGGCAAACGTTACCAATCAGAAATTTTTTCTTTCTCCTGGAGAGCCAACTGTTAGGCATTTCCAGCATACCACTGCTTTGCAGGACAAAATCTGAACACCTACGAAAATCTGGCCATTCTGCAAACTGTCACACCGAATTGAGGAGCAGTTGCATGTCTCTTCCTGAAAGAGGCAATCATCATCTCAAACAGCAGTTATATGCAAACGTCACTTCTGGAGCTGGGAAAGCATGGTCTGTTTCTGGCAGTAGAATGATCTTTTATCTAATTAAGCTCAACTTGGGCTAATGTTGTGAGCGTGCACTCTCTGATCAGACACCAACAGCTGGCGGCTGAGGTGCATGCCGGGGTGGCCTGAGAAGCTGGTCTGGAGTGTTAAAAGTGCTGTGGGTTGCCCACCATCTCTATTGAGAGGGAAGTCTCAGAAAGAGCCCAGCCATGCAGTCAGGAAGTTGGGGTTCAAGCCCAGCTCTTCTGCTAAGTCACTGGGTGTCCCTGGATAAGTCATTGGCCTGCCCTAGGTGACAGCTTTCCCATGCAAAGCAAGGCACTGGGCCGGATGGTTTCTGAAGTCCTGCCTCGCCTGGTGGGGAAGGGGCAGAGTCATTGTGACTCAGTGGGAGGGGCTCTCCTGGACTCACCCAGGGGCCCAGAGCCTGGCAGGGTCCCAGCAGCAGAAGATCCTGCCAGTGACTCTGGCAAGGAACGTCAGCCCCAAACCCCAAGCATGCTGCACTCTCTCTGCTGTGGCTCTCAGCCCGGCACTGCCCATACTACTCCAAGTTCAGAATTATGGCTTTGGCAGAAGAGGCTCCATGACCAAACCCTTTCACCTTCCCCAGCTGCCCCCAAAGGCAGCTGATCCCAGGGAGCTGAGAGCAGCATGTGGCAGGGAGCACGAGTGGCTGTCAGGAGGGTGGTGGGATGGGGCTTCCTTCTTGTCTCCCCTAAGGCAGTGGGAGTGACTGCTCTGACACACCCTGAGAGACGAGGCACGATGGAGACATGGGTGACAACTGGCAACTGCAGCTATGTAATGCGCGCACAAGGGCCGTGGCTTTCAGGCTCAGACATCAGGGGACACAGGGAGGCCATTGGCCAGGAAAGGGTGGGGGACTGGGGATGGGCAGCCAGAGAAGATCCTCCTGTGGAATTCTGAATCCAAGCCTTTTGGAGGCAACAGAAGGGGCTGGATCCAGGTCCGGGCAGCTCTGGGGACATTCCCAGAGTCACCAGGGCAGGCATGGCCCATGGTGAGCGTGGGCCGGTGCTTGGCCAAGGTCTTTGGCTGTGAATGCTGGAAGCAGTGGCCTGGTGGGTCACAGTGTACAACTCAACTGATGGCCAGAGAGGGGAGAGAGCCTAGGACGGGGTCTTTGTGGGCCCAGCTCAGCACGGGCGGCTCTATCAGGGGTTATCACGTGGTTTTGTAACAACACAACGGTCATGACAACAGCCACGATTTTTTTTTTTTCTGAGACATAGTCTCGCTCTGTCGCCCAGGTTGGAGTGCAGTGGTGCGATCTCAGCTCACTGCAAGCTCCGCCTCCCAGGTTCATGCCATTCTCCTGCCTCAGCCTCCTGAGTAGTTGGGACTACAGGTGTCCACCACCATGCCTGGCTAATTTTTTATATTTTTAGTAGAGACGGGATTTCACCGTGTTAGCCAGGATGGTCTTGATCTCCTGACCTTGTGATCCACCTGCCTTGGCCTCCCAAAGTGCTGGGATTACAGGCGTGAGCCACCGTGCCCGGCCACGATTGTTATCTGAATGCTGGTCTATGTCCGACCCTGTGCAAAGTGCTTTAAAAATTCTGCGGATGAGGAAACTGAGCCCCTGGTTTTGGGTTAATTAGCCCGAGGTGACACAGCTCCACGTGGTTGAAGAAGGGGGATTAGAACCCAGGTCAGTGTGAACACCCAGGGCCTGACCTTGCGGCTGCATCAGGACAACCCTTTCCAGGCCTCCTGGGGAGAGGCTCAGTCTCCTGGGACTGGGGGCCAGCCTGAGTCAGGCTGGTGAGCCCCCCGAGGGAAGGCGGACCTGAGGTGGGCCCCCCTCTGTGCCAGGTACTCACCCACCTACCCACACCGGGTCTGCCCTGGGATGAGCTGGTGATGGCCCTGCGGCCCCAGGCCACGGTCTGCAAGTGGCTGTGTTTTATGTCTCTTGCTTGGTGAGGCTCAGAGTGAATGCTGGGTCTACAATATTTTAGCCCATAATGAAGTGAGCACTTCCTACCTACGAGGGTAGTAAGTGCAGGGCCAAGGTGGGGCTCCCCCAGTCTCCCTGGCCAAGGGTCAAAGTGGGAATAAAAATGATAGAAAGGTCCTCTGCCCCAGGAGGGAACAGGCCCAGGAGGTGTGTGGAGCTCAGGCTGCTCACGGGAGCCAGGTCAGGGGCTGGCCGACTCCAGGAGCCACCCCTGGGGTCCTGCCACGGCCTGTGGGCTGCGTTCTCCAGCTCCCTGTGCACCTGAGGAGTCCTCCAGTCAGCAGGAGGCTGCAGGAAGGTGAGGTTTCCCTCCCCAGGGTGGGACGAGACTCTGTTCTGCAACCCCCTGCTCCCCGCCCTGGGCTACTGCCCTGTCCTGGGGTCAGCAAGATGCCAGCTCTCAGCCTCCCTCAGGACGCTGGGCCCCGGCAGCCTGAGGTCAAGGGGGAATCCTCCAGCCCCTGCTCTGGTTCCTGGCTGATCTCCCTGCCCAGAGGCTTTTACAGTTCTCCCCAGGAAAGGAAGGGAACTTGCTTCTTCCCAGTGGCTTTGGCTGCGATCTGAGGGGGCTGCATTCCTTGTCTCTGCCCTTCCTCAGGGTGGGGAGAAGAGCTCCCCGAGCTGAGGGTCTCCCTCCGGCCCAGGCTCCCAGACTGCAGTCTCTGGCCGTGGTGGCTTCTTGTCGCTGCCACGGGCTGCTCTGCACCAGATTTTAGATTGAACTCAACATCCCTTCTTAATGCAGAATTTGCATCTTAAACTTCTCGTGGCTGAAGCAGGACTCCTGATTTCCTCCCTGAGCTCTCTTCCTCCGGTCTGACTGCAATGACAAATCTCCATCCATGCAACCCTCCTTCATGCCTCTCTTTCCCTCACTGCCTCTTTCCTGCTCTCAAATATGTCCTGAGCCTGCAGGGGGCTGAAGGATTCCCCCTTGACCTCGGGCTGCTGGGGCCCAGCTTCCTGAGAGAGGCTGAGACATATTGAATGCAGAGGGGTTGGCTCAGCCTCCTGTCTGGAGTTCTGCAGCCCTCTCAGGCTGTAGAGGTGGCCCCAGTTGGCTGGCACTGGCTCCAGGCTCACCCTGGGATGACATGGGGTGGGGCCTGGGCACATTTACAGCTCACATCACTCTGACTGAGAGGAGGTGTTGACAGAGCCCCTGCATCAGGGACCTGAGCTGGGGACTTTCCACAGGAGACGCCTGCACCCCAATGCCACCTCCTCTGCTGCAGAGAAACTGAGGGCACAGATAGGGCAAAATGAGACCCCATGGGAGCTCATTTCTTTGGAACCGACAGTGTTTTTCTGAGAACTTGGTCTCCAAACTAAGAAACCTTTTAGCAATTCAGGATCAACAAACGTTTCTGCCCCGAATTTCCTTCTCAATCCTCCAAGCTAAGCTCACAGAGAATTCTCATGCCTGGTGTCACCAGGGTCACCCTTTCTGGGCATTCCAAAGGCTCTCTGATGCTTTAGTTCTGCCCAAGCTAAGGCCAGTTTAAACTGTATCTCTAAAGAGCATGTCTTCTCCCTCTTCAGGAGGATGGAGGGAGGTGGGGACACACTGCGTGGAGAGCGCATCCATTCTGGTGTCTTTACCGAGTGCTGACGCTTGTGCTCGTGGGGCACAGCTGGACCTAGGGGCAGCTGTGGGAGAGCCTAGGAGAAACCCCAGGAAGTAGTGACCTGGCCCTGCCCTCAGGAAGCCCGGTGCTGGATGGATGGACACCATTCACACCTATCCAATAAACAAGTACTTATGTGCTAGGCATGGCTCCAGGCACTCCAAATGTAGCAGTGAACAAAACAGATCATGCCCCTGACCCTGTGGAGCTTATGCTTGAAGGATGGGGCTGGGCTTGGGGGGATAGACAAGGCATAAATAACACAGTAGGCAGTAGCAACATGATGAATGGCAAAATACGATGTGGAGTGAAAGAAGCCAAGTATATACCTGAGTGCATATACTGCAGGATTCCAGTTCTACGAAGTTCTAGAACAGAAAAAATGAACCTATAGTGGAGAAATCAGAACAGTGGTGGCCTCTGGGGGTGAAGTGGGTATTGACTGCAAAGGGACACATGGGTACTTTCTGGGGTGATGGCGATGTTCCAAATCTTGATGTGGGCTTAGGGTATGACTGACGCACGCATCGATCAAAACTCATCAACTAGTGCACTTAACATGTATGCATTCAATTGTTTCACAGTGTATAAACTTTACTTCAAAAGCAAAAAAAAAAAAGAACTGTATGCAAATATTGAACTTTGGTTAATGCTATGCACCTTGAAAGACTTGGGGGAGGTGTGCTGTGGCTGTTGCTTACTTTGAAATCCTCGAAAAATTGCTGGATAGGTGGAACACGTAAGTGATCAAATGATATGGTCAAATGTTAACGGCAGAATCTGGGTGGCAGCTGTACGGGTGTGTGTACAATTCTCTCAACTTTTCTGTATATCATAAACATTTCATCATAAAATGCTGGGGAGGGAGGAACAGAAGGGCTTGCCAGAGAGTGAGGGAACAGTAGATGGAGTGTCAAGAGGGCTTTGATGTGGAGTTGAAAGTTGAAAGGAGACCTGAATCTTAGTGTGAACCATGGAAGGTCCAGGGCAGCCTCCAGTCAGAGGGAGGAGCATGTGCAAAGGCCCTGAGGCACGAAAGGACCTGACTCTTTGAGGAGAGAAAGAAGCCAGTATGGCTGGAGAGTGAGCAGGGAGAGGAAGACCAAGGTCAAGGGTACAGGTCTTCAGAGGTCACGGTAAGGTTTTGGACATTAAGTGCCGTGGAGACTTCTTGAACTGCCTGAAGCATAAGGGTGATGTGATCTGATTTGGGATTTAAGTGGCTGCCCCCACCGCTTTGTGGAGAGTGCAGCACAGGCTAAGAAGGAGGGACTCCAGCTCTGGGTAGGAGGGAGCCGTGGCTTAGGGTTGGGAAGCAGAAGAGAGGGAGAGAAGGAGGTGGGTTCAGGACATATTTCTGAGCAGGAAAGAGGCAGTGAGGGAAAGAGGGGCATAATGGAGGGTTGGCTTGAGCCTCTGCATGACGGCGAGCCATCGATGCTCTAAGGCAGGAGGAAGAGCAGTTCAGGGAGGAAATCATCATGAGTCCTGCTCTAGCCGTGAGAAGTTGGAGATGCAGATTCTGCATTAAGAGAGGATGTTGAGTCGGGTAAAAATCTGGTGCAGAGCAGTGAGGCAGGACATAGATATGAACGTGGGAGTCACTAGCATACAGTTGGCACTGGGGCCGTGGGGCTGGATGAGATGATCCCAGGAGAAAGTGTAGACAGAGAAGAGAAGGCCTCAGCAGCTCAGGGATAGTCCAGCATCGGGGGGTTGAGCAAGAGGGATTGCCAAGAACAGAAAGGAGGGAGATAGCCGGGAAGTCTCGGCAGCAGGGAGCGTTCATAAGGAGGGAATGGCCGCCTGAAGAGGTGCTGCTGGGAGGCCAGGAAACATGACGATGGCACAGTGACCTTCTGGTATAGCAAGGCAGAGGTCATTAGTGACCTCTCCAAGAGCCTCATCGGGGCCTGGAGGAGAAGGAAAGCTGGAAGGAGCAGGGGGAGAAGAGGAGGAGAGGGGAACTAGGGGCGAGGATATCTCTCTCTGTCTCTCTCTCTCACACACACACACACACACACTCTCATATACGCACATGCAGGCACTCACACACATGCACAAACACACACATGCACATATACATGCACTCATACACACACACACTTACAAATGCACTCATACACACACGCACTCATACACAGATGCACTCACACACATACACACATGCACACACACGGACACATGCACTCACACACACGTACACACATGCACTCACACACATGCACACACATGCACTGAGACACAAGCACACACACATGCACCCACACGGACACAGGCGCTCACACACACATACTCACACACACACACACGCTCTCACACACAGGCACACACACGGACACATGCACTCACACAAACACACTCATACGGACTCACACATGGACATACACATGCACTCAGAGTCATACACAAGCATTCACACACATGCACATACATTCACATATATACACACTTGTGTACTCACACACTGACATACACTCATACACACATATACACATTCACACACATGCACACACACATATATCTTCTAGGGGTGCAGAACACTGAGCTGAAGGGAAGCTGAACCCACAGGAGCACTTGGCTATGTGGGTTCGGTGGCTGCCAGCCAGTGGGGCTGCTCTGGCAGAAGCAGATAAGGGACTAGGTAGAGAGGCAGAATTGCAGGAACAGCAAAGAAAGACATGAGGCAGGATGGCTCTGCATGCTGGGAGGTGGCCTAGGTTCCAGAGGCTTCAGGCTTGGGATGCTGCTGAGCTGAGCTAGGCTGAGCTGGGCTGGGCAGGAGGCTCGCCAGCACCAGCGCATCTCACATGACAGCCCAATGAGGCCTGGGGAAGACACACCCTGGGCTCATGGCTGCCTTCTCCCAGCAGCCAGGTGGAGTGAGAGGACAGCTCTGTTAATATTCCCCATCACCTACAGGGACCCTGGCATGTCTGGAAAAAGAGCATAAAATCCCCCAGGACGTCCTGCCCATTTTGGGGTGGTGATGGGGATGGCAAGAAGCCTCCTTCAGGTACCACCCCCACCCCAGATCCTTACTCCAGCATGAAGGCAGGAGAACTGAGAGGGGAGGCTTGTGGCGCAGTGACGCCTGTGTACAGCTGTGTGCACCTGTGGGTACCTGGGCGCACCTGTCTTCACCTGTCTAGGCAAAACCATTTGCCAGGAGTCCGAAGCAGGTGGTGTGTCTCCCGTGGGAATATACAACCTGCATCCCGAGAGCCACTGAAATATTAATGGTGCTAAAAGCAGTGATGACACCATGTCATGGGACTTCCTTGTTGAGCTAGAGTCTCTGACACGCCCACACAGACCAACATCACCAGCTGGGTGCAGCTGGAGGCCCAGCAAGCTGCTGACGTCCACACGCAGAGTGGGTCACCCACCGCCCACGTCTTCCACTGCATTCTGTCCCACTACGTCTGGATTTCACTCTTTGCCCTTTGAATCACGTCAGAGGCAAAAGAGAAAGTGTTTCCTTGAGGCAAAGTTTTGTCTTTTGCTTTGGAAACTACAGTCTCCCCTTTGCTCCAAAGGAGATTAGAATATTAAGGACACAATGTCAGCTGAAGATTACATGAAAAGGATAATTAAACAAAAGCCCCATATTATAAGCCATCTAGAAGGGAAATTAAGCAGCTTCTGCATTCTCCACATCTTTGAAGGATGTTCTTAGAGGGGGCAGGAATTGTTTGGCTTGATAAAGATAGTAACCAAACTGTATTGCCCATTGTTCTGGCTGTATATGAAAAGCGATTGTTTAGCCAAGCTGACAGCACACGCTGTGGAGGCATAAACCCCTCTGCCGACGGAAGGATTAAGAGACTGACAAGTTCTGGATAATAAGACTAATTAATAATTTCCATCTCTAAGGAACTGCGGCTCCGGAAGCTTCATCCTTCCTCTCTCCCAGTCAAGCCTGGGCAGCCCAGTCCCTAAGGGCTGAGGGACAGAGGAGCGTCGGCAGGCCAGGCCAGGAGAGGTCCTGGTGGCAGTCACAGGGGATGGTGTGGAGCAGAGAGGCTCGGGGAGGGTGGCACACAGGAGACAAGTGCCAGAAGGCAGAGCTTCCATCTCACTCAGCCAGACACCAGATTCCCGCCTGAGGCTGCGGAACAAGTGAGTTTTGTTCCTAATCACAGTTGCATCTCACAAGCCTAGCATTTTGCCATTTGCAAACTGGGTTGGATAGGACCTTCTCAGGGGACCCCCTTCCCCGACCACTGCTATTCCACCCGTCCAATCCCCTAGAGTAAAAGCTGCTGGAAAGGGTCCTGGTGGGGTGAAAACAGCCACCACTTCCCAGGGGGCTGCCGAGTCCAAAAGACCTCTGTGTGTCTTAGCTCAATTCATCTTCCCATTCAGCTCAGGAGGGAGGTATTTTATTTTATTTTACCAAAAAGGAAATAAGGTTCAAAGAAGTTGATTCAGTTGGCCAGAGTCACTTGGCTCATAAGGGTGGTGATGAATTCAAAACCTTTGGCTCTGGTGGTCCCACATAGGTGGCCAGGAGGAAGACTTTCCTGATGCCCCGAGGTCTCCCCTGTACTCAGTACCCACTCGTCCACACGGCGGGAGCAGAGGGTGCCCCTCCCCAGAGGGCTCTGGCCACATAGCAGACGTTGGCCGCCGCAGTCTGCAAGGTGAAGGGTGAGCAATGGGGCCTGCAAGGGGACCCTCTGAGAAAGCCGACTGGATGTCCTCCTGTCGCCCAGTCCCCAGAGGCGGGGAGGGGTGAAGGAAGGAATCGGGAAGAGGGAATCTTCTAGAAAATGCCCAGTGACTTTTCTCAGAGAGGATAATGGCCGTTTTGGGAGCTCTGCCATATTTTCTGGAGGCTTTAGGTGGGTACAGCAGTGGCCTTGGCATCGTAAACTGCAATCAGGCAAAGATGTCTGAGCGGGAAATACTGTCCGCTCTGCCGTGCAGCCTTGGCAAGGGTCCTGAAATCTTAATGGAATTGAGCAATTTTTTGCACAGCACCGTAAATTCCCAGTGTCTACCTTATCTCCTCGTCACGTTATTCAAGGGACATTAAATGGAGAAAGATGTGGAAGCTGCCAGCTAGAATGAAGCCAGACCCAGGAGGCAGCTTAGGAACCCTCTGGCTGACACAACCTTTCATCCTCAACTCTCTTTTCCAAAACCCGCCCCTCCCCAGCTGCAGGAGGGCTTTGCCGTTTACTAGTCCAGATGAAGCTTTCGAGGCGGCTTCTAAGACCAGGGCTGGGTTTCTATCCCTGGCCCGCAGCTTCTGGACTGAGTGAGTTTCTCAGTGTCACCATGGTCACTCCTGCCAGGGTTTCCTCCTACCTGGGGCACCGCTGGAGCCCTGGCCTCCCTCACACCCCCTTGCCCTTCTCCTAATTATCTAATGGCGCAAGCGTCTGCTGGGGTCTTGTCTTTCCTGCAAGGTCTGTGAAGCGAGCCAGTGTCTGGGTCTTCAGCCAGCCTTCCCTCTGCATGGCGGGGGCTGCGGAGGCCTGACCTGAAGCACAGACCCAGCCTCCTTTCCACATGGTGACAGTGACTAAATGCTGGCCTCACAGGCAGGCTGAGTGCTTGCCCGCAGCCTTCGATGACTGTTGTTATTGCTACTGGTGACAGGATGAGGATGAGGATGGCCACTGCTGTCACTGTCAGCTGTGGGGAGCTTGCATGGCCATGTTGAAGCTGCATGCACTGGTCTGGTGAGGCTCTTCCTGTCCTGCTCTCTTCTGAGCCCAGCAGAGAGTCAGGAGGATTCCAGGCCCTTCCCCATGCTCCCCTCCAGATCACCTGGCTGGCACCGGTGCTGGGACACCTGTCCTGAGGGCCTCTTCCCAGACAGCCCTGTGCCGGGTGAGGTGTGTGGAACTGGCTCATGGGAACTGGGACCCCTCAAGTGGCCTTGTTAGTCTCACTGAGCACTTAGCACTGTGACCCATGCTTGCCCCATGTCAGAGGGCATGGAAACACCCCCTCCCCATTTCTTCCATCCTTCAACTTTGGGCTCACCTCCTCCAGGAAGCCTCCCCTGACCGCCCCGCCCATTCTGTGTCTCCTTCTCTGGATCCACCGTCTTGACCAGCTTTAGGGACCACCAACTAGGCTAGGGTCAGAAATGGCTTTGACACCACAGGGTCCTCCATCTGCTGTCCATGCAAGGATCCAAGGGCCCAAATGTCAGGGCCTGGCCACTCCTGTCTCTGCTGCCAAGTTCCAGCTACCCCTTGGAGTACAGCGGGCTGGCTCAGTGTCCCCTGCCGAGGTCCAAGTGCTCTGGAGTGTGCCCATGGTCAGCTCAGCTGTGGCGGCCAAAGGTGTGGAAGAAAGGTCCCATCAGACCCCAGCCTCACAGGGACGCCAAGGGCCAGGGCAGGGGAAACTTGGGGTTTATGTCAGGGTCGGTCAACCTTTCTCTTGCCCTTCTTGGCATCAGGACTGGTCCCTGTGAGGCCAGCACATCCAGGCTCTGGAAGCTGCTCTTCCTTCTCATCTCTGCTCACTGCACATGTGTGCACCTTGGGCCTGGCCGCTGTGGCCTGTGGGCTCCCCCAGGACAGGGACCACGTCTGTTTAAAGGGCCTGGACCAGGGCCCTGCCTACCCTATGTCTTTTGGAGCCCCTTATTCTCTTCCTGACCCTCAGTTTCTTCTTCTATGAAACACTGGGACGAACTCACCCCTGCCCTGTTTCCTTCCCAGGGTAGCTGTGAGAACCAAAAGCCAGGCCTTGAAGTTTCTGATCAAGCGCTCAGTGGCCGTCACGCACGGCCAGGGCTGTGGTCTCCTGAGCCATGCACGGTGGTGAGCGTGTATAGGGGCACCTCGGCATCAGCCACGTCCCCACTCTTGGTGGCTGAAGGTAACACAGGGTGCTTATAACACCAAAGATACCAGGGCTGGGCTGCGGGATGGTGCGCAGAGGGTCTGGCAGGCCTGGGACACCTTCCCCTCCCTGCTGAGCCCAGATGTGGAGGCCAGGACCCCTCAGGGAGCGACTTGCTTCCTTTCCTTGAAGCACATGGGTCCAAATGTCCTCTTTGGGGCAGAGTGTCAGCCTGACAGCAAGGCCTCCTGTTGCTCTAATCCCCCCCGCCAAGCCTCATTTGGTGGGAGCCGTGGAGCCCTGCCCCAGCGATAGATGGCAGTAGAAGGCCCAGGTACAGAGCCAGTGCCGTCAGGCTTTATTTCCAAGCCATTTCTATTTCACCCTGATGAAACATAAAAATGGTTGCTGAGCAAAAAGCTCAGGTATTTTTTATGAAGCTATAATATTCTCCATTTTAAGAAAGATTTTTAAAAAAGAAGAAAGAAAAAGAAAGAAAGAAATGATATCCTGTTAAGCTAGCTTGTGCTTCCTAGAGATGGCCTGCCAGGGAAGAGCCCAGCTCATCCGGGTGGAGAGGTCCCCACCACCAGGAGGAGGCCACGGGCTGAGGGGCGAGCGCGGCCATACTCTTCAGGGTGTCCCACTTGGCCTGCAGTCCCTTCCATGACCGAGCTCACAGCTCACCGCCAGGGCAGTCCTTCCTGAGGGCTGCAGGGCATGGTCCTGGAGTGGGGTGCGGGGAGAGGCTGCACTTCTGGGGAGACACTTGGGTTGCCAAAGAGCTGCTCATTCTCCAAATAGACATCAAGTCTCTTGGGTGGCTAAGGGACATTTATTGCAATGACAGCACCACCCTGGTGTAGCCTCTGCTCCCTTCTCTGTCCGGGCTGCAGAAGAGGGTGGTATGAAGGGTAGAGAGGCTGCCTGTACCAGCGGGGCTCCTGCCTGGCTCAGGCTTTGGGAGGGGCTGGCTCAGCCTAGCTCAACGCCTCTGGGAGAGAGAATGCAGAGGTGGGATGCTAGGGATGGGGTGGGGATGTCACAGACGCTTTCTCCGGGATTCAGGATGTCCACTTACAGGTCTACCTGGTGCTGGCAGCATCAAGCTATCATTCGTGGATGCTTGCCCTGTGCCAGGGACTGGGTGACATTTTATGCACGGCATCAATGCAGACTTCCACTCCTCCAACAGCCTCTGTATTCCATGCTGCTGTTGGCTCCATTTTATGGATGAGCAAACTGAGACTCAGAGAAAATAGACAGACTGCCCAGATTCACACAGCCAATAGCTGCTTCTTTGCTGTTGGCTCCATTTTATGGATGAGCTAACTGAGACTCAGAGACATTAGACAAACTGCCCAGAGTCACACAGCTAATAGCTGCTTCTTTGCTGTTGGCTCCATTTTATGGATGAGCTAACTGAGACTCGGAGAAATTAGACAAACTGCCCAGTGTCACACAGCTAATAGGTGCTTCTTTGGGTGATCCTAACCCCACTATTTGACGGGTCTAAACCCCACCCCACACAGAGGGCTGATGGTGCCCATCCACTCACCCAGTGTCCAGGGGGGTGGCCCCGGAAGGGCAGCCTCCTGTGTGGTTGCAGCAGGCAGGGGCTGGGGTTCAGGGACCCTGCAGGATGCCTAGACCTGACACAGCAGCACGCTTTGGTGCTCCCAGAAGAGACACATCCTGAGGACCCTTCCTGGGGAGCCAGAGGCAGTCGGCTCAGAGAGGCCATCGCGTTCCACAGCCAGGTTCCGGCGTCAGTGGAGAAAAACTACACTAATGCCCCAGTGTGGAGCTGGGCTCATCTCAGACCCACCATGAGGTGCCACGGTCCCTGGAGCTGGGCCAGGAGGGCTCACGGCCTACTCTCTTCTCTGTTGGCTGGGGGTGCCTGGGACTCAGTTGCCCTCAGGGACCTGCAGGGCCTGTCCCTCTGAAAAGATTCTTCAGCAGTGAGGGGGCCCCACGGCCCCTCTTGAGGGCTGCAGCATGAAGGGAGGACTCCCTGGGGGCATGCCTGGGCTGAGGCCTATAGGGCCTGTGTCTGGGGCAGAGGCTGAAAAGGCTGTTGGCTGCAAGGTCTCCTGAACAAGGAGCAGAAGTGGCTTCTCTAGGGCCTGAGTATGGAACTCCAGAGGCTGTAGCAGCCTGGAGAGGCCACTTGTCCTCCTCCTCCTCCTTGGGGGAGCCCCGAGCCTGGGCTCTAGGACTGCCGGTCCCTCTGCCATGGAGCTGCCCCAGCCCCAGCTGTTCCTCCTATGGGCCAAAAGGCCAAGTATGCCAATGGGACCTGCTCTGGCTGGAGAGATCCATGTTCTGGCTAACTCTGCAGGGCTCCCATGGAGGGCAGATGGCCTGGGGCAGGAGTGGAACCGGGGCATCTCCCCTAGGGCCTCTCCCTGCAGCCTTGCCCTTCTCCCCTCTCTGGGAACTACCCTAGGAAACCCTGCTCTCAGCCCCAGGGTGGACAAGCAGCTGACCACTCTGGGGATGGAAGGCCCACTGATTTGGGGATCTGGAGCTTCATCTCTCCCCTGTGAACCTGGTTTCAGAGCCCCAGGCCTTGTGGGGAAGCCTGGATCCTGCCCAGAGGCAGCCCCATGGAGAAGGCATCTTCTTCCTCTCCTGGGGGGTGGTGAGTCCCAGGTAAAGGCAACTTCGCTCCTGGACATGGGGGCCCTTTGGGGCCAGGACCGCCTGGAGTGAACCCCATGGTGAACTGGCATTGTCCCCGCCCCGAGTCCCCACTCAGCAGCACCAGCCACAGAGGCTGCTGTGGCTGGGCTCTGTTCTGGCCACAATGCCTGTGGTGCTTAGTCTCACGGTGCCTGCTCTAGGGGGTGATGGCACCCCTGTGCCCTGCACCCACTACTTCTAGGGGGACCCAGGGCTGGCAAAGGCTCATGTGGGGGCAGCAAGCAGACAGCATCCAGGCTGAGGGCCCAGCAGCTGTCCCACTTTCTGGCCACTTCCGTGATCTGCTACAAGGTGCCCAATCTCTCTGATTCTCAAATGCCTCATCTATAAACAGGGGTGATGGTGGTGCCCCCAGGGGAGGCAGCGGAGGGCAGCGATGGTTGCCCCCTATTGACTGAGCAACTGTGGAGCTTCTCGGAGGCTGTTTTCTCCCAGGTGAAGTGTGGTGCGTGGTGGAGGCTCACTGCCCAGCCAGGAGTCAGCACCAGAGGTGTCCAGTGGCATGGTCACCGCTCCTGGTGCTCAGGTAGGTCCAGGCAGAGCTGGAATCCAGCTCCTCAGACTCTGAATCCAGAGTCCCCCAAGGAGCTCAACTCCTAGAACTCAGGCTCAAAGATCTGCCTGTTCCAGTGATGTGGGAGCCCCGACCTGCACTGCCACCCTGTCCTGTGGTCTCCTAAGGCCCCAGGGTCCTCGTCTCCCCGCAGCCGTGCTCTTGCCCCCACAGGCTTGGTCTGTGCTGCCAGCGTGGGCCAGGAAGGACCCCCCGCTGCCTCCACCCAAGCAAGCCGGGCTTGGCAGCCAAACAGCTCCGGCCTGGCAATGGCAGCCATGCGGGGACACACCCCCGCTTCACTCGAGCACGGAAAGCAGTCATTAAGCATTTTAGAGGACAAGGGCACAAAGGAAAACACTCATTAGAAGCAGAAATAGTTTCCAAATGAGCCATACAGAATCTGCAGGGAAGTCTGGCCTGGAATGGGGGCCTGGTCCCCTGCGGGGGCAGGCGGAGAATGCAGAGAAGGACGGAAGGTGGAGGACCAGGAGAAAGGGGCACATGAGGAGGTCAGGGGGCCCTGAACCTCTGCTGCCTACCCCTCGAAACCATCAGAAAATCCCAAACAGGAGGGACCGCTCTGTCCAGCTCACCCCTTCATGCCTCCTCTACCTCACGAGGCTCAGGGTCCTGCGGCTGCAGTGACACCCACATCAGGCGGTAGGGGCAGAGGCCAAGGCATCGGGAGAACGGAGCACTGCCTGCTCCTCCCCTGACCCACTGGGTGACCTGGGCCTGGCCCTGCTCTCGCTGGGTCTCAGAAATCCTTCTAGAAAATGCACTGGGTAGGCTCAGGGGAGCCTGAAGGCCCTGTCAGCTGTGACACAGAGCCCCCAGCAATGCTGAGGATGGGTGCCACCAGCAGAGGGGAAGAGGTGGCCTCTTCCAGGTCATGGCTCTGGCCCTGCCCAGCTGGAGTGGGCTGAGCTCAGGTCATCTGGTCCCTCCCCAGCTGTCCTGGTGACCTCACATGGTGGTTACTGGTCATGCCAATGGCTTTATGAGCCTATGGGCCACATGGGCTCTAGTGCCCTGCCTGTGAGAGGCTCCCTGCCCGTCTCCTCGCTCATAGCCTAATAGAATATTTGTCAGCAATGGAGAGATGGGGAGGGAGAACATGACAGAGAGAGACGCAGAGAGAGACAGAGAGCCTGAAAGACAGACAGACAGACACAGACAGAGAGGTAGCACCCTCCCCTGAAAGCCCGATGACTCAGAAGCTTACGTGCCACGTCAACTCAGGCCCTTCTCTGTAAATCTTGGCACCAATCCTGAGCTCCAGGCCCCGAGTCTGCGAGGCCTGCTCATTCCCGCCCCGGGGTGGATACGTCACCACAGCAGAACATGGCTCTCCCAAATGCTGGCTCCTGCCCTGTGGTGGCTGTGGCTCTGGGCTGGGCACTCAGGGGAGACAGGAATTCATGTCTCTCCCTTGGGAGCTGACTAGTTGGAGAGGAAAATCGAGGCCAACATAGGCAGACGTGCCCACTAAGTGCTAAGTGGCCTTGGGTGACATCAGCTGGAGCATCTCAGAGGGCAGGAGCGAGTTCACAGTGGGCCGGCAGGAGGCGGCCACTGAACTGAGGCTACAAAGGTGGGGCAGTGGGTGCTATTCCTTGGAGAAAGTCTCCTTTTTCCAGAAGCACTTCTTCCTTTCCTTCCTCCCTCTTTCCTCCAATGCCCTTACCTTTCTAGAAGGCTCACCCCCTGCAGGGGGCTGAGAGAGCATGGCCAGCCCATCACTCCCTTTCCTAGTGCCTCCTGCATTCAGAGGACCAGGCTGGCTCGGGGCTGGCATCTGAGCAGCCTCCTTCCTCAGCTCCCAACATGGGCACTGCCCTGACACCTTGGACCCCACCTAATCCTTTTTCTTGGTAATTGGTGTCAGAGACACACTTGAGCCAATTTCCATCTGAGCCAGTAACTCATGGCTTCTTTCCTATTTAACATCAGAGAAATTAAACCTGGCCACAGCATCATTATCCTGGTGTTGTAATTAGCACCAGAACAAATTGCCCTGAGCGGCACCGGCTGCCACATAGGCTCTGGGCTCCGAGCAGGGCGTGCATTGTGCTAATTGCTTTGGCCTTAGCTCCTTAACCTGCTGTTGCCCCGCACAGACCTGGGGGAGCAGGAACCCCCTACACCTGTGTGCGCTCCCTCTTTGTGATCTGATCACAGAAACAAGTCTGATGCTGGAGGACACAGAGGAGAGGGATGGGGAGGGATGGCTCCCCCAGGCTTGGGCAGAGAAGATGAAGAGGCCCCAGCTCGGCCATGAAGAAGCCTGGTCCTGCCATCCTGGCCTTCGGGGAGACTCCAACTTCCCCGCCAGCTGGGAGGTAACGAACCAGACACACATGAATCAGTCCAGGTATGCCTCCAGCATACGGAGGCTGGAAAACAGGAGCGCCAGTGAGGGAGGGCTGGGGCAGAGAGCAGGACCCCTCTCCTCGCTTGGCCCGAGTTGAGGAACAGGAGCAGCTGAATCTAGGAGGGACCCGGAATGAGCAGAATGCAGCTTGGGAAGTCATCAGCTCAGACCTCGTGGCTGCCCAATGGTGTCTGATTCCAGGAAAGTAAATTTAGTGGAATTAAAAAGCCACAAGGGCATGATGGAATGAGGGGAGGCAGGCGGAGGCGTGGGTGCAGGAGAAAAGGCCTGGAGGAGCAGACCAGCCTGGAGGAGCGGGTGGCTGGGCTGCTGGCAGGATGCCAGCTTCCAGGTGCTGCCCCGACAGGAGGGCAATGGCCAAAGAGGTGTTCTGACCAGGGGGCATGAAACCGAAAAGGAAAAGGGCAGAAACCAGACCCATGGGGCTGGAGGCCCAGGAAGGAGTGTACAGGGCTGCAGGCTGCTTTGGATAAATGGTGTTTCTTGGGAAGCCAGAGTTTGTCCCTGGGGACTCAAGGACATGCTCTGACTCTGACTCAGCCGCCAGAACTCTGGCCTCGGGTGGAACCCCACCCTTCATCGGGTAGAGGAGAAAACCCTCTGCCAAGGGGTGGAACACCTTGGGACCAATTCCTAGTAACAAGACCCCAAAAGCCTCATCCCATGACCATGTGACAACTCCCCTCCTCAAGCACACAGGTCTGAGCAATTAGAAAAGCAGGTGCTAGCACGTCAGCCTCCAGGGGAGGCAGAGCCAGGGAAACTGATGACAGGGTGAGGTATTGGGAAGCAGCCTCTGCAAATCAGCACGTCCCCGGATGGTCTCGGGCATCATTTGAACTTGCTGAACAACAGACGGCTATTTCTGGGAACTGAGGGAGAATGGAAAGGGTTTGGAGGCTGGGGCTGGGCAGAGCCGATGGATAGAGGGCCCTGTCTAGGCTGAGCCCGGCCTCCACATCGACATGGCTCCGGCCCTGTGGGCACCTTCCAGACCAGCTCTCCTGTGGCCATCAGCCTCTCTGCACTCCGTGGCATGTGTGACTCTTTTCTCCCTGAGCTTGTGTCATAGCACTGGGGGACTTGCTTCCCCAGCTGCCAGGCCCCTCCAACTACACCCCCGCCAGGTCAGAGAGATCCCTAAACCATCAAGGTCCAGGGGTTTGCTGCCTTGAACAACAGAAAGTAGAACCATGGTGGGAAAGGCCTCAGGCAGCAACTCCTGGGTAGAGGCAACAGTAAGAACTTGGGGTGACAGAGGCAGGCCATGGGGAATGGGTTCTACCAAGAACAGCTGCAAATCAGAGGATGCATTTTGAAAAGGACCTATGTCTAGTCCGACTGCATGGATCCCTCAGACCTTCCCGCCCACACGGCAGGCAAGACAGCTGGCAGACGATCCCCAGAGGGCAAGAGGCCAGGTGGGCCTCCCGTACCTACCCACCCCTGGTTCAGCAACGCTGTGCACAAACACCATGGACAGAGATCTGGGCACCAGGCCACTCTCCCACAGGAATGGCTAGCATGCCCAGCCACAACCTGTTCCATCCCTGCCACAGCAGACATCACAAATCGATTACGGAGCTCCTTCCTCCTTTCCCCACAGCTATCCCAATCAATCCAGCTGTGCCTGGCAACCTCCGGGAGCCTGTTTTCCACATGTGCCTTGTAACTAACCCATGAGAGAAAATGAATGTACAGCTTTCAGCCAACAGGCATTTCAGGGCAGGATACTCGGCCTTCTTTCTTGTCCTCATCAAAAGAAAACTGAGGCGCCTTGGAAGCTGGAAGCACCTAGGTTTATTTCCCATCAGTGGGTGACAGCTACCCCTGCCACCAGGCCTTCTCCCCTTCCTGACACATGACAACACCAGCCCAGCCACTGAGCTGGCCTCAGTGCCGCAACAGCCGAAGTCTCCCTAGGCAAGCTCACCAGGGCTCTCAGCCCGAAGCCGTGTCGCATGCGGAGCCCCGCGCCCTCAGTGCCCTCCACAGACCCTTCCCGAGCACCAGAGACAGAAGAAGAATCCAGTCCCAGCCACCTACCTGAAGGAGCCAGTAGCACCTCCGGTGGAAGGTGGGGATGATGGAGGAATGGACATAGCAGCCGTACAAGCACTAGGGAGAGAGGAAAAACGAGAATTCAGTTGGAAAGAGGGAAGGAAGGAAGGAAGGAAGACGGCGCAACAGAGAAGGAGCAAGAAGGGGCCACAGCCGCCTGGCAGCGGCCCAGGGAGACCGAGGGCACCTCTGCGTCTGGCTCCAGCTCCAAGACTAAGGCTCTGGGACAGCACCTACGAAGCCCCGTGGGGACACACCAGCCGGCAGACTCGATGGGCAGCTGGGGCCTTACCCTCCGGGAGCCATAGAGGCGTCGAGAACCCAGGACAGCCAAGGACCAGGGAAATGTACCTACGTATGCATTTTCCTATAATTTTAGGGGCTTGGAGTTACTCTGTAGTTCATTCCTAGAGCCTAGGTTAAGACCCTTTGGGGTACAGGGAATGGCTGATGGTTACAGAATTCATTAAACACATGAAACATACATGCTACAGACCTTTCCTGGCCAGGGGGCCCTGGCCGGTACGAGCCCAACCAGGGGGGACAGGGTGGGGCGGCACTTCCCAGGATGGGCTTCTAGAGCTTGTGGGGCCTCTTGTGCATCCCTGCTTGTTGACTTTGCCTACTGTTTATTCATATATTTGTTAAGTAATCCTGCATCTTTTGCAGATGGATTTGGTTTTGGAAAACAGCCAGAGCCAGGTTGGAGAAGGTGGGTGGAAAGTCAAGGTCAGGAAGGGTGGACTGTGGGTCGGGATGGCTCTCAGGGGCCCATCACCTAGACCCAGGTGAGCAGAGTTGACCAGTGGGTGGGGTCATTGGGGCTGGCATGTTGGTGAGGAAGGCCGCCCTGCTCTGATTCTCTGGTGCTGCCTGCGTGTGTAGAGCTGGGCACCGTGGGCCAGGCTTGCTGGTGAGATGGAGAAAGGGGCCTAAGGAGAACCATTGATCAGGTCCCTCTTGCAATCCAGCTGGAAGGTCTGAGTGGGAGGGAGGGGCCCAGCCTTGAGCAGGTCATCAATTTGGAGAGGGAAGTCTCAAGGCACCCAGTGATGGGGGCCCCCACCAAAGCCAGGGGCAAAGCTTTTCTTTTGGTGCCTCTGATTCCAGACTGGAATGATCTCCCTTCCATCAGCTTCAGAGTTCCCCTGGCTTCCCACTGCATCCGCTCTAGAAGGGGTGGGGCATAGAGGGGAGGAAAGTTCCTCAGAGCCACACAGGACATCTGCCAGGTGGGAAAAGGCCTCCCCCACCTCTCCTTGCTCATTTTAATCTCACTGTTGTCCCCATACCCTTGAACCAGCTCTCCAGAGAGAAATGCCACCAGCTCTGCTTTAAAGCTTTCATCAGCTATTATTTACACCCCCAAAAGAGCGGGTGCAATTTGGTTGAACTAGGAGTCCATCGGAGCCCTGCCTGTCTGATTAGCAGAGTTGACAGAGAAATCATTTTGGACTATGCGATTCTGGCTGCAAGAAAATCAGATTTCAATATGTTAGAACTTTTACAGATCACTGTCAGCTGGGACTTAAGCCCTGTATAAACCAAACATACAAAGCGGAAATTAATTTAAACAATTCCCTTGCAATTCTTGCCCATGAAATGTATTTATTATTAAGAAAGCAATATTCTTTCTTGACTTTTCTGGTTTTCAAGACACGGTGTTTTGTTTTCGTTGTTTTGGTGGTTTGATAACTCACTCCTTGCCGAAGGAGACGCATGTCTAGACATTTTTGTCTAAGCGTTTGGTTGCAATGAACAAGCAACCCACCTGTGACATTCACCATCTCCTTTCCTTTGGAATTTGCATGTTCTCACAGGCAGGTTCATTACTTTGACTCATGTGATGAGCCAAATGGAGGGAGATATCAACGGCTGAGGGGTGTTTCTCTCGTCCCTTTGAAATAAGAGGTTTCCATCTGCTGTTTCCCCACTCTATTCCTCTCTAGACTTTGCAATGACTTTCCCTCTTCACCTGTCTTATTCTCTGTCCACTACTTTCTCTTGGACTTGAAAAGACCGTGGTTGGTTTTCACCATCACTTCTCCCTCGATTGCCTGCCTGTCTGCCTGGACTGGGCTTCAGCATCTCTGAACCCCACACTCAGAGGTGAGAATTTCCCAAACACCAACTGTGTTTCCTCTGTGAACCTACAAAAGAAGAGGAAGGCCCAGGCCCGCTTTCCCCTGAAGCCTCCTAACACCTCTCTGGCCTACCCACAACTGCCCCAGAACCATCCGATAAACAAAATGAAGTTAAGATGAAAGAAACACTGCCATTTCTACATCAAGGCTCACTCATTTGAATCAGAGGAACCCTCGGGCCCTCACTCCAGAACCCGGTTACTCCATTTTTAGATACTCCTCTAACCACTGTGGCAATCCCATGCCCCTGGTCTCCTTGGATGAGAAGCGTGGTCCCTGGATGGTGGGAGGGATGGGAAGTGCGGCTGAAGGCAGATCCCCAATAGGCAAGGATCACATCAAACAGTACCAGAGGAGGAAAGAAAAAAGCTACACAAAGAGCCCCAGGGACTCAGGAAGCCCACAGGGAATGGGACCCCTTCCATGCTGCCTGGCTCAGCACACTGGGCTACCCCAATGGTTGGTTATTTGGTTAATTTACCCATCTGCCTTCTCAGAATGGGGGCTCCTGAGGGCACAGGGCCTTAGGCTTTTTGAATAAAGATATCCCAGTTCTCCCCACTGGCAGCTCCAGGACACAGGTCCCAGGAAAGGACTCCAGAGACGGTCAATGTTTAAGTTTTGCCCGTGGCACCCTGAACGCTAAGGACTTCTAATACACACTAGAAAACAACCTTGAAAAATGGCTCTACATTTAGGGCTTAAAGGGTTGAGCTTCAGTTTCAAGGAAAGCAGACTTGTGTGGAGTCGCGCTTTGCTGTCCAAGTGGGGAAAGCAGCTCACGGCAATCCCCTGCTGATGAGCCGGGGTGGCTGTGAGGGCCTCGGCGAGAGGTGGAGCCTGCCTGGGGTGGGAGATGTGTGACTTGGGCTCAGAGAGTCCTTGTCCTGCCAGGCTGCACCATGGGTACGATTCTAATCCTTTCTCTCGGGTGGCTGTGTGGGCTGAGAGCTTATGCAGCAATGGAACCCTCGGGATGCTCCTTGGACCCCCCGTGAGTGTGCACCCTCATCAGTGATTGTCACCGGAAGGGGACATCAGAGGAGGCTGCAAAAGCTTTAAGGATGAGCAGGGTTTGCCGAGGGAAGCACAGCAGCAGGAAAAGCAGCCAGTGAAGGACAGGAGATTCCCTCTCCCCTTCCATTCACCCCTTGGCCCAAACCACCCTACAGCCCAGCCCTGACCCCAGGCTCTAGCTGCTACCACCGCCCTCACTCTGCAGTCTTTTCACCAGATTCCAGGCCATATGACAAGGTCATTACCAAGCCAATTGGGGATTAATTGCACAATATTCCATGAGGCCGTGTGGCGAATCCATTCCCTTTATCCACTAATCAAAAAAGCAATCAAGTTTGTCTGTAGTGATTTGTGTTGTACAAACTCCTGGCGCTTTTTGATCAGGCTCTCAGGGTCCTCTGGGGTTTCCCCAGTTGAGCTTTTCACTGCAGGGAGCCACATTCCGGGGCTCGTGGATAAATCCGCGTGTGAGGTGCACACGCGTGTGGGAGTGTGAGGGAGTACATGCCGTGGGTTCCCTTATTTTTGTGTATACACAAAAAGAGAGAGAAAGGAAGCAACTAGGTATTTATAGGAAACCTGGGAGGACATCACCTTTCAGATGAAAGCAACCTTTGAATCAGTTGTATTGGGGAATTAAGGCCTGGCAGCTTCCCCTTAACATGGCAGTTGAGCAAGGAAAAATTTTTTGGTAAATATTCAAAATTGCTTTTATGACACTATAGGGCTTATTTATTTATTTATTTTTATAAAAAAGTAAAGATGAAATTACAGGGGAAACCAACAGCAAACAAGAGCTCCCTTCAGCTCAAAGTAAATGCCTCAAAAAAGAAAGTGGCGTTTCTGAAGGGAGCATGGCCGCAGAGCCCCCTCAAACGCAGTGGGGGTCCCACACCAAAGAGGGCTCCTGAAGGCTGGGCAGTGATGGCTTAGTGGCCCAAGAAGGAAGCACATCACTTATAGGTTGGTATGTTGTGGGCACCTCCCTTCCCGGCCAGCTCTCTACGGCCTCATCTGACGCAGCAGATTTCTGCCCCCACCTACTCCCACCATCTGTTTCTCTCTTCCTATCTCTGTATCTGTCTCTCTCTCCTTGCCTCTCTGTGTCTCTGTCCCTTGGTCTCTCTTCTTCCGTCTCTATCTTTCTCTATCTCTGTATCTGTCTCATCTTCTTTCTCTCTCTGTCTCTCCCTGTCTCTCAATCTCTTTCTCAGTCTCTTTCTTTCTCTCTCTCTCCATCTCTGCAGCTGTCTTGTCCTCTCTCTGTCTCTCTCCCATTTCCCCCATCTGTCTCTCCCCGTCTGTCTTTATTTCTCTCTCCGTTTCTGTATCTGTCTCTGTCTCTCCTGCTATCTCTCTCCATCTTTCTCTGTCTCTCTGTCTCTCCCTGTCTCTGTTTCCCTTGCCTGTCCCTGTCTCTGTGTCTGACACACACACACCCTCCATCCCTTTCCTTCCACCTCCCATGCCCTGCCTGGGGGAAGCCGCAGAGGATTCAGCAACTTACCCAAGGCGTCCTGAGCAGAGCATGCTTAGGGCATGGAGCCCCGGGGAGCAGATGGGGCCTGAAGGTCACAGCGGGCCACAGGGCAGCCCTCCCCGTGTCCCTGCTCACATGAACCCCCGGCCCCAGGAGGCCTTATGTGCCCACCTATAGGCTCTGCCGCACACAGTGCCATTCACCAGGACAACCTCCCTGTGCTGCCTCCGAAGACCCCGCTCAGCTGGAGTCCAGCTCAGGTCCCCCTCCAGGAGCCCCCGACCCAGTGGCCTAGGAGCAGACGCTGGGAACACTCATCAGAGCGAGACAGTGGGCACACGGGTGGAGGGAGGATGTGGACTCTGCCTCGGGTCATTTCACTCTTCACCTCTGCAGCCTCACCTCACCCATCCTGTGGGCTGGCAGACTTCCTGCTAAGAGTCAGAGAGCAGATGTGTCCAGCTTTGAGAGCCGGGTGGCCTCGGGGGTTACTAGGTCCCTGCCAGGGCAGGGGAGGAGCGGCAGGAGGAATGGGGTGGGGATGCATCCCAATCAAACTACCACGGACACAGAAATCTGAATTCAGATGATTTTCAAGTGTCATGAGTATTCTTCTTTTGGCTATTTTTCAACAATTAAAAAAAATGTAAAAGCTATTCTTACCTCACAGCTGTTCAAAAATAGGTAGTTAGGCCGGGTGTGGTGGTTCCTGCCTGTAATCCCAGCACTTTGGGAGGCCAATCACCTGAGGTCAGGAGTTCCAGACCAGCCTGGCCAACATGGCGAAACCCCATCTCTACTAAAAATACAAAAATTAGCCGGCGTGATGGCATGCACCTGTAGTCTCAGCTACGCAGGAGGCTGAGGCAGAAGAATTGCTTGAACCTGGGAGGTGGAGGTTGCAGTAAGGCAAGATTATGCCACTGCACTCCAGCCTGGGCAACAGAGTGAGACTCCATCTCAAAAAATAAAAAATAAAAATACCAGCTCCTTGGGAGGCTGAGGCAGGAGAATTGCTTGAACCCAGGAGGCGGAGGTTGTGGTGAGCCGAGATCACACCATTGCACTCCAGCCTGGGCAACAAGAGTGAAACTCTGTCTCAAAAATAAAATAAAAATAGGTAGTGGGCCGGATTTGGCCTATGGAGCATTGCTTGCTGACCTGTGACCTGTCAGGTTGGGACAAGTGTGGATTATATCGTCCTTCAAAAAATTCCCAATTTTAAATCACTGCTAGTGACATTCGCATAGCAGGTGCTCAATATGTGTGATTTCCTGTGCGCCCTTAGGCAGGGCAGGGAAGGGGAGCATGGCCCAGGCGTATGGGAGATCATGGACTGCATATGATACAGACACAAAGGAAACTGGAAATGTCTTTCCAATTGTACTTCGTTTGGGATGTTTGTTTTCTGGTCCTGAGTATGAGCATGCATGGCCCTTTTCCCCTGGAGGAACAAAATGACCCTAGAACTTCTAGTTGGTCTGCCATGAAGACCTTTTCTAGGGAAGCCCCTTTTATGCTGTTTCCTTGGGTCCACCTCCCACAAGGAGGCAGGGAACCCCCAGAAGCCAGGGCTTGCTGTTGACCTCCCATTCTGGGAAAATGTGAGGCCAGCATCTAATTTCATGGATCACTGGAAAAGACATCCTTGGCATTGCTCAACAGGTGTCTTTAAAGCTGGGCTATCTAACTTGGCAGCCACTAGTCACTGCGGCTGTTCGAATTCAAATTTAAATGAAGTAAAATTAAATCCAATCAAAGCTTCAGTTCCTCAGTTGCAGCAGCCACATTTCAAGTGCTCAACAGCCACATGTGGCCGAGGGCTACCACATTGGACAGCACAGCAATGGCAGAAAGTTATACCGATGCTCCCACGCTAGAGAACATGGGTTAGGGTCCAGTTCAGAGATGTTTGGCAAAGACACTGGGAGCTTGGGACCCCAGGGGCCACGATCTGGGGGAGTCAGGGCTTCAAGGGATGAGGACTTGGGGAGTCCGTATGCTTGAAGGTTGGCACCTGTTGTTCTACCTGGGCAGGCCTGAATCAACCAGGGAAGATTCCCCAGAGCCTTCTGTGCCTGTGATGGCAAAGCTCATTCCTGAGCTCCCCTCCCCTCTCTTCCCTAAAACCTTCTCTAATGCAAGGATAATACCCGCGGGGGCGGCAGACAGGGGTGTTTACCAGCAAATCTCCATCTATAATCCTCTTTTATGAGGGTCCCTCTGCTACCTCCTCTGCAAACAGCCCTGCCCCAGTCCTAGCAGCCAGGCCACCGGTAGGGGTCAGAGAGCACCACGTTAGGCTGGCTGTGGTGGCCTCCACACCACCACAGCCCCTGTGGCTGGCCCCAGAGACTCCACTGGGCCCATCTCTCTGCCGCTAGGGAAGTGGCTGTCTACACAAAGGCAATCAGAGAGAACATAGATTTTGTTGGTGCTTGGTTTATCACTCTTGCTTGTATCTGATGTACCCACGACAAAGATGAACAGTTTTTAAAATGTGTCCAGGGTATAAAGCTGATGGAAGAAAAGAGCTCATAGAAGGGAAGGGAAAATCCACCTAGAAGATGAGGGTTTAATGCTATCCTCAAGCAATGAGGGGACAGGAGCAGGTGAGAGGCAGAACTGGGGGCAGGCTGGGGTTGGGGGGGGCAGTCACAGCCTCCAGAACGGGGCATCCTGGACCAGCTGGGCCGTAGCTTGGACATCCAAGGAACGTGTGGGACCAGATCCCATGTGAGTAACTTTTCACTGCTGTCTGCTCTGTGCCTGCCTTGAGCTCTTGTCCTCCAGCCTCCCCCAGTCTCGTAGAGGAGAGAGATAGAGAGCGTGTACATGCCGGGCAAACACACGAGACCAAATCAAAGAGCCCTGTTGCTAAGGGCAGAGTACCGAGGGGGCAGGATCAGCCCGGAGGATGAAGTGTCCCCTTTTCATTCAAGGTCAGCAAAGTCACCTAAGAGGAAGTGACATTTGTGCTGAGCCAAAAAAGGTGAGAGGGAATTGGCCAGGTGGACAAAAGGGATGCAAAGCAGAGGGGCCGCCACGGGAGAGGACGGCGGGCCCCTCCCCAGCTCTCTCATCCGCGTCCCGCATGCGGGGTGAAGCTGCAGGGGCCGAGTGCATGACTCCACACACAGTTCTGCAGAATCTCCCCTAAGGGACCCACAGTGAGCGGCTGGCAGATGGCCTTGCCTTTGAAGCAAAGGCCCTGTGATTTTATGGCGCTGCCCTTCTCCACTGGTCCAGACTCTGTGTATTGAAGCAGATTTCCAGGAAGGACTCAGGATTGCTCTGAGAACTGATGGCTCAAGTGCAGGCTCAGGACTAGAACTTTGGCTCTGACCCGCTCACCATCCCATGTCTCCATTTCTCCTCTCTGTATGCCTTCCCTGCGCTGTTTCTCTCCCACTACAGTTGGGCTGACTTCATGTGGCACGTAGCCAGAGTCCCCTTCTTCCGGCTGTGACCCAAGAGGCAGGAAAGTCTCTCTCTTCCAGATTTGGGGTGACAGCACCAGGGAGGGACTTTGACTTACCTGGACTGCAAGCCCAGGACTGTCAGTGGGGTAGGGCAGCACCTGAGCAGGGGCCTGCAGCCTGGAGGGCAGATCTGTCAGCAGAAGCAGGGCCTGAGTGTGCTACGCTGATGTCCAAGGGCAGGGCTGTGGGGCTCACAGAAGGGGGTAAAAATGTGGTTCCTTTCCTGTCAAAGCCTAGACGTCAGGAAGAAGTAGGTGCTCCTCAAAGAGCAGGTGGGAGTGAAAACCTTCCAGCACTTTCCAGAGCTCCCTAACCAGCAGCAGGTACAGCAAGGCACAGGAGGAGGACCAAGCAGCCCTATTGCTCCCCAGGGTACCCTGAACGCAGACGCAGATCCTGGGAGGCCTTGGCAAGATCCTGTGTGGGGCAAGGAGAGGATGACATGGATTCCTCTTACCCTAGTTCTCTAGTTGCACAAGTGTCTTGCACAGAGGCATCTGTGGGGAAGACCAGAGCCTAGACAGGCTCAGCAGTTTGTCTAAGGTCACCCGGCTAGGAACAGGCAGAAGGATTCAAACAAGCGTCATCTGACCGCAAAGCCCTTGCTCCTTCCTCCCCAGCAGGCCACCCCCTGGTCCTCGCTCAGACACCCGTGCCATTGGCTGAGAGTCAGGTCTTCTTTGGGACCCGCCTTCATCAAAGACAATGAGATGAAGTCCTGGAGCTGCTCCCAAGACTGTCCTCGCTGAAGGATTTGGTTTGTATTAATCTAAGATTAGACCAAATGATTCAATTCACATATTGCCTGCAAAAGCATGGCGCCTCAGAACTTGTTAAATAGTGAATTGCTTTAAAACGAGTTTGAGCTAAATGGATTGCAGTCTGATTCAGCCTCCAGGGTTGGGTCACAGCAGAGATTTGGAATATTAGATCGTCATTGACCAGGGCTCTAGCCTGGCCTCTTTCCTAAGACAATCTGCAATGGTGTCTCCCAAAGCAGCTTGTGGCCCTGCCACGCCAGGGGACTGAGGCCAGACAGCAAGAGGGCTGGCCTGGATCCCCAAACCCTGATGCCTTCAGGTTATGAAGTCAGGTGCCGGCCACAGCTCAGGCCCAGGCTCCCCAAGTGGGACTAGAGGCTCTCCTGAAAACAGCCCCTTAACACTGCACTTTCTTGGGGGACTCCTCTGGGCAGGGGCGGGAAGGCTCCCCAAAATTCATTCTCCAGGGCTCCCTGGGAGAGTAGCCGTCCCTTGGCTTGGCATTCTGGCTGGTCCTGTCCTTCCACAATGTTAAATCACTCTTTCTGCCATAGTGGACACAGGAGGATGAGGAAGGGTAGCCCTTCCAGGGACCTCACCACCCTCCTGGAAGGAAGAGTAGTATGAATCCCTCTCTGCAGATGTGGGAACTGCAGCTCAGAGGCATCAATTCCTTCCTTGGCAGAGGTCACAGGGGCATGATAAAGCTAGAATCTGAACTCCAGTCCCCTGGCCGGCAAAGCCTGCAGGAGTTAACCCCGTCTCCCTCATCAGAAGCCCTGGTGCACACCCTGGAGGGACACAGGGGACCAGGTGGCCCAGTCTGGCCATGAAGGTTGGTTCCTTTGAGATGGAGGCGATTGAAGAGCAGATAGAAACCAGGAACGGCAGCAAACGTCAAAAAGCTGGCCACCCGCCACCCCCTAGTCCCCACCCCCAGACAGGAAGCTGGTGAGGGAAACAGCCAGAAGAACCAGGCAGCGCCAGGCAGGCGCAGGACACGTGGGCGCCCCACCCCATCATGAGGCAGAAAGTGCCTGCGGGCCTCTGGCCGTGGGGGACAGGACAGACTCCTCCCCTGGGTATCTGGGTCGGCCGGAGCTCCGCGGAAGGGGGATCCTTGGGCAGGCAGAGAGCACCAAGAAGACCCGCCAGGTGGGGACCCTGGAGACCCCAGAGCTCTGCTCAGGAGGGAGGACAGGTGTGCCGTCGAATGGGGAACAGGAAGGAGGGCCCCTCGGTCTGGATGAAGACCAGTGAGAAACTCTGCAGGGGGGTCATGGAGAGAGGGACACTGGGTCTTCAAGCTGGAGGCTCCCCCAGCCTCTCTGAGGAATGTTCTAGATTGCTTTTGCAGCATAGGCCCTTTTGCAAGCTGGAAGGCAAAATGGGAGCAGAGGTAAGAGTCGCGGAGAACAGTGTGTGCTCCAGAAAGGAACCAGGGAGGTGTGCAGCCTGGCCCGGGGACACTGAGGGGCATGGGACACAGCCTGGCCCGGGGACACTGAGGGGCAGGGGACCTAACCTAGTAGTCCCCTAGGAGGCTGGCACCCGTGCCTCTGCCCCCACCCACCTCCCCTCACCTGAGCTCCTTCCTGTTGGGGCCCCCAAGTATCTGCAGGGGAAACATCTAAATAAAGCGGCCGCCGGCCTAACGACGACATGAGTGAGGAGGGCAATAAAAATTCAATGAATTTTTAGATAAAAAGCCATAAAAATCATGTTGAAAGATATAAATAAAATATCTGGAGCTTCAGCTTTATTGTTTTTGGGGGTTCCAAGATTAATAAATTAGTGGGCATAAAATGGAATAATAGCTAAAAATTGATAATAAGGTAAATTTAGATTTAGAGAAAGAGTTGATCCAAGTCATGAATCTCAAGTCAGAGAAGGCCAGGGGTGGGTGAGGGGCACGTTGGCGCAGGGGGCGGGTGAGGGGCACGGCGGCGCAGGGGGCGGGGCGGGTGAGGGGAAATGGAAGGGAGGGAGGAAGAATGGGAGGGAGGAGGAACGGGAGGGCGGCGCCGAACTCTGCTGGGCCTCGCTCCACTCTCCACATGGGCTGCTCCCATCTGGGCCTTGCTGCACGCTCCACATGGGCTGTTCTCGTCAGCTCTAGCGCCTGCTGCTTAGGGTCACGTCCAGGAACCTGGCCACTCTCACCTGCCTGTTTTCCCACCCTCTGAGGACGTTCAGCCAGGCCCACATGGGCCCCTGCTGTGTCCCAGCACCTGCCAAACCGCTTTGGGGAAGGCAGCCCAGCTCCTCACCCTGCACAGGCCCAGCCAAGCGGGAGCTGGAGACCTGCACCTTTCGTGTCTCAGAAATCTGTCCTGATACCTGGCTCCCTGCGGGCCCCAGCAAAGAACAGGCTTTCTCTGAGCTGGGTGTGCCAGGCTGCTGGGATCTGCGGTCCTGTCATCAGCAGGAGCTCTGCTCAGTGTACGTGTATATTCTTGCTCAGTTATCTCCCACCCACTGGCTCTTGTTCTTTTAGCCTATTTCAATGTATCAGTGCTGTTGCTATCTCAAATACTTCCTAAAAGTACTGGGCATAAATAATATATAAATAAAGTGAAATTCCCTCTCTTTCATCAAAATGTACCGCTGAGACCTATTTCTTGGAGCCCTGCCAAGTGGCTAGAGCTGGTCTCCAGAGTGGTGTATACTGGTGATGGCCTGCCTTCCTCCTTCCCGCTCCCTGTCCTTCCTCCCTCCCATTCTTCTTGCCTCCCTGCCCCCCTTCCTCCCTTCCTCCCTCCCTCCTTCTCTCCCTCCCTCTCTCCCATTCTTCCTCCCTCCCTCCCATTTTTCCTCCCTCCCTTCCATCTCCCTCCCTCCCTTCCTCCATCCCTCTGTTATGGGTACCCCCTCACCCTTCACCAGGTCTGCCTGCATTAAGCACAAGGGATCTCTGACGAATGCCTGCAAGTAGCTCTGGGTCTGATGTGTTCCTTATCAACAGCCTGTTAGGCCAGCAGGGGTGTTGTGTATTTCAGCCTCAGGGATGACCAACGGTGGGACCCTGAGCCTTGGTAAGGAGGCTCAGGCTGTACCCTCTGGCGCTGGGAGCTTCGGCTACACAGCCCCAGGTGGCCGGCCTTTCTCTCTACTCATCTGCCATTCCCAGAGGAGAGCAGATGCAGATGCCAGGAGCCCACTCCCCGAGGCCATTCTGGACGGCACGGAGGGCCAAGTGCTGCCCAGAAATCAGTGGCTCTCTTCTCCTGTGGGCAGGCGTCTGCGGGGCTGGCACTGCCGGGATTCCTGGCTGTGGTTACTACTCAGCTCCAGAGCCTGCTGGCATCCAGCTCCCCAGCGCCGCCCGCTCTAGGCACCTGTGACGCCACGTAGGTATCCACGGCACACTCCAACATGTGCGGCTGCATGTGGCCAGGGAGTCTGGGCAGGGATTCTTGCTTAAAACGGACAACAGGGTTTTGCTTATGAAGCAGGTGGAGGGAAACGCCGGGCCGGTCTGTGGCTATGTTAATGCAAGGCTGAGCTGTCTGCCAGGACATTAAGAGGAGTTGGATTCCTGAAACCAGCTTTCATCAGCAGATTTTTAAGGTTAGAATTACTCTCTCCTCTTGAAGGCTTGCCAAGGTTAATTCGGCCTGAGCATGCAGAATTAATGGGCTGGGCAGAGGGAATCGGCCTTTTCCCGATTTTTTCTCAAGTTCACGAAAACATCTCTACAAAAGAGAGCAGACAGCAGGGCGGCATCAGGCCTTCCACCTGGGAGCCAGTGTCGGAAACACACACGCAGAACCATGCCGAGCCGCGGCTCCTGCACTAGAGAAGCAGGAGGGATGGGCAGCATGTCTTGTCCTGGAACAGACTTAGCAGGGTCTGCACAGCAGCGCCCCTTCCCCTGAAAACAAATGTGCCTCAAACACCTGCAGATGCGCTGCCCCAGCCAGGCCGGCCCTGGATGCCCCCAGGGCCCTGAGTGCATCGGAACCTCCGAGGCTCTGGCACGGAGCAGGGGGATGAACCCCAGCTGAATCACTCAGTCTCACTGAGCCCTGACTTCATCATCTGCAGAATGAAAATAATAGTAATGGTGAGACTTCAATAATAACTGCTGATAAAATAAGTCTGCAGTTTAGCAGAAAGAAGGGCTGCACTGTGAGCGCTCTGGGATCTCGGGCAGAGGAGAAGCCAACCTTCCTTTAACACAGGGACTGAGGAACTTTGCCCCTTGCAGGAAGAGGTAATGTCCCCAGGGAGCTCTGCACCCTCAGACCCAGGCTGACTGAGGCCTCCCGCCCAGCACTGCTGTCCAGGCCTCAGACCCTCAGGAGGAGAGAGCTGAGTAGGACGAAGCGGGGGTAGAGGCCCCTTCCTATCCTCCCTGATCAGGCAGAGAAACTCACTCGGTCCTCCTGGATGGAGGTCGGGGTGCCTGGCCTTGGGCCTGGGGTGCCTGGTGGAAGTTTGGGCACTAAGCCAGACTTGGGTTTGAAACTCGCCTGCACATCTTAGCAGCACTGATGACTGTGGGCCAGTGGCCGCGACACTGAATCACAATGTCCTCATTAGTAGGGAGGGGATGAAGGATGACCCTGATCTTGCAGGTTTGTTGGATTAAATGACAATACGTTTGCAGTGACTGGCACATAAAAGGTCTTCGATAAACACAAACCTCCTCAGTTTCCCCAGACACGGGGCACTCTGTCCCCTGCCTGCCCATCTCTTGATTACAGCAGGATCCTCCTAATAGCTCCCCATGGCTCAGGCGGCCACCTAGTGGGGACTCCCGCCCAGGAAGTGTGAGGCGAGGTCGCCTCTGCCATTTCCTCTCTCCTCAGCTTCCTCAAGGAGTCCGGGCTGTTTTAAAATAAACGGCAGCTTCCAAGGACTCGAGAGCCCTGCCCAAGTGCAAACAGAAAGGGGGACAGAGTCAGAGCTCCCCTCGGGGACATAAGCTCTGGGATCCCCTCCCCACTGGATGAGCACAGGGACCTCCTTTTATAAAAATGTCAGATCCTCCCTGGTTCCGCTCAGGTCTCCCCTGAAATTCCCAGCTCTCTTCAGAACCAACCACATAGGTCTTAACCCAACACGCCTGCTGCAGCTCACCACAGTGGATGCACCTCCAGGTCCCCGGGCTGCTGCGGGGGGCCGGGTCCCAGCATGAGTGAGCAAAGACTCCACAGCAGCTCCAAGGAAAGTGGGAACCCCACCGTCCCTTTCCTTCCCTCCCTCAGGGGGGTCTTTTGTCTGCCACAGCCACCCCTTCTTCTGCCTAAGGGTCAGCTCTCTAGGCCTTGCCTCCTACTGAGGAGAGAGCAGGGAAGGCCAATGGGACCAGCCTGTTGCCTGCAACATGGCTTTTATGGCCAGTACCACCTTTGTGCCATCTGCCCACATGTCCCCCTCCAGGGACAGGTGCAGGGCAGCCTTCCCCCAGGACTTGGGGGGACCAGGGAAGGCCTGTTTGGCTCAGAGCTGGGGGTTCCAGCATAGTGCCTAGAACTATTTCATCCGGACATAAAATGCTAAAAGGGCTGCCTTCTCTGTGGAAAGGCCTGGAAGGATTGGTGGAGGAATTTCCTTCCTGATTAGTGGTTCCTAGATTTGGGGTCCAGGAGTATAGAGATCTAGGCACCTGGACAGACTGCTGGAAGCTGTCAGGCCCACCCCTGACTCTGCAGATAATGACAGTGGGGAGGGAGGTGCAGGGAGAGGGGGACCTGCCCAAAGCCACAGTCACCCCGTGTGGCTCATTCTGGGCCATGTGCTTTCTGGGCCAGCCTCCTCCCGTGAACCTCCCAGGCTGGGGAACCCAGGCTGCCGCTGGACACGATTCCACATTTATGCTTCAGGGACGAAGCCAAAAGAAGGTTCTGCCACCAGATGCTGCTGGGAGCTCGGACTCTCCAAAGCTTCCCCTAGGGTCCTCCTGTCCCAGCAGCAGCTTTGCTGCCTCACATGGGCTGAGAGCAGGCCAGGAGGTCCTGGGGGCTGGGATGGGGTCTTATTTCATCTGTGTTTCCTTGGAGTCTAGTTAGTCAACTGGAAGCCGATTCAAGAACCTCGTTTGAACTTCATAGAGAAACTGTGGCCCATTCCTCAAAAAGTTAAACATAGGATTAGCATACAACCCAGCCATTCCACTCCTAGGTAACTGCCCAAAAGAACTGAAAACAGACTCAAACAGGTACCTGCACACACATATCTACAGTGGCACACTTCACACAAGGCAGGAACAGCCTACATGCCCATCGGCAGAGGAAGAGGTAAGCAAATGTGGGCTCGCCATACAATGGAACGTTATCCACCCCGAGAGGGGAACCAAGAGCTGACATGCGCCACAACATGGATGAACCTTGAAAACAGACTCACTGAAAGAAGCCAGGCACAGAAGGCCACACATTGTATGATTCCATTCCTAGGAAACATTCTGAAGAGGTCAACCTATAGGGTCAGAATGCAGATTGGTGGTCGCTAGAGGCAGAGGGAGGGAAGAAGGGGGAACGGCTGCTAATGCATTGGGAGTTTCCCTTTGGGGTGATGAAAGTGTTTTGGAACAAGATAGTGGTGATGACGGTACAACACTGTAAATGTACTAATGCTTCTGAATTGCTGACTTTAAAAAGTTAATTTTGCATTATGTGAATCTGACCAAAATGAAAACAAACAAAAAGAAACCGTGGCCCAGGCACAGACAAGGGCCAGGGATTCCACTCTGTCCAGTCCCTGGGGAAGCTGCCTCAGCACACACACCCTCCTGGCAGGGCGGAGGGGGGCCTGGAGAGGAACCAGGGGGGATGCAGGAGACACAGACCCCCCGTGAGTCTATCTGTTCAACTGACAAGTTTGCCGAGCACCTATTATATTCCAGGCCCCATTCGAGGTGCTGAAATTTGATGGGGAACCAGGCAAAGTTTGTCCTGCCCTTGAGGCCTCCAGTTTAGAGGGGGGTTAGCCCCCCGGCCTGGTGTTCTGTGTAGCCTAGCCCAGTGAGCCTGAGGTCCAAACCTCAGCACTGCGGCTGGGAGCTGCCTGCCTCTTGTGTCCCCTCCATATTAGCTTCTAAGGGGCCCACCTGCCCAATGAGGCTGCTGACTCCTTGTGGGCATGAACTTGACCTTTCATGTATTTCTGCATCCCTGGGTCTGCACACGCGGCCCAGCAGAGCTACTGGACAATGGTGTGTTGCTGGGACCCAGCTCAGAGGAAACCAGGGGAGCTGAGGGCAGGGAGCCAATAGCCCTTCTGGTTGGGTGAGAACCCTCTGGAGCTCTGAGGGCTGAGGTTCTGCCCAAACTCAGCTGTGGACTCCAGGCCTCACAGGGAGCAGCCACAGAGAACGTGCTCAGTGATGGTTCATTGACAGGAGGAAGGGAGGCCTCCCTGTCCATTCTAAGGGTTCTCAGGGAGAGGCTAGGCTTCAAGTTCCCCACCACCTCCCCAACCTGACACAGCACTTGGCACACAGTGCGTATTCTGGTAAAGCTCAGGGGGCTAAGGACTCAAGGTGGAAAGGTGGCTCAGGAGGGACCTGGGGCTTCGGAGAGCAGGGATGGGGCGAGCTGACTCATCCCTCATCCCCCAGGCAGAGCTGTGACCCTCCGTAGGCAGTGCCGCAGTGGCGAGGGCGGCCACCTGGCCACAGTAGGAGGGAGATCCCTGCACCAGGTAAAGCCTGGGGGCTGAGCTGCCTGGGGCCATCCAGGCAGCTGCAGAGCTCAGTGCACTGATCTGGAGCCCTGGAAATCCGCTTTCCAAAACCCCTCCCGGTAGGTTCTGAGCAGCTCCCCAGCAAGAAGTGCAATCTGCAGATGAGAACATCATGCAAATGGCTGTCAACTGGAGTCAGGGACGGGGAGAGATGGGGCTGGCTCAGTGCTTTAATGGGACCAGGCAGGAGGTTTGCTCTCTGGACCTGGAGCCTCAGCAGGGTCTGGGGCCTCAGCAACATGTACATAAGTCTCTAGCTGAAGAGCCTACATCTATTAATGCAGTGCCCTGCCTGGGCCTCTGTAATTACACCTGCTTCTCCCGAGCTAACACCTTCGCCGACCTCCCCGGGGAAATAACAGATTGTCCTGCAGCCTCTAGGATGATCCTCCTGGGGGTGGAAGGGAGGAATCAGTTCTTAACAGTAAGATGAGATGCCCTGCATTTAGCTGCTCTCTCTGCCCCAATAGAGGGGCTCTCACCCTCGGTCCTGCATTTTATCTGCCTTGTGATGGGTCCGCGGGCTCCAGAAAGAGAGAATGCAGTATTTTAAAGTGTGTAATGACATGCAGGCTGCATGTGGTACAAATTTCCTGGATGTATAAAATGGGAAAGAAACAGGTTTTCTGTCACCTGCAACTATCCAGCAGTGTTAAAATATGACTCGTTGGAATCCAATGTGCTGCTAACCTGCACGGGGCGGTATTGAATCTTGCAGGCAGAGCGGGCAGGCGGTGGGGCCTGCAGCCCCGGGCACCTGTGGTTAATTCAATCCCACCTGTCTCTACTTCTGCATCTGGTCTGCTTACAAGGTGTGAAAGCTGCAGAGGCCCCTTCCATCCCCTCCCCTCCAGCAGAGGTGGGTGGAGGTGGCAGGGCGCCTGCTTTCCTTCTTGTGGCTGCTCATAATGGAAATCCTTTGCCTGATGCCACACTTTCTGTGTTCTGGATTTTTAGGGAAGTCTCCCCAGGTTGTCTCACTGAGCTGTTGTATCTCTGGGCCACTGTTGCCTAAGGTAGTGTCTTCACTGGCTGGCTGATGGGCACCCATCCTCACTTTTGGTCCTTACAACAACCTTCAAGGAGGAGGGAATTAGCACATCCTCTTTCAGGATGGAGTATCAAGCCTTGGAGAGGCTCAGGACTTGTACACATTCCACAGGGATTCAGACCCATGGCTTGCGGGATGGTGGCCTCCAAGTTGGTGCCTGCAGTCCCCAAGGGGGCCGCATCCCTGCTGGGCTGGCTGGTGGGGCTTCATCCTGGGCCTCATCTCTCCAAGCAGGACACCAGGCCCTAAGGGTAACATGATGGCAGTGCCAGAATTCAAACCCTGCCCCTCTCCTCCCTCCTACCCCCAAGCCACCTGGTGGTCTTGTTGCGAAGTGTGGTATCAAACGCCTTTCTCCCCTGGGGGCTGCATGGAGCAAGGAGTCAGGCTCATACTCCTCGGGGGCTGCTCTGAGTCCCTGCCGTTCCACTGAGTACTGGGCCCCAGTACTTTCTTTTCTTTTTTCTTTCTTTCTTTTTTTTTTTTTTTTTTTGAGACCGAGTCTTGCTCTGTTGCCCAGACTGGAGTGTAGTGGCACTATTTCGGCTCACTGCAACCTCCACCTCCCAGGTTCAAGTGATTCTCCTGCCCCAGCCTCCCAAGTAGCTGGGATTACAGACATGCACCATGACGCCCAGCTAATTTTTGTATTTTCAGTAGAGATGGGGTTTCACCATGTTGGCCAGGCTGGTGTTGAACTCCTGTCCTCAATTGATCCGCCCGCCTTGGCCTTCCAAAGTGCTGGGATTATAGGGCTGGGCCACTGCCCTGGCCCTCATTCCTATCTTCTAGGTGAGATAACTGAGGCCCTTGGAAAAGACGAGGTCAGAGGGCTCTGACTCCTGGATCCCACACGCTGCCAGCATCCTTGCCTACCCTGGTGGGAGCTGCTCTGCCTGGCCCGGTGGTCTTAGACTGCTTCTGACTTCTCTGATGAGAGTTAGAGACCTCGTGTCAGAAAAATGTTGCTTGGCCCACGCACACCACGTTGGGTGCAGCTTCGCTGGGTTAAGAAGCCCTAGCCCCATCCTGACAAATGTCTAGGCCTACATCTCCTCGCTTTATCAGCCTTGTGGTTTGTCTAGAATCCAGACACAGCCCATGCTCCCAGGGTCAGCTTCTTCTTTCTTTGCTGTTTTCCTTAAGAATGTGCAAACCGCCAGCCACCCTTCCTGCTCGGCAGTGGCCCCCAGCAGCTGCCCAGGCCTCCAGCCCATGGCGCCCCACAGACCATGTTGGTATCAATGTTCACGACAGGTTATTGTTTGTTTTGGGAAACATTTTGCTTCTGTACCTTGGAGCCATTTCCACCTGTGTGTGCAAAACAGCCTGGATCGCTGCCTCAGAGCAAGCAGGCAGTGCTGCTGGGCGCCCACAGAGGGGCCTGCAATGTCTGAATGTTTTTGTGTCCCCAAATTCATATGCTGAAATCCTGACCCCGAGGAGATGGGATTAGGAGGTGGGGCCTTTGGGAAGTGATGAAGTCATGGGGACAGAGCCCTTGTGCATGGGATTAGTGTCCTTATAAAAAGAGGCTGGAGGGAGACCCCTGCCTCTTCTACCACGTAAGGACGCAGCAAGAAGGCACGGTCTATGAACCAGGAAGAAGGCCCTCACCAGATACCGAACCTGCTGGTACCTTGATCTTGGACTTCCAGCCTCCTGAACTCTGGGAAATAAATCTCTGTTTTTTATACGCCACCTAGTCTATAGATTGTGTTATAGCAGCCCAGACAGACTGGGACAGGCTCTGTCCCCCACCCACAAGGAGGGCTGGCGCCTGCCCAGCTCCCAGCTTGGACACAGCACAGAGAGCCTCGGCCTCCACAGAGGCCTCAGCTGAGCACCCACCTGGAGACCAGTTCTCCCCAGGCAGAGGGTCCTTCCTCCAGGACATGGAGGTTCGCACACATTCCAGACCCAAGGAAACGTCAGGTTTCACACCTTCCTGTCACCCAGGAGCCTGAGAGGGTGGCACTGGCAGCAGGTGTCATGCATCAGAATTCTGGAGGGGAGAGCCCCCCCACTCCATGTCCATGCCTGCTGCCAGTGAGGGGAGCCCATCAATCTTTGTGCCCTCCTCCTCACCCCAGAATTTGCCCAGGGAAGGAGAGGAGGGAGGTGCGGGGACTGGGCTTGGGCACCAAGACTCCCTCTCTGCTCTGCAAACACATGCGTTTGGAATGAGGAGGATCAAGACAGCGGCCGCAGAGGAGCACCCGCTGACCTGCTCCGAGGACTCAGTGACATGGGCAGTCTGTGTGGTGTGCATGGACAGCCTGCTTCAGAGCATGGGCTCTGAGGTCAGACCAACCTGGGTGTAAACCTGGATTGATTGCCATGTGACCTTGGGCAAATAGCTTTGCTTCTCTGCACCCAGGTGCCTGCACTATAAAAAGCAGTGAAGAGCTTCTACCTTGTTCAGCAGCGAGCCCACCTGGAATGCTCATGGGAGTTCCTCACACTCAGCACAGGAAGGCAGGAGAGGACAGTGTCCCCACCCTCCAAGGGCTGCATTCAGGCTGGGGAGGCTTCCAGGGCCAGTGAAAGCACTCGGGTGGACGAGAGAACCCCCACACAGGGCTGGGAGGCCCGTGGCACTGGCAGGGCTGCTCTGAGTCCCTGCCGTTCCACTGAGTCCTGAGCCCCAGGGAGGGTTAGGGGCTGCAGCATATGCCTAGCGAGTGCCAGGTGGAGGTGAGCAGAGCCAGGGACCCCTTAGCCTGGCACGATCCCCTGAGGCCTTTGAGAAGAAGCCCATGTGGGAACTGAAAGCTGGCACCGTGGCTGCTGAAATCCAGCACTCAGCAGCTCCCCCACCCCCTCACCCCCCACCCCGCCCCCACTCAAAGCCCTTCAGGCCAAAGGCAGGCCCAACACTATCAACCTGACTTCACTCCGCTTCCCTCCCCTACTCTCCCTCCAGACGGTGTCATGCCATCCATGCGTGCCACGTGTTTACCAAGTGCCCTTCTTGTAGAGTCACTCTGCTTCCCTCCCCTACTCTCTCCCTCCAGATGGTGCTACACCATCCACGCGCACCACGTGTTTACAAAGTGCCCTTCTGGTAAAGCAATGTTCTCAGCCAGGGGCAGTATGGCTCCCTGGGGGCATAGGAAGTGTCTGGGCATTTCAGGTGGGCATGAGGGGTTGGGGCACACTGGCATCTACTAGGTGCAGGCCCAGTGGGAGCCGCATCCTCCAGTGCACGGGACGGTCTCCACCTTGACTCCTCCATCTGGCCCAAACCCCGACAGCTCCAGGTTTGAGACCCTCCTGCAGACCCCAGCACCATACCTGGGAGGTAAGAAAGACGGTGGAGGCGAGGGTGGCTGCCACATGTCCTGCCCACTGAAAGCTGTTTATACTCCACTTTGGGAGACCAGGTGCCCTTACAAGGAACAACCGGGCTGTGAATCCAGTTCCACAGAACCCCAGGGGAGCACCCCTCCCCTCCACAGCCCCGGGGAAGGGATGTCAAGGGTTTCCAGCCCAGCTGCTGGTCTGATAGAAGGTCCCTTTCACAATGTCCCCTGCACGTGGCCAGTGTTGGGATGGCCTAAGCCAGCGGGCAGCCCCTACTGTGGGAGAGCCTTCTTCATCGCCCACAGAGGGGTCCGGCCAACATGGGTTCGGCTCCCAGCTGCACCACTACAAGCCACATGAGCTCCGTTTGCCGTATCACCTTTCTGAGGCTCATTCGCCCAGTAGGCAAGTCCGTGGCCACCCGGGCCCTCCTGGTGGCCAGGCGTGTGTTCCCCTCCCGGTCTCTCAGCCTCCCTCTCGTAAGCAGGATTCCCTGTACCCGTGGGACCAGAGCCCCAGACAGAGTATCACCCTTCCTGAGCCTCAGTCAGGCCAAGCAGCTTTTGTGATCAAATATTGTTATATTTACCTAAGGATCTGTTAGGAAGCAATTTTTGAGATGATGAATATTTAATGAAATATTTAAATATTTAATAGGAACTTTTCAAACCTGACTTAATAATCCATGTCATAGGGAGAGGAAAATGGGGGTCGTGTTTTTACATTTTCACTTCCTCTAGGTCTCTCAGTGTTTGCTAGGCTTTTTTTTTTTTTTCACAGCAGAGTTTTAATTATACTCAATATTCCAGAGAGAAATTCTTTTCTCAGTAAAACTTAACTCTTGCCGACAGCAAGGTGAGCGGCGGGCGGAGGATGCACCGGGATGGAAAATGTGTGGAGCAGAGAGGGATTGTCCACCCACCAGCCCAACTCCCCTGTTTATCAGGTGAGGAGGGAGGCCTGGAGCAGCCACAGCTGTGTCCAAGGTCACGCCAGGCATCTGTGGCCACACCCAGATGGGACCCAGGTCTTTGGACTCGCAGGCTCTGGGAGCTCCATTCATGACACCATCCTGACCCCTGAATGTTCGCTCAAGTCAAGGCTGACATCCGGTGACATCTCCTAGCCTCAGTGATGCTACCCCTGGCCCTCTGTAGCAGCAGCAAATTGAGATGTTCATCGCTTAGGAAGAGGAGGCAACCTCCCCTTTCATGAAAGACTTGAAAAATTTAAACTGAGTTCCAGACTCTTCTACCATGAGGGTGGATGTGAGTGAACGTCCAGCCATGTCTTTGTTCTGTCCTGTGTCCCCTCTTCTCTCTGGCTCCTCCGGCGTCAGGTGGCCTTGGGCCCAGGTCTTTCCACCTGGGAGGGGACACAGGCCAGCTCCGCCTCCCCCTCCAGGCTGAGCCCCTCCCCCGTCCAGGGTCACCTTGGGTGGTTCTGCTCTGGCTGGGCATTCGTTCCCTGTGGGCCACACTGGCACCAGCCTCACTGTACCATCTGTGGGCAGTGGGGCATCCCCCGGCTGACCAGCCCTTCAGACCCAGCTCAGACCACAGCTCCCATGGGCTTCCCCTTCCTCACCAGCTCCGTCTCCACCCTTGTCTCTGTGGGGCAGTCTTTCCTCATAGCAGCGGCTTCTCCATCCCTCTCTGCTTGGATCATTCCAGAAGGCTCTGGATATCTCTTTCCCATGCCTTTCCCTTGTACTCTGGGGCCCTTTCTCTGGTCTCATTCATCAGTACTTCCCTCTCTCCCCATCTGTCCAGGCCACACCAAGCTACTGCACATTCCTAGTGGATTCAGGGTATCCTCAAAACCTGCTTAGACATCACCTCCCCTTGAGGCACCCCTCCCACCTCCCACCTGAGGCACAGAGGTAACCCCCACCCCATCCCCCACCTCCTACCCCGTGCTAGGGAGGCAGCTGCAACCGCTTTTATTACAGCACATTTGATTCCACATCATGGGCTGTTTTTAGTCTATTTCCCCAGCTAGGCGGGCAAATTTTACGGGAAGCAGGAACATGTCACACTCAGTTCTATATTCTCAGGGCCTGGCATGGTTCCTGGCATACAGTAGGTGCTCAATTGCTTGTTGAACAAGTCTTTGAACCTGTATGTCTTTGTGTTGTCTGGTTTTCTTTGTTTTTAGAGGGTTGGGGGAAACCCCCATTTCTATGTCCAGTGAACTGGTATTCACCTTTTAGGTGCTGCTCAAAGACCTAATTCTCATCCTAATCCTACAACAGCTTCTCCTCTAATCTGGCTCTAATTCCTCCAGGCAGAAGTGGATGCTTCTTGCTCGGTGCCCCCATGACCCTCTGCTTGCCCAACATCATCAGCAGGGCCAAGACCTTGCCGTGGCTCAGGGCTTCACTTCCTGCTTCCTCACTCCCTAGGCTGGGCTGTCCTTAGCTTCTCTGCCTCCAGCCCAGCCTGGTGCCCAGGGAGGAGGGAAGCAGCAAACAGAACCTTGGGCTGGGCAGAGTGCACTATGGCCACGTACTGCAGCCCAAGCTGCCTCCTCACCATATTCCCTGAGACCTGCTCAGGCTGGTGCCAGCCCATCACGTGGCAGAAGCTACTGTGGCTGGAGAGGCAGATGCTCGGGCAGCCACAGTGCTGGGTACAGAGTGGGTCCTCAGAAACCACTTGAAATGATCCTGGGGCCCAGGGCAAAGAGGGTTTCTGTTTCTGGGGTGCTTGGATACAGCCCTGAGGCCACACTCCAGAGGAAGGACATGACAGATGAAGATCTGACATTTTTAAGATGGTAACTCTTTTAATAAGGGGTCTTTAAATATTTAGCAAAACAGTAGAAGAGGCCAATTCAGCCAGGAGTGATAGTTTTAATCTCACTGAGCACCAGCGGGTTTCCTCTGAGCGAGGGAATCTGACTTTTCCCTGCTCCCAGCCCCAGCTCCCACCCTCCGCAAACTCCTCCAGCTTCCTCTGGGGGCCTGAAGGAGGGGCTCGATGGCTCACCGACGGATCACAATGTCTGAGCCCAACAAGACTGGGGATGGCATTTCCTGGTCCTGTGTCCAGGCAGAGGCATGGGTGAGAGGCTGTGCCTCCTCCCTCTGGCCTGCTCAGCTGGGACCCCCTGTAGAGGCTGTCTTGGGACCCTGGACAGGATATCAGGAGGTACAAATAAATGGAAAAGAGGGTGCAGAGACCTGAGGGACCCTCTCTGGAGCCCCACTTCTCCCTTCTTACCAAACCTCCACATCTACAAAACCCACCTCTGGCATCAGCTCACCCAGAATGCCCCAGGCTCTGGGCCTCCCTCTACCCCAACGGTGCACTATAGGGCACTGCAATCATCTCTGCTTGCGAGCCTCCTCTGTGCCACTCAATATGGCTGGAAGGTGAGACTGGGTTCCCAGTGCCCTAGCAGGGCCATATGCCAAGCAGAAGCTCAATCAGTGGTAGGTATTGTGCTGAGGTGGTCCAGGCGCCAGTCTCCAGAAAATGCTGATTCGGATGCCCAGGGCTGGGTGACTTTCCACTCTCCCTGCTGTCGTCTGACATGGCTATCATCATCTCCACGTGCTCCCAAGGCCACCTTGATGCAGCATCTACTAACTCAACAAGTACTAGCTAGGCTTGCCATGGGCCAGGCCCGATGCTGGGGCTGAGCATGCGATGGGGACCAGAACAGACCTGGTCCCTGCCTCAAGGGGACTGTACCCCACGAAAGTGGGGAAATGGACTTCATGCAGATCATCATACACGTCTAGGGTATGAAGCTTATGTGTGACTGAGCTGGGAACCCGAAGCCTTATGCTTTGCAGCCGTCATCCAGGGCTTTGACTTGGGTAGAGACACAGTATACTTGAGCTGGGAGGGACAGTTCTGTTGGAGTGAATGAGGCCAAGAAGTCAGGAGGAGGATCTGCGCAGGGGCAAGGAGAGACCACAGGCAGGAAGAAGTGTTCAAAGACAGGGATGGAAAGGACATCCTGAGTCCAGGAGGTCAACAGAGAATGTGGCATCTGGGAAGGCCAGGGCAGTAGCACTGTGTCATAGCCCTTGAGTCTCAGTGTCTGCCTTCTCCATAAGAACACCAGCTCTGGGGGCAGGGACCATGCTTGCTTTATTCCTTGCCAATCTCTAAATACCAGCACAGTACTGACATACAGTAGGTGCTCAATAAATGTTTGTAAACTAGATAAAAAGTGCCTCATAGATATTGTCTCATTTACTCTTAACAACAACCCAGTGGAATCAGGATTATCAGCATCCGCATTTTGCCAGTGAGGGAATGGAGGCTCTGGGAGATTGAGAACCTCAGCCAAGTCACGCGTTGAGTAAACCATGGAGGCAGGATTTGCACCCAGGGCTGCTCTGACCCTCAAACCCATATTCTCAACCCGTGTGCCACTTTGCTTTGGCCTCTTTTTCTAGCAGATTCTTTATCTCTTGGAGCTGCTGCTACCACCTCCATGAATACAACCGGGCCATTGGTATGCGAACCTACGTGCTCCCTGTACCGGCTGCCTGCTCATCTATGCATATTTCGTTATTAAAATGGGGATACTTCAATCTCCGAATAATTTTGTCTTTAGGGAAGCTCCGTCCCCAGCTGCCCACAGCGAAAGCCCCCAGGAAGCAGGCACCTACTTGTGATTCAGGCCACCGTGTCCATCTGTCAACACGGTTGTCTCCTGTATCTGCCATCTCTTATTTATAATCCCGCTCAGATTAATGAATGACAGTAGTTCTCATCACAGGAAATTTGATTAATCAATTTAAGTGCTTAATCACCACAGCCTTGCTGAGCGCTGAGCATAAGGGATCTCACTTTGATGCAGATGAATTTCAGGAAGAACTGGGAGAGTAGAAACAAAATTGTCAGCACTTCTCCATGGAAACCCCATGGAGGTTTCAGGGCTGAGGACAGCGCTGGGGAAGTCCTGGGGCCCCCAGAAGCCAGAGGTGGGGTAACAAGAGGATGGGTGGATGACTTACGCAGGGAGCAGCCCTCTGAAACCGCCGGAATCGAGGCCTCCTTTGCACCTTGATTCCACCCAGAGTCTGCGCCTACGCTTTGGGCAGGGGAGGCAGAACCCACGTTGGTCTAAGAGCAGGGAGAAGTGGGCATGATCCTACCATGCTGCAGGGCCTCGGGATGGGGATGGGATTTGCTGCTCTTTGTGCCCAATTAATGAGCGAGACGAACAAGCACACTGAGTAGCTTCCTGCCAGCCGTCCCCTTTGGCAGCAAACTCATCCCCACCTCTGGGCCTTGGCTCGAGTTGTTAGCCAACTCAACCTTGAAGCCGTCCCTTCCTATCAGCCCATGCAAATTCTGCCATCAGCCAAGGACCGCCTCTTCCTCTTCCGGGAAGCTGACTTCAAGCCATGCCCTTCCCTTTTGCAAGCTCCCGTGGCTCGCGACCCGCAGCCCACCCCTGCACCAGTGGACACTGCGGGATGGCCTGGCCTCGGCTCTGCATTTTCACTTCTCTTAGCTCTCATCTCCTCCACCACAGAGACAGCTCTGTCTGAGTATCTTTCTGATACTGTTCTTTATCCCCCAGGACTGGCCCAGCCCAGGGCGGTGCGTACAGCAGACACTTAATGTAACACAGTAGCAGCTTTTAATTTCTCAGGCCAATGAGATACAGACAGTCACTGGTATGGTAGTTTTTCAGTCAAGCATCAAGGGTGTGTGCCCCTGGGGGACATTGCAAAATGCTGGGTGTGGGGAGCAGTTTGAACAGCAACATTCAATATTACACCATGTTTTCATTTTTCAAATGCAGGAAGAACTTATTAGTTTGAATTACAAACAACAGAAGTAGAAAACTCCACAAGGAAAAATCTCAGCTGGTGAAGAAGCTCAGGAGCTCACAGAAGGTGAGCACTTGGGGGTAAGTGGGCTGGGCACCTCAGGAGTTTTGTGATGTCCAAAAGGAGATGTGGGTGACGTAGGGTTTAAAACCCGCACCTGTAGGACCAGTCAAATGGAGACAGAGTTGGCTTCCCAGAGCTACCGCAAGGGCACGAGGTAGGAGGACCAAGCTACCAGTTACTGAATGGGCACTGAGCAGCTATAATGTGTGCACTAAGCTTGTCCTGTCTTAATCCCAAAACAGTGTGATGAAGTAATCAAACCATCGCCATCGGCTAAGGAAACCGAGGGGTGCAGAGCTGATGTCGCTTGGCCCGCAAGCCACGGAGAGTGGGAGCAAGAGGAGGTTTGGTCAGGCTGCCTCTGCCCCTGTCTTTCTCGGCCCACAGGCTCCAAGCAGGCAGGACCAGACCGCAGCTTCCAGGTGCTGGGATCCGGGGACCACACCTTCACCTGCTGCTCTCTTGAAGGAAAAACAAATATCTGCCTCTGGCAGGTAAAAAAAAAATAAAAGGAGTGCGTCTCATGCTGTTTGTGATAGCTGCTACACAGAGAAAGACTAATTTTGGAAACCGATTATTAAAAAATATATTCACTCTGAACGACGCAATCAATCAAACCTTCAAGATGCAGGTTCAGCCGGTGCCGTGGAACTCCCAGGCAACACACGGCTCCTTCCCAGGCTGCTGTCTGGCCCGGCCAGGCCTCCTTCCCACTGGGACTGTCCCAGCTCTGCCCTGGGGACATTGGCCTCCGGCCTGCCCAGGCTGCAGTGAGGATGGAGAGGGAAGAGGTCGGGGCTCCCGATTGCTGACTGGTCAGGAGGCAGCTGCGGAGTCAGGATTGAAGCCGCATCGGCTCCCATGCCATGAAGTGGACAAAGTGGACACCTCTCCCCACCAGGTAGTGGGCACAGAGCCCAAGACACACTGGTAGGAGCAGTCCCTAGCCTGCCCTCTCGCCTATGCCACGGGGCCAGTGCCACCTGAGCCATGGGCTAATGTGCCAGAGATGTGGGGCACATGGGATGCCCAGTGCGGGTACCCGCCCAGTGCTGCCTGCGTTCCAGGAGCCACCTGCCTCCCTTGCCACTGAGACAGGCCTGCTGGGCCTCAACAAAGCCTCACGGAATTCTAGCGATGATTCTGTGAAGGGATCTCCGAGCTCACTGGGGCCTCTTCATTTTGCAAATGAGGAAGCCAAGGTTGGAGATGCAGCTCACGTGACTCCGACACTCCGCACCTTGGACAGCCTCAGATACCCAGGCTTTGCCTCCTGGGAGGCTGGGCTCGGCACTCTCCCTCCCTTCACCCCTTCATCTGCACCTGGGGAGCTCAGAGACCTGCACCCTAGAGGCCTGCACACTTCCGTTCCTCCCCATCATCACAGTGGGGCAGTCCTGAATGAGAAGCTGCCCAGGTGGTGTCTGGCCTATGGGCCTGCACTCTGGAGGCTGGATCCCAGGACCTATGTAGGACGGTGGCCGTACCATGCGCAGGCTTGAGCCTGTTAACCAGTAGCTCAGAGGGTCCTCAGTGGGGAGCCCTGGTCCTGCATGGGTGGTGGGTCCCACACAGACTCAGGCAGGTGAATCGACCCTCCATGGAGGCATCAGGTGGCAGAGTCGCAGTGAGGCAGGAGTGGGGGCTGGACCGGGAGACGTGCTTCAGGGTAGTGTCCACTCGGCCTGACCTGGGTGGTGCAGGGGCAGGGGGCTCATTCACTGCACAGTCTCAGGGAGGGGCTCGATTCCAGACAACGAAGAACATCAGAGTCGCAGCCAACGATGGCTCAGTGTGGTCCAGGGGACACAGATCCCCCACCTAGGAGGGGTCAGTGGCAGCATGGACCCAGGCAGAAAGCAGTATGACAGAAATGGGGAGCCTGTCCCACCTGTGTCCAGTCAGCAAGGGCGGGCCCGACCCAGGACCGCAGACCCCACCTGGGAGCAGCAGGGCCTGGAGGGGCCCTCGGCCCTGGGAGGACGCAGCTCTGGGCCTGCAGCCCCCCACCGACCACCTGCCTGCAGCCAGAAGCTGCCCCTCTTTGTGGTGGCCTTCCCTCTCAGAGCCAGCACGAGCCCTGCTCACTCTGGCCCTGGTGTGATGAGAGGCGGCTCCGTGACACCTCTCTGTGCAGGCACCGCACCCAGGACTCTCAGAGATGGTCATTCCATCCTCACTGTCTCACTATGATATGGAGGTGGACACTGGGTTTTACAGATGAGGAAGCTGAGGCTGAGAGTGGCCAGGACTTTTCTTCCTGTCCAACCCTGCTCAGTAACAGCAGGTCAGGCCTTCCGGGCTCCACAGGCCATGCTCTTTCTGCTCCACCAGGACCCTCGAGGCCCTTTGAGTTCTAAAACCTGTCTGATTCCTGTGTGCGGGACCCCCTCTGCCTGCTTCCACCTGCCCTTGCCCCTCGGAGGAGACAGATGTTGGGGCCACAGCTGCATTGCAGCCACAGGAAGGAGGGAAACTGGAAGCCAGGGGCCTCCCACGGCTCTGGGTACAGTTGACCCCTCCTGCCTGGACACAGGGGCCAGTGGTGGATGATGGGGACCCTGGGATGCCCTCAGGGTGAGGATAGAGATTCCTGGCTGAGCCCAGGCCCTTGGGGGATCCCAGTCTCTCCAGCCATGGTTGCCCCGAGTGACCGAGACCAGCTCAAAGTCACAACTTCCCCTTGTTCCCGGCCACCCTGGCTCACTCATCACTTTGGCTTCTTCTCAAAGGATTTAAAAGACTCCAAAGAAAGCTGTATCTGGGTTTTCCCTAGAACAGAGTCCTTCTCCACCATGCTCCACCCCCGCAAACCTGCCGCTCGGACAGTGCGTCTTGCCCCTCACCCCAGTCTCAAGACCTCTGACCTACCCAGGCCCTGCCCAGCTGCCTGGAGGTGGCAGCCCTATGGGCCGCAGCTGGGGTGAGAGCTGGCATCTCTGATTCCCCCAACACCACCCAGCCCTGCCTTCTGCCTCTGCCTCCGCCTCTACACCCCTACTCCTGAGGTGTTCTTCTTGGGTTCCTCAAAGCCCCTCTCCTTCAGATTCTGCTCAAACGTCCCACTCTCAGCAAGGCCCTCTGTGATTTCCCGTCACGTGACTTCATTCTTAGCTCTCATCCCCACTTGAGATGATTTTTTATATTTGTTGACCTGTTTGTCCTCTGGCTTCTTCCCAGAAAGCAAGACCCAGGTGGTAAAACCTTGGCTGTCGTGCGGCCTGCTTCACCCATGTGCTGGACACACCGCCCGACCGTGTAGGAGCCGGTCGTACTCGCTGAATGAGTGAATGCGCCTGCTGGCCCGGGACTTACCCCACAGGGCCAGCTGGGGAGGCAGCACCCTGTGTCAGGCCCTCCAACCCACCAAGCTGCAGGCTTCTACAGACCCAGAATCTGAGGTTTCCCAGGGGAGGGGTCTCTTCCCTTAAAAGTCAGAGGCCCCCGGTTATGGATTGAATGTTGTCTCCCAAAATTCATACGTTGAAGTCCTAGCCCCCAGGACCTCAGAATGTGGCCTAATTTGGAAAGTCTCTGCAGATGTAAGGAGTTCAGATGAGTCGGTGGGCCCTGATTCAGCATGACTGGTGTCCTTACACGGCAGGGAGTGTGGGCACAGACACGAACACAGGTAGAATGCCAAGTAAACATGAGGGCAGAGCTCAGATGAGGCTTCTCCCAGCCCAGGGACACCAAGCAAAGCATTAGAAGGCAAGAGAGGCCCCGAACAGGGTTTTCCTCACCGCCCTCAGGAGGAATGGACGTGCAGCCTCCAGGGTGGCAGGATGGATCCCTGTGGCTTAAGCCCCCAGGCTGTGGTGCTTTTAGGCTCATCTGTCCCCTTAGGAGGATGATCCGCTTTCCAGGCCTGGAGGCTAAAGAGGGGCCAGGCTGCTGGTTGGACACCGGAGACCTGCCTCCGGCATCCAGGCATCCGGGGAGGATAGGGCTGGGAAGGGCCTCTGCTGGGCCTCCCTCCTCTTCCTCTGCGGCCTCCTCTGCTTGCCTGCGGCTGTCAGTTTCCCCTTTCTGCTCCTGTCCCACCTGGCCAAGCCTGCCAGCTGTGCCCCAGAGGGGCTGAGACATGGGGGACTTAGATCCTCCTGCAATGCCGCTGTGCCCTGCCATTCCCCCCAACGTGCAGGCTTTGCCCACAGCTCAGAATGTGCCCCACTTTGGTACCCGGCACCCACAACCTCCAGCCTCAGTTACCTCTTTACATCCCACACCCAGATTGCAGGGCCCTCAGCTCCCAGCCACAGCCTGCATTCTACCTCTGCATCCGCCCCGCTGGGACCCCAGCCCCACTGCCGTTCCCAGGGTACAGAGGCGAGGGACTACAAGTTAATAAGAGACAGAAACTAAACAAAATGACCCTGGAAGTAATAACCCTTTCAGATGCCACAGGCCCGGGAAGGGCAAGTCCAGGAACCAGCCTTCAACTGCTCTAGTACCTCTAGAGCTGGGGAGCTGGGAGGAGGGACCAGGCCCTGGCAAGGAGGGACCCCTTACCGACCTCACCCTGCTCCTCCCACCTCAGGTTCCCTGGGGCCCTGTGGTCTGCAGGCAGAGGGCGGCCCAGAGGCTCTGCCGGGCCCACAAGACAGAGCTTTAGATGCTGCAGGAAGCTGGGAGCACCCCTCCAGGTGCTTAGTGCTAGGACAGAAGCACCCCTCCAAGCCTAGCATTAAGTCTGCTGCCTGGAACTGGGGCGTCACTCTTCCCCTTTTCCCTCCCAGGCCCCCTCCCTGAACAATCCTGAACAATCCCATGCTGGAACCAGCCCGGAAGCCAGGGCTTCATCTGCTCCTGAGGACAGGGGCCTGCGGCACGCAGGGCATCTCCCAGCTTCAAACACACTCTCTTCCCATGAGCCTCTTCTCCCCATGCCCGGCTCCCTCTCGCCTCCCAGACTGCTTGGAGAGCTCCCTGGCAGCCCCGGGCCTGGGGGACGAGGGGAGAGACATTTTTTCCAATCAATATTCATATCAGGCTGTGGCTCGAGCTGCCATGAGGCTGAGAGTCTACCTGATAAATAATGTTCTAAGAAAGCCCAGAGCCTCCCGCTCCTGCTTGCAAATTGGGCTGGTTCTCTGCTGCAAGCTCAGGGTGGTGGCATGGGGAGCTTCCCAGCTCCCTCCTCTGCTCCTGAGGTGCCTCTTGTACCTAAGACAGTATCTTCCCCAGGGTGCAGCACAGCCAGGCCCCTGGGTCATGCTGTGAGCTCGGAGGCATGCAAGCCCTGCCAGAAGGCAAGGGTGCAGGAATGGGAGGGTGGCTCCCTGAGCCGGGCCATGAGGAGGGCTCTCTGCGTGGATTGCCCTGACTTCAGATAGGCGGGCCCCTGTGCCACCGTGACAATGCCATGATCGGGCTATAGGAACTGAGTACCCTTCAGCCATGAGAACGGCGGCCAGCCCTTGCCTGGTCAGAAGGAGGCTGCCTGGTTCTTTCTGAGGCGCTGATTCCGCCAAAGCTGGGGGACTTTCCCCAAGCATGGGGACTGCGCTCCACTGCCACCACAGTGAACCAGGCTGAGAACCCTGAAGAGCCCACTGCCGGTTGCTCTCTTCAGGGTAACAGAGGGGATGATGACCCAACCCTCAACAAACCGGAAGGTTCTGTTTCAAAACAGGAATAGCAGCAGAGCAAGAACCCAGCCTAGGGCAGGGATCCCACAGGGAGAGGTACAGGAGTCCCAAACTTGGAATTCTGGAGTTCTGGGATTCTGGGCTTTAGAATGATGGGATTCTGGCCTGAGTTCATGCCTGAGACAGTGAGAATAAAGGCAGCCTGGGGCCTGATCTCCCCACTGGACTGTGAGCTCAGCAGGTCTAGGCAAACTGCTGTGGTTTGAATGCACCCCCTCCAAAATGCAGCTGTTGCCAATGTGATTGTTTTAAGAGGTGGGGTCTGTAAGAGGTGAGAAAGCCATGAGAGCTCCTCCTGCCAAAATGGGATTCAGGCCCTTATAAAAAAGGCTTCAGGCAGCATTCAGCTAGCATGCCCTCTGCCTTCTTTTTTTTCTTTTTTCTTGTTTTGAGACAGGGTTTTGCTGTCACCCAGGCTGGAGTGCAGTGGTGGGATCTCAGCTCACTGCAGCCTCAACCTCCTGGGCTCAGGTGATCCTTTTACCTCAGCCTACCCAGTAGGTAGGACTATAGGCATGTGCCACCATGCTTGGCTAATTTCTGTATTTTTTTTTTTTTTTTTGTAGAGACAGGATTTTGCCATGTTGCCCAGGTTGGTCTCAAACTCCTGAGCTTAAGCGATCAGCCTGCCTCGGTCTCCCAGAGTGCTGAGATTACAGGCGTGAGCCACCATGCCCGGCTCCCCTCCCCACTACTGTCCACCACTCGGGGACAGAGCAAGAAGGCCCTCACTAGGTAAGATGCTGGCACCTTGGCTTTGGACTTCCCAGCCTCCAGAACCATTGATGGGAAATAAATTTCTGTTCTAAGTTACCCAATCTCAGACACTCTGTTACAGGAGCACAAACAGACTAAGGCTCAAGCCAATGTCTGATGATGTCAGACTCATTTTAGAGAACCCAGTACCTAGGGCAGGTCCTAGAAGGTAGCGGGGGACTCAGTGGGGATTTGCTGAATCTGAATGAATGAATGAATGAATGAATGAATGGTGCTTTCCTCCTAAGCCCCAGGGGTGGCCAACCCATCACTGCCTAGCCACCCTATGGGGAGTATGTCACACAGACAGTGTCTGCCCTGGCGAGATGGAGAAGGCCAGCGTCTGTGCAGTGTTCGGGGCTGAGGGAGCTGTCCTTACTGCCATGCTCCCCGTGGCTCCTGTATCCTGCAATTTTTTGCACAGGGTGAGGATATGGTTGCCTTCATGAGCTGATCCCTTGGGAAAGAGCAGAGAGTTCTGCAAATGCTCAGAGCAGCAGAGGGCCAGCCTCCTCCTTTCTGAGAGCAAGTTTGGAAAGTAAAAGAGAGAGAGCTGGGAGGCATGGATGCTTGGGGAGGGACTCTCCAGGAGGAGGAAGGGATGTGGGGGAGGGACTCTCCAGGAGGTGGAAGGGATGTGGGGGAGGGACAGGGGACAGGGCGAAGCAGGCAGCAGTGAAGCCCAAGGTCCAGGCAATAGGCTTAATGCTTCCCCGTCCACCAGGGCCCCCTCCCCTTGCATTGAATGAGGAGGGCTGATCCTGTGCTGCTGGCTTGTGGGGCTGAGGCTGGGGCTACTGCTGTCCTGGCCCCATGAGTCTCCCTTTCCTGTACATCCCAGATGTTGATACCAGGACAGTCAGGAAACGGAATCTTCCATCACAAGGGCCCTTCCTTCTACCCTTTTCAGCCACACCCACTTCCCTCCCAGCCCAACTCCTTCTTAACCACTGGCGGCCACTAATCTGCTCTCTATTTCTATAATTCTGTCATTTCAATGATATTATCTAAATGGAACCGTGCAGTATGTGGCCTTCTGGGATTGGCTTGTTTTGCTCAGCAGTGTTCTCTGGGGGTTCCTCCAGGTGCTCACGTACATCAATTGGCTCGTCCTTTTTTCTCCGTTGGTGAGGTAGTAGTGGCTTCACCTTGCCATTGGACCTGGCCCCTCCCTGAGAAGTGGGTACCTGGAGGGGCCCTGCAGCAAGAAACTGCTAGGTGGTCCTTGGGAGCCTCAAAGGCAAAGGCTGGGCCTGGCCAGGAGTGGGAATCACACAGGCCGTGGCTTTCAGAAGCTCCCAGCTGCCACAGTCCCATCTGAAGGGCTGCAGAGGAATGGAAAGGAGGGAGTCACACAGCTGTGGCCACCAAGGAGGTTGCTCAGGTTGCTGGAGGCTTAGATAGAGATGCCCAGGTGGAGGATGCAGGCAGCACAGCCCTTCCTTCTGCCCTGCCTCCTTCTCTGACACCCAACACCAGCCTGCTAGGGCAGCCACAAGCCTTAGGCTGGCCTATTTCCTGGGCAATTCCTCCCTCAGGGACCTCCATGAGCAGGAGGCAGGCAACCTGGCTCTATTGAATAAGGCCACAGGGACCAAGTACCCTTCAGCCATGGGGACTGGGGGCCGGCATACCCGGTGGTCAGAGGGAGGCTGCCTGCTTCCTTCTGAGGAGGTGATTTCACCAAGGCTGGGGGTCTGTCGGGTCTGGAGATCCCTCTGGGGCTGGCCCCGGTGCAGAACCTATGCACGAAGAAAGGCAGGTGCTGGCTGGGCCCTGGCTGCAGGCTGCCCACTGCTACTTGTCTCCTCAGCCTGGGCATTGCCTGCAGAGAGCGAAATAAACAAGGCCGTAAATAATCCTCTCCTGGTGAAGCTGAAAGGCAGAAGGGCCCTGAATAGAGATAACAGGAGATGCAGGGCCACAAGGGGGACGGCAAATTTTGTTCAACTGAGTGGAGCTCAGACAACAGAAAGGCAGCTGCTGTGTGGGGAGCAGCCAGATTCCCTTCCCAAGGCTTGCTCAGGACGGACCACCCCAGCACCAGAGGTGGGCTGAGGCCCGGACGGAGGCAGAGCACTGGCCCTGGCCCCTCAGCATCCTGGCCCCGTGGTGACCCCACCAGGATGCTTCCTCTCCCAGACAGCCCTGACTTCTCATGCCACGCAGCCACCTCTCACTTGTCTTCTGCTGCATAGAATGGTCTCTGTGCCTCAATTCCCTGGCCGCTACCGGAACATGCTCCTCCCATTCCCTCAGATCCTCTAAATTATGTTAAACACCCACAGAAAGGCCTCCTGGATTGAACTCCCTGGGACACCAATTTATAGTTAGACCTGAATTCAAAACCTGACTTCAGTACTTTCCGGCTGTGTGACCTTGGGGAGGTCACTTTCCCTCTCTGGGCCTGTTTCTGGGTCTGTGGAATAGGGATGTTATGTTTAGCTCACAAGGCTGGGTGAGGCTTAAAAGAGAATACGGATGCTCCTGGCACCTAGCATACCCACAGCCAACAGCGGTTCTCACAGCTCCGGCTCTTCCCAGGGCCCCTGGGCTCTGCGCTGGTCAGCCTTGTTTCTAGTCCACTTTGTCAGCGTTGTTCGATCATCTTCCCAGGTTTATGTCTTGTTCTCCAGAACTGACTGCAGGCTTCTTGGGGACCAGGGTTGCCTCTGCCTGGCTCAGGGCCCAGGTTGTTCCCCTGGCACCAGCATTACAGTCGCTGCCTTCGGGGGTCCTAGAGTCTGGTAGGATGAGTGGCTCCCATGCTGCATGTGCAAAGGGCCTCTGCACAGATGACATAGGACTTTGGGAGCTTGGGGATGGGGCAGGAGGAGGTAAGGGTGGTCTCCAGGGGCTTAGGCATCAGAAAAGCCTTAGAGAGTTGGTCTCAAAGATCTGCAGGGAAGAGGCAGTTTGAAGGAAGGGCTTACTGGGAGTGGGAGACACTTGGCAAGGGAGCAGGGGCAGGAATTCACCTAAGGGGACCTGATCTGCAGATGGGCTGGGGTATGCTTGAGCGGCGCCACGGCAGGAGGAAGTAGAGGCCACCAGCAGGCTTAACTGCCTGGCGCCCACCCCAAAGTGGCCGTCCATTCGGGAGGGCAGTTGGGAATGCTGCCTTCTTCGATCTGCCAAGTGGGGCTGCCCAGTGTGGAGCTGAGTCTATGGCAGGACGCTCTTCCCAGCGATCAGGGACCTGGGGCAGCCACAAGCCTGGGGCTGAAGGCACAGTAGGACCTGTACTCCCGGGTGGAAATGAGAAATCTGGATGCCCTTTGACTGGGTCCTCTGGGGTAGGGTCAGTCGTGACTGCCACCTGGAGCAGCCAGGCTTACTCAGAGGCTGTGGACAAGGGTTTCCACTTTTGCCCTTTCAAACCAAGCTTCCTGGCCAGGCTCCTTGAGGACCCAGCTGCTGATCGATCTCAAAGGAGACATCTCTGAGTTCTTAGAAATGGCCCAAGGGAAAGAGACTTTGGGACTGTTGGAACAGTTTATTCTCAAAAGGCTGAGAAGGCATCTCTGAGTCGGCAGAAAGCCGCTCTCCCTGAGTCCTCATAAAGTGTCCTGCACTTCCACTAACTCATTGATCCACATGTTTTCCCCAGCCTGAAGATTTCTTAACTGTCATCACAAGGTTAGAAGAATTGTGAGTTGGAAAACTATGCAGCATATTAAAGTCAGGCTGAAATATCTCCACAATACAGAGAAATATTTTATATTTATTCTCTTTTAGAAATTGTTATAAAGGGAATATAATGAGAATGTTGCAAATGAGTGGAATATTTTCTTCTAACCTGACAATAAAAATATGTCAAAGGGATGCATGAGACTCTAATAGGAAACAGATGGCGAGCCTTGGAAGTGCAGGGATTTAGCAAAGATTTTACTTGGTGCCTTTACTGGCCCACAGGGCAGAAATAGAGGCCTCTCCAGCAGGCTTCCCTGTGGGTGAACATGCAGAGAATGAGAGGGAAGGGGCAGGTTATTCTATGTCCCGGCCCTGGTCAGGTAACAGAGAGGCTTGCCAAGACCTGAAGCCATGGATCCTCATGGAGCCTCAAAATGGTAGAAACATATCAAGATCCCTGTCACCATCACCTCCACCATCATCCCCATCATCGTCATCCTCATACCCATCATCATCATCGGCAGCAGGTTCACCACCATCATCATCACCACCACCAAAATCACCATCATCCATGTTATCGCTGTCATCACCATCACCATCGTTATTATCACTGTCACCTCCACCATCATCATCATCCTCCTGATGAGCAGCAGCAGCAGATTCACCACCATGGTCACCATCACCATCATAATCACCATCATCCATGTGATTGCTGTCATCACCACTGCCATCAGCAGCAGCAGCACCTCTACCAACATCTCCATCATCCTCGTCATCATCATCCCCATCATCATCAGCAGCAGATTCACCACCATCATCATCATCACCACCATAATCACCATCATCCATGTTATCACCGTCATCACCACTGCCATCGTCATCATCACCATCACCTCCACCATCATCCCCATCATTGCCATCATTGTCATCAACATCCCCATCAGCAGCAGCAGTAGCAGCAGATTTGCCACCTTTGGATCTATGTCCCTACCCAAATTTCATGTTGAAATGTAATCCCCAATGCTGGAGGTAGGGCCTGGTGGGAGGTGATCGGATCATAGGGGTGGTTTCTCATGATTAACACCATTCCCCTTGGTGCTGTCGTGGTGACAGTGAATTCTTACTAGATCTGGTTGTTTAAAAGTGTGTAGCACCTCCCCCACTCTCTTTTCCTCCTGCTCCAGCCATGTAAGATGTGCCTGCTTCCCCTTTGCCTTCTGCCATGATTGAAAGTTTCCTGAGGCCTCCCCAGAAGCCACTATGCTTCCTGTACAGCATGCAGAAATGTGAGCCAATTAAACCTCTTTTCTTTATAAATTACCCAGTCTCAAGTATCTCTTTACAGCAATGTGAGAACTAACATACCATCATCACTTTCATCATCATCCATATTATCAGCACTGTCATCACCATCATCATCATTATCACCATCACCACCATCAGCATCACCATTCACCACTGCCACCAGCATCACCATCATCATCATCCATATTATCACTGTCATCATCATCACCATCATCACCATCACCTTCAGTACCACCATTACCACCATCATCACCATCATCATCACCCGTATTATCACTGTCATCATCACCATCACCACCATAATCACCATCATTGATATAATCATCACCACCATCATGATCACCATAGTTATCACCATCATCATCACCACCATTATGCCCATCATTATCTCCATCCTCATCACCATCATCACCATGCGAATAGTTTCCATGTGTTGAACACTTAAAATATGCCGTGCACTATGCTAAGGGCTTGACATAAATCATTACATTTCAACCTCGCAACCACCATATGAGGTACGTGTATCCAATTGTGTATCCAGTATGGAAACGGATGCTCAGAGAGGTTAGGAACTCACTCAAGGACATACACCCTGTAGGTGGTGGGGCTCTAATCGCAACCCAGGTCATTATGGCTCCCAAATTCTGACAACACTCTCAAATGGAAGAGCATTTCGTGGAAGCAGAAAGCACTCCAAGAAATCTCAAGATGGGGAGGAAACTTCTCCATTAGAGGCGTCCATTAGAGGTGCTGGGTATTTCGTTCAGCCTGTGGCTTGTATGCAATAACCATCTGCTAAGATGACTTCTGCCATCGCTGCCAGCAGACCAGAGAAAATAACATTTAATAATAAACACCCACTGAGCCCTTACAGTGGTGCCAGGCACCGGTGCTAGCTGCAGGAATCAGACGCACACAGACAACCAGCTCCGAAACCAATATGCAAAGGCCACGCAATACAAGACGTGGCACTCAGGGAATCACTCTGATTAGGCACAGGGGTGGTGGGGTGGGGCAGTCATGGCTTTGAAGGAGTGATGGATGAGGGAGAGGGGATGTCATCCTAGTGGAGAGGACAGTGTGGGGGGTCAGAGGAAGAGCCAGGTGCTCTGGATGACTTTAGAATAGGACTCAGGGGAGGATGTGGTAGGGACGCTGCTGGGAGGCAGTGCTGGGCCTCCACTGCAGAGCCCTGACCTATCACCTATGCGGGAAGGCATCTGGACTTGACTCTATGTGCTCCGGGAAGCCACCAGAGGCAACTGAGCAGGGCAGGGTCATGAGAGCCACACAATCCCTGATGTGGTGATCGGCCCTCGGTAAAATCCTAGAGGCAGCAAGGTGTGCCTCCATCTCCTCCCTTCCTTCAGAGCCCCCACCCCAAAGATCCCATTCATACAACAGATACTCAGTGAGCGCCTCCTACACCCTGGGCACTGGTCTAGGTGCTGGCAATGGAACAGTGCATTCGCCCGACGAGGTCTTCCCCTCTAGAAATTCGCCTTCCAGTGTGCAAGAGACAACTTTCCCTGCCCCAGGCTGTGCTTCCCAACAGTACCAACGTCTCCATAGCTCTCCAGAGTCTGATGGTTGCCCGTGGACTTCCTGCCCCCACCCTCCCTCCAGATAGCACTTCTGCGTGCTGGCCAGAACCTTTCAGACACACAGTGCTTCCCAGAGACACAGTGTTTCCCACGGACGCCGACTCCAGTGCTGCCTGCTTCCTGCTTCCCTCCCGTGGCAGCAGCACGTCCTGGAGCCTCCCTTGCCAGGTCTGCTCTGTAGTTTGGAGCTCATTTCTGTAATCCCCAAAGAGGGTACCCTAGAAAGGAAAGGATGAGTCGCAAGGGGCCCTGAGAATATTCTGGAACCCAGAGCTCCCTGTACCTCAAGGCTCACCCTAGAGGACCTGCAATGTCTGAGGGGCTGAGTGCTCAGGGGTAACCCACTCTCCCCCAGAGGACCAGCTGGGATTGCGCCTCGTCCCTGGGCGGCAGAATGTGTGCAGAGGGAGAGGACAGCCCATCCCAGGGGAGAGCTTTCTCAAATTGACATTTAATTTCCCATTGCTAAAAATATTTCTGAAGCCAAGCCACTCAGGATTATAAAAGAGACTAGAGATTGAAAATTAAATACGTATGCACTCACTGCTGGGAAGGATTTGACCTTCGACACTTCCTTTCAATGAATTCCCAAATAAAATACTATTTATACAGCTTATAGCAAATTATTGTGTAGCCCCGTACTAAATCTTCACATTCCAATTTAGACTCTGCAGAGCTTCCTGCAGCTTGGATATGCTGGCAGGAGTGACAATCAGTGGTGTCTGAGGAGGTCTTTTTGAACCCATTGCCGTAGAAATACTGAGTTTGGATCACTCGCAATCTACTTATAAATATTACATTTGTGCTCCTGCAGCCCAAATAGCTAAGCATTAATCTCTTAAGATTAGTGACTAAATGTGCTGGAATTCACAATGTACAAATAGGAACGGAGCTTTTCTGACATTTGTGGGCCACTTAGGAAGCGGTCAAAAGGTTGATGTCATCGCAGCATTAATTTTTTATCAAAGATGGCCAAGCTCATTTTCAGGGTTGTAATAAACAGCTCTTCTCGGCTCAGACACCTCCTGTCCCCCACCTGCTGGAGGCCTCGCTTGTCCTTGAGGATGGATGCCACCTCTTCAGGCCTCTAAGTCGGCTGCCCTGCTTCTGGAAGATTCATCTAGGACAGCTTAAGAGGGGACGACACCTGGGAATGTTGAGTAAGGAAAACACGATTCTGAACGCCACCGCTGAGCAAAAAGGCCTTGCTGGTGGCCTGATAAATTACTAAAAACACAGGCCAGATTTAAGGACCAAATTTCATCTCAACCTGACTCCCAGGAGGACAGCCGTTCAGGTCTTTTTAACTCTAATTTTGCAATTCTACGAAAGCCATTATTTTTAAGTCACGTGCAAGCTAATATGCTGCAACCAGGCACAAAAATGATCTCATTCGGAACTCCCACGTCTCTGAATCTCAGATTTCTCCTGCCCAAATGCGGTGAGCGAAGTTTTCTCCACCTTTCCCCCGCCCCAACCCCTGCTTTTTTGCACAGTCGCCATCAGCCCCCAATCACAGAAGCTCTGAGCCAGGCTGATTAATTATGGATTTGCCAAACCTCGAAGCTTTCACTAAAGTTAATCTTTTAAACGATCTCCATGTAAATCAGGCCTTGCTCAGCCCTGGCCAGGGCCCTCCGCTTGATCTAACAAGTAGTATCAATCGAATCGATGCAGTTATTTAGTATTAATAGATAATGGGCTGCAAGTTGGAAACCCAGGTAGGCAGTTTTTTGGGGGAGATCACTACCGCTGGTCCTATATCCGATGCCAGGATGGGAGTTGACACCACCTGCCCTTGCTGGCCCCATGCACCCACCAGGCAGGGCACCCTAGGACTCTGAGGGGCTACAGAAATGCTAGTGAGGATGCTCTGAGCTTCGGACCGTGCAGCTCTCTCTGGCCCTGGGCACCTGGATATAGTTAAAGAGCAAGGTCTGGGGGAGGTGCCCTCACCTTTTTAAACTGTTAAAGTCAGGCTGGAAAGGTAATCTGCTCAGAAGTGTTTAGAGATGGGGTGGCTGATGGGACTAGCAGAAGGAGGGAGGAGCCCTGCAGATGCCAGGAGGCCCCTACCCTGCCACCTTTTCCAGGACCGCAGCTCACCTGTGATCTCAAGCATGTGTAGTGCCAGTCACTGCAGCCTCTTTTCTCAGCACCTGGCCCCATGCCTGGCACAGGGCAGGTACATGAATCAATGAAATCACAAACATTGGCCTTCAGTGGCTGGCCCAGTGGCTATGGGGGCAGGGAGAAGATGGGGAAGCTGGAGTCACAACTGGGCCCCTCTGGCTACAGAGTGAGACCAGGGCCCAAAGTGAAAGGGAGACTGGGAGTCCCCTCGTCTAGGAAGCGAGCAAGTGGGAAGGGGTGCTCCCTGTTTGCTGGTCTCAGCAACAGAGTGAGGTGGATGGACCCTGCCAGTCCCAGAAGGGCTCTCGGTGGGTAGCAGCCATGCCTGACGTCTTTGAGTCATAGAGAAGGGGCAGTATGGTGGAGGGGGGATTGCTCCTGCCCCCTCTGACTCTCCTCTGACAGCAAGAAGTGCCTGGCTCTTTAGACACCCCGACCCATAGCTTCCCACCTGGCAGCCTCATTCACACTCTCCCTTTATCTGCCATGGAGGCTGCTCTGAAGGACCCTGGCCTTGCAGCGTCCACCCCAGACAAACTCCTAGAGGACTGTCCTTCCTGCCCCCATCGCCATTCACAGAGGATGACTGACATGGGCTAGGGGACTGCCAGGGCCTCTTTCCCAGGGTCTAGGTGCCACCTGAGCACCCAGACCATAATGCCAAGAGCCCCGCTGGCCCCCAGGGAACTGTGCGGCCTCTCCTCAGGGCACCATGGAAGGGCCACCTGCAAGCCTCGCTCTGTCTTCCCTGAGCTTTGGGCAGTGCACCTTCTCTGAGCCTCTTCTCAGAGCAGGAAGTCTTCCCCACAGTCCTGGATCAAGGCCTCTTGGCCTGGGGTCTGTGGGCTCTTTGAGACCTTACAAACGTGAGAATAGTGAGCCGGTGTACACTTTGTTTATGGGGACTAGGTTCTCAGCTTTGGTCCAATTCTCAGATACATTCAAGTTCTCCCAAAAGTAAATAAGCAGTGCTCTCAGGTCTAAGGGCACAGATTGGATTCCCCGAGCCCCCCTGGAAGTGAAGCCAAGTCCATCCTGCCTCCCTCCCTCCCTATGCAGGGACACTCCCTTCTTGTCCCCTCAACTGCTGGCTAGAAGACAGCGTTCTGGGAGGATGAGCGCCACCATGACAAACCCACACATTATTATCTTTATGTCAGAGTGGAGCGGTTTTTAGGGACAGGGATGGCTTCCCCACTGCAGGCCCAGACTGTTGAACTTGGCCAAGGACCCATTTCACCTTATCCGAGCTGCAACATGACAGCTTTGGGCCACGTTCCAGGGTCTCTGAAGCCACCTTTCACCTCCCAGGAGCCTGGAGCATGACTCAACTGTAGCCAGAGACTGAGAGGAAGGAAGGAGAGGGTTTAGCCCATGAGAAAGTGCCATCCACAGCGGCCTGCTTTCTTACAACGTGTCAGCTGCACCAACAGGCTTAGTTTCAGGCCAGGACGTGGCTGCCCTGTTTGCTCCCATGCAGCAAGTGGGATGGGAGTCACCATGTGGATCCCCTCTCAGGCAGGCAAATCCCTAGCTGTCCCCCACCCCCACCCCCCCTCATCCTCCCAGCGTGGCCAAAACAGGAATGCTGCTTCATGAAAGGCCCCTCACTGTGACACGCAATACAAAATGATATTTCCAAGATCTGGCAGAGAATAAGAAAAATCAAAGCAATTTAATTTGTAGAGCAGAGGAAGTGGGTTGGGGAGGACCTCTAATTTGGTTTCTTTTAAAAAATGTCTATTGATGTTTATGTGATAAATGACTGCAAAATGCTCCATGTTGGTACCAGAGAGAAGCAGCTGCCTGTATGCAATGGCTGCACCTGAGGGGCAGCCTCCCTGAAGGTAGGAAAGAGATGCCCGAGAGAAGACAGCCACAAGCACAGAGCCCACGTGGGGACGGTGGTGAGAGGAAGGCTGACGTGGGCTTATCCTTCTGCCCCCATCAGGTGCCCACCAAGCACCTCACCCCAAGAAAGGTGCCGCATGGTGCTGGGGCAGACGGCAAGGGCTTCCAAATAGCTCACAGTGCTCCCTAAAGCCAGAAAGAGGTGACATTTGGGCAAAGAGTTGGCCGCCTGGTTGATAAAGGTGTAAGCAGCATTCAGAGTCCCTCCCCTCTCTGTCCTCTCGCCCCGTACCTTGCTTTATTTTCCATCTGGTATGTTAAATATTTATTTGCCTAATGAATGAATGAAAAAAGAGCAGGTGCAAAATCCTAACAGCACAAACACTCGGCCATACGACATCCTCCTTCGCTCATCACAGCTGACCCAGTGATGGCCCTGGGAGGTAAGCAAGGGAAGTCGTTGCGCATTTTATTGGTAAGAAAAACTGATCAGAGAGATTACACAGTTTGACCCTTGTGGAATTCATGTTCATTGACAAAAGCAGGATATAAAATTGAATATGTAGTTGCATCTCACCTAAGTAGAACAATAGAGAATGAGGTAATGACACCCGGCGGGGGGAGGCTGGGTACAGGCAGGCAGCAGGCATTATCTGTGTGCTGGTTCTTTTTTTTTTTTTTTTTTTTTGAGATGGAGTTTTGCTCTTGTCACCCAGGCTGGAGTGCAGTGGCACAATCTTGGCTCACTGCAACCTCTGCCTCCGGGTTCAAGCGATTCTCCTGCCTCAGCCTCCCAAGTAGCTGGGATTACAGGCACCCACCACCAAGCCCTGCTAATTTTGTAGTTTTAGTAGAGACGCGGTTTCGCTATGTTGGCCAGGCTAGTCTCGAGCTCCTGACCTCTGGTGATCCACCTGCCTCGGCCTCCCAAAGTGCTGGGCTTACAGGCCTGAGCCACCACGCCTGGCCCTGTGCACTGCTTCTAAACCATTGAGGAAGGCTTGGCCCGGGGCCAGGCCCCCACCTGGGGCTGTGAGGGCTGCCTCGCCCTGGGGCTCTTTTGCCCTGAGACTCCATCTAACTCATGCTGTCTTCATGAGCCTTATTGGTAGTAATCGGCTCCTGATTGAGATTAATGGAGAAAACATTTTCAAAACACTTAAATGGCACTGCCATTAATCTATGCTCTGAAAATGCATCTTGCAGGGCAACCTGGGAAAGGTGTTCATTGCAGTTTCAAATACAAATCCATCAAAGGTTTGCAAAGGGCCCCTCGCATCCACGGGCCAGTCTCTAAGAGCCAATGGAAAGCATGCCCTCCACTTGGTGCTTGCAGACCCCAATGTAGGGGGGTGTGGGGACTGCAGGGAGCCCTGTGTCCAGGTGGCATGTGCCAGCCCCATGTGGGAAGCTGCCTATGGAGTGGGTGTGAGGGCCCTAGGGTTGACAGGCAGCGTTCACAGCCTGGCCCCATTGGCTGTGGGCTGCTTGGCCTTGGTCTTAACCTCTCTGACCTCCACTTTCCCTGTCTGTAAAAGAGGGATATTAAAATCCTCATTTTCAATATTTGTAGTCCATTGTCTAAAAGATGTATCATCCTCATGGCATCCCATCTCTGCTAGGCTGCTGTGATGGGCAGCAGCACAGCACAGATCCCCCCAGCACAGAGGGGGTCTGGCCATTGGTGTTGTCAACCCTCTTCCTGCCCACATGTGCCCTTTTTCCTGCTATGTCCTCTCGCCTGTCCGTGGAAGCCGGGATCTGCTGTCTCCTCCAGGGTGGCTTCCCTGGTCCTGAAGCCCCTCTCACCCACCCCCAGCAGGAGGATCCACCAGGCCCTGGATGGAAGCCCCCGGCCTTTCCTCTGAGCCTCTTGCATCACTCACTGTCTCCCTTCAGCTCCTAGCATGGGCACCAGGACCCACAGCTGGAAACCAGGCATCTTGAAAACAGAGACCACGCCTGCATGTACGACCCACAGCACAGGCCCCTGCACAGGGGAGGGCCCAATCTGCCCTGTCCAGCTCCCACTCTGCCCCTTCAGACCCTCCTGCCAGTCAGCCCTGCTTTATGTTCTCATGGTTTCTGACATGTGGCACTTTTCTCCCTGGGCTGATTGTAAATATCTCCAGGAGCTGGAAGAGGTGATGAGGAATGCTGGAGATCCATGCCCTCCTCCACTCCCCCAGCCACGGCGCACCGAGAGGGCACCTGCAGATGCACAGCACAGATGCCACACAGAGCAACGCTTGCCAGGGGAGGGAGGCTTCCAGTGTGGAGTGAGCGCTGCTGGGTCATGCCCCAGTGCCCCGTGGGCCTGCAGGAGGGTATGGTCCCCTCTGTCTGTTGACCACAGACACCCAACCCCAGGAGAACGGCCTCCTGCCTCCTTGGTCTTTCCCTTCCCATCCTCCATCACGGACCCACCTGGTACCACCAATGAGGTGGCAACAGTGAGTGCTGGCATGGAAGGCCCCTCTGCGTGCCAGGTGCCATTCTGATCATTTCACATCAACTAATCCTCACACAGCCCAAGAGGGGGAGGCCGTTGTTACCTCCAGTTCCTACAGGAAGAAACTGAGGCCCAGAGAGAGTTCAGTAACTTGTCCAGGTGACCTCACTAATAAGTCCCAGAGCAATCCAGCACTCGTCACGTTCAGCCTCTCCACTCCAGTGTTATCTGGTTAAAAATATTCAACCAATAGGCTGGGCATAGTGGCTCACACCTATAATCCCAGTGCTTTAGGAGGCCGGGACGGGCGGATGAGCTGAGGTCAGGAGTTCAAGACCATCCCGGCCAACATGGCAAGACCCCGTCTCTACTAAAAATTACAAAAATTAGCTGGGTGTGGTGGCGGGCGCCTGTAATCCCAGCTACTCGGGAGGCTGAGGCAGGAGAATTGCTTGAATCCAGGAGGTGGAGGTTGCAGTGAACTGAGATCATGCCACTGCACTCCAGCCTGGGCAACAAGAGTGAGACTCCAACTCAAAAAAAAAAAAAAGAAAGAAAGAAAAAAGAAATTCAACCAATATCTACTGAACGGGGCACCTAGCCGCTATTCCAAGGGGTGCTGGAAATGTCCTGGATGAAGGCCAGAAGACAGCCAGGACACAGAAGGGCAGCACCTGCTTTTCTCAGGTCAAGAGACAGTTGGGACTTTCATCCCAGGGAGGCCTCCCCTGAGAAGCCCCCACTGGTGTGTGGCCTGTGGCAAATCTCAGGATCCCAGAGAATGTCCAGCTTGTGCCTCAGGGTGCTTCAGGCTCAAGTCCAGGATGATGTCAGCACCTGTGGCTGGGAACGTGCCCCTCAGGACCCAGCTGAGGCCCCTCTGCCCCCCTGGCTGGGTGCCCTTTGTGGAGGCCCTGCTGCACAGACACATTTGTACTTGAACGGTTCTGTCTGCTTCTCCACCAGCTTGGAGGCTCAAAGAATATGCTGATTTTGGCTCAGGGCATTGCTAATATTTGGACTGGGAGGTTATACGCATGGATTTCCAGGAGACTGAGCATAGAACAGAAACTTATTGACAGAGCCAAGACACATCGCAGCTCTGTGGAGAAGCTGGTGGGGGCTCGGTGGGAAGAGCAAACGAGGGCCACATGGAAGGGAAACCCTCCCTGGCCTATTCACTCCCTTAGTCCTTCACTAGACATGATTTCCTGAGTGCCACCAGGGCCTGGTGCTGTGGTAGGCACTGAGGATACAGCAGCAAACACATGTGGCCCCACGAAGCTCCACTCTAGTGGAGAGACAGACAGCGAACAAATGAGTAAACACAGCACTGTACATGGTAAGAAAAGCAATGGAGAAAAACAAGACAGAGCAAGGAGCAGGGCACTGGGCAGCAGGTCTGGAAAGGTCTCTCCGCTGGGGTGATGGAACTCAGCCTACCCAGACAGAGGGGAGAGGTGGGGGAGCCAGGCGGCCAAGTGTGCAGGACCGGGCAGGTGCTCCAGGTGGATGGGCTCGTGAGTGTGAAGGCCAAAGGAGGGGCACGCGTGGAGAACAGCATGGGTTCAGGAGGGTGTGCGGGCCCAGAGTGGAGGTCCCCACTGGGGTTGGGGCAGTTGCTCTCAGTAAGCTGCAAAGCCTCCTCCTGGTGGCTTCTGAGCAGGAAAGTGACATTAGCTGATGGCTCCAGGTAACAAAGAGACCACGGGGGCCAATGGCAGAAACATGCAGCTGTTATGATGATCAGGATGGAGGGCGGGATGGTGGAGTGGTCCAGCGTGGCAAAACTGCAGGGGTGGTGAGAAGCAGAAAGCACTCTGAAGGAAGAGCCCGCAGGATCTCCTGATGGGTGGGGGGTGGAGAGGAAGAATGGGGTGGGCCATGGATGATGCTGATGATTTTGGCTGAATGGCTGGAAGGTGAAAACTGCCATGTCCTGGTTCAGGTGGGATGACAGGAGGAGGCTGCTGGGTGGTGGTGGGGTGTGGGCTCCATGTGGCCGTGGTCAGTTTGAAATGCAAACGTCCAGGTCAGGAGGATGAGTCGACACTTAGGAGTCTGAGTCTAGACTTCAGGGGCAGAGGCCAGGCCCAGGGAATCAGTTTGGGAAGCATCAGCTTAAATGTGCCTTGTGGTGTTTAGAACCACGAGACTGAGTGAGCTCACCTAGGGATTGTGTGCAGACAGAGAGGTGGCCCAGGAAGGGAGCCCTGGGATCCCCAAAAGTCATGAGTCAAGGAGATTGGGGCTGGGCATGGTGGCTCACGCCTGTAATCCCAGCACTTTGGGAGGCCGAGGTGGGCAGATCATTTGAGTTCAGAAGTTCGAGACCAGCCTGGCCAACATGATGAAACTCTATCTCTACTAAAAATACAAAAAATTAGCCAGGAATGGTGGCAGATGCCTGTAATCCCAGCTACTTGGGAGGCTGAGGCAGAAGAATCATTTAAACCCAGGAGGTGGAGGTTGCAGTGAGCCGAGATCGTGCCCTGCATTCCAGCCTGGGCAACAAGAGCAAAACTTCGTCTCAAATAAATACATAAATAAAAATAAAAAGAAGAAGAAGTTCGGGAAGGGAAGAAAGTGCTGCATGAATGAGGAGTGCTCAGCCACCTGTCTACACAGACAACATGGGATGGAAGGTGGAGCTCTGAGGTTAGGAATACAGAGGCCGCAGTGACTGGGCTTTTAATTTGAGTGAGGCAGGAGCTGCTGCAGGGTTTCTGGCGGGCAGTGACCTGATCTGACCTGTGTCTGAAGATCCCTCTGGCTGCAGTGTTGATAATGGCCAGAAGCGCCTGGGGTGGAGGTGGCTATGGTGGTCCAGATTCGGGTCCCGGCAGCATGCAAGGGCAGAGCCAACAGGCTGCACTGAGTGGGGTGGAGGTGGGCAGGAGAGCAGCGTCCAGGATGCTCCAACGTGCTTGCCCAGAGAGCTTGGAAGGACAGGGTTGCCGCTGACCAAGATGGGCAGGCTGCAGTGAAGTGGGACTCAGGAGGGGAAGTTCAGGGGCTCAGCTTTGGGCTCCTGATATTTGAGACACTTGTTGGACAGCCAAGTGGCGATGTGGAGTGGACAGGTGGATCAGCAAATGTGAAATTCAACACAAGGCCCTGGGCTAGGGATCCGCATCTGGGGCCACTGGCACAGAGATAGCCTTTCAGGTCCTGGGGACAAGAGGAGGTCATCAGGAAGTGTTGAGAAGCCAGGCACGGTGGCTCATGCCTGTAATCCAAGCACTTTGGGAGGCCAAGGTGGGCGGACCACCTGAGGTCAAGAGTTCAAGACAAGCCTGGGCAACATGGCGAAATCCTGTCTCTACTAAAAATACAAAAATTAGTCAGGCACATTGGTGGTGGGCACCTGTAATCCCAGCTATTTGGGAGGCTGAGGCAGAAGAATCACTTGAACCTGGGAGGTGGAGGTTGCAGTGAGCCGAGATTGCACCACTGCACTCCAGCTCAGGTGACAAAGTAAGACTCCATCTCAACAACAACAACAAAAAGAAGTGTTGAAGAGCAGAAAGAGGACCAGGAAGTGGACTCTGGAATCCCAGAGCGGGGAGAAAAGATCCTGAAATAGAGAAACCAAGGGGTAGGAGGAAAGCTGGGAGAAGGTGGTGTCTTGGAAACCAAGAGAAGGGGGCAATCGACCACACCAAGGTACCCAAGACTAGCTGAGGAATGGCCAAGGAGGTGAGGGTCCTGATGCTTGGCACAGGAGGAAGGGCCTGGGTCTTCAGACTTGCTTTTTAAAATCATGGCGAAAAGCTGGCTTTAGGTGGAGCTAAGATGGCCAAATAGGAACAGCTCGGGTCTATAGCTCCCAGCGTGAGCGACACAGAAGACGGGTGATTTCTGCATTTCTATCTGAGGTACCAGGCTCATCTCACTAGGGAGTGCCGGACGGTGGGTGCAGGACAGTGGGTGCGGCACACTGTGTGTGAGCCGAAGCACAGCGAGGCATTGCCTCACTCGGGAAGTACAAGGGGTCAGGGAGTTCCCTTTCCTAGTCAAAGAAAGGGGTGACAGACGGCACCTGGAAAATTGGGTCACTCCCACCCTAAATACTGCACTTTTCCAAAGGGCTTAAAAAACAGCACACCAGGAGATTATATCCCACACCTGGCTCAGAGGGTCCTACGCCCATGGAGTCTCGCTGATTGCTAGCACAGCAGTCTGAGATCAAACTGCAAGGCGGCACAAGGCTGGGGGATGGGCGCCTGCCATTGCCCAGGCTTGCTTAGGTAAACAAAGCAGCCGGGAAGCTCGAACTGGGTGGAGCCCACCACAGCTCAAGAGGGCCTGCCTGCCTCTGTAGACTCCACCTCTGGGGGCAGGGCACAGACAAACAAAAAGATAGCAGTAACCTCTGCAGACTTAAACGTCCCTGTCTGACAGCTTTGAAGAGAGTAGTGGTTCTCCCAGCACGCAGCTGGAGATCTGAGAACGGGCAGACTGCCTCCTCAAGTGGGTCCCTGACCCCTGAGCAGCCTAACTGGGAGGCACCCCCCAGTAGGGGCAGACTGACACCTCACACGGCCGGGTACTCCTCTGAGACAAAACTTCCAGAGGAACGATCAGGCAGCAGCATTTGCGGTTCACGAAAATCTGCTGTTCTACAGCCACCGCTGTTCTGCAGCCACTGCTGCTGATACCCAGGCAAACAGGATCTGGAGTGGACCTCTAGCAAACTCCGACAGACCTGCAGCTGAGGGTCCTGTCTGTTAGAAGGAAAACTAACAAACAGAAAGGACATCCACACCAAAAACCCATCTGTACATCACCATCATCAAAGACCAAAAGTAGATAAAACCACAAAGATGGGGAAAAAACAGAGCAGAAAAGCTGAAACTCTAAAAAGCAGAGCACCTCTCCTCCTCCAAAGGAACATAGTTACTCATCAGCAATGGAACAAAGCTGGACGGAGAATGACTTTGACGAGTTGAGAGAAGAAGTCTTCAGACAATCAAACTACTCCGAGCTACAGGAGGAAATTCAAACCAATGGCAAAGAAGTTAAAAACTTTGAAAAAAAATTAGATGAATGTATAACTAGAATAACCAATGCAGAGAAGTGCTTAATGGAGCTGATGGAGCTGAAAGCCAAGGCTCGAGAACTACGTGAAGAATGCAAAAGCCTCAGGAGCCAATGCAATCAACTGGAAGAAAGGGTATCAGTGATGGAAGATCAAATGAATGAAATGAAGCGAGAAGAGAAGTTTAGAGAAAAAAGAATAAAAAGAAACGAAAAAAGTCTCCAAGAAATATAAGACTATGTGAAAAGACCAAATCTACGTCTGATTGGTGTGCCTGAAAGTGACGGGGAGAATGGAACCAAGTTGGAAAACACTCTGCAGGATATTATCCAGGAGAACTTCCCCAAACTAGCAAGGCAGGCCAACATTCAGATTCAGGAAATACAGAGAATGCCACAAAGATACTCCTCGAGAAGAGCAACTCCAAGACACATAATTGTCAGATTCACCAAAGTTGAAATGAAGGAAAAAATATTAAGGGCAGCCAGAGAGAAAGGTCGGGTTACCCACAAAGGGAAGCCCATCAGACTAACAGCGGATCTCTCAGCAGAAACTCTACAAGCCAGAAGAGAGTGGGGGCCAATATTCAACATTCTTAAAAAAAAGAATTTTCAACCCAGAATTTCATATCCAGCCAAACTAAGCTTCATAAGTGAAGGAGAAATAAAGTACTTTACAGACAAGCAAACGCTGAGAGATTTTGTCACCGCCAGGCCTGCCCTAAAAGAGCTCCTGAAGGAAGCACTAAACATGGAAAGGAACAACCAGTACCAGCCACTGCAAAAACATGCCAAATTGTAAAGACCATCAAGGCTAGGAAGAAACTGCATCAACTAATGAGCAAAATAACCAGCTAACATCATAATGACAGGATCAAATTCACACATAATAATATTAACTTTAAATGTAAATGGGCTAAATGCTCCAATTAAAAGACACAGACTGGCAAATTGGATAAAGAGTCAAGACCCATCAGTGTGCTGTATTCAGGAAACCCATCTCATGTGCAGAAACACACATAGGCTCAAAATAAAGGGATGGAGGAAGATCTACCAAGCAAATGGAAAACAAAAAAAGGCAGGGGTTGCAATCCTAGTCTCTGATAAAACAGACTTTAAACCAACAAAGATCAAAAGAGACAAAGAAGGCCATTACATAATGGTAAAGGAATCAATTCAACAAGAAGAGCTAACTATCCTAAATATATATGCACCCAATACAGGAGCACCCAGATTCATAAAGCAAGTCCTGAGTGACCTACAAAGAGACTTAGACTCCCACACAATAATAATGGGAGAATTTAACACCCCACTGTCAACATTAGAAAGATCAACGAGACAGAAAGTTAACAAGGATACCCAGGAATTGAACTCAGCTCTGCACCAAGCAGACCTAATAGATGTCTACAGAGCTCTCCACCCCAAATCAACAGAATATACATTTTTTTCAGCACCACACCACACCTATTCCAAAATTGACCACATAGTTGGAAGTAAAGCACTCCTCAGCAAATGTAAAAGAACAGAAATTATAACAAACTGTCTCTCAGACCACAGTGCAATCAAACTAGAACTCAGGATTCAGAAACTCACTCAAAACTGCTCAACTACATGGAAACTGAACAACCTGCTCCTGAATGACTACTGGGTACATAACGAAATGAAGGCAGAAATAAAGATGTTCTTTGAAACCAATGAGAACAAAGACACAACATACCAGAATCTCTGGGACACATTCAAAGCAGTGTGTAGAGGGAAATTTATAGCACTAAATGCCCACAGAAGAAAGCAGGAAAGATCCAAAATTGACACCCTAACATCACAATTAAAAGAACTAGAAAAGCAAGAACAAACACATTCAAAAGCTAGCAGAAGGCAAGAAATAACTAAAATCAGAGCAGAACTGAAGGAAATAGAGACACAAAAAACCCTTCAAAAAATTAATGAATCCAGGAGCTGGTTTTTTTAAAAGATCAACAAAATTGATAGACCGCTAGCAAGAATAATAAAGAAGAAAAGAGAGAAGAATCAAACAGACACAATAAAAAATGATAAAGGGGATATCACCACCGATCCCACAGAAATACAAAATACCATCAGAGAATACTACAAACACCTCTACGCAAATAAACTAGAAAATCTAGAAGAAATGGATAAATTCCTCGACGCATACACTCTCCCAAGACTAAACCAGGAAGAAGTTGAATCTCTGAATAGACCAATAACAGGCTCTGAAATTGTGGCAATAATCAATAGCTTACCAACCAAAAAGAGTCCAGGACCAGATGGATTCACAGCCGAATTCTACCAGAGGTACAAGGAGGAGCTGGTACCATTCCTTCTGAAACTATTCCAATCAATAGAAAAAGAGGGAATCCTCCCTAACTCATTTTATGAGGCCAGCATCATCCTGATACCAAAGCCTGGCAGAGATACAACCAAAAAAAGAGAATTTTAGACCAATATCCTTGATGAACATTGATGCAAAAATCCTCAATAAAACACTGGCAAACCGAATCCAGCAGCACATCAAAAAGCTTATCCACCATGATCAAGTGGGCTTCATCCCTGGGATGCAAGGCTGGTTCAACATACCCAAATCAATAAATGTAATCCAGCATATAAACAGAACCAAAGACAAAAACCACATGATTATCTCAATAGATGCAGAAAAGGCCTTTGACAAAATTCAACAACCCTTCATGCTAAAAGCTCTCAATAAATTAGGTATTGATGGGATGTACGTCAAAATCATAAGAGTTATCTATGACAAACCCACAGCCAATATCATACTGAATGGGCAAAAACTGGAAGCATTCCCTTTGAAAACTGGCACAAGACAGGGATGCCCTCTCTCACCACTCCTATTCAACCTAGTGTTGGAAGTTCTGGCCAGGGCAATTAGGCAGGAGAAGGAAATAAAGGGTATTCAATTAGGAAAAGAGGAAGTCAAATTGTCCTTGTTTGCAGATGACATGATTGTATATCTAGAAAACCCCATTGTCTCAGCCCAAAATCTCCTTAAGCTGATAAGCAACTTCAGCAAAGTCTCAGGATACAAAATCAATGTGCAAAAATCACAAGCATTCTTATACACCAATAACAGACAAACAGAGAGCCAAATCATGAATGAACTCCCATTCACAATTGCTTCAAGGAGAATAAAATACCTAGGAATCCAACTTACAAGGGACATGAAGGACCTCTTCAAGGAGAACTACAAACCACTGCTCAATGAAATAAAAGAGGATACAAACAAATGGAAGAACATTCCATGCTCATGGGTTGGAAGAATCAATATCGTGAAAATGGCCATACTGCCCAAGGTAATTTATAGATTCAATGCCATCCCCATCAAGCTACCAATGGCTTTCTTCACAGAATTGGAAAAAACTACTTTAAAGTTCATATGGAACCAAAAAAGAGCCCGCATCACCAAGTCAATCTTAAGCCAAAAGAACAAAGGCGGAGGCATCACACTACCTGACTTCAAACTATACTACAAGGCTACAGTAACCAAAACAGCATGGTACTGGTACCAAAACAGAGATATAGATCAATGGAACAGAACAGAGCCCTCAGAAATAATGCTGCATGTCTACAACTATCTGATCTTTGACAAACCTGAGAAAAACAAGCAATGGGGAAAGGATTCCCTATTTAATAAATGGTGCTGGGAAAACTGGCTAGCCATATGTAGAAAGCTGAAACTGGATCCCTTCCTTACACCTTAAACAAAAATTAATTCAAGATGGATTAAAGACTTACATGTTAGACCTAAAAGCATAAAAACCCTAGAAGAAAACCTAGGCAATACCATTCAGGACATAGGCATGGGCAAGGACTTCATGTCTAAAACACCAAAAGCAATGGCAACAAAAGCCAAAATTGACAAATGGGATCTCATTAAACTAAAGAGTTTCTGCACAGCAAAAGAAACTACCATCAGAGTGAACAGGCAACCTACAAAATGGGAGAAAATTTTCGCAACCTACTCATCTGACAAAGGGCTAATAACCAGAATCTACAATGAACTCAAACAAATTTACAAGAAAAAAACAACCCCATCAAAAAGTGGGCGAAGGATATGAACAGACACTTCTCAAAAGAAGATATTTATGCAGCCAAAAAACACATGAAACAATGCTCACCATCACTGGCCACCAGAGAAATGCAAATCAAAACCACAATGAGATACCATCTCACACCAGTTAGAATGGCGATCATTAAAAAGTCAGGAAACAACAGGTGCTGGAGAGGATGTGGAGAAATAGGAACACTTTTACACTGTTGGTGGGACTGTAAACTAGTTCAACCATTGTGGAAGTCAGTGTGGCGATTCCTCAGGGATCTAGAACTAGAAATACCATTTGACCCAGCCATCCCATTACTGGGTATATACCCAAAGGACTATAAATCATGCTGCTATAAAGACACACGCACACGTATGTTTATTGCAGCACTATTCACGATAGCAAAGACTTGGAACCAACCCAAATGTCCAACAACGATAGACTGGAGTAAGAAAATGTGGCACATATACCCCATGGAATACTATGCAGCCATAAAAAATGATGAGTTCATGTCCTTTGCAGGGACATGGATGAAACTGGAAATCATCATTCTCAGCAAACTATGGCAAGGACAAAAAACCAAACACCGCATGTTCTCACTCATAGGTGGGAATTGAACAATGAGAACACATGGACACAGGAAGGGGAACATCACACTCCGAGGACTGTTGTGGGGTGGGGGGAGGGGGGAGGGATAGCATTAGGAGATATACCTAATGCTAAATGACGAGTTAATGGTTGCAGTACACCAACATGGCCCATGTATACATATGTAACAAACCTGCACATTGTGCACATGTACCCTAAAACTTAAAGTATAATAATAATAAAATAAAATAAAAAAAGGAAAAGCTGGCTTTATCCCATCACAATCATTCATTCGTTCATTCAGCCACATTTGTTGAGTCCTGACATGGGCCAAGAGTCTCTCTCTGAGCTGGTACTTCTTCAAAGATCAGCTGCCAGCAAGGGTGTCCTCGGTCTTCTGAATCATGGCTTAAAAAAAAAGAAAGTTATTTAACTTGATACTAATTCCTTTTTTTTTTTTTTTTTTTTTTTTTTTGAGGCAGAGTCTCACCAGGCTGGAGTGCAGTGGTGCAATCTCGGCTCACTGCAACCTCCGCCTCCCAGGTTCTATCGATTCTCCTGCCTCAGCCTCCTGAGTAGCTGGGATTACAGGGCCGTGTCACCACGCCCGGCTAATCTTTTGTGTTTTCAGTAGACATGGGGTTTCACCATGTTGGCCAGGATGGTCTCTTATAGGACGCTGAAACATCCTGCGTCAGTCGGGGACTAGAACTGTCATTGCGCCAAAGAGGGGGACCCCTGCTCATGCCCCAGGGAGGCTTCGAAATGACTGAACTTGCCATCCCAGGGTCCGACGCGGCCCCTCCAAACCACAGTGATGGAAAGAGTGTGAGGACCTGTTCTGAAGCAGCTGGCTCCTTATCCAGAGGAACAGAGCAAGATAATAGCTTAGAAAACCAGGATGACCGTGGTGAGAATCGAATATATTATGGAGTCTATTTGCTTCTCCAAAAAAGACACTAAAACGTGCATGGATGTGGGTGCACACACACACACAGACATACACACACATACACAAACACATATACACACACATACACACACAGACATACACACATATACACACATACACACAGACATACACACACACACACACACACACACACAGACGCCCACCCTCCATGCACGTTGGGAACCCACAACCCCTTTAGTGACACAACTAGCAAGTATCTCCCAGCAGAGCGCCCCGTGTGGGCCCAGAACGCCCTGCTTTTCCACAGCATCTGCATTTTGAAGGCATTAAAGCGCCTGCAAGCTTCAGGGCTCCGTATTTCCAGCCCCGCTACATGGGCTGTGGGGACGTCATCAAGTGGTCCACACTCAAGGACTCTCAGGTCACGAGTTCTTCAACCTGAGCTGAGATAAGTACATTCTGAATTCTGTAGCCTCTGGTCATAAATATTCACCAGGGCCTCCTCTCCCTCTTTGGGTGATGGTGTCTCCTTTTCCTTTTTTGCAAAGAGTTATTGTTTCTATGGTTATCAAATCTTTGAAGATGTTGCTGAATCAGGAATTGTGGTCTGGCCTGTTCAAACGCAAAAGCCATCAGATGGGCTCCACGTGTCACTCTGCACCCACGTGGGCTCCTGACGACAGGCGGGAGGGGCCCTGGCCATTCAGAGGCTCGAGCCAGGTGACGGTGAGGGGTGGGACCCTCACCCAGCAGCTCAGGGGGCAGCTCTGCCGCAGGCCCTGGGCCCCATGTCCACCAGTTTTTGGGGGCTCATGCCCACGTCTTTGGTTCTTTCTTCCCCATTCTGTCTCTATTTCCCAGGTCCAGGCTGTACTCCAGTGAAAAATGCCCAATCTAGTCCTTTTCCAATTCTGCCTTAACCTAAGTTTACGCATTTACAGCTCACTTTAAAATCAACTGTAACAAATCCTTACTGCTTTCCTTCAAGGAGGGGAGAGCAACTGGAGAAAAGCCTCCAGCCACATCCTTTGCTCTTTGAAACACAAACCTACTGGCCCCCATTCCCTTCGAAGCTGTCTGTCTTGAGGCAGTGGCAGAAAGCAACAGCTGAGGGTACCCGGCTCCTTCCTGCTCAGTAACTCTCCTGACCTCCTGTTCTTGGCCAGGTCCAGGCCTCAGCCCACCCATCAACAGGGTCCCTTGAGCTTGAAAGACCCTGCAATGATTTGTCCGATTCCAAAAGAACTTGGGTGTCACCTTGCTGAGGTGCCCAGGAGAGAAAAATGAGGTGAGGAGTTGGGGGTTTCCCTCTGAGAACAAAAAAATTAATTTATTTTGCATTTGAAAGCTAAATGAGGGGGTCCTAGTCTCTTGTCCTGTGTGAGCTGGTGGCCTTGGGCAGAATTAGCTTCTCTGAGCCCTTGTTCCTCCCTGTGGAGACGGCAATCCCTCCTACCCCGTGGGCAGCTGGGAGGGCTCAGCACAGTCAAGTGGGAAGTCAAACCTGGGACAGGTGATAGTCACGAAATGCCAGCCATGGCCCAGGAAGCCCTTGGGAGCCTGCAAGTGTCAGGTGAGTCCTCATGCTGGACTCTGCCCTCAAGGGCGGGGCGTGGGTCTCATTTCCCACTGGCCAGGCTCTCGACCAGCCTGTAGGGCTAAGGGACTGGTAAGCTTAGTGGCTGGTGGCCAGAGGGGCAGGATGGAAGGCCTCCCCTGCAGGACAGAAGGGCCAGCTCTGATGGAGGCCAGGGGTCTCCGGACATCTTGGGCTGACAGTGGGCTCTCCTCCCTCCAAGAAGAAGTATTCGGACAATCAGGTCGTGCTCTTTCCCACCATCCCCCTCTTGGTCCGCTCTGTCTCTCCATCTGGGATTGTCTAGTAGATGACGGAAGTCCAGCCTGCATGCCCTGAGTAGGTGGACCCAGTTTTCTTCTCAGCCTCTCAGCAGCTCACTGCTGGGAGGTCAGAGCCCTTGGGCTCCATGTGTAGCTCCTTCTCTCAGGCTGCCGTGGTCACGACCTTGGAGAGAGGGCCACAGGCAGGTACTTAAAGGAGCGCCTAGGTGTTGTCTGCTGAGGGCCAGGGGAGGCTGGGACAGGAGGAGTGTTCTGGAGCAGCCTCTGGCCTCTGTTGCTTTCATATGGGCAGGGAGGTTGGAACACCTGGCTGGCGCTGAGCAGACAGGCACCAAGGGGTGGCAAAGGAAGGTGTGTGAGTGGGAGGGGGAACCGTGGGCCCTGCTGCCAATGAGTGCCAGACTTGGGGCCTCAGTTTCCCCACCTGCCAATTCAGAGAGATGAACTAGATGATCACCATTGTCCTCTCGGCTCTGATGCTTGCCCAGCAAGGCGTGCTATGGAGGCTGAGGACCCAGGCCGCCTGGCGCCCAGGGCTTACTGTAGATGGCAGTGCCCAGAAGCTGATAGCCATGCATGCCCACCTGGCACCATCACCAAAATCGAGAGCAGCCTGTGAAGCTGTGGCTCAGCAGGGAGACTCCAGCCAGGGCAGAGGTGCTGCCCAGGGTGGCTTCCTCCTCCCTACCCTGTCCCTACATCTCCTCTGAGGCTCCCACAAGTGGCCAAGCGGCTCAGGACATAGAGACAGCTGAGGTCAGCAGAGGCCTGGCCAAGACAGCACACCTGGCAGGAGCGAGGCGAGGCATGGGGAGGAGGGGAGGGGCTGCTCCTAATGACTGGGACCCCACCAGCCCCGCTGCTCGCAGAAGGCTCAGGGGCTCCACCTCTTACTCCACAGACACGCGGAGCAGCTGTTCTGTGCCAAGTCCTTGCTGAGCACAAAGATGCAAAGCTAACGCAGACATGCTTGGTCCCTATTCTCAGGAGTCTCTGTCTGCCCCGCCATCGCCAGGCTTGCCGGGGGCCCTGGTCTCCGATTTCCCCCTGAGCCACTTGCAACCACTTCGTTCAGATGACACCTGACATGGGCCAGAGGACCACCATGAGCTCTGTCCCTGAGATGCCTCCTGGACGGAGCAGGCGGGACAGAGAGCACCCACGACCAGGCCTCGTGGCCGGTGCCAGGCCTGCTTCCAACCTTTCTCCCACTCAGGGTCTTTGGCCAGCTCTCTGCTTGCATTGGTGTTTGTTGAGAACTTCTGGCTCCTCTAAGAAGCAAACAAGTCCTCTCCAGTGGGCTTGGGAGAACCTTCGTTGAATGCAGGGTAGGCCAAGGTAAAAATGGGATAGAATGCAAGATGGCCCTGGCTCCCTCCCTTCCTGGGGGACTGTCCCCAGGCCCCCAATGCCCTGCGATGGCCTTGGTCACCTACATCCATGCCTGGACCTTGGCCTGGGCATCAGGCTCCCTTCTAAAACCAAGCAGCACCTCGTGAACATGCCTGGCAGAGACCTGCAGGCTGGCACGGGCATCCCCAGTGCGTTGGACGGAGACGCGCTGTCTCAGTGCAAATCAAAGGGCTTTCATTCTTAAAGCCAGAGGGGCCTAGAGACCACCTTTGCAGTCACCCCCCAACACCCACCCATGTCCTTTGCATTTGGGGGTGGGGAGGTGAGGCCAACACAGGGAACCAACTCCCTCAAGGTGGCTCCACTCTCTAGGGCAGCTCAGCTCCTCCCAACTCACCATGGGTGGCCTCTTCCTCAGCCCTGAGACTTCAGACTTCAGAGTGAGGAGTGAGGGGCCCCACAGAGCAGGGCCCTTCCCAGACCCTCCAGTCACACACTGCATGCAGGTGCCTGTCTGTGGTCCCCCAAGACAGCCTGTGCCCTCCCCGAGCCTGGGCTGCACCAAAGGCCCTGGCTTTAATAGCCTCTGTATCTTCCCCTGCAGTTACTACCCCAGCAGCCATGAGCCCCCCAAGTCAGTTCTTTTAGTAACCTTGCCAGTCGACAGGTGCTTCAGGGAGGCTGGGTAGGAAGGAGCATATTATCACTAACCTATGCATGGGGCCGAGCGGCGATGGCACCAGAACCTGCTCAGAAGGGCCTGCTTGGCCGCCTGCCTTCAATGAATCGAGCAGTGTTCAGCAGCCGCCTGATGTCTCTCGCACTAAGTGCAAGGTTGCATGTGCCGCCGGGCTGCGGGCACTTAGTTCCAAGCTCTACCAAAGCCCAGGAGACAGGTGGTTGGGGGCTGAGACATGAAACTGATGAGGCCTCAGAATGTCCCCTCTCACAGTTGGATGTGCGTGTCTTAGGAGTGGTTTATGCAAATATCACTCAGAAAGAAAACTGGCAGAAACTCAGGTGAGGTTTTTTGAAAAGCCTGAGTAACTCTACCCATTGTCGGGAGGGGGGCTGTGGGGGCAGCAGTGGGCCACCTGGGGAGTGACAGGACACAAATGCTTCTGGGTAGAGCCGCCGCCCAGGCCCAGGGGCCTTAGGAAGTAGTCCCCTTTACACGTAAGCCCTGCTTGTGTATACATGTATGCATCTCTCTGTGTGCATGTGTGTGCGTGTGTGTGCTCGTGTGTGTCTGCATGCATGTGTGTGTGTGTACATCCGTGTGTGCTTGTGTGCATGTGTGTGCCTGTGCATGTGTGTGTACACCTGCATGGACATGTGAGCAATTGAAGATGGTGAGAAAAGGCAAAGCCATGGATATTGTTGTCAAACCAAAGACACTCTCCGAGTGTCCAGTATAAAAAGAATTTTCAGGCCCTTCCCTATCCCGATTGTTCATCTAAGACGTGGAGGACTGCCCTGCATAGTGGCTTCTGGCCTCATGTCCTACCTTTCAGGAACACTTACTACTGGTTAGCTGTGGTGCCAACTGTGCTCTGAAACAGCCTCGTCCTTCCTTGTCAGAGTCTAGGGTTTGGGGCACCCCTGGTGCTGGATACTGTAAAAGCTGGTTCATGCTTCTTGGTCCATATCATGGCCCCCTCTCTGCCATGCCCAGGACATTGCCCACTTGGCATAGCCCTTCTCATCCTCTGGAGCCAAAGCAATCTGGAGACTGGACAAGATTTACTTATCACAGGAAGTGACAGGCACCAGGAGCCCATGCTGCTGCAGAAGCTCCAGCTCTGCCATTGTGGGGACCCCTGTTCCTCACCATTTAACCTCTGTCCAGAGTGTTCTGTGAGTCTCCCACTGCAGTGCCGGGGCCCGAGCAGGGGGTGCAGACGGTAGGGCTCACCCTCACAACAGCAAAATCCCCCAAATCCCCAACAGCAGGGCAGCTGCTTCGAGAACGGTGCCCCCTTCTGTCCCCCAACAGCTGGGGAGGTGCTGTCCTCAGCCAGCACCTAGTTAGTTACTCTTTCAACACTGAGGCATGCTTGGTCCTCCTCCAGGGCACTGCACTGCTGTTGACCTATCAGTGTGTGGAAGCCTCACATCCACCCGGTGTGGTGTTATACCCATTTACAGATCAGGAAACTGAGGCCTGGTAAAAATAACTCACATGTTCAAGATCAAAGCTTGTTGCAGGCCGGGTATGGTGACTTACACCTGTAATCCCAGCACTGTGGGAGGCCAAGGTGGGCAGATGACTTGAGCCTAGGAGTTCAAGATCAGCCTGGGCAACATGGTGATCCCCTGTCTCTAAAAAAAAATACAAAAATTAGCCAGGCATGGTGGCACATGCCTGTAGTATCAACTATTCTGGAGGCTGAAGTGGGAGGATTGCTTGAGCCTGAGAAGTTAAGGCTGAAGGGAGCCATGATCGTGCTACTGCACTCCAGCCTGGGTGACAGAGTGAGACCCTATCTCAAAATAACAACAACAGCAAACAAACCAAAAAAAAAGAAAAGAAAAGCTTTTTTTCTAAGTGTATATAGTGAAATCAGAGAGAGAGAAGTACCAAGGAAGTCCTGGAGGAGGTGACACTAGGCCTTCAAGATGCGCTTTTAGGCCCATCTTGTGGCCCCCAAGCCTGGTCCTCTACCGGGATATCTGACTCCATTATTGAGTTAGAAAATGCAGAGACTCCATGGAGGACGCATCCTACTTGCCTGCAGGAAGTGAGGGAGGAGGGAAGGCCCGGGGACCTCTTAGCCCACAGAGACCAGCCTCCAACAGCATGGCTCACCTCTTACCTGCAATGAGTACCAGGCACAATCGGTAGCAAGTTAATGTCACCTCTATTGTAATGATATTTTCACTTCACCTCAACTGTATAAGTCATTGTTATACTAAAAAAAACAAAAAACAGAAAAAACAAACAAACAAACCCCAAAAAACAAACAAAAAAAGACCCTTTTATTTTCTGCTAGTCATGAACTAAGGAGGCAGCATACTCCAGATTCCTTTGACTACAGACCTGAAAGTATTTGTCAATTTTCTTGTTCTGCAGAGACTTTCTCAAAATGTGTTGTACATTGTCTTCCAGCTGCCCCAAAGGAAAGGAGGCTGGCTCTTCCTTTCCCGTAGGCGGCTCTGGTGAGGGTGGCTCCATGTCTCAGAGCTTGGCTTCCTATAGGAAGCCCTCAGCAGGACTCCTGGGGAGCCAGGGTGAGGGGACGGACGTGGGCCTGCAGCTCAAGCTGAGGAGAGGGTCCCCAAAACTCCTGGGCCAGCAAATTCTCCAGCAACGATACAACATAGACAGTGTCACCCCACAACTCCAGAGCTCACATTTCCCATCAGCTCTGTGCGTGGCAACAGGCCACTCTCCTCGGGAAGCCCGCACAAAAGGTGGTCTCTGCCCAAAGGGGCTCACCTTCTCGTGGACACTTGGGGGTGACCAACACCAGAGGACATCAGAAGCCCATTTCAAATGCATATAGAATTGTACGGAATAGGGTGTTGGGTGTTGGAGGAGGCTTTTGGAGAGGCTCAGTGGCCAGAGTGAGGTCTGAGTAGAAAAAGCAAGTACAAAGGCATCTTCCGGGAGTTGGCGCCAACCCCAGAAAGAGGTTCAGAAACGGGTCCAGAGCGTGGCGAGCTCGTTGGCCAATGGGCCATGGAGGGACAAGAGTGTGGGTGGTGTCGGGAGTGGGGATCTCTGAGTCAAAAACTGTGACATCGGATGGGGCAGTGTCCTCCCTTGTAAAATGCAGATAAAACCACCCACCCATATATTTGTGAGAATAAAATGAGATCACAGATATCTGCTGCCCAGCCCAGCACCAAGCCACAAAAGGTGTTCAGTAAACAGCATCCCTCCCCGCTGCTCTCCAGGAGCACTCTAGGCAGGTAGGATCCCGCAGGGGTCAGGGGCCCGGACTCTGCCACTGAGAAGCCAGAGACCTTGGGGAAGCTCCTTTGCCTCCCTGCACCCATTTCCTCACTTGTAAAATGACTAGTCCTGGTACGTCCCTTGGGGGGTTGCGGTGAGGATTCACTGAGGACCTCTGGAAGCCTCAGCACAGAAGCCAGCACCTGTTATCACTCAACAACTTCTTCCCATGCCAGATCAACCAGGTTCTAGATGGTCCCAGGTGCAGTGCTGACCCTGCAGCCATAGGGCTGGTGGTGGTCCTCGGCTTCAGAGGGAACACCACAGACTACTCACCTTTGCCGGTAGCACCACCAAAGCACCATGCTGCTCCCCATCCCCACACTCAGGTTGTCCCTGTGCCTCTTCCCCTTCACCCCTTCACTAACACCTGACCAGCTCCTACTCATTCTTGAAAGCCTAGTGTTACATCTTCCAGGAGGTACTTTCCGCTCTCTGATCTCGCTACATACACTTAAAGAGATCTCTCTCACTGGGATTCCCCACAGAGTGTTATTTATATGTTTGTATCTGCCTCCCTCACTAGGCCATGAGCTGCTTGGGGATTAATATCATTTTCTTTCTTTTTTTTGAGATGGAGTTTCATTCTTGTTGCCCAGGCTGGAGTGCAGTGGTACGATCCTGGTTCAACCTCCGCCTCCTGGGTTCAAGCGATTCTCCTGTCTCAGCCTCTCGAGTAGCTGGGATTACAGGCACCCGTCATCACGCCTGGCTAATTTTTTGTATTTTTAGTAGAGACGGGGTTTTGCCATGTTGGGCAGGCTGGTCTCGAACTCCTGACCTCAGCTGATCCCCCCACCTAGGCCTCCCAAGGTGCTGGGATTATAGGCGTGAGCCACCGCGCCTGGGTGATTAATATCATTTTCTATTCATCTTAGTGTCCCAAAGAGCTAGCACAGTGCCTGGCACATAAGGCAGAATCATTTGTTCATTTATTCAAACAATATTCTCTAATCCCTTACTCTGTACCAGGTACCATTTTGTGAATGAATGGATGCGAGTCCCGCGTGCCCCATTCCTGCTGTGGAAAAGGCTTTGAGAACACTTCTTACTCTCAGCAGGGACACTGTCTGAGAAAGAGACAGACAGACCAAAAGAGGGTTAATGTGATGTATTTTAGACTTGACTTTGCTTTCAGTTTCAAAAGTTAGGTCCTGTGCAGCCCCCAAGTCTCCACCAGCTTCTGCTCACCACTCTTCTTGCCAAAGCCCCTGCTCACTTTACTCATGTTCACTGTCAAACCCAGACAGAAGGCCCTCCCAAGACAACTGCAAACCACAAAGAAAGGAGGGGAAGGAAAAGCTGCAGACCCTGAGCATAGCGTGGCTTTACTTACTTATTTGTTAAGCCCCCATCACGACTGCAGCATATAATGGGCCCTATGACAGGCCACAGAAAAGATGCCCTCCTCACGTTCATATTTTTGGGCGATGGGACAGATATCTAACCCCAAGCTGGGGGACAGTGCTGCCTATCATGGCCTCAGGGAGATTGACAGGTGCTGGGTAATGTCATGCAGCAGAAGAAGGTGAGGAGGGAAGGCTCAAGCTGGATCTCTCAGATGGTTAAAATAGAAAGGTGAGGGGAGAAAGAGGTACTTTTGGGTTGGGAGAGTAGGCAAAACAAGGGAGGACCAGGGGTCTTCTGAGGCTGTGTGAGAGGGTGGAGGAAAGCCGCTGGAGACCTACAGAGTGTGAGCAGCTGTCTCCTGACTCATCCCACCTTTATCTCTTTTTCCCAACATGTAATTGACAATAACACCTGGATTAGGAAAAAACCCACAAAACTACCAGGTCTCAATTACGTCAAACTATTCATGTCAGAGTGCTGACACCCTTGCTGCCTTAGTCACTCATCTTTAACATTCCTGGGAGCAATAAGAGAGCAAGTGGTTTAATCCTTGCTTTAGGGAGAGGAAAACTACTGCAAGAGAGGCTGGTGACTCACTCCTTTAAGGTGACTCAGAGTCAGGCATGGGGATCATAACATAGTAACCTAGTTCCCAGGGCTGCTCCTGCTGCTAAGGAAACAGCCTAGAGGGTGGGGAGTGGGAAGCATAGAGCTGGATGTGGAGCCATAAAGACCTAAGCTCAGGTCAATATACAACAACCAAAAATAAACTGCATTTTTATATAACAGCAATGTAAAATTGGAAATGAGGAAAAAACAGTATCATTTATGATAGCAACAAAAAAGTTAATAATGAATCAAACTAAATATGTTTAAGATCTGGATGCTGAAAACTAGAGAGCACTAATGAAAGAAATCAAAGGAGACCTAAATAAATGGAGAAACATACCATGTTGATGTGAAGACCCAATAGTTACGTTAATTCTCCCCAAACTGATCTATAGATTCAATGCAGTTCCGATTAAATTCCCAGAAGGATTTTTTTTTTTAGAAGTGAACAAACTAATTCTAAATTTTATATGAAAATGCAAAGGAAGCAGAATTTCCAAAGCAATTTTTGAAAAAGAATGAAGTTGGAAGACATTCTACGTGATTTCAAGACTTACCATAATAATACAGTAATCAAGGTAGTATAGAATTGGCAAAGGGGTAGTTATCAATGAACTAGTCTAGAAACAGAATCACACATATATGACCAATTGATTTTCAACAAAAGTGCAAAGGCAATTCAATGGAAAAAGGACAGTCATTTCAATAAATGGTACTGAAAATTTGTATACCCATACATTAAAAAGAAAAACACTTCTTAATCTATACCTTGCACCGTATACAAATGTTAATGCAAAGCAGATCATAGACATAATATAAAATTATAAAACTAGAAAAAGGATAGAAAATGTTTGTGATCTTGAATGAGGCAAAGATTGCTTAGATATGACACCAAAAACACAATTCATAAATGAACAAATTGATCCATTTTACTTCATCAAAATTAAGAACACCTATTCTTTGAAAGACACAACATTAAGGGAATAAAATGAGAATAAGATGATAAGCTATAGACTCAAAGACAATATTTGCAAATCACATAATGATAAATGACTTGTATCTAGAATATATAAAGAACTCTTGAAATACTCCCTCAGCATGCAAACTAGTCTGGTGCCCCACTTCCACAGGAGCAGCACCCAAGTGGGGTGGATCAGCCACACAAACTCTAGCAGCCTAGGCCACTGAGGTACTCACAGGCATCACTGATATTGATACAGCAAAAGAAACTTCATAGAGATTACTACTGTGCCTACCTGGAACCAAAGCCAATGCACCCTACCCAACGTATACTCTAGGACATATCTGAAGATGAAAGTCTTTCCCTATGAAAGCCACCCTATAAAATTGGGAGAGGTGACCATTCCACCAGATGTACAGCTATCTATGCAGGAACACAACAAACATGAAAAAAAAACAACAAAGAAATATGACACCATCAGAGAAACAATACCTCTCCACTAACTGACCCCAAAGAAATAGAAATTTACAAATTGCCTGGAAAAAGCTCAATATAATTATCTTAAGGGAACTCAGTGAGGTAAAAGAGAACATGGGTAAAGAATTCAATGAAATCAGGAAAACAAATCATGATCTGAATGAGAAATTCAACAAAGAGATAGATGTATATAAAAAAAGAACCAAACAAAGTCTTACAGCTGAAGAATTCAATGAATAAAATTAAAAATGTAATTGAGAACATCAGCAGCAGACTAGATCAAGTAGAAATAAGAATTTCTAAACTTAAAGACATGTCTTTTGAAATAACCCACAGTACAAAAGAGAAAACAGAATCAAAAAGAGTAAACAAAGCTTATAGGACTTGTGGGACACAATTAAGCTGACAAATATCTTCATTATGAGGTTTTCAGAGGACTAACAGTTGGTAAAAGGCACAGAAATCTTATTTAACAAAATAATAGTTGAAAATTGTCCAAGTCTTGATAGAGATATGGACATCTAGATCCATGAAGCTCAAAAGACCTCAAACAGGTTCAACCCAAAGAGGTCCTCTCCAAGGAACATTATAATTAAACTGTCAAAAGTCAGAGACAGAGAGAATTTTAAAAGGTGCAAGATAAAAGCATGAAGTCATTATAAGAAAATCCCCATTAAACTATCAGCAGATTTCTCAGCACAAACCTTGCAGACCAGGAGAGAATGGGATAATATATTCAAAGTGCTGGAAGAAAAAAAACCTGCCAGCCTAGAATATTATGCCCAACAAAACTATCTTTCAGAAATGAAGGAGAAATAGTCTGTCCCAGACAAGCAAAGCTGAGGGTATTCATCACCACTAGACCAACCTCACAAGAAATACTTAAGGGAGTACTTCAACCAGAAGTAAAGGAACAATAATTACTATTGTGAAACATATGAAAGCATAATCTCACGGGTGCAGATAAATTTGTTATCAAATTCAGAATACTATATTACTGTAATGATGATACATACTTTTTCAAACCTCTAGTATGAAGGTGCCTTAGTCCATTTTTGTGTTGCTATAAAGGAATACCTGAGGCTGGGTAGCTTATAAAGAAAAGAGGTTTATTTAGCTCATGGTTCTACAGGCTGTATTAGAAGCATGGCATCACCATCTGCTTCTGGTGAGGGCTACAGGCTGCTTCCACTCATGGCAGGAAGGAAAATGGAAGCAGGAATGTGCAAAGATCACTTGGTGATAAATAAATGCAAGAGAGAGAGCAAAGGTGCCAGGCTATTTTAAACAATGAGCTCTTGGGGGAACTCTCACAGAAACTAACAGAGCAAGAACGCATTCATTACCATGAGAACAGAACCAAACCTTTCATGAAGGATCCACCCCCATGATACAAACACCTCCCATTAGGTCCTACTTCCAACATTGGGGATCAAATTTCAGCATGAGGTTTGAGGGACAAACATATCCAAACTACAGCAGAAGGTTAAAAGTCAAAATGATCAACAATAACTATGCTAAAATAAGTTGCTAAGGAACACAAAATATAAAAAGATATAAATTAAGCAACAAAATTAAAAATGGGGGAGTGGTTAGGGTAAAAGTCTGGAATATTTAAATGTAGCCAAAGATAAGTTATTATCAACTTAAAATAGTATACTATAACTCTAAGATTGTTAATGTAAACCCCGTAGTAACTACAAAGGAAAAAACTATAGCAGATACACAAATGAAAAAGAGAAAGGAATCAAAGCTTACTATTATAGAAAATCACCAAACCTCAAAGGTAAACAATAAGAGAGAAAGAAAGGAACACAGGATGTACAAAAGAGCCAAAAAACACTTAAAAATGGCAGGAGTAAGTCCTTACCTATCAATAATAAATTGATAGATTTATTCCACCAACTTATGGAATAAATTCAATGTAAATGGATTAAGTTTCCCAGGTAAAAGATACAGAGTGGCTGAATGGATAAGAAAACACAACTTGACTATGTGCTGCCTACAAGAGATTCAGTTCACCTGTAAGGACACTAATAAACTGAAAGTAAAGGGATGGAAAATGATATTCCATGCAGATGGAAAATGATATTCCATGCAAATGGAAAATAAAAGAGTGCAGGAGTAGCCATACTTATATCAGATAAAACAGACTTTAAATCAAAAGCTGTAAAAAGAGAAAAAGACACTCGCTATATAATAATAAAGTGGTCAATTCATCACAGGATATAATGTTTATAAATACACATGCACCCAACATTGGGGCACCCAGATATATTAAGCAAATATATATATATATATATATATATATATATATATATATATATATAGAGAGAGAGAGAGAGAGAGAGAGAGAGAGAGAGAGAGAGCAATATTATTATATCTAACTTCTGAAGGAAGAGATAGATTGCAATACAATAATAGTAGGAGACTCCAATATCCAGCCCCACATTCAGCAATGAACAGATCATCCAGACTGAAAATCAACATAGAAACATTATATTTAAACTAAACTCTAGATCAAATGGACCTAAAAAACATTTACAGAACATTTTATCCAGCAGCTGCAGAATATACATTCTTCTCTACAGCACATGGCACTTTCTCCAAGATAGGCCATATGTTACTTAGGTCACAAAACAAGTCTCAAAAAGTTTTTTTAAATAAAAATAATATCATGTATCTTTTCTGATCATAATGGAATAAAACTAAAAATCAATAACAGGAGAAACTTTGGAAGCCATATGAATACATGAAAATTAAACAACACGCCCATGAATTACCAATGGATCAATGACAAAATTCTTGGGACAAATTAAAAATGGAAACATAACATACCACAACCTATGGAATACAAGTTCTAAGAGAGAAGTTTATAGCAATAAATGCCTATATCAAAAAAGTAGAAAGATCTCAAATAAAAAAATTTAACATTGCACTTCAGGGAACTAGAAAAACAAGAACAAGCTAAACCCAGAATTAGTAGATAGCAATAAAAAATAGAGATGAGAGCAGGAATAAACAAAATAGAGACCAAAACCCAATACAATATATCAACAAAATAAAGGTTGGTTTTCTTTGTTTTGTTGATATATTGATACAAAAAAATCAACAAACTGTTCTCTAGACTACCTAAGGAACAAAGAGAGAAAACTCAAATTTAAAAAAAATCAGAGATGAAAAGGCAACATTATAGGTGATACCACAGAAATACAAAGGATCATAAGAGACTATTATGAACAACTATATGGCAACAAATTGGAAAACTTAGAGGAAATGGAAAAATTTCTGAACACATACAACCTAATAAAATTGAATTATGAAGAAATAGAAAATTGGAACAAATGAATAATGAGTAATGAGTTAAATTAATAATAAAATCTCCTATCAAAGAAAAGTCCAGGACCTGATGACTTCATTGCTGAGTTCTACCAAATATTTAAATAACTATTACCAATGTTTTCCAAACGATTCCAAAAAATTAAGAGGGAATTCTTCCAAACTCATTCTGTGAGGCTGGCATTACCCTGATACCAAAACCAGAAAAGAACACACTCACACAGAAAAGAAAACTGCAGGCCAATCTACATGATGAAAACAGATGCAAAAGTCCTCAACAAAATACTAGCAAACTGAATTCAACAGTACATTAAAGAGATCATTAACCATGATCAAGTGGTACTCATCCCAGGGATGCAAGGATGGTTCAACATATGCAAGTCAATAAGCATGATACATCACATTAACATAATCAAGGACAAAAACTATATAATCACTTCAGTAGACACAGAAAAAGCATTTGATAAAATTTGACATCCCTTCATCATACAACTCTTTAAAAATCAGATATACAGGAAATGTACCTCAACACAATAAAGGTCATATATGACAAACACACAGCTAACATCATATTGAACTGGAAAAAATTAAATGCTTTTCTTCTAAGATCTGGAATAAGACAATGATGCCCTCTTTTACCACTTTTATTCAAAACAGTACTGGAAGTTTTAGCTAGTGCAATTAGGCAAGAGAAAGAAATAAAGGGCAACCAAGTTGGAAAATACAAACTCACATTGTTCCTGTCTTAGTCTATTTGTATTGCTATAAAGGAATACCTGAGGCTAGGTAACTTGTAAAGAAAAGAGATTTATTTAGCTCATGGCTCTACAGGCTGTACAAAAAGCTTAGTGTCAGCATCTGCATCTAGTGAGGGCCTCAAGCTTTTTCCACTCATGGTGGAAGAGGAAAGAGAGCCAGTGTGTGCAGAGATCACTTGATGAGAGAGGAGGCAAGAGAGAGGTGTGAGGGAATGTGCCAGGCTCTTTTGAACAAGCTATCGTGGGAACTAATAGAACACGAATTCCCTCATTACTGCGAGGATGACACCAAGTCATTCATGAGGGATCTGCCTGCATGACCCAAACACCTCCCATTAGGTCCCATCTCCAACAGTGGATATCAAATTTCAATATGAGCTTTGGAGGGGTCAAATATCCAAACCATAACATCCCTGTTTGCAGATGACATGATCTTATATAAAGAAAACCCTAAAGACTCCACCAAAAAAGACCCATTAGAACTAATAAATGAATTCAGTAAAGTTGTAGGAAATAAAAATCAGGAGGTTTTTTTATATGCCAATAGTGAATTATCTGAAAAAGAAATCAAGAAACAACCCCATTTACCATAGCTACCAAAAAACTAAGGTACCTAGTAATAAATTTAAGCAAAGAGGTCACAGAGTTCTACAATGAAAACTATAAAAAAATTGATATAAGAAATGGAAGAGGACACAAATAAATGAAAAGATATCCCATATTCATGGATTGGAAGAATTGATATTGTTAAAATGTTCACATTACCCAAATCAATCTATAGGTTTGATGCAACCTGTATCAAAATACCAATAACATTGTTCATAGAAACAGATAAAACAATCAGGAAATTCATATGGAACCATAAAAGACTCTGAATAGTGAAATCAATTTTGAGTAAAATGAATAAAGCCAGAGGGTCCATCACATTACCTACCTTCAAAATATACAACAAAGCTATAATAATCAAAACAGCATGGCACCACCATAAACACAGACATATAGACGAATGGAACAGAATAGAGAACACAGAAATAAATCTGTGTACTTACAGGGAACCAATTTTCAACAAAGGCAACAATAATACACACTGGGGAAAGGGCAGTCTTTTCAGTAAGTTTTGCTGGGAAAACTGGACATCTACATGCATAACAATGAAATTAGAGCCTATCTCTCACCATACAAAAAAACAAAATGGATTAAATATTCTTATATGTAAGAACTGAAACAATAAAACTACTAGAAGAGGCCAGGTGCGGTGGCTCACGCCTGTAATCCCAGCACTTTGGGAGGCTGAGGCGGGTGGATCACCCGAGGTCAGGAGTTTGAGACCAGCCTGGACAACATGGTGAAACCCCTTCTCTACCAAAAACACAAAAGTTAACCAGGCGTGGTGGCGGACACCTGTAGTCCTGGCTACTTGGGACGCTGAGGCAGAAGAATAGCTTGAACCCAGGAGGCAGAGGTTGCAGTGAGCTGAGATTGCACCACTGCATTGCAGCCTGGTCAAGAAGAGCGAAACTCCATCTCAGAAAACAAAAAAAAAAGAAAAAAAAAGAAACACCACACACACAGACACACACACAGACACACACACACACACACACACACACACACAACTACAAGAAAATATAGGGGAAATGCTTCATGATATTGGTCTGGGTAAGGATTTTTTAAAAATAATACCTCAAAAGCATAGGCAACAAAAGGAACAATAGACAAATGGGATTACATCAAATTTAAAAAGCTTCTGCACAGCAAAGGAAACAATAAACAGAGTGAAAAGACAAGCTGCAGAATAGGAGAAAATATTTGCAAACTGTGTATCTGACAAGGGCTTAATATCCAGAATGTATAAGGAACTCAAATAACTCAGTAGCAAGAAAACAAATAATCTGATTAAAAAGTGGGCAAAAAACCTGAATAGACATTTCTCAAAAGACAGCATACAAATGGTCAACAAGTACATTTTAAAAATGCTCAACATCACTAATCATCAGGGAAATGCAAGTCAAAACCACAATGAGATATCACCTTACCCCAATTAGAATGGCTAATCAAAGAGGCAAAAAATAACAAAAGCTGGCATAAATGTGGAGAAAGGGGGAATCTCATACACTTTTGGTAGGAATGTAAATTAGTACAGCCATTATGGAAAACATTTTGGAAGTTCCTCAAAAAATTAAAAATAGAACTACCATATGATTCAGCAATCCTACTACTGAATATATACATCCAAAGCAAACGAAATCATTATATCTGCACTCCCATGTTTATTGCAGCACTATTCACAATAGCCAAGACATAGAATCAACCTAAGTGTTCATCAGCAGATGAATGTATAAAGAAAATGTGGTACATATACACAATGGAATACTCTTCAGTCATAAAAAAGAATGAAATCCTGCCATTTGTAGCAACATGGATGAACCTACCTAGAGGACATTTTGTTAAGTGAAATAAGCCTGGCACAGAAAGACAAACACTGCATGATCTCATCCATATGTGGAATCTTAAGAAGTTGATCTCATAGACGTAGAGAGTAGAATAGTGGTTACCAGAACCTGGAGAGGGAGGATGAAGAGGGGTTGGTTAATGAGTATAAAAATACAGTTAGATAAAAGGAATAATTTCTAGTGTTTGATAGCATACTAGGGAGACTATGGTTAACAATATTGTATTCTATATTTCGAAATAGCTAAAAGAGAGGATTTTAAATGTTTTCACCTCAAAGAAATGGTATATGTGTGAGGTGCTAAATATGCTAAATACTGTGATTTGATCATTACACAATGTATACATGTGTCAAAACATTGCACTGTATCCCATAAACATGTACAATTATCCTGTGTCAATTAAATGTGAAAGCCAAAAAAAGAAAAGAAAAAACAAACAAGGCTGGGACAGGAGGATCACTTTAGCCCAGGAGTTGGAGACCAGCCTGGGCAACATAGGGAGACCCTATCTCTACAAAAAAAAGAAAAAATAAATAAAAAATTAGCTGGGTGTGGTGGTGCATGCCTGTGGTCTCAGCTACTCGAAAGGCTGAGACTAGAGGATTGCTTGAGCCCAGGAGGTCAAGGCTGCAGTGAGCTGGTGGTCACACCACTGCACTCCAGCCTGGGTAACAGAGTAGGACCCTGCCTCAAAAACAAAACAAAACAAAAATGAAAAACAGACCACAGAAATTTGGACACCCCACTAAAGTAAACATACAGATGGCATATAAGCAAGTACATGAAAAAACATCAGTCATTAGGGAAATGGAAACCAAAATCTTGATGAAATACTATGTACCTATTAGAATAGCTTTAAAAACAACAATACTAAATGCTGGCAAGGATGTGGAGCAACTAAAACTTTTTTTTTTTTTTTAAGAGATATAGTATCACTCTGTCATCCAGGCTGGAACGCAGTGGCGCGATCATAGCTCACTGCAGCCTCGAACTCCTGACCTCAAATGATCCTCTCGCCTCAGCTTCCCAAGTAGCTGGGACTACAGGTGTGCACTAACCACCACACTCAGCTTATAGATTGATTGATTGATTGATTGATTGATCGAGACAGAGTCTCTGTCGTCCAGGCTGGAGCTCAGTGGCGTGATCTCGGCTCACTGCAATCTCTGCCTTCCGGGTTCAAGCAATTCTCATGCCTCAGCCTCCCAAGTAGCTGGGACTACAGGTGCCTGCCACCACACCCGGCTAATTTTTTATATTTTTAGTAGAGACGGGTTTTGCCATGTTGCCCAGGCTGGTCTCGAACTCCTGAGCTCAGGCAATCCACCCACCTTGGCCTCCCAAAATGCTAGGATTACAGCATGAGCTATTGCGCCCACCTCCAGCTAATTAAAAAAAAATTGTAAAGATGGGGGTCTTGGCCGGGTGCCGTGGCTCATGCCTGTAATCCCAGCACTTTGGGAGGCCAAGGCAGGTGGATCACCTGAGGTTGGGAGTTCGGGACCAGCCTGACCAACATGGAGAAACCCGGACTCTACTAAAAATACAAAATCAGCTGGGTGTGGTGGCACATGCCTGTAATCCCAGCTACTCCTGAGGCTGAGGCAGGAGAATCACTTGAACCTGGGAGGTGGAGGTTGCGGTGAGCTGAGATTGCACCATTGCGTTCCAGCCTGGGTAACAAGAGCAAAACTGACTCAAAAAAAAAAAAAAAAGATGGGGGTCTCACCATGTTGAGGTTTGGAGGGTCTCAAACTCCTGGCCTCAAGCAATCCTCTCACCTTGGCCTCCCAAAGTGTTGGAATTACAGGCATGAGCCACAGTGCCCAGCCAACTAAAACTCTTATATATTCCTGATGGGAATGCAAAGTAGTAGTCTCTTTGGAACACAGTTGGGTAGTTTCTCATTAAGTTAAACAGATTTACTATACGACCTGGCAATCTTACCTCTATATATTTTCCCAAGAGAAATAAAAATGTATGATGACACCAAAACCTGTATGCAAATGTGTAGAGTCCTTGGCATGTAATGTCAACTGGAAACAGCCCAGACATCCTTCAATAGGTGAATGGTTAAACAAATTGCTGTATATCCACACCATGGAACACCACTCACCCATAAAAAGGAAGGAAGTACTGATACATGCAACTACATGGATAAATCTCAGGATCATTATGTCTGGCGAAAGAAGCCAGACTCAAAAGGCCACATCCTGTATGATTTCATTTATATGACATTCTGGAAAAGGCAATGCTATAGGGACTGAAAACAGGCCATTCATTCCCAGAGGCTGGAGTACGCCGAGCAGCTTATCTGACAAAGAGGTGCAGTGAGTTTTTGAGCTGATAGAAACCATCTCCATATTGATTGTGGTGGTGATCACTGGACCAAGCTGATGGAAACCACATACATTTGCCAAAGCTCTCAGAATGGCCACAGAAAGTCGGAATTTTTACCATATGTTAATTGTATCTCCAGAAGTGCGGGACACCAAGCGCCCCTTAGCCATATGACCTGGGCCAAATGATTTAATCCGTCTGAGCAGCAGCTTCCTAATCTATAAAAAGGGGATGACAATAAAACCCACAGACTTTGAAGGATCAGCTGAAGATGTACACACACACACACACACACACACACACACTGTGTAAAGGGATGCATAAAACATCCAGATACAGCCGGGTGTGGTAGCTCATGCCTGTAATCCCAGCACTTTGGGAGGCCGAGGTGGGCAGATCACCTGAGGTCAGGAGTTGGAGACCAGCCTGACCAACATGGAGAAACCCCATCTCTACTAAAAATACAAAATTAGCCCAGCATGGTGGCACATGCCTGTAATCCCGGCTACTCGGGAGGCTGAGGCAGGAGAATCACTTGAACCTGGGAGGTGGGGGTTGCGGTGAGCCGAGATCGCGTCACTGCACTCCAGCCCGGGCAACAAGAGCAAAACTCCATAAAAAAAAAAACAACAACCCAGATTCTCGGAGCACTAAAACCTGTCCCCAGTCCCAGGAACCAGCTGGATGCACCACTCAGCCACTCCAACGGAGGCGAGGCCTCCTTCTCATGAAAGTGTAGAAATGGCCATCTTGAGAGAAATGGCTAAACAAGTCCAGCCCCCAGTGCTTGGTGTGGAGTCACGTCACCCTGGCACACCTGGCGGGCGGTGCAGAGCACAGGCTCTCAATGGCAGCCAGTGAGGGCACCAGGGCTGCAAGCCCCGTAGGAATGCATGTGGGGGAGAGGTGCTCTTTTTCTTTGCAGAGTGGAGCAGATTCATTTACACCCATGAGGCTTTCTTTGGTACTGAGTGCTTTCTGTAGGGTGGGGTCCCTTCCAGGAACTTTTCACAGCCTGGGTGTCTGAACAGCAACCCTACTGCCACAGGCACTACTAGCGACCCTGTTGTAGACAGGAGGAAACTGAGGCCCAGAGAGCAGAACTCACTTGCAGGGGCTCAGGAGTAGTAAGCAGCAGGGCCAATCCTGGGCCGTGCACTGGTACTGGCGTTGGCAGTGGGATCTGCGGGCTCCTTTGGGGACATGTCAGACAAGTAATGGCATCCATCACAAGGGTCCAGATAGAGCTCTGAGGGGAGGCTGGTCTGAGGCCCAGGGCCAAGGCACCCACCTGGAATGAGCCTGAGGACAGCAGGTCCCTGAGCTGTGTCAGATGCTTAGAGAAGGCAGGCACCCTGGGCGGGTTGTGTCACCCTCTTGCTCTGGCCCTGTGAACCCTAAGCTCGCTTTGCTTAAGAGAGGGAGGCTTGGCAGCTCCTAGAGGCCCAGGCCCTGGCTGAATTTCTCCAGGGTCCTCAGAGGGTGGGGAAGTGACTGGGCAGAAGTGGGAAGGAACCAGCCCTGCGCCGTCGCCCGGGCTCTTGGCTCCTGCACCCAGAGCCGTCCGGCAGGGAAGCGGCAGGTAAAGATGAATCAGTGATTCAGGGCTGCAGGCCAGGCACCAGGCCAGGCTGTAAAAGTTATTGTGCAGCATCACAATGGAAGGCGGGGGACACAAATAGCATCCGAGGGAAACTAGTGGCCCTGACTTGGAAAGCAAACCTCTCTGCAGCCACGGGACCCCCAACAGCAGCCTCACAGAGCCTGCCCCGGCCACCCTAGTCTGGGCTAACTGTCCTGCCTTCTCCTCCAAGATTCCCTTGCCTGGGTCCCTCCTCCCTCGGCCTCACCACACTCCTCTGGGGACCCTGTGCTTGGACTCCACCCTTTCCTGTCCAGACCACTGTGAAGGCCTTTAGTCACCTCCTAGAGAAGCAAGATTTTCAGCCCTGGCTTTCTACCCCCACACCCTACAGTAAGTAAGATAAATTACCCACCCACCACCTGCCCCCACTTCTCTCCACGGAGCCTCGTTCGGCCTGTGGCCACTCATGTCTGTTTCTAAGGGAACAGTCAAGGGCAAATCAGTGGAGAAGCTGGCCTGTGCTGGCAGGGGTGCTGCAATGGGGCTGTGCCCCTGCCTTCCTGCACTTCCTGCCAGGGAGCCACTCCATTCTTTTTTGCCATCTCCCAGGCCGGCCAGGGGACAGGGTCGTGTTCACACAGTGCTAAGGGAACACGCTGACGTGTGTGACATCAAGAACTCCAGTGCCCACACAGCCCGAGTCCGGATGGTGAGCTCCAGGGAGACCCAGCAGGGCTGCAGGGGGAGCACTGACTGAGCCCATGGGGGAAAGAGGCTCCTGCCGAGCCCAGAGCCCAGAGAGCTGGCCAAGGGGTAGGGTTAGGAGGGATGGAGCTGGGGGCAACAGGCTAGAGAAGAGACAGCTGGGGGTGGGAGGATCTCTCCAGGGTCGTCTCACAGCACCCAGCGGACTCGCTCTGTGCTGCTGCAGAGTGACTCTGACAGTCAGAGCCAGGCAGCCGGGGACAGGCACAGAGCCAGACTCCCTTCCTCCTCCCCCTCCCTCTCGCCGTGCAGTGCCTACTCAGTGCTGGGAGGCTCTGAATGGCACGGGGATGGAGAGTGTAACAACAGAGCGTTAGGGCCCTGCCCCAGTCCGGCAGGAAGCTCGGTCTGGTGGGGAGACCAGCCCAGGCAGACACAGCAGTGCATGCACTGGGCACACCCTGGCTCTGGCTGGAGGGCTCAGAGGCCTCAGGGCCTTCCAGCACTGGTCTCCGTGTCTGAACCCCCCATGGGACAGGATGGGAGCTGCCAGCAGAACCAACAACTCAGTTCCTGGTAACTCCAAGTGGAGATGGGCAGGAACGCTCCCAGGAGGCGCATCAGCAGTCAGAACCAGGGGCTTGGGCCTCAGGAAGGCAGGCTGCTGGCCAGGCCCCCTGGACTCAGGAGACCAAGGCCAGGACGTTCACCAGGGCCAAAGAGAGCAACACCAACAGGGCTGGGCTCCAAGGCCGGGCCGCCTCCCCTCTAGCTTCCCAACACCAGTCCTCCCTGAACATTTCCTTCCAGGAAGACAGGGGCTATTAACTACGTCCCATCCGATTCACAGGGACGTTTGAAATCAGGAAGGAGTGTGGGTTGGATCCACGTTTCTGTTCATACCAGGCAGGCACATCGGAAGGCTCACGGTCAGAGGATGCTGGGACAAACGCCACGAGAGGTTCCTTTTTGTCTGGCTCACCCAGAAGAGAGGCTCCTCTCCTCCCTTCCCTGCAGCACAACGGCCTGGCTGGCACCCAAAGGGCAGCCGGCATGGGCTGACCTCAGAGGAGCAAGGCGTGTTTGCAGCTCTGCCGCTCACATCCACAGTGGCCATGACAACAGGTGCAGCACCATCCATTAAAGCCCTGTGTCATTTCACTTAATTCTCACAACGACCCCCGGAGAAAGGGACTACTATCCCCATTTTCCAGATGAAAAAGGAAATTGGTCCTTAGAGTGATCATCCACCCAAGGCTAGTGACAGGGCTCAGATTGGAACCCAAGGCCCTCCAAGATCTCAAGTCACAGACAAAGAAAGCCCATCTCTGACTTGGCAGGGGAAGGGGGAGGTCACACTGGGAGAGCTGGATGTTGATTCTGAAGGCCTCCCCCAGTAAACCGCTCCAACAACAAAAAGGGGCTTTCTGTACATTATCTGCGAAAAGCCAAGTGAGGGGGAGGGAGGGGAAAGCAATCAAAGCAAAGATCAATTGTGTTGCAGACAATGTGGCAAGAAGACAGATCTTGCTGGAAATTCCTTCTGACTGGACTCTGCCAGGATCAGAGTATTTTTCATTCCAAGATTAAGCAAAATTCTTTCCCTGTCATAACCTCCTACCCATCTGTGTCCAAACTCCCACTATCATTTTTACACCGTGCACATTTTAAAACCTGTTTTGCAGCTTTTTCTCTGTGTGTGTTAGTTGACGCTAACCTGCCTCCAGCTTTAAGAAAAGCAGAGAAGCACGAGAGGCCCCAGGAGGCACCTGGGCTGGGTGAGCCTCAGGCTGGGACCCTGGCAGGACAGTGGCTGGGGTCTAGGGCAGCTGGGACCCTGCTTGCTGGCAGGGGCAGCTGCAGCCGTGAAGCTCAGAGACCCCACGGCCTGGCCTGGACAGAAATGGAAAACAGATGGGAGAAGAGAATGGGAATTTCTTAATAAGGGATTGGATTTGGGAAGTGAAGGGCGAGCAGAAACTAGGATTGTGAGGTCTCCTGGTTGGGGTGGCTGTGTGGTGGTGCCATGTCGGTGGGAGAGAGAAGCCAGTCACTGGGTGGTGGAAATGGTGGTGAAGAGGTGTTTGGTGGATGGGAGGAAGCAGGGTAGGGTCCAAGCCTGTTCAATGAGAGGGGTCAACAGCATACACAAGGGAAGGAGCCCAGTCTGGAGTAATGGATTTGTGGGAGAGAAGTCTCCCGTTGGAGGGGGGAGACTGAAGCCATGGGAATGGGTGAGTTCCACCCAGAGACAGACCCAGGAAGAGAGCCCAGGAAGAGAAGGAAGCCAAGGGCAGGGTTCCAGGGGCTGCTGACTTTCAGGGCAAGCCAGCAAAGAAGATTGGGAACCAAACAGTTAGGAACATAAGAGGGACCGGAGATGTAGCATCATGGAAACCATGGCAACAAGAGCAGGCAGCAGCACTGAACGTCACCAGCGGAGACTGCCGTGAGATGGAACCAAAGTCCTTGACTTGGCAACAGGGACTTCTCAGAACAGTTTCAGTGGCCTGTATGGGTGTTAGGAGGGGAGGAAGGAGCCAAGTGACCCGGGAAAGTATTTTTTATGCATTTTCCTACTGACTTCTTAGCCTTGGGAAACAGGAGCTGTTGCCACTTGTGTTTTACCAAGGAGGAGGTGGAGGCTGGTGGGGATCAAGTAACTTGCAGCAGGTCACGTGCTGGGAAGGGAGGGCTGGGCCTCCAACCCCATCTGCCCATCGTCAAGGTGCACGGCCTTCTTAGGAGGAAGGGAGGCATCGCTGCGTAGGAGGAGGCCTTGGCAGATGTTAGTTGGAGAGAGAAGGCCAAGAACATCCACCGTGGGGTGGGAGATGAGATGCTCCACCGAGCAGGCTGAGGGCCCAGCCATGGCTGGAAACCCAGCCCCTTGGCAAGGTTGACACTGCCATTGTCCCACCATCCTTGGCAGGGATGACTGAGTGGCTACAGCCTCCCAGAGGGCCCAAGTCTTCCGGACACTGCATCTCTCTCTCGCTGTACAGCTCAGCTGGGTGACGGCGGCTGCTCATGATGAGTCAGGGCATCACGGGGACTCTGCACAAGATGCTAACCGAGCTCTGCCTCTTGGGCCTGCGAAGCTGACTACGAACCATGTCTTTAGCACAAATGTGGCCAGTTCAGTACAAACTTGTCCCAGATGAAAAGACGGGCTCAAAACGCAACCTTTCTGACAACAGATGGCCTTCCAGCGGGCTGGGGCTGTGCGCATGTGTCTCTGCCTGACAATGGTCCCTGTGAAGCCAGACTTCCTTTGGGGGGCCAATGCCTTTCATTCTCTGGGGGAGCGGAGGAGCCTGGAGGAGCCAGGGTGGGCTTCTGCAGCACCCTTAGCATGGGGGAGGCACACGCAACACCCAGGTGCCCAGAGGCCCTCACAGCCCAGAAGGAGCGAGTGAGTGAGGCTCCTGCATGTGGAACGAAGCTCAGCACCGCACTGGACACAACCAAATGGCCAGTGAGGGCCTCGGATTTCAATCAGACCGTCAGAGGCGCCCAGTGCTGGGAGGCCAAATGTGGAAGAGAGTGGCTAGCAGTGGGTGGTGAGAGCTGAGCTTTGGGAGAAAGTGCTGGGGAGCGGGCACCCCAGAATCACTTTGGAAAGCAGGGAGCATCGTGCTGGGTGGAGCACGCTGTAGAGATGTCTCCAACAGGCCTCGGGGCTGGCCTGGCCTCTGCAGCCTCATTTTTTCCTGGTGTTTGCTGCTCTCCAGGCAGCACTCTTCCCCCCGGGGCTCTCCCTGTGAGTGAGGAGTGGCCTCTAAGGGCCCTTCCCTGGCCTGTCTGGCTCCCATCACTTCAAACACTGGCCCGCGAGCCCAGTACTTGCACATTTGGAAATGTAAGTGCCCAGAATAAACCTGCAGAGACGCTATTCAAACAGCAAGGCCGAAATCAACAGATTCAACTTGAAACGTAAAACGCCAAAAGCAAATGTCTAAGCAGCTGTATTTGTTCTGGAAATATTGCTGCAGTGGTTTGACCGGCAAAATCAAGTGTCCTGTTAATAGTGAACAGGCTCCTGGCTAACACGGTGAAACCTTGTCTCTACTAAAAATACAAAAACTTAGCCGGGAGTGGTGGCATGTGCCTGTAGTCCCTGCTACTCAGGAGGCTGAGGCAGGAGAATAGTTTGAACCTGGGAGGCGGAGGTTGCAGTGAGCCGAGATCACGCCACTGCACTCTAGCCTGGGTGACAGAGCGAGACTCTGTCTCAAAAAAAAAAAAAAATAGTGAACAGGCAAGCAGGATGGGCAGGGGGCATAGGAGGGCTGTTCTGCTGAAGCTGGGTGGTCCAACTTCCAGCTGGTGCAGTACTGCCTCCTGCAGAGATGTCCTATCCTGGGAGCTCACACAGGAAAGGAGAGGCTGTGAGTCCTGGGCCCATCCCCACGCTCGCCTGGCTGAACCATCCCTGGGCAGTGGCGCTGACGGGTACAGGGAGGCAGAGGCTTCAGTGGCCCAAGAGGTAGTTGGACATGTCCCCGGAGTCTTTCCACTCCTTGCCAACCCAGGGTCCTTGCCAGGAACTCATCTCCAAAGCCGCAGCTCTGCCCCTCCTAATTAGCAACCACACGCACACCCAGTTACATGCTGAAGTGATTTACAGAATTTTATGGTCTGTGATTTAGCACACCTAGACTTGACTATCTCTATTCTAATTAAATTAACAAAAAATTAAGAGTGACAAAATGGCAAAGATTGATTTATCTAATGTGTGTCCTTGCTGCTTTGATAGGTACAAATTTCTTTTAATTTTGAATAACAAAAAGGGAAATATCAAGCATTTGATCTACTTGTTCGCCAAAAAATTAGCCACGGATTCACAAAAGGCCCTCCAAGGCCCACACATCGACTCATATCAATCATCACACACAGTATAGGGCCCACAGGGCAGTGGACATGAAGAAGCTACCCAGGCACTCAGGATTAGCATCCAGGTGAGGTCTGCAGCCTTAGGGGGCCCTGGCCAGCTTGCTCCCCTTTCCTGCACCAGGCCAGCTGCCCCGGAAAGTTGGACTGGAACCAAGCCACTGAGCCACCGTGAAGCTGCGGCCACTTTCAAACCTCTGGCAGAAGCAGTAAGTACAAATTGTGCTGCAGGTGGTGCTTTCAGAATGGAGCCAACAGCCATCTTTCGCTCCATTCCCCCTTTTCCCACATCCCTGGCACAGAAGCCTTCCCATGGTATTTCCTGCAAGAGAAGCCACAGCTTTCCCCTGCCACCTTTTCTTTCCCAGGGTGGATCTAGCACTGGGAGTTGGAGCAGGGCGTGGCAGCCCAGTCCCGTCCTGTGTTTCAGTGGGAAGGGAGTTCCATGCCCTTCTTTGCTCCATTACATGTATGGGGCTCTGTGGTCACCTTTGGACTTTGCTCCCACTATACTGGAAAAATGGGGGCAGATTCTCTGTTCTTCTCTGCATACCCGCACCGAGGGTGTCATTGGCACATGGTGGGGACTCAAGAATCCTCCACGATCATCATCCTCATCACCCTCATCCTCCTTATCAAAATTATCATCATCTCCATCATCCTCATCCTCCTCCTCATCATCATTCTTATCATCTTCAACAACATCAGCAGCACCAGCACCACCACCACCATCACCATCATCTTGTTCGACAGCATCGACAGTAGCAGCAGCACCACCACCATGACCATGATCACCACCATCACCTCACCCCCATCATCCTGAGCTAGCACTTACATGGAGCTCACTCTGTGCCCTATGTTGTTCTAAGTGCCTTATATGTTGTAATGCATTTTAATGCTCTCAACAACCCTATGAAGTAGATATCCTACGCCCATTTTTACAGATGAGAAGACTGAGGCACACAGAAGTTAACCTAACTTGTCCAAGGTTAGTTACTGGGCAGACAGGACCAGGGTTTTAACCGGTTTGAATCTAACTGGCACCGGAGTCTGTATTCCAGATTGCTATACTACACACGTTAGATGAGTGAGAAGGAGTAAATGAATAATTAGGCGTCTGAGTAAGTGCACAGAGAAATGTTCAGTGGGTGTCAAGGAGCCTTAGGGAATATAAAATGCTTTTCTCACTATTTATATTTGGCAACAATGTCCGTCCTGGCCCTCCTTCTTCCTTTTCTGCGGCAAAGGTCTTAGTGTGTTGATGGCGTAGGAAGCCCTGCAGGGTTACGACCCACACTCTCCATGTGGTCTCAGTGTACAATTTCCAGGCAAGCATGCCCTTGATTTTTATGATCATGTGATTATCTTACTTCTTCCCACATAGAACGCTAAGCTCCACACAAGCATGGAGATGGTCTGGTTTTGTTCATCATTATATTCCCAGTGTTTAGCACAGTGCCTGGCACATACTAGTTGCTCAGTAAATAGATACTGGTTGTATAAATAAATGAACTCATTGGCAAAAGGAAAGCATTTTCTCAAAATTTCCTAGACTCAACCTTTGAGGCTATAGGAATATCTATCTATCTATCTATCTATCTATCTATCTATCTATCTATCATCTAGGAAGCAAGTATCTATCTAGGCTAAGAAATCACTGCAACAAAGAGGCATGTGCTTAATGTTTTATGTCAAATATTGTTGTCCTTTTATTCTTTTGCCTGCAGGAGGGCTCATCAATGTATGGAGAAATGAAAGAGCGCCGCATTTCACATTGGAGGGATCTGGGTTTGAGTCCTTGGGCCAGCCTTGCTACAGTGGGGGCAAGAACACCAATCACACTGGCTTATTACGGAATTCAAATGTGGCAGAGTATTTAAACTATGAAGTGTAGAATAAATTAATTGGCTTGCCAATTCCCCATAGCTAGTACTAGAGGCTGGCCTCAGATGGAAGAACCAGGGGCTGTGCCTGTCCTGGGGAATGATGGCAACGCCTTCCATCCTTCTGGCCCATGTTTACATCTGGTACTACGCTAAGCATCACAGAGCAATTAGCGCACATCCTCTCCAAGTACCAGATTTACCTGATTTCATAGATAAGGAAATGATATCCAGAAGACATATCCCAATTCACCCAAGGAAAACAACTAACTTTGCATCTAACTCTATGGCAGAGATAGCTATCTGTTTCCCTTTGCCCAGCTTTCTCTTCCTTAAGTATTAGAATCCCCAAATTTAGCTGGGCATGTGGACACTCAGAGTGAAGCCTACATTTCCTACCCTCCTCTGTAGTTAGATGTGACTGCAATTGCATTCTGGCCAGTAGGATACAGGCAAAAGCGTTGTTCTCTCCTTTCCTGCTGGCTGGAATGCAGGCACTATGGCTTGAACTCAAGCAGCTATTTTGTGCCATGAGGTGAAGGCTATCTATTGAGGACAGTGGTACTGCATTATTGGAGGCTGGGACTCTAATGAGCAACCAGTTGCCCAGCCAGTTCTCAACCCTCTAACCAATCGTTTCCCAGGTAGAAAAATCACCATCACTGGCCATCAGAGAAATGCAAATCAAAACCACAATGAGATACCATCTCACACCAGTTAGAATGGCGATCATTAAAAAGTCAGGAAACAACAGGTGCTGGAGAGGATGTGGAGAAATAGGAACACTTTTACACTGTTGGTGGGACTGTAAACTAGTTCAACCATTGTGGAAGTCAGTGTGGCGATTCCTCAGGGATCTAGAACTAGAAATACCATTTGACCCAGCCATCCCATTACTGGGTATATACCCAAAGGACTATAAATCATGCTGCTATAAAGACACATGCACACATGTGTTTATTGCGGCACTATTCACAATAGCAAAGACTTGGAACCAACCCAAATGTCCAACAATGATAGACTGGATTAAGAAAATGTGGCACATATACCCCATGGAATACTATGCAGCCATAAAAAATGATGAGTTCATGTCCTTTGTAGGGACATGGATGAAATTGGAAATCATCATTCTCAGTAAACTATTGCAAGAACAAAAAACCGAACACCGCATATTCTCACTCATAGGTGGGAATTGAACAATGAGAACACATGGACACAGGAAGGGGAACATCACACTCTGGGGACTGTTGTGGGGTTGGGGGAGGGGGGAGGGATAGCATTGGGAGATATACCTAATGCTAGATGACGAGTTAGTGGGTGCAGCACACCAGCATGGCACATGTATACGTATGTAACTAACCTGCACAATGTGCACATGTACCCTAAAACTTAAAGTATAATAATAAATAAATAAATAAAAAATAAAAAAAAGAAAAATCAAACCGTCTTATTTAAGTCACCGCTATTATGATGTTTTCGGTCACTTGCAGCTGAACCTATCTTAATACAGCCTGTCTGACTCCAGAGCACATTTTCCTAACCACTTTCTTTAGAAAGCAGCTTATCTTTGCCATCCTTGCATGACCTTAGGGCATTATGATAAAACCCTTGGCACAGAGTCTGGCTCAGAGTGAGTGCTCAATAAATTCCAACTAGCCACTGCTCTCATTGTCCCGTGGCCACTGCTGCTGCTGTTCACAAGCATGTGCCACCCTGACAGCTTTGCTTAGCAATCCAGAATGATCAGATCAGCTGGGTGGACCAGGCAAGGTAGTTTTCATAGAGCCCAAAGTGCCTAACCCTGCCTGGCATCAGAAGGGAGGACTGTTTGTTATCTTGGCTCCAGAAAGACTCTTCAAACTATTTCTACCAATACTGTATTTATGCCACATTCTTACTAAGACCTGATGGAACTAGGCCCTAAAGAGGAAGAGTGGCCAGAAGTGGTGAAATCTGATCCAACTGGGCAACCTTCTTTTCTTTTCTTTTTTTTGAGACAGAGTTTCGCTCTTGTTGCCCAGGCTGGAGTGCAACAGCATGATCTCGGCTCACTGCAACCGCCATGTCCTGGGTTCAAGCAGTTCTCCTGCCTCAGCCTCCAGAGTAGCTGGGATTACAGGCATGCGCTACCACGCCTGGCTAATTTTGTATTTTTAGTAGAGACGGGGTTTCTCCATGTTGGTCAGGCTGGTCTCAAACTCCCGACCACAGGTGATTCACCTGCCTCAGCCTCCCAAAGTGCTGGAATTAGAGGCGTGAGCCACCGGACCCGGACTTAACTGGGCAACCTTCCTTGGGATACCAGAGGAGAGGGACGTGCCGGGCAAATGGACAGTCACTTTCTGAGCCTACAGGAAAACTAACCCCATGGGCTCCTGGGAAATCCTCTTTGAAGAGCCAGATTTGCATATAAATAATAGGTATGTTAAAACATATGATGTCTGGATTTGGTATTCATCCTAAGAGTTGAATGCACAATTTGTAATAATTTCCTCAAATTCTAGCAATGTTCCTGCAGACCCTGTCTTCAGCACTGGCATTGGGCAATTAATTAAATTGCCATTATCCTCCACAAAGTGATGACTACTGATTAAGAACAGCCCTTTTTCTCCACCGCTCACTTGGCAGTCCTGTTTCTGCCTGGCCGCAGCCTCAAGTCTCTGCTCCATGGCGCAAGGCAGACGCACGCAGACAGGCTTTGTCGGTTCGCTGATGTGTGTTGTTTGGAAAATGAGAACACAAGGAAAGCTGTCCTTAGGAGGAAGAGGCAAGGAGAGGCATCGGGAGGCCAAGAGATCAAAGCGAGGTGTCAGAAACAAAGACAGTGAAGGAGTTCAGTCCCCTTTTAATGCTGCCTGCCAGTTCAGACGGCCACTGCCCTTGCCTTCTAGGGAATTCTGCTGGTTAAGAAGCTCAGACAAGCCCCAGAATGCCCCGATGAGGACGCAACAGGAAGACAATCCATAGACAGAGAAAGTGCTTTGTTTTACGGTTTCCTGGGCACTGACACCAGCAGCCTTTTCTGCCAGCGGTTTGAAATACGAGACGCTGGTGTTTTTTCCCGGCTCCCTGAATTTAAATTACATCACCAAAGAAGAAACTTCCCGAAGGAAATGAATCTCTGCAGATAACGATCCCTCACAATGGATTCAAATTGTAATAAAAATATAACTTGAATGTTAAAGGTGAATTTCAATTAAGGATTCCATCACATATTTTGCTCCAGACCACAATAAAAAAACTTATTTCACTGCCAACAGCAAGTCTCCTGCGACATCTCTTTGAAAATCAACTATTTTTGAAAGCTAAGTTAGAAAAACACATGTGCTCTAGGGTATAAAGAAAGCAGCATTGTGTATAAATTGTAATACTGAGAGGTAGATCTTAGTATATTGACATTATAAAAACTGGGTAGCAATGGGAAATAATATTTTTACAAAGGTGCCAAACATAAATGCCAGACCTGCAGGCAAATTTATAGACTCTGTCATGCATGGTGGCATTTCACCATCAGGTGCTCAAGAAAGCCAGGGAGGAGGGTGCCTGCAGGTGCCACCCTGAGGCGCACAGGCCACTGTCAGGCCACCCAGGCAAGTCAGAGACAGAGTGGGGATGGGGATGGGGTGCCTCGAGGAGCCGGTGCAAGATATGAGCTAAGGAAAAGCTGGAATAAAGTCCCTCCCAGGAAGCCCTGGCCCCTGGGTCCCCACTTTAAATGCACCTGCTGGGCCCACAGGCCTCATCCCCCACCAGCCCCATAGTTTAGTGCGGCCTCTGACTCGGTCTCCGATTTTTTTTTAATTGAAGTAAAATTCACATATCATAAAATTCACCATTTTAAAGTGTACAGGTCAGTGGATGTTAGGATGTTCTCAGCTGTGTAACCATCACCACTGTCTAGTTCTAAAACATTTCATCACCCTGAAAGGAAACCCCATTCTCCTGAAGCAGCCCCTCCCCACTCCTCCCTGCCCCCGGCCCCAGGCAACCACCCACCCGCTTTCTGTGTCTGTGGATTTGCCTGGACGTTCACATAAATGAAACACACCATGTGCGGCCTGCTGCGACTGACTTCTTTCACTCAGCAATACGTCCTCAGGTTCATCCTGGTGGTAGCGTGGGTTCATACTTCATTCCTGTTTATGGGTGAATATTATTCCATCGTATGGATAGAGCACATTTTGTTTATTCCTCTGTGGAGGGACTTTTGGGTTGCTTCTTGCTTTTGGCTACTCTGATTATGTAACACGGCTTCCTCTCTCTCTCTGAAGCTAGGATCTCTCTGGCAGAGCACACAGTTAGTTACATACAAGGCCGTCAGGCTTCTTTGGCTGAATGGCTACAGGAATAGCAGGTGCTACAGTGCATAGATCAACTGCCCTCCAGCACTTATGTAAAGCTCACTACAATTGGGAGAATTTCCTCTAACACCATCTCCCAGGACAGACTCAGATGTGTCTGAGTGAGGGGTTTGCGAACTTGTTCTGTAAAAGGCCTTTTCTGTACATCTTTTTGGCTTTCTAGGCAATACTGTCTCTATGGCGCCTTCTTGATTCCGCCATAGTCTTGGAAAAGCCACACAATATGTAAACAAATGTGCATGGAGGGGTTCCAATAAAACTTTATTTTTTTAATTATTATTTTTTTGAGACAGGCTCTCACTCTGTCACCCAGACTGGAGTGCAGTGGTACAGTCTCAGCTCATTGCAACCTCTGCCTCCCGGGTTCAAGCGATTCCCTTGCCTCAGCCTCCCCTGTAGCTGGGATTACAGGTGCACACCACTATCACTCGGCTAATTTTTGCATTTTTAGTAGAGACAGGGTTTCACCATGTTGGCCAGGCTGGTCTCGAACTCCTGACCTCAAATGATCACCTGCCTCGGCCTCCTCAAAAACCTTTATTTTTAAAAGCAGATGGTGGACTGGATTTGGTTCATGGGCCATAGTTTGTCAATCCTTAGTCTAAATGAATTGTATCCACTAGCTGCAGTGATTGGTTCAGGAGGTCAGAGGACCTAAACAGATCCAGAGCGAAACCTCGGACTTTTTACCCAATGGTTGGGAAAAGAGAGGTTCTCTCTTCTTTAGGACAGTGGAGAATATCTGGGGCCTGAGATGACTACAGTCATTTTACTAACACAGGGAAGTCGGCCTGAGAATAGAGAACAGTAAGGAGGAGGGAGGCATTGAAAGAATCGCAGGACAGGGCCGGACTCTTGGTTGAGCCATGCCAGAGGTCCCCTCTACACCTGGCCTTTTCACTGCTGCTCTTACACATTTATTACTTGTCTGTCTCCCCATAGCGAGGACGGTGTTAATTGCTGCTGTATTCCCAGTGCCTTGCGCTTTTTAAGTCCCTAGTAAATGCTTGAATGAATGAACTCTGGGAGGTGGTCAGGTCTCTCCTGGGGTAGAGAGGTGAAGGGGGCCCCTCAGCCCTCGGTCAGGCGAGTGCTCCCTATGTGTTGGGACTGGGTTGGACAGACTAGATTTGGTCTAAATTAATTGTATTAATTAAATTAATGTAGAGTGGAGCTTGAGTGCCATCTTGCCTGGGCAGAGCACTTTTCAGAATGGACATGCAGCAGGGGTCCAGCACTTCCAGACAGATCCGAATCTGTGATCCGGTCTGTGATCTCATCCATTAGAGCCTTTGGACACAGGCTGAGGACAGACTAGCTCCCAGGGAGCAGCCTATCTGAGAGGTCATTTTGCTCACATAGGCAAGGGCTGGGGACAAATGTTAACCAATCCTGGGCAGACAGTACCATTGGCTTCCATCTCCAGGGCAAAAGAGACACCAGTGTTGAGACAGGGGAAGACGTCGGACAGAGCCAGGTTCAAGTCCTAGCTCCACCATCCTCCATGTTCACAACCTGGGGCTACAATTTTGATCTCTTCCAGTCTCTAGTATGAAATGGGTGTGATGACACTTACCTCTTAGGAGGGCGGTATCATCCAGGAATAGAGGGAGGACAATGAAGCCCAGCTAATACTGACCCCTTCTGCTGCATGAGTTCACTGGTATGGAACGTCCACACTGCTGGACTCACTAAATTAGGCACTGCTTATACTCTGTCTCCATAGATGCTCCAGGGAATTGGGCCAGGGTCTCCAGGATGACAGCACACCTTGGCTCACGTGTATGTGTGGTGGCAGGTACAGTCTCCTCGCGAGCCCCCTGGAGCTAACTAGCTTCCTTTTTGCAGCTGAGGACTAAATGCAATGCAGAGTTCCACTTAGATGCTCCCTGAGCAAGCAGGCAGATGCCAAGGGCCAGAGCAGGGCCATGTGCTGGCCAGTTATGCCCAGGCCCTTCGAGTTGGCAGAGACAGCGAAAATAAATACATTCATAACCAAATAAATAAATGAAGAGCTGCCTTCTTACTATTCATACTTCTGCACTTTGAAACATTTCTAGATGGAGGTGGCCAGGATGCTATAAATAAACAAGACCCAAGGGAGCCCTTAGGTGACCTTGAAATATTTATTTGGCCTCCCTATTAGTGTTTTAAAAACTGAGGACTCAGGGGCTCTTAGTCTGAGGGAAGCGAGCTGGTGAGGCAGCTGGGAGACCCCTTGGTAGGCCTGCCTCCTGATAGGAAGGGCCCCACCTGGGAAGAGCAGAGTGGCCCTTGCCCCAGTCCGCTGCTTCCTGTCCTACAGGGTACCTCTCCCTGCCCCCTTCTGTCCACCCTGTCTCTGTTGACAAAGGGTGACTTAGAAGAAGCCAGCTCTATAAAGCTTTAATGTTTGCATTAATTAATGGAAAGGCCTTTATGGTAGGAAATATCCAATTCTCACATTCACAAACAAACCTGAGTCTAACATCTCTTGCCTGGAATCGAGGCCCCAGTATTTACTGCCATCCTCCAGCCTGGGTAACCATGGGGACACAGGTCCCCTAATCAGTGGTGCCAGCCTGCACAGGGGAAGGCCCGGCCTGTTGCTGCTCCAGACGGGAAGATGGGTTTTGATGGCTGAACACCTCAACTCCCTTGCCTGTCCCCACGGGTGTTGGTCCCAGGGCTGGCATTTTTTCCTTTCTCTGCCAACACACCATGTGCGTCCGCCTCAGTCCCCCAGTGGCAACCAGGTGAGTGCATAAGGCCAGTTGCCATAGCAACAATTACTCTTTGAAACAGGATTTTGCTCCTGCCTGGTGAGGTGATTCAAGGGCCCCACTGGAGTCTCTAGGGTGTGGCCAATGGTGGTTTCGGGTCAGGGGCTGGGTTGGGTAATCCTTGTTATTTGGTTGGAAGCTGAGGACAATGGCCCTGCATGCACTGGCGTCCTCTCTAAAATGTGCCCCACGGTGCCCTATCTCCCAGAAGCTCATCTCAACTCCTAATGCCCCAACACAAAGGACCCAGCCACAGATTCATTCATCCTCTGCTTCTAGAACCTTCTAGGAAAAAGTAGCTCTACCAAGGAGCCCTGCAAGCACCCTGCAGACAACCCCAGGGGATGCAGGGAAGAAACGAAACAGTGTTTCATCTCTGGGTCTGACCTGGCTGGGCTGGTGGCTATCTGCTGGTTATCGCATCCACCAGGTTAGCCCAGGGCTACTTTAACAGGACCCAGCCCCACTGCTCTACCAGGGTGCAGCCATTGAAAGCGAGAAGCATTGTAGGGTGAAGGCTATATGGGCAGCTCTAGATGGTTGTTTTGGCTTCAGATCCTGGTCCCGCTGCCGACTAGCTCTGCGACCAGAAGCCACGTGTCTCATCTCTGAGCTTCATTCCCTTGCAACGTGGGGGTAATAACAGCATGAATAGTGAGTGGCCTAGAGGCTGGTAAGAAGCCCAGAGAGTTCCTTGAGCCCTCACTTCCACGCACACAACTCTCCAGTGTCCTGGTATCTGGTGAGCGTGCATGCCCATTGCTCAGGGGTGCCGCACGCCTGCTTCCTTATATTTGGCTCCTTGTAAAGGTAAGGCTAGAAGCCATCCACCAATAGGTGTGGCATCTCTAGAGCCATTAATCTGTTCCAAGGTGCTGGAAGTCTCCAATCTTCTTCCCTTCCACCCAGGCAAGGCTGCAATGGAGCAAACTGCTAGGCAGAATTTTTTGTCATTGTTGGCGGCCCCTCCTCCTCTCCCCATGCCTGCGTCCTCTGCTAAGCAGCAGGCTGGGCTCTTTTCTCGTTTGCCCTAGGATTGCAACAATTCCCTTTTGTGTTGAATGTGAAAGTTCTTCCATTTCCAGTTTGAAGCTATTACTCTTATTTTCCCTCTCTCAGCAGTCTGTGAATTTTCTAATACGGAGAAAACAAGAGCAGGCATGCATACATGCTCACAACTTTGCCCATCCCTGAGTTGTGGTATTGAATAAGGGCTCTATTCGAATTTCACCTCCACGTAGAAAGGAGCGTTTGGGACCAGGCGCACTGTCTGTGCTGAGATGGGCAGTTTTCCATCAGGGGCCCGGCTGCTTCCTGGGCAATTTGTCAATGACGTGTACTAACTCCGGACTTCCACCACAGGCTGTGGTTGCCAGTGAGGCGGGGAGGCAGGCTCTGGGTCCTTCTCCCTGGGCAGGAGCCACCAGTCAGGATCCTTCTTGCTCTTCCTGACTTTGCCAGGCTCAGAGCAGCCGGTCGCTCCTGTTCATCCCATCCATGGGAGCATTCTTTATTACCCAAGGAAATTGAGGATGTCCAATAGTGAGGGAGGAATAAATCATTGTTCTCAGCTAAATGGAGTAGTGCAGATCTGCTGAAAATGCTGCCTTTTATCAACAGTGCAAATAATGAAGATTCCATGCACTGAGAACAATGAAATGAGCCACTGCACTATTGATGGGGTATTTGTACAACTCTGTGAGTTATGTTTCAAAACCAGGCTCTATCAAAGATGCAGAACCTTTTTCAGAAGCAAAAAGACTAATATTGCTCTCCAAATAATTTATAAGTTTCCCCACAAGGCAAAAAAGCAAAGTTGTCTGGAAGCAGGTGATCATTGTTTTGGGTTTCCTGTTGTCTCTTGGCTCCTCTGCTCTGTGGGACTCAGAGTGAGTCTGAGTGCAACCTTCCCCCGCTGCAGTGTGGAGGCCACGTAGCCACCACCCTACAAGGCTTCCCCCGAGTAGGGGAGAGGCGGTGGACTGAGGTGGAGCACTCCCACCCATCTGCGCACAGTGCCTAGGCCCACGTCTCACTTCATTCAGTCGCAGCCAACTCGGGGCTCCCTGGGGCTGGGGGAACTGAAATCCACAGCGAATCAAATCCTGGGCTTTAGCAAAACCCTTGCTTATGCTGGAGCTTTGGCAGCTCCAGCGACATTTAGCAAAGTCTGGAGACTTGCTTAGCAGTCACGACTGGCAGAGACGGGGTACTACTGGGTAGAAATACTCCAGGAGGTGGAGGCCAAGGATGCTGCTGCATGTCCTACAATGCACAGGACAGCCCCCCACAACCAAGAATGACCCAGTGCCATGGCTGATAGAGCCAAGATTGACAGACTCTGCACTAGAATCACCAATTCATTTCTTCCCCTGGTTCCCATGCCTCCTGCAGGCTACATGTTGGGGTGGAAGGAGCTGGCAAGAACCTGTGGAGCTTCTACGGTGACACCAGGTTGGTGACAGAGCTCTGAGTAAAGGCACTGTGGAAGCACTACCTGGTTGGCCCAGGGCCACTTCAATGGGGCCTGGCCCCTTTGCTCCACCAGGGTGCAGCCATTGAAAGGGAGAAGCATTGTAGGATGGTGGCTATGCGGGCGGCTCTAGATGGCTGTTTTGGGTTCAGATCCTGGTCCTATTGCCGACTAGCTCTGCAACCGGAAGCCACGTGTCTCATCTCTCTGTGCATCACTTCTGTGCGACAGGGTAATAAGAGCACATGGGGCTCCAAGGCTGCTGTGGGTATCAAATTAGCTCCTACACACAAAGCACTCATGGCAGCGCTGGCACGGGGCTCCATCACTGTGGCGATTGTAATTATTAACACTGACGGTGATGAAGTTGATTGAGAAACACAGAGACGTGTTCACGGGCAAGGCTACGTAATAACGCGAGATGCCCAATCACGGGCCCACTACGTCCGCAGCTGCTCAGTGATCAGCCTGCAACAGACCCAGCCCAGGAAAGACGTGCAGCTCGACTAGACGGTGGGGTAGGATGTGGATACTTTTGAGCTTTTGAAAAAGAAACTGCATGCTAGTTTAACTAAACAACAAACAAAAAACTAAACACATACAGCAAGGATACTCACAAAAATCTCACCAACATTTTCAGTCTTACCTAGATTTGTGCTTATTGGCATCAAGCAGGTCTGTGCTGTCCCCTAAAGGACCTGCAATGGCCTCACCCATATTGCACGAAGGAGAGCAGCTTCTGAAGGGCAAGGATGGGCTCTGGCGGTGGCTGGAGATTAAGGGAGGTTGGGGAGGGATTTAGGATAGGAGGACGGCTAAGCCTGGCAGCCTCAACCCAGGAAGACCTGGCTGTTCTTGACACTGTGAGCCCAAGCCACACTACTGGCGTAGAAGCTTCAGGGAGAGGTCAGAGCCCGGGTGGGGCAGGGGTGCAACAGTAAAGAAGAGAGGTGCACGCTCAGCCCAGGACTTCCCCAGGCTGGGTCTGGACTCCAGGAGTTTTGCTCCATCTCAGCCACTGGCCAGTTGTGTGATCTGAGATGATGCAGAACCTTCCTAGATCTCAGATGTCATCAGATGCCCAGAGGGCCACCCTCTACTTCCTAGTCATGGTAACCAAAAATGTCCCTGGAGTGGGGGGACAAAATCATCCTCAGTGGAGAACCACTGAACCAGAAGATTTCAGGATTTCTTCAGCCCTAAACTGAAGATCATGGAAACGGGTTCATCTGTCAAATGAATGTCGGGGATGTGGGCAGATTTCTGCAGGCAGCTGCTGCACCACCCACAGAGGCCGGGCCATTCCTGAGAACTCTCACACTGTGTTGAGCCATAGAAACTCCTGAGCACCTTTGATGAGGACGGCCAGGAAACTCTGAAATACAGACAGGGCGATAGAAAACATGGAGTGTGGCTGGGCATGGTGGCTCATGCCTGTAATCCCGGCACTTTGGGAGGCCGAGGCGGGCAGATCACCTGAGGTCAGGAGTTTGAGATCAGCCTGGCCAACATGATGAAACCCCATCTCTACTAAAAATGCAAAAAAAATTAGCCAGGCGGGGTGGCAGGCGCCTGTAATCCCAGCTACTCAGGAGGCTGAGGCAAGATAATCACTTGAACCCAGGAGGTGGAGGTTGCAGTGAGCCGAGATACGCCACTGCACTCCAGCCTGGGTGACAAAGCAGGACTCCATCTCGAAACAAACAAACAAACAAACAAACAAACAAACAAAACCCAGAGCATTAGAAAGTGCCACATCCAGGCCAGGCACGGTGGCTCACGCCTGTAATCCCAACATTTTGGGAGGCCGAGGCAGGAGGATCACAAGGTCAGGAGATCGAGACCAACCTGGATAACACGGTGAAACCCTGTCTCTACTAAAAATACAAAAAATTACCTGCGCGTGGTAGTGGGCACCTGTAATCCCAGCTACTCTGGAGGCTGAGGCAGGAGAATGGTGTGAACCTGGGAGGTGGAGCTTGCAGTGAGCCGAGATCGCGCCACTGCACTCCAGCCTGGGCGACAGAGTGAGACTCCGTCTCAAAAAAAAAAAAAAAGAAAGAAAGAAAAAGAAAGTGCCATATCCCAGGACCCAGGGCAATAATGGCGGGCTCTGAAAAATCATGTTTGGTGGGAAGGACAAGGGGGATATAGACATGTGACAGTCGGAATGTGTTTTTAATGAAATGTAAGAATGGAAAATTTGCCTTATTTCTCAATTGATATATCCATTTATGTGGCATGTGATTTTAAATATATCTGAGTAAATGCATTCAAAAATAGCAAGAAACCCAAGAACGCCGACTATCAAAACCCCTCCCAACCACACTTTTCTTTCTCACTTAGCGATATATTAATCCTTGAACACTAATACGTGTCAATAAATAAGAGTCTGTGGAACATGAAATGTTAAAAGCCTTTCCAGGAATGTGTGTCTTCCCTCGAATACGACCCGGACAGTAATGGATTATTTTACTCCATTTCTGGATGTGCACGTTTCTTACATCGATTTTAAAACCCTTGGGTTCAAATGTACCTTATTACATTTTAAAGTCTTTGGATTGTAGCAGAAAAACGTTCTGCACTATAAAACACAGAGCATAGTTGGGGTTTGATGGGTTTGCTTCTATTTTCTACCACACAAAACGCTTTCTAAATGCCATTAAAATTTAGCATACACCATAATAACCAAGCTGCATTGTTCCATGTTTAAGTCAATTGACTTCTGAGTTTTATTTCTTCATATACATCAAATCAAATAAAGTTGCTGCTGTAGCAAGAGGTGAGGACATGGCTGCTGTTGTTGGGTGGACCAGTCCCTGCTGCCCCCGCGGAGAGCTGGCTGGGTGCTGGAGAGGCTGTGGAATGTGACTGTGATTGCTGCTGTCAGTCTGGAAAAGAGAGAAGTGCCGTGATGTAAGCAAGGGGCCTGAACGCCGCAGCAGGGACCCACGTCACCAGTGGGCCATGGCAAGGGCCTGAAGTACCTTGACCCGGGGTGAGAAGAGTCTATCAGGGAATAAGCCCGAATTTAGTTCCTAGACACTCTCCTACATAGTACTCTATTCAATCAAGAATTAACCTTACCCACAGAGAGGTCTGGGCTGTGCCCTGGGCTCCTAGGAGGGGACTGATCAGGTGAGAGTGTCTTTGGAGCTTTGGGCCATGCTCGAGAGTCTAACAATGTGATAAGGGGGTGTGTTTGGGGTCCCATGACCTCAGCTTGTCCTAGGCAGGGCTGGAGGCTGAAGACATGTGGGTAGCTAACCAGGTCTATGTGTGAGCCCCAGTAAAGACTGGGCACCAAGGCCCAGCGAGCTTCCTGGTTGGCGACACCGACACACAGGCTGTGGGGAGACGCTAGTGGTCCCACAACTTACCCATAGAGGATGGCTGGAATCCCCACCCAGAACCTGTCTGCACCCTACCCCATGTGTCTCTTCCCTCAGCTGATTTTAATCTGTGTCCTTTCACTCTGATAAGCCTTAACCACACGCATAACAGATTTCAGCAAGTTCTGTGAGTCCTTCAGTGAATTATGGAACCACAGAGTGGTCCTGCCCTGAATTTACACTTAGTGTCAGAAGCGAGGGTATGCTTGTGAATGACCCCCTCAAACTCTTACACTCATTAGGGCACCTCAAGTTCAAGTCTGAACTCTGTTCTTCCCCTAAGTAGCCAGATAAACTTAGGTAGGTTATTCAACTTCCTGACCTTCACGGATCTCACCTACAGAATGGGCAAGCTGTGACAGAGAGCTTCCTGCATTGGTTGTCCTAATTTCCAACCAACCATGACTCCTCCCTCTGCTCCTGGGCCCCCTTCAGACCATCCTCACTGAGGACACCACCCTACCTTCTCCAGGCCCCTGTGGTGGGGGAGGAGGAGGGGCAGGAAGCAACCTCCACACCCAGGACCTGGCCATCCTCTCCGGCCTCCAAACTCTCCCCTCTAGTCTTGGGCAACATGTCAGCTTTGACTGAACTCCCAAAAACAGAAGCAGAAGGAGGAAGGTGGAGGTACACTGTGCCACAGTGCAGTGTGACAGTCATGGTGCCATGGGAAGTCAAGAAGGCATAGTGACTGGCAAGGGCTTCGTGGCAGGACAGCCCAGGCTCTGTGGATGAGCAGCTGGATGACTCTGGGCAGGTCCTCATCTCACGTCAGGCTCATCCAATCATTTAACAATTTAAATTTAACAACATGTGCGGAACACCACAGCGAGCCAGGTACCACGGTGGGTGCTGAAGCTGCAGCAGCGTGCAAGACAGAAATGGAGCTACAGCTTAGGGGAGGGCAGACGAGAAAAGAAGAAAAGGCAGTCCAAGTGATGAGGGCCACCCAGAGCCACCCCAGAGCCACGCCATGGGTGCACACAGCGGGAACTCCTGTGCTAGTGGGGGTGGGGCCTGGGAAGGGGTCACTGACTGTGAGCTCACTCTGCTCAGCCATAGATGGGCAAATAGGACTGCTTTGTGTGCTAGGTATCTGCACCCAGTGAAACCATGAGTGCCCAGTGCCTGCGCCCAATGAAACCATGAGTGCCCAGTGCCTGCGCCCAATGAAAGCATGAGTGCCCAGGGCCTGCACCCAATGAAACCATCCATGCCCAGTGTCTGCACCCAATGAAACAATAAGTGCCCAGTGTCTGCGCCCAATGAAACCATGAGTGCCCAGGGCCTGTGCCCAGTGAAACCATGAGTGCCCAGGGCATACACCCAATGAAACCATCCATGCCCAGTGCCTGCACCCAATGAAACCATGAGTGCCCAGTGTCTGTGCCCAATGAAACCATCCATGCCCAGGGCCTGCACCCAATGAAACCATCCATGCCCAGCGCCTGCACCCAATGAAACCATAAGTGCCCAGTGCCTGCGCCCAGTGAAACCATGAGTGCCCAATGTCTGCGCCCAATGAAACCATGAGTGCCCAGGGCCTGCACCCAGTGAAACCATGAGTGCCCAGGGCCTGTGCCCAGTGAAACCATGAGTGCTCAGGGCATGCACCCAATGAAACCATCCATGCCCAGTGCCTGCACCCAGTGAAACCATAAGTGCCCAGTGTCTGTGCCCAACGAAACCATGAGTGCCCAGTGTCTGTGCCCAACGAAACCATGAGTGCCCAGGGCCTGTGCCCAGTGAAACCATGAGTGCCCAGGGCCTGTGCCCAGTGAAACCATGAGTGCCCAGGGCCTGTGCTAAATAAAACCATCAGTGCCCAGTGTCTCATGATCTGGGTCAGGGTGAGCACTCAGTGAATGACATCTATCGTGGTATTGGCATCCAAGGCCACAGACTTAGGCCACTTATTCTTGTAATGTCCCAGGAGTAGAGGAAATACCAGGAGAGTGCAGAGGGCCCAGAGCTCAGCTTGGCCCCAAATGCCAGGCATCAGCTCTCCCAGTGTTTCTCCAAAGGTGCCATCTCAATCCCTGCCCAGAGCCAGGTGCTGGCCAAGGATACAAGAGCCAGTGTCAGCTGCAAGGTGTTCAGCTCCACCTGCTGAGCCGGCCTCACCCATGCAATGTGCAACCACCCTAATGTGTTATGACAGGAAGGAAGTACAAGTAAACATAATAAATCTGGCCAAATGGCCATTATGATGTGGAGTGAGCAGGGCTGGGGACGGGGGCAGTCTGGTCTCCTTTATGTCAGGGGAGCTTATAGCTCTTTCGTTTTACCTGGGGCTCTGTTCTTTACAGCAAATTGGACCTTTCGCTCTGAAAGAAATAATTACTCTCTGAGGAGAAGAGAGCTGGCCATGAATGCTGATATGACACTCAATGTCACCTTGCCAGTCAAAAGAGGCTCCAGCTCCTTGGCTTGGGTCCCAGCCAACTCCCCGTCTCTTTCTCATAATGGAGGTCACCTCTCTATAGAATTTGTTGATGATCTCCAAAATGACAAGTTAGAAAGCTCCTGTCAGCAGGATATTTTTTTTTAAGAGGAAAGAATGGCACAGAGAGGGAGGCAGCAGGAGCCCTGGGGTGAGGAGAAGGGAAGGCCCCAGAGTGAAGCCAAAGGTCAGGTTTTGCATAACCAGACGCCAGGTGCCTGTGAAGTTCCATCCAAAATTAACTTCTGGAACCAGTGACCCAGACAGATGAGCTGTATCAGAAATCGGCTGCTCCCCCTTGTCCATTCCAGGGAGGGAACCCACAGACAGAGCTCAGGAAGCCAGCAACCAAGCTGGCGGGTTCCTGCAGTCTCCTGTCAACGCACAAGGCTGGCGCCAGTGCCCTCTGCAGCTTGCAGCCCAAGGGCCTTCACTTCAGACATGTGCACCGAGGAGCCGACTTGACTGGGCAAATAAAAATATCCACAGCTGTGCCATCAAAGACACATCAGTGGGGTGGGAAGAGCTCAATGTTATCATTAGCTCTCTGCAAGGAGAGAGCATCTACTTCATCTGCTGCAAATCATCTGCGGAGCAGGGAAATATTGGCCCTGGTGGTTGTAAATAATTCCATTTGCCAAGAGTCCAGAAAAGAATTCTAGCCACATGCACACTCACCCAGCATCAGCATGGGGCCACACAGCTATTCTGAGCTTTCTCCAAGGCAACCCGCGGCCTTGGAGGAGCAGCCCTGGAGAGAAGGGGGTCACCTCCCCTGTGTCCATGTGGAATATACCTCATGTGGAGCTCAGTGCGGCCAGGCAAGAACAGGGCAGGCAATGAGGAGGACAGGCAAGGTGGGCTCTACTGAGCAGGGTGTGATTGGCAAAGGGACGGAGATGTGCTGAAGACATCCCCTCTGCCCCTGGGAGTCACATGGCCACTCGCTGATAAAACTCCCCAAATCACACTGCTTTCTGGGTGCTGGTGAATTCCACCATCCATTTGACAAATATTTTCTGAGTGCCCCATGCCAGTCCCTGTGCCAAGTACATTGGGGTCACAGAGAACGGGCAGAGTCCCAGAGGAGGAGAAAGGAGCAAGTCACCAGGTAATATTCATGACACAGTGGGCTCGGCATGTGATAGTGCCAAGTGAGCCCAGAGGGCCATAGAGGACACCCCCAGGTTGGGGATTCAGACGCAGGAAGCTGATGACCCTGTGCGCGGAGGGAGCAGCCTCCAGAGAGGAGCAGGAGCTGCCCGGAGGAGTGCTTTCCACCCATCCCCACGTATTGCTCTGGGTGGAACCAGCTCCCCTGACTCCATCAGTCAGCAGAGAAGCCATATCTTGGACCCTATGCCCCAAGATCCCAGAATCAGTTCCTGGTGAAAAAAGCCAGAGCTGAAGTCTCAAACCAGTGGTAACGGGGGCTGCCTGTTTTGGCCAGAACTGTCATTAGAATCTTAGGAAGCAACTGAGCCAGAGGAAAAGAAAGGGATCATTCTCCAAGAAGGGGGTCCAGGAGGAGACTCCGGTGTCTCTACTTCTGCAGAGCTGCGCTCACTCTCCACCAGCAGGCCCAGGGAAGTCCACACCCAGGCGCGGGGCCTAGGGAAAGAAGACGCTTGGCTGCACGTTTATACTTTTAGAAGCATTAAAAAAAAAGGTCTGAAATTATTTTTTAAATATGAACAGGAGGTTTTAATCAGAACAGGAGAGAGGAATTCCTTTCCAGTAATAGCCCAGTAATAGCACTTCCTAAAGTAATGAGATTTCAGTATTCAACAATAAAATGTGATCTATTCAGGATTCTAGGAAATAAAACTCTAGAGATAATTCGAGGGTGATTTTCTGATGCCTGAATGGGTGTTATGGGTTCAGACCATCAAGCCCATCCACAGCGCAGCCACCAGGTGCTTGCTGCTCAAAGGCCTCCAGACAGAGGCTGGAATTCAGCGTCCACTGGGGCCTCCCTCCCGACAACCTCTGAAGACCACAGGTTGGTCCTCATGGGGTCCGGCCTCCAGGCCAAGTGTGAGCTTGGCTGGATGTCACAACTGCTCCCTGGGCTTGGACTCTGGGGAAGGTCATGGGAGGTGTTCTGCACTCTCTGGGATGACTCTCAGTCCTTCATCACCAGCCACACCGAGCCTAAGGACATCCACTACAGAAGCCCATGGCCACCGCCATTCCCCTGACTGGACTGATCTGAGAAAGCAGTTTGACAGGTGGCTCATTCATTCATTCACTCATTCATTCATTCATCCATTCACTCAGTATATACTGAGCCCTTGCTTTGTGCCATGGACTCCGACTGATTCTAGAAGCACTGTGTGGAGTGTTTTTATGGGGCTTATCCAAACTCCACAGACACGCATCTCTGCAGCCCCAGAGCCCACAGCACACTGGGATACCCTCTCCCACTGCCCAGAAAGCATCTCACGCATCCTACCTCTCACCTTCGACATCCCCTCCTCAGGGAAGCCTCCCACCATCCCATATCTGCAGCTGCAGCCTCCTTCACGCCTGCCTTCTAGCATAGGTTGAAGCTGTAATGACCACCATGCACTCATAGGTCTGATCTGTGTACAAGAAACCCAGGAAAGCAGTGAGCTAGGATTGTGCCTCTGCACTTCAGCCTGGGTGACAGAGCAAGAAAGTCCTTGTCTCAGAAAAAAAAAAAAAAGAGTCACAAGGGAACCTGTGTGCCCCCTCCTCCACCATGTGAGGACACATAGAAGGTGCCATCTATCAGGAACAGCCTCTTACCAGACACTAAATCTGCTGGTGTCTTGATCTTGGACTTCCCAGCCTCCAGAACTGTGAGCATTAAATGTATGTTGTTTATAGTTACCCAGTCTAAAGTATGTTGTTCTGGCACCATGCATGGACTAAGACACCTCGCTGGTCTCGCTGCCTGCAGTGTCCTCAGGATGTTGCACACCACCTGCATAGAGTCAGCACTCGATAAGCATTGTTTATGAATGAATGAAGTGACTCTAGAGTCATCCTGTGAGGCAGGGCACTGGCTAAAGGGACCACAGTTTCAGGAGTCAAGTGAAAAATCTGTTCTAACCCATGAGCTACCCTGGAAGAGGCACTCTCGGCTTTTCTGACCTCAGTCCCTCTCTGTAAGCTGATGGGGCTGGACTCTGGTTTCTCTGGCTTTAGCCCCCGTGACTTTATGGTTCTGTGACTCTCTATCAGGCATCTGTTCCCAAGTGTTCCCGGTCCCTGGGATACTCTGGCTTGCTATGCCTTTGAGGGGGGCTACCAGGGTGAAGCAGGTTTAGTAGAGGGCAGATCTACAAATGCTTATTGGAGAAACACCCCTCACCTGGCCAGCTAACCACAGCGCTGCCACACTCCACTCATGGAGAGTCCTTGCTGGGGTCAGCCAAGCCTCATCACAGCCAAGATGAGACACACACCAGATGCCCTCCCTCCTGCACTTGGTGGCCAAAAATAGACCTGCTAATCACGGGGCTTAAATCCTTCTGAGGGTCCCAGAGGCAACCACACAGGCCAATCGTTCCGATGTCACCCATCCTGTGAAATGTCACTCACTGGCAGGAACCAAACCACCTGATTTGCAAACTGCTATATCCTGAAAGCCAGAAGACAGCGTAAGAGGAAGGATTAAGTGAAGTTCGGCTGACAGATGATGTTCTACAAAAGGTCACCCCCAGATCATTCCTCCATCCATTATTTATTAACAACCTCCGAGACACGAGTGTTACATCAAATGTCCTGCAACGGGAAGATGATAAAGTAATATTTTATAGCTAGAGCCCTCTTAAAGGTGTTAACAAAGAGCTTACAAAGTGATTTCAATGTGTTACAAAATAATTTGTTAAGAATTCACTGCAGCTGAACATTAAAAGAGATATTAATCACCCAGTGAAATGGATGCAAGAAAAACAGCCCAGCTCATGTCCATGAGTGATGTAACAAGTGGGCACCATGTTCCTGTTGATTTAGCACTTGGGTCAGACAAGGGCACAGTTCCTACTCACTCTCTCACGTTTCAAACTTGGTATCATGTCCCTATTTAAAAACTTCCGCAATGTCTTTCTTCTTCTACAGAGCACCTCTGCGAGCTAGAAGGGTTGGCATAAATGGTTATGTTCCACTAATTGTCTTTGCCCCACACGCATCAAGTCTATCCAAGTCCACCACCTCTACCCAAGTTCACTCGCTCTATTCAAGTCCATCAACCCTACCAAAGTCCACCAAGTCTATCCAAAGCCACCACCTCTACCCAAATCCACTCACTCTATTCAAGTCTACCAGTCCTACCGAAGTTCACCACCTCCACAGAAGTCTACTCAGTCTATTCAAGTCTACTAACTCTACCCAAGTCCACTAACTCTATTCAAGTCCACCAATCCTACCCAAGCCCACCACCTCTATCCAAGTTCACTGCCTCTACCCAAGTCCACCAACTCTATTCGAGTCCACCAGTCCTACCCAAGTTCACCACCTCTACCCAAGTTCACTCACTCTATTCAAGTCCACCAATCCTACCAAAGTCCACCAACTCTATCCAAAGCCACCACCACTACCCAAGTCCACCAACTCTATCCAAGGTCACCATCGGTACCCATGTCCACCACCTCTACCCAAGTCTACCAACTCTATTAAATTCCACCAGTCCACTAACTCTATTCAAGTCCACTAACTCTATTGAAGTCTACTAACTCTTTCCAAGTCCACTAACTCTACCCAAGTCTACTAACTGTACCCAAGTCCACCAACTCTATCCAAGTCCACCACCTGTACCCAAGTCCAATAATCCTATTCAAGTCCACCAGTTCTACCCAAGTTCACTAACTCTACCCAAGTCCACTAACTCTAACCAAGTTTACCAGCACTACCCAAGTCCACCAACTCTGCTCAAGTTCATCAATTCTACCCAGGCCCACCAATCATAAGAGAAATGCTAGTAAGACAGGATAAACATTAGTTATAAAGTCACATGACCAGGACATGAAGCAGGCAGGGCACATGTGTCAAGCCCTTGTGAAGACACTGGATCATTTGCAAGTAGGTGTGACCATTTGAAATTAGGCCTTCTGGCCCTGTCCAAGTATAGAGAAAATTTTCAGGGTTGGTTTTCTAAGACATATGTATGGATTATGGCCTATGCATTCAAGAAATATTAAACTCCTAGAGGGCAGATATCAAGGATTCTTCTTCAAAGAGGACCCCAGAAGGAAGGCAGCCCCAGGGCCTGAGGAATCAAATGACAGGTGCAGAAAGAGAGGAAAGGAAACAGAGGCTCAAAGATGATTAACACACAGGAATCCAGCTTGAAGGAAACTCGGTTTACGTTACTTGCTAAACAGATGAGTCGGGATAATCCCCACCAAGGCAGTTTTCACCCCAAATTTCTTTAACTAGTAGTGAGTCCTCTCTTGCATAAGAAATTTATTGCCATGCATAAAAGTTTAATGTACCCCCAACCTTCCAGGTTAATATTTATTGCATGAAATGAGATTCATCTTGACTTTTAAAAAAGTCACACTGTGGAAAAGTTGCTCAGGTGGCTGGGTACACAGGACCTGGATATTCTGGTTCCTTCTACACAGCTAGCAGGGAGGATCTCAGAAGTCCCTGAAGGAAGAGGATGTGGCTCCAGGAGGTGTCCCAGGCTTCTCCAGCCTCCCCTTCTGGTCTGGCCAGCTTTGACTCGCCCAACAAATGTCAGCTAGAAGGTCACCTCCCCAGCTTTTCCTGGCCACCAACTTCTCCCCTGAAGATTCCCTGGTTGACTCTTAGTTCCATGACACTGGGGACCAAATCTGTCCTGTTCGCATTGACCAGAATTGATGACAGGTCTGGCCCAAGCTCACAGCTCAGCAGATATCTGTTGAGCAAACGACTCAATGAATGTTCAGAGAGAACTGAGGACCCACCCTATTGTTCCATCCAAGGATGACGACTTGCCATGATGCAGGATCACAGATTCCAAATGAATATGGCGCCACTCCTATTTTGTTGCCCAAAGCAGCCCATTGGCCAGGCAGGCCGGCAGCAACGGAAGAGCCAAACTGAGCTTCTATTACTAAATCCTCTCCCTTCCCAAGGAAGAAACATCCAGAACAACACTCTAACACCCACAGCCCCGTTTTCCAGGGACAAGTCCATTAACAATGGCTGCTCTACCAGCCACCCAGGATCCTCAGCTGAGCACAGACAGATTTATGTGAAGCAGAAAACGACCCTATTAAGTTCAGCAGTAAACTCCCTTCATCCCAGCTGCTGTGTGTCCCGACTGCCAATTGGTGCAGGCAACTCCGGCGTGGAGAAAGTGGCAGGCGTGGCAGGAGAGGGATGGCCTCTTGTTCTCATCACACCTTCCCTTGCTGCAAATCCTTGCACCTGTGCAGGCCAGCACAGCCTGCTCACTCTGCCAGGCCAGAATGGGACAAGGCTAAGAGGGACAGGGTGAAAAGAAACAGCTCTAGGGACTACACAGTCCTGAGAGAGCCACAAAAGGCATGAGCACCTCCCATGCTCCTGGCACAATGTGGGCACACCGAGGCTTGTCATCTTTGACCTCATTTGATCCCAGATCAATCAATCCTCCAAGGTAGGTAGTGTTAACCCTATTTTGCAAACAGGGAACTGGGCTTTGGAGAAGTTAAGCCACTTGATCAAGGTCACCTGCTGGTGAATGGTAGACCTGAGATTTGAGCCTGATTCACAAGAGTGCAAAGACCATCTCCTCGGATTTACACTCCAGTGCATCAGTGTAGGGGTCCTGTCCTGGCATGGCTGTGGTGGGAATCACCTCCAGAACCTGCCCCAGGGCTGAGTCCCAGCCCCCATGTGAACAGGATGCACCTCCCTTTTTGTAGCTGTTATGGGTTGAGTCCCCTAACATTTACATGCTAAGTCCTAACCTCCAGTATCTCAGAATGAACCCTTGTTTGGAGACAGTCTTTAAAGAGGTAATCAAGTTAAAATGAGGCCTTAGGGTGGACACTAATCCAATATGACTGATTACTTATAAAAAGGTGGGGGTTGGACACACACACAGGGAGAATGCCACGTGAAGATGAAGGCAGAGGACAAGGTGATGCTTCTACAAGCCAAGGAACACTGAAGCACATGCCAGCAGCCAGGGGAGAGGCTCAAGACAGATCCTCCCTCCCAGCCTCAGAAGAAACCAGCCCTGCCCACACCTTGATCTGAGACTTTCACCCTTCAGAACCATGAGACAATGCACTTCCCATGTTTAAGCCACGCCGTTTGTGGTACGGCAGCCCTAGCAAACCAACCCACTAGCTCTGAAAAACCCCACGCAGACCCCACTTCAGAAGGGACAAGTTTCACCTTCCCTGCTTATCATGCAAACACCGCACCCTGTACCCTTTCAGAGCTTGTATTCCAAGAACACAGGCTGGAGCCCTCATGCCAGCTCTCAGGAAGCTGTTGCATCTGGGTATGGTCCACTGGCCCATCTGCAGACTGCCTCATGTCTGCAAATGACAATGCTCCAGAACATTTCCTGCTACAAAAGAGTGAAACACAAACTGCAGAAGGAGAGCAGGAAGAGGGAGCTGAATTCTAAGTAAAGGCTTCAAGAAAAGGTGCCGTCGAATGGGGTGAGGGATGAGGAGGATTGTGGTGCTAGGAGGATGGGCTGCCTGAGTCCTCTGCGTCCTGTTCACAGGGCCCAATGTAAAGGGCACCAAAGAGGCCAAGAGAAAACCAGGGGGTGGGGAGGGGCTCTCCAGCCTCACCAGAGCACAGTTTGGTGAGGCCAGCGATTGCCTTCTCTGTACTGGGAATGGTGCTGTCCAGGTGCCCAGCTCTTTTATGAAGCCTAGGACCCACTCAGCATGCCCTTCTCCATGGTCCCTGCACATGGCAGAGATGAGGAAAGGCTGGCTCCCCACTGACCCCTGGGTCTCCAGAGACTCACTGGAAAAGGGTCACCTGGTACCCATGACTGATAACAGGGCTTTATCGCCAGAGCAAGAGCAAATGAGACCACAAAGGACTCTTCCACCTGTCCCACCTAGAGCCCCTCTTATGCACGTGAGCCTGCTCCATCCCAGGCTCTGCAGACAGGGAAAGCCTCTAGAACTTTCTAGAAGGGAGGCTCCTACCTCCCAGTGTGCCACATGGGCTGCTGAAGGGTGAGATTTTATAGCCAAAGCTGCCAGGCTCCAGGGCCCCCAGGGCTGGAGGCTCCTCTGCTTCTTTCTCAACCCTTGCTGCCCATCAGAGATCCACTCCTTGGCATGGGGCTGAGGAGACAAAGCCGGGGCCACCCTGTCCATCCATAAACAACACATTCCACAGCAAGGAGCCCCATTAACAAGACTCCAAGGCCTCATTAGGTCTGGAAACAGCAACTTCCCCTGACCATGTGCCTATCAAGTCACATGAGGGTGGCTGGCTCACACAAGAAAAGGCTGCAAATCACTGCTCTCCAAGGAGGAGAAAGGAAAATATATCTATATTCAGCACCTCAGATTTATTCCTGCAAGCTCACAGAGGTAGCCAAGTCTGACGAGGCGAGTCTGGGCTCTGTGATGAAGGAGCAGCCGGGGCTGCCCGGGGCAGGGGTGGCGCGGGGCATGCAGGGACGCTGGAGGAGGAAGGGAGGCTCCGCACCGGAAGCAGCCCCACCACTGCCCGCCTCCAGTGATGGCCACCTAAGCGTGACTACATCAATAAAAAATACAAACAGTGTAAAAAGTCATCAAGCAGAGATGAGTTTATTACTAATTATGAGCAGCTTGACATGCTCTGACTTCTCGTAAAATAAATGGAGTCCATTTTTAGTGTCTGCTTCCATGACTTCTAGATAATAGGCAAATTTACTTCAAGGTTACATCTCATTTATCAAGTCAAGGTTTTCAGCTACAGATTCAGAAAAGCAACCGAAAAGCTCACCTCCTCGGTACCAGAGGAAAAAAGGGAGGACGTGGGGCTTTTTGTAGCCCCAGTGACCAGTGACTACAACCTTTCCAATTAACCTCTTTATTTGCAAATAGAACTTGAAGGAACTGGGAAATATGGGCTGTTCTCCGTGTCCATTCCCCCCCTCCACAAAGATCTGGGCTTGGACCTTCATTTTGAAAAGGAGCCCCCAGATCCCTCCAGCACACAAGCAGCCCTTTAGCATAGTCCAGAAAACACAGGGCCCTGTCTGTCACCATCCAAAGAGTCCCTGAGGGAGATCAGCCTTCTAGGGAAGATGCTGTTGGTCTCCTATCTCATTCCAGGTGGGGACAGGGACCTGGGAGCAGGGACCCCAAGCTCCAGCAGCCCGGCACTCTGCCCAGACACTGCATGGAGTCCTTTCCAGGGATTTCCCTGAATCAAAAGGAGCAGGCCCCATGGAAAGGTCCAGAAGCACTGAGTCATAAGACCCTAAGGACGAAAAACACACATGGACGAGGACATCTGTATAAAAATAATAATAAAAACAAAAGCAAGCAAACCAGAAACTCTTCTATGGCTTTCCAGGGCCCTTTAGATAAAGAGTGAAATTTTTTGGATAGCTTAGAGGGGCCAGCTCAAACCCTTCCTCCAAGCCTCATCCCTACCCCTCTCACATGTATTAAATGAAAGAATGACCATTCCTGTGAGATGGAAATCGTGACCCCTATTTACAAAGAAATGGAAGCTCAGAGAGGTAAGTGAGTTGCCCAGGGTTCTGCAGCCAGGTGGGGCAGTGCCAGGACTTGAGAGCCCGGCAAGGGGGCAACTCAGTTCCTCTGCCTCGCTGCCCCCTAAATCAGCTCACCCCCCTCCTCACCAGGAGCCCAGATGGCCCCTCCTGAGCCAAAAAGGGCAAGGCTTGGGCAGGGAGGTTGGGTCCTGGGCTCTTGGCTATAGCGGCTCCATGCAGTGTTCAGGGAGGAAGACATGAATGAAAAAATGGGAGGGCGGGGCATCCCTCGATGCCTTCTTTCCTCCCTGTAGGATGCTCCAGGAGACTGGATGACATCGCAGGGCCCTTGGTTTCATCCTGAAATTCCCTGAGCCGAGAAATCCACCAGAGCACCAGTAGGGTCTGTGCATAGCTATATCCTTCACCTGGAGCTGGAGATGCCAGAATGAATGGACTCCGGGGAGCCTCTGCTTCAACTAGGAATGGATTGAAAAGCCCATGATGGGAGGGAAGGGGGGAAGGGAGCTGAGTGTGGACAATCACAGCAGCAGCTGACATGAACCACAGCTTCCACGGGCCCAAGGCTTTATAGATATCCTGTCACATCCTCTCAACCCCAGGAAGCAGGTACTATGCCCACCTAATCTCAGAGAAGGGAACCAAGGCTCAGAGAAGTTAAGTAATTTGTCCTCGGTTGGTCAGTAGATGGAAGAGGCAGGATTTAAACTTGTGTCTAAATGATTCCAAAGGCCCTGTTCATAACCAACATTCTACTGTTTCCCTATAAAAGCAGCCACCAGGAATGGGGCAGGCTGGGTACCTGCAGAGCCAAGCCCTGACATGCTAGAGGGACCCTGGGGACAGACAGCCTGCTGATGGTCCATAGGTTCAGGGATCTCCATTCACTGGGATTCAGAGACTGGAGGAGGAGGCGGTGGCAGTCACTCATGCACACTTCCAAATTTCCCTGAACCATCTGTAGGCTCCACCTGCATCTCCAGGAGGAAGAGGCTCTGAGGCTCTGGGGACACATCTTTCAAAAAGCAGGTCTCACTCAAGATCACCTGGTGTGGCTTCAATTTCAGGATGGTGCTAAAACAGCATCAGCAAAAGCCCAGCGCCAGGCAGGAAGATCCTGCAGCGTGTGACAGGTGTGGTGCAATTCAGCATCCCAGCCTGTCGGCCAAGGGCACTTGAGCCCTGCCCAAGGCCTCCACAGAGGCCCCAGGAACTGCCTGCAGAGGGCACACACCTCTTCATAGGCATGTTCATCCAGGACAGGGAACAGCAGAGCCTGGGGCTCCTCTAGGTGTGTAAGAACACCCCAGCCAAAGCAGCAAGCCTGCTGAAGCCAGGGACACCTCGGGCTTCCATGCCTCCCTCCCAAACCCGTCCAATCATCCTGCCCACAGTGGCCTTGACATTCCATTATTTCAACAGTCCCTGCCTGAGCTCTCTCCAGCCTTCTGGATGGTTGGTGAACCTTTCTGTTCCCAAGTCATGCACAGTGATGCCATACCTAGATCTTCCTGAGAGCAAAGAAGGGACATTTGTGCTTAGTCCTTTCATGAGTGGATCCAGCTATTGAAAATCTGGATTAAGAGTATTCAGAGGGAAAAGCATGTGCAAAGGCCCTGGGGTGGGAACAGATGTGCAACGCCAAGAACCAGCAAGGTGGCCTGTGAGCCGGAGCCAAGGGAGGAGCAAGAGGGAGGCTGGTGGGAGATGAGGCTAGAGTGTGGACCTGAGAGGGGAGGGGTGGAAGGCCATGGCAGGGGTTTAGATTTTACTCCAGCCACAATAGAAGCCACTGGAGCATCTGAAGACAGGAGGTATTAAGACCTGATACATGTATTTAAAAGATGGCCCTGGCCGCTGAGTGGAGAATGGATTGCGGAAGACTTGGCAGAGGGCTTTTGCAGTCAAGGTAGGAAGAAGCAGATGGACTTGAGCTATATTTTGGGGGTAGGGGTGTAAGGGTTGGCTGAGTGATTAAATAAGGAAGAGAGGGAAAGACAGAAATTCAGGCTGACTCCTTGGTTTTTAGAGAAAATGGATGGGTAGACAGAAGAAGATTTGAGTTTTTCTGTTTGTTTTATTTTGTTTTGTTTTGAGACAGGGTCTTGCTCTGTTGCCCAGGCTGGAGTGCAGTGGCACCATTACAACTCACTGCAGCCTTGACCCCCTCCGGGCCAAGCCATCTTCCCACCTCAGCCTCCCGAGTAGCTGGGACTACAGGTGCACACCACAATGCCTGGCTAATTTTTTCTTTCTTTTTTTTTTTTTTTTTTGAGACGGAGTTTTGCTCTGTCACCCAGGCTGGAGTGCAGTGGTGTGATCTCGGCTCACTGCAAACTCCACCTCCCAGATTCAAGCGATTCTCCTGCCTTAGCATCCCAAGTGGCTGGGATTACAGGCACCCACCACCATGCCTGGATAATTTTTGTATTTTTAGTAGAGACAGGTTTTCACCATGTTGGCCAGGCTGGTCTCAAACTTCTGAGCTCAAGCAATCAATCCACCCCCCTCAGCCTTCCTAAGTGCTGGAATTACAGGTGTGAGCCACTGAACCCAGCCCAGATGAAGACAATTTGGAAGGCATACATCCGATGGAGATTTAGAAAGAGTTCAGAAGACATACACATAGCCAACAAGCATATGAAAAAATGCTCACCATCACTCATCATCAGAAAAACGCACATCAAAACCACAATGAGACACCATCACACACCTGTCAGAAGGACGATTATTAAAAAGTCAAAACATAACAGATGCTGGTGAGGTTGCAGAGAAAAGGGAATGCTTGTACATTGCAGGTGGGAATGTAAATTAGTGCAGCCACTGTGGAAAGCAGTTTGGAGACTTCTCAAGAACTTAAAACAGAACTACCATTCAACTCAGCAGTCCCATTACTGAGTATATACTCAAAGGTAAATAAATTATTCTACCGCAAAGACACATGTTCATTGCAGCATTATGCAAAATAGCAAAGGTACAGAATCAACCTAGGTGCCCATGAACACTGGATTGGATAAAGAAAATGTGGTAGGTCGGGCGCGGTGGCTCAAGCCTGTAATCCCAGCACTTTGGGAGGCCGAGGCGGGCGGATCACGAGGTCGGGAGATCAAGACCATCCTGGCTAACACGGTGAAACCCCATCTCTACTAAAAACACAAAAAAATTAGCCGGGCGCGGTGGCAGGCGCCTGTAGTCCCAGCTATTTGGGAGGCTGAGGCAGGAGAATGGCGTGAACCCAGGAGGTGGAGCTTGCAGTGAGCCAAGATCGTGCCACTGCACTCCAGCCTGGGCGACAGAACAAGACTCTGTCTCAAAAAAAAAAAAAAAAGAGAAAAAGAAAATGTGGTACATATGCACCGTGGAATACTACGCAGCCTTAAAAGAGGAATGAAATCATGGTCTTTGCAGCAACGTGGATGCAGCTGGAGGCCATAATCCTAAGCAAATTAATGCCTGAACAGAAAACCAATACTGCATGTTCTCGCTTATAAATGGGGGCCAGACACTGAGTACACACGGTCACAAAGAGGAGAACAACAGACAGTGGGGCCCACTTGTAGGTGGAGGGTGGGCAGAAGGTGAGGATCGAAAAAGTACCTATTAGGTACTATGCTCACTACCTGGGTGACAAAATCATTTGTACCCCAAACCCCAGTGACACACAATTTACCCATGTAACAAACCTGCACATGTACCCCTGAACCTAAAATAAATGTTGAAAAATAAAAATAAAATAAAATTTAAAAAAGAGTTCAGGCCCAGCACGGTGGCTCACACCTGTAATCCCAGCACTTTAGCAGGCTGGGGCAGGTGGATCACCTGAGGTCAGGAGTTCAAGACCAGCCTGACCAACATGGTGAAACCCCATCTCTACTAAAAATACAAAATTAGCTGGGTGTGGTGGTGTGTGCCTGTAATCCCAGCTACTCGGGAGGCTAAGGCAGGAGATTGCTTGATCCTGGGAGGCGGAGGTTGCAGTGAGCCACGATCATGCCATTGCACTCCAGCCTGGGCAACAAGAGTAAAACTCCGTCTCAAAAAAAAAAAGAGAGAAAGAAAAAAAAAAAAGAGTTCAGATTTGGTTGTATTAAGTTTGGGAGGCCTGTTAGCTACTGGAGAGGAGTCACTGCATAGGTGGCTAGATGCAGGAGTCTGGGGTTCAGGTGAGAGGTTAGAGTTGAAGATATAAATGAGGGGTTCTCTGTATAGAGACAGCATTTGGTGGCTGAGATGGGCCAGGCACTATGCTGCCAACAGGGAAGAGCAGGTGCAACCCTGCCCTCATGTAATTTTATTGTGCAATTATGATCTCTGTGTTACAGAAGAGGAAACTGTGCCTTCGAGAGGGTAGGTGATTGGATGTGGCCAAGCCCACACATGACCTAGGCTGACCCCCGAGGTTCCCAACTGCTGGGTTCTCTGTCTCCATTCCTTTCACCAGGCGGTCAAGGGCGATGGCCTCTGAGTGTCTCATGCAGAGCCTGGGACCTACAGATGCTCTGTGGACTTCGTGGACATCTCATCCTAACTGCATTAATCCCAAGGAGGAGGCACCGTAGGCCTGTCCCTCTGTTCCTCGATGAGGCTGGCTCACACGGAGTGGGAAGAGCTTTCATCCCAGCTCCCTGGCTCTTCCCTCAAGATCCGGGCCTTGCCAAGAGTCATGGGTCCAGCTAGGGAGGAGGTGTAACCTCTAGGTGAGATACTTGGAAAGGTCTCCACCCCCAAATTAAACCCCAACCTGAGCCCACCCCACTTCCCAGCAACCAGAGGCCCTCTGCACTCACAGAGGCTTATGCAGGAGCAGAGCCTGCTGGGCTGAGGCCAGGAGGCCCAGAAGACATGTGGCTCATGACCATTTACTTTAAAAATCCCTTTCCTGGAAAGGGGCCCATGGGTGGATGGCCAAGGAGTCTGCCCTGGAGAGGAAATCAGTGAGGACACCTGCAGAGACACACGCCACACACAGCCTGGAGCTGGGACAGAGTCATCAGCTCAGCCACTGTGTCTCCGTTAATAACCCGACAAGATGTCGGGCCTTTGTGCAGACACCAGGACATAAACACATGGTGAAATCCAACCTGCAGAATCTTCCCAATTACCCTTTCTAGGGGGTGCCAAGGCACACCTGCACTCAGATGCATTTTTGTCACCTCCCAGATGACAAAAGTGACGCCCCTTTGGAAAGGACCCAGGAAGCCCAGGTTCCCAATAACTGGAGGGAAAAACAATGCTGATGCAGTTACCACCCAGGAGCCGTTTCTCTCTCCCCTCCTCACTTTTCCTTCTTCCCCCCGCCCACTTCCTCCTTCTCTCCTCCCTCTTCTTCTCCCTGCTTCCTTCTCCTCCTCCTTCCCTCTCTCCTGGAATCCTGGCCCAGCCATGGCGGGGGAGCCAGTGCCACTTATCTCAACGGCAGTGACTTTTGTCTGGGCCATCCTGGACCTGGCGCTTTCCCGATGGTTTCAATTTTCTGCTCTCTGCTTTTCTGTTTCATGGCAGGCATATTAAAAGTGGCAGCATATCACTTTGTTCTCTTTTGTATAAAAACTCCTTCTCACTTGCGTGCTCTCAGCGCTGCCTTCCTCTTGGTCGGAGGCTCATGATTTGGTAGTAATAACGCTCTGTTTATACTTGCCATAAATGTCAAGCCCACATAATATACTGTAATCATATCTTATCCTGCAACGCTGGGATTTATGCACAGCTCCGAGTGCAGAGCCTTTTAGACTTTCCAAATGACCACGGCTCCTTGAAGGCCCTCTGACTGATCCGACCCCGGCCAGACAGGTAGGTGAGAGGGGACGATGCCCTCGACAGAAAATGGAATGTGTTTCTCCAATCTCCATGTCCAAGTCCATCACCCCGAATGGCCTGCCTCCATGGAAGCTGGACTCAGAGCGCAGCCTTGGCCGAAGACCTGTGTGTGCTCAGTCACTGACCTCCACGCTGGGCAGAGGTCCCCCGACCTGCTGCTTCTGCTGAAAGAACAGTTCCTGGATGGTGGGACTGGCTCCCTCCTTGGCCAGTGACCACTGAGTCGTGGGAGGTACCTTGGCCCTCTCTAGCAGAGCAGCCTCACCTGCCCGATCTGCATGTGGGCCGGCTCAGGAGCCTGGCGGCATTCAGGCCATAATTTTGCTAGAAGTTCCTACCTGGCTATTTCCAGCTCCTGAGTGCGTGGCGTCACTAAGAAGGCAGAACAATTCACTAGCTCTGCGCAGTCCCCGGATGAAAGGCATTCCTCAGACATCAGGATCGTGCCTGGGAAAAGCGTGAGGCCATGGATGCTCTCCCTGAGAAAATGCTCACTTTGGCAGATGGCCCTGTCTCTGTCAAGTCCTGGGGGTCACGCTGCCTAGTCCCCACAATTCCTAGGTTTCCTACGACGCTGAGGTCTGCCACCACCAAAATGCTCAGGAGGGACCTCAGAGTGCCAAAGCAGGAATGCGCCCCACCCGTGATGGGCCTAGAGGACCCATGGGCAGCTGCTGGGGCAGAGAAGTGCCCTACCGGGAAGCCCTGGAAGCTTGGGCCACGTGTAAGGAACACAGGCTACAAAGCAGATTTGATCTTTAAACAGCAGCAACTCCCTTCTCATCCCCTACGGGAGTTAAAAGGATCCTGGCAGAATGTGGAGGGACAGAGACCCAAATCCAAGAAGTGCTCTCTTTTGTACAAAGCATGGTGCATATGTGTTGTGCATATACACAGGTACCCAGATGCTCATACACACACATACACACACACACACACCATATGACTTCCTTTTATTAAAAATACCTGACCATTCTGTACTAACAGTTCAATATGAAGTTAGAAGTCCTGGCAGACAGATTGTGACTCAGTGAAAAGAAAAAAAAATGAAATTTTCTAACAGTTGGAACTTCCCGGTAAAGGAACAGGCTAAACAAGTGGCTCCTCACAGGAGCTTTTCAAAGGCCACACGGCTGGCTTCTAGCAGTGATATCGCAGAAACGGAGAGGCTACACTTTTCCACCTTGAGTTCTTTCTGGAATAAGAGAGGGTAAGATTAACAAAATAAAAGGTAACACCAGGTCTCATCCAAACCTGCAACTATGTGACTGTGCACCCAGGGGTTCAGGGACATAGAGGGTCTCAGGGGACCTGGCGGGTATAGGGGCAGGAGGACTCTCTGCAAAACAACATCTCTCTGTGGCTCCTGCTCCTGGGGACCCTCCTGGGGCTCTAGGACACAGAGAGAATCCGGCATCCACTGTTCCTGCCAATGAGGGGTGCTCAGTGTGGGGGACACAGGTGGGAGGCAGGGGATGGGTGCTGGGATAGTGGGGGAGAACAAGAGCAGGTGCCTGGGGAGCCCACAGGAGTGAGCACCCCTCTCGGGAGGCTGGGGCAGGGTCTTGCCAAGGTCCCCAGCCCAGTTGAGGATCCATAGGTGAGATACTTGTAAAGTTGCCCACACAGGGCACCTTTAGACAAAGATACTCACACAGAGAGCCCAGTGTGAGCCCAAGCTGAGACCCCATCCCTCTTCCCTTCTGCCAGAAGTTCCCTCCTGTTCTCACCGGGGCTTATACAGGAGTGAAGCCAGGAGGCCCCCAAGGCCCAGGGCTCACCAGGGCTTACTTTGAACATGAGGTTCAGATTCATCTTGCTTCAGGACTGTTATGGAGTGAATTGTGTCCCTGTGAAAAGGTGTCAAAGTTCTAAGCCCCAGAACCTATGAATGTGACCTTTTTGGAAAGCGAGTCTTCGCAGATGATAAAGTTAAAGTGAGGTCAGGAGGGCAGGCCCTGATCCAGTCTGACCGGTCACCTTATATAAGAGGAGATGAGGACACAGACACAGGCAGAGGGAAGACCCTGAGAGAACCAAGGACAGAGGCCTCAGGAGGAACCTGCCCTGCCCGCACCTCGATCTCAGACTTCGCTTCTCCAGGACTGCAAGAAAATCAAGGCTGCTGCGTACGTCGCCCCGTGTGCGGTGCCTTGTCATGGCAGCCAGAGTACACACATGGCATGGGATCAGCCCTAGGCAGCTGGACAGAGGACACATGTCAATGACAGACAGGTCTGGGATATGGAGGGACAGAGATGTGCAGGGAGTGAGTTTCCCCTTTAGGCCCCCAGAAAGCGGCTAGAGGTGAGTGCTGGGCTCTGTGCGCTCATAAGGTGGTAATTAACAGTGGCAGGACGGTGCCCCATTGGATGCTCTGGGATATCGTACAAGTCTCTGTTTTGCTGATGCTGGAGAAAAGAATGGCGATAAATAAATGTAAAGCACGCTGGTGATGGTGTGAAATGATGCTTCATCTAATTATCACTATTCTGTGCTGTCGTTAACATGCGCTCGAGGAGAACGGGAATGACTTTTACATTTATATCACAGCTCGGATTTGCCGTCTTAAGCCCATAGCACGGGGACACAATATGCCCTGGGATGGAATCTCTTACAGACAAATGACGGGATTACACAACTTGGTAAGAAGAAATGATTCACTGTGGCTGAGTTGAAAACAGCAGAGTAATAACACACAGGACTCCAGGAGAGCCCGAAGAAGACCCAGAAGGTGAGGAAATGAGAAGTAGGCAACTTTGATGGGCAACTGAGGGATGTCGTTGGAAAATCTTTCCTCAATCACAGACGTCCTTTTCTGTCTAATGAGGGTCGTAATACAGTGAACGTGGGTGGCCCCATCTCTCTTTGATGCTTAACGGACTGTGGCATTCCTGAAATTTGCTGTTTTGAACGTAAGGGGTGAACGGACCTGGATTGAAGCCGAACACCCCCTGTGGCTGCTTTTTCTCCAGGTTCCTATTATCTCTTGCTCTCTCCTCTCAAACTGGAAATACTTCAGTTAACTGACAATTTGACAATTCCACTTAGTTGGATCCTCGCCCTGGAAGTTCTCCTGCAGGGACCACGCAGTCGCCTTTGTAGGCGGCCGAACCTTTACCCTGTTTCTGCCATGTTCCTGCACCTTCCAAGGGCCAGGTGGAGGTGGTTATGCTTCGTACCACAGCCCCATCCTGCTGTCTGGACCACGAGTGGGCCCCACGACCCCCAGGACCATCAATCCAAGGTTGGCCTGGCGGGGTGTCATCTGTGCCCATGTGAGAAGACAGGCATGACTGGCACGACCTCCTTGCTCAGGAACCCAACTGGGAAACAGCATGGGCATGGGAATGAGGCAGTCAGCAGCAGAAACTGCAGCCAAGAAGTCGTCGAGACCAAGGCCAGAACGCTGAAGCTGGGCCAGGAGGAATTGAGGCAAGGCGTGAGAACCAGAGGCCACAAGACGAAGAGAAAGGGGACACCAGAGGGAACACAAAGCTGGGGGGCAGTGAGAAGACAGAGAGGTAGGCATGCAGAGTGGAGGCAGAGACACCAGAGGCCCTGCGAGTGAGCACAGCCCCTGGTCAGTCCCTCGCCAGAGCTGCCTCTGTCCCACGGCCTTGCTGTGAGGTCCAGTCCTCTACACGGTGTATCAAACCACTGTCCTCCTAAGCTGAATAAATTATGGCACCCCAAAACATACGTCCACATCCTAACCTCAGAGCCTATGAATGGGACCTGATTTGGAAATACAGTCTTTGTGGGTGGAATTAAGGATGGAGATGATATAGTGCATTAGGGTCGTGCCTGACTCCAATGGCAGCTTCCTTAGGAGAGGCGGAAAAGGGCACACAGAGCCACGGGGAAGAACACTGCCAAGTGAGGATGGAGGCAGAGGCTGGGGAGGATGCAGGGACGCAGCTGCAAGCCGGGGGGGTCCTGGATTGCTGGCAGCCACCAGGAGCTGAAGAGGGGTCGGGACAGATTCTGCCTTAGAGCTTCCAGAAGGAACCCACCTGCCCACATCTTCATTTCAGACTTCTGGCCTCTAGAACTGAAAAGAAAACATTTCAGTGCTTTTAAGCCACCCAGTTTGTGGTAATTTGCTATGGAAACCAATACAAGTGACCCAAGGAAGGCTTAGCTCCCTGCAAGCGAGGAGAACGTCTTCAAAAATCAAAACCAAAGGCTGTGACCTGGGGGCTGGTGTGAAAGAGAACATCTTTACAAATCAAAGCCAAAGCCCGTGACCCTGGGGCTGGTGTGACGGCAGAGGCCCGACTGGCTGGGCTCTGGAGCTGCCTGGGCACCGGACCACTCTGTGACCTTGGGCCACTCCCTCTCCGGAGCTTGGCTCTCCTTTGAGAAAATGAGGGATGAGTCCAGAAGCCCCTTCCCGATGGAACAGTCCGGGCCTCATTGTGGAAAGACGAAGTGGGGACAGGCCAGTGATGTGTGCCCAAAGCCTCGATTCTTTCTGAGAACCATCCGCCGCTCTCCCCACCGAGGAATGTTACTCAGACGCTGCCACCGGGATGAGGCAGCCGGATCTCTCCTGACCATAAATAGCTCAGAATCTCTTCACCATCTATTGCTACGGAGTTTGGAGAGGAACATTTGGCTCTTTCAGAGGCTGTCCCCAAACGGCTGAGGCATATGGGACAGGTCACCCTACAGAGTCAGAGGACAACACATCCGTGCTGGCTGCCAGATGCACTTTGCCCTTCAGTCTGTGACAGTTGAGTGTAGCTGGGACTCTCTGCTCTCAGCTGCAAGGCCTGGCCCCTGAGGGCACCCAAGAAACTAGGGGGAAGGAGCCCAACCTCCTGGGGTAAATGGGGCTGGTCTCTGCTGGGGGTGCCACCTGCCCTCAGACCCAGGAGGAGGGGCAGAACCAAACAGCCTCCTTCAGGGCCGAGAGCACTGAGAGGGCCGCCTCCTGCCAGGCCCCATGGAGCTGGGAGAATGACAGTCCCCTTAGATTAAGCCTACCCTGCTTCTGGAGGCGCAAACTTAACTTCTACCCTCTTCCCCGCAAATTCCATTTTAAAAATACTTTTGATTTTCAAAACAGGACTCAATGATGGACACCATCCCTAAGGGGGGAAGTCTTATGGGCTGAGCTTGCAGGCCAGTGTAGAGGTGTATTATGATCTTTAAAATTTCACCCAGTTAAGAAGAAAGCTCTCAGCTGTTTACATTTTAGGCTAATTCTGGGCCTTTTCTTGCTGTAGTTCCCCCGTCCTCAGCAGGAGGCAGCTCAGAGTCATCGAATGCCTTCGTCACAGATCCAGAGACAATCAGAAAGAGGAGAATCTGAGGAACTGCCTAGGCACTGATTACCCCTTCCATTCTAGAGAGAAGTAACCTGAGGATCAGAGAGGGAGAGAAACCTGTCCAAGGTCACACAGCAAGGCAGCATGGATTCTGGACCAGAATCCATGATTCCAGTGTCCTTTTCTCTTCTCAGTTCATAGCTTCCAGGAAGATATGCTGTAGGCCTTGGTAAGATGGACTAACTCACCCCAGGAGCTTTCAAACCATATAAACACATTGACTTCACTAAAAGTGAGCCCAACTGATGCAACCAGCCTTTCTTTAGCTTAATTCCCAAATGCAACTGCCAGCTGGGCTGGTCCCTGGACTTCTCTGGTATTTAGGGATTTACTGTGGCTAATACCAAAGAAAGGCTCCTACAGAGGGTTTCCCTGTACCCCAAAACACCTCCTCAGATTCAGCAGTCCTGACATTTCTCAGAGTCCTGGAGCTCTCCCTCCTGCTGTATTTCCACAGATGCGGTGGGATTCTTCTCATGTATTTAGGAGCAGAAAGGCAGGTAGGTCAGTGGCAGCAGCTTAGCCCAAGTGACTATGGCCATTTCTTAAAAAGTCAGCCTGCTGACTCTCAGGCATGAAGCCCTGACTGCATGCCCAGCCCTGATGTCGTTAACTGGGGCATAATCTTCCCAGCCACCTGGCATGGGGGTGTAAGCACTCAAACTCTGGCATGAGTTTGGGCTCTAGCAGCCTGTTATTCCCAGGACTGGCACCCCAAAGAATCAGAGAAGTGGAAAGTGAGCCCCGGGGTTTACAAACAAGCTTCCTATGGATACAACATCATCTCACCTAAGTCACTCTGAAAGTCTTCAAAGTACAAACAAAAAGGCTATCAGGATGGGCCCACCATGGCTGATGTGTCAGAGACAGCAGGCGATCATGGGAAAGGAGTTGGCAGCACTGGTTATCCCCAAAGGGGTTAACAACAACAGATGAAATCAACTCCAGATAGATCCAGATTTCAAATGTCAACATCAAAACTTTAAAGCTTTTAGGAAAATAATGCTGAATATCCTCCTGACTTTGAGATAGGGAAGGATTTCTGAAACAAGACTAAGAAGTGCTAACTGTGAAATATTGAGAACACTGACTGTATTAAAAGTAAGAACTATTCAACAAGACATCTTAAAGAAGCTGAAAAGCTACAAACTGAAAAATACAAGATATTTGCAACATATAAAAGGGATGAAGGATTCTTATCAAGAAAATATAAAGAATTCTTACAAGAAGAAAGAGACAACTTGACAGAAAAATGGACAAAAGACTTGAGCAGGAGGCTGGGCGCGGTGGCTCACACCTGTAATCCCAGCACTTTGGGAGGCCGAGGCAGGAGGATCACGAGGTCAGGAGATGGAGACCATCCTGGCTAACACGGTGAAACCCCGTCTCTACTAAAAAAAATACAAAAAAAATTAGGCGGGCATGGTGGCAGGCGCCTGTGGTCCCAGCTACTGGGGAGGCTGAGTAGGAGAATGGGATGAACCCAGGAGGCAGAGCTTGCAGTGAGCCAAGATCACGCCACTGCACTCCAGCCTGGGCAACAGAGCGAGACTCTGCCTCAAAGAAAAAAAAAAAAAGACTTGAGCAGGAAAGAGGAGAAACACATGGCCAATAATTGCAGGAAGAGGGGCCCTGCTCACCCGTGAACAGGGAAATGCTGGTGAGGGCCAGGGTCAGACACCCTTTCATCCTCACTCAACTGGCAACAATTAAGAAGTCTGACCTCATGCGCAGAGGGTGGAGACCCTGGAAATCACTTATGCATGGCTGATGGGTCCATAAATTGGCCATCACTTTGGAAAACAACTTGAGTTAACTTGTAAAAATGAATATTCATGAGTCTCATGGAATCCAGTAAAGACAACTACATTTGCTATGCCTCTTACTGAGAGGTGAAATCCAGTTCCCCTGCCTTCTAATCCAGCCAGCCTTGGTCACTTGCTTCATCAATAGAATGTGGTAGGACTGACATTCTGAGCTTCTGGGTTGGCTCTAAGAAGCCTGTAACTTCCACTGGGTGTCTGGAAAGCTCACTCTGGGAGCCCTGAGCTGCTATGCCAGGGAAGACCAGGTGAAAAGACCACATGCAAAGGTCTTAGCCTCCACAGGGAGAAAGAGGCCCAGGCCCCTTCAGGCCGGCTCCAAGGGTCCAGCCCTCAATCATCTCATCTCAGGTCCCGAGTGTGGTGGAACAAATCAGAGTTACCCCTCTGAGCCCGACAGCAACACCCATGATGTGGTTGTGTGGGATGGTTTGTTTCACAGCAGTAGATAACTGGACCACCCAGCAAGCACTGTCTCCTAGGAGACAGACACAAAGATGACTATTCTGGGCAATGCTGTTTCTAACACAAAACTAGAAACCACTGAATGCCCAAAGGCAGAAGAGTTCGGTGAATGGTGGTAGAGACCCACGGGGGAATATTACACAGCTGCGAAAATTGATGAACTCTAGCTACACATCAACCACATAAATGAGATTTAGAGACACAATGTTAAATTTCAAAAGCCAACCCCAGAAGACCACAGAAGGGACAAAACATTTTTTATACAGTTCAAAAACAGGCAAAAAGTAAACAAGGTAGTATTTAAGGATGCACTTATAAGTCATAAGACTGAAATAATAGGAGGGAGATGTAAGCACAAATTCAGGGTTGTGATGACCTTTGGGAGGTGGGAAGGTCGGGGAGGGACAGAGAAGAGCCCGTGGCAGACACAGTTAATTGGTAATGTCCTAGTTCTTGGATTGACCAGCAGGTCATGGGCATTCCTTGTTAGAATGTTTAAACAAACACTCTAAAGTAAACAACAACAATAGTGTGTCATGAACTGAAGATTATAATTCATCTAATTACTCTAATTCCTCCTTTGTTTTAAATGCAAACACCTGACTACACAGATAATGGAGGTTCCAGCCCAATATGGCCTCGGAGGTGGCCAAGATGCCCCTGGTAGGGATCTCCCGAATTGAATGATGGAGAGTGATGTTGTCATCAATCACCCGTGTGCCATGAGCCCCACAATCCAGGAGAGCTGAGGCACAGGAAACTCACACCATAAAGGCAACCTTCCCCTCCCACACCCCAAGCCATCGGAGTCGCTGAGCCCTGTGTTTTATTTCACCATTGTGTGCCTACCACTTAACACGGAAAGATATTACTCATGAAAGATGAGTCCTGAAAGGAAAGTTTGGGGTTTTATTATACCTCTGGGCTAGACTGGGCGATCTTTGAAGAAGTAAGGTTGTACCCTTTTCATTTCCTATCCACAGGACAATATTTTAGCCATGCGTAGGGTCAGAGAAAAGGAGAGAGGGCTGGCGCTGTGTGATGCTCTGTAGGACTGGTGCCCACTGATTGCAGAGGGCACTTGTCTCAGGCCTTAATAGGAGCAAGGAGTTCCGTGTCTGATTGATGGTCCCAGGGAAAGTGGAAAATGCCTCTTGAAGGCCAGGCATGAAGTTGCAGAAAACAGTTGGGGAGGTGAATAGTTTGCCCACTGGCCAGCCAGACCTGGGAGTGCTCAGGCCCTCGGCCTCAAGATGGCTCCATCTTCAGCTACCTGAGTTTCTGGTCACAGCTCTCCAATGACCTCCTGGGTCTCTTAGACAAGGTCTTCTGTTCTATTTCCTTCTTCCCTATTCTCCCCTTATTTCCAATATTAGGGTCAAATTACTTGCTCTCTAACATGGCTCCAGCCCTATGTTCTAGGATTCTAAGTGTTGTAGGATTTTAAGATGTGGGGACCACTCTTCAAGGGCCACCATGGGCACCCTGCCATGATGATGGGGGTGGTTTCTTCCCATCCCAGACCCCTGGGTCCTCTAGCCCTGCTTCAGTCCCAGTCTCACTCCTCCAGGCACAACCTGAGCCTCAATTCCCACACAGGAAACCATTTAGCAGGGAAAGGACTGGAATCCTGCTGCTGTGCCCCCATGATGGCTCATCAGGGCAATCCTGGAACCATGAGAGGAATCGCCAGCTGAGTCAGTGCTAAAAGGGTGGAGGGGGACTGCCTCTCAATCCAGGAAGCCCAGGGGACCCCCGGGCTCTGCATCCACCTTGCTGCCTCTGGACAGGTCGTGGAGCCTGGAGCTCTTCTGAGGTCATGTGGGTGCAGCACCCTGCCCTCCACCCTAGGCCATCTGAGACCTGGGACCGCTCCCAGATATTGCCCTCAAGAGGCAGACTTAAAAGAGACCATGCCCATTTATTTTCAATGAGGAAACTGCTGTGTGCCTCAGTTTCTGCATTTGTAAAATACAGTGATAATGGCACCTACCTTCTACGGTCAGTATGAAGACTCCCTGAGGTATTGCACACAAACAGCTCCTAGGCCAGAGCAGGCCCCACTCCATGGTGTGCTTACACTCAGAAGGATTCTCCTCACTGTTATCTGCCCTCCAGCATGATGGGCCCTGGTGGGGGAGGAGGCGAGGAAGAAGAGCAGCCTGGCCTGCCCTCCTCCCCAGGAGGCCAGCTCCTGGAGCCCCTTCTGAAACTTAATTCTCATTTATCCTATGGAGACTAAGACAGTCACGATTTTGAGTTCTGTGGAGAGAGAAAGCACTGGACCCTGGCCAAGATGCTGAGCCCAGACTGTCTGAAGATAACGCACACACAGATGATGTTTACGGCAGAACAATCATGCAGGCATTAGGCTGGTGGCAGCCATGGGAAGCCCGGGCTGGCTGGGGTCACCACCACCCCATGGCTGGGCAAATGCCAGCTGGGGCTGCTTTCGTCGTCATTTGCAGGGGAGCCAGCTCCAGGCTGGGTGACAGCTCAATTCAGAGCCCCAACAAGAGAGCTTGGCATATTCTTCCTTACCAGAGACAATCTCGCACCTACTTTGTTTGCTCTTAGATATCAAACAGAATGGAAATATTTTCGTTTCACTGGACAGGATGACAGCTGTGCCCCACCTCCTGGCGGGTGTCTCATTCTTCTCAGGCTGCACAGGCTGGTCACCTGCTTCTGTGGGTGGGAAGAGAACAGTGGCTCCACTTCTCTTCCTCATGGCAGCCCCCACCTGCCAACCACCAGACACTCCTCAGCATGGTCCCCACATGCCTGGGAAGGAGCTCTTTCCTATTCCAGCCATGGGGAAGCTGGAGGCCTTGCACAGCTGAAAGGCAGCTCCACGCCCAGCAAACATGAGCCAGAGCTCAGGGTGCAGGCTGCCCACAGCCCTTTAGGAAATGTTCCACCTCGGAGACCCTTTGTGGTCAGAGAGCTGGTGTCTTGAGGCAGTGTGATGGAGTGCCATCAAGGCTGTGTCTTGGCATGGCCTAAGAAGGAAGGTCTTGTATCATGAAAAGCACCCTGGCCAGCCCAGGCTACTTCCTTCCATAAATATACAGCCTAGGCTTATGAATACCATATTTTTATCATGGCGTTCACTCCTTTGGTTTGTGGACTACGTATGGGTTTGTTCATGGTGTGAACTCCTTGAGAACAGAAACTGTGTCCTGTCCTCCACTGAATTCTTGTGGTCTAATTCATTGTTTGGTGCAGAGTAGGCTCTGAAGTCATGTTTTTGAATGAGACAGTGTATGGATGGATGGATGGATGGATGGATGGATGGATGGATGGATGGATGGATGGATGCACAGGTGGAAGGATACATGGCTAGATGGATGGAAGAAGCAAAGAATGCATGAATAGATGGATTCATCTATCTTCAGAGAGATAAATTAATGCATAAATGGATAGGTGACGGATGGAAGCCAGGAAGGATGGAAGGATGGAAGGAAGGAAGGGAGGGAGGGAGGCAGGCAGGCAGGCAGGCAGCACATTAGCTGCTCATAGGAGAAAGCAACCATTTGGGAAAGGGCTACTTCCTGGGCCCTCCCCTAGTCTTGGTCTCTCCATAGAGACATGTCTGCATCTGACAGGGGTCCTGCTTCGTATTGCTCCTCTGGGGAATCTGGCTGCATGAAGCACTTCACATGCCTTTTCCTGGACACAAGCATAAGTCGGGGGTAGGCTAGTGGGGGCAGGAAGAATTAAGCCTCCCTCCAGTCTTACCTTCTCCAGGGCATTTTTCCAGAGAAGAGAAAATGACAAGCTACAACAACAATTGGCACACTATAACTGTGGGCCAAATTCAGCCTGCTGCCTGTATTTGCAAATAAAGTTTTATGGGCACACAGCCACATCCATTTGTTTACATATCGTCTATGGCTGCTTTTGTTCCATAACAGCAAAGTTGAGTTGATGCAACACAGACCATATGGCTGGCAAAGCCCAAGATATTTACTGGCTGGTTCTTTACAGAAAAAAATTTGCTGATTCCTGGGATAGAGTGTTGTCTGGGGCCCTATCATTGGCTATGGGACCCTGGGTCAGGTTCTGAATGTCTGTTTCCCACTATGTCTGCTGGAGACAAGATAGAAAATCAAGATGCCTAGAAGAGAGTGAGATGATCAGCTGGGTGCAGTGGTTTATGCCTGTAATCCCAGCACTCAGAGAGGCTGAGGTGGGTGAATCACTTGAGGTCAGGAGTTTGAGACCAGCCTGGCCAACATAACAAAACCCTGTCTCTACTAAAATTACAAAAATTAGCCGGGCATGGTGGTGCACACCTGTAATCCCAGCTACTTGGGAGGCTGAGGCAGGAGAATTGCTTGAACCTGGGAGGTGGAGGTGAGCTGAGATTGCGCCACTGCACTCCAGCCTGGGTGACACAGCAAGAACTCTTTCTCAAAAACAAAAACAAAAACAAAAAAACAACCAACAAACAAACAAACAAAACAGAGTGAGATCAGCATGAACGTGCTTTGAGAAGAGAGGAAAAAAACTCAGAATGGCCAAGCAGGGCAGGAAGGGCTTAGAAGGAGACATGCCTGGGTGTGCGTCTTAGACCTGCCACTCTGGGCAAGTCACTCATCCTCTCTGACACTCATCTGAAAAATGATGACAATAATTCTGACCAAATGTCCCTCCTTGGAGAGGGCTTCCCTGACTGCTGTATCTGAAATACTCCACACTCACCTAGCTTTGTCTTTTGTTCTTTAAACAGCTTTATTGAGATGGAGTTCACATTCCGTACAATTCTTCCATTTGGAGCATACAATGGAGTGGCTTTAGTATATTCACGGAGTTGCACAATCACCACCATGATACATTTCAGAACATTGTAAACTTACTTTTTGAAATACACAGTATGGTTTGGGTCTGTGTCCCTGAACAAATCTCATGTCAAATTGTAATCCCCAATGTTGGAAGAGGGGCCTGGTGGGAGGGGGCGGAGTTCCCCCTCGCTGGTCTCGTCATAGGAGTGAGTTCTCACCACATCCAGTTGTTTAAAAGTGTGTAGCGCCTCCCTGTTCTCTCTCATCCTCCTGCTCCAGGCATGTAAGACATACCTGCTTCCTCTTCCACCATAATTAAAAGTTTCCTGAGGCCTCTCCAGCCATGCTTCCTGTACAGCCTGCGGAACTGTGAGCCAATTAAACCTCTTTTCGTTATAGATTACCCAGTTTCAGGTATTTCTTTATAGCAGTGTGAGAACGGACTAGTCCAATAGACATCACATAAAATTCACCATTTTAACCACCGTTAAGTGCATGTTTTGGTGGCGTTAAGTCCATCTACGCTGCACAGGCACCTTCCCCACTGTAGTTTCATCACCTTATCCTACTTTTTTTCTTTCTCGTGGCACACACACCAACTTGAAAATCGCTGATGTTTCAGTTCTTGACTGAATGCCTTTCCCATGTGCACTCCATGAGGGCAGGGCTTTGTCTTGTTCACTATCTCCAACACTTGGAAGAGCATCAGGGACATGGCAGGTGCTCAATCAATATTTGAATACATGAATTGATGATGCATTGACACAAGGAGTCCATTCCTGCGTACATGGTGGGCTTTATGGAAAAGCTCAGCGATGCTCCTGGTGCACAGTCTGTACTCAAAGGCAGACGGCTCCAAACCCTCCAGAACTAGGCCAATCCCTTTGTGCCAGCCGTGTCCCGGCCCTACATGAGTAGCCTTCATCCCTTGTTACCTGGCATGACTCTATAGGTGGCATTGTCATTGGTGTACACTTGTTTCTGTGGAAGGGGGTGCACTCTCTTCTTCTGCATCCTTCTTTCTGGGACCTAACGGGACTGGGTGCTGGGTGAGTACCAAAGCAGGAGGGAGACTGAGGTGTCAAGAGCAGAAGCCCCAAAATCTGGAGGAGGAAGTGGCACCTCCATCTCTGTAAGAGTCAGGGTTCCCCAGCAAAAAAGAACCAATAGGACAATATATATGTAGTCCTATTGTGTGTATATAATATATATGTACATATATGTATATATGTATATATGTTATGTAGCTATATATAGTATATATACACATATAATACATATATATATACATGTTTATTTCTAAGGAATTGGCTCACACGATCTATTGTGGGGACTGACAAATCCCAAATTTGTTGGGCGGACAAGCGGGCTGGAAATTCGGGTAAGAGTTGATGCTGTAATCTTGAGTCCAAATTCCACTAGGCAACAGGCTGGAAACTCAGGCAGCGCTTCTAGGTTGCAGCCTGGAGGCAGAACTCCTTTTTCTTAGGGAAACCTCGGTCTGCTCTCAAGGCCTTTCCCTGATTGGATGAGGCCCATCACCCACATTGTGACTGGATGAGGCCCACCGCCCACATTGTGATTGGATGAGGCCCACCGCCCACATTGTGATTGGATGAGGCCCACCGCCCACATTGTGATTGGATGAGGCCCACTGCCCACACTGTGATTGGATGAGGCCCACTGCCCACACTGTGATTGGATGCAGCCCACGGCCCACACTGTGATTGGATGAGCCCACGGCCCACACTGTGATTGGATGAGGCCCACCATGCACATTACGGAGGGTCAACCACTTCCCTCAAAGTCTGCTGATTTAAATGTTCATCACATTTACAAAATACCTTCACAGAGACATCGGGACTGGTGTTTGACCGACATCTGGGTACCACGGCCGGGTCAAATTGACAGATGAAATGAACCACTGCAATGCCTATCAGACACGCCCTCTCCTAACCTCGCAAGGGGTGCTTACCTCCCCTCAAAGGAAGAGGACGATGTGGCAGTCGGGTGGACACAGGTCCTTAGTCCCCGTCCCCCTCACAAGGTGATAGGTATTGATGGACTGGCTCTAAGCCAGGCCTCCTAGAACCACCAGGCCACTACGGACTCACCAACATTCTGCTCAATCATCTGCCGTAATCTGCCTAAGCAACTCCCCCAGAGAGGTCAGATCACTAGGGATCGTATTCAAGTCATGTATTAGTTATTGCTCAGAGGCCTCAGGGACATAAATCAACAGAAAAGCAAAAAGGCTTCTGGACCTGCCACCTCATTTTCTTTCTTCCTGGATGGGACCTAGGAGCTATGATCCAGAGGAAGATAGGGAGGGGGCCGCTGGCCTTGAGTTCCTTGGCACACATGTGGGGACTCCAAAGGACAGGAGTGAGGAAGATAGAAGGGCCATGGCCTTCTCCCTGTTGCTGGCCCCGAGAGAGCTCTGTGAAGGAGGCCCAGTGGTTAGCTCTGCAGGGGAGGTTCCCAGCCCCCTGCCCACCTCGGGACGTGAAACAGAGAAATGCGATCAAGGAGTCAAGGCCTCCTGCCAGGTTCCTCGCCCTGGCCTTGCTGGGCTAGGCTCTCTGCCTTTCATTTCTCAACAGACCTCTCTGCACCTGCTCAACAGTCCCAAGTCATTTATGTAACAAGCCCTGTGCCTCTTCCCTCTGCTAAGTGTCCTCTCCCTGCCCACCCCTGCAATCACACGTACATGCTCCTGAGAGGCCAGGGTGGTCATGGAAGCAGGGACTATGGGCCAGGAAACTTGCTCCGTTCTGGAAGGATGGCCAGAGAGAAGCTGCTTCCACCAGCTGGTGCATCTCATCACCCCCAAGTCAATTCGCCTGGTCTGGGTTTGCAAGTTCATGCTAATCATGACTCCTCCAAGCCAGGAATCCATGGCAAAGCCCTACCAGGCAGCTCTGGGCTGCAGAGATGGCCCAACTGAATAGCCCAGGCCTCTGGGCGCTGATGAACACACGTGCTCTCCATCACACAGCCCCAGGCCACAGCCAGTAGAGCTCCTGGCATCTCAGGGCTTCATGGGGGACCAGGTGGGCTCACTCACTCACCCACACTGTGAACAACACTGTCCCCATGCATCCCTCCCCAACACCCAGTCCAGGCAGGCCATGGCCAGGCAGAGGGTGAGAGCGGCCACTCCAGGTGGCCAATTTGGGTCTTTGTTTTGTGTTTCAGTGGGATAATGAATGAAAAATAAAATCACAGGTGCTCAGGAGAGGGCTGCTTCTTGGGCAGGAAAGCCGGTTTCCAGAGTCGATGAGCCGGTGGTTACATTTTAATTAGTTTGATAAATAATTATGCCTCTGAGACACCCAATCTGCCTTACAGGCTCTCTTCCCCACCATCAATAGATTAATCTTATTTAACCACATTTTACTTAGTACACAAACCCGTGTTCTGTGTTTCAAATACCAAGGTTGCAGAGGTCTTGGTTTTTGCCTTTTTTTTTTTTTTTAACGTTATCTATAAACACATCTACCTCCACTGACTGGCAAAATTCCTGCACTGTAAGTCAGCCTGGCAGATTCCACCCTGGAGGACACACGCGTGAATGCTATTTGCCCATCCTCTCTGAGTATAAATCCTGGCCTCACTCTTCCTCTGTGTGAAAGCCCTGCCTGGGTTTTCTCCCCAGAGCGAGATGTATATGGCTCTCAGGTGCAGACCCATCTTTTTATCCAAAGCACTGGGAAGCCTCAAGCTGGAGCCTCAGCTCCAGGGCATCAGGCGGGAAGTTGGCAATGTTCAGGGCCGAGATCACTCAGCTGCTTTGACGGGCATCCCCGGGACTGCTGACGTCCCAAGGCACTGACAGGTGGCTGCTGAGTAAACGGTCATTTGACCTATATGTTTGTTTTGATAAATGCCCGATAGGAATGTGCTACTGGTAAATTTCAGTTCTCAGGAAAGATATTGATACCCATGACATTCCTCATTTCCTCAGCTTTGCAAGGCAAACCGGGATTACCCTGAAAGTCTAACTCACTGAAAACTTGGTGGGAACTTGCACAGAAGAATCTAAACAAAACCCCAGAAGGGTAGCCTCGGGGTCTGACACCCCCCACCCCCACCCCCCCCCCCCCCCCCCACACACACACACACAAAAGCTGTGCTGCCAAACAAGCCCTCTTCTCCGTAGTATATAGGTCCAGTAAAGTCATAGCAGGGGTGTCTCAGAGCCTGGATTTGGTTTAAAAAATGGTTTGTCCTAAAGGGATCTGTATGAGCTTCAGCAAGCAGATTCATCAGTTTAAATTGTCCGCGGAGTGCAAAATGAGAGCTTCCTCCTAAGTCATGCTATGACATGTTCTAGTTAGGAAGGGAGCTTTCCCGCACTCCAGATGCCAGGTGATAAGAATTACTGATGCATTGCTTTCAAAACAGTTGGTTTTATGGCTTGGCAGAGCTGGCTCTCAGATTCTGCTGGGCTTCATTTGCATACCGAATGACAGCCTAGGAAAAGGCGACCGGAAGGCCTCAGACACCGTCAGCCTCTTCCATCTCTGCTGCCAGTTATAGGTCATTTTAAACTAACATCTGGTGAGTATATTTTTAAACCGTATCTGTAGCTTTAATTAGGGATCTCCTGGGAATGTCAGGGGAGGAACAAGAGAGACATCCCCCGGGGGAGATGAAAACACTGGCAGTTCCACACATGCAAAGCCCCGGAAGCTGCCTTGGCCCAGTTTTATGACACTGTATGTTCAACTGTGATAGGGGAGCCCTTTGCACAAGAAGATCTTAATATTAGCTACATGCTAGGGTAAGCAGAAATTCCGTTTCCGCATCCAAAAGAACTGACTGCCTCCAGGAGGTGGCTTCTGTGCCCAAGATCCAAGAGGGGTTTCCCCTTACGCAGCCACAGAAACCAAAACTGTCCCGAAAATGTTGCCAAGGAATGGAGAGGTCACCTTAGGACCCTCCTTCCAAGAGTATTTGTGATGAAGAACTAGTCAAGGGCTCCTCTGCCCTGGCAGGGAGAGTGATTTTTTTCCCCCTTTCTTTTCCAAAAGGACAATTCTGGAATGATACCTCATTACATGTGACAGACTTTACTTTCCACGTAGACCAGTGCAATTTAATATTCTTCTTACACGTGTTCATTTCTTTCAGCGATGTTTGAGATCTAAAGTACTATTTTAAAATTCTGTAAATTCTCAGGGATGTATATTTAAAAGCCAGATTAAAATGGCCTTTCCTCTCCTTCCCACTTGCCTGGCTACGTGACACAATTTGCCCACATCAGGCTGGAGAGCAGAGAGCCCCAGGAGTCTAAAGAGAGGCGGCCCTGCTGCTTGGCAGTTTCCAACCCCACCTCTTTCCTTGATAAATGTAAGTAATAAAAAAAAATTCCTCCATTTCACTGGAATGCCCATTAAAATGTAAACACAGAGAGAGGATTTTGAGGAGGCTACAAAAATGCTTTATTCAAGAGACTGCAAACGGCAAAGCAAATCTAAAGTTGATTTTTAAACCTAGTCCGTGGTATGTAAATACACCAGGCTCCACGCCCCTGCAAGGCACACAGATCACCGGGATGCTTATTGGAGAATCTGCAACATGGCGGAGGCTGTAACCCCAGCCTCCCTAGAAGCTGGGACGACAGCAGCATTTAAGCCCCTCAGCCTTTTCCTTTCACAAAGTTGTCTTCCTGGATCCAATATGAAGATCCAATGCCTTGGCTGCGCATGGCAGGAGCCCCTGACATTTCTCACTGCCGAAATGTAGGACCTCTGCCGGGAAATCTCCCAGTGCAAAGGGAATTTCACAGCAGAGAGAACGGTGTGTTCTCTCCACCTGTTCCACCTGTGACCTTGCAGGAAGGCGTGCCTATGCGATCATCACTCTGCAGCGTGGGGTCCCGTGTCAGATCCGACTCCCCTGCGGGTCTCTCCCTCACCGGCAGGAATGACAACTAGGTTCAACTCATGTCAATTGCCAAAGCTTGCAGAGCCCAACCTCGACAGGGAAGCTCATAATCACCTGAGAGTCATCCTCTGACATGTTTGCTATCCCTGTCCAAAAACTGCAGAGAAGGGCGACATCATCAAGTTTACCATCAATCAGTTTAGCTCCTGAATGCCAGTCACTGGGTGACCTGCCACTAGGACTAAAGAGGATTCTGTTGCTCATGCCCGCTGGAGTGGGTGCAGCAATAAATGGCTGAGGAATGCAAGGAAACAGACCATAAAGGGCTTCACACTTGCCCCCTCTCATGGAAGCCAACTTCTTCCACCAACTCTCCATAGTGTGACAGTCCACAACAGAGTGGCCATGAGTCCACTGTGAACTTATCAAGCCTACGGTCAGCTTTCCCTGCACCTCTCAGCACACAAGCTCACGCTTCGTGCAACCATGGGGGTTGCAAGCCTAGTAATGGGTATTGTGTGTGTGTGTGTGTATCTGCGGGTGTGTGCTCATTTCTATAAACTGTAAGTATATTCTTTATTTTTACTGCCTGCTTTGCTCAGCCTGCAGACAGCACAAAGATCATCAGCAGCCTCCTAAATTATGGATTGGCTCACCAAGTACACTGTGTCGCTCATTAGCGACATCACCATACAGCTCCACACAACAATAAATTAAGTAACACAATGGCTGCGGGAAAATTAGGTGAATAATTCTCACGTTAAACTAAAAAGTTCTGGATGTCTTTGGTTTCTTCCGGGCTGCTCCTAAGACAATACAGTCCCGTGAATAGACAACAGACAGGACTCTAAATTCCAAGGGTACAATTCTTCAGAGCGAGTTAGGTGTGGTTTACATTAAAAATAGAAAAGGCTCCTGCAAACAGACTTGTATTTATATAGAATGTTGTGACAACTGTCATTTTACATTAGTCAGAGAAATCCCACAGGACTGGTATAAGTATTAAATGTGGCCATTTTTTTTGTTTACCGACAAAACATAATAAAAAGAACACAGCCTCCTGGATGACATTCTGGAGGATTTTTTTTCTCCTCTTTCCCCGAAGTCATTCATAAAATAAACATGTGTTCCCAGTCCTCGCTGGCCTTCTTTATGAGTCTCCTGACAGGGAACTCAGAGTGACTGGCAGATCGGGGCCCCCTCAGAGGCCCCACACCAGCAGCCCCTCTCCAGACCTGGTGCACTCTTGCTGCATTTCCATTTGGTGCACAAACATCAACTGTGAAGCATGATCCCAGAGTCTCCCTGGAACCGTGTAATAAGGATGGAGTTACAGGGTTTCAGTGTGGACATTTATGTTGTGGGGGAAGCCAATCTTTCTGCACAAACGGGTTGGGGAGAGGCGTCTAAGTCTTGAATCCCAAATAGTTTGTCATGGGCCTCCTGCTGTCAAAATACAAAGACCTCAAAAGAGCTCTGTGGGATCATCCAAAGCAGAATAAGAAGGACGAGGGACATGTAAGTTACCCAGAGTCAGCAGCCCTCAATGGCCACCTTCCCCATGTCCCCATCCATTGCAGTTGAGAAGGTCAAAGAGGTAGAAAACCAAGAGGAACTGCTGACCCAGGCATGAGGTTACCTGTCTTGCTGAGCACATGGTTCTGACCACGGTCAGCTCTCTAGGGGGTGCCAAGGGCAGAGGTTCTCAAAGCATGGCCAGGGGGTTCTAGACCCTGCTCATAATAATGCTAGCATGTGATGTGCCTTGTGTGTGCTGCAGCATTTTCCAGACGCCACTGGATGTGATGATGCTGATGGTCTGGCAGCTCATGGAATGTGCAGTGCTTGTGTATTCTCTTGTTTTAATTTTCCTCAGTTTTAATGCAAATACAGTGAATATTAGGAGATGTAACCCACATAATCAAAAGAATGCAATAAGGATGGAGCTTTGTGAGATCCTCATTCATTTTTAAGCGTATAAAGGGGTCCTGAGACCCGCATGAGGGCTGCTGCTGCCCTCAGGGGTACCTGGCCAAACCGATGATGGCCCCATAGGCTCGCTCTCCTCTGAAAGTCTGGCATGGGGGACCTCACTGAGGTGTTTTGTTTTGTTTTGTTTTTTGGTGGAGTCTCGCTTTGTTGCCCAGACTGGAGTGCAATGGCATGATCTTGGCTCACCACAACCTCTGCCTCTCAGGTTCAAGCAATTCTCCTACCTCAGCCTCCGAGTAGCTGGGATTACAGGTGCCTGCCATCACTCCCAGCTAATTTTTGTATTTTTAGTAGAGACGGGGTTTTGCCATGTTGGCCAGGCTGCTCTTGAACTCCTGACCTCAGGTGATCCACCCGCCTCGGCCTCCCAAAGTGCTGATTACAGGCATGAGCCACTGTACCCGACTCTAACCCCATGAACCAAACACAGCCCCAGCCTCCCAAAGCCCTACGATGTGGCCGCAGCCTGACTCTGGTGGTGTGACTATGAGGCCAGCCCTGCCTGCTTCCCCCAGTATCTGGCTGATAGGATGCACACAGCTCCTGCGGGCCAGGCTTCACTGTCATATCCATTCCCTGCATCAAAGAGAGAATCAACACAGAAAACCATGTTGGCATTTAATACTTTTTTCTCTTATAACTTAACAGCCAGTTAGTATAAACAGTTGTGATTGAACCATTGCCTGATATTTTCCAGTACATGTTCACATGTCCTGGGTAATGTCTTTATCTAGAATTCAGATATCCGAGACTGGGGTCAACTCAAATGTGCAATGAATGATTTGATTCAATGAGGTGAAATGCCCCAATCCTGTTGGGGTTCACCCATGGTACATGTGGGTGCTCCTGGTTCCTCATCTCTGGCCTCAACTCACATTTGGGTCCAGAAGAATCCTCAGAAGGGGGCGTACACTCCATTTCCCAGCCAAGGAGGAGGATGCTAGGGGAGCTCCGGGTAGGAAAGGCACGACAAACGTGTCTCTTCCCCAGCAGCAGCTGCACCGTCAGGCCTCTTCCTGCCGCGTGGTCCAAACAAGAGCGGGCTGAATCCGGGTCCTGCGACTATTACAAGCCTGTGCTGGGGGCTGGCCATCTGGTGTCTTGGACCCTCTGTTATTTCACCATACTATATTCCCACCTCTGTAAGTTGCTCTGTGGAGTAGAGATCTCACGTGCAGAGCCTGGATTTCAGCCTGGTAACAGTTGGCACTCAGTACACCCAAGTTTCTCTCCCTCCCTTCCTGGTAGTAATGGCTCAAGGTTAAGCATCACGACCACCAGTCCTATCTCCATGTCTGCTGCCTGCCTAGAAGCCCGAGAGAAAGTGTTGGGGAAGAAAGAAGCAGAGGGCTGAGGTGCCCCAAGAACAGCCTGGAAATCTATCTGTGGCCGTTGTTACCCATGAGCATGGGCCTGGAGGGTCTGTGGGAGAGAGAGCCTTCTTACTGCATATCTTTTTGTATCATGTGTATTTTTGCCAGTTGCGTATTTTCATAATAATAAAAAAGGAAAAACCCTCTTTGTGTTGGGATAATCATCATTAAATGGGATTTCATTTCATTATCTGTAAAAGTGATAGTTTTGCAAGCCTTAGCATTATAGAACCTCAGTAGCAATGAATTTGGGGTTACACATAGAAGAGATGGGGTATCGCTTCTGTAATTGAACAATCTACCTCCCTCATCTCAATACCATCACACACGTAGGGTATTTATTGGAAATCACTTTTTCTGAATGGTCTGTGGTCAGCTTTCAGGGAGAAATGGACCTCTAAGTCCCTTCAGCTGTCAGGTCTCAGATTCTAGAGAGATTAGCCACGGGAGAAACATAAAAAAGAGTTTTCAGAAAAACAAAGCCTGAGAGCAAAGCATTTTTGGTCATAGGTGAGACAATTTGACATAAATTGGCAAAATTTTAAAAGAATTTTAGAATCTCTTGGTTCTAAGCTTGGTGTCAAATTTTGGAATTTCTTTCCACTAATGAAAAACGTCTTAAATTAAGAAAAATAATAATTAATTTTGAACACACCTGCAACATCTTAATTGGTCAAAATATTAAATTTAATTGTTTAGAAAACATTTAGTCATAGTTTGTGTTCATCCAGGGAAAGAAATTTTGTAACTCCAACATAATTAGAAGTTACATTAAGTTATTAATTTAGAGCTTGGGATTTTTTTTTTCAAGATGTTACTTCAACTTCTTTGACTTAACACTTCTATGACCTACAGTAAAGTGAAGATAATCACACTCTTTGGATTTTTAAGGGCAGATTTAGGAAGGATGAAGATGCATTAAGTGGAGTTAAGGCATTTTGATTTTGTCTCTGGTGCAGCTTTTGGAGTGCAAGGTCATAAGGTAAAAATAACCAAGCACATGAGGACTCAATTCTCCATATGTGAGAACCAGCACAAAGAAGAAAAGTTAAGAATCAGATCTGCCAAGACTCAGATATTGGAATTATCAAAAACATAATATAAAATTAGTTTGTTTAATCTGTTTAAAGCAAGAAAGGAGGAAAATGAAAGTATGATAAGGGAACAAGAGAATCTCCAAACCAACAAGGCAGATTTGGGGGGAAAAGGTAAATAGAACTTCTAGAGATAAAAAATACAATAACTAAAATTTAAAACTCAGTGTAAAGAAAATACTAGATAGTCAAAGAGAGAATTGATGAGTTAAAAGACAAATAAAAAGATATTACTAAGGAAGCCAATACAGAGAGAAAATGTTGAAACATATAAAATAGAGGTAAAGATGCAGAAAGCAGAGTACAATACAAATGATCTGACTTCAAGAAGGAGAGAAAAACAGGGCAGTGGTGATAACTGAGTTTGTCTGATAATTTCTATTTTTTATTATTTATTTATTTATTGAGACAGGGTCTGGCTCTGTCTCCCAGGCTGGAGTGCAGTGACAGGATCTCAGCTCACTGCAACTTCTGCCTCCTGGGCTCAAGCCATCCTCCCACTTCAGCCTCCCAAGTAGCTGGGACTACAGGAGCATAACCACTACAGGAGCAAAAGAATTTTTTTTTGCTTGTAAGAAGGCATTTTGCCATGTTTCCCAGGCTGGTCTCAAACTCCTGAGCTCAATCCGCCTGCCTCAGCCTCCCAAAGTGCTGGGATTACAGGTGTGAGCCATCATCCCGACCTGTCTGAGAATTTTTAGAGCTTCTGAAAGACAGCCAGCCACCAAATTCGAGAAGGAAGCCCAGTGAATCCCAGTCAGGAAAAGCAAAAACAAACCCTCACCTAGTACATCACAGTGAAAATGTGGAACACAAAGCTAGAGAGACAACCTCAACAGGAGTCAAAGAGAAATGACAATTAGAATGACGACTGATTTCTCAATTGTAACAATAAGTCTCAAGAGACACTGGACTAATATTTTCAAGTGCTGGGAGGGAAAAAAAAACAAACAAACAGAACTGTCAACCTGAAACTGTATATTCAGCAAAACAATCTTGAAATAATGAGAATAAAATGAAGATATTTTCAATAACAAAACAAAACCTGAGAGTTCACTTTCAACAAGACTCCAGAAAGGAAGCTTCTCAAGAATATACTTCAGGGAGAAGAAAAATGATCCCAGAAGGAAGGTCTGAGATGTAAGAAAAAATGATGAGAAATAAAGTGGTGGAATGGAGAGAAAACATAAACAGTCCCTCCTCCCATGCATGAGCTGTGCTCCTTCTTACCTAATCAAGGACATTCCTCCAGCAGTATTCCTGCCTGCTGTATCCTAATATTATCAATATTCCACTCCCTACCAGATCATTCCAACCTGCAGGGAAACATGCTGCTATTTCTTCAATCTTAAAAAAACCTTCTCCTCATGTCTCCAACACTACCACCTTATTCCTTTGCTTTCCTTGCAGTTATCCCTAAAAACAGACATCTTTACTTACTTGTCTCCCATTTCTTTCCTCCTGGTCTTTTTTCTTTTTTTTTTTTTTTTTTTGAGATGGAGTCTCACTCTGTTGCCCAGGCTGGAGTGCAGTGGCGTGATCTCGGCTCACTGCAAGCTCCGTCTCCCGGGTTCATGCCATTCTCCTGCCTCAGCCTCTCCAAGTAGCTGGGACTACAGGCGCCCACCACCAAGCCTGGCTAATTTTTTTTGTATTTTTAGTAGAGACAGGGTTTCACCGTGGTCTCGATCTCCTGACCTCGTGATCCGCCTGCCTCGGCCTCCCAAAGTGCTGGGATTACAAGCGTGAGCCACTGCGCCCGGCCTCCTCCTGGTCTCTTTTAAATCAACTCCAACAGACTTTCCCCCCCGCCTATCCACTTAACTACTTTTGTCAAAAACCTCCTCATTGCTGAATCAATGGCCAGTTCTCAGGGCTCTTTGAATGTGACCTGAAGACAGCATATCACCTCCTCCTTCTTCATCCTTTTTTGTTCGCTTGGCTGTCACAGTGCACTTCTCCTGAGGGGTCCTTCCTACCTCATGGTCATATCTTCTCTACCTGCTTTCCTGGACCTCCTATGTCCCTGACAAGCCTCAGGGCTGATTCTGATGTTCTTTCCTACTCACTCCCTCATTGTATTAGTTTCTTGGGGCTGCCATAACAAAGTGCCACAAACTTGGGTGATGACAGCAACAGAAACATATTCTCTCACAGTTCTGGAAGTCTTAAGTCTGAAATCAAGGTGCTGGCAGGGCCATGTTCTCTCTGAAGGCTGTGAGGGAGAATCTTTTCTTATCTCGTTTCAGGTGCTTGCTGGCAACACTTGGCATTCCTTGGCTTGAGTTGCATCATTCCACTCTCTGCCTTCATCACTTCACGTTTTTTCCTCTGTGTATCTGTGTCCAAATTTCCCTCTTCCTTTAAGGATACCAGTCATACTGGATTTACAGCTCACTTTAGTCTGACCTCACTTTAACTTGATTATATCTACAAAGACCTTATTTTTAAATGAGGTCACATTCACAGGTGCTGGGACTTAGGACTTGCATATGTCTTTTGAGGGGGACAGAATTCAATCTCTCAACTAGAAGTACCACTTCCCTGCTGATGACGTACACATTTATCTCTCCAGCTTTGCTTTTCTCCTCAACTGCTGTAAGGCAGCTCTCTGCAGAGCTAGTGGAGCTAAAGTTTCTGGCCCTCCCTTGTATTTGGTTTTTATGTAATTTTATGTTTTGTTCCTTAAAGAAGGCTCTCAAAATTGTATAAGCTTAAGGTCCACAAAACCTGGATCTGTCGGCCAGGTGCAGTGGCTCACGTCTGTAATCCCAACAGTTTGGGAGGCTGAGGCAGGCGGATCACTTGAGCTCATGAGTTCAAGACCAGTCTGGCCAACGTGATGAAACACTGTCTCTACTAAAAATACAAAAATTAGCCAGGCATGGTGGCGCACGCCTGTAGTCCCAGCTACTTGGGAGGCTGAGGCATGAGAATCACTTGAACCTGGGAGGCAGCGGTTGCAATGAGCCAAGATTACACCACTGCCCTCCAGCCTGGGCAACAGAGCGAGACTCTGCCTCATAAAACAAACAAACAAACAAACAAAAAAACCCACCAACAACAAACCAAACCTGGATCTGCCCTTGAAATGCCAGACTTGGGGGTCCAGTGGCCCCTCTGAATTTTTGAGGCATCTCAAATGCAGTATGTCCACAGCAGATCTCCCATGCTTCCTCCAAAACTGCTTCTCTTATAGCTTCCTCATCTCAGTTACTGCCCACTCTATTCTTCTAGGTGCTCAAGACAAAAACATGCAGAAAAAAGCTTGACTCTACCCCATCTCTGTTCCATTAGGAAATCTGTGCCAAGTCCAAGACCCCTTTCTCCCCATCCACCTGGCTACACCCTGGAGCAAGTCATCACCACCTCTCTTCTGGGTTACTACATTAGCATCCTAGCTGGCCCTGCCACGCTGGCTTCCTTGCTGTCTTTGAACGTGCTCAGCATGCTCCAGTTTAAAACTCTGTACTGGCTGTCCCTCCACCTCAGTGTTTCCCCTCCCAGGCAGACATGGCTTCTTCCTGGCACCCTCCAGCCTCCATTCAAGGCCGCCCCTGAGCACTCCACAGAAAACTGCCATTTGCATTCCCAGCCTCCCTATCTTGTTCTACCTTTTTCTCCCAGTCATGACCCCTTCTGATATCTTCTATCATTTCCTCGTGGATGTTTATTGTTTAGAATCTGTCACCCCAGCTAGAATGTCAAGTCCATGAGGGTGGGGACCTGTGCCTTCTCTGTTCCTTGTGTTTCCTATGTTCCTAGAACAGTGCGTGGAATTTAATGTTGAATAAGTATCTGTTGAAGGGAAGAATGGAAATATTAATTGTGTAAAATGATAATGATAATGATGTCTATTTTGGAGGGGTATAGAAAATCAAGATATAATCAACGTCTTCACAGAAAGAACACATTAGTAGAGTGAGGAAGGCCTGGGTGGGGGTTGGTCATGGATTGTTCAAAAGGATGGTCAAACTGTAGATTAACCTTAGGCCCTGTTAAGGTACCATATCTATGTTGGAATTTCTAAGGTAACCATTGAAAAATAGAAATAAAGGATATCTTCTAAGCACAGACTTTTTTTTTTTTTTTTGAGATGGAGTCTCCCTCTGTCACCCAGGCTGGAGTGCAGTGGCGCGATCTCGGGTCACTGCAACCTCCACCTCCCAGGTTCAAGTGATTCTCCTGCCTCAGCCTCCTAGTAGCTGGGATTATAGGCACCTGCCACCACGCCTGGCTAATTTTTGTATTTTTAGTAGAGATGGGGTTTCACCATGTTGGCCAGGATGAGCACAGACATTTTAAAATGGAAAAGGGAAAAACACAAAACTCAATTGAAAACATGGCGAAAGAAGGAAAGAAAAAAGATCACATGCAAAACAAACAAAAACACAACAAATGGAAAGTGCTATATGGAAAAAATAAATTCAAACAAATCAATAATTACAGCCAAAGTACATACATTCAATTCTCAAAATAGAAGATTACTAGCCTGGATTTTTTTTAAGAATCTTTATATATGCTATTTAAACCTGGAATAGTGAAAACACAAGGAAATGAAATGTTTAAAATAAAACAATGGAAAGAGAGAGATCAAATACTAAGCAAAAGAAAGCAGATAAAATAGATTTCAAGGCCAAAAGCATTACTAGAGATAAAGAGGATCACCATATTGATGAAATATTCAAGAGGAAGTTACAACTCTGAACTTGTGTACACCCAACAATATAGCCTTAAAATCTTTAAAGCAACATAGAGCAGAAGCAGAAATTCAAGAAGAAATGGGCAGATACATCATCATAATGGGAAAATTTTAATATACATGTCTTAGTGCTTGGTAGATCAAATAGACAAAAGGAGAAGAATAGAAAAGATTTGAATAACACAATTAATAAATCTGACCAAACATATAGGGCATTGCACCACAGAACATACATCCTTTTCAAGCATACATGGAACACATTTTGGACCATAAATCAAGTCTCATCAAATTTGAGAGAAACTATATTTCACAAAGCACGACCACAGGGCAATTGGATGGAAATTTTTAATAAATGTGTCCTTCCTTCATTCAACAGTTACTTATTCAAGATCTACTAAGTGCCAGACAGTGCTTTGTGCATTAAGGCTACAACGGTGAACAAAAGAAGACAATCATCTCTGCCTTCAAAGGAATGTATGTTCTAGAGAGGTCGTTCTAGTGTTTTAGTAGCAGGGGAAATAACAAACAGAAAATAGGATCCCACCGACTCAGGAGGCTGAGGCAGGAGAATTGTTTGAACCTGGGAAGTGGAGGCTGCAGTGAGCGGAGATCGTGCCACTACACTCCAGCCTGGGTAGTAGAGTGAGACTTCATCTCAAAAAGATAAAAAAAAAAAAAAAAAAAAAAAAAGAAGAATAAAGGAAATAGAATCATCCCAGGCTAGGGGTAGGGAGTACTAAGGAAGCACAATTTTACAATTTTAAATTGGGTGGTTTGGATTTCCTTCCTGAGAAGGTAAACTCGGAGCAAAGACCTGAAGGCCATGGGGGAGCAAGCCACATGGATATCTGGAGGAAGATTTTTCTAAACAGGATATAATGGAAATCTCCTCCTCCCCATATATTTGGAAACTTTGAAATACTTCAAGAAAGCCATAAATCTTAGAAGAAATAAAAGTAAAAATTGGAAAATATATTGAATTAAGTGACAGTGGTGCTACTGACCCAAACTTCTAGATGCATCTAAAGTAGTACTTTGAGGAAAAAAGTTATATACTTTAAGGTTAATTTTTTAAAAAAAGGAGTAAAAAACAATAACTTAAGAAATAGAACAAAATAAAACAATAGACACATGGGAAAAATTGAATCAACACACAAAAAGTAGAAGGAAAGAAGGAGGGAGGGAGGGAAGGGAAGGGGAAGGGAAAAGGGAAGGGGAAAGGGAGGAACGGAGGAAGGGGAGGGGAGGGGAGGGAAAGAAAGAGAAGAGGGAGGAAAGGAAAGGAAAGGAGAGGAGCTGAAATTTATGACATGGAAAACAAGCATACAAGAGAAGGGATCAATGAAGTCAAAGCTGATTCTTTGAAAAGTCTGATATTGACAAATCTCTGGTAATTCTTATTAAGGGAAGAAGAAGAAAGGTACAATTAAACAATATTAGTAACAAAACAGACACATAAGTACAGATGAAACAGAGACTAAGAAGATAAGGCAATGTTATAAACATCTTTATGCCAACTCATTTGAAAACTTAGGAGAAATGGACAAATTATTAGAAAAATGCAAACAACCAAGTGTGACTCAAAAAGAAACAGAAAGTGGCTTGAGCATTTTACATCCCCACCAGCAGTGTCTGAGAATTCTTGTTGGGATGATGGGATTGGATGGCTATTGCCACAGTTGCCCATAGTGGCCATCTGTTTTTATAAATAAAGTTTTATTAGAACATAGCCACACGCATTCATTTACATACCATTTCTGGCTGCCTTCTACAAAGACAGAGTAGCTGCAACAGAGATCATATGGCTAGTAAGCCTAAAACATTTACCATCTCTCCCTTTGAGAAAATGTTCACTGACCTCCGCTTTACAGAAAGATCAGAAACAGCCCAATTAATGTGCAATTGGAAACCAAATGAGAAAGCCAGGGAGCCTTCGATTGTGGGGCCGACAAAGCCCAAGACCAAGCCTAGGATCTAACCGATCAAGTAGCAGAGATGCAAAGCAGGTTAGACAGGCAACCAACGCAGGTTTGTTATGCCAGAGTCAGACACCGGGCTCAAAAAATTGATAACCCCCACACAGGGGATAGGGACATCTGTGCAAATGCCCCCAAATAATTTGACTTCTTCAGACTCTTCCAAATCTTCCAGGCCTGCAGAAGCATCCACCCCTCCCCTACTAGAGCTAGCAAACCCCTGCTCTAGAAAACAGTGCAGAGGTCTCTCTCCTGCAAGGTAACTGGTGCCTCGACTCAAGATATGTTCCCAATTTCCCTACTAACTATTGGGCCTAGGGTTACGTGGTGGTGTAACCCAGCAGGGGAGGTGCTGGGCCTGATAAGAAAGGAGAAGGAGGTGCAAGTTCTAGCCAACATGTGCTACCAGGAAGGAGGGAGGATAAAGGGGGATGGACTCTGAGGAAGCCTGGTCAAGTGGGCCTGACCAAAAAATTGGATAGAGAAGAGGTACTCTCCTGATGTCCAACACCATGGTAGGGATCCCTGGGGATGGTGTGAACTCTCTACTGGGATGGCTCCTAAAATATGCAAAAAGAGATGCTGAAATGTCAGAAAAGCCCTGACAGCTTGCAGAAGAAGGGATTAAAGGGCCTAGGAGCTTGGGCATGCTACAATGGATCTACCATGTATGCCCAGAATACCTGGGGATGAGCATGTTCCACAGGAAAGACCAAACAGCACACTGTTCTCCAGGGTCATAAGGATTGTGCCAGTGAGAGGGCCAAGCATCACTGAGAAGTTCAGCAGTGGCTCCCCTCTGCTGGCCAGGGATGGAGGGCTGACAGAAGGAGAGGCTGACAGAGAACCTGACTTGCTGATAGCAATGGTGCAATAGGACCCCAAAACGGTAAAGGCTAGTGCTTAACCATCAGAAGTCAGGAGCCACAACTACCAAAATGAGCAGCAAGGTCAGAGTGGCAGCCAACGGCCTTGTTGAGTAGAAGAAATCAAAGTTGGATGCCTGGGAGGCTGATGACAGTCACTTCCATAAAAATTCACAATCCCTTACCAATCTCTGGACCCAAGTCAGTTTTTAGACCTGCAACTTGTTGGAAAAAGAGATGGGCAGGTGCCCAAGAGAAAGGACCCTGCAATTCCGCAGCAAGTACATGCAATGAGCTCATTCCCCCATTCCTTCACCAAGGGGCTTACTGCCATTTATTTGGGTAACTATGCATTGGGAAAGACCCAAGTATTTTGAGGATGGTTTGGCACAGAGTCCAAGTTGATCTGAGACTCAGAGACCCCAGGTGTCATTGTAGGCCCCCTGTTGGATTAGGAGCCTGATCATAAATGGAGTCCTGCCCAAAGTCTCATTACAATGGATCCACTGAGCCCATGGGCCCAACTGATGGTCATTTCCTCTTCTTGAATGTGTAACTGGGATTAGCCTTCTTGACAGTTGGTACAGCCCCACATTGGGCCCTTGGTCTGTGAGGTACATGAGGGAAAAGGCAAGCAAAAGTCTCTGAAATTATCCCTCTCACCATGCTGGCTAAGATAGCAAAAAAAAAAAAAAAAAAAAAAAAACACACACAGCACAGCCCAGGGGGATAGTGGAGATGACAGCCACCCTTAAGGATCTAAAGGAAGCAGGGGAGTGGTCCTCATCATGTCTTTAATTCACCAACGTAGACCCTGCAGAAACCAGATGGATCCTGAAAGATGCCTATCGACTATGGTAAGTTCAACTGAGTAGCAACCCTGATCAATCACACCCACCAGCCAGATGTCTTTCCTAGAGTGGATTATTACAGCCTCAGATACATAGCATATGGCCAACTGATTCGATGACTGTGATCTCTTCTATTTCAATCAGAAAACATTTTCATTCATACGGAACAGATAACAATCTTCATTTGCAATAAAAAACAAAAACTCTGAGAAAAGCTGGATAGAAGAGAACTTCCTCAATCTGATAAAGAATACATACTAAAACTTTACAGCAAGTATCGTAATTAAAGGTGAATTATTGAAAGTTTTCCTTTTGAGATCAAGAGCAAGACAAGAATGCCTACAATCACCTTACCACGTCTACTTGATACTGGGTGGGAGAGCCTACTCAGTGTAATAAAGCAAGAAAAAGAAATCAAAGCATAAAGATCAGAAAGGACTGAATAAAACTTTCATTATTTGCAGATGGCATGATTGTATATGTAGAAAATACCCAGAGTACTGCAGATAAGCTATTAGACTGGGTAAATAAATTTAGCAAGGATGCTGGGTACAAGGCCCACACACACAAAAGAATTGCATTTCTCCGTATTGGCAGCCATAGAATAAATAACAAAATTTTTAGTATGCCAAGGAAAAAAAAAATGATTTAGTATAGCATCAAAAACATCCACTCTTTGGGAATAAATCTAACAAAAGACGCACAAACTTTACGCTTTGTTTTAAGCTCATTGAGAGCAAGGACTTTATTTTGCTCATTGTTGAATCTTCTCAGGACTTGGAATGCGGCTGACAGATGGTAGCTGCTCAGTAATTATTTGCTGAATGAGTGAATGAATGAATGATTATATCCTGATGCCCAGTATGTGTTTCCTCCTTACTAGCCATATTAGTCCATTCTTGCACTGCCATAAAAAATAGCTGAGACTGGGTAATTCATAGAGAAAAGAGGTTTAATTGGCTCACGGTTCCACAGGCTGTACAGGAAGCATGGCAGCATCAGCTTTTGGGGAGGCCTCAGGGAACTTACAATCATGGCAGAAGGCACAGCAGGAACAGGCATTTCACATGGCCGGGGCAGGAGGAAGCGGGGTGGAGATGTCACATACTTATAAACAACCAGATCTCATGAGAACTCACTCACTATCACGAAAATAGCACCAAGGGGGAATCTGCCCCCATGATCAAATCACCTCCCACCAGGCCCCCTCTCCAACACTGGGGATTACAACTGAACATGTGATTTGGGCGGGGACACAGATCCAAACCATATCACTATCTCACCCTCAACCTTCCTTCAGATCTCCATGTAAATGCCACTTTCTCACCCCTGCACCTTTCCTCTGAAGTGCCCACCACAAATGTACATAAGTAATTAATCATGTAGCTGGTCATTCAGTGTCTGCCTTCCCCCCTCCCCTAGACTGAGGACTCCATGAAGGCAAGAAATGTATCTGGTATAAGAAGTTTCCCAAAATATCCTTTGACTGACTAGTTGAATGAACATTACCCACAATTCAATAAGCTGAGACTCCAGTCGTCCATTTTCACCCCAACACACACGATTTCGTGCTGCCTTCATATGTTCCCGGTTTCCCTAGCAGTCCACCTTCACCCACCTCCATTCCCTTGTTCATTCATTCACTGAATATGCCCAGAGGCACGTGCATGTTCCAGGCACTGTGCTAGGCCCTAGGGATCCAGCAATGAGTAAAACGCGTGGCACCAGGGAGCTGGCTTTCATTGGTAACATGTGAGGCCCTGCAGAACAATGAGGAAAATCTCGTCTGATTGCAGAGAAGGGTTCTCCCTCTGCAACATTTTATGTCATCCTCCAAAATAGCTGAGGAACCCAACCATCCTCTCCTGTGGAATTCTGATTTGGTAGCTCTCTCAGCTGAGTGGTCAACTAAGAAAACCCCTTTCATACAGTCAGAGCTCATATTAGCTGTGATTCATTGGATACCAAGATGGAGGCGAAAAATCAGAAATACGTAGCTCTGGTCACATTACATTTTTCTTTAACCAAGGTAAGGGTCCCTTGTAAATATCCCCTGAAAATGGCTGTGAAACTCACTGGCCTTCGCCTCCCATTCCCTGTTAAGTTGTCCAGTGCTATATTTTATTCATTATATACCAGGTAACCACCCAGGAGAGAGACTTCCAGCCAACCAGTCACTGACCAAGTCCACCATACCCCAGGGAAGCCTTTACGGGCTGACCCAATGCCTGAAATTCAGAAAATCTCCAAGTGCCACCTGCCACTGCTCAGTGCCTCCCTGTGTTTGTACAACTAGCAATGCAGGAAAATTTCTGCCTTATTTGGAGGAACACAGGCCTGTTCTCTGAGCTGCAGTAAATTTCCAGCCAGGGATGGGGCCTCCCTGCTTCTGCACTGGCACACTGGGCCCTGACGTCAGCCTTGCCGTCATCTTCCCCCACCCCCTTTCTTTCAAGCATGCTAGCTCCACATACCTGCCCATTTCCCCAGGCCATCCATAGGGAAGGCACCTGAGCCATCAGAGCCTGGGTGGTAGGAAGGGCCTCAATAGGCAAAGCAAGTACATCTCCCCTTGGCTTAAAAAGGATCAAGAAATGTGCCCTAGGCAGGAAAGGAACAGAGAAGATCAATAATTTGTAGCTCTGGTCACTTTACAATTATTATTTTTTTTAACCAATGCAAGTGTCTCTTATAAATATCCCCAAAAAGAGTTTTGAAACTTATGCCCTCTAGCCCCTTGTTAAGTTGCCCAGGGCTGTGTTCCATTCAGGATATGCCAGTTGACTGGTCACCGACACAGGGCACAGGCTCAGACAGGACACCTGCGTGTGGATGTCATCCAGCTCAACCGCTTCCAGGCCTGTGCCATCTTCTCTGCCTCCTGTGTCTAAAGGCATCAAGTACAACTGAGAGAGCACCGACAAAGAGTCATTGCCAGCTCATTTTCAAAGCCCTTTGATTGGGAATTTTGCTTAGATAACAACACGAGCAAACTTGTAAGCAGTGTTTACTGTGGCAAGCACTGTTCTATGGGCTAGACACGTATTAATTCACTGAACCCTCACAGTGATTCTATCATCATTTCCATTTTGCAGATGAGGACAGGGAGCCACAGAGAGGTTGAGTGACTTCTTCAGTGTCACACAGGTGGATCACAGAGTTGTCATCCTTTCAACAGCCACAGCTAACAGCTAACTAACCTAAGCTGCTGCCAGCTTCCAGGTCCCAGACTAAGTGATGGGGAAGATCAGAGTCAGGTGGGCTGTCCCAGGACCACACGCCTCCTGGGGATTCGCCCTGGCCTCCTTCCTACTCCCGCAGGCCTGCTGTGGTCCCTTCCCCATCCTAGGCCTTCCTTCCCTGTACCCCCGGCAAGGGAGCAACTTCCCTTCACAGTGTTGGTCTCCAGAGGGGCTGTGCTCCCTACAGCAGGTTCCTGTCCATCCAGTTCCAAGAACAGGGTCCACATCTTGATAGTTTGTTTCTGCACCACCTCCTCACCCCTGGCAGACAGGACGGAATTTGCTTCGAAGTTGAGGCCCCACATGGCCACTGAGTGAACAAATAGGTGCTCTCTTACTCTCTGCCGCTCTCCCATACACTGCTGTACCCCATTTGTATGGGGGGAATCCTAACTCACCCTCAAGTTTCAGCTCAAAAGCCTCTGAGAATCCTCCTGATCTGTCCAGGAGGCCTCCCCCAGAGCATCTTCCTCCCATCCTATCTGGGCACGGCCACCCTCCCCTCCTGAGGATCTCAGCACAGGCTGTTCGTGTGTGTCTGCCTCCTCCCCAGATTGTGAACTCCCTGAAAACAAAAGGCCAGGCCTTTCATTTCTGCATCCCCCAGTCTAGCAGATTGCTGGGCATATAAACATCTGCGACTAAATGAACGAACAGAATTGTTACGAACACTAGATGTTAATAGTACAGCCACCTGGAAAGGATTCTATGAATGGTACAAGCAACAATAACATCAGCAACAGCAATAAATACCACTTATTGAGTACTTACCGTGCGTCAAGCATTCTGCTGACTACTTCACTTGTGTTATCTCTTTTAATCTTTAAAGGATCCATACCAAGTGAATAGAGTCCTTCCAAAATCTATGTTCACCCAGAACCTCAAAAGAGACCTTATTTGGAAATAGAGGCCCTGAAGATGTAATTAGTTAAGAAGAGGTCATATCAGATTAGGGTAAGCATTAAATCCAATGCCTGGTGTCAATAGAAGAGGCCATGTGAAGACCCAGGGAGGATGACATGGTTTGGCTGTGTCCCCTCCCAAATCTCATCTTGGATTGTTAATCCCCATAATCCCTGTGTGTCATGGGAGGAACGCAGTGGGAGGTAATTGGATCACCGCAGGTTGTTTCCCCCGTGCTGTTCTCAGGATAGTGAGTGAGTTCTCATGAGATTTGACGGTTTTATAAGGGGCTCTTCTCCCATTGCTCCACACTTCTCTCTCCTGCCACCATGTGAGAAGGTCCAAGCTTGCTTCTCCTTAGCCTTCCGCCATGATTGTTAAGTTTCCTGAGGCCTCCCCAGCCATATGGAACCGTGAGTCAATTAAACCTCTTTCCTCTATAAATTACCCAGTCTCAGGTAGTGTCTTTACAGCAGCATGAGAATGGATGAAGACAGAGGAGGAGATGGCATGAAGGCAGAAATGCACAGGGAGAACACCAGAGTGCAGTGACGCATCTATAAGCCAAGAACACTAAGGATCACTGCAGCCACTGGAAGCTGGGAGAGGCCAGGAAAGATCCACCCCTAAAGGCTACGAGGGAGCCTGCCCTGCCCACGCTTTGATTTTGTATTTTTGGACTCCAGAACTATAAGACAATAATTTCTGTTGTTTCTGGCTACCCAGTTTGCAATCCTTTGTTAAGGCAGCCTCAGGACACAAAAACAAGGTCCTACAGAACAGAATCCCCACATCTGGCATTTGAGGCTCAGGAAAGTTTAAAGAGTTGTCCATGTTGACCCAGCCAATAAGTGATTCACCACGGTAAAAGCCAGGCCTGTTTCCCAGGCTTCACCCTGAGCTGCTGAACCAGTCTACATTCAGGGAAAGAAATGGAGAAGGCGAAAAGGTCTTCCCTCATCTCTTCCCTCTCTTAGGTCTCAAATCCTTTGCATAGAAAAGAAAATGCCAAGTGAAGTTCTGCCTCCCCGACAAATAGAGTCAGGCCAAGGCCTATCCTTTATATCCAGACAATTTTCTTCAGCTGACAACAGGAATAATGTTTCTGCAGCTCCAAGCCCCGAACAACCCTCTCTCCAGCTGCACAAAGTCCTAAGGTGCGTGGGTAGATTCAACATGAACCCTGGTCCAAGTGATGCTCTGCAAGTCAGCAGCTGCCAATTGCTTTCCAGGAGAAGGGGCAATGAAATTGAGCCTCCAGACATGTTCTCATTCACTCTTTGTCTTCTCTGCACCCTTCACTGACCCTTGAGTCAAAACCCCTTCAACATCCTCATCCCTGCTCTCTTTTTCACTGAATCTAATCATTCTTCTTGTCAATGTCTCAAGGTCATATCTATCCTTCAGCCAGAGACAGTCCCAGGATGATTAAAACTTTTGTAATCTCTTTGGGACTTGGAAGAAAAGTTAGGTTTTCTGGTGGTCAGAGGCTGTTTCTGCCAGATCTCAGATGCACAGCAAAGTACTGTCAGGCCTTAGGGGTGGTGTACCTGAAGCTGACCTCCATGAATGTAGACTTTATGTTCCAGAGGGGGAACTCTGTAACTGTCAGAAATGTGAAAGATTTGTCAATAGCACATGAAATCAGCCACCTCAATTGTGAAACCTAAGTCACGATTCCATTTGTCACATGGTGATTTAAAAGCTCTGCTCTTGTTCTTTTTCACAGCTCCCTCTGTCTCTTCCATCACAGCCTATTTGCTCACTTGGTTTAGAATTATTGGGAACCATCATTTAAGACACTCAGGTTCCATGATAAAAAAGAGTTAATAATGCCTGGACTGGAGATGGCAGTTGGGAACCACAAACAGCACCATGATACACAGGGCATGAATCTACATGGAATGCAAATGGACTGTCTCCACCCACAAGGATACATTTGAGAGCATCCAAAATCCCAAACCCTGGGGCTCCCATTGCAAGGCCCTCCCTGGACCCCTTCCATGTCCCACACTGGGAGCTGTGGCCTTTGACCCAGATAATACAGGGTGTGCTCACCCAGAACTGCTGTCCTCTGCAGAGCTGGCTTTGGGGAAGGTCATCTGCTGGAGGACCCTGCTTCAGTACTCAAACGGTTGCCCTATGTGTAGAGAGGAACAGATTCCAGGGGTGCTCTGGATGGAAGAACAGCACCAAGTGACCAAAATAACTGGTATATAGACTTCACATTTGTGTGAGAACTTGCTGGTAACTGAGTTGTTCAGCCTAGGAATGGATCCCTCCCGGGGGATGAACTTTCTGCCTTTGCAAATAATCGTCTCTTAAGAATTTTAGGGTTGGTTGCCTGGCCTGCTGTGGGTGGGAATCTAGATTCCTGATGCAAAACTGTCTTCAAAACATGTAATCCCTGGATTCAGTGGCCCTTCTGTGCCTCTGAGAGCTCTGATGTGCCCTCTCCGCACTGCTTTCTCGCTGCCTTCCAAGGATGACCGATGGCTGCAGCTAAGTAGCCCACCTTCCAAACCTGCCTTCCAGCCTTTTCACAGGCACTGTCTGTCTCCCTACGTACTTCTTTCCTAGTAAATCAGGTTAAATTTATAAAGAAAATTATAAGGACATCTAAGATTATTGAGGGCAATTTGATAATATGTATCATATTTTAAAAATAAATATACCCAAACTCTGACTTTCATATAGTGGAGTAAATATGATGTTACTCCTTTTTCCTCCAGGAAATTACCCCTGCCCCAATGCTAAGGAGAAAAAGAAAAATACCAATTCTAGGTTTGATGTCCAGAAATTATCTCTAATCTCTTTTAACAGTGTCTGGAGAAGGGCCGACCAATGCAATAAAGGTCTAACAGGGTTACAGGAAGATCCCTAACGAGGACGTCTACCGCTGCAGCTCTCAGGCAAAGCCGTGGAGTGCAGTTCATCAAAACAGTGAGCACATGCCCCGAGGCACAAAACCAACAAGCTTCTGTTCAGAAAAATGAAAACAGGATTCATAGACTGGCAGCAGAGTACCGCCAGGACTCATAGGCTGGTCCAGGGAACTGGATATGGGAGAGGGAAAGAGGAGATGGTAGAGAAGAGAAATTGAATTGGTAGTATTGTCTCTGCAGCTGCTGATTTCTGTTGGCTGGAGATAGGGAAAGGTTCACAAATACAGACACAGCTCTGTGTCTAAGGACCTTTATGATTCAGAGGAAATTCATGTTAGCCAGAGGCCCTACCCTAGATCACAACCCGTAAGAAATTCCTTCATAGTAGTTCTGGGGGGTGGGAGAGTGGGATCCACTTTATCGAAAGACAGGAATCACAAGAAAGGAACCATAATCCAATTAGTATAAACACACAGAAAAAAAGGAGTAACGAGATAGAAATAAATAAATGTAGGATACTCACCAAGAAAATGTCATGGAGCCATTAAAAATAGTTGACCAAACACTACCACAACTTCAAACAATAATGAACAAGTGCTTCTTTAAAACAAAAACTCAAAGCAGAGACACAAAAGCTCAGGAAAGGCACAAAATCACATCAAAGGGGAATAAAACATGAATTGGCAGAGCTCAGGAAGGAAGTGGAAAAAATAAATAAATAAAGCCATCAAAGAAAAGAAGGCCCTTTTGGAAGCAGCCCAAAGGAGAACAAACCCTGCTGAAAGTCAGTTAGGGACAGAGAGGACAGCACCTGGAAAGTGAGCAAAAGTATATGGAAGCAGTTCTGGTTCCAGGCAAGATGGAGTGAGCATCCTGAATGCAGCTATAAAACCTGGACTGATGTTGAAGCAGCAAATCTGAGGACATTGAAAGGTACATAGGAGCAGGCAAATTAAGGAGGAAGACCAGAATTAGAAACACCCCTGAAAGAGCCACGAGCTTCCTATTCCTCCTTCATCCCTGAGTCTGGACTCCAGGCAGCCTGAAACTGGGAATTGGACTGTAGAAAGAGAGCCACGGTAAGCTCTGGTTGCAGCTCAAGGAGCAAGAAAACAGGCTCTGGACACTCAAAGAGAGCAGAAGAAATCCCGTTTTTTGTTTTTTTTTTCTTTTATCCATTCACTTGCACTGCAGCCCCCAGGCAATCCTGGGTGGTGATGGCAGCAACAGTGAGGCCCACAGGTGCCTAAAACCATGAAAGAAGGGAAACTCTCTCACAATAGTTAGACCTTTGATCCCAAGGAGGTAAGGAGAACTCATGTTGCTTTCTTTCCTCTCTCTAACCTACTGCTGTGGTCCCAGATGTGGGTGCAGTCATGGCATCTGTACAACTGACCAAGGTAACTAAAATCCCAGCTTTATGGCCAGATGACTGAAAAAGAGAGGCCCAAGGAGATGGTGGAGAGGGAAAATCTCACAAAATTGTTTATAAACTCCTGGGCTCAACCTCAAGCAGCATATGCATGGATCTGATGCTAACAGCATGCCAAAGACTTTGAGAACTGAACTACGGGATAACCTACACCCACACCCCAGACTGGCCACTGTATGGTGCACACACAGGACAGCCCCTAGGTCCCACACACAGGACAACAAAGGCTTTGAAAACAGAACTAACCTTGAAAGCACAGTCCACAAAAGTTCAGGCTGAAACCTGCAGCCTGAACCCACCTGGCTGGATTACCTATGAGAACAAAAATGTCAACATTCTCCTTTAGATCTCAACATGACCTAGAGTCTCATCACATAATATTCAAAATGCACAGAATAAAATCCAAAATTGGCTGGCATAATAACAACTAGAAAAAAAAAACTCAACTTTCATAGAAATAGATACATAGATGGTAGAATTATCTGGCAAAGACTTAAAAGCAGCTATTATAGAAATGTTCCAAGAAGTAAGGGTAAACACTCTAAAAACAAATGGAAAAATGAAATGTTTCAGAAAATAAGTAGAGAATATAAAGAACCAAATGGAAATTTTAGAACTGAAAATTACCATAACCCAAACAGAAAACTCACTGAGTGGGCTACAGAGCCAAATGGTGATTACAGGAAAAAGTGAGCTTGAATAAAAATTATCCAATCTGAATAAGAGAGAATAAAAAAGATTTTAAAAAATGAGCAGAGCCTAGGGAACTATGAGATGATACCAAAAGGCCTAATATCTGTGTTATTGGAATATTAGAAGAAGATGAAAAGGATTGTGATACAGATAAAATATTTGAGTAAATAATCATCAAAAACTTCAAAAATTTGGCACAAGACGTAAACCTACAGATCTGAATGCTCAGTGAACTCCAAACAAGATAAATCTAAGCAATCCATAATCAGATACATCAGAATCAAACTGAAAACTAAAGACAAAGAAAAACAATCTTGTTGGCTGGGCACAATGGCTCATGCCTGTAATCCCAGCAGTTTGGGAGGCTTAGGCCCGTGGATCACTTGAGCCCAGGAGTTTGAGATCAGCCTGGCCAACATGGCAAAACCCCATCTCTACTAAAAATACAAAAATTAGTCGGGCATGGTAGCATGCACCTGTAGTCCCAGCTACTTGGGAAGCTGAGGCACGAGAATTGCTTGAACCCAGGAGGCGGAAGTTGCAGTGAGCTGAGATCGTGTCACTGCACTCCAGCCTGGGCAACAGAGCAAGACTGTCTTAAAAAAAAGAAAGAAAGAAAGAAAGAAAGAAAGAAAGAAAGAAAGAAAGAGAGAGAGAGAGAGAGAGAGAGAAAGAAAGGAAAGAAAGAAAGAAAGAAAGAAAAAAGAAAGAAAGAAAGAAAGAAAGAAAGAAAGAAAGAAAGAAAGAAAAGAAAAGAAAAGAAAAAGAAAAATCTTGAAAGCAGCCAGAGAAAAACGACACATTACTTTCCAGGCAGAGGTCAGCAAACTATGGTCCTTGGGCCAAATTTGGCTCACTGCCTGTTTTGTAAATAAAGTTTTATTGGAACATAACCATAACTATTCTGTTATGCAGTATCTATGACTGTGTTAGTGAGACAATGGCACAGTTAGGTAGTTGTGATATAGACTGTATGGCTTGCAAAGACAAAAATACTTGCCATTTGGCCCTTTACAGAAAAAAGTTATTGACCCCATAGGGGAACAATGATTTGAATGGCTGAAGATTTCTCCTCTGAAATTACAGGGGCCAGAAAGAAGTGAAACATTTTTTAAGTGATGAAAGAAAGAACTGTCAGTCAACTCAGGATTCTAGATTCGGCAAAAATATCCTTCAGGAATGAAAGTAAAATTAGGACAATATCATGTGAAGGAAAACTAAGAGAATTAGTTGCCAGCAGACAAGTAATTCTCTAGAATTGCTCTAAGAAATTTCTAAAAGAAGTTCTTCAGATGGAAGGAAAATTAGATACCAGAAGTAAGTTTGGAACATCAAGAAAGAAGGAAGAACAACAGAACTAATAAAGATCTGGGTAAATATAATAGACAATTATTCTCAAGTAGTTTAAAATATTTTTGATGGTTGAAAGCAAAAATTATAACATTCCTTACTGGGGTTTTATATATATATATATGATATATAAAACAACTAAAATATAAGGGGTGAGGGAGTAAAGGAATCTGTATGATGTTAAGCTTGCTATGTTCCACTTGAAGTGGTAAATGTTGATTCTAAGTAGATTGCAAAAAGAATGTATTGTAACCCATAGAGCAACCATTAAAAAACTATACAAAGAGATATAGTAAAAAAACACAATATGTAAAATACAATACTAAAAATTGTTCAAATAACATAAAAGGCGGCAGGAAAGAGGAAACAAAGGAACAAAAACAAAGGAATAAAAGTTTTCAGGCCGGGCGCGGCGGCTCACGCCTGTAATCCCAGCACTTTGGGAGGCCGAGGCGGGCGGATCACGAGGTCAGGAGATCGAGACCATCCCGGCTAAAACGGTGAAACCCCGTCTCTACTAAAAATACAAAAAATTAGCCGGGCGTAGTGGCGGGCGCCTGTAGTCCCAGCTACTTGGGAGGCTGAGGCACGAGAATTGCTTGAACCCAGGAGGCGGAAGTTGCAGTGAGCTGAGATCGTGTCACTGCACTCCAGCCTGGGCGACAGAGCGAGACTCCGTCTCAAAAAAAAAAAAAAAAAAAAAAAAAAAAAATTTTCTAACTGCAATAATGAAAAGACAGAGATTGTCAGAATGAATAGCAAAGAACCATGACCCAACGATGTGTTGTTCCCAAAAAATGCATTTCAGATATAATGATATGAGTAGGCTAAAAGTAAAAGGATGGAAAAAGATATGCCATGCAAATGCTGTGGAAAATAAAGTTTGAGTGGCTATATTAATATCAGACAAGGTAGACTACAGAGCAAAGAAAATTACCATGATAAAAAGAGACACTGCTTAATAATAAAAGAGACATAATGATCCTAAACATGTACATACATAATAACAACTTTCAAATATATGAAGCAAAAACTGAAAGAACTGAAGGGAAAACTAAACGAACCCACAACTATAGCTGGAAGCTTCAGTACTTCTCTCTCAGTCAGTAATAGAATGAGTAGACAGAAATCAGTCATAGAACAACTCAATAGCACCATCAACCAACTCCAACTGATAGTTGAGAGTACGCTACCCAACATCAGCAGAATACACATTCTTTTTAATTATACATGGAATATTCACCATGATCATGTCTTGAGTCATAAAACAAACCTTAAAATAACTAAAAGAATTGAAATCTACAAAATATGTTCCCTGATGATTAAATTAATTTAGAAATCAATAACAGAAAGATAACAGGAAAATCTCCAAATATTTGAAAATTGAAAACTCTCTAAATAGCCCATAGGTCAAAAAAATTAGAAAATATTTTTAACTGATCAAACAATAAAAATATAATGTATCAAAATCTGTGGGATACAGCCAAAGCAGTGTTTAGAGGAAAATTCATCTTATTAAATGTTCACATTAGAAAAGAAGAAAGGTTTCAATCAATAATATAGCATCCTTCTTAAGAAACTAGAAAAATAACAGCAAATTAAGCTCAAAGCAGGCCAAAAGGAGATAGTAAAATAAGAATGAATTACAAATGGAATTGAAAATGAAAAAAATAGAGAAAATCAATGAAAGCAAAAGCTAGTTTGCTGAAAAGATAAATAAGATTAATAAACTTCTCCACAAGACTAACAAAGGAAAAAGAAAGAAGACAAAACCTACCAATATCAGAAATGAGAGACTAGATATTAGACTCCACAGACATAAAAAAGATAAGGGAAAACAGTGAACAACTTCACATAGATAAATTCTACAACTTAGATGAAATAAACCAATCTTTGAAAACCACAAACTACCAAAATGCACCCAGATTTAAAAAAAAACAACAACAACCCTGGAATAGTCCTGTAACTATTAAATAAATTGAATTAGTAGTTTAAAACTTTCTGAAAAAAAAAATTCTCTAGGCCTAGATGGTTTCCCTGACAAATTTTACTAAATGTTTAAAGAAGAAATAGTATCAATTTTACACAAACTCTTCCAGAAAACAGAAGAGTCAGGAATATTTCCCAACTCATTTTATGAGATCAGTAACATCTTGATACCAAAACCAAAGACAGTACCACAAAAGAAAACTATAAACCAATATCCCTCAGAAACAGAAATGCAAAAATCACCAACAGAATATTAGAAAATAAAATTGAGCAACATATAAAAGAAGAATATACTATGGCCAAATGGAATTTATCCTGAGAATGCAAAGATGCTTCAATATCCAGAAATCAATCACTGTAATTTACCATGTTAAGAATCTAAAGAAGAAAAAACATTATTATATTCTCAACCAGATGAAGGGCATCTACCAAAAAAACCCTACAACTAACTTTATACTTAATGGTGAAAGACTTGAATGTTTTCCCTCTAATATCAGGAACATGGCAAAACTGTCCATTCTCACATAAGCTTTGTAGGGAAACCCTAGCCAGTGCAATAAGGCAAGAAAAAGAAATAAAAGCCTGTAAATTGGAAAGCAAGAAGAAAAGCTGCCCCTATTTTCAGATAGCATGATTGCCCACACAAAAAATTCTAAGAAATTTACAGAAAAAAAAAAATCCTAGAACTCAAGTGAGTTTAGCAAGGTCACAAGATACAAGATGAACACACAAAACTCAGTTGTATTTTTATATACTAGCAATGAATTAGTGAAAACCAGTTCTTAAAAAATGCCATTTAAAATAGCTCAAAAATGGAAATACTTAGGTAAAAACCTAATAAAAAATATATAGAGCATCTATATGCTGAAAATTACAAAATACTAACAAGAATTTTTTTAAAGACTTAAATAAATGGAGAGATATATGGTTGTCCCTTGGCATCTGCAGAGGATTAGTTCCAGGAACCCCTGTGGATATAAAAATCCACAGATCCTCAAGCTCCTTATATAAAATGGTATAGTATTTGCATATAACCTATGCTTACCCTCCCATATACTTTAAATCATCTCTAGATTGCTTATAATACCTAATACCTAATGTAGATGCTATATAAATAATTGTTATACTGTATTTTTTACTTGTATTATTGTTATTGTTGTTATTTTTTCTGAATATTTTTGATCCACTGTTGGTTCAATCCACCAACGTAGAATCTGAGATATGGAGAGCTGATTGTACTGCGGTCACATATTGGAAAACTCAGCATAGGAAAGGTTTCCAGTTTCCCCCAAAGTGATCTATAGATGTAACACTATATCAATAAAAATTTCAGCAGGATTCTTTTTGTAACTATAGACATACTGATTCAAAAATGTATACTGAAAGGCAAAGTAATTAGTATAGCCAAAACAATTTCTTAAAAGAAAACTAAATTTTGGGAAATTTGACTAACCAATTTGAAGACCTATATAGACCTACAGTAATGAAAACAATGTGGTATTGGTGATGTGATAGGCACAAAAATGAATAGAACACAAGAGACATAATAGAAATAAACTCCACAAATACAGACAATTGATTTTTGACAAAGGTGCAAAGGCAAATTCAATGGAGAAGATTTTTTTTTCAATAAGTGGTATTAGAACAATAAGACATCTAAATGCAAACAAAAACAAAAAAACAGAGAACCCTCAACCTAAGCCTCACACATTAGACAAAAGTTAGCTCAGAATGGATCCTAGCTCTAAGTGCAATATGTAAAATCATACACTTTTTAAAAGCGAACATAGGAGAAAATATCTGTGACCTGGAGTTAAGCAAATATTTGCTAGACATAAAACCAAAAACAGAATCCATAAAAGAAACAATCGCTAAATAGGACTTCAACGAAATTGTAAAACTTTTCTTCTAGGAGACACTTTTCAGATAATGAACAGACAAGTTACAGACTAGTTAAAAATATTGGCAAATCACATATCTGACTCAACAGCAAGCAAACAAACAACCCAATAAATAATGGACAAAAATTTGGACAGATACTTCACTTAAGAGGATACAGAAATGGAAAATAAGCCCATGCAAAGTTGTTCAACATCGTTAACCATTAGAGAAATGCAAACCATTAAAACCACAATGAGATACCAGTACACGCCTATTAAAATAGCCAAAAAACAAAATACACACAAAATCAAAATAATAAAAATGTGTTGACAATTTCTTACAATGTTAAACATACACTTACTATCTAACGCAACCATTCCACATCTGAGTGTTTCCCTTGGAGAAATGAAAACTGTTTACATGAAAACCTATATATAAATATTTGTAGAACATCTATTCATGATCATCCCAAACTTATATATCCAGGAAGCAGATAAACAAATTGGTACATGAATACAATGGAGTATTACTCGGCAATGAAAAAGTAATGAATGGCAACGTTGAGCAGAATGAAAGTACTGGTCTCAAAAGTTTCCATATAGTATAATTCCATTTATAAGACATTTTCAAAAAGACAAAACCTATGGTGTTGGTGAACAGATCAGTGGTAATAGGTTTCAGGGTAAGGTAAGGGCGTGACTCCAGTAAAAATACCAGCTGGGGTTTAGTGGGGGGTTTTTTGCTTTGTTTTGTTTTAGATCAGTCTAATTCCAAAGAGTATTAGAGAAATACAAGCAGAAGTAGCCAAGAACATTCTGAAAAAGAGGAATAAAGGTGGACTTCCTTCATGAATATGAAAATGTATTAGAAAACTACAATAATTAAGAGTGTGGCAATCAAATGTGGATAAACAGACAATTCATTGAAACAGAATAGATAGTCCAAAAATAGATCCAAATACAATTCAGAATTTAGTATATAACAGAGAAGGCACATGCCTACCAGCAAGAAAAAAAGGTAGATGATTCAATAAATAGTTTGGCAACACTTGAGCAGCTATCTGGAGAAGAAAAATAAAGTTGTATAATATATTGACACTGTCCCTTCTACCATAATACATTCTAAATCATTCAGAGATTTAAATTAAGAAAAAAATAAAAATATTAAAATACCAAAAACATTTTTTTGTAATTTTGGAACAAGAAATGGCCTCTCTATGTCATACATTTTAGAGATCATGAAAGAAAAGAGATAAATTTGGCTACTTACACTTTTTTAAATGTCTAGAAAAAATATTAAAAAGCAAAATCAAGTTATGAGCTGAGAAATTATTTACTATATATCATAGAAAAGTTAATTTCTGTAATATATAAAGAGCATCTTCTAACCGATAAGAAAAAAAACCAACAATCTAATACAAAGATTTGCAAATTTCTGAATAGAAAAGAAGTATGTTCAACTTCATTAATAAGATAAATTTAAAGTAAAACTGTAAGAGCCATTTTATATGTCAGACCTAAAAAAAAAAAAAAGCTTTGATAACACAATGTTTTGATAAGGGCTTGAGGAAACAAATGATTTCACATACTGTTAGCTGGAATGTAATTTAATTTACCATCTATGGAGGACAATTTGTCAATATCTGTGAAAATAAAAAGTCACACAGTCCATCGTCTAAACTGTCCTCTTCTATAATTTATTTTACATAGTCACATAAGTGTAAAATGACATATGTGTATAAAATAATTGTCAGATATTATTAAAATATTGCTTGTAACAACAAAAGACTAGAAACAACTATTCATTAACAGAATGTTCATTAATTTAAACATTGTGCATTCGTTCTATCCAATACCAACTCCCATCTCGAGGTCTTTTTAAAAAATAGTGGTAGAAAGTACATAACATGAAATTTCCCATTTTGACCGTTTTCAAGTGCACCATTCAATGGCATTGAGGACGTTCGCATTGTTGTGCAATCATTGCCACTCTCCTTTTCCTAAACTTTTCATCATCCCAAACAGAAACTCTGCCTCCTTTAAGCAATAACTCTTCATCTCCCTCCCCTCCCCCAGCCCTTGAGAACTTCTACTCTAATCCCTGTCTCTCTGAATTTACCTATTCTGAGATCTCAGAGAAGCAGAACCACAGAATGCAGTGTGTGTCCTTTTGTGTCTGGCCTCTTTGCCTTAGTACAAAGCTTTTAGGACTTGTCCAGGTTGTTCTGTGATCTCAAAGGCTTTCGCTTGCTGTTGTAATTGGAAAGCCTCTCCCCAGATTTCAATAGGGCTCCTGACCCCTTCAGCTCTTTCCTCTCCAGTCACCTCAGTAAGGCCTGCCCTGACCACTGGATTTAAAGTTGCAGCCACGTCCCATGCCTTTTCTCTGCTTTGTTTTTCCCTGTGTCTCTCATGACCATCTGGCATGCTACATATTCTAGTTCTTATTGTCTGCTCATCCCTTGTCTCTAGACTGTGTCAACAAGGGCTAGGACAGCTCCAGCACCTAGAACACTGGGTTCTAGCAGCTGCTCAGTAATACTTGTGGGATCAATGAAACAATGGAAACGATGTAATCATCCAACAAAAGGGTAAGAAAATAACACCTACGCTGGTAAAATGTACTAATTTGTATGACATAAATTATGTCCACTATATAGTTGTGGCTAAAAACGAGACATAGAGTATAGCTCAGCTTCATAAACATATTTGTGCATGTGTGTATGTATACATTGGATTTAGGGGGGACTTTTTATACAGTTTTATACTGTTTGCATTTTTATAACAGATTGTTTTTGATATCAATATAAAGACAAGATATTTCTGTATTGGACAAAAATTCAATGTTTCTTTAATTCAAAGCTTGTGGTGCTGAAGCCATGCTCTTTAAGAAGGAAGAGAGTGCTCTAGGCACCATCTCAACTACGAGGCAGAAGACAGGAAGAAGTCAAGTAATAATAACGGTGCTTATACTAGTTAATGTTTAGTGAGTGCTTAATGTATGCCAGGCACCACTCTAAATAAATGCTTTACATGTCGTAACTCATATAATGCTCCCAGCAGCACCAAGAGGAAGGCGGTGGTACTGTCCTCAGTCATGAATGAGGACACAGACACAGAGAGATTACAGAATTTGTTCAGGGTCACCCTAGCCTCCCACAGCACCTGGGTACCCTTCCCCTTGGGCCCTCATCACACTGCACTGTCATTGCCTGGTAATTTGTTCATCTCCCCAAAATGACGATTTGGAAGATTAATTCTGCTGCAGATTGCCAGCCTCGCACAGGTCTGAAACATGGTGGGTGCTAGTGAACCACGTTTATTGAATCCATGTGACCAACAAAAGAAAAGGCATCAAGCGGGGAAGCCCAATACCTGAGAGAGGCTCCCCCAAAGGGTCCCCTTGAGACGCAAGACCCTCATGAGGGACTCTGGGATGGGGAGAAGCACAATAGGGGCTCCAAATGGGAAACAGATGAAGCCCCCCAACTCCTCCCAGTTTATGGCACATGCAGGCAGAATTACAAATCTTCTAACTGCAGTTATTAGAGGTGCATATTTCATTACTCGCAGCATTGCATATTTATAATTTAGCGGTGTGTAAAAATTTATAAAGGCACAACTAGTGGTTGGTTAATGACAGCCACCGTGGCAGCCCATATTTCGGGTATTTCTCATGTCACAGCAATCTGGCCTGGAACAGAATGCCACATGCATAAAACAGGGGATGAAAAGACAGGAAATGGGCTGGGGGCTTTATGACAAAACCGTTCCTAGACTCACAAAGGTTCTCCCTGTTATTGTCGGTGAGAGGTGAGCTGCTCCAAAAAGGGAGAGTGGGGCCAGGTGCGGGAGGGGATTGAGGAGCATCTCTCTGTGGGCAGATGCACAGAAGCCCAATGCCAGCCAGGCTTCAAAGAGCAAAGCTTTCTGATGGAGAATGATTAAGGCAAGAGACCCCCCACCCCCACCAAAGAGAAAGCAGTCGATGCTTTTGCTGTATTGACAAATGCATAATTTTGTCTTGGAAAAACAATCCCCCTGCCTTTCCAAAAGTGAGTCCTAAAATAGCTGCCTTTCAAAGACCAGCGTCCTGATCGAGTTTTTATTCATCCATGGCTGCAGATGAGCCAGAACGAGTCCTGGAAGTTTACCCCCGAAGCCACAGCTCTGGTCTCACAACTCATCAATTCCGTGTGCTGGATGACAGGGGGCCAGGCCCAGGGGCCCGAGAAAGCCTGCAGCCCGTTCCAGAGCCCAGAGCAGCTTGGCTCAGGGTGGGCTGGACAGGTGGAGGCCTCTGTGCTGCAGGAAGTGAGAGCACTTGCTGGGTAGCAGGAGGCCAGGCTGCCCTCGAGAAGTGGGCTAGAGAGAAAAGCATCTCTGCAGCAGGCATCCCAGGAGCACCCCGGACCTGGGCGCCCCCAGCACTCATCATGTCTGTCCCAGTCTTCAAAGATGATGAATGGGCCTTGGCTTTTTCTGTCCTATCCATGCTGTGGGGAAGAGGTGAGCAGACTCCCCCGAGATCTGGTTACATCCAACATGAACACACTGCCTGGCTCCACACAAGTCATCTGAGGGGCTGGCTGAGCCCAAGGCACCAGCACTACAGGCTCACAGGGATCCTCCCCGGGCCCCACGGGCAAAGCCCCTCAGTCATCAACAAGGGCTGGGAAACTATAAGACTCCTTTGTACGCTCCACCACAAAGTCAAGGAAGTTGATCAACAGAGCCATCTATTTTCACTTGGTACAACAATTAGAGCAGATCTGTATTTTTCCAAACTATCACCCTGAAAAAGTCAAACCACATTACAAATCAAAAAAGAATAATTAAAATCTACACCTCTCGCAATACCGCAGGTGAAGGCAATTACAAGGCACTTCTAATGAGCAATTTACGTAATTTAAAAAGTCAGACCCATAATATGCAAAGAATGCTTCAGATGAATTACTGCCGGGTGACTAGGTGCACTTTGATCCTTGTGTCTGGCCCCTGCTGGCTGTGGCTCCTCTGTCACCCTCACGTCATATTTCTGGGCTCCTGGGTAATAGCCATGGAAGATTTTCTGCATAAGCTCAGACTGTGACTCATATTTAGAAAGTGCATTTAATACCGACTTGCATAAAGGATGGTGGGTAATTGCTGCTAGAATCCAATGTGTGTGTTGTATCTCATCTATGATATGCAATTTAGAAGCTATATTCTAGTAAGAGAACTTTATGACTTGCTGTCATGATAAATAAAAGTTTATGGCATAATGGAATTAATATTTACTTTGAGTGCAACACAGACTATGGAAATAAAGTTGCTCTGGAATCACTTTAAACCAGGAGAGTTTGCAAATGTCACCAACGGACAACACGACACTTCCTCTCATTGCCTGCCAATCATTCACCATCTTTCAGGGTTCTGCTTTAATCAATATCTATACAATTTTTTTTTTTTTGAGACAGAGTTTTGCTCTTTGTTGTCCAGGCTGGAGTGCAGTGGCACCATCTTGGCTCACTGCAACCTCTGCCTCCCGGGTTCAAGTGATTCTCCTACCTCAGCCTCCCGAATAGCTGGGGTTACAGATGCCTACCACCAGGCCTGACTAATTTTTGTATTTTTAGTAGAGACGGGGTTTCACCATGTTGGCCAGGCTGGTCTCGAACTCCTGACCTCAGGTGATCCGCCTGCCTTGGCCTCCCAAAGTATGGGGATTACAGGCGTGAGCCACTGCGCCTGGCCTCTATACAATTTTCTAAACAATTCATGGAGTTAAAAACATTGATGCTGGATGTGATGCAGTAAATGTGGAAGTGATCTGCTGCACCAGGAATGAGCCTGGAAGGGAGGACCAGAGTGGGGACCAGGGTGATTCTGTGCCAGGGTCTAGGGGAGACCCTTGGAGGAAGGAAAATCATGTTTTCTGAGTGAGTCCCTCTAATGCAGCTGTTTTCAGAAGGGCATTTGTGACTCATCGGACATTCAATCTGGTGCTTTATTGCGAAGGGAATTTTTTTTTAAGAATGCTATCTCAAATTCAAATTATACAGAAGCTGCTTGATTCTAAAATAAACAGACAGCAAGCAATTTTCTGACTTTATTCTAAATGATAATTACTTAAGGTACAGGGAGCAGTTGTTCTGGATCTTAAAGGAATCAGACCACAGTCAGGGTTGCTAGGAAGTCAATGACACTTAAGCTTTCGGGGCACCTCTGGTTGCACGGGCCCCTTCTAAGACTCTAGGTCTCATTTTGTGTTCCTTATTTTGTATTGCTTATTCTTACACAAGGTCCTATAAAACTGAGATCTGCCCTGATCAGAAGTCAACTTACATTTCAAAGCAAAATGACACAAACCAAAGAGAGGGGCTAGAAATCCTGTCTCAGTGAGGGGTTGGAACACCTCCTTGTACCCTCTCACCCACAGTCCCTGCTTGTACAGGGCACTGATTGGGCGTGTGTCTCTGTGTGGGGTTGGGGCATTGCTGCCTGAATGTGGCCAGGGAGGAGATGGAAGTGGAGGCTTAATCGGAAGGTTCCAGGAGCCTGAGACACAAGGGCCAGCGTCTGACTCCGGGGAGCCGCTGGCTCATTGCGAGGTTGGAAGCTCTCCGAGTCTGAGTCATGCAGCAGCAGGAGGCAAATTGCCCAGACTATAAACAAGTGGGAGAATTCCAGAGAAAGCCTGGATTACTGGGGTGGTCTGTACCTCCCACCCCCTGCTTAGTTCATATTGAGTCACATACAGCATTACATTAAGGGGGAGAAACTGCTGACAGCACTGGCTTCAGAGTCAAAGGCGAAGCTCTTGCTCAGAGGCTCAGATGATTTCAACAACATTTTTAGATGTACAAAGTATGTTTCATATAAAGAAATCAAGTCATTGTTTCATATACGATTTTATTATGAAGAAGTAATATCTGCTTAATAAAGAATCCATGAAAACGAAGGAAGCACTAGGCAGGGAATCAGGTCTCCCCACCTCCAGCACATATTTTAAAACAGAATTTTCAGAGACTTTGAATTTTCAGGAAGCAGACCTAGAGAGGGGAAGGTACTTGCTTAAGGTCACACAGCAAGTCAGTGGAGAGGCAAGATGCAAACTCAGGACATCTGACTTCATCATCTTGGCCCCTTAGTCAAAGCAAATAGCCTCCTTAGCTCATTGCTACAAAAGGAAACAGTTGAGTCCAAAACCCTTGGGTCTGGTCGGCAAGGGAAGAGAGAGGAAGGAAGGGTGAAATGTTGGCTGCTCGGGACTGTTCTGTCTTAAACATTTTGGTGATTCTCTTCTGAGCCCATTAGGGACTGACTCACCCACGTGTCTGAAATGGTCCCTGAGTGCGTTCCTGGGGCCCTGGATAAGGAACTGGGAGAGCTTCAGAACCTAACACAATGCCTGGCATTTGCTTAATAAAAGTTTGCTGGATAAACAATTTGGTAAATATATATTACAAAATGTATTGATAAATACCTAATTCCCCCAGAGAGAAGTGGTAAAATTCTAATATACAAGAGACCTTGGTAACCTGGGGCCCTTTAGAAACAAAAATCTAGAATTTCCCCTGTAGCAAATGACCGGAATTCCGCCCCTGTAGATGGTGGAAATGTACTTGTGTAGACAGTCCCAGAAGAGAGGGCTGCATGTGGCAGGTCAGGCAGTATTAAGGGTCCCGTTTCTATTCATGGCTCATGGCCAAGAAAAAGATACTCACTGGCCCTCAGAGTAGAAATACATTCCTGGGGACCCCAGGGGATCCACAGGAACTTGTCAGTGACTTTCATAGAGAGGAAAAGACCTGCGGGGTGGGGGGTGGATCATGCATCTCTGGAGAAGGCTAAAATGACAATGCAGCCCCTACTGTTATACCCAGGGATTCCTGATTTGTTTCTCTGATGCTAATCCTACACCCCGCACAGGAAGGCCACCCTCGTACTCAGCCCTGTAGCTTGCCATCCAAAGGCTTCCCATTGAGTCTTCCTTGAGAATCCTTCCCTGGGAGTCCTCTACAGACAGATACCAGCCTAAAAAGGCAACTGAAAAGAATTTACATGGTCTTTGTTCATTTCAGATTATAAATTGTTTGACTCAATTTTATTTCAACTGAAAGGACTACAAACATATATAGAACTGCCGCTGACAAGGGTGATGAGCTGGTATAGGGAATGGGAAGGAATGGTAAACATTAAACCAAATAGATATTGATTCCTGCCACAATGAAGTGACTAGGATTGGATTTGCCCTCCTGCTGTAAACAATCATGAAACTAGACAAAAATATCTGAGGCTACTCTTTGTAGGGATTGTACAACAGGCAGTTCAGGACTGTGGTTCTGCCAGAAAAAAAACACACAAGATAAGCCCCATGTTTGCCCAGCCTTTTGGCCCATTATGCAGGACGATGGGGCACAGCAGCCTAGATTATAGGAGAAGGCAAAAATCAAGAGTTTGGGGCTGCTAAAGCAGCTAGAACTTACAGGTCTGGGCTCTGGAGAGAAGAATCTTGTGCAGAAAGTAGGCCCTAGAAGTCTGCCTGGAGGTACCCTGTGAGTACTTGGTTGAGGGCAGAACTGCCCACATGCAGGGCAAAACTCCATAGCTGTTATAAGACTGAAAGCTAAGCAGAGATACTAGAAGTCATGCAGAGCTGGCAGAGCTTTGAATTCTGGCCAAGCCAGACGAGAGAACCCTTGCTGAGTACCTTGGGCATTTGTTCCCCAAAAGGCCAGGCCTTAGGAACAAGGACTATACCCTACAGGAAAGGCCAAAGCCTAGGAATAAGGGCAAAATAAAAATGGACCAACTCTAATAAAGATTCAAACCAAGCCTGACCAGACCAAGAGGATCTGCCAGTAATTAACTGACCTGCCAGAACAAAATTCAACACCTTTTATAGAAAACAACATAACCCACACTCCCCTACCACATATCTTCTAAAATATCTAGAATAGAGATATACCATGTTCATGGATTAAAATTGGACTACAGATTTAACAAACTCAAAGAGCTTTTTACTCTTTTTGGGCAGGGAGAAATTATTTTTGCAAAATTAGGACATTTCTGAAAATACAGTTTTGTAGCTTTCTTTTTCCATTTGGTCCTCCATCCCCTCTCACCAAGCATTTGGCACAGCTAACCATTTCCTCCTTCTTGGAAGCCCCTCTTCACCTGGCTTCCAGGTCACCATGCTTTCCTGGTTTTCTTGCCCCCTGTGTCTCCATTTCCTTTGCTGGCTCTCCCTTTTTGTCCAGGCAGCTAAATGTTTTAGGTGTCAGGGGTCTAAGTCTTTAGTCATTTTCTCTCCTTTATACTCTTTCTCTCGGTGGTCATCCGTGATTAATGACTACAAAAGTCTGTATCTCTGGTCTGACTGCTCCCCTGAGCTCCAGACATATGTATTCAATGGGCCACTTGACATCTACATCTGAACATCACCCTTGACGTGGCCAAAACAGAACTCTTTATTCTCCCCCTAGACCTGCTCCACTACCATCATCTTCTATCTTGAGGAATAGCACCGTCATTCACTCAGTTTCTTAGGCACCCAACTTTGGGATCATTGTTAACATCTTTCTTTCACCTTATTCCCACACCCAAATTATCAAGAAGTTCTAGCAACAATCTCTTCAAAATGTATTCCCAGTCAACCCACTTCTTCCCATCCCCACTACTGCTGAAGTTCCTGAGTCATCATCTTCTCTTGTCAAGAAGACTGCAGCAGACAGTGTGTGCAACTAAAAGGCAGAGCAATGGTCCACTGTGGTAGTTAGGAGCACAAGTACTGGAGCCAAACAGGTTGGGATCAAACCTCGGCCCTGCCACTCACTAGTTACATAGTTATGTAACCTTGGCCAAAATACTTAACTCTCTGGGCCTCCATTTTCGTCTGTAAAGTGGGGTTCCTAATGGCACTTACTTTACTGGGAAGATGGTGACTCAAGGTCCCTGGCGTGTTCACTCTCTCTGGCTCTTCTCACTTGCTCACTCTGATGAAGCAAGCTTTCCTGTTGTGTTCCATGGAGAGGCCCACATGGCATTCACCAAACAGCTGGAACCTGAGCTCTTAGTTCAACAGCTCATGAGAAACTGTATCCTCCCAACAACCCCATGATCGAGTTTAGAAGTGGATTTTGACTCAGTTGAACCTTGCAATGACCACGGCCCTGGCCAGCACCTTTTCGGTAGCCTTGTAAGGAGCCCTGAGTGGGAGGATCAGCAGAGCTATGCCTGGCCCCAGCCCACAGAAATGGTCAGATAATAAATATGCATTGTTTTAAACTGCTATGTTTGGGGATAATTTGTTACACAGAGATAGATAACCAATACACCCTGCTCTATTTTCTCTGTGGCACTGATCACCTCTTGAGATTGTATCTGACCACTGTCAGTCTGCTGCAGGTAAGTGACAAGGGCGTGGATATTTTCTGTCTGTTCATTTTTGAATCTTCAGGAACCAAAACCATGCCATGGAAAGTACTCGATAAATATTTGTTGAACTGATGAATAAATTTCACACAGTGGGCATTTTCCCATGTGGCCGTGTGATACTGAAATGATGAACGCCTGGAAGTAATTTGGAATATACTGCTTAATTCACACTCCAGATTCCCAGCATCACTAACTATCCAATCAGTCTGTTTTACTCAAACCCTTACCAGGTGCCTAGAACGCTGCTAAGTACCACTGTGCAGATCCAAAGGAAACACACAACAAGCCCTCCCCTCAGGGAGTTACAATCTGGTTGAAGAGGAAAAGGCCTGCTTGTGAGAATGAGTAGAGGGGTTTAGTTCTCAACCCCGGGGCACTGAGTGAAAGATCACAGATGGAGATGCAATGTAGGAGACAGGGCCGGAATGGGTCCCATGACAGCATTGAGTACGGGCATGTGTGAGGCACTGTTCCCAGCATTGTCCATGTGTTGCCCCGTTCCAGCTTCCAACTCCAGGGAGGCAGATGCCATTAGGGTCCCTGTTTACAACAAAAAAAACCCCAAAGCCAGAAGGTTACATAACTGCCCGAGTCAGATGTAAGTGAAGGTGGAGTCAGTATTTGAACACCTGAAGTCTGACTTCAAGCCAGTGTGCTTGATGCTATCAGTGATTGGCCTGGCAGCAAAGCGGAGGTGGTGGATTCCTCCTGAGGTCTGCCAGCATAGACAAGGAGGAAAGTCCACATCAGAACGATCTTGGAGACCAGACCAAGTGCAGAGGGGAGTCGGGAGTCACGGGGCAGATGCGAGAGGACCAGGGAGAACCAGGGACACACTTGTGATCAAGGGCCTTGCCTTGGAGGCCATTTGGTGAAGGGTCCACGGAGAGTCTCTCTGAGACTTCACCCTGGTCTGGGCTGGTCCTCACCTGCAGGCTCAGAAGCCCCTGCATGACTTGCAGCCTCTGACAGTGACTGTCAAATCTTTAACCAAGTTCATAAGGCACAAGGATAAAATCACAATGCCCATTCGTTAATGTCAAGAACCCACTACTCCAGGGACCAGAATGCTGTGTCACTGACAGCATTCCCTCTGGAAGCTGAACGAGAGCAAAGTGGGTGGTTTCTACATTGAGGTTTTGGGTGAATAGGGCTGAAGCAGCCCTTTCTCTGCAGAGCTGGTCTCACCGAGGAATATGAGCAAGCAGGATGCTGGCCAAGATCACCTGTCCCCCGCACACTGCTGCCCGCAGCCTCTCCTTTGTCTTGCAGACACCTTCCATCAGAGGCAGTCTAGCAGCCAGTGAGAGCTGCTGTCCTTTTAAGGTGACTGTGCCTCTCCGTGGTTTCATAACATCCAGAGAGCTGCTGAACTTCCCTACCAGCCAGCTCCAGGGAGAAGCTCACCATCCATAGCCCCCCAGTCCTGACACTCAGCCAGTGTTAAACAGCGTAAACCCCTGAAAGGGCCACATCCTGGCTGAACAGAACAGCCCCACCACAAACCACCGAGGGAGCCTCCTGCCACCTTGGGTTATCCCCTCTCAGCCTCTCCCTGCCCCAGCTTGAGCACCCCCATCATCAGTGCTTGTGATGGAGGGTGAGCTTGTTCTGGAGGGACCTTCTCTTGAGGGCACCAGGATCAACTAACGCCCTCTGCATAGAAATGAGGAAAGCCTGGATTATTCTGGGCTTTGGACACAACTGTGCTTCCCCTGGGAAAATGCCTGCCGATGATATCTTTGCAAGCTTTAACAGGTGGGAAGTGCGAGGCTGCTAGCACGAAGCAGAAAAAGGATTACAAAAGCCAAATGCTCATTACTACAAAATCTCCTCCAACAGGCTCCAAAGAGGCCCCCCGGGGCATGCCGAGTTTTCAGAGAAAAGCGAGGGGCACGGGAGAGCTGGAAACCCTGGGCAGCCATCGGGAGGCAGCAACATTACAAGAACCAAGAAGATGCTCCCCAGGGGAACCCCAATAACTTGAAGCATTAAGCTGGGATAATTCATGTTTAGACTCCCCCACTGAGAGTCCTAAGTGGGATGCAATCTATTTCCACCCCCCTTCAATCTTATTGAAATACCAAGCATTTTGCTTGTAAAAGATGAAAACAGACCACCAAATTATACAAACTGTAGTGATAAATACATTTCCCAGTGGATGGCAAGAAAGCAAATGACAAACAAAACCGGGAACACATGCACATGGATCATGGAGCCATCCGGGCCTCTGCCCCACAACACCCCATGTACTCTATAAATCGGCTCATTGTGACTCTTCTGTCTTCACTGACAAACGACCAAATGGGCTTTGCTCACACCGAGTGCCAGAGAAATGCCAGCCCTGAAACAGTGTCCAGGTGCAGGAAGGAATGATTCTCTTGGACAAGTGGCCTGCCAGCACGTTATCCCTTGTCACAGCAGGCCTCTGGCGGGAGCTCCTGGAGACGAGTGGCGGTCTCTCATCACCCAGACAAGGTCTGCATTTGCTCCCCAGCCTTTACCAGCCCCAGCTTCTGCAGCGCAATCCCTTCCCAGGAAGGCAGCCCCACCCCGTCCCTGTCCACTGGAAAGCAGTAGAAAGGGGGCAGGAATACAGCAGAAAAGCAACGAAGCCTGGGCTCTGGAAGCTCCAGTGACCCAGCAGGGAGTAGGACACCCCGCCGGAGCTTGCCACTTCCTAGGGTGGTTCTTCCCCAGGATTCCCAGGAGGCAGGGAGGACATGCCTTCCCAGAGATCCCACCCAACCTCTGCCTGGTGTGACATGGGAGGTGGCGCTGGGGTGGCCTAGTGCTCTGTAGGAATTCCTCTGCCTGCTTCCTAAAGGCGGAAGCGAGGCTGCAGGAAACACGTGGCATGGGATCAGTTGTCTTCTCAAAGGGAACTGAGCCCATGAAGGGCAATAAGAACTCACTTGAACAAAATGGTTGCATTTTCTCTGAGTGGTCCGTGGGTGCAGAGGAGTGCAGAAACGCATGCAAGGATTTGGCATCCCTCATAGGAACTGGGAAAAAACTAAGCAGCTCTTGATAATTTTCAAAGGAGGAATTCAATCAGGGATCAATTCAGAAATTTAAGCCAGAGCTGAGTCTGAGCTTCTCTCTCCTGAGTACGGAGAGTGGGGAATTCAGCATCTGGGCTCACATTCCTAAGAAAAAGGCAGTACCCGTATGGATCATCTTTCGAGAAATAATTAAGTCTTCAGGATGAATGGCGAGGCTGGGGGAGCAAAGGTTAGGTGGTTTTAATGCCACATCCAGCCTCTCCGGAGTGTTCAAGCAATTCCCATAAAGATCCACAGGAGACACACATATTCACCGAAGCTGAAATACAAGGTGGCTTCAAGAAAACACAGAATATTGGCTCTGCCTGCTAAATAAGTTCTTTCAAAGAACTTTTTTTTTCCCTTTTGAAACTGCCAGGACGTAAGAGTAGTTCATAATTGATCCCCAGAGAAGGCTCTGTCCAATAAGCCTTCCCTCTAGCTCACATCCCAGGAAGCCGCAGAACAAGCCAGCGCTTCAGCAATTCAATCTCCATATATTTTATTTTAAAAATATTTCATTTCTGGCCACCAGTCCTTAGATCTCCAATTTGATTTGGTTTCTATAAATGGATTTTTCAAAGTGTAGGTGGAAAGTAGATTTAATTGCGAATTTCTGCAAACTAAAATATTCAATATAAACGTCAGAGTATGTTTGCACCCAGCATCCTCCCTGCAATGCACACACCAGCTTTAAGATGGGCACACGCACCCTTGGATAGTATTCTCAGCTGTTTCCATTTACAGAGCCCAGTCAAAACAGCGGGGGAAGCTGGCATCTGGTTTTCTTCCCTGCACCACTTCCTGTTTCCAGACAGTTGTTGGAAGGAGGAATGTACCTCTAGAGTTTCAGCTAAGAAGCCAAATGTGGGTGACAACCAAAACTGTCCAAGGGCAATGCCGCCAATGGAGTGGAGCCAGGCTGGCTGCCCAGTTCTCACTGGCCACCCACTCCTGGGCTAGGCTCTCTGCCCTTCCAGTTCTGCCAGTAAAAGAAATGTGAAGGCTTAAAGCCCAGTGAGTGCTGTTGCTGTGATATCAGCCTCCTGAGGTCAGGCAGCTGAAGCAACACCCAGAGGGGATCTCCCAGCAGCGCTTAATTCATCGCTAGGGCCCAGAAGACAAGCTGACCATTTGCTGGTGTGATGAGGGGCGTGCACACAGAGGAAAGCTCAGCCAACTGGGAACAGGCTCTGGGCCAGGCACTTAACATTCATCTCTGAACAACTCCTAGGAGTTGTGCACTGAAATTCCATTTCAGATGACGAGACTGAGGCCCACTGTTTTCACGTAACTACTCCAGCGCAGAACTGGGTCAGGCTGACTCCATAGCCTAGGTTCTCCCTAACAACATGGCACTCTCCCGAGATACACTCTAGGGAGATTCCCCACTCCAGCACGATGGATGATCCTGCCAGAGTCCAGCACCCCCTTTGTCTCTGCCCGTCTTCGTCCCTAACTTTCCCAGCCTCTGGGTACTGTGTCTGTCATGGAGTGAAGGTCCTTCTAGGCTTTCAGTAGGTGCACTGCAAGGAACCCAGATATGGCAGCCCACCCACCAGTGCTTCACTGAGCACCTTCCACAGCAGTCCCGGCAGACTCAGAAGAGGAATGTGGCAATGGGATTGGGAGCATGTTTCATCCCACACAAAAGACACTGCACTCTGCAGGGGGAAACCAGGGGTCAGTTCCCATTCTGCCACTGAGAGCTGAGTGATCCTGTGAGAGTCACTTCACCCCCCCAGGAGCCCCCATTTCCTCATTTGCAAAATGAGGGACATTTTAGGACAGTAAAGTTAAAAGGAACCTCAGACTTGTTGGTAAAAGTATCGATGGAATAAATGTTAGGGGTTTTCTATTCATTGGGAGTTTCATTCTATGACTGTCATCTGTCGGAGAGTCCCCGAGAGCCACAGCACTTGCTGGCATCATGTGATAATGAAAATGATGATGGTAATAATAATAAAATGAGAATAATTTACGTCGCAGCAAGTAAAGCTAAAGATAGCAGTCAGTTTATATGCGGAGAAAGCACTAAAAATGTGTGTCAATACACGCAGGAAGATAAAAGCAATACGTGCATGGGGGGGGTGGTTGCAACACATAATTTGGAAATGCAAAATGGCCCAACAGAGACCCAGAGGTATGGAACTTTCTAGTGAACATCCCAGGCCCCGAGTTACTCTCACTGAAGGCAGGTGTCCCCTGCCCAGGTGGAAAGCTGGGTGACATATAGTAACATCCACTACTCCACATATATCTCTCTTTCCAAATCTAAAACTCAGGGACATGCACTGCTTCTGCTGAGGTGAGGGGCAACCCGTAAGGAAAGAGAACATGGTGTTTTCATCACCTAAATCCAGAGGGACTGAATATGATGCAGGAAAAAGCTCCAGGCCAAAGGAAGGCACTGTCAAAGGCAGAACCGAGTTTCCTCACCCCATCCCTTCCCTCTGCCAGGCCATGTCCACACGATGGACTTGATAATCATTCTGATGGAAATGCTGCACATTTTCATGGCAATTGTACAATTCCCAGTATTTTCCAATGCACCTCACATGTTCCCCACTATATCAGTCTCTCAGGGCTTCCATAACCTATTGCTTACAAACTGGGTGGGTTAAAGCAAGAGCAATTTATTGTCTCAGAGTTCTGGATGCCAGAAGTCTAAGATCAAGGTGTTGGTAAGACCACATCCTCTCTGAAGCCTTGGCAGAGATTAAGGTGTTGGTAAAGACCACACCCTCTCTGAAGGCTTGGTCAAGATTAAGGTGTTGGTAAGACCACGCCCTCTCTGAAGGCTCTGGGGAGGAGCCTTCCTTGTCTCTTCCAGCTTCCAGTCTTGTGTCAATTCTGGGTGTTTCTCAGCTTGAAGACACATCCCTCCAGTCTCTATCTCTGTCTTCACGCAGTCTCTCCATGCCTGCCCTGAGTCTGTGTGTCCTATCCAAAGGTCCCTGTTCTTCTAAGGACACCAGTCATTAGATAAGGGCCCACTCAAATCTAGCATGACCTCACTTAATATGATTAATTAGATCTGCAAAGCCTTTATTTCCAAAGAAGGTCACATTCTGAGGTTCAGGGTGGACATGCCTTTTGGGAGGATACTATTCAACCCAGGATGCCCACAAACACACGAAGGTGAGAGTGCAAACCGGGGCATCTCATTTTATAGATGAGGAAATGGAGCCCCTGTTCCTCTTTCTCACCTGCCTCCGAGGACAGGGTGCCCCTTCCTCTCCAAGGACAGTCCTTCTCCTGTTATCTCATCCTCTTGTCTTCCTTTGTCGTCTGGGACTGGATCTTGAAACCACACCTTCTCCCTCTATTTTTCATTCTCACCCCTCCTGCTCATTTCCCTTTGCTCAGACACAAGAGGCTGGAAAACTCCCACCCTCACTGATATGGTTTGGATCTGTGTCCCTGCCCAATCTCATGTTGAATTGTAATCCCCAGTGTTGGAGGTGGGGTCTGGTGGGAGGTGATTGGATCATGGGGGCGGATTTCCTCCTCGGTGCTGTTCTCATGACAGCGAGTGAGTTCTCATGAGATCTGATTGTTTAAACGTGTGGCACCTCCCTCCCCTCTCTTCCTCCTGCTCTGGCCATGTGAAGGGCTAGATTCCTTTTTGCCTTACACCATGATTGTAAGTTTTCTGAGGCCTCCCCAGAAGCCAAGAAGATACCAGAATCATGCTTCCTGTGCAGCCTGTGGAACCAGGAGCCAATTAAACTTCTTTTCTTTATAAATTACCCAATCTCAGGCATTTCTCTGTAGTAATACAAGAACAGACTAATAGACTCATCCTGACTTTGATCCTCCTTCCCCAACTCTCCCGCTAATACCAAATGCTTCACGAGAGCCGCCTGTGCTGGCTGCAGCCACCTCTCACTGCTCTCTGCTCCAGCCCTAGCTTTCTGGCTTCTGCTCATCACTTCTTGGGCTTTGCATGGGCACCAGGGATCTCACGGTTACTGCTCTCTTTCAGTCCTCTTCCCCAGTATGCTTCTGTTGCTCATAGCACAATTCACCAACTCTTCCTTCTCAACTTTTGATTCACCCTTGGTTTTCCTGCATCCAGCACACTGCCCTGTCCTGAGTCTTTTCCTGCCTGCCTCTCCTCTTCCATGCCCACAACCCCAAACTCTCTATTGACTGAACGGCCCACACTCAACCAGTGTGGTTGAACTGGTGGTTGAACATTCAACCAGTGTTCACTAAGTATCCTTTGGGCTATGGACAATGCAGAGATGAACGTCTGACATTAATTCTGAAACTTCAAGTCTAGTTGAGGAGATCAATTAAATAACCACAATGCAAAGTAAAATAGAGATAAAGTGCTCTGGAGACAAAAAGCAACCCCTTCCTGTTAGGAAAGCACTCTAGATTATAAGCTCTTTGTGTGGGAATGAACTGTGCCGTGTATTCTCATACCCCCACGGTGCCCAGCACGCAGAGCGCTACGAGTGTGGGCTTCAGAGTCACACAGTCTTATTCCTGAATCCCGGCTCCACTGCTTATCAGGGAAGGTCAGGTGGCCTCTCTGTACTTCAAGTTATCCATACGTAATACGGATAATAATAGCACCTGGTCCATGGGGTTCTCTAGAAAATTAAGTGAGATAATACACACATGCAGAAACTAACTAGTCACCAAACTAACTGGATAATTTTCTCTTCCTGGACAAAGAAAGACTGTATTTCCCAGCCTCCTCTGTAGTTAGACTGGCCATGGGACTGAGTTCTGGCCAATGAAATGAAGGTAAAATTGATGTATGCCACTTCCAGGCCTGGCTGCTACAACACCTTCACTCTCTTCCCTGTCCTCAGGGATGAGAAACAAGGACTCTAGGATGGTGGAGCCACACAATAGAAGGAGCCAGGATCCCTGAGTCACCACCTGGAGGGGAACCACTCTGATGCAGCATTTGCCTCACAAGAGTTGCAATGTGAGTGAGAAATAAACTTGAACTTGTTAAGCCACTGGCATTCCAGGGCTTGTTTATTACCAGCACGTGGCCTAACCTAGCCTGACCAATACAACATGTAAAAATATCAGTGGTGATGATGATGAAGAAGAAGAAGAAGAAGGAAAGGGCTTGTTTATTACCAGCACATGGCCTAACCTAGCCTGACCAATACAACGTGTAAAAATATCAGTGGTGATGATGATGAAGGAGAAGAAGGAAAGGGAGAAAGGTAGAGGAACTTGGTTAGAATAGCTCAACTCAGTCCCAAGAGCAGTTACAAATCTCATGAGAATGTGATGCTCAGAGGTCTTCCCTCTCAGATGACTATCGCCCCATGTCCACACCATCACAGGGAGATGACATCCGATTTGAGACCTAAAACAAATTCACAATGATGGCCATATTCTCCCTGAATCACACTGCCATGCATTCTGCAGAACACAGGGGCGCCCTTGGGCCCTGTCTCCCCCTGGCTGCTCACTGAGGTCACACTGCCCCGCCTGCTGAAATCCCTCTCGGTAGCACCTCTCTCTCTACCCCAAGCCTGTTCTCCTTGCCGAGTGTTTCCTGATAAAAATAACTTAGCTTTTCCTCATTCTCTGATCTTCCAAAAAAAGTTGCAGTTGCTCCAGGCAGCTGATCTCTGCTAGATCAAATCAGATGAGTTAATTTACTTACTGATGGAGTAAGTCTCAGAGTGACCATCACAATTTTGACACTTACAGTGATAGAGGTAAGAGTAGCTCCAGCTTCTGTTTACTGAGTGTCAAGTCGATGGAAGGCACTGAGCTAAACTCTCCATAACAATCTGGAGTCCTCAGAGCACCTCTGTCCTCATTTTCAGAGGAGGAAACTGAGGCTTAGGAAAGTTAAATAACTTGCCTGATATCTTACTACTCAGAAGTGTAGAGCTGGGATTTTCACTCTTTCCACTCAGCCTCAATAGCTCCCCAAATCTCTAACTTGTTGACTGTTAGGCAGGGATATTTGGGGTCATTTAAGACCCTTTACAATCTTAGCCTAACATGCTCTGAGATACGACACCTGTACTCTAGCCCAGCAGCTCCAAATATCTCCACTTCTTATAGAAACGCATTGCTGCCAAAATCCTGCATTGATACTACAATGATTCTGTGCATTAACGTCAGCCACAGGTACATCTCCCCAGCCTCAGAGGATGACAGCAGGGTGAGGGTGACGACCCTGAACGTTCATGATTCCAGCCCAAAGAGAAGAGATTGGATGCCACGGCCACAGATGCACCTGTCATGGAAGATCTCTGTTTGGACCTTCAAAATGCCACCAATAGCTGAAGACCCCCATGACGATCTTCCAGGACCACCCATAGACCTCAAATCAAGAATCGTTGCTGGGGCAGCTCTAAAAGCACGTGGCACACCCTGGCGCCTCCGCCCCTCCACCTGTGCCATCAACTCCACCAGATGCCCATCTCTGCCTGACCTGCTCCTCCTCACCCTTCAGGGCCCAATCACATGCCAATCTCCCTGTGAGGTCTTTCCTCTCTGCCCCCCACCAGCAGGCTCACTCATCCCCTCAGCACGCAGGCTGTGCACACCTCAAGAACAGAGACCATGTGGCGCTGGTCCCTGAGTCTTCAGAATCTGGCATGGTGCTTGGCACACAGCAGGCTCCATTGGCCCGGTGGTGGGTACATCTGAAACAGCTGATTTAGAGAAAGCATGCTAGCGGGCAGGTCTCTTTCCTGGCCTCTACACTGTGAAAAGAGGACACATGTGGCCTGGGAATTTGTAGCAGATTTAGAAATGTACATGGTCACCCCTATCATGAGCCTCCTGTTGGTTCTAGTTTTTGAGGTGGGGATTTCAGCCATCAGTGGGGCTCCAAACAGGTGACACCTAATCATAGTGGCTGCCAGGTACACAGGTGTCGTTATGGGCTCAGGGGCCCTACTTTCACCCCAAAAGCAGGCCCATGTGAATCTCTGGTTTAGAATAAAGAGATAGGCTAGATCTTGGAGCTGGTTCACCTGTGCGCCGAGTTCCCCTTATGTGATGTTTAGGTTAGAGGGTTCTGTTGTACCAACATCTTTAAAATAGCTCAGCTCTTTAAAGACCATAGAATCTGTGGTCTGTATTTCAGAAAGAAAAAAAGGCAGCTTTTGAGCATCTGTTCAGAGGAGCTGCCATGAGACAGGCGAGGCACTGGGAACTCCCTTCAGATAGTTTGGCGAGAACCACTGATCATCCGTAGGCCCAAGTGAATAGTGCCATGGGCTACAATGTTCCCATAGAGGCAGCCCCATGGCCAGGGTCAGCTTGCACGTCGCAGAACTTCCCGAAGGTGCATCAGCGCCACCCACCATGAAATGCAGTGCGAGTCCCAGACTTGGCTGGAAAGCTGCTCCAATACCTTCCAGTCTGGGGTGTAATTACCTGACAAGGATTCTCTCCATCTTCTCTCAAATTAAAAGAAAACAAAGAACAGGAAATGGGCTCTCACTGACTCATTTTCTCATCATCAGTGGTGATAGGGGCAGGGGTGCATGGAAGTGAGCTGCCTGTAAACAATCTATCCTTGGATCCCTCTCTCCCATCAGGCTGAACATCTCTCTCTAGGACGCATGGCCACTGGGGCCGCCGGACCAAAAGGAGCCTTGGAGGGCCAGCCACCAGAGGCCACCAAGCACCCTGTGGGAGGGTCTTGGAAACCAATGGGTTTCCCAGAGGGCTGCTTGAGTTGTGTCTTGTCCCCACATATGGAGCTGGAAAGCGGAGGGCTCCCTCCACTGGGCTATCCTTCCTTGCACGAGTTCTGTGGATTCTCTAGGAAGGAGTACCAGACACCAGGGAGAAGTGGCCCCACCAGGGAGAAGTGGCCCCATCAGTGAGGTCAGGAAGTTGTTGAGTTACGACCTGAAGAGTGCAAGAAGGAGGTAAAGCGAGGAAAGTGTTCCAGGCAGGAGCAGAACACGTGCAAAGGCCTTGTGGTGGGTGGGCATGTGGCGAGCACAAGAACTGCAGATCCAGTTAAGCACAGGGAAGGAAGAAGCCCACGGCCCAGGAGAGGCTGGAATGCCAGGAGCCACAGCAAACGTCGCATGAAGGACTTACTCTGCAGTTAGCACACTTGTGAGCATTCTGCCCATATTAACCCATGTGTTTCTCACTACAGTCTCTATTTTACAGATAACAATAGCAAAATAAAAGCAGCAAGCCTGGACGTGGTGGCTCACGCCTGTAATCCCAGCACTTTGGGAGGCCAAGGCGGGCAGATCACGAGGTCAGGAGTTCAAGACCAGCCTGGCTAACATGGCGAAACCCCATCTCTACTAAAAATACAAAAATTAGCTGGGCCTGGTGGCACGGGCCTGTAGTCTCAGCTACTGGGGAGGCTGAGGCAGGAGAATTGCTTGAACCCGGGAGGCAAAGGTTGCAGTGAGCCAAGATTACGCCACTGCACTCCAGCCTGGGTGACAGAGCAAGACTCCTTCTCAGAAATAATAATAATAATAATAATAATAATAATAATAATAATAAGAAGAAGAAGAAGAAGAAGAAGAAGAAGAAGAAGAAGAAGAAGAAGAAGAACAGCAGCAAATACCGAAACAGCATTTCTATGTGGCAGGGCTGATCTAAGGACAGTGGCTGTGATTGACTCACTAATCCTCATAGATGAGAAAACGGGAGCACAGGGGCAAGCCCCACAGGTAGGGAGAGGAAGAGGAACTGGGACTCAACTTGGATAAGTGGCTCCAGATGCCTAGTTCCTAACCAGAGAGCCACAAATCTCACCCTAAGAACGGAGCAGGGACTGATGGGGTCTGCACTGTGGAAAGACCCCTCAGCTGCAGCATGGAGAACAGGCTGGGGCAAGCAGTCCATGTAGAAAGATGATGTCCTGGTGGTGGTAGCTTGGGCTGCTATGATGACCAAGGAGATGGATAGAGGAAAAGGTTGGATTTTACAGCTCCCAGAGGAAAAGGGAATGGAGTTTATTTGGACAAGGGGGTGATAGAGGGCTAAGAAGGTATCAGGAAATACTACCAGCCTTATGACTTGCACAACTGAATGAATGGTGCTTCCTTTCATGAAATGAAGATATTTGAAGATGAAGATCATGACTTGGGGTTTGGACTTAGGGGAGTCCAAAGAGTCTAAGGGGAGACGTCAAGTAGTGAACATTTGACATCCACCATGGGATGGGTGGTTGACTCTCCTATCTGGAGCCCAGAGAAGAGGACTGGGACAGAAATAGAGCAGTGTGAGTCACCTGTGTGCAAGTACCACTGGAGCTGTAGGTATGGATGAGCTGGAACCTCGGAGAAAGTAGAGAGCGGGAAAGGAAGACAGTTTTGCCCAAAACTTGAGGAGGGCTGACCACAGAACAATATACATCCATTCAAAGATGGGATCACAAAGCATATGCAAGGACATGAGAAACCATGCACAACATAATATTATGTGGAAAAGCACAGGTGGGGTGTCTCCTGTAGTTGGGGTGGCAGTGTGTAAAGTGCATCTTGGTGGAGGTTGGAGAAGGGTGAGAATACACAAAATCCTTGCCTGCAGCGGTGAGGTTAGAGATTTTTTTTCGTATTTACTCTTCTTTATGCTCTTTTATATAATTATTTATTCAACAAATGTTTGCAGAGTACCATGATTTATTTAACTTGTTCCTTATCATTGAAGAGTTAGGTTGTTCCAAATTCCCACTATTATCAATACTGCTGTAATGAGCATCATCCTACATGAATCTTGCGGACATTTTGTCATATTGTCCTTGTCTTGGAGCTCCCTGTCTTGGTGCTACTGGAAAACCAGAAAAAGGCTATGTCACGAGACACAAGGGTGTTAGGACTGCAGCTTTCCTGTTTGAAAACTATCATTGTTCCTGATGGCCATAGGCAACAAACCCATATCCCTCTGTCCCCCAGTGTTGTGTAAATACAGTCACCTCTATCCCACTGCCACCCCCTGCCCAATCTATTTCCCTCCCTCACTGCAGGCTCCCTGAGGGAGGGCAGCCCCAACTCTCCTTTCTGGCATATCCTTCTTTACTCAGCCTTCACGTGGAGTCCTTCTAGAGCTTTAGATCCAGAAGGAGTGGCCAGAGAGGTCACCAAGACTCAGATTTCTAGGTCAAGGAAGCCTAGAAAAGGAGTTTCAGGAAAGAGGCTGAAATGAACTGTCATCAAATGCTACCCAGAAATTCAGCTGAGATGAAGAATAGAAACCACCCGTCCAGTTGAGTAAACTGGCAGTCGCTGGTCCCTGCTGGCCTGGTGATTCTGCTCTTCCAGATCTGGGGGCAGTTATCAGAGAGGTGAGAGCTACAGGCAATGAGAAAGAGACTTTTGGAGGAGAGAGAAGGCTGGACTTGGGCAGAGGGGCAAGAGCAGATGGGGTGCATGGAAGAACCCAGTCTTGGAGCTACTGGAAAACCAGAAAAATGCCATGTCAGGCGACACAGGTGGTTGGGCCTGCAGGATCCCTGGGCAAGCGTGCTTCGACAATTGCCATTTGGAGTTCCTCTCTAGTGTACTGAGGTATTTTTAATATAGTCTATGAGTCAGAAAATCCAGAAGAAATGAGGCTCCCTAAAGCTCTCTTTCTATAAGAAGGTGGAGTGATCATCTCCCTCATTGCAAAATAAAGGGCTGAACTAAATAGCTGCTAAGGCTCCTCTCTGCTCTTTGACTCTCCTTGGGAGCAGCTGTGCATTCTTCAGGATGACACAGAAAGCCCTGGCCCTGGGTGGCCGAGGTCCAAGAAGCGGAGGAACATGGATTTCTGGCACAATGGGAAAGAACAGGGGGTTGGTTTCTACCCGTTCCACAAAGTAGAAATTTGGATTTAGACTCATTAATCATACACACACACACACACACACACACACACACACACACACACACACAATTTCTTTCCCCTTCCATAAACAACAACAAAAAAAATCCACATGGATTTGGAAAATTTTGCAATGATAATTTAAAAACCACTTAATACCCCGTGAAATTCAAGCTGGTAAATTGAATGGACAGTGATATTAAAATATTTCATTAGATGCTTTTTATGCCAAATTAAGCTGCTGCAATTATATTGATACTCACAGTCTGCATTAATCTAAAACTATTTTAATACTTTTTCTAATTTAGCATGATTAATTCTTTCATTTAAGAACATGCTCGTTTTCAAGTTTTGATTGTTTTCCTACTTTGCTGCTTTGACTTCTCTTTCCCTGAATATTTAATTTACAAGAGATTCAAATTCAAGGGGATGAAATCCAATTTTTCAGGACATCTACCTACCTGGTAATAAGGTTTTACTCTTGTTTCTACAACTTTTATTTTCTCCATGTGGCAGACCAGGCCTTTGACATATTAACTGTAAAGCAACTCAATTTATTAAATATATACCTACAACCTTGAAACCCAAAAGGCCACATTTCAAAGAGATTCTTGAATTGGTTTGCAGAATTAATATTCTGCCAGTTATAAAGAAAAAAAGTTACAAGTCTGTGTTTTTCAAACTGAACGAATGTCTTTAATATAATTTCTGCTGCCAGTAGGGGAACTAGACATAGAGGTACCCTTTGTTTAGGTAAAGTGGCTGGTTGGGTGAATAAAAAGAGAATATGTCCATATTTGCCAGTGCTCATAATTTTTCTGCAGAAAGTTCATCAATGGAATAATTAATTCTGTGTTTGTAAATAATTTGGCTCTTTAAGTCAAAACAAATGTGTCACATTTTGGATTCTTGTTTATGAAATATGTGTTTTTGTTTTTCAGCAGTTCTCTCCTAATTTGGCTTTATTTTTAAAAAGTGTACAAGTTACAGCGCCAATTTCTTTCTCCATGATGCACCACGCCATTGTCCTATCAATTACTATGACAATTCCTATCCTTCCAGACGCTAATGTCATTAGTCCATGGAGAACCTTTTGAAATAATTTACATAGAAACTGCCTTTACATGCTAAATGAAAAATGCGCAACTATAGTCAATGGAATTTGAATTACAATCCCACCACTGGCGGGTTGGTTTCATTTGTGCTATTTATTAAACAGGAAGAAGGTGATGCAGTCAATTACAAAGCAATTACCTGAACAGTGACTGCAAACCGGTGCCACATGGCAATTATAATGCTGCCTCTCCAAGAAGGGCTTGCCCTTGGTTGCTCTTTCTGACATCCACGTGGCACCCTGGGCCCACCCTTAGCATCCTGCCACCATTACACTCAGCAGTGCACAGCCAGAGCCAAGCTGCTTCTGCAGAAACCTCTTCTTAAGGTCATAGACTTTTACTAACCCCAGGGATGTCATACTTGGGACAGGAGGGTCTTACCCTATAAGCAGGGAGCTTGGGAAGCATTCTAGCACTTCCTCAAATGAGCCAAGGGAAAGCTGACTAGATGAAATCTTCAGTGTTCCTTCCCTGGTGGGCGCAATTCAGAAAACCAGAGGGCTTCTCGCTGACTGGCGAGCCAGATGGGGCAAAGGAAATGAGTGTGAGGCCAGGTGCCTTGGTGCCTCAGTGCCCAGGTGGGCAAAGGGCACAGACACACATCAGGCTGGGAAGACTGGTTACTGGGTTTTGGTTTTTGGTTTTTGCAAAGCCAGCATCTCTGACATTTGCAAGGATAAAGGCATCCAAAGAGGGCTGAGAGGTCTGTCTGGATGCTGCAAGTTCTACCAGCAACGAGCAGGCTCCTTCCCTGGTGCAATTCACTCCCTCCCGCTCTGGACCTGGCTGGCATAGAGGCCACTCCCTCTTCCTGCTCTCCCTTCCAACCCCAGGAGAGGAGGGGACTCTGGATACTAAGGGTCTCTCTTGGCAAGTTCTTTTTTTTTGGTCTAGAGGGACCACCAGCAGTAACCTGAGGCTGTAGCTCAGGCTTCTTCTCATTCCAGGGAACAGACACAGGGAAGCCAACTCTCAAAGTCCTCCTCTTGCCTTGATTCCAGGCATTTTAGCATTCAGGCTGAAAACGTCCCAAAGCCCCACACTGTGGGCTTTGGAAGTACCAAAAACAGATGCCGAAGAGAGAGCTTGGCCCTCGGCACGGTGCCGCATGGGGTCGGAGGCCAGGAGGTTATCTCTGCAGAAACCTGACCATTTTGTTTATGGTGTTCTGACAATGCTCAGAGCCATGCAGAGCAGCTGCTCCCCGTACCGAGCTGCTTGACATTCTGCCGAGAAGGTGGCTGCGGCTCTGCAAGGATGACTTATGACATTGACAGCTTTTGGGGCTGCCGGTCCCCTGGCTTCCCTGCTCCAAGACCCGGGCCATCTGCCTCTTACTTAAGCCTGAGGCCCAGAATGTTAGCACAGGGAGAAGAAACTCACCAGAAAAGAAAAATAAGGAGAAGAGAAACAGAACTGGGACCACCTATTTTAACCAATAAGTCATCCCTCCCATGTGAATCTGCCTCCCACCCCAGTGGATGTGCCTGGCAGAAGCGTGGGCAATGTTTTTACAATAATCAGAGGATGACACTGCCCTGCTTACAAGCTTTCATGGGCCCCATCGTTCTCAGGTTACATTCCAAACACTTTCACATAGGTGCACTGCGGGGTTCAGTGCCCACCTGCTCACCAGCCCCCTCAGGCTCTGCGCTCTAAGTACCTGAACTGCCCACCCTTCATTTCCTCCAGCACACACTTCCTCAGGCCCCCAGGGCCTTTGCATATCCCTTTCCCCCACCAAATGCCTTCCCCTTCTCCTCATGGCCCTCCCCAGCCCCATTAACTGGCAACCTCAGTGAAACATCACTTCTTCAGAGCTTCTCTCTCTGATCCCCAGATTAGATCATATCCTCCTGCTCTCAGATCTTAGAGTTCCTGCACTTTTCCTCTATGGCAGTAATCACAGTTTTTTCATACAATTGGATGATTAAATTGTATCTCCTCTACCGGACTGGAAGCTACGTGAGGGCCAAGACCTTGTCAACGCAGCTCTCCACTATTCCCCTTCCTGGCCTGTGGAAGGTGCTCAATAAATATTTCTAGAGTAAATGAACCCCAGAATCAGGATGATTAGAAAACGAAGACTGACAAGTTCAAGTCAAAAACTCAGGATTGGACTTAGAGAAAGAGCTGGACCCTGGCATTTGATCCACGGATCTGTGACGAGCTAAGTGACCTTGGAAATTATTTAAACTTTCTGAGCCTCAGTTTCTCATCGATGAAACATTGCAGAGTTGTTGTAAAATTCAGATAATGCCTGAAAAGCACTTATTGTAGTAAAGGGTAGCTTCCATTTTTTTATTGTTGTAGTTAATAAATGGCAGAATGGCAAGTTGGAAAACTTACTACAGAACTCTGAGAAGACACTAGAGTGAGCTGTACAGTTCCCCTCCATGAGCTAGATGAATGCTTTACACACATCCCCATGGTGATGTGGTACAAATGACTTTTGCTGAACAAAAGGTTTCACCCATCACTAAGTCAATAACACTAGGCACCAGGTGTGGCCCCCACCCTGCGCCAAGTCCTGTGGGGTGGGGCATGTTTGTTAATCAGCAGGACTTCTCAAACATCCCTAGAGCAGTTGTAAATTAACACAGCCTTTCTGAAGGATGATGTAGCCATATGGAGCTAATTTTTAGGCAGTTATATCGTTTAACCCAGCACTACTATTTCATTTCTAGGAATATTCTCCAGAAAACAATTGTTCAGGTATGAAAAGCCTGGTACCTAGTAACTCCTCAAATAAATATTTGTTGAGGGCTTACTATAAATAAAGATACAAGGATCTTTCTCACGGTGTGATTTCTAATGGCAAATAGTAGTAATAGTCTCAATGTCTAATGTCAGTGAACAGGTTAAGTATATGATATCACACAGAGTCATTTAAAAATATGTAAATCACTTAACATGGAGTCAAGTAAAAAAATACAAAATAGCATATATGATATAACCCCTTATTTTAGTAAAAAAAAAAAGTGTGTGTATGTGTGTGTATGTGAAAAGCATTCAGAAAGATGGACATCATAGGCCATTATATCAATGTCTTCCTTGTCTTTATCTACTATCTGAAGTCTTCTACAATAAATATAAATTCATTTTCAAACCATAAAGAAGAAAAAACTGCTTTTATTCTGAGAAGGGGGAGATAGAGAGGAGATGATATATAGTCTGCCATGGAGGGCCTTCTTGGGAAACTCAGTTTATCTGTAAGTTAATTCAAAAATGAGAATGAGAATGAGAATGAGTCTCTCTCTCTTACACACACACACACACACACACACACACACACACACCATTGCTTGGAAAGATTAATTTAGTTCTCTAGTTTGGCTCCTCAGAAAGTTCAGAAACTGAACCCTGAAATCTACCTCTTTGGAATATCAACTCAGTGATACCAGTATCACATCATCTTGATTACTGTAGCTTTAGATTAAGTATTGAAATTAAGTAGGGCAATTCTTTTAACTTTACTTTGATTTTTATAAATCCTTTTAGCTATTCTTGGTCATTCTTATGCTATATGTAAATTTTAAAAATAGCTTGCCAGTTTCTACAAAAAAGTCTGATGAGATTTTGACAGGGATAGCATTGAAGCTATAGATCAACTTGGAGAGAACTGCCATCTTAACAACACTGAGTCTTCCAATCCATGAACATGGTATATCACTCCATTTATTTAAGTCTTCTTTAATTTCTGTCAGCAATGTGTTATAGTTTTAAGGGTACAGGTCTTACATATTTTGTTAATTTGATCCTAAAATATTTCAAGGAATATTTTATGTTATTTTACACTGTATTTTTCTTTATCTTTGTTTTCCAATTGTTCATTGCAAATATGTGAAAATATACTTCAAAAAAATATTGGCCTTGTTCCTTTGGCCTTCCTAAATTCATCTACTAGTTCCAGTAATTTTTATTAGATTCTTTAACACTTTCTATGCACATGATCATGTTGTCTGCAAATAAAAAGAATTTCACTCCTTTCTTTTCCATCTGTATGCCTTTTATTTCTTTTCCTGGCCTTATTCAACTTCCTAGGACCTCCGGTAGAATATTGAATAGAAGCAGTGAAAGTGGACACATTGATGATTTCCCAGTCTTAGAAGGAAGTACAAGAATATGCTATTAAATATGATCAGGTGCCTGGGCACGGTGACTCACACCTGTAATCCCAGCACTTTGGGAGGCCGAGGCAAGCGGATCACGAGGTCAGGAGATTGAGACCATCCTGGCTAACATGGTGAAATCCTTCCTCTACTAAAAATACAAAAATTAGCCAGGCATGGTGGCGGGCGCCTGTAGTCACAGCTACTCAAGAGGCTAGAGGCAGGAGAATTGCTTGAACCCAGGAGGCGGAGGTTGCAGTGAGGCGACGTCACACCATTGCACTCCAGCCTGGGTGACAGAGCAAGATTCTGTCTCAAAAAGAAAAAAAAAAAAAAAAAATATATATATATATATATATATATATGATCAGGTGTAGGCTTTCTGTAGATTTCCTTTATTGGATTGAGGAAATTCTCTCCTATATCTAGTTTGCTGAAAGGTTTTTTTTTTTAATCATGAATGGGTATGGAATTATATCTTTTTCTTCATCTGTTGAGATGATTATATGGTCAATATTCTTTGTTCTGTTAATACAATTAATTACATTGATTAGCACATGTTAAACCAACTTTGCACACCTTCAATCAACATAATTAATCGTGGTGTATTATCCTTTTTACTTATAGCTGCATTCCATTTGCTAATATCTTGTTATGGATTTTTACATCTATGTTCATGAGAGATATTGGTCTGTAGTTTTCTTGTAACGTCTTTACCTGGTTTTGGTATCAGATATCCTGGTGTCATAAAATGACCTGACAAGTGTTCTATCATCCTATATTTTCTGAAAATGTTTGGTAAGCCTAACATTATTCTTGCCTTAAATTTTTTTAAATCAAATTCACCATGAAGGAGGTTTCTTTTTGGGGAAAGATTTTAAATTACAAACTTAATTTAATAAATATAGAGCTACTCAGATTTTCCATTTTGTGTCAGTTTTAAGAATTTTTATCTTTTAAGAAATTTGTCCATTTCATTGAAGTTGCCAAATTTATTTCCATAAAATTTTCATGATATCCTTTTCTGACACCTCTTAGGTTACCTTTAATGTGTATAGCATCTGTAGTGATGCATCCTTTTTACTCATATTAATAATTTGTATATTTCTCTGTTTCTTAATCAAGCTAGCTATAATTTTTCAACTTATTGATCTTTGAAGAGAGATAGCTTTTTGTTTTATTAATGTTTTCTATTGTTTGTCTACTTACTATTTCATTTATTTTATTCTTATTTTAATATTACCTTTTTCCTTACTTATTTTGGTTTTAATTGGTTCTTCTTTCTCTAGCTTCTACATGTAAAAGTTTAGGTCACATTTTAAACCTTTGTTAATATCAATTACATTTACTGATTTTAATGTAAATATAGTGTAAGCACTTCAAACTATAAATTTCCTTCTAATATCTGCTTTCCCTGTACTCCATACATTTTCTATGTGGGGTTTTAATTTTCATTCATTTCAAAATATTTTCTTTCTTCTTTTTTTTTTTTTTTTTGAGATGGAATCTCACTCTGTCTCCCTGCCCAGGCAGGAGTGCAGTGTTGCGATCTCGGCTCACTGCAACCTCCGCCTCCTGGGTTCGAGCAATTCTCCTGTCTCAGCCTCACAAGTAGCTGGGATTACAGGCACCCACCACCATGCCCAGCTAATCTTTGTATTCTTAGTAGAGATGGGGTTTCACCATGTTGGCCAGGCTGGTCTCGAACTCCTGACCTCAAGTGATTTGCCCGCTTTGGCCTCCCAAAGTGCTGAGATTACATCCATGAGCCACCACGCTCAGCCAATATTTTCTAGTTTCCTTTATAATATTTCTTCTTTTACCTTAAGCAGTATGTTGTGTAATTTCCACATATTTGGGAATTTTTCAGATATTTATTCTGCTATTGAATCCTAAATTAATTCAGTTACTGTCAGAGAAGCAGTAATCTTTTTAAATGTAATGAGATTTGTTTTATGACACAGTATATAGTTTATATTAATAAATGTTCTATGTGTAAGAAAAGAATGTATATTCTGCCACTGTTGGGTATTTATTTCAAAAATGTCAATTAGATCGAGTTGTTTGATAGTGTTATCCAAGTTTTCAATGTCCTTACTGATTTCCTGTCTCCTATGCATCACTGAGAAAAGAATCTCCCACTACAATTGTGAAATTTATCCATTCTTCCTTTCAATTCTGTCACTTTGGCATGTATTTTGAAGCTGTGTAATTAGGTGCATAGACAGGACGGTCATGTTTTCCTAACGGACTGACCCTCTTATCATTATAAAATATCTCTCTTTATCTTGAGTAATAGTTCTTGTCCTGAAGTCTACTCTGCTTGATCATATATTCACTTTAGTTTTCTTATGGTTAGTATTTGCACACTCTATTTTTTCCCATCTTTTTACTTCTAACCCATTTGTGCCTTTATTATTAAAGTGTTTCTTGTAGAAAGCATGTCATTGAGTATTATGGTTTTTTTGTCCAGTCTGATACTCTCTAGCTTTTAATTGGAATGCTTAAGCCATTTACAGTTGATGCAATTATGTATATGGCTGGGTTTATCTCTACCATCTAACACTGTTTTCTACTTGTCCTGTTTCATATTCCTCTTTCCTGACTTCATTAATTTGAATATTTTTGAGTCTTTCATTTTATATCCACTATTGGCTTATTCCTATATCTCTTCATTTTTAGTAGTTTGCTCTAGGATTTGCAATATATATCTTCAATCATAGTATTCTACCTTCAACAAATATTAGAGCACTTCACCAAAAATGTAAGAATCTTTCAACAATATACTTCCACTTCCCTCTGCTTTCCTTTGTATCATTGTTGTCACACACTTTGCTTCTATATAATGTTATTACTTATGTTTTAGACAATCAATTATCTTATTTTAAACATATTTTTGAGCTATAATTTATACACCATAAACGTCACTTCTTTGAAGTGTACTTCAATGCTTTTAGTATTTTACAGCCTTGTGAAACTGTCACCATAAGCTAATTTTGGAGCATTTTCATCACCCCAAAAAGAAACCTAATACTCATTAGCAGTCACCCCTCATCCCTACCTGACACACACACCTCCAGCCTTAGGCAATTATTAATCTGCTTTCTGTCTCTATAGGTTGCCCTATTCTGGGCATTTCATATAAAGGGTATCACATAATATATGGTCTTTTGTGACTGGCCTCTTTCACTTAGAATAACGTTTAGAAGTTCATCCACGTTGTGGCATGTTATCAGTGCCTCATTCCTTTTTATTGCCAAGTAATATTTCATTGTATGGATAGACTACATTTTGTTTATTAGTCGGTGGACATTTGAGTTGTTTTGACTTGTTGCTATGATTAATAATGGTATAAGTTTTTCTGTGAATATGCTTTTATTTCTCTTGGGTACATATCTATGAGTGAAATTGCTGGGTCTTCTGGTAACTCAATGTTTAACATTCTGAGGAACTGCCAGAATGTTTTCCACAGCAGCACCAGCATTTTGGATCACCATCAGCAGTGTGTGAGGGTTCCAATTTCTCCACGTGTGTGAACACTTACTATTATCTCTCTTTTTTTGTTATAGCCATCCTAGTGGGTAAGAAGTGGTATCTTGTTGTGGTTTTCACTTCTCTGATGATTAATGATGCTGTTAAATATATTTTCGTGTGTTAATTGGCTATTCATATATCTTCTTTGGGGAAATATCTATTCAAATTATGTGTCCATTTCTATTATTTTTCTTTTAATTGTTAAGTTCTAAGAATTCCTCAGAATGTTAAACATTGAAATCATTTCTCAACCTAAAGTCACTAGATTTATTCCCATGTTATCTTCTAAGACTTTTATAGTTTCAGCTCTTAACATTTAGGTCTATAATCTACTTTGAATTATTTTTTCTGTATGGTATGAGGCAGGGGTCCAATTTCTTTTCTTTTCTTTTCTTTTTTTTTTTTTTTTTTTTTTTTGCATGTGTTTATCCAGTTGCCCCAGAACCTTTCTGAAAAGACTATTCTATCATGATTAAATTGTCTTGGTCCTTTGTTGAAAATCAATTGACCATAAATGCTAAGACTTACTCCTGGACTCTCAATTTTATTCCATTGATTTATACGTCTATTCTTATGCCAATACCTCACTGACTTGATTACCATAGCTTTACAGTAAGTTTTGAAATTGAGAATTTTTAGTTCTCCAACTTTGTTCTTCTGTTAAAGATTTTAACTATTCCAGGTCCCTTGTATTTCCATATAAATTTTAGGTTCAGCTTGTCAATTTCTTTTAAAAAGCCAGATGATAGTTTGATAAAGATTACGTTGAATCTGTAGATCAATTTGGGGAGTACTGCCATCTGAACAATATTAAGTGTTGTGATCCAACAACATGAGATGTCTTTTCATTTATTTAGATCTTCTTTAACTTCTTTCAAGAATATTTCTGTAGTTTTCCATTTACAAGTCTTAAACTTCATTTTAAAAATGTATCCCTAAATATTATATTCTTCTTGATGCTATTATTTATAACTGCAATTGTTTTCTTAATTTGATTTTCAAATTGTTTATTGCTCATGTATATAGATATAATTGAAATGTTCCCTCCTCTTCTATTTTCTGGAATATTTTGTGTTATTATTCTTTAAATGTTTGGTAGAATTCACCAGGGAATTCATATGACCCTTGGTTTTTCTTTGTCAGAAAATTTTAAATTTAATATCTCTGTTTTTGGTCTATTCGGATTCTCTGTTTCTTCTTGAGTAAACTGCAGTCATTTCATCTTTCTAGGATTTTGTTCATCTAAGTTATCTAATTTGATGGCATACTGCTGTTCATAGTATTCTTTTTATAATCCTTTTATTCTAGAAGGTCAGTAGTGATGTTCTCCCTTTCATTCCTGATTTTAGTCACCTGGGTCTTTTATTTGTCTGTCTATCCATCTATCTGTCTATCTATTGATCTCTTTTTTAGCTCTTTTCTCCCTTTTTGGGGTCTCATATTATCTATCTACTGATCTTTTTTTTAAGCTCTTTTCTCAGTTTTGGGGGTATTGTATCTATCTATCTATCTATCTATCTATCTATCTATCTATCTATCTATCTCTTTTCTCAGTGTAATTAACAGTTTACCAGTTTTGTTGATATTTGAGAGTATCAACTTCTGGTTTCATTGATTTTCTCTATTGTTTTCCATTCTCAATTTCATTTATTTCCACTCGAATCTTTACTACTTCCTTCTATAGTTGTCTGCTCAGGACGCTATAACATAATGCCACATCTTGCATGCCTTAAGCAACACAAGTTTATTTTATCATAGTTCTGGAGTCTAGGAGTCCATGATCAAGATGCCAGCAAATTTGTTTCTGATGAGAGTTTTCTTCCCGGCTTGTAGGTGGCGAGCTTCTTGTTACATCCTCACATGGCCTTTCCTCTTTCCTCGGTCTGTGCTCACAGAGAGAGTGAGCTCTCTGGTGTCTCTTCTTAAATGAATACTAATCATATTGGATCAAGGGTACATCCCTATGACCTCATTTAACCATAATTACTTCCTTAGAGGCCCCATCTCCAAACACAGCCACACTGGGGCTTATGTATTCAGCATGTAAAAATTGGGGGGATATGCAAACATCCAGTCCATAATACTTTCCCCTGGATGATTTTGGGTTTCATTTTCTTTTTCTAACTTCTTGCATATAAAGTTAGGTTATTGTTTAAGATCTGTGTTCTTCTTTGATATAGGCATTAAGAGCTATAACTTTCCCATAAGTGTTTGGCCAATTATATTTTCAAGAAAGTGTTTTTAAACCAAGAATAAAAGTATCTTATATTTACTTACACATTTACCATTGTTTTTGAGACAGGGTCTTACTATGTTGTTCAGGCTGTCCTCACACTTTTGGACTCAAACAATCCTCCTCCCTCAGCCTCCCAAGTATCTGTGATTACAAGAGCACATAACTGTGTCCAGCCATATTTACCATTTCTAGTGCTCCTCGTTCCTTTATGTAAATAGGAATTTTCATCCTGTAACATTTTCTATCAGCCTGAAGAACTTCCTTTAATATATCTTGTAGGCCAGGCACAGTGGCTCATGCCTATAATCCCAGTACTTTGGGAGGCCAAGGCAGGCGGATCACCTGAGGTCAGGAGTTTGAGACTAGCCTGGCCAACTTGATGAAACCCCCTCTCTACTAAAAATACAAAAAATTAGCCAGGCGTGGTGGTGGGTGCCTGTAATCCCAGCTACTCGGGAGGGTGAGGCAGGAGAATCGCTTGAACCTGGGAGGCAGAGGTTGCAGTGAGCCGAGATCACACCATTGCATTCCAACCTGGGTAACAAGAGTGAAACTCCATCTCACAAGAAAAAAAAAAAAAAATATATATATATATATATGTGTGTGTGTGTGTGTGTGTGTGTGTGTGTATGTATATATGTGTATATATATGTATATATGTATATATATGTGTATATATATAAATCCTGTAGTATAGATCTGCTAGCAAATATATCTTGTAGTATGGATCTGCTAGCAACACTTTTTTTGGTCTAAAAATGTCTTTATTTTACCTTCACTCTTGAAGAATATGCACACTGAATATAGAATTCTAGGTTTTTCCTTTTAGCAATTTAAAGATGTTGCATTGTCTTCCAGCTTGCAATGTTTGTAATGAGAAATCAGTGGTAATTCTTATCTTTGTAATGTGTTTTTCTCTGCCTAATTAAAAGATTTCCTCTTTGTTGCTGGTTTTTAGCAAACTTGATTATATTTCTTGATGTTCTCTTCTTTGTATTTCTCCTGCTTCTAGGATCTGTGACTCTTTAGTTTCATCACATTTGGAAAAGTCTTGACCACCTGTTCTTCAACTATTTTTCTGCCACCCACTCCTCATGGTCTGGGCCTCCAATTATATGTCTGTTAGATCATTTGATGTTGCTCTCTAGTTCTCTGATACTCTACCACACTCTATTATTTTTCCCCCTACCTTTCTTCTCTGAGTGCTTCAGTTTAAGCAGTTCCTGTTGCTTTATCTTCAGGTTCACTTATCTTTTGTTTCCACTGTGTCTAATCTGGTATTAATCCCATTGCGATAACCAGACTCTAAAATGACCCCAAATGAAATCTACTGCCTGGTATTCAATCCCTTGTGTAATCTCAACCTGTTGATTCTGGGCATATTGATAACTGGCTTCCAACTCATGGGATACATCAAAGATGATGAGATGTCACTTCTGTAATAAGGTTACAAAAAACTGTGACTTCTATATTGCTAGCAAACTTTCTCTATTATCTTTCTGGCTTGCACTCTTTGATGAAGCAACCTGCCATATTGGAGGTCCATATAGCAAGGTAACAAAGGTGGCCTGTGCCCAACAGTCAGCTAAGAACTGAAGCCCTTGATCCAACATCTGTCAAGGAACTGATTTTGTAAAACAATCAAGAATGCTTAGCAGCAGGTCCTCCTCAGTCAAGCCTTCAGATGAGACCTCAGCCCTGGCTCACACCTTGATTTCAGCCTTGTGAGAGGCCCTGATGCAGAGGACTCAGTCAAGCCATGTCTGGATTCCTGACCCTCAGAAACTGTGAGATCATAAATGTGTGTTGTTTTAAGCTGATACATTTGTGGTTATTTGTTACATATCAATAGATAACTCATCTGGTGACATTTTCACTTTAGATATTGTATTGTCCAATTCAAAGAATTCTCTTTGGTTCTTCTTATATATTATGGTTCTCACCTCACTCTGTTCTTCTTTTCCTTTAAATGGCTGAGGATATTTATAATAGATTATTTGAAGCTCTTGTCTTTTAATTCCATATCTATGTTATTTTGGGTCCTCTTTCTACTGGCTGATTTCTCTCCTGGATATAGGTCATATTTTCCTGTTTCCTTATATGTTTAGTAATGAATGCAGGGCATTGTGAATGATATACTGTTGAGTGTGGATTTCGTTGTCTTACTTTAAAGAATTTTGGATTTAGCTTTGTTAGGCACTTGCATTATTTGCAGATCAGCTTGCTCATTTTGATTTGTTTATACGCTTTGTTAGGGTAGGTCTGGAGTTGTCTTCACTCCAGGGAGAGTTTAGCTCCATTATTAAGATGTGATCATTCTGGGGTCTCTGTGGAATACCCAGGTGTTCATTAGCATCTCTTCACACCGACTAGTTTGAACTTGAACATCTGCCAGTTCTGGGTGAGCTCTGAGAAGTCTTAGCTTCTGGCTCACAGTGGTTCCCAGTTCTGTGTGAACCCTGAGAAGTTTTAGCTTCTGGCCCACAGTGGTTGTCTTTTGACCAACCTCATACAGTTTCATGATGCATACACAGCTTAGTATTTAGCCAAAGAATCAAGGACATCTTCTATCCAGATTTCTGGACCTCTTTCTCTGCTGACCCCCCCTTCTCCTCTGTACTCTTCAGCACTCTACCCTATGGATTCCATTTGTCTCAGCCTCCCCAAACTCTAGTTGTCACCTCCTCAACTTTGCTACACTGCTGTACTCTGCCTGGTTGCCACTCACCCCCATGCACTGTCTGGAAAATGCCTCCAGCCAGAAAGCCAGAGCTTGTTTATTTCCTCCTCTTAGATATTACAGTCCTTCCTGCCTGCTGTCCATTATCCAACAATAGTTGTTTCCTATATTGTGTCCAGTGTTCTAGTTGGTTTGGGTGGGATGATAAGTTCACTACCAGTTACTTTGCCATGGCCATTGGAAGCCTCTGGACATTTTTATAGGTGTCCAAGAGGGAGTCAGATTAGCACTTAGCTCTACCCCTTGGGTTCTTAAGCTTTGTGCAGATGCTCAGCTGGCTTCCTCACTGAGAGGGGCAGGGGAACATGCATCAGAATGTTGCTCACCAGCTGTGTCAGGGCCCCAAGATCCCAATGTTCACTAGCAGCCCTCATGACAACCAATCCCTTTGCCATCTCAGCAAATGACTCATCAGCATGTGACAAAAGCCCATCACAGGGCCCCTCAGCCTACCACAGATTTGTTTATTCTGTGAGCTCCATCAGATTCCCCAGCTGCAAAGTGAGGTGCTCAGAATCTCTGAACTAAAACCCTTGGCCTGCTGGTAGGTCTGAACAGTTAAATATGGAGTATGTCACAGGCATCTGGCACACTGCTACAGAGAGCCTCTGGAGCCTCTGGCTACAGGGGCCCTCTTAGTCCCCTAATAGAGGCACAAACTCCAGGGGATCAATCCTGCTGATGTGCAGAATCATTGACCCAGAAAGCTCCTAAAACTTTACCAATGCACAGGTCTCACCATGGAACTGCTGAGTGAAAACCTAGGCACTCCATGGCAATTCCAACACAGTCCTGTGCATTCTGTCTTCTTTTATCTTATGAAGCCAAAGAACTCATGGATATGAATTGATGACTTCACAGAAATGCTGGCACTGTGAAGCCATCTAAAATCCATCCCAGAAGCCATAAAGGTAACTCTACTCCAAGAAGGGAAAAAAACTGGGATCTCTCCAAATCATGGCACTTTTAAATAGGAAGGAACCTCGGAGAACATTCTGGCCCACCTCTCTTCCACTCTCTTAGCCTTTCCACTCCATAGATGAAGAAGCCAACAGCCAGAGGGTCTAAGGGACATATCCAGCATCACTCAGCATAAAGCAAAGTTACCTGTCCAGAACCTCCCCCACTGCCTTCCAGACCCCTGCTACGATCCCATCAGTGGCTTCTCATGACACTTAGAACAGAATCCAAGATCTATACCACAGCTGATCCTGCTGTGCCACCTGGGTCCTGGCCCCTCCACCGCGCCCCCTCCTTGTCCACTGCTCTCCAGGCCCACAGATCCCTTTCTGGCAGTAGAGCAACCAAGGTCCTTCCAGCCTTAGGGCATCCACTGTCCTGTCCCCAAGAAAGCCCTGCCCAGCTCTTTGCAGCAATGGCCTTTCCTCCCTTAGTCACAGGCCAAATGTTCCTGCCTCCTCCGTCACCAAGGGCCAGTGCCTGGCCACTACTTGTCATCTAGGCATATGCATTGCACACTGTCCTCTAGTCCTTCTCTCAGGGCTCCTAAGGGACTTCTTGCACTCCTCTGTCCTGTCTGTTTCTTCCCCGCTCCCACAAGTTGGGAGCTTCGAGAGGGTGAAGAACCTATCTGTTTTGTGCATTACTGTATCCCCAGTGCCTAGCAAAGTGTGGCACATCGTGGACTTATGTTTCTTCAATAAATGGATGCAGGGAAGAATTAAATTATTAACCATCAACTGATAAATGGCAGACATCCCTTTGTCTCTAACTCCCAAGTCTTATGAGGGAAAGGGCTCTGGGGTCCCAGGCCGTCCCTGTGGTGGACCCACAGTGGCGCTCCCAGCCAGAAGTCCTGCTAGTATCAGATCACACTCTGAACACACCGGTGTCCAAAGTCCAGGCACCCTGGCACATGGCCAGGCCTAGGTCTGGCCGCAACTGAACCATGTTCCTTGTTCCCTCCTCTGCCAAGCACGCCCCCGCTCTGCAGACCTGCCTCGGGGCAGGCTTGTTCTCTTGCCAATCTACTGGATCTGCATAAGCAATGAAGGCAAATTTAGGCTTCACCAGTTTCCACTTTGAAACAACCTGGGAGCTGGGCTCCTCCATCCACCAGCAGAGACTTTAATATTTAAGCTAGAAGCAACAGCCAAGTACTGTCAAGGGAAGAGAGCTCCACTTTCTTACACTATGTTGTTCTCCCAGGTGCCTTTCAAGTCTCCAAGCAAACCATCAAACAAGCCCTACCCTTGTCACTGAGCCGTATCCTGTTTCTCATTATGAGTCAGAGCCTGACGCAGGACCAGTGGAAGAATCAGAGTCTTGGTAATGGGTGTGATTAAGAGTAATCTAGGTCTCCAGCCTCTCTGTTAGTCTAGGGCAGGCCCAGGGCTGTCCAGTGGAAATATAATAAAGCCATGTTTAAACTTTGCTAGTAGCAACAGTAGAGAAGTAAAATGGAAACAGGAAAAATGAATTTTAATAATATATTTTATCTATTATTTCAACATGTAATCCACAAAAATATTAATGGGTTATTTAAAGTGGCTTCTTTTTGGCCAGGTGCAGTGGCTCACACCTGTAATCCCAGCACTTTAGGAGGCCAAGGTGGGCAGATCACTTGAGGTCAGGAGTTCGAGACCAGCCTGGCCAACATGGCGAAACCCTGTCTTTACTAAAAATACAAAAATTAGCCAGGCATAGTGGCAGGTGCCTGTAATCCCAGTTACTTAAGAGGCTGAGGCAGGAGAATCACTTGAACCCGGGAAGCAGAGGTTGCAGTGAGCTGAGATAGTGCTACTACATTCTAACCTCGGAGACAGAGTGAGATGAGACTCTGTCTCAAATAAAAAAAAAAATTAAAAAGCTAAAATAATAAAAAGTGGCTTCTTTTCATGCTAGGTCTTTGAAAAGCTGTGTGGGTCTCACACTCATGGCACTTGGATGAGCCACATTTCCAGGACTCACCACCACATGTGGCTCATGGCTGCTGGCTGGGACAGCGCAGGAACAGTTCACCTGCTCAGGAGCTGACCCTGAGTGGGTGGCACTGGCACATCTAACTCGAGGCTGCCTGAGAAGTTCTGCAGCAGAAAAGACAAGCACGAGGCCAGAAAAACCCGGCTCCCTGGCCCCTGAGGCTCCCTCCCCACCCCTGCAGGCCCTGGTGTCAGCCAAGGAAGCCGCGACTGCTACTCAGAGCATTCTCTTGCTGCTTGGATTAATTCACTTGTATTTATTTGGCTTTTTATAAACAAAAGTCAAACTTAAGGCATTCTATTCATCAAAAGGAAAGGGCAGTACTCCTAAGGGGATCTGTCAAACAGATGCTCTTTCTGTAAATAAATAAAAAGGTGGCCGTGCAGGAAAGGAAAATTACACTGAACTGAAGTCTGCGATATTTTTTCCCCTTTCAGATCCATAAGCCAAAATATTGCTAAGTCTTTTTATAAACAAAGATAATGAGTTGTATAATTTATGTAAATTAACTAACGCTGCCGCATTTTCTAGAAGTAACATAAACTGCATTATTTATTTGATGTGCTTTTTGGAGTAAAAATAATTATAATTGGATATTATACCTAACAGGTTTCTCCTATTGTTTTCTTATTAGTGTTTGTGGTTTTGAATACAAAACACAGAATCACCGAGTGCTCTACACACGTGGCTTTCCTTTTGCACACATGAAAGCAGGGATGATCTTTTTAAAAGACAAGAGTCTGACCAAGGTCCTTGACCACAACTCCTGCGCCAGAAGGAAACTGCATGTGCCAGGTATCACAGGCATGGCTTCCATCGGCAGGCACTTGTTCTCTTCCATTGTGTGTGGTACTTGTTGATCAGCAGCCTTTGTAGAATACAACTGACTTCACTTCCACAACACAAAGTAGGATCCGTGGCACCAGCAGCATCAGCTGCACCAGGGACTTGCTATCAATGCAGCATCTCAGGCCCCACCCAGACCAACTGAATCAGAATCCCCAGGGCACCTGTCTGCACATGAAAGTTTGAGGAATGCTTTTCTGCATCCTTTGCAGAAGCGTCCTTTGCAGGAGCATCCAGGCCCTTCCTGGGCCCCTCCCAGAGGAGACAACTAGAGCTGTGCACAGGAAAGACACTGAGCTGACCCCCAAGTTCATCTGTTCCTGGCTCTCAGCATTAACCCACACATCCCCTCATATCTAACATATATTGAAATGAGCAATCCATAACCACACACTGCAATTCTTAATATTATCATATTAGGAGCATTAAAAATTCAAGAAAGTATAATTAAGCAAAATGAATTAAGCAAGGATCTTGAAATATACAGCCTTGGAAATACTTTTGCTGCCTAAATGCTCACTAACATCTGTTGGCTTCGATCATGCTTGCTAGCCTCTTCTGATATTCTAAGCACAGAATATGGTAAAATGCCAGATGTAAATAGCTCTGATTCGTGTCCTTGTTTATGTAGCCAAAGATGGCCCTAAAGTGGAAGAAGGAACTCTACTGAAAGCCCATAGATCTCTGGGCTTTCAAATATTGGGCTCTCTAGCTCCTTACACCCGGGAAAAAGGGTTATGCACTCAATACCAGGGGTGAGGAACAACAGAACAAAAACATCTCAGACCTAAAAGAAACGGAGGATAATTCACTGAATTTATTTCATCTCATCTCCCTTAATCATGTAAAAACAAAACCCAAAAATGTTCTGCATTCTGGTTTGTGTCCAACACAATGTACAAACTAATTGAGTGTAAAAAGCGTTGCTTTGCATTATATCAGTTAAAGTAAGTGTAACAATTGCTCTCCCTACCCCCGAGCTCTGTTTCATTTCTGGTTTTGTTATAATTCAGTCCATTCACAATATGTCACGGCAAACACTATTTGCAAAAGAAAGTATAAAAAACAGATTCTTTATTTCTTAGTGCATTTATTTCCATTTCCCCTTCTCAGCCTCTCCACATTTATACCATGCTTCCATCTGGAGGGCTTAAAAAAAGTTATAGACGAAGTTACTATACATAATGAAGCGCACACTTGTCTGGTATTTAGCCTGAGAATCTTGTTGCCAGGTGTTATGAAAGGGAAAAAAAAAATGCGGCCAAAATACCGTGTCGCATCTCGTTTCCAAACATTTCATATCATGTCTGAAAGTATTCATTAATCTGGGAGGGGAGCTACTTCAATAAGGTTTACTTAACCAACCGCCTTCCAGGAAAAGGCAAGTGTGATCGGTTCTGCACCTGGAAGGAGGCTGCTGGCACCCGACCTCTCTGCCAATGTCAACACACGCATCTGCTCAGTCACTGGGAGGAAGCAACCACCCTTCATCAGACACCAGAAGTGCTGCAGCAGCAGCTCTCAGACGTGCATTCAGTCATTCAGGAAACACACACCAAGCCTTACTGTGCTAGGTGCTGGTGTGACAGAAGCAACCTGGGCAACAACAAGAAATGGCATCGCCCAGGCTGGTGTCCCTTGAAGGGGTGTCCTAGGAGTTTCCTGCAAAGGGGAAATGAGTTTGATGAGAACAGAGCAACCCCACCAGCTGTAAAGCAATGATCAAGGCAGCCTCGTTCTGCCCACCTTTTAGGTGGAAGCTATAATTTAAGACTTTTTTTTGAGGTGGAGTTCTGCTCTTGTCCCCCAGGCTTCAGTGCAACAGCGTGATCTCGGCTCACTGCAACCTCTGCTTCCTGGGTTCTAGCAATTTTCCTGCCTCAGCCTCCTGAGTAGCTGGGATTACAGGCTTGCGCCACCACGCCCGGCTAATTTTTATATTTTTAGTAGAGACGGGGTTTCACCATGTTGGCTAGGCTGGTCTTGAACTCCTGACCTCAGGTGATCCGCCCGCCTCGGCCTCCCAAAGTGCTGGGATTACAGACGTGAGCCACCGCGCCCGGCCCATTTAAGACTCTTTGAACTATGTCACAGTGATGAAAGAATGAGCAGTCAGCAGCAAAACTCACTTGTTCATGGACTGATCAGTCCATGGAAGGCCAAGCAGATTCTGTGTGTAAGAAATAATTGCCGAGCAGTTCAGTGTTTACTCTTTTGGGAAACTAAACTTAATATGGCATTATGTTGACAATTAGGTCTAATTCCATGTATAAAAGCATCCAACAAAATGAAGGGTTTAAGTAAAATACCAGTGTGAGGGCACCACATCATATAAAAGGATTAAGCGTTGCTTCTGCTGCACAGCATGTAGACGGGTAAGGAATCTGGGGGAAAACAAGGAGTCTTGGGGTTTCCCAATTTATTTTCCCACAGTCTCCTATGGAAAAGATTACAGTATTTAACCTCTGTCTGATATTTTTGAAAGAAAAAGAAGTCACACAGTATTTTGAAACTCAAGCTATCAGACAACGCCAACACCTCGTTAATGTCACTGTAAGCCTGTGGGCTTGTTATTCATCATTGAATGTTACCTGGGAGCTCCGCCTGCATCCTCTGTCCTGAGGTGATGGCTGGGGCGCCACATGCCGGATGCCTTCAGCAAAGCCCTCCCTGACTCTGTTATTTGAGAACAGGAATGCCTCCACCTCCACCATCCGCAAAGCCTAGTGAAACGGGGCATTCTGATCTGCTGTCCTTGGTCCAGATGCAACTCACTAGATGTGCTTGGCGGCCTTGTTGGCTTCTGCATGAATTGGTTCAGGGTAACATTCTACATCCCATGTGAGCTGACCTCACTTCCGTTGGAAATCTGAGATCTAATAGTTACTCTTAGTCTTTTCCAAGACTTAACCCAATCTGTTAGGAAATTTCAAGCCAATGGGATGACAGGCAAATACACCATCCTGGTCTCTACCAGCATCTCAGCTGCTGCAAAACATAGACCTCAACAGAGCTCTTAGCATTAAAAGTTATCAATAGAAACACAAAACCATGGAGACTAAAGAACGATGAATGCCAGGTACTAACTAAGGAATAAAAACGCATCCTCGACGCACAAAGGATGTAAGGAACCAGAGGGAAGGAAGGAACCCGCAGCCACTTGCTGTGGAATTTATGTTTCCATAAGTGAAGCATTAGAATTCTCACATCGAGAAGAAAGTATTGATATGTACGCTCCCTAAGGAAGGATTCTCAAGAGGCCCATTCCAGATTTAATAATAATCCATATTCTTTCTCTGAAAAGGCAAACCGAATCTTTGATTTCCTTATCACCACCACAGATGCATGAATCATTAAGCTGCAAACCAGCAGAGGTTCAGTTTATCACATGCCACCTAGAATCTTTAATAAAATACATTCTAAGTAATCAATTCATGAAGAGTCAACATTTCTTACACTTTTGTGATAAATGTCTACCTCTCGCATCCATCATAAACTGTAGGTAAATTGTGGCAGCAAAGATGAAAGAGAGCCTCTCCAGTTTTCTCGTGCTGTCATGTAAATACTTAAACATGGACAAATAGCATCTGTGCCCTCCCATCGGTCACTATTCTAGGGGGACTCTGTTGCATCCAGCAACATACAGGCTTCATTCAAAGCACTGCACGCCTAAAGATGCAGGCAGTTTCAGCCTATCTTCTGTGACACCCCAATCCTTTAACCCACCTGGTCTCAACAAGGACACATGCCATTGGCTCAGCCATCCCCACTAGACAGGAGAACACAGAGTGTATCACTGGGACTAGCCCTGCCCTCTCTACAATGCCATGAAGCAGTGCCCTGAGCTTTTAAGAGAAACAGGACATTTCTCAATTCCCACATTCAAACTCTCCTTTGCAAGAGACATTGCCTAATGTTTTCAGGCTGAGGACAATTCAAGAAGAAACAAACAAGCCTATGCTACATGCATTAAAGAAGAAACCCTAACCTCACCAGGTATGTTGTAAATAAAAGTATACATTCATTGCAGAAATATAAGCTGAGTATGAATAGCATCAGGCGGCTGTAAACATGAGTAGCAGGACATACACAGAGCACCCCACTCCTTCTAGAAACCGTGGCCATAATCTAAAACAGGAGTGGACCAACTACATCCATGGTCCAAATCCAGCCCACAGTCTGTTTTTGTAAATAAAGTTTTATTGGAACACAGCCACGCCCATTCCTTGACTATTGCCTATGGCTGCTTTCATGCTACAATGGCAGAATTGAATTGTTGGGACGGACAGTCTGGCTCGCAAAACTGAAAAGATTTACTGTCTGGCCCTTTGTTTTAAAGGTCCATTCATTCAAAATCTTTCATTCTTTTGAAAAATGTAGTTATTTGGCACCAAAGGTACTCAATACTAGGTGCCATGCCAAGCACTGGGCTATAGCAGTGAACAGACAGGCAAGTTCCCCGTTCAGAGGAGCTAAAGGATGGAAGAACAGGACCATTTCACCCAGAGAACAAAGGCTGAGGGAACTGTTTAGTCATCGCCACTCAGTGTGTTCTGATTTCAGAAACCTGCTATTCTCTATCGCTCATTGCCAAGGGCAGAATAAAGAATGATAAGCTCCAGCCATATCATTGGAGATTTCAATTCGATATTTTCTAAAGGTGCTTGAAGTCAAGTCATAAATTGCCAGAGCAACTTGTGAAATTTTCCCTTGGACTTTTCTCTTAAGACAAGGTAAAATAAATAAATAAATAACCACTTGCCTGGGGGCAAGGCACTGAGGCAGGACCCTACTGGCAACAACAGAATGGCGTGTCCCAATCCTTTCCAAATTAAAGTGTGTGTGAACCACCTGGGGCTCATACTAAGACGCAGACTTGGATTCTGTAGATCTGGGTTGGGGCCTGAAATTCTGCACTTCTAATACCCCCTGGGTGATGCTGAACATACCAATCTTTGGACCACACTGAGGGTAGCAAGAAGCAATACTGACCGCTTCAGTATTTGCGCCGGTCTCAGGTTTTGCGCGAGTTACAAGCTGTTGAATTACGAAGTGCAAGGAGGACGTGGAAGGTTATTTCATCTGTCCAGGAGAAAAACCTCATGAAGCAGAAAGGCGCTCTTTCATGAAATCACCTGCTTTCCCTCTTCCACTCCGGCCTTGCAGTGAGGGAGGGCATCCACAGGGAAGCTCAGCAGCCAGAAACCCACACACCCGCACAGAAGGAAACAAGGGGCCGGAGCCAGCGGCCATCAAAGCAGCCTCACCAGAGCTGCTGCGTGAGGAGCTCGTTCCTTCTTTAACTCGTTTGGTAAAATTTTTCTCCCCAGCTCCTACTGGTGGCAAAAGAGCCCTTCATTTACACCCTGTTTTCCTCATGATTTTTGCCCCGGCGTGTGGGAAGCAGAGTGGTATGAGCCTACTTAGCCCGTAAGCCATATCCCTGCCCTCTGCTGGTGCCTAATCCACGCCAACTAAAGTGAATGGCCGCGACTATCCGAGGACAAGCCTGGAGATTCGTGCTGACTGAGCATAAATTCACACGGACATAAGCCACAGCCGCCAATGACGGGAGGAAACTTCCCCAGCAACGTTCCCCAGCAATGAAAGATGCAGAGAGGATCAATATTTGATGATTCAGTCAAGTGATGGCCAGAGCTACTCTTCACCCAAGGCAAATAACCATGTCTGGTCACTTACCAAGGGGAAAAGTATCTATTATGGTCTTCCAATGCCTGCCCGGTTTCTGGGTGAGGCTGTAAATTATGCTTGCAAACATCCAGGTTGTGTGACCTGGGTAATACCTCACTCAGTCCCTGCTGTGTGTTGGGGACCAAACAGAGAATGGCCCTTGGTGAATTTCGACAGTGGTATTCAAGGGTTTACATTGTAACTGAATATGCTAAAATTTCCATTCCTGTCCTTATGGGCTAACGTGCAGTGATGTTGAGGGACTATTATGATAATAATTAAGTACAAGTTCAGCACACCAAGTTGATATGCTGCTGCTCTACCTTCATCAGGGAGTTTCTAGCTTAATAAGGCTCATATCAAGTTTTAAAAAGGAAATTACAAAATATTGTATGTATTGTCATCTACCAGAGATACAAGGAAGGCAGAAACTACAATCACACTTCCTGCTACATATTCCTGGCACATCTTTTACTAACAAGCTTCTCCCCCAACACCAGTGGCAGAAGAAGGCTTGAATTTCTCCAGGTTGCAGCATCTAACGGCACCAGATCTGGGTATCTGGAAGTCCTCACGTTTTGGTATTTGAGAAACATCCAGGACTCACTTTTCAGAGGGAGCACGAAAGTCCCCAGCCCTGGCAGCATTTGGCTTTGCTAGCAACCTGCTAGCGTGTCTTCTCCTCAGCAATGGCCAGTGTCCTTCCTGCCTTTTATGGTCCCCACATCAATGATGTGTCTGGAGATAAACCAACTCACTTCCTCATGTCTTCAATGGGACCAATATCCAAAACAGACAAACCTCTGTCTGCAAAGGTTCAAAGGAACAGCTCTGATGCTTGGAGGGTTGTCAGATAAAATACATGATGCCCAGCAAACTGTGAGTTCCACAAAAGCAACGGACAATATTTTAATATAGACATACTTGTACTAAAAAAAAACTGTTGTTTATCTGAAATTCACATTTAACTGGGCATCAATATTCTCCCTTGTGTGTGTATGCACACATGTCTGTGCATGTACATACTAAATCTGGCAACATACAATCTGGCCTGCGTAGCAAGAGTACGCACAGACCCTCGCTGCCAGAGTGGGTGTGCCGTGGAAGCTCGGAAGCTACGGCTTCAGGACAAATGGAAATGGGCAGTTCATGCTGGGAGGAGATAAACAACTTGTTATTCCTAAGTGAAAGCTCTCGTGTGAATGTATAGGACTCAACAGCTCTTGGATCAAATTGCAACTGAGGAGTGACAGCCAGTTATGCAGTGTGTTTGGGGACCAACTCCCAACCACTGAAGTGGACAGCGAGGGACCTGCTGTGTCTTTGTCTTGCAGACCGTGGATGAAATGAGGATGACAATAGTATCTACCTGATAGGGATGTTACCAAGTAACTGAATGAGATGATGCAGATAAGATGATGCGCACAGGACTGGATAGTCAGTAAAAGTTCAAAAAAGGATGCTGTGATTACTGCTGCTCTTGTCATTTGGCTGTAGTTAGGGAAGAGAGAGCCTTAAGAAGACTGAAAATCTGTGTTCCCCCAACATGTATATGATGAAAACCAACCCCCGCCCCCGCCATGCGATGGTATGTGGAAGTGGGGCTTTGGGGAGGTGATCAGATCGTGAGAGTGAAGGCTTTCTGAATGGGGTTTGTTTGTGCCCTGATAAAAGGAACCCCAGAGAGCTCCTCCTGCCCTCCCACCATGTAAGGATGCAGTGAGAAGATGGCCATCTATGCACCAGGAAACAGGCCCTTGCCAGACACCAAAATGCACCAGGAAACAGGCCCTCGCCAGACACCAAAATGCCCAGGAAACAGGCCCTCGCCAGACACCAAAATGCACCAGGAAACAGGCCCTCACCAGACACCAAATCCGCCTGCACCTTGATCCTAAACTTCCCAGCCTCTAGAACCGTGAGGAATAAATTTCAGTTGTTTAAGCCACCCAGTCTATGATCTTTTGTGATAGCAACTAGATGTGGCTAAGACAGAAGGAGAAGCAAAACCAGCACCCTGCCAGGCCTTTGTGAACTCAGCAGATGCAAACAGAAAGGGCTGCTCTTGCTTTGTTTTTGCTTTTGTTTTTGTTTTTGAGACGGAGTCTCGCTGTCGCCCAGGCTGGAGTGCAGTGGCGCGATCTCAGCTCACTGCAAGCTGCGCCTCCCGGGTTCACGCCATTCTCCTGCCTCAGCCTCCCGAGTAGCTGGGACTATAGGTGCCCGCCACCATGCCCGGCTAATGTTTTTGTATTTTTAGTAGAGACGGGGTTTCACCATGTTAGCCAGGTTGGTCTCGATCTCCTGACCTCATGATCCGCCTGCCTCGGCCTCCCAAAGTGCTGGGATTACAGGCATGAGCCACCGTGCCCGGCCTAGGGCTGCTCTTGCTACTTCAAAATGGAGCTAGCTTAATGTTATTTATTAGTTAAATTTTTAATTATATGAATTGGGTAGAAACATGTCACCAGGGATGCCAAGTAATTAGAAATTAAGGAAGAACTATGGATTTGAGCTCCTGAATTGATTCTACCAAAACACATCCAGGTAACAGGAAATTAAGTTTTAACTTGTTAGTATACCAGCAGAACGAGGCACAAAAATTCAGATGATGAAAAGCCAGCAGAGAGCCCCGGGAGATTCCCTGAGGTGCCCCTGAACAGACGCTCCCTGTACTAGAAACGGTCATGAGACTAAGACACCTCAACCAGCAGGGCTTGAAGCCAGACAGGAGGGGCAGCCCCACTTCTGAAACCAAAGACCTAGGTTCAAGTCCCAGATGCACAACCAACGAGGATAAACGTATCTGCCAGGACTGAATCACAGGGTTGGGGTGAGGTTTGCAGGAAGTGTAACTGTGGAAGCAGTTAGTCACTGGGCAAATCTACTTCCCAGAGCAAGGTCGTGTGGGGTAGATTCTGTAGACACTCTGTGGAGACTCCTTGTTACTTAGATTTGGATACCAGATACAGGATTTCTAGCAGGGAGAAAATAAATACTCGATGTATCTTTTTTGAACTGGACAAGGCTGATAGGAAGGCAACCTGAACACTTCCTTAAGAAGGGTACAGATGGAAAGCAACGGCAATGTAGGGGAGGAAATCATCACTTCTGGCTAAAGAAGATCAGGGGAGATAGCCTTGGGGCGGGGCGGGGGAGAATCAGAAGTTATGAGGCTAAGACAATGTGGACCTAGACGTGGGAAAAAAACAGCTTCTGAATGAGGAATACGGTAGGGTATGGACTGGTGGGTGCACAGTGAGGCTGGAGGGTAATGGAGTAAAATAATCTGTCCACAGACCGAAGACACATGTTTTTCTTTTAATTTAATTTTCTTATTATTATAATTTTTTATTTTTTTATTTTAATTGTACTTTAAGCTCTGGCGTACATGTGCAGAACATGCAGTTTTGTTACATAGGTATACACGCGCCACAGTGGTTCGCTGCACCCATCAACCTGTCATCTACATTAGGTATTTCTCCTAATGCTCTCCCTCTCCTAGCCCCCGACTCCCTGACAGGCCCAGGTATGTGATGTTCCCCTCCCTGTGCCCATGTCTTCTCAGTGTTCATCTCCCACTTATGAGTGAGAACATGCGGTGTTGGGTTTTCTGTTCGTGAGACACATGATTTTTTACTAAAAGTAGAAATACGTATTGTATGTGAAACACGCAGCGCCTCCCTGCTGGTTTGTTTGCCTTCTGTGAGCTCCTGCCCCTCATTCATTTCATTAGGCACCTTACCTCCACTTTATCTATTTATTGCTGTTTTTCAAACTTGATTTGGGCACCATACATGTTCATGGCTGGCTATTTAAAATGTTTTCCAGTGGCTGCAAGCAAGATACCAATTTATCTTATGGCTGCAAGCGGAGCTGAAATGATCTGGCATTGCCACAGGGCAGACAGTTATTTCATGCCCTGTTAATTCCTAATGCAGTAACTACAATATCATTCCTATTTTAAAAGAGGTGCTTTCTTTTTTTTTTATATGTGGCCTAAGTGCCCAAATAAAGAACATCACTTCTAATGAGGCCAAGTCTCAAAACATAACCTCATTACCACCACTGCCATCCTAATGCCGGGCTTCTAGCTTTAAGGCAGTTAAGAAGTCAAAGAAACTCTTCGTTGTTTACAGGCAATACAAACACATCAGCAACACTGTGTGTTCTCTTCACATCTGAAAATGACAGTCAGACGTGAGGGGCTGGTGTTTCCACCCAAAGATGGTCCAGGCTAGGGGGTTCCTTCTGCCACAGAACAGGCTCAGTGGACAGGGCTGTCTCTGTGCATGTGACAGCCATGAAACCAACAGCCTCTGTGCTGTGACCACCCACTGGTTCCAAAGGCAGAACATCCATGGCAAGTCACGCCTTAAGAGCCGAGAGGGCCGCGTTGCTAGGAGGATAAGACCTGGTCTGGATAGGCCTGGGGGAAATACTGACCCATCACGATTCTGGTTGCCTGTTGCTTCAAGTCACATTGGCTGATTCTCAACAGACTCTATTCATTAATATTTCCCAGCCCTCCTCTGTCACTTGACCCGCTCCCACCGCACCCCACTTCCTTATGCTCATGTCACTTCCTTCAGGCCAAGTCGGCCTCAGGTTCCCCTCCTGCATCCCCCACACAGGGCCTTGTAATTCTATCACAGCCCTCAAAACCCTGCATCAGGGTTGCATGATTGATTTTTTTAGTCTCCCCATGAGATAGGGGACCACACGTTCTCTTTACATCACTGCATCCCAGCACCTATTGCCATACTAGGTGGATAGAAAGCCTCCAATCCCCAGTGGATGAAGGAAGGATGTGTGCTAAATAAATAGGTGCTGACTTCATCTGAAAAGTCTACAGGCCCCACCCGAGTACCCCGAAGGAACTGATATAATGGCAAGAGCTTGAGCTTTAGAACCAAGCAGACCCAGGCTCAAGTACCAGCTCTGCCACTGACTGAGGTATGACGTAGGGCAAGAGACACCCTCTCTGAGGTTCAATCTCTCCATCTATAAAATGGGTATAATACCATGTACTTTGCATGGATGTGTTTATGAGGATTCAATGAGATGATATACCTGGTATATAGGAAATGTGTAAGCCCATGACTGTCTCAGTAGTAATTGTGTGGCTCCCATCTGTTGTGGGAACCCAGCAGCAAAGAAACTGGAGAGGACAAGAGCCCAGAGCTGCCTTGGGTTCTGGGACACCCAGCACTCTCAGCAGAGAGATGCGGACACAGGACCTAAGGCAGCCCCACAAGCTTCTGGGGCCAGAGAAAAGTATCATGAACTTGGAAGGAATTCTTCCAGTGTGGCCCAGAGAACAGCATCACCTCTGACTAACCTCCCTCAGCTCATCCGACCACAAAGCTGCAGTGACCCCGGAACCAGGGTGATGCTTCACATCCAGCTCTTCGCTCTCTGAGAGTCTCCCACTCCCAAAGCTCCTCCACACTGTCAGGCACCAAAGAAGCTGGCATAAATCTGTATGGGGTGCAGGGCCAACTCCAGACCTGCTGAGATTTCATCTCCTGAAACAGTGACATCGCAACCACCCTCTTTTTCCTTCCTGCCAACCTTTGTCATCCCTGGAAACCTTATCGAGCTAGCTTCTCCTTGGCTTGCAGACAAGACAACTAATCATGGACCTAACAGCTCGTCAGCTTCAAAAGCAGCTGCCCCCATCCTGTGCCTGGCTGAGAAAATCAATGTGCCTTTGAATTGCCGTGTGTAGAGAGGGCCCCAGCCTCTGAGAACAAAAGAAGCGAGATGGCTGAACAGTTCCATAAACAGGGCTGGAAGTTTTCCTGGCCTGAGGGAAGGCTTATAGCAAGTGATATATTAAACGGTAGATCCAAATATCTTTATCATGCCCCTGAACTGAGGAAAACAGCCCCGGTGGTAGAAAAATCACAGCTCCAAGACCCTGTGCAGGACTGTCCACCCCAACCAGCAGAAGAGTAGCTGGCTGGCGCCGTGCCTGACGTGATGAAGATGCTGAGTCTATGGGAACCACCTGATTGAATCCACCAAAGACGGACGCAGAGTCCAAACTCAGAAGCCCCCTCCTCCTGTGAGGTACAAAGCCCCATGGAAATCCCTGTTGCAATTTCCTGGTGGAAAGGACCAACCACCCACTGTGCCAGAGCACACCCCCTGGGCTTCCCCACCCTTGGTCCAGATCAGAGGTAATGCAGCAGAAATGCTGGTGAGATGTGGGGGTTGATCTTGTCTGAAAAGGCCTTCTTCAGGGCTGTTTAAAAATCCATGTCCATGCCCATGGTAGACCATTCATAGCAACAGGCTCCCATTAACATAAGAAGGCACTCATCCTCACTAATAATTAAGACAAACTCAAATTCAAATAAAAGGGGGTACCATCTCTCATCTATCACTAAGCGAGAGGATGTGGGGAAAACTGTAATCGCCAGTTCTGGTGGGCATGTAATTATGCAGCCATAAGGCAGTGTCTAATAAACTGAACATGCTCAGACCTTATAACCCAGCAATTCTGGGTCCAGGTTGCCTATGTGCCCAAAAAGACGTGTATAAGAACACTTATTGAAGTGTTATTTATAATGCTAAAAAACTGAAAGGAATCTAAAGTGGGGGCTATGGCCAGGGAAACGGCTCAAGTGTTTATATAGTAGAATGCTATAGGATTGTGAAAAGGGATGAAGAGACCTCAATATCAACATAGACACAGCTCAGACCACAATGCAGAGTGGAAAAGGTAAACTGCAAACAATATGTAAATTGCACATACGCACACACACACACACAAACATATATACACACACACAGAGTCCCACCCGACTTTAAGGGCTCAGCTTGTATCCCATCTGACCTAGGAAGTGTCTCTGACCATTCCAGCCCACTCTGCACTCCCGGGATGCTTATCATAAAAGCCCAGGCTGCTCTGCGTCTCAGCACTATTGATGACCCTCACGTACTTCAAGCCTCTTCAACTTGACCATGAGTCCGTGGGGCAGAGAATATGACTCCTGTTCTCTCTGCTGACACCATAGTGCCTTGCACAGAGTAGGCACACAGGGTCGATATCTGCTGAGTGGCTCAGTGGGACAACTCGCTGAGCTCACGGGCAAGGCCACCACATAATGCATCATAGTAGGTGGCCTCTCTCTGAGAACCCAAAGCAAGCATCGTGTCACCGGCTCTTCCCGCTGCCCACACTGCCATCCATGTTAGGAGGTCATGGAAACCCCTCCCCATCCTGCCCGTCTCCCTTTCCCGAAGTTCTGAGGGGACAGACTGTTGCCTGCAAGTATGAGCACACAAATAACTCCAAACACAAATATGGCCTAACAAATAGCCATAAATCATTCTGATTCCATCCAGTGACAACTCTAATTTATAACATGAGGAAAGAAAACGAACACTGTGGGTTGTTTTCTCCCCTCGGCTTCTCAGCTGCTGCTGAGGAAGAATTCCACCCGGCTGTTACTCACGAGCAGAAGTTCCTGATGTACGTATTACTAAAGATGAAATATACCAGGGGCCTACGGGCACAGGAGCTGCCGTGACTTCCAGTTTGAATTCCCGCAGCCCTATTACTCCCGGTGCGAGCAGCCTCGTTGTTCGGGGGCCCCACCCAGCCTTGCCTCACTCTCTACCTCTCCCTCCAGCGTAGGAGATGAGGGTCCTCCCAGGAAGAACCAAGCCCTCCCTCCTTTGGCTCCCTGCGATGATGGCTAATGCCTTTGTACGATCAGCGGTCACCGTCCTAGAGGTGCGCCCAGAGCAGTGTGTTTGGGGGAATCTGCATTTTAATGTTCTGTGCAGTCAATTAAACCACACTGTGCAAACACTGAGCACAGGAGAATGCAGGAACTGGAATTTCTTGGATAGAGGCTTTTCTTTTTGCATCTCCATAAAGCATTGTTATTAGGTATTTAAAAAAAACATAAAACAAAAGTCATCCCTCTGTGAGGTCATATAATACAGGCCATTTGGTGCTATTTTTAACAGCCATAAAAGCACATGATTTATACGGAAAAAGTCATCATGACAAAGCATGTCACAAAAAACATTGGCGTGGAAGGGTAACACATTGAATTCAAGTGGGTTTATGGTCCCAGCTATCCATCCTGTATGCTCGCAAACTCAACACACCAACAGACTCCAGAATGCCTCTCTTTGACCCGTTCGAAATAACAGGTGGATCACGAGCCAGCTTCTCAGCTCCGGGCCCAAGGCAATGCCTTCCCTGTTCCCAGGGGAAGTTCCTTCCCAGGACCAGTTAGGAACGCAGGGAAGTGGATGCTAGTTAACCAGCAGGCCAAGACTTCACCTTGACTCATGCCCTCCCCCTCTACGGCTGTGACACATGGCTCAGGCCCTCAAACGATGGCAAAGAGGAATAAGGGAATTTCTCCATGGCTGCCCAAGGTTGAGAGTCTGTGGGGTGAAAACAACAGCAAGGAAACCAGTCTTTACCCAAGGGCCAAAACCCGAAGTCGGCCCAAGATCCCAAGATGTTTCTGCAGGACCCCAACCATGCAAGAATCATGCACACCTGTGATCCCATCTAATGATCTCAAACCTCTATTAAGGCTGACACACCCAGGGTTTGTCGGTGGAGGGGGTGAAGCCAGGCTCTGTGAGGGGCCTGCCAGCTTGGCAGGGGGAGGCCAGGGTCACCTCAAGAGGGAAGTTCCTTACGCTGCCTCCCCTCTTCCCTGACACTTTGCAAACTCTCAATGCATCCAGAGGCTCTTCCGTGATAAATACAACAAATGAGTCCACAGGAAACTTGCAAATCCCCATCTATATAGCAATGACTCCCAAGAAACAGGAGTGCTTTAGTTCAATCCAGTTTCACTGAAAACTTGAATGGAGACTATAGGGTAAGAAGGTAGAAAAACGAAACAAAAGCAAAAACCAGGGTCTTGGCAAACAAAAATTCTTTGGACAGAGGTGACTCGCATCAAATTACTCCAAGCAATTCCATTCTCCACTGCAGCCTGCAAATGACATTTGTGCACCAAGGGAACCTTTTCTGCTGTTTACCTCCACTCCCTGGACCTTGAGTTTCATGTGGTCCTCTCTGGTCGTTTTCCCATCTTTCCTCTTTTTCCAGCAATACCCATCTTTCCTGTATTTCACTTTCTTCCTGTTGTAGAGTATCATTGAGCCATTCTGTGGTCTGGAAACAACAAATGGTTAAGTTACCAAGAGTACCAAGTAGAAGAAAAATTTATGAAGAAAGATATCATCGACCAGTAAAAGTCTCTACAGAAAAGCAATATTCCACATTTGCTGGAACATAATTTTTCACCTTTTATTGCATCTCCCTGGATTAACCATGTTTTATGGCCAGCCAAAATTTGCTTTGGATTTGGTACCTAATGAATTAAATGTGTCAATGATAGGCTTAAAAAACATCCCCTCAGTAATAACCACAAAGTAATCAGGATATACGATGTGGGGGCCTGAGCTCTGCACTGAAAAGTAGGCAAAACAGAGACAGAAAGCAAAAAGAGCCAGGGGTGTCGTGGCAGCCTGCAATATCTTATCTCTTGTGGAAGGATTTTCTACACATCTTTTAATCCATCACCCAGCATTAGGAAATAAATAAGTTTAACGCAGACGCTAGATGACTATGTTAAGAACAGACCGATGGCAGAGCTGTTCACCGAGGCCAAATGCTGTTGGTTCATTGCCTGCATTTAGATTACTGCTAGATATGAAAGAGCATCTGCGGTCTTGCTTCTCAAGCAAGCTAAGTACCCGATTCTTTCCCATTTAGGCTTCAGCTGTCAGGGGTCTCAGATACTGCCAGGTAAAGTCATCTATTCAGTCCACAGCCAGAGCATCTCAGGGAAATAGCGGCTTGCTCCCTAAATGCTAAGAGTTAGATGGTCATTCGTGTGATGATGAAAAAGGTAAAGAACCTTGAATTTGCCAAAAAGAAAACACGCGTCCACCACAGAGAGGAGAGGCTGATGACGTGCATATCTGCAGATGCGGTGGTCAGGTCACATATTTGGGTTTGGAAACCCCAAGGAGAGAAAGAACTAAACCCCTCTAGCAGCTGAGGGCAAGTGCTGTGATAAACCACTTTCAGAATAAAGTTTCAGTAGCTGTGGGCAGATCCAACGTCAAGGAAGACTCCCCCAAAATCTAGCAGCACCCCACGCAGTGCTGCACCACTCTGCACCTGAACGTGCAGCAGGGGAAGAGGAATGCCAGCGATTCTGCGCACCACGAGGCCAGTGCAGGCTTGCCACCTCACTCTCAGCCACGGCCAGAGAGCTCTTTACACAAATAAGGCAAATGAAGTGGGGCTTCTTCAGCCTGGCTTGTATGTTGCTCTGCTACAACGGAGGCGAGGAAACCATAAGTCAGCCATCTGTCCCCCGCAGGGCTGGGGCAAGACCCTCCAGCGCCTTTCTTTTCTTCTTGCTACGAACAATGGGCCATTTCACAAGCAGCACAGAACATTGGCTGTTGATGGCTTCATATTCTATTGTCTGGGGGGAAAAAAACAGTCCCACCAGGGTGACTGCAGCTAATTGTAGTTTCCACCCAGCCCCACTATGTCATTCAGCGGCAATATGATGACTAAACAGCAATTCCGCTGGAAATTACAGACTTTCAACAGCGACTCCCGATACTTCATTGTTTCCCGATCAGGGCACAATTGGTTTGTGTCAGTGTTGGTTTCCTCCCTAAGTCTGTATCGACTAAAACAATCAGGAAATGGCTCCACGCGCTTGTCACAATGCTGTCACCCGCTGGTATCTGTCTCCTGCTTACAAGTCTGCATTGGAAACCTTACAATTCACTTCCATTTCTAAATGGCAGGTAGGCTTGCATGTGGGGCCAACGATGTCAGCCTCTTCCCGCTTCAGCCCCTCTCTAGATGTTTGTCCTTAATCTTCACCGTGCTGTAAGCCCTCCCCGCCCCTGAAAGACCCATTAGAAGGTGCCTGAGGTCCACGGACTGTGCTTAGGACCACTTCCTAAGGAATAAGCAAGGGAACTTGTTTAATGAAACAGGTGGGCTCTGCGTGTGGCTCATTCTCTCCAAAAAAAGAATGAAGACACTCATGAGAGTGTGGCAATGCCGGGTCTTCTTCTGTGGATGGGTTTTCTGTGACTGGAGAATGAAGATACTCCATCCAAGGAGAAGACTGGACGTTGATCCAATCTAGCCTCTTGTGAGCTAAGACATGAACTGTGATTTGTTCCATCCCTTGCCCTTTCTAAATATGACTAATAACCTCAGCAGGGTACTCAGGCAAACCGTTCCCACATCGTAAGTGGTATGACCCACAGAGAGAGGACTCTCTCAAACACTGTCATGTACACAGTCAGAATCGCAACTGCACTCACCCTAGGAAACCCACCTTCCTCTGGTGACCCGCCCTTTGGCATTCTGAGAGTAGCCCTGTCATCCGGCACTTTCAGCAGGATACAATCCCACAGGGAACTTAAGTGTCCAGCTTAAATGGCCTTAATAAATGGAATCATCATTTTAACTTGCAATAATGAGCAACCTAATAGTGTTTAATCCACCAATCTGATTTTATTAGAACTTGTTCGGCTCTGTGTGATGGGGAAGGCCCTTACCACAACTCAGGGTCCTAGGAACAGCAAAGGAGAAAGACAGGCTGCAGAAGGGCCCACGTGCCCCCAAGGCAAAGAAAATGAGGCCGTACTGCCGTCCCAGAAAAGAATCAAAAGCAAGTCAGACCCAGTACTTTGGGAGGCCGAGGCAGGTGGATCACTTGAGGACAGGAGTTTGGAACCAGCCTGGCCAACATGGTGAAACCCCACCTCTACTAAAAATACAAAAAATTAGCCTGGCATGGTGGCAGGCACCTGTAATTCCAGCTACCCAGGAGGCTGAGGCAGGAGAATCTTTTGAACCTGGGAGGCAGAGGTTGCAGTGAGCTGAGATCGTGCCACGGCACTCTGGCCTGGGGCACAAAGCATGTCAAAAAAAAAAAAAAAAAAAAAAGCAGGTCAGAGCTGGTGGGAAGGGATCAGAGGAAGGAGGAGGGAAGTGGGGTCCTGCTCTGGGACGAATGACAGGTGGGCTAGACCACAGGGCCCAGTCAGGGGAGGGCTTTAACACACTTCATGATGGCATAAAAGATAGCCCCCCTCCCCACAAGAAGAGCAGGAAAACAGGAATGGAATTGCAGGCAGACAGGATAACAGAAGCTTCATGGGGCAGGCATGGAAGTCCTGCAACTTAATAATGCCACCCACTTCCAGTTATTGTTGATTTACTGTGTGCCCGGTACCAGTGGGGCACGCCACTTGCGTGTCTGTATCATCTACACCTAAATCTATATCCGTACTTATACCTATAACCCTTAACTATGATCCATATTATTGGCATCCTTGCACCCACCCTATGAGGTAGGTATTATTATCATTCCCAGCATATAATCAAACCATTCTAGCCACAAAGTGTTCAGGCAGGATACACGCTGAGTTGGTCTGACTCCAGAGTTGCCCCTGAGGCTGCTGGGCTAGCACAGGCTGTGGGGCCAGTCTCCGTTCTGCTCCACCTGCTGGGTGATCATTACCACCCTGAAAGCATCCTTTACCCGATAGACAGGGATTTCATGGGTGAATCCCAGGCTTCCTTTCCCTGTGGCTGGGGTCACTCTGGGGCAATCTCAGGCTTCCCTGCCCGGTGGAGGGGGTCGCTCTGAGTGCCCTATGTGAAACTCCCCTCTGCTTGTTAGCTCCAGTTCCCACAGTGGTGACTTGCAGGGGGAATGGCCCTTCATTTGCATTCCTCCTCCTCCTCTTTCACTTCCACATGCCCTGACTGGTGTTTCCTGGGATGGCTTCTCAGATAAACTGTTCACACTCAAGTCTTCATCTCGGGATCTCCTTCTGGGGAAGCTGAACGAAGGCTGATGGTGTGAGACAGCCACAGGGAAACCTTCCGAGACCTCCACTGCAGCCGTGCAGAGGCATGTCAAGAAAAATACGGGGACAACAGGGAGCTTTATTCTCACTAGGGAGGTATCTAGCCAAGGAAACCTTTTATCTAAGAGACTAATAGCGAGCAAAACCAATAGCGCTCAGTGCAACATGGCAAAAAGGTCAGGGGATCAATGGAAACCTACTACAAATTATAACAGTAAAGAAATGGGTATAAAGTTAGCTTATATTTTAATTATCTAGCCAAGAAAGATATCGTATATATATAATATCTATAAGCTATTGGCTTATAGATACATCTTCTATAAGATCTGTTATATGTATTATATATATAATACAGTCTCAGTAAGACTGCGTAGATTACACAGAGTAAAACTGTATAATATATATTATATATAAGACAGAAATATATGAAACATCTATATGCTATTGGCTTATAGATTATCAGCCAATAGCTTATAGACATTGTATGTATGTGTGTGTATGTATGTATGTATGTGTGTGTGTGTGATATATATATATATACACACACACATATATATATATATCTTGGCTAAATAATTAAAATATAAACTATTGACTAGATAGATTGATGAAATGATGGAAGTCCCCATTTACTACAGAAAAACAAAATTAAATGCCTAGGCATACATTTAACAAGAAATTCCCAAAACCTAAAAGAAAAACTCTAAAAATATTCTAACAGACACAAGAGTAGGTTTTGATTCATGCAAAAACATGTCTTGGTTAGGTAGAGTTATGATCATTAAAATGTCAATCTTCCGAAGTTAATTAATTAATTAATTTATTTATGTATTTATTTTTATTATTATTATTATACTTTAAGCTTTAGGGTACATGTGCACAACGTGCAGGTTTGTTACATATGTATACATGTGCCATGTTGGTGTGCTGCACCCATTAACTCGTCGTTTAGCATTAGGTATATCTCCTAATGCTATCCCTCCCCGCCTCCCCCAACCCCACAACAGTCCCCAGTGTGTGCTGTTCCCCTTCCTGTGTCCATGGGCTCTCATTGTTCAGTTCCCACCTATGAGTGAGAACATGTGGTGTTTGGTTTTTTGTCCTTGCGATAGTTTGCTGAGAATGATGGTTTCCAGCTTCATCCATGTCCCTACAAAGGACATGAACTCATCATTTTTTATGGCTGCATAGTATTCCATGGTATATATGTGCCACATTTTCTTAATCCAGTCTGTCATTGTTGGACATTTGGGTTGGTTCCAAGTCTTTGCTATTGTGAATAGTGCCGCAATAAACATACATGTGCATGTGTATTTATAGCAGCATGATTTATAATCCTTTGGGTATATGCCCAGTAATGGGATGGCTAGGTCAAATGGTATTTCTGGTTCTAGATCCCTGAGGAATCGCCACACCGACTTCCGCAATGGTTGAACTAGTTTACAGTCCCACTAACAGTGTAAAAGTGTTCCTATTTCTCCACATCCTCTCCAGCACCTGTTGTTTCCTGACTTTTTAATGATCGCCATTCTAACTGGTGTGAGATGGTATCTCATTGTGGTTTTGATTTGCATTTCTCTGATGGCCAGTGATGATGAGCATTTTTTCATGTGTTTTTTGGCTGCATAAATGTCTTCTTTTGAGAAGTGTCTGTTCATATCCCTCGCCCACTTTTTGATGGGGTGGTTTGTTTTTTTCTTGTAAATTTGTTTGAGTTCATTGTAGATTCTGGATATTAGCCCTTTGTCAGATGAGTAGATTGCAAAAATTTTCTCCCATTCTGTAGGTTGCCTTTTCACTCTGATGGTGGTTTCTTTTGCTGTGCAGAAGCTCTTTGGTTTAATGAGATCCCATTTGTCAATTTTGGCTTTTGTTGCCATTGCTTTTGGTGTTTTAGACATGAAGTCCTTGCCCATTCCTATGTCCTGAAAAATTTATAGATTCAATGCCATCCCCATCAAGCTACCAATGACTTTCTTCACAGAATTGGAAAAAAACTACTTTAAAGTTCATATGGAACCAAAAAAGAGCCCACATTGCCAGGTCAATCCTAAGCCAAAAGAACAAAGCTGGAGGCGTCACGCTACCTGACTTCAAACTATACTACAAGGCTACAGTAACCAAAACAGCATGGTACTGGTACCAAAACAGAGATATAGACCAATGGAACAGAACAGAGCCCTCAGAAATAATGCTGCGTATCTACAACTATCTGATCTTTGACAAACCTGACAGAAACAATCAATGGGGAAATGATTCCCTATTTAATAAATGGTGCTGGGAAAACTGGCTAGCCATATGTAGAAAACTGAAACTGGATCCCTTCCTTACACCTTATACAAAAATTAATTCAAGATGGATTAAAGACTTATATGTTAGACCTAAAACCATAAAAACCCTAGAAGAAAACCCAAGTTAATCTATAAATGTGAAGTCATAACAATGAGAATCCCATCAGTAATTTTTTTTCTGGATCTAGAACATTTTATTGTAAAGTTTATTTGAAAGGAAGAAGCACTAAGAATAGCCAAATAAACCTCCCAAAAGAAGACCAAGGCATAGGGGCTAGCGTTACCAGCTATTAACACGTATGAGAAAAGTTTTATATCTTAAAAAGTATGGAATTTACACATGCAGAGACAAGCCAATGGAACAGAATAGAAATTTCAGAAATAATTCCACTTACACATACAAATTCAGTATACACAATCAAGGAGGTATCTCAAGTCAGTGGGAGAAGAAGTCAAGTTTTTCTTTCTTTTTTTTATTTTTTATTTTTTGAGATGGAGTCTTGCTTTGTCGCCCAGGCTGGAGTGCAATGGTGCGATCTCGGCTCACTGCAAGCTCCGCCTTCTGGGTTCATGCCATTCTCCTGCCTCAGCCTCCCAAGTAGCTGGGACTATAGGCGCCCGCCACCATGCCCGGCTAATTTTTATTTATTTATTTATTTATTTATTTATTTATTTATTTTATTTTCAGTAGAGACGGGGTTTCACTGTGTTAGCCAGGATGGTCTCGATCTCCTGACCTTGTGATCTGCCTGCCTCACCCTCCCAAAGTGCTGGGATTACAGGCGTGAGCCACCACGCCTGGCTGAAGGGGTCAAGTTTTTCATAAGTGAAATTGGGGGACCTAGAAGGCACATGGAAAATACCAAAATGGGTTTACCCCTCACATCATACAGCAGCACTGATGCTAAACAGTCAGAGATTTCAATGTAATAAATAAAATCATACCTACCCTACAAGAAAATACAGGTGAATTTCTCTATAACCTGAAAGTGGAGAAAACTTTCTTAACCATGATTGAAAACCCAGCAACAATATGTGAAAGATACTTACATCTTATTAGATAAAAATAAAACTGCCAGACTGTTTTCCAACATGGCAGCACCATTTTCCATTCATTCCCACTAGGAATGGAGGAGGGTTCCAATTTCTCCACATCCTCCCCAGCGTTTGACATTATCTGTCTTTTGGATTATAGGCATCCTAGTGAGTGTATTGTGGTTTTAATTTGCATTTCCCTAATAACTAATGATGTTGAGTACCTTTTCATGTCCTTGTTAGCCATTCAGATAGACATTGAATCTATTTGAATCTCTTGCCTATTTTTAATTGAGTTGCCTTCTTGTTTTTTGAGTTTTAAGAGCTCTTTACATATAATCTAGATACAAGTCCTTTATCAGACATATGATTTGCAAATACTTTCTCCCAATCCATAACTTGTCCCTCTTTTCCTTAATGGCTTGATGGTTTCTTTAAAAGAGTAAAAATTTTCCCCTTTGGTAAGTTCCAATTTATCAATTTTTTCTTTTATGAATAGTACTTAGTCTCATCTAAGGGTGCTTTGCCGAACCCAAGGTAATAAACATGTCTTATGTCTTCTTCTATATCTTTTATATCTTTAGCTCTTGCATTTAGGTCATGATCCATTTTGAGTGAATTTTTGCATATGGTGTGAGATAAAGGTCAAGTTTATTTTTGTCACTGAATATCCAATTGTCCCAGCACCATTTTTTAAATTTAAACAGCCTATTTTCTCCACCCCCAACTCCACTGAATTGCTTTTGCACCTTTGTTGAAAATAAATTGACCATAAACATATGATTTTATTTCTGAACTTTCTCTTCTGTTCCATTGTCTATTTTTATGCCAATACTATCTATCTTGATTGTAGCAGCTTTATAATAAGTTTTGAAATCCGGGACTATAAGTCCTCCAACTTTGTTCTTCTTTTTCAAAACTGTTTTGGCTATTTTAAGTCCTTTGTATTTCCATATATATTTTAGGGTTAGCTTGACAATTTCTGAGGAAAAAAGGCTGCTAGAATTTTAATTGGAGTTGTACTGAATCTAGAAATCAATTTTGAGAGAATTGCCATCTTAACAATATTGAGTCTTCCAACCACTTCCAATTGCAGAACATGGAATGTCTTTCTACCCAGGTAAATCCGTAATTTCTTTCATTAAGACTTTGTAGTTTTCAATATATGGGTTTTACACTTTGTAACTTACATTTATCCTATGCACTTTATTATTTTGAAGATATTATGAATGAAATTGTTTTCTCAATTTATTTTTGGATTGTTCATTTGTACTATATAGAAATACAATTGAATTTTGTATGTTGATCTTATCCTGTGACCCTTGCTAAACCTATTTATTAGTTCTAGTAAATTTTTTTTGTAGATTCTTTAGGATAGTTTACATATATAATTAAGTCACCTGTGACTCCACTTTCTTCTTCCCATTGTGGATGCTTTTCTTTCTCTTGCTTTATTGCACTGGCTGGCACCTCCAGTCCAATGTTGAATAGAAGCGGTGAGAATCAACACTTTGCCCTGTTCCTGATTTTAGGGGGAAGCATACAGTCTTTCATCATTAAGTATGATGTTAGCTGTATGGAAGACTTAAGCTAATATGAAAAGGACTCCAGACCAGGTGTGGTGGCTCACGTGTGTAATCTCAGCACTTTGGGAGGCTGAGGAGGGCAGATTGCTTGAGCTCATGAGTTCAAGACCAGCCTGGACAACATGGCAAAACCCTGTCTCTACAACAAAGTGTGGTGGCACATGCCTGTGGTCCCAGCTACTCAGGAGGCTGAGGTGAGAGAATCACTTGAGCCCAGGAGGCGGAGGTTACAGTGAACCGAGATAGCACCACTGCACTCCAGCCTGGGTGACAGAGTGAGACCCCATCTCAATTAAAAAAAAAAAAAAAAAGACTCTGGAACCAACTTGAAGAGGCTCCCACTAACCAAAGATGGGACAATTTGAACATCAACATTCGACTGAAATACATTAAATATGTTTAAATCTATGAGTTCATAATAGTCCTCAAACAAACAAAAAACTAATTGCTCATTGTTGGAAGATGCTAGTGACCCAATACATTATTTTGAAAACTAAAAAAATAAAAAAAGAAAAGGAGAATTAGGCCACATATCCTGCCTTTCCTGTACAAACTGTTCTTTTGAGTTACCAAATAGGAGGAGAAAGAACTTTCTCTATAAAAGTACTCCAGCCAATAAATGAAGAAGAAATGAGAGAATTAAAATATCATTGTTTTGTCATCCCTAATGAATTAATGGATCTGGGCATGGATCATCAATGGTGGCTGACATCACAAAAGAGAGACAACCAGATAGTACATGTCCTCTGCTATGGTTTGGATGTGTCCCCCTAAAGGTCATGTGTTGGAAACTTAATCCCCACTACAACACTGTTGGGAGGTCAGGCCTAATAAGAGGTGATTAGGTCATGAATGGATTAACGTCATTACCTTGGGAGTGAGTTAGTTATTACAGGAGTGGCTTTTTTTTAATAAAAGTGAGTCTGGTGGCCCCCTCCTCCTCTCTCATTCTCATTCTCTCATTCTTGCCCTCTCTTGCCCTTCCACCTTCCACCACGCGATGATGTAGCACAAAGGCCCTCACAAGGCGCCATGCTCCTGAACTTCCCAGCCTCCAGAACCATGAGCCAAGTAAACTTCTATTGTTTATAAATTACCCAGTCTGTAGTATTCCATTATAGCAACACAAATGGACTAAGACATCCCCTGATGGAAGTACATTTTGCTGCAAAAAAAAAAAAAAAAAAAAAAAAATTGACCTTGAAGCTATTGAGAACTCTTGCTCTAACCTCCACTTTCTACAATCTGCAGAGGGCGCTGGGACATGGTATCGTAAATGATGCCATGGGGATACAGTCAGCAAAATCCAGACTATGGAAGACTCTACGGGGCAAATGACTTGGCTTCTTTAACCAATTCTCTGAGGAAGAATGAGTAAGTAAGAGAGAAAAAAAGAGCAGGAGTGTGCTGGAATGAGAACATATAGCCTGAAAAAGTCAAAGAAATAATCAACCAATTGCAATATGTAGACCTTACTTGGATACTGTCTGAGCCAAACAAACTGTAAAATGAAAGATGGCATTTGTGAAACAACCGAAATGTTGAACAGTGACTGGGTATGTAATGAGATTTAGAATTATTATTCATTTGTAACAGTGATCAGTGTAGTGCAGAAGTATTTTTTTAAAAGAGAACTTATCTTTTAGAGAAGTATACTGAAATATTTACTGATGAAATTATACAGTGTCTGAGAGATGCTTCCAAATAATGTTGAGGGAAGGAATGGGAGAGTATGGATGAAATAAGACTGACCATGGTATAATAACAAGAAGAATTCAAAGAAACAACAATTATTGAGTGCTTACCAAATAGCGGGCACTGATATAAAATTGTCCTTCCTCCCCACTGGACTGCAAGCTGTGCAGAGGTGGGGCTGTGGCACCCACGGCACCCCACGTGAATGCTCGGCCACGATAGCTGCTCGGTAAATATATTTTGTTTTGTTTTGAGATGGAGTCTCGCTCTGTCACCCAGACTGGAGTGCAATGGTACTATCTTGGCTCACTGCAACTTGCACCTCCCGGGTTCAAGCAATTCTCCTGCCTCAGCCTCCCTGGAAGCTGGGATTACAGGTACATGCCCCACGCCCCGCTAATTTTTGTATTTTTAGTAGAGACAGGGTTTCACCATGTTGGTCAGGCTGGTCTTGAACTCCTGACCTCAGGTGATCTGCCTGCCTTGGCCTCCCAAAGTGCTGGGATTATAGGCATGAACCACCACACCTGGCCCTGCTCAGTAAATATTAACTGAACAAATCAGTGAACATCAGCGTAGAGTTTCAAGCTGAGCCCCTGGGAGCCCTGGGAAGGAGCCATGAAGGAATTCCTCCAGTCTTGCTCTGCAGCGAGTCTTGGTCATTCCATGTTCTATTCTTCACGTACATTAACTGCTTAATGCTCAGAACTACCTATGAGGAAGCACTGCTCTTATATCCATTTTAGAGTTGAGTACACTGAGTGGTTAAGCAAATTTTCAAGGTCAGAGGACTAGTAAGCGTGAGAGTCAACATTCAAATCCAGACTATCTGACTTCAGCCCATTTGCTCTAAACCACCGAGTCTCATCCCTGTTGCCATTCTGTGCCCAAGCTTCAGATGTATCTCTCCCTTTGAATCCTATAAAACCATCCAGTATTTCCATAGCAAAATGTTTTTGCTTTAAAAAAAAAAAAAAAGAAAGAAGACTGACCATATTAAAGTTGAATGATACGTATATGTGAATTCATTATGCTAGTCTGTTTATATTTGTAGATGTTTGAAATTTTTCCATAATAGTATGTTTTTTAAAAGAAGATTATGAGATTTGGAGTGAGATCTAGGTTGTATCTTAAATTTTAGCTCAGCTCCTTAAGAGCTGTGTGATCTTGAACAAATTACTTGGTCTCTCTGTTTTAGTGAATAGGATGTGTGTAAGGTGCCCGGTGTGCTGCCTGTCATATAGCACATGTTCTCTGTAACTAACAGACTTGTCCTCTTTTTGTAGGGTTCCCCTGTGGGGAGTAACAATGAGGGGACTGAGAGAGTAATGAAATGGTGCATTGTAAGGTGTAGCCGGCAAACCCACCCATGGGAGAGGCCAGCTCCAAACACTTGCAGCTCACAGACTCACCTATCACTTTAGGGAGTGATCTTTTTCAAATTAGGTAGATAAAAGATGATTAATAACTGAAGATCAGAGGGGTGATGTGTTCTTGAGACGTTTTGCGTGTGGATATTAAGTAGAAATTTATGGAGCAACTGGGGATTGAATCGAAGACTAGGTTAATTCTGCAAAATAAAAAGTGTAGACACTCTTTCCAGCGTCTTGCTTTAGAAATCAATGCATCCAAAACAGGTCTGGTTCATGGCCCCTCTCCCTCAAACCCCCACTTTCTCTGTCACTAACTGATCATTTCCAGGACCTCAACAACCACCAATTTCATCTGTGCAGACAACTGAGACCCAGCCTGCTATTCCAGTGAGCCGTGGACTTGCGGTGGATCTTTCTCCTGTCAGCCCATTCCCCCAGCCCTGGCCCGGAGGCAGCAGATTTTGTGCAATAAGCTCTGTTCAGGTTGACCGGCTATTGCTCCTCTGAATTCATAAGATCTGTTACTTGCAGCACCCCTTTAAGAACAGATGATGTCCCAGTTCCCAGTGGGACTCCAGGAACAGTATCTGGATGGCTTCTAAAGAACTCTTTTTCCAGCTGGAACCCAAACCCTAGGTCAGCTCCACTGTTTCCTCCCAATGCCTTTGGTCCTATCGCTCCTGCCACAAGGCACAGGGAAGGGCCTGGCTGGAGGGAAAGGCAGTTCATGCAGTTCCAACTGCCTCCCAGCCCTGACCCCAAATGTCAATCAGGCTCCCGTGACAAGACAGGGCCTGCAGTGTCCTAGAAGAGTGGACACTATTCCTGAGGCCAGTGCAGAATCTCTGTTCCAGTGGGCAGTTGGAAAATGAGGAATGTCACCCTTTATTGCAGCTTACATATTTCATGCACCTGCACCTTTCTTTCTGATCTTTCCAACACGGAATGGCCTGATTTCCATGCACCATTAGAGGTACGTGGCCTGGACTAAAATGTCAGTAACAACCAGGACAACTGCGACCATGAGAAGAGCTGCCATTTATTCTGCATGGACCTTGTGCCAGGTGCCGGGGAGGGCCCTTTACACCCATGTTCCATTTTAATCTGACAGTCACTTTAGTAGCTGGGTATTGCTATCTTCATTTTACAGGGTGAGAAGGCTTAGGGCACAGAGAAGTGAAGTAACTTCCCCAACGTCGCACAGCCGGTAAGGGGAGAACCAGGGAATTGCCCCACTGCACCCCCTCCTGATGTCTTGTTTCAAATCCCTGGCACGCCCCAGCTACCCCTCCCCTTCTACAGTCACAACAACTCATAGTACTTTGGGGAGCCCAAGAACCGCCCATGGCAAAACACTTCATACAGAGCAAGGGCGGGCTGAGCCTGATTTAAATTGTAGTTCTTCCTTTTGTTGCAAGGGGAGGGAAAAAGTGCGATGAAGGAACGTCTCCTCTGCTTATCTCTCCCTCGCACAAACCCAGCGAGGGCAGTAATTGATGCCTTGCACATAGCAAGGTTGACAGGACCGCCACATGGAACCTCAAGAAGCCACGGCGACAGCCCGAATCTCACAGGAAGGAACTGGCTTACTAACTTTCAACCTGGAGACTTCCTCTGACTTGTTTACAGGGGTCTTCACGATTTGGGGGACAAGGAGCAAGAAAACTGGTTACAAGCATTCCGTGTCCTCCCCCACACCCCGCAGCCCGGCCACTCTCAGCTGTTTATGAAAAGAGGGGGAAGAGAAGGCTGACAGGCCCGGCCCAGGCTGCAATCTGCCAGATATGAAAACCAATTGCTTCTCATAATACATTCCAGCTAGAGCCATACGAATAATAAGGACAAGGAGAAGGTAGCACCAATTTGCTTTATTTGATTAGCTCCTTCTTGGGCGGTCCAATCCCAGCTTCTTTTCATTAAAATAAGGGCAAATTGAAAATCGTAAAAGAGGTTTTCTTATCAGAGAACAAACGACTAGATAGATTTGTCGGCCTAAAAGCCCCCCACAAGCCACCAGACGGCCGTGATTGCTCCTGCTTTTGCCGTGTTCAATGGGCAGGGCCCAGAAGCTGGTGCTTCCGAAGAGCTTCGTTCCCAGAGATTCAGCGTGTGCTTTCATTTTTCTTTTCTTTTTGGAGACAAAGTCTCGCTTTGTCACCCAGGGTGGAGTACCATGGCATGATCTCTGCTCACTGCAACCTCCGCCTCTTGGGCTCAAGCAATTCTCCTGCCTCACCCTCCCAAGTAGCTGAGACAACAGGCGCCCACCAAACACGCCCAGCTAATTTTTGTATTTTTAGTAGACACAGGGGTTTCGCCATGTTGGCCAGGCTGGTTTCAAACTCCTGGCCTCAAATGATCCACCCGCCTCAGCCTCTCAAAGTGCTGGATTACAGGGGTGAGCCATGCGCCCGGCCTCATTTTTCTGAATAAAAGCAAGGATAGCCAATGGCACTATCCTGTAGCTAGTGTTTCATGCAGTCAGTCTCATCGAATCCTCGCTATAACCCTAGGAAGGCTGATCCCGAACAACCAAGCAAGAGGAGAACCTGGCGGGTCGGGACACACCTAGATTCCATCTCTAAGGGCCACAATGTCTTTGTGGAGAGTTGAGAACAGGATGAAGGGTGGCTAGGGCTTCCAGAACTCAGAGTCAGAAATCAATTTGTATTTTTGGCTGGGCATGGTGGCTCACGACTGTAATCCCAGCACTTTGGGAGCCTGAGGCAGGAGGATCACCTGAGGTCAGGAGTTCGAGACCAGCCTGACCGACATGGTGAAACCCCATCTCTACTAAAAATACAAAAATTAGCCAGGTGTGGTGGCAGGTGCTTTTAATCCCAGCTACTCATGAGGCTGAGGTGCAAGAATCGCTTGAACCTGGGAAGTGGAGGTTGCAGTGAGCTATGATCACACCACCGCACTCCAGCCTGGGTGACAAAGTGAGACTCTATCTAAAAAAAAAAAAAAAAAGGTCAACTTGTATTTTCCAATTTCCCAAGATCGTTAAGCCACAGTTTGTTCACATAAATTGTCTCTGGAGGTCCCTGAAAAGAAGAGGCTGCCCATTTGGAGAGATGGTAATGACCAAGACTCGCTCCAGAGCAAGACTGGAGGAACGCCTCCTTCATGGCACCTTCCCAGGGCTCCCAGGGCCTCGGCTTGAAACTCTACGCTGACGTTCACTGATTTGTTCAGTTAATATTTACTGAGCAGCTATCACGGCTGAGCATTCACGCCGGGTGCTGAGGGTGCCACAGCCCTGCCTCTGCACAGCTTGCAGTCCGGTAGGGAGGAAGAACAATGACGCACAGAGGCCCGCCCTGGGCAGGCCCCAGAGCTGCAGGAGGGAAAGGGGACCCACCAGAGATAGCGAATGAGTGGGTTTGAGAACAGCTGTGAGTGGGTGGCAATGGGCAGCCAAGAGGCCTCTCCCAGGACGCAGCATCTGGGTGGAAGCGGAGGCGAAGGCAAGGACATGAATGCTGGCTCCCTGGAAGGGCTTTCGGTAGAGAGCGTGGCGAGGCCCAGGTTTGGAGAGGAAGCTTGGCAGAGGCTGGCAGACAAAGAACAGGGCAGGGGCAGGAGACGGGGCGAGAGAGCGGCTCACCCCAAGTAATCTGGGCTCCTGAACCAGGGTGGATTTTACTGTAAGAGTGATGAGAGACACGAATTAACCAAGGGTACACGTGTATTAACAGCGATGAAGGAAAAGCGAGGACTCCAATCTTAATACAAATGTAGCATAAAATGTAAGACGGCATAAATTAACCTGGAGAGTGCAACTCCGGTAAGCGCAAGGAAGAAAAAGCAGAGGGCACCTGACAGCATCCTACAGAGAGGCTGGGTCCAGACCAGGGCAGAGGGGTTATGACCCCCACCTCCCCGGCCCCTTGAAAAAGTGATAGTAGGCCGAGGGATTAAAGAGAGTAAAAGTCAGCCAAAAAGAACGGGGAGAGGCGCCTTCCAGACAAAGGGAACTGCACGTCCAGAGGGGTTAGATCCCGGGGCTTTGTGGATCCTCCGAGAATTCCGAACATTGCTCTCGAGGCCATGGAAGCAACTGGAGGTTTTGAAGCAGGGAAGTGGGATGATCACTTAGACTTGGCATGTCTGGCTGCTGCTTCTGCCTCTCTACCTTCATAACTTGTAAACAGCAAACACTCCATAAGTCCTCATCAAATGAGCAAATTAATCAAGAAACAGCAACTTTTCTTAAAAATAGAAAACTTCACTTATTACGCTGAAAGCATTTGGTCAGTGACAAGCCAAAGAAAAGGGGGTTTAAGATGAGAGAGAATTAATGGCATCACCTGTCTTTGCATTCAACACTATAGTCAAGAAAGAGGACCAGCCATTCCTGCTGCTTGGTGCAGCCAGGTCACGTAAGCCCCATCCCAGCACAGTGATGGGAGCCCTGCTCCAATGCCACCCAGCGCCTGGCTCATGTTCAGCCCCACCGCAGTCTCCTCCGGCCAAAGTCCATGCCTCCCAAATGGTGCCTGGTGCTTCCGTGGCCCCTCACTTGTCATATTCCAACACCGATATTTTATTAAGAATCCAATGTAAATCTGAGAGAAAATTAATGTGTCATCTCCTAGCAGGAAGGACTAAACATCTCAATGTGACGGTCTGTTAGAGTTGTCATTTATCATTAGCATGCAATTCAAGGCAAGCTTCTCACATTCTGGTGGGAGCTTTCGAGACAATGAATCTCTGGGAATTAGCTTCTGGTCCAATTATTCCTATTTCTACCCCCCACCTACCTAAGAGATAAATTCCGTCTCGGTGGGAGGGAAAAAAAAAAAAGAAGAGCAGGAGGAGGGAGTTTGCTCTTCTCCTTTCTGGCTGAAATCAATTTTTCTCAAGGAGACAAGGCAATATTCATTTTGTGAGAAGGGAATAAGGCTGCACGCGAAAGGCCAATCAATGGAGCCATTCGGATGAAAACTTCCTCAAATCAAATGTAGGGGAACCTCTTAATGCGCTTTGTTCTTCTTTTCCATAATCCATAACTATTAAGAGAAAGATGGGCGGAGAGTAGCTGCCACAAAGGGAGAGCTACATAAACAGCCGGCCCCTGCAAACACCGGTCTGTGCACCCTCTCAACCTGTTTCTGGAGGCTCCCTACGTGCCTGGCCCCGTGGTAGGCACCGGGAACAGAGTGCTACACAGGTGTGCCCTGGTCCTCAGGGAGCTTATGTTCTAGCAAGGAGATAGGCCAATAAAAATAAACTAATAAAACATATATGGCTGTAAAGAAGATAACCCAAGATAGGAATTCTGTGCATTAAAATAGAATTGTTTTGTCTAGGAACTGTTTAAAACCTTTGGTGCAAAACATAAAAACGCACTCGGACGTAAATCATGCTCCTGGTTCCAAAGCAAACAGGACAACTGGGATGAACAGGCAGATGTCGGTGCCTCCGGGGAAGCGAGAGCCGGCCATGAGTGCTGAGAAGCCGGGGCAGCCGTGTGCAGCACAGCCACACCTGGGGAGTCCAGGGTGCCTTGCTCAGCCACTGAGACTGGGATTCCAGGCAACTGTCCCTCCATCTGCTGGCCAACCACGTGGTGTCCCCCAGCCACACAGGCCAGAGACAAAGGGCTGGAGGGTCCTGGATCAGGAAGGCACCTCTGCCCTGGAGTCCTCTAACAGGCCCCGCTCTCTCTGCGGGGACCACCCACTCAGGGAGAACAAAACCAGCCTCCGATGGGTGGTGTCTCCCAGCCAAGTCCTCCCCGGCATCGCATGCACCCCCAACATGAAAGTTGGCAGGCTGAGCCATCCCTGCTGCTGGGGTCTCCATGAGGGCAGAGGCCACATTTGTTCTGTTTGAGCTCCAAGAAGTCTCTGTGAGGGCAGAGGCCATGCTTGCTTTGTTTGCACTATAAGAAGCCTTTCCTTTAACCTGCACAATCCTGTTCAATAGGATTAGATCCCCATTTGACAGAAGAGGACAGCACATGTCAGAGGCCAAGCAGTGACCCGAGGGAGGCTGCGCTTGGCCCCAGGTCTGGCTGCCGCATAGGGGAGCTGTCATCTCCATCTCATCGGAGCCACATAGCAGCTTTGATTGAAAATCTCGGCCGGGTGCAGTGTCTTACACCTATAATCCCAGCATTTTGGGAGGCTGAGATGAGTGGATTACCTGAGGTCAGAAGTTCAAGACCAGCCTGACCAACATGGTGAAACCCCGCCTCCACCAAAAATACAAAAATTAGCCAGGCATGGTGGTTGGCACCTGTAATCCCAGCTACTTGGGAGACTAAGACAGGAGAATTGCTTGAACCTGGGAGGCAGAGGTTGCAGTGAGCCGAGACGAGATCATGCCACTGCACTCCAGCCTGGGCGACAGAGCGAGACTCTTTCAAAAAAAATAAAACCTCTCTCTCTCTCTCTCTCTCTCACACACACACACACACACACACATTAAGCCAGTATGTGATGAATGCTGGGGTCACGCAGTGCCTGCAACGGCCCCCTGAGCCAGCCTGCTTGGCTTCCCTGGACTCTCCTGCTATCCTCCTCCTCAGCCCTTGCCTGGACACCATCAGGCTATTTCCAAGCTTCAGGCCCACGTCAAGGGGCCAGGAGGTTGCCTGGGCAGATCCCCCGGGGGCTGCTTATCCTACTTAGGGAGGTAGCCACCGGGGCTCTCATCCCACGATCAGACTCGACTGCACCCTGAGTTGGGAGTCCCTCTTGCCATGTGACCCAGTTGGCCTCCTTCCACCTTGGATGCAGCCATGGCTCCTATTTGCTGCCACACCCTCCAGGCTCCTGGGGGGTCCCTCTGTACACTGGTTCCCTCAGCCACGAGCATGGTGCTGAGTGACTCTGGGTTCAAGGAGAGAGGATCCCACTGTGTGCCCCCAACAAGACAGGACTGAGGGCCTCAGCCACCCTCAGCCAACAGCTCCTAGAGACATTGCGGGCGCCAGTCCCTCATGCCATCTCCCCAACTGGCGTGGCTCCCGGGGGCTGGGGCTGGGTCCAGGAGTCACCTTGGCTGCCCTGCCTGGCTGCTCTTCACCTGGGCCAACAAATAAGGATGCTTTCCCAGATCTCTCCGGCATGGGCTCCCGAGCTGAAGAGCCTGAGGGATAACCCTCCACCCTCCACCTCCTTGGCTAAACAATGATTTTCTCGCACACCTAAGACAGCCAACTGCAGCCACTCTGCCAGGACTAACACTAGAATCAGAGGAATGGCTTTTGGTACAGATGATGGGCGATGAGGCAGAGATTCAGGAGGATGTTCCAGATGGCGGGAGATAAGCAGGTAAGGCGCTTTCCACAGAGCTTTGCGGGGCGGGGGGGGGGGGTCAGCCCAGAGCAGCAGCCCAGCCAAGATCCACAGCACCCAGGAGCCCAAGAAAGCCGGGAGAGGGCACAGGCTCAGAGCTGGGGGTTGCCAGTGCCCTCAAAGACTCTTTCTTCCTCTTCCACCCTCCTCCCCAGACCCCGGCCTCATTCCTGCTTCCCAGAGCTCTCTCAAATTGCTAAGGCCTTCTTTAGTTTTTCAGGAGGGCGCTGGCAACCAAAAGCGCAGCTGTGGATCATTAAGCCACAATTTCAAACCTAGGCTTCAGGGCCGGGCCAGGAGCCAGGCCAGGCTGGGCTTTCCCCAGATGTGGTGGGGGGGGACACCCTAGGAACCGGCTTTCTGGGTGCTCCTGTCCTTCACAGGCCCACATACCTCAGCCCCTTCTCCGGCTGCTCAGAGCTCCTTGGGGTGAAAGCGCCCCAGGAACACTTCACCAGGGCCTTCAGGTCATTCCTTGGAGCTTCAGCCCAACCGGCCTCTCAAAACCCCAAGAAGAAACATCTGGATGTGAGTCATTGTGAATACCAGGCCTCACTTCTCACCAATGGTCATCGGGGAGCCGGGGGACTATGCGGGCTATTTTCTTCTTTTTACCTATCTGTAGCTCAACTTCTCTATAAAGAACATCAACTGTTTTATAACCAGAGGAAAAAGAAACATCCTCTGCCATTGAAGAATTGAGTTCTTCATGAAGGACGCTGAGGCCCAACCCCCGCCCTCTGTGCTCCTGGCTCACAGGCTCGCTCCCTCCAGACTGGCTCTTGCCTCCTCCCCTCTCCTCCTTCTCTCCTTCCTCCTCTCCTTCCCCCTCTCCTCCTAGCCTCCCCTCCTCCTGCCCTCCCCTCCTCTCCTCACCCTCCTCTCCCCCTCTCCACCCCATCCCCATCCTCCAATCCTCCCCTCCTCACCCCCCCACCTCCTCTCCGCTTCCTCTGGTCCTCCCCTCCCCTCCCCTCCTCCTGCCCTCCTTCCTTCTCCCCTTCACACCCCCCTCCTCCCCTCCCCTCCTCTCACCTGCTCTCACCACTGCACTTGGCCCTGCAACCCTGCCCAGTCCATTGTCCTGGCCTCCAGCTGCCTCGTGGTCCAGCCCTGCAACACTTCACCATCTGCCCTCACTTTCCCGGCTCCCTGGGAACAGGGGTGCATTTGACAACCTCTACAAATCTGGGAAATGGCCCACAGTGCCAGGGCAAAGCCGTGCAGAAGGCCCAGGGAGGATGGAAGGACAGCAACCCCTGTCCCCTAGAGCTCTCTCAGCCCCCTCTGCTCTCACCTCCACTCTCCCTCCTCTGCCCCAGGCCCTGCTGTCCCTGGGGTGGCCTCATCATCTCCTCCTGGACTCTGCGGGGCTGCCCTCTGGGCTCCCCTCCACCTGCTCCAGGGAGATGCCTGTCCTGACGCACACACTTTCTGTACTGCTGTGAAGGGAATTCCTGGGCTGTGTGCAGAGCCCTCCCCCTGGGCTCAGCCTGCTCTGTGGCCCCTTCCCATGCATCCTTAAGCCCCCTGACCCAAACCCATCCCCCTCCAGCAGCACAATGTGCCCTAAGGCCTTGGTGTCACAGCACACACTGTCACCTTAGTCCAAAGTGCCCCAAGGCAGCTGTGGATCATGAGGCTCCTATTTCAAACCCAGAGCTTCATCCCCTGGCCAAAGTCCAGCATCCTGGTTGGTTCCTCAGGGCCAATCCCGAATGCCACTGCCTCCTGCTCTGCTGGCAGGTTCTCACCCCTCCTGTGCCGCAACGCCATCCCCGGTCCGAGGCCCCTGTAGGTGCTCTTGCTTCATTACAGTTTGCTCCACATGTCTGTCCCCAGAGGGCTGAAAACCCCTGGGAGAGCCACAGCCCTTTATCTTGGGGTCTTCTGCAGATCTAGAAGAGTCTCCAAAAGTATCTCCAGTGTGTTCCTAACTGGGGCTGGGAACAGAGACCACAGGGCCCTGCTGGAACCGCAGTGAGAGCCCACACCTGCTGAGCACGAAGTGAGAGTCAGGAGCTATGCCGAGGGCTCACATGCACGAGCCCCACTTGACTACTGCCATGAACCTGCCCGCCTCGGCCCCCCAAAGTGCTGGGATTACAGGCGTGAGCCACCATGCCCGGCTGAGTCCGGAGTTCTTGAAGAGCTCGCAACACCACCCTTGTTTTGACGGGCTGCGTGATCACAGGACTGCATCTCTGGATTTCGATAACCATACATGAATTGAGCTGAAGGTGTTTTGGTCAATGGAGACCTCTGTGCCTCCAGAGCTTATAAATCAGAGCCCTGTGGTCTAACAGCCATGATGTTCCCCAATCATGTTACTGCAATATTAATAAGGCTGTTTAATGCAACCAGTTCCTTCTAAATTGTCACATAAAAATTTGGTAAATGTCAGACATATCATTTCATAGAAAATAATGTTTTACTGCCAGGGGAGCTAGGTGGCTGAGAAGATGAGTGCAAAGCCTGGCGACAACCTTTGGCAGGTTTGAGGGACAAAGCGCTGCCAGCCTGGGGCTCCCGCCTTGGCCCTTCTTTCTTGCAGTCAGCAGCCACCCCGAGTCCCCATGTGCAGGGGCCCTGGGTGAGGAGTCCTGGGGAGGGGAGGGGCTAGAAGAAACAGCCCTTCCTGTCCTCACGCAGCATACAATCCTGTTGCAGCAAGAGAGACTACCAGGTTTTCTCAGTCACTGGTCACTCCTCAGGATGCCCCTTGTCATAAAAGATCATTACCCCCATTTTAGGAAACCCAGGCAGCCCCCAGGAACATTGGCCCACACAGGAGAAACTTGACGTTTACAAAGGGATGAGTTCGGCTGGGAGCAATGGCTCATGCCTGTAATCCCAGCAATTTGGGAGGCTGAGGCAGGTGGATCACCTGAGGTTGGGAGTTCGAGACCAGCCTGACCAACATGGAGAAACCCCGTCTCTACTAAAAATACAAAAAATTAGCCAGGCATGGTGGCGCATGCCTGTAATCCCAGCTACTCAGGTGGCTGAGGCAGGAGAATCGCTTGAACCCAGAAGGCAGAGGTTGCGGTGAGCCAAGATCACACCATTGCACGTCAGCCTAGGCAACAAGAGCAAAAACTCCATCTCACAAAAACGAAAAACAATAAAACAAAGGGATAAGTTCACAGAAGCAAAGTAGCATCCTGTAAACTACTTATAAATGGGGTTGGTGTCCTGTAAAAGGGGTTGGTCCCACTAATTTGGGCGGACAGGGGCACAGAGACGGACAGAGTGACATTCTCCACAGCCTAGTTTATGATAGGAAGAGTGTGGAAAACCCCTAAAAATGGCTTCAGTTGGCCGGGCGTGGTGGCTCACGCCTGTAATCCCAGCACTTTGGGAAGATGAGGCGGGTGGATCACGAGGTCAGTAGATCGAGACCATGCTGGCTAACACAGTGAAACCCCGTCTCTACTAAAAATACAAAAAAATTAGCCAGGCGTGGTGGTGGGTGCCTGCAGTCCCAGCTACTCAGGAGGCTAAGGCAGGAGAATGGCGTCAACCCAGGAGGCGGAGCTTGCAGTGAGCCGAGACCGTGCCACTGCACTCCAGCCCGGGTGACAGAGCGAGACTCCATCTCAAAAAAAAAATAAAAAATAAAAAAGGCTTCAGTTAACTGCTTTGGTAAATGAATCACAGGATATTGATAGAATAGTAGATAGTTATTAGAAAAAATGTGCATATCTCTATTTGTTAACATGGAAAGAGCTCCATTATTTAAAAAAAAATTGCAAAATGGAATGCATGGTGAGATCTCATTTCTATAGAATTCTTCACTTACCCAGCACCTATATGTCTATGTGTACATAAGGAAAAGTCCGGAAGCATTGAGTTCTCTAAAACCTTGACCCTGGCTATCTCTGGGAAATGGGACTTCAGAGGATGTTTGTGAAGTTGGTTGCTTTTTGTTGTATCTTTCTGTGTGGTAAGAATGTTCTTCAATGAGCCTGTTCTATCTTTATCAGAGAGAAAGATGTTAATTTAAATGAAATTAAAGGACAGGGATTACAGCATGAACTCAGCAAGCATTCACGGGGCACCTGCTCTGCACCCAGTCCTAGGGATGTAAGGGTGATGAAACTCAGCCATTGCCTGGAACAGCCTGAAGGCAAGTGGAAATCACAAATAACAAGCAGATGATTGTAATTCCACGAGGGGCAGGCAATGAGGGTGAGGTGGCGGGGCGGGAATTTGAGGGGGAGGCAGTGAGCTTTGTGTCACCTCCTTTTACTGCAATAAACCTTGGCCTGCATGCCCCCTAAAAGTGGGTTCTTTGGAGGCACGTGTTTGGCCTCAAGGAAAGTTCTCATTGAGCAGAGTTAAAAAGCCCCTTTTGGATCCTCAGGGGATGTGGGGACAACTGAACTCAAAGCCAGAGAAGGCAAGAAGGAAACACCTGCCTCAAGGGGCTGTGGACAGGCACTGGGCTGAACACGCCAGGCCATCCCACATCTGCCATCCTAGGATACCCCCAAAAGGGGATGCTAGGATCCCAACCCCTGAGATGAGGAATCAGTGGCTCGGAAAGGTTCGCTGCTGGCAGGAACCCTGTAGGGATGAGCAGAGGAGCCACACTGGAACAGTCGAGGGGATGTGTTTCTGTCACTCACCATCTTCCTGCAGGGAGACTAGACCCTGAACTTCTGAGCTGGAAATGCCACTGTCGAGGGAACTCTGAGCCAACCAAAAGTCTATGATCATGCGCCTGTGACCTTCTCCAAAGAGGGACTGATGCAGAGAAGTGAACCCCCGAAATCCTGCTAAGTGTCTGAGCTTCCACCCTTTCCTCTGGGGTAGCTGTCAACCCCGCTGGCACATTGCACTGGGGTGCCGGCCTCGCCACTCTTGATGGGTTGTTGATGGACCCTCCCAGGTGTTCTCAGCAACACCCCACCCACAACCCCAGGAAAGGGAAGTTCCAAGGGAAATCCAATGCCTTAAATGAAGAATTCCCAGGGCCACTCGGAGAAAAGGCTCCCAGGATATTGTTGGTGGGGAGGGAAAGGGTGACAGTAGAGGTCTTTCTGGGTAATAAAAGAGATCTGCTGGCCGGGCACGGTGGCTCACGCCTGTAATCCCAACACTTTAGGAGGCCGAGGCAGGCGGATCACGAGGTCAGGAGATCGAGACCATCCTGGCTAACACAGTGAAATTCCGTCTCTACTAAAAAATATAAAAATTAGCTGGGCATGGTGGTGGGCGCCTGTAGTCCCAGCTACTCGGGAGGCTGAGGCAGGAGAATGGCATGAGCCCGGGAGGCAGAGCTTGCAGTGAGCTGCGATCGTGCCACCACACTCCAACCTGGGCAAAAGAGCAAGACTCCATCTCAAAAAAAAAAAGAGATCTGCCAAGATCAGTAAGAATTTGCCCCAGGCTCCAGTGCCCTGCCCAGCTGGCCCCTTACAGCCCCTTCCTGACTCTTCCTAGCCTCTCCTCCAGCCTCCTCATCTCAGTCAAGGAGACACTAGACGATGGGGTCAAGGCGCTTTCTGCCATCTGCTGGCTGCGGCAATAAGGATGCAGCTCATGTGACCCGAGACTCATCAGGGCAGCAGCCCATGCAGGTGGCAGCAAGGGAAGCTGAAGTGCGGTGGGCAGGGTGCCAACGGACCATCCAGACGACATGGAGCAGCTACGGAGCAGGGCCCTGGGGAGCGGGGCAGGGAGGCATATCCACCAAACACTCCCACATCAAGAGCCCCAGGTGGGCTTTCATCAGGTCCCCACTAACCCTAGAGCCTTGCCCTTAGCAATCAATGACACCAGCGGAGAGGCGCGGGTGTCACGCCTCCAACCTGGGACCCCGCTTGAGCAGGGACGGAATTCATGAGTTTTGTGCTCCTGTACAAAACGATGATGACATTTAAAAATAAAACCCGTACACAGCAGATTCCTGAAAAATAATAATAATAACCTTAATTTTAGCAAGTGGAAAATAGTTTCAGAAAACTGTTTTGCTCTTGGATCTCGTTGGGAACATGAAAACCTTCTCAGATTCAGCCAGCTGCTGGTTTTTCCACTTCCCTTTGGGTGGACGCTGAGCCATCCAGCTGTGGCGCCCTTGCCAACTGGGACGAGAGCCTGCAGAGCGGTGCAAATTTAGGCCATCCAGTGGAAAGCTCACCAAGCGCCTCGGCCACTGGGCACAGCCTGACCTTGAGCAGCGATTATGTTTCCAGCTAAGCCTGCAGCCTCTCCTGCAGTAAAAGGAGACTGACAAGACCTAAGGCCTCCACCTGGCAGAGCATCATTCTCCCTCCCATCGGGTGAGGTCCAGGATGGCTTGAGCACTCTGGCTTTATGTAAAGGTGCTACAAACGTTAAGGTGCCCCATCCTTTATACAACTGCATGTCATGTGGGTTCATGGTAGTGATTATGATTAAGATTAGTCTGTGGTCATTACACACCCAGAAGATCTCTGGTCATCTGGGGTGATCGAGTTATTCAGCAATCTTCCACCCCGCCCTCTAACAACTGCAGTGAAGATGGGATGATACCTTCGTTAAATATCCCATAGGCCCCAAGGTAAACCTGAGAACTAATAAATACATGTAAATACATCTAATAAAATAAAATTTGAGATTAAAAGGAATCTCGCTTGCATATTCATGAACCACGTGGAAACTCAAATGAGCTCTTCTAAGCTCCTTATTCATGGTGAGTCAGAGATTTAACACATGCTGGGAAGATTGCTTAGCAAATATAAGCCTGGCAATGGCACATGCATCCATGAATTCATCGGACAAGTATTTATTAACTGTCCCTTTGCATTACTATTTATGTTGCATATTCATCCCTCTTTGCAAACCCAGGGCCTCATATAAATGGCAGGCACTCACCTGTTGACGATGCTGGTGTTCTGAGGCCCTAGAAAGCACAACCCCTGGCCTCAGGTTGCTTATATCTGCTCAAGGAGGTAAGAGTCACTTCCTCTATGAAGCTTTCCTGACCCCTCAGGACCCTGTTAGGTGACCCTAGTATCCATTTCTCAAGACTCTCCCTGTTAGCACCTACCTCCCATCACACACTCACACACACATACACACACGCATGCATACACTCACACACATACGCACACAATCACACATACACATACTCACACGCACATGCACCTGTTCCATTGTCTCTATCCTCTCCTGCACTAAGTTTAGGGTAGGGAGACACTGAATCTGCTTTGCTCACCCTAGCCTGACATACACATGTAGGAAACATTCAGTACATCACTGGATGAATGAAGCAAGAAATGAATGGTTGGATGGGTGGGTGGGTGGGTGGGTGGGTGGATCAACAGGTAAGTAAAGGCAAGGCAAAGGCCTAAGTTGTGGCCCAAGGAAAGATGTATGAGGGGGTGGCCCGCAAGGGCGAGAGGAACAAGAGCGTTGGTCATCAAGGGAAGAAGATCAAGAAAAAAAGGTTTGAGATCTTAAGGACAGTGAAGACTTGGCATTGGGTGAGTTGGTATTTTCTGGTCATTTCTGTGCCACACAGGGTGCCGGGCACCTCATGAGCATCACCCCGGATCCTCACAGCTGCACCTGAGGCAGATATACCCACGTAGAAGAGGAAGCTAGGCTTAGCAGGATAAGCTGGCACCACTGCAGAGCTGGCACGCGGCGAAGCCAGGATTGGAGACCAAGTGGGCCTGACCCAAGCTCTCTCCATGAAGACCAATGGGCATCCTCTGGCCCAGGGACCATTGCCATCAGGTGGGACCGTTGCCATCAGGAAAGAAGAGAGCGTGCTCCAGGAGGCAGCTCTGGGCAGTGCAGAGGGATGAAACAATCAATATGGTGGCTGGGCCCCTTGGAACAAAGAGAAAGGGCTGGGGCTGTCTAGGGAGGACTCAGGACTCATGACCCACTCCTGCCCACAGAAACATAACTCACTCTCCGCCTGAGCACAGCCACTATGTCATGGGGTGATGTAGAGCCAGGGAGGGAGGCAAGGACACGTTCCTAAATAATATCCTATTTTGTAGTCAACAGTCAGGCAAGAGGAAGGGAGAAAGAGGAGGGCAGGAAGACAGCGAGATGCAGAAAGGATTGAATGTTCCATGAGGATCAAATCTCAGCCTCCCCGCAGGTGCATTGAGACAGAAGACGCAGGTCCTCACAGCCAGAGGTGCTCATGGAACCAGCCCGGGCGATGTCTCATCACCCAGACGAGCACAGAAAAAGACAGGCTTGCAGGGTCCCACGGCCTGTCTGACACAATGCTCATGGGGTTTTCTCAAAAGCATCATCTATTTAGCTGATGGCCCCAAAGTGTTTCATTTAGCTGGAAATCGTGCTTGGTCCATTTCCCAGATCTCAGTGACATTATGAGAAGCCAGCAAAATGTGTCTGGCAGCAGAGCAGTTCAGCAACCCATCACCTCGAGTCACAGTCCTGTCGCCCCTGTTTGGAAAGCAGACAGTTCAGACGACTTCTAGAAGGCAGAGTCACTGCTGCCTCCCAGGCAACCGAGGACTACAGGAAGCCTGTGTGTGTGTGTGTGTGTGTATGTGTGTGTGTGTGTGTGTGTATGCACCAGCTTGTGCACATGCCCTCTGAAGGAAGGCAGGGGTCACCCATGGCACAAGGCAGTCACCATCCTCCCTGACCATGGGATAAAACTTTGCCATTCCTTTATCTTATTTAATCTTCCCACTAGGCAGGAATCATTATCCCCAAACTATTTCTGAGAAAGCCAAAGCTTAGCCGGTTCATGTGGCCCCAGCCCCACAGCCAGCAAGAAGCAGGGCTGAGACTGTAATTCAGCACTGTCTGAATCCAAAGGCCAGGCTCACACTGAGACCCCAGCGTTCCCCACCCCATTCCACGGGCCTGGAGAGGTGTTTCACGACGCATTCACTGGTCTGCCTGGTACCATATAAAGAAGAATCAAGTCCCATCACCAAAGAAATTTGCAGAATTCTCAGTGAACACAATGGAACAGGTCTGATTCTGGAGGGACTTCCTGGAGGCCTTCAAAGGCTAATGCACACTATGGAAACCCAAAAGCCGGAGCAATGGCTCTGCTCGTGAAAGCCCCCGAAGGCAAGACTCTGGGTGTGTTACCAACTCTCCGAGTCTCACACAGTCTCTGGCACAAGGTAGGAGAGTGCAATACCCATCAAGTGCTTGAGTGAATGAATGATGAATGAATGAACAAGTAACTAAATGCTGTGAATGAGAGTTCTGTCTAAAGATTAAAAAAAAAAAAAAGAATAAGGCTCTGGGGAAAAGGCCCCAGCATCTCTGCTGTCATGGAGTATTCCTGCTGCCTAAGGTCCTCTCATAGAACCCGGCCCTTCCTGCACTGCCTCCAGCGTTCCAGGGGATGGGTTCTGAGAAAGCCGGGCCATTCATCTGTGCTGGTGCCGTGCCGGCCTTCGGTGCTTGCTGCCCTGGCTCTCCCACCTGGTGGGCTCTAGGAGGAATTCCCCGTGAGGGCACAGCAGAAGCTGACTGACAACCAGGTGGGAGGGAGACCTCCTGGGCCCAGCTGGAGGGCCCTAGGGAGCGGGAGGCAGGAGACAGGACCTCAGTGACCCTGGAGATCGCTCCCCATATGTCCTCATCCTCTCCACCACTTCTTCTCCATGTCCAGGCACTCGTGGGAAGTTAAAACCCAAAGTTGGGCCCGTGGTGCCAGGTCAGGGGACAGCAGGTGCCACCTGGGTGCCCGAGCACAATTCCTTTCTCCCTGTCCGACTCAGCCTAAGATTGGCTCTCATTTTGAAAATGCAGCTCAGATGTTGGCTGTGTCCCATTGGAGAAGCTATCTGAGGCCTTAACCCTCCTCTGGAGAGATCCAAAGCCACAGAGCCGAGGTGGTCCCTTTTTCTGGAACCCACAGAGAACAAGAGAAGACAGGGTGGCACTGTGGGAACACCAGGTGACAAGACTCAGCAGTGGTCTCGGAGGAGACAGAAGCTGTCTTCAGGGATCTGAACGCTCCCGGGAATGGGGTATCCACCCAGAGAAAAAATAGGCCAGGCCAGGATCCCTGAGCCCACAGCAGGCGAGACTCAACCCAGCAGAAGGCGGGTTTGTAAATGGAAATTTCCCAGCGTGCCTGGCCTCTTTCCATTATTCCTCTGGGCCCAAAGTACAGACACTTTACAGGTTTTCCCTGTCCTTCGAGGAGGCCTGGGATTTCTCTACTATAATAATTCATAGGTGGTCTATTTCCAGAACAAAGATACTCCATGTATTCATCTCACAAACATTCTTGACCCCCTGCAATGAGTCAGGCGTGGCGCATTCCCTAAGCCACGCAGCGCTGAATCTGACTATGGTTTCGGGCTTTGTATGAGAATGCTGTAAAAATATGGTTGGCTGACATCTGAGTTAGCTCAGGCTTCCGTAACAAAGTACCAGAGGCTGGGTGGCTTAAACAGCAGACATTTATGTCTCACAGGTCTGGAGACGGGAAGTCTGAGATCAAGATGCCAGCCAGTTCCATTCTTGGTGAGGGCTCCCTTCCTGGCCTACAGACGGCCACCTTCTCACTGTGTCCTCACAAAGCAGGGAGAGAGCTCTAGTATCTTCCTCTTCTTTTTTCTTTGTTTTGGTAGAGATGGGGTCTCCCTGTGTTGCCCAGGCTGGTCTCAAACTCCTGACTTCAAGCAATCCTCCTGCCTCAGCTGCCCAAAATGCTGGGATTACAAGTGTGAGCCACCACACCAGGCCCCTCTTCCTCTTCTTATAAGGGCACTAATCCTATCATGGGGCCCCACCCTCACAACTTCACCTAAACCTAATTCCCTCCCAAAGACCCCATCTCCAAAGACTATCACACTGGGGTTAAGGCTTCAGCACATGGATTCTGGAGAAACACAGATATTCAGTCCATGGAAGATGGTGTGTCTCCTTTTTTTTTTTTTTTTTTTTTTTTTTTTTTAAGAAAAAATTCAAATGTCAGGAGAGAGCACAGACACAGTCCCCCACTACCACAAATGATGCAGTGAGTTTCCCACATTTGGGGAAATCACAAGGGTCAACACATCTGGCGCACAATGGATAAGCCTCACCCTGGGAGTACCACCTTCAGGATCCTGGTATATCTCCCGTGCCAGGTAAGCATGGCGGGTCCCTTCTTGATAGAGACCTACTCGCATATACACAATGTAACAGCCACCAGATCACACTCACCCCTGGCAGCAGAATGGCAACGCTCCCTCCCATATGCCACAATAGTAAAAGGCTCGTTGAGTCCAACCGTAAACACAGAAACGGAAAACACGCCAGTATTTGGCTGAAGTGTCTATGAAAAAGGGCTGGCTGAACAGATGCCGGTGTAAACAAGCTTACAGGGGAGACACTTCACCTTCGTAAGAGAGCAGACCTTTTAAAGATATCCTCAAGATTCTTTTATGGTACAATTAACATGAAAAGATGGTGTTCATAACAGGCTTGAGTTACAATTGTACTTGAAATTGATATAACTGCACACGTCTCCTAAAATGCCACGTAAGGGACTTCCAGGTCGCCAAGGTAATGATAGCCACAAAAACTCAAATCTCCCAACGCATCCTCTGAAAACTACACAGATCAACAAGAAGAACAAAAACAACCACACAAATCCCACACACCTTTCACACGACTGGAAAAAAGAGACACTATAAACATCAAATTAACAAATTCTTGAGTTCCCACCCAGAACTTTTATAAAGAGCAAGAGGATAAGATGGGTCCAAAAGCCAATGAAGGCAGACGTCGAGCATGGAGAGTTTAGGAATAAATTACAATTACCTGAAGAAAGAGAAAGTACATCCTACAGGGAAGAAAATACCAAAAATGAATCCAGATAGACCAGAATATGGACTAGAAGGAAGTGATTTAAAGGTAGGCAGGGGCAGCATTGGCAAATGTGCAGGGGAGGGAGGGAGAAGCCAGATGTGGGCATTTAGGATTCTGCAAAACAAAAAATAATGATACATCCAAGGACCCTCAACTCCTCCCGCCCCTCCCCCAAAAACCAGTCATAAAGAAACTGCACTTCGCTGCACTGACAGAAGAGGGAGCTCTTGAACTAAAAATCACACGAACCACTCAATGTGGCGATGTAAGTGGTCTTCATCTGTAGAAGACTATGAAAGAAAAAAAACTAAAATGAGAATACGACACTTACCCCAAAATCCCAACCATAAGGTGGAGGGGGAGGAACTGTGTCATAACACTACAAACTGAATTAAAAACCTCAACGATGCATTTGAAAAATATCCTCAACGCTTGTAAATGAAAAGATCAAATAACTTACTATAAGGGCAACAGAGACAGTTGTCAGCCTTCTCAAAAACAACTTAGAAGGTGGGGCAAGGATGGAGCAGCAGTTTCATAAAACTCAAAGATTTTATATCTAGCGAAGCAGACCCTCAAAAATCAGAGGTACAGAATAAGAGTTTAAAATATGGGAGAATTGAGTGATGTACCCACAGGCGCCTCTGAAGGAATCTTCTAGAAAATTAACTTCATCCAACCAGGAGATGACTAGGGACTCTTTGGCAAAGGAACTTATGGGGAACATTTAATATATTTAATTATGGACCTAAATTAAGTGTGTAACTAAGGTTAAGAGAATCATACATAGATTATATATGTTTTGTCAACTACAAAATGATAGGAAACAAAAAAAGGAAAGACAAAACCAGAATAAGCTCAGTGATGCTTGTATAAGCAACAGGTAGGAGTCAAGAGACTCCATTAACAACTGAAAGACCAAATGGTAAAAGTTAGTAAGAGACTAAAGGGATTTTTAAAGGTAATGAGTACAAAGGTACCCATTAGACTAAAAATGAGAATTTCTTATATATAAAAAGAAATTAAATGAGTATAGAAAATGCATCATGTAGAAAGACAAGTACAGCAAGTAGAACATAATACACATTGCATTTATTATATAAGATATTATACATATTGGACATATAAATAAAAGTGAATGGGTTTACTTATGAAAATAAAAAAATTTTCAATTTGGCTTAAAAAGAAAGATCCAACTATATGTTATATATAAGAGGCATACTTTTAAAAAGAGTGTATTAGTTTGTTCTCACACTGCTATAAAGAACTGCCCGAGACTGGGTAATTTATAAAAGGAAAGAGGTTCAACTGGCTCACAGTTCCACATGGTTGGAGAGGCCTCAGGAAACTTACAATCATGGCAGAAGAGGATGCAAACACTTCCTTCTTCACATGGCGACAGGAGAGAGAAGTGCCGAGCAAAGGGGGAGAAGCCCCTTATAAAACGATCAGATCTCGTGAGGACTCACTATCATGAAAACAGTATGGGGGAAACTGTCCCCATGATTTAATTTTCTCCACCTGGTCCCACCCTTGACACATGGGGATTGTTACAATTCAAGGTGAGATTTGGGTGGAGACACAGAGCCGAACCATATCAAAGAGATTCAGAAAGCCTAAAACTAAAAGGATGGCAAAGACATATGAGGCAAATGGAAATAACAAAACAAGTATTGCAATCTTGATATCAAAGTAGAATAAGTATAATTTAAGAAACAACATTATGACACCTTCTAATGCTAAAAATCACATTCCACAATAAAAATATAACCATAATGAGTATTAGTGCACCAAACAAGACTACAACCACTTTTACAGGAGAGGAAATTGTAGGAAATATAGGCCAGGTTTGATGGCTCACACCCAGCAATTTGGGAGGCCAAGAATGGTGGATCACTTGAAGTCAGGAGTTCAAGACCAGCCTGGCCAACATGACAAAACCCTATCTCTACTAAAAACACAAAAATTAGCCAGGCGTGGTGGTACCTGCCTGTAGTCTCAGCCATTCGGGAGGCTGAGGCACAAGGATTGCTTGAACCCAGGAAGCGGGGATTGCAGTGAGCCGAGAACTCAACACTGCACTGCAGCCTGGGCGACAGTTCTGTGAAAGAACGAAAGAAAGAAAGGAAGGAAGGAAGGAAAATGAAAGAAAGAAACTGTAGGAAATATAGATGAAAACACTAAGAATAGTGTGTTTACCACACCGCTGTCAGTACAAGAGAAACCAGATAGACAAAAAATAAGTAAGGACACAGAAGCCCTAAACAATATAATCAATTTCCTTGACAAATCAATTTGTCACTGATGTGGTTTGCATGTGTGTCCCCACCCAAATCTCATGTCAAACTGTAATCCCCAGTGTTGGAGGAAGAGCCTGGGGGAGGTGACTGAATCATGGGGGAGGATTTCCCCCTTGCTGTTTTTGTGATAGTGAGTGAGTTCTCAGGAGATCTGGTTGTTTGGAAGAGTGCAGGACCTCCCCCTTCACCCTCTTCCTCCTGCTCCAGCCACGCAGGACACGCGGGCTTCCCCTTCGCCTTCTGCCATGATTGTAAGTTTCCTGAGGTCTCCCCAGCCATGCTTCCTGTAAAGCCTGTGGAACCATGAGTCAATTAAACTTCTTGTCTTTATAAATGACCCAGTCTCAGGTAGTTCTTCATAGCAATGTGAGAGCAGACTAATACAGTCATACTTCATACTTTTTCCTTGAATTACCTATTAGTAGATGGGGAATCTACTATACCTTCTCCTTAAGTACACATAGAATATTCACAAAAGTTGGTCACGTGTTAGGTGATAATCAATGCATTTCATAAAATAGAAATATTACAAAGAAATATTTTCTGATCACAGTCTAATAAAACTGGAAAATAATGTTAAAAATCTTTTCAAAATTAAAGCAATAGAAATTCCAAAAATGTACATGTGATCATGAAAACACTACATACCAGGTAAGGCACGGTGGCTCACACCTGTAATCCCAGCACTTTGGGGGGCCAAGGTGGGAGGATCACCTGAAGTCAGGAGTTTGAGACCAGCCTGGCCAACATGGTGAAACCCCGTCTCTACTAAATATACAAAAATTAGCCAGGTGTGGTGGTGTGTGCCTGTAGTCCCAGCTACTCGAGAGGCTGAGGTGGGAAAATCGCTTGAACCTGGAAGGCGGAGGTTGCAGTGGGCTGAGATCGCGCCACTGCGCTCCAGCCTGGGCGACAGAGTGAGACTCCATCTCAGAAAACAAACAAACAAAAAACTACATACCAGAATTTATGAGACATATTTAAAACAGTGGTCGGACTGAATATTCATAGCCTTTTTCATTATTTTAGTAAAAATGAAAAATTAAAATTTTAAAATTCTAAGCTCAAAAAGCTAGAAGAAGAACAACAGCAAAACCATAAGAAAGGGGAAAATAAAGTTAGATGTAGAAATAAATGAGGTGGGTCAAATTAACCAAAATTTCGGGTCTTTTTTTTAAAAAATAGGATAATCACAAGCTAAACTTCATCAAAGAATGAGAAAACACAAATATTCCAAATAAGAATGTCAGGATACAGATGAAGGCTTATTATATAGCTACAGTTATCAAGACTGTGTGGTATTAGCAAAGGAATTGACACATAAACCAATAGAATAGAGAACCCAGAAAGAGACCTGCACAAATACACCCAACTGATTTTTGACAGAAATGCCAAAATTAATTCAAGATAGCTTTGTTGAAAGATAGCCTTTTCAACAATTGGTGTTAGAGTGATCAGACATCCACAGGCAAAAAAAAAAAAAAGAAAGAAAGAAAAAGTCTCCACCAAAGTCTTCTCCACACCTGCAAAAACTAACTTGGAAGGGACAATGGGCTTAAAACATAGGAGAAAATTTGGGAACTAGGACTAGGCAAAGGGTTCTTAAACTTAACACCTAAAGCACAACATATAAAAGGAAAAATGGGTAAAGTAGACTTCATGAAAATTAAAATCTTTGGGCCGGGCACAGTGGCTCATGCCTGTAATACTAGCACTTTGGGAGGCAAAGGCGGGTGGATCACGAGGTCCAGAGATCAAGACCATCCCGGCTAACGTGGTGAAACCCTGTCTCTACTAAAAACACAAAAAATTAGCCAGGAGTGGTGGTAGGCACCTATAGTCCCCACTACTTGGGAGGCTGAGGCAGGAGAATGGTGTGAACCCGGGAAGTGTAGGTTGCAGTGAGCTGAGATTGCACCACTGCACTCCAGCCTGGGTGACAGAGTGAAACTCTGTCTCAAAAAAAGAAAAAAATAAATAAAATCTTTGTTCTGTGGAAATGCAAATCAAAACCACAATGAGATACCATCTCACACCAGTTAGAATGGTGACCATTAAAAAGTCAGGAAACAACAGGTGCTGGAGAGGATGTGGAGAAATAGGAACACTTTTACACTGTTGGTGGGACTGTAAACTAGTTCAACCATTGTAGAAGTCAGTGTGGCGATTCCTCAGGGATCTAGAACTAGAATTACCATTTGACCCACCCATCCCATTGCTGGGTATATACCCAAAGGATTATAAAATATGCTGCTGTAAAGACACATGCACATGTGTGTTTATTGTGGCACTATTCACAATAGCAAAGACTTGGAACCAACCCAAATGTCCAACAATGATAGACTGGATTAAGAAAATGTGGCACATATACACCATGGAATACTATGCAGCCATAAAAAATGATGAGTTCATGTCCTTTGTAGGGACATGGATGAAGCTGGAAAACATCATTCTCAGCAAACTATCGCAAGGACAAAAAAACAACCACCGCATGTTCTCACTCATAGGTGGGAATTGAACAATGAGAACACATGGACACAGGAAGGGGAACATTGCACACAGGGGCCTGTTGTGGGGTGGGCGGAGGGGGGAGGGATAGCATTAGGAGATATACCTCATGTTAAATGATGAGTTAATGGGTACAGCACACCAACATGGCACATGTATACATATGTAACTAACCTGCACGTTGTGCATATGTACCCTAAAACTTAAAGTATAATAAAAAAAAGAAATTTAAAAAAAAGAAAAAAAATATTTGCTCTGTGAAGGACAGGATGCAAAAGAAGATACAAATTAGGAGAAAATATTTGCAAACCACCTCTCAGAAAAATGACTGGTATTTAAGATATATAAAGAACCCCCAAAGCTTAATAAAAAATAAAATAATCTAATTAGAAAATGGACAAAGGACTCCAAAAGGTAATTCACCAAAGAGAATATACAGATGGCAATAAACACATGCAAAGGTGTTCAACATCATTAGCCAATTAGAGAAATACAAACTTAAACCACGATTAGATAACATTACACACCTGTCAGGGGAGCTAAAATAAAAAATAGTGACAACACCAAATGCTGATAAGGATGCAGAGAAATGGGGTCATCCGTACATTGCTGGTGGGAAAATAAAGCACGGCTACTTTGAAAAGTGCTTTGGCAGATTCTTTAAAAGCTAAATATGTAGTTATCATACAACCCAGCAGCTGCATTCCTAGGCATTTATCTCAAAGAAATAAAAATCTGTGACCACACAAAAACCTGTACACAAATGTTTATAGACATTTTATATGTAATTGCCAAGAACTAGAAACACCCAGATGTCCTTCAATGTATAAAGGGCTAAACAAACTGTAGCACATTCATTCTATGGTACATCACTCAGCAATAAAAAGAAGTAAACTCTTAATAAATGCAACAATCTAGATGAATCGCGAGACAATTATGCTGAGTCAAAGTAGCCAATTCCAAAAGGTAATTTATTGTATGATTCCAATTATATAACATTCTTGATATGATAAAAATTATAGACATAGAGAACAGATTAGGGGTTGCAAAGAGTCAAAGAGGGTGTAGGGGAGGGGAGGAAGTGGGTGTGGCTAAAAAGGGCATCCTGCAGCACCCCGGAGGTGAGGGACATGTTCTGTATCTTAATTGTGCCAACATCAAGTATCCTGGCTGTGATACTCTACTATAGTTTTCAAGATGTTACCATTGAGAAAAACAGCTCAAAGGGTGCATGGATCATCTCTCTGTATTAGTTCTTACAACTGCATGTGAATCAACAGTTGTCTTGAAATAGAAAGTTTAATTTAAAAAAATGCAATGTGCAAAGGAGTATTTATAGTAGCTGTCTTTTGTGTAAGAAAAAAAGGAGAAAATAAGAAAGTATACATGTATCTGCTTATCTCAGCAAAGAAACACAAAACAGATAAGGAGATAATAATGAGAGTGGTTACCCATGTGTGGGGAGGGATGGGGGCAGTGACACGTCTCTGGATCTAACTTTTTTGCATAGTTTTGATTTTTATAAACATGTTAATGTTTTCCATCCTTAAAAAAATCAACAAGGATGGGGAGAGACCATAAAATAGAACACAAGCAAAAAAACAAAAGAGCCTAATTATATTTTATTTCCAAGAATAACATAACCAGAGAGAAAGGGGGTAGAGATTAACCCAAAAGGCTTATGAACACAGTATTTTGATTATATGCCCTCAGGCTAAAGAAAAAGTGCTATAAACAAACATTGAACTATAGTTGGTAGGTTTGCTTTCTTCAGTGGTATAGGTTAACTCTTATTTCATTATTTTATATATATTTAGGATTTAGACAATAATATACTCAGGAAAATTTCTCCATGTTGGAAAAGAAAGTGCCACATATGGAAAGATGAACGGCTAGGAGGAACCCTGTGATGTTGGACTAGAATTGGTATCATCACAATGCATGGTTTTACACACATCCATGAACACGGATGTTTAGAAGTAGGTGTGGATATATATGTGTTTGTGTATCTATGAATGTATCCTCACACATGCATTGCTTAGCTTCTTCTACTAAGGCAGAGAGTGTCTAGAAGCAATGGCATACCACTCGCAAGGCACACAGCTGGAATTCAGAAACCATTCTCTGCTGAAAGGAGCCGGGGCTCATTAGAGATTGAGCTAATCCCAGGGTTGGTGAGAGGAAGTGGAAGGCGACCTTGGGACATTTTGCTGGACCAGAAAAAAGGAAGCGCTCAAAGAATGACGGGTGCAAAGAACCACTGATAACAACAACACGGATGAATCTCAAAATCACAATAATGAGTGAAATCATCCTTATACAAAAGAATGTATATTGCACATGTTCCATTTAGATGAAGTGCTAGAACAGGTAAAGCTAATCTATGGTGAGAATAAAATCAGAACAGCGGTTGCTGCTGAAGACGATGGAGAAAGAACTGGTTAGAAAGAAACATGAAAGAACTTTCTGAACTGGCTGCAATGCTCTACAACTTGATAGGGGTCTGAGTCACACAGGTGCATGCACTGGTCAAAGCTTGTTCGATGGTACACTTACTATGTGTACCTTGCACTGTAAGTAAGTTTTGCTGAGTAAAAGAACTGTAAATAAATGTTAAAGTCGAGACACTATCATGCCTGCCAAAGTGTTTATGGATGAAGTGTGCTGACATCTACAACTTACTTTGAAATGCAATTTAAACACAAGATGCATTGCTGGGTGGATAGCTGAATAGATCTATGATAAAGACAGCATAATAAAATGTTCATTAAAGAACCTAGGTGATAGGTACATGAGTGTTCACTGAAAAAAATCTGTTAACGTTCTCTATGCTTGAAGTTTTTCATAATAAAATGTTGTGGAAAAATATTATGGGGATTTGTCAAAAGGACACAGTAGCCAAATTGAAAGGGCTTCCATTGGCCAAATCTGTGACAATATAATTACCAAAACAACTAGGTTATAAACCACTGGACAAATATATAACCTAATGAATGTAACTCAGTCAACATAATCTAGTCAATGTCACTCACTAAGATAGAAATCCATGAGTCCATATGGGTATAAACGAATCAATGAGTAAATAAATAAATGTAAGAAAGCAAAAAGCTTTCCAATTTGGTACAGAGTACTAAACAATAAATAAATTTAGAGAAAAATCACCATCTGGCATGCATTATAATAATTGATTCAGACAAGAATTATCAATGGATGCTAAATCAAGGGGTAAAAGTTTAATGAAATACAAGCTACTTACACAGACCTAAACTATTTTTCCATAAAATGCGAATTAATTATGAAGAGAATAAACAATAACTTTACACTGGAGAAACCTAGCAGATACCATCCTAACCAATGGTCAAAGTCAACAATCCCAGTAAAGGGGCAGGCAACCATGCACCTTCTAACACGATGCACTAAGAACAACCCAATGTCGCTTCTGTGGTGTTCCTGCCAAAATTGCATATCCTGAATCTGGTCCTAAGGAAACATCTGACAAACCCCAACCAAAGGACAGTCTACAAAATAAATGGCCTGTATGCTGCAAAAATGGCAAGGTCATGAAAGACAAAGACTGAAGAATTGATTGATGGCGATTACAGAGACATGGAAACTAAACATAACGTGAGATTCTGAATTGGATCCTACAACAGACTATTGTTTTTATTATTGTATTTTGCTAATAAAGGATATTGTTGGTTGCAGGAATAAAGTCTACAGATTGGATAATGCTATTGCATTAGTACTATTTTCCTGACTTTGACCATTGCACTGGCTTATGCAAGAGGATGTCCTAGTTCTCAGGATATACACATTGAAGTGTTTAGGGTTAACGGGGCATCATGTCTGAAACTTACTTTCAAATGGTTCAGTCATGTGCATGCACACATACAGAATGATAAGACAGATATGATAAAATGTTAATATCGGGAATCTGCGTGAAGGGCATATGGGAATTCTTCATTTTATTCCTACAACTTTTCTGAAATCTTGAAATGACTTAAAAATAAAACATTAATAAAAAATTAAATGCTATGTAATGTCAGAATTCTCTATTCTTTCCTGGTCCAAAATGGGGAGGTTCTACTGACTCGGAAATCTCTAAGGATTAAGAACTTCTGTGGCCATTTGACCCTCCCTGGAGTGTCAACATTCAAGGTAAACCAGGAGCTTACCAACCACTGCGACCTGTGGAGTAGGTAGGTGATGCTCTTGAGCTGAAGAACGAGGTTGTTTCATACATTACGCTGGCCAATTCCAACAGATTGTTGCTGACAGAGCTCTGGGTTCTCTCAAAGAGAGTGCCAAGAAACAGACCTGACAGCTGCCTCCCCCTCCCAGTTCTGGAACCACCATCAAAGATGCAATTAATCCAAGGGTGAGACTCCTTTTACTCACACAGCCTCAGATATGAATCAACCCCAAAGTGTTAATAGATCAACAGTTATCTCTAATACCAAATACAATTTGCATTTGAGATGACATCTGCAATATTTTAAAAGCCAATGTCTAAAACAACAAACTTGGCAGTTTTTCTGAGTAGCAATTAACACAGTGACTAATCCTATCAAGAAGACAGTAATTGGCATGGAGACATCCTTCTCACACCAGCGGCAGGTTGAAAAACTTAATCCTAACCTCTTTTTAACAGCGTAGACTCTAGAGCATCTCTGCGCATCAAGGAAACTAAAGCAATTATTAAGGACAAGGGTAATTACCCTACAGTTTCAACAACAACAACAACAAAATAGAAGTATTCAAACAACAATCACATAGGAGAAAGGGTGGGGCCTTGAATCATGGTTAAAGGCTATTTCGGTATCATGGCCAGACTAGGAATAGACTATGGTGTCTCCACGGCCCCACCCAGGACAGAGTCAACCACAGCCCCATGCCAGCCAGTCGGCCCAGCAATGGTCACTGTAGCACATAGCTTTCTATACGAAGGGCTCAAGTGCTGATCTAGTCAAGTAGGAGGTCCCAAGGATTTAACATGTGAAACAACACATATCATCAAGCTGGTCCCTTCGACATCATCAGAACCCACTATGTTTACTCTCAGCCCACATAGTCAAGTTATTCTCCCCAGGTATGACACCTTTCCCCAGAATCTGTCTAAAGCCTTCCCACTCTTCAAGGCTCAGCTATGGTTCTAGGAAACAATCCCAACCCACGGCAGCCCTCAATGAACACTGGGCAATTTAAGCGCCTCTTCTCGGACCCACAAGAGCAAAACACAGAGGTGCACATGTTGACTCATTGCTTCCTGTGGGCTGGCTTGATTTACACCTTCAACAGAATCACATGGTTTTCAAGAGTCAAGCCCCTGCCCTATGTAGCTTTCACATCACCTAGCACAGGGGTAGACAAACAGGTAAAATTCTGGCAAAAATTCCACAGCATCTCAGATGCCCAATAAGGTACCCAATACTCAATAGGGTAAAGGGAGAAAGAGGCTCTTTGTGTGTGTGTGCATTTTGACTGACCTGATCATTGCAGAATTTTCAATGAAGTATGTAGTATGTGTTTACCAAATGAACAAACAAATGAATGAATGCACAATGAACAAACCAAAGAACAAACCAACTTTCATGAGCCTGGATCAGTTTGTCTGGGAGGTTAGCAAGTGTATCCAGTAAGGTCAAGGCTATGGACAAGATGTCTGCACAAGCCAGCTGGCTTCTGCCAGAAAGCACTGCCTGACGGAAGCCCGGTCTACACCTGCAATGCTCCCCAGTTGCCTGGAGGGTGTGCTGTTGGCCACAAGAGGAGCAAGCATGGAGAGAGAGGCTTCCAGCTCGGAAGGGATGTGTTACCCTTTTATAAAGTAGATGACGTGGCATTTTATTGAGCATGGAAACTTCTTACCCATATGCTGTAACCAAACCTTAGTTTAACCCTGGTTTTGCTGGGCAGCAGAATGAGGGAAATGCTAATGGAGGACATCCCTGGACCTGAGGTGAGTGGGCACTTAGCTTTCAAATGCCCAGGAGAGGTAGCAGGGCCCCAAACACTAAAGGAAGAGAAGAGCTCTTATTTCACGAAGACTGGGGAGATAAAGGCAGGTCTTGGATCCACAAGATACCAGGAGCTTGGAATAGACCACACCATATGGAGAAGCACAGAGCCGGTGGTTTGGTCATAAGAAATAAGGGAAGGACACCTGAGTCAAGGCCACAACTGGACCAGCCACTGGCCTCGTGACCCAGGATCCTGCAATGTACCCCTTTAGAAATAGGGTTGATCCTAGATCCACCCATTAGAGGTGGGACAGGGCTCCAAGGTCAATTTTCAGTTGTGGGTGATTGTGTCGGTTGGAAAAATAGAGTGTATATTTTTAGGTGGTATATACATTTTTATCAGAATGAATTCAGCTTTTTAAAACAAGAAGAAAACATTCAATGACAGATTTTCCTCCTGAATTTGTAATATAATATGATAGAAGATTTTCTTTCCACATTCATTTTCTACAGACCTCCCTGTCAGTGTCAGCAACCTGGCCCTTGACACGCTCACTGGGTATCACTGGTGTTATCCAGCGATATCACCTAATGTAAACATGTCTCCTCTTCCAAGCGGGTGGAAAGCCCCAGGAGTGGTGGGGAACTGGGTCTTATTCATCACTAAGCCCTGTTCAGAGCCTAGTAAAGTGTCAGGTACAAGATGCTACTCAGTGGATGCTGATTGTTGATAATTATACAACAGATATAATGCAAGTAAGTCAGCAAAGAAATTCCTCTAGGAGGCCAGTACCAGGGCCAGACACTTCTCAGCTAATAAAGTGTTTAATTTTTACAGAAGTGTGTTTCCCTCTCAGGAGACTAGGAAAGCAGCGTTGCCATTCTCAACTCCTACCAGCAGCCACTGAATGAGAGAGGGGCACTTAGAAGAAGCAGGCCGGGGGTGGGGTGTGCAATCCATGGAGACTGTGTCCATGTGGGAAGCAGCATTTGGGTCAGAATTTGGAAACCAAGGACTTAAGAGAAGTCATTAAAAAGCATGCTGCTTCTGTGCCATTTGCACTCCCTCAGACTGACAAAATTTAAGCATTGACAATAGCTAATGTTGGTAAAAATGTGAAGCAACAGAGGCTCCCACATTACAGAAAGGAGTGAGAACAGAATTAACGCCTTTGGAAAACTACTTGACAACTTCAACAAATGGGAAACAATCTAAATGTCCATCCAAATACAAACAGATAAATATCCTGTGATATATTTATACAATGGAATAGTACACAGCAGTGAAAATAAATAATAGAGTTACAAACATCCACAAAGATGAATCTCATGAAAATATACTGGAAAAAAGCACATTATAACTCGAACACACAAAAAAGGATTCAGTAAACTAGCAGAATATAAAACTGGCACTCAGAAATCAGTACTACAAAGAAACTCCCATGTATAATAGCAACAATAAAGATAAACTATTTAGGAATAAATTTATTCGGGTATGTGCAAAACCTCCATGAGAAAACCTTTCAAAACTAAATAACACAAAAGTATTCCTCAGCAAATGGGAAGACATAAATTCTTCTTGGATGAGACAACTCAGTATCATCACAATGCCAGTTCTCCCTAAATTAATTTATAAATATAATGCAATTTTATGGAGCTAGACAAATTGATACTATAGTTCATGTGGGAAAATTAACCTTCAAGAATAGCCAGGAACACAGAAAAGCCTCAATGGGAACATAAGCCCTACCAGACACTAAAAATACTACAAAGCCTTCATAATTAAAACAGTGTATACTGGTGTATGAGTTGACAGAGAAGTGGAGTAGAAGAAGTCCAGATATGCCCCAACCACATTTGGAAACTCAGTATACGATAAAGGTGGCCTCTAAAATTACTGGAGAAAACAGATGTTTTTAAATAAATGCTGCTGGAACAACTGAATAACAATTTTAAAAAATTAAGTCCAGTATCTCCTACCAAGCACAAGAATGAATTCTAAATGAATCAAAGATTAAATGTAAGAAAAAAAATGAAACCATACGAGTACTAGAAGAAAATTGGGTTAATTTCTTTTTGATCTGGATGTAGGAAGAGGTTTTCTTACTATGACTCAAAAATACACACACAGTAAAAGAAAAGATTGATGAACAGGACTACACAGAAATAAAAAGTTTTTTCACAGAAGACACATCTGATATTCAAAGACACAAAAAGGTTGAAAGTAAAAGCATGAAAATAAATATGTCATGCAAACACAAAGTTGGAGTTGTTATACCATGTCAGATACAATAGACTTTAAAAAAATGTTGCAAGAGATAGAAGGACATTTCATAAAAATAAAATGGTCAATCTATCAGGAAGATATAACAATTATAAACACAATGCACCTAGTAACACAGCACCAAAATACATGAAGAAAAAATGGATAGATATGAAGATGAAGGTAGACCATTCAATAATAGTAGTTGGAGGCCGGGCATGGTGGCTCACGTCTGTAATCTCAACACTTTGGGAGGCCAAGGTGGGTGGATCACCTGAGGTCAGGAGTTCAAGATCAGCCTGACCAACTTAGTGAAACCCCGTCTCTATTAAAAATACAAAATTAGCCAGGCATGGTGGCGCATGCCTGTAATCCTAGCTACTTGGGTAAGGCAGGAAAATAGCTTGAACCCAGGAGGCAGAGGTTGCAGTGAGCGGAGAGCACAACATTGCAATCCAGCCTGGACAACAAGAGTGAAACTCTGGGCCGGGCGCGGTGGCTCACGCCTGTAATCCCAGCACTTTGGAAGGCTGAGGCATGTGGATCACGAGGTCAGGAAGTCGAGACCATCCTGGCTAACATGGTGAAACCCCGTCTCTACTAAAAATACAAAAAAATTAGCCGGGCGTGGTCCGGGCACCTGTAGTCCCAGCTACTTGGGAGGCTGAGGCGGGAGAATGGTGTGAACCCAGGAGGCAGAGCTTGCAGTGAGCCGAGGTCGTGCCACTGCACTTCAGCCTGGGTGACAGAGCAAGACTCTGCCTCAAAAAAAAAAAAAAAAAGAAAAAAAGAAAAAAAAAAAAGAAACTCTGACCCAAAATAATAACAATAATAATAATAATAATAGTATTTGGAGACTCTAATAGTCCAGGTTCAATAATAGATAGAACAACTAGATAGAATATTGGCAAGAAGGCAGAAGATCTGAACTACACTATAAACCAACAAACTAACATATGTTTCTAGAGCACTCTACCCAAGAATAGTATACACATTCTTCTTAAGGGTACATGAAACATTATCCAGGATAGACCATCTGCAAGGCCATAAAACATACCTCAATAAATGTAAAAGGATAGAAATAATACAAAGTATGTCTTCTAATGACAATGAAATTAGAAATCAGTAGCAGAAAAACAATGGGAGAAACTCACAAATATGTATAAATTAAACAACACATTCTTACATAATCAATGCCTTAAGAATCAAATGGGAAATAAAAAAATACGAATATTGGTAAACATGAAGACACAACATACCAAAACTTACGGGATGCTGTGAAACTTCTTCTCCCCCAAAAATATTAAAGGAACTCAGAAAAAACTAAGAAAGAAAAATCTCAAATTAATAACCTAATATTCCACCTTAAGACTGGAAAAAGAGGCACAAACTAATCCAAAAGTAAGCAGAAGGAAGAAAATAATAAATATTACAGTGGAAGTTAATGACGTGAGAATAGAAAAATAAAGAAAATTGGCCTGGCACAGTGGCTCACACCTGTAATCCCAGCACTTTGGGAGGCTGAGGCGAGCGGATCACGAGGTCAGGAGATCGAGACCATCTTGGCTAACACAGTGAAACCCCATCTCTACTAAAAAATACCAAAAAAAAAAATTAGCCGGGCATGGTGGCGGGCGCCTGTAGTCCCAGCTACTCGGGAGGTTGAGGCAGGAGAATGGCATGAACCCGGGAGGCGGAGCTTGCAGTGAGCCGAGATCACGCCACTGCACTCCAGCCTGGGCGACAGAGTGAGACTCCGTCTCGAAAAAAAAAAAAAGAAAGAAAAGTAAAGAAAATTGATGAAACAAAAAGCTCATTCTTTGAAAATGTCAAAATCGGCAAATCTTTAGACTGACCAAGAAAAAAAAAAGAGAAAACTCAAATAACTAGAGGCAAAAATGAGAACAGGGACAGTATTATCAACCGTACAGAAATGAAAATGACTACAAAGGAATACTATGAGCAATTGTACACCAACAAATTAGATAGCTTAGATGAACAAATTCCTATAAAGACCCCAAACTACTAAAACTGACTCAAGAAAAAAAATAGATGGTCTGAATATATTAATACCTATAACAAATGAAAAGACTGAATAGGCAATTTAAAAAAAAAAAAAAAAACTACCCACAAGGAAAAACCCATGCCCAGGTCGCTTTACCACTGAATTCTACCAAATATGTAAATAATAATGAATGTGATTCTTCACAAACTCTTTCAAAAAATATGAGGAGAGAATATGTTCCAATTCACTTTATGAAACCTGTGTTACTCTGATACCAAAACCAGACAAAAACATTATAAGAAAATTATTCACCAATATCTCTTATGGGTATGGATAAAAAAATCCTCAACAAAATACTAGCAAACTGAATCCAGCAACATGTAAAAAGAATTACATACCATGACCAAGTAAGACTTATCCCAGGAAGTCAAGGTTGGTTCAGCATCTGAAAATCAACTAAGTTATGCATCATATCAATCAATAGACTAAAAAACAGAATCATCTCAATAGACGCTGAAAAAGAATTTGACTAAATCCTCATGCCTAAACACCCAACTAGAAGAAAACTTTCTCAACCTAATAAAGGACACCTACAAAAGTCCCACAGCTAACAATATACTTAATGATGAAAGACTGGCTGGCTTTCTCCTAGGGCAGGAACAAGACAAGAATGTCTACTTTTACTCCTATTCAACATTGTACTGGAAGTTCTAGCCAGGGTAACTAGGCAAGAAACATAAGTAAAAGACCTCCGGGTTGGAAAGGAAGAAATAAAACTATATTCACAGATGAGATGATCTTTTATTTAGAAAATCGTGAGGAATCCACTAAAAAACACTATGAGAACTAATGAACAAATTCAGCAAGGTTGCAGGTTACAAGATCAATATATAAAAATAATTGTGTTTTTACCCAATTGCAATAAATAATCTGAAAGTGAAACTAAGAAAACAATTGCATTCACAATTTAACAAAAAATAATAAACTATTTGGGAATAATTACAAGAAGTCCAAAACTTACATTGCAAAAACTATAAAACATGGTTGAAACAAATTTAAAAAGACCTAAATAAATGGAAAAACTTCAATGTTCATGGGTCAGAAAACTTAACATCGTTAAGATATCAGTACTCTCCAAACTGCTCTACAGAGTCAATTCAATCTCTGTGAGAATTCCAGCTGACTTCTTTGTAGATATTGTCAAGCTGATTCTAAAATTCATATGAAACTGTAAGAGACACAGAATAGCCAAAACAATACTAAGAAAAGAACAAAGTAGGAGGATTCACACTTTCTGAATTCAAAATTTACTACAAAGCAATGGTAATCAAGACAATGTGGTACTAGCACAAAGGAGACGTACAGATCAATAGAATAGAAATGACAGCCTAGAAATAAACCCATACAGCTGTCATCAATTGACTTTTGACAATGGCACCAAAACCATTCAACTGGGAAAAAAATAGTCTTTTCAACAAATGAAGCTGGGACAACTAGCTAGTCACATGCAAAAGAATGAAATTGAATCCTTATCTCACACCATATACAAAAATAAACTCAAAACAGATGGATCAAAGAGCTAAATGAAAGAGTTAAAACTAAAATTCTTAAAAGAAAACATAGGTATAAACATTCACGGCCTTGGATTGGCAAAGCATTTTTTAGATATGACATCAAAAGCATGAACAACAAAATAAAAAATAGACACATGGGGCTTCTTCAGAACACAGAACTTTTGTGCTTCAAAGGACACCAAAAAAATTGAAACTGTGGAAGAATAGGATAAAATATTTGCAAATTATATATCTGATAAAGAACTTATGTCTAGAATATATAAAGAACTCTTACAACTTAATAATAAAAAGGACAGGTAACCCAATTTAAAAATAGGCAAAGCCTCTGAATAGACATTTCTCTAAGGAAGAAATACAAATGGAAAATATACAAATATACACACAAAGACACTTGATATTATTAGCTATCAGGGAGATTCACATCAAAACCATAAAGAGATGACACTTTAATACCCAGGAGGAAGATGAGAATCTGAAAGTCAGATAATAACAAGTGTTGACAGAGAAACTGGAACCCTCATACCCTGCTGGTAAGAATGTAAATTGGTGTGGCCACTGTGGAAAATGGTCTAGGTCTAACAGTTCCTCAAGTAATGAAACACAGAGTTACCATGTGACCCAGCAATTTTACTCAGGTGGATACCCAAAAAAGAAATGAAAAAAAATATGTCTACACAAAAACATGTGCACAAATGTTTATAGCATCATGGTTAATAATAGCCAAATGAGTTATATCCATATAATGAAGCCAAATGAGTTATATCCATATAATGAAATATTATTCAGCCATAAAAAAGAATGAAGCACTGCTGCATGCTACAATGTGGATGAACCTTAAAAACATGATGCTAAATGAAAGAAGACAGTTACCAAAGGCCACATATTATACGATTTCATTCTTACAAAGGTCCAGAACAGAGAAAGCTATAGAGACTCTAAGTGGATTAATGTTTGCAGAGGGCTGGCGGTGGGGAGTGTGGATGGGGAGATAGTGAAGTGATGGCTACATAACATGGCATTTCTTCTGGAGGTTTTGAAAATGTTTAAAATCAATGGGGGCACATTTATGTGAATATACTAAAAACCTTTGAATTGTACACTCTAAATGGTGACTTGTACAGCACGTGAATTACATCACAATAAAGCTGTTTTTCAAAATTTTTAAGCCTGATGAGAAACAAGATATTCACACAGTCCCCAAGTACCACCTCATGAGATACTTATTAATTAGAAAAAATAAACAGTACTTTCCAGTAGAGAAACCTGGCAGGCAACCACCTTAATCAAGCAATGAGTTAACACCAACCAGCAATGCGCAAATCTCCTGATATGAGGTACTGAGAAGGACATAACATGGCTTCCGTAGTATTTTGGACAACACTGTGTAATCTAATCTATGCGGAACCTCAGACAAACCAGAACTGAGGGACATGCTGCAAAATAGCAGGCCTGTACTCGTCAAAAATGTCCGATTCAAGAAAGAAAAAGAAAGACGGCAGAACTCTTCCAGATTAAGAAACTGGAACTAAATGCGCCCCATGATCCCAGATTGAATCCAGGACCAAAACTCAAACAACCATTTGTTTTTCATTTGCTATAAAGAACATTACTGGGACAATTGTTGAAATTTCTGTAAGGGATGAGGATAAAATAATAATAGTATCACATTGATGTTAATTTCCTGACTTTGATATTTGTACTGTGGTTATGTATAAGACGTGGTTATGTACAAGAATGTCCTTGGTCTTAAACACACAGTGAAATATTTAGAGGTAAGAAGCTTCATGTCTTCAATCTATTCTCAAATATTTCAAAAGAGTGTTAAAATGTTACATATGTACACCACTTCATATATATACACACACCCACATACACAGAGAATAATTAAGTATATATAGTGAAATGTGAACAACTATGAAATCTGGCGAATGATATACAAATGGTACTTGTATGTTTTAAAAAACTTTTCAACTTTCTGAAATTGTTTCAAATAAAAATTTTAATTAAAAAAGCATGCTTGCAGTACAATGTCATTTATATAAAGTTCTAAAGCAGATGAAAGAAAATTATCCTCATCTATATACACATGCAGCAAAGGTGTATAAACATTCATGACAGTGGTTAGCTCTGGGGAGGATGGGGCCAGGTACGCAATAACTGTGTTTTACTTCTCAAGCTGGTGGCGGGTATGAGGCTATCCATTTTATTGTTATTTATCTTTTTGTATATCTAGAATATTGTATAATAACATTTAAAATTTAAAAACCCACTCCCCACCCTCCCTCCCCAGCCACCATCCTCCTTTCCACCAACTGCAGGACTGCACTGGGCGGCCAGTTCCCATGCGTCCTTGGATACATTTCAGCCACACTGAGAAACTCTCCCTGCGCACACGGCTGGGTTCCCTGGAGAACAGGACCAAGGGCTGGGCGTGCCCACCGCTGCCTTGGGTGGGAGGGAAGAATTCTTCCAGGCGGCGGCTGGTGCTTCGGAGAAGGACAGGGGAAGGGGGTTGTGCACCAGGCACAGGACATGGGGGCAGATGACTTCCCAGCCCTAGGGTCGGGTGCCCGTGTCTGGGAAAGAGAATGGGGTCCCCACAGCTCCTTGCAGAAGGGACGCTGAGCAGCAGGCGTCCTCCCTGAAGCAGGGCTGACGCCACCACCTCGCATGGACTGAGTAACAAAAGAAGTGGTCTCTGCCTGGCTCCCTTTTACCCTCCGCTTGGAACTGATGCCCCGCTGAGCGCAGCTTGCTTCCCACAGTCAGACATGAGGAGGCTTCTCCAGGCAGGATGCCCAGCGGGTGGAGGCGTGGGGGCGGGCTCCAATCCGAGTCCCAGGCCTCGCCTGTCCTCTGAACAGGAGTTGGGGGGGGCATCAGTAAACAAGGAACCTTCCCTCCTTCAGCAAAGATGGAGACAGTACCCACCACGTGCCGCGCAAACCTCCAGGCGCTTAGGGGAGAGAAGTGGGGGGGAAAAGACAAACACCTCTGCCCTCCTGGGAGGCGGTGGAAGAGACAATAAACAAAACAAACAAGCCAGCACACAATATGTCAACTGGGAGTAAGTGCTTTGGAGAAGAAAAAGGTCAGGAGTAGGGAAGAAGAACTGGAGCCTGGGGGCCTGTGTGCTCCTGCCTGCATCCAGCGTTGCCCGCGGGGCTCCCTGCCTGCAGAGGGCTCCCCCAGACTCACTACAGGAATGGAGCAGCGGTGTGCAAGCATCTGTCCCAAACCAGAGGGCCAGGGTCAGGGAAGATCTGGCCAGGAAGGAGACTTTAAGCAAAGACTTGAAGGAACAAGGGAAGCTATGGGTGTCAGGAAAGATGGTCCCAAGCAGAGTCACAGCAAGAAGAGGTCCTAGAGGTGGAAGCTGCCACTCGCCTCTTAGCAGAGGCTCAAAGAAGCCAGCGCAGCGTGGCCAAGGGGGTATGAGTGATGGAGACACCCTCTGGAAATGAGACCCAGAGAGGTCCTGGGGGTTTCTCAGGGTGATGTCGGGAGCACCCAGGGCTGCTGAGACATGGAAGGGACACATTCCTGACACCTTCTGAAGTGCAGCAGCAAACACGGTCCACAGGAGTCATCAGGGGCACACACAGGTCAGCACCCAGCTTTGCAAGCAGAGGCCTCCTGTACCACTCACACCACGTGATTCCAGAAGAGTTGGGGTCAGGACCAGTGACAGGTCGGGGGTAGGGGAGTGGGGGCACACCTAAGCTGCAAACTGTGGTGAGCCCACCTCCAGGCCTCCAAATGCAGGGTCAGCTGGGACATCCTGGCTCTACTAGATGCACTGAGCAGGGCCTGGGGAAGTTCATGCACTTGAATGAGGCACAATTCAACCTTTTATGCAAGAGAAAGGCAAGGGCAGAAACTGGATTCCTGGGTTTGGGTCACCCCAATATCCTAGAACTTACTATCAGTAAGTTCTAGCAGGGGATCTTTAGGAAATGATGCTCCGTCCTGGTCACAAGAAATGTCCATGTCTAACAGAACAGATGTCTCCCGAACCCTGTGTGGGCAGCTGAGAGAGCATCTCCCGGTCTTTGGAAACTGCATCCAGCTCTGGCCACAGGTCTTGCTCATTCGGGACAATGAGCTGTCTCCCCACTCTGGCCAAGTCTAGCAGGGGAAGATACGGCTTCCCCTGCTGTTGATTGGAATGTTCCAGTGTCCCGAAAAGGGGCATGACCTGGATTTGAAGACCACTCTGCAACCTTCCAGCTAAATGACCTAGGGTAGGATTCCACCCTCTCGGAGTCTTTCTTCTCAACTAGGAAAAGGGAATGAAAAATACCCCAGTTGTTGGGAAGCGTCAATGAAATGAGCAGATAAATAAGCAAGTAGATTGTGTGTGTGTGTGTGTGTGTGTGTGTGTGTGTGTGTGTGTGTGTGTGTGGTGGGGGACAATAATTTGAGTGTCCTTTCCTTCCTCTCTCTTCACATCTCCCAAGAACATCCCACACGCAGGTTCCTAAAACAGAGAACAGTCATCCCCCTGGTCCCAGGGAGCTCTGAGCCCCCACCTCTTTAGGAAATGATGCTACGTCCTGGTCACAAGAAGTGTCCATGTTTAACAGAACAGATGTCTCCCGAACCCTGTGTGGGCAGCTGAGAGAGCATCTCCTGGTCTTTGGAAACTGCATCCAGCTCTGGCCACAGGTCTTGCTCATTCGGGACAATGAGCTGTCTCCCCACTCTGGCCAAGTCTAGCCAGTGCTTCAGAGCCCCTTGTTTGGCCTCCACCTCCCTGAAGCAATGTCAGCATCTCCTGGCTGCTGGTCCTTCCATCCTCACATTTGACACACACGTGTGGCTTCAGTGTTCTCAGAGGGTGTCACAGCTTCATCTTCCTATGAAATGTACACTTCCAGAGTGCAAGGACCACAGTGATATTCTATTTTTCTGCATTTTCCAAGACACATGGCACGATGCCAGATGACCCGTGTGTGTGAAATAATTACTTGAGAACTTGAAGATCACAAAATATATATGCATTAAAAATTCTTAATTAGAAAAAAAATGACTAACGTTAGATCATAAAAGTTCTGCCTTGTGTGCCAAATTTGAACTTGTTCTAGGAACACTTTTGTTACAGACTTTGCAAGGAACCAAGCAATTAATGCCTTTTCATTACAACCGAGGACTGAAACTGGAATATTAAAATTGCCATTCAGCGGAATGTGCATGAAATGCTGCAGGTCTCCTGGTGAATAATTCCTGGTCATAATGACATGCTATGGACTTCAATCTTACTCCTAGACATGAGAGAAGACAGCTAAATCAACTTTGTCCATTTAAATATCATTTTAAGGTATCTAGAACCCATCTCTTTATTGCTCAACAACCCTTAGCAATTTCTTTTGCCCTCATTTATTTCTGGTTCCCAAGGGAATCCTGTCTGATTTATTGGAAATTAGTTCCTACAGCTAGTAAATGCTTTAAACTGTTTTCATATAAATCACTCCAAAATCTGTTAGTGCACTGAAGCCCGTTTAGAGTGATTTCCTCCAGCCACGCTGTGCTCCACCACACCCTCTCTCCTGCTAACTGGAATGTCCCATCACTGGTCAGGGGCTCTGTGAGAGCAGGCAAACAGATCTCTAAGAATGTATGTTTTCTTCACACATACTGTATTAGTCTGTTCTCACACTGCTATAAAGAACAACCTGAGACTGGGTAGTTTATGAAGAAAGGAGGTTTAGTTGACTCATAGTGCTGCAGGCTTCACAGACTGGGAGGCCTCAAGAAACTTACAGTCATGGCAGAAGGCAAAGGGGAAGCAAGCACGTCTTACCAGGTGGAGTAGGAGAGAGAGAGAGAGAGAGCTAAGGGGGAAGTGCCACACACTTTTAAACCATCAGTTCTCCTGAGAACTCACTATCACGAGAACAGCAAGGGGGAAACCTGACCCGTGATTCAATCACCTCCTGCAGGCCCCTCCTCTCATTCAATGTGAGATTTGGGTAGGGACACAAATCCAAACTGTATCACACATTTTTTTTTTCTTTGAGACAGTATCTCACTGTGTTGCCCAGGCTGGAGTGCAGTGGGATGATCTCAGCTCACTGCAACCTCCACCTCCTGGTTCAAGTGATTCTCCTGCCTCAGCCTCCTAAGAGCTGGGACTACAGGCATGTGCCACCATGCCTGGCTAATTTTTGTATTCTTAGTAGAGACGGGGTTTCACCATGTTGGCCAGGCTGGTCTTGAACTCCTGACCTCAGGTGATCTGCCTGCCTTGGCTTCCCAAAGTGCTGGGATTACAGGCATGAGCCACTGCGCCCAGCCCACAAGCTCTCTTAATCGAACCCCTTTATCCTTCTGCTGTGAGCAATGGCTGGCTAAATATAAGCACTCACAAGCCAACCTCCTCATGGGGTCAGAGTGGTCTCAGGAGCAGTGCGGGCACCTGGCTGAAGGTGAGTGTGCCATGTGTGGCGGGAGAGTGTCACAGTGCCAACCACTGTTGCCTGCTGGTATCCACCTGCATCAGTCAGGACAGGTGAGGCCATGATGCTGTAACAGGAAAGCTCTATTCCCTGCTTGTGCCCCATGGTCACTACGGGCAGCTGGGGAGTCTGCACTCCTCACTCCACTCGGCCACCAAGCCCAGGGAAGCTCAGCACTGAATGTGCTTCCAAATAGCCAAGACAAGCAGAGAATGTGTATAGCAACACTTGGACTCCGAAAATCTGTGCCATGAAGTCGCACTTGTCATTTCCACTTGCATTTCACTGGTCAGAGTGCATGACTTGGTCACCCCAAATGTCGAATGGTGTGAGAACGTGGGAGCTGCCATATGCCTGCAAGGTGGACGGCACAAATGTCCATCAAGCTGCCCAGCCCTTCTCTTGCACGTGCTGGACGACAGAAAACCTCGCCTGCTGCTGGGCTGGGTTAGTTGGTGGTTTATGTGCGTGTTTGCTTATTTGTGTGTTTGGCTGTTTTCACCATTAAACCAGAAACCTTCTACCTAGCCAGCAGACATCTTCCTACTCTGAGAAGTTTGACAATTTACCACGTTTTAGTCCATGAGATGCTCCACGTACTGTTTATAGGAATCAATCTCAAAAACAAATGATTGTTATCTAGATAACTGCTAGGAATAGAAAGAGAGCTCTTCAAATTGACAAAGGAGAAGGAGGGCCTTGCAGGCAGAAGCAGAAAATAAAAATCACAGAATTCTAAGCCTCTTAGCAGAAGAGAAGAGCCCAATATTTCTCTTAGCCTCAAGCTGCTTCCCGAGCACAGGGAAGGAGGGTCATACTGGGGACTGCACGGCCCTCTCCTCTCCTTACTAAGCTCTAGGCAGATGAAATATCGCAAGTCCTCTTCCTGCCCTCTCCCTTTCAGCTTGCCACAAATAAAGGGCTATTTTCAGGAGAAATCCTCCAAGTATCGCTGTAAAACAGCAGGATGTAACGCTCACCACAATAACAAATGTATGTAAAAGATCATCTGTAGAAATCATTTTTAACTGAGACATCTTTCAAAGGCAAAAATGATCTATATGCCAAAAGACAGTGCTCATATATCTTTTGGAGAAATGAAAGGACCTCGTTCAATGATTTAAAGAACAGCACCATAAAAAAAAATTTCACGTATAAATATTTAAATATAGTTTATTATATTCAATACCTGTCCAAACATATCCTCTGTGTAGATGTTTTCCAGCTGCACTCAAAGCTGTGGACTCTAAGAATACCAGGAAGTATTAAAAAACAGTAACTAGAAAACTTTGCCATATCTTTGGAGGACAGAGCTGTTTTTAAAACCAACGTACCAAAAAAGTAGCTATATTTTGACCAGATAGGAGGACGGTAGGGGATTGTAAAGGGAAGGAATTTGGTAAAAGTGTTTTTGGTTTGTCATGCTTCTAAAGGCCGCATGTCATGGGCCAAAAATAGTTCATATTATTAGGTACAATTCTTTTAATATGCATCCTTTAAATCTAGGTCACACACATCCCTACGTTTACGTATAAAATGCTTCCGTTCACATGTGTCTATCTACGTATCAGTGAGATATGATGCTAAGGGCATGAAAGATAGTGAATAAAATATAGGTTACCACTGTTCTGTTGCTGTCTTCAAGAACCCTGTCATTTAGGCCTCAGAGATGGTGGGAGACATTAATGGAAATCTGATGGCTAGCCTCCCCTTCGGGCCGTCAGCCTCTTCTGTAAAATCCACCTGAACACCTAAAGGAGCACTCGGAGGAGAAGTTTCCAAACCTCATATTTTCTTTCCATTGGGTTCTTACAGAATTCCAGACATCCAAAGTGCTCACATTCTATCCCTCAGAAAAGCCACTGCCTGGGCTCTCTGCATTTGGGACCAGACCCTCTGTGTGTGGCTCAAGCTTCCGCACCCCCTTCTGCAGGTGGGCACATGAGTGGAAGGACTTTGTCTTCAGGGTCTGCGTCCTTCACCTCCCTATGTCCTTTCTTCCACTATCCCATCCCCTCCCCTCATGTTTCTGATGACAGCAGGTAAGTGCCACTGAACTTTAGCTGTTCACTGGCACTTATCTGCTGTCATCAGAAACATCCGATACAATTGGGCTGCAGTCACCTGCTGAAGTACCATCAATATCAGAAGGCATTTGGCTTTCATGGGAGACTTGGGACTTGGAAACTGACACTACAGAGCAAATGACTTTTTTTTTTTTTTTGAGACAGAGTCTCACTCTGTCGCCCAGGCTGGAGTACAGTGGTGCAATCTCGGCTCACTGCAGCCTCCAACTCCTGGTTCAAGCAATTCTCCCTGCCTCAGGCTCCCGAGTAGCTGGGATTACAGACGCCTGCCACCATACCCTGCTAATTTTTTTATTTTTCAGTTGAGATGGGGTTTCACCATGTTGGCCAGGCTGGTCTCGAACTCCTGACCTCAGGTGATCCTCCCGCCTTGGCCTTCCAAAGTGCTGGGATTACAGGTGTGAGCCACTGTGCCTGGCCCAAATGACTATTTTTAAAGGACCAGCAGAAGACGCTGGTCTCCTCTAAGTTTTGATGCATGTGGGGTTTAGGCACCTGGGATGAGCCCCTGCCCAGTGCCACCTGGCTACAAGCTCTCTGCATAATGAAGCCAAGGAGTGACTCTGCAGAGACCTTCACAGCATGACTTAGAACCTCAGACTAAAGCTTGCCTGAGACAGATCATCCTCCAGTTCTCCTTCTTTCCTTTTCCTTCCGGTGACGCTGCATTCACTCCTCACTCCTGGGTTCAGATCCTAACCCTGTCATTGACTCACAATGTAACCTACATAATCCCACTAGGCTCGCTCCTTCATCTGTTAAATGGGAGTCACACGTCTTACCTTGCAGGGTTGTGAGGGGGCCGTGATGCCCAGCACACACTGGCGGGCAGCGTGCACTCAGGGGCTGGGCCTGACCCCCATCATCACTGCTCCTGCAGGTGGCACTCGGCTCAATGGCTAGCAGCGGCCACAAGCACAGACAGTTCCATCCAACTTGCCTCCAGCCTCAGGTTCTAGATCTAACTCAAAAATTCCCAGATTTGAGATCCCAGGCCCTCCCTTCTACAATGACGGGATTTCCACCACTGGGCTATCCGGCCTCAGTCCCTTCTCACATTGGGATTGCCCATAAAGTACTGACATGTTCCCTCCGCTCTGCCCCTCCGCAGCTGCCAGTGATGAATCAAGTGGTGCTATCCCAACCAAAGGCCAAGCGTCATGGCTTTCAGCCAGGTCAGACGCCATAGCACACCAAGTCAGCTGAGGAGCTTGTCAAACCTTGACCCCAAAGTGGAGAAAGATGCAGAGGAAGAGGCTGGCTGCTACCACGCAAGCGACATCAGTGTCAGCATCTCACAGACCTGATCCTGGAGTCCCAACCAGAAGAGCCAGAACCAGGAGCATTGTAGCCAAGAAGACAGACAAATGCATCTTGACATGCGATTATCCAAATAATGCATCTCAGATGTGTCCAATAGCTCCTAGCAAAAGATGACACTATTCCCCCACCAGTCCCAGCCCCCAACAAGCTAATGGAAGAGGATCTCAAGAACATCAGCCCATTTCCCAGATGGGATGTTGAGGCACAGAGAGAGGAATGTGTGTCTAGTGACACAGTGAGTTCCCAGGGTTCTCAAAAAGTGAACCCAGATCTCTTGATGCCCAGCGGTTCTGCATTGGCCTTCTCGCTGCAGGAAGGGGACGTTCTTAGAGAAATAACACAAGGCCTAATGTCTCCTCAGGAAGCTTATTCCTGGGGACTGCAAACCAGCAGTGCAGAAACTGTCGATGACAAAGCGTTTCTTCCCCATCCTCTGTATTTGTTACAGCACTGTGTCCTCATCCCTCACGCCTTGCAGCTGTACCAGATGTGGAGAAAATTACATGTTCCCTGAAACTTAATGACCAAATTTAAAGCAATTTTGAACTAATCAGGGTTCTGTTAAGCTGATTTTATTAATTTAACAGTTTTAAGAGTTTAACAAAATGATGCACTTAGAAATCTTTGTTGTGAAATCTGTTCATTTAGGTGTAAAAAAGATGGTGCCACCCAAGAGAGCTAATTTAAAGAAAAGGATGATTTGTAAAGGAACTAAACAACGCTTCTTGAAAACGCAACACTATTGATAATATGGTGCAAGGTGGCATACCATGTCCGCCACTCAGCCTTCTAGGAGCAATTCATGCATGGTGCATGTGCAGAGGGAAATCAATAGAACGCTTATATCCAGAATTAGAGAATTCAACAGCAACTTTAGGATAAACTATGAAGTCTCCATTTACATCTAGAATTCAGAACAAAGCTATGGGGTGTCCTACCCAGTAATTCTCTTTATTTAAAAAGAAACACAGCACCATTTATTTCTGATAGAGATGGCTGACAAGCTCCTGGCACTCTTCCCATGCCCAAGGGCTCTTATAATCAGAGCTGTGTTCAAATAAAGCCAAACAAACAAAATGCGAGACCCTAATGGTCCTTGAATCTTACAAACACAACCTGCACTATCTCAGTATGTAAAAAAATAAATAAATCAGAAGTTAAAATCCATGTTCTAAAAAATTACCAGTGTACCTGTCTGGAAGAAAGAAGTCTCACCATTAAAGCACTAATTACACACCATTCACTAGCTGTGTGACTTTAGGTGGGTAACTTCACCTCTCTGAGCTTATATCCTTATGTGTAAAACATGGATAACCTCCTTCATAGTGTAGTTTTCTGGGAAACTAGGTTATTTCAAGTGCTTAGAATGGAGTCTGCCTCCCAGTACGCATTAGAATAATGCATTACCATTACGTGCACCTAAAACATGTGTGGCCCCATGATTGAGGATTTGTGTTTTATGACTTGCAGGCTGGGCTTACTATATTTGTTTTTTTCTATTTTTTTAAATTACAAAAGTAATATACTTCTTGTTAAAAAAGGAACAACACTCAAACAGTTGGAAGCATAACAAGTAAAAATTGAAATTCCCCTCCGCTACTCACCTCAGTCTCTTTTTCAGAAGTAATCACAGTCAACTAACTCTGCCTATTTTTCCAGAGCTTTCTGTGTGTTTAAAAAAGTTATATGTACATTTATGTTACATCATGATTATTTTCTACACACGTATAAGAATCATTTACATATAGTACATCATTATATATGCTACGTGTAATACACACATGTATTACACATACAGAGATATGTGTACATAGACATATATCTATTCATATGTGTAGTTTTTAATGTGCTCTTTTGTGGCTTGATTTTTAAAAAATTTTTTATTTCCATAGGTTTTGGGGGAACAGGTGGTATTTGGTTACGTGAGTAAGTTCTTTAGTGATGATTTGTGAGATTTTGGGGCACCCATCTCCCAGGCAGTATACACTGAACCCAATTTGTAGTCTTTCATCCCTCACCCCTTCTCACCCTTTCCCCCGAGTCCGCAAAATCCACTGTGTCATCCTTATGCCTTTGCATCCTCATAGCTTAGCTCCCACTCATCAGTGAGAACATACGATGTTTGTTTTCCATTCCTGAGTTACTTCACTTAGAAAAATAATCTCCAATCCCCTCCAGGTTACTGCAAATGCCATTAATTCATTCCTTCTTACTAGGTGTAAAAAGATGGTGCCAAAATACATACACACCACAGTTTCTTTATCCACTCGTTGACTGATGGACATTTGGGTTGGTTCCACCTTTTTGCATTTGCAAATTGTGCTGCTATAAACATGAGTGTGAAAGTTTTTGTACAATGACTTCCTTTCCTCTGGGTAGATACCCAGTAGTGGGACTGCTGGATCAAATGGTAGTTCTACTTTTAGTTCTTTGAGGAATCTCCACACTGCTTTCCATAGTGGTTGTACTAGTTTACATTCCCACCAGCAGTGCAGATGTGTTCCGTTTTCACTGCATCCACGCCAACATCTATTATTGTTTGATTTTTTTGATTATGACCATTCTTGCAGAAGTAAAGTGGTATCACAGTGTGGTTTTGATTTGCATTTCCCTGATCATTAGTGATGCTGAGCATTTTTTCATATGTTTGTTGGCCATTTCTATATATTCTTTTGAGAACTCTCTATTCATGTCCTTAGCCTACTTTCTGATGGGATTGTTTGTTTTCTTCTTGCTAATTTGTTTGAGTTCACTGTAGTTTCTGGATATTCAGACGTGTAGTTTTTAATGTGCTCTTGTATGGCTTGATTTTTTTCACTTAGCAATATGTCATGGACCTCACTCAATGCCAGCACTTACAGATATAGCTCATTCTTGTTCATTGCTGCATGGTATTTTCCAATCTCTGTGTGGCATACATTATTTAACCTTGGTTTTTCTGATGGACATTTAGGCTTTCTACAGTGTTTCCCTGTTAGAAACCACACAGAAAGTATTTTATGTACAACTTTGTGCACAGGAAACAATAATTGAGGCTGAAGGAGAGCATGAAGCCAAAGAGAGGATGGGATTCAGGATAGAGAACAGACACCAGCTTTGTATATTACCTGTTGACAAAAATGTGAAGCTTAAAGTGTGATGGTTTGATACCACTTCACACTTACTAGCATGGCTATTATTAAAAAACAAAAAACAAGAGTTGGTGAGGATGTGGAAAAATTGGAACTCTTGTGCATTGCTGGTGAGAAGGTACAATGGTGCTGCTGCTATGGAAAATGGTATAATGGTTCCACAAAAAATTAAGCACAGAGTTGCCACATGGTCCAGCCATTCCACTTTTGGATATATACCCCAAAGAAATTAAATCAGAGAACTGAACAAACATGTGTACACCTATGTTCATAGCAGGATTGTTCACATAGCCAAAAGGTAGAGAACAACTCAGATTTCCATTGACAGATGAGCAGCTACACAAAATATGGAATACAGTGGAATATTATTTAGCCTTAAAAAGGAAGGATAGTTTCATACCTGCTACAACATGGATGAACCCTGAAGATGACAAGCTAAGTGAAATATGTCTGCCACAAAAGGACAAATACTTGTATGTATTGGTACTTGTATGAGGTCCCTGGAGTAGTCAAATCCATACAGACAGAAAGTGTAACAATAGTTACCAGGGTTAGGGGAGAGGGAGGGAGTTACTGTTTAATGGGTACAGAGTTTCAGTTTGGAAAGTCAAAAAAGTTCTGCAGAATAATAGTAGTTATGGTCGAACAACAATATGAGCATACTTAATGTCACTGAATGGTACAGTGGAAAATGGTTAAAGTGGTAAATGTTATGTTAGGTGCATTTCACCACAATTTCCTTTTAAAAGTTTAATGGTTTGTTTGGGCCCTGATATGGTTAGGCTTTCTGTCCCCACCCAAATCTCATCTTGAATTGTAATCCTCAGGTGTTGTGGGAGAGACTGGTGGGAGGTGATTGGATCATGGGGGCAGTTCCCCCCACCATGCTGTTGTCAGGATAATGAGTGAGTTCTCGTGAGATTTGATGGTTTTATGTGTTTGGTAGTTCCCCTCTTGCCCACTTCTCTCTCCTGCCACCTTGTGAAGAAGGTGCCTGTTTCCCCTTAGCTTCCACCATGATTGTAAGTTTCCTGAGGCCTCCCCAGCCATGCAGAACTGTGAGTTAATTAAACTTCTTTCCTTTGTAAATTACCCAGTCTTGGGTATTTCTTTATAGCAGTGTGATAACAGACTAATACAGGGCCCATCCCAATGTTCCTGCATCAAAAGAGCTGTCTCCAAGAAGGAGCTCCAAAAGAGTTCTATCAAAATAACTGCATGCAAATACAGACCCTGGCCTCAAGCCAGGTCCCACTCTAATGGGATGGAGGGGGAAAGGGTGGGTAAACAAATCATCAGTGAAAATGAAAATGCAAAGATAATGAAGGTTGGTGCCAGGAAGTATGGGCTTTTCTGAAATCCAGAGGGCAGGTGAACTGATGTGCCTCTTATTCTCTATAATTTCATGTATGTTAAAAATATTATATTCATTTTTTAAAATACATCTTTTAAAACCAGAAATTACCATGAAACTTCATTCAGGAAGTCTAGAATGCTTAAGTTCCCAGCTGTTTAGATTTTATGATCCAGTTTTTAAAAATTTAATGGGGAGACAAATATAGGATTGACAACTTTTTATTTTGTTAAGTAACGACGTTAAAAAAAATCACCATCTGCTTTCAATATAATTTCATAAAAGAATGTGTATTTTATGTTAAAAAATGAGCTTGGGCATAAAAGTAGTTCTTTCCGAGAAACAGCAGTTGGCAATCCTTCCCAGTGAGTATGCAGACACCACCACTGTCTTCATTTCCCATATCTTGCCATAGACCAGTAAAAACTCTGCAGGCTGGCACTGGTCAGGATTCTTGAGTCTGGGACTGCTTCCTGAGCCCATATTCCTCTCTGCAAACCTGGAGTCATTTTCAATCTTGGTTCAAATGCCCCCGCACCCACCCTGCCCTGTGCCCCAGCCACTCTCTCATACTGTCAGGACAGTGACCAGCATGGCTTCACTGCCCATCCTATATTCCCCCCATCACAGGTGAGCACCTCCAGCCCTTCTCCCAGACCAAGTGAGCACTGACTTCCCAGGGAGACTCTGAATTACCCCCTACTAAGAAGACTCTGAATTTTACCCACCAGAACACTCCTCAATTACACCCCACTAGGGAGACTGATTTTCACGCCCCCGCCGGGAAGACTCCTGAACTGCACCTCACCAGGAAATATTTACCTGGTTGTGCACGTTTCTCTACACTGCCAGCGTGGTGTATATTTCTCTCCCCTAAACTACAGCATTCATTCTCCGTGGACCTGGCTTATTGCAAGGAATAGTGCCTGGCACATAGTTTTCAATAAAGATGTTAATGCGTGAATAAATTAAATAATGAATGAATAAAACTCATTCTAAAGTAAGCCTAAGAAAATGTACCCTCCCCCCAACCAGCCCCGGCAAAATGAAACTTGAATGACTGCCAACTTGCAGTCACATAGCAGGTGGGTGTCAGAGCTGATGGGAACCCAGGTCACCAGATTCTCAGATCAGGGCTTTTGCCATAAAGGAGGCTGCCATCTGTCATCCCCCAATAAGAAAGGGACATCTCCAACAGATCAACTCAGAGCCAGCATCACACATACCCTCAAGGCCATCACTCCTGATCATCAAAGCTATCATTTCTTTGGTAATTCCTATGTCCAGGTCCCAGCACTAGCACCTGTAGGTATTATCTCATTTAATCCTTAACACTACTAAGAAAGATATTATACTAGCCCACTTTTTAATAGATTTTTATTTTGAAACACTTCAAGACACAGAAAATTGGCAAAAATAGTACAATTTTTGTATATCCTTCACCCAGATTCCCCAAATGTCTTTATCTCATTTGCTTTCTTTACCCTTCCTTCCCTCTCTCTCTTTTGCTCTTTTGCTCTCCCTCTCTACCTACAGACATGCACACAAATATATCCCCACATACACATTGTTTTCTGAACTGTTTTAGAGTAAGGCAAAGCCACGATGCCCCTGTACCTCTTCACTGTGTATTCCCTAAAAATCAGAACATTAACACTGACATAAAACATATTATCTAATCCACAGACCTTCAAATTTCACCAAGCGTCCTATAAAGCCCTTGAGAGCTAAAGAAAAGAACACAAACTCGCGTGGTCCGGGATCCGATCCAGCATTACGCGAACATCCAGTTTTTGTATCTCTTTAGTTTCCTTTAATGTGGAACAGTTCTTCCATGACCTTGACATTTTTCTTGGAGTACAGGCCAATTATTTTGTAGACATCACTCAGTTTAGGTTTGTCAAATGTTTCCTCATAATTAGGTTCAGGTTGTACATTTTGGGCAGGAATATCACAGAAACGATGTCAGGTCCTTCATTCTTCAAACCAGAGCCACAGCTGTGTGTTTGTCCCGATTTCACGATGTTACTTTTGATCACTTGATTCAGGTAGTGTCTGCTATATTTCTTCAATGTAAAATTGTAATTCCCCCTTTGAAATTAGTAAGAACTTTGTGGGGAGATATGTCAGGACTATGTAAATTCCTTCTACATTTTCAATCTACTATAAGAAACACTATTCCTTCTTTTTCACTTATTTATATTAATTTTGACGCTCAATTATTACAGCTCTGACCAGTAGTTGCCTGGCTCTGTGTCTTTTACCACATCTCCATGAGTGTGTCAGCTCTCCCTTACTTTCTGGTCAAAATTTTTCCAGGCTCATTTGTACTGTCTCTGCCCTAACCCTAGAATTAACCATATCACCCTGCTACCTTTTAGTGGAGAAGTTATTTAAGAAAAAAATCAGGGTGGTAGGTTTACTACTGAGACATCATTGCCTCTAGGCTATCTTAGCAGACTGCTACATTAATACATGCATTTATATTTCTAGAACTCTCTCTGTGTGTATATATGTGTTCATACTGATACCTCAAATTCCAACCCAACACCACAGGACTAATTCTAGCCTTCTATACCTTTCCATATGTGTAACTCCCTTCACTGATTGAGAGGAAAAAATGGCTCCCATTACTTATAATACATTTACATATTTCTTCAATCTTGAATATAAATCATTTCAGAACTGCTAATCCACATCACTTGAAAAAACAAACCCTACTACAGTAGCCATATATTTTTCTTTTACAGTTGTTTCCTCTTATTAGACTGGTGGTACATGGCCAAAATACAGAGCCCAAAAGTTACTTGGGGAGCTGCCCCCAACTTTCAGCATGGCTTTTTATCCATTTGAAATACGGCTGCTTTCGTTTGTTTCTGTTTTTATTCCACATTAGGCTTCGTCTCTAGCCCATGATGTTTTTAGTTTGAAATATTGACAAGATTATTAATGTCAAAAGCATATAAACAGATATACTCAGAGAAATCTAACTTTCTGTCTCCTGTCTCCTTCCCATCCTCCCATCCTTTCAACCCTGGTCCCAACAACCCCATCAGTAATCAATCTCATTAGATTCTAACTCACCTTTCCTATATTTCTTTTTTACTAAACTACACAGATCTGTGTATGTTTTCTTATTTTACTTTTTTACTTTTTTTAATTTTTAATTTTTGTGGGTACATAGTAGGTATATATGCATGGGGTACAAAGACATTTTGATACAGGCATGCAATGTGTAAAAATCACATCAGGATAAATGGTGTGTCCATCACCTCAAGCATTTATCCTTTGTTACAAACAATCCAATTATACTCTTTTAGTTAATTCTAAATTACAATTAAATTATTATTGACTATAGACACCCTATTGTGTTAGCAAATACTAGGTCTCATTCATTCTTTCCAACTATTTTTTTATAGCCATTAACCATCCCCACTGCCCCTACTACCCTTCCCAGTTTCTGGTAACCATCCTCCTTCTATCTCCATGCGTTCAATTGTTTAATTTTGAGTTCCCATGAATAAGCAAGAACATGAAAAGTTTGTCTTTCCGTGCCGGGCTTATTTCACTTAACACAATGGCCTCCAGTTCCATCCATGTTGTTGCAAATGACAGGATCTCACTCTTCTTATGGCTGAATAGTGCGCCATTGTGTAGATGTACCATGTTTTCTTTATTCATTCATCTGTTGGTGGACACTTAGGTTGCTTCCAAATCTTGGCTACTGCAGATAAAGTTATTTTACTTTCTTTAATATGAAACAGTGGCATAATAAAGATGTCCTTTTAACAGCTCTGTTTAGGTACAATTTTCATATCATAAATTTACTCACTATAGGTGTACAGTCTGATGAGATTTAAGAAAGCATAGAGTGTGCAACTCTCACCAGCATTACACCAAGAACTGTCCTCATGCTCACCTGCCTTCAGTCCCTACTCCCACCCACAGATGCTCTTCCGCTCTTTGCCTTTGTCATGTACTAGTGTATCCTGGGATACACCCCATGCCAGTTCATAGAAACCATCCTCTTTCTTTTTCACAGTTGCATAGTATCCACTGTGCCATGTACTATGCATTATGCACCAGCACTTATTCAACCACCCCACTGTGTTTGGACATTCAGGTTGTTCCCAATATTTTGGAATTGCAAGTAATGCTGCAGTGGATAACCTTGTGGGTGGGGATGTTCATACTTTTGAGGTATATCTTCAAGGGTGAATTCCCAGAAGTGGGATTTCTGGGTCAAAATGTAAATGTATAAGCAGTTATGATAGATATTGCTGATATGGTTTGAATATCTGTCCCCTCCAAATCTCATGTTGAAATATGGTCCCCAAGTTGCAGTTGGGGCCTGATGGGAGTTATTGGGGTCATTGGGGGGGATCCCTCAAAAAAGGCTTGGTCTCTCCCTTCAGTAACGAAGTCACAGAAGAGCTGGCTGTTAAAAGGTACATGACACCTCCTCCTCTTTCTCTTGCTCCCTCTCTCACCATCGGACACTCCAGGTCCCCTTCCCTTCCACCATGATTAAAAGTTTCCTGAGGTCTTACCAGAAGCAGATGCTGACACCATGCTTCCTGTACAGCCTGCAGAACTGTGAGCCAAAACAAACCTCTTTTCTTTATAAATTACCCAGCCTTAGGTATTCCTTTATAGCAATGCAAAACAGACGAGTACAATCGCCACACTTCCCTTGAAAAGGGCTAAGCCCATTTGCAGTCCCCCAGCAATGTGTGGGATTGCTTGTCTCTTCACAGCCTTGCTTTTTCATGTTTGCCAATCTGACAGATTAAAAATGACAGCTCAAAGCCATTTTCATTTCTCTAATTATGAGTGATGTTGAACATCTTTTCGTTTGTTTAAAGGACATTTGTATATCCTTGATGTGAATTATCTTTCATGTCTTGTGCCCATTTTTTCTATCAAGTACCCCTTCCTCAATGATAACAGCTCTTTACATATCAGGGATATTAACCCTTTACTTCTGATATATGCTGCAAATACCTTCTCCTACAAAGTCATTTGCATTTTGACTGTGCTTATCATGGACTTTTGTAATCAAACTTGTCAATCTTTTCTTTAACTACATCTGGATTTTGAGTCATTGTTAGAAAACCTTTTCTTACATCCATGTTACAGAAAAGCTCACCCATGTTTTCTTCTAGTGTTTTTTTTTTTTTTTTTCTGAGATGGGGTGTTCACTCTGTCACCCAGGCCGGAGTACAGTGGCACGATCACGGTTCACTGCAGCCTCGACCTCCCCAGGCTCAGGTGATCCTCCCACCTTAGTTTTTGTATTTTTAGTAGAGACAGGGTTTTGCCATGTTGCCCAGGCTAGTCTCGAACTCCTGGGCTCAAGCAATCCACCTGCCTTGGCCCCCCAAAGTGCAAGGATTACAGGCATGAGCCACTGTGCCCAGCCACTTCTAGTACTTTTATGATTTCACCTTTTATATTTAGATCTCAATCCATTTGGAGTTTTTCTTGTGTATACTGGAACTTATGCATTAATTTTATCTTCTTCCAAAGGCTGCCTGGTCATCCCGGAACAATGTATTGAAAAGGTAATCTCTGCTCCAGTGATTTGAGATACCACCTTTGTCATATACTAAATTTCCATATGAACTTGGGGTCTATTTCAAGACTTTCTATTCAATTCTACTGCTATTTTGAATATTCATGCATCAATTTCACCATACTGTTTTAATTATAGAGGCTTTATAGTTCATTTTAATGTTTGGTAGAGCTATTCCTCCCAGTAGTTCTTAATTTGCAGGGTTATCGTGGTTACTGCATGTTTGTCTTTTCATATGAACTTAAGTATCAGTTGTGTAGCTCCATAAAAAAACTTACTGATACTTTCTCTGGGATTATGTTAAATTCATAAATTAACTTGGGACAAACTTTTTTATGATGTTAAATCAATCCATCCAAAATCAAGGGATGTCTTTCTATTTGTTCAAGACTACTTTCACATCTTTCAGAAGAGCTTAAAAATGTTTCTTATCAAGGCTTTGCCCATATCTTTCTAAGTTTATTCCTAAGTATCTTCTTTGTTGCTATTGCGTCCTCAAACTGGTTATTTATGTGGTTCTTATTTATGTACAAGAAAGTTAATAAGTTCTATATGTTAAATTTTTCCTGCTACCATAATGATTTTATTGTTTAATTTACTTTTATCATTGATTCTCTAGGGTTATCCCAGTATACTATCATATCATGTGCAAACTGAGATAGTTCTGGTTCTTCTTTTCTAATATTCATGCCAGTAACTGATTTATCTTACCTAATTGCTAATACCTCCAGTACAATTGTGGGATAGTAGCAGAGATAATGAATATCCTTGCCTTGATCCTGGTCTTTAAGTGGAAATGCCTCTAGTGTTTTCCCATCAACAAGCATCCTGACTTTAGGATTCAAATATTTTTTCAGGTTAAAAAAGCATCTATTTATTCCTATTTTCTTCAATGATATATCAGGAATGCATATTGAATTTTTTCAAAGGGTTTTCAGTATTTATGGAGATAATCATTATGTTTTTCCTTAGATACCTTAATATAGTACACTAATAGATTTCCTCATGTTGAACCAACCTTGCATTCCTGGGAAAAAGACACCATTTGGTCATGGTGCATTGATTTCTTATTGCGGTATTGGTTAGTTTACGAATAATTTGTTTAGCACTTTTACTTCAATATTTATAAGTTTATAAGTGATATTGTTCTGTAATTTCATTTTGGTACTTGCCTTTTCAGATTCAGGTGTCAATGTAGTACTTACTTTCAAGAAAGACTTAGAAAACATTCATTTATTTTCGATTCTCTAAACAATTAATAAAGAATGAAGAATATCTGGTCTTTGAAAGTTTGGACCAGGTGTGGTGGCTCACATCTGTAATACCAGCACTTTGGGAAGCCAAGACAGATGGACCGTTTGAGCCCCGGTGCTCAAGACCAGCCTGGGCAACATGGTGAATCCGTCTCTATAAAAAATATAAAAATTAGCCAACTGTGGTGGCACACACCTGTATTCCCAACTACTTGAGAGGCTGAGGTGGGAGGATGGCTTGAGCCTGGGAGATGGAGGCTGCAGTGAGCCGTTATTACACCCCTGCACTTCAGGATGATAGAGGGGGGCCCGGTCTCAAAAAAAAAAAAAAAAAAAAAAAAGTCTAGTGACATTTGGGGTAGTTCCTTCAGGATTTTTTCTAGATCTTTTATGGAAATTGGTTTATTTAAGCTTTAAGCTTCCTATACCAAATTGATACTGTTTTCATATTTTTAATAGAGGTCTACAAAATAATCTCATAATTTTTTTTTTTTGAGATGTAGTTTCGCTCTTGTCACCCAGGCCGGAGTGCAATGGTGTGATCTCAGCTCACTGCCTCCCGAGTTCAAGCAATTCTCCTGCCTCAGCCTCCCAAGTAGCTGGGATTACAGGAACGTGACACCATGCTCAGCTAATTTTTGTATTTTTAGTAGAGACACGGTTTTACCACGTTGGCCACGCTGATCTCGAACTCCTGACCTCAGGTGATCCACCCGCCTCAGCCTCCCAAAGTGCTGGGATTACAGATGTGAGCCACCGCACCCGGCCTAATCTCATAATTTTTAAAAATGTCTTCTATGTCAATGGTTATGTCTCTTTTGTCATTTATTTCATATATTTGTGCTTTCTCTCCATTTTTTATGCTAGCAAGGGTTTCATTCATTTGTTAATGTTTTAAAAACCCATATTTAGGGATTGCTAATCAGGTCTACTGTTCTTTCATTCTCTATCTTACTATTTTCTGCTTTTATCCTTACTATTATGTTTCTTGTGCTTTCTTTTGGTTTACCTTGTGTTTCTTTACCTAGCTTTTGGGGTAAGAACTTAGTTCACTTATTTGCATTTTTGTGTTTTTATTAATAAAAGCATTTAGGGATATGAATTTCCTTCCAATCACTGCTTTAAATATATCTCATACATTCTGGTAGGTAGTGTTTTCATTATGATTATTTTTTAATTTTTAATTTGCTTTCCCCATTTCATCCAAGAGTTAATAGGTTGTTTTTCATTTCCAGATGATAGGGTATTTTCATCTTTTTGTTAATAATGTCCAGTTTTAGTGCACCGTGGTTAGAAAGTATTGTTTATAATATTTCTACCTTATAGAACTTACTGAAATTTTCTTTGTGAGCTAATATATAACTGTTTGTAAATGCTCCATGTATACCTGAGAAGAAAGTATATTCTATATTATTGTGGCATAAATGTATACATAAAGATATCTATATCTCCATAATACCTATCTTCTTGATTCCATTGTTATTTTTTTCCACTTCATCTGCCTTGTGCTGAATGTGGTATGTTAAATTTTCCCATTATTAGTGGTTTTCTCTGCATTTCCTGGTTTCTTTTGCAGTATCTGCTTTATAAAGGTGGTTCCTGTGTTATTTCATGCATAGATATTCGTGACTGATATATAACTCTTTTGAATTGTTATTAGCAGCCATTTTTCTGAGTGTAGTCATTGAGCACCTGCTGTGGGCAAGGCAGAACCCATATCATCATTTGTCCTTTCATGTATTTGGAAGCAATGACCACAGAGGGGCACAGAGATGCTTCGCCTTGGTCATGAAGACACCCTGGGATGTTGGTACTGGTGTTCCTCACTTAGGGCACCAATTGTGCCAATAAGTATACATGAATCCTGGGCTGTTCCCTGGTTCACACAGCCAGCATCCTGGACAGCTCCTCCACGGCCACTGCCAAGCAACCTGCTGTGGCTGAGAATGGATGCTTCCAATCCAATCGTGTTTTGAAAAGATTAACAGAACAGAAAACCAAGGAAATCCCTGAGGTTGTGGCTTCTTGGTACCATGTTGTGTTCAGCTGAATTATGGCAGACTTTTTATAAAGGAGGCTGAGGAGGGCTTCATTCTCCAGAACAGCTACAGGGAGCTCTCTGCAGCTTGGCTACTCCGCAAGTGCCCTTCTCCCTCTAGCTCTTTACGGAACCCCCACCCTACCCATTCAGGGTGAGAGTTCCTTCTGCAGGAACAAGGCAGAGAGGCATCCTCTCTGGGCATAGAAAGCATTTTGGAACCAAAGCCCTCAGCCCTTGGCTAAGAGTCAAGGCAGGATGTAAATGCAAAGAGAATCAGTTAGACTTCATTGATTAGTGAACCTGGGGTTAATCAGCGGGCTGGGGGAGGGGTGTGGCTTAGTTCAACACCATTAACACATGCTCCCTTCCTGCCCCAACACAGAGCCGAAGATGTCAGGTAGAATTTGCCAGCCTAATTACAAATGCTGAGCCTTCATTTGGTAGGCAATTAATAGTCACTAGAAATATAAATCAGGGCAGAGACAAACGGGGGATAACTGTTGACAAACCCTTTAAAAGAGCATTTTAAAAATAGTGGCAGAGATAGAGCATGGTGGGGAGAAATAGTGAGGGATATTTCCTATGGCCCTACACTCTGCACCAGTTCTGGCAGCCCTGAGCACAGAGAGAGGAACAAAAGCTATACAGAAAAGAGAACGGACCTCCTTGTTCTTTTAAGTGTTCAAGCCTTTTCCTCAGGAGGGACTTCTCAGGAAGAGAGGCAGGTCAATGTGTGGGAGGGGCTTTGGCATGTGAGCGGGACTTTGATGTATTGAATGAGGCCTCAGTGCTTGGGAAGTGGCTCAGTGTGTAGGAGGAGCCTCCACGCGTGGGGAGGGGGTTCAGTGTGTGGGAGGAGCCTCCGTGTGTGGAGAGGAGCCTCTGTGTCGGAAGAGCCTCCGCCTGAGGGAGGGGGCTCAGTGTATGGGGAGGAGGCGCAGTGTGTGGGGAGGAGCCTCAATGTGTGGGAGGAGCCTCTGTGTGTGGCAAGGGGCTCAGTGTGTGGGAAGAGCCTCTGTGTGTAGGGAGGAGCCTTGGCGTGTGGGCAGGGCTTTGACATGTTAGAGGCCTCAGTATGTGGGAGGGTAATCAATGTGTGGGACTGTGTGTGGGGAGGGGTACTGGTATATGGGCAGGGTTTTGATGTGTTGAAGGAGGCCTCAATGTGTGGGAGGGGCTTCAGTGTGTGGGAGGAGTCTCAGTGTATGGGAGGGGCCTCGGTATGGGGAGAGTTTTGATGCACTGGAGGTCTCAGTATGTGGGAGGGGTCTCAATATGGGAGGGACTTGTGTGTGGGAGAGGCCTCAGTGTGTGGGAGGGGCTTCAGTGTGTGTGGGGGGGCCTCAGGGTGTGGGAGGGGCCTCTGTGTGAGTGGGACTTGTGTGTGTGAGAAGGGCCTCAGTGTGTGGGAGAGTCCTCTGTGTTGGGGGAGAGGCATTGGTATGTGGACAGGGCTTTGATGTGCTGAAGGAAGCCTCAGTGTGTGGGAGATACCTCAATGTGTGGGAGAGGCTTCAGCATGTGGGAGGAGCCTGCGTGTTGGGAAGGGGACTTAGTGTGTGGGAGGGGACTCGGTGTGTGGGTGGTGCCTCACTGTGTGGGGAGGAGCCTTGGCATGGGGGAGGAGATTTGATGTGTTACAGGGGCCTCAGTATGTGGGAAGAGCCTCGGTGTGTGGGAGGAGCCTCCATGGGTGGGAGGGGCCTCAGTGTGTGGGAGGGGCCTCTGTGGGAAGGAGCCTTGGTGGGTAGGAGGGGCCTTGTGAGGGGAGGGGGCATGGTCTATTGCCCAGCCAGCCCCAGGCACCCCGTTATGCAGATGCTCAGCAATGTGGTTTCCTCCTCCTCTTCCTGGGCACATTTTTAAACTGTATTTTCCAGCCTCTCCGCAATCTAGTGGGGCCTTGTGACTCACTTCTGCCCAGTGGGAAGTGGCATAAATGATGCATGCCACTTCCAGGCCTGGTCCACAACAATCTCTCCTGTGGACACTGGTCACAGGGCCTGCCCAAGATGGCACAGCCAGGGGTGGCCTGACCATTGCTACAATTCACATTGTCATTGCTTTACTATACTGCCTCCCAATTCATCTATTCTTGCAAAAATGTCTTGATTAAATATGCTATGGAAGGATCCAGAGTAGAAACCCGTGAGTGCTCCTATGCCCTCAGCATCTGTCTATCCCAATGGCTAACCCAGGGCAACCAGGAAAAAGTGCGAACGAGCTGTAGAATCAGAAGCAGTTGGAGCTGGAGCGAGTGTCTAGACTCAAAGAGCAGCTGGAGTTTAGCATGTGTAGGCCCCTGACTCCGAGGCCTAAGGATACCCTATGGGCTCAGTACAGAACTCTTCCAGAACATAAAGGCATTGTTCCCTTGGAAAAGGTCCCTCCCTCTGTACAGACACCAAAGTGGAAGGAGTTAGCAGCCTACATCTCCCTCAAGCACCCCAGTCACCCAGGGCTTCTGGTTACCACAGAGCTCAGAATGCCTTGAGTGTGGGTTCTTCTTCCCTTCAGTTTCACCTTCACGCTGCTCCTCCTGCTCGGACAGAAAGATCCAGCTGCAGTGACAAGTGCATCTCACTTTAAGAGAGTCCTTGTTGCAAAACTCTGATCTGACAAAATGCAGCAGGGGCAGCTCATCACATTGCAAAAGGATTACATTGTTTTAACATGAATCAAGAGGTATCTATCCCCGCTATACCCCAATTACCGAAGAGGAGGAATCTGAGGTCAGAATAGCCCAAGTGAGGTGCATACCTCCAAGGTCAGGTGGTGGGAGCTGCAGCAGCTCCAGGCTGCCCTCCCTGGGGGGAGCTGCTTTGCTGACCCACTTCAGAGTTTGCTTAGAGATGATCTGGGGAAATGTGAGGGACCACCGACAAGATCAATGACCATGAAAATAGCTTATTTGTGAAGTCACAGTGTAAATCGGCAGGAAAGAGCCTTTCTGAAACCCACATGGCTTCAGGCAAAGCCTGTCAGTCCAGGACCTGCAAATACCTGGGGGCTGAAAGGACAAGGGCACCTGCTCTGCTCAGCTGAGGACTGCCCAGAGGGGAGGGGAGAAGCCTCGGCCAGGGACAGGGCTTTGCACTAAGGCAGTGTTTGATGGACTAACGGTTTGATCCCAGGGGATACCCCGCTTCAAGCGGCTGGGGTGGCTGCAGGATTTGGACCTGGGGTTTAACAGTGCAGTTGCCTGCTCCTCCCCAGCCTGCAGCCCCCCACGCAATTCCTGCACTATTTGGAAAGGCTGGGATTCCGCACTTTAATTCTGCTTATGGCTTAATACAACACATAGAGCATTTGGCGGGGTGCCTTTCTGCTGAAGGTATGAATGTTTTAATGGAATTGTGTTATCATGCGAGCGTGTGGCCAACTGTTCAAACAAGATACTCTGGCTTTCTTGAAGAGTTAAGCAGGTTATAGCAGAACAGAAAACAGAAGAATAGTAATTCCAATATCAGACATTTGTGGATGGAAAAATATCTTTATTATGTTATTGACATGCATCTGTCTCCATCACATATTCTATGGCATTAAAACTGCCAGCCGCACCGTGGCCAGATGTCAACGACCCTGTCTATTGTCCTTCCCAGAGTGTCCACTGGGACAAGAGGCAACACCTGGACACCTGAAAAGTGCCAACATCCAAGTGTGTGCTTGGGCACATGGGCCAGAGTGCCTGACCCTCCCACTCCTGTACTTTCCTGTCCTACACACCTGCAGACACGCACATACACACACACACACGCACACACACACCAGGATGTACCAAGATAACTTATGACATTTTTTTTCTATGTTTCTAATTTTCTAAATTAGTTTCAAACATAGTTTATAAAAGAACTGCTCCCTAATCCTGGGGAAAGGCATGATGGGACATCCGGATGTCAGGCCAATCTCTTCTGCCTTAGACACACAGCAGGGAAAAACCATCCCAGACCCACAAGCTGCCTGCCTGACGAGGACAGACAGGGCACCTCTGCCTCGCCTGGGCCGTGGGGCACCAATGATGCCCAGCTTCTCCTGCCTCCCTAGAAGCAGCTCTAACTCCTCCCAATTCCCAGGCCCCCCAGGGCCACCTGCCTCCTGCTCGTCCACGGCCTCTCGTGACTGGAGGAAGCTGAGCTCTGCAGAACTGGGTCTCAGGTTCTTTATGCAGTCGCCCTAAATGCGGCTCTCGTGGCGCCCCCTCAGAAGTGGTCCCCCCAGCCTCTGCTCCTGGTCTGTGACGAGGCAATGTGCTCTCAGCTCCCGAATCGTGGCTTCACCCCTTCTGGAATCTTCCAGTCATGCCAGAGCTGTTTCGGTTACCTCTTCTCTCATCCAAGGCACTTGCAAACAGTGACTTTTTGAAAAAGGGCCTTGTGTATTTTTATGTTCCCAAGATTTATAGAAATAATTAAGAAATTTGATTACAATTCCATTGTGGCTGTTTACTTGGAGAACAAACCTTTTTTCGTGAACGCTTCCTCACTCTGACTAATGCACTTGAGTTTCTTTTTATTTTTAAAGCATAAATTTTCCTTGTTGATAGTGACTATGTATAGCGGTTGCAGCTGGGGCTGTTTGTACTAAGTTTCTAATCTAATAAGTTCTGCAGAAGAATAATACAACCATTTTCCCGGCCTGACAGAGCTGCTCCTTCAGGGGATATAAGGCCCAGAGAGCTTGCTTTGCACTGCTCCCTGATCAGCTGTTTTTCCTCAGGGAGAGGGAGGTGGGAGGTGAGGAGTGGAGGGGCTCTCGTGTGGACTGATTAGAGGGCTTGACAGTCACAATGACAAGGAAAGGTACCCAGGTATCTTGAAGGGTAGGGGTGGGGGAACCTTGGTGTCAAAGGTAACCCATGGTAAAGGCTGGGCCCCTCTGAGTTCCACTAGGTTTTGTTGGTACCTGCTGGGTCCTGTTGAGTCCCTGTGGGTCCCCTGGGTTCCACTGGGCCTTTTTGGGTTCTGCTAAGTTCTGCTGGGGTCCAGTCCACTGAGCCATGTTGAGTTTTTGTAGGAAGGAAAGTCAACTGTCACCTTCCTCCTTGCACCTCCCAACCCCCAGTCAAGCCAGGGACCATGTAAAGAAGGCTAGAAAGAAATAATTAAAAAAAAAAATTAAGCTCTGGGCTGGGCACGGTGGCTCACGCCTGTAATCTCAGCACTTTGGGAGGCTGAGGTGGGTGGATCACCTGAGGTCAGGAATTAAGAGACCAGCCTGGCCAACATGGAAAAACCCCATCTCTACTAAAAATACAAAATTAGCCTGGTGTGGTGGCACGTGCCTGTAATCCCAGCTACTTGAGATGCTGAGGTAGGAGAATCGCTTGAACCCTGGAGGCAGAGGTTGCAGTGAGCCAAGATCACACTGTTATACTCCAGCCTGGATGACTAGAGTGAAAATCAGTCTTAAAAAAAAAAATTAAACTGTGTGTTCCCACAGTTCCACAAAAATTTAAGAAGGGAGCCAGCGTTCGTGGAGCCTCAGTCACGGCCAGGCCCTGCACCCCGCTCTGCCTTCTGTTCATTTCAGCTCACAACTCCGCCTCAGGGGGATTATCGTGCCCAGTTTAGGATGATGTGCCTGAGGCCAGAGAACTGGGAAGCTGTAAAGCTGGGATGCAAACATAGACATAGTGACCCTCAAGAGGACAGAGGGCAGCCAAAGGCTCTTTCTGTCTCTCCTGAGGAAGGCGCAGCTGAAGAGACAGGAGGGACGCAGCGTCTGGCTGCTCTTGCTTCGGAGCCTCACCCCTGCGCCTCCCGCACAGCCTGTCCCCAGCCACGCTCCAGCACGGGATGGATGGACACAGCCAGCCCATCCTCCCCGAGGCACCAGGAAGGGATCTAATTTTAGCTCCGAGAGTCTAAAATTGCTGGTGCAGAACATCATTAAACACTTGGCTGCTCCCAAACCTTGGGGATAGCAGACGGAGAGTCTGCAAAGACCCACCATGAGAGGAGATCGTGCATTTGCGTCACTGCCCCTCACGCCTCACCCTCCAGGGCCCCGGGGATGCCAGCCATCACGGGCATGGTCCTAGCAAGCAAATGTCCTTCTTTCTGCTGAGTCCAGTGTCCTCCTGTCTCCCCAGGGAAAGCCTGGCAAGAATGAAAACATCAGGCTGGCTGAGAGGCTCAGCTGCCCAGTGAGACCGTTGTTTAAAGATCACAGAGCATCCCCAGGCTGGGCATCCCTCATCAGATGTGTGTGCAGAAATTCAGGCTCTCTGTGCTCATTAAGTCGCTCCATGCCCTGCCCCCTTTGGTGACCACCATGATCATTCCAAGGCCTGTCATGCTGTTGTTCATGCTCCGCATACCTTCACCTCCCTAGAAGCTCTCCTGGATTAAGAAGTCATTGGGGACCAGGCACAGTGGCTCATGCCTGTAATCCCGGCACTTTGGGAGGCCGAGGTGGGCAGATCACTTGAGCTCAGGAGTCCAAGAGCAGTCTGGCCAACACGGTGAAACCCTGTCTCTACTAAAAATACAAAAATTAGCTGGGCGTGGTGGCAGGCACCTGTAATCCCAGCTACTCAGGAGGCTGAGGCAGGAGAATCGCTTGAGCCCAGGAGGCAGAGGTTGCGGTGAGGCAAGATAGCGCCACTGCACTCCAGCCTGGGCAACAGCGAGACTCCATCTCAAAAAAAAAAAGAGAAGTCACAGGACAAGATCTCCACCTCCACTTGATTCAACCTGAACCTGTCCCGTGACAATGAAAAGCAAAATGCTGAATGATGGGGCTGAGTGAGAGAAAAGGAAAAATGGAACAGGGATGGGAAACTACCCAAATATTAATCAGCAGATGAATGGATAAACAAAATGTGGTCCAGTACAATAGACAATTATTCCACCACGAAGAGGAACTAAGCACTGACATGTGCGACAACACAGACAAACCTCAGAAACTGCATGAGGAGTGAAGGAAGCCAGTCAACAAGGTCACATATTATATGATTCCATTTCTATGAAACATCCAGAACAGGCAAATCCATGGAGACAGAAGGCAGCTGAGTGCCTGCCAGGAGCTGTAGGAGGGGGACCAGGGAGGGACTGCCTGAGCCGTGGGTACAGGCTTTCACTTTGGGAAGATGAAAGCACATTGGAATTAGGTAGCAGTGACTGCGCAACATCGTGGACGTGCTAAATGCCACTGAATTGTATACTTTAAAATGGGTAATTTTATGTTATGTGAATTTCATCTCAGTTTTTTAAAATTTAAGGGATGGATTTGATTGGGGGCAGGGGAGAATAATTCATAGAAAAGAGTCCCTTAAGAGCAGAAACTATTTCAGTCCAATAAATACTTGTTGACCACTTGGTCTGTGTTGGCCCTGAGATACTGGGGGAGGCAGAAGTGGAAACAAATAATCGTAATAGGAGGTAACATTTGAGCAGGGCTGGAAAGAGAAAGAGTTCACCAGGTGAACAAGGGGCAGGGAAAAGGGAGAGGTTAAAGGCATTCTGTGCAGGGGAACAGCTTGAGCAAAGCCAGAGTCCTAAATGTGTGCAGCCATGTCTCCAAACCAAGGCAATTGCACATACTCTGAACAGCTCACTGCTGATGGAAATGATAGATGTGGGTCCAACCTTTCTTGAACTGGCCACTGGACAAATGGAACAAGGAACAAGCTGCATTTTCCTCACGTTCCAGGAGAACAGGTTGAAAACATTTTTCAAAAGTGAAGTAGTCAATAAAGGAAAGCTCTGAAGGGAAGACCAGGAGAAACTGAACAAATCCACCATTAAAAGGGGAGATTTTTAGGGCACTTTTCTCAGTATAGGTCAAACTGAAACTAAAATCAGGAAAAATAAGGAAAATTTGAATAACATGATTAACAAACTTGATTCGACAAACACTTAGAACATGGCACCCACAAAATGGAAAACATTCCATGTTCCATATTTGCTGGAACCAATACTGGGTCTCAAAAAATTTCAAAACCGCTAGCATCATATTGTCCAAATAACAATGAAGTGAACTACAGACCAAAACTTAAATTAGAAATCAGTTAACAAAAAGATCCCAGAAAAAACCCTATATGTTTGGAAATTAAGAAATATGTTTTAGACTTGGAACCAACCCAAATGATCATCAATGATAGACTGGATAAAGAAAATGTGGCACATATACACCATGGAATACTACGCAGCCATATAAAACAATGAGTTCATGTCCTTTCCAGGGACATGGATGAAGCTGGAAGCCATCATTCTCAGCAAATTAACACAGAAACAGAAAACCAAACACTGCATGTTCTCACTCAGAAGTGGGAGTTGAACAATGAGAACACATGGACACAGGGAGGGGACTACCACATACTGGGGCCTGTCGGGGTTGGAGGGCAAGGGGAGGGAGAGCATTAGGACAAATACCTAATGCATGCAGGGCTTAAAACCTAGATGATGGGTTGACGGGTGCAGCAAACCACCATGGAACATGTATACCTATGTAACAAATCTGCACATTCTGCACATGAATCCCAGAACTTAAAGTAAAATTAAAAAAAAAAAAAAAGAAACCCATTTTATACAATTCAAAACAGAAATCATAATGGAGGTTAAAAAACATTGCGAACTGAAGGATAATCAAACTACTACATGTTAAAACACATGGAACATACGCTAAAACATATTTAGAAAGGAATTGTTCATTTAAATGTTCATATAGAAAAGAGGGAAAGCTAAAATTAATGAACCAATGCTCCTGCTTAAGAAATTAGAAGAAGGAAAGTAGAATAAATTCAAAGAATAGAAAGTAGGAAAACAGCATAAAAACGGAATTCACAAAACAGGAAACAAATCTAAAATAGATACAAACAGCAAAGTCAAAAGTTGGTTCTTTGAAAAGAACAATACAGTTGACAAAATTCTGATTAAAAAGGATAATATTGGGAGTGAAAAGAACATAACCAGAGAAGCTTCAAATATTAAAAAATTATTGAGAGGATATATGACTATATCATGACAATAAGTTAGAAGCTTAGGCCAGGCACAGTGGCTCATGCCTGTAATTCCAACACTTTGAGAAGTTGAAGAGAGCAGATCACTTGAGCCCAGCTCAAGTCCAGTCAGGAGTTCGAGACCAGCCTGGCCAACATGGTGAAACCACTTCTCTACTGAAAATACAAAAATCAGCTGAGTGTGGTGGTGCATGCCTGTAGTCTCAGCTACTCAGGAGGCTGAGGCAGGAGACTCACTTGAACTTGGGAGGCAGAGATTGCAGTGAACTGAGATCTGAGATTGCACTACTGCACTCCAGCCTGGCATGAGCAAGACTCCATTCAACAAAAAAAAAGTCTAAATGAAATTGACAAATTATTAAAAAAACTTATCTAAACCATCTTAAGAAAATATAAAAACCTGAATATTCTTGTAAACACACAAAAAAGAAGCAGTAGATAAAAATTACCAGGTCCAGATGATGGTACCACTTAAATAGTTCTAATTAAATATTCAGGTAACAATCCAAATCATCATCTTACACAAATTATTCCACAGCATAATTATTCCATGGCCTCAAACTCATGTTTGACATTAAGTCTGACAAGAATATCATGAGAAAAGAAATATAGAAGCCATTATAAATCATGAACATAGACGCAAAACTCCTAAACAAAATCTTAGAAAACCAAATCCAGTAATGTCTAAAAATAATAAACCATGAACAAGTTGGGTTTATCCTAGGATTACAGTTAGATTAATATTAGAAAATAACTATAATTCATAATGTTAACAGATTATAGGAGAAAAAGTATATGATTATTCTTACTAGTGACATTAAAAGCATTCAATAATATTAAACATCCAGTTGTGATTTTAAAATTCTTAGCAAACTAAAATAGAAGAAACCTTCCTTGATCTAATAAAGAGTTTATACTATACCAACCAACAAATAAAACCCCTACAGCAAATATTACTATTAACCATGAAACACTAGAAGAATCTCCTTTAGAATCAGACATGAGGCAAGAGTTCCTGCTATTAATATTTCTACTCAACTAGAAGTTGTACTAGGACTTCTAGTTCTATTCTTGTTCTCTGTCCTAGAACTTCAAGTTTATTTCTTGTTCTTGCATTACTGTGCAGATCAGAACTTCCAGTACAATTGCTGGATGCAGTAGCTCACGCCTGTAATCCCAGCACTTTAGGAGGCCGAGGTGGGTGGATCACCTGAGGTCAGGAGTTCCAGGCCAGCCTGGCCAACATGGTGAAACTCTGTCTCTACTAAAAATACAAAAAGTTAGCTGGGTGTGGTGGTGCACGCCTGTAATCCCAGCTACTAGGGAGGGTGAGATGGGAGAACTGCTTGAACCTGGGAGGCAGAGGTTGCAGCGAGCCGAGATCGTGCCATTGCACTCCAGCCTGGGCAACAGAGCAAGACTCTGTCTCAAAAAACAAACAAACAAACAAACAAAAAGAACTTCTAATACAATAGAAGTCTAGTACAACAGAAGTTCTAATCTGCTCAGTAATGCAAGAATAAGAAATAAAATCTCTAAGGGTTGAGAATGAAGAAAGAACTCTCAATATTCATTGAGTGTGAATTATCTACATAGAATTCAAAGAATCTAGAGGCAAAGTATTAAAAGATTCCACCAAAGTGCCTAACATAAGGTCAACATACAAAAAATAAATTAATTTATATACAATAGCAACAAACAGAAAATATACTTTTTAAAATAACACATAATTGCAATTTAAAAGCTAAAGTTTATAAGAATAAATTATTAGTGTTTAACCTAAGATAGATCTTCTGTTCAAAGATAGAAAACTCAGCTGGGTACAGTGGCTCACACCTGTAATCCCAGGACTTTGGGAGGATTGTTTGAAGCCAGAAATTTGAGACCAGTCTGGGCAACATAGTGAGACCCTGTCTCTACCAAAAAGGTAAAAATTAGCTGGGTATGGTGGCACATGCCTGTAGTCCTAGCTACTCGGGAGGCTGAGGTGGGAGGATCACTTGAGGCTAGGAATTCGAGGCTGCAGTGAGCTATGATTACCCCACTGCATTCCAGACTGGGTGACAGAGCAAGACTCTGTCTCTAAAATTAATTAATTAATTAATTAACCAATTAATTTAAAAAAGAAGACTCAATATCCTAAATAGGTCAATTCTCACCAAACTGACAGATTTAATGTAATTCCAATCAAAATCTCCCCATAGGAATTTGAGGATTTTGACAAGATTATCTTCCGTAATGTTCATGAAACAGCAAAGGCCAAGAATAGGTGAAATGCAGAACATATATATAGTGGTAGGAGGGAGAGGAGAATGTGATCAACCACCTGTGAAGACTTATTTCCAAGCTACAGTGAACTACAGCAACTGAACTGATGGTGTGCTGAGACAAGAATAGACAAACTGACGACTACAGTGATGGCATAAGGGGCCCAGAAACAGATCTACGCACAGGCAGCTACTTGACATAAGACAGGAATCATCTATGGACAGACTTGACATATGCACATCACTGGGGAAAGGATGACTCATCCAATGCATGGGACACCTCTTTCCAACACGGAAAAAAAGGAGAATTTTCCTACACAAAATGAATTTTAGATAGATTAAAACTTGGATGTGAAAGCCAAACCAAACTCCTAAACTATTTAGAAGATAATATTTATGGATTAGGATAAAGATTTAGTAAACAAGAACAAGAAGCACTAACATAAAAAATAAAATTAAATTAAACTGCATTGTCCGGGCACGGTGGCTCATACCTGTAATCCCAGCACTTTGGGAGGCCGAGGCAGGTGGATCACCTGAGGTCAGGAGTTTGAGAACAGTCTGGCCAACATGGTGAAACCCCATCTCTACTAAAAATACAAAAATTAGCTGGGCGGGGTGGCGGGTACCTGTAATCTCAGATACTCAGCAGGCTGAGGTAAGAGAATCACTTGAACCCAGAAGGTGGAGGTTTCAGTGAGCCAAGATTGCACCACTGCGCTCCAGCTTGGGCAACAGAGTGAGACTCCATCTCAATTTAAAAAAAAAAAAAAACTGCATCAAAACTAAGAATTTCTACCCACCAAGACACCATTAGGAACACTTTCTTAAAAGTATCAAAATGAAGAAAACAGTTGTAATGCATAGAGCAAACTCAAGATCAGGGTCTAGAAAATATTAAGAATCCCTGCAAATCAATCAATAACTAAAAGACAGACAATCCAATAGCAAGGAAAAGAATGGGCAATTCACAGAAGAAACCCAAATGGCCAATAACCCTCTATGAGAAGAAGCTCAGCCTCACTGTAGCAAGGAAAGTAGAAATGAAGACAAAGTCTGTGATGGGAATGTGAAGAAATGGGAACCATCACACACTCCACTTGTAGTTGGGACCATAAATCAATACAAACATCTTGGACAGCAATGATAATCGCTGAAGGTATAGGTACTCTACCACCCAACAGTTCCACTTTTAGGAATATGAGAGTATCCAAGTAGGCCGGACGCGGTGGCTCACGCCTGTAATCCCAGCACTTTGGGAGGCTGAGGCAGGCAGATCACGCAGTCAGGAGATTGAGACCATCCTGGCTAACATGGTGAAACCCTGTCTCTACTAAAAATACAAAAAATTAGCTGGGCATGGTGGTGGGCACCTGTAGTCCCAGCTACTCGGGAGGCTGAGGCAGGAGAATGGCCTGAACCCAGGAGGAGGAGCTTGCAGTGAGCCGAGATCATGCCACTGCACTCTAGCCTGGGCGACAGAGCGAGACCCCATCTCAAAAAAAAAAAGAGAGTATCCAAGTAAACACACCCCCCCGCTTAGAGAGACACTAGCATATAAATGTTAATGCAATAAAATTCTATACAGCAGTTAAAATAAGTGAACTAGAAATATATGTATGTCTTGTTATGATATACATATGTAAGATACATAATACCTATTACATACACACACCCCTATCTCTCTCTATCATCTCTCTGTAAGGATCTAACACTTAAGAACAATGTTGCAAGAGAATATTGGATGGTCTCATATAAACTTTTAAAATCTGCAAAACAATGCCATGTATTGTTAATAAATACATAAATATGTGATAAAAGTATTGCAAATACTTTGGAATGAAAATATGTGGCCAGGCGTGGTGGCTCACGCCTGTAATCCTGGCACTTTGGGAGGACGAGACGGGTGGATCACCTGAGGTCAGCAGTTCGAAACCAGACTGAGCAATATGGTGAAACCCCGTATCTACTAAAAATACTAAAATTAGTCAGGCATGGTGGTGCGTGCCTGTAGTCTCAGCTACTGGGGAGGCTGAGACAGGAGAATTGCTTGAACCTGCGAGGCAGAAGTTGCAGTGAGCCGAGATCGCACTACTGCACTCCAGCCTGGGTGACAGAGTGAGACTCCGTCTCCAAAAAAAAGAAAAGAAAAGAAGCATGAGGGTGAAAAACACTATCACTGGGGCCAGAGGGAAGGAAATTAGATCAAGATTATGTGTATACATTATGTTTTCTTTCTTTTTAAGAAATCAAATTAAATGGGGCAAAGGGTAAGATTTGATCAAGAAAGCTAAGTGGTGGGTAAACAGCTGTACATTACATTATTCTCTATGCTTGTCTGTAGGTATCATCTTATGAAGTAATTAATAATGCATTTCAAATGAAGATCTCCAACCACTCATTTCTATGTTGACAACATTCATCCATCCTGGGATGATTTTGCAATCTAGCCATTTGAAGTGATTTGGCCAGTTTCAATGTAGTTTTTCTTTTCAAAAGCAGATCGTTTTTTCTAGGCAGTGATGTCTACTTTATTACTGTCGTGCTTTCAACATTTTTCAGCTACATTTTATTTAAGAAGCTTTTCCAAACACTTTCTCATAAAGAAAAGTGACAATTCCGAAAGGGACAAAGGGACGAGCATTCTAATGCAGGATACTCCTGCAAAGAGCAATACTTTAACAGATGATGTTACCATTGAAATAGGAAACAAAGAGGGCATAAATATTTGTCTGCATCATTCTCTTGGTGTTCCAATGATCACACTGCCCCAAACACACCCACACACAATTAGACAGGGCTCTTCTCTTAGTTCGATTAATCATCCTTTATGAAGGTGAAACAAACCTTACTGGCTGAAACGCTGCAAAAACAAGGAACAAATAATTTGAATTTTCAAATGATCTGTCCATTTCTGTTTCTCCCTGGCTTTCAAAGCTGCAAATATAAATTCAGCATTTCCTGTGAGATCTGACCAGATGCCCAATTCCGCACATGACAGGATGGGCCAGTCCTAGGCACGGGCATAGACCCCAAGACACTGGCTGCTGTGTGTTGCAGGGGTGCCACAGCTTTGGAATAAAGCGCCAAGTGGAGTGAGGGGTGCCAGCCCAAACACGGGCCACGCTGGCATCCAGCCACCTGCCCATCAAACCCCTAGCTTTCTCTAGAATCCTTGGATTAAATAAATATGTGGCAAAGGGTTGCTGGCAAAAATGATAATAAATTCAACTCAATTCCCACCACAAACTGGCAAACTCCTTCAACGACCCAATTCAGTCTGTCTGCCTCAACTTCCAAATAGCTGGTAATGGGGCCCACTGGGGCCTGTGGGATCCTGGAGGCTCTTAGTCAATATTGCATGCCTTGTTATTTGCCAAAACTTCTGAGATAAAATATAGGATGGACTTGACTTCTACACTAGAGTCAGAATGAGAAGAAACGTGGGGAGCGAGGAGTGGGGAAGCCTCTAAATCTATACACCCTCCTCCCCAAACCTCAGCTAACTGCTATCCTGGCATTGTGATGGCATCTGGGAAGAGCTCAGCATTCTCTCACCCATTCAACCAACATTTTTGAGCACATAGTAGGTGCTAGCATATCTGTGCTAGAAACTGCAGCTACAGCAAGGAATAAAAAGATATGCTCTCTATAACACAAAATGTACAGTCTAAAGGGAAAACGAGTGCACCAGTAATTAGGGTAGAGCTTGATAAGGATGTGACAGGTGCTAAGAGCATATAGTGGGAATTCCTGCACAGGCACTGTCCCTCCCTGGCCTGCTCCCCGCACCCTCCCCAATCCTTCGACCATGTTGCTTTGGGTCCCGCAGAGGATCATTGACATACTGTTCACCGTTGTCCACCTGCTTTCAGGTCAGGCCTCAGATGAAACCTGCCATTCCCCAAGGACCCCATCTCTCTAGGACTCCCAAAATGCCATCTTTTCTCCCATACCCCAAGTATTGCAGAGCCTAGAGCTAAATTGATGTCCTCCTTGTTCCCTGTTACCAATTCCAAAGTATTTCTCCTGCTTCCTCCATCAAAACCCCAGTTCCCTGGAAGCCGGTGCCATTCCATATCACTGCCGTCCCTCGCTTCCCATCACTGCCATCTGTGGACTCCTGGCCGTGCTGCCTGCTCTGTTCTGCCAGGCCTGGGTCACTCTCTTCCTCTCCAGGTCCACCCCTGCCACTATTCTGGATGACCTCAACATCCATATGATGACCCACCCACCCCCCGGCCTCCCGCTCCTTGGTCTCCCCCCATCCAGTGACCTTTCCCCCCACCCCAGCCTGGCCACCCACACCTCCAGCCACCAATAACAGCACCACCTCTGAAACCACCACTGCAAACCTCTTCTCGGACCAGCATCTGTGGCTCTAGGTCTTTGGCACCAGGACTATCACCCAGTCATTCTCGGGCTGAGCAGGACTTCCAACCACATGGTTTATTCACTCCCCATCATTCCTGTTCAGCCTCACTCTTCTCCTCAGCATGGTTTCAGGGACTATTGTTACACAATCTTGAAGGCAGAGAGGCCCATCCAGCCTCCCTTAGTGCCTCACAGGTCCTCCTGCCTCCCCGCTTGCTGCCTACAATCTATTTTCCATGGCAGGAGAGATCTGGAACTGCCAAAACGTTCAAAACTAAACCTCTGGTGTGAACATAAAATGGCATAGCCATTTTGGAAAACAGCTTGGCAGCTCCTCAAAAGATCAGCCACGGAGTCACCACATGGCTCAGCAATTCCACCCCTATGTCTATACCCAAGGGAAGGGAAGGCACATATCCAGAAGCTCATACAGGAAGATTCTCAGAAACATTATTTGTATTAGCCAAAAGGAGGAGGCAACCTAAATGTCCATCAACTGAGGAGCTGATAAATGAAATACGGTCCCTCCAGACCACAAAATATTACTCAGCCATAGAAAGGAACAAAGTACTTACTGATAAGTGCTAAAATATGAATAAACCTTGAAAACATTACCATAAGTTTAAAAAGCCAGTTGCAAGAGACCACCCATTGTATGATTCTTTTTATATAAAATGTCCACAATACATCAGTCTAATAGAAACAGAAAGTAGATTTGTGGTTGCCCTGGGCTGGAGGGGCTGGGGGGAAAAGGGAGTGCCTGCTGATGGGTACAGGGTTTCCTTTGGGGATGATGAAAACTGATTAGGGTTCTAAGACACACTGTGGCAATGGTTGCACAACTCTGTAAATATATTAAAAACCATCAAATTGTACTCTTTGAATTGTATTATATGAGGATTATGTCCAACTGTGGAACTCCCTTGGTTAAAACCTTCGAATGGCGTCCACTGCACCAAAAATAAAATCCTAGCTCCCTACCATGACCTATAAGACCATACATGGTCTTGCCCCAGCCAACTGTTGGGACCTGACAGCTCCCTGCTTTCTCCTGCACCCACCATACTCCAGAAGCCCTGGCCTTCTTTCTATTCCTCTAACACATCAAGAAACGCCCCTGCCCAATGGCCTTCTACATGTTCCTCCTGCCAGGGCTGTCCTTCCCTCTAATCTTTGCAGGGCTAGTTTCTTCATCTCCTTCAAGTTTGAGTTCAGATATTCTCAGGCGAGAGGATCTGACGTTGCCGACACAGAGAGACACACACAGTAAGCTTGGCGTTGCACACCTTGCCCTGTTTTCTTCATTGCTATTGTACTATTGGAGCCAATCAGATTCATTGCTTGCCCCTTACTGCCTTTCCCCAGTGGCTGTCAGCTCTGAGAATGAGACCCTTGCCCGTCCTTCACCACTCCACCCTTGGTGCCCGGATGGAATGGGCCCTTATATTAGTCCGTTTTTGTGCTATTGATAAAGACATACCCAAGACTGGGCAATTTACAAAAGAAAGAGGTTTATTGGACTTACAGTTCCATGTGGCTGGGGAGGCCTCACAATCATGACAGAAGGTGAAAGGCAAGGAAGAGCAAGTCATGTCTTACATGGATGGTAGCAGGCAAAGAGAGAACTTGTGCAGGGAAACTCTTGTTTTTAAAACCATCCAATCTCCTGAGACTCATTCACTATCATGAGAACAGCACAGGAAAGACCCGTACCCATAATTCAATCACCTCCCAAGACATGTGGGAATTGTGGGAGTTCCAATTCAAGATGAGATTTGGGTGGGGACACAGCCAAACCATATCAGCCCTCAATGGAGATTTGCTGCATGAGTGAAGGAAACAGATCACAGAAGGCTTCCTGGGTGGCGTGACTGTGAAGCTGAGCACTAGAGGATGAGCAGGAGCTAACTGTGCAGGGTGGAGAAGGAGGGCTGCAGGAAGAGAGAACAGAGACCTGAAAGCCCATAGGAAAAGGGCACAGAGAGATGAAAGGAATGTGGGGAAAGAGGCTAGAGCCAGCATGAGTGCTGCCTTGTGAACAAATTCAGGAGTTTGGATCTTGTTTGAGAGCAGAGGAAAGGCACTAAAAGGTTTTAAGTATTGGAATGACATACACAGAATTGAGGTTTATAGAATGAAGTAGAGGAGGGCAAGAGAGGGAGCAAGGAGAAGAGGAAGAAGCCTTTGCAGCAATACAGGAAAGAGATCATGGAACCCTGAACTCAGATGGGCTTAAGAAGGACAGAGAGAAAGAAGTGACTTCCAGGTATCAGAGGTACAGTCAACACAAGTGGTGAATGACTGGACCAACTGACTGATTGGAGCAGGGAGGAGAACTCAAATGGATGGTACCATATACTGAGAAAGAGAACCCAAGAGAAACGCATGTCAGGGGAGAGAGGAAAACAGTGTGGGGAATCCAAGGGGAAGTGGTCAGTAGTCAAATGGGGTTACTGTTCTGAAACTTAGTGGTACTACCTGGGCTGTAGACAGAGAACTGTGTGTCATCATTGAAACAAAATCCATAAAAATAGATGAAATTTCCCAAAGAAAGTTTTTAAAGTAAGGAAAACGGAGGCCTTGGACTGAATCTTGAGCATCACAAATATAGAAGGGATGAGCATAGGAATGGGAGGTCACAAAGAGAAGAGAGAAGGTGGTCAGGGAGTTGGAAGGAAAGCCAGGAAGCATGGTACTCCAGAGGGCCTAGGGAAGAGTCTGTTTCAAGAAAAAAAAACGGGGCTCAGAGTGTCCAATCAATGCTGCCGAGATAGTCAAAGAAACGAGGACTGAGAAACGTCCGATGGCAACCAGGAGGTCGTTGGTGGGGGCCAGGTGACAAGGTAAAGACAGCCACTTTGGACAATTTCAGGACATTTGGGGAGGGACAGGGGGAGTAAAGCTGAAGATATAGAAAGGATATATGATAGGGAGAGTTAAGTCATTAATAATAACAGCTTTTATTTTTTTGAGATGGAGTTGCCCAGACTGGAGTGCAATGGCATGATCTCAGCTCACTGCAACCTCTTCCTCCCAGGTTCAAATGATTCTCCTGCCTCAGCCTCCCAAGTACCTGGGATTAGAGGTACCCATCACCATGCCCGGCTAATTTTTGTATTTTAGTAGAGATGGGGTTTTGCCATGCTGGCCAGGCTGGTCTCAAACTCCTGGCCTCAAGTGATCTGCCTACCTCAGCCTCCTCCCAAAGTGCTAGGATTACAGTTGTGAGCCACTGCACCCAGCCACAGCTAAGTTTTTTACTGAAAGTGTACTATGTGCCAGGAACCATTCTAATCTTTATGGAACAATACTATGAAGTAGGCACGGAGGGGCAAGGCGATCCTCTACATTTGTCCAGAAGGCCAGGGGTGGTAGCTCATGCCTGTAATTCCCAGCACTTTGGGAGGCCAAGGCAGGAGGATCACTTGAGGTCAGGAGTTTGGGAACAGCCTGTGCAACACAGCAAGACCCCATCTCTACAAAAAAAATTTTTTTTAATTAGCCAGGTATGATCCTGTGCAACTGTAGGCCTAGCTACTTGCGAGACTGAGGTGGGAGGATTGCTCGAGCCCAGGAGTTCAAGGCTGCAGTGAGCTATGATTGTGTCATTGCACTTCAGCCTGGGTGACAGAGCAAGACCCTGTCTCAAAAACAAAAACAAGAACGAAAACAAAACTGAAGATGAAGAGGAAAAAATGGTGGGATCCAGAGCTCAGGGAGGTGGAGAACGGAAGGCACACAGGGAAGTCGGTAGCCTGTGGGGCATGGGTGAGGACAGTCTGATTTCCTGTCTTCTGTTTGGGCTGGAGAAGTAGAAAGTGAGATCACTGGCTGACAGGGAGAAGGGAAGGTGACCGGACTTGAGGTCTGTGTTACCAGAGTTTAAATTCCAGCTGTTCTGGTTTGTATGTTTTTCTACTCACATTGAAAAGTAAGCATACTGAAAATGCCCATCACTTTGAAGTTTTGCAATCAAATAAGGTCAAAATTCTCCTGAACTCTAGCTCACCCTGGTGATGAAAGGCAGCCCATCTTAGGCCCAAACCATTTAAAGCCTATTAAAAACAGAACTGCCCTACTCCTGAGACCCCACTATTTCCTTTAAAAAAAGAAAACAACTTAAGAGCCATATAATTAAAAAAAAAATAGTACGTAACACTTCATACATAGAAAGATGTGTGTTCTGTATTTATAAAGCACAAAGTTTAAATAAAAGAAGACCCATTACCCCACCCCCACCTCACCCCAACTTAGGAACTAGAATCGTCCACATTAAGCCACTGTGGGTATTTCTTTGAGCCCCACTCTTAGCAAGCCTAACCCAAAGGGAAACCTCCTTCCTGATCTTTGTGCATAAAATTCCCATCATTTTTAAGAATCTAGTTTTACCAGATGTGCATGAATCCAAAGATAGATTGCTCAGTTTTCCTCCAAAATTTTACTATGAAAACTATCAAACATACAGAAAATCTGAAAGCATTTTACAGAGGAAACCCTTGTTTCCACCACCTGGATTCTATAATTAACATCTTGCTATATTTGCTCTATCTCGTAACTATCCATCCAGCCATCCTTTTGTGCATTCATCGATCCATTTTATTTTTTGATGCATTTCAGAGTAAATTGCCAACATCAGTACAAGTCTAAAGGCATATCATTAGCTAGAGTTCAATATTTGTTTGCAGTTTGTTTGTTTGAAGTAAATTTTACAGAGTGAAATGCATGGATCTCAAATGCATCATGGGACACATCTGACAAATGCGCCTCACTGTGCAATCCAACATCTGTCAAGATACAGGCATTGTACTCACTCAAGAAAGTTACTTTATGTCTTTTCCCAGTAAATTGCAGACACCATCACCCACAACAGAGGAAGCCATGGTTAGGATCATTTTGTACCACCAATTACTTTTGCCTAATCTAGAAGTTGATATAAATGAAACATATAACATGTACTCTTGTTTCTGGCTTCTTTTACTCTGCATGACATTTTTGAGATTCATCCATGTGTGTGGCATGTATCCAAAACGTGTTTTGGTTTTCTTTTTTTGAGACAGAGTCTCGCTCTGTCACCCAGGCTGGAGTGCAGTGGTGCAATCTCGGCTCACTGCAAGCTCCGCCTTCCGGGTTCACGCCATTCTCCTGCCTCAGCCTCCCGAGTAGCTGGGACTACAGGCGCCCACCACCACGCCTGGCTAATCTTTTGTATTTTTAGTAGAGATGGGGTTTCACTGTGTTAGTCAGGATGGTCTCGATCTCCTGACCTCGTGATCCGCCCTCCTCGGCCTCCCAAAGTGCTGGGATTACAGGTGTGAGCCACCGCGCCCGGCCCCCAAAATGTGTTTCTCTTTATTGCAGGGCAGCATTCTGTTGTACAAAAATACCTCCACTTGTCCACTCACCTGTTGGTAGACCCCTGAGTTGCTTTCTGTTTTCAGTGACTATGAGTAAAACTGCCAAGAACATTCTCATACAAGTCTTTTTGTGAACATATGTTTTCATTTCTCTTGGTAGATGTCCAAGAGAGGAATTGCTGGGTCATGCAATAGATGTATATTTAGTTTAAGAAACTGCCAGGTACTTTTCCAAATTGTTCGTACCATCTACATCCCCATCAATAATGTATGAAGCTTCCTGTTGTTCCACAACCTTGCCAGCTTATGGTATCCTCAGTCTTTTAAAATTTTCACCAGTAGGGTGGGTGTGTTATATCTCATTCTGGTTTCAGTTTCCATTTGCCTGTGCTACAGACTTTTGATAGCTACCTTTTATCAGATTAAGAATGGGCTCTTCTATCCCTAACTTGCTAAAAAATTTTTTTTTGTTTTTTGTTTCTTTGTTTCTGCTTTTTTTTTTTTTTTTTTGAGACAGAGTCTCACTCTGTCACCCAGGCTGGAGTGCAGTGGAGCGATCTCAGCTCACTGCAAGCTCTGCCTCCCGGGTTCACGCCATTCTGCTGCCTCAGTCTCCCCAGTCGCTGGGACTACAGGTGCCTGCCACCACGCCCGGCTAATTTTTTTTGTATTTTTAGTAGAGATGGGGTTTCACCGTGTTAGCCAGGATGGTCTCGATCTCCTGACCTTGTGAACTGCCCACCTCAGCCTCCCAAAGTGCTGGGATTACAGGCGTGAGTCACCGCGCCCGGCCAAAAGTTTTTATTATTAATTTTTGTGTTAAGTGTTGTCAAATACTTTTTTCTGCATAAAAATTCTTTCTGATCCCTGATTTTCTTGGGAACAGAGAGGTGATTGGGAATTTTTGTTCTGAAAGCCCGTCTCTTACAGTTTCTGCTGGCCTATAACCCACTGGTGACAGTAAGAGGAGCAAGCCAGGGTGAGTATGGCGGTGGTAGTGGAGGACTTAGCAAGAAAGGAATAGGGCTAGCAGTGAAGACAAGACTGTCTAAACTGTTCAAAGTATGAGCCCATCCGGGTCATCTGAAATAATGAATGATCTGCTTGCCATAAAATTAAATGTCGTCCCCAAAACAGTCAAAAGGACAGAAGTTACACATGCTACAGATACTTCTGAAATCGTCTTGGTCTTGGTATGAAGAATGCTCAATCAGGATTAGCAAAGCTGCAGGCAACTGGCCAAAAAATTCCTTACCCTATTTTGTATTCACCAGGGCGTGTGGCTCAGCTTCTTGCAAACAAGGTAGGAGCCCTAGAATATCTGTGAATAGTCAGTGCAGGTCAGAGGGAGCTCATTTTGAAGGGAATTCAGTTCAGACATCACCTCCCTGATGAGAAGCCCTCTCTGGCCCTCAGAGGCCAGCTGGTCGCCTGTCTCTCTGATCCCACATGTCTCTCTCACTGTCCTGCCTACATTACTTTAACTTTCACCATTCATGTATCTATCTGCTTCCACCACTAGGCTGGGGGTTCCTTGAAGATAGAGACCCTCTCCTATTTATCTTTTTTTTTTTTTTTTGAGGTGGAGTTTTCATTCTTGTTGCCCAGGCTGCAGTGCAGTGGGGCGATCTCAGCTCACTGCAATCTCCGTCTCCCAGGTTCAAGCGATTCTCCTGCCTCAGCCTCCCAAGTACCTGGGATCACACGTGCCACCACATCTGGCTATTTTTTTTTTGTATTTTTTGTAGAGACATGTTGGCCATGTCTCTATTAAACATGTCTCCATGTTGGCCAGGCTGGTCTCAAACTCCTGACCTCAGGTGATCCTCCCATCTCGGCATCCCAAAGTGCTGAGATTACAGCTGTGAGCCACCGCGCCTGCTCTATTTATCTTTATACCTCCTTTTTGGCACAGAGCTAGCTCTAGAAGAGATGCCCCATAAATGTGGAACTGAATGAATGAAGAAATGCATTAGAAATCAGCATCACCCACACCCAGGCACGTGCACAGCAAACGCAGGGAGATGTGTCATTTGGAGCTGGGGTACCCCAGGCTGTGGAACCATGAGGCATAGAGAAGGGGACTTCTAACAGAGGGGCGGCCTTGCTCAAGACCTCATGGCTCACTGGCTGCAGTGGCTCACGCCAGTAATCCCAGCACTTTGGGAGGCTGAGGTAGGAGGATCACTTGAGCTCAAGAATTCAAGACCAGCCTGAACAACATGGTGTGACCTCTTCCCTAAAAAAATTAAAAATTAACCAGGCATGGTGGCACCCACCTGTGGTCCCAGCCACTCAGGAGGCTGAGGTGGGAGGATCTCTTGGAAAAAAAAAAAAAAAGACCTCATGCCTCATGGCTCGTTAATGACAGGTCAGGCCTAGATATTGGCCTCCTTATTTCCAGCTCAAGGCTTCTCCGTGTCCTGCTCTGTGGGCGCCACTCTTTTCCCTGCCCAATCCCCCCCCCAACGGTGCCCTCACAGAGGCTGGGATCTCGACCTCCCTCCCACAGGCTCCCTCCGAGACAGCAAAAGGGACAGGTAGGCAGGGATGGGCGCTGCCCGGCATGACGAGGCTTTGAGTGTCTCACTTTTGGGAAAGGCTCATTCTGCCCTGTCCCCTTCCCCCCGAGGCCACCTTCCTGCCTGTCCACAGTGATGCTGCCTCCTCCGGCCCACAGCCCCCCACACCCCTGCTGCCCCGGCACAGGCTTCCCAGGGACCTCTCTGCCACCATCCTGTTCCGTGCCTCTGTAGCCTCTCACTCACTGGCACTGATGTTCAGCCGTGTACCTTTTACTCATCCTGGCTGGAGAAGGGCCCAGTGTGGACAGACTGCAAACTGGTCAGGGGATGTTCTGCCCACAGGACAGGAGAGATATTTAATGAAGGATGTGCACACGCAGAGGCTGCAGGCTCCATGCTGGCACCCACAAGCCCGGCTGGAGTGGGGAGGGGCTCTGCAGGGAAACAGACCTGCTCTCCCCACAGCCAAACCATGGACTCCCTGAGGAGCTGAGAGGAAGAATATCACCTTTTAACTCCTGGACAGTAAAGATTTGGAGTCCAATAAACCCAAAGAGACTGCCCACAAGCCCTTGACCAGTCTCCTTTCCCAAGAGCTTCCAGCCTCCGGGCTGGTGTGGGGGACAGGAGGGCATCCCGGAACTCGGGTGGGTGTCACATGCCTGGAACCCCACCATCAGCACCCCTTCCCTTCAGGCAAGCGTACTCTCTTCATCCAGTCCTCTTTAGAGCAAGTATCACACGCACAGGACAGATTACACATAAATTCATTATTGCCTTAGTGTGAGTCAATTTCTCAGATCCTCTCCTGCCAGAAAGGGATGTGGACAGCAGTGAAAGATCTAAGTGCCCAGAGATGGGAAGTGATGGCGGGGTTGGAAAGGGGACAGAGGAGGAGGCCTGGAGAGCTGAAGATAAACCCCATCGACCTCACAAAGGAAAAAGAGAGGAAATCTAAGACAGGCTCATTCACTGATGCACCCCTCATTTATCAATGACTCCAGGATCTTAATAGCACCTTTTCCTGCTATCAAATGCAAACCTCAACACCTACAGACGGGAGTCTCGGGTGGGGGTTACCTCCAGGGTCAATCTGTTCATCTTCTGACTCTAGAAAGGGTACCCCTTAACTATAAAGTGGGTGGATCCCAGCATCTCCCTGTATTTTGATCTGCTGTCTCCTACTAGGACTTCTCTAAGTACCTGCCACAAACCCACCCTAACTGTACAGTGATGCTCCAGAGAAAACAATGGCTTGCCACAGGCACTCGGAAATTCCAGGGCCCTGCTCATCCATCCCACTGTCCCCAGGTACACACAGGACACCCAGTGCCCCAAAGGGAGATGGCTGTGCCCACATCACAGAGGAAGCCAGGAGCAGAATCGTGGCCGGAGCCCAGGCCTAGTGGCTCCTGGTTCCTTTGGTCTTTGTTTGGTGTCACCATGCAGCCTTCTCAGGGGCCACATCCAGCCTTTTAACAGCATGTCCACTGTCATTCATGAAATGCTCCCAAGACCTAGAATGCGTCCCTGTCATGCAAGGGACCCACGGTGGAAGAAAGACAAAGAGGGTCAAGAACTTGCAGTGGCCCTCATGTCAGAGGCAGCCCTAGGGCAGCTGCAATGTCCCCGCCCACCAGATCACCTCCCACTGGCTGTCTGCTGTGAGAAAGAGCAGGTGGGAGGTTGCCGGTCACTCGCCTCATCTTTTCCCTCCCGCCTGGGCTCTGGACCTTTCTCCTTGCATACTCTGCTTGTCCCCGTCGGTTTGTGTTATTTCTTCAGGAGGTCTCCGACAGTGAAGCAGGAAACAGAGCCTCCTTCTGAGTGCAGGTACGCAGGGAGGCAGGGAAGCAAGCCATTTCTTTGGAAGCTAAGGCAGTTTGGAAACCACTCCTTTTCCCCCTCAAATAACGCTTGCAAATGAGAACTTCAGTTTGGACAGCAGGTGTGTGCCTTTTACACAGTGACCTCAAATGTTTCCAATCCAATGTTTAATTTTTTTCCTTATACCAAATGACAAAAGATCACCGTGCTCCTGATACAGATGTTCTGTTTTACAAGGCAACCAAGTTTCCTAAGTAGTAGGGACTCTGTCTTTCTCATGAATACCAAATCTTTCCATTAAAGGTCTAATTTTTTTTGCATTCCAAACACTGCAAGAGACAGAAGAGGGTTCAAGACATTCATTATGCATCTCTCACAATGCTTCCCATGGCAGAAGTCTGACAAACCACCGCAATTCAATATCCTCGCATCCCACCTAACTTGCTTCAAGTGTCTATGAAATGACCTCGAGGCTCTGGCGTTTTCTGCTGCTGATGCAGTATGCAGATTTTACAAACAAGATTTAGCTTCACAGCTGGTTTTCAGAACAGCTTAGAGTCAAAGATTCAAAATACAGAACACAGCAAAACGGTTCTTATCAAAATGTCAAAATCGATTTTGCCAGAAAACCTCGGCCTGGAACATCTGTGAAAGGTTAGGGTCGAGCACCACTCCCTCTGGTTCATACAGATGCCAAATTAATCAGGGCAAATGAAACACGACATGGCCACATGAGGCTCTGGGGTTCTCCCCGAGCCTGCCCACCCTCTCTTCCAGGGGGAAAGAGTCTCGGGCTGGGAGGGACTCAGAGGCGCCTCCTGGGAGGTGGAGAAGCCTGCTGGGAATTGAGCAAAATCGAGCAATGCGCACCCTCCCCTTCTCCCTGAGGAGGCACTTGACAGCCTCAGAGCAGGGGCTGGACATCTCTGCCCTTGGCAACCTCCCTGTTTTCTCAGCATGGCTCAGAGATGGCCTCAACACAGGAGGAGGAAGAAAACAGAATGGCCCCCAAAATCCCAATGAAAGCCTCTGGTCACATTCTCTCAGCAGGTACCATCATCTGTCAAAAAAGCTGGAGGGGGAGCCCAAGGTTGGGGGCTTCAAAGTCTCCATTTGCCTTCCCTGGAGGGCTGAGTCTAGACATGAGAGACTTATATGGAAGGGGGAGCTTTAAGCCACTCTAAGGAGAACAGAAACGTGGAAGGTACTGGAGATGTAGGAGCTACTGCTTCGAGTCTTGGCAAAGAGCTGAGACAAAGGGCTCCAAGGCCTTACCCAGGATTCTTCCCATGGCGGAGGCTGTGATCGCATCATCTATCTGCATCATCTCCTGCACGGTGTGGGCTGATGCTGAGGTCAGAGCTAATGACTGATTCTAATTTTTTCACTTCAGACAGAATCATAACACTATTCAAACCTAATACATTTATTGCTGTGATCCTCAACCGGGCAGTATTAAAACTTGCGAAAGTGACTTTGCAAATTACCAAACAGTCACCAAGCTAATGAAGCAGGACTTTTAAAGTGACTGAGAAATAATTCCTATATTATAAAGACAGCAATCTGTGAAGGGAGATTTGGTTTTAAAAAAACACATTATAACGTATAATGGAAAATGTTAATCTGTGGTGAATCCAATCAGAGCTGGCTGAAGAGAAAAACATAAGGAAAGTGAAAATACAAACGGAGTATGCACACTCGAACCCACTGGAAGGAAACTTCCTGGGAAGGAGGCTCCCTCCAGGGCCTCCCAATGGTCACCAGGAGCACCAGCAGCCTGCCATGTCCTCCGTCCTCGACTGGGAGACACACCCCAAAGCCATTTCCTCTGGAGGAGGCTCTAAGAAGCACTGGGGGTCCCTGTCTGCCCTGATGCCTGGGAAAAGCCCTTGGGCATAGCGAGGAATTGGCTGTGCCGTCAAGACACTCAGGGTTGCAGGGCTTAGATGCTGTGCCAAGAAAAAGCAGCTCCCGTCTCGGAGGATGGCTATATTCATTCAGAGACCTGGCTCCAGGCAGTGGAAGGCAGGGACACAACAGGAGCTGGTGGGGTCACCAGGGGAACCCCAGACACAGACACCCAAGGGCCAGGCAGCCTCGCTGGGCAATCCAGGGTTGCCCGCTGCAAAGAGGGGCCGAGGAAGGAAAGGGAACTGGGGGCCCCAGGCCTGCCCAGATGCTAATGAAGAATCACGCATCAGTTAATTAGGCTCGGGTGCTACATTTCAGAGGAAGCCCTCTCCATCATGAAAACACTTTGGAAGGTGCCACATCAAAGCACAGTGTAGAAGAAAGCCAGGGAGCCAGGCGCGAACGCCAGCGCTGGCCAAGGGAGAGGAGGCCCATGTTTCTTGTTAGCATTTGACAGCAAGCACCGTGTGCTACTTAGTGAACCAAATCCTCCTTTATGCAAAGTGTTTTTCTCATTCTTGGCCCAATGGTTTCAACGGGTGCTCCCCCCAACAGATTTCAAATCCTATTATACAGTAAACATCTGTGGCATTAATTTTCGCCCTGTAAACAAATGCAGGCAGCTGCAGCAGATCATTTGATGAGTCAATCAATATATGAGCAGCACTCTGCGCCTGCCTTCTTTACTCGAGCAAAATGAAACGGTGCTTTCTGAGTCCGTCTGCGGCACCAGCCAGTAGTGACAACATCAGAGGGAAAATACACTTCCCACTTTTATGTCTGACCAGGAGCCAGGTCATTTCCCTCGAAGCATCCGGAAGGCACGGCCACGACCCAAGCACACAGGGTTCCACGTCCTGCGCGTCCTTCTGCACATCCCAATACTTGGTCCTAAACATGCCGAGAGTTACATCTTTGCATTGGGTGGAGCAGTGGTTCTCGGTGAGGGGTGATTCTGCCCTTCAAGGGAACTGGGCAAAGCCTGGAGACACACTTGGTTGTCGGGGGTGCTATTGGCATCTAGTGGGTGGAAACCAGGGATGCTGTTCAACATGCTTCCATGCCCAGGATGGCCCTAACAACGAAGAATTATCCAGCCTGGAATGTCCATAACACCTGCATGGAGAGGCCTGGGTGTAGAGGCATTGGTGTCTCTGAGGAAAAGCATCTCCCCTCCCCATCTGCTTGCCCCCGCTCTGATGGAGGAAGCAGGGGTTTCGTCTGAGGATGCCCTGTGGCTTTCTGACTTCCTCCAGTTGGAGAAGCATTTCCATTCCTGTTTCCTTAATCACACCCAGTCAGGTGCAATGGGCCTGTGCCCACCTGCCGGTCCAGGCCAACCTGCAAAGCTCAGCCAAAGCCCCCCAAGTGAGCAAGTGAGATTGCAGCTGGGGAGGCAAAGGGCGATGCGGGTCCAGGCACTCTGACCACACCTGCCTCACTCCTTACGGACAGTGGGCAGCACGCAGAGCCTTTGAAGAGGCATCACTGAGGGACTCTCCTCCAGGGAGGCCGCTGGGCGACCGAACAGCAGCGGCTGCTGCTCCCTGTTGGAGTTGAACGTCTCCGAGGCTCAGTTTTCCTGTTTGAGTCCTGGGCAGTCCTTCCCCAGCAGTGAAGGAAATGAGACGAAGCCTCCCCTGGCAGTACAAGCCCCCAGGTACGGCAAGGAAGGCAGGGCTGCCAGGATTCGTGAATCGTTATCAGGAGTTTTATTTGCCATAAACATGCTGCTCCCCACAGGCACACATTTGTCTTCAACGTCTTCCCGGCATCCCCTTACCCTGGGCACCGTCGGCACCTCTGGCCCAGCTCTGACCTGCTGGCCGCCGCCCAGGCCGGAGTTATTCCGGGAACATGGCTGGACCTGCCCATCCCCCAGCACTCAGGGACGGCCGTGCTTGGAGAGCTGAGCACCCAGTGGCTCGTTTCCTGTTCTCAGTGTGTGTCGGGGACTAGCTAAAAACTCGCATCGCCAACATTCCGCCTTCATGGAAATCAGCTCACTGGATCCCCCAGCAGCCCCAGGAGGTGGCATGATTATCCCAGGCCCAAAGGTGAAGCACCTGACCCGCGGCCACACGGCCGTTACGAAACCAGACTACCAGCCTGAGCCGAAGCTGGCATTCCTACAGCAAGGGGCTGGAGAGGGACACACATTTTTTTCTGCTACATTTGATGGCAGCAGAGGGGCAGAAAATGAGCAAAGTCCCTTGCGTGAGAGTCTCGCCGAAGCCCACCTGCAGGGTCAGAACCTTCCGTGAACCACGGTGCCCTGCCAGAAAGTCTTTCTCCTGCTCAGAAGCAAAAGGCCCATGTGCTCAGAAGCAAAAACCCTGTCCTTCAGGGAGGAGCACCCCTCCCAAGCGCAGAAGGGAGACATCTGGGACTCCCAATTCCCTGCGGGGAAAGCCGCCCTCTCCACTCAGTGGCAGTTTAGCTGGGGAATGGCAAGTAGGGACTTGTACCCACCCCCAGAGAAGCCCCTACGCCCCGACACCCCAATCCCTGGGCAGCTGGAAGGGAGTGGATGATTGTGGAAACACCAGGCCCCCGTACCTCGGGAATGTGCCCACAGGGCAGGAAGCCCCACTCCACTGGACACACGCACCCCTGACAGCTGCCAGCAAGGCCTTCTCTGTGCTCCATCCTGAGCAGGTGCCCAGGACCTGGTGATAAGCCAGCCCAGGCTCTGACCTACCTCAGAGACCACAACTGAGCTGGGAGAAGCAAGTGAACAGACAGCCCAATGGTGAGGCAGGCCAGAGAGTAATGTTGCCCACTGGCAGTCAGTGCTCTGCAGGCACCCCCCAGTCTGCTGGAGAGAGGTGGTCACAGCCCACATGGTGCCCTCTGCCACCACACTTAGTGCCCCAGTGGTCCCCTGATGGGGGAGGGAGGAGCTAGAGCCAAAGGAAGGGCACACTGGGCTCCTGGGCACTTGGACTGAATGGGCCGGCTGGCCACATCCAACTGCAATGGGAGGGCCTTGGTGCTCACTCAGAAGGTGGCAACGTGGGGACTGGACCCACTCCCCCCATAGGTAAAGACACCCCGGTGGCAAGTCAGCAGGATGGGGATTCAGAACAAAAGCAGACCCCTGGCTCTTTCCAAAAGCCCAGCACAGGGAGAAGAAGGAGCATGGCGGGGAGCGTGGCGGGGGGGGAGGGGGTGGATTCGTGTGTTTGGGGTATGTCCATGGTGCATATTTGAGTGTGTGGTGTGTATGTGTGTGGGTAGTGTATGTTTGAGTGTGTGGTGTGTGTGTGGGGGGCATACATTTCACTGTGTAGTATGTGTATGCATGTGCTTGGTGTATGTTTGTGTGTGTGCATGGTGTATGTGTGAGTGTGTGGTGTGTGTGTGCATGATGTATGAGTGTGTGTCTACATGGTGCATATGTGAGCATGTGTGTGCATGTGTGCATGGTGTACATTTGTGTCGTGTGTGTATGCATTGTGTATTTTTAGTGTGTGTGCGTGTGTGTGGTGTATGTTTGAGTGTGTGCATGGTGTATGAGTGTGTGTTTGTGTGCATACGTGCATGGTGTATGAGTGTGTGGTGTATGTGTGATGTATGTTTGAGTGTGTACATGGTGCATATTTCTATGCATGCATGTGTGCATGGTGTATGAGTGTGTGTGTGCATGGTATATGAGTTTGTGTGTGTGCATGGTGTATGAGTGTGTGTGTGCATGGTATATGTTTGAGTTTGTGTGTGTGCATGGTGTATGAGTGTGTGTGTGCATGGTATATGAGTTTGTGTGTGTGCATGGTGTATGAATGTGTGTGTGCATGGTATATGTTTGAGTTTGTGTGTGTGCATGGTATATGAGTTTGTGTGTGTGCATGGTGTATGAGTGTGTGTGTGCATGGTATATGTTTGAGTTTGTGTGTGTGCATGGTGTATGAATGTGTGTGTGCATGGTGCATATTTGAGTATGTGTATTTGTGGTGTATGTTTGAGTGTGTGTGTGATGTATGAGTGTGTGTGTGCATGGTGCATATTTCAGTGCGTGTGTGTGATGTATGTTTGTGTTTGCGTGTGCATAGTGTATGTTTGAGTGTGTGAGTGTGCATGCATGGTGTATATTTGAGTGTGTTTGTGTGTGCATGGTATATGAATGTGTGTGCATGATGTATATTTGGGGTGTTTTTTTTTTTTTTTTGAGACGGAGTCTCGCTCTGTTACCCAGGCTGGAGTGCAGTGGCACGATCTCGGCTCACTGCAAGCTCCACCTCCCGGGTTCACGCCATTCTCCTGCCTCAGCCTCCCAAGTAGCTGGGACTATAGGTGCTCACCACCACACCCAGCTAATTTTGTTTTTGTATTTTTAGTAGAGACGGGGTTTCACCATGTTAGCCAGGATGGTCTCAATCTCTTGACCTTGTGATCTGCCCACCTCGGCCTCCCAAAGTGCTGGAATTACAGGCGTGAGCCATCATGCCTGGCTGTGTGGTATATATTTGAGTGTGTGTTTGTGTGTGTGCATGCTGTACATGAGTGTGTTTTTGTGTGCATGTGTGTGATATACATTTGAGTGTGTGTGCAAAGTGTATGAGTGTGTGTGCATGGTGCATGTTTGAGTGCGTGTGTGCGTGCTGTAACTTTCTGTGTGTGTGCACGGCATATGTTTGAATGTGTGATGTGTGTGAACATGGTGTATATTTGAGTGTGTGATGTGTATGTGTATGCACGGCATATGTTTGAGTGTCTGTGTACATGTTGTGTCTTTGTGTTTGTGTGTGCATGGTATATGTGTGTGTGGTGTGTGTGCACATGGTGTATATTTGTGTGGTATATATGTGTGCATGATGCTCAAGTGTGTGTGTGTGCATGGTTTATGTTTGAGTGTGTGTTTGTGTGTGTGCAATACGCCAAACCCTTCTCTCCCTACCCCCTCTGACTGCCCACATCAACCCCTACACAGCCGGTCCCAGGGAAGCAGTGAGGACCCAGCCCCAGGGGACAGGTCCTGGCAACCTGATGGTTGGTGTTCAAGGAGGAGGAGCCGGCAGGACGTGGCCGGGGTCAAGGAAGGCCATGGTGATGAGTGTCCTGCTGGGCGGCAGTGTCCACCAGCACAGAATTCACCTAACTGGTTCTCAGCAAAGCACCGAAACAGATATTCCCAGACTTTCCCCGACAGGACTCTTGATGGGAAGCATTACTGCCCTTCTTAATTGAAAGATAACCTTCCTACACATTCTTATCTCTTCACTTCTTTCATACGTGCTTCTTCCCCCTCCAGGATATGTGGAAATTAACTTCTCATATCCCAAGGCTCTGGTTGATCTACATAAGCCAAGAGGGAGACTGGCTCATGAGCAGGCACCGGGTTCAGGGGCTGCCAAGCTCCTGCTGCGAGGGGTGTTGCAAGCAGGATTGCAGGCCCACGGCAATTTCTGGAATAAGCAGCTGCCCAGGGCGGGGAAGCACCATGACTGCCCATCCCCAGGGGAGATCCTCGGCCCGGCCTTTACAATCATCCCATTTTAAAAAAAAGATCCAATTAAAGCACTGGGCATAGTGCCACGCACGTAGTAAGTGTTCAGTAAATAGAAGCTATCATTCATGCATGCCACCACCTAGACGGTTGAGATTATCTCTGCTACATAGACAAGAAGGCCAAAGCTCAGGGACATAAAGAAACTGACCCAGGTCACAGGTCATAGAGGGCAGCACAGGGATTTGAACCCAGGATTACGTTTTTTAAAACCCCGTACCCAAGATCCCCTCAGCCCACTCCACATTTCGCTGAAGGGCAGCCTCTTCCCCTCTGCAATGGGAGGCTTCATGCTTGCAGCCTAGAAGCCACAGGCACTGTGCTTTCGGGAGACACGGATGACTGCAATCGTCCCGGCCCCTCTGTGCTCACAGACTCATGGGTTACTACAGCTCTATGCAATCAGACTGGAGTCCAGCTCCTGCAGTGACCCCAGGGTTCCGGACACTAAGCTGTCATTTTCCTGTGTCTTTGCCTTCCCTACACAGACAGAGACGAGGGAAGGCTAGGAAGGGCTTTACTTGGGCCCAGCTCCAGCTCATTCCCAAGTCACCCTCCTTCCAAGCCCAGTGGCTTCTCTGGTACTTCCCGTCTCGATTTCCATTTTCTCTCTGAAGTTACAGAGCAGGTTCTGCTCCTCCTGTATTAAAAGCCCAATTTTCCCTGCACTATTAAACAAATTTCTTCAAAGATAGAACCTCACATTGAATTAAACCCTTTTTTGAAGTCTTTAGTAGTTTCCATAAATACAATAGATGAATAAGCTGGCAGCCCACTAAAACCATTATTTAATGCAAGATAAAGAGGCACGTGGAATCCCACATAAGCCGCAGAGGAGCGGTGCGGAAAGATGCTCTCCCTCCCGGGCCTGGGAAGGTGACAGGAGCTCAGAGGCGGCATCTCCACCCCTTGGGGTTAATACTTCCAAGAGATCCATGATGGCTTTGAGAAGGGCCCTGGATAGAGGACTCAGTCTGCCCCTCGTCCCCTGAAAGATCTTGGCCACGTCATTGAACCTCACTCCCTTACTTCCCCCAGAGCAGAGTGAGGCACCGAAAGGGACCCAATTCTAGAAGAAAGCGAATCCAGGTCAAGGCCAGCTCAGCCTCCCAACCGCTGCAGAGCTTGAGAGGTTACTCGGCCTTCCTGTCTGCATTTGTAACATGGGAAGAAAAAGCAAGTGCTGCCTCACCAGGTAGTTGTGGAGGACAAATGACCAGCTTAAAGTTGAATTCTTAGGGTTGTTCAAATTATAGGGAACATTCTCAATGGCTCTACTTTAAACAATAAAGTACTCTTTGGAGAAGACCCATTAGCCAAAATGACGTCAATCAATACTAGTTTGGGATGCTTATAGAGATTACCAGACAGGACTGGTAGAAGGAAGCAAATACATTTGACACAGTTTTTAGTAATTATTCTGAGTGGTGTGACCTGACAATTGCAAGTCCTAATATCTGTATAAACAAGTCTCGTAACGAGTTCTGAAAATGAGAGTAAGTCCTCACAACACTGAAGCCACAAACTACACCGACAAGGCAAATCTTCTAATCCTGCCTAGTGTTATATATATCGGTCCTGATAGCATGAGGGGTTGAATTGTGTCCCCCAAAATTCATATGTTCAGGCCCTTACCCTCAGTGGCCTCAGTGTGACTGTGTGGAGATAGGGATTTGGAGATGTAATTAAGGTTAAATGAGGTCAGATAGGGTCTGTATCCAATAGAATTGGTGGCCTTAGAACGAAAAGAGACTCTCTCTTTCGCTCTGTCTCTTGCTGTCTCTCACACACTCATACACACAAACACACACTCATACACACAAACACACACATACACACACACACACACTTAGAAAAGGCCATCTGAGGACATAGCAAGAAGGCAGTCGTCCACAAGCCAGAAAGAGAGCCCTCACCAGAACCTGGCCATGCTGGCACCCTGATCTCAGACTTCCAGCCTCCAGAACATAAGAAAATAAATGTCTGTTGTTTAAGCCACCCAGTCTGTGGTATTTTGTTACGGCAGCCTGACTTAAGACAGATGCAATTAAAATTGCATACCTAGATTCAAAAAGTGGTGTATCTCAAACAACAGAGAAGTAAAAATGTCCTTGTGTTTGATGACACACAGAGTGGCTTTGTGGATGACAACACGCACAGGAAGAACTTGAATAGAAACTATTTCACAGAATTAAAGGATGGGGAAAAAAGCCATATTTCTACAAATACTTTAGTGTATAGACATATGACTTTATATGCGTTCATACAATGAAATTAGTACACTTAGTATAAGTTGACATTTAACTACTTTATCTGAATCCCTAAAAGTCAACATTTTCAGGTAGACCATAAATACTTTTATCCCATCACTAGGAAAGGGAGTGTTTGCTATATAGCTGAGTAGTTCTGCAATGACCTCACTGTAAAAGGTAAGAAGATGGTATGACACAATACCCAGGGCATCCTGAATCCTTTGGGAGAAGAACCTCAGTGTTAGTTGGAGGTTGGAAGGTATTGGAAGGAGCTCCTGGCGGAAGGAGATCCTGCACTGCCCGAAAGAATAATCTGACCAGAAAAGCAGGCTGCACCCAGAGATGGGAGAAAGCCAATGGGTGGCACTTAGGAGTTTGTCTGGGTGTGCAAAATGTCATTAATTTTGGTTTCATACATCTTACTCCAAACAACATTGACTCTGGAACATTCCAAAGTGTCTCAAGGAAGGTTTTTGCTTCTTGCAGTGACTAATACTTGAGGATAAGATTCATTTTCCAAATACATAATATCTGATGAGAATGGAGGCTGCTACCTGTATACCATGGATGGCTGTTAGCCCAGGATTCTGAGGGCTGGGCTCACTCCTCACACTCACTCCCTGGAGTGTGCCTGAGTCTCGGCCCACCCCGCCTTGCTGCTGACGACCCCACCTTCCACCATGGGAGCTGCACCCCGTGGTTTTCTCTGCTCAGTTTTCTACCTGTTCCTTCTCCTCATGGTCCCTGGAGGGGCCTGCACTTAGTCCAGCAGCCTGTCTTCCCTCTGGGGTCACCTGGAGGGAGAGAAGTCTAGATCCAGGTTCCCCAATGTGAACCTTAGACTGGAGAAACTGAGACAGCTCAGGCATGAAAATGCCAAATTAGAATCAATGTGTGTGGCCCAAAAGCACCATGAAAGCCAATGGGTCCAGCCTCTCGTGTTTCAGGGAAGGCACCTGTCTTAGTCTGTTTGTGTTGCTTAAAAGGAATAGCTAAGGCTGGGTAATTTATAAAGGAAAGAGGTTCATTTGGCTCACAGTTCTGCAGGCTGTACAGGAAGCATGGCTCCAGCATTTGCTTCTGGTGAGGGCCTCAGGCTGCTCCCATTCATGATGAATGCTAAAGGGAGCCAGCATGGCAAGAGAGGAAGCCAGGAAGAGAAGGAATGTGCCAGGCTCTTTTAAACAACCAGCTCCTGGAGGAACTTTCACAGGAATTAACAGAGCAAGAACTCACTCATTACCGCAAGGATGACACCAAGCCATTCATGAAGGATCCACCCCGTGACACAAACATCTCCCATTAGGTCCCACCTCCAGCATTAGGATCCCATTGTAACAGGTTTAGGAGTACAAACATCCAAACTAGAGCAGCACCTTCTGCCCACAGAGGGGACATCACCTGCCCATCATCACAGACCTGGAGGCCGAGCTGGGTGGTAGTCTCCCCATCATTGCAGTTCGTGGACCACTGCTTTCAAATAGTCTCATCACAACTGGGTTCCAGCACAGAGGAAAAAAGGACCTTTCCTGCTACAGGGAGTGAATGGTACTGGCTGCTTAGCAGAGTTGAAAGAAAGCAGAGAGGCTGCTGGAAACTGGAAGGTTCTTTAAGGTTCAGGGACACCCTCTTTGGCCATTCATTCTGCCCACAGCCTGGGAGGGTGCTGGCAGTAGAGCAGGGCTCTCCAAGACTGCAGAGGAACATCTGGGCACTCACCCCAACAAAGTAACAGAAGGGGTACCAGGAAGAGCTGGATCCAAGCAGCTTAGCAAGGGCCCTTCCCAGCACAGAGGAAGCTAGCGTGAGGTGGGAGCAGCCAAGACATCAGGAAAAAAGCAGGGGAAGTCAGAGGACCCAACTCTGCCATGGCTCGCTGTGTGTCCCTAACTGAGGCCCTTCTCTACCACAAGCCCCTGGTTTTGTTCTGCAAAAGTAGGAGCATGAAATGAGATGATCCATAAGTTCCATTCCCGTCTGATGACCAGTCAATAGGCCTTCGGAGTCATGTAACCATTGCCTGTCTCTCATCCTTCTGCCAGCTGGCAGGTTCCAGAAGGATACTTAAAAGAACCTACCAGGATCTGATTATAATTAGAGTAATAAAATATTCATAATCTCAATAATAGCTAATATTTACCCAGCACTTGCTGCGTGCCAGACTCCAGAGTAGGTGCATGGTAGGACTGATCTCATTTGAAAAGTAACGCTGAGTGTGCTGATGCTGACGACTGCTCATTAGCCACACCTAGAGCCAGCCCTGGGGAATCCCTGCACCTAGTGTGCCCTTCTATGTCTTTTCCCCTCTGCCAAGGCCATTTCCTGGGCACCAGCATCCAATATCTTCCATGGGCGATCTGGAGACGTTAGCCATGACAAGGGGATAATGACTGGTGAGTGCTGTCCACCAGTGGTCCATATTTTAACAGAGAATGAGACCTCAAATTAAAGAGATAACATTCTCCAGGAAAAGAAATCAGACATTAGAAAGCTATAGTAAGAAAGGTGTTTGGGGGACAGGAGCAGGACCCTGACATGCCACTGTGAGAACAGATGCCTTCTGAAGCCGGTCACACCTGGCAAGTCAGGAAGAGCCCAGGGGGTATCACCTTTTCACCTTTGCAAGGTTCTATGACTCTTGATTTCTGGAACTGGCTGCAAGAGGTTAGAAGGTATGACCAACCAAAGGCCTCACAACCTGGACAGCACCATATACAGAGGGAGCTACCCTTTGGCCTGCAGAGGGGCCGAGTCCAGCTGAAGAGCCACAAAAATTAATATTTAATTGAAAAGTTATTTCCTGCATAAACATCCCCGAAGGTTCACAGAACAGTCATGCTACTTCATCTTCTGTCGGTAGACAGAAAGGAAGAAAAGGTAGCAGAGAGTGGGGATGGTTCAACTTTAAGGTACATTTTTAATTAAAAGAAAAAGATCAGAGCTGTGATGCGGCATCATAAAGCAGATAATTTTACAGCTGGATGGTCTCCCTCTGATGTACTTGAAAACCATTTTCAAGCGACATAAAGTTTAACATACCGGTACATCTGCCTACCCACTAGATTCTACATGGAATTTAAAATTTAATTATATTAAAGCTTTGTTACAGTGTGCATTGCAAGCATGCTAACCAAGTGGAACCTTTAACAAAATCTCCACAGATAGCTTTTTTTTTCTTTTAAACTCAGTTTTGTAGAACCCAGGGCTGAGTTTGACAAACAGTAGATGATGCTGTCCACAGTGTTTACTGCTTACATAACAAAACACTTGAGACCCAGTTGCTTATTCTCCTGGGTGAATTCTCACAAGTCCATCTTCTCATTGCCTTCTCACTGCTAAAGCAGAAAAGCAGTCAAAGAAATCAAGCAGTGAGAGAGCTGGAGTTGACCCCTTTGAAGTCCTATAAGGGCTTGGGGGAGGGGTGGAGGGGAGCTACTTACTCTGGAGACAGTCTCTTCACTATTAATGTTATGTGCAAATTAAAGTACCACTTTCTCAGGGGAAAAAAAAGTTGCCATGTTAATCTATTCATCACAGGTTGCATGTTTTCTGCAATTAAAAATGCAGCCAGTCTCTATAGGAAGACAAAATTCCACACAAACCTGGCTCCCCATCACAGAAGTACAAGGTTGGGCTTGAGAAGCTGGACTGTGGATCAAGCAGCCCTGGTTCGAATCCTGGCTCTGCTACCACCTAGCTACCTCCCTATGACACCTAGCTGTGCATTTGTGAGCAAAGTACTTCACCTCTCTGAGCCTGTTCTACAGAATGGAGATAATAATAGGACCTAATTCAAACAAGATTGTTGAAAAAGTAAAGAAGATAATGTACATAAAGCATTTAGGCACAGAGTAAACACTCAATAAATGGTAACTAATCTTTATTGTCATTCTTGATATATTTTTAAATGCCAATGCTACACTGTGGCTGAATGAGCCAGCCACTTTCCCTGATGGACTAAAATAAAAAGGCTCACGCCCGGCCAGCAAACCTGCACAATTTGAGTCACGAAGCATTGCGAACTGCTGCTCAGGGAGAAAACAGAAGAGAAGCTCATCTTTTCATTGTCCCATTTATCCGTCCATCCACCCAACAACCATCCGCTGAGCCCACAACTATGGAGGACACAAGACTACAAAAGACACACACTACCTAGTCGCCAAGGAATATGTCATCCAATGAATCAGGCAGACAAGCAGCAAGGCTGCAGACAGACAGGAGGAAAGGGAAAACTGTGTGGAAAAGTTCTGTGAAGGGTGTGAAGTGGGCAATGTCACAGAGGCTCTGAGAATCCAGACTTTCCAGGGAGGGGCTCTTAAACTGCGAGCTTAATAAGCAAACATGCCCCTGGAAAAAGGAGGAGGGGCAAAGCAGAATCGCTGCTGGGCACCCACCACAGCCTCGGAGAGGGTTTTCTGAAGGTCTAGAGGCACCAGCATAGAAAGATCTTTGAGATATATTTATATATCTATATATAAAATATTTATATACCATAGATTTATAATATTTATAATATAAATATATATTATATAATTTTATAAATATAAATATAAATATATTTATATTATGAATATAATTTTATAATTATAAATATAAATATATATTTATATTATGAATATAATTTTATAAATATTATAAATATAATTTTCTAAATATTTTATATATTTATATATATTTATATTTATATATTTGTTTATTTATATTTATAAAAATATATTTTGTTTATTTTATAAATAAATATAAATAATAAATAAATATAAATAAACAAATAATAAATATAAATATATATTTATAAATATAAATTTATATAAAATTATATATATATATATATATTTTTTTGAGACAGAGTCTTGCTCTGTCACCCAGGCTGGAGTACAGTGGTGCCATGTTGGCTCACTATAACCTCTGCCTCCTGGGTTCAAGCAATTCTCCTGCCTCAGCCTACTGAGTAGCTGGGATTACAGGCACACACCACAAAACCCAGCTAATTTTTGTATTTTTAGTAGTCACAGGGTTTCACCATGTTGGCCAGACTGGTCTCAAACTCCTGACATCAAATGATCCGCCTGCCTTGGTCTCCCAAAGTGCTGGGATTACAGGTGTGAGCCACCATGCCCAGCAGATCTTCAGTATATTTTTAAGTAAGTAAAAAAAGGTGAGCTAGATACAAAACAAGATACCAGTTTTTAAAAATGTTGGCATGTATGTGTTTTATCTCTACAGAGAAATGATGCCCACAACATCATCAAAAGACGTGTATGCCTGTGGGAGGCGGGATGGGAGAAAACATGGAAAAGACAATCTTTCACTTTTTATTATGCATTTCTGTAGAGTTTGAATTTTTCAAAATTAGCATCGACTGTTTTCTAATTATCCATAAAAATGCATATTTAAATCTTGTGATTCTTTTTAGTCATCATATTTAATTTCTGAAACGTAATATTAAAGGAGGGCATTTAAATGCCAATGCTACACTGTGGCAGGGTATTTCTATGTCACTAATCGAGGATATGAGCTAAAAGGTATTCATGCTACAAAGATGGGCCAAGCACTGTGGCTCACACCTAGAATCCCAGCACTTTGGGAGGCCAAGGCGGGAGGATTGCTTGAGCTCAGGAGTTAGAGATGAGACCAGCCTGGACAACATAGTGAGACTCCATTTCTACAAAAAATTTTAAAAATTAGCTGGGCGTGGTGGTGCGCACCAGTGGTCCCAGCTACTTGGGTGGCTGATGTGGGAGGATCACTTGTGCCCAGGAGGTCAAGGCTGCAGTGAGCCATGATTGTGCCACTGCACTCCAGCCTGGGCAACAGAGCAAGACTCTGTCTCTCAAAAAAATAAATAAATAAAATAAAATGTACTGAGTCCCTATGACAAACTGGGCATGATTCTATGCTCCAGGGAGCATGGCAGTGAACCAGCATCCACATACCTGCCCGATATTCCAGCAGGGAAGACACAGCAGCCCCCAGATGGCCGGGCAGTGGAGAGGAGGGAGATGGAGAGAAGGGATGTGGGGACAGGGGTCCTGTTCTTTGTAGGGTGGCTGAGTTGAGCCTCCTTGAGAAGGTGACATTTGAGGCATTGCCTGAAGGAAACGAGGGAGGGAGCCTCAGGATATCAGGGGAAAGGGCATACCAAGTAGAGGAAGCAGGAAGTGCCAAAGCTCCGAGGCAGGAGTGCAGGGTTCAAGCTTCAGCTGGAGCAGAGCAGGCCAGCAGGAGATGCTTGTGCGAGAGAGGGAGCCATGTGACATTGTTTGGCACAGGTACAGACAAAGTAGTGTGCAGAATCTCTGGGTAGCACCAGGGCCTGGAGCGGGGGATCGTACATTTAAAATAAGACCAGTTAGCACAGGTACCTGTTTTTCTCCAGCCACACTGGGCTGCTGGACGTAAGGTCTGTTGGGCTGAGGTCACAAAAGTGGCAAGAGCCAGACCCAGCAGGGTCTTCTAGACTTTGAGTAGAACAGGAGCTGGTGGGGGTCTTTCAGCGATTCGGTGATGAATGTCAAAAAGAAATCCTAAAAGAGGGCTCTACCAACAGTTCAGGAGAAAGGTGAGGGTGGGATAGACTCTAGTGAAAGCAGTGAAGGTTTCGAATAAGTTGATGGCTTCTGTATCTATTTTGAAGGTGGAGCCACAAGTTTGCTGATGGATTAAAGGAGGGAAGAGAAGAAAAAATACAATAAACGATGACTCCCAGGCACCGGGGCAGGTTAGAGTTGCCATTTTCTGAGACAGGAAAGATTAGGGTAGCAGCTTGGTAAGAGGTGATGAATCAACAGCTTGTTCAGACGCTTAAGTCCGAGATATCTGACACTCAGGTGGATAGATGCATCTGAAGGCCAGGGGAAAGCCAGGGCTAGAATTACACATTTGAGGTCATCAGCATGTAAAAAGTGTGCAAAGCTAAGAGGTCACCAGGGAGCATTTGGGTAGAGAAACGGAGAAGATGATGACCGAACCCTGGGCGCTCCAGCCTTAAGGGGTTAGCAGGACAAAGAAGGAGCAGTCTCTGAGGAAGGAGCCAGCCAGGACAGAGCGGTTTCACGAGGAAGAGGCAGCCAGTCATGTCAAATGCCACTCATCGACCAGTAAGATGAGAACAGATACTCAACTATTGCACTTGGCAGCCTTAACAAGAGCTTTTCCCACAGAGTAAAGGCAAAAGCCAGACAGCTTAAGAGTGAACTGGAGGGGAGTAACCAGAAAAAATGAATAAGACAATGTGGTACATCTAAGCTGTTGTGCTGCAGACAGAAGGAGAGAGACAGGCAGTAGCAATAAGAAAGGCTTTTTTTTTTCAAGATAGGGAATACTACAGATAGATAGGGTATGAACAATAGGAACGCTGATAGGAATCATCCAATAGACAGGAAACATCTAAGGTTGAAGGAGGGAGAGGGAATAATTGCAGAGTGATGCCCTTGAGTAAAAGAGAAGGAATGTGATCTGGCACACAAGGAAAGGGGTGGTTGCAGCCAGGACAAACAGGTCATCCACAGAACTGGAAGGAAGGCTGCCGTGTGGGTGCAGACACAGAGGGGTGGGCAGCCATGCTGCTGGGAGCATGCAGAAATTCCCTTCTGATTTGTTCCATTCCCCCAGAGAAATAAGAAGCAGGGCCAAAAGCTGAGAGTGTGGAGGAGGAAGAGGAGCTGTCTGAAAGAGGAGACCACATGATATTGTTTGGCACAGGTATGGACAGAGTAGTGTGTGGAATCTTATAGCACCAGGGCCTGGGGTAGGGATCATACATTTAAAATAAGACCAGTTAGCACAGGTACCTGTTTTTCTCCAGCCACACTGGGCTGCGAGATATAAGCCTTCAGAAAGTAAAAAGTTGGCTTTGAACAGGCATGGGGTATAGCCAGGTAAGTACCATAGAGGTGTATTGGATTTGGCACAAGCAAGAAATCATCTTTTATTGGGTTAAGCAACTGAGATTTCCAGGTTGGTTTGTAACAGCACAGAGTGTTACTTAATGTCGCTGGTACTCCTGGGTTTTGAAAGGATCTCTGTGTGGATATTAAAAACCATCATGAATTACGACAGATAGAGAGTCAGAAAGAGACAGCGATCCAGGTGCTAAAATCTTCAAGGAATGAGGGAGAGCAAATCAGGCAATCTGTAATAATTGCAATGAGAAAAGGCAACAGGTGGTAGAAGCTTGAAGGCATGAGGCTCAAAGCAGCAGGAGGGTTTTCAGGGAAGATGAAATGAGATGGATGACAATGGCCTGGGAGTGAAAAAGAGGTGGGAGGAAGATGCCTACATGGCCTCCAGGTCCTGCAGCACCAAGAGTGTAAGAGGTCTCCAAACTGCTTTCCACAGGGGCTGAACTAATTTGCATCCCTACCAGCAGTGTATAATTGTTCCCTTCTCTCCACAGCCTCACCAGCATCTGTTATTATTTTACTTTTTATTTTATTTATTTATTTTGAGACGGAGTTTCTCTCTTGTTGCCCAGGCTGGAGTGCAGTGGCACAATCTCAACTCACTGCAACCTCTGCCTCCCAGGTTCAAGCAATTCTCCTGCCTCAGCCTCCTAAGTAGCTGGGATTACAGACACCCACCACCCCGCTTGGCTAATTTTTTGTATTTTTAGTAGAGACAGGGTTTCACCATGATGGCCGGGCTGGTCTCAAACTCCTGACCTCAGGTGATCCGCCTGCCCCGGCCTCCCAAAGTGCTGGGATTAGAGATATGAGCCACTGCACTTGGCCTTATTTGACTTTTTAATAATCACCCTTCTGATTGGTGTGAGGTAGGATCTCACTGTGGTTTTGATTTGTATCTCTCTGATGATTCATTAGGATGAGCATTTTTCCATGTGTTTTGGCCACTTGTATGTTTTCTTTTGAGAAGTGTCTCATCATGTCGCTTGCCCATTTTTAATGAGGTTATTTGTTTTCTGCTTGTTGATCTGTTGAAGTTCATTATGGATTCTGGATATTAGACCTCTGTTGGATGCATCCTTTGCAAATATTTTCTCCCACTCTGTAGATTCTCTGTTTACTCTGTTGACAGAGCTACCATTCTCATTATTGGTAGCTAGTAATCCCATGAACATATAATTGCATGTGTCTTTTTGATAGAATGATTTATTTTCTTCTGGGCATATACCCAGTAATGGGATTACTAGCTACCATGTGTTCACAATAGCAAAGACATGGAGTCAGCCTAGGTGTCCATCAATGGTAGATTAGATAAAGAAAATGTGGGCCAGGCATGGTGGCTCAGTCCTATAATCCCAACACTTTGGAAGGCCAAGGTGGAAGGATCACTTGAGCCCAGGAGTTTGTAATCAGCCTGGACAACATAGTGAGACCTGTCTCTAAAATAATAATAATAATAATAATTTGTTTAATTAGCCAGGAATGGTGGCACAGGCCTGTAGTTTCAGCTACTTGGGAGGCTGAGGTGGAGGATTGCTGGAGCCCAAGAAGTCAAGGCTGAAGTGAGCCATGATTGCACCACTGCACTCCAGCCTGGGTGACAGAGCAAGACCCTGTCTCAGAACATATAAAAATAAATAAAAATAAAAGCAAATATGGTACATATACACAATAGAATACTATGCAGCCATAAAATAGAATGAAATCATGTCCTTTGGAGCAACATGGATGCAGGTGGAGGTCATAATCCTATGTGAATTAATGCAGGAACAGAAAACCAAATCCCATATGATCTTACTTAAAAGTGGGAGCTAAACATTGGGTACTCATGGACATAGAAATGGGAACAGTTGACGCTGCAGACTACCTGGGGGGAGTCAGGGAGGGAGGTGTGGGTGGAAAAACTACCTGTTGGGCACTATGCTCACCACCTGGGTGGTGGGATCCATACCCAAACCTCAGCATCACACAATACACCCATGTAACAAACATGCACACATACCCTCGGTATCTAAATCAAGAGTTGACATTATTTTAAAAAACTTATTTCATAGTAAAACTGTTACCAAATAATCTATGACTCTATCATTGTACTAATAATAAAACAAAAAGTGTGAGAGAGAAAACATCCACCATTTGAGAGGGCCACATGGGAGTAGTAACCTCAGGAAAGGACACAGTTCAGCTAGAGCTAACAGAGTTCTCCCACTCTCTCACCACAGAACTCCTTTATAGCCCTGAAAATCACGGAGGACGTCTGCTGCTACCTATGATGGGAGGACAAGGATTGGATTTACCTTCCCACCTTACACAACTTTTCTCAAAGGACAAACTATATGAAACAAGACTTTTCACATATTGACAGTGCAGGACAGTGATACCTGACAGAAACATCAATGGAATTAACGGTGGCTCTCTGAGAAGCTCAATAAAATTGATAAACCTCTAGAAAAACTGATAAGGGAAAAAAAAGAAGACACAAATTATTAATATAAGGGATGAGAGGGAGTACATTCTACAGTTATTGCAGACATTAAGTAGGTAATAAGGAAATATTGTGAATAATTTTACGGCAATGAATTTGATAACTTAAATAGACAAATCCTTAAAAGACACGAAGTACTAAGATTATTCATAAAGACTTAGATAGCCTAAATAGACCTTTACCTATTAAAATTAAATGTACAGTTAAAAAGTTGTGCACAAAGAAAATTCCAGGCCCAGATAACTGGTATTTCACTGATGAATGCTACCAAACAATTATATATAACCAATTCAACACAAACCTTTCCAGAATATAGGAGCGGAAGAAACATTTCACTCCTAATTTTCTAAATCTAGCATTACCCCGATATAAAACCAGACTAAGATGTTATAAGGAAAGAAAGTTACAGAAAAATATCCCTCAAACACATATGTTAAAATATTTAAAAGATATGAACAAATAAAATCCAGCTATATATAAAAATAATAATGTAACATAGGCTGATAAAATGTAGGTTTAACATTTGAAAATCAATTAAGGTAATTTACCCTATTAACAAACTAAAAGACAAAAATCATATGATCACGTCAATAGGTACAGAAGAACTATTCAACAAAATCCAACATCCATTCATGAAAAAAACTCACAGCAGAAATCTCAGTAAGGTTTTTAGTCTAGCTGATAGTATTGTGCCAATGTCAATTTCCTGGTTTTGATAATACTCTATAGCTATATAATACGTTATTATTGGGGGAAGTTGGATAAAAGGCATGCAGAATCTATTTTTTTGCCCAGGGTGGTTGCAAATTCCCAGGTTCAAGCAATCCACCAGCCTCAGCCTCCCAAAGTGCTGGGATTACAGGCAGGAGCCACCAACCCTGGCCTCACAGAGAACCTCTTTGTTCTATTTTCACTTCTTGAGAGTCTATAATTATGTAAAATTAAAAGTCAATTCCCCCATCCTGGGAAACATAGTGAGACCCTGTCTTTACAAAAAATACAAAAATCAGCCGAGCATGGTGATACACACCTGTAGTCCTAGCTACCCAGGAGGCTGAAGTGGGAGGATCGTTTGAGCCCAGGAGTTCAAGGCTGCAGTGAGCTATGATCACACACCACTGCACTCCAGCCTGGGCAAGAGAACAAGACTCTGTTGAAGGAGAAGGGAAGGAGGAAGGGGACCTTAATATTATTAAGATGTCAATTCTCCCCAAATTCACCTATACATTCAAAGCAATCCTAATTAAAATCCTATCAGGCTTGTTGCAGAAATTGATAAGCTGATGTTAAAATTTCTAAAATGTATATGGAAATGAAAAATGACTTAGAAAAGCCAAAATAATTGTGAAAATGAACAAAATTGGAGTGTGTGTGCGTGTGTGTGTGTGTGTGTGTGTGTAACAGAGTCACTCTGTCACCCAGGCTGGAGTACAGTGGTTCGATCTCGGCTCACTGCAACCTCCCTCCCAGGTTCAGGCGATTCTCCTGCCTCAGTCTCCTGAGTAGCTGGGACTACAGGCATGTGCCACCATGCCGGCTAATTTTTGTATTTTTAGTAGAGGTGGGGTTTCACCATGTTGGCCAGGCTGGTCTCAAACTCCTCACCACAGGTGATCCACCCGCCTCGGCCTCCCTAAGTGCTGGGATTACAAGCGTGAGCCACCAAGCCCGGCCCAAAATTGGAATATGTACACCCCTGATTTGAATACATGTTGTAAAGCTATATTAATAAAGTATGATATTGGCATAAGTAGAGACATACGGAAAAATGAAACAGGATAGAAAGTTTAGGAAAAGACTCACACATACATGGTGAATTGGTTTTCAGTGAAGGGGCCAAGGCAATTCAATGGAAAAAGAATAATCATTTCAACAAATAGTGCAGGAATAATCAGGTAGCCACAGCAAGAAAAAAAAAAAAAAAAGAAAAGACGATCCTTGACCCTCATCTCACACCACACATAAAAACTAACTTGAAACTATGATAGACCTGACTATAAGAGGTAACTACTAAACTTCTTGTAAACCTAGGAGAAAATCTTAATGATCTTGGATTTGACAAGGATTTCTTCCTTTATTAACTTCTTAAATATGATGCCAAAAGCATGAACCATGAAAAAATAGTCAACAAATTTTACTTCACCGAAATTTAAAACCTTTTCTCTTCAAATGACGCTGTTATAAAAATGAAAAGGCGGCCGGGCGCAGTGGCTCGCACCTGTAATCCTGGCACTTTGGGAGGCCGAGGTGGGTGGATCACGAGGTCAAGAGATCGAGACCATCCTCGCCAACATGGTGAAACCCCGTCTCTACTAAAAATACAAAAATTAGCCAGGCATGATGGCGCGTGCCTGTAGTCCCAGTTACTTAGGAGGCTGAGGCAGGAGAATCGCTTGAACCCGGGAGGCAGAGGTTGCAGTGAGCCGAGATCGTGCCACTGCACTCCAGCCTGGTGACAGAGTAAGAATCCGTCTCAAAAAAAAAAAAGAAAAGAAAAGGCAAGGAACAAACTCAGAAAATATCTGTAAAATATATATCCAACAAAGAATTCATATCTAAAATATGCAAAGAACTTTTACAACTCAGTAATAGGAATACATTCCAATTTTTTAAAGAGGCAAAAGATTGGAATATGTACTTCATTGCAGAAGAGAGATATATGGATAGCAAACAGACAAACAGTTGGAGAGATTATCAGCTCTTGAGAACAGATATATGGGAAGAGTGTGTTTATAGGACTGTCAGCATCATCCGTCATTAGAGATGCGTCCACACATACACTAGATTAGCTAAAAATTTTTAAATAAGTAAATAAACTGACCACCCCAGGGTTAGCAAGAATGTGAAGCAAAGGGAACTCTCACATACACTGCTGGAAGAAAAGTAAAATGACACAAAAATCACATAGGAAAATACTTTGATGGTTTCATATAAAGTTCAATATACTTCCCATACAACCCAACCACTCCACATTTAGGTATTTATCCAAGATAAATAAAGGTATATGCTCAAAGATGTGTACATGTAATTTTGCTTGTAATAGCCAAAAAGTAGAAAATAATCTATGCACGAACAAGTGAATAGATAGCAAAAATGTGGCATATCTATAAAACGGAATACTACTCAGCAATAAACAAGGCATGAATTTTTGATACACACAATATGTATGAACCTCAAAATAACTATGCTGATTATAAGAAGGTAGATTTGACTGGGCATGGTGCCTCACACCTGTAATCCGAGCACTTTGGGAGGCTAAGGTGGGTGGATCACTTGATGTCAGGAGTTCAAGACCATCCTGGCCAACATGGTGAAACCCCGTCTCTACTAAAAATACAAAAATTAGCCAGGCATAGTGACGCACGTGCCTGTAGTCCCAGCTACTTGGGGGGCTGAGGCGGGAGAATGGCTTGAACCTGGGAGGTGGAGGTTTCAGTGAGCCAAGATCGCACCATTGCACTCCAGCCTGGGTGACAGAGTAAAACTCCATCTCACACACACACACACACACACACACACACACACACAAAAGAAGGTAGATCTAAAAGAACAACTATTGTCTGATATCATACTTATAAAATGCTAGAAAACGCATACTAATCCATAGTGACAGAAAACAGGTAAGTGGTTGTCTAGAGATGGGAGAGGGACAGAAGGGATGAGTTACACAAGGCACAAGGAAACTTTTAGGGTGATGAATGTGTTACTATCTTGATCGTGGTAGTGGTTTCATGAATATATACAGATGTCAAAACTCATCAAATTGTACACTCTAAATACAGTTTATTTACATCAATTACATCTTGATAAAACTATAAATGAACAAATTAAGCACTATTAATGTCTCCATTTCACAGATACAAAAGCTGAGGCAAAAAGGAATTAAGTGTATTGCCTGGAGTAAGAACCTCACACAGCTAAGATTCCAGCGCAGAACTTCTGACACCTGGGATAAGACTCTTGGTCACAAAACGCTCCCCCTCCCCTCAGTGGTGACAGAACATGGTACTATTCTAAAGCAGTGAGTCCTGGAGACAGAGCAGACCCAGAGGAAAAGGAGAGAGAGACAGCAACCTGGCTTGAGTGTTCTCGGTAACCTTTCTCGGGAAGGCTCAAGTCCTGTCTTGGTCTGTAACAAGGTCTGATGGAAAGAACCCAGGCTTTCTATGAGGTTGGTGCAAAAGTAATCACAGTTTACACCAACCTAATAGAAGCCAGATGGACCCAAATTCATGGCAAGTCCTTCCACATACCAGCTGTGGGAGCCTGGGCAAGTGACCTTATAGTCTTCTTCTTTAAAAATGGGGCTAGGCTGGGCGTGGTGGCTCATGCCTGTAATCCCAGCACTTTGGGAAGCCGAGGTGGGTGGATCACTTGAGGTCAGGAGTTCAAGATCAGCCTGTCCAACATAGTGAGGTGGTCTCTACCAAAAATACAAAAATTAGCTGGGCATAATGAAACATGCCTGTAATCCCAGCTACTCGGGAGGCTGAACAGGAGAATCACTTGAACCTGGGAGGCAGAGGTTGCAGTGAGCTGAGATCGAACCACTGCACTTCAGCCTGGCCAACAGAGCAAGACCTTGTCTCAAAAAAAAAAAAAAAAAAAAAAAAAAAGGAGGGGGAGCTAATCGGGTGTGGTGGCACACGCCTGTAATCCCAGCTACTTGGGAGGCTGAGGCAGGAGAATCACTTGAACCCAGGAGGCAGAGACTGCAGTGAGCTGAGATCGTGCCACTGCACTCCAGCCTGGGTGACAGCAAGACTTCATCTTAAAAAAAAAAAAAAATAGGGCTAATCCTTTCTACTTTGTAGGGCTTCTGTAAAAGTTAGAAATAAGGTAACCCAAATTCCTTACCATGGCTAAAAGGCCTGACATGATCTGACTTTTCTTAGCCCATCTCACACCGAATCCTCCAAACCAACAGCCCTGACCACTCAACCCTGTTTCTGTTGCTACCTCAGGGCCTTTGCACAAGCTCTTGGATTTGCCAAGGATGCTTTCTAACACCTGCTATCTCACACCTACTGTTCCTTAAGGTGTTAGCTAAATGTCACCTCAGCAGGGAGGCCTTCCCTGGCCACCCGTGTTGGGGAACCCCAAGACCATCCCCAGGTTTGGTGAGTCACTGAAAGGACTCACAGGACCCAGCACATGGTTGTACTCATGGTGAAGACTTATTATAGCAAAAGGAGACAGAAAAATGAGCCAAGGGAAGGGCACATGGGCGAGGTAGGGGGAAACCGGGCACAGGCTTCAAGGCTACTCTCCCAGGGGAGTCACACCGGACGCACTTGATTCCTCTAGCAACAGGGTGTGATACACTCACAAAGTGCTGTCTGCCAGGGAAGCTCATCAGAGACTCGGCACCCAGGGCTCTGCTGGGGGTCATGTAGGCATCCTCTGCTTAGCACATACCAAAATTCCACACCCCAAGAAGGAAAGCCAGTGCTCGGCATAAACGGCATGGTTTGTACAAGCAGTTTAGGCACTGTGAGCCGCTCTAATCCTTTAGTGAAGGTTTTATGTCAGAATAGAGAACGGTTTACCAATCAAGTTCCTGGACACCAGCCAAGAGCCAAAGTTGCAAGAGGCCTTCCTAAGGATAGGCCTGAGGGCTTTCTGAGGACAACCAACAGGCCTGCTAGGTTAGCGGTTTCCTGCATGTCACCCTTGATGAGGCTAGGTCCTCTTGCCTGTTTCCTGTGCCGGTTCTATCACACTTGGAATTAATAGTCAAGCATTAACTGTTTGTTAACATCTGTCCCCTTCTACATTCTAAGCTTCCTATGGACAAGCATCGTGCCTGCTTGGCACGGAGTCAGTTTAATAAATCTGCACTGGGTGAATGAATGACGGATGCAGGGTGAATGAATGCGAAGAGGCTGGCAAGGTGACCGGCACATATCAACACCAGCAGGTGGCAGTTCCACTCCCATTAACTGCCTGAGTCTTGAGACTCCTTGAGGGCCCTAGGGAAATATTTTTAGCGATGAGTGAAGAAAGTCAGGATTGTAACAGTGCAGATGAAGAGACAGCCTGGAAACTTTGAGACAACATGGTCAGAAGTCCAAGCAAGAGGAGTAAAGGTGACTTCAAGGAGGGTGAGCAAGGTCCCTGGGTGCAACGGTTGAAGACTTCCCATCGTAGATCCTAAAGGAACGGCTTCCGGCTAGCAAAAAAAAAAAAAAAAAAAAAAAGCCCCTCTGGCCTTCCCTTCACCCCTGGAGCCACAAGCACCCAGAAAAAGCTGAACAATCAGAGAATTCCCCTGGGGTTGCATAGTGCCCAGCTGCTCGGCTAGCCCCACGTCTGCGGGCTCAGCCCCCTGTCTCCCAGGCCCCATGCTGCCTGACCCTACAAAGAAGTGGCAGTCCTGGACCCGGCACAGTGGCTCATGCCTGTAATCCCAGCGCTTTGGGAGGCTGAGGTGGGTGGATCATGAGGTCAGGAGATCAAGACCATCCTGGCTAACACAGTGAAACCCCATCTCTACTAAAAATACAAAAATTAGCTGGGCATGGTGGCGGGCGCCTGTAGTCCCAGTTACTCGGGAGGCTGAGGCAGGAGAATGGCATGAACCCGGGAGGCAGAGCTTGCAGTGAGCCGAGATCACGCCACTGCACTCCAGCCTGGGTGACAGAGCGAGACTCCTTCTCAAAAAAACATAAAAAAGAAATGGCAGTCCTGAGCAGCGACAGAAAAGCATGGGCAGACAGATGCATGAGGTTCCAAATAGGTGTTGCAAGCTATGCATTGGTTGGATCTTCAGCTACTAGGAAAAACAAAATGTTAAAAGCATAGTAAGTTCTAAAGATTATTCATTATTTTAATACAACCAGATGCTGCATGATCAATAGGAACCCTTGTATTTTTAATGTGAATCATTATTTAAAATATGTCACTGCCCAATCAATACAAAAGTTAAAACTCATCAATATTTAAATTTTTCCAATTGATATCTTATCATTCTATCCAGGAAAGAGCCTGGCAGATCACAAAATCCATTATTTAATCTTTTGAGATTGCAGAGTTCAGAATTAAACACCCTTGTGTCATTAGCTGCCTGGAAAGAGGCTTGCAGCAGATTGAATTAGGGAGGGGGTAGAAGGCACGGATGGGGAAAGCTGAATCAGGGCCGTTCCATCTGAGGTGAAGACAGGCAGGCATTTGTTAGGTTTGCGGGACTGCTGGGTGACATGGTTCAGCTGTGTCCCCACCCAAATCTCATCTTGAATTGTAGTTCCCATCATTCCCCAGTGTTGTGGGAGGGACCCAGTGGGAGATACCTGAATCATGGGGGCAGCTTCCCCCATACTGTTCTCATGGTAGTGAAAAAGTCTCATGGAATCTGATGGTTTTATACGTGGTTTCCCCTTTCACTTGGCTCTCATTCTCTCTCTTACCTCATTCTCTCTCTTCACCTTCTGCCATGACTGTGAGTTTGAGGCCTCCCCAGCCATGTGGAACTGTCAGTTCATTAAAACCTCAAACCTCTTTTTCTTTATAAATTACCCAGTCTCAGGCCTGTCTCTATCAGCAGCATAAAGATGGACTAACACACTGGGCGTTGGGGCTTTGAGGCTTTGGGGAGGAGAGATGGAAAGGAGGGACCCCTGGAACCTCTGTCCCGTGATTTCACTTCAGGTCAAAGCCCAAATTCCTCAGGTTGGGTGATGTATGAGGCCCTCAGGGGCCTGTTCCCTCAACCTTCAGCCCCTCTCACCCTACATGCTGCTCCTGCTGAACCGCCAGCCCCCAGTCGCCCCGGGGCCAGCTCTCCTTCCTCTAGCCTCTGCAATCCTGTTTCCCACCTGAAATGCCCTTGTCCCTCCTCCACCTTCCCACTGGCTGGTGAGTTCCTACTCCTCCTTGGGGCCTCTGCTTATTTGTCCCTTACTCCAGGAAGTGTTTCCGTAGGTGCCTATGGATGGGTAAGCAACTGCCATGTTTTATGCCACCCATCATGGTCTCTGGGCTGACCTTGAACACACGGTCTGTTTGGCTCTATTGCAATCACTCCGAACTTTCACATTGCAGGAACTGGTCCTATCTACTTCTGTCTCCCCATCACCCAGCATGGCATCTGGGACACAGGAGGGGCTCAACCAACACCTGATGAATGGATGAATGAGGGAGTGAGTGAATGAATGAATGAATACAGTCTGCTCCCTTAGATCCATTTGAACTTCTAGTGTCCCCCAGGCTGACGTGGAGGAGGGTGACCTGGAGGAAGGGCAGCCCCATTCAAGTGGTCAGAGATTGATTCCCATGCTTGGCTCAGCGTGCCCTCCTCCATCTTAACACGGTGTAGATGCAGAGGCGTTGCTTCCTGGAACTCTACTCAGGGAGCAGGGACAACAGATGGGGACTTTCCACTTCTTACAAATCAGATATTCAATCTGATGACAGAAACCAGGCTCGGAGCTCCCTGGGTGCTCACAGCTAGGAGGACAGAGCAGAGACGGCACTTAGAGTGGATTTAAGGGCACTGGGAAAACTTCCCCCGACAAAATCTCCTCCCTTCCCCTTCCTGACTCCCACTTCTCTAGGCTTCCACGAATAAAATGGTATTTATCTAGTGCTTAAAATCTTTGTTCTTTAAGAGTTCACCACTAAATTGCAGAAAACTTGGGGAGGGCGACGTTAAATCTTCTCAGCTAACAAGTTCATTCGTCCCATGCACACCTACTAAGCCATCTCCTGCTGTCAGCGCCGTGCTTCGCCGTGGGGACTCAAGAACGAGACCCATGACCCTAAACTTCAAGGAATCTGCTTAACGTTTCCTGACGGCAGAGCCAGAAAGATCAGTCAGCAAATCCATTGGGCATCCCCCATCTGGAATATAAAGTATTGATCAGCACATCAGTCCTGACTTCAAGGACTTTATAGTCAAGCGAGGGGCAGATAGAGGATAAGCGTCTAGGGCACGAGTTCCCATTGCAGAAGGGCCATCCACATGGCGCATGACATTCCTGGCAAAGAAGGAATGACGTACTCTGATTGCAAATGTGGAGAAAAGCATCAGAAAGGAGGTAACATTTGATCCAGGCCTCGAAGGCGGGATAGAATATTCTAGCAGGGAATTTGCTTCCACAACGGGAGGGACAGTGTGTGTGCAGGGAGGATGCTGCACCCGTCGGTAGCACCTACGGTGGGAACGCAACAGGGGACAGGTGTCTGGGAGGGAGGAGATTCGTCCCAGGAGAGGGAAAAGAGCACAGAACACAGAAGAGGGCCCCAGCCAGAACAGCTTGTTGCCAAGGGCAGACCTGAGACGCTGCTTCAGTCTCTCCCACTCAGTAGAGTCACTCACTGGGACCCAGTGACAAATGCGGAGAATGACAAGGCACCCAGCAGGCTACCTGGAAACACCACTATAGCTGCGAGGTGAGACATCTGTGCCCCCAAGCCCAACCCACCTCTGGCCAAGACGCATTCCTGCAGCTGAGAAGCTGTGGGGTGACATTCTCATGGGAACGTCCAGCCCAAGTTCACTCCCTTGGGTCAACCCCATGAGACACTTTCCCCGTGAAGCCCACAGCCACCTCCCCTGGCTGCCCTTGGACTTGGATGCAACCCCACAGACCTCTCCCTCTGCAAGGCCTTGGTTCTCACTGTGCCCTCAAAGGGACTTGGCAGTGAATGGGTCAGGCTGTGGAGGAAAATACCACAAAGGAGAATTGAGGGGCTGTGGGGGTGACAACAGGGCTCTCCAAACAAGTCAAGGGCCAGAACAGGCATCCCCAATGAAGGAATCGGGAGTGAGGGCAGTGACCAGGGCTCAGAGGGGCCAAGGTACTACCCAGGCTGGGTGCCCAGGGCTTATCCAAAGCAGAGGGACTGCCACATGTGCCTGGGTGAAGGCGAGCGGTGAGAAAGAGCCTGGCACACTCACACAAGGGCAGAGAGCAGGTGTGGAGAGGGCAGGGGCACGCAGCAGACGTGGCACCTACTATAGGATGAATGGTGTCCCCAAATATGTTAGAGTCCCACCCCAGTACCTGTGAATGGGACATTGAGAAATAGGGTCTTCGCGGATGATCAAGACAAGACGAGATCATTAGGGTGGCCCTATTCCAAGATGACTGGCATCCTTATGGAGAGGGAGAATTGGACACGGAGGCAGACACATTCAAAGGGAAGATGACATGAAGACACGAGAAAGAGACAGCCACCGACAGGCCAAGGAACACCTGAGGGTACCAGAAGCTAGGTATGAAACAGAGCTTCCTTCTCAAGCCAAAGAGGGAAACAGGCTTCTGGCCTCCAGAACCATGAGGCAAGAAATGGTTATTGTTGAAGCTACCCAGATGTGGAAACTTGTCAGGTCAGCTCCTGGAAACTCACGTGGTGCCCAACCATCATGCTGGCTGGCAAGATGGCCCGGAGCCCCACGTGTGTGCAGGGCTTGCAGACCACGTTTGGATCTTGAGTTTCATCCCAGAAGAGCTGGGAGTCCTCCAGGGCTTCGACAGGAATGTGACATGGGCAGACACACTTTTACAGAGCGCCTTGACTTCTAGAGGGAGAATGGCTGGGGATGGGTATAAAAGGGAGACCAGTGAGGGCCACTGTGATGTCTGCAAGACAGAAGAGCATCCAGGCAGGTGTGATGGAGGGAGAGAGGAGACTCGGGCGACACCAAGCTTCTGGCTTCAGCAGCAGGGAGGCTGCGGAGTGAAGATGGGCATGGGAGGCGCAGGGTGGGGCGGCCTTGCACTCCAGCATCAGACGTGGAGCCACACTCAGCAACAACAGCCCTGAGGAAGGAAGCCCTGAGCTTCCATCAGCCTTACCTGCAGACACTTTCCTGAGAGCTGACTTGGCTAGGAAATAAGCCCTGTTGCAGAGGGGAAGTTATGCTCAGACGGCATGCTGGTGGACAGAACGGCACCCGAAGTGCCTGCCTGCTCTGCTGCTTGTTACATGCCATCCCTCAGGGGCACGTGTCCTCCCGTCTGTCCACTGCACTTTCAGGGACCATCCATTCAAATATCCCCTAAAGTGCTCTGATCGCCAGGCACCCCCTACGAATATGCACACTCCTTACATTTCACTCCGTGAGCTGTCTCCATTTCTTCCTCCAGACCTGGAGCTCTTAGGGGTGGGGGTGGCTTCTCACTCATCCCTGGGGTGCACGTGGCTGTGCAAATATAATCTGGCATGTCCCAATAAAGCTCAAGGCGGGGGCAAGAGGAAGACAGGGATGACAGGGACAGTGGGGACAGGTTAATATGCTTCTAAAAGAAGAACAGGGCAAGGGTGGAAGGAGGAAGAAGTCCTGTTTAGGGACAGGGAGGGCGAGAGGAGCGTGCACAGTACCACCAGCTTCCCCTCGGACACTCACAGAGCCCAGAACACTCCATGGCCTTTCCCGGAAACAGCCTCAAGCCCATCCCTGCTCTGCAGGCCGGCATTCCCAAGGGCCTTTCCTATGCCCTGAGGGATGAGGAGCCAGGGGGAGTGACTGACAAGCCATAGGAGCCCCAAGGAGAAGGTGACATCAGAGAGAGGAAGAGGGTCAAAGGCAGTGCCCTCCCCTAGAACCCAGCCTCTCACCCTGCCAGATGCCCATAAGACTCAGGACACAGAGTCACTCCCAAAGAGCCACGTGGCACCCCCCTCGCGGCTCTCCCTGCTCCACTGTGGGTCCCCAGCCAGGCCTCAGCACCAACAGCCAAGTCTAGGGAATGCTCTGGAGGGCTGCCAGAACTCGCCGTGCCAGCTCCCGTCTCGGGCTGTGTACCCTACCTCAGCAGGCACAGTGGAAGAGCAGAACCCTGCCTTGTTCTTTCCAGAGACCCCCTGGGCACTGAGGTGATCTGACCTCCCCATAGCCCATCAGTGCCTACTGAATTATCTGAGAAAAGTGCAGTAATGGTCAGTTATCACAGCTCTCCTGTTATGTGTGCCTCCATGCACTTCACCCATGACCGCAAGAGTTCTCCAGTTCTTTTGTGACTGACCATTTCTGTGGGAAAGTGTGTGGCTGTTCTCTAGCAACCAGAACATTCCCTTCACTGGAACATCTCACTTATGACCACATTAGAGTTTGATTTGATCCATCTTATCCACCCATTGTGTATCGGAAATTGTAACTTATTTTTTATGACTGTCTATAGCACCCATCAGAATGCCCTACTGGGATCCCACGGGGCCTTTCAATTACACACATAGCTCATGTTCTTTCAGTTACACACATAGCTCATGTTCCTTTCCATTTAAACCCAGTCCTCGGCCAGCCCTGGCAAAAAGCCAGGGTCACTTGGTGGCCAGAAATGCACACAGAGCTCTGCTTCATGCCATATTCGATCCTCCAGGTAATGTGGTTGATGCAGCTTCTCTTGGAAGATTTTATTTTCCTCCATTTGTGGCCACCAGGCCCCTAGGAGGCAGTACAGAGGCTAGATACCACTGGCAGAATTGCTGGCTCTTCTTAGTTGCCACAAGTGAGAGCACTTCTGCAAAACAACCCTGGCCCTGACATCTCTGCTGAAGGCCGACTCTCTTTGAAAGATAACTTTATGAAATGATTAATGATACCTTAATCACAAGTGTGGCTCTGAGATTTTAATTCCATCCCTGATAACATCAGAGATGTAGCAGACAATGAAAACTGTATCACCTCAAAGCAGGCAGTGCGATTAAACCTCTTGACCCATAGGGAGGATCCTTGAATCATCATCCAGTTGGGTCTTTCCTACTCCACAAAGGGAGGCAGCAAGGCCTGAGCATGGGCTTTGGGATCTGTGGTGGGGAGAGCCTAAGATCCCCCCTGCGTTATCCCTACCTCTTGGGCTCCATACCCTGGTGCAGTCCCTTGGCCCCCAAATGTGGGCAGAATGTGAGCTTTGCTTCTCACCAACAGAACGGCAAAGGCAATGGGATAGTACTTCTGTGATTTGTTCACATACGGCCAGCAGGAACGTCCATCTTGCTAGCAGGCTCTCTCTCCCCTGCTGGCTCTGATGAAGCAAGCAGCCACCTTGAAGGGCCCACATGTCCAGGAACTAAAGGTGGTCTCCACCCACAGCCAGCACGGAACTGAGGCCCCTGTCCAACAACCTGTGAGGAATTGAACCCTGCCAGGCCTATGTGAGCTTGGACACCAGTCCTGCCTTAGCCAAGCCTTCCTATGAGACCGTAGCCTCAACTGACACTTTGACTGCAGCTTCATGAGGGACATTGAAGCAGAGAACACAGCTAAGCCAGGCCTGGGTTCCTGACCCTCAGAAACTGTGAGATAAGGATCATGTGTTGTGTTATGCCACTCAGTGTGGGGTAATTTGTTACAGAGGAACAGATAACTAACACCAAGTTAGACAGATCTGAGTTCTGGTCCTCATTCCTCCATTTGCCATCTGTGTGATCTTGAGCCAGTTACTCAGCCTCGGTTTCCTCATCTGTAGAATGGTGATAATAATTATACCTATCTCGGGGTGGTTGTAAGGATTAAATGTGACAGTTGGTCGAAAGGTTCTCATGAGGGTTCCTTGGGGGAGTTCAGCCCTAACTTGGCCCACAGGTATCCATGGTGACAAACTAACTTCTCTGCTGTGCATCAGAATGGTACTAGCTATGCACCATCCTCAGAAGGACTGAGAAAAGGCCACGCACATCATTTTCTGTACGGCTTAATTCTCTTATGAAACCCCAGGTGAGAAAGTCTGCAAGGAAGTCTCCCATTAACAGCAGCTGAATCCTTTGTTACTGTTGTATTGTTATATCAGATGCCCTGATTCTCCAAAGGTAGAAATTCAGTCTTGTCTAGTCTGGCATCAAGAGGCCTCTCCTAAGCCCTCTTCCTCATCCTGCCCACTCTACCCACCAATTAGCCCAGAAGAGAGATCGCAGAGTAACTTAATAACAACAGGATTTCTTGCCAATAACAAGCATTCTTCTGTATGTTTTCGGCTCAGGGGTTCTTCCATGTTAACTATCCAGAACTCCGATTTGGCAGGACAGAAATAAAAATGATGCCCCCCGCTGTTCACTGCTGTCCTTTCCAGGGATTATATTAGTTTCGGCAAGAGGAGGGGTATGGGGAGGTTAGGAGCCCTGTGGTTTGTGTCTCTCATGTTTAATACAATACTCATGTTGACCTCTTGAGGATTCTCCAACACCCTCTGCACTGGTGTTCATCTGGGTTCGGGCTTAGACAACAGCTGGACAGAAAGGTGGGGTTTCAGCAGTGCCGCAGTGGCTCTTGATTGGTTTTGGGGAGAGACTGCACCAAAGGAGTCGTTTTAATGAAACAGATCAAGTGCTAGCAAGTCTTCAGAGAACACAGAAAGCATTTAATCCTTTAATTTCTGAAATCTGAACTGACATCAGGGGTCCTTGGAGAGCTCTGTGAATTAAGGCGATTCCTGCTCTCCAGACCCCAGGCTGCATGTGAACTGCACGGGTATCCGGGAAATACAGGAGTTACTGGCTTAGCAAATTATTTCTCATCCCACACAAAGATAAACTCTGTTCATTACACATGCCGCACGCTACTCTTCAGCATAAAAATCAGCTTCTGAAGTCAGCTCGTCTTCTGACAAACACAGCTTGTTATACAAATGGGTTTGTATTCGGAGCCTCTCAATGGCAAGGTTCCCGTTGTGTTTCCCTCCCTTCCATCAAGGTCTCCTGCCTCAGTCCCTGACACACAAATGGTTCTGGTGCCACCAAACCATATTCCCCACTCAGGGTGTGGAGTGTATGTTTGCAAAAGCAAACAGGCTGCTATTCATCTAGCGCACCGGGACACACATTTTTTAACAATAAAAAATTTCAAACGATGTGTAGAGACACAGTCATAAACATTTCTGACTCCAAAAACCACCTTTTGAGTAGAATCAAAAGCATCAAAGCTCAGACAAACTTCTCTGCTGTGCGTCAGAATGGTACTAGCCAACAGCCATCCCACTCTTGTGGGATGCCAACAGCCTGGGGAACACATGAAGACCCCAACTCTCCAAAAAAAAATTTTTTTTTTAATTAGCCAGGCATGGTGATGTACTCCTGTGGTCCCAGCTACTCAGGAGGCTGAAGTGAGAGACTCACTTGAGCCCAGGAGATCGAGGTTGCAGTGAGCCAAGACTGCACCACTGCACTCCAGCCTGGGTGGCAGAGCAAGACCCTGTCTCAAAAAAAAAAAAAAAAAAAAGGATGCCAAGAATCTGCAGTCCCACTCTGACCCCTGCCACTCCTGTACTCCCAACTCTAGAGTCCCTCCATCAGGCAATGCCCTCAGGTGACAAGAAGAACAGTGGCTGGATCTAGAAACTATTTTCCCAGCAATCAGAGCTGGCTGTACCCATCAATAGAGACAACCACAGGCATGAGGATTTGAGCGACGGATGCTCTGAGACCCAAACCGCCCACATGAGTCAGCCTGTCCTCCAGGCTTGGAGGTAATGAAGCCTTTGTAAGCCAACACCTCGGCTGAAAATGCTGATTAAATTAGTCAGCCAAAAGCCTAGTGGGTCCCGAAAGGGCTGGGACACAGAACAGAGGAGTTCTGTAGGAAGAATAAAAAGCCAGGAGAGTTAAAAGGGCTGCCTGAGTGGGCAGGCCTGGTAGGGACAGCAGGATGACCACAGCAGAACGGGAATTGGCTGGAAGAAGCGAGAGAGTCCGCCATCCCCAGGGAGCAGGAATTAGAAACACAAAGGAGGAGGAGCTGGTGGCTGAGTGAAGACCAATTATGGCTGAGATATGCTGATTTTTAGACACTCCCTTAACTGGTCTTTAAGGAGTTGCATAAGCCAGCGCCAGAGGCCGTCCTCTGCTCAACACTGGAAGGCAGTAGGCAGTGGTGTGCTAGAGTCACCCGTGCCCACTAGGGGGGAGCCAGTTATTAAACGTTCAGGGTTTTGAGCCAGTTAGGTTATTTAATCACTGGTAACTGGAAGTCATCCATGGCAGGAGTGGTTACCCCATGGAAACTGGTAAGTGCTAGGACATAGCAACCCTTCTCCCCACCACTGAGCATTCACCAGCACACGGGCCACAGGTGCTCATTACTCTCCAGGCTGCCATGCACTTCTTGCTTCATCAATTGAGTTCTATGTGTACTGAGAATCAGCTCTGTTTATCCCCAAACGTGCTGTGCTGGCTGTACTCTTTATTGTAATTACATAAAAAATATAGAAAATAGTGAAATGTGAGTATAAAAAGAAAGATAGGCCAGGTGTGGTGGCTCACACCTGTAATCCCGGCACTTTGGGAGGCTGAGGCGGGCGGATCACCTGAGGTCAGGAGTTCAAGACCAGCCTGGCCAACATGGCGAAACCCCATCTGTACTAAAAATACAAAAATTAGCTGGGTATGGTGGCGGGCGCCTGTAATCCCAGCTACTTGGGAGGCTGAGGCAGGAGGAGATCACTTGAACCTGGGAGGTGGAGGATGCAGTGAGCCGAGACTGTGCCACTGCACTCCAGCCTGGGCAACAAGAGCAAAACTCTGTCAAAAAAAAAAGTAGTTATTTCTATGAAAACTAAGTTGGCCGGGCGCAGTGGCTCAAGCCTGTAATCCCAGCACTTTGGGAGGCCGAGGCGGGTGGATCACGAGGTCAGGAGATCGAGACCATCCTGGCTAACACGGTGAAACCCCGTCTCTACTAAAAATACAAAAAAAAAAATTAGCCAGGCGTGGTGGCAGGCGCCTGTAGTCCCAGCTACTCGGGAGGCTGAGGCAGAAGAATGGCGTGAACCCGGAAGGCGGAGCTTGCAGTGAGCCGAGATCGTGCCACTGCACTCCAGCCTGGGAGACAGAGAGAGACTCCATAAAAAAAAAAAAAAGAAAGAAAGAAAAGAAAACTAAGTCAAATACTTAGCAAGACTCAAAGTGAGTTGCTTAAGGAATGCTATGAAATTAAAGTGGGTGGATTCAGCTGTAAAATATTGGGGGGGATGGTTCATAAAACTCTAGAAGGATTCTATTCTCTGATTGCTTCACCAGTGTGTCCATAAGTTGCCCCTCCATGTTGAAGAAATCTAAATGAGAAGTTGTAGGCAAGGTCTTACAAGGTGATCTGTGAAAAGAGACAGAACTCACCCACAAACAGCAGGCCACACTAAGGAAAACCAAGAAAACCTTGCCCTGCCTCGAAAGATTGGTAAGTCCATACTCACTTATAGGTTTTAAGTTAAATTTTTAACTTATGTACCTACAAGTACAATTCCCTACTTTAAGTGATTTTTTAAAATTAACTGATTAATGACTCAACCTAGCTGAGTCAGTGGTGAAGAACTGGAGGTTACCCGTCAAGAGATGGTGGTTGAAGGCATGGGGTAGAAGGCAAGGAGGAAAGACAGGGAAAACCCATAAAGTTAATAAGGAGAGAGGCTTGCAGACTCAGGAGGGCATGAGGGTTGATGTTACATGAGGGGTCATCTTATGTGAGGGGTAAAATGTTATGTGTCAATCTAACTGGGCCACGAAGTATTTGGATATTGGCCAAACATGATTCTGGATGTGTGGATGAGGGTGCTTCTAAATGAGATTAACATTTGAATCAGCAGAGTGAGTAAAGAAGGTTGCCCTCCTCATGTGCCCATCCAATCAGCTGGAGACCTGAATAGAACAAATAAAAGCAAAAGCTGCCCCTCCCATGAGTGAGAAGATGCCCTCCTGCTTGACTGCCTTGCATGGGGACGTGAGTCTTTTCTGGCCTCTGAAGTCAGACTAAACTTGACTCTTTCTGGGTCTCAAGCCTGCTGGTTTTCAGACTGGAACAACACCATCAGCTCTCCTGGGTCTCAGGCTTTCAGATTCAGACTGGAACAACATCATCAGCTCTCCTGGGTCTCAGGCTTTCAGATTCAGACTGGAACAACATCATCAGCTCTCCTGGGTCTCAGGCTTTCAGATTCAGACTGGAACAACATCATCAGCTCTCCTGGTTCTTAGATTTTTCGGACTCACACTGGAACACCACCATCAGCTCTCCTGGGTCTCAGGTTTTCGGACTCACACTGGAACACCACCATCAGCTCTCCTGGGTCTCAGGTTTTCGGACTCACACTGGAACACCACCATCAGCTCTCCTGGGTCTCAGGTTTTCGGACTCACACTGGAACACCACCATCAGCTCTCCTGGGTCTCAGGTTTTCGGACTCACACTGGAACACCACCATCAGCTCTCCTGGGTCTCAGGTTTTCGGACTCACACTGGAACACCACCATCAGCTCTCCTGGGTCTCAGGTTTTCGGACTCACACTGGAACACCACCATCAGCTCTCCTGGGTCTCAGGTTTTCGGACTCACACTGGAACACCACCATCAGCTCTCCTGGGTCTCAGGTTTTCGGACTCACACTGGAACACCACCATCAGCTCTCCTGGGTCTCAGGTTTTCGGACTCACACTGGAACACCACCATCAGCTCTCCTGGGTCTCAGGTTTTCGGACTCACACTGGAACACCACCATCAGCTCTCCTGGGTCTCAGGTTTTCGGACTCACACTGGAACACCACCATCAGCTCTCCTGGGTCTCAGGTTTTCGGACTCACACTGGAACACCACCATCAGCTCTCCTGGGTCTCAGGTTTTCGGACTCACACTGGAACACCACCATCAGCTCTCCTGGGTCTCAGGTTTTCGGACTCACACTGGAACACCACCATCAGCTCTCCTGGGTCTCAGGTTTTCGGACTCACACTGGAACACCACCATCAGCTCTCCTGGGTCTCAGGTTTTCGGACTCAGACTGGAACACCACCATCAGCTCTCCTGGGTCTCAGGTTTTTGGACTCACACTGGAACACCACCATCAGCTCTCCTGGGTCTCCACCTTGCTGACTGCAGATTTTGGGATTATTTGGCCTCCATAATCACAGGAGCCAATTTCTTATAAAAAATCTCTTTGCCTATGTCAAGCTTGTCCAACCCACAGCCCACAGGCCACATGCAGCCCAGGACGGCTTTGAATGCAGCCCAACACAAATTCATAAACTTTCTTAAAACATTATGAGTTTTTTTGTGATTCTCTTTTTTTTGTTTTTTCTGGCTTATCAACTAGTGTTAGACTATTTTATGTGTGGCCCAAGACAGTTCTTCTTCTTCCAGTGTGGCCCAGGGAAGCCAAAAGATTGGACACCCGTGGTCTATGTATATGTATGTACACACACACATACACACACACACAGAGGCACACGTTGGTTCTGTTTCTCCAGAGAACCCTGACTAATACAGGGTACCCTGGGTCACAGCAGTGGTGCCTTCCCTCCCACTGCTGCCACTGGGTCTGGGTGTCTGAGGCCCCCACTAGACATAACTCTGAGGGCAGCAGCTCAGGGCCTTGGCACATGTTAGGTGCTCTGCAGAATCAACAGAAGAGGACTTTGACAAAAGGTCAATGAACCTACAAGGTCAAATCTCACCAAAGTCCAAGGAGAGAGGATGGGGGGTGGGCCCTGCGTGCAGCAGGCTCGTGGGTTACAGCAGTGGTGGGAGGGGCTGTGAAGAGGGAAGGCCAGCCCTGAAGAATCCGAAACAGTGGCTTGCCGATGATGTAAAGAAAGACCAATACGGCCACAAAGCCAAGGTTTCCTGTGTGTATTTCACCATCTGACCCTCCCAGTAGCCTTGGACCAAAGGACGGAGAAGTAAAACCTCACTCACCAAAGTGACTTCATTTCTGCCAGGCACTTGGATGCAAGAAGCACTCACTCCTTTCTATCTGTTACATTTTTGAAGCACAAAATATATTGCTAAAGTGAGAGAATATCATTAAAGGTTAATTATGGGAAACTTAAAGGTTATTTTTGCATATCTCACCTCTTGGACAAAAGCCGCTTCCTCATTACCATGTTAGAATATAAATTAATCTATAAAGCATTTAAAATGCCACAAACTCTTTAACTCTCTTATGATGTGAAATGCCATGAATAAATAGGCACTGCCCTGGTCTGCCTGTTGGGGGAGGTCTTGCCCGAGACCCTCCTTCCTCCCTCTCCATTCCTAGACACTGACCGGGAGCCACTCTGGCCCCTAGATCCTTCTCTCCAGACCAAGGGAATCAAGTAAAGATGACCCCTCTCCAAGGGGGCCGCATCTGGCTTCTCCACCTGAGTGTCTCTGCCGTCCACCCCACTTGGTCAGAATGGCCACACAGGCACGTGGCCAAGCAAACATACGGGAAGGCCAACCCAAGCCCACATGGCAGTGACCAGCCCACGGCCAACCACGATCCTCTGGCCCCAGGGTGCTGTCTAGGTCCTGGGGCCTCTTGTTGATCCAGCCTCTGTCTGTGGCTTCTGACAGAAAAGGATGATTCTGGCCTTAATAAAGTTAGACTGGGTTTCACTGAATAATTTATCTGCACACATTGCATTTCAGAAAGTTGCTGCTTCTCGTGCTGATGCCACACTTTCTGAGGGTAAACTGAGAGCCCCACATGCAAAGGCCGGAAGAGATGGAACCAGAGTACCTGAAAAGCAGACGTGAGGCTGCCGGGAAAGGTTTCCACCAATGGGGTGAAGGAAGCAGCATGAGAAAATGCATCAACGCATTCAACAGGGCAGCCCCAAAAAGCAAGAAGCCTGAGCCCAAAGCAGCCCCACCTCCGCGCAAGGAAGTGAGATCTGGAAAGTGGAAGAAACAAACAAATGGCCCGTGGGATCAAAGCACCACCTCCTGATCTTTGATGTCAGAGAGGCAGACAGAGGGCCTGGGAGACCCAGGGCCCCTGAGACACACAAGCCAGAAGGGACAATTCAGCAGCGTGTAACTGTAACCCTGCCCTTGTGTTCAATGGCAAGTCTGAGCGGGAGGCTGCTGGCCCCAGAATGTGCTCCTACAAAGGGAGAGGGACACACAGCGGGAGGGAGGAGGCCTCAAGGCTTATCCAAAGTAGCCAACATCCGCTGGGTGTCTGTCAGAGTGGGGAGCTAGACCCTTAAGGGAAGAGCGTTCCATCTGGAGTCAGATCTGGGGCTGGTGTTCGGCTCGGCCATGGTCAGCCATGGAACCTTGGGCAGCTCATTTAGTGCTTCATCCTCTGTCTGTAAAATGGGGAAAATCATCTCAATCTTAACCACTTATAGTGAAGAAAAACATGGTGGAATGGCCAAGCTCTTTGAGGAATCAAGGAAAACTAATGGAAATATGGGTGTTATTAAAATTACCCACAGGAATTGTGAGGGATACAAAGAAAAAAGTCCATCCATGTCTCTAAGGGTCATACAGTCCAATGTCCTAAAAGTAAGAGAATGGGTTTGAAGGAAGCCCAATGTGAGAGGTGACCAAAGAGGACAGCCCAGCAGCCAGCAGCTCTACGCAGCGGTCCTGCAACAAATGCACGTGCCACTGGACAAATGCACCGGCGACCCACACAGCCTCCCCTACAAAGGCTCCAGATAAGGGGTTAATAAGATACCAACACCCCCTTCTGGACAGAGAGAGACCCATACACTCAGAAACAGAGATACGTGACAGCCATAGTGACGGTGGCCACTCATAGGCTGCTTCCTAGAGCCACTCCCTTTCCACACAGTAGCTCAGTTCATCTTACAGCAGCCCTGGGAGTTCAGTCTTCGGTTTTTTTTTTTTTTTTTTTTTTTTTTTGGAGATGGAGTCTTGCCCGGTCGCCCAGGCTGGAGTGCAGTAATGCAATCTCAGCTTACTGCAACCTGCACCTCCCGGGTTCAAGTGATTCTCCTGCTTCAGCCTCCTGAGTAGCTGGGACTACAGGCATGTGCCACCACGCCTGGCTAATTTTTTGTATTTTTAGTAGAGATGTGGTTTCACCGTGTTAGCCAGGATGGTCTTGATCTCCTGACCTCGTGATCTGCCCACCTCATCCTCCCAAAGTGCTGGGATTACAGGTGTGAACCACCCCAACCAGCCATAAACCCATTTTACAGGAGCTCCGAGAGGTGAAGCAACCTGTCCACTGTTCATCAGCCGTCATGTGTCCAACACCATTCTCTGAACTCACAGATGGCAGAGTTAAGATGGGTGCAAGCCTGTCTGTCCCCAGAGCCCATGCTCTTAATATTGGATTAGACAGCGTGCTCAGGAAGGTTCTCAGAGGTTTTCTTCTCAATAGAAATTTCTATAAAACCAGGGATGATGAAGCCAGGGCAATGGTAGGTATGGGAGGGCAGAATCATGTACCCCTCTCCCCAGATGTCCATGTCCTAATCCCCGAAACCTGTGGCTATGTTAGATTATGTGGTAAAGGGGAAGTAAGTTGGCAAGTTGAATTAAGACTGCTAATCAGCTGATCTTGAGATGGGGAGATGATTTCAGATTACCCAGCTGGGCTCAATGTAATCACAAGGTCATTAGAAGTAGAAGGGGGACTCAGGAGAGGAGGTCAGAGAAAGAGAGCCAGAGAGATGCTCCGTGGCTGGCTCTCAAGATGGGGGAAGGGACCCAGAGCCAAAGAATGCAGGCGGCCTCTAGCCGCTGGAAGAGGTGAAGAGATGGATTCTCCTCCCAGAGCTTCCAGAAGGAGCGCAGCCCTTCTGACACCTTAATTTCAGCTCAGTGAGACCTGGGTCACACGTCTAACATACAGAACTGTAAGACAATGCGTTCCAGTCATTTTAAGCAATTAAGTTCTCAGTGGTTTGTTACATAGAGGAGAGGACACTACAGTTAAGGGGGCACATTTGGGAATCGAGGTCGCACAGAGTCCCTAAACTGGGAGGCCCTGGGGGCTGCTTTCTGCTGACATAGAAAGAGGACCGACCAAAGGGATCACGGGTGAACCCGAGGAGCAGCGCCATCCCTCTGAGATCAGAGGACAAGCCACCTTCCTTGAAAAGGCAGGAATCCGACCCAGCTTCTAAGAACACTCATTCATCTGCCTCTAAGTGAGCAGCAGCTGTCTGTAAAGATGACGCTGTCCTCCCAGGTTGCTGATTAAATATTACAGGAGGAGCACTCACTCTCCCCCGTAGCAGGGCTGAATAATTCATCGCAGATTCATTTAAATGAAGCAGCAGAAGGCAAGGAGCTGAACTGGGTCAGACTGGCCCGGCCTGCTCGGGCAATTCAGCTATTAGGTCATTTTAAAACAAAAGGGAAGAGCTGTTGCGAGGATTAATCATCAGCTCCTCAACTCTCCTGAAGCACAGTGGCTAAAAATCATTGCAAATCGATGTCTATTAAGCTGCCTCAGAACATTCTAGCCCTTCAGGAAAAGAAACTTAAAAAAAAAGGGGGGAAGGGGGGTGCTGAAAATTCTAATGGGTTGGGATAAAGGGTTACATGGCCCAGAAAATGTGCTGTGCTTCTTGTTAACAGGATGCCCCCAGCAGCTACTGGAAGAGAGTGAATGGGTGGGATCCAGATTTCAGAAGCAAATTAAGCCATCACCTGGAGCCCAGGAACACGATCCAGGAAGGAACAGGATGAATCACTTGAAACTCAGATAAATTGAATGCAGAAACACCTCAGGCCACCTCGGGCTCATTTCCAGAAAGACCCATGCTCACTTCCCGGCTCACCATAGGCAGCAGAGCCACTGAGGCCAAATCTGCCCCCATAAGAAACCAAACAGAAGATGTGGGGCTAAGCCCACCCCATCAGGTCAAGCTAATCCCACGATGGGCTTCAGACCCCGAGTGCTCCTCAGCAGCGTCCCCTCTGAATCATCCCATCTAGACACTGGGTACTTTCTGGGAAGGAAAGTGCTGAGGTACAGAACAAGGACCCCCAGTCCTCAAACACTAAGGAGTCAGCTTTCTCACTCAGGCCAATGGGAGGACGATTCATCTGCCCGTTTTTACTGTGACATCTTGATCGGTGGTCTGTGGAGCCATAAGCACAGAATGTCTCTTTGCAGATTGCACAGGGATGGCAGATGGATTTCAACACAAGTGCTATCTCTGATCAATGAGTCGTGTCTGTCTGAAACGAGAGCTGTGTTAGGAGGGATTCTGAGGGTGCACCCAGCTCACAGAAGATTGTACCATGGGTAGTGATGTCTGCTCTGGGCATCAATGGATCATGCATATTCACCATCCCTGAATCCAATTCAGCCATTGTAAGGAGAAGGAAACTGAGCCCCAGAAAGGCAAGAATGCTTTGCCCAGTGCCACCCAGAGAGTGCGTATTGATGCCATGATGAACTCCCAGTTTGTGGCCTGTTCTTCCTACACTTTGCCCCTCTTATCAGTGCTTTCGTGTAATGCATAGTGCGGCAGCAGCATCTGAGGGAGCCCCCAATGACTCCTGCTCCTGGAAGCCACACCCTTTTGGGTCAGCTCCCCTTGACAGGAGCTGGACTTAATGTCTCACTTCTAAGAAACAGATGGCAGCAAAATGAAAGGATGTCACTTGTGAGATTTATTTTCAAAAAGACTCTGGCTTTTGTCTTGCTCACCCTCTCGTAGTCTCTTGCTAACTCACTCTGATAAAGCAAGCTGCCCTGTTGGAGAGGCCCATGTGGCAGGAACTGAGGGCAGCCTCTGGCCAACAGCTAGAAAGGAGTTCAGCCCTCAGCTCAACAGCCCACAAGGAACTGAATCCTCCCACAATGCATGAGTGAGCTTGGGAGTGGATCCTGCCTCAGTCGAGTGTTCAACTGAGGCTGCAGCCCCAGCAACACTTTGACTGCAGCCCCGAGAGAAACCTTGAGACCTGGCTAAGTTGTCCTGGATTCCTGACTGACAGACAGGGCAAAATGATACATAAGTGTTATTTTAAGCCACTAAGTTTTGAGGCAATTAGGTAACTATAAAATTAGCGCAATAGGTAACTAATACGATTGTCAATAAATATTTGTTGGATGAATAAATAAATAAGTTTGGGCTCTTAGCTTGGCTTCCCATGCAGCATTTGACTCTCTTAACCACCATCTCCTATTTAAAATGCTCTTCTTTCTTGAATGCTGTGATGTGGACTCTTTGAGTTTTCTCCCCTATTTCCTCTCTGAACCTTTTTCACCCCAAGGATTGTTGAATCGTTTCTGGTAGTCGAGGATGATGTGAGAGTTCAGGCCGTCCTTCTGCACAACCACAAAAGCAGAAGTGAGGAAGAACTGGGCTGTGTGCGTACAGAGCCCAGGGCCATCTGGGTCTGCGGTTTGGAACAGATTCCTGGGGAGATCATCATCATGAATACACCAATGACACTAAGCCCTAAGTTCTTAACACGCTTCACTCATGTACTCCTCACAACAATATGTACTATCATTACTCCCATTATACAGATGCGAAAACTGAGGCACGGTGAGAAGGTAATTTTCTGCTACTAAATGGAAGAGCTGGGCTTCATATACAGAGCCCGGCTCTTGACCACCAAGCGCTTCGGTAGGAATTATCTTCACTGAATTCTTGCCATCAATATTTGGGGCTCGCTAACTCCCTCATGCAGGGCTCTGTCCTGTGCACCATAGGACGGTTTCCAGCATCAACAGCCTCTACCCCAGATGCCAGCAGCTTGGCCCCTCCCATGGTGACCACCAAAAATGTCTCCAGACATTGTCAAATGTCCCATGGGGACTGAGCGAGGGGGTGGTTGTGTCTCTGGTTGAGAGGCACCCTTCTCAAGTGTAGGAAGAAGTCAGCAGGCAGATGATTCCAGTGACCCATCAGGGTGACCTTGTAAACACTTCCATTTATGGTCCCATTAGCTTGATGGGTGCAGTGGGACAAACAGGCTTTCAACAGACAGACATGGGCTGGAGTCCCTGCTTGGAAAGGCCCTCTAGCCTCGCAGTGCCCATCTAGACACTCACTAAATGGGGGCTAGGCTGTGCCCTGGAGGACAGCCCTGCAGCTCAGGGAGCAGATCTGGGAGAGACAGCTCTGCCTGGCTGAGCCCCGGCCAGGCTCCCACAGAGCGTGCACAAAAAAGGCATCCCAGCAGCACCCGCCCCTCCGGGAGGTGGCTCCTGCAGGGATTCTCGGCTTTTGTCCCATCTTCTTGCATTCCATGGCCTCCAGAGTCTTCTCATCATTTATGTCAACGCCACCAATTAATCTGCTCTCTGTGTGGCTTAAGAATGAGAAAAGCCCAAGCATTGTCTCTCCCGACCCTATCAGGGCATGCCGTTCCCCACCAAAGTTCACGGTTTTCTGATTGAAATTCACCCGTACAAATGCTGCTGTGCTGTTTTTCCCAACGAAATCAATTGAATCCAATTGATCTTGGCCCCATTTTGCATTCCTCCCACAGCTGTGTGTGTGGGCGCGCACACACACACACACACACACACATGCACACACACATACACATGCACACACACCAGGCTCTCCTGCGTGTGCCGTCTGGGAACTTCTCTCTAGTTATCTCAGATATGTGTGACTTGTCTTTCCAATTAGATCAGGGGCCATGTTTTCCACTGCCTTTGTAACCCCACAGTGCCTACTACAAACCTATGCACGCAGCAGGCACTCAATAATGGCTTGTTGACTAACGCTAGACATTATGGAATTGCATTTCGAGGCCCCCTCTCCCCACCCCACCTGCCATCTGACATCCCTGATGACACGAGCTGTCCCTGGCGGTTTCCACGACATCTCCCCAGAGGCTGCCACTCCAGTCTGCACATTACTGATAGCATCTCATCCTCCAAATAACAAGACCACTATCTCAAGCCAGATCTAATCCTGGTGCCTCCCTGAGTCACACCAGAAAGTCAAGATATTAAGCCATCTGCTTGTTGGAAGCCACTTTCCAAGCCAATTAGGGATAATTTTAGGAGAGCAGGTTCATGAGATGCAACATCAAATGCTCTCCTCTGAAATGAAGGCCTACCGTAGGATCAACTTCCTCAGAGCAAACAAGTTTCACTGGAAAATTATAATGAACACTTGGTGAAGCAGAGAAACGCGGTTCCACGGGGCTATAAATACTCCCAAGCGCTCCACTACTCGGGGGCGGTTAAAAATTATTTTAAAGCGCTAAGAAAGACACCGAAGTTGAAAAAAGCACTCAAATGTGAAAAAGAAAGAGCTGGGCTCTGGTCCCAACTTCTGTACCTAATTAGCTGAAGTGACCTTGGGTAAGTCACATAATTTCTGGGTCTCAGTTTCCTCATCCGTGAGTGGAGGGAAGTGGCCGGACAGGAGAAAGAAAACTGAATGTGAGATGTGGCTTACTCTGGATCTTTCTTTCTCCCTCCATCTCCCTCCCTCTCTTTTGCTCCCTCTTCTTCCTCTATTTCCTCCTCATCCTCCTCTTTCGTCTCCTCCTCCTCCTCCTTCTTCTCCTTCTTTCTTTCTCTCTCTCTCTCTCTCCCTTCCTCCCTCCCTCAGTGTATCCCCAGGCATTACCTACTTTGCAGGTTGTTAAAAGGATTGAGATCCCAGATCTGAAGGGTTTTGCAAGTTGTAAGCAGCCTGTAAGATACTCAGAAACTTCTCACCACCACTCTGTGGGTCTGTGATCTAAGCAGTTTTACAAATTAACATAAACCAGGTCTAAAAGAAATAAGATAACTAGAAAACACAGATAAAAACTGAAACTGTAGTTAACCCTTGACTAAGAGCATTAGTGGATAGGAAATCATTTCATACACCTCCTAAAACTCTGGGGAAACCCTTTTTTTTTTTTGAGACATGGTCTCACTCTGTCACCCAGGCTGGAGTACGGTGCGTGATCTCGGCTCACTGCAGCCTTAACCTCCTGGGCTCAGGTGATCCTCCCACTTCAGCCTCTCGAGTAGCTGGGACCACAGGTGCACCACCATGCCCAGCTAATTTTTGTATTTTTGTAGAGACGGTGGTCTCACTATATTACCCAGGCTGGTCTCAAACTCCTGGGCTCAAGTGATCTGCCCACTTCAGTCTCCCAAAGTGCTGAGATTACAGGTGTGAGCCATTGTGTCTGGCCCCAAAGTTATTTTAAAATCAACTTTGAGGCATATGCACCTTATCATTCCTTCCCTGGGATGTATGAACTAATGTTAATAATAAACTGTGTTCCAATTCCTGAGAAGACAACAAACAGCTCAAAGCAACAGCCCAGTGCTCAGTGGAACGGAGGAAAAGGCCGCAGATCCGCCTCTGCCTCCGAGCCACCCCACCGTGGGCCTGTCATGCCCTTCATGGGAAGTTCCCAGCAGATCTGGGGAATTCTCCTAACTGATGGCAATGTGACTTCTGCGAATTCAGATACCTTTCCAGATGATAAGCCCGAACTTTCTGGCAGGGGGTAAACTCACAAAGCAATGACCTTAACTTGGTAAATTAATTCCAAAACACAATTGTTTTCAATCTTCATTTAAAATCAGCCTTTGTTAATCTAGATTTAATGACATAAGAAATGGAAATTCCCTTAATAAAATAAGTTATGAATATTTATCATCCCATTTTACCTGAAAATTGAATAATTCATCAATTAACTTTACTATTAATTATTTAATGCAAAATTAATAAACTGCAAAACTCATACATATCCTTGCAGACCCTCTGGCACTGGGTAAAGAAATTAAGCACCAGAGAAATGGCGTAACTAGAGATATTCCCAGACACACACTGATGGGATAGATGGGGTTAAGGCTGGAATTTTTCTAGAAGGAGCAGAACCAAATCACTTACTCATAAAGTGAAGGGAGAGATTTTTTTTCTCACCTTGGAATTCTGTATCACAGCTAAAAAAGAATTCAAAGTTTGGCAATTATATCTAAGAATAATTCCCCCCATGCAGTCTCTCCATTATCCGTCACCATCATCATCATCAATAACAGTTTTCTCACATGTAAATGGGCCCGTGATGTGAAGCTGCCACAGCCAGCACGACCCCTTGTCCCTGGAGACCACTTTCTCTCCTGAAGCCTCAGTTGACAGTCTGATTGGAAGGGGAGGGGCTGAGCACACAGAGATGGGAGTGGGAGAAAGTTTAAAAGGAGCACAGTGCTAGGGGACACTGGGACAGGTGGGTCTGACATCAGCCAAATCTGAGCAGCTGGCATTCAAGGGGAACCAAAGCTTGGTGCTTGGAGCCTCTGGGGATCCAGTTCCCCCAGAGCTCCTCTGGCTCTCCACACTCAGAAGGTCAGACTCCACGGCGTCTTTGCTGACAGCAGCTAACAGGACAAGGATAAGTCAAAAATTTTCCCAGAGACTTCTTACAAGAGAACAGTGACCAACACAGGAAGCTGTGTGTGTGTGTGTGTGTGTGTATGTGTATTGAGTATTTATGCATGTGTGTACATGTATGTATATGTGTGTGTTTCTGTGCTGCATGCATGCATTGTGTTGAATATTTGTTTTGTGTGCATGTATGTAGTTGTGTGTATGTGTGTTGTGTGTACACGTGTGTAGTTGTGTTGTGTGTACATGTGTGTAGTTGTGTGTGCATGTGTGTTGTGTGTATATGTGTGTAGTTGTATGCATATGTGTGTTGTGTGTACGTGTGTAGTTATGTGTGTTGTGTGTACATGTGTGTAGTTGTGTATGTGTGTTGTGTGTACATCTGTGTAGTGTGTACATCTGTGTAGTTGTGTGTGTTGTATGCATATGTAGTGTGTACATGTGTGTAGTGTGTTGTGTTCATGTGTGTACTTGTGTGTTGTGTGTGCGTGTGTGTAGTTGTATGTACGTGTGTGCTGTATGTGTGTAGTTGTGTGTATGTGTGAGTGCGCGTGTAGTTGTGTGTTGTGTGTACATGTGTGTAGTTGTGTGTGTGTGTATGTGTGTTGTGTGTACATGTGTGTAGTTGTGTGTGCATGTGTGTAGTTGTATGTATATGTGCGTTGTATGTACGTGTAGTTATGTGTGTTGTGTGTGCATGTGTGTAATGTATTGTGTGTACATGTGTGGTGTGTACATGTGTGTCATGTATACATATGTGTAGTTGTATCTGTTGTGTGCATGTGTGTAGTTGCGTGTACATGTGTTGTGTTGTGTGTGCGTGTGTGTAGTTGTGTGTGCGTGTGTGTAGTTGTGTACATGTGTGTTGTGTGTACATGTGTGTAGTTGTGTTGTGTGTATGTGTGTAGTGTGTACATGTGTGTAGTTGTGTGTTGTGTGTACGTGTGTAGTGTGTATCTGTGTTGTGTGTACGTGTGTAGTGTGTGTTGTGTACATGTGTGTAGTTGTGTGTGCATGTGTGTAGTGTGTGTAGGTGTGTGTGCTGTGTGTGTGCGTGTGTAGTTGTGTGTACGTGTGTAGTTGTGTATATATGTGTGTGTTGTGTGTGCATGTGTGTAGTTGTGTGTATATGTGCCTCTCAGACAGACGGTGCCTCAGTCCTCCCATCCGTAAAATGGAATCTACATTGGCATGTGAGCACTCCCGGGTTCTTTCTACTTTCACCCTTGGACTTCCAGTTCATTGTCCATCCCTAGGGCAACCAGGCAAGGGTGTTAATAATAGCTACTCAGGTAGGTACCCTGTTCAAGGGTACCCCCCACCCCGCTGGGAACCCCCACTGCACCCCGCAGCCCCTCTGGAAGGCAGCCCAACCTCCCCCACCCCATGCACTAGAGGGGCAGCCTCTCCCTGCACTTGACCCTTGTAGCACTCCCCAAAGTTGCAATTCTTATAAATGATCTGTCTTGGTCACCACCACTATGTCCCAATGCCCAGCACAATGCCTGGCACACAGGAAGCAGTCGGAAGGTATTCACCGAGTAAAGAGAAGAGTGGGTGCCAACCAACAACTAAAGAAGGTGACAGTTCGGTGTCACGCAGCTCAGGAATAAAAGGGCTCGCTCATAACCCAGGGAGAAGATGACACCCATTCCCCAAACAGAGCACGGTCAACCCCCAGCATCAGAAGGGCAGCATCGCCCAACACTGGTGAACTGAATTAATTAGAGCGAGCCCATGACACTGGAGGTGGAAGGGCCGTGGATTTTCAGTGTGAAAATATGTGGAAATAGCACATTTCACGGTGCAGGCTGTGCTCCTGGGGAGAAGCAAAAGTGTCTCATCTGTTTTCCCTCCTCCATCCTTGCGCATACATTTGTTCTTTCCATAATTTCATCACCTGCCTAGACGTCGTTCTCCAGACCTGACAGTGGGCTGACTTCTCTGATCCCTCGGCCTAGGCACCAGCTGCCATTCTACATGCAAATTCAATTCCATCGCAGGTAAAGGCCAAAATAAAAAACTCAGATCCTGAATTCCTACAGATCATCCCGGTGGAGAGAGTGATGGGAAGTCACAACGCCAGCCACCAATGCTTCAGTGAGCTCCCCTGTCCTCAGCAGAGCAGGACCCTCCCCTCCCGGACGTGGCTGCCCCGTCCTGGACTCTCGCTCCCTCTTCCCCACCAGAGTCACCTCAAACTAAACAGCTTAATTAACAATAAATTCCCTGCCAGGTGAGGTCAGGAGTAGCCAGTATAGAATAATTAATTTTTTCTTCGAGGAGAAAATTTCCTCTACCCAAAAAATTTCAACTCGCTAAGACACATAACGAAGAAAAATTTTCCCAGAGACTTCTTACAAGAGAACAGTGACCAATACAGGAAGCTGTGTGTGTGTGTGTGTGTGTGTGTGTGTGTGTGTGTGTGTGTGTGTTGTGTATTTATGCATGTGTGTACATGTATGTATATGTATGTGTATTTCTGTGCTGCATGCATGCATTATGTGTTGAATATTTGCTTGTGCATGTGTGTTGTGTGTACATGTGTGTAGTTGTGTGTATATGTGCATGTATATGCTCCGTGTCTGTATTGCCTGGGCACATGCATATGTGTGTATGTGCCTACATGTGTACATGTGTATATGTGTTTGTGCTGTGTGCACACATGTATTGTGTGTTACAAATTTGTTCATGCATATGTGTCATGTGTACATGTGTAGTTGTGTATCTATGTGCACGTGTATGGTTCTATGTGCCACAGCACGCACATATGTGTCTACATGTGTGCTGTGTGTGTATGTGCATACATGTGTGTAAGCTCACACACACAACGCAAAGCAAAAGCTCAAGTGAAAGTGGGATATGCAGCAGAGTTGGAGAACCAGAAAAGATTTCCTTCCTTTGTTTTTGGTTTATTTTTAATTTTTTTAGAAAGCTCCATAATGAAGGACTGTGGAAAATCTAAGAATAGCAAAGACAGTAATACCTCCTAGCCAAACAGCACAGGGGGAGAATCTCCAGCCCAGAACCCCCAGATGATCTGGTGATTACTCATTACACAGAAACTTATGAATTGCAAAAAGTCCTTTATTCCAAGAACTCGCCTTCCTATCTCATAATGCCACAAGGCCCGCAGGCCAACTCCCTTTCCCTTTCCATGGGCAGCGAGTAACAATTTATTAGATCAGAATTGATCCAGAGGAAACACCACAGATGCCAATCCACGCCCGTGACAGAAATACCAGGCAGTCCTAATTCTCCAAACCAAGGAGACAGGGCTGAAGATGCTAAGAATAAACTGCGGGGCCTGCGGGGCGCCAGAAACAAAACAAAATGACCATCGATGGACACGGACAGGGCATGCAAATACTTATCGATCAGTGTGGGCACAGTGCCAGGGGGCTTTTCCATTCTCGGAAGTATTCACTGCCAGGTGTCCTGCTTAGAGATGCTGGCAAGGGTCACCCTGGGCGGGCAGTCTCCTGTTGGGGTGTCAGAGCACCCCAACGTGCATCACAGGCACCCTGGCACGAAGCCTCTGCCGCGAAGGCTTTTGTCCCAGTAAAATCCAAAGAAGACACATGCAGAACCATGTAAAAATAAAAGCCATCGAGATCCCACTGTTAGGGGACATGCACAGCATAGTGGATGGCCCTGGCCGTCCCCAAGATCCCTGAAATTCTGCTCAGGGAGAGGCCACACCACGCCCCTGTGCCAATGCCAGGAAAGGCTCTAAACTAAGAATGGTGCATTAAGAAGGTGGACAGGAGGCCAGCGCCGGGGCTTGGTGTGGGTCGGGCTGCGCACCTGGGGCCTCACACACAAGAAGCATGTGTGCATGTCAGCAGCAGGATTTCCCAGCCCTGAGCAGCTGCGCACTTAGAAACCTCCAAACTGCACTTTGAGGCATTTCTTTCTGCAGACTGAAAAAGACTTGGAAAAAGAGAAAAAAGCAAGAGAGTGAAACAGCAAGTTAACTTGAGAGTGAGCAGGAAACGAAGAGGAGAGAGAGGAAGAATGAGAAAACAAGGGGAGTGGGTCCCACTCGGCACGACTCTGGGCAAAGGCCAGTGAGGAAGAAACAGGGCTCACAGGGAGGACTAAGCATCGCTCATCTTCACCAGTGACAGTAAAGGAATGAAAACTAATATAAATCCACAAAGGAAAAGCCAAAGGGGAACAGAGACGAGTGTGGATAAGAGACGCCAACACATTCCGGAGAGACGGGAAGCAGATGCAGGGTTGGTAACTGACACAGCTGAATCTAGGAAGCAAAAACCCAAGTGCCGTGCAGGGGACCCCAGGAACAACACGCTAACCCGCCTGCCAAGCCCCTAGAAGACTCGTGAATTGGAAGCAGTAGGTGCCACGGAAGGCAGAAGTTAGGAATGGGGTGGGAAGCAGAGGGAGCTCACACATCTGTATAGGGGGCAATAGACCCTCCCGGGGTCCCACGTCTACACTGAGCAGACAGGCAACCACCCCCTGGCCTCTGCCCCAGCGGGAGACACATTGATTCTCTGAAGAGGTGGAGTCTGGAAAGACTCCGAACTCGGAAACAGCAGAAGAGAGGCAAGAAACACAGGCTATAAACTGGGAGAATTAAGTGATAGCTCTCATACCCAATGCTGACATTCCCAGCCCCTCGCCCTGCTTGGCTCCCAGACCACCAGCAGCCAGGCCAGCTCAAACTAGGCAGCACATCGACCAGTCCTTCTCAGGAGAACCCGGATGGTTCCAGAGAAAAAATGTAGAGATGCTGAACCTCAGAGTTACCAACAGAAAGCTGGCTCCCTCCATTAACCAGCCCCTCCCCCAGGTAAGGAAGAGCCAGGCAGTGGACACAGTAAGAAAGCTAAATCCTCAGTTAGCATCTGAGGAAGCCGGAAGATGATGTCTAAAATTGACAAATCAAGAAACAGCAGAGTCAACATATTTAGAAATCTGGAGGTAAATATCAGAACCAAAAGACCAGAGAGCAGCCGCCCCTGGGAAACAGGATTGAGCTGTACTGCAGAGGCTGCTATCTTTTCTTACAAGTTTTTTAGGGCCATTTGACATACTAAACTATGTACACGTATAATTTTTATAAAAATAAAAGAAGGGAGGGCCGGACGCACTGACTCATGCCTGTAATCCCAGCACTTTGGGAGGCCGAGGCGGGCAGATCACTTGAGGCCATGAGTTCGAGAGCAGCCTGGCCAACAGGGTGAAACCCCATCTCTACTAAAAATACAAAAATTAGCCAGGAGTGGTGGCAGGCACCTGTAATCCCAGCTACTCAGGAGGCTGAGAGGCAGGAGAACCACTTGAACCTGGGAGGTGGAGGTTGCAGTGAGCCGAGATCACACGATTGCACTCCAGCCTGGCTGATGGCGAGACTCCATATCAAAATTTTTTTAAAAAGCATGGGGGTGGCGGGGTGGGCAGGAGCCACAGGTCGTAGCTGTCTAACCCAGGGAGGAATCAGAGACACAAACATCAACACTTCCCTCTTGGCTCCTCCAGGACACCGGGAACTTGCACTCCTGGCCCCAAGAAGTGAGGAGGGGTGGGATGGAGGCCAACCCTCAGCTCTTGTGCCAGGGACATGAGCCCTGGACTGGTGCTGCCATTTCAACAGGTGGCTAAGCCCACTGAAGTCACATGAGGCTCACATGTCCTCTGATCAGGAGCCCAGTGTATGTGACAATACCCCACCAGGCCATCAGTGCCCCCGCCACGGCCAACTTCCTAGACACGGAGGGGATGTGAGGAGTGGCCTCCGTGGGTTGCCCCTGCTTTGACATGTGGTATTCTGGGATTAACTAGGATAAAGATAACTGGAATCTGGGGCAGACCTATTTCCATGCAGAGACTGGGGACTTCCCTACCACTGTCGAGACACCGCCAGACACTCCATCAGGATACAGGCCACAGCTCATTCCCCACCCCCGGAAACAAATGAAAACTACGTGACAGGTACCCTGCGAGGAAGTCCTCGGGCAGGAGGCTCCCTGGGAACTCTGACAGATGTGGCACCCGCCAACTCCCTCACCCTGCAGTTGCCCTTTGGCCAACAATGGCCTTGGCCAAGGATTTGTGATACATTACAAAAATGCTGACACGCACCTAACGTGACACGTCTCTGTGTTAATTTGAAGTGCGTTCCCGGTTCAGTGCATAATGCAAAGGTTACCACGTGGAAACCACTGCTGACCCAGTTTCCTTTTTCCTGCATAGTTCCAAAGTGCAGAGTCCTAAAATGCTCTAAATCTAAAACTGCCCTTCCGAACTCTGGCCACCAACAGCACCCCCTGCACATGCACACACACGCATGCGCACGCACGCGCACGTGCACACACACACACACACACACAATTCGTCCACCCCAGCCAATCCTGCCCAGCTGAATACCTGAGGAAGAGCTACAGAGGCAACTCCAGGAATTTTTTTTTAATTGTAGTAAAATATAGGTAACATAAAATGTACCACTTTCACCATTTTTAAGTGTAAGTTCAGTGGCATTAAGCACATTCACATTGCTCTGCCACCATCATCACTGCCACCCATCTTCCCCAGCTGAAACGCTGTACCCATTAAACACTAACTCCCCATTTCTCCCTCCCTCCACCCCAGCCCTTGGAAACCACCATCTACTTTCCATCTCCAGAGCTGACTATTCTAGATCCCTCAGTCAGCACATCACACAATGTGTGGCTCTTTGCGTCTGGCTTATTTCACTGAGTATAACGTCTTCAAGCTTCATCCAGGTTGCAGCAGGTGTCAGAATTGCATTTCTTTTCAGCTCTGGGAATTTTTAAATGGTTTTTGCAATTCTATTCCAGTCACTCGAGCAGCCTTACCAGGAATAGGGGCTTCCTTAGAAAAGTCCTCTGTCTGTCCCAAAGAGCAGATGCCTTAAAGGTGACCAACAGGTCACTGCCAGGGGTCTTACAATGGGGCTGAACAAAGACAAACCCCACTGCACCAGGACCAGCCTGGGGCCTGATAACACTGACTTTCTAGGCAGAGGCCTCAGCTCATAGGCTGGCACCATGCCGGGACCCCAAGGGCTGTCTAGGACAAAGAACCCCATGGATGGCAGGCACTGGCACTCCTGCCTCCTGGGCAAACTTGCTGCTGTGCAATGCATCCACACTCTGTCCGCCCCCAACTCCACCCCATCAAAGCCCTGGCCTCCCTGCACACAGGCTGTGAAGAGATAAAAGGGACAGCATGACCTTGTCCTTGGGGAACCCGCCACCCCACTGGGGAAGAAAGACTCACTCATGACAGCTGAATTGGCAAACAACCGACAACAAAGCACGTGCAGCTACGGGAGCAGGAAGGGAAGAGGGCTCGCCCTGAGTTGGTGAGTTTGGGGAAGGCTCCCAGGAAGAGGCAGACCAGATTGGACATGAGGGCATTCGAGGTGAGGGCAATGCCAAGTGAAGGCCAAAGTGGGGGACAAGAAAGATATTCAGAGAGCAGCCAGCAGCTCCCCAGTTGTAGCAGTACCTAGAGGTGGGATGTCAAGGAAAATAAACGGAAAAGGGTGGGTTGAGACAGAAGAATGGCCTTAACGACATCACTGGAGAGTCAACCTCAGCTCCCAGGAAGTATCTGAGGCTCCCAAGTAGAATAACGATGGAATCAAAGCAATATTTCAGGCAAACCAATGGGGAGGAGGAGTTCGACTTAGAGAAGGAAACCTAGTAGGAGATATTTCAATACTCCAAGCGTAACAGTGGCAGTGAGGACACAGCTGAACCTGGGGGAAAACATACGAAAATGAGGATGTGAATTACAGTCGGAAACACTGACGGAGTTGGTGGCTAATGAGATGCAGGGGACAAAGGAGAAAAAGGAGCCACCTGGAGTCCAAGTTGTATGCTCTGGCATCTCCACAAACGAGGTGGCTCTTCTAGAACCAGGGAAGTCAGAAGATGGAAAGCAGAGTGGGAGTCAGGGAAGGAGGGGAGAAGATGGCGAGCTGGAGATCATAATACGTCATGCAGGTGCCGGGGAGACAGAGTCGGATGTGGGGAATGATCCACAGAGACTTGACGGTGAGACCATGGTGTCGGGGAGTCCTGGGAGCCCCACAAGGGAGAATGTGGGAAGAAAGAGCAGAGGATCACAGTTTGATGTCCACCACCATCAGGGCGGGGAAAGATCTGGGCATTTGAAGCCGGAATGGACGGATGGGGTCAGGAAACCAGGAGGAGGAGAGTGGAAGCTCTCTCTGAGCCACTGGAGTCTTTTTGAAACTCAGGGCTCACTTTTCTCCTCCTTTCCTTCTAGACCCCCTCCTTCTACTGGGCTGTTTTATTGCTTATTGACCAAAAGGCATTTAGTGTTCATCATAGGAAAATTCTATTATGAGACCCTTAGTGCTTCCATGTGGAGGTGCTATCTATATCAATCTAATTAATTAATTAGATAATCAACAGCCTTTTCCAGCCTCTTTCTAACGGGTATAAACAGGATTCCTGGGAAGGACATGCTCTTACTTCAATCTTGAGCTTTGTGTGTTCCTGGCTTCCAGGGAAGGTTGCGTATTTCCCAGGGGAGCAGGAATAAATGATTGGGATTGCTCAGTTTTGCAGCTGTCTGCCTGTCCTGGGCTCAGCCCGGTTCCCTGCCCTCTGGTGAAAGGGACCTGCTCCCCTGCAGTGGTGTGCCACTCTTCCACACTGCCTGTGACTGGGGGGCTAACTCCAATTCAGAGGGCAGTGTAGAACACCCTTCTGGCTGGCACGTATGAGCCACGCTTACTGACAAAGGGAACCTTTGCCTGGAGCCTGGTTCTCCTAGTTGGTTTGGAATTCACGGCAGTGAGAGGCGGAGAGGAATAGAGGAGCTATTGACGGGCTCCCTGGGAACCTTCACAGGCACAAAAGCAAAGGGTATGGGCTTTGCAGTGAGATCATACTGGGTTCAAGTTCCAGTTCTAGCACGGACTCACCATGCAGTCCCAGGAGGGCACGTACCTTCCATACCTGGCAGAGCTGCCAGAAGGGTTTCAAAGCACAGCATCCAGCCCATGGGCGGTGTGAGAGAACACAGTGCTGGCTCAACCGGACAATCCTGGGACTAGAAATACCCGAAAAACTGAAGTGGAGAAAACCAGGTCCCTTCCTTCACAACACTCAGGCTCACCTTTCTATGTCACTTTTGTTCATTTTATGGATATTTCTTGAGGGTCTGGGAGGTGTCCACACTGTTCTAGGAGCTGGGGGTGCCCCATGAACAAGCCCCACTAAAAATCCCTCTCCTCTTCGTGCTAACACTTTGGAGTGGGTCAAGTAATGAATACATAAATTAGGCAAGGCAACTGCGACAGACACAGTGTGTCAGAAGGCGATGAGTGCTCCAGAGAAACGTAAAACAAGAAAGGAGGAAAGGGGGCTGGCTGGGTGGGGGTGGGGGTGAGACTAAACTGCATGGCCAGGGACACCTCCCCGAGAAAGGGACACCCAGTCAAGGCCTGCAGGAGGAGCTGGGAGAACATTCTAGACAGAGGACACTCTTCTTTCCAAGATTCTCAATTCACCTGGCAGGGTGGGGAGCATGAAGTTCCCTGGGGTCTCCAAATGGTATTATTATCACACTGAGCACACAGCAAGTGCCAAAAAAACACGTTCCGCAGGGTGATTTTTCAAACCGGAGGTCCCAGTTGCTGAGAGTACAATACGGGCTGTTTGAACGTTCAGCATTCAGCTCTGTTGCGATACCGCGGCTGCCCCCAGGGTCCCCAGCCCTGGGAGCCTCCGTGTAGCACACCTCATTATTAAACAGGTGAGCTGGGGCTCCCGGGGCCTTCTCTGTAATTAGGGCAGTATCTGAGCAAGGACTATATTTATAACCCCCAGCCAGCAGCAAGCCACAGAGACAAGCAGGGGGCCCCTCTGCAGCTTCTATACCAACATCTATATGTGAACTGATTACAACAATTAATTTAATAGGGATTCCTCCACACAAACAATGTATCATTTTATTAGGAAACTCTATAAATGTCAGTGGTGCAATTCATTTTTATTAATTTTCTAAAATGAAATTAGCAGTGGCGGCGGCAGCAGCAAACAGAAGTTGTATTGCCTTCTCATTCAGCAGAGTATTGGTGTCATTAATTCCTTAATACCAGGAGGCCAGTTTGTATGAACTCAGCAGTTAACTGCACCAATTAATTTCAATACTAGAGATGGGGTGGGGGTGGGGATCCAAACACAACTCAACAACTAATTTAGGAAGGTCCTTGAACAACCACAGCAAGTTTTGCTTCTCCTGGGACAAGAAGCTTTCAAGTGTAAACATGGAGTGGATATTATAATACTAATAGGAAACCTTCCGTCTTCACCCTCTGCCTTTAGGAAAGAAATTCGTCCTTCCAAACCCAGAGAAATCCTGGCAGACGCCTGTCGAAGTCAAAGCATCCAGCAGGTTGGGGACTGCCCCACAGATAAGAGGCACAGTGACACCTGTGCATGGACAGACCCGACGGCATGGGAAGCAGAATCAGAAACGTGACCACATTCAATCCTCATCGTGACCCAGCAAGGGTGGGATCAACAGCAACTCCATTTTCTATATGAAGAAGAAAAACCAGGGCTTTTAAAGGAGCTAAGATGACCTTTTCACAGTCGCAAAGCCACTGAGTGACGGAGCCAGGACTCAAACCCGGACTTGACCACATCTGAAACCCACCTTCCTTCTTCTGCCAGGCACACACCCTGTGCCTCGGGGTGGGGTCTCTTGGCTCTATGTATATTCCAGAAAGTCATGCGAGTCAGGCATGACCCTGAGTGACATCCCCTTCTCAATTGTAACCCAAATTCCAAAGGCTGAAACTCGAGGTAAAACCGCTGCCTTGAAATGTTCTACTGTTCTGCCGTCAAAGGGTGGCTGAAACCCAGCACGGGTCTGCGTATCTGAAATCAGATGTCTGGCCCAGGACGCATTCCAGAGAAGCTCCCTCTCTGGCTAAGGAGGAGCTCTTCTCTTTCCACTTAGATTCAAGGAGTGTTTCAGCGGAGAGTGAAGGGCGCAAGGAGAGGCTGGCGGCTGCTTGAGATAAGGGCCACCCTTGGAAGTCAGGAAATGGTCCAGAGGCAGAAATCAGATAAGCCTCCTTCTCCCCCAGAAAACTAGGCCAGTGGCCCTCAAAGTACAGTCCCAGACCAGCCACATCCTACTGCCTGGGAGCTTGTTAGAAATAACACATGTTCAGGCCCCCTGCACCGCACCTGCTGAATCAGAAACCCTAGGGTGGGGCCCGCATTTTAATGAGCCCTCAGCTGATTCTGATGCCTGCTCAAGTTTGAGAATGATGTCCTCCAAGAAGATGCCGCAGAAGAAAGGGGAAATGAGCATGTCAGGCTCTCTAGTTTAACATGGCCGTATTCACCAAATAGTGCACTGTATTCCCATCCTCTCCACCGCCCACCCCTGCCCCCACTCTGTGGAGGGATGTCCTTCCCAGCCCCATTCTTACTGGGCTTGGCCAGGGGACTTGCTTTGGCCAGTGGATTCATCAGCAGGCATGACATATGATGCCACATCTGAGCAGGAGTTTCAACTGCACCTGCATCAACTGCCTTGGGCTTGTAAGCCTCTGCCCTCCTCTGGGAGACGCCAACTTCCCAGGCAGAGGGGGCTTCCTCAGCCTAGGTCCCACAGCAAAATGATGCACACAGCAGACCTGACCTCAACCCAAAGCCACAGGCAGCCCACAGACCCATGAGCAGAAAATAAAGATTTGTTGTTTAAAGTCACTAAGCTTGCAGGTCGTTTCTTACACAGAATTATCACAGCAAAAGCTGACTGATATAAATTATTTGATTTTATAGCAAAGGAAAAACCATGGTTCCAGCAGGCTGAGGTTTTGGGGACTCCTGCGGACAGACTCTCCTCCCATTCTCAGGCCAGAGGTGAACCATTCAGAGCCACCTGGGGAAGGGAGCCTCAATAACTAACCTTCCTTCCACAATGCCCTCTAGCCTCCTTCAAAGGGGAGGATTGTGCCCTCACCTAAAAGATGCTAACCAGTAAATATCTCAGCCTAATAATGTGGTATTTTAAAATACCTTCTAGAAGGAATAAACATTCCCAAGGATGACCTTTCCCATGACTCAGGAAGGATGAACAGGTCAAGCTGATGGGCCACGGGCACAGAGGACACACTCAACCCTTCCCTGGTCCTAACAAACCTGGGGACTCTGGGGCTTCTGTCCAACGTGAAACCAACTGGACATTCCACCACTTCAGTTCAAGCCTGCAGTCCAGGCATCCTGTGTAAACCACACTCCAGCTACCACCCCGCCAGCTAATAAACACCTGGGTCCTGTCACTGCTAACAGAAAACTTACGGCAATTGGAAGAGAGTGGCCATGTATTTCCGAAGCTCTAGATTGTAACATTCCAAAAATAAAAACCTAGAGTTGGGGAGGACCAAAAGAGGCTGCCTTTTAAAATCAACCCTAAGTCCCAACATCACCGTTCACAAGATGGTAACATCACTGGTGCTGGCGGAACGCAGGTCAGCTATATTTTCACTAATTCCCTCTATTCCCAAGTGGTGAGAGAAGCTAAGTGTTTGCGGCAGTTAGCAGGTTCAAGGACATTTACTGCATAATAAACTGCGAGCTTAGCCATTGCTTCTGATTTGGGGGGATCTCTTTACCACCAATCAAGAACTTGACTTTCAGTTTGTAGACAAGTTGAGATAAAAGTGGGCAGTTAAGCTGGTTTCTCTTTTTTCAAAGCACGTTTCTAGAGAACACTAGTGGCAGGCGAGCAATTTCCCAAAATAAACTTCCCCTGAGGCTCCTGCCTGTGAAGCCTTCCAAGCACCCGGCTGAAGGATGCAGCCGTCAGGTTAAAAGTTCCAACTGGCGGATGGCACTTGCACTCTTTTTAATCCATCTGATCGTATTCACTGCCACAGTCTTATGTCAATGAATGAGACCTCAGTGTCGAAAGCCATCCAGCACAACATGGCATTTTCAACTCGTTGCCCATGAATTCACTGGCCAAATCAGGTAATCAATGCAAATCAATCCACTTATGGTACACATTTGAAAAACTGCAAGATCTGGGACATTACCTTGTCTTAGGGGAGGTGGTTAGCCATTCTTCGTGTTTCTCAAATGTTATTAAATAAGCTGCAATTTCCTGAAACAGAAGAATAAAAAGATAATAACAACAATTAGCTCACATTGGATCCTGAGAGGTAAGAAAGTTTTTGCTGTTTCCCAGCTGCTGTTTTCATTTGCGAGCCTGGAACTCCATCCCTGCTAGAGAAATACTCGACTTGGACTCTGTTTCTATTTTGATTTTTTAAGGCCTTTCCATTCAACCTGTCACACGGTAGTAATCAAAGCACTGGGCCTCAAAAGATGAGTCGGTGGCAAGGACAAAAATATTTCTCTGTGGCAGGAAGACATCAGACACCATTTCAGATTCTAAATGTCATTAATTTAGGGAGGGAAAAACACATGCCAACAACAACAATTCTCCACGATGCGAGACCATAATTGGAAAGTTTCGTCCTTTTCTGAAGCTGGACGAATCTTTCATCTCTGTCACAAGAGACGTCGCATTCTCTCAGCTTCATCCCCAACCCCCTGAGCCAAAATCACACAAAGATTAAAAAGAAAAGACACGATAAAGCCATATTCCAGAGAGGAAACGGGGAGAAATAAGTTAACCTTTCCCACTACTGATAACTTAAATCTAGTGAGCGGCACATCCAAAAGAAGAGCAACGTCAGCAGAGTTTAAGGTAAAGATGAGGAAAATGTGGGCATCTGAAGGCAAATTAAATATTTATAAACACAACAACATCACTGCAGATAGAATTACTGATTTATTAATAATTTCCATAAAAAGCCAGTGAGTGACATCAACATAAGTCATTGCTCCAGCTCGAGGCATGATATGGCCCATTACTTCCACCTCCGAAAGGATCTGCTAACATGAAATTGGCAGGGATTGTAAGTTAAATTAAGGCTGGACTAGTACATGTCTCCCTTGATCTTGGTGATGCTACAACACGCAGCTCCTGCCCTGACTATCAGGAAAATTCAGAGGGGAGGCCTCCACCTCAGCTCTCTCTGCAGCCGGGGTTCCTAGAGGGCTCCTGGGAAGGTAGCAGCCCCTCTGCCTGGAGGCGAGCAGCCTCTTTCAGCTGGGACATAATGGAGTTGACACCAGTGACCAGAGATGCTAAACTTGGCCTTGAGAAGGAAGAGAAGCCCGGTAAGCAGAGCAGGTGAGAGTAGAAAATGCCCCTGATGCCATGCAGTCCAAACACCACAGGCCAAGAGTGGAGATCAAGGCCTGACATCCCATGGAGCCGGCCACCACAAGGCAGCCAGTGATTGGGAACTGAGAGCCCAAGCCACCTCTGTCCGGAAGCCTGGACCTGACAAAGAACCTGGGAAGCAGAAGCCTATAGCAAAAATAGAGTTGCTTCACTGTGCAAGTTTCTATCACTGACTGCAGCTGAAGAAATCATAAATAAGCAGCTGATCAACCAGCACATTGTTCTCTCATCCCTGAGCCTTTTTACGTGTTATTTCCTCTCCTTAGAAAAATCTTTCCCTGAGGTCTCACTGTAGATAGATCCTTCCTCTGGCTGGCCCTCCCTAACTATTCATGATGGCGTCAGTTATCCCTACTGCTTGCCTGGGTGGCACTGGCACCTTCCCCCAGTTGGCAGGATTTATCACTCTGCATTCTAATTGCTTGTTTACTCAGATAACATCCCCCACTGTAGCATGAGAAGGATAAGGAACACGTTATCGCTGACACATCCCCTGGACTTAACAGTGTCCTGAGGCACATAGGAAGCACCTGATAAGTGTTTGTTAGACAGATGGCCGGATGGATGGGATGGGATGGGATGGGATGGGATGGGATGGGATGGGATGGGATGGGATGGGGCTAGGAAAAACGTGCATGGCAGAAGTAAATATGCATGCACACGTGAGTGAGAGAGTGTGTGTGTGTCACTGAAGATAGTTGACACAGGAGCTTAAAAGCAGCAAAATGCAGCAGTTCCTGACTAAAACTTTGCCAATTATTTAATTAACTCTATGTCACTGTAGGAAGGCAAAATAGTAACACACTTAAGAGCACATGCATTGGAAGCAAACAATGCCCTGGCTTTGGGTACCAGCACGGCCTCTTATTAGCTGTCTCATTTTGAGCACATTACCTAATCTGTCTAGACCAGTTTCCTATGAAACTGGGAGACTATCAGCTCACGAGGCAGTTCTAAGGAATGATCATTCTAAATACACTGGCTGGCAGAGGACAAGCCCCAAACAATAGCTACCATGAATCGTTATAAGATCTACGTGGTGTGAGCCACCTGTCTAGCAGCCCGATGAGTTCACAGGTACCAAAATGGTCCAGGTCAGAGGCTGCCACCACTGCTGGATTAATCATCATCTGTCACCTCCACCACCCCGGACAGCACCACGTGCCCACGCCTGCAGACAATGAATGGTAACATCGGAATGACCGTTCAGAGTTGTTGGTTTGTCAATTGGTTCTCATTTGGCTTCACAAAACCAGAGCACACTGCGGCTGGAGTCAGTACGTGGATTTACTAAGCCACTTGTCACGTGCATCAGCTTATCTACCTGAACTTCAGGAGATCTGGTATCCAGAGGAATAGGCTGTGCCAGCTGGAACCCCCTGATCCATGCCCCTGCTCAGGACCATGCTGAGAGAAGTGACCCTTAGTGGCCCAGGGGATGGGAGGTGCAGTGGATCCCAACCTCTAAACATGTGATTTGTTCCAAAACCCTGGACATCCAAAGAAGACTTTCATGGGCATCCTTCAGCCAACGCTCACCCCAGCCTGACAGGGCTTCCTACTGCTATGGCCCGCCGAAGGGGAAAAACTCCTGGCACTACTTACTGCCTTCTGTGTTTACTCTACAAACACTTACTGAGCATCTACTGTATACCAGAAAGGGAACAGGACCACTTTGAAGCGTGCAGTTAAAGAGCTCACAGTCGAGCGATGGGTACAGGCAAGTCAACATGATAGTGTGTGTAAGTGCTGTTACGGGGTCACCTCTGTGGCCAAACTTAGCAGGGGTCACGTCATGTTTAATGAGCTTCTCTCAAGCAAGCAGAGGTCCCAGGAAATCACGCTGATGTAAGAACTACCTACATCACCCGCCACTCCCTCCTCCACCCCAAAGGTAAATTTTGCTTCTCCCAATCCAGGACACCTCCCACACAGAGCCCCTCTGAGAGAAGCCTTTCCGAGGAAGCTGATGCACAGGCCCAGGCTCCCATCTCTGTTGTGCTCAGGTTGGCTGGGCCCCAAAGATGGACTCACCCGCCATCGACTGTCCCATGCTGCTGCATGAACCTGGCTGGGTGGAGCATGTCTGAGTTACCCGTATAATGCCAGGCCCCTGTTGCCCAGCCTTCCCAGCCCATGGCCCTTCCCCAGGCCACCCCCTCACCAGATGGGCAGACCACAGGTGAGCCCGCCCTGCAAAAGCTCAGGAACTCGTTTGGGGAGATTCGCTAAAGAACGAAAACCACACAAAGTATTTGGTGCTAAATGGCATGGAGCCATGTAAAAGCCATCCAAATTCAGAGTGATTGTGGGGAGAAGGACTTCACCATCTGTGTCATTGCTTCCATCAATGTCACCAATGCTAAGGTGGTGGAGGTACTGCCCTAGGACTTATGTGGGACCATCTCGTTTAATCTTCATAACAAACTATGAAATAGGAACCATGGCCACTTTACAGGTGTGGAAACTGAGGCACAGAGTGGTTAAGTGACTTGCCTAAGGTCACATGGCCAGTACCTGTAGAACCAGAACCCAAACCCATGCAGAATGGCTCCAAGGCTCACATTCTGCACCACTGCTCTGAATTTCAGAAGGGACAGCCACAGTGTGCTTGGATGAGTGAGGAACTGAACTTTTCCCAGCCCAGGCTGACAGCTCCCTGCTCCCCACTGACCCAGGGTCACTTCCCAGCCCCACCTCCCTTCAGTGGACCAGGAGGAGTCCAGACTGAATCTCCTTCAGGGGGATTCTCTCCTTCCAGCAGGATCAAGCTTATTGCCACCCCAAAAGCCTAGTTCAACTCATAAGATCCTCGACTTCAGTGATAGGCAAAATTCCTTGTCTCCATGGAGCCCTTTGCTTAAAACATCATAGGAAGCAGGGAAAAAGCAACACACAGAGCGGGAGATGCTCCCGCCGACGAGGGGAAGGAGTTGTGAAAAGAAAGGTTTTTAGCTCAATTGTCTGGCCTCTCTCTCTTCCCCCAGAGGTCCACAAACCTAGGACCCTAAAGGCGGCAGATGAAAACACAGGTCTGGTCTATCTCTCTTGACAGAGGAAAAAAACCGAGGTATAGAACAGAAAAGCACTTGTCCAAGCTCAGCATGTTCATGGCGGAGCCAGGCCAGGACTCCTCACTCTCCGGGCGTGCATGTTCCTTCCCCTGCACTTGCAGCCCCTCAAACACAAGTCTGGCTTGAAAGATTCATAGGAGGCTGGGGCAAAAGCATGGCCAAAGGAAGTGAAAACAGGTGCTCAAACAAAAACACAGACACATGCACACAGTAGCATCGCTCACAGTAGCCAAGAGGTGGACCTACCCCAAGTATCTGCAGATGGATGAATGAAGAAACAAAATGTGTCACAGACGTACAACGGCATGTTATTCAGCCATAGAAAGGAATGAGGTTCTAATACCGGCTACTACATGAATGAACACTGAAAACATGATGCTGAGTGGAAGAGGCCAGGCATGGAAGGCCCTGTGTTGCATGGTGCCATTTATATGAAATATCTAGAATAGGCAAATTCATAGAGACAGCATGGAGATTAGTGGTTGCCAAGGGTTGGGGGAAGAGGGTGATGGGGAGTTATGGCTGATGGGTGTCGGGTTTCCTTCTGGGGTGATGAAAATGTCTGGAGCTAGATGGTTGCACATCCTCATGAATGTACTAATGACCACTGATGGTAAATTTTATGTTATGTGTCTTTTACCACAATAAAAATAAAAAGAAGAAGGAGGCATCAACATCCAGCCAGATGTGGCATTAGGGGGAAGGAAATTCCAGCCATCCAACCCACGCAGACAGCCCCTGAGCCCTAAGGACCACGTGTGTGCGTGCCCGGCGGCCTCCCCAGTGCCCTGGCTCCCTTAGCTTCCTCCTCCTCCCGGATCCTAAATACCACATCGATGCTGAGAAGAATGACTCGACTGTCAAGATGAAGAAATTTGCTGCAGGCTCCAAAGCAAAGACTGTCCAGCTTGCAGATTTTAAATGTTTAGTTTGTCCTTTGGACGTTCAAGTAGAAAAACGGCCGCCAAGGTATGGCGTCTATGTGCTGCAGGGGCTTTGGAGAACAAACTGGCAGGGTCCCAGACAGGCCCCTCTGTATCTGTTCAGCAGATACAGTTTGGTGCCTGCAGACCAGGGAGGCAGGTGGGCCCTTCCCCAAGGCCCCAAACAAGACACATCAGGAAGGGAGGCCTGGGCAGGACTGGGGACTGCGATGCTGCACCTGGTGTCACTGCCTGGTCACACACCGTGCTGCCATGCATCCATCTCCACCACCCAGAGGCAATGGTCACCCACCATCCAGTCCCCAAGCTGATGGGTTTTGATAGAGGACTGCAAAGCCCATGTCAGGAGCCAGCCAGCTGGGAGCCAGCAGGGCTGGAGGGTCACGGCAGAGGCTGCCCCATGGGGGCTGGCAGGTGAGCATGCATTGCTGTGCCAACCTGACTCCTGCCCTTCACGCCTCAGCGCCCATGTGCCAGCTCTGCCCACATAACCTGTCAGGTCCTGTTCATCGCCCAGCCCCTCCCAGGGGAGTCTCCCTTGCTGTCTCCCTCCACAGTGCACTGCAGCTTCTGGAACGTTCTCAGCAATGGCTGCACTGCTCAGACTTTCTCTTGCTAGCTCTATGTGGGTGGTGGTTCTCCCTTCCTGGTTTTTCAGTCTTCAGGGAGGGTGTGTGTCTCAGTCCGTCTGTCACTGTAGAGCCCCGTACAGTTCCTGTGTCTGAAGATGACTGCTGACACAGCAGAGCTGAAGGAGAGATTGTGAAGTTCTCTTCCAAAGGATGTCACCTCAAGAGCCCATGCCTGAGGCTCCCATGCACAAAGGTCCAGTTGCCATCGAGGCTCGGGCCCTACGTGAGAGGTCACACAGCACTGTTCCTCTAAGTGCCCCTCATTCAGGAGGCAGCTCTGGCCAATCTGTGAGTGCCAGAGTTGCACTGTCCAATGGAAATAGAACCTGAGCCACAACACAAGGCACGTGTGTCATTTTAAAATTTCTAGAAGCAATACCTAATGCATGCAGGGCTTAAATCCTAGATGACGGGTTGATGGGTGCAGCAAGCCACCATGGCACATGTATACCTACGTAACAAACCTGCACGTTCTGCACATGGATCTCAGAACTTAAAAGTAAAATATAAAAAGATTTTTAAAATTTCTAGAAGCTACATTTTAAAAGGTAAAAGAGAAGAAAATTTAATAATATTTTATACTTTAACCCAATATATCCAAGAGAGTATGATTTTACTAATTTTTTAAAAAGTAGTCACAAGCTATCTCATACTCTTTTCCCTACTAAGTCCCTGTGTGTTTCCCACGGACAGCCAGCCCCTCTAGCTGGGCTCAGCCGTGTCTCAGGTGCTTGATGCCACACATGGCCGCCGTACTGGATGGCCAGCTCTAGATGCAGACATCACAGGAACCCGCAAACACATATGCCTCCTGGAGCCAACGGCAGCCACCCCGCTGCACCCTCCGCGTCCCACATGTGAAGGAAGCTGTTCCATAGCACACGCTTCAAGGAGAGCAGGGCCCCCTGCCCCCCTCGGTCCACCTCTGAGGTGACGAGCCGTGTCCCCTCCAGTGTGTGGGGAGGCTCCCGTCTGTGCAGGGAGGGCTACGCAATTCTCAGAGGGGCTGGATTCACCTCAACTTCTCAGCCCCGGCTCTCTCTGCTGCCCCCACTCCCTCCCCAGAAGGAGCTATGCACTGCAGGCTGTGCTTTGTCTCAACCCCATAGAAGGGTCCAGCCCAGAGAGATCAGCCTCCCCTCCCACAGCTTCCCCTGGAGCAGCCCTTAGAAAAAGCAGAGTCCCCCATAGGTCTCTCAGACAGTCCGTCCTCCATCTGTCTTCAAGATACAGGCTCAATGTCAGGGAGGGAGAAAGGTCTTTAGTGCTCACTGTAACAAATTAAACAAAAAACAACAAATGTATATATGTGTGTACATATATTTATATATATATATGTATTTATACAAATATCTCCTGAGTTCAACTAATAAAAATCTCTCTATAGTCTATACAGTCTCAGATATATTTTGCACATAGAAACATGGATTTTCAACCAAAGTATAATTTCTTAAAGCTTGGTTTTTATGAGAGTTCTGCATAAGGGTTTTATCTGTAAGGGACCAAAGCTGAGGAGGGGGAATAAAGGGAAAAAAAAAAAGCCAAGGCTCCCCTAGCAGCTGGCCCCAGCATCTGCTAGAGCCACAAAATGCAATTATATTACTCCCAAACGAGAAGTAAAAATATCTTGTTTCCAATCCTCTTGGTTTTAAGACTCATACTTAATGTCCTCTGGGTATTTCAGTGGTGCCAGATCTCTGTGTTATGTACTTTATTAGGGATGTGTGAATGTCATATTAATGACTTCTAACCAATATGTTTACGGTGAAAGCAAGTTTTCCCAGAATCCACCACTCGCTGCACTTGACAAAAAATAATTGGCCTTAATTTAAATAAATAAATAACCAGGCCCTGCCCTCTCCCAGTGGCATCTTCCCCACCGGCTTTCTCCAGGGCACCTGTGCATGAAGCCGACGGGCCCTCCCCCATGATAAATAGTCCAACCCAGGTCCAACAGGGCAGGGCTCCCGTCTGAACATTCCTGTCCCTGTCCACTGATGTACTTCCCAAGCACCCAGCTGGCCAAGCCAACACCCTGCACAGGATATCCCGGACCCCCCACCCACAGGTCTAAACCAACATCCCCAATCTTGCTTTCAAAATGACCAACTCTTGCCATCAACTGTTAGCATATAGAAAAATGGGTTATATTTTTTTTATTTGCATGGAATGCAACGTAGCTCTACTCTGACAGTTTATGAAAGTGGCAGTGGTTAAGACTGTAAGGATCCAAGGGTGTCTGGAGGACTGTCTACAAAATGGTAACTAGCAATTCAGAATAAATTCCTAACAGCCTGGACTTCTGAAATGAAGCCTGGCCCCACTGGCTGTCTGTTATTGAGACATAGTAAAGCATTCTTATGACTATCAAATTACCAATCAGTGAAGAAACAATGAGCCACCACAGAAACATCCACAGCCAGAGTCAGTAAAGAAGCAATTCACCCGGTCTTTCATTCATTTATCTACTCATTGGTTCAACCATTCGATGAATTATTGAGCACCTACAATATGCCAGGCACTATGAAAGGCCCTAACAATACAAAGACACATGAGTAACGGCCCTGGGAAATACAGCTGGGAAGACAGATGGGGTGCAGGATCCAGGGCTATCACATTCAAGTGCAAAACAGACAAGGAGTGCCAAATTAGCAGCACGGACGATGTGTCCATACTGAGAAGAGAAGGAAGGGTTGTGTCAAGGAGCTAACATTTCAACTGGGTCTTGACGAGTGAGTAGGTTGCCCAGCAGACAAGTGGTCAAGGTATCAGGGAAGGGAAAGAGCATAAGTGAAAGCAGGAAAATGGGAGTAGCAAATGTGTTCAGGGAAATCTGAGTAATATAAAGTAATGAGAGTCCGCAGGACAAGGAATAGAAAGGCAGAACTCAAAGCCAGGTGGAGGGGGAGGCACCAAACTGTGGAGGAATTCAATGCCAGGCAATGGAGTTTTATCCCGAAGAACCAGGGGAAGGCTTTTAAGTAGATGGGAGCCACACAAAGAGCTGTGCTATCTATCTATCTATCTATCTATCTATCTATCTATCTATCTATCTATCTATTTCGAGATGCAGTCTTGCTCCGTCACCTGGGCTGGAAGGCAGCGGCATGATCTTGGCTCACTGCAACCTCTGCCTCATAGGTTCAAGAGATTCTCCTGCTTCAGCCTCCTGAGTAGCTGGGATTACAGGTACCTACCACAATGTCCAGCTAATTTTTGTATTTTTAGTAGAGATGGGGTTTCACCATGTTTGTCAGGCTGGCCTCAAACTCCTGACCTCAAGAGATCCACCCACCTCAGCCTCCCAAAGTGCTGGGGTTACAGGCCTGAGCCACCACGGCTGGCTAGCTGTGCTTTTTAGAAACATCACTCTGGTGGTGGCCTGGTAGAGAAGAGGCCGCTGATTGGAGACCATGATTACAGCCCAGGATAGAGGCAATAGGATCCTGCACTAAGGCCATGGGAGTGGGGAAAATGGAACAAAGCTGAATGTTTTCAAAAGCAAGGTAAATGGGGCTTGAAACCAAATGGCTGGGGAAATGAGAGGCAGTGAGGACATCTCAGAAGCAAAGGTCACAAATTGGCGGCCCAAGGACTGACTCCACCCAGAGATGTGCCTGCTTGGTCCACACAGTCTTCTTCCCATTTGGCTTATCTGCCAATGTTTAAAGATTGAAGGTCAGGGATTTCCAGCTTCTCTTGAAAAATAAAGTCTGGCAACCCCAGGCCCACATGCTGCACAGCAACCACTGCTTGGCGCTGAGAAGCTGCTGTCCATTTGGATGGGCCTGAGAGCTCCAGAGGACCACCACCTCAACCTGCTGGCTTTCTCCACTGTCATGGCCGGCTTGGATTTGTAGGCCCTTGACCTTGGGGCCCCTACTCTGATATTTATGGCATTGGAAACTGGGTGCACTGTAAGACCATGAACCAATATAGGCAATCCAGAAAGAAATAGATTTTAAAACAGTGCAATGCTAACCAGAACACTCATTGCCCCTTAATACAGTGACATGTACTGATGAAGCCAGATCCAAGACTGCCCCAACTTCTATTTTGATATTGTTCCAGTCGTCAGTTTATTATTATCTCTGAGTTCCAATTTCACCCTTCTTTGTCCTTCTTTGTGATACTGAAGCTGGACCCTGTACATATTTCTCCTTTGCTGGCATAGCAGAATGTGAAGCTTCGTCAATAGACAGCAACGACGTGAACCTGCAAGATGACAGTGGCAAAGACACATCCCTTGCAGACCTCTTACCATCATCATTATTATTATAATCATCACTATTATTCAGAGTGGAGTCCAGTGGCCATGAAGATGAGCTCCAGCTGTACCCTCAGGAGACAGTCCCTCCACTGGCAGGCTGCTTTAGACCAGCTCTGTTCTAATTGACATCCGCAAGTGACAATGAGCCACTTCTACAGACCACTTCCAGCCCAGGCCCTTTGGCAGGCAGCTTGTTCCTTTGGTAGCCATGCACTCTTTGAAGAGGTCTGAATTTTGGCCAATGTCAGGAAGGGTCTTCTAGTCCTTATTTGATTTGTTGTCTGCTTTTCCTCAGCCTAGAGATAGCAGCTGCTGCTTTACCCCTGATATTTTGGAAACACTTAGAATTCTCTTTTATCTCCATTAGTAATCAACCACCCTTCTACTAGCTAGAAAGTCTTTATATATTAAATTTTCTGTTCAAATAACCAAACATGCTTCTGTCTCCTGAGAGGATCCTGACTGATATAAGAATAATCCACCAGCCTGGCCAACATGGTGAAACCCCATCTCTATTAAAAATACAAAAATTAGCCTGGCATGGTGGTGGTCACCTGTAATCCCAGCTATTTGGGAGGCTGAGGCAGGAGAATCGCTTGAACCTGGAAGGCAGAGGTTGCAGTGAGCCAAGATCGTGCCATTACACTCCAGCCTGAGTGACAGAGCAAAACTCTGTCTCAAATAATAATAATAATAATAAATCCACAGTGCTGAAGATGTTTACAATCTCACTGATGTGTAATCCTAGAAAACACACTAAAAGGTAGAGGGAGAATGAAAAAATACCTGAAAGAGAAGCAGCATGTATTTGGGAGGAGATATCAAATTGCCGTATTGAGGTCTTTATAGCAAGTTTCCTAGATGCCAGCCAGATCATAGTTTGAAAGGCACTGGAGGAATATATGTCCTACCTTTTAGTTTGTGAGAAGACCTGAATCCACCTATTTTGAGAGATTAAAAAAACATTTCTTTTAGAATAGAAAAAGTTAATCCATCTCCCTTTGGTTGTATGATTTGGGGGAAGTCACATGATAGCTCTGTGCCTCAGTTTCCTCTAATGTGTGCCATGAATCTATAGGTATTACTTCATTTACTACAATTGTGTTATCCCATATTTCAGGGATTAAAACCTATTTTCAATCAGCATCATGGAGATATAATTTACATACAATAAAATGTACCCCATTTTAAATGTAAAGTCCAGTAGATGTTAACACATAAATGTATTATGTATCTATCACCATATTCAAGATGTAAAACAATTTCCAGGACCATGTAAGGATAATTTACTCTATACGGAATTTTACACTGACAGACTGTTCCCCCTTTCGGCACTCAAGAGATCCCATTCCATTGTCTTCTAGCTTGCATGATTTCTGATGAGAAGTCTGCAAAAATTCTTATCTTTGTCTATAATTTGTCTTTTTCCCCTCTTCTAGCTGAGTTTAAGATTTTTTCTTGCTGGGCACTGTGGCTCATGCCTGTAATTCCAGCACTTTGGGAGGCCGAGGTGGGAGGATCGCTTGAGGTTAGGAGTTTGAGACCAACCTGGCCAACATGGTGAAACCCATTTCTACTTAAAAAAAAAAAAAATTAGCCAGGCGTGATGGTGTGTGCCTGTAATTCCAGCTACTTGGGAGGCTGAGGCACAAGAATCGCTTGAACCTGGGAGGTGGAGGTTGCAGTGAGCCAAGACTGACCACTGCACTCCAGCCTGGATGACAGAGTGAGATTCTGTCTTTAAAAAAGAAAAAAAAAATCTTTATCACTAATTTGAAGAAATCTGATCATACTGTGTGTGCCATTCTGTGGTTTCTTTGTATTTACCTTGCTTGGGGTGTGTTGAGCTTCTCAGGTCAGTGAGTTTATAGCTTTTGTCAAGTTTGGAAAACTGTCAGCAATTATATCTTTAACTAAAGAGCATTAGGCTTTAGGCTTTACTCTGGCAGTTATTTAAGTTACTTGTGGATCAGCCTGACCCTCTCAAGGCTTATTTTTAATCTCTGTAAAGGTGGGTCTACAGCACGTTTTACTCCAGAAATGTTGTTACCCTACTATTATTGCTTCTTCCTTCCGGAGTCTCTACTGAATGTCCCAAATATTCAAGGACAGCTCCCCAGTCGGGCTGGTCAGAATGCAAATACCTCCGAGTCCTGTATGAGCTCTGTGAATTTTATAGCCCCTATGTGCACTTTGTCCAGTTTTGTGGGGTTTCACCTCACTCATCAATGGTTTAGTAGTCAACAGAACATCCCAGGAGAGCCATAAAAGTTTCTAGAGCACTTTCTTTGCCAGGCCTTCTCCTGTATGATATTCTGCCCTGCAAATTCTAGATGTATCAACCTCTCCAAACTCTGATATCTGTCTCCTCAGCTCAACAAGATCACTGTACTCTTCTTGGAATACCTCCCTGAAGATACAGTCTTGAAATGCCTCCATGCAGAAATACAAAGTGATTGTATGGTTTACAGTCTTCTCTTAGCAACCACAGTCCTACTCTGACGATCATCTAATAGCTGAAAATATTTATTTCACAGGTTTTATCCAGTTTTATCATTGTTTGTAGCAAGAGGATGAATCTAGTCCTAGTTATTCCATCACAGCCAGTGGCAAAAGTCTCATCATAAATTTTTAGACTTTTATTTTATTCTTTGAGAGGTCAGCAATCTTTCAATGAAGGACATAGCCAGCCTAAAGAAACAGGGTTAAAACTTTGAGGGTGTCATTGTTGTCTCAGAGACAGGCTATCGTAAGCCCGTAGAGATACAGATTTTCTCAAATAACAAAAAGTGAGAGGGAGAGAGAGTGTCTGAAGACGACTCAATACCGATTCTGCCTTCCTTAACACCAACCCTCCTTCACCTCTACCCCCAGATGAAGATGCAGACTTGCTGATCTGAAGGTTCAGTTCAAGAATCAGAAGAGCCTAAAAGAGCACAGATTGTTGTTATAAGTCCTTCCAGAACAGTGATATAAACCTGAATATAAAACAGAAGTAGTGTTGCAAGAATTTGGCTTCTTCTTCAACCTTGGCAGGATTCTATGTGCGTAGAAAGTGTCACTGACAGCCACACACTGCCAACTCCCATTAAGAACTAAGGACAAGGGATAAGCTATGCAAAAATATGCTGCATCCACTTGGTCTTTGTGTAGCCACGTCCCTTTGAGATAAATTCTGAATCCATGGCTAAATAAATCAGGAATTTATATCAGAGTGTGTGTATGTGTGTGTGTGTGTGTGCACGCAAGCTCTTCCCACCCATAAATAACCCCACCCACAATGCTGAAAAGCTCCACTAACACCTCTGCTTTAGAACATTAACCAATACAGCCCTTTGGAAATGGGTCGTAAGTCATTCAAAGAAGTCAGAAAAGGCTTTCATGGTAGCAGACAACAGCTCTGGTGCCTACAGGAACACAGCAGAAGTGGGCATTTTGCCTCGCTCCAGGCCCTTCCAGCCTCCAAGTACAGCAGAGCCACCTAACTCCGAGCAACCACGTTTCCTTGCAGAAAAACACCGATGCTCATCCTAACCCTTCCCCCAACACAAACCCAATAAAACTAATAAAAACAGAAGCCAGCCATCTTAAAATTAACACATCCAAGATACAAGCAGAAACCATTGATCAAAACCTCCTATCTTCCCTCACAGCTGACAGCTCCAGAGAAGCCCTAACACCCATAATGGAATCCCATTATCTACAAAAGAAACTCGTTCCAGAGAAGAGTCACAAAGAGAGAATCAAAGGAGGCTGGCAAACGGGGAGACTCCACCACTCCCCTCTGCTCCCATACAAGGGGTACAACACTCAAGCAGAGAGAGCCATTAGAACTGCAGCAACGGGGAGGCACTTTCCACGAGTTACAAAACTGAGAATGAAATCAAGGCAGAGTCCAGTGGGAAAGGAGGGTGTGAGAGCCTGCTTCTTTCCATCTGTGCAAAAGCAAAACAGAAGCTTCTTTCATACAGGGAGAAAATAGGATCCAAAAAAAAAAAAAAAAAAAACCTTTCCTTAAATTCCAGAACTGCCTGCATTTGGAAAACACAGGGATTTCAGCCAAAGTAGGGAGCAAGTAAGATTCATTAGCAAATGCCTCAAATCCTTAATTCACACTTCAAACAAACAAGGTAATTGTGTAGCTAACAGAGTGTGACTTGATTATAGGCCACTGGTGGCCATTAATAGATGAAAGGTGTTTGGATTTCAATAGTGTTTGAATTTCATAACCTGCCTTCATAAGACAAGTTCAGATTAGTCACCACCTTTATTTGCTAACACCTGTGATCATGAATCCCACATGACAAACAAGCAACCCAGCTTTGAGCATTTGGAATTGAAGAGTAAACAGGAGGAGAATTCATGAATTTTACAGAGGTAATTGTTCTACCCTGCTTTGAAGAGGAGTAGAGGTCGGTCTCAGAAGACCTTAACATATGCATGAACACAGCCCTCCTAGCTGACACATGACTCAGAAGACCCGCTGCTATGTTGCCACTGCTTGGGAAAGCAGAATGGGACTGGGCTCCAACACTCACATATTATTAATCAATCACGCCAGTGCCCCATTCCCAAAGACATGAGCCTGGGTCCACGTGAGGACTTAGTTCAAACTAAAATTGGTGGATGTGTCAAAAAAACTGACCACTGATAAGTCTATATCAGTCTTCCCTTTAACCAGATGGGCCCTATCCTTAGAACCTCAGATTTTATTAGAAAGAAAAGAAGAGATATCTTATTCCTCTTCTCTTGCTCGTTAATGTTATCAAGGAGTAAGATGAAAGATAAGGAGCGCAAAAGCTCATATTGTGTCACCTGAAGAGCAGCATGGGCTGCAGGGAAAAAACACAATCAAATATATCTTCCTGAAAACCTTGTGATTCAGCGATGCAATAATGTCAAAGCCATAAAAAGGGAGCTTGCTTTTCAAAGGGTTACAACAGAGCAATAGCAAGAGGAGGAGGACTAAATTTTTTTTCCAGTCCTGTGAAAAAGAAAGAGGTTCCAATAAAACGAGGCCCTTCTTGTCCAACGTGATGACAGTCTACAAAGTCAGTCCCAGCAGATCTGCAGCCAGCAACACTCCCAGGAGAGGAACCCTGATGCATTATCCTTATCCTCATCTTTAAAGTTCCACTAATTCCCTGGAGATCTGGGTCAAGCATTAAAGGGAACATAAGCCATAGTGAAAACCTAGGTCTTCTCTCCAATAAGCTTATGATCTACGAAGACCAGGCACCTAAGTTAGGGTCTAAAATCACTGAGATTGGGCCGGGCGTGGTGGTTTACACCTATAATCCCAGCACTTTGGGAGGCCGAGGTGTGTGGATCGCCTGAGATCAGGAGTTCAAGACCAGCCTGGCCAACATGACGAAACCCCGTCTCTACTAAAAATACAAAAATTAGCCGGGCGTGGTGGCACACACCTGTAATCCCAACTACTCGGAAGGCTGAGGCACAAGAATCACTTGAACTCCGGAGGTGGAGGTTTCAGTAAGCAGAGAGAGTGCCACTGCACTCCAGCCTGGATGACAGAGCAAGACTCCGTCTCAAAAAAAAAAAAAAAAAATCACTGAGATTGAAAGTGCACCACGGGAAGTCAAAGAAGAGCCAGGTCAACACAGGCTGGAGAAGTCAGAATAAGGAACCAAAATGTGACAGCAGGGAAGGAAGAGCACAGGGCCGGGAAGGGAGCGATGGGCTGCTGTCCTTGGTGCTGAACCAACGCTGTGCTCCAGGGCAGCAATTTGACTTCTGCAGTTTGTGGTAACCAGTGAGTCCTGAAACCAATTTAAAGTGGAAATTGGTATTGTTTTAATCAAATGGAACGGAGTGGAGTGGAAAGTATCAAAGTGCACCATAGGTAACATTGTTTCCTGAAACTTCTGTCCAGATATTATCATCATAAATGAATATATGTATATGTGTTCTGGGTTATAACATGAACTAACATTTCTGACGACTTGCTAAGGACATAGCTTTGGCAAACCATTGCTCTAGGGCCCAGTTTCTTCTTTCTACCCTTGGACACTGAAGACTCCCGACCACTTTTTGCAGGAATTATGACCAAAGTTGTGACCAAGAATCAGCGGTAGGAGAGAACACAAGATGTAAATCAAGAGAAATACAGAATAAGAACCACAAAGAGATTGTGAAGGGAGAGCTGGGAATAGGTTGTTATTGTTTTCACTTAACAGTTACCAAAACTGTTTGGATATTTTTCCTGAAAAGTTGAAGTAGGAGGCATGTCTCCAGCTCTACTTCCAGCTCCACAGGGGTTTCAAGAAGAACATGACTGCATGCCAGCTCACCAGAGCCCTCACATGGAAGGCAACACTGTCTGCTAAAGGGTGTCTGTCCCTTCATCCTTGGTCCTCACACCCAATGAAAGGCTTTAATGTGTGTTAAAGGCTCTAACTGTAAACTGGGAATAATGATCGTTCCTATGTGAGAAGGTAGTTATGAGAATTAAATGAGCTAATTTATGTAAAGTACTTAAAACAGGGCCTGGAATCCAGTGAATGCTATAAAAGGGTTAACTATTCCTACCATTTCACTTGGATATAAGTTGAGATGGAAAATGTAAAGATTCCCTGGCACATAGCCATTAAAAACATTAATGAAGAACTTAATGCTTACACTAACAACATTGAGGAGAAAAAGCAAGATACAACACTATATAACAGTATTATCTCAAATATGTTTTTAAAGAGTTCATAAAAGTATTGGAAGCAAATTCACTAAAACATTAACAGCAGTTGGATTTGGGTAGGAGGCCTTAGATAAATTTCTTTTCTGCATATTTTCTTCTATTTTCCTATTTTTCTACAATTAGTATGTGTTTTTATAATTAGGAAATCCTATACTTCAAAGACAGTAACTCAAAGTCAAAATGGCTTTAATCTTGAAATGTGCCATTTTGCAAGACAAGCAATAAAACTGAATACAGGAATGAGGGAAGCAGCGTGCTTCATTTGCACAGCCATACAGATAAGCCACCACTTAGCAGGAGTGTGGGATTTCTGACTTTCTGATCTTTCTGTCATTTCACAACTGCCAAAATGGGGAATTTACCCAAACTTGTGATTGACTTCCAACCCCAGGAGGGTAAAGTAACAGAGATTACCTTCAAAAACCCAGGACACAGAAACACCAGGGCAGATCCTCCTGCCCACTCCTCAATCAGACAGGCAGCAGTCAGTACCAGCAAACCTTTTAAGCCCTTACTATGTGTTGAGCACTGAGTTTCCAATAACATCTCATTTAATCTTCCTGGTAACTCTGTGATAGAGGTGTTGTCTTTGTCTCCATTTTACAGATCAGGAAATAGAATTTTAAGAGTTAAGAAACGTTACTATTCCATCCTTATACTCCCCTTCAAAGCAAACTTCCTTTGCAGAGTGTTTATATTGCCTGCCTCCAAGTTCTCTCCTTCCATTCTCTCCCAAGCCCATTCCTATCAGATTTTTACCTCCACTATTCCATCAAGACAACTGTTGTCAAGGTCATCAATGATTTCCACATTGCCAAAGCCCATGGCAAATTCTTAATCTTAATTTTACTTGCCCTACCAGCATCTTTTGATAACCCTCTCTCCTCATTGAAACGTCATCTTCACTTAGCCTCTAACAAGCTCACTCTCTCTTGACCTTCTGCTTTCTCTGGCTGTTGCTTCTCAGTTTCCTTTGCTGGTTCTTCCTCATCCCCCTGTCCTCTAAACATCAGATTGCCCCAAATCTCCCCTGGGCCTTGTTCACCATCTCCACTCCCTCCCCAGTCATCTCACCCAGACTCAGAACTTTAAACGTCATCTCTGCACTGACTACCCCAAAATTTATGTTTTCAGCCTAAACTTCTCCCTCTGAACTCCAGGCTCCTATATCCAGCTGCCTATTAAACAATTCCATCCAAATATCTTCTAGGATCTTAAACTTTACATGCTTCACACATGAACCTACCATCACACCCACACTCACACCCCTTCTTTCTGTAGCTTCCCCCCACCTCAGTAGATGACAGCACCACCCTGCCAGTGACTCTGGCCAGACATCTGAGACTGATCCTTGTCCCCTTTCCTTTGGAAACATTAGAAGCAAATCTGTTCACTCTACCTTCAAAATATGGCCAAAATCCAACACTTCTCCCATCTTAATTGCTGCCGCCTTGGTTCAAGCTACCAGCACCTCCTCCCATCTAGATGACTGCATCTGCCTTTTGGATCTCCCTGCCTACACTCTTGCTTCTTCACACTAGTCAGGGGGACCCTTTAAAGGAGTGCCCATCTCACCCAGACTCAAAGCCAAGGTCCTCCCAATGACCTATCTGTCCTGCATGATCTGGCCCCAGGATTCCTCTGATCTACTCCTTCCACTCAGCCACACAGTCCCCTTGCTACTCCCTGAACAGACAGCAGGCTCCTGCCCCAGGGCTTCTGCACCTGCATCCCTTGTGCCTAGAAGAAACTCTTCCCTCAGAATCCTACTCGGTTCACTCCCTCACTTCCTCTGGGTCACAGCTCAAATGGTCCCTTCTGGGTAAGGCCTCCCTAACCACCCTGTGAAATAGCAACATCCCCTGACACACTGCCTGGCCCTCCACCCCACTTTCTTTTTTCTCCACAGTCGATAGTCCTGCCTGACGTTCTGCAGTGTACTCTGCATCTTGCTATACTATTTGTTGAATGCCTTTCTCTAGTCCTCACTGGAATGCAGAGATTTTTCTCCATTTTGATCACTGCTATATCTCCAATCCCTAGAACAGCACCCAGATTTCATAAATATTGAATGAAGAAATGAATGGATAAATGAATGAATGAGCAAGTAAATCTGTTCAAGGTCGCACAATAAATGCTGGTGCCAGGTTTCAGATTTGGGATGCGTGCCTCCGGAGCCCACACACCTCGCATCCATACTCCCCTGCCTCTGGCTGCCCAGACATGTTGCCTGACAACCTCAAAAGTCAGAAATAGCCAACCAGCACACAGCCAGGGAGGAAGATGGTATAAGCCCCCATGTGGCTAATGGAACCAAGTATCTGAAATAAGATGTTTGAATTGGAAAACTGAGGACATATTGCCATGACAGTAAAACCACGTGTCGTTCAGCTCAGCTGGGATAGGTCAGCATTGAGAGTGGTCATAGGGCTGATTTCCATGTAGAGCGGGGTACCCACAAAGCCCCACAAAGCACAGAACAAGCATTTGCCCTTGATTCCAAGAAGGCTCAGGAGATGCAATGCAGAAAAGCCAGTACGAGTCCATCTTCACCACTGGGGAAATCACCCAAAACCCTGATCCTACCAGCAGAGCCAACCTCTGCTTCATCCCTCAAAGACAGCTTGGACAAACACCTCCGTCCTCTTTGCTCATTTGGATAATGGCCCCCCAGGCAGGAGGACACGGGTATTTTCAGCACATTATGGCCCAAATCCTTTGTTTTAATTGGTCCCAGGCATTTCCACTTTTAGAGCCTCCTTCACTTACTTGGTTTAAAGAGTCAATCTCTGAATGATCCAATAGGAGCCCAGAGAGTAGATAAGATAGTGAGACTAATCTATAACATTTGTGTTTAATGGTTAGATATTAATTGGCTTTTTAAAAAGTGCGTAAATCGGTCCATTTTTAGTCTTTCTAATCTGTTGGTTCTCATTAATGAAGGAGCAATATTCATCAACAGCTCTGCACTACACATCACCTTGTAAAACTATAGTCCGTTTATTTTTAAAAAATAGATTTATCACGATTTGAAATATAGAAAGTCATTAAAATAATAATTAAAAACACAACTACAAGCACAATAAAAGTTTCATGATAATAAACTACATTTTAATGTATATTAATTCCCCTAATGATTTACTCCATACATCTTACAGGGTGAAATCAATGTCTGTACCAAAAAAAATTCAATTAAATTCTATTCACTGTATCTTTCAAGTGAGTCTATTGTTTGCTTTTGTCACCTATCAGGCCATTTGTCAGTTGTTCTAGCTCAAGATTACAAATAGAGGGGACATGGCCCCATCAAGGTCAGAAGAAACACGTCCAAATCCTCCCCAATCCACCTTTACCATCTCCTGTGCATTTGTCACTGATGACCTTGTTTGAGGAGAGGAGGAGGAGGGGGAGGCTCGCTCCAGTCCATACTCCTAAGCAAGCCATCAGTCTGCGGGCTCTGACTGGCACACTCTCTCTCATGCTCAGCCAGCCTGTGGGCCTCCAAGCAAGCCCCTGCAAAGAGCAAGCTCAGACTGTCCCTCTTTAAACTTCCTCTTGCCCCAAAACACACACCAAGTCAGCGCCTCTCTTCCAAAGCTCACTTCCCCTCAGTGTTCAGAGCCAGAAAAAGCACATCTGCTTTCCAGTCCCCTGCACCAAAGCAAGTCTTTGCCTTGCCTGAGTGATTTTTCTAGACTTAACACTCACACACAATCTCCATGCTGAGAAAACACTGCTGGCGACAGTTTGACAAGCTGGAGGGCTGCCTGGTGGAGGCGACTGGGAGGACTCCCTCTCTGGTCCCCTCCCTATAACCCACCCTGCCCAGAGATGCCTCGGAACCAGCAGGAAGACCTGGGTTCAGGGCCAGGCCTGGGTCTGAGTTGCAACCTGGGATCGTCGGCTCAACCACTCCCTTTGCTGGTGACCACTAGGGGGCAACAGGCATCACCGTGATGAGAGAGAAGGTCGTGCTCAAAAGGTTGTGCAAAGCCAGAGGAGCTTTCGACTTTGGAAGGAAAAGAAATCACTGCAGAGCCTCATTCTATCGCTGCGGGAAGACAACAGCGACCACCAGTATCACGCCCATTTTTCAAGTGAGGAAAAACAAGTAACTGAATGAAAAATGATTTACTACGGGACCCAACATGAATTAGTGTCCAAGCTGAAATAAACCCAGATGTGGCTGCTGCATATTCAGGCTCCTTCATGAATTCCCGTGAAAGTCCAGAAAGTGCAGTACAATATCCACGCCTCCTTTCTGGCCCCTCCGTAGCTGCGATGTCGGGGCGCCTATGAAGCCCTTTTGAGCCCGCCCCCATCTGATGCTGCTGTTCTCTGTGTGGGCAGAGGAAAGGAGAGGCCAGTGCAGCCCCTGAGGCTGGCGGCTCCGGACACTTCGGGCCCCGCCTCTCAGAAAAGCCCGTCCTGCTCCAGAGAGCAAAGGGTGCATCCTTCCGAGGGAGCTGCGGCTCACCGGAGGCCCCGCACATCCCCAGCGGAGGAGGGCGAGAGGACGTGAACCAGAGGCCGCGGCAAGGAGTAGCAGGCGCAGAGCTCTCATTAACCAAGATGGCCTCACGCTGGTGCCGGGCTTTATAAGTCTCAGCTGCACAATGCTTTTTAAAATATAGGTGCAATTTGGGCCTGTGGTTAATACTGTTTAATTTTATTTTGTACTGCGTAATATTTTCCCAAGTTAGGCCCAGGGTAAGTCTGGAGTCTCAGCTCCAAACTTTGCTGATTTGGCAAATGGATCCAGTTAGCAGCCACACACAAGCCCTCGCTACCAGCTCCTCTGCCAGTCCCCTGTTCCCACTCCACTCTCAGAGGCCACAGCACCCCCAGAGCCTGCTGTCCAGGCTCTCTTGTTCCTCTCCCCTCACGGGCACCCCACTACCCACAGCCCACCCTACGGAGAGGCAGACAGACCCTGTGGTCCCTGGGACCAGATGGCCCAAACGGTCCGCTGACAAAAGACCTGTCCCGTTGGCTGACCCTTGGCTCAATTCGTGTGTTTATTCTCCCAGCAACTACTGATTGCCCCGTTGCCCCGTGCCAGGCCCCCTGCATCCCATTTTCAGTTTGGAAAATATGATCACTGTGATCCCGATGGAAGGAGGTGAGGCTCCAAAAAAAGGAATTGCATTTTCTAATTCTGGTTCCACCACTTACAAGCTGTGTGACCCTGGGCAAGTCAGTTAACATCTCTGAGTCTCATATTTGTCCTTGGAGGGTCTCTGGGAGGGCTAGGTGAGACGAAGCAACAACCACCTTCTGCATAGCATGTGGCATGCAGTAGGTACTCACTAAATGACAACGGCCTCTTCGTGGTGAAGGATGACAATCTTTCCCAGTTGCCTTTGGGTTAAGGGAACAATCATAAAATAAAGACATGGCCGGAAATGGGAAAACACTCCTAGGATACCGGGGGCCCAGCAGGGTCAAGGGCATGGCAGGAGGTGTCTGAAACTTGCCTTTCCTGCTCGCCAGCTCTGCGGAGGCCAGGCCTGCGTCCAGCTTGGCCATTCCTCCCACCGTCCCTGGGTTCTCGAGCAAGCGAGTGAACAAAGAGAGGGAGCAACTTAGAGGAGAGTGTCTTCCTGCTCCACTGTCAATTATCTGCACAAAAACATGCTGATATATCTGCTTGGCCAAAGCACCCGGTAAGTGCTAGCATGTAATAAGAAAGAGAAAGAAGATTTTCACGCCCAGCATGCTAAGAAATAAGAAAATGACTCATAGTCCCAGGGCAGCCTTTCGAGTGGCTGGCAGGGCCCCTGCCACTGAGAGAGGCCCTGGCAGGCTAATTGGGAGCTGGGAGCTGAATTGGCCGGATGTTCAGTAGCCATGAATTTTTCTGAATCCCAATAAAGTGCCTTTTACTTTATTTGTCCAGATTATTTATAAATGGATTTTTCAATAAAAAACAGAGCTCGGGATGCATGATGGATTTTCTCTGGCACCTCACACAGGGCACGTTCATCCCCATCGTGGTCTGCCTGGCCCAACAGCACATGCCTTGATCAGGCCGTCCTCTCTTTGGGCCATAGATTGGCTTTCAATAATTTCTCAGAAGCCCGTGGGTAGTCACCAAATTTAAACTCATGTCCGTAAAACTCAAATTCAACTCAATAAGCGTTTATTGATATCCCACGACATACAAGATATTAAGCTCAGTGCTGTGCTGGAGAGAGGCGGTGGAAGAGGAAATCCAAGCATCTTAAGCGTCTTGCCATTTAGAAAAGAACGTACTTGTGTACAAAACTGAGCACAACACAATGAGCCTGGAGAAAGGCTAAAGCGACCACACCGCTGCATGAATACGAGGGCAGATGTCTTTTGCTTTCAAGTAGGATATTTTGGGCTGCAAAATTACAGAAAATCCAACCTAAATTACCTTAAAGAAGAAGGAAAATGTACCATCTCATGTCACAAGAAGTCTGGAGGTAGGGTTGATGTCAGCTGGGTTCCTTCTCTCGGCTCAACCATGCTATGACCTTGGGCTGGACCCACATGGCTGCAAGGTGACCATAGCGGCCTCCCATAACCATCACATTTTCCAAAGTCCAGAAGACAGAAATCATACACCCTTTTTTAAGAGCCAGGAAATTGTCCTAGAAGTGCCTAGCCATCTCACTGGCAATAACTGAGTTACAGGCCGCCCCTAAACCAATCACTGACCATGATGGGCTTAGACGGATCTAGGTTTATCCCCTGGGACTGGAGAGGGCCCTGGCATCTCCCCAAGAATTTGGCCACTGACACCTGAACACAGTCAAGGTCCTGTCGGCAAGAAATAAGACGGGAATGCTATTGGGGAAACCATCAAAAGTTGCCCTTGCCTGGTAAAACTGATCCTCTCAGAAGATGTTCTGGGTTAAAATAGACAAATAGACACACAATAAATGCGAGGAACTTATCTACCTTGTTCTTTGCCGTATGCCTTGCAAGGAACATGGTTCCCAGCATGCAGCAGATACTCAAATATTTGTTGAATGAATGAATCCTGGAATTAAACCAAGAGGCTGGTTGGGAACAGAGTCAAGATCATTCAAATCCCCCTCAGATCTCAGAGAAGCAGAAGAAGAAGAAGAAGAATTCAGCAAGTAAGAACCTAATTGGTTGCATTGAAGCCTGTTTAAAGAAAGACAATGCTTAAAGACAGGGAACTTCCTAAGGAGTTAAAGGAGTCCTATTTGTCTAGCACTGTCCAGGGAAGAGAGACCCTGAGTACAAGGGACAGGAACTTCCCAGCCCCGGGAGAGGCCTTCGTCCCTAGGAAGCAGAGATAACTCTTCCACCTTTTCCATGCCATAGATTTACCAGCCCTACCAACAACCTCCCTGCCCTTCCAATTCCCAACACTCCAGCCAACTTCTGATGAGACAGTGCTATGGGTAAGGGGGTGCCCCGTGTGGGGACTGGGGCATTCCAAGCACAGGGAAGGTGTCTACCTTTCACCACATCTTAATAACATGACACCCAGTTTATGTGCCCATCCAGCAGGAGTCAACTGCTTACATATTAGATGCTGCTTCCAGGCTGAGAGTCAGCGATAACAAATGTCCTGCCTTGATCTAATCAAGCCAATGTAAAATAGCAAATACAGTCACCTGGGTAAAGGACAATGCCATGTTCCTCTAAACTGAGCCTATGATGCTTCCCAGATGACAATTTAGCCCAGAAAGGAAGTAAAACTTTCCTTCCCTTGGCTTTACCTATTATTCAGGAAAAGTCCAGGCCCTGAACATGGGGCTAACACAGCCATTTGGGAAGCTGACCGTCCCGTGTCGCAGATGTTGTTAGCATCAGGACTTCTGAAAGAATGCAACTGTTTACTTAACAGACAAATGGACATTTAATATTTAAGGTTTTCTCTTTAAGCAAGGAGTCAGCTTCAACTTCATGCACTTTGCAGCCTGATGCAAGTTCTACCAAATCCATCCAGAACATGGGAAAGAGGGGAAGCATTTCATTTTCAGAGGTTACTGATGCTCTGTGTCGAAAATGTAAGCACGTTTATCTTGAAAGCAGTAAAATCTGATCTATAGATTTTCTTAGATCTTTCTAAGTCAGTGTTGACCAGGGACCAGAAAAATCTGTCTCAACTTCTTTAAATGACACACCCTGTTTATCAATCAAAAGTGTGTGTGCCTTGTCCCACACTGTAGATCCCGGGGTGGTGCATAGCCAGCCCACCTGAGATGAGACACTGAGGGTGGGAAGGCCCTAAGCATGGGCCAAGGCCAACAGCTACAGCCCCAGGAGCCAGGGATGCCCCTGTGATGCTGTTGCCCTGGGAGAAGAAGAGGGAACCACTAGAAAGGAGACGATTTGTAGAGCATCAAAGGGCCAGAGAGAAAAGACCCCTCGGAGAGGATGGTCTCAGAGAAGAGGGGCTGAACTGGAAGCAAGCAATTAGGACATAAACAGGTATGAGGTCAAGCTCAAGTGGCCCCAGATCCCAGGCTCAGCCCCTCCCAGTTGCCAGTCAGTTCTGGTGTAAGCACCAGCAGGTCTCATTTCTCCGCCTTGTGCTTGCTCAGGGTGCCTGAGGCTCAGCTGCTGCCAGCAAGCGCCAATGGCACAGTCAAGTTTAAGCCAGTGCTGCGTTCTTCTCCATTTCACACCCAGTCTTAAGACTGCTTTACTCTTTCACAATGTAAGGGAATAGATAAACATGCCTTAAAGGCCACTTGCTCTTTGACAGAAGAAAACTATTTTACCAGGTTGAAAGAAAAATCATTATTTCCCTGACTGGTCTTTTCTGCAGTCAGATATTTTGACCTAGGGCTTCCACCTATCCACGGACCCATCTCCCTTTTCTGGATTCTTCCAATCAGCTGACATGGACTCCAACAAGGTGCAGCTGTCTCCTCTCTCTTCCCTCCTATGGCCATGAAATAAGCACCCCCACCTGCTCCAGGTAGAATCCCTCCAGCTGCGCCCTGGATCCCATCTCCTGTCCCCTCCTCCAGGACCTCACTCCTAAAGCGGGCTTTCTTCTGCATAGTTGCCCAGTCAAAATTAGTTTCTCTTCCTTTCTTCCTCCAGCCCTCTCTCCTTCCTCCATTCCCATCCCCATTCTTTTTCGTCTCCTCTATATTCACTACAAAACTTCCCGCTGGCCACTCTGAACCTCTAGGTCACCAAATCCAATGACGCCATTCTCTTATCTCAGCTTCTCAGTGGCCAGGCCCTCTGGGAAACCTCATGGGCTGTCCATCTTCCTGCAACAACTGGTTCCCCCTTCTCCTCTGCCCCATCACCATCTCCTCCTCCTTCCCCTGCCCTCTAAGTGCCTGAGCCCTGCCAGATGTTGTTGATGACTTACAAACTCAGGTCTCAAGCCTAGGTCCTTCTGGGAGCTCCTGGCCCAGGATCTGCTAGCCTATGTGGCCTCCCCATTTGGCTGTATAAAGAGCATCCCACATGTAACGTGTGCAACAGAGATTTTTTTATTTGCCTCCTCAAACCTGTTTTTCCCCAGGCTTTGCCTTCTCGGTAGATGACACTGCTGGTGACCTAGGTACTGAAGCTGAAAACCTACAAACTCTGTTGGTTCTAACTCTGAGGGACATCCCCAAGCTGTCCTCTTCTCTTCTTCTCCCCTCCCAGATCCTCATCTAAGTGGCTGCCATGTCTTGCCTAGATGGCAGCAGGAGTCACCCAACCAGCTCCTAGACCAACAGGACCTCAGAATACATCCATGGACTCCTCTGTCCTCCTACAGCCCCCACCATGCCCCGAATGGGACTCCTGCCACCTCCCCCACCCTCCAGTACCAGCATGCTCTGCAATCTCTGGACTCCAGCCCCCACTTCCTTCAGTCCCGGGACATGCTTCAGTCTTTCCCATCTGTTTGCTGTAGCCGTTCTCTTCACCCAAAATCCTCCTTTCCTGGCCCTCCACTGGCCACCTTCCTCTCTTCCTTCCCATCTCAGCTTAAACTGCTGCCTCCTCAGGGACTACCCCCTCCCTCCCCAACCATCACCCTCCTCCCAGCACTTCTTCCTCTGCAGCACTTCCCACCAGGGAAATTCGCTTTATCTATTTACTGACTGCTATGGACTGAATTGTATTTCCCCAAAATTAATAGGTTGAAGCCCCAACCCCCAATGCTATGGTATTTGGAGGTGAGATCTTCAGAAGCTAATTAATATGAGACAAGTCATGAAGGTAGGTGTCCTCATGATTATATTAATGGCTTCATAAGGAGAGAGGGAGGGAGGGAGAGAGTGAGAGAGAGAGAACAAGAGGAAGAAAAGAACAAGAACAAGAGGAAGGAGCAGGAGGAGGAGCAGGAGGAAAGGGGAGAAAGAAGAGGAGGAGGAGGAGAAGAAGAAGGAAGAGGAGGAGGAGGGAAGAAGAGAAGGAGGAGGAGGAGAAGAAGAAGGAGGAGGAGGGAAGGAGAGAAGGAGGAGAAGAAGGAGGAGGAGGAGGAGGAGAAGGTGAAGGCAAAGGCTCCCACCATATGAGAAGGCAGCCACCTGGCAGCCAGGCCAGAGCCATCATCAGGAATCGAATCTGCCAGTGCCTTAATCTTGGACTTCCCAGCCTCCAGAACTGTTAGAAATCAATGTCTTCTGTTAAAGCCACCCAGTCTATGGTATTTTGTTACAGCAGCCTGAGCAGACTAGTACATGAATTTATTTTTCTCTCTCCCCCAACAAAATATGAACTTCAGGAGGCAGAAAATGTCCCCAACTTATTCACCACTGTGTTCCCAGCATCCCTGGCAGGATGCTAATCGCACAACCAGTGCCTGAAAAAGTGTGGTTGTTGAATTTGCTCCCACTTTGTAGGTACAACTTGCTGATTTTTATAAGAAGAAAATGTCTAATAATCTAAGTCCAAATGCAAATGGTAGGTCCAGGGAAGGTATTTCAGATCTAAAATAGCTTTAAGACCAAAAGCAGAGGGCAGAGCAGGGGAGGCTACAGGGGAGGAGATATAGCCATAATTCTTCAGAAGAAATCTTTCAAGAGTTGGAAAGTTCTGTCTAGAAGGTAGTCTGCCCCTGCCTCCAATCTGCAATGCAGCTAAACTAGTGTTTCCCGAGGTGTGCTCCGTGGAACATTCTCTCCAGAGATGCCCTGCTAAGATAAAGGGCAGGGAGGTGCGGTGGTGTCGTGGTCAAACGGGTAAGCAAAGCGCTGCAGATGACACCTCCCTCTGGGAAGCTGCGCCTCAGCACACTGACGGGTCTGAGAGGTGTTGCGGAAGAGTCGTCCCTGTCTTTCCACTAGGAATTCTAGGCCGGATTTGACCTGATGTTAGGGGGTGAAGAAAGTGGGAGCAAATTCAACAACCACATTTTTTCGGGCACTGGTTATCCGATCAGCATCCTGCCAGAGATGCTGGGAACACAATGGTGAGTAAGTCGGCGACGTTTTCTGCCTCCTGCAGTTTATATTTTGTTAGGGAAGTGAGAAAAATGAATCCGTGTTCCCCAAAAAGATATGTTGAAGTCCTAACCCCTGTACCCACGCATGTGCCCTTATTTGGAAATAGGAGCTTTGCGATGTCATCTAGTTAAGATGAAGTCATAACGGAGTAGGATGGGCCCCAATCCAATGTGATTGACGTCTCTGCAAGAAGGCCACGTGAAAACAGAGACGCACAGGTTGGGGGAGGCCGCGTGAAGATGGAGCAGGGACGGGAGTGAAGCAGCTGCAGGCAGTGAATAGCAGACGCTAGGAGGGGCGAGGAAGGATCCGCCTGGAGCCCCAGCGGAAGCCTGGCCCTGCCGGTACCTGGACTTGGAGGTCGGGCCTCGGGAACTATGAGAGGGTGCATTTCTGTTGGGTAAAGCCACCCAATTTATGGGACTTCATGGCTGAGGCAGACGGCAGTAAACGAACGCCCTGCAACCCTCCGTCTTCTGCAGCCCCCACACCCGGGCCCACGGCTCCCCACCCCACAGCTCCTTAGCGCGGCTGCTCGGTGGAGCCTGTGCCTGTCCGTGTAAGCCCTCAGCCCCTTTCTCCACACCTCTCCCCGGCGCCCAGCCATTGTGCAACCTTCTTGGCACCGGCCGCTCGAGACTCACCCCCGGGCTGGGCAGCCCATTCCCTGTCACTCATTCTGTGTTTTGATCCTGCCTCATTCTATCTTCTTCTTGCTCACTTTTTACACTAAAAACTTTTACATTAGCTGACTGTAATCTATGTTTCCTTATAATTTACCCTAAATATATAACTCATGACACAATATTATCTATGTCTCAGGAATCTAAACCCATTCTAGACAAAGGTGGAATATAAATCAATATATATACTTTAAAAATATAATGGGACCGCCGGGGGCGGTGACTCACGTCTGTAATCCCAGCACTTTGGGAGGCCATGGCGGGTGGATCGCCTGAGGTCAGGAGTTCGAGACCAGCCTGGTCAACATGGCAAAACCCCGTCTCTACTAAAAATACAAAAATTAGCCGTGCGTGGTGGCGGGCGCCTATAATCCCAGCTACTCGGGAGGCTGAGGCAGGAGAATCACTTGAACCCGGTAGGCGGAGGTTGCAGTGAGCCAAAATCGTGCCACTTCACTCCAGCCTGGATGAAAGAACAAAACTCGGTCTCAAAAAAATAAAATTTAATATAATAGGACCTCATACACCGTCAAATTAAAGCCCTCTGCTCACTCTTCATGGCCTTTGGCACCAAACACCAGCCCCAAGGGAGTCCTGCTCTTCTTCCCAGCTCCCTCCTCTGCCAGCGCCACCCCCTGCTCTGCTGCCACTGCCCCTACTCCAGCCTCTCTCTCCACCCTGGCACTGCCCCTTCTCCCCGCCACCCCACCCCCTCCTCTGCCGCCACCACCCCACCAAACCCACCCTGCTCTCCCTGCCTCAGGGCCTTTGCACAGCTGGTTTCCGCCGCTGACAGTGAATATCTGCCTGTTCCTCCCTGGCCTGTCTGCTGAGCTCCTGCTCAAAATCTGGCCTGGTCTTGACCTCTCCAAAAGGCCTTCCCCAACACTTGGTACTCAACCGAGCCCCTCTCATCCACACACCCTCCACCAGGTGTGACATTCAGAATGTTTAACAACTGGTCTGGCACAGACGCCGCTACTCAGAATGATGCAGGCCAGCGCAGCATGGGCACTGGAAGCTCGGGTGACACCCGCTCGCCAGCAGCCACAGAGGTATTTCAACGGATTAGCAACTGTGCGCGCTGGCGACCAGCAGGACGGTGGACACGTATTTGTGGAGTTGTACAGGGCACCCCTCAAGGGTGAGCGGCTCTGCTCTGCTCCGGGCAGGACCGGGTCTCAGTGCCTGGCATCGCCCCTGGCGTGGAGGGGGGAGCTTGGTTAACATTTGTCAAACCGAACCAAACTCTTTTGGGCAAAGACAAAATACAGAGACCGAGGATTTTCCCAGACTGTCACATCTCCTCAGCGAGCCAAATAAAACCTGTTCCTGGACAGTCTGTTTGCTCAGATGGTGAGTCTGTCAGATTTCACAGCTTCAGCGACCTCATGAAGCTCTGACCTGAAAATAAATTGAGAGGGAATAAAAAAAGAAGGAGGAAGAACAAGAGAAAATGATCTGCTCCTCCTGAGGCCGCTCTTTTGGCAAGCACGCTCCAGTCGGTTCCAAAAAAACAAAGGGAAATCTTCGTTATGTCAGAAAAACCGACATAAATCGCCAGCAACTCCGCTTTCCTGGCAACGCTTTCCGTGCTCCTGGGAAATTGGAACCCAATTCTTGAACAATTTCAATGCAGAAGCCTTGTCTTATGTTATACAAGAGGCCTCAAAACTTTCCGCAATCGGAAGAGAATGTCTGCTGCTCCAGGTGGGGCAAAAAGTCAAGGGACAGGAAGCCGCAGGGCCGTGAGCACCTCAGGGGCGCCTGCACTGGCAGCTCTGGGCTTGTGCTTTTCCCAAGGGGTCTAAGACACGTGTACAGGCAGAAAAGCAACCACCCTAAGGGGACCCCGCCTATGTGAAGCAAATGACTGAACTGTCACAGACTGAACTGTGTCCCCCGCAAAATGTGTATGTTGAAGCCCTAACTCCCAGCATCTCGGCATGTGACTGGATTTGGAGACGGCAGTCTTTAAAGAGGTGACTAAGTTAAAATGAGGCTATCAGTGTGGGCCCTGATCCAATATGACTGGTGTCCTCACAAGAAGAGGAGATGAGGACACAGAGAGACATCAGGGAGCCGTGTGCACAGCGGAAACGCCATGTGAGGACAGGGCAAGAAGACACCGTCTGCAGGCCAAGGAGAGAGGCCTCGGGAGAGCCCAACCCTATTGATGTCTTGAGCTTAGACTTCTGGGCTCCAGGGCTGTGAGTCAGTTGGTTTCTGCTGTTTACGTCCTGTTTGTGGTGCTTTGTTATGGCAGCCACAGCATACTCATACCACCCCCTAGGAAAGGATTTTGCCAGTCTTAAGGTCCCCATCATGCAAATTACCCACTTAAGACTCACAGGCCTGTAGGTTATGCACATAAAAGTTACGCCAGAAGTCCCAAGGGATCTGGGGCCTGGTCTAGGGGCAGCTGTGGCGGCTGCCCAGGCTGGGGTTGGTGACTTGGGCTGAAACCTGGGTTCCTCAGCACATCTGCCGTGTGGTCTGAGCCTTAGATTGCTCCTCTCTAAACAAGGGTAATAACAGCATCTGATTCTCAGCATTTTGTGAGATTTAGATCCTATTATATCTTTAAAGCACTAAGCATAAGTGCCCAACACAATAAAAAGTTCAATAAATACCACCATTTCTATTCTATTTTCAACACACCTGATTCCCTGATTGCTTCAGGCATAAATAGTACAAAGTTCCCCTAAGAAGAAAAGAGGTCATCCTTCGAACAAGGCTTAAGAAACAAGGGTACCACGACGGTGATCATATCATAAGCTTTTGTTCATTTTTTTTGTTTTGTTTTGAGACAGGGTCTTGCTGTGTCGCCCAGGCTGGAGTGCAGTGGCATGATCATAGTTCACTGCAGCCTCGACCTCCTGTGCTCAAGCGATCCTCCTGCCCCAGCCTCCCAAGTAGCTGGGACTACAGGTGTGCATCGTTGTGCCCAGCTAATTTTTAAAAATCTTTTGTAGAGATGGGGTCCCGGTATATCGTCCAGGCTGGCCTCAAACTTCTGGGATCAAGTGATCCTCCTGCCTTGGCCTCCCAAAGTGCTGAGATTATAGGCGTGAGCCACCATGCCCCGCCAAGATTTCTTAAACTCCTCTAACTTCCCCAGATTTGTTACCCCCACCTCTTCCACCCACCACCTCCTTGACAAAATTATTTTAATGAACCATTCTTGAGTCTCTGAGGTCAGTAAGGAAGCAGGAACTTCAAAGAAGTCCTTCTCCCAAACCTGTCTAGAGAGATAGAAACATCTGGGAATGAGAGGAGCAGCAGCAGCCTGGGATGGGAAAGGAAGGCACTGGGGGATCCCAAGGAGCCTGGTGAGGATGGAAAGGAGAGCCCAGGAACCCGGATGGTGGCCCAGACGTTGCACCCTCCAGGACCTCAGATGAGCCAAACGTGTAGCTTGCCAGCCCACGAACTCAGGTCTGTGGGTTTTTCACTAGAGTCTAGAATTTGGCCTACAGAGCCACAGAAATGGCCTGAAAACACCCAACAGGAAAGAAAGAGAGAGAGAGTGTGTGTGTGTATGTGTGTGTGTGTATGTGTGTGTGTACACCATTCTTTAGACTAGCTTTAGTCACTGGAAGTTGTCTGATTTCTCAGAAATATTTTTCATCCTTCTATGGCACCAGGATAACAGCTAGAATGTGCTAGTTTAAGGAAAGGAGCAGATTTTAATAAGTCCTGGCCTCTATGTTCAGACCCTAGAACTTTGGCAAATCTGCCCATCCAGACGTCACCTCTGACAAAGGGGAGCCCGGCCTTCAGTGGATTCTGTGCCTGGAACTCCAACACCCCACAGAGGCACCCCCTCCTCCCTACTCATTAAACATCACTTGTTCATTCTTTGCTTATTCATTCATTCCATGGACATCTACTGGGCATCACTCTGCACCAAGAAACTACATCAGCACCTGCCCCGGCCTTTCAAGCAGTCGCACCAACTCAGAGCAATGAGTTGCGTCTGGTTTCTACCAGCCCAGAAGCAAGGATGCCAGGTGACGACTCCACAGGCAGGAAAGTGGTCCACGAACAAAGTGCTTGGATGTCTTTTTCCACTTTTTCTCTTAAAAAGAGACAGAAATGAGAAAACCGTCTCCCATCTCTGACCAAGGAATACATCCTGAGTGTAAAACAAATCTGCACGGCAAGGAACTCTCTCAGCCCCAGGGGGAATGGGGGTGGCCATCGGAGTCCGCAGGAGAATCGTGTCCTGGACATTCTAGATGCGTCGTGATGCGGGGTGCTGGGGAAAGGGTCCTGAGCAGCCCACAGCCCCAATGTCTGGCAGGGCCATAGCCATCTGGTGTGAGGGGAAAGAGAGGAAGGGGCCGGTCTCCGTCCTGCCTGGACATTACCCCAGGGAATATCAGCCAGGATTGTGCTCTGTGTCCCCTCCCTGCCTCTGGAACAGAAATTTGCTCTTACTCCCCACCACACATTCTGCAACACCAAAATGGCCTGGCCTGGCCTGGCTTGGTGTCAGGATCTGGGGGTCCAGAGAAGGGGGCATCCTCAGATAGGAAGTCTCCTTACCAGCTGTGGCTCCAAAAGTTGGTGGACCATCCCAGCTCAGAAGGGAAGGCTGTATGGCCAAAGCGGAGGTCTCCTAACTGGATCAACAGCAAACCGTGACTATATCTGGGCCAGGGGACTTGCTATGCCACAACCTCATCTGTATTTCAACCCAGATGTTGTCAGGACTAACTGTCTAAGAGGCTCAAAGAAAGGCCTCACATAAGTGTAAACGAAATGCCAGCTCCGTGGACCACTTCACCTGGATGCCTCCAGCCCGATGACAGGCTCTCAGCCTGTCGGGGTCAGACTAGTCCATTGGGCAGCTGGACATCTTCCCAGGCACCTAGGAGGCCCCTGACATTTGGCCTTTTCTCTGGGAAAAATGGAATGCAGCCGCAACAGACTGTGACTTGAACTGCAGCAAGGGCCACCCCGCCGCCCTGAGAATCAGCCAAGCCTGCTGCCTGCCACACGGAGGGCCATAAAATCCACCCTAGTCCCTGCTTAAATACCTGTATAGTTGATTTTTTAAAAACCCTGTTCTGGCTGCGACGCAGGTGCTTCGAAAGATCCATCCCAGGGCTGCTCCTGTGCACACTGCAGGACCCAGGGGAACCGGGACGGGAGCTCGCCGCGCACATGTGTCTCCAAGCTGAGAAACCCAAAGGCAAAACTGGAGATAGGATTCATCTTCCAAACAGGTGAATTCCCAAAAGGACCTTGGATTGCAAACACATAGAAAGGAGCCCAGACCCCCATCTCAGGCCTGGTGGAGAAGAGCAGAGGGCCAGGGGCTCGGTCTCTCTCACTTTCCTCCCCACCCGAGAGAAGGGCCTGGCCCTAAGCCATGCAGGTGGGAAGTGCCTGGCCCTATGCCATGCAGACAGGAGGAGAAGAGGTCATGGTCTAGGGAAGAACCAGTGAACCATGAGTGCGGGGGATGCTGACACTGGGGTTCATAACCAAGAGTCTTCTGAGGGGTGTCCCAGCGGAACCACCCAGAGATGAGACGATCGGCTCTCATGGCCCCTATAGCTTTGGGAGGGAAAGACACCATCTATCTGTGTCTGGTCACCTGTCAAAACTCCTTTGAAAGATCACAAGCTTCGGTACTTTCCCAGCAGTGCAGGCCCCATCTCCCAAGGCTCCTGGCACCCACCCCCCACCACCAACTCATCTCTCCTTTCCAAGGGTGGGCTCTGGGAGTCCCTCGGGGGTCTGCCTCCCCATCCCCTGACTCTGAGCTCCTCCCTTGAGGAGGGAGACTAAGTCACCCTCTCTGTTTTTCCCAGCACCAAAGACATGACACTCCATAAACATGGGTTAAATTCATCCATCAATGAATCCTCACAGCTGGCATTCTGTACCATTTGTCTTATGTCACTGTTTTAACAGAGTACATTTTTTATTTTTTAAAATAAAAAGAGATGGAGAGGAAATTACTCCAAAACGCCTCTCAGGTGATCCCACAAGGCCTCAGCCTGATGGGTCAGCTCATGAGCCCCCTTCCCACCTGGGGGCTGCATCTTCTCGTGGCAGGTTCAGTTACTTGAGGGGTTAAAAATAAATTATTGAAAATATAAATTTAAATATTCAAAACCACCAAGGAAACATCAAAAGAGGCCATAAAACTGTGCATGTGTGTGAAATGCGATTTTCTTGGCTGACTCCAGATGAGGACTGAGCCTAAAGCTGTGTAACCCACATCACCTGAGCTGTCACTCCTAGCCTCTGGCCCCGGGGACCAGCTCTGTGTCCTTCTGATTATAAGTTCATCTCCCACCCATATCGAGTGTAGTGAGAATCCCAGGCCCCACATGAGTCGTGCAGAGAAGAGCAAAAGGCACAGGATCTTCAGGTGAGAGGAAGACACAGCCCTCCTTGTGCAGAGGAAGGGGCAGGTGACTCGCTGTAACTCAGAGGACTCCCCAGAGGGGTACCTCTGACCAGCCCTCCTTGTGCAGAGGAAGGGGCAGGGGACTCGCTGTAACTCAGAGGGCTCTGCAGAAGGGCACCTCTGACCAAAATTTGCTGAGCCCTGAAGTACTTCATCAAGACTCATGGCAGGGAGGGGAGAACGTGGCCTGGGCCCCCAGTGTGCCTGGGCAGGTAAACTCCGGGATAGAAAATAGTGAGCAAACGGACTGGGGCCCACTGGCGGGAGACAGAGGGCCTCCCACTGTGATGCTGCCGCAGCCTCCTGATAAGGGCCAAGCCACCCAGGTGAAGGTATCACAGGACACTCAGGTGACCCACCTCGAGGCCAGGTCTCCATCCAGGCCACTGTCACTTCCCATGGCATCCGGCACAGAAGGGACACAGTGAATGCTTGCTGATGAAATCAATAAGAATAGGTAACAACAGTCTAACACGTGTATTGTGTGTTAGAGTTCAGGGAGTCTCTTTTGTGTGTTCTTTCATCTGTTCCTGAGGACAGCCCCCTTTCCTTGCAGGAAGAACTGGGGACTCAGGGATGCTAAGTCAGGCTGGAGCCACTGAGAGGTAGAGCCAAACCAACCCAGGACTTGGAGGTGCTGTGCACAGATGCTCAACACTGCTGTAAAGGGAAGGCTCTGGTTCTTAATTCTGGGGCTTTCCTTAATTTAGTAAGAGCTACCAGTTAATACTATGTGCTGGTCACACATTCTCATTAATCTCCTAACAACTGAACAAGCTAGGTGCTATTACTATCTGATATGGTTTGGATCTGTGTCTCCACCCAAATTTCATGTCAAATTGTTATCCCTGGTGTTAGAGGTGGGGTCTGGTAGGAGGTGACTGGATCATGGGGGTAGGGTTCTCGTGAATGGGTTAGTGGCATCCCCTCGGTGCTGCTCTTGTGACAGCGAGTGAGTTTCGCAAGATCTGGTTGTTTAAAGTGTGTGGCACCTCCCCACTCTCTCTCTTGCTCCTGCCCCAGCCACGGAAGACCAGCCTACTTCCCCTTCATCTTCTGCTATGATTGTAAGTTTCCTGAGGCCTCCCCAGAAGCTGAGCAGATGCCGGCACTATGCTTCCTGTCCAGCCTGCCAAACTGTGAGCCAATTAAACTTCTTGTATTTATAAATTACCAGTCTAGGGTATTTCTTTAAAGCAGTGCGAGAGTGGACTCATATACCATCCCATACTGCAGATGAGAACACTGAAGGCCAGAGGCTGCTCTCCCGGGTCACAGAGCCGGAAGTGGTGTCCGTGTAACTCAAGTGTGGCACAGCCCGACTCCAAGGTCACGCTACTGCCTGTTCCCCTCAGTCGCTCTCTGCCAGGAGGCATCCCTTCTGAAAACTCTCCTGTACGACCCCCTCACCACCGGCATGCACAGCCCCACCAGGGCTTGTCCAGTTGTTCAAGCAACTGCAGGTCAGGCTCAGCCCATCTTTAAGAGGAGAGAACTTGCTGCTGAACCCCCATTAGCTGCTTCCACTGAGCCATGCAAAAATGAAAGAGAAAAATAGAGAATCAAAAAAAGGCGAAGATGTGCATGATGTGCACCAGCAGGAATGAAGCCTGAATTCACCCATCAGTGCTTCTCAAGCTCAGAAAGACCCAGGAGGCTGCTTCTCGTCATAGAAACCCAGACATGCAGAGGCGGCCTGGCCTCTCTTCTCCTTCCTTCCTTGTGGGGGAGGACATGAGCTGTCCCCAAGGAGAGTTGTCCATGGGCCAGCAGGGAAGCCACCACTCCCCACATCCCAGCTAAACTTAGGGTAAGAACAGCCCCTGCTGGTCTCCCAGCAGGAAATCAAGTGGGCAGGCCCAGGGGACCCCTGTTTGTGCAACCCAAGTTCCAGTGGTAATTAAGTCAGAGGCTGGGCTGGCAGTGAGGACGATGGTCTGTGCTAAGTGGTGACAGGGTTACCCACAGGGACCCCCCAGCCCAGGACACATGTGCAGCAGAGGCAGCAGGAGCAGCAAGTCCCCAAAATGGGCAAGGGCAGGCCAGGATGGGTAAGGCTAACAGAGGAGGAGACAGCGCCAGGGATACTGCTTTAAGGGCTGTCTCCCACCAGGAAGACTCCAGATTCCACGCAGCATTCATTCACTCATTCATTCACAGAGACATGCTGAGCAACCAACCACCAGGTCCCAGGCCCTGCTATGGGCGCTGGGGACACAGTAAAACCTAAAAATTCCTTTCTATGGGAGTGAGAGGGAGCCAGGCAGATACCTGGGGAAGGGCATTGCAGGCAAGACCAGCAAGGGCAAAGGCCCTGCTTCGAGAAGTGGCCAAGATGCCTGTGTCCCCAGAGTGGAGTGAGGGAGGAAGGGGAAGGGGATGGGCTCAGAGGGGCCCTGGCGGGTGGGGGTGCAGATCCTGTCACAGTGAGGACTTCAGCATCTATCCTGAGTGAGAAGGGGGCCCTGAAAGGCTTTGAGCAAAGACGTGCCATGATCTGACGCTCATTCTAACAAGGCCTCTTGGGTGGCCACGTGGAGAAGGTTCTAGAGCAAGGGCGCAGAGGCAGGAGTGATGCAGGAGACCAGAGAGGGGGCTGCCACGCTCCCGCATCACACCTCGCCGCGAGAAGACAGCGGAACTAATGATGGTGGGCATAGAGCTTCGATGAAGCTCTGCTGTGAAGGAAAAACTAGAAACAGAACTGGAGGGAAGTGAGTCGCGATGGGAGCATACGCAGACACTGATGGGAAAGAACCAGGAAGGAAGGAAAAGAAGCTGCCACCGCAGGAGAGGGAAGGGACGCTGCGGCGGCAAACACTTGGAACTGGCCAAAGGGACAGGGTCAAGTTCATGAGTGAAGAGTTGCCCTTGGCAAGGAGCATGAGGGTCCATCCCTCCAGCCGCCCCCACGAGCTCCCTCCTCCCCTGCATGGCTGTGTCCGCTCTTTCCCATTCCCTCAGCAGAGTGGCCGGGCGAGGCTGGCAGGGGGAAGCCAGGGCAGTGTCAGTGTTGTTCTGACTGCCCCTGTCTCCTCTGCTCTGGGCGATGGAAAGCAGGTCAGCAGCTGCGAGGAGTGCGGGGAGGGGAGCAGGGTGGAGGAGGGATAAGAGGGGACGGCCCGGCCCAAGAGACCAGAGAGCCAGACAGGGATGGATTGACAGCACGGAGGAGGGTCGAGGGACAGCACGGAGGAGAATCAGACAGAGCCAAGGGGGCACTTGATGCTGGTGCTGGGAACTGAAGGCCAGTCAGGCTGCTGGGCAGGTGTGGGCACAGCTCAGGAGGAGAACCAGGTACTGGGCGGGTGTGGGCACAGCCCAAGAGGAGAACCAGGTATGAGTAGAGCTGGACGAGCCACGCACCTGGTCATGTGAGCGAGGGGAAAGGGGCCCGATGCAGAAGGCACGTGGGCGAGGAGGGACCTGTGGAATCTGAGCTGAGTCGGGGAGGGTGTGAGACCAGGAATGGCTGGGGCAGCACAAAGACACCGAGGGTCCCTGGATTCTGGTGTTGAGGCGTGGCTGGACTGTAGACACTGGGAGGAGTGGGCAGAGAAGGCCAGGTAGTCTGAATGGGCTTCTGGAACCTGAGATGGTAAAGCAGGAAGCCACAGAGAACAGACCCAGGGCCTAGGGATGAGTCGCTGAACAAGGAGGTCTTTAGAGGGGAGAAAGCCCAGGAACTGAGAAACCAAGGTGTCGTCGGAGAGAACGACACGAAACACCACAACACAGGAGAGGGCTGGACAAGAACCCGCCAGCGACCATCAGGGAGCAAAAAAGAATGGCCCCAGGGCCCAAGGGTGGCCCCACAAGCAGCAGTGGGGCGTGAAGCAGCCGAAGATGCAGACTCAAGGACAAGGGGGGACAGTGAACTAGAAGTGGCCCTGGGGACCAAGGATACCCACCCCCCCGCCCCATGCCAAGGCCCAGTAACACTCAGGCCGAGAGGAGAACACAGCCTCCACTTGAAAGGGCTGAAGGGCAGCAGTGTCCCCACGGCAGAGCCAGAGCCCCTGAGCGGAAGAAGGGGGAGGCTGCGGAGAGGGGGCTTTGCTAAGTGCAGCAGGTTCCCAAGGAAACACAGAATGTTCCAGGAGCTGGGGTGGGAGGGTCAGGAGAGGGGGCGTACAGAGCCCTACAGGAACTGGAGTCCAGGGGCAAGGGTAGACTGGGACACCACAGAGCACCATCTTGGGTTTAACGGGACCACCTATTCGAATGAATACAATCCAGAGGGAGCAGCCTCTGTCACAGGCTGGTCCTGAGTCTGTCCTGGCAAACAGGGATGAGTCTGTCCTGGCAAACAGGGATGAGTCTGTCCTGGCAGGGATGTTTCCTCAGAAGGGACAGTCTATCAAAGCACCAACAGCAACTGAGCCCCCAAGTGCATCAGCAACCTCGGACACCCAGGCTGGGGGCACCTGAAGCAGCTCAAGACCTGGCAATCAGGACCCACTGGAAGACCCCACTCACAGCGCTGGGTAGCGGGAGGCCAAAGGGCCAAGAGGAACCAGAGGTCTCCGTCCGTGCAGCCCCACCTGCCCACCCCACGCAGCTCCAGGATGTAGCGAAGAGTGGGTCTGGAAGTGTCTGCCTGGGAAGGAGTCTGCAGTAGCGGTAGGTAATCTCCCTACTGCCTTCTCTTGGGGCTGAACGGTCACTGTGTCACCGGAGAAGCCTGCGTCAGCTGCCGTCTGCCTCTGCACGTGGCCATCTCCCAAACAGCTCACTGCGTTCTGAATGAACTCAGAAATTGCCTGCCTCAATTCTGAGATTTTCAGCTCATAAGCACTGGGAGAGAACGTTCAGACCCGAGGTGCTGTATCAACCTTCCGCTAAGCACTCCTGGCAACATATTCAATGTCGACATTGTTCACCGTGTCTCCAGATCACCAGAGGGACGTGGGCACCTTGCCGCAGCGCCTCACCAATCACGACCAAAACATAAAGGGGCTGACTTAGGGGCCAGGGCCTCGTTCCACATGCAAACTCAAATTACACCCCGGAAAGAGGCAGCACAGTCATTCTCCCTGTGCCTGGGAACACACAGTACAGAGGGCCGGGCTTCCAGCGCTGCTCCCTGCAGTGGGGCCTCAAGACGAATGGCCAGCGCTCCTGTGCACGGCTCCCATAAATACCCCAGTGTGATGTTCCCATTTCTCCTTCCCAGAGTCCCCTCTTCTCCGCCTGCCTCACCCTGACAAGGACTAGAAACTCGTGGAGGCCAAGGCCCCCTGGGGCTCCTTCCCCTCCCCACCATACTCTCTCCTCCACCCACCCTACCCCCACCATTGCCTCCACAAATTGGAGTCCCTCACCTAAGAAATAGACAATGAACTCTTCTACCTTGGTGATAAACCTACAAAGACATGTTCAAATAGCCTGGTACTGCCGAGACAGATATCTCAACTGGGCACTGCCAGGTGACGTTTGCAGAAGTCTGAAGTCTACCCCGTGACTTCAGCCCTAGACTCCACACCCCCGCGATGTGTTTGATGCAGCCAAGGCCTGTTTGAGAGTCTTCATCTGAACCCACACCCGGTCGGGACCCAGAGTGGCAATGAGCAGCCAGAGTGTGGGCCCTGCACCCCAGGGACTCAGCTTCAGGCTTCTCCGCCCTGGCCCCGGAGCAGACAGATGCCGTCTCTGGAGTAGCTCAGGGTGCAGGCAGCTTATTATCTACAGACTCTCTTCCTGCCCCATCTCCCCAGGAAGGCAAGACAAGGAGGCTGTGGTCCTACCCCCAGCCCTTCACCACCATGGAGGACCAGGGTGCAGGCCGGGAACAGCCGCCTGAGTCCTCCGTGGCCCTGCCGGTCACTTCCCCGGCCTCACCTCCTTCCACGTCCTCTCTCCACCAGCTCCTGCCTCGCAGTCTCCCGGCTGACCTTCAAACACTCCCAGTGCAATCCCGCCCCAAGGACACCGCGCTTGCAGTCCCCTCCTGGGAACGTCTTTGCCCAGATGTCCCTGGGATTCCCTTCCCCCGCTGGACCCCATTCCCTCCTTCACTTTCCCACTGGGCTCGTGACATTTACTCCTCACTGAGGATCCCCCGATGCCCTCCTCCCACCAGAACATCAGCTCCTTGAAGGCAGAGACTCTGGGCTGCTTTAACCACCACATCCTAGTGTCCAGGACAGTGCCTGACACACACTAAGTCATGGGATGAATAAACACTTAGAAAAGCATCTGAACTTAATAGCTGCTGTTTCTTTAAAACCAAGAGAGCCAGGCATGTAATCTCTTGCACTTTGGGATCCCAGCACTTTGGGAGGCCAAGGCGGGTGGATCCACCTGAGGTCAAGAGTTCGAGACCAGCCTAGCCACCATGATGAAACCTCATCTCTAGTAAAAATACAAAAATTAGCTGGGTGTGGTGGTGGGCCCCTATAATCCCAGCTACTCAGGAGGCTGAGTCAGAAGAATCGCTTGCACCCGGGAGGCAGAGGTTGCAGTTAGTAGAGATTGTGCCACTATACTCCAGCCTGGGCAACAGAGCGAGACTCCATCTCAAAACAAAAAAACAAACAAACAAAAAACCCCAACAATCAAGAGACACAAAATGAAGATGGAATGCAACAATATGCATAGCAGGATCGATCACACTTTCCCAGAATAGAGGATGTACGTGAAGGTGGGAGACAGGTGAGCTGGCAGGCCCTGCACCCCCTGGCCTTGACGCTGCCCCCTCCCTGGGTGTTCCTAAGGAACATCTTGGCTTCTGGCTCACTGCCTTTCTGACTGGGCAGTTTCCTCTATGCTTTGTCCATATTGGTCCCCGCCGGATCTTCAGCTTAGGCTGAGACCCCAGAACCAGCCTGTAGTTCGTACATGAACCCCCAGACTTGAAACAAGCTGAGCTCGCAGTCCGGAGAATGGCTGATGCTGGGTCCTCAAGTTAACTAGCTGACGTTCAGCAGCATTTTCCTCATGTACCGTATCAGGGAACTACTTGTTAAAATGAAGCCACGCATTGTACTTTCCTAAGTCGGCCTGAGTCTGGGGAGATTTGGCCTGTCTGTAAGTTTAATTTTAAACTAATTCCTAAAGCTGGAGGAGATTTGCAACACAGGTTGACGGCTCATCTTAGAGTCTCAGAAGTCCTGTGAACGTTCTCAGATGCACTTGGGGAAGGCCTCGTCACAAAGCTCTGCTTCAAGTGGTCATTCCTTCTGAGGAACACACAGACTGTGTCTGCACACACCTGCAGGTCCTTACACCTGAGTGCGGTGCAAGCTGCAGCTCCCAAGCGACAAAGGAAGCCGCTCACTTCGGACTCAAGACCAGCTGAGAAGAGAATGAAAGGAAGGCAAGACTGTTGCAAGGGAAGGCTCAGGGACAGGTGGTGGTGGGCGTGCTCAGGACACTCCCAGAGGAACGCTGGATCTCTTACAGAGCTCAAATGGGATGACTGCTCACTCGGCAGGTGCTGCAGAATCTCTCCGGGCAAAGGCTGAGATTAGGGCCCAGCTGGCGTAGCCACACCAAAGCCAACAGCAGACGCTCCCCTCTCCTGAGAAGACCCATTCCTGAAACTTTTAATTTACTAATTCCATCAAAAATTAAACTTTTAATTGTACTTTGTTTTTCAAATGGCTCCCACTGTGACTCTCTAGGTAGTATTTGTCTCACTCTGGTAGTTACCTGGACTTTCCAATTGTGGTGGTTTATTTTACCTTGGAGTGACTCTTTTTCCCCTTTTTTCCACGCTCTACAATTTCTCCTTGTCACAATTATTAATAGGTTCTGTTCCTAAAGCCATAATATTCAAATGATCTTAATAAAGCACAGCTCTAGGGCCAGCCAGCCAGCAAAAGAGAAAATCTTGATCCCCACAAGTCCAGGAAGCCTCCACCCTCCCCGCTGAAATCCTCCATGACCACCCCCCTCCCCTCGCCTGGCCAGACAGGCTGCACCATTATGACCAAGGGCTTCCTCTGCTCTCAGAATGACTCAGCCTAGACTTCACCAACTGGCTAAACAGGGAATCAGCTAGGGGGTAGGGTGAGAGATGTCCTAAAATCTCTTCTTTGTCAATGAATACTAGAAAAAGTCACCTGGTGATAGAAGCTTCAGGGTTTATACAGAACCCACCCCAAGTCACAGAGCTCTGTTGCTGGGAAGGCATTCAGCCTGGGTGGATGACATCCAGGCATATCCCCTGCTCGGATGACGCTCCACCACCATCACCACCCACCAAGTGGAGAAGCTGCACTTATCAGCTTCAATCTCTAATCCTAGTAACCTCCAAAAAAAAAAAAAAAAGAGAGAGAGAGAGAGAGAAAGCCAAAGCCAACCAATGAGCAGGAGGAAATGAGGCCGCAAAGAGCTTCGAGACATGCAACCACTTTGGAGACACTGGCCAGTTAAAGGGCAACTTCTAGGGTCACTCAGAGCCTCAGGACACCTGGCAAGAAAAGAGAATGAAAGGGAGGAAGCTGAAGAAGGGTGGGGACAGGAATGGAGAAGAGAGAAAGAAAGGTAAGCGGAAGAGAGGAGGGACAATGGAGAAATGTAAATCTACTTGACAGCCAGAGACCTTATCCTTCAGGTCCTGCGTGTGCCAGTTCCTCCATCTGGAATTCCCTTATCCCCTCCTGCATCTAGAGAATGCAGAGTCCTGATTTAAGACTGTGCTGAAGTGTAACCTTGTCTGTGGAGTACCCTCCTTCTCACCGAAGGGAGAAAATCTATCCTCCTGAACCTTTAGTCAGGACAAGATGTTATACTGCAGTAACAATAACAATTGACCCTAACAGTTCAGTGGCTTCAACAAAAAGCCACTTGTTCACACCACACATCCCCTGCATGTTGTGGGGGAGGAGACTCCACTCCATGTAGTCACTCAGGGATCCAGGCTGCTGGAGCCTCCACCTCAGCACAAGCAGCCCTGATTACTGAGTCAGGAGAAGGGCACATAGCAAACCACACATGTCACTTCTGCTCACCCTGCATGAGCCAAAGTCAGTTGTACAACCACTCCTAACTTCAAAGGGGGCAGGGAGGAAGAGTTCCACCATGGGCACCCAGGAGGAAAAACAGAAATATCAACTCTCAGTGCTAAGGCTATCTCCCATGTCTACTCCGGCAGCAGTTGTGATGGTCACTGCTCCATGGCAGCATTTCACATTAGGTTTTATAGTTTCTCCTTTTAACAAGCTGGAAGAAAAGCTCTACTATCTGTACTTGCATTTTTACAGATAAGAAAAATCAAGGCTCAAAGAATTTAAACATATTTATTGAGGTCAGCATTTAAGAACATGAGTCCAAAACTCACACTCTTGCCCCTAAACCACACACATTCCTAAGTGGAGTTAGTCACTTTCTCCTCTCTCCCACTGTCTCTCCCACTGAACCATGAGATCTTCAAGGGAAAAACAGGGCCTTGTTCACCTGGCCAGCAGAGTTAGGCACTAAGAAATGTCTGCAGAGTGAGCACATCAGCTGCATCCGGGATGGAACACAGACGGCAGCCCCAGGCTGCTGCAGCCCTTGCCAGTGAGCACCATGGAGCCCTGCCAATTTCAGCCACAAGAACCACGGACAGCTCCCATGTGGCACTCCCTCCCTCTGGAAGCCTCCGGCAGCTGGGAGACCCTTTGGGAGTTCTCTGGGACTTGGGAGGCTCTGGTATCCTGGCCTCCTGCTGTTCCAGGTCCAACCAAGCCAGCCAGAAAAATGTGGGAGGTTGTCAACAAATGCCCTCCAAGTTTTTATCAGTGTGGGCTTAACTACATTGGCTACTAGCTTATTAAATAAAGTAAATTAGGTCTCAATTATTTGCCTGCACACCAGGCAGGAAAAATGAAATTTTCAATTTAAACATAATATTGCTATTAATATGCAGAGGCAGATCTGAGATCAGACTTTCTGTGCACTTCTACTGAGAGAGGTCAGAGAAGAGGGAGATTCTCATGAAGGGGTCCCCTCCCAACCAAGGCACCCACTGGAGAATCCCAGGCCCTTTCAGAAGAGCTGGGTTTTGGATGCCTGGAAAAGCAGTTTGGGAAGGAACAGCAGAACCTAAACCATGCGTCTGTTTTATTTTCTTCAGTGCATCACTGCCAAATGCCCTTATTAACATTACCTTTCCATATCAAAACATCTAAATCGGGCACATTCGAGGCCTCTGCATTTGCATTTTTTAATGGAAAGAGAGAACTAGTATCGAGGAAGGATGTGCTTAACTCCAAGCCCGTATCAGCCACACAATCCAACAACAGATGCTAGAGGACGTCTTCAAGAGGAGACTTTTAAAATCTACTCATGTGGTGTTATTTGGGCTTAATCAGCACAATGTGCTCTAAAAGCCAATTTCATATCTGGAATCAAAAGAACCAGGATTCAGTACCGATAGTCACCTTCTAGGGCCTCCCCTTCCAGAAACCCTTCTTGCTAAGGGCATCTACAATAAGGATGTAACGGCTCTAATGGAATAAAAATAATCTTTCAAATGTAGATATATATAAAGTTTAAAGAGTTTGAGGTTGGCCTGCTGGGGGGTACAAATTAATGACTAGTCAGACATGCAGTCTCAGGTATTGGGGGTATTTGGTGCCGGATGGTGACCAGCTGTTTGCTATTTCAGCTGAGGACAGAATGAACAGGAAAGATGCTTCCAACTACAGCAGGAGGGGGCCAGACGGGCAGGTGTGGCTAGCAACAGCAATGCCCTTCCAGGAGAGGTTGGTCTCATCCCTGGAGGCCAAGTCACAGTGGATAAGGAGCAAGCTTTTGGGTTCTGCCACCTTTCGCTGGGTGACCACCACCAAGTTATCTTTTAAACACTTTGAACTGCTTTGCGTCTAAAACGTGGGGATGATATTAGTGCTGGCTTCTCGGGGTCCTTAGGAGGATTTTAAAAGAGAAGCACATAAAACATTAGCTTAGTTCTGGCCCATGATTAAAAACAGGATAGACTCATTTGCGCAGTGTTCAGGTACAAGCTATACTTCACCAGACTCTCTTACAGGAGTCTCAACAATTGAAGAGATTTATTCACTGGGTTTATGAAGAGGCTGCTTCCAAAGAAACATAGGAAGCCCATAGAAACAAGTATGAGTTTTTATTTTGGGGGATTTTTTTTTTTAATCAAAATGGCGGGATGTTAATGGGGAGAGGAGGCACTGCTGGCAGACAGGAATGGGAAAGAAAACCACAGGCGGGAAGAGGAGGGAGTGGGGGAGAGGACGTGAGGGGGAAAGATGCGCCAGGCAGGGGGGCAGGAGGACTGCACGCAGGGTAAGTTCCCTCCCCAAAGCAAGGGAAGAGCTGATGCCTCCTCGGAAGGTCGCCCAGAGAGGGGAGGGACAGGCTTCCTGTCTCTGGCTCATTCAGGCTCCAAATGCCAGGTCTCCAAGGTCGGAGAGGACGTCTCCTGTTTCAGCGCCACCACAGAATCTGCCCGCTAGAGGCCCCATCACCCATCTGCTAATCACGCATGTGCCTTCCTAGCCTCAGATGCTTATGGCCCTGCTGAAGGCCTGGTGTTTGTGCCATCGGTTACATGCAGAGGGGCATGATCTGGGTCCCAGTGGCACTGCCCTGCTTTCCCGGGGTCCCCAGTGGCACGGCTCTGCGTCCTCGGCGTCCCCAGCAGTACTGCTGTGAGTCCCCAGGGTCCCCAGCGGCACTGCTCTGAGTCCCCGGGGTCCCCAGCGGCACTGCTCTGCGTCTCTCTGGGTCTCCCCCATTCCCGTCTAGTCTGGGTGAGACCCTTGGCCAGTCCCAACCGTGTGTGAACAGGCCCAGCAGCTGTGGCCACAGGGTCCATGACACTGGGGCGCCTGCTCTGCAGCCCCAGCCATGCGCTGTGCATGCATGTGTGTGCATATGTGACACCCACGTGCCTTCTGCAGAGACATCCAGGAGAAATTCCCACTGAAGGGGATGGCGGCAGCATCTCCCGTAGATCACTGCTCCTGACCTCCGCTGGCAGCCCTAATGGCCCTCTGGAGGATCCAGGTAATACAGTCACCCTCCCCTAGACCTATATCCTCCAAATGTTCCCAGTGAGGAATGTGAGCTCCTGCATCCAGAACCACCCTCTCCCCTGGCTGCCTGGCCCCCTGCGGAGATCACATGCATCTCTAATTTCTCTGTGTTCCGGCAACTCGGGGATTTAGAGCTGGAAGAGAAACCAGTGCGTGAGCAGTCTCACAAAAGCTCTAGCCTGAGGGCCCGAGTATTTGCTAAATGCAAAGCCTGCCAAACTGCACCCCCAAGGCCCTAATGTTCTCCCGTGAGCCACCCACCGAAGACGAAAACAGCTTCCCTGGAACCAACCTTCAGGAGCCACTGCTAATAAAGGCAGGCGTTTCTTACGTTCTACTGAAAAACGTCACCATATAAGGAAGATGACCAACCAAAGAGGACAGGAAGGGTGGGTCTGAGAAAGAGTCGAAGCCATTCTGCAACGGGGTAAATGTTTTCCGCCGAGCCTCTGGATGAGAATTTTGATGGCTCACATTTCCCGGACACTAGCTGGAAAACAAGCCCTGTGCTTTTAAGCACCCGACATCATGCACCATCTCCTTTTAACACCAAATAGCTGTAGGTGGACAGCACTATTACTGACCCCACCTGACGGAGCAGGCACGTGCACACACACACACACAGAGACATGCACACACTCAAGTGCACACACAGAAAGGTAAGGCAGACAAGCCTAATTAACCTAAGAAAATCTAACCCCAGGTTGCTGCCAGAAATGGACTTTGAGAATGCAGCTCAGGGTGAGCGTAGGGTGGGGGAAAGAGGAGGGCCCCTGCCTCTGAGTGAGGCCCCGATGCACCCACCATCCTATGAAAGCAAGCCTGCCCAGAGGCCTGTGCCAGCGGCCTTGGCAGTCAAATGTTCCCTAAGTGGCCACCTGTCCCGTCCTGCCAGGCTCCACAGCTGGGCAGACCTTCCACAAGTGAGAAAGCTGGGGCTGCGTGTCCATGCCCCAGAGCACACTGCAGCACACCCAGGCCAGTGAAGAAACTTGGGGGGTGGTTTGGTTGATTTCATTTTGTTTTCTTGAGGCAACCACACATTGAAGACTCTCAGAAACACCTGCTTTCTACCTTATTACAGTGACCTCTGGTGGTCAAGAATCAGATATTGCACAGCCAAATTAGAATTAAATAGCTTAATTTCAAGCAACTCTAGGTAACAAACGCCTAGAGGTCCTTTAAGAGGTTCTGAGAAGAGCAGAAGAGAAGGAACTGTGAGTCGGGAGCTGCTGCCAGCCCTACTGAAGGGAGGAGACTGGCTGTCACCTGACCCTGAGCAAAACCCGCTAGGGCTTCTCAGATGATGCTTCCAGAGCAAATGCGAAAGGCCTCCGCGCTCCAACCTGGGGCGGCATCTCGGCTGCTGCTCCCCCTCCCCCGACCAGCTGGTGGCATCTCAATGCCAGGCTTAGAGGGCACGGGCTCAGGGAGGTTTTTAGCAAAAGCTTTCCCCCTGCCAGGGGACCTGCCATGAGCTCAGGGGGAGGAAGGGTTTCTGGAAGGCTTGCGATCTCAGCGCCACCACCAGCCCTGCTCCAGCTGCTCCAGGGCTGAACAGGGAGAGGCAGGGAAACTGGGCTCCTTTCCCCCCACTGGAATCACAAGTCCCAGCCAAGAGAAGAAGGTCGGCCAGGAACAAGAGGAAGAAACAGCGTTTCTGCCCACACTCCATGGTACACTGGGTACCCAGGCTATGGTGCCAGGGCAGCCCAGGGAAGGGGGACGAGGAGGCAAGAGAAGCAGCATCTGCTTTGGGAGTCATTCTGGAGACTGAAAGGAAAGATAAAATCCCAGGGGCCATGATCAATATCCCCTTAGCCCTAAGCCAGGGCAGCAGAAGTCAGAGGCTGGAGGAGGGGAATTCTCCTGTGGAAAACAAAGCTGAACAGGGTATCCTGGAACAAACCTTAGCACAAGCAAGCACCTCTATCACCCTATCCCCAAGGACACTCTCAAGACATTCTAGACAGATGCTTTAAACCCTAAAAACTCTCCAGGGACAAGCATCCAACAACCTCAACCCATTCTAGGAGCTTCTAGAAGCTTCCAGATCAGAGCATTCAGACGTTAACCCCTGCACACATTATTGCCACCACTTGGTCTGTCCATAGTGTGGAGGCTTCAGTCAAATCCCCAAACACTAATGACAGATCCTCCCAAGGTATCGAGATAGTCTAGGCCTTGCTGTTTTGAATATGAAGACAGACTGGTTCGCTCTCCTGATATTCTTTGGAATTCAAAACGGATGTAGAATATCAATATCGTCTCAATTTTCCTTTATCTACGAGGAGACGTCAGCAAACCTTTCTGCCAAGGATTGTACAAGGATCATTAAAAGGAAAATGTCCATGGTAATTGTGCCTTTATGCGTATTTCTTCACTCCAATATTCTATAACATAATAATGTTTCACATTTCTACAGAACTGTCTTTTCAGCATGTTTTCGCATTATGCTTAATTTCGTAAGAGTTTCTCAGCCCCACATAACGACACAGTTCAATGCAAAATCAGATATAAATCTAGCTTAAGAGACTCTCAACAGGAATTTCACTTAAAACTGTAAATGTTAAAAGATTCTGCCTCTGATTTATGTTCTGTTGTGTGTGTGTGTTTCAAACAGTGAGCTTCCCCAGCCCTCTTAGACAATAGATGCTGGCAAAGCCACAGCAGCCACAGCCCAGGCCTCGCAGGTCTGACTGGACTGGCTCTGAGCCCCTCTGCAGAGGAAGCCGAGAAGGGGACAGAGGGCAACCCTTCGGTAGAAGCTCCAGCTCCGGGGCCGTGTGGGGCCTCGTGTAGAAAATGAACCAAGGGTGGCTGACACCGTCGCCCGCACTGGCTTGGGGCCAACTTTTAGGGAGTCATTTTGCAGCTTTATCTCATTTCCCTGCTCCTCCAAAATGCCAGGGCAGCATAAGGGCCCTCCGCCTCCTGCGCCCACACGCACCTGTCTTAAAAAACAGAGGGAGGGCCAGGCACCATGGCTCATGCCTGTAATCCCAGCACTTTGGGAGGCTGAGGCGGGCAGATCATGAGGTCAAGAGATCGAGACCATCCTGGCCAACATGGTGAAACCCAGTCTCTACTAAAAACAAAGATTAGCTGGGTATGGTGGTGCACATCTGTGGTCCCAGCTACTCGAGAGGCTGAGGCAGGGGAATCGCTTCAACCAGGGAGGCAGAGGCTGCAGTGAGCCAAGATCGCGCCATTGCACACGCCAGCCTGGACCGCAGAGTGAGACTCTGTCTTTAAAAAAAAAAAAAAAAAGAGGGAGATCCATGGCCAAGGCAGAAAGTCCTAGGTCAGGGTTTTATTCTGTATTGTACCTGGCTGTGGTCATGACCTTGCACATGTCAAGGTGAAAAGATGACCCCTGACTCCCTGCTTACGGGTACACCTGGGAGACGGGCAAGCTGACAGTGCCAAGAGCTCATTTGGGAAGAAGCAGGCTGATGCCTTCAGGTGCTGTGAACTGTGAATTCTTGATGGAATTAATGAATCCAGAGGAGGCATTCATCCATTGTCTAAGCACATTTAAGACAATTTTAAAATGTGGATTATTTACATACTAGGCTCTAATGACTCCGAAGCAACCATTACAGTCCGTCACGTAAAGCCATATCCAAGCAATCTGATTGCACCGGATCACACGCATGCCGTGTTTAGACAACTTACAGTACACAAATTATTTACATCGTGAAAACATCTCTGTAGCCCTGGCATTACGCTATCAAGAGACAACACAGCAGCAGATTAAATTGAAATATGCTGGCAGCTTTTGAAACTTTCGACTTTATTCCAAAATGCTAAAAGCCAAAAAAAAAAAAAAATCACAGTTAGCGTGTCTAAAATTTCACTTGAAAGGTGGGGCTGTGGTGAGTTGCCACCCAAAAAAAGAAAAGTCGCCACTTTGCAATTGTAAAATCCATTTATTTAAAGAAGATTGAAGTATCCAAGCCTTCTGATAGCACTTAACATATTTTAAAATATGCACTGCAAAGCTCTAAAAGTTCCTGAATTCCTCCATAAAAAAAAAAAAATGTTTTGCCACTTCTAATGGACTCCAACCAACTCCAAGCAGAATCTGTAGGGTACACGCCCCCAGAAAAAAGGCAATTGAAATGACTTGTCTATATCTTTCCAGGAAAGTAAATTATATGTAAGTCTGTACTCACACTCCCACTCCCCTATAGGTTACCCATTTTCCTCCCACACTCCACAGCCCACAGAAATGAAGAGAAAATTATCAAGTGGGTTTAGGTGCTTGGATACCTAATTGCAACAAATCTAAGCGCCTCATCTTTCTGCCTTTTAGAACTTTGGTTTCAGACTTTAAAGCGATTCCCATTAGCCACATGCCAATTAGCTTCGAGCATTTCACAGAATAGAACGCCCCTTGAGATAAATCGCCCCACATACCTACACGTCTTCCAAATATCTCCATTTGTTTTTCAATATCTCACTAAAATGAGGGAGGCTCTTGGACAATGGTTCAGATGTGAAAGGAAGCGCTATTAATTTTAATTCAGAGTCCTCAAACCAAGGTATCAGAAAGGACCCCAGACTTAATTAAGGACAACACAAGTCTCTCTAATCCAAAGAATGCTCCATTTCTGTCCCCTGTGCTTCAAGAATTACAAGGGTTGCCTGGGCATTTTGTAGCTTTGCAAGGGAAGCAAAGCTTTGTATAACTAGGTTTGATGATGATGATAGTAAAAAAGAAGGGAGGAGGAGGAGGAGGAAGAAAAGTGGGAAGGTGGCAGCCATGACGCCACACTCCAACAGTATATTAAATGGCGTAATTCACACAGAAGTATATAAAGCATAAAGTAAAAGTCACATTGCTCAGTAACCCTGTTCCAGCAAATTACCACCAGAAGTGGTTTGCTATGACCCTTGGCATATAGAAACATCTTTGTTATTTATTTATTTTATTTTATTTTTTATTTTTGAGACAGAGTCTTGCTCTGTCACCCAGGCTGGAGTGCAGTGGCAGGATCTCGGCTCACTGCAACCTCCACCTCCCAGGTTGAAACAATTCTCCTGCCTCAGTCTCCTGAGTAGCTGGGATTACAGGCGCCTGCCACTATGACCGGCTAATTTTTGTATTTTTGGTAGAGACAGGGTTTCACCATGTTGGCCATACTGGTCTCGAACTCCTGACCTCAAGTGATCTGCCCACCTCGGCCTCCCAAAGTGCTGGGATTACAGGCGTGAGCCACCACGCCCAGCCTTTGTTATTTATATAAATGGGTACATACAATATCTGTATTGTTATAAAAACTAATGTTTCAAAAGAAATATGAACAAACTGTGAACTCTAATGAATGATATTCCTACCTGTTGAAATATTTGGGAGAAAGTGTATTGATGTGTACAACCTTCCTGAAATGAATCAAAATATCAAGATGGATGGATGAAAACAGAAGGGTGAATATTGATAAGGCAGGTAAAATGAAATGCTAGCCACAGGCGCTACTTGGTGGGTTTATGGGTTTCATTGCAAAACTCTTTCAATTTTGTTATATTTTTGAAATACGTTTGAAATCTTTAAATTGAAATGGCAGAAAAACTAATTTTTTCACTTAATATATGGCATTGATCTCTGTATCCTTTTTAACCACTACACAAGATTCCATTTTATGGGTGCACCATGATGTCCCCACTGGTGGACATTTAGGTTACTTTGCAATGACAAACAATGCCACAATGAATATGCATGTAAATATGCCTTTGAATGCTCATGATCACATTTTTATAGGAAAAATTTCTAAATATGAATTTGACTTAAAGAAAATCAACACTTTGACTTTTAATATATAATAATAACAGCAACACCCACTGCACATTTACTCTGTGCAGACACTCCTGTAAGCACTTTTCATGTATTGTAAACTCCTCACGAGAACTTCATTAAGTAGGCACTAACGTAGCCTCATTTTATAGTTGAGGAAACTGAGGCCTCGAGAGGTTAAGTAACTTGCCCAAGGTCTTACAGCTGGAAAATAGCAATTTCACTCCGAAGCCAGTAATTTTAACCATTGTGTTTAAAATATGGCAAAAAAAAAAAAAATAAAGATCAAACCAATATATATATTCCTAGTAACAGTGTGTGTCAGTTACTGTTTCCCAAAGCTGCATTTTTTTTTTTTTGATATGGAGTCTCGCTCTGTTGCCCAGGCTGGAGTGCAGTGGTGCGATCTTGGCTCACTGCAAGCTCCGCCTCCCGGGTTCATGCCATTCTACTGCCTCAGCCTCCTGAGTAGCTAGGATTACAGGCACCTGCCACCATGCCCGGCTAGTTTTTATATTTTTAGTAGAGACAGGGTTTCACCGTGTTAGCCAGGATAGTCTCGATCTCCTGACCTCATGATCCGCCTGCCTCGGCCTTCCAAAGTGCTGGGATTACAGGCGTGAGCCACCGCGCCCGGCCTGTTTTTAAATTTATCTAAAACTTAACGAAAACACTGTCCATTTTTCGAAGTAGCATAAAGCCCAATGCGAAGAACCCAGCAGAGAGAGAAAGCAGCACAGATTGGGGCTGGGCAGGGAACAAATGCCTCGTTGATTCCAGCCGGAGCACAGGGAAAGGCCAACGTGCCACCTCAAGTGGGATCCTCTCCCTGCTCCTCCGCCTGCCTCTCTGCCTCACGCACCCCTCCTGGTTCTGCAGTGATGCTGGCAGGTAAACATGCCTATGAAACTCTCAAACTTCTGTTTTTAAACTCTGTAAATCCCAACCCATCCTCCCAGAAGCATTCATGCAATCTCAAGCATTCTACCTCCGTTTTTCTTTATCAGACAGCTGCAAGTAGAAAGAACTAAACAAATGAGCAAGTGTATCGTCTCTCTTTCCATCATCTACTCAATTAGTTCAAGTAAATCTTTAGACAATGCTTGATGTGTCCGTAGGATATTATCATCAACAAACTCAAAAGGTTCTTTTGTTTTACTATCTAAGACATTATAAATGATCCCATTATAAAACCGATGAAGAAGTCTTCCTATAGCAGGCTGTAGTACCAGCCCCGAACTTCCAAGGCCTCACTGAAACACAGCCTCCACGCAATTAACCCCGAAGACAAGAAAGCCACAGCCACGAAGAGAGACCTCTGCAAATAGCAGGGCACCTGCCTGGCTGAAGCTCACAGCAGAACAAAACAGTAGTGATACCTAATAATATGGCTGCATTATTGTTGCTGTGGCAACAAAAATACTGTAATTGATAGAGCCAACTCGCTTAGCAGAAACGTAACAAACTATGCCCGAAAATAGGTTTGGAAGAAGAGCTGAAAGAGAAATAAAAACAGAGTAACTTCAGATAACAAGCCAATCACCTCAGATGTTAGCGGAATGGAAAAAGCACAAACCTTGAACCCAAAAGGCCTAGTTTCCAATCATGACTTCATAACTGACTCACTGCATGACATCAGCATGTAACTTAACCTTTCTGAATGCTAGTCGTCTCTGTTGTGGAATTAGGATCGTAAGTCCTACTTCATAGGTGATAATAAAGCTGAATATGAAACTAGGTGAGGTCCCTGGCTGATCGCACCCTCTCCATAATGGCAGCTGTTAGCACTATGATAATAATCGTGGTGGGCTCGCCAACTAGTATTCATTTAGCAGTTTTCACGTAGAACTGAGAATCCATCATGTGTTCACACATTCTCTCTTCTTCTCTATTTCTCAGTGATGATGATGATGATTATGGAAGACTTCAAGCTTTCCAAAACCTATAGAGGATAATCTAATAAAAACCTGCGTGCCAACCAATCGTATTTTCTGTCATAAAAATTCACTAGATATCCTCCAATTTATTTTTTAGAAATAAAAAAGAATTACAGATATAACTGCAGCTACTCTGTACCTGCCCATCTCATTCTCCTCCCTCCCTCTCAGAGGCAGCTGCTATCTTCCATTTAGTTTTTATTTACTATATACGTAGGCGTCCATAAACAACAAATATTTTTTACGTTTTAAGCTTATATAAATGGTACCGTGCTGTACATTTCTTTTTGCAACTTGTTTTTTTCCCCACTGAATTTTGATCTTTATACATATATACACACAGCCTTAGCTTATTCATTTCAACTGCTATATACTATTTCATTATATAAGAATACTGCAATTTATTTGCCCCTTCTACTACTGATGAACTTTAAATTGTTTCCGAATTTCTATTAGTGTAAACGTTGTTAACACAGAACATTCTTGCTCATGTCTCTGTACACAGATACAAGGCTGTCTGTAGAGTAGCAGTTCTCCAAATATGGTCTGCAGACCCTTCGGGCATCCTTAAGAGATCCTTTTGGGAGACAGAGAGGTCAGAACCATTTTTGTAAAACACCAAGAATTGATTTGCCTTTTTCACTGTATTGGCATTTGCACTGCTGGAGCAAAAGCAACCGTGGGTAAAACTGCTGGGGCCTCACCACAAATCAAGGTAGTAGCAACCAACTGTACTGGTAATCACATATTCTTCATTGCCATGTGCTTACAGAAAAACACACACACATGCACACACGCTTTGCCAGTTTTACTTTAGAATTCCTTAATGAAGCAATCAAAATAAGATTTTTTTTTTTTTGAGACCGAGTTTCGCTCTTGTTGCCCAGGCTGGAGTGCAATGGCGCAATCTCGGCTCACTGCAACCTCTGCCTTCCAGGTTCAAATGATTCTCCTGCCTCAGCCTCCCAAGTAGCTGAGATTACAGGCGCGTGCCACCACACCCGGCTTATTTTTTGCATTTAGTAGAGATGGGGTTTTACCATGTTGATGAGGTGGTCTCAAACTCCTGACCTCAGGTGATCCACCTGCCTCAGCCTCCCAAAGTGCTGGAATTACAGGTATGAGCCACCGCCTCCAGCCAAAAATGACAGCTTTTATTCTTTAGGTTGGTGCAAAAGTAACTGTGGTCTTTACCATCACTTCTAATGTGCTTTTAAAACACTTCTGCTGCAATCTAAAGTATGATGGTTGTCTTGAAGAAAAGCATTTGTGTGACTGAGTTACAAGCTAAATGAGCAACTTTTTTCATGGAATGCCAATTTTTATTTTAAAAAAAACAACTGATTTTTTTTAAAACTATGGTTCTTTAGATGCAGGTATTTGGCAGGGCTTCTGCCTCTGGCCAAGATGGAGTAAGAAGGACTAGAGGTCCTCTCCTGCTTAAAATAACTAAAAAACGACAACATTTATGAAACATCAGTTCTCTAGATATCAGACATCTGGGAGTGAAGAACGGCGAGGTCAGCCCCGGGACTGCCCCAGCTTTCTTGCTATAGAGTTTCCAAACCATGGCACAGGAGGGCATCCTAAGTCGAGCAATCTTCCTGAGTTGAGAAGGAACTAAGAATGTAAGAAGGCCAAGGCAGCCAGAGGTCACAGGGCAGAGTGTTGGAAAAAGACACACAGAGAACTCCAGAGCTGTGCAGAGGCTGCTTCAAGTAGTCAAATAGACATGGATCAGTGCACGTGTATGAGGAAACTATCTCAGGCCTTGTAACACCTTTTAACAGGATTAAAAACAACAATCGGCTGGGCACGTGGCTCACGCCGGTAATCTCAACACTTTGGGAGGCCGAGGCGGGTGGATCACAAGGTCAGGTGTTCAAGACCAGCCCGGCCAAGATGGTGAAAGCCCCCTCTGCTAAAAATACAAAAATTAACTGGCTGTGGTGGTGGGCACCTGTAATCCCAGCTACTTGGGAGGCTGAGGCAGAGAATTGCTCAAACCTGGGAGGTGGAGGTTGCAGTGAGCCAAGATCGCACCACTGCACTCCAGCCTGGGCAACAGAGCGAGACTCTGTCTCAAACAAACAAATAAACAAAACAACAATCACTGTCACTCACACTTGGACCAGAAATAGTGCCTGTTTCCGCTAACAAGAGTAAAATCTTCATAATATATGGGGCATAGGGGAGAGTACTCAGTAGAGTTTTACCTCAGTAGTGGGTAAAAAAAATCAGCCCTGAACTCAATGATGTTCTGTACCCACCTAAAAAAGCATAAAAGCGAAATGTGAAAGGGTTAAACTAATTCCAAATAATGTAACCACATTCCAGAACAATGCTCAAGAATATTTATAAGAATAGGCTGGGCACGGTGGCTCATGCCTGTAATCCCAGCACTTTGGGAGGCCAAAGGGGGTGGATCACTTGGGGTCAGGCGTTTGAGACCAGCCTGGCCAACATGGTAAAACCCCGTCTCTACTGAAAATACAAAAATTAGCCAGACATGGTGGCATACACCTGTGATCCCAGCTACTCAGGAGGCTGAGGCAGGAGAATCGCTTGAACCCGGGAGGCGGAGGTTGCAGTGAGCCGAGATCACCGCCACAGCACTCCAGCCTGGGCAACAGAGTGAGACTCTGTATCAAAAAAAAAAAAAAAAAAAAAAGAATATTTACAAGAATAAACATGTACACAGTACCCAATATGATAAATTCATAATGTCTGGAATCAAAGACAAAATTCCCAGGCATACAAAGAAGCAGGAAAATATGATTCATAATAAGAAGAAAAATCAATCACAACCAAACCAGAAATTATACACTGATAAAATTAGTGGGTATGAAGATTAAACATTAAAAAGAGATATGGGAGAATTAAACAGATCCAAGTAAAACTTCTAAAGATGCAAACTGCAGTGAAAACCTAAGATGCAGTCTGAGGTGAAAAACACACTGGGTGTAATTAACAGACAATTAGACACCACTAAAGAAAATATTAGTGAACTGAAAGACAGGAAATGAAACAGGAAAAAGAAAAAACTGAATAGAGTATCTGCAACAACTTTAAGCAGTCTAATATATGTAAAAGTTCCCTATGCAGAAGATGGGACAGAAACAAATAGAAAAACTAACAGCCAAAATTTTCCAAATTTGATAAAACTATAAATCCACATATCCAAGTAGCTCAACGAGCCCCAAGCACCAGAAACATAAGAAAACTACACCACGGCACATCATAATCATCTTGATTAACTCCAGTGATAAAGAAAAAATCCTAAAAGCAGCCACAGGAAATGGATGCATTGTACAGAGAAAAACAAAGATATGAATAACTGCAGACTTCTCATCAGAAATTATGCTAGCAAGCCAGAAGACATAGAGAAACTTCTTTAAAGTGCTAAGAGAAAAAACAAAAACTATCAACCTAGAATTCTTTATCCATTGAAAATATCTTTCAAAAACAAAAGTGAAATACTTTTTTATAGATACAAAAACTGAAAGAATTCATGACCAGCAGACATGCACTACAAGAAATATTAAAGCAACTCATTCAGGCAGAAGGGAAAAAAATAGCAGATGGAAATCTGGATCTACACAAAGAAATGAAGAGCACTGGAAATGGTAGAGATGTGGGTATATATAAAGACTTTTTATTCCTTAAATCTATTAAAAAGATAAACAACTACTTAAAGCAAAATAATAAATCACAGGGTTTATAACAAATCTATAAGTAAAAGGTATGAGAAGAATTTAAAAAAAGATGGGGAGGAAGAAATGAAATTATACTATAATAAGGTTCTTATACTATACATGAAGTGGTATAACATCACCTGAAAGTGGACTATGATAAGTCAAAGATGGACGCTAAAAACTCTAAAACAAGCAGTAAAATAACAAAGATTTATAGATAAGCCAGCCAACAAAAGAGATAAAATGGAATGATAAAAAAATGTTCAGTTAATCCAAAAGAAGGCAGAAAAAGAGAAAAGGGGCCGGGTGCAGTGGCTCACGCCTATAATCCCAGCACTCTGGGAGGCCGAGGCAGGTGGATTTCTTGAGATCAGGAGTTCAAGGCCAGCCTGGTCAAATGGTGAAACCCTGTCTCTACTAAAAATGCAAAAATTAGCTAGACATGGTGGTGGGTGCCTGTAATACCAGCTACTCAGGAGGCTGAGGGAGGAAAATTTCTTGAACCCAGGAGATACAGGTTGCAGTGAGCCAAGATCATGCCACTGCACTTCAGCCCAGGCAACAGAGCAGGACTCCATCTCAAAAATAAATAAATAAATAAATAAATAAGAGAAAAGGGGGACAAACAACAGATGGGGAAACAGAAAACAAATAGAAACTTAACCATATTGATAATTGCATTAAATATAAGTGGTCTAACTACTTCAAATAAAAGACAGAGATTGGCTGGGCGTGGTGACTCATGCCTATAATCCCAGCACTTCAGGAGGCCAAGGTGGGCAGATCACAAGGTCAGGAGATCAACACCATCCTGGCTAACACAGTGAAACCCCGTCTCTACTAAAAAATACAAAAAAATTAGCTGGGCATGGTGGCACGCGCCTGTAGTCCCAGCTACTCTGGAGGCTCAGGCAGGGGAATCACTTGAACCCGGGAGGCGGAGGTTGCAGTGAACCAAGATTGCACCACTGCACTCCAGCCTGGGTGACAGAGTGAGAGTCTGTCTCAAGAAAAAAAAGACAGAGACTGCAAGACTGCATTAAACAGCAAGACCAAACTATATGTTATCTACAGAAGCCCACTTTAAATGAAAAGACAAAAATAAGTTAAAACTAAAAGAATGGAAGAAGATATACCATTGCAACACTAATAAAAAGAAATTTGCAATGGCTATGTTAATATCACAAAAAGCAGATTTCAGAACAAAAAATACTACTACAGATAAAAAGAGTCATTTCATAATAGAGAAGTTAATTATAGAGAAGTTAATTAGTCATGAGGACATAACAGTCACAAATGTTTATGAAACAACAGAGCTTCAACATATATGAAGCAAAAACTGATAGAAATACAAGAAGAAATAGACAAATCTACAACTGTAATTAGAGATTTCCGTATCCCTCCCTTAATAATCAATAAAACAAGTAAACATAAAACATTAAGGAATCCCAGCACTTTGGGAGGCCAAGGCAGGTGGATCACGAGGTCAGGAGATCAAGACCATCCTGGCTAACAACGGTGAAACCCTGTCTCTACTAAAAAAAAAAAAAAAAAAAAAAAAAATTAGCTGGGCATGGTGGCGAGCGCCTGTAGTCCCAGCTACTCGGGAGGCTGAGGCAGGAGAATGGCGTGAACCCGGGAGGCGGAGCTTGCAGTGTGCCGAGATTGCACCACTGCACTCCAGCCTGGGCAACAGAGCAAGGATCCATCTCAAAAAAAAAAAAACATTAAGGATGTAGAAGACTTGAACAACACCATCAACCAACTTGACCTAGTTGACATTTGTAGAACATTCTAACAGCAATATACACATTCTTTTCACATGCACACAGAATGTTTACCAACATATATTCTGAGCCATAATATGTCTCAATAAATTTAAAAGAATTAAATGAATTCACAAAAAAAGGAATTCATTTATCAGTATATTCTCTGACTACAATGGAATTAAATTAGAAATTATTAATAATAACAGACAGGTATTGGGCAGACTATCACTTCAACTGACCATATTTGTTGCCAATGATAAAATGTGAGTTTTTAAGTAAGAATTAGAATTGGGAAAAACTTGTGCTCACCATTGTGAACTTGACAACTTGCAAAATGTAAAGACTTTTCTGAGGACTTTGGTACTGATAATAACAAAGCCATTTTGGGGTGGGGGTTATTGTATAATAAAACGTGTCAACATGTGGAAGATCTGCATAACTCAGGGAACCAATATTTTCAAAACAACTGCTGTGACAAAATGCCAGGATAAAAGATCTTTCCAAGATCCACATTAAAATATATCCCCTTGAAAAAAGGATAGGCCAATGGATTTTAATGTAACTGTATACAAAAAAATATACTATTTTTGTCTTTTTATTTAAGGTGGGCTTCTGCGGACAGCATATATCAGATTCTGCGCTGCAACTAACATCTAAGAAAGTACCGCTTGTAGGGTTTTGATATAGTAACAAAGAGAAATATTCACAATTCTCTGAAATGGCTATTAAAATACTACTTCCTTTTCTAATTATGCATCTGTGTAAAGCTAAATTTCTTCATTTGTTTCAACATACCAAAACAGACTGAAGGCAGAAGCAGATATGAGAATCCAATTGTCTTTCATTAAGCCAAACATTAAAGAAATTTGCAAAAATGTTAAACATTACCCTTCTCACTAAATTTTGTTTTGTTTTTGGAAAGTATAGTTATTTTTCATTAAACAATATGTTATTTATGTTAACATAAAATGAGTTTATTACTGTAATTTTAATAAGTTTGCATATTTTAATAATTTCTCAGTTTTAATTTCTAATGCAGTAAATAGTATAGCTGTAATTCATGAGCAGAAGCTCTTTGGGTTCCTCAATAACTTTTAGGAGTGTAAGAGAGGTCCTGAGACCAAAAAGTTCAAGAAACATTGTTCTAGAGAAGTTGAGTTGCTCATAGTCTATGCAAAAAAGAGAGAGAGAGAGAGAGATTTCTTGATATTTGCAAACTCACTGGAAGATTCCAAGCTAAAGAATAGCCTGTTCAATGCAGCTGACCAGTAGAGCCCTTGATTTTTTTTTTTTTTTTTTTTTTTTTTGAGACAGAGTCTCACTCTGTCACCCAGGCACTGATCTCAGCTCACTGCAAGCTCTGCCTCCTGGGTTCGCACCATTCTCCTGCCTCAGCCTCCCAAGTAGCTGGGACTACAGGCACCCGCCACCACGCCCAGCTAATTTTTTTGTATATTTAGTAGAGACGGGGTTTCACTGTGTTAACCAGGATGGTCTCGATCTCCTGACCTTGTGATCCACCCGCCTCAGCCTCCCAAAGTGCTGGGATTACAGGCGTGAGCCAGCGTGCCCAGCCGAGCCCTTGATTTTATAGTGACAAAAATAATGGTGCTCATAAGAGCAATGAAGGCTCACATGCATTACGCCCATATTCAGGCACCATACTCAAACTATAATCCTTGTTACCCTCTAACAACCCTAAAGAATAAACATGATTTACATATTACGGATAAGGAAACTGAGGCTCATAGGGGTTAAGTTAGTTGTCCTAGAGGGTAAGGGAATCAGGATTTGAATCTAGACCTCATTCCAAATCAATAACACTTTCCACTTTCAAATGTCTCTGAAATTGTGCCATATCACTCTCTGTCTTTTTACTCTGCTATATTTTCCTTCTTAGTACTTATCTGACAACATGTCGCATTTTTGTACAATATACAATTTGCGTATTGTCTCTCTGCTCCATTAGAATATAAACACCATGAGTGCAGAGATTTTTGCCTATCCACCTACCTCTGACAGTCCAAACACTTACTGAGCACGTGCAAAGGACAGGCAAAAAGAAATACTCTAAAGCAGGGCTGTGGGGTCAGAAAATGACTCACAATAATACCAAGGATCCTCTGTTCAACAGGTTGGGCATGTGAATGGACAGTGCTCCAGGGAGGCCAGAGTGGGGCATGGCAGCCAAGAGTTATGATGATCAGAGAAACATCAGGAGAAAGGATAACCATGAAAGCAGGTCTCGGATTCATGGACGGCAGCAAGAAGGAGAACATGCAGGAAATCAAATCATAGTTTCAGAGGGCAACCAGGGACCTCATGAAGACACCTGTGCTAGAGACAGCCTCAGAAGTTGGAGAAACCAAGAGGCTGAGTATATTCAGCAGTTTCATTGGCTCATGCTGTGATTTCTGGCTTTAGGTCCACTCTGACCACCAGCTCTACCACGCAGAGACTCACTGACACTAATATCTGTGCTCCGCAATTAAGACAATGAAATGCCTGACAGCTCTTTCTTTTTCTCCTTGGCTTAGTTTCTGCCATAAACTTGGGCCCAGAAAAGTGTCAGGGAGAAATATACTAAAGAATATTTCAGGCAGTGGCACACGCCTGTAATCCCAGCACTTTGGGAGGCTGAGGTGGGTGGATCCCCTGAATTCAGGAGTTCGAGACCAGCCTGACCAACATGGTGAAACCCCGTCTCTACTAAAAATACAAAAGTTAGCTAGGCATGGTGGCACATGCCTGTAGTCCCAGCTACTCGGGAGGCTGAGGCAGCAGAATTGCTTGAACCTGGGAGGCAGAGGTTGCAGTGAGCCAAGATTGCACCATTGCACTCCAGCCTGGGCAACAGAGTGAAGCTCCGTCTCAAAAAAAAAAAAAGAAAAGAAAAAGAAAAAGAAATAATATCTCTGGTTGGCAGTAAAAGAACATCTAAGCATTACTACTGAAGGGAACAAATAAAAAGTCTAAGGGTCTTTGTATCCATGCCCAACCTTCATAACTCTGGAAGACAGATGGCTGCATCCCACATTAAAGACTTGCTAGAATCTCCCTCCACGCCCACTGTCAGACTAAATCTATCCCACATTTTTCAGCTTTGCATGAGGGGTCGTGCCAATTTTCCCCCTCTGTGTATCAGCACAGATATCCCCGCCATGCTTCCGTCTTTTGAACTCTCACTCAGATGTCCTTTAGGCCAGGTTCAAACACTACCAGCCAGGGCGTCACCGCATCTGCCACCAAAAACACCAAGCTGATGGAGTACCCTGAAAATGTGGACCCAAGTGAAGATTGAGATTTAAAGAACAGATAAGAAAGAAAATGTGATCTGGCATATATTGATCTCTAGGTCATTGAAATATATAACTAAGGTTCAACTTGTCCCTTCCCCCAGGTCTCGTGGGCCTCCCAGGAGTCGTGTTTTCAGGCTTCGACCTTAATTGCAGATATTTAAATGCAGTGCAAGCATTGCTATTGATCCTCAAAGCAGCCTTTTAATGCTGATATTCATGATGCTATCATGGATCTCAGCAGCTAGTGAGTGATGTGTGTATCCAAATACAAACCGAAGACATTTCTTTTTTTTCTACTTTATCTCCAGAGGCGAGAAAGATAACGTTGTATCACTGACCCTTCTTCAACTGTTTTCCCACCCTCTTCTCAAGCCATCTAAGAAGGATGGAGGAGCCCTGAAGCACAGACTTCAACCATGGTTCACATGAATCCCAGGGAAGGAGTCCAGCCCAGGCCTGACTCTGCCACGTCTCAAGAAAAGCCACCACCATAAAGATAAGACATTTTTGGGAAGGAACATTAAAGTAGCCAGAAAAAGGTCATGCCGGAAAAGGTAAAAACAGCTACTGGCCGGACACAGTGGCTCATGTCTGTAATCCCACCACTTTGGGAGGCCGAGGTGGGTGGATCATGAGGTCAGGGGATCGAGACCATCCTGGCCAACATATGAAATCCCGTCTCTACTAAAAATAGAAAAATTAGCTGGATGTGGTGGCACGTGCTTGTAGTCCCAGCTACTTGGGAGGCTGAGGCACAAGAATCGCTTGAACCTGGGAGGCGGCGGTTGCAGTGAGCTGAGATCGCGCCACTGCACTCCAGCCTGGTGAAAGATTCCGTCTCAAAAAAAAAAAAAAAAAAAAGCAGCCACCCATCCTCCCAGCCCTTAGTTTCTGGGTCTAAAGTTAGAGAAATGTTCCTCACGGTCCTTATCTTCCTGTTATTGGAAAGCCCCCATGAAGGTCTCTAAAACCTTTTGAAACTAATCTTATAGTCTTAGTTTATATCAGAATTCTGGCAAGGGGAGCCACAGGTAGCAGGAAATCCAGACCTGCTCTCCTGAGTCATTTCCCTTCTCCCACCGGGGCTGCCACTCCCACAATACATTCTGAATCACACATGAGGCCGTGCCACGGATGACTCCCCCCCTGGACATATAGGAATATCATGATGAAGTCAGAATTCTCACAGGGCCTGAGCAGCAATCCACTACCCAGGCTCCGCAGGCCTCACTGCTGCCTGCCTCACGCCTCGCTCTTTGTGCTGCCACCAGCTTCATCCCTTGCAGGTCCCTTGCTGGGATAAACATCTCACTTCCACCTTCATGGGCCTGCTCTCCTGCTCTTGGCCAAATCTTTTTGTTTCTTTTTTTTTTTTTTAAGGCAGGGTCTCGCTCTGTTGCCCAGGTTTGAGTGCAGTGGTACAATCACAACTCACTGCAGCCTCCATCTTCCGGGCTCAAGCAATCCTCCTGCCTCAGCCTCCCAAGTACCTGGGACCACAGGCATCCGCCATCACACTCAGCTAACTTTTGTATTTTCTGTAGAGACAGGGTCTTGCCATGTTGTTGCCCAGGCTGGTCTCTAACTCCTAGGCTCAAGCAATCTGCTCACCTCAGCCTCCCGAAGTGTTGAGATTACAGGCATGAGCAATTTTACCCAGACTCTTGGCCAAATATTAATTACTCCTTAGATTTAGCTCAGACATTACTTCTCCCGGAAGCCTTCTCAAACCACAATGCCCCTCTTCCCCCACTCCATCCCCAAAGCTGGTAAGTAGTAGTCACCTGTGTGCTGCTCACATCTCTCCCACCTCGCCAGTCTAGTTCATTGAAATCAGCAGTTTGCCTCCCCCCACACCCTTGAGAGCACCTTAATGGGAGAGGGAATGTCTGAATTATTCAGCTTTCTCTCCCCGGCATCTGGCCCAGTGCCTGGCACAGAGTTGCACTCAAATCCCTGTTGAATGTAGCTACATCCACCCTCCTCTACCTCCCCCACCCCAGTAAGGCCAGAGGGGCTGGCGAGATGGACCCCAGAAATAGGTGGTCTCTTGCAAACCATATATCCTATGGTTCCTTCCAAGGCCCTGCAGCCTTTTCATCTGAGAAACCCCAGCCATTTGCCTGTGCGCCCTGATGATGGGACCACCCTTCCTCTCTGCAGTACAACTTCATGGCCAGGGCCCCCAGGCTGCCAGAGCCAGCTCTCAGGTCCTGCAGCCTCGGCTCCCACAGGGGAAAAATCATTGCATTCAGATCAGCTACCGCGGCAATAGGTCAGGCTTCCAGAAGCCTCCCCCAAACGCTGATTAATGGGCAAGAGCAGCTCTTGCGCATCTCATTACGCACATAGCTGCAATGAAACCATCTTTGCTTTACAGTTTTGTGCAGGACATAAAAGTGGGAAATATCCCAGCCTTCAGAGGGAACAAGCCATGAATACTGAAGCAGCCCCAGGTTATTAATCCAGCACCATTAGTCTTAGGGAGTCACCCCAGCACTGACCCCCTAGAAGGAAATTTCTCTTGCTGTCCATTTCTCATTTCAAATTATCCATACAGCCACCATACATACCACCTGTGAATTATTTGATATTTTGGAGAGGAAAGTAAACAATATAAAAAATCAGCAGAACTTAGGGGATCATAAATTCTTAGCAAGTTATTTTCGGAGTGAGGAAAGCTGATTCATATGGCACTTTACTTCCCAAGACTAATTTAGTTTGCTTTTTTCCTTATTAATAGGAGGTAAGCACCCTGCAAAGATCACATTTTCATTCTTGGCAGCACCTGTCGAGGGGATCCCAGGCCCACAGCCCATGTTTGAAGGTTCATCCCAGAAAGGTGTCGATGGAGCAGACACGGCCCTAGAAACACATCGGGTGAACAATAACTTCAAAAACACTGGAACAGATACACACAGATGCTTTTGTTCTTAAAGGCCAGCATCACACTGCTAGTGCAGACTGATTGCAGACTGAAGAACCAAAAGTATCCTATTTACCCTATTTATTCCTTTAGGAAGACATACTAAAATACAGACAGCAGGCCAGCCCCTATCTTGCATTTTCCCCATTTTATATTTACCCAAACTAATGAGGTCTCACTGTCGCTGTTTTCCTGGTGGTTTTTTTAAGGTATCTCTTTATCTCTGGTGTTCAGTAGTTTCACCCTGATGTGCCCACACATGGATTTTTGCTTTTATTTATTCCACCTGCAATTCCATGTTCATTTTCAGTAGGAAGGCTTACGTCTGTCTTTATTCCTCCAGCCGTATTGCTTTCAAGCATGCCTCCCTCCTGTTGTCTCTGTCTTCTCCTCTGAGATGCCCATTAGATATGTGCTGGACCTTCATGTGCACATTTTCCGCCTTTACTTCCCTAAACCACAGTTCGGTGGATCTCATCAGGACCATCTTATGCTTAACTATTTGTTTCTTTCTTTCTTTCTTTCTTTTTTTTTTTTTTTTTGAGACAGAGTCTCGCTCTGTCCCCCAGGCTGCAGTGCCGTGGCGCAATCTTGGCTCACTGCAAGCTCCACCCCGCCAGATTCAAGCAATTCTCCTGCCTCAGCCTCCTGAGTAGCTGGGATTACAGGCGCCTGCCACCATGCCCGGCTAATTTTTGAATTTTTAGTAGAGACAGGGTTTCACCATGTTGGTCAGGCTGGTCTCAAACTCCTGACCTCAAGTGATCTGCCCACCTCAGCCTCCCAAAGTGCTAGGATTACAGGCGTGAGCCACCACACCTGGCCTTAACTAACTCATTCTTTAGCAAATATGTCTATTCTTTTGTTTATCCCCATCTATTAGAAGGGTTTTGGCATCTTGTTTTGTTTTCATTGCAATTATTACATGTTTTATTTCTAGAATAACTGATTCTTTTTTTAAAAAAAACCACTTGTTTCATCCCATTATCTCCTATTCAAGTCTTATGGATTTTATTTCTTGTCTCTTCAAACATTTTACACATATCTGATCTATCTAACAGCCTTCTCAGATTGCTCTGTTGTCTATAGTTTCTGAAACATAAATTCTCCTTTCACAGCATTTGTGGATTATCTCCCGTGGTGGTCAATTTGCTAGTCTGCTTTGTAATTTTTGCCTAAGGGCTTATCTACATTGGGAGTCCCCCAGTTTTTCCCCTGGGAATCTCATGTGTGCCTTGTGTTGAGGAATCATCCCCCATAACAAGTTTTACGCTTACATCTGACACAGCTTTAAGGGTACCACTAATTCGGGACCAAATTTTATGTTAGGTTCTCAGCTCGGAGTTTCTGCCCACATTGATAGTGCAGGATTTGGTCTCATATCTATATACAGCTTAGGCTTGGTATCCCTCGTTCTTGAAGGAAACTCTTAGAAGCTACGGCTTGGGGGACTGGGGTATACCGTGTTCCTGAGCCAATGGGAAGAATTTTTCTATTTTTTGATGACAGAAAAGACAGTCCCTTCTTGTTCCCAGTTTTGTACAAGAAACTTGGTTCCAGCTCCCTGGGGCCTGTGAAACCTCAGCCCTTAAGGGGTTTACTGTGGAAACTCCAGTAAGGCCACTCGACTTGCACTCTAAATTTCATCCTGGCTTCCGGCACCTGGAAATCTCCCAACCTCACCTTTGAATTCAGCTATGTTTTTGTTGCTATTATAACTAATCCAACATTTCTATGGGTTTAGAGTGAGAGAACAGAGATTCCCACATATGCATAGTTGGCATCTTGACTGGAAGTTCCACTGGAGCTCCTCCTTCCCCCAGACTCAGGGAATCATACTCTTGCCCAATATTCTCCAAGAACACGTTAAGCCCTAGACATAGGTAACCCTCCTTCAAATCCCTGAAGCATATGGCCAACCAATACCCTGCAATCAGATGGAGGTGAGGCGCTGGCAACAGAAGTCAGCCCCAGCAAGTGGGCTACACTACCTCTCTAGGATTTCAGAAGGTGCCAAGGCAATTTTGCCTGGACATTCCAAAACCCTGGAAACCAAGAACTGACCAAATTTGCCTTTTTTTAAAAGAGAGGCTTCTTTATGTCATCCTAGACTAATTAGAAGGCCAATCCAAGAGGAAACCTCACTCCTCATAGCCTCTTGATTGCACAGCTAGCCCCTACCACTGGCCCACCCAATACCCACGGCAGAGTCATCCTGTGGCCTTTCCACTCACCTCAACAGCCAGCCAGCCAAAGTCTGGAGGGAAGGGATCATAAAGAGTCCTTCCCCCAGCATCAAAGGTACCCTGCTGGGAATGCATAAGTGGCTGAGGGAGGAAAGGAAGGGGGTGACTGCCTGTGAGCCAGAGAAGCAGAGACCATCTTTTCTTCAATCTCAAACTAAATCTCAAGGGTAAGTGCTAAACAATTGCCAACACACTCTCTGCCAGCCACTCCCAGGTGCATCTGTCCCATCCCACAACTAGTACTGGAGGGGAGTCACGCTCGGGAGACCTGCTGGGAAGCAGAGCTTTGCCCCTGACCAGCTGCGTGGCCTTGGGCAGGTCACTTTGCTTACCCTCCCTGAGTCTCTGGGACAAATGCAAGGGCTGTTGCATAGGCTTGTCCTACCGAATAAACCACTCACTGAACGGCGGTGGCTGTTGCACTGTTAATAATGATCTTCCAGTGCTCAAACCCCAGAAAGAAATGCCCCCTGCTGGGTCTCTGTCTCCCTCTACTTTACAGGGAAGCAGAATACAGGCTTTTCTAAAAGTTAAATATTCAAAAACATCTTCTCATTGCTTTCCTACTCAAAATGAGTGGGGGATTTTAAATATAGCTTTATTAAGGTACAGCTGACACACAAGGAACTGCACATATTTGAGGTGTGCAACACTAAGTTTTGACACATGCGCATGCCTGGGAAACTGTCACCGCAATCAAGACAGTGACACATCCACCCTCATCCAATGTCCCTCCTGCCCGTGCTCACTGTCCAGTGGTTTTGATTATAATTTAAAAATCGAATAAGAAAGAAGGGAAGAGAAGTGTAAGAGAGACAAAGCAAGAAAGCAGGAGAGCGTGTGTTTGATGCTGCATTTCAGCCTGGAGAGACAGAGGGAAAATCAGAAAAAGACGATGCACATGAAGGGAGCAGACAGACAAAGAGAGAAGCTGAGCGATGAGGGCACATCTGTGCATTCCCCCGGGGCTGGTGGAGGCACCCACTGTTTCCAGTGGCTCCAGACTCCCGGTTCAGGTGCAGGCTCCAGCCCAGCAGAGACCCCGCACCTTCCTACTCCATCGCACCGCCCCATTTTTCACTGCCGAGGCCCTGCCGGAGCACAATTCATCACGGCCACGTTCAGAAGCCACCCATGTAAATGCAGAGTGATTCCACTTGGCAAGGGCTTGATTGCCCTGAAGGGAGTTTCTCAAAACATCTCTGACACCTGCAGTTGTATGGCCAGCTGTGTCAGCCATGGAGCCCCCGGGCAGGTCCCCAGACTCACTCCTCGCCTCCAGCACGAAGAATGGTCAAAAGCAGGGTGCACCGAGGCCGGGGTGGCCCACACCCCTGCAGGATGCACAAGCACTGCCTAAGCCTGGGATGGAGAAGAAGTGCTCTTCTAGCCCAAGGACAGGTGAGGGCTGCCTGGTGGCCCAGTGGGGACAATCAGGGGATCACCTGCCTCTGTACAACACCCTGGTGAGAGTAAGCCCCAGCTCCGGTCCCTCCAGGGTAGAACAACTCCAGCCACTTCCTGTGGCATTGGGGTCAGCCCTGGTCCCTCTCCAGCTCTGTCTCTGATCATGGTCCTTCCCCATGTCATCATCTTGCCCCATATCGCAGCTCAAGGCTAAGCCCACAATTTGCAGCCCCCTCTGCCCCCAGCACTGAATCAGAGGCAGGAGAGCCTCCTACAGGAGCCCTCAGAGGGGCATGAGCCCTCAGCCTACAGTAGGGGGTGGTCAGAAATCATTTGTCAATTTATCTGTTTGTTGCCTATACAGTCCTGCGTCCCATAATGACAAGGACACATTCTGAGAAATGTGTCATTAGGCGATCTTGTCATTGTGTGAACATCATAGTGTACTTACACAAAGTGCATACTTACACAAACCTAGAGGGGATAGCCTCCTACCCTCCCAGGCTAGACTCATCCAGCCTATGGCTCCTGGGCTACAAACCTGTGCAGCATGTTGCTATACTGAATACTGTAGGCAACTGTTACACATGGTAAGTATGTGTGTATCTAAACATATCTAAACATAGAAAAGATATAGTAAAAATATAGCGTTAGCATCTTATGGGACCACTGTGGTATATGCAATCAGTTGTTGACCAAAACATCGTAATATGCCATATAACTGTATATATTTTGGAATCTACTTTTAGCCCTAATTGGCTCCAATTCATACTCCTGAACAGAATTGCCTGTTATAAAAGATGGAAAGTTCTTCTGCAGGTAATATTGACACAAATGTGCCATCACGGCCCTCCTGGAGAAACAGGCAGCCCAGCCATGCCAGCATTGGCTTCAGGCAATCCCCAGTGAGCCCCTGAATGAGAAACCATCAATGCTTGCCACTCTGAGGGTGGAGCCCAACTTATTTCTGGAATCACAAACACCACACATGGGAAAGAGGAGAAAGGAGAGCTGTTGGCTTCCAAGACTTCATCGCAAAACACTGCTTCCATGAGAGCTGGAGTCGGAGCAGGTGCCGGGGAGCTGGGCGGGGCTGTGGCAGGCACAGGCACAGGGACACAGGTGAACTCACTTTCTCCAGGAAACAGTCACATTTCCGGGTCAAAGGCAAAGGTCAAAAGGCTCACAGTGTGTCTGTGTTCTTGTTTTCCATCTCGATGAACATTTTTACCAAGTTTGCTCAGCAGCAGAACAAACAGACCCTGGCTTTCAGTTTCATCATCTGTGTAGCTGATCTCCTGTCCTCTAACGATTCTAAAGCATTTCTGGCAGTGAACCACTTTCCCCCTGGGAAGGAAAGGGTCGCTGGTGCCCCAATCCTGGGTTCTGCTAAAGGGCCCCTCCACGACTTCACTGTTCATTTCAGAGCTTTGTGACCCCTGCCCCACCACCAGGAGCTGCCCTCACCAGTGTGTCTCCTCTCCACATGGAGGATCATGCTGAATTTACACACACAGCCTGAAATCCCATCCCCAACCCAATCTCTCACTCTTTTGGAAGGTCTTGGTAGTCAACGAGCATACTGTTGTTCAAAGGAACCTATTTCTAGGTGTCCCCGACACAACCTTATGGAAACTGTTCAAGTTGACAGTAAAGAAGACCTTTGCAGAGGCTGCCCAGCCCAACCCTTAACATGCTGGTCAGAGAACCCGAGTGTCCGCGAGTTCAGGGGAAGACTAAGAGACTGAGTTAAAGAAGCTGTGAGAAGCAGAAAGTCATGGCTCTGAGGCATTTCGCGGAACCCAGGCACCGCTCCACTCCCGGGCCAGGGCCACCTTGTCATGGTAGCACCAAAGGCATGCGGGCATCCACCCCGCCCACCAAGGCCCTCTTGCCAGGATGGAGGTGCACAGAACCAGGGAAGGAACAGGCACCCTGCAGCCAGGAGGGTGTCCTCGGGTCTCTTCGGGCCCCTCTGCAGACGGGCCTTCTCTAACATGTTTCTGTCCACAGTGCCCTCCCCGCTGCTGATCAGAGATAACAGAAACGGAGCACCAGGTCAGGCTAGCCAGACAGGCTTTTCTAGGCCAGAAGCTTTAATGGCTGGAAAGGGAAAGGATGAGCATTAAAACCAAGAAATGACTCCAGGAATGGTTCCGACCCCAACAACGGGAAATAGACTCCCCGAGCATAAACATGCTCTGTGGTTACCAGGGCTACATGACAGGAAGGAGAGCGGTGCTGATTCCGGTTATCGAGAACACCTTGTTGGCACTTGGAATGGCATCTCTAAAAGCAGCCCTTCTCTCCAAGCTCCTTGTTGCTAGTCTAGTATAATTGGCAGTGTAAACTTGGCAAGGAGAAGCGGGAGAGAGGATTTGGAAGGATGGGGAATGTTTGTAAAATGGCCATAGAGTTCTCCATATGGGGAAAAAGAGTCCTACACAAATCTCCCCACCTGTTCTTTCTGGGGGTAAAGATGATGGCAAAATGGTGTCTCTCCTCAAGGCAAGCCTGCTGGAGACAAAAGACATTCAACCCCTACATCATAAGCACTGCGAGCCACCAGTAGGTCCGTGTCCCTCACTATCTGTGTCTTCATTCACTGCCTCCATGACTTCTTTCTTGTTAAACCCATTTGAGACCATAAAAATGCCTGTTTGATGGAGTCACTTTCTGACCCAGGAGTCGAGAGAGGAGTCCTAAGCCCCCGCTCCATCCATCCCCAGAGTGACCTGAACCTCCACAAAGGAGACTCCTGAGACCATCTGTTAAAAAGCCCTGGCATTAGCCAGGCGTGGTGCCGCACACCTGTGGTCCCAGGTACCCAGGAGGCTGAGGCGGGAGGATGGCTTGAGCCCTTGGAGGTCAAGGCTGCAGCGAGCCAAGATCGCACCACTGTGCTACAGCCTGGGTGACAGTGAAACCATGTCTCAGAAAAAAAAAAACAAAAAACCTTGGAAGGCATGGCCCATGGCCTGGAGGAGCAGGCCCTCAACACTCACAGAAAGTACCAGGTTGTACCCAATTCCACACCAACCAACGCATTTTGGAGAAATAGCCAGTGAGCCCCTTACTCTCCACTTCTGCTGGGGGCAACGTGAACCGTGTATGAGAAAACAGGCAGGGGTCAGGCTTGGGCACCACCCACACCAACCCATGTTTCTGGGGCACTTGGTCATTCAGTCCTGAACAGGTTTGTCTGTAAGACACCAACAAGAATGTGGCGATCCCAGGAAAGGAAGCAGAAGAAAAAGAGGACTGATGCATACAAATGAGACAGGGCCATGATAACACGCACCTCTTCCTTACCTCTCCACTCCTCATTTAAAGACTAGAAAGACATCAGACAGTGTTTCCATTTCCTACAAACACTTAAAGCCTCAAGTTTGAAACCTACACATAGTAGGTACTTAAATACTCGCTGACGGAGCACCTGAACCTCTGTGGTCACAAGCAAGGCATTTATATTTAGCAAAGAACGAAGAAGTTCATTAGCAAATCCTCCTTGTGTTTATGTCTGTATGAGTATGTGAGTTCACAAAATCATATTGTTTCAGAGCTTGAAGAGACTACAGAAACCATCTCTTTCAGATTCATCTTTTAATCAATGGGTACAAAATAAGGTAATGAAAATAAAGACCAGAAAGGGGAAGCAACTTAAGCAAGATCACACAGCAAGGCCCATCAGAGCCAGCATCACAAGGCATGTGTGGCAACTTCCAGTCTGGGGCCTGTTTCATTCTTCTGTAGCACCAGGAGGTCCTGAGAAATGAAACAACTGGGACTCGGGGCCTACCTAGCAACTTCCAGGACCACAGTATTCCTCTTCTGTGTGAGAGCTGTCGAAGACTCCCAGTGGTGGGGTGTAAGAAGTGGGCACCTGTGTACAGGTCCCAGGACATGGCCAGGGAAATACTTACCAGAAAAAGAGACAGAAAGGTGAGTAGGCAGGGAGGGAGTCTGGAGAAGGAAATCCCTGTTATTAGGTTACCTTGATTGCTTTTTCTCCTGTCTCGGCTACTAACAGAATACAGAGAGGCAATGAATCTTTTTTTTCTTTTCCTTTTTTTTTTCTTCTTTTGAGACAGGCTCGCTCTGTCACTCAGGCTGGAGTGCAGTGGTGCAATCTCAGCTCACTGCAACCTCCAACCTCCTGGGTTCAAGTGATTCTCCTGTCTCAGCCTCCCATGTAGCTGGGATTACAGGTGTCTGCCACCACGCAAGGCTAATTTTTTGTATTGTTGGTAGAGATGGGGTTTCCCCATGTTAGCCAGGCTGGTCTTGAATCCCTGACCTCAAGTGATCTACCTGCCTTGGCTTCCCCAAGTGCTGGGATTACAGGCATGAGCCACCACGCCCAGCATGAATCATTTTTAATTCAGGAAATTAAGGGTTATGTTTACTGGAGATTTTTTAGGATATAGGAAATACAAAATTCTGTAAAATTAATTTCCCCTTCCTGTTACCCATTGTGGTCCATTCATTCACCCATTCGACAGCTGAGCACCTACTGTTTGCAGAGCATTTGAAAGGTTATAAAAATGAACCACATGCTGCCCTTGCCTCCCTGCATCTAGTGACATAGGACATGCACACAATGAGGCAAAATTCACCAAGAGAACATGTGGATAAGACAGGACGCGTACCCAGCCACTGAAAGGAACCAACTGTTGACACATACACCAACTCAGACGGCTCTCACGGGTGTCAGGCTGAGGGAAAGAAGCCAGCCTGCATCTGACATTCTCAAAAAGACCAACCCATGGTGGCAGAGCAGAGATGAGTGATTTCGGGGGGTTAGGATGGGGCAGGGTGTGGCTGCATGACATGGTTTGGCTCTGTGTCCCACCCAAATCTCATGTCAAACTGTAATCCCCAATGTTGGAGGAAGAGCCTGGGGGAGGTGACTGAATCATAGGGGAGGATTCCCTCTTGCTGTTCTCATGATAGTGAGTTCTCAGGAGATCCGGCTGTTTGAAGGTGTGCAGCACCTGTCCCTTCACCCTCTTCCTCCTGCTCCAGCCATGCAGGACATGCCTGCTTCCCCTTCGCCTTCTGCCATGATTGTAAGTTTCCTGAGGCCTCCTCAGCCATGCAGGACATGCCTGCTTCCCCTTTGCCTTCCGCCACGATCCTAAGTTTCCTGAGGCCTCCCCAGCCACGCTTCCTGTACAGCCTGCAGAAATGTGAGCCAATTAAACCTTTTTTCTATATAAATTGCCCAGTCTCAGGTAGTTCTTTATAGCAATGCGAAAACAGACGAATACACTGCAGGATGTGGTGGAGCTGCCCTGTCCCTTACTTGTGGCAGTGCTAACATGGGTTAAAAGTCATGGAACGGCACAGCCCCAAAAACGTCAATTTAACTGTAAGATCATTTTTAAAATAAAATTTTTTAAACTGAAAAAAATGTCAACACTATGTGCATTCAGAGGAGAGGCAGGCTGGGCAGGCTAAGTTTAGCTGCAGCCTCACCGGAAGACATCTGACCAGACCCTGAAGACACACAGGACCTGGACAGGGGGAAGAGCAGAACATTCCAGAAAATGTGAACCGTGAGGGTGGACAGTGGGAACATGCCACAGACACTGGAAGCGGTGAGTCTGTCTGGCTCAGTGAGGAATAGAGTCAGGGGAGCAGGGGACAACGTAGGAAATCCGGTCATTAGCGCCTCCCACTCAACTGATCCCACTCGGTCCAACAACACAGTCACCATGGAGGGAGGCCCATGCAGCTCACCAGGACAGCAGGTGAGAAGAACCTCTTTGAGGACTGGAGGTCTTGAAAATTCCAAGACATCCGTCCATCCAGCAAACCAGGGCAGCACAGGGAATGGAAACTTACAAATCCCTAGCATCTGTTCTGAGAAAGAATTCTATCCTGTAATTTTCAAAATTTCTTGACTTGGAATAATAGGATCAGAGGCTCTCAGAGTTGGAGGACAATGTACAGATCATTTAGCTTGTGGTTTTTGAGTCAGGGAATGTGAAAGAAGCTCTTCCTCCAAAAAAAGACACACAGAGCCCCAATTATACAAACAACTCCAGGCATTCATCAGAAACCCACTGATGCCACCACCCGCTCCCCCACCCGGCCCCCGACATGCTGCAGGGTCTGAGAGGGTCCACAGACCCCGAAAGGTAGCTCAGAATGTGTAACCTCTAGACTGGCCCCCTCGGCTGAGTCCCACCTCTTACGAGGAGCCTGGTCATGATACCCGAGAGGAGAGGCTTCCTTTTTGAAACCAAGCCAAGCGTTGGGTTATGAGAAACAATTCCAGACTCCGTGTTAAGGGACCAAGCTCGCACGCTGTTTTGCTGCCTTAAAACAGAAGCTCGGCCATTGCTCCCTATACTTGGGCTGGGCTTTAGTTACAGAAAGGCCTCAGTCCCTGCAGCCATTCGCCTCACCATGCCCTGTCTAATGGGGCAGGCTGGGGCAGGGAGCAAAAAGGAGTTCACCTTTGTAGTGGGCGCTGGGATCCCCAGGAAGAAGGAGCCAGTCTCCAGCTTGTTCACGGTTGACCAACTCTCCAACCCCCTCAGGACTCCTGGGCTGTTTATAGCCTCACACCCCAAACACAAACTGTTGTTTGCAGCTTTTGCAGGGCCTAACCCAAGGCTCGGCTTCAACTCAGGTTTCCCTATGTGCAGACATCGAGCAGGTAAGAGACCGGCCTGCCTCTGGATGGGGTTTGAAGAACAAGAGCCAGACAGGGTACCCCAAACCCAGGCTGTGGCTTCTGCCACGGCTGAGGGCACCCTCTGAGGCACACAGCCCTGCCCAGGCGCTGCCCCAGCCAGCCGGTCCCCTTGGCAGAGCAAGCCCTTCAGAACCGCACTCGACAGGTTCCCTATCTCCCACATGGACTGGTCTATTTTAAGAACTGTATTTTTAGGACAAGCAAATGTGCTGGGCTTCCATGTTCCAAGATCACGGCCTTGCCTCTGGCAGCAGGTCCACTGCCAAGCTCCTTGTCTCTGACTTTGGAGGAGGCTCTCAGCTGGCTGCTTGTCGTTGGGGTTGAAGAAGAGGAGTCACAAGGAAGCCGAGCATTATGGGATAGTTTGAGGCCTTGAGGAGTGGAGGCAAGACAGGAAGGGAAGTTCCGCCAGCTCCCAGAAGTTGAGAATTGCAAAAGTATCCTTGCCCTCCTCACCAAGAACACAATGTAGAACCAGCAGATCACAGAGGGGCTTGTCCACACCAGGGGGGCGGTGAGTCCAGCACTCCAAAGTTCAACTCCTGGCTCCATCCCTGACTCCACCTCTGCCACCTGCAGCCAGGAACAGTGCACAGCTGAGCCACACTCTGCTTACCTAAGCACTGAGGACGGCCAGGCCTGATCTTAGCAGAATGGCTCTGGCTTCCGGGTTGAGAAAAGACTCAAGAAGGACAAAGGGGCCAGGTGTGGTGGCTCACGCCTGTAATCCCAGCACTTTGAGAGACTGAAGTGGGTGGATCACTTGAGACCAGGAGTTCAAGACCAGCCTGGTCAACATGGCGAAACCCCATCTGTACTAAAAATACAAAAATTAGCCGGGCATGGTGGTACACTTCTGTAATCCCTACTCAGGAGGCTAAGGCATGAGAATCTCGAACCTGGGAGGCAGAGGTTGCAGTGAGATAACACCGTGCCACTGCACTCCAGCCTGAGCAACAGGCTGGCGAGACTCTATCTCAAAAAAAAAAAAAAAAAAAAAAAGAAGAAGGGCAAAGGCAGGGCCTGGAGAATGGTAGAAGGGTCTGCAACTTCCCCAGCGAGAAGTGCTGGCACGGAGGAGGTGCGGCACAAGGCAATGAGGGACGAGTGTGTTTTGAAGTCACGGCCACAGGGTTTGTTGAAGGTCTGGACGTGTGGAGACGAGAGAGGGGACTCAGGGATGATCCCAAGGCTTTTGGCCCAAGACACTAGCAGGATGAAGTTGGCATTACTGGGAAGCAGCAGCCAGATCAGATGTGGGGAGAGATTACAGACACTCAGGTTCTATACCCGAGACAAGTGGAGGTTCCCGAGAAGCAGCTGGACGGTGAGTTGGGAGCTCAGACGGGAAGTCCAGCCCGCAGGCACATGGCGGGAAGCTACATTTAGAGATGTGAGTCTGCACACAAGTGGCAGACAGGGAATCCAAGGACAGAGCCCAGGAGCAAGACAGAATTCAGAGTGGGGGGAAACTGAGGAAGAGAAAGGGCAGCCCCAGTGGTGAGAGGAAAGGAAGCCAGTGTGAGGTGGCACGAAGGGAAGGAAGTGCGTCACAGAGAGGGGCAATCAGCCACGTCACAGGCTGCCGACAGGCAAGGGCGAGGACTGAGAAGCGCCCACAGCACTCAGCCCTGTGGACGGCTCTCCAAGAGTCTGCCTGCAAATGAGAAAGAGAGGAGGGGGCCTGGCTTGGAGGAGGGAGAGGTCTAGAGAGGGTCTTTAAGATGGGAGAAATCGTGGCATGTTTGTATGCTGACGGGAAGATCCAGGGAGGAGAGAAAGACCGGTGCCAGAAACCCAGGAGGCAGGACCAAGAGCAGCAGTGGACAGAGCCAGGGCCTCACAGGGACCAGAAAGAAAGTGGCAGATCTGGCAGGAGGAGCTGGAGGAAGTTCTCCTTCAATTATCTCTACCTGGCAAGGTCAACAGCTAAGAGAGAGGGCGGGAGGAGTGTTGGGGGCTTGAGAGAGGGTGAAGGTACTTAAGAGTCACCTTGGAGAATGGGAAGCGTGGACGGGGACCACCAGCACCTGACCGGGCAGTATCATGGGCCCACATGAGGTTAAAAACTTGAACCGTGACATCAGCACACCCGCAGGTGTCTCTCCGGCTGCACAGGTATGGACAAGGGGCAAGGCAAGGGCTGGGTTTCCCCAGCATTGTGGTTTCCCCCAGTGAGCATGATGAACTGAGACAGGGCCAGAAAGTCTGAGGATTGGGAAGGGGCCCCCTGAGCACTGGGGGCTTGTAGTCTCAGGGGCATCAGGGGAAATTGGAGGAGTGGGGCGGAGAGACATGTTGGATGTGGTATTTGAAGAGTGGGATGTTTGTAATCTCGGAATTTGGAGGTATCGGAACTACTGGGAATGGCAAGGTCACAGCCAGCATATATTAATGAGCGGCTCTGCCTGCCAGCCTCTGAGCTGGCACTGCGGACACACCAGTGACAGGTGGGCAGAGTTTCTCGCCTTGTAGAGGTTACACTGTAGTGGGGGACGTGGACCAAAAAGGAAAGGAACAAATAATAAAATAGCTAGAAACTGTGATAAACGTCATGAAGGAAGTAGACAGGGATGAAGCTGGGAACTGGGACGGGGATTTTTGACACGGATGCTCTGGGACCACCTCTAGAAGAGTGATGCCAGAGCTGGGTCTGGAATGAGGAGAGGGCCCCCCCGCCATGTTCATGGCATGGGGGGAAGGTCAAGGTAGGTCCTCCGCATCTTCAGAGTGGATAGGAGGGCGAAGGGTCTCAGAGGGCGCTAGAAAGATGGGAATGGGCATGCCGGCAGGGCTGAGGGTCTAGAAGCTTATTCTAGGGGCACTGAGGAGCATTGGAAGGGTTTTTTAAAGTAGTTACAATCCAGGCAGGGCACAGTAGCTCATGCATGTAATCCCAGCATCATTTGAACCCAAGAGGCAGAGGTTGCAGTGAGCCGAGATCACAGCATTGCCCTCCAGTCTCGGCGAAAAGAGCGAGACTCTGTCTCAAAAAAACAATTAAAAAATAAAGCAGTTACAATCCAAACTGGAACACTGAATCACCCTTCAACCCAATGCGAAGACCAGCCACCAAGTCTGCAGTGGCTTCCTTCTGCAGAGACCATGCCAAGACAGAAGCCAGTAAGCAGAGCTCCCACGCACGACAGTGCTTGCCAAACCAGTAGGCGTCTGTCGGGACCGCTGTGGGGATGTTTGGGGTTGGAACATTCATTTGCCCCAGAGATCAGGGCTGGACAGCGGCAGCCACCCTCACCAGCACCTGCACCTGGGCACAGGTGTTCCCAGGGCTCAGTGCTCAGCTGCTGCTGGTTAGGGCACCTGCTTAGGTCCCAGGTGCCTGATAAGAGCATTTCCCATCGCTTGCTCCACTCCAGAGGGTTCTGCTGAAATGGAAGGAAGGTGATGGGGAAGCTGAGTACAAGAAACTGTTAGTAAGAAATCTTACTACTCAGAAACGGGCACAAAGGAAGGCTGGGGCTGGGGGTGGCAGTGAGGGTGGGTGTGGAGAGCCAACCATACAAGCTATCACGTAAACAGCACCTATTCGGTGCCAGGCCCCATGCTATGAGCCTTCTGTGTGGTGTCTCATGGACTCTCAGTATCTTCTCTATGTTATGGATAATGAAACGTCACCCAGCTGGTCAGTAGTGGGTCCGAGATTTGAACTCAGGTCTTTCCACCTCCAAAGTCTATTTGTCAAACAGCCAAGATAACAAAAAATAAGGAAGGACGCAGACTGTGTTCAGAAAGCGTCTCCTGGCATCCTCAGGACTGACATGACCTGGGAGTGACCAGAGAAGGCTCTGGAGGATGTGACGCCACAGCCCGTGGCCCAAAGTCACTGAGCACAGCTGAGCTCAACCAAGCAAGGGCCAGAGAGAGCCCAGAGGCCTGAGCACTGGACGCCGAGTGAGGGGGCGGCCCAGGAGCCGGCCCTGGGGTCCTGGTCCTCGTTCTGACACTCCCTGACCATGAGCTCAGTCAAGTCCTCTGTCTTCTCTGGACTGAAGCTTCCCCAAGCTCCAGGAAGCCCTCCTCGCAGCAGTGTCCTGCAGGCCATGGTTCCTGGTAAGACCCAAGGACGTCTGTCCTGGGGACAAATCCAAATCCAGAAGAAACAAACCAACCAACCCCTGGCAAGTGCCTGAGCCTGGTAACCAAAAGGGGCTGGTAAATCCTCAGCAGCCAGCTCCTTCCACACTGGCCGGCACCTGGACAGCGCCAACACCTCCAAGGGATGGTGCTCCAATCCCTGCCAAGGCCCAGAGCTCAAATGGGGAGCTCCCTGAGGAAAGCCTTTTGGACCAAGCTAGAGCCCAAGCACGAGGACCGCAGGGAAAGCAGCCCCATGCTGCAGTGACAGAGGGCTCAGCACTGGCTACCTGAACCCAGAGCCCTGGGCACAAAGCAGGACCAAACCCACAGCTCCCCATGTCCAAGCTGCCTTAGAGGCTCTGCACGGACCAACTCATCAGCAGTGCACGTCAAGCTGGGAGGCAAGGTTGGGAGTGCAGCCCGGACCGGGGCTCTGGGGGACAGAAGCAGCAGGGCTCACACTCGCCCCCGAGCTTCCTGGAGCTGCAGGTGTCCGTGATGCCGCAGTGTGATGCTTGCCCCTTTCTGAGGCTGCGGTGGTCCTTCTTCAAGGGCTACGGCAACACAGGGCACCTGGCAGCAAAACAGGCCTGGCAGCCCTGGCAGTGCAGATGCATCAGATGCAAAAGTGAAGAGGGGGCCGGACAGGGACACTGCAGCACAGAGAGGCCCAGGCAGGCAAGGGCTTTCCTTGGCCACTGAGCTGGACCTGGGTCCTGGAACCACACTGCCCCAGGAGGACACAGACCCGGGTTTCCTGCCTTCCCACCCACGATGCCGCCTCTGGGGAATCTCTGTCCCTGCCTCCACCCTCAAGTCCTGGCAGCCATCCTAGTCCTAGCCCCCCAGAAACCTCCCAGCAGCCTCCAGCACTCACAACTCTGCCACATTGGAGCTGACAGCCCCAGGAGTTCCTGGTCCGAGCCTGCCTTGTTCTGAGGAGTAAACGGGGCCCAGAAAGGGAAGGGACATGGCCAAGGCCCCTGCTGTCCCCTCCCCAGCCCTGAGCTCCTGAGAGTGAGGGCTGAGGGTACTGCTCTCCCCAGGTCCTGGCAGCATGGCTGGGCATGGCCGCTGACCCTCCGTGAGGGGCGGGAAGATGCTGGAGGCTCCCAAGGACTCCTGGCCCAGGAGATGCTCCTTCCCCATTGGAAGCCAGCAGGAGGCCTCGAAGTCTGTTTATTTCCCTTAGTTCCTTCTCTAACACTAAAACATTAAACCATAACATTTATCCTTAGGTCACTTAAGGCATAGAAATTAGGTTAAATATTTCATTCACTAAATAGCTCAGATGGTTGTGGATTCCACCATAAGTAAGCAGAAAGTTCATTCATTTTGCACTTATGCAATAATATAAAATAATCATCTCAAATGAATATTTTACAGTTTGCATTTATTAGCAATCCATTCCCTTTCAGAGCTACTCGTAAGGGGTCCCAACGCCTTATGAAATTTAAACAATCAAGATGAAGCCACTAACCTGTGAAAGTTCTATTCATCTAGTGTAGACAGCCAGGTTACAACATGCGCCCCAGGCCCCTGGCACGGTGCTCTGTGGAGGGTGCTCGAGGCTCAGCCACCTTGCCGGCCCCTGAGCCTCCCCTCCTCTGGGGACCTTCCGCTAAGACCAGCACGTCTTCTCATGCCCCACACAGAGCCAAGCTCCTTCCTAGCCTGCCTGGATTCTCCTACCTGGAATCCCCTGTCCACATCAATTAAAGCAACAAACAAGCCACGAAACCTGTCATCCAGCATGCTCTTTGTGCCGGCAATGTGTCTGCCTCTCCCCACTCCACCGTCAAGGCCGTTCGTGCCTTTAGTGACCACTCCAGCTCCTATTTCTCTGCTTTCTCTAATTGCAGCAAGCACTGTTTCTCTGCATTGTGTACCCGTGCTTACCTGATATGCCCTGTATGGTTCTCTAAGAACCTCCTCTGAGTCCACCTGAGGCCCAGACGGAAAACCGAGCTCCACCTCCCTTCCACGACCCACGGTGCCCAGGACAGTGCTGGCCATGAAGTCAGCCCTCCACCACCTCCCTGCACTTGAAACCTGTTTCCCAGAGAAACACGCAGGCTGGGGTGGGACTCCCATCTTCCTTCCAGGTCTCTCCTCCCCTCCCACTGGATGAGGACAGGGCACCAACACGGGCCTCCCTTTCCACGCAGGGCTCTGTCACTCAATTGTATGGAACGCTGTTTCCCGGGTCTCACAAGCTCTAGGGGCTTTGTAGGTGGATACAGTTTACAACCATTGAGTGCCTACTGTGTGCCGGGCCTCTGGAGAGGTGGGGCTGATGGAATGCTCCCTGGCCTCTCTTCTGGAGGAGTGGATGACCCGGCCCAGAAGTCGGTAGAAAAGCACAGGGTCGGAAAGCACTGGAAGAGGCAGAAGCGACGCCCCGGGAGCCCCACAGGGGGTCCTTTCAGAAGGAGCTCACCTCCGCAGCACTGACAGGGCCCGGCCACCCCTCGGCAGTCTGGGTCAAGCACCAGGTCACCTGAGGATGGGAGGAGTTTGGGATTGGAGGAGGCGAGTAAGGGCTGAAGCAGGAGGTAAACTGAGCCCCGGTCAGGAGGACCACGCCAGGTATCCCAAGGGTCTGAACTACTTCCTGTGGGAAGTGGGAATTCGCTTGGGGTTCTCGAGGCGAGGGAAGGACCTGGGTGTGACATTCTGTTGCCCCACAAGGCTGGCTCATAGGGGTCACTTCCTCGGGGTGGCCCACAGGCTCTGGCGTACAGCTGCCTGTGTCCTTAGCAAGGGTTCCCATTTTCGGGTCCCTCACTTCCAAGTCTCCTCTATCTGGCCTCAGCTTTAGTTAAGTGATGATTATATGTGTGCTTCCACGCTCCAAGCTGCTGTGACAATGTGGACCCCTCTCCTGGTCGATGCTCCCCACGTGAGATCCTATGTGATCAGTTCCTTGCCGCAGCCAGCAGCAGAGCACCTCTCTTCTCAGAGGTAGCATGGTGCCCACCAAACAACCACGAGCCATCATCCATCCCCTTGGCCCTGACTACCAGGACACCTGTGGCCAAACTGAAAGCCCATTCCGTAACATTATTAATACCGTATCCAAAAATTCTTATTTTTTTTTTTTTTTTTTACTACCATCTGACATTCTTGTTAAGAAAGTGAATTTTGTGCTAGGCTCTCACAAATCCTTCCTGAAAGAAAGCAGAATGTCAACCAGAGTAAATAAGTAAGTCCTCCAACCGGGAAAAAAAGAACTCTAGAAATCATACAAGGTCTCCACTGGTTGATGTCATGAAGAGGTTAAGGGGGAAATCATAGAATGTTAGTGTGGGAACAAGGGGAAAAGGAAGCTTAGGGCTCAGATGGAGAGAGGCTCCAGCCCTCAGAGGCTCTGGGTTGGGGTGAGCTGTGACCGGTCAGGTGGGGACAGTCCTCCGGGAAGGATGAATGGAGCTCACAGCTAATAGGTGCCCCAGGGATGATTCATGGGGCTCAGTGCTTTGGAGAAGGTCATTTCCATCTCAGCCCACCTCAACTGGGTTCTCCAGCTGGCCTTAGAGATGGGTGAATTTCTTCTCAGCTCTATCATTTTCCTGATAATTAACAAGCTAATATTCTGAACCCAGGCCTTGGGGTGATTCTGAAAACAGTACAGGGTTGGGCTGCTTGGGTTTTTTTCCCATCAAATAAACAATGAATGGAATAAATCTGGCCACCCACCATTCCATAGAATTTCTAGGACTAATCCACAATCCAGTAAAATACCACCTCTTATTTTCTTCTTTCTGCTTTTATGTACTTTATAAATTTTCCGTAATAAGCATATATTAGTTTTTAATGGGGAAAAGTAAACTCTATTCTTAAAAATCTCTCTGCCTACCAGATCTTACCATCCAGGATTTTAAGGATAGAGTTGGGAGAATCTGAAGATATCCCATTGCCCAGGGAAAGACTAGAATTAAATCTGGAAAATTTCCAAACCCAAATACTATGGGCAGGTCTACGAAGCCCTTCCCATTTTCCTCCACATCTAGCTAAACCCAGAGACACTGTGACTGGCACAGACCCCACCCTGCTTCTCCATCCTTCCAAATGCTCCACACCCAATGCTACCTTCCCTGTCCTCTCTGTTCTTCCAACACCAAAATCCGCCAACAGACCCTGCCCTGGTCTATCCCACACCAACTCCGTACAGCCAGATCTGGGGCAGCAATCCCTCCACTGAGGGGCCACCCCTCCAGACCCTGTTGAGCCACTTGGATTCTGCAAATGGCTGTATGTGTTTCAGTGCCGCATCCATTTGGTACTCAAGTACACAGGACTCAAAGTAGCTCTAGCCAGAAACAACTTTTCCCCTTTTCTCTTCTTTGTGTCCTTCTGGACTGGGGTCCCTCCCTCGAGGAAGCCTTCCCAAGCCATCCTAGACTGGAGGGAATACCTACGTACGTAGGAAATACCTATGTATTCCCTTTGTATCCCATACTTCCTTGTGTACCACTTTTTGTCATTGCCTAGATATTAATCAAGCTTTCCCCCATACCCAGAAGATAGATGGTGAAGGCAAAGACAGGCCCATCTCACCCACGAGCACATCCTCAGCACCTGCCACAGAGGCCCACAGTGATCAGAAAGTATTTCTTGAAAGGGAAAAGCAAGAAGAAAAAGAAGGCAGAAGGAAGGGAGGGAAAGGCAGGGGGAGAAATTAATACATGAATTCACAGATGGATTGATAAACTATTTTTCCCAAAGAACTGAACCTGGACTCCTGGGAGGTTCCAAAGGGATGTAGCCCTCCTCATTTTACCAGGAGTCTTTGCATGGCCACTCAGAACCAGCTGGATTTTAGCAAATGGAGTGCCTGTCTGGAAAACCGGCCAGAGTGTCACTTGATGGCCCAAAAGCCAGCTTCCAAGGTGGGTGGCTAAGAATTTCCCAGGTGAGATCAAGTAGATGTGGCAAATAGTCACAGTTGGTCCACCTAGGTGAAGGGTAGACAGGTGGCATTGTAATCATCTTGCAGCTTCTCTGTAGGTTTACAACTTTTTCAAACTAAAAAACTTTGAGGCCGGACATGGTGGTTCATACCTGTAATCCCAGCACTTTGGAAGGCCAAGGCAGGCAGATCACTTGAGGTCAGGAGTTTGAGACCAGCCTGGCCAACATAGTGAAACCCCGTCTCTACTAAAAACACAAAAAAAAATTAGCCGGGTGTGATGGCATGTGCCTGTAATCCCAGCTATTCAGGAGGCTGAGGCATGAGAATTGTTTGAACCTGGGAGGCAGAAGTTACAGTGAGCTGAGATCGTGCCATTGCACTCTAGCCTGGGTGACAGAAAGAGACTCCATCTCCAAATCAATAAATAAATAAATACAATTTAAAAATAGGAAACATTGAAAAAATTGAAAAAGTATAATGTTGGAAATCAGGATAGTGGTTGTCTTTGAGGAGGATGGGGGATAAGGATGAAGGGGATCTTCTGAGGTGCTGGCATGATATAATCTTGAATTAAGTGGTTTTCATACTTTCATTCATGGATCGGCATATTTCCATTTAGTAGACTTTTTTGTATATATGCTTTATTTCACAACAAACAGACTTGAAATTAGAAAGAAAAAAAGCAAGCAGAACACATAGTTCTGAAGGCTCCGTGGGATTATGAGAACATTCTAGCAATAAAATGGGACTACCTGAGCTCTGCCCAGCTGATTGGCCAAGCCCCAGCTCAACCTTCCAGAAGCCAACCCAGAGCAGCTGCCTCCTCTTCATAACCCACTTTCAGGTTCCAGACCCAGGTTCTTTGGCTGGGATCCTAGCTGCCTCATGCAAAAGTCTAAATGCAATTGAAATGCAATGGATATCAAAGCCCTGTTTTTGAGGGAAAAAAAAGAAAAGAAAAAACAATAACACTGGCCTCCCTGCTCCTTGGCAATTATTCTCTCTTCAAATAGACAATTTTTCACCATTAACTGGATGACGGAACTTTCGTTTATAAGGTGATCCACCTAGAAAATAATATTGTGTCCACCATAATTCCCATTTCCTAAGCATGTTGGGCAATTTTTTATTTCAAGGAAAGCTGGGGAAATCATGTTCCATAACCAAACGCGTTCTTGTGCTGAAATCATCTCAGAACAGCTTACAGTTTAAAGTGGAATTACACCTTCGAGAGGCACAGCACAACCTGACCCTTTCGGGGAGTTAATTTTCAAAACAAAAATAACAATGATGAATAATCTCTTGTCTGACATGTGTTGGCAGGCCTTGACCCACCTCTCACAACTCCTATTACCTCCTAGGGCATAAACCAGATACTTCCGTAAACTTGGAGATTTCCTGTTATTCTCATCCCTGGCCTATGATAACATGGGTTTTTTCTTGCTGGTATATGAAAATCATTACTCTTTCTAATGGAAACAATAACTTCTGAACAAAGTACCTCTGTGGCCTCCCATGATCACCAACCTACCTGCATGAGTGATTCCTTAAAACCAGACACCCAGGAGAGATTATCTTTTTTAGTTTTGCTGCTCCAGACCATAATAATAAAGTCCAGGAGCTCCCTCGCTCTAGGCATGTACTGGTAAGTGCTGGGATTCCATCAGCACCTCCCTAAGCCGACGTGTCGAATTCCACGTGTTCTCACGTGGACCATCTACTAACATAGCCATCTATGCTACAGGGATCATTCCCTGCCTGGCACCCCTGCTGCCACCAAACATGATTCTGGGCCACATTACTCTACATTGACAGAGCAGAATCAAAGCATACAAATCCATTTCCATACTAACCTCTGCAAAATGCAATTCAGATATAACAAATCTATGTTATTCTGAAGGCACACCCAGAAACTGCGGTAGTGGTGGTGGGGCAGGTATCACTGTTCTAAATATTTCTGGCCCCTTCTCCTTTAGTTAGACCAGTGGTTTGCAACCAGGGGCAATTTTGCCCCCAGATTGGCAATGCCTAGAAACATTTCTTGTTGTCACAACTGAGCAAGGGGTGCTCCTGGCATCTGGTGCGCACAGGCCAGGCATGCAGCTAAACACCCTGCAATGCACAGGACAAGTCTTAAAATAAAGAATTGCCCAGACCAGAATGTGAATAGTGCCAAGGTTCAGAAACCCTGAGTCCGAGCACAGCAATTTACCATGCTCTTTACCATGTTCCTTCAAGGAGTCCTCATGGCTTCTTTGCGCTGTCCTCTGTGCTGAAATGCTGGCCATTACAGGTTTGGGGAGCGCTTAGGGAGAAGCTGTGGCCTCCAGGAGCCTGTTCAGCATCGTCAAGAGTGAGTCATGGCAAACCGGCACGTTCCCTCTTTTGATAGAACCTGCATTTCCATAGACGGCAGTGCCTCTGGATTTCAGCAAGGCAGCCAGCAAAGGCCATCATGTTATCCCTGTAAATTTGATGAAGGCACATGGGCTAGATGGTAGTACAATCAAGGAGATGCACTGTCGGTTGAGTAACTGAACTAGCAAAGGATGGAGCGATATGATAGATCCAAGTCACCCCACAAGTATGTGCCACGGCCTTTGCCCTCAGCCCTGTCTTGTCGGTCATTTCTATCAATGGCTTAAATGAAGTCATAGAAAGTATTCTTATTAGACCCCGTGAATAACAACACTGAGAAGGATGCTGATATTCTGGTGGGCCAACACACAATTTAAACAGACCTCAATGGGTTTATGATAGAATAAACCAGCTACACAGCAATAATAGGCAGCCTTAGACTTCTTCATGGCTTTCAAAGCACTTTCCCACTGCGCTGTTTTATGTGATCACCATCACCAGTCTGTAATGCAGGTGGGTCTCCTGACTCCCGTATCCCACAGTGCTGGGGGCAAGTATAGGACACTGCACCTCGGTTCAAAACATGGGGTTTTTACTCCTGATTGGGGTACAGAACAGGGGAGAATCTATTTGGAAAAGGGTTTTAGTCCGGGTGCGGTGGCTAACACTTGTAATCTCAGCACTTGAGAGGCTGAGGCAGGTGGATCACAAGGTCTGGAGTTCGAGACCAGCCTGACCAACATGGTGAAACCCCATCTCTACTAAAAATACAAAAATTTATCCAGGCGTGGTGGTAGGCGCCTGTAATCTCAGCTACTCAGGATGCTGAGGCAGGAGAATTGCTTGAACCTGGGAGGCGGAGGTTGCAGTGAGCTGAGATAGCGCCATTGCACTCCAGCCTGGGCGACAGAGGGAGAATCCGTCTCAAAAAAAAAAAAAAAAAGAAGAAGAAGAAGAAGAAAGAAAGAAAAAGGGTTGTAATTAAGTGCAAACGCAGAAGGCATTAGCTTGGTTGCATTAATCAAGGATAATGTCAAGAAGAAGGAAGGTGGCACAGCCGTTCCTCTCTGCTCTGATCAGAAGCCACGTTGGTGATGCAGTGTTTAGTTGTCATTACCACATATAAAATCAGTGCTGTAAACAAGGGCTCACTCCCAAAAGGATGACAAAGGTGGTGAAGACCAGCATCCTTTGAAGAAGACGTGAAATCCGGGACATGTGCTTGTTGGAGACATCCTAGGGAGACCACACTGGCTGTCGTCAATATCAGAAACGCCCTCATGGATGAGATGAATTCATGGAATTCTCTGTGGTTCCAGGGGACAGAAGCAGGACTGATAATGTATATTCAAGGTGAATAATTTACACTCAGCAGAAACAAGAACTTGCTGACCATTTATACTATTGCAGAAATAGCAGGTCAGCGTGCAAAGTGGTGAGCTCCTCAGCTCTGAAAATATTCAAGTGCAGGGTGGAGCTAAGAGATGGGATTCAGAGGTAGGGTTACTAACGGTGTCATTTGTTCACTTGACAAATACGTAGAGAGCATTGTCCTGGGACCTGGAGAGACAGCAGTGAACACAAAGACAAACTCCTATCCTCCTGGAGTTTATAGAGTTGGTGATTATGAAATGGTGAGAAGTGCTCTGAAAATGGAGTTTAGAGAGTTGGTGGTTTTGAAGTGGTGAGAAGTGCTTTGAAAACATGGGATTTTCACGATGATTAAGAACTCCCCAGCAAATTTTCTCCCATCACCATTACTCCGATACTCATGGCCTTAAAACTAAAGAAATTAAAAATATAACGACAATTATAAATATGTAAGTGACAACTGAAAGAAAGGGTAGGGTTTTTCCTATCGGTGTGGGAACTGGGTTTCTTAAATGAGTAATTAGTGAGTCAAATATAAGATAATCTGAGAGCAATGGGACCTGTCACCTCTAAAGCCCCTTTCTGCTCAAAGACACTGGGATTCTATAAAAACATGTCTGTGGCTTCCCACAAAGTCTCTCTCTCTGAAACAAATCTGACCACTTTAAAACATAAGGTGCCCATTAGAAGTCACCAGAAGCTCATTAGACAAAAAGATGAGCAGGAATTGGGGGAGGTCAACAGGTAAGGGTGGGAATGTGGAAGAATGAACCTGAAAGGAAACATATGTGGTAAACAAGTCAGAAGCACCCAAAGTCAGAGCCAAGAGAGGCCACATCATGCAGAACCTTGGACTTCCACGGGCCAAGGCACCTGCTCCCTCTCAGGATAGGAGCCCCATAAGCTGACCTGCTCCACAGGCTGTGGGGAGACAGCCAGACTGTTCCACTGCTTGTTTTCCAGGCCCCGCTCCATAAGACATGCTCCCCACCTCGCTCCTGTCCTGCCTCTTCAACTTCCCATCCTAAGCAGAGCCATTTTAAACCTACTCCCCTGCCCTGTGGCCTTCAAAAGACAAAGGTAGCTAGCAAGACAGTGGCTGACGCAGGGGCTGGTTCCCCATATTTTAGAGATGCCCCCAAACAAGAGGAAAGTCTTGGGTAGAAATGGTGAGAAGTTCCTGGGGAAGACAAGCATGAGTGGGTCCTCCCCACGCAGGGGGCTGCAGGACCGGGAAGTGAAAGAGGCGCCAGCTCCAGGGTGAGCAGGCTGCAAGGAAGCCAGCTTTCGGTGGCCCAGCTCCCCACTCCATCTTGCCCTGGACACACATCTCCCATCCTGTCCCTAGAGCGAGGACCACAGAAGAGCAGAAGCACCAGCCCCTCACCCAGCACCAGCTGGTACCAGGGCCCAGACAACGCAGACAGTCTATCACAGTGGAACCTGGCAGCAGGGTGGCCCCTGAACACTCGATTCTCTTTCTCCACCCCTTGGTTGGGGGACTTGCAATAGAGGCTGGCAGCTCTCAGAAAAGAACCTGTCAGGGTCAGGTTGGCCAGGGCACTACAGGGAGGAAAAAGCAGACTGAAATCAGGGAATGATCAAGACCAGATTTTATCACCAACGTATTCTCCTCACTCCCCACCCCCAATTCTCTAGAACTCACCAGAAAGAGCACAAGTGAGGGTGCAGGCCCTGCCCCTGGCCTAGACCTGTATGACCCTCCAAGGCAGCTATGGCTCACAGGGAAAAATAACCAAACATCCAAGGAGTACAACCGCTCTAAGAAAAAAGACCCGGCCGGGTACGGTATAATCCTAGCACTTTGGGAGGCTGGGGTAGGCAGATCACTCGAGCCCAGTAGTTCGAGACCAGCCTAGGCAACATGGGAAAGCCCCGTCTCTACAAAAACACAAAAATTAGCCAGGCATGCTGGCATGCACCTGTATTCCCAACTACTTGGGAGACTGAGATAGGAGGATCACCCGAGCCTGACAGGCAGAGGTTGCAGTGAGCCAAGATGGCACCACCGCACTCCAGCCTGGGCAACAGAGTGAGACTCTGTCTCATAAATAAATAAATAAATGCTCCCCGAGGCCTCTCCAGAAGCCAAGTGATGAGCACCATGCTTGTACAGCCTGCCAAACCATGAGCCAATTCAACCCCTTTTCTTTATAAATTACCCAGTCTCAGGCATTTCTTTATCTCAGTGCAAGAACAACGTAACACAAAGACAAACCCTATGTTTATATCAGGAAGCAGAATTAAGAGGCAAACCAGAACAAGAATTCAAAATAAGCAGATATCCTCAAAGAGATCAGGGAAGACACTGGGAACACAGAGTGGGAAGAGGCAGTCATAGGAAGAAGCCACTGGAAACGCTGGCTATAGAAACATAATTGCTTTGTTTTGTGGGCACAGAGTTTCAGTTTGGGAAAATGAAAAACTTCTGGAGACTATGATGGCTGCACAAAAGTGAGAATGTACTTAATGCCATTGAACTGTGCACTAAAAAAAGTTTAAAATGGTAAATTTTATGTTATGTGTATTTTACAATACAAAAAAGGTAGAAAGAAATGAATAAATGAATATTTAAATAATGTCATAAATGTAAAGATCCTAACACTGCTTTTGAACATAGATGTCCAATAAAAGGTAGCTTTATGAAAAGAAACATGATAGGTAAAATAAAACTACAGTATAATTATTGATTAATTTTGCAAATATTTATTGAGCATCCACCGCATGTCAGACGCCACAGCAAGATGCCAGGGATATGTTACAGGACAAAAGAGACAAAAAGTGCTGCCTCCGTGGCTCTTACGTTTGGCAAGAGAGACGAAACGCAAGGTGCACCAGACGGTGCTATGGAGAAGGCAAAGTGCATGGGGAGTGGATTCTCAAAGAAACCTTGAGGGCAGGTCTCCCTGGGGACAGGCTTGGGAGTCTGGGCTCCCTCTGGTGACTGAGGAGCACAGGGATAAAAGCAGATCTTGGTGGCAGAGGGACATGTGACGCAGAGGGAGTGGCATGGCATGTGCGGAGAGCACGCAGAGCTCCAGGGCTCCCTCTGGACTCAGATGAGGGGAAGAAGCCTGCTGGAGGTGCAGACTTATTCTATCTTATTCCTAGAAGAAAGCGCTCAGAGATGGGCGGATCACCTGAGGTCAGACCAGCCTGGCCAACATGTTGAAACTCTGTCTCTACTAAAAATACAAAAAAAAATTAGCTGGATGTGGCGGCACGCACCTGTAGTCCCAGCTACTCGGGAGGCTGAGGTAGGAGAATCACTTGAACCCAGAAGGCAGAGGTTGCAGTGAACCAAGACCGTGCCACTGCGCTCCAGCCTGGGTGACAGAGCGAGACTCCATCTCAAAACAAAACAAAAAAAGGCACTCAGTACACAGCCAAAGAATAATTTAGTGAGGTTAAGATCACAACAGGGAGCTTACCAGAATGCATCAAAAAAAAGATAAAGAGATGGAAAAAAAATTTGTAATAAATGAAAGGAGGCTGGGCACGGTGGCTCACACCTTTAATCCCAGCACACTGGGAGGCCAAGGAGGGCGGATCACCTGAGGTCAGGAGTTCAAGACCAGCCTGGCCATGGTGAAACCCCGTCCCTACTAAAAATACAAAAAACTAGCCAGGCGTGGTGGTGCACGCCTGTAATCCCAGCTACTCCAGAGGCTAAGGCAGGAGAATCGCTTGAACCCGGGAGGTGGAGGTTGCAGTGAGCCAAGATCGAGCCACTGCACTCCAGCCTGGGCAACAAAAGCGAAACTCTGTCTCAAAAAAAAAAAAAAAAAGAAAGAAAAGAAAGGAAATATGGAAAACAGAAGACGACCTGTCAACATCCATGTCACAGGAGACCCAGGAGGACAGAAACATGAATGGAGGAATCTGTATGAAGAACTAATAACCAAGAATTTCCCAGAATTAGAGAGATGTGTAAAAACCTGAAATTGAGAGGCTGCCCGAAGAGCCAAAGGACAGGTAAGATAGGGAGAGACGCGACATGCTTCCGAAAGGAACTAACACAAGAAGATGTCATGATCCTGAAAAGATATGCACCTCGGAATTTGGCCTCAAAAAATGCAGAGTAACATCTGACAGGGCTGCAAAAAGAAATAGATAAATCAGTAGGTTTGGTTGGAGACTTTAACGCATCCCCTCACAAACTGATGGCTCGCACACACACACACACAAAGCAAAAAACAAAGATGAAGGAATTTATTAGGGTTTAACTAATAAATACACGGAAAATTCGTCCAACAGAGAATGCACATCCTTTTTGAGTACGTGTAGAACATTCACAAAAAAATTAAACATGCACTGAGCCACAAGGGAAGCTTCGGTGAATGCCAAAGAATCATCGTCCTAGGAACCACACGTAAGACTGTAACATAAGAATGCTTACAATTACCAACAAAAGGTTCGCTTGCAAACCGACACATCTGGAAGCGAAAAGACATCCCAGTGATACTTGTTAAAGGAAAAAATCGTAAGGGAAATTTTTGAACACTTAGAACACAGGAAAATCACTATGTGTCAAAATTCATGAGACATAGAATTCCACTTTCAATCATGGAGAAGTAGCTCTTGTTGGACCAACCTTCCAACATTTAAAATATATATATTTTTTAATCAGAGGACAATAGAGAGAGACCAAAGGCAGGCAGAAATGGGTGGGATTTGGACAGTAGAAAGAAGGGAATAAGACTGGGTAAGTTTCTGAGGGTTTGTGACTTTTTTTCTTTCTTTCTTTCTTTCTTTCTTTTTTTTTTAAATAGCTTTTTGCCTGAGGCAGGCCCCAGTCAGTGTCACAGAGCAGCTAATACTCAGATAGAAAACTGAAGTCTTACTTTTTGTAGAATCAGAGGAGAGCTTGGGTTAACCACAGCAGCTAGAAAATGAAAGGGGAACTCCCTAAAAGGAAAGAGCCACAGAGGGAGAACACCAAAGTCTGTGCATAAACTGCCTCAATCTCCAGCTGATCTCTGAATTATGTTTGCATGGAATAGACTGTAAGCAGCCCACCTAAGGCCTAAACACCTGGACAGAGATTTCTGCTGCAGCAGAGACAAGACAGAGTTTATAGTTTGAACTCAGCGAAGTATCTGCTAAAACAAAAACTCAATATTATTCTGAATAGCGTAACAGAATCCCAAGTCTCTGCAACGTATCATTCACAAGGTCCAGAATCCAGTCCCAAATTACAAGATATATGAGCAGAAAAATGCAACTCATACTCAAGAGAAAAGGCAATCAATCAATGGACTCTGAGATGACACAAATTTTTGTATGAAGATGTCTGTTTATTCTGATGTTTTGACGTCTTGGGGCTTTGCTAACTCTAGAAAGGACCGCACTTCCCAGGGTTAGACAATTCCTGCAGATAGCAAATGCCTTGCCAAGGAATGCCCCTTTCATGTGCAAACCAACCATTCTGAAGCCCACGCCACACCCGCCTCCCTTGGTGAGCTCTCACTCATACCACTGTTCCCCTGCCCTACTTGCCCCAGGGCCAGGTACCAGGCAGCAAGAGACAGCCCCTTCGCTCAGAGCCCACCAAAATTGTTTGAACTAGCCAGTCTTATGCCTGTCTAAGTTGCCTGGCCTGGCCTTGCCCTTCTCACAGAAACCACAGCAAAGGCTCTGATCCATACTTCTCCTTGCTCCCTCCACCTCTGACCACTCCTGGTGCTCTCCCATGTGCCCCCGTAGCAGGCAGTACCCCTTCCTCTTGGAATTGTAACAAGCTTTCTTTTCAAAAGCAATCATCTCCCGATCTGTTAGTCACACCATACTTGAATAATAATGATTTGTATTTTAAAACGATGTTGAAATTGGAAGACAAAGATTTTAGGCCAGGTGCGGTGGCTCACGCCTGTAATCCCAGCACTTTGGGAGGCCAAGGCAGGCGGATCACGAGGTCAAGAGATTGAGACAATCCTGGCCAAAATGGTGAAGCCTCGTCTCTACTAAAAATACAAAAATTAGCTGGGCGTGGTGGCGCAGGTCTGTAGTCTCAGTTACTGGGGAGGCTGAGGCAAAAGAATCGCTTGAACCCAGGAGGCGGAGGTTGCAGTGAGCCAAGATCATGTCACTGCACTACTCCAGCCTGGCGACAGAGTGAGACTCCATCTCAAAAAAAAAAAAAAAAAAAAAAAAGAAAAGAAAAAAAAGATTTTAAAGGATCTAAAGTAAATGTGCTCAAGTGAGTTCCCACATGCAACAAATAATGACTGGCCCAAAATGTCAATAGTGCTGGCACCGATAAATACTGATCTATCTGGAAAAAAAAAGAGTTTGAAAAACATGAACAAGCCTTGGTGATTTATTTTTTTAAAAAAACAAAAACATGAGGTCAAATATCCATATAATTGAAGTCCCAGAAGAAGACAATGAGAATATGGCAGAATAACAATTTGAAGAAATAATGGCCAAAATTTTCCCAAATTTGTTGAAAGGCATAGATTTTCAGAATCAAGAAGCTCGGGCCGGGTGCAATGGCTCATGTCTATAATCCCCAGCACTTTGAGAGGCCAAGGCGGGAGGATCACTTGTGCCCAGGAGTTTTAGACCAGCCTGACCAACATGGCGAAACTCTGTCTCTACAGAAAATACAAAATTTAGTTAGGCATGGTGGTGCACGCCTGTAGTCCCAGCTATTCAGGAGGCTGAGGGGAGAGGATCGTTTGAGCCTGGGAGGTGGAGGTTGCTGTGAGCCGAGATTGTGCCACTGAACTCTAGTCTGGGTGATAGAGCCAGACCTTGTCTCAAAAAAAAAAGAAGTTCAAACAAAATGAACAAAACAAAACAAATAATACCTAGGCACATCATGGTCAAAGTGAATAACCCCAAAGATAAAGGGAGAATTCTGAAGGGAGCCAGAAATAAAGGACACGTTCCGCAGGGAATAACACAAATGCTAAAGAACACCTTATCAAAAACAAGAGGCCAGAAGGAAGAGAACAGCACCTTTAATGTGCTGAGAGAAAAACACACTGTCCACTCAGAATTCTACACCCAGTGAAAAATCCACCATTAAGTAAGGCAAAATGAAGACATGTTAAGAAAAATAAAATATAAGAAAATTCACCACCAGCAAATCTTCCCTATGAAATAAAGTTAAATGAAATTCTTCACACCAAAGGAAAATGATACAAATGGGAACTCTGATTTCAGGAAGAAACAAAGATCTTCCAAAGTATGATTATAAAAGATACCATTTTCTTCTCCTACTGTCATAAAACACATGTGGCTGTTTAAAGCAAAAAAAGAAAAAATACACTATGGGGCTTATAGCATATATAGATATAATACATATAACAAGTATAGCATGAAGAAATTAAGATATAAACAATATAGTTGCAAGATTCTTATAATTTACATAAAGTGATACAAATATTAACTACATGTAGATTGTGAAAAGTTAAGAATATACATTACATTCCCTAGTGCAACCACCAAAAAATTCAAAACATGCAAAGAGGCATGAACAAATTAAAATTATTTTTAATACATTCAATTAACCCAAAGAGCAATTAAAAACAAGTGAGATAAACAGAAAATATATGTCGACATGGTAGGCCTAAATCCAAACATATCAATAATTATATTAAATATAAATAGACTAAACACTCCAGTTTAAAAACAGAGATTGTCAGAATGTAGGAAAAAGCAAGACCAAACTATAGGCTGTCTACAAGAAACACATTTTAAATAGAAAGACAAAGAAAGCAATAGATAAAAAAACATACACCATGTAAACCACAAACATCAGAAGGCTGGAAATGGCTATGTAGCGTAGACTTCAAGACAAACAGTTTACCAGAAGTAGAGACATTTCATAGTGAAAAATGAGGCAATTAATCAGGGAGGCATTACAATCATAATTGTGCATGTGCCTAATAACAGAGCCTCAAAAGACAAGAAGCAAAAATTGACAGAAATAAAGAGAGAAATAGACCTATTATCTCAATTGGGGATTTTAGTAATGGTGTCTAAAAAAAAAATCATAAAATGCCTAGGAATAAATTCAGGAAAAGATGTGCAAAATCTCCACACTGAAAACTAAAAACATTGCTGAAGGAAATTAAAGAAGACCTAAATAAGAGATATACCACCTTTATGGACTGGAAGACTCAGTATTTTAAAGATGACAGTTCTCTCCAAATAATCTATAACACTATCCTAATGAAAATACCTGCAGGTTTTTTTAATAGAAATTGACAAGCTGATTCTAAATTTATATGAAAATGTCAAAGAGGTAAGATAGTCAAATCATTTTGAAAAAGTAAAGTTGGAGAACTGACATCAAGATTTATTATAAAGCTCCAATAATCAAGACAGTGAGGTACTGGTATAAGGACAGACAAATAGATTAGTGGAAAAGAATAGAAACCAAAATAGATCCACCCTTATGTGGTTAATTAATGTTTAGACAAAGGTGCCAAAGCAATCCAATGGGGAAAAGAAAGTCTTTTTTTAACAAATGGTGCTGAACAACTAGACATCACTATGGAAAATAACAATGTTGTCTCCTACCTTACACCATACATAAAAGTTAATCTGAGATGGTGACATGGTTGGGATTTGTGTCTCCACCCAAATATCATGCCAAATTGTAATCCCCAGTGTTGCAGGAGGGGCCTGGTGGGAGGTGATTGGATCATGGCAACGCATTTCCCCCTTGCTGCTCTCATGATAGCAGGTGAGTTCTCACAAGATCTGATTGTTTAAAAGTATGTGGCACTTCCCACTTCACTTTCTTCCTCCTGCTCTGGCCATGTAAGACGTGCCTGCTTTCCCTCCTGCCATAATTGAAAGTTTCCTGAGGCATCCCCAGCCACAATTCCTGTACAGCCTGCAGAACCATGAACCAATTAAACCTCTTTTCTTGATAAATTACCCAGTCTCAGGTATTTCTTTCTAGCAGTGTGAAAATGGATGAGCAACAGACCTGCATGTAAAAGCTAGCATTATAAGGCTTCTAGAAGAAAACATAGGAGAATATCTTCACAATAAGCAAAGATTTCTTAGAGAAGGCATGGAAAGAAATAATCAGAAAGGGAAAAAAGTGATAAACTTCAGGCTGGGCACAGTGGCTTATGCCTGTAATCCCAGCACTTTGGGAGGCTGAGGCAGGTAGATCACTTGAGCCCAGGAGTTCAAGTCGAGCCTAGGCAACATGGCAAGACCACGTTGCTACAAAAATAAATACAAAAATTAGCCGGCCTGGTGGTGTGCACCTGTAGTTCCAGCTATTCGGGAGGCTGAGGTGAGAGGATTGCTTGAGCCCCAGGTGTCAGGGCTGCAGTGAGGCATAACTGCATCACTGCACTCCAGCCTGGGTGACAGAGTAAGACTAGCTCAAAAATAAATAAATAAATCATAAAAAATATATTTCAGCAAAATGTAAAATTCTGGTCATAAAGAAACACCATTATAACAATAAACAAAAGCCGGGCACAGTGGCTCACGCCTGTAATCCCAGCACTTTGGGAGGCCGAGGCAGGCGGATCACTTGAGGCCAGGAGTTTGAGACCAACCTGGCCAACATGGCAAAACCACATCTCTACTAAAAATACAAAAAAAAATAGCCAGGTATGGTGGTGGTCACCTGTAATCCCAGCTACTCAGAAGGCTGAGGCCGGAGAATCGCTTCAACCCAGGAAGGGGAGACTGCAGTAAACCGAGATCACTCCACTGCACTCCACCCTGGGCAACAGAGCAAGACTCTGTCTCAAAATAAATGAATGAATGGATAAACAAATAAATAAAAATAAAAATGAATAAGCAGGCCACATTCTAAGAGAAAATATTTGTGAAACATATAGCTAACAAAGAACTGTATCCAGAATATATAAACTACAAGCCCCCACTAACAAAAGGGAAATCCACGATGTTTAATGGACAAAAGATTGGAGCAGATATGTCACAAAGGGAGATATATGGATGACTAATAAACACATGGAAAATACCATTAGTCATCAGGGAATGCAAGTGGAAACCACAATGAGATCCCACTGTTCACCCATCAGAATGGCTGAAATTAAGAGTCACAGCACTAAATGTTGGTGAGTATGGAGAGCAACTGGAATCCTCATACATTGCTGGTGGAAATGGTACAACCACTTTAGGGGAAAAAAACATCCAGCAGTTTCTTTTAAAAAAAAGAAAACACAGCACCCAACAATTCTTTCCTAGGCATTTACCCAAAAGAAATAAAAACACACATCCCCAAAAAAGACTTGTACAAAATATTCACAGCAGTTTTATTCATAATAGCCAAAAACTGGAAACCTACCAGATGTCCATGAATGAATGGATAAACAAACTATGGTACATTCATACAATGGAATACTACTCTCAATAAAAAGGAAAAAAAAACTACTGATACAAACTACTGATACTTGCAACAACACAGATGAATCTCAAAAAACATGCTGAATGAAGGAAGCCTTGCCTAAAAGAGGACATGTTTAAAGCTACGTATTAGGTACAATATACACTCCTCCGGTCACCAGTGCACTGAAATCTCAGCCTTCACCAAATTAATCCATGTAACCAAAACCACTTGAAACCACTTGTACCCCCAAAAAGCTATTGAGATTAAAACACACACACACATATATATATAAATATATATATATATAGAGAGAGAGAGAGAGAGAGACAGAGAGAGAGAAAGTACATGTTATATGAATTCATAAAGTTCTAGAATAGGCAAAAATAACTAATGGTGAAAATAATCAAAACATTGGTTGCCTGGGGGTAGGAGAGCATTGACTAAGAAGAGACCAGAGGAACCCTTTTGGGATGATAGAAATGTTCTGTGTCTTTATAGAAGTTTGGGTTACATGGGTAGACACATCTGTCAAAACTCATCGCACGGCACACTTAAGATTGTGTGTTTCACTGTAGGAATTTTACCTTAAAAAGTAAATAAACAGTTCATAATATGCATGCTGAAATATTTAGAGGCGACATGTACTGTTAGCTGTGATTTACTGTGAAATATATCAAACCAAGATGGATTGATGAATTGATACATGGATGAATATGGGATAAAGCAAATATAGCAAATTGTTAAAGTGATGGATATATCATATCTAATTCAACTCTTCTTTACGTTTGAAATTTTTCAGTATAATGTTTGGGAGAAAGAAAAAAAATTGTGAGACACAGCTAAAGCAGTATTTAAAGGACAATTTATAGTTTGCATTTAACAGAAAACAAGAAAGATTGAAAATAAATGAACTAAACACTTGAGCTAAAGACTGCTGGTGACCTACCAATATCCACTCTCCCATTCTTCCTAAATAACACACTCCAATTTCATTACGGGCAGGAAAGTGCTGAGCAAAAGATTGCCCCTCCCAGCCCGTCTGCAGATGAAGTTGGCCAGTGAGATGTTAGCAGAAGGGCTTGGGTGAGCTTTCCAGGGAAGCCAGTTAAGAAGCAAGTGAGAGCCTGAAAGACCCACTTGTTGCCTGGAATGCAGAGGTCATGTTGCTGCCCCACTCCCCCATTCTCCTTGCTCTGACCCAGCTCCCTTTCCCTCTATTCCTCCAGCCCAGGACTCACCCCCCAAGGTCAGTAAATAATGGCAAAATAAATCCAAGAAATGTTTTGAAAGGTCTAGGTAATGGAAATGTTTAATCCTCTCTCTAGTCATTAGCAAACAAAGGATGTGACCTCCTAGAGTCAGAAGCAGTTGACTCTCCTTTCAAAGTTAAACTCTTCCCGAGGTAGCACCCCCATGCCAGCATTCCAGTACACCCCTGCCAGTGACGTGGGGGAAGACAGCTATCTTTAAAGCCCGGGGCATCCACCCAAATGAAGAGGTTTACTGCCTCACTTAGGAGCAATAACAGAGCAGATACCTTGAACGGTGAGTTCTCATAAATCTTGTTTGGGGAAAAAAAACTTTCAATTCCCACTGGAAATATGCAAAACAGCCTCCACACTGTAAATCTTCCTTTTCAGTTCTAAAGAGATAAGTTGGACCTATTAACCTTCCATGTTATTTTCAACTTCATTATTTGAGCTGACATGACAAGAGAGCGGCCACGGCTCTCTCTGGCAGAGCGCATGTAAATCGCTTTCTCAAAGGAAATTACTTCTCTGGCCTGAATGTTATTAATCTAAATTCTCCGTTAGTCAAATTGTTGCCCATAATAAATATGGAACAGGTTGGGATACTTATCGAGTGTGGCACTCCTTGTGGATGCCACATCCGTCCCTAACCCCCTTCCATGGAACTGTCTCCTTGGAAGAGGCAGGTCCCAGATGGCTCCTGCATCAGGCTGTGGTGGTGGAGGTGGGAGATGGCTCACCTGAGGGCTGGAACCTGGCTCTGCTCTGGTTTTCCCAAGGAACTTCTGCCCTGTCATGTCCCCTGCCCCTCCTGCCTTATCAAAGGGGAAAGTGACTCCTGGCCTAGTGGAACTCTTCTGAAGGCCTCCCCATTGGGACACCATCTTTCAAAGAAAACTACCAGGAGCAGGGTTGAGTCTCTGCCTCGGATTGGCTCAGTCTAGACTCAGTCAGTCCAGTGCTACAAAGAGCAGGTCTCCCCAGTCCCTCGGGCAGCCAGCCAGACTGTTCACTGGCTGATGCTGGGGTGATGGGTTAAACTCTTTACGATACCATTTAAGATGCATTTGGTTCAGCACCAAAGCCTTTACAAATCACACTGTTTTCAGAACCTGGAGAGGGGGAATGAGGTTTGCTCATCCACATGCGGCCCAACCCGTTGGACGGGACTCCAAGTACTCTTCACAGAATGATGCTCATTTCCGACAAAGCAACCTGAAGGATGGAGAAAGCCAACTGCCGTGGCGCAGGGGTAGGGGGTGGGGGGGAATCCAAAAGGCTTTTTTCTGCTTCTACTAGGGTTCTTTCCAGGGTAATTACAAGAAGTTTAGAATCCATTCAGGGACTTGTAGTTCATTAAATGAATTTCCATCTGTGTATCCACTACCTAAGAAGTATCACTTTGTACAATACTCGGGTTTTTATTGTATATAAGTCAGATTGTTAATTTGCAGCAAGCAGCACTGAAAGGCTCGTTTCAATAGTGCCTGATTATGCAAAATGAAACCGGGTTTTCATTAGGTCTGCCTCCCGCACTCCCTAACACTTGGTGGGGTGCCGGGATGCAGGATGGAGCCCTGTGCAGTGGAAGGAAGCCCAGCACCAGCTTTCGGAGCGTCACGGCCCTTCTCCCAGCAGAATCACCCAGCGCACCCGCACCACCTCCCCAGACTGCACTGGGGGTCCCCATGGATTCATTCCCACATCCCATCACTGCACAGCCAATGGTGGCCACTAGGAGAACTCTGACACGAAAACGGAACTTAGGAAAGATTAGCTTCTAGATTCCAAGCATGTCCCAGGTCTATTGATTTTATTTAAGGGATAATGTTCCCAGGGAAGAGGGATGGGAAGCAGAGCAGCTCCTGCTGCTGGTCTGGTGCTGGAGTCAAGCAGAGCTGGCTAAGCCCTACAGAGTTACAGGAGGAGATCAAAGATGACAGACGCCGGCTCTTGCTGCGGATGATGCCCACCTGGGGACCATGAGGCTGGGGTGGGCACCACACAGCACAGGCTGGGGATGGAGGGGGAAGGAAGGAGTGATGGGGAAGAAGGGGAACCTGGATTCCCGGGACCAAAAGCAAAGCGGCCCTTTCCTCAACGACCTACAGGATTTAGTCCTGTGCCTCCCACATTGCATCCAATAGCAACGAGTATCTACAGGTTGCAAAAGACAGAAAGAAAAAGTAAGGGGTTTTATAAATGCATCCCCATCTGCCCACAGCCTCACTGTTTGTTCCGGTCAGAACTTCTTCCTTCCAGCTAATTCACCTAAAGGCCAGATCACCTGCCAAATGGTTTTGGTGGTCCTCAACCTGGACTGGACACTAGAATCATTTGGGAGCTCTTAAATAATAGCAATGCCAGAGCCCCACCCAGACCATTTAAAAGAGTCTTTGGCCGGGCGTGATGGCTCACGCCTGTAATCCCAACACTTTGGGAGGCCAAGGCGGGCAGATCACCTCAGGTCAGGAGTTCGAGACCAGCCTGGCCAACATGGTGAAACTCCGTCTCTACTAAAAATACAAAATAATCAGCCGGGCATGGTGGCACATGCCTGTAGTCCCAGCTACTTGGGAGGCTGAGGCAGAAGAATCGCTTGAACCTGGGAGGCAGAGGTTGCAGTGAGCTAAGATTGCGCCACTGCACTCCAGCCTGGGTGACAGAGTGAGACTCTGTCTCAAAAAAAAAAAACAAAACAGTCTCTGAGGGTGGGCCCTGGCATTAGTTTTTAAAAGTTACCCAGTGATGACAATATGCAGACAGGACTGAAAACCCCTGGGTTCAATTTCAATCTTGTTGAAGAGTTTACCAAAATACCCTAACTCAGAGACACACAAATGAGCATGGGAAGTGGGGGCGGAGGGGCTGGGGAACCTGGCCCTAGGGGGTCTCATATGCCATTGGGGGCCCAATAAACACCACAAGATATGCCCAAGAGCAAACTTGTAGAATATTGGGTCCTAAGTCACCAAGGCTTTGTGTCCCCAAAAGAAACCAGCAGGAGTGCGTCATCAGGAAGGATGGGCTGGAAACTCAACGCCCAGCTCCAAACCTGGGAGGTTTGCTCCCTGCATTAACTCACGTCCACAGCACCCTTCTAACCCACTTGGTACCAGGTACAGACAACCACCAGGAACCACCATCTTGGAGCCCCAGTACTCACAGAATTTTCCAGGAAGCCTCCCCGGGTTAATGGGGTGACCAGAAGATGGCATTTCTCTGCAAGCCCCAGCACTCGCCTCACAGTGCAGGTACAACCATGGACGATGGTTGACAAATCACCTAAAAACACTGTCCCTTCCTCAAGATTTTCCCACCTTAACCTCAAATCCCTCCAGGGCGGGCACTGGCATCCGACTCCTTTGTAAATCGTTCATCCTCTCCTAGGACAAGGCTCTGCACCTGGAAAGTCAGTTCACCTGGATCCTGACGGCAAAGCCCACTTCCCCTTCTCTGCCCAGTGAGCCCTCCCCAAAACTCCCTCTGTCACATCTTGGGTGGTATCCCCTGCCTCGCAGGGGACAGAAGACCACTTCACTCCTCTTGCTAATAGGAGATCTAATAATTGTGTCAAACAACCATCCTTTGATGCTCAGAGCTGCCTCGCCCCACTTAGCAACTCAAGTACCTGAGCAGGGATCAGATTCTGCTTCTCCTGGTGAGAGACATGGCAGCAGACGGATGGAGCCCAAATCTGGCCTGACTCATTCCCCCAGACCCTCCGTCCTCTGATACCCACCTGCAGGGCAACAGGGGAAAGGCACAGAAAGACGGCAGGGAGCAGCCAGTGGGGGCTGTCCCGAGGAACCACCTTGTAAAAGTCTTAAAGTGCAAAGCCAGTATTTCCAGAATGTTCTTCCGTGCCTGAAGGAAACAGGTAGGGCCGGAAAGAGTTAATCGCCGGTAGTCAGAGGTTAGAAGACGAAGCTCCTGCCCATACACAGAGGTGCAGAGAGCATCCCAAGCATAATAAATCTATGAGTGCAGAAGGCCTCTCTCCTCATTTGTTAGTCAGCGATGTGTGAAAATGTTAATGAAGGAAGTTATAATCTATGAGAATTTCACTATTAAAATGTAGTTCACGTCTGAAGGCTTCTGCTCACACACAGCCCACTGTACATCAATCCTCCCCGTGCACTGCTAATAATAGACGTAATTGCCTCACTCTGTCTAGCCACCTTCACCCTGGCAATTCGAAGATTTGCTACAACTGTTATTGTAGAAATTATTTTCGTGCTATTAACTTTGAGTTTTATTATATGTGTTCTTAAAAGAAAATAAATGCAGAGAGATTGTAAGTGTATATCGGGTCCCCGATGAAAGTATTTTAAAAAATATAACGTAATGACAAAAAGCACTGAAGTAGGGTGATATAATGGTTCCTTCCCTTATTGAAACCTAAATTAGATTCTGCATTGTAAAAGTGCATAAAGGGGTTTCTTCTTTTCGTGGAGAAAATTTCTATTCTGAAAATGGCAGCACATTGCCTCTTGCAAAGCCAGGCTGTGGAGAGGAGCAGAGATCATCTGTCAGACTCAGATGCCAGCTCCTCCCATTCACAGTGGGCATCTGACAGGCCCAGGGAGCAGCTCTCTTGGGCAAACCCAGGACGCCTTTACTGAGGGGCCCCCGTAGCTACAGCTGCAGTTCTCTTCCTACAGCCAGCCTGGCCTGGCTCTGCAAGTCAGCCCCACGCCCCCTACACTCACAGCTCCAAATGGGCAGGTTTCCCGGGCTTGTAGCTTAGGGGACAGCCTTGTAATCGGTGTGGGCTTCCAGGCCTGGGACCTAACAGGCATCTGGCCAGGCAGTCATCAAACGGGATGTGAGAACTTCAGCCAAAACTGGAAGTCAGACCCATAGGCAGTCTACGTAAAACTGGTGTGGCAGATACAACGACCCCTTTCTCTGGGAAGCAGGGTCCTCCCACAGTCCGAATGTGTGACCCCAGCGCCCTGGTAATAGATTACTCCAGACTGTCGTCCCCAGGAATTTGGCATTGGATTTGAGGCCCTGAAAGTCGCCTCTTCAGGTAGCTGACCTGACGCGTCTGAACTCGGTGTCTGGCAGATGGACTGAGGAGCAGAACCCAGCCATCGGCAGCTGAGGAAAGACGATGCAGATGTACAGAGAGGGAAAACGTGCAGAGAGAGTCAATGGCCATCCGGCCACTGGCCCAGGTCCTGCCTGAAGCCTACTCACCCAGGAGACATTTCTTTGTTGTTTTTTGTGAGTATTTTCTTTTTTAAGATGGAGTCTCACTGTGTTACCCAGGCAGGGTGCAGTGGCGCCATCTCGGCTCACTGCAACCTCCGCCTCCCAGGTTCAAGTGATTCCCCTGTCTTAGCCTCCTGACTAGCTGGGATTTCAGCCCCGCACCACCCCACACCTGGCTAATTTTTGTATTTCTGTTAGAGACGGGGTTCATCATGTTGGCCAGGCTGGTCTCAAACTCCTAACCCCAAGTGATCTGCCCACCTCAGCCTCCCAAAGTGTTGGCTTTGCAACAGGCAATGTGCTGCCATTTTCAGAATAGAAATTTTCTCCATGAAAAGAAAGAAACCCCTTTATGCACTTTTACAATGCAGAAGTCCCCGGCCTCCCAAAGTACTTGATGTTGCCATCCGCCCACCCAGCCTTCCACCCACCCATCAACCCACCCATCCCTCTATCCACTCACCTACCAACCCATCTACCTTCTATCCACTCATCTACCAACCCATCTACCTTCTATCCACTCATCTACCAACCCATCTATTCACCCACCCACCCATCCATCTATCCACCCATCCACCCACCCATTTATCCATCTATCCATTCATTAATCCATCCATCTGCCCAACCACCCATCCCTCCATCCATCCATCCATCTATCCACTCATCCACCCAACCATTTATCCACCCCCAACCCTCGATCCACCCACCCATCCACCCATTTACCCACCCACCCAATCATCAATCCACCCATTCATCTATCCAAGCCTCTATCCACCCACCCATTCATCTATCACCCACCCATTCATCCACCTATGTATGCATTAATCTATCCATCCATCCATCAACCATCTATCCACCTATCCATCCAACCATCCATCTACCCACCCAACCCTCTATCCACCCACCCATCCCCCTACCCATACATTCAACCATCCACTCACCCATTCATCCATCCTTCCATCAAATAATAGATCCAATTATTGAGTGCCTGCTCTGTACCAGCTACTGGGCTACTGAAGTAAACAAATTAGTTATAGAACTTGCCTCCATGAAGCTTTGTGAAGAAGATAAATATGAAATAATACAAAAGAAATTAACATGAATATATAAAGACAAATTGTGATAAGTATTACAAAGGAAAAGCATATAGTATGACAACAGATTATGACAGGGGTGCCTGTAGGTTTAGGGGGTTGAGATTTAAACTGAGACTTAGTAAGAGTGATGAGGAAGGGGAAGAAGAGGGAGAGTAGGTGCCACAGCCCTGACTGTTGGAGCGTCTGGAGCTGAAAGGCAGCCAGTATAGCTGGAACGTAGTGGAGGGAAGGCAGGTAGAAGTAGAGGGGGCTCCACAGGACATAGACACTAGCTCTTTCTGAAAATGAATATATTTTCTAAGACCATGGCACCAAGATAGAATGAGTTTCCAGGAATGTAAGGTTCCCCGCACATACTCTTAGATTCTTTCTGGAATTTACATTTGGACAATCTGCCTGAGGGGAGAGTAACACAGGATAAAGACAGCACACAGGAGCCACAATCTGGAATGTTCTGTAAGTCCTGGTGACTGTTCCCAATCCCCAGAGTTTTGGAGGATGAATCATCAAGGTAAGTTTACATGGGTCAGCCTCAGAGGCTCCCCGCTCCAGAAAGGACTCCAGAGTCTCCTAGCCCAATAATCCTCCCTCCACCCTACTCACTCCTTCATGGGAGAGTGACAAGGAGGCCCACAAACCAGGCCCAATTGTCCTGCATTGGCCTGGTCCCCACCAAGCCCTATGAGTTTGGGCCACTGAGGCAGGATCGCTCCTGCTCCCCACCCCTCCCCACCCCTCTACGGCCAGCACCTTCAACCAGAGCCACTACGCACAGAGGGCTGAGCGAGGATCCCTGTGGAGTGAAGGGGGAGGCAGCCAGGAGGGGGTCCTAGGCAGCACTGAGGAGCTTAAAGCCATGCTCTGCCAACTGCGTGGGGACAGGGAGCCAGAACCCGGGGCCATGCTGCCTGTGACTTTGGGGAAGGGCGCTAGATCATGAGACAAGTACTTGGGACACTTAAGAAGTAGCTAAGGGCCTCCCGAGGGTGAAATTCAGGCAGGAAACACTTGTTCCAAGGGCTGTGCCACCCACCCCCATAAGGAGCCTGCTGAAGGCCCCCACTCTGGCCCCTCCTCCCGCTCTCCATGTCACAGGCAATGAGAGGTGCCTCTCCAGGATCTGCCCTCATTTCCAAGTTGATGGGATTCCCAATTGCCTGTGGCCAGCATGGGAGAGGGAAATGTCACTTCCTGGGCACAGCTTGGGAGCTCTGTCCATCATCTCCAGCCCTAAAGACTGTTCTCCCCATTGCTGCTCTAGGAGGCTTCTGGGATGACTCCTAGGGGATCTCCCAGACACTGGCCATCGGCGCACCTACCAGAGAACACTCAGGGAGTGCTCTGTGGGTTTACAGTGTAACTAGCTGGAGAAGCAGCATGTGCTCTAGGGAGAAAAGCACCAGGCTGAGAGTCAAGAAGGCCCGCTTCCTAACACTGTGCAGCCATCCAAATGTTTCTTTAAAAACATAGAAAAACATTTATTATCTAATGCAATTAAAAATACATCATGTATTAAATGTCAAAAAAATACATTATGCCTGTAATCCCAGCACTTTGGGAGGCTGAGGCAGGAGGATCACTGGAGCCCAGGAGTTTAAGAGAGGCCTGGGCAACATAGCAAGACTCTGCCTCTACAAAACAATTTAAAAATTAGTGGGGCATGGTGGTGTGCACCTGTTATCCTAGCTACTTGGAAGGCTGAGGCACAAAGATCACTTGAGCCCAGGAGTCAGCACTGCAGCAAGCTGTGATTGCACCACTGCACTCCAGCCTGGCAACAGAGCAAGATTCTGTCTCAGAAATAATAATAGGCCAGGCATGGTGGCTCATGCCTGTAATTCCAGCACTTTGGGAAGCTGAGGTAGGAGGATCACTTGAATCCAGGAGTTTAAGACCACCCTAGGCAACATAATAGGGAGAACTTGTCTCCACAAAAAAATTAAAAATTAGCCATGTGTAGTGGTGCATGCCTATGGTCCCAGCTACTCAGAAGGCTGAGATGGGAGGATCACTTGAGCCCAGGAGGTTAAGGCTGCGGTGAGCCATGATCACACTACTGCACTCCGGCCTGGGTTTCAGAGTGAGACCCTGCCTCAAAAAAATAAATAAAATAATAATGAGAATTAGAGTGCAAAATTGTACAGAGTAAGAAATTCTGCTATGTAAAAATACATAAGTAAAAATCTGTAAATTGATTAAATGTGGGGCAATTACCATCTTCTAAAGTACTTTTTGAATTTTTCAGCTTTTCTTCAAGGAGCACGTGCTACTATTAGAAATGGCCACATCCTTTATTGGAAATTCTGAAATCCTAAAAGTTCCAGGAATCCAATGTCTTTTTCTTCAACTTGGCACCTTTTAGTGGCCACATTTAATCTGAACTGACATCATCTATTGCCCTTATTGGTCCCACTTGGTGTATTTACGTCTTACTGCAGAAATATCAGTGCGTTTGCTCATTGGGGGCTGTTCTCAGAGCCACCGAGACTGTGCCAGCACGTACCCTCAGTTACTCCTCTGGAATCCAGAGAGTTCTGAATTCTGTAACAGAACTGACTCCAAGGGTTTCCGATGAGGGAACCACACACCCAGTGACAGCAAAGGAAGCCCAAGGCTCTAGGCTCAATCTCGTATCCTCTGTGACTTGCTGTGTGTATTAGTCTGTTCTCACACTGCTAATAAAGACATACCCAAGACTGAGTAATTTATAAAGAAAAGAGGTTTAATGGACTCACAGTTCCACATGGCTGGGGAGGCCTCATGATCATGGCGGAAGGCAAAGGAGAAGCAAAGTCACATCTCGCATGGTGGCAAGCAAAGGAGTGTGTGTGCAGGGGAACTCCCCTTTTCAAAACCATTAGATCTCCTGAGACTTAGTCACTATCATGAGAAGAGCACAGGAAAGACCCACCCCTGCCATGACTTGATTACCTCCTACCAAGTCCCTCCCAAGACACATGGGAATTATGGGAGCTACAATTCAAGATGAGATTTGGGTGGGGACACAGACAAACCAAATCACTGTATAACCTAACAGAAGTCACGTCCCTCTAGGGCCTCAATTTCCAGATCTGCCCCATGAAGAATGAAGATCTGTAAGTCTCTCTGGGTCTGTCACTCCACGGGCTCGTGACTCCCGGTGCTACTTCAATGCAGTGCAGAGTCCCTAAAGGGGATCCCACCCCTCCAGCCCACCTAATACCAGCCACTTCCATCCTTGGCTGGCCAGAGAGAGGAGCCCCGGGCCTAAGGAGGGAGACAGAGGATTCTGGATGTCCAATGGTAGCAGAATGGTAAGGGCCCATCAGGCAAGACAGCACCTGCCCTCGACTCCACCCCGACTTGTAGGCCCCCAACAGGCGAGACTTCAGCACAGCTGCAGGTGAGCAAAGGACTCACAGCTTCTCCAGTAAGTGCTCCTGGAGGGGCTGTCAGTAAGAGGCACGCCCTCCAAGGGTGCTTCTCTCTGAAAGAAAAGCTCATGGGGGTAAGGTCTCAATAGTGAGATTTTAAGGACTTGAATAACAGAGGAACAGGTGGGATGGGGGTGCGTTTTTCTATGTCCCACAATTCACAGCACTGAGACTCCCCCGTCTTCATGCGCACATAGTGGGCTGAGCCCTCAAACAGCTGTGGAGAGCCAGGAAAGCTAGATGAGGGGACAGTGTTGCACACGCCGGGGGTCCTCTCCCCCAGCTACACCACCATGAGAGGACAGTGTCCCGGGTGCCGGGGGTCCTCTCCCCCAGCTACGCCACCATGAGGCGACAGTGTCCCAAGCACTGGGGGTCCTCTCCCCCAGCTACACCACCACCAGCTCAGCTTCATGATTTTTAGTTTTCTTCTAATTTTAGGATGGTAGCAGCGTTCTAAGAACGCCTCTAAGTGTTTTAGGGAGATGGTAATGGTCCTACACTAAAATAATTCAACCAACACTATAATTTTAGTGCCACCATCAAAATGAAATAATGGCTGTTTACTATGTTACACCTTTCAAATGACCTTCATTTGAATACAAATTGTGGCTTGAAATTCTAAAAGCTGCTCAGTTCCAGAAGGCTGCAAAATGCAGGAATCCAACAAGGGCTGCTCTTCCCAGAGACTCCTCCCCATATGCACACGGTTTAAATGGATCTTTCTCTGGAGCTGCTGGAGACCCATTTAGCACCTTGATGCAGAATTGAATGGCCCTGACTGGGCAAAATAGGCCCAGGAGTTGGAGGAGGCGGCAGCTGCCTGCAGAGTGGGAGAGGGAGCAGCACCTAGGAAGCCCCCCTGTGCCGGAGACCCTGTGCAGGAGCTGGGAGAGTTCAGGAAACTTCCTCCAAGGGGGCAGGGATGGGGCTGCCCTGCCAGGCCTGGTCCACCCCTCCAGCTCTCCCCAATGTCTTTCAGCCACATCCTAGCTTCCCTCTCGTTTTCCTTCCCCTGCTGTCCTCCGCACTCCCTCCTCCAGCCACACCAACAACTCACTAAGGGGTACTGAACCTCACCTCAGCCTGTCTCCTCTGTGTCTTTGTTCAGATGCCCACTCAGCCAGGTGCAAGGGAGAGCGAGCTCCCCAGGCTAATACCTGCCTGTTCACGATGCATCCACCACACAAGCATTTACTGACGGGTGTGGAGACAGACAGGGATGGTTGTCTCTTCTATGCTCATCCAGTACCTCCAGGTCCAGGGTGTCCTGCTCAGCTCTGTATCCCAAACACCGAGCAATTAATGTTTGTTGAGTTGAAATGTCATCTCTAGATGCTTCCTAGACTCACCAATAGAATACATCCATCCTGTCTAAAACATGCGGTCATTATTACTGACTTTAATTTTTAATTTTTGCAGGTGCATTGTAGATATATATATATCTATAATATATAAAATATAAAAATATAATATTAACTATATATATGTATTTTTTTTAGATGGAGTCTCGCTCTGTTGCCCAGGCTGGAGTGCAGTGGCGCAATCTCAGCTCACTGCAACCTCCGACTCCTGGGTTCAAGTGACTCTCCTGCCTCAGCCTCTCGAGTAGCTGGGATTATAGGCACCTGCCACCACGCCCAGCTAATTTTTGCATTTTTAATAGAGACAGAGTTTCACCAGGTTGGCCAGGCTGGTCTCAAACTCCTGCCCTCGGGTGATCCACCCACCTCAACCTCCCAAAGTGCTGGGATAACAGGCGTGAGCCACCGTGCCTGGCCTGGTGTATACATTTATGGGGTACATAAGATGTTTTGATACAGCCATGCAGTGCATAATAATCACATCACGGAGAATGAGGAATCCATCCCCTCAAGCATTTATCTTTTGTGTTAAAACAATCGAATTATACTTTTTTTGTTATTTTCAAATGTACAATTAAGTTATTATTGACTCTAGCCACCCTGTTATGCTATCGAATACTAGGGTCTTATTCATTCTATTATAACTATTTTTTTTAACCCATTAGCCAATCTCCAGCGCCCTGACCACCACCACACCCCCACTACCCTTCCTGGCCTCTGGTAACCATCCTTCTACCCTCTACCTCCACGTGTTTAACTGTTTTGATTGTTAGATCCCACAAAGAAGTGAGAACATGTGAAGACTGTCTTTCTGTGTCTGGTTTATTTCACTTAACATAATGACCTCCAGTTCCATTCATGCTGTTGCAAATAACAGGATCTCACTCTTTTTTATGGCTGAATGGTACTCTGTTGTGTATAAATACCACATACTACTGGCTTGTTTACACTCAAAGGAAAATTTTTTAAAACCCAGGTTCAGCACTTTTTAGATACGTGACTTAGGCTAAGCACTCAATCTCTCTAAACCTTGGTTTCCATACCTCTAAAGCTGTAATAATCACCCAATCTACCCAGTGGGCTGCTGTGAAGAGTAAATGACATGATATGCTTAAAAAAGCTTAGTCCAGGCTGGGCGCAGTGGCTCACGCCTGTAATCCCAGCACTTTGGGAGGCCGAGGCGAGTGGATCCCAAGGTCAGGAAATCGATACCATCCTGGCTGACATGGTGAAACCTCGTCTGTACTAAAAATACAAAAAATTAGCCAGGTGTGGTGGCACGCACGTGTAGTCCCAGCTACTCGGGAGGCTGAGGCTGGAGAATTTCTTGAACCTGGGAGGTGGAGGTTGCAGTGAGCCGAGACTGCGCCACTGCACTCCAGCCTGGGTGACAGAGCAACAGAGCAAGACTCCTTCTCAAATTAAAAAAAAAAAAAAGCTTTGCCCAGTACTTGGCTCCAACATAACCCCACTGGCACCGAGTGAACAGAAGTATGCGGCAAGAGCTGTAGTTACTGTTGTGCTGGGCATCGGCATCTGTTGATGGCACCCAGCCTGCCCAGCTTATTCTCCGATGTCCTCCGCAGGTTGCAACTTCCAACAGCAGGACCCGACCCACACGACCTTCTCCCCCATCCAGTGCCCCTGTGTATTAGTCTGTTCTGACGCTGCTAATAAAGACAGACCCGAGACTGGATAATTTATAAAGGAAAGAGGTTTAAGGGACTCACAGTTCCACATGGCTAGGGAGGCCTCACAATCATGGTGAAAGGCAAAGGAGAAGAGAAGGCATGTCTTACATGGCAGCAGGCAAGAAATCATGTGCAGGGGAACTGCCCTTTATAAAACCATCAGATTTTGTGAGACTTATTCACTATCACGAGAACAGCATGGGAAAGACCCGTCCCCATGGTTCTATTACCTCCCACTGAGTCCCTCCCACAACAAGTGGGAATTATGGGAGTTACAATTCAAGATGAGATTTGGGTGGGGACACAGCGAAACCATATCACCCTGTGCTTGCTATTTGCCTGACATGTCTGGAATATTCTCTTCCCTCCTCTGCTGATGCTCGGCACATCCATCCTTCACGGAGAGCTTGGCTCCTCCCTCTCAGAAAGCCCTCCTGGATCATCCTGGCCCATGTCCTTTCCTCCTGGGCAAGCCACTCACCTAGGGTCCATCACAGATGCTCTACTGCTCCCGAGAGCCTGGCTTTCACGTGGATCTGCTCTCTCTGAAAGGTAGATTCCATAAAGATGGATTCTGTGGGATCCCTTGTCTCCCACGTCCCCCTTGCACAGTCCAGCAGCCAACTGAACTCTGTGCCTGCCAACACTCTGAAAGGCAAGGCACAGGTGGAAACGCCTATTTCTCCCCTTCCCATCAGCCACCACACAATCCTCACCCCAGGCCCAGTTTTCCAGGCCAGAAGTGCCAGATCCGTCTCCCTGCCCCATCTCACACACACACAGCAGGAGGTCCTGCTGATGAGTTCTCCTTGACATGCATGCAGTCACACTTCTCCGGCTGTTCCTCGTCCTGACCTTTGTGGCCTTCTTCCAAGAAGCCCAAGAAAGACTCAGCGGGGCCTCTGCCTCCAGGCACTGACTGTTTCGTTTTGTCCCATGATCAGATTGATCTTCCTGGAACCCCAACTCAATTAGGTCAAAGTCTGACTCCAACAGCTTTGCTTTAGGCATCCTGGTGCCTGGCTCGAGTGAGCATTCAAGATGCTCTGGTCTCTGTCCACATCGCAGAGTGTCACTCAGCAGCGGAAAGGAAGGGAGTACTGACGCTCGCCGCGGCAGGGAAGAACAGATCATGACACTGAGTGAAAGAAGGCGGTTACCAAAGGCCACATACTGCACTATCCTGTTTACATGAAATGTCTAGAATAGGCAGATCCATAGAGATAGAAAGCAGATTGGTGGTTGCCAAGGGCTGGGAGGAAGTTGGGGGCTTGGGGGTGATAGCTGAGGAGTACAAGGCTTCCTTTTGGGGCGATTAAAATGTTTTAAAATTGGTTGTAGTGTGGCTGCACAACTCTGTGAGTATACTAAAACCACTGAATTGTAGGCTTTACATGAGTGAATTGTACCCATCTAAAGCCTACAATTCTGTCTCAATGAAGCCGTTATTATGCTCCAAGCAGGCTCCACCTCCTCCTCTCCTGCCACGCTCCCCATCAGCTTGAACAACTGTCATTGCATTCAGCCTGCCCAACAAATGCCCATCCTTCAAGGCCCAGCTCCCCAGACTCTCGTAGCATTCGTTCATTCTTGCAGTCAACAAACGATGACCGTCCCTCCTGGGAATTCCACAGCAAACAGCGCACAGAGGAGCATCCCCAAGAGCCCACAGTCTGATGAAAAACAAACAATAACAACAAACAAAGCAGCAAGCCACAGGACAATTTGCATGCAGTGACGCTAACCATGCCACTCCGCTGCTTCTTAATTTTTACCGAAATTTTCAGGGTTTACTCCTGTTCCTCTTACAAAGATCCTGAGCCCCGCAAGAGCAGGGACAACATGCTGAACGTCCCTATTTTTCCCCAAGGCTCACACTGATGGTGGTGGGGGGAGACAGTGTGGAATGCTCGGCTTCCAGCTCTGCCACCTTCCAGCTCTGGTGTGACTCGAGGCAGGCCCCGTCATCTCAGCCCTGCAGCATCCTCCCCCAGAAAACAGAGATGGCGCCTCCTTCACGAGAAGGACCATGGGTGGCAGGGTGATTTATTGATAATTTAAGTTGGCAGGATAATCTGTCCAAAAATTAACTTGTATCTTGTAAACTCGTCAGAAGTGAAGGAGAGTTATTTTCCCCTTGTCCAAGGAAGATAGCAAGCCTTATGTTTATTCCAACAAATACTTGATATTTGTCAGATAAATTTTTTTTATTATTAGATGGCAAAAGGCCGTCTAAGCCCAAGGGAAGAAGACAGAGAAAAGTATTCTAAGGGGATGTGGCCCCACCTGGGCCGTGATCAAAGGAACCTGCAAAATGCAATGCGTCTTTGCCAAACTGAAGCCTTCTGAGCCCAGTTCCAAAGTGCTAGGAAACCCCAGTCTGGATGCACAGACTGTCTTCCAGGACGTCCGTGCGGCAGGTAAGAGGAGTCGGCTTCCTCAAAGACTCCCTCCGAGCAGCCTCCCTGCCCGACCAACATTCACAGGGAGCGCACAGGAGGTTGGATAAGCCTGGACCTTCCATCTCCCTGGCCTCGCCTCACTCCCAACTCTGGGACAGAACTGAACACCACCATCATTTACTTCAATCCCTCAGCTTGTTTAAGAAAAATTGCTTGTCTACAGTTGCAGGCCACCATGCTGTGTGCCACCCCATTTAGAGTTTATTTTACATTAAATCTCCAAGCTAGAGACCCTCCAGTTGGTCTGCATAAAGCAGAATTATTGGTCCAAGTGTTTTTAAAAATAGATGCAAGCCTAGACCCCAAGAAACTGAAGGGATATTATGGGAATACACAACTGTATTGTTTTGTTACTGTATGAAAAATTGGATTCTCCGACTCCGGGTTTCCCCTCCTGCTCCCAGGTTCCTCCCTCTCCTTGTTCCTCACTGGAGATGCTGCTGCAGCTCCTGGCACTGAGAACAATATATTACAAACCAGAGCAGCCCAGACCGAGCTCCACACACTGTGTGGGCCCCCAGTAAGCTCCAGCCTGTCTGTCTGTCTTCAGACAAATGCCATTCTGGGCCAAACGTTAAATAATGAGAACCCCACAAAAATTCAACCGCAGCTTCAAGCTGGATTTGAGGATCACATTTCACACAGGCTTCCACAAAAGTGGGTCCTGACAGAGGAAGTTCCTTTTGGCGCTGAGATTCAGAAACGTGAAAGCCCCTTCCCCGGCTGTGGGAAGGTGGGGCAGGAGGCAGCACTAGCTTCCACCTCCCGCCAGCCACTGTAGAAGGGAGATGAGGCGATACTTTCATTCGCTCTCAGGGCCACATGAACAGCCATGGGACCAAGAATGCCACGGTCCAGGTGAGGGCTGAGTCTTTACAAGGTCGGTGTCACCCAGCAGATGACAAAACCAAAGAGGTTCAGAATCGTGGCCACTGTCAAGATAAATTAGGATATGATCCAGCAATCCCACTTCTGAGTATTTATCCAAAACAAGTCATATCTGAATCTCAAAGAGATATTAGCACTCCCGTGCCCACTGCAGCACTATTCACAAAAGCCCAAACGTGGAAACCACCTAAATGTCCACCAACAGATGCGTGCATAAAGGGAGCGTGGGATATACACATGGTAGAATATTATTCAGCCTTCAAAAAGAAGGAGATCTTGCAGCATGTGACAACATGGATGAGCCCAGAGGACACTATGCTATGTGAAAGAATCCAGTCACAGAAGGACAAATGCTGCATGATTCTCCTTATGTGAGGTATCAAAAATGGTCAAACCCCTAGAAGCAATGACTGCAGTGGTGGTTGTCAGGAGCTAGATGGGGGAGGAAATAGGGAGTTGATGTTCAACATGTATAAAATTTCAGTCATGCAAGATGAGTTCGTCCTGGAGATCTGCCACACAGCATCATGCCTAAAGATAGCAACACATGTTGTACACTTAAAAATCTGTTCAGACGGCTAGGCGTGGTGGCTCATGCCTGTAATCCCAGCACTTTGGGAGGCCGAGGTGGATGGATCACCTGAGGTCAGGAGTTCAAGACCAGCCTGGCCAACGTGACAAAACCCCATCTCTACTAAAAATACAAAAATTAGCCAGGCATGGTGGTGGGTGCCTGTAATCCCAGCTACTTGGGAGGCTGAGGCAGGAGAATCACTTGAACCTGGGAGGCGGGGGTTACCGTGAGCCAAGATCACACCGCTGCACTCCAGCCTGGGCAAACAGAGCAACACTCCGTCTCAAAAAAGGGAAAGGGAAAAGGAAAAGGAAAAGGAAAGGAAAAATCTGTTAAGAGGATGGAGTTCACGTTTAGCATTCTTACCAAAACAATAATAATAGTAAAAGAAACAATTAGGTTCAGGCTGTGTTTGGAGACAGAAAGACGTCTACACTGACTCCACACTCAGCCAGGAAGCACAGGCAGAATTCAGGCTTTGGCCCCTCTAATCAGCACTTCCCTGGCCAACTGCCAGCCCCTAAGACAGCCAGATAGGACTTCCCTCTTTGCCTCAACACCATTCTCCTGGAACATAAGCTCACCGAGGGCAGGGACCGTGTTGCCTGGTCAGCACCCTGATGCTGGGAAAGAGCAGCCTGGCACACGGCAGGCAAGGGATGAATAAAGGCTAATTGCAGAAATCAGCACACAGAAGTGCTTACTAAACACAGATCCTTTCTCCAGATGCAAAAAAAAGAAGTAAAAATTCAAACAGTTGTCGAATGTCAAATCAATATTAATTTACTCAAAGGCATGAGTAAATGTCTTAACGGAGGTTTTTCTGCCTTTATTAAAGGCAACCGGCCAGGTGTGTCACTAGGAGCACACACGGGACTTTCAGTTACTTGTTACTCTTCCCTGCAATTTACATAGGCTCACAATCTTAGATGTCATAAAGCCAAGTTCCCTCACCACTGGGGTGACAGGGCAGTCACCCCCTTCTCTGCACAATAACCCCCCTGCCTTAGCAAACCTTCCCAACAGGGAAGCCCCTTGTTGGGAGGAAAATGAGAAGCAAAGGACACTTCTGACCCAGTTCTCCTTCTGGGGCCTTCACTCTACCCCCGCCCCTCCTTCTCCAACAATGTCAAATTACAAAGTCCTGCCCTGCACACCTCATCAAGACGATCAGTCTCCTGCTCACGGCCTGTCCAGAACACAAGGCCAACCCTCAGCACCTGCCCGCGATGCTCTCCTCTCCTCTCTCCAGGCCAGCTCTGGCTTTTTGGGGAGGCTGACGGGCCTTGCTGACGCCAATGGCAGCGGAGCCAAGTCACACCTGGGTTAGCAGTGATAATGCCATTGCTGAGACCCGGGGGCGGCCACAGGCAGGCCTGGCCTTTTCTTCTCTTTCCTTTTTCCTTCGGAGAGCAGGAATCCACACCAATCACTTACCTAATAAGCATGGAGGATGGTCATGGGGGTTTTTATCCCAGCCACAGACACCATTATCCTGCCCCAAATCAGCTCTAACACAACAAGGAATTCAGAGTCATTAAATGCCTTTTAATAAAAGGCCTGCCTGTGGATCTAGTTTTCGGTTAGAGACTTACCCAGAAGGCACTTTGGCCCCTGAGCAACTCCAAAGACAACGTAAAATTAGTAGTGAGGGTGGGGGTGGTAAAAACAAAACCAAATCAAACCGGACTCCCCCACTGAGGGGCTTGCAAACAGTTTGGGATAGCACAATTTCAGGATTTCTATTTATTCTCAGTCCTCATTAAAGTGGCAGCAGAATGACACGGATACAATCCGATCGTCTGCTATTTGATTACCTTTTTATAAGCGTGCTGCCACAAAGAAGAAAGTTCAACACTCCAGCAAAAGAGGCGTTGCTATAAATACTCCCACTCCCAGACAGCCACGTGTAATTACTCATCAGGAGTGGGGAGCATGAGGAGCGAGGCCCATCGTGTGCTCTTCTCCAGCAGGAACGTCTCATGCTCACTCTGTTAATTACTTCAAGGTTTCTTCTGTGTCTGCTTTGTGCTCACTGACACTCCTAGGACCACAATGGAGCTGGCTGCTGGGTGACAGAAAGCCAAGCCCCTTTGGAAAGAAGAGGGGCTTCCAAAGCCCTGAGAAGGAAGGAAGGCCCGAACCAGAGGGTCTTCCCTCCAAAGGCCAGGGAGTGAAGTTTGGAGCCAGGCTGACAGGGCCGGCCTGGTTTAGGAAAGGAGAGGCTGGAAACAGACACAGCAGTGGTCCCTGCAGAGGACCACAGCCAGCAACGGTCCATGCAGACACTACCACTGGCCTCAGGGAACACCTGGCTGTTCATTCTCCTGAGGTTGTTGGGTCTGTTCTGTTCTCCATCTGTCTCCTTTTGCCAGGTTATCTTCAGATCTCCACTGAGATAGCACTTGCTATAGTAGAATGTCCTGACCCACCAGGACTGGATGATACGTCCTGAACAGGTGCTCTAGTAGCCCCCTGTGCTTCTGATATGCACATCGATCACATTCCTAACTATTGCCTGCTTGTCTCTCCCATCCCAACATCAGTTCTGTGGAGTCTTCAGACTCACGGTATCCTTCAGGCCTCAGGTGGAGTCCCTGGGTCCTGTCGCCACATCCTTTGCCAGGCCCTTGGAGTGACCCCCTCCAAGCCGAGAGTCCCTGGCCTGGCAAGAACCCCCATTACCTCCTCACCGATGCTGGTCTGGGACCGGCCTCCACTCCTTCTGCTGCCTCCCACTCCCTGCCACCCATTCCGCCTCCTGGAATGCTGTCTGTGAGCACTCCACGGCTCCAATACATATGGAGGATGCTTATGGCACGTCGTGCAAGCAAAGCAGGACATAAGGTCCCGTACACATTAGGATTACAGATACACTAAATATATGCATGTGGACCAAAAAAGGCACAGAGATGCGCTGAAATCACTGAGAGTGGTAGGGAAATGGAAATGTTTTCTTTCCATGTCCCTCAATTTCTGGAAGATTATTATATAATTTTATAACAAAAATACATTTGTAATTTAAAATAGTCTTACAGAGATGGTGAACAAATTAGTGGTTGACTGGGGTTAGAGATCCTGGGAGGGAGAGGGTGAGTTGACCACACAGGGTTGGTGGGAGGATGTCTGTGGAGATGGAACAATTCTGCACCTTGACTGTGGTGGTGGTGACACAAATTTGCACGTGTGACATGAAGCAACACAGAACTGCACATGTGCACTGTATCGACATCTGGGTCCTGGCTGTGATACTGTCAGGTAAGATGAAGCCATTGCAGAAAGGAGACCAAGGCTACATGAGGCCCCCTGAACTCTCTTTGCAAATTCCTGTAATAATAATAAATAAATTTCAAAATAAAAAGTTTAAAATACATCTAACTATGGTCTACACCCATTGCTGAGGAATGTGGATGAAGTTTAAATCGTAGGCCTACACTGGCTTTGAAGGCCAATAAACACCCATCCAACCTTTATTTTGTAAATATGGGAAGACACAGAGCCTGCAAAGAAACCCCAAAGGTAGGTGCCCATCTCACAGATGAGGAAGCTGAGGCAGGAAAAGTGCACTGAGCTGGAACAAGCCTGAAGTCCAAGGCCTGCATGAAAAAGCTCATCTCACTGGGCACCACCAGTTCCCACTACATCATCTGGGCCCTCCTCACCGCCCCAAAGCAGATGTGATCATCCGGGGGAGGAGCCGGACCAGGTTCCAGGGCAAGCGGCAGTCCAACGGCTGGAGCCCAGGAACCCTCACCCAACCTAGCCGCTCACTCCCCCAACCTGGCCGCCTTTACTTCTGCAGCGTTCCTTGCCCCTTCTAGCTCCACTCAGGTCACAGGCATCCCGCTGCCGCCTCCACAAACCACAAACACCACCTCCTTCCTGCCCAGACTCCAAGTTCAGAGCCCCCAACCTGCATCCTGCTCAGAAGCTGCCTGATTTAGCATGGCTCGGGCTGATCCAACAAGTGCCCTTTGCGGTAGACAAGGCATCTGGTTTAGCCCTCACTGAAAATGCCCACGGAGGCCAAGCAAGGACCCCTATGTATCTCAGCTGCCATTCTTGACCTCTTCTGGTCCACTCACCACAACCAGGAGCTTTCTAAGGCAAGACTGGCCCCTCTCTGTCCCGATAAAGTCAAACCCTTTAAATGTCCCTCAACTTGGCAAGACAGACTAGCTCCTTGGAGACAGACACCCCCTCGCCCCGTGCCTCTGCAGCCCACCTCAGCACACCTGTCCTCCACTAGCTCCATGCTGCAGCCACACTGGCGACTTGCAGCTCCCTAGTCACATCCCGCATTCTCTCCTTGAAGCACCTGCACATTCTGTTCCCTCTGACCAGGATGTTCTTCCCTGTAACCCGCCTCCCCCAAGCCCCCACCTCCACTCTCTCTATCCGTCTCCTTTTGCCAGGGTATCTTCAGATCTCCACTTAGATAGCACTTGCTACGGTAGAATTTCCGGTAGAATTTCCTGACCCACCGGGAATGGATGATACGTCCTGAACAGGTGCTCCAGTAACCCCTTGTGCTTCCGAGACACACATCGATCACAATCCTAACTACTGCCTGCTTGTCTCTCCTACCCTAACATCAGTTCCATGAGGACAAGGACCATATGCACTGCCCAGCACAGCACCTGGCACGCAGTAGGCACACAGTAAACATTTGTCATATAAATGAATTTCTGATGAAGAAGCTGACGTGACTTCCTGAGGCCATATACAAGGCAGGGAGCGGGGAGGAGAACTCTGGCGGTATCTCCACCGTGGGGGCTATGATCTTTCCAACCAAATAAAGGACGGGAGAGGGGCAAGGGCCATCCTTCCAGACTCTACTTCCGATCTTGTCCCAGCACAGAAAGAGCGGAGGGCAAGCCACGATACATGCCTTGCTCTCTCTGGGAGATTTCTAGATGCTGGAAAACACACCCGGGGCCACATTAAGAGCCGTTTTCTCGGCACACCAAGCGGACAGCCGACTGCTCCTGAGGGTGCCATCTGGGGCAGGGAGGGGCCAACGGAATTCGTGGGTTCCATGATGCAGGAGTAGAGGAAGCTATCTCCACAGCAAAGGGAATGAGCTGCTGAACGCTGCCAGCTCAGTTTGGCAATTTATCGATGTTCTTCGAGTTAAAGCATTATTACTAGTTTGCATATTTATAATGTGCCCTCTGGTTATTAACTGTGATATAATGCCAACTGAGAAAACCAAGAGACCTCAGAAATATTTACATAGCAGCATAATTAAGACTAAGAGCTGAGTCACCCAGGGATCCTACCGATTTTTCTGGAAGAGAAAAAATAGGACATTCTGACTTCACCCCCTGCCCTAAGATTCTCCCTAAATCTGAGCCAGGCAGAAGCCCACTGTGCCTCCTCCAATATCACTCTCAGCCTTCAGCAGAGATGCATGTCACCATCTATGAAATGCACAATTGCTTCCTCTCCACAGCAGCCTCAGCCCAGACTTTTCAAATGCTGGCTGAACCACACAGCACAGCCAGAGCTCATGGAGAGGAGCGGATGTGAGGCAGGAACACGTGGCCACCAGCCTAAGCTGCCCTAGAGCCCTCAACCACACCAACATCCCCTGGGAATCCTCAAACCTAGTGGCTGAAGGTCCCCTGAGATAGAGAATGCTCTCTGAATGGCAAGCAACAAAGACCCTCCCAGGACCCTAGCAGCAATCCTGGAGTCAGCCCTGAGGCCACATTCGCGGGTGGGGAGCTGGGAGGTGCAAAGCATGGGCTCTATGTTTTCCAGAGGAAACGCAGTTCCACCCCCCACCCCACCCCATCTCACTCCCTTCATCAACCCCCTATGTCTCCCTCAATCTAGAACTCCATTTTCTGAAAAAATTCAGGTGGGTTCCAATGGGCTTAACCCTGATTTTTTGGTTTTTTTGTTTTTGAAATGGAGTCTCACTCTGTCACCCAGGCTGGAGTGCAGTGGCACAGTCTCGGCTCACTGCAACCTCCACCTCCTGGGTTCAAGCAATTCTCCTGTCTCAGCTTCCCAAGCAGCTGGGACTACAGGTGCACACCACCACACCTGGCTACCTTCCGTATTTTAGTAGAGACAGGGTTTCACCATATTGGTCAGGCTGGTCTCAAACTCCTGACCTCAGGTGATCCACCCACCTCGGCCTCCCAAAGTGCTGGGATTACAGGCGTGAGCCACCGTGCCCAGTCTCAACCATGAATTTTTTCATGAGTATCTTTTACAATAAAAAAGGTTTTGGCCGGGCACGGTGGCTCATGCCTGTAATCCCAACACTTTGGGAGGCTGAGGAGGATGGATTGCCTGAGCTTAGGAGTTCGAGACCAGCCTGGGCAACACGGTGAAATCCAGTCTCTACTAAAATACAAAAAAATTATCTGGGCATGCCAGCATGTGCCTATAATCCCAGCTACTTGGAAGGCTGAGGCAGGAGAATTGCTAGAACCCAGGAGGTGGAGGTTGCAGTGAGCCGAAATCACACCACTTGCACTCCAGCCTGGGCAACAAAGCAAGACTCTGTCTCTAAAAAAAAAAAAAAAGGTTTCAAAAGTGTTTAGGGAAAATCAGCTGATGAATACATAAATAGAACGTATCTGTTCAGTGGAATATTACTCAGCCATAAAAAGGAATGAAGTTCTGGCACGTGCCACAGCATAAATGAACCTGGAAAACATTCTGCTGGGGGAAAGAAGCCAGAGACAAAAGGAAAAATACTGTATGGTTCCATTTATATGAAATGACCAGAGGCAGCAAATCAATAGAGACAGAAGTAGATGTATGGTCGTTTAGGGCTAGGGAGGATGAGGGGGTTGGGGTGACGGCTAAGAAGTGAGGGGTTTCTCTTGGGGTAACACAAATGTCCTAAAATAGACTGGGGCAATGGTTGCACGTTTTTGTGAATATACTAAAAGCCATGGAATTGAATACTTAAAATGAGTAAATTGCGTGATATGTTAATTACATCGTAATTTTAAAAATTAAAAAAGTGGGAAAAATTCCTGTTTGTCCTGGTGTGGGGCTTGAATCTGAGAGTGGCAGTCTCATCTAGGTCAGCCTGTGACAGGCACCTGGCCAGCGCGCAGCCCTGTGAAGCCTAACTCCTTCTCCTCTCCCGATGGTGTCCCCTCCCCATCCCCGAGATCCCCCACACACTCCCAAAGCCCTAGCTTGTTCTTGACCTAGGAAGCTGCTGCGACCAGTCCCAGAAAGATCCCAAGACAGAAAATCTAGTTTCCACAGGACACAACAAGCAGTAACTAATGCCAGACGTGCGGCATCGAGCTTGCAATAAATGTCATCCTGTTTGGCTTCTGAAAGGGTCTCTGATATGCAGTTAATGCCGCATTCAGGCTCCATCCAGACCTCATCACGGCGATATGCAAATGCAGCTTTTGTCACAACCGGCACTAACTCTAATAACTCCCAAAGCGAAAATGTTCTCATAAAAACCACCATAAAAAGTCCCTTATTTTATTGCCAGCTAAGTTTTCTTTACTTGTTGTCAGGACTTTCTCCTCACTGTTGATTAGCTAACAGGCGGCACGTCCATTTTTTTTCCTTTAGAGAAACCAGGGCACACAATCACCAACCTGTCCCCTCCCTCCATCTAGAGCCGCCTTGCTTCAGCTGCTACCAGTGCCCAGCCCCCTCTGAGCCAGGGGGGCTAATAAACCACATTTACCTTCCCCCACAGGCAGCTGAAATGCATTACCTTTGGTCTGCTGGTTGCACTCCCTGGTCAAATGGGAATATAAAAACCAGCCTTATTTATAACAACAGAATGCCTCTGCTCAAGTTAGAGCTGGCTGCGTGCCCCCTACACACACACCCACACACATACACACATGCACAGACACAAGCACACACTTAAACATGTGCATGCCCCCAGGAGCACGTGCCCACACACATGCACACATGCACAGACACACACAAGCACACAAAGTCATACACACACACTCATGCTCATACCACACTCACTACTTTTCCCGAAGTGGCTTTCACATATTAATACATCTCACCAGAAATACAGCCCTTCCGCTGGCCCTGCTTCTTCCTTGCCAGCACCATGCACCCAAGTAAGAGAGGGTCAGGCAAGTCTCCCAGACAAGACCCTCCCTCTCTGTTAGCACAGACTCTAAGTCTCTACCTGCTGCTCTGCGACCCTTGGAGGAGGGCTCAAAGCCCCTCCAACACAAGACAGCTCTTTCCCAGCCGACCCGGCCTCTCCTTCCCAGCTCTCAAAAAAGACACGGTGGAAGACAGTCCCCTACTTCCATCCACAAAGGCCTTCAGCTGACTCGTCTCTCCATAGAAATCTCCTGGTCCTCCTTCCAGAGAATCCCTGGCGGCATCTCACAAGCAACATATACTGAGTGCTTCCTGCATGAGGCCTCTTGGAGAATCCAGCCACTCCTCTAAGCACCTCAAAGGGACCAAAGCAAAACAGCGTCTGCGGGGATTTCTTATAAAAGTGTACAAAGGAATGAGTGTATCAGTCACGTTTCTACTTGTGACATTAGCCTGTGGGGGCAAGAGAATAAGAAAATGTAGCCTCCTTAGTATAAAGTGTCCATATGGACCTACAGAGTGGCTACTACCAGAAATATGCTTTCTCCAACCTGGGAGAGAGGCAGCCATGGCTTTTCCACCCAAGAAACAAAGACTGCAGTGTCAGATAAAAGGTGGGACCTAGGCACAGTTCTTCCAAGTTCTATGACATCCTCTGAGACACTGCAGATGGAACATCCAGAGAAGCCATCACGTTGTGCCCCTGTACAAAACAGCCAGGACGCTGCGCCCTCCCCAGGTACCCAGGACGCTGCACCCTCCGGGGGCACCGAGGACACTGCACTCCTACATGAACACCCAGGACTCCGCACCCCTATACAGACCCAGGACACACCACTCCTACCCAGACCTCCAGGACGCTGCACCCCTACCCAGGCACCCAGGCCCCTGCACTCCTACATGAACACCCAGGACACTGAACCTACCCAGATCCTCAAGACACTGCACCCCTACCTGGGCACCCAAGGTACTGTGCCCCCACCCAAAGCACCCAGGACACTGCAACCAAACCAGACACCCAGGATTCTGTATCCTACCCAGGCACTCAGGACTCTGTACCCCTAACCAGGCACCCAGGATTCTGCACCCCTATCTGGGCACCCAGGACGCTGTGCCTCACCCAGAGCACCCAGGACACTGGGTCTTCTGCGACAGGCGCCCCAGCCTTTAGCAGGACCCAGTGTCCCCCAGGGCACAAAGGGAAGGAAACTGAAGTGGAACAAGGGCCCTGGCCCTTTCCCATTGTTAGGGTCAGGGCTCTTGGCCCATGGTGAGGGGCGTCTCTGCTCGCACGGTCGCCACCTCCAGTCCGCAAAGCGCAGCTCCCCGAGCCGCGCCCAGCCCCCAGGCCCCGGGAGCGCGCCCCCCCAGCCAGGTCAGCAGCCCGCCCCACCAGGTCTGGGGAGGGGTCGGAGAGCGGACAGGTGCAGGCGGGTTGAGGCGCCGCCTTGCCCGATGCTTCCCCTGGCAGCTCTGCTTCCTTTACTCGGGGTTTTAAAGGTCATGTTCTCCGTCAGCGGAAACATTCTACATGACACTTCTGAGACAGAGGCTCCTTTAGAGGCATTTAATCCAAGAAAGGCACCCCCTGAAGAACAGGGTTTATAGGTCACGGCTCAGACGGCCTATAAATCACGCTTGCCGCTGCGGGGCGCCAGGCGGGAGCTTGAAGGCCAGGAAAACAGGGTGGGGCCCGATTGGAAAGAGGGGTGGCTCCAGAGGGGCGGCGCGGGCAAGGAGGGGCCAAAAGGGATGGAGGGCGGGGCCAGTCACAGGGCAAGGCCGGGATGGAAAGCGGGGGGGGGGGGGGGGCCAGGTGGGTGGGAGGAGCCAGATGGGGCGGGGCCCATAAAGGAAAGATGGGTAGTTCCAAAGGGGCGGGGCGGGTGAGGAGGAGCCAAAAGAGATGGAGGCTGGAGCCTGCCAAGGAGCTGGGTCAAAATGGAAGGTGGAGTGGGTGAGGCCAGAGGGTGGGATGGGTCAAATGAAGGCGGGGCCCTAATGGACAGAGGGGTTGGTCCAGAGGAGAAGGGCCACAAGGAATGGAGAATGGGGTCTGCCACAGGGCGGGGCCAGGGTGGAAGGTGGGAATGGGCAGGGCCAGACGGGTGAAAGGGGCCAAATGAGGGCGGGGCCCCAACTGAAAGAGGGGTGGGTCCAGAGGAGCTCGGCAGGCAAGGAGGGACCAAAAGGGATGGAGGGTGGGGCCAGTCACAGGGCAAGGCAGGGATGGAAAGCAGGGGAGTGGGTGGGGCCAGATGGGTGGGAGGAGCCAGATGGGTGCGGGCCCAAAAAGAGGGGTGGGTCCAGAGGAGCTCGGTGGGCAAGGACGAAAAGGGATGGAGGATGGGGCCAGCCATGGGGCAGGGGCAGGATAAAAGGCAGGGAGTGGGTGGGGCCACGTGGGTGGGTGGAACCAGACAGGGGCAGGTCCACAGAGGAAAGAGGGGTGGGTCCAGAGGGGCGGGGCGGGTGAAACGGAGCCAAAAAGGAGGGGTGGGGCCAGGTGGGAAGGCTGGATGTGGGCGGGGCAAGATGGGTGGATGGGACCAGACGAGGGCAGGTCCATAAAGGAAACGGGATAGGTTCTGAGGGGGCGGGGCTGGCAGGGAGAGAGGAACCAAAACGGAAAGGGTGGGGCTATAGAAAGGGTGGGCCCGGGGAAGAGGCCAAATCGGAGGGCGGGCCCAGAGGGGGAGTGGAAGGGAGGAGGGGCGGGGCGGGGTGGGGAGGGGCAGGCGCTCTCCTCCAGCTGCCCCTGGCCCCTCGCCCCAGGGACCAGCCTCCCAGCAAGGACCAGCTGACCTGGGGGGAGTAAAATGAGGTGGGTGTCCCCGCTGCACAGGCCGGGGACACAGCGTCACCTGTTGTCTGAGACCTGCGTGCCTTGTCGGGGTCCACCATGTATCTGGCACTCGGAGCACACGTGTGTCCTGAATAAATCGGGGCCCCGGCAGAGGCATGAGACAGAGGCGTGAGGCCCAAAGCAGCAGGCTCCAGGCTCTTGCGCGCCACGGACACCGCGAGGGAGACACGTTTGGGGACAGCCCGGAGGCTGAGGGGGCTTGGCTTTGACCCGACAGGGCAAAGGACTGCCATACCGGAAGACGCTGGACTGGCCGCCGGGGAGAGATGCACAGCGCCTTCCCTCCCTCCCCAGGAAAAGGGGCTTCCCTGCAACAACCTCTGAGCAAGGCGCACTCTGGCCGTCCTCCCAGGGACACCCAGCCAGACGCCCCTTCTAGTTTAGAGGCTGGGGGCAAGCCCGGTGAGAAAGAATCAGTCTAGTCCTCGTTTGCACCCAGTTTTCAAACATTCAAGCTGGGCTGGTCCTGCGGTATTCATGTCCTTTGGAGACCGAGAATGAATGGGCTTGGATCAATTCAATCAATCCCCTCAAAATGTTAAAAACCTAAGAAAGGTCACTGCCAGTGAATATTCCTTTCAGAAGCCTCACCCTCCCCACCCGCCCCAAACTCCAGAACTATGTGTCAAGGAAACATGACTGAGAGCCCTGGGCTCTCACGCCCCCGGCTCAGCCCAGGCTGCCACTGGGCCCAGGGTGAACACAGGACCCAAGCAATGGCCAGCAGGAACGCATGGTGGTCGGCAGGCAGCGCACCTTCTTGCCGGCCCAGCACCCAAGGTCTTACCAGCACCCCAATTCCCTACACGGTCACGATGGTGGCGCCTGAACTGGGAGGGACGTGACGTGCAGAGCTCATCCCAGCAAGTCTGTCCTTCAGTTCCCGCTAGGTCAGTCCCTCTGGCCTCCCCAAAGCCCTTCCTTCCAGCGTGCTCCTTCTGCAAGCTACTTAGATCCTCACAACAGAATCCCTGTTTAGCTTAATTTAGCTAGAGTTGGTTTCCACGGCTTACAACAAAGGAAACTTAACTGCATCGCAGCCCAATCGCTTTCTCCAAACCTTCCTAAATTCAGACAAGTTAGGGAAAAGAAGAGTGAAATGAGAATTCATTCCAGAAACTCCCCTAATAAGAATCACTATATACAATCTGTAGCTACAAAATCACTTTAAGCAGATGTTTTCACTCCAGGCTGCCTGGGTTTAAAACTCCCAGCTCTACCACTTACCAGATGTATGATATTGAGAAGTTACACAACCTCTCTGAGCCTCAGTGTCCTCACCTGTAAAACAGGCTCATCATAGAACTAACTGATGTCATGGGGTTATAAAGGCTAAATCCTTTCACATATGTAAAGAGCTTAGAACAAGACCTGCACAAAGTAAGAGCTCTGTGCTTGGTCACTGAAATCAAATTAAACCATCCACTGGTCCTCCATGTATGCATCATTTCCTCAGCACCCACTGCACACGCAGCACTGCCCCAGGCACAATGACACAAAGGCAGAGTGGGCTCTGCCCTCGAGAAGTCGCTGTCTAGCTGGAGAGACAGACTTGTAAACACATAAATCCGTGTCCGATGTGATAAGACTATTCCGGAGGTATCAACAGAGTGCTGTGGGACATGGAGGAGGAGTGATTAATTTTGCTTCAGGCGGTGGGGGAGTCTTTGCCGAGGAGGTGACATTTGAGCTGGACTTTGAAAGACGAGCTCTCCACAGAACTAAATCTGGACCCAGTGCCAAGAGAGTCAGCCTGGAAAATCAATCCAGCCACCGGGAGGAGGGGCAGTCGGCCCAGACTGCCTTCCCAATGACTCCCTGCCCTGGAGGACACGCAGCTCCTCCAAAATGGGGGCCCACACTGTCCCTGGAGCCCAGGCCAGGCCTCTGTTTCTAACTTGGCCTCATTTTCCCTCCATCTGGCCCCCTCCACTCACGTCTCGTTTAACTGCTCTCTGCCCCCAGGAAAACTCCTCTGGTCTCTGCCCCTTGAAAGCAACTTGCATTTTCTTTCTCCAAGAACAAAAATCATCATAATTGCTTTTAAATTACATCCTACCTTTATAGAATGCTTTACAGATTTCAAGAAAAATTAAACATAGAATAACAGTCAAGGTCAGAGCTTAATCCTAACTCTGCCACCAACTACCTGGTGACCTGGGACTGGTTATTTAATTTCTCATGCCTCAATTTCCTCATCTGTAAAATGGAATCACAGGGTTGCTATGGGGATACAATGATGAACAGGCACGCAGTGTTTAGAGCAGGATCTGGTGAAGAGTGGGTCCTCAGTGAGTGCCTTCATGTGTGTCCTCTCCCACCCTGGGTCTCTCTGCTCTGCCCATGGGACCTGAGTGACTCTGTGATTCATGCAGAAGGGGTGCTGCAGAAGGCCAGACCTGAATCTGAACCCGGCTCAGCTCTGGGCTTACTAGTTACTTACTAGTGAAGTGACCTTACAAGAGCAACGTAACCTCAAGGAAAATGGGGCAGTCAGGGCTGTCTCACAGACTATGGAGATGATTCCTAAGATAATGCATGCCACGCTTGGCTACCTACTATGAAAGACACGCTCAGTCAACATTAGCTACTTTTATTAACAATAAATACTTTCCTGGCACCTGACTTTATGCCTCATCTCCGTGATGAGGCTATGACCTCTTTTGCAGCCTGAGGCAAATCTCACTGGCACTTGCGGCCCCACCATCCCCTGCCCGGGACCCGGTACACCGGTAGGCACCCGGGAAACACTGACTGACAATCTGATTACCAGTCGCCCTGGGCCTGCTCTGAGCAAGTGGCTTCATCCAGCTCAGCTTAGTGGTAAGCAGTGGTGCCCAAGGCCGCCGCTTCCTGCAAACTCCCTCACAGTGTCCCCGTGTCCTATGGGGGACCCCTCCACCTGCCCCAGCCTCCCACAGGCACACATCCATCTCTTCTTCACAGCGTCTGAGCTACTGGCTCAGAGAGGACTGTGGCCACCCTTTTCTCCCAGAACACACTGTGTACAAATCTGTGATTTCCCCTGGATATCTATATAATTTTTTCAATACAAACTGAACCAAGGATGAGCATGTTTTCAGGACTCTCTGCAGAATTGCTGATGTTATTTTTGAATTGTCGGCAGCAAGGACTCTGCCAAAATACTCAAGGTCAAGAGACCAGCATGGTTCTAGGCAATCTGTACCTCTTAAAACAGTGACAAATATGTTATTTAATTTTAATGAGCTTTTTTGCATCTCAAATCTAATTACAGCATTATCAAGTACTGCTTTGAACTGCAGGTGGCTTCTCATTACGTGTGCGAAGCCTGCCACGAGCATTTTTCGTGAATACTAATAACTGCTTAATTTTACTATCCGCTTAAAAAAAAATAAAAACTTTCAGCAACTTACAAGGCTGGGCTTTATAAAGCATCTGTGGAGGGTGAGCCACACAGCAACGCAGCTTAATTAAAAAAAATAAATACTGTATGTGGCCACCCTGGAGGGTGACAGCTCGGGAAGCTGCAGAGGGGTGGTGGACTAGGCTGGGAGGAGATTCGCTTCATGCACTTCTTGGAGGCTCTGTTTTATTGCAGGCTTATTGCGTCACATTCAAATTTCCCAATTTGCTTGCAGTTCAGGGAGAACGGTTCCGTCAACAGATTTTCTGGGTGACGGACTTCAGTAATAGGCCTGGAGCTGGAGGTCCCTGGGGATGCGCTCCAGAAATCTGTTGTGTGGACAGGTCCAGGGAGATGCCTGGAAATTCATCAGAGAACCTGTCCGAGAGGAGAGTCCAGCTGCCTCTCCGCCAGGCTGGGATGAAAGAGCAGAGGTGGCCAGGGGGTCCGGGGCTGCGGATGAGACGCTCTGCAATCCCAGAATGGTGAAAGTTTTCAAAACCTGTGGCCATGACTCCCTGCTGGTGGGTTTGTGCAGCGTCTGGAGTTTGTGTGTTGTTCGTTTATTTTGAAAACTGTTAAAGCTGAACTTTATCTTATACCAGCAGGCTTCCCGATTTGCACCTTCTCCAGGGAGGGGCCTAGGGGAAAGGTGGATGCTAATGCTAGGTTCTCCAGGAAGGAAAGGGTGCACACTTACCATTTTCATTCAGGGAGACTCCCACACAGTCTGGGAAGCCATGGGGTATGTCCACTCCTGGGTTTTGTTCACGAAAGACCACACCCTGTCTCTGACTGGGAGCCCCTAGAAAATGCAAGTGACATCTGAGGTGCAGGCCGAGTCCAGTGCTGACAGGCGGGAGGGAACAGAGAGGCTGTTCTCTCTCTGATTTCCTGTAGGACCAGCTCAGCTTTGCTTCCTCACGTCTGATCCTTGCCTGTGCCCAGCTCAGAGGGCACAAAAGTCAAGCTGGCTCAAAGCCCTACTCTCCACCTGCCTGTGGCAGGCAGAATAATGGCCCCCTAAAGATGTCCACGTCATAATCCTCAAAACCTGTGAATATACTACGTTACATGGTGAAAGGGAATTAAGACTGTAGATGTGATTAAGGCAACTAATCAGCTGATCTCGAGATGGAAACAATCACCTTAGTGTACTCATGTACCCAATGGAATCACATGAGTCCTTACAAATGGAAGATAAAGAAGAGGCAGAAGAGAGAGTCAGAGAACTATGATGTTCTCTGAAAGAGACTTGACTTGCCAGTGCTGGCTTTGACGACGGAGGAAGGGGCCACCAATCAAGGGATGCAGGTGACCTCTGAAAGCTGGAAAAGCCAATGCAACGGATTATCTCCCAGAGTCCAGAATAGAACACAGCCCTGCCAACACCTTGATTTTAAAACACCGAGACCCATGTCAAAATCAAGACCCAACTTCTGCCTTTGGAGCTGCAAGATAGTACATTTGTGTCACTTTAAGCCACCAAGTCTATGGTAGTTTGTGATAGCAGCCACAGAAAGTGAATACGCTGCTAAGAGCTGACCTGGAGGCAGACAGCAGGGCCCCCAGTGTCAGCATCACCAGTCCCAGTGCTGGCCACATTCAGGCTGGGGTGGGGTAAGAGCATCCTGTAACACCTCATCAGTTGCATCCTTCCCCCTTAGATCTGCGGCATACATGCTTCTTTCCCAAAGAGCGCATCTGAAGCAAGCCTCCATCATCCCTCTGTTGAATCACATGGTTTCTTAGGTCCCAGCCCCACATCCAAGGCGCTCTGATTCGTGGGTTTTGTCTTGAAGTTTGTCATTTAGCATAAGAAGGGCAGGCCTCGCAGCCCAGCTGGGAAGACTGCAGCAGCTCAGCTGGGCCCCCACCAAGGCCATGCTGGCCCGACCGCTACTAACTAACTAATCCCACCCAGGCCTCTTGCTGGCCATGCCTCCTCGGGATGAGGGTGGAGGAGCCTCAAACAAAGCCACACCTCAAGGCAGAAAGCATCCCTGGTGTCAGCTTGTCAGGCAGATGCTCTGCTCCCACAGTCCCGACAGACAGAGGGAGTTAATGGGCCAACACTGAGCCCTTTGTTTTTATAAGAGAACAAGTGGTTTATGACAAAGAACAAAGTTTCCCTCTTTACGAGGCCATCCTTGGTGCTCCCTCTCCAAGCCCATTAAGCCTGGTTATCTCTTACACAACACCGCCACACAGGTACTGCTGCCACCGACAAGTTCATTTAAGAGAATTTATAGCCTAATTGTGCAGCTGTTGCCTTCTGAGTCAGTTTTAAGAGATTGTTACACAAGCAGTGTCATAATTTAGTCATGTTTTCATCTCACAACTATACTGTAATTACTGTTGTTAACAGCAAATGGTAAACAAGAGAGTGAAGAGGACCAGCCAAAGAGAGTACTCACAAACCGTGCATCAAGCAGGGGCAAGGGAGAAATGACACTTGGGACCCTGCAGAGCTCTCCAGAAAGCCCACAAGGCCCCATCAGCCTCTGAGGTTGGCCATGAGCTTCAAGCACATAGTATGCACCTGAGTATTCACCTGGAGGGAAGGGGGAATATTTTCTGCCTCCCAAATTCCTACTAGAAACTAGGGTGCTGATAGGAGATCAGGGACCCCACCATAGTGAGCAGCCTCTGGCCCTGCTAGTTCATCTCTGCTTCCATGGAGAGCTGCCGGGGCCAGAATGCAATAGACCTCCAGGTGGTTCTGGACTCAGGGATTGGGGAGCCCCAAGCGGTGTGCATGAAACTGAGGCGACGCTCAGTACGTATCTGAGGCTCTGCTGCAGCACCTGCTCGAGCGGAAGATACTGAAAAACCCTGCAAAGGACTTGCCGGAAGCTGCAGGAACAGCCCTGACCCTTGCCTCCTCAGTGCATGCTTCCCTCCCTGCTGCTGCCTGAAGGGTTATTGATTTGCACAGGAAGACCCGCGGGAGAAAATCCCTCTGACAGCCTTGACTCTGCTGGGCATGGTGCAGGATGGAGGTCAGGCCACACAGTCCTGGCAGCTGACCTCTGCCCCATCCAAATGGCTTCTTGCTCCACAAGCAACAAAATGCCCCCATCAGAGCTCAGTGGGGCTCAGCTAGACACGTGTTCACTAAGCCCCGTGAACATCTTACCAGGCACGGAGCTAGGGACCGGGCACAGCAACATCACTCCAGGTAGGGCCTTCAGGAGAAACCTGATCTGACTCAACAGTCACAACAATAGTAGTAATACTGGTTGCCACCGCACACCTGACAGCCATCCTAAGCTTTGAGGCTTTCTTGTTATCCCCAGTTTATAGAGAAGGTAAATAGCCTGTCCAGGGCCACAAGGCCAGGACTCCACCCAGATCTGAGTCAAAGCCCCCGACTCCAAACCCCAAGTACTATTTCCTGGACCTGGCCTTTGGCTATAGACAAGCAGGGGCCCCTCAGCTTGACCGTGGTTCTCACTCTGACCCACTGCAGCCCCTAGCTTCCTAAGGGTCAGATGCCTCTGGCGCCAGGGAAGAGGAGTGGAGGGGTGAGGGGAGATGGTGAGAGTATAGCAGGGTGCACGCCCAGTGCTGACATCATCATCATCACCGTCACTATCGTCTACCCCCAGGGGAGGTCCTGTGGGCCTCTTGGCAACCCCTGTCCCTGCTCCCCCAACCCCCCACCCCAGCTCATCCAAAGCCACTGGCCATGATTAGCTGGAACTGATTAGGGAAAGGTCGGATGCTCTTCAGAACAGGGTGGCTAATGAAAGTGGAAGACTCATTTCCAGATTGCCAGAGCCGCAGACAAAAATTGAAGGTCCGGAGACAACAATCAATAAACACGAAGCTCTTCTAACGGAGGAGAATAAACACTAGGAAGTGAAGCGAAATCGAAACGGTGACCTGGAAAACAGGCACATGCTGAGAAAGGTCAGGGTGGTCTTGAGAAGGGGAGGGCTGCACCATAGACGAGGCTGCTCCCCAGCCCGTCCCAGGCAAGCAGAGGGAAGGCGGCGTCCAAGGAGGTGGCAGGGCCCCGCCAGCTCAGCTGTGCTCAGAAACAAGTGCCTGCCTGCGTGGCTCCCACTCCAGCTGCCCAGGCGGCGGGGCAGGGCTTTCAAAGGCACTCGCGGTCCTTGAGGATTTAGTCTTAAGGGTCGGGCTCCCCCGAGCTCAGAGCCTGTCTCCTGTGTGGCCTTGAGCAAGAGCCTTAACCTCTGAGAGTCTTTTATCATCTCATTGGCAGACTCCCCACCACTCGGGCTACTATGTACCAGGTGCAAGGCTGGGACAGAGTGACTCTTCCTATTCTGCAAAGGAAAACTCAGACCTCAAAATCTGACAAAATCATTGTGTGCAATTTGGAGGCAGCCTAGGAGATCCACTTTGGATAATGAAATACTGGAACTCGTGGGACAAAGGGGATAGCACTATGGTTTATGAGGATAAATAAGCTGGAGCTTCCCCCGTCCACACCCCAACAGCTCGAGCAATAGGAGCGTTACTCCTGCAGGGTAAATCCCCTTCAACCCCACAACAGCTGGGGAACTGACATCAAGTCTGCTCCAGTCTTTCCACGGGGCACCTGGCCCTTGGACGTGCTGTCAAGAGCCTTAACCATGGCCTGCTCAATCATCAGGCGACCAGCCAGGGCGTCATTTAGAAAGCCATGATGTGGGACCAGCTTTCCCAGCTGGCTGGCTGGCTGGCTGGCAAAAGCAACACAAGCTTTTCATGAAATGGTGAGAAAAAGGACAAGTCCCAAATGGCACATGTGGCTGATGGTGGAGGTCAGGGTTCAAGCCACGCAGGCATCCTTCCCAGGCAGGGGCCTGAGCGTCCCTCCCCAAGGACCCAAGCCCTCGAGTGCCGCCCTCAGGTCAGCAGCACTCAGAAGACCTGGCAACCCCAGCCCTGGAATCCGGAGCCTGCTCAGTGCTGAAAGACTGCGGCTTCTCCCACAGAGGCAAACCCGTCGTTTCACGGACTTCCACCCCATCACCGGCTGTTTATGCCAGTGTCGTGCTCAGCCATTTTATGTAGGATTATGTGCTGTACGTACCAGAAAGCTCATAAAAAAAAAAAAGAAAAAAATTGAATGAACATTGTTTTTAAAAGGCCCTTAAAAGGCTATAAAGTGCAGTGACTTTCATACCCTTGGGTTTTTCCATCTTATATTAGAGTCCCTCAATCAAAGCCAACTCTGGGCATAAGGAGGTGACAAGGAGGTAAGAAAAGTGGATTCCAAGGTCAGGAAGATGGGAAATTCAGGAGCAGGCAGGCTCCCTGCGGGGCCTGGGCTTCGGTCCTAAGCCAGCCCTCCTGAGCAAGGCGGCCCTGAGCAAGGAAGGACTTGCTAGGTGGGATCCAGACCCAGGCCTGAAGCCACAGCCTCCGGGTATGATGGTGAAAGGACCCCCACCAAGGCTACCAGGGGACTCACGCGGCGAGAAAGAACAAAGACCAACTGAGATCTTGGCCACGTTCCCGGGGTTGGACCCTGGCCCCTCCAAGTCCTTCCAGGTCTCCACATGGCTCACAAGGGCCAGGGACATGCATGGTGAAAAGAGAGAGCTCTCGACAGTTTCTAGAATCTGTTCTAGGTCTCAGACTGGGCTCGGCTCCACGAATGGAATCTATACTGAATCCCTGGAAGCTGCAACACTGATATGGAGAGAAAACGACGGGACAGATGCAGGACGGGCTATCAGGCAAACATTACAAATCATGTTTGCAAAGAATATTTAATAACTGAGGGAAATGCTGACAATATGGTATCAAGTGAAAAAGTAAGCTACAAAAAATATGAACCCGATGTTATGAAACAAGCAAAACACACATATGCCCTGGGGTTCGGAAGGCGGCGGGAAGGAAACAGAACCCAGTGTCCACCACGGTGGCCTCTGGGTGATGAGATCCGGGGGATCCCTGTTTTCCTCTTAATTCTTTTCTTTTCTGTATGTTCCAAGTTCCCTGCAATTAATAATTGTTTTTATTTTTGTTTTTTATTTTTTGAGATGGAGTCTTGCTTTGTCGCCCAGGCTGGAGTACAGTGGCGTTATCTCGGCTCACTGCTACCTCCGCCTCCTGGATTCAAGCCATTCCCCTGCCTCAGCCTCCCTAGTAGCTGGGATTACAGATGCCCGTCACCACACCTGGCTAATTTTTGTATTTTTTAGTAGAGACAGGGTTTCGCCATGTTGGCCAGGCTGGTCTCCAACTCCTGACCTCAAGTGATACACCTGCCTCAGCTTCCCAAAGTGCTGGGATTACAGGCGTGAGACACACCTGGCCAAATAGTTGTTTTTACAACTGAAATTGATTGTGCTAAAATATAATACATATTTAAATAATATTTATTCCCAAAGAAAACTCTTCACTATGTTATCTCTTTTTTTTTTTTTTTTTCTTTTTTTTGAGACAGAGTCTCGCTCTGTCCCCCAGGCTGGAGTGCAGTGGTGCAATCTTGGCTCACTGCAAGCTCCACCTCCCAGGTTCACGCCTTTCTCCTGCCTCAGCCTCCTGAGTAGCTGGGACTACAGGCACCCGCCACCATGCCTGGCTAATTTTTTTGTATTTTTAGTAGAGACAGGGTTTCACCATGTTGGCCAGGATGGTCTCGATCTCCTGACCTCGTGATCCGCCCGCCTCAGCCTCCCAAAGTGCTGGGATTACAGGCGTGAGCCACCGTGCCCGGCCTATGTTATCCCATTTGATGCCAGAAACATCTGAACCACCCAGTATTGTTTTCCTTCTCTACACAACTGTCACCATTGACAGAAGGCACAGTGGGATGCAGACGGCAGGCTGGCAGAGTGGGACTCACTGGGCAGAGGCTGGACAGGTGGGAGATGGGGTTTGGGGCTGTGGTTCAAGGGAGCAGCAGGAAGCCAGTCCAGACCCAGAGACGGAACGCAACACCTCACCCTCATCCAGCACCTCACAGTTCGCACGGCATGTCTCACAGTCTTACTGCGCTTGACAGTTTGCATGCACCCTCACCCTGGAACCCCGCAGGATGACAACAGAGGCCTTTCCCAGGCTGGGGCTAACCTCTCTCTGCTCCAGCCTCAGCAGGAAAGGGGACAGGCTCTTGGGCCTCGGACAGGGCCCAGGAAGGCTCCGGACCCTGGACCCACTCTGGGGAGCTATAGCCCGATGGCCGAGGAGGCGGGAGAATGGTCCCCCTAGAGCCTCCCACCCGTGGAACCCAGGAGGAGACTGGGGTCTCCTGAGTGTCTGTGGGGGCTGGAGCTTTATGGAAATGGTCTCTTTTTTGTTCTTCCCAATAGTCCTGGGGGATAAAGACGCTTCTTATAACCCTCATTTTATGGAGGAGAAAACGGAGACATTTGTTCCTTAAACAGGAATCTGTTGCATCCAATATGTGCCAGGCTTCTCCCAGAGACTTTCCATCCATTATCCCACTCAATCCCCACAATATCCCTGTGAGATATGGAATAGTTCTCAAATTTTAGAGATGAGAGAGCTAAGGCTCAGAGAGGTTAAGTGACTTACCTAAAGTCACTTTACACAAATGTAAAGCTAAGATTCAATACCTATTGAATGAATGAAGGAACGAATCCCATCTGATCCAGATCCCCCACCTGTGGCCTCCCCAGCAGACAGATGTCAGACTCCTGTTTTAACTGTGAGTTTTTATCCTTTTCGCCACTGGACCCCATAAAAAAGTGGGAACAAACACATTTCCCTCCTCTAGGACCTGTCTTGGGTCCTATGGGGATTCTTGACCCCAAATCAGCTATAGAAAGGTTGTCTGCAACTCCCAGCCCAAAACCACAAGGAAAAGCAAAAGGAGGTCAACTGTGCAGCCTCCTCCTTCCACTCCAGGCAGAGGCCAGGCCACTGCCTCAGGTCTCCATGAGCAGCAACAGCACAGATGCCCTGCAGGAGCCCAGCTCAGGCCTCAGAACACACGCTGGACACCTCCTGCTGGTGGCCAGCCCATGACAGGAAGCCCCTCCCTGGGCATCCGATTGTAGAGCGTCCTGGTCCTACTTCTCCCCAGTGGTAGTTGTCGGTCATTAATGCTATGACCTGTTCTCCCTGCTTTGTGGTACATGACGGGAGTGCTCCTTCGTAGCACTGTGGTTGATTGGTGGGGCTGGGGGGTGGGGGTGCATGGGACCAGTTCTGCCCAGTGAGCTGCAAAGGAGCACAATGCTTCTGGCTGGGATACCTACTAATCAGTTCAAGGCCTCCAGGACTCCACATTCTCTCTGGCACAGTGACCAACAATACTCCATCAGCCAGGTCTCTGATTGGCCACCCACCTGCAGTGAGCATGTGGCAGGAGTGAGAAAACGCCTTCTGCTGTTTTAATCCACTGAGCTATGGGGCTGCTGCTTCTTATAGTCTATTCTGATATGAGTTTTGGGAGGAAGCCTGGCACAGAGGCACTTGGGTTCCTTTTCCACCATTCAAAGTCCCAAAGCTCTCAGCTCTGGATGCCAAGGGAATACTCTCACTGTCTGTAATTTAAAAATATAACAAAAGCACACACCCATCAAGATAAGAGGCTGCTGTGATGTTGCAGGAACTGACAGCCTCCATGGGCCCCAGACTCCTCTTGGTAATTAGGCCTGTGTGCAAAGCAAGGGCGTGTTGAGAAGGGTGGGCTGGGAACATGAGAAGGCCGTCCCCCTCCTTGCTGCCTCCGCCCAGCCAGCACCATCCCCTGCCCCTGGGCAGATGAGACCTCTGCTCAGCCTCCGTGAGGCAACGGCCAGAGGCTGAACTAAGGGCCAGCAGAGAGAAAGGCCCACAGATTCACCCTTCCTTGGGTGTCATAGGGCCTGCATGGGGCCTGGAATCAGGCACACGTAGAGCCCATTCTGGCTCTGCCACGTTTTGCTGTGTGGCTTGGCAGCATGACCCACGCATCTGAGTCTCAGTGCCTTTTCCTGTCCCATGGGGATGCAGCCAGCATCCCGGAGGCTGGCAGTGAGGACCAGATGAGATAATGACGCAGAAGGGCCTGGCGTGCCGAGGGCAGAAGGCCTGGTCACTGCCCTCCCTTTTGCACTTACTTGTTGTGTGGCTTTGGGGATGCAACGTTAATGTCATCTTTTGAAAAATGAACTTGTTGGACTAGGTTAGCTCTACAGTGAGAAGATTGGGGCTCAGAAGTACTAAAAAATTTGCCCAAGGTCATTCAGAGAGTGAGCTGCAGGGATCTGACTCTGGCATCTGGGTTCTAGCCTCTCCAATCCAGGTCTTCAGGAGGTAAGGTCTGAAGGGGGATTGGATGGGTGAATTTCCTCGCCAGCAGCCTTTCTAGAGCACTTTACAGCTTCGTCAGCGCTCAGCCGGAGTTCTGTGATCTTGGAGGAAAATATTGGCTCTTGGAGTGGAAGAGGAAAGGAAAGTCACAGAGGCCAACATCGTCTTGCAGAGATTCTCACCCACAGCATGATTCACGGGGTCTATAGAATGGGGACCCCCTGCATATGTCTGCCCTCGAGGGCGTTCAAAGCGGGATCTCCCATGATGTCAGCAGAAAGGGCTGCAGTTCCTATGTGGGATCTGGCCCCAGCCCTATCTGCTAGAAACTCTGAAATTCCAACAGTTCGAGGACCCTCACAACTCCCAGGCACCACCCTCCTGCCCTAACCCCACTTCCCCCAGGAACACTCAAGTATGGGGGCTGAAATGGAACAATTTAGCCTATTTAAATTAATCATTGGTTCTAAAGATAAAGTCTCAGAGTGGATTAGTCACAAGGACCGGATTAGTCAGACTTATCTCAGAAAAGACAGGAGTTTGCTTGAACAGGTCCCTTGCCTCAGCAGATGGTCCCCTTCTCTGCTTTTCCCTGGAAGATTATCCCACCTCTCAAGATACAGTTAAACCCTAAAGTGGGGGATAACACACAAGGAGACACACGTCAGGGAGCAACAGCACCTGCCAAGGCTGGCCTCGTGGGAATTGCTCTTTTATCCATCTTTGTTTCCCTTTAATAAATTTCTTCGATCACCTCAGGCCTTGTGGTCCGAGGAAAGCAGGTAGAATTTGGGGGTCAAATGCCTGGGTTTGAGGGGAGACCCTGCCATTTCTGAGCTGAGTACATGGAGCACTTTACTTAAGCTCTCTAAGCATCAATTTTCTGAACTGTGGGAAGAGGATAATAATGCTGAGTGAGGATTAAGCCATACGCCATACAGCAACTGTCCAGCATAGTGTCTAACATAGGGAAGATAATCAACACACATGATGCCCCACCCTGTCCCCACCATGCCAACATTTCCCAAAGGCCAGGAAAGTCACTTGAGCTCTCTAAGTGCCAGTTCCTCATCGGTAAATGGAGGACAATAAAACTCATCTTTCTTATCTGACAGGGTTGCTAAGAGGATGAAACGAGACACTGATGAGAAAGCCCTCAGTGGAATGTACAAGTGCTGTCATTTCTATCTTGCTCTTACCTACGCATGTACATATGGGAAGCAGCCGGTACACAGAGAGGAGCTTAGTGCTACCAGTGAGACTTCCAGAGCTTCTCACTAAACTCTAAATGTCATCCACCAGGTTGGCTGGTACCTCCCCCAAATGCCTACCATATATGAAGATGGCAGCTGGGGGAAAGGCATTGCAGCAAGCAGACTGTACACAGCAATTCTGGCCTGGCCCCACAGCTCTTCGGCTGTAACACACCCTTGGGCAACTTACTTACCCACTCTAAGCCTCAGTCTGCCTATCTGTAAAATGGGAATAAACATGATAATTACTGACATGACGTTAGGATTTAGATTCATTTATTCCTTCCATTCAACATTGTACTGGAGGTTCTAGGTGGAGAAATTAGGCAAGAAAAAGAAACAAAAGGTATCCATATTGGAAAGGAAAAAGTAAAACTGTCTCAATTCACAGATGAGATGATCTTGTATGTAGAAAATCCTGAAGAATCCACGAAAACTCTATTAGAACTGATAAACAAGTTCACCAAGGTTGCAGGATACAAGATCAACAAACAAAAATCAATTGCATTTCCATATATTTACAATGAAAAATTCTGGAAATAAAATTAAGAAAATAATTCCATCTGTAATAGCATCAAAAGGATAAAATACTTAGGAAAATTTAACAAAAGAAATGCAAAACTTATACTCTGAAAACTATATATAACATTGTTGAAAAGAATTAAAGACAGACCAGGGGTGGTGGCTCATGCCTGTAATCCCAGCACTTTGGGAGGCCGAGGTGGTGGATCACTTGAGGTCAGGAGTTCAAGACCAGCCTGGCCAACATGGTGAAACACCATCTCTACTCAAAAAAAAAAAAAATTAGTCAGGCATGGTGACACGCGCCTGTAATCCCAGCTACTCAGGAGGCTGAGGTGAGATGAGATAATCACTTGAACCGAGAAGGTGGAGGTTGCAGTGAGCCAAGATTGAACTACTGCACTCCAGCCTGGGCAAACAGAGTGAGACTGTCTCAAACAAAAAAAAAAAAATTAAAGACAATGGAAATAAATGGAAACACACCCCATGTTTTCCATGGGATGCATTCCCATATACAAATAATAAACAGTCTTGAAACAAGATTTCAAACAATTTTGAAAAAGCGAAAAGAAGTTGGAAGACTCATAGTTCTCAATTTCAAAACTTACTACCAAGCTATAGTAATCATGACAGTGTGGTACGGGCATAAGGGTGGACATACAGATCACTGCACAGAGATAGAGAGTTCAGAAGTTAACCCTCACACTTATGGCCAATTGATTTACAAAAAGGATACCAAGATAATTCAATGGGGGAAAATAGAGTCTTTTCAACAAATGGTGCTGGGACAACTGGATGTCCACATGCAAAAGAATGGAGTTAGATCCCTCCCTCACACTGTATACAAAAATTAACTCAAAATAAATCAAAGACCTAAGCGTCAGAGCTACAGCTACAAAACTCTTAGACAAAAACATAGAAGTAAATCTTTATGACCTTGGATTAAGCAATGGTTTCTTAGTTATAACACCAAAAGCACAAACAGCAAAAGAAAAACTAAACGGAACATCATCAAAATGTAAAACTTTTGTGCTTCAAAGGACACGGTGAAGGAAGTGAAAAGACAACCCATAGAACAGGACAAAATATTTGCAAATCCTATCTCTGACAAGGGATCTGTACCTAGAATATATAAAGAACTCTCACAACACAATGATAAAAAGACAAATACTATTTTAAAATTGGCAAAGAATCTAACAGACATTTCCCCAAAGAAGATACACAAATATATATAAAAAGATATGCAACATCATTAATCATCAGGGAAATGCAAATCAAAACCACAATGAGATACCACCTCATACCCAGTAGGATGGCTATAATCAAAAAGAAAGATAGGTCTAGTTAAGATGGCTTATCCCTGTAATCCTGGCACTGTGTGAGGCTAAGACAAGAGTTCAGAAGGCCAGGAGTTCAAGGACCAGCCTTGGCAGTATAGCAAGACCTCAGCTCTAAAAAAATCTTTTAAAAATTAGCCAGGCATAGTGGCATGTGCTTGCAGTCCTAGCTACTCAGGAGGCTTAGGGAGGAGGATCGCTTGAGCCCAGGTATTTAGGCTGTAGTGAGCTATGATCACACCACTGTACTCCAGCCTGGGTGACAGATTGAGACCTTGTCTCTAAAAAAAGAAAAAAAAAAAAAGAAGAGAAAGAAAGACAATAATATCACCTGAGGATGTGGAGAAACTGGAACTCCCCTATACAGCTAGTGGGAATTTCAGATGGTGCAGCAGCTTTGGAAAACAGGCTGGCAGTTCCTCAAAAGGTTAAACATGGAGTTGCCATGTGACCGAGCAATTTCACTCTTAGGTATATGCCCAAGAAAACTGAAAACATGTGTCCCCACAAAAGGGATTATACAAGATGGGTCAAAGCAGTACGATTCATCATAGCCCAAAAGTGGAAGCAAACCTATTGTCCGTCGACTAACGAATGAACAAATAAAGTGTGGCTTAATCCATACAACAGGATGTTATCCAGCAATAAAAAGGAATGAAGTACTGATACACGCTACAACATGGATGAAACTTGAAAACATTATGATAAGTGAAAGAAGCCAGGCACAAAAGACCATACATCTCATGATTCCATTTATATAAAATGTCCAGAATAGGCAAATCTATAGAGACAGAAAATGGTTGCCTAGGCCCGGGGAGACAGGAGTGACAGCTAAAAGGCATAGGGTGGCTGGGTACAGTGGTTCACGCCTGTAATCCCTGCACTTGGAGGCGAAGCAGGAGGATCACTTGAGCCCAGGAGTTTGAGACTAGCCTGGGCAACCTGGCGAAACCCCATCTCTACAAAAAATACAAAAATTATCCAGGCGTAGTGGTGCACACCTGTGGTCCCAGCTACTTGGGAGGCTGAGGTGGGAGGATCACCTAAACCCAGGAGGTTGAGACTGCAGTGAGCCGTGATTGTACCACTGCACTCCAGCCTGGAGTGAGACCCTGTCACACACACACAAAAAAAATTAGTTAAAAAATTAAAATTAAAAAATTATAAAGGGCATAGGGTTTCCTTTGTGGGTTATAAAAAGTGTTGCAGAATTGGTTGTGCTGATGGTTGCACAACTGCCTGAATACACTAAATCCATGGAACTATACATTTTAATGGGTGAATTGTAAGCTATATGAATTATATCACAATAAAGCTGTTATCAAAAAAGATTCATTGATTCATACAAGTATTTGAGTACCCATCATATGCCAAATACTGCTCTAGGTGGACAGGATACATCAGTAAACAAAACACACAAGATCCCTGCCCTCTCAGAGTAGGAGCCAGACAATGCACATAATAAAAACACAAACCACACGCAGGCGCTCCTCGACGTACGATGGGGCTACGTCCCAATAAACCCACTGTAAGCTGAAAATGTCATTAAGTCAGAAATGCATTTACTACACCTAACCTATCAAACACCATAGCTTTGCCTACCTTAAATATGCTCAGAGCATTTCCATTAGTCTAGAGTTGGGAAAAAATCAAAATTCAAAATTCGAAGTATGGTTTCTACTGAATGCGTATCACTTTCACCATTGGTACAGTGGAAAAACTGCAAAACGAACCACGGCAAGTCAAAGACTGTCTGTAGTATGTCAGAAAGTGATAAATGTTATTTTAAACGAGAGAAACAGGTAGGGGCTCTGAAATGCATGGGAGGGTTATGACGCAATGTGACACAGGGAGACCGGGGCAGGTGGTGCAGTCACTGGGGCAAACACTGGAGGGTGGTGGAGGACAGCATGGGACCGCCTGGGGAAGGGTGTCCAGGCAGAGGGGACAGGAGAGCAGCCTGTGCCTGTGCCATAAGGCAGCAGTGTGCCCATGTGTCTGAGCAAGAGCAGGAGCTCAGTGTGGCTGCAGGACGTGATGGGGTGGGGTGTACAGGTCCTGGGGACCATCATAAAGGCTTTGGGCTTCTCCACTGAGAGAACAGGAAGGCCCGGGTTGAACAGAGGACTGTCACGGACTGACCTGTGTTCTAAAAGAGTCACTCTGTTTGCACACCCATGTTCATAGTGGCATAGTTCTCAATAACCCAAGTGTCATTGGGCAGACGAGCGGATAGGCAAAGGTGGTCCATTCATACAATAGAATGCTATTCAGCCTTCAAAAGGAATAAAATTCTGACACATGCTACAACATGGATGAACCCTGAGGACCTTGTGCTAAGTGAAATAGGCCAGTCACAAAAGGACAAATACTGTATGGTTCCCTCATTTGAGGCTCTAAAAGGAGTCAGACTCACAGAGACAAAAATTCAAATGCAGGGGTGCCAGCGGCTGGGGGGATAGGGAGATGGAGAGTTCGTGCTTAACAGGAACAGAGTTTCAGTTTGGGAAGATAGCAAAGTTCTGGAGATGGAGATGGTGATGGTACCACAATGTGAATGTACTTAATGCTACTAAATTGGACACTTAAAATGGTTAAAATTCTATGTTATGTGTATTTTTTTCTTTTTTTTTTTTTTTTTTTTTTGAGACAGAGTCTCCTTCTGTCACCCAAGCTGGAGTGCAGTGGCACGATTTCGGCTCACTGCAACCTCCGCCTCCCAGGTTCAAGCGATTCTACTGCCTCAGCCTCCTGAGTAGCTGGGGTTACAGGCACACGCCATCACACCCAGCTAATTTTGGTATTTTTAGTAGAGACGGGGGTTTCACCATGTTGGTCAGGCTGGTCTCGAACTCTGATCTCGTGATCCGCCCACCTCGGCCTCCCAAAGTGCTGGGATTACAGGTGTGAGCCACCACGCCTGGCCCCGTTATGTGTATTTAACACAATTTAAAATAACTTTAAAAAGGAAAGCAGAATCCCTGGCCGCCGTGTTGAGAAGACGCTGAGGGAGGAAAGGGCAGAGTTGGGAAATGAGTGAGGAGGTGTGGGGCGCCACCTATTTCTGGTGCAGGACAGGTTGCACTTCCCCGCTCTCTGAAATCAGGTGCCTCCTCCCCTCTGCCACAGGGACCCTCAATGCTCCTGACTGTAGCAGCCCCAAGGTAGACAATGGGAGACAAGGGGACCACAGTTGAGCCCTGAGGAGGCTGAGAGGAGGGAGGAAAACCAGGAACCATGGTGTCCTGGACGCCAGGTGAGGACGGTCAGGGAGGAGGGGAGGAGGAGAAGAGGGGAGGAAGGACGGAGGGGAGGAGGGGAGGAGGGCCGGAGTGGCTGTGTTAACCGCTGCTAATGGGGTCCCACGAGATAAGGAATGAGGGCCAGTCACGGCACCAGCCACAAGCAGGTTGCTGGTGACCTTGAGCAGGGATAGTGCTTACAGAGTGGTCAGCACGTTGCCCAGGACATCGAAGGCCCCCAACAGAAATCACTGGAAGCTGGAGCCGGGGCCTCTGCATTCGTGTTCTCGTTCTGCCCTGTGGCACCTTCTCATGCCCTGCTCGGCCCAGAGCAGACTGCCCAGGGGCCACTCTGAGTGAGAGTGTCCAAGCACAGACTGAAGTCCTTAAACACGCAAACATCGTGTCTGGCCGTGCTGCCCATCACAGCTGGCCACACTGGCCTCACAGGGGTACAGGGCCACTCAGACTATCAGGCCTCTCAGGGCAGACCTGGCTACAGCTTGTGCTCCTCCCAACTGGCTCAGCTCCCTTCTCCGTTTGTGGCACAAAGAGCCCATGGTTTGTTTTGGTTTTATTTTTTATTTTTTTAGAGACAGGGTCTCACTCTGTCACCCAGGCTGGAGTGCAATGGCACAATCATAGCTCACTGCAACCTTGATCTCCTGGGCTCAGGTGATCCTCTCACCTTAGCCTCCCAAGTAGCTGGGATTATAGGCCACCACATCCAGCTAATTTTTTATCATTATTTTTGTGTAGAAATAGGGGTCTCACTATGTTGCCCAGGCTGCTCTCGAACTCCTGGACTCAAGTGATCCTCCTGCTTCAGCCTCCCAAAGTGCTGGGATTATAGCATGAGCCACAGTACCAAGTGAGCCCATGGTTTAACTCTGGGGTTTATCCACCAGCCAAATGAAGAATATTTTATAAAATTGTAATACTGTTCAAAATTGCTAAGTACATATATAAGGTTAATGTCACTGTAATATTAAAATACTAAATTCATTTATATATTTTTATTTAAATTGCTGGGGCAACTTGCCATAGTTGATTAAAAATTCTGAACAGGGTGTATTGTATAGGCCAATTATGAAGCAGGGTGTAAATGCTGGGAACAGCACTTGGAATGTGCAGAAAACCATTTGTAAAATGAGATTTCTTTAAAAAAAAAAAGAAAAAAGAAAAAAGAGAATCAGGGCATAGACAGGGGCAGCCTTGCATGAAGCCCGTGGGTGAAGCTTTCCCAGGACAGCAGCGCAGCCCTGACTCACTCGAGCAAGGCCAGTGTTGTCCATCCTCGGCAAGTTTTCCTGGTTCTCAGGCTCTTCAGTGGCTGCATTTACCAAGCCAAGGCTCCCACCTCTCCTTCCGCAGTCATGGAAAAGAGCCCTGGCCATGCCTATAGTGGACACATGGGCTTCTAGCCCATCCCAGGCACTGCTGGCTGGGCACAGGAGCAGAACTGCAGGCCTCACCTGTACGGCCTCCACCCTTCCAGAGGTCACCTGCACTGCAGGACTGCCCAGAAGTGCTAGGTACTAATACTTCAGGAGTGACTCTCACCCATGAAGGACGAGAGCTTCCTCGCCTGTCAGGGGACACCCTGAGGTGTGCTCCCTGCTGTCACTGAAGGGCCCCAATTGCCCACGGCGCTAACCTGCTCATTAACACTGGGCTGACTGGAGCCCCACCCTCCCTGATGTGTTTTCTGGGATGACCTCCTAAATAGGCCATTTACACCTAAATCTGTGCCTCGGGTCAGTGTCTAGGGGAGCCACATGCAGGCACCAAGTCCCCACACTCTCCCGGTCACGGCTTCCTTGCTGCTCAATGAACACCCCAGTGCCTGGCCTCTGAGGGACTCGGATTCGGAAAAGCTGGAGAGCTGGGGTAAGTGTGCGATTCAAGAAGGCTTTGGGGGCCACTGGGCATCTTTCTCTTGGAGACAGCCCGGTCTCCCAATGGTGTCCTACGACTTCAAGTGCGGCTGTGCCCAGTGCCCCGCAGACAACTGAAAACAATTCCCAGTCATGCTGGAACTCTACATGCAGCTATTGAGAGCTATGGGGATCTTCAGACATACCAGAGGGGCAGCAGACAGGACGAGGGAAACACCAGGGACTGGAAGTCGGCGAACCTCAGTTCCATCCCTGCTCTGCACTTCCAGGCCATGTGGGCTCCTCGGCAGAAAATGAGACTAGTCATGCCTACCTGTGAGGGTCCCTCCTACCTGAGGACACACCTTCCCTGTAAGAATCTCCCCTTGCCTGCAAGGATCCCCCCACCTTGCAAGGATCCCCCCTCCCCCTGAGGATCCCCTTTCCCTGTGAGGATCCCCTGCCTGTGAGCACAGTGCCCACCTGTCAGGACACCCTGCAGAGTCCATCACAAATGGGGGATAGTGCTGAGCCCGGCCTTGGCAGATGAAGAGGTGGGTGTCGGTGAGGAAGGGGGCTGTGTGGACACCTGCCATCTATCCTTCTCTGGCCTCCCTCAACTCCGAGGGCTCCAGTAATCCCCAGTGCACACTGAGGCCCTCGTTTCTATTGCCCCTAGAGTCCTTAAGTGTCACTCCTCTGGACCCTTGGCCCCCAAAAGGCCCATTTCTTCTTTTCTGCTGAACGATTCACAGACCCTAGCCTGGCACTAGGTCCCCAGGAGGGACTCTGTGATGGTTCATTTTAGGTGTCAGCTTGACTGGATCACAGGATTCCCAGACACTCAGCCAAACATTATTTCCAGGTATGTCTGTGGGAGTGTCTCTGGATGAGATTAGGCTTTGAATCAGTAGGTGAGTAAAGCAGGGCTTCCTCCCCAGTGTGGGGGGCATCATCCAATCCACTGAGCATCTGAGTAGAGCAGAAAGGTGAGGGGAAGCAGAACCCTCTCTCTGCCTGCCTGCTGGAGCTGGGCCTTGGTCTTCTGACCTTGAACTGGGACTTACACCAGTGGTGTTCCTGTGAACTCAGACTAGAATTCCAAAACCAGCTCTCCTGGGTTTCCAGTTCACAGAGAGTAGATCATGGGACTTCTCAGCCTCCATAATCTCATGAGCCATTCCTTATAAATCTCACATAAATATCATTCATATATATAGTAGGGGTCCTGTTTCTCTAGAGAACCCTGACTAATACAAACTCCATCCCAGCACCTAGTTGAAGATTTCACAGGTGCAGGGTGGGGACTCAACTCAACACACTTCTGCTTAGACACGGATATGCTGGCATTGGCCATGTGGCCACGTAGAGCTGTCCCTGGCCTGGAGGAGCTCACAGTCCAGTGGAGGAGATGCACAGTCATGCATGCATTCATCCAGCGAGCATCTGCTCATGCCTGCTCTGTGCCCGGCACTCGCCCAGTTGCTTGGGGTGCTGGGGTGAACAGAGAAGGTGCCTGCTCTCATGGAGCTTGCATTGAAGCAGGGAGACAGATGCTAGGCAGAAGCCTTGGAGAGGAAGTGCCAAGATGAAAACAGAGCCCTGCGCCGTGACGAAGGGTGACCGGGGTTTGCTTGGGTTTGGGCTTCTCTGAGGTGAGATCTGAGCAGCAAGAAGGGCTTCTGTGCTGAGTCCTGCCCCAGGGAATAAATAGGGTCCAGACAGCAGAAGGTGGAGAGGAAGAACTCTCGCCACAGGGGACCAGGCTAAGCAGGACCCCTGCAGGCTGGAGACAGAGAGGACGGGAGGCCATGGCAGGAGGACAGGTTGGAGCCACTTTGCTGTGCATGGAGTTGTGCTGGGTCCTGAGCCCAGAGCCCATGGGCGGTGCTGGCAGCTCCAAGTCCTGTCCACACATTATCAATGATTCCCTTCTATTGGAAAATGATTGTGTTTATTTTCTTTTCTACATTCTGGACTGAGGCCATATGATAATTATGAAATGCACAACCCATAATGTGTTCTAAACTGTCTCTGCATAGTATGTGGTTTTGGAATAATACATAAAATGCTTAATAAAAATTAATGTAAAAAGGAGAGTCATCAGCCTCACTTGGAAATAAAATCAGTATTAATTTCTTTGCCCGCAGTTCCCCTGCTGAACTAGTGATGACATGTCCATCTCCTTGACCTCTGACGCTCCACGCCTGCTCCTCTGGTTACGAACCCAAATCCCAAAGGCCCTAGGGTCTCATAACAACACATGTGAGTGTGTGGGCCAGCCCTATGGGTCATGGCAACTCCCTGAGTTTTCCCAAGCCACATTCATGCTGGGTCCCAGGGCGAGGACTGTGCCTGGTGGACAATGGACGCATGACAAATATCTGCTAAAAGCTGCTCTTTGAGAGACTCATATCTGTCAGGCCCAAACGTCTTGGGAACTGATGTAAACAGTGGGGCCGCAGGGCAGCGAGGAGAATGTGACACGTCTCCATCTTCTGGTGGCCACAGCCCTGTCATGTGTCTGGGCAGCTCAGCCAAGAAGCATGAAGCCATAATACTGGTCAGTCTATACCGCAGTCAAGCACCAAACCCAGAGTCCCAGATGGGCCACAGGGAGCCAGAGGAGATCATGAAAGGCCAGAAAAACAAAGCTCAAGCTTCCTGGAGGCTGTGTGGCCAGGACAGAGAGATCAGAGTATGAACCACTTGGCCCAGCCTACCAGCTCCGACTGACCATGTGAAAACAAGGCAACCCAGCAGGACAAACACACAGCAGAACAGGCCATGCTGCTGCTCACATAGCCCAGGAGACCTGGGAGGACAGCATGGTTGACTTCTTTCCCAAGGCCCGCCAGCCAAGCCTTCAAGAGCCCCAGACGCATCCCTCCCCTGCTGCCGTGGCCCCAGGGCTGCCAGCATGGAGCAGAGCCTGGCACCTCCCCTTTGCTCCCCACCTCCTGCTGTGACGCAACCAAGTCCCCAGGGCCAGCTCTCTGCAGCGCCTCCTCCATCCTCCCCACCCCAGCCCTGACCCCAGCCAACCAGTCTCTCAGCCGCCCTGGTCCCCAGAGCTGAGGGGGGTACCTCTCTCCCCATTTGCCAGCCACATGGGAAAGGAAATCCCCATGGGCCAGTCTTCAAACTCAAAATTATTGCATCCTCAAACATTTCTCTTGACAAAAGTACAGAGTTGACGTCTCCTTTCATCCTTTTATCCTATAAAATCTTAACAGTACTGTATATATTTAAAGCCCCTAAATAAAAAGGTATGGCTATGAGAGTGGACTCCAAGTCCTGGCTTCAAGTCCTAGTTCTGTTACTTACCGAGACTTCTGTTTTCTCATCTGTAAAACAGGCAGAATATCTGCCCCCTGAGATTAAAGGAGATGACCAATTTAAGGGATTTCTCCAAAGGTCTGGTACATAAGAAGTGATACATAAATTAAGTGAGGTGGTAGTGGTGGTAGTGTTGGTGATGATGGTGGTGGTTTAAGTGGTGAATGGTGATGGTGACAGTGATGATTATGGTGATGACAGTGATGGTTATGGTAGTGATGACAGTGATGATGGTGATGGTGATGGTGGTGGTAAGTGGTGAATGGTGATGGTGATAGTGATGATTATGATGGTGATGACTGTGATGATGGTGATGGTGATGGTGGTGGTAAGTGGTGAATGGTGATGGTGATAGTGATGGTGATGATGATGGTGATGGTGATGATGGTGGTGGTAAGTGGTGAATGGTGATGGTGATAGTGATGGTGATGATGATGGTGATGGTGACGATGGTGGTGGTAAGTGGTGAATGGTGATGATGGTAGTGGTAAGTGGTGAATGGTGATGGTGATGGTGATGATAGTGGTAGTAAGTGGTGAATGATGATGGTGATGGTGATGATGGTGGTGGTAAGTGGTGAATGATGATGGTGATGATGATGGTGATGATGGTAGTGGTGATGATGATGGTGATGGTGATGATAGTGGTGGTAAGTGGTGAATGGTGATGGTGATGGTGATGACGGTGGTGGTAAGTGGTGAATGGTGATGGTGATGGTGATGATGGTGGTGGTAAGTAGTGAATGGGGATGGTGATGGTGATGATGGTAGTGGTGATGATGATGGTGTTGGTGATGATAGTGGTGGTAAGTGGTGAATGATGATGGTGATAAGTGATGATTATGGTGATGACAGTGATGGTTATGGTGGTGATGACGGTGATGATGGTGATGGTGATGGTGGTGGTAAATGGTGAATGGTGATGGTGATGGTAAGTGGTGAATGGTGATGGTGATAAGTGATGGTTATGATGGTGATAATGGTGACGGTGGTGATGATGATGGAGACGGCAGTGGAATCCTCTCTCTGTTTTTTTTGTCTTTTTTTTTAAACAGAGTCTCACTCTGTCGCCCAGGCTGGAGTGCAGTGGCGTAATCTCGGCTCACTGCAAGCTCCACCTCTCGGGTTCACGCCATTCTCCTGCTTCAGCCTCCCGAGTGGCTGGGACTACAGGCGCCTGCCACCACGCCCAGCTAATTTTTTGTATTTTTAGTAGAGATGGGGTTTCACCGTGTTAGCCAGGATGGTCTCAATCGGCTGACCTCGTGATCCACCTGCCTCGGCCTCCCAAAGTGCTGGGATTACAGGCGTGAGTCACCACGCCCCACCCTCTCTCTGGTTTATAGTAACTTCTGGTCAATACATCAAAAAGCTTGGTGGCAAAAGAGCTCTGGTCACAGCCCAAATCCATAAGCCAGAGCTCTCTTTCCTCCCCCAGTTCTCATGTCCTGCAGGCTCAGCAGATACAATCTTGAATCCTTATTCATCAAAGAGAAGGTCAGGAGAAATGAGCCTCCCTCTCCCCCAACCCCTGAGTTAGCTCCATTTACAGAAACCTCATCCCCCTCCTGCCCCCATCCACAGGCATCTGCCTCTGGCCACCAGTGACACCAGGCACCACCAGAAACACTCAGCATCATCTCTCCTCCCTGAATCCTAACTGCTAAACCAGTGATTGTATTTCATTTCAGTGGAAATGCCATCACTTTGTACTAAATCCCACCATATACAAAACATCGAGTGGCTTCTCCTGATAAGAAGAGATATAGGAAAATTGCCACATTAGATACTGCCTATTATCTGGGCTACTTTTGTCGAAAACAACACATCATAGGCAGGAACTAATGGCACAGACTTTCAGCAGCCAACCTAAGTCCCCGCAGACTTCACTCCAAGAAATCTGATGCTTTCCACCTCAGTCAGGGCACTGCTGCTCCATCCCAAGTTTTTATTTTCCAGAAGGTTTTAACGGAAGAGAAAGAGGAAGGCAATTCTCTGAGGCCATCCTCCAGGCTCAGGCGCATAACCTTAAACAGTTAGACCTCCGACAGCCTCGAGTCACAAAAACACAGTGGCTTCCTGGGAGCCAGAAGTTCTGGTCTCCAGTTTCCGACCTGCCACCTTCTGAGACCCTGAGCCCACCCCTCCAGACTCTGCGGGGTCTCCATCTGGTGAAGGAGACGGTCCACCAGGGACTGTCTAGGGCTCCTTCCATTCTGAGATGCAACTAACAGTGATTTCCGTGCCTGCAGCAGAAACATGAGCATCCACTGTCGGCCAGCACTTTTCAGTCCAGGAAGGAAAATCATTCATTTTGGCTCAAGAAAACCACGGAAAAGTTTACTTTTTGCAAATGTTTTCTTTACAAAAGCCAAATCCCAGAGCTGATGTGATGTCGGGCGGATTAGACAATTAAAGCAGGCGCACAGAATACAAATCTGCATTTGTTCAGCTGGGTCTGGAGGAGATCGCCATTTCCTTCCTCCCTCAAGTCAATTTATTCAGAGAGCAGCCTTCTCTCCAGATAAGCACATTGACTTTAAAATAAAGTGTGTGCCAACAGCTGCAGCCCCGCGACTGGAGCAGACAGAGATGTGGCATGGAATGATAATTAAATATATTTTCATCATCCGTCATTTTTTTTTTGCTGCAGGTGCCAGGGTAATAAATCTGGACTCGCCTCTTTTGTCAGCTGGCAGTGAACACATTTTAACGTGAAATCTCCTGGGAAGAATTAAGAGTCACTTGGCCTTGTAAAGGAGAAAGGGTTTTACTTCCAAACTGCCAAGTGGGGAGCTCACAGCTGATTGGTTTCATAATACTTTATTATTTGACAATATATATGCCTCGGGTTGTATTTCAGAATACCACACCTACGGGATAACCAGCGCCGTGAGAGATTTGTCATCAAATTCTAGAATAAAAACTTATTTGGGAAGATTTTCACCACAATTTCTTTTTATGAATCCCAAATTTAATGTATGATTGACTAGGTATATTCCCATCTTTGAAACTTTTCCTGCATTTCTTTTAAGTTCCCCAATAGTCTTTTCTTCCCCTTGTAACATATTGCAGGGAAATCTGTTGCTCTTGCTGCCTGTGGTCTGAGTTAGGTGCTTTCGACTGGCCTAAGGAGTTTGGTGGACTTTTTATTTTGACAGTTTAACAGCTCCTTCTCCCCAGGGGAAGCCTCAAGTGAGCAGTCCTCGGAAAAGCCCAAAGAAATGGCACATCATAGCATCCTCAGAGCCCTGCCTTCCTCTCCAACCATACGCCCTCTGCAAGATACCTTCACTGAAGAGCAGGGCTAGGTAAAGCCATGGTGCGGGCATAAGAGGGGAGAGAGGGGAGGGGGTGGTGGTGAAGGGAGGGGAGGCATTTGCCCCGGGATCTCGGGCAGCTCCTGCCGGCCACAGGTCTCCCCTGGAAGGCAAGGATTCCACAGTACCTGTCACAGCCAGCAACACACAGAGACACGCAGCTAGCCCAAGCGGGTCCACAGTGGCCAAGTTCCTTTTCTCTCCTCCTCAAAGGAATGTTCTGGAAAGGAAATTCCTCCCACACCTGCCCTTACCCATCCTCCCAGGGCACCCATTCACCACATCCGTGGAGCCTCAAATATGAATGCCTAAAGCAGGTGACATGGGGCAGATTACAGCAGGAGGGCTGTGTGTGCCTCTTTTACAAGAGGGGTGGTTCCTCTGCCATGCCCTGACTGAGGGCCATGAGCGATGCTAACTTCCGGGAGCATGCCTCATCCTTCCGGTCCACATTTCTCAGAGGACACCTGGGCTCAGCCAAAAGCATCCCATCCTGAAACCCTAAGGTCAATGCAGAGTGTCTCTGAAAATGCCTTATTAAATACCAATAACCTCCCCTTCTGCCGACCACGGGCGCTGGCCCCTCAGTCACTCATATGGTCCTACACCCACCGGTGTGGCAGGACAGCAGGTGGCATAGCTCCAGAAGAGGCCATCTGCAGAGAGCAATGTGAGGCTCAATCCCAATCAAAATCCCAGCAGGCTTTGTGCTGGAAACTGACAGCCAATTCTAAAATCCATATGGAAATGCAAAGGACCTCGAGTGGCCAGAACAACTTGAACAAGAATAAAGTTGCAGAGCTAACACGACTTAGATTCACAGGATTTCAAGACTTGTTATACAGCCACACTAGTCAAGACAGTGGGGTATTGGCTTAAAGACAGACCACCGGATCAATTAACAGAACTGAGTCCAGAAATAGACCTTCATATATATGGATAAATGATTTCTTACAAAGGGGCAAAATGCAATTCAGTGGAGAAAGAGGAGTCTTTTCCACAAATAGTGCTGAAATAATTGGATGTCTACGTGCAAAAAAAAAAAAAATGAAAAACGAACCTCAACCCATACCTCACACCATATGCTTTAACTGAAAATAGACTATAGGCCTAAATTTTAAAATCTATAAAATTCTGAGACGAAAACATAGGAGAAGGCCAGGCACAGTGGCTCACACCTGTAATCACAGCACTTTGGGAGGCCAAGGTGGGCAGATCACTTGAGATCAGGAATTACAGACCAGCCTGGCCAACATGGTGAAACCCCACCTCTACTAGAAATACAAAAATTAGCCAGGGTTGGTGGCATGTGCCTGTAATCCCAGCTACTCAGGAGGCTGATGCAGGAGAATCACTTGAACCTGGGAGGTGGACGTTGCAGTGAGCTGAGATCATGCCACTATACTCCAGAGACTCCATCTCAAAAAAAAAAGAAACGAAAACACAGGAGAAAATATTTGTGACTTTGCATTAGCTAAAGATTGCTTAGATGGCCAGACACAATGGCATGCACCTGTAGTCCCAGCTATTCAGGAGGCTGAGGCAGAAGGATCATGTGAGGTCAGGGGTTCGAGGCTGTGAACAGCTACTGCACTCCAGCCTGGGCATCATAGCAAGACCCACATCTTTTTAATTAAAAAAAAAAGATGATGATTGCTTAGATACAACACCATGAGCATGATCCCTAAAAACAGAAAAAAAAAAGATTTAAAAAAACTGACATTATCATAATTAACTTCTGTTCTTCAAAAGATACTGTTAAGAGGATGAAAAGACAAATCACAGACTGGAAGAAAATCTCTGCAAAGCATATATCTGATAAAGAACTTTATCTAGAATATATATAAAGAACTCTCAAAACAATAATAAGAACACAGCCCGACTTTTTTAAAGGACAAAAGATTTGAATAGACACTTCACTAAAGAAGATACATGGGTATGGCTAAATGCAGGTAAAGATGCTCAACATCATTATTTACTACAGAAATACAAATTCAAACCATGACGAGATATACCACATGCCTGTTAGAATGGCTAAAATGACAAAGACTGACCGTAGGAAGGGTTGGCGCGGATGTAGAGAAACTGGAACTCTCATACCCCGCAGTGGGGATAGAAAACAGCGTGGTCACTTTGCAAAGCAACGTGTCAGTTTCCATATGATCCGGCCATCCCACTCCTAGGCATTTACCCGAGAGAAAAGAAAGCATATGTCCATGCAAAGACTTGCACACAAATGTTCACAGCAGCTTTATTTATAAAAGTAAAAAGTGGAAATAACCCAAATGTCCATCAACAGGTACATGGACAAATTGTCTCATATCCATACAACAGAACACTACTCAGCAATGAAAAGAAATGAATTACTGATACACACAACATGGATGAATCTCAAAATAATTATGCTGAAAGGAGCCAGACCCCAAAAAAAGACAACATGCTGTATGACTCCATTTATATAAAACCCTAGAAATGCTAACTAACAGACTGACAGAAAGCAGAGTGGTGGTTGCCTGGCGAGGAGGGGGGAGGCCCTGGAGGAAGCAATCACCAAGGGACTCAAGGATACTTCTGGGGTGATGGGTACGTTCATTATCTTGATTTGGCGATGGTGATGCCAGAACTCACTGAGTTGTACATTTTAAATATGTGTAATTTATTATATGTCAATTATGCCTCAATAAAGCTGTTTTCAGAAAAGAATACAATGTGAATGGTGTTCCCTGAGGTCACACAAGGAGGCACCAGTGCGTACAGGTGTTATAAGCCCAGGAAAGAAAAATAATAATTGCCAAATGGAACAGTAATTTGCCTGTGACCGATGGTAGAAAAGCTTGCATCCAAATTCAAAAGCATCCCCCTCTCCTCATTCATTCATTCAGCAAATGAGGTACCAAGTCCCCAGGGAACAAAGATATGGTTTCTCTCCCAAAAGAAACTAGACCAGGAACCCTGATTCTATACCTTGGCCATTAATGTGCACATCTGCAGGCATGTGGGGGTATGTGTGCACAGCGAGGCAGCCCAGCCACGTAGCGTAGGCAAATCCCATGAATGCTTAATGCCTCAACTTCCTCATTGGTACAGTGAGGAAAACAGTAATATCCACATCACAGGGTCGTTAGTTCGTTGGGCAGAACTTGGAGGTACCCAGAGATCAACAAGGAAGCAGAAGGAAGAGGATGTACAAAGGCTCCTCCTAAATTATCATCTGCGTGATTCTTTAAAAAAATGCCTGGCGCTTCCTAAGCCCTCGGTAAGTGTGTGTTCCATTTAGTACTATAATTACCACTACTTTTATTACTACGCTACCTGTAGAGACACACGCCAGGATGGAATGAGGGCATCTCCAGGTGCTGAGATAAGTGACTCTGATTCTATTCACCTTCCTGTTTTTCCTTTCCTCGCCGAACACATATTACCTCTGAAAATTAAGATTTTTAAGTAAATAAAAATACCCAAATAAGCTAGAATGCTAAATAGCTTCTGCATTTACTTACCCACACCCACAGGCACATTTTAAAAGTAAGCTCCCTAGGGGTGCCCAGCCCACACCCTCTTGCTTCCCTCAGATGAGCAGCTAGCTGCAGGTTAACCACTGGGGGTATGAACGGAGGTTTCTTTTTGCCCCCATGCCTTGTAGCCTTTTATTCTAACCAGACCGAGGCATCTATGCCCCAGGGAAGGGCCCTTATGAGGAACCAGAGAACAGAAGAATCAAAGCCGTGGCTTTAGAATTTCAAAAGCTAGGGCCCAGATGTGTGCAGAGGAGACGCGGCGGAGCCAAGGCCAGCAAGGGCCACTCCCTGCCCAGAGCCAGGCTGAGGGAGGAGAAGGAAACAGATGCTCCTTCCCACGCCTGGTGAAGAGTGGGCTAAGACTCCAGAGAGGCCCAAGCTCCAGAGCAGGGGCTGAGCCTTACTCCTCATGCAGAGCCAATGAGCATTTTTCCGTGAGCCCCAGAGACCAGAGATGGCTGCTAGGGTTCAGGGGACAGCCAAATGGTCCCTTGCTCCCCAAGAGGGGTGTGGAAGCAGCTGAGGATCTCACCCTTCCCTTCAGAGACCCCACAGTTAGGACAAAGGGGGGTACAGCATAGACCTGCACAGGGGTACAGAGAGCTGGGGAACAGCAGTGATGAGGGCCGAACCCCTAACCCCCATGAGCTCCTCACATGCGCGCAAACCCAGGAGGCTGGAGGAACTTTCTGTTGGCTGAGAAAACCCACAATTAAATGTGATTCTGTTTCTGTAACCTGGTGGAATGAAAGACTGAAGTAGAAATTAGAATCAGTTACAGAAAGACAGAGTGGGCTCCATGTAGAGTCCTTGAGGGTGGCCTATCTGTTTCTGCCACATACTCAAAGTCGCCACCAGCCAACATCCTTCATCCTTCAGCATATGACGGTGTACAATGGTGGGAACATGGTACGCCAGCACCCTGGTCCAAAACAGAGAAGACTTGGATCCCAGCAGGCAGGCGAGTCGACAGTGATTACCAAGGATCGAGGAGAGGCAAGGCCAGTCCTGCAAAGCTTCAGGAGAGGGCGTCTGGGCAGAACTTGGAGGTACCCAGAGACCAACAAGGTACTGGAGGCAGAAGGAAGAGCATGTGCAAAGGCTCACCCTAAAACACAGTGTCCAGCCACAGCATTTACAGCCTGGTGCAAAGGCTCATCCTAAAACACCATGTCCCGCCACAGCATTTACAGCCTGGTGTAGGGGACAAATACCACGAGAGCACGGTCAAGACCACATTGAATGGGTTACTAAGTTCCACCGAGGGCAAATGCAGCACCTCCTAGGTGCTCATGGACCGAAGGAGAATTTTCATCCAACCTCCAAGAGGTGAGAAGAGGGACGACACAGCAGGTTTTCAATAGTGCTAAAGTTATGCCATTTAAAGAACTGTCCTTTAAGGGCCGGGCACAGTGGCTCACGCCGGTAATCCCAACACTTTGGGAGGCCGAGGCAGGCAGATCACGAGGTCAGGAGTTCAAGACCAGCCTGGCCAACACAGTGAAACCCCATCTCTACTAAAAATACAAAAATTAGGCCGGGCACGGTGGCTCACGCCTGTAATCCCAGCACTTTGGGAAGCCGAGGCGGGCGGATCACGAGGTCAGGAGATTAAGATCATCCTGGCTAACATGGTGAAACCCCGTCTCTACCAAAAATACAAAAACTTAGCCAGGCGTGGTGGCGGGCGCCTGTAGTCCCAGCTACTCGGGAGGCTTGAGGCAGGAGAATGGCGTGAACCCAGGAGGCGGAGCTAGCAGTGAGCTGAGATCACGCCACTGCACTCCAGCTGGGCGACACAGCAACACTCCATCTCAAAAACAAACAAACAAACAAACAAAAAAAAAAAAATTAGCTGGGCATGGTGGTATGCGCCTATAGTCCCAACTACTTGGGAAGCTGAGGCAGGAGAATCACTTGAACCCAGGAGGCGGAGGTTGCAGTGAGCCGAGATCGCACCATTGCACTCCAGCCTGAGTGACACAGCGAGACTCTGTCTTGAAATGAAACGAAACGAAACAAAACAAAAAGAGAAGAAAAGAAAAGAACTGTTCTTTATTCTAAGAGTATGTCCTTCCAACTTTTACAACATGTTGATGATATATGGTAGCTGTAATTTTTCTACATCTTACTCAGCAGAATTAAAAGTCATTGGCCCTTAAGTCCCTTCTATTTAAAAAAATAATAATAAAAAGCAGCACTGTCCTGCGGAAGCCCCACTCCTACAGACACGCTTGCTGGTGCCTCCGATGGGCCAGGCACAGGACTAAGTGCTAAGTAAACAACAGTGAACATGGTAGATGCAGATGGACGTGGTCTCTGCCTGCATGATGAAGCTTGCATTTAAAGGGCCATGAGGAGCAAACAGAGGAGCTGGGGGCCTGCCTTAGACAGGGTGCTCTTGGCTGGGCTGTTTAAGGAGTAACATTTAAAGTGAGACCTGGAAAATGAGCTGGGGCAAGCCAAGGACGGGCCTGATAATGGAACCCCAGGTAGGGGGAATGGCAAGTGCAAAGGTCCTGGGGTGAGAATGAGCTGGGAGATCTTCAAATTGACAGAAGTCAGTGAGGGAGGAGGAGTGAGGCAGCAGGCTCTGAAACTGCAAGTAAGGGGCTCTCTGGGAACAGGCAACGGCAGGCATCTTCCCAGGGGAGAGTTAGGGTGGGGAGGGCAGATGGGAATAAAGGTAAAGGGGAGGGGCTGTGTGGGAGCTAGAACAGCAGAAGCACCTATCCTAAGACACCTGAGTTTACAGTCGACCTGTCCCTAAGACGTAAGCACCTGCTGAACACAAAGGCACTGAACACCCGATTCTCTCTCTGATCTCTTCAGACTCCCTGTCTTATAAGTCTAGTGGTTTGGGGAGCTCCCTGCCCTTTGAAGCAATGATTTCAGTACTTCAGGCAGAGGGCACGTACGCACCAAAACAACAAAGGGAATTCTCTGCTCTGAACGGCAAGACTGATTTCTGTTAGCATCAGCAGCGTGGCCACAGACTTGAAAGCGCTCTGTTAAGAGGGAGGGTTTTCTGAATCCACATCCTAGAGGATTCAGATCACCGAGTTCTCCCTCGGCCACAAAGAAGATGCCCCTTCCAGCGCTGGTGGCTGGGTCCTGAGGCTGATGCCCCAGGCAGGAGGAGAACAGGATGCAGGGGAGCGGAGAGAGTGGAGCCTGGCCCCTCCTGTCCTGAGAGATTGTGGGAGGAGGGAGGCAGGAAGAAGGCAGGACACCTGGATCCTTGTCGTCTCTCCTGCAACTGCCAGATGGGTACGTAGGAGTCTGAGAGCCTCAGGCCTATTGGCCAGTTTCCTGGGTAGCTAGGGGAAGGCCACAAGTCACTAGAAACACGGTTCCCAAACTGTGCACCAAGGCTGCCTGAGGAGCCTCTGCTAACTCACAGGAGACCTGCAGGAATATTTACATTTTTGTGGGAAACAAGCAATACTTAACATCTGCCGGACACCACTGGTCCCACTAGCTTGAGGCAGTGGACAGTTTCACCATTAGACTGTCCTGCATGTCTTCTGAGGATGTCAGGCCATGGTAAAGCTGGGGTTTCAGTGGCTGCTGAAAGAAAAAGTGAGTACCTCACAAAAATCAATATGAAACAGGAAATGAGGGCACTGGTGTCTAATCTGATCCCAGGATTTTACAGTTGTCCAGTGCCTGATAGGCACACATATCCCATTCGTAATTTGGTTATTTAAGAATGGAATTTTTAAAATTATGTGCATTATATTTTCAAACAGCTATTGTTAGGACACAAATGTTTATTAAGGTGTTTATATCTAACTACTTAATAAACGGAACTGTTAGATATTTATTTTGGCCTAGGGACATCAGGAAAAAAAATCACTGAGGCGGCTGGGTGCAGTGGCTCACACCTGCAGTCTCAGCGCGTTGGGAGGCTGACGTGGTCGATTGCTTGAGGCCAGTTCAAGATCAGCCTGAGCAACATGGCAAAATCCCATCTCTACAAAATAAATGAATGAATGAATGAATATTAGCTGGGCATGGTGGTGCATGCCTGTGGTCCTAGCTACTCGGGAGGCTGAGGCAGGAGGATCACCTGAGCCCTAGAGTTTGAGGCTACAGTGAGTTATGATTGTGCCACTGCACTCTAAAAATAAAAATTAAAAAAAAAATAATCACCGAGGCCAGGTGCAGTGGCTCATTACTAGCACTTTGGGAGACCTAGCACTTTGGGAGACCAAAGCAGGAGGATTGCTTGAGCCCAGGAGTCTGAGACCAGCCTGGGCAACAAAGCAAGACCTCATCTCTACAAAATTTTAAAGAGTTAGCTGGGCATGGTGGCAGGTGCATGTAGTCCCAGCTACTTTGGAGGTTGAGGTCGGAGGATCATTTGAGCCCAAGAGATCAAGGCTGCAGTGAGCTGCAATCGAGCCAATGCACTCCAGCCTGGGTGACAGAGCCAGATCTTGTTTCAAAAAAAAAAAAGAAAGAAAGAAAGAAAAGAGAGAAGGAAGGAAGGAGAGAAGGAGGGAAGGAAGGAAGGAAATGAAAGGGAAGGAAGGGAATGAAAGAGAAAGAAAGAAGAAGAGGAGGGGAGGGGAGAAAGAAAGAATGAGAGAGAGAGGAAAGGAAAGGGAGAGAGAGAAGGAGAGAGAGAGAAAGAAGGAAGGAAGGAAGGAAAGAAAGAGAGAGAGAAAGAAAGAAGGAAGGAAGGAAGGAAGAAAAGAGAGAGAGAAAGAAAGAAAGAAAGAAAGAAAGAAAGAAAGAAAGAAAGAAAGAAAGAGAAAAGAAAGAAAGAGAAAAGAAAAGAGAGAGGAGGGAGGGAGGAAGGAAGACAGAGAAAGAAAGAGAAAGGAAGGAAGGGAGGGAGGGAGGAAAGGAAAGGAGAGGAGAGGGGAGGGGAGGGGAGGAGAGGAGAGGAGAGGAAAGGAAGGTAGGTCACTGAGGCACTTGGAGTACAAGATGCAAGAAAGTTTGGGAACTTCTGCTCTGGGGAGAACTTGGCCCATCCCCTCCCAACGTGGGGCAGATAGGCATGATGAGAGTGATCATTAGTGACAACCACCAAGCACTGTCCTGAGCAAGTGGCTTTGAGTAACTTATTTCATTCTCCTAACAGCCCTCTTTGCCCTGTGGATTTAATCAGTTCATAGATGACACAGGGAGGAACAGCGCCTGGGACAGAGTTAAGTGCTCAGTAAGTGGCAGTAGTGGTGGCTGTGACTTAGATTATGGACATGATACCCACAGGAGATGGAGGCATAAGGAGAGGAAGTCAGGTCCTCAGGGTTACAGCTGGAGCCGGGAGGGGGAGGAGGCCCCATGCCTATCCTCTTGCCCTACTACCCTGCCTCCTGGTGATGGATCAGCCAGCGGACAGCTTAGGGCCCTATGGCCTGCAGGCTCCAGTGACCTCACACTGTCAGAATGGAGATGCCTCTTGGGAAGAGGTATTGAAAAGCCAAGAAAATAAACAGTGGGACCAGGGCTCCACTTATGGGTGCCAGGATTCCCCAGCAAAGTCTCCACGGGGCTAGTTGCTCCTGGGGCTCAATAGTCCAGCCTCTCTGCAGAAGGAACCAGAGAGGGTACCAAGGAGTGGCTGGAGGGCAGAGACCCCTCCCTCAGCTACCTCCAGGCTACAGGGACGCACTCCTCCCCATACTCCAAGGCGCCGAGGGGAGCAGGAGAGGAGGCACTTGGAAAGATCGAGCACAGCCTCAACACAGGTTACCTCAAGAGGCAATTTGAGCCATTCGATTAAATCCACCAGAGTGGGCCTAAAATGTAGGACCCCCAAGCCTTTCCCCCTCGAAAGCGAGGTCAGGCCACTTAGAGAGAAAGGGAGAAGTGACCCTTTTTTTGCACGAGGCACAGTGTGAGGACACGTGTAACCCCATGACGCGCAGGGGAGGCATGAGAGACAGGAGGGCTGCTGGCGGCTCTTGGCCCATCAAGAAATGTGGGAAAGAGGCCTGGGCCAAGGCGAAGCTTCTAGAGGCCTCATGGCCCCATTCCCCCTAGAGACAAGGCAGGGATGGAGCAGGTTCAGAAATGGCTTCTCCAAGTCCCCATGCTCAGGAGGCCCTTCTGCCCTTGGGCCCCCTGCCCACTGCCCAGTGTGCAAGGCTGGTCAAAAGCAGGGCCCAGTCACTGGCAGCAGCCCCTCCTCAAGGCTCCAAGGCCAGATAAAGTTGTCAGCACACCGGCCGTGAAGGGCCAGCATAGCCAGTCAGCTGTTTGTAGCCACAGCACAGTCCCCCCCAACCATATCCAAGAAAGCTACACCAATGTCACATGAAAAAACTCCCAGAGAAATCAGACCAAGAGGCAAATGTGGGCTGCCAGAGTTCATCAAAATCACTATTTGCAAGATTCCTATCTGCCCTACTCAACGCATTTCAATTCCGAAGTGCTAGATTCCCCGGTATAGTAATAGAAAGGGTATTCATAGGCACTCCGGCTTCCAATAAGATGCAAAAACTTAGCTCGCATTTTTTAAAGTTTATAAATAGCCTCGGAAAAGAAGCTGGAACATGCTTCTTAGTAAATACAGCTGACCCATTTTCCTCATTCTTCACCAGGAATAAAGCGGCTGTTACCACGGAAAGTACAGAAGAGTCTAAATATATATTTCCTCCTCACAGGGACCCAGATCAGAAAGGCAGAGTCGACACTCAGTGGGTGAAAGAGGGAGAAGCCAGGCCAGGGAGGGCCGCCCCTGGTCACCTCCCTGCACCCCAAGGGGATGAAAGTCGTGGAGCCCTCAGCCCCAGCTCAGGGGTGGGGTGGGCACCACTGACTCCAGGACCCTGCAGGAGGCTGCTCAAGGTCCGCTCAGCAAGCCCCTCCCAGCTGGCCTGACCCCCTCCCAGCTGGCCTGACCCCCTCCCAGCTGGCCTGATCCCCTCCCAGCCTGAGCCCCTCCTGGCAGTTTGGTTTTTCTCCACTCGGCCTTTGCACCATCTTTATGTTTCCAGTCTCCCCAGCTAGAAGGTAAGCGCCAAGAGAGCAGGGAGGCTTCCCTCTTGTGCACTATTCACACCCAGTCCCGGGAACAGTGCCTGGCATGTGGCAGGTGTTCAATAAATATTCATGACATGAACAAAGTCATGCCGTGTGGCCAGCCAGGCTCAGCCTGCGTTCCTAACAGTCTCTTACTGACTCTGGGTAAGCCTCCATTTTCTTCTTGTGGACACAACCAGGTAGCCCCTTCATTTTGGAAGTCACAGACCAGCCTAATGGTCTTGGGCGAGTAATGGGGGTTCTCTCTGGTGAATTCTACACCTTGGGGAATTGTTTTTCCCCTTCCTTTTGCCAAGAGCTGTGATAGAAAACAATTATCCACCAAATTGGCAGGTCTAGGGGATTCAGAGAGAGGACATCACCTTCTTGGCAGTCTCATGGGAAGGTAAAGGTGTCTATCTGTTCACTGCCCTGTTTCTAGAGGCGTGCCTGACATAGGACAGGTGCTTACTATCCATGAAAGAAGGAGAGGATCTAGGACATTGGTCACTCACATGGACTCCCCGCTTCCCAGGCTGACCCCAACACCCCCAGCTCACCGCCACAGGAAACCACCAGTGTGGCTGCCCTCTTCCTGCATACCAGAAGCCCCCAGCCCCGCCACCCTCCATTTCACACCTGTGGACCTTGAATAAGCCAGGCCTCCCTGGAAGCAACAAGGAGGGCTGCCGGCACTGAGCCAGGGGCTGGGCCTCGTGGCTTTGGGATGGTCTAGTTCTCTTCCTCATCTTTCAGAGAACTCTTACAATAAACCCCTCTAAACAGGAACCTTGAGGGCATCTCTGTTCCCTGAAACTGAAAGCAGGTAGCCCACACCCAGGAATGGGGATTGAAAAGAGATCAGTGCTCCCCCTTCCCACACTCAGATCCTAACAGATGGCACAGGGATGACCCGAATTGGATCACAGATACTCAGGAGTGCAAACTGGGACCCCTCTCGCTTCCACATACCACTGCAGCCATCACTGGTCGGACAGCACCAGCCAGTGCTATCTATGCACACAGCAAGCGCTCAACAAGTGCACAAGTGTGGGAGGCTGCTTTCTGATGAAGAGTGAGTGCCTGCAATTCAGAGAGTTTATGCTGTCTTCCTGAAGTCTCTGTTCTTTTACTGATCATTTATCTAAATCGACTTTAATTCATCATCTCAACTAGATCATAAAACAGCTTAATTGATACTTATTTGATGGAATCTACCTTATTCGTGAAATTTATCACTTCATACAAGTGCAAGCAGGGACCAGGAAGCAGAGCTTGCCACCGTCACCGGAGTGATCCTCCAGCAGACTCATTCCTGGAACACTTAACGGAAGGGGGTGTGTTCCAAGATCCCAGCGCTCCAAATTAAAACCTGGCCCTCCCTAGGGCGCTTTGGACTTAGCCTATTGGATCCACACTGTGGTTTTAAAACATGTCTGCAAATCCTCTGGCACTCCTCCCACCAAGAAGTGGAGGCCAATTCTCCTCCCACTGAATACAGGCTGGCCTTAATGGCTCACTTGTAACTAATAGAACTCGGCAGGAGGGATGCCGTGTGACTTTCAAGGCCAGTTCATGAAAGGCAACACAGCATCCACCGGCTTTTCTCAGGACATGCATTTGAGGCCCCAGGGGAGAAATGTGGCTGTCCTGCAGCCGTCATGCTGAAAACCACATGGAGAAAGGGATGCCAGAGGAGCCCTGGCTGCTCTGTCCCCAAATGCTTGCATCTTCCCAGACCCACTCAGAGAAGCCTTTAAGATGACAGCCCAGCCACTATCTGACTGCAACAGCACTGAGACCCCAAGTGAAGCTGCTTGGGCCAGCCCCAGAACCAAGAGAGGTGATAATAATAAATGACTGTTGTTTCACACTGCTGAGTCAGGAGAGATTTGTTATGAAGCCAGAAATAACTGAAACAATACACAAATCTCACTAGCTGTGGACCCTGGCCAGGTCCCTTCCCTCTGCACCTGCTTTTGCTCATCTGAAACTAGAGGCCTGGGGACCCAGAACAGAATTGTGTGAGTTTTTGGCAAAAAAAAGAGAAATAAGGAAAAAGGGGGAGTTAAAAAAACAGGTATAGTGGAGCAAATCCTTCATAAAACCAATTATAATCAACTGAAGAAATATTTTGTATCTTGAAATGATGGCCTTCTTATATTGTTGGTGTCAAAATATTCTTTCCTTTATTTCATTTTATGAAATGATGATACAGTAGCTGACAACTGGCTTTTAATGGCCTCATTTGGTCAAATCAGAAGTTGGCCATCCTGGGTCAGCCCCACTGATATGGTTTGGCTCTGTGTCCCCACCCAAATCTCATCTTGTAGCTCCCATAATTCCCATGTGTTGTGGGAGGGACCCAGTGGGAGAAGACTGAATTAGCGGGACGGGTCTTTCTCATGCTGTTCTTATAATAGCGAATAAGTCTCAGGGGATCTGACGGGATTATAAGGGGGAGTTTCCCTGCACAAGCTCTCTTTGCCTGCCACCATCCATGTAAGATGTGACTTGCTCCTCCTTGCCTTCCACCATGATTGTGAGGCCTCCCCAGCCACATGGAACTGTGAGTCCAATTAAACCTCTTTCTTTCGTAAATTGCCCAGTCTTGGGTATGTCTTTTATCAGCAGTGTGAAAACAGACTAATACAGTAAATTGGTACCAGTAGAGTAGGGCATTGCTGAAAAGATACCCAAAAATGTGGAAGTGACTTTGGAACTGGGTAACAGGCAGAGGCTGGAACAGTTTGGAGGGCTCAGAAGAAGACAGGAAAACGTGCAAAAGTTTGGAACTTCCTAGAGACTTGCTGAATGGCTTTGACAAAAAATGCTTAATGATATGAACAATAAGGTCCAGGTTGAGGTGGTCTCAGATGGAGATGAGAAACTTGTTGGGAATTGGAATAAAGGTGACTCTTGTTAAGTTTTAGCAAAGAGTGGCATCTTGCCACATTTAGCAAAAAGGTGGCATTTTGCCCCTGCCCTAGAGATCTGTGGAACTTCAAGCTTGAGAAAGATGATTTAGGTTATCTGGCAGAAGAAATTTCTAAGCAGTAAAACATTCAAGATGTGACTTGGGTGCTGCTAAAGGCATTCAGTTTCAAAAGGGAAACAGCATAAAAGTTTGGAAAATTTGCAATGCAATTGAAAAGAAAATCCCATTTTCTGAGGAGAAATTCAAGCCTGCTGCAGAAATTTGCATAAATAACGAGGAGCCGAATGTTAGTCCCCAAGACAATGGGGAAAATGTCTCTAGGGCTTGTCAGAGGTCTTCATGCTAGCCTCTTCCATCACAGGCCCAGAGGCCTAAAAGGAAAAAATGGTTTCGTGGGCTGGGCCCAGGGTTCCCGTGCAGTGTGCAGCCCAGGGACTTGGTGCCCTATGTCCCAGTTGCTCCAGCCATGACTAAAAGGGACCAAGGTATAGCTCAGGCTGTTGCTTCAGAGGGTGGAAGCCCTAAGCCTTGGCAGCTTTCACACACTCTAGAGCCTGCAGGTGCAGAGAAGTCAAGAATTGAGGTATGGGAACCTCTGCCTAGATTTCAGAAGATGTATGGAAATGCCTGGATGCCCAGGAAAAAGTTTGCTGCAGGGGTGGGACCCTCACAGAGAACCTCTGCTAGGGCAGTGTGGAAGGGAAATGTGAGATTAGAGCCCCACACAGAGTCCCTACTGGGGCACTGCCTAGTAGAGCTGTGAGAAGAGGGTCACCATCCTCCACACCCCAGAATGGCAGATCCACTGACAGTTTGCACAGTGCACCTGGAAAAGCCACAGACACTCAACAACAGCCTGTGAAAGTAGCAAGGAGGGAGGCTGTACCCTACAAAGCCAAAGGGGCGGAGCTGCCCAAGACCATGGGAACCCACCTCTTGCACCATCGTGACCCAGACACAAGACATGCAGTCAAAGGAGATCATTTTGGAACTTTAAAATTTGACTGCCCTGCTGGATTTCAGACTTGCATGGGCCCTGTAACCCCTTTGCTTTGGCCAATTTCACCCATTTGGAAGAGCTGTGTTTACCCAATACATGTACCCCCGAAGCATCTAGGAAGTAACTAACTTGCTTTTGATTTTACAGGCTCATAGCCAGAAGAGACTTGCCTTGTCTCAGATGAGACTCTGGACTTGGACTTTTGGGTTAATGCTGAAATGAGCTGAGACTTGGGGGGCTGTTGGGATGGCATGATTGATTTTGAAATGTAAAGATATGAGATTTGGGAGGGACCAGGGGAGGAATGATATGGTTTAGCTCTGTGTCCCCACCCAAATCTCATCTTGTAGCTCCCATAATTCCCACGTGTTATGGGGGGGACCCAGTGGGAGATGACTGAATTAGGGGGGTGGGTCTTTCCCATGCTGTTCTCGTAATAGCGAATAAGTCTCCTGAGATCCGACAGTATTATAAGGGGGAGTTTCCCTGCACAAGCTCTTTGCCTGCTGCCATCCGCATAAGGTGACTTGCTCCTCCTTGCCTTCCGCCATGATTGTGAGGCCTCCTCATTCACGTAGAACTGTGAGTCCAATTAAACCTCTTTCTTTCATAAATTGCCCAGTCTTCGGTATGTCTTTATCAGCAGTGTGAAAACAGACTAATACACCCACCAGCGTTCTGAAATTTGACTGGTCTTCATCATCAAGGTTTGGGAACACCCAGCTAGCTGGTCTCAGATCACTTCCACATCTGAGAAGTGGACATTTCTGAAATTCCCTGTAGAAAGAGGAGATCTACCTCTTAAAATATACTCTACAAAAACTTGCCCTGGCTTGTCAGCTCAGACACCTAGCTCCAGCTTCCAGCAGCTCACTGGTCATGGCTGTCGCACACCCTTAACACAGCCCCACATGCCCATCCACCAGAGGCAGCATCCTCCTGCCTCAGAACCCCTGACTTGCCTGCCTTGCCTCTGGGGCCCACTCCTCCAGCCAGGCCCAGCAGGGCTGCAGGACCCCTGAGGGGATAGAGAGGTGAAGGATCAAACAAAAAGAATTCCTTCAAACCTGAGCAAAAAATGCCTTGCTCCCTAAGCCACGTCCCTCCTCCTGCCAGCATCTGGCCCTGTCAGAGGCAGGGCGGCTCACCACGGAGAGAAACACACAAACCTCCGGAAAAAGGTGTCAGCAGATCTGCACTTTCCAAAAACAGAGTGTTTTCAGGTCACAAAACAGAAAGACGCCAGCCCAAAACCACTGTGGGCTTCATTTCAAAAATGGTAAGGAGGCCTTCCAATGTTCAGCTCTTTGGCTTCTAGCTTGCAGGGTCGCCTCTCCTTTCTCTGTGGCCTGTGGTGCCTTTGGAGCGGCCACACCCTTGAATTTGAGGCCATGAGAGCGGCTAGTTCTGCTGGGCCCGATTCAGACCCTCCTTTCTTCTCTGCATCAAGTGGCAGCAAGCCACCCTCCAGCCACAGGGTGACAGGCTGGGGGAACGCGGTGGGCATGACTGAACTTGAGTGTTTTCTAACTCCCCAGGCGTCATCCACCAGGAAGTCCCAAGGAGCCCAGCCTCCCCTCCCTCTGCCCAACTCCTGTCATGGGCAGAGATGTGCAGCGATCCTGGGCCTGAGGCCCACGGGGGAAGTTCTGAGTTCCTCGGGAGGTGCTGTCGGCAAGGCAGGCTGGCGTTGATGGTTTCCCAATGCCAGATAAATACCGTTTTGAAGCCACAGTATTTCTCAAGCACAAATAGTACAGTAAAGCCGAGACATTTATATGCAATTGGGAGACATTTATCTGTGACAACATTCTATTCCAATGACTTTTCTATTACTGCCAATGATTAATGATGTAAATTCTGTCACTTGGGATGATGGATGCAGGGCAGCTGAGGGGCCTTTGCATAGATTACCCAAACTCTGTCTGCTCATTGGCTCCCAGGACAAATGTGGCCTGTGCTTCAGTCAAGCATAAATGTAAAGTTCTTTTAGATTAAAAAAATATTATTCTTCTTCAGTACTCTCCAGAAGCAGCTGGTTTAGGGCTGGGTGAAAGGTTTCTCCTCCTCCAATATGTCTTCCCTTTTCAGTGCCAGGGCTGCTGACATGCACTCCATTTAGGAATAATTGCATAATTCTTCCCAAACAGGAGCATGGGAGGCCTTCACCATTAGGAGCCACAGAAGGAAAGTTAGAGACAAGCAAGCAAGGCCCAAGAACTTGGGCATTTGGGGCCTTCTAGATGTGAGGCCTAACCCAGCCCCACCCAGCCTAGGTCCCAGACAGCATGGACACCTCTTGCCTCTCCACCTTGGTCATGTTGGTCCAGCTACCTGGAACGTCTTCGCTGTGACCCATGGCCTCCACCTGCTGAAATACTGTCCCTTGTTCACAGCACCAAAGATGGCATGTAGATGTCCCCCCCCGCCCCCGATGGGTTTTGCTTCTGCCCTTCCCCTCCTTGCTGCGTCTTTCTCGGGGCCCCCTCCCCCACCCCACTCTGCCCTCTCCTGTGGGTCTTCCTCTCTACTCCCAAATCTGTATTTCCTGGGCTATCCTTGGCTCTGAATTTCAAGCCCATAAATCCTACTGCAAAGCCGCACCTGGCTGTCTCAGGGCGGCCTCCAACTGAACTCTCCTCTGCTCCTCCTGGGTCATGGCAGTGGGTGCCAAAACAGAGACCTCAGGGCTGTCCTTAACGCCTCCCTTCCCCCCACCCTCAATGTCTGATCGATGGCCAAGTCCTACAGATTCCTTTTCTTACCAATCTCTTGAATCTGTCACTTCTCTCCAGCTCCATTGCCACACTCTGGGCCAACTGTCACCTAGGTTAATAATTGCAAGTTCTTGGTCTCTTAACAGTTTCCTCGCATCCAATCTTGCCACCCTGGGCTTCTCCAAGTCAGATATCTCATCAGCTGGCTCTCTCCTAGGCCCTCCACGGCACTTCATTTAAACCACCACGGCTTACCAGGCCCTGCATCCCGCCCACCTGCACACAACTCCACCCTCATCCTGCACCAGCCACACCCTCATTCCCCACACTGCAAACCCTCTGGCTTCCTCCAGTGTCATGAACAGGCTCATTCCCCACACTGCAAACCCTCTGGCTTCCTCCACTGTCATGAACATGCCACTCTCTCCCTGGATGCCATCTCTTTATAGGGCAACTCCCTCTGCCTGGAACAATCTTTCTCTCCCTGGCCCCCTTCACCTGGCTAACTCTCACTCATCCTTCATGTCTCAGCTTAGACACCACTTGCTCAGAGAAGTCTTCCCTGACCCACCCCACACAGACTACGTGGGCTTTTCTATGAGCTCCAGAATGGCCTGTAATTGTCCCCTCATGTACCTCAACAGGCCTCCGCCTCCCTACAGTGGAAGCTCACGGCAAGCTCAGGTCCACATTGGTCTTGTTCATCACCTGTACAGCTCAGCACCTGCTATGACATCTGCACGGAATAAGTGTCCATGACGTATCTATCTGCTCAATGGGTGAACAAAGCAGAAAACGTATCTACTGTGAGGCTACTTCCCCATCCCTCCCTAGAGTGCCAACTCCTGGAGGCCCAGGACCACAACCAGTTCATCTCTGGATGCCTAGGGAGCCCACCATGGGTCTCACACAGAGCAGGTGTTCAGAACAAGCTTGTGGAGAAAGTAGGAGAGAAGAAAGAAAAATCCTGATATAAAAGCACATGGAACCTAGAAAATCAGTGGCCTTATTCATACAGCAAAGTGATAAAAGTTTAAAGAAGGAGAGAGAATTGATTTGGAGTGTGCAGCAAACATGAGGGCCTGTAAGTCAAGCTGCCGTAAATGCTGGGGGAGAGCAGCCTGGTTTCCCTGCAGAAACTCGGAAAGCAGTTGTCATTCAGAGGTGGGGCGGGCCTTACAGGAACTCGGCCGGCGGCTCCTGGATCTGGATTCCTGGCACTCCTAACTCAATTTGGCCATCGTCTTAGTGTCCTTTCTTGGAAAACGGATGAGCTTTCTACTCTGTGATGCCCGGGAAGCGCCCTGGGCTCTGCGCTGACAGGTGGTGGAGCTGAATCCAGCCCAGGCAGGGTGAGACCCGGAGGTCTCTGTGGTCCTGAGGATTCCCACCCGATAGCAGGAGAAAGCAAAGAGGAAGAACACAAAGACATCACATGCCCCTGGCTCCCTTCTCGTCCCCTTCTCTGGCAGCCTGGTCGCCTCTGAGATGTCTGCACCTGGGAACAGACCGCGAACAGCACTCACAGGCATGCCCAGGAGACTCAGGGCTCCACCACCCACTCCAAGTGCCAGGGACCCACCAGAAAGCAGCTAGGGCACATTCAAGGGCTCCTAATGCACAGACCCCAGGGGATCAGTCCCCCATGCTGAAGTCTAAGAATGACCGATGGTGGGGTCAGAGACTCAGTTGTAGGATAGACGGTCTTGGAGAAGTCATCAGGGCCACCCCTGTCTGCAGGCCCCAGTCAGAGAGACAGGCTTCGCCAGCATATAGGATCACTGCTTGCTTAGAGACCATGAATGCTACTGACTCCATCTTCCTCACCACGCCAGTGGCCATGGCTGACAGGGCTGGAAACCAGAGGCCGGCTGCTGCTTCTGCTGTGATTCTCCTCCCTCTCCGGCAAGCCCTGTGATGAGCCCTCCACTGCACAGCCCTCCCTCCCACAGTCCTCTCCTTCTAGACCACGTTGTCCACTCTCTCTAGCTTCAGGCTGCACTGCTCCCACCTTCTTGAACACCTTGGCTCCACTAAAACCCTTCCGGCCTGGCTTCTTCTCTTCCTGTGAAATTTCTCAAACCACAGCCTGTACCAATGCCCCCACATCAGGAAGCTGGGCAGGAAAAGAATTAAAACCCAAGTCACCAAGAAGACAGGACAGGGAAATTATAAAATGCAGAAATCCAGGGTACTTATGAAATTACTAGATTTCTTGGCTGAGTGAATGCACATACCTAACCACAAAAATTATTTTCCAAGTTTGGCTTTTAGGTTCCTGGAGTGAAAGGAGTAAAAAAATCTAATCTCTGAAACCTTCATAAATATATGCTTTTCTTTTTTAATGAAACTACTTAGACGAATCCACTTTTGCCTGACAAAGTAGAGGAATCCAAAGTGTCTGGATTTTAAAAGCTTCCATTAAAGTGGCTTTTCTTTTTTCAAAAAGTAATGAATTGAAAAATAAATCAGAAGGCTTAATTAAGCCTGAGGCCCGTAAGAGGCAGCCAGGGCAAAGCTTCCTGACAAGCCCACAGAGCCAGAGCAGGGCCGAGCCTCCCGCTCTGCTTATTCTTGAAGCAGCTCCGGCCAAAGGCATGCCTTTGAATCGCACAGAATTAGAATTCAGCAGTGATTCTTTCAGGCAGTACAGTGTGTCTTTACTGGTGCTACAGCAGGCTCATAAATTAAGATTAAAAAGTTGGTCAGATGGAGACAAAAACGTGTTTCTGGGGAGAGGAGAAAAAAACGCAGAGTAACATCCCAGAGTCTGCAGGCTCCCAGCATCTCCCTGGCCACATGAGCGCCTCAGCCCAGCTAAACTAAAAGCCCCTGGCTCGTTCAAGCCAGACCTGGCCTTAAAGAGGGAAAAGGTCTCTGTCCCAACCATGTACATGTGCCACCCCTTCCTAGGGGCCTGCCTGGGAATAGGTTCCACCAGTGGGTAAACAGCACCCCACACAGCCTAACCACTAGTCGGAGGCCACAAAAAATGGCCATTGCATGGCCACTAGCTAGGGCAGCCGATAGCCGTGTGTGCATGTGCCTGTGAGAGAATCCGCCTCATCTCAGAGTACATATTCATTTATTTGAAAGCCTTATATAGCATCTGTTAAATATATCAAGTGCACAGAGGTAGAACAGTGAAAAAGTCAGAGATGGCCAGGTGTGGTGGTTCACGCCTGTAATCCCAGCACTCTGGGAGGCCAAGGCAGCAGATCACCTGAGGTAGGAGTTCAAGACCAGCCTGGCCGACATGGTGAAACCCCATCTCTACTAAAAATACAAAATTAGCAGGGCTTGGTGTCAGGCATCTGTAATCCCAGCTACTCGAGAGGCTGAGGCAGGAGAATCACTTGAACCCGGGAGGCAGAGGTTGCAGTGAGCCGAGATCACGCCGTTGCACTCCAGCCTGGGCAAAAAGAGCAAAACTCTATCTCAAAAAAAAAAAAAAAAAAAGAGATGAGCCCTGCCTTTTTGCAACCTACATTAATGTGAGGGAGGCAGATGCTCAAATGGATCATCTTAGAAATAGGTCGGTGTGTTTGTGCCCAGTGTCCCAAAAGCAGTACGAGATGATATGAGTGAAGAAGCTGGCCTTGTAGCCTCTTTACTCCTTTCTCAGGACACTGATGGAAATCCTGTGCTCCAGACAAAAATACTACTCATTTGCCTCCAAATTCATCATTACCTGCTCCTACGCCTGTACTCATGCAGTCCCTTCCACCAGGAAGGCCCCCATCTCTACCTTTCAAACATCCTACTCTGCCTTAAGAACCCACATCCACGCTGCCTCTTTTGTGATGCATCTAGTAGTCCTCTCCTCCCACAATCTCCCTCCTGAGGACCTTCCTCAGCACCATCTCTGGAACTGAGCACAGGGCCTGGCACAGCACAGTTTGTGCTGAATCAAACAGAAACGCTCATCCATAAAGCTACTTGAAAATACTCAGGAAAAGAAGAGATCAGCACCCAGGGCAGGAAGAAACTTCTGGGAAGAAGTCAATCTGAGTCTATGCAGGAGGAAGCTGGGGGCAGGGGGAAAGGGAGGCAAGGTACCCCACGCAGGGGGTCAAGCAGGGTGCTGACCACTAGGGGAAGAATGCCTCGTTACCATGATGGCTCTGCTGGGGAGGGCACCCCAACAAGGCTGGAGGGCCAGGGAACCCCAAAAGCAGGCAGATCTGGGAGGTTTCTGCAGGCTCCTCAGCAGAGCTCTGACCGTCCTGATGGAAACAGTCTGGCCATGTGGCACTGCACACACTGGGTCAGAGCAAGCGGAGGGTGGGGAGGCCAACTCACCCTCCAGGCCAAGGGGACTTGGGGCCAAGCAGTGGCCGCCAGAGCAAAGACAGGGCATGGACCTAAAGGAGAAACTGGCCTCTAAAATACGACCCCTTCCTCCACATCCTTTTGTCCCCAGAAGTGTTTACAAACATGAAGAGGAAGGAAAGCACTTAGGGAATTTATTTAGAGTGGAGGAACCTGAGCACAGATCATGTAAATCACTCAAGGTCACGGCATGCTGATGGCAGCCTGGGGAGACCAAGTTGTAGCCAAAAACAGGGAGGTGCTGGCAAGGCAATAACTCCACGCTGGGCGCTGGAGTTCACAGGGCCTGGGCTGGGTTCAAATCCTGCTTCTGTGACTGGCCACACAACCTCCTGGTGCCCAAGCTTCCCTCCCCACACAGTGGAAACAGAAACAACTCCCAGCTGCCGACTGGGTAGTGGGAGGATTCAGTGACGGGCATGGAGGCGGGCAGCACGCCTGGCTCCCAGCTCAAGCTCAGTGTGGGGCAGTATGACAGCGCCTCCCCTGTGAACTGGGGTAGTCTTCTGCTGAGAGGGAGGCAGAGGTGGGGCATGAGGGAGCTGGGAGCAGGCATCCGCCTGGAGGACAGGCTGCTGGGAGGGCCGACCAAAATCCTCCTCCCCTGCGGAGGGACAGAGCCCCTCCCTAAGCCAGACAGTTATCTAACGGAAACATGAACTTCTTTACTATGGCATGAGAAAGACCAAGGTTATTTTGAAAAGTACCAAGAAATGTTAATTCCCCGGGGCTCTTTATGTAAAGACAGACTAAAATCCAGAGGATAGAGTGGTCCCCAGGAGACTGACAGGAAGAAAGCCACTTTAATATTTCATTAGTGTCCCATTAGCAAGACAACACACATTTTCACACTTGGTGACTTCTTGGGAATAATTTCTCATTCAGAAACAAAGGGGGATGCTACTGCTGCTTACCCCGCTGGCCTGCTAAGCATCCTGAAGCAGCCAGTTGGAAAGAACTTGACCTTCAGGGTTACAGCTACTCAAGCCAATGAACTCCATTGTGCAAGACTTCCTGGGGAGGCTCCTATGAAACCCACTAATCCAGGGATTGAAAGCCAAGCAATTGAGCTGCAAAAGTAAAGCAAGTCTGTCTTATGTTCCTTAAGCCAGGCTCACACTGCTCAGCCCTCCAGGCCTGTCACACTAGAGCCACCCACCAATCCGGGGATCCTACAAACAACACCCTTCAGCTATAGCCTGAAAAGAAGGGAAGGGAGAGGGAAGGGGAGGGAAAGATAAGAGAAAGAAGGGAAAGAGAGCAGGGATTCAGGAAGACAAAGGGAGTTGATCTTAGCAGCTAGCATTGTGCAGATCACTGTCACATTCAGCTGCTCATCAAATATCTCCTGTGCCCTCAGTGTGTGCCAGGAATATGCTTGATGCAGGGCTCGCGGAACAGAGCCCGCAGACAGCAAGCGAGGAAACACATGAGGGAATCACTCGAAGTTGTTAATTTAGGTTCCACAAGAGACCAGAGAGGTGGTTCTCGGCCTTCCCATTTTTCAGATGAGGAGCTCAGCCAGCACCTTACCAGCGGGGTTTCTGGGGGACTTGGTAAAGGGAGGGGTGGATCTGGCCTCGGACAGGGGGCTTCTCAGCCCTATGAAGGTCTACCTGTCTTACAGATCATTTACAGAGATGGCTCAAACATGAAGATCATTTACAGAGATGGCTCAAACATGAAGATCATTTACAGAGATGGCTCAAACACAGGAAGATCACTTACAGAGATGGCTCAAACACAGGAAGACACTGCACAGGGCCTTTGTTTTCTGGTTTCTGGCTTTGTGGCTCATATCTCTCTCTCCGTGTTGACGATAATTACTCACAGGCAGGAGGATGGCTCAGCCCCTTCTCCTCATCCCCCACAAGGTCACAGGGAGGTCGAAGGAGCTGACACCAGGTACTGTCCTCTCAGCTCCAGTGGGCTTCTTCATGCAGGTGGCCTCCTGGGCCCCAACTCCCTCCAAGGACCACCTCACAGAGCCAGCCTGCCATTTGCCACCAGCTCCCAGTCCTGAGCTAACGTCCTCACCACGTTCAAGGAGCAGAGGGCACCTGGTCTCCAAGGACACCCTCCCCTCTTTCCCTCCAATTTGGTCTATTAACTTAAAACAAAGGAAGCTGGCCAGGAGTGGTAGGCACAGGGGATGTCTGAGAGGATGTAATTAATGCAGCTGCTCCAAACGGAAGGTAACACCTTGTCTCCTCATTAGCAGATGTACTGCAATTTAGGATGACATCCTGGACGCGAGCAATGGGGACACACAGCTCCCTGGCAAGTCCACTCCTTGCCCGCCACTTCCATTTCCTCACTGTTGAGCAATTATGAACAAAGCACCCCCAGCAGAAGGTTCTGAGCTGCTGAAGTCCAGCCACAGGGTTCTAGCAGCCCAGGGCCTGGGTCCAAAGCTCCACGGATCCAGCAACCTTGGGTTCCCACATATAGCCCCAGTAGGTGACAGGCAAGCACACCTCCGCCTTTGAAATATTTCCTCATTAAATATTCAGCATGGGTTCCTGACCCTGTTTGCTGCGCTCTATAAACAGAAAAGGCACAAGATGGACTGCAAGGACACAATGACCTTCCCAGATAGTGACATGTTGGAGGGACTCAAGGTATGCAGAGACCCGCTTTCCAACAGCTCAGGCCCAAGTCAAGTTACATTAGCATTTTCCTTTCAAGAAACAAGACCAGCATTTCCCTCCCCACCCTGCTCCCCTCAAAAAATGAGCTGAGCCTCCAATGTAGCAAAAACATTTCAGTAGAGGGAATGAACCCTGCAAAGTTACGTTCCAGCCTGGCTAAAAAGAAGTTTGGGGCCACCCAGGTGACTCTGTGCCTATGCAGAAGCTGAAAGAAAACTGGGGTAAAAAGAAGAAAAAAACAGTTGCCATACTGGTGTTTTGAGACTACAGCTTCTCCTTTCAAACCAGCAGGTCACCTAGATCAAGCCCATGAAGGCTTTGGAATCATCTGAATAGTGAACCTTAATTATGACCCAGCAGGAGAACAATAAACAAGGTGCCCCTTGCATTGCTGGGCAGCCACCTGGGCCCTATAACGGGTACTAGTGCCTTAGCATGTCAACTCCAAGAGGACAGCAAGTGGCTTGGCCTGGACCCAAACACCTAGTCAATATATAGATAAAGCCAAAAGCAAACAAGGATTGCTGCAAATTCCACAATGGCACATTGTGAGAAAGGCCAACTGATTTTCAGGATTGGTGACCTGGACCAGGTTAGCTGCTCCAGAGAGTTCCATACAGGCTGGGCCACCCTTGGGGCAACCAGCCTAAGTACATGCAGAGGCAGGAAAACTTCCTTGGCTTCAGCTTAACACCAGAGGGGCCAAAGCCAAAAGTCACCACTATCCTTGCTTAGAGCTGAGCCTGAAAACCGGGAGACCCAGGAAGTTCACTCAGGAGTCTTTTCCCCAAGTCTTTTTGTGCACACAGATTAATTGTATCTGGCTCATCCTCAAGGTCACAGAATCAGTCCAGGACAGAGCTGAATGTACCCAGGCCACCTCCTGTGGGTCACCCCACCTGCTCCAGTTAGTCCCTCATTGCAAACTCACAGGCAGGCAGAGGCCCCTTAGGAGACCAGAGCCCTCCACGCCCCATGGGCTGCGCCAATCCCATACAGCCAAACCCCTGTGAGGCACAGCTCTACCGCCTGCTGTGTCTGCCAGCCCAAGGGTCTGCTGTAGAGCCCACTGCAGGGTAGAGGCCCCCCGCCCCAACCTGAGAACTGTTACCCTGCTGGAGATGGGCCTTTTCTGGCTCTGAATTTCCAAATTGTGCCTGCTTCCAACCTCCCTCGTGATGCCAGAAGCACTTCTTTGTCATTTTTAGGGAGTTCCTGAGAATGAAATAACTATACTTTTGCTTAGAAATTCACAAGTATTCGGAAGTAATTCAGACATACTGTATCCAAATATTAGGTACTAGGTATTATTAAGTAGTATTAGGTGACTTTGTGTGTCCTTTCATCTAAATTATTAAAAGTCCCAAGGATTCTCCAGTCCACATCTAATACTTCAGATGATCAAAGCAGACAAATAAATTGAGTTTTCTTTTAGAGGCCAGGAAATCCTTGTTTTCTTGAGGAGTAGAAGAGAACGTAGCAAGTCAGCCTGCTTAATCCTACCTGTCACCATTGGAAAAAAATTTTTAAAAGGATTATGATATAAAATGATGCAGATGCTTGTGGTTATTATTGTACTTCGCCATGTTATTCTTTGATTCGATGCTTTTTAATTAAATTTAAATTGATCGAGCAGTTTCAGCCATGACTTCTCAATACTCATGTGTGATTCTGAAGATGCCAGCATCTGGCTAAATTAATATTGCACACTTACTTGTCAATAACAACTCCTGGTGGAGAACTGCACATTCAGGGGCCCTGGCACAGGCTGTCCCACTGAGCAGCTGCAGGGGAGGCGAAGCCAGGAGCACTTCCACGAAGACTCCTACCTAGCTCTGGGGTTGAGCTCACAATGCCATAACCCCAGAGTCTCATGAAGGGTATGTTATCAAAGTTGAACCAAGCATATTTTTAAAAATTTTCATGTCCATTTCCCTAACTCTCTACCCCAAGAAAAGGAACGAGGACTATAATCCACAACTATGAACCTGGGCTGCACCAAACCCTGGAGAAGATGACAGAGCCACTTTCCTAAGAGCCTCCAGTTGACAGTAGACCATCAGGAGGTGATCGCGTTGCCAGTTCACTGACATGAAAACCTTTTCTTGGGGAAAGCATGCTCAACTTTTACTTTAAATATACTTCTTGAATATTCTGGCTTCACACTTGCAGCGAGCAGCGGGCAGCATTTCCAGAGCCAGGAGATAAACTTGAGAGCAGAGGGCATGGTGGAGAAACAAGGCAAGAACCCTGGCCTGTCAGCCTGCTTGCCGTGGGCACTGCTGGACACAAGAGGCGTGAAGGGAGTGAGGGGGAGTAACGGCCCCTCTGCGTGTGCCTTGGCACCCTGGAGGGGACAGGACGTGGGATGATGACGGATAGCATTAAGTGCCTGGAAGAAAATGATGCAGGCAGAAGGGGATGGGATGTCTTCTTCATAAAGGGTGACGAGCAAAGAAGGGGTTCTCAAGTCACAGGGTGGGCACTGTCTGGGGGTCCAGGCAGAAGGGACAGCAACTTACTTGGCACGTCTGAGGGAGAAAAAATGGCCAGCCTGGCTCCAGTAGGCAAGGAAAAAGTGACAAGACATGAGGCCACGAGGCTGGCGAGGGAGCCGGAAGGCAGACCACCACGGCAATAGGGCTGGGAGGCCTCTGGGTTTTGTGGGCACTGTGATGGGCAGGCAGGAATGACAGTGGGGCGGGAGAGGCTGGAACTGCGCCAGGTCTGAGGACCACAGTGGCTCCCAGGTGGGGCAGGAGCAGAAGGGCTGGACAGGAAGGGCCCCACCGAGGGCTGACTGGTCTGCCAGTCACGGGGCACATGCCCACGCTACTTCTGGAGTGGCTGAGGGCACTCCTCCCAGGCCAGGGGTGGTCGTCCTTACGCCCTGGGCAGGCTGGCCCCGTACCTGCTGCTCGACTCAGAACCTTCAGTCTTACTGGGAAGAGACTATGGACCCAGGGGACCACCGGCTCACCATTCAGCAGGAGTCCCATGAAGCCCCGAACGGTGCCTGGCTCACTGAAGGTCATAGAGCGGCGGTCTGGACAAGCCAGAATTCTTCAGTTGCCTTCATGTGAAACTCCCCCAGGAGCATGCCCTGCTGGGGAAGTGTTCTTGAGTCAAGCTGCAGCAACCCACTCACACTTGAAAACCTCTGCATGCACCCTGCGTAGAAACACGGGACAGCGGGGGGAGGGCAGGAGGGGGCGCCGGGAGAGCTGCTGCTGAGACTGCAAGTTCGTTTGCCATGTCTCCTTACAACAAAGTTCCTAGAGGTCAGGGACTATGTCCCTCCATCCATCCCAGAGCCCAGATGTCTGGCGACTCAGCAAACACTGAATGTTGATGATGCTGCTCGGCCTCCAGAACATCCTATAACTCTTACTGTTTTACCAACTCAAGGACACAGCAGAAACCACACACCGGATTTTTAGAAAGCAAACAAAACTGAAAAGCAATTAGAACAGACAAATCACATATATTTAAATACTGAGATCTTAAATGATGCCTGCCTATCCCGAAGATGGATCTCAATTTCCTCTTCAGACCCGAGACTTCCTGCGAGAGAACAAAGGCCATGTCACAGGGCTGGGACGCGGGGGATGGGAGAGACAACAGCTCCCACCTCTACAGCGGGTCACAACTGCTTCTCCTTAGTTGCCCACATGGCTAAGGCAGAAAGGTTTTAAACTTAGCTAAAATACATATTTTGATTTACTTTAGAAACTTGAACTGGCCCCAGGCAAATAATAACTACATGAGAATATTTCATTTAGCACCTTCCTCTTTCACTCCCTTTAGGGAAAAGACTGCTGCACTCGAAAATGAGGGGGAGGGAAACTTAAAGGAAAAATATATTCGAACAACAGCCAGAGTGGGGAAGGTAGGCACACATTTCTGAGCCAAGTTCCAAGCTCCTGTTGCTCCAATTTGCCTTTGAAACAATTCCACTTTGCCTTCTGTTGCTTGAACAATAATTATTAAAGGTATCAATTAAAAGTGCCCAACTCCATTGCTCCCATGGCCAAAGTCCCTGGCACATCTCCCGCCATTGCCTGCAGCACCTGCCACCACCCTGATTTTCTGTGTCAGTGGGGTAGAGCCAGTCTAGGATAGAGCCTCTTCTTTGGTTGATTTAAGGCTGGGAGAAGGGCCACTACCCATGGCCCTGCCACAGTGAGGAAGGAAAAGCAGAGCCTTTTCTGCCATCTCTAAGTAGCTAGCATCAGTAGCCTAGTCACAACAAATGCACTGGGCTCAGTATTGGGAAGACAGTCCTTTATACAAATTTGGCACCTCTATATCCAGAAAGACCCCTTGGCAGGGGGTTTCTCCCCATTCTTCTCCCTCCTCCCTCATCTTGCCAGGAGGAGGAGGACCTGGGAGTACCATTTGACATGACACGAAAGAGGGAATCCCTCTTCTTAGCATCACCCACTGGAAAGCTTCCAGATAAAACAGCAGTCGCTCCTGGCTTGTCAGAAAAGACCGTGGGTGACTTGGAGGGCTCACGATCCTAAGCAGGTGCTGGGCTCCTGTGGCCAGAGCCTCAGAGTTCCCACAGGCAACACCAGCTCCACATCCCTTCAGGACATCTATCTGAAGGAGCAGAGGCGTGTGTGGGAGCTGCAGGCACAGAACCAGCAGCAGGAGCCACTCCAGGGAGGATGAAGCAGCACTTCCCATAGGGTCCACAGGCAGCAACTCTGCACTCTGGCAACCCTGCACCGAGCACACTCTGTATATGAGGCCCTGTATCTGGCCCCAGAACACGCAATAAGAGATGCAGGCACTAACCCAAAGAGCTCTAAGTATGAGGACAGATACTTGCATGAACTATTAATAAGAGACAAAGCACAATGCAAACGCAAAGCAGGGGGCAGGGGCACGGACAATACAGAGAAGAGGGAGAGTTTAACTGAAACTTGAATGTGAAGCCTTTACCCAAGTGCAGAAGGGCCAAGGGACTGCATGGACAAAGGGTTCCACTAGGAGCTGAAGCTTTATTATGAGAGGGAAGCGGGGCTGGTGGCAGGGGTGGGGCAAGACAGAGGTGGATGGTAAAGAAAGGAGGAGCAGGCCGGGCATAGTGGCTCGCGCCTGTAATCCCAATATTTTGGGAGGCCGAAGCAGGTGGATCACCTGAGGTCAGGAGTTCAACACCAGCCCTGGCCAACATGGTGAAACCCTGTCTCTACTAAAAACACAAAAATTAGCCAGGTGTGGTTGCGCACACCTATAATCCTACCTACTCAGGAGGCTGAGGCAGGAGAATTGCTCGAACCCGGGAGGTGGAGGTTGCAGTGAGCCAAGATTGCACCACTGCACTCTAGCCTGGGCAACAGGAACAAAACACCGTCTCAAAAAAAAAAAAAAAAAAAAAAGGAACAAGGCAAGGAGACCCAGGAATAGTTCAGGGACTCACGAGGGCCCAAGCTGGGGCAGTGGAGATGGAGAAGATGGGAGAAAACATGAAGTTCACAGGCAGAATTTATGGATCTTCATTCATGACTCCAGGGAGTGCCACACAGCAACAGAGCGGACCCCAGAGTGGCAAGCGTGGGCCACTGGCCTCAGGACACACAGCAAACCACACGAATAACCTGTTGGAGAAAGAATGTTTGGCTTTGGACACACAGCGAGTCGGAGTGTTCAGCGTGCAATACGAAACAAAGGCTTAGGCCAGGTGTGGCGGCTCACGCCTGTAATCCCAGCAGTTTGGAAGGCTGAGGCGGGAGGATCACTTGAGCTCAGGAGTTCGAGATCAGTCTAGGCAACACAGCAAGACCTCGTCTCTGCCAAAAATTAAAAAAAAAAAAAAAAAAAAAAAAAAAAAAAATTAGCTGGGCATGGTGGCGCATGCCTGTAGTTCCAGATATCGAGTGGCTGAGGTGGGAGGACTGCTTGAGCCTGGAAGTTTGAGGCTGCTGCGGCTGCTGTGAGCTATGTTGTTCATGCTACTGCATTCCAGCCTGGGGCGATAGAGGAAGACTCTGTCTCAAAAATTAAAAAAAAAAAAAGAAAGAAAGAAAAAAAAAGGCTTAAAGTTCAGGGGAGGAGAGCCTAAAGATATAGATGTGGGTGTCATTGGCAGATAAACAGAAATTTAAATCAGAAAACAGTCCAGAGAGCTCTTAGTAAAAGAAAAGAGAGCCAAGAATATAAAGCTCAGGAGAGCCATCTCAGAGGGTGCCCTTGAAAGGGGCAGGGACCAGATGGTGAGGCAGGAAGACGGTGTCCCAGGGCTGAGGGAGAGACAGGTCTCCTTTCAAGAAAAGGACAGCTAACATCAACAAATGCTACAGAGAAGCCAGGAAGGATGAGGGCTGAAAAGAGGCCATGGGATTTAATAACTAAGCGTGTTCAGTGAATTCTAACATGAGAAGTGCCTATTGAATGGAATGAGGAGGCAGATGCACGATTTCTGTGGTGAAGGAAAGAATGGGAAGGGAAATGGAGAGAGAAAATAGTACCAGGGAAGGGCCAGGAGAAACTTACACAAAATGAGAATGGCAGCACATTGCTGAGTAGAGTGAGCAAGGTAGAATAAATATCTGGATATGTCGTTTGAACTCAAGAGAGAGGAATAAACTGTAGATAATTTGGGAATCGTCAACAGAGTGGTAATGATAGAAGTCTTGCCCAACGATGACACTGCCCATGGAGAGTACAGATAAAAAGAAGGTCTGCGATGTCCACAGGAAACTGGAGCAAGGGCCTCTCTTCCAATCCTTTGTCCACACCGTTCCTTCCTTCCCACCCATCCAGCTCAATCCATAATGATGAATTCCAGCTACATTAGTTTCTGGAAGGAGTTGCCCCTTAAGATTAGGCATATGGAAAGTCTTCAACTTCTTCGTAACACTGAGGTTCTACAGATGGTGAACTGGTAAATAAAGACAGGTCCTATAGGACCCAGGGTCAGAAACATGGGTTACTCACCTGTTCCTTGGATATTCTGAAGCTCTGAGCCATGTCCAAGAGCACAATCACAAGCTGAGTCTTTCCTCGTGCTTCAGTAAAATACTGGATAATGCCAACAAGATGCACCACATAGAAACTTGGGTTATGCAAAATGCACATAATGATGACCCAACAGAATAAATGGTTCTAAATAAACTTAGGATTCAATAAAACAGCTGTAAAAGTGGGTTTTAAATATATTTTTAATTAAGGTATAATTAACATACAATAAAATGTATAGATCTTCATCTGCTGGATGAGTTTTAAGAAGTGTATAAACACGTAATCACTACCCAAAATGGGAGTGAGCCTACACTTCCACCACCCAAAACCTTCCTTGCCTCTTTCCGGTTAATTCCCCTCCCTACTCTTAAGAAAACACTTTTGATCACCATAGAGTGGTCTCATCCGTTCTTGGATTTTATCTAAATGCATTCATAGGGTATGTCCTTCTGTTCTTCAGCTCCATCCATATGGTTGTTAACAGTAGTTCATTCTTTTTTATTACTCAGCAGTATTCCACTGTAATAATTTATTCATTCTTCAGTTGATGGATATTTGGGCTGTTTCTATTTTTGGCTTTATATGAACATTCTTATATAAGTTCTTTTGGGAACATATATTTTCATTTTCCTAAAGTAAATACTTAAGAGTGGAACTGTTGGATCATGGTGTACATGTATGTTTAATTTCAGGAAAGAAAACCTGCCAATCAAGTCTCCCAAGGGGTTGGACTACTTCATACACCAACCAGCAATGTTTGAGAGTTGCAGTTGTTCCACAATCTCACCAACATTTCATGTTGATAGTCTTTTTTATTTTAGCCACTCTAATAATAGATGGCATCTCACTGTGGTTTTAACTTGTATTTCCCTGACGTTGAACACCTTTCTACATGCTTATTGGCCATGTGTATAACTTCTTTTGTGAACTACCTGTTCAAAGTGCACAGGTCCATACATTCTGACAAACAAACAGAGCTGCATAACCACAATCACAAACACCATACAGAAAATTTCCATCACCTCAAAAAGTTCCCTTGTGCTCTTCTGTAACCGACCCACCCACAGCAACCCAGTCCACAGCAACCACTGATGTTTTCTTCCCATACAATTTTGGCTTTTCCAGAAGGTCACATAAACAGAATCAGGCCTTTTGAGTCTGGCTTCTTCTCACTAATCATAATGCATTCGAGACTCGTCCATGTTGTGTCACTTTGTTCCTTTTCACTGTGAGTAGTACTCCAATGAAGTTGCTTATTCATTGGCCAGTTGAATGACATTTGGGTTGTTTCAGCTTTTGAACATCATGAGTAATGCTGCTGTAAATGTTCCCATACAAATTTCTGTAGGTGCATAACTTTATATTCTCTTAGGTAAATACCTAGAAGTGGGATTGCTGGGTCTTGCTGTAAATGCAGATTTGTAAGATTCTTAAGTGTAGACTTATAAGAAAATGTCAATGTTGTTTCCAAAGTGGCTGTAGCATTCTGCATTCCTAAAAGCCAGTACGAGTTTTTATTTTTATTTTTTTTTTTGTGTGTGTGTGTGTGTGTGTGTGTGTGTGTGTGACAGTCTCACCTTGTCATTCGGGCTGAAGTGCAGTGGCGTGATCTCTGCTCACTGCAACCTCCAACTCCTGGGTTCAAACTATTCTCCTGCCTCAGCCTCCCAAGTAGCTGGAATACCGGGGCCCACCACCATGCCCGGCTAATTTTTGTACTTTTAGTAGAGACGGGGTTTCACCATGTTGGCCAGGCTGGTCTTGAACTCCTGACTTCAAGTGATCCACCTGCCTTGGCCTCCCAAAGTGCTGGGTAAATTACAGGTGTGAGCCACCGCACCAGGCAAGAGTTTCAGTTTCCCTACATGTTCACCAGCACTTGGTATTACCAGGGTCTTTTTGGTTTTATTTTGGGAAGATACCCTAGTAACTGTGTACCAGCATCTCATTGTGGTTTTTAGTTTCATTTCAATGATGAATAACGCTGTTGAACATTCTTCATGTGCTTAGTTGCCATCTGTGTATCCTAAGATGTCTAGAGAACTCTCTTGCCCATTTTTAAATTGGGTTGTTTTAAAGTTTTTAAAGGTTTTAAAGTTCTTCATACATTATGGATCCCTTATTAGACGTATGTTTTACAAAGGTTCCTCCCAGTCTGTGGCTTGTTTTTTCATTATCTAAACAGTACCTTTTGAAGAACAGGATTTTTTAATTTCTAGGAAGTCTGATGTTTTGTCTCTTATGGATTGCACAATTGGTGCCATATCTAATAAATCACTGCTAACCCAAGGTCATGAAAACTTTCTCCCATGTTTTCTTCCAGAAGGCTTATAGATTTAAACTTAGGTCTATGATCCACTTTGAGTTAATTTTTATATACAGTATGGGGTATGGGTTGAGGTTCATTTTATTTGCACATGAATGTCCAGTTGTTCCATTACAATCTGTTGAAAAGACTATCCTTTCTCCATTGAATTCCCTTTGCACCTCTGTCAAAAACCAATTGAGCATCTATGTGTGGATCTGTTTCTGGATTCCCTATTTGGTTCCATTGATTTATATGTCCATCTTTTTGCAATACCACACTGTCTTGATTACTGTAGCATTACAGGAAGTCTTGAAATCAGGCTATCTCCTAGCTTTGCTCTTTTTCAAAGCTGCTTTGGTCTTTCTAGATCTTTTGCATTTCCATAAAAACCTTGCAATTAGTTTATCTAGATTTTGAGTAGGATGGCACGGAATTCATAAATCAATTTAGGGAAAACAGACATCTTACTATTTAGTCTTTCAATACATGGTATAGCCCTCCATTTATATAGATCTTCTCTTAATTTCTCTCACAGATATTTTGTGGTTTTCAGCATAGAGGTCTTACACATATTCTTAGTTTTATTCTAAGGTATCTGAAGTTTTTGAAGCTACTGTAAATGGTACTGATATTTAAGTTTCCTCTTCCAATTGTTTGTTGCTAATATATAGAAATACAATTGATCTTGTATCTTGTTGTCTTGCTGAATTCATTTATTCTCATAGGTGCTTGGGTTTTTTTTTATATAGATTCCATGGGTTTTTCATAATCATGTTGTTTGCAAATAAAGGCTAAATTCTGGAGTTAGATTAATTTGACTGTCTAAAACTCCAAAAGACAGGTGCTTTTCAATTATTAGAAAGTGTCCAAAATTCCAGAAAAAAAAACTTAAGAATTCTGACCTCAGAGTTTTTACTTCCCTTTCTTGTCAGATTAACACCATCTTACAAGGGATGACAGGAGGCTGTCTCATTGCACGGGAACGGGAGGCCACCATCAAGAAACTCTGGTGGCTATGATAACTTACACACAGTTTCAAAGTTATCCCTTCCACACACCACCTCTGTGTCCTGTGCAGTCTGCAGTGCTGGTGGCAGGCCTGATGACTACCAATGTACCAAGCAATGAAGCAGCATATGTTTAGTATCTCCAGGCTCTATCACCTGGATATTTACTGTAAGCTTCTGGTAAAGTGATCTCTTTCAGCCTGGTAAACAAACTCTGGATTTCACATGTGACTTTTCAAAGAGCTGCAGGGAGTGGGGCTGTTGACAGCATTTTTCCCACCAGCAAAGAGACACACGAAAAGGTCTCAATTATAGGTAACTGACAATCCAACAGCAACAAACACGCACAGTGTTGGCAATGTAAAATCCAAAGATGCTTGTATAACACAGAGGCAACACCAAGTTCACCAAGTTTATGGCTCAATTACTAAAGTACACAGAAACAAGGAAACAGATCAACCGATGAAGGACTTGACAAGGGCTTGTGTTTAAAATGTATTGCTGCCACCACGTGATTTTCTTCCATTCCACAACCTTATATAACTTAAGTCCTCAGTCATATCTACAGTATCAACTGCTATGATTTGTTGAAGTTAATTCCTGCCTCCATCACAAAAATCAAGCAATTATTTATCATGCTAGTGTTATTTTTGCCCAGTGGTTTCAGGTACAACTTTATTATGAGATAGTGAAACTCTGTGTGTGTGTGTGTGTGTGTGTGTGTGTGTGTGTGTGTGCGCGCGCGCGTGCGCGTTATACACATATAATTTTTTAACAGCGAAGTAACTCTCAAGCACTCCACTGCCATTCCATCAAATGCAAGGCAAGTGATTGCTGAATTCCCAATTATGCTCAAACTTAAATCACACTGTTTGGTCTGATTGTATACCCAGCCCTACAGGGAGTTGTGCAAAGGCATATATTTGGCAAGCTTTCAAACCACGGCAACAAAACATGTGCTGAAGAAAAGGATTCAAAATATTAAGAAAGCAGTCATTTATTTTAGAAAGCCTGTTCACGTGAGACAATAAGCTGCTTCCCAGAATAGGCTCCATCCATCAGGAAAACACTATAACCTAGCACACACTGGCTGGAATCCCTCTCAGCCATCACACAGCAGTGATGATTATTTATCATCCACAGTGCATCAAAGATGGGGAAACAGACTGGGCACGCTTCCATGATGGTGCAGGGCTATCAATGGCAGCAAACCCTCCCCACCCTGAAGAAGCATCCACGGTACCGATGACCTCACAGATCCTAGAGACTTACCTGGTTTTCCTACAGATCCACAGGCGAGCTTGTGGGTACTCAGGTACATGAAGGTGATGGAAGACAGGGGCACCTTGGTGCTACGTCTAGATCATCTATTCCATTTAAAGAAAAAAAAAATCAAACAAAATAAAACAAACCAGGGGGCCCCATGTTGGCCAGCTACCTGTTTGGAGGTCGGCTAGGCAACAAGAGGCTGGAGGTCCTTCTTGGTATCAGGCTAGCTGGGCCTGCTGAGTTAGGCCAGTTGAAGCAAAGCAAAGCTCATTTGAGATGAGACTTAGGAAAATCTCTTTCCAGTATCTTTCCTGAGCATATCCCTGGAAAGCATCTGTACCATCACGAAGCACCAACTCCACCCAGGATAACTGTTCCATTATGAGCCCATTCTCTCACACTCTATGAACTATAACTTATCTGCCTGGAGACAGAATTTCTATCTCCTTTTGTTTGTTTGTTTATTTTTGGAGATGGGCTCTTGCTCTGTCACCCAGGCTGGAGTATAGTGGTGCGATCTCAGCTCACTGCAAGCTCCGCCTCCTGGGTTCACACCATTCTCCTGCCTCAGCCTCCCGAGTAGCTGGGACTACAGGCACCCGCCACCATGCCCAGCTAATTTTTTCTATTTTTAGTAGAGACGGGGTTTCACCGTGTTAGCCAGGATGGTCTCGATCTCCTGACCTCGTGATCTGCCTGCCTCGGCCTCCCAGAGTGCTGAGATTACAGGTTTGAGCCACCGTGCCCGGCCCAGAATTTCTCTCTCCTTCTATCACTGTATCTGAGGAATGGGCAACAGATGGATCTAGTAAGATGTACATAATAATTAGTTTCCTCTAAATCAGGACACATTACAATTTTAACAAATATTTAAGCTCCTCAACCAATTTTAAGAAATATTTAATGAGCCAACTGAAGTACCAAGACAAGAAATAAGAAACTGCAGGTTAGCAAATGAACTGGAATCTCAACTTTCGTAGGGTAAACAACTTTGGATTCGTAGGGTTTTTCAGATACCACTAAACACAGTGTCTGCAAAGAAGAGAAAAAGTTATGGACTGGTGGCTAGCCAGAAATTTCTGCAAATATCTTAGCCATGAAAAGACAGGCTAGAAAAAGAAAACCAAGACGTTTGTGGGCAGAAAATCATTTTGGCTCTTAAGGCTGGGAAAAAAGAAATGAACAATAGTAAGTGGATACTTTTCCCTTACTAACATTCAAAGCAGTTAAACACAACCCATATATCCATCTAGAAGTGCCAATCCCACTTCTTCAGGTTCCATCAGAGAGCTCTGTTTCATTTTCAAACAAATAATCACCACCATATACTGAATGTGTGTCAAACATAGGGTCAAGTGTACTGCACACACTAACTTCTAATTAATCTCTGTGGGAAAGACACTGCCTTTCAAAAACTCACCAGGAGTACCGACCAGGTAGGTAAAGGGAGATGTTTAGAACATTCAGTTGACTAAACCACATTAACTTCAAAAGCAATCAGCCAAAAAGTCAAATCAGAAAAGCGATATACAATCTGGGGGTGTATATATGAGAAAAATGGCTTCCAGTAAATACAGGCTTATTGAGTTTGCACTAACTAGGAAACCAATGACTGACATGGACTTCCAACACTACTCCCCGCCCCACACTGACCCTAAACACACAGTGGCTCAGCAGCTTGTCACCATGGGAACACAATCTGCTGTGCTTACATGCTTCTTGCACACAAGACCATCCATATGTTGGTCAAAACCCATTTTCCACCCCCATCTTCCCACCTTCATTTCACACATCTTGATCCTGAACAGGCCAGGCCCTTTCCTGACTCTGCCTGTGCTCAACCTGTTTGTTCCCTCCTACCTGAACCTGTTCTCTACTCAGGCAAGTGGGGAACCAGGCAGAGTCGAGGCATCTTCAGCTCTGGTCAAACATGAGAAGGGAGAGGTTCTCTTAAAACTAGTCTAATGAATTGATGCTCACTCAAAAGCAACTGAAATCCTCCAGCTCCATGGCTTTATCTCTAGGTCTCAGTTCTAAAAAGGTCCATTTCACTATAAATTAACTGGGAAGTTACTGTTTCTCCTTGCACAACCCAATCACTGTAATAATGCCCTGATAAAGACAGCAACAAGAATGAAAAGTTGCACAGGGGAGCTTCTGCCAAGCAGATGGGTCTCCTGAGTTCTACAATCCAGTCCCCAACGAGTATATTCAAGACCAAAGTAAATACTTCAACAAACAGCTTGGAGTGGCATAATACATTTGAGACTCAGTGAGTTGGAAACGTGATTCTTTTCTTCCCTAAGGAAGCTGATGCAAAGGGTTCCTCAGAAGTAGTTAATTGAACCCTCTGCATCAGCTTCTTTAGGGAAGGAATCACAACTGCCTAGGTATCAGTAGCCATTACCATGTTTTCCTCCTGAACGCTTGGATGTTGCCAGGTGGAAAACTAATGAAACGAAAAGTGGCTGACCAAAGTTTAGATTTCCGCAAATATCTCTATCTTAACAGATTTGCTACCTAACCCCAAAATGAACATTCAACACAGAAAGCATCCCGGCCAGACACGCCACAGGAGAAATCACAGAAAATGCTATCTGGCTCCGAAGGCTGGATCTGAGGGAATTCAAATTCAGTCTTCAGCAAAGGCAAGCAGTGCCATCCCACTGCCCCAGGAAGGACACAGAGGCAGATCGCCACTGGTGAACTCCTACTATGGACCAAGAATGCTAGGAAATTATATTTTCATCTCATTTGGGGTGAACTAGGGGAATTTCATGTCCTTCTAGGGACACAGGCTGATTCTGTTTAAGTACAAGCATTCTGTGAATCCCCAAATTTCAATTTTCAACCCTAAAAGGCAAAGTTTAGAGCAGTTTTTTTCCCAAACGGTTCAAAAAAAATGTGGGCAAGAATTTGAGGAGCAGCTTCTAGGCAGCTAGTTCCACCAAGTGGGAGCTCTTCTTGGGCATTAGTGATCTGCAGGGTTCCGCTCCTGCACTGATTTAATCAATGGATACCTAGGCACTTGCAGGTACATCTAACTACTCAGAACATAGCTGAAAAGGAGATAGACAGGGCCCCCTGCCCTAAAAGAGCTAATAGGATGGGGAAGAGCTGAGGACAAAAAGAAAAAGAAGAGACAATTTCAGACAGTAATAAATGCTACGAAAAAAACCACACTGCCACATGACAGAGTGACAGGGGACTATCACCTGTCATCAGGCTATCGGGGGAGGGTCTCTCTGAGGATATAACATTTGAGGTGAGCCCTGAATGACACAAAGGAGCCAGCAAACAAAGATGGGGAGGAGAGGAAATAATTTTAGGTAGAGAAAACAGCGAATGCAAAAAAGAATCATGTTTGATGGATTCCCCGTATGGGAAGGGTGCTTAGAGGGAAGAGGCACCTGGTAGGAAATGGAGAGGCAGAGGCCAGATTATTCATGCTGACCGGACTCCAAATGGATAGAAAGTCACTGTAGGGTTTAAGCTAGTGAACGAATCCTATTTACATTCTTCATAGATTGCCCTGGCTAGTGCATGGGGAATCTATTCCAAGGGGAGCAAACTGGAGACATGAAGTCCACACAGGAAAATGTGACAGATCTCCAGGCAAAGAAAAGAAGGTGGCTTGGACTAGGGTGGTACTAGCAGAGATGTGCAAAGATGGATGTATTTTGGAAGGAGAAAGATGGGTGTCTGGGATGGGGAAAAAAGGGCAGAATCAAGGACAGGCCTGAGATTCTGGCTTGAACTACTGATGAGTTTGTGTTAAGTGAATCTCAGCCTTCATGTTCATAAATATTCTTCCATGCTCTTTCACCAACTTTGAACTTCAACCCTCACCTGACACCTTTTAACAGCGGACAGAGAACACTGCACCCTGTCCGGACAGACACCAAGGCAGATTTAAGTGTTAATACTTAGACAATCATGCTCCAAAATGAAAGGTGGGTGAGTTCAGGCCCACACACAGGCTCAGGGCCTGTAAGTAGTTTGCCTGAGCTACCTCTTGCCTCCTCCCTTGACCTCGCCCTCCCTACTGAAAAGTCTTGGTCTCCCGGCTTTGCAAAGACCCTCCATCTGAAGCAGCTGCTCACAGAGCATTTTCTGCTTCCTTTTACCAGGCTTTTAAAACAGATACTTTTTCTACCCTGAGTTTGTCACCATTTAAAATGTTGTGCTAGTTAGCAGTAATTATGTAAATGCAAGCCGCCATTTCTATTTTTAAAAGGAACCCCCATTTAGCATTCTTATATCCTGAAATGTTTAAAATAGCTAGTCCAGTGATGTTTTCACTTTATTCAAACTGTTTGTGTGGATTTAAATACAGGTTCAGCAGAAACCAAAGCAAGTCAAACGTTTACTTTCTATTAAACATCTAAATCAGAAGATTAAAAAACTATTTTACATTTAACAGAAAGAAGCCGTCAAATCAGCACAGCGGCAGCTTCACCGTATTTACTGCCAAGAAGGGCTGACGCTTGAGAGGTAATCAATTTAGGAAGGGAGGGATGGATTTCTTTAAATTCTTCAAAAAGGGAAAAATACATTTGAGCAAATCTTTTAATTATAGTATCTTCCAAAGAACCTACAAAGCCTTTATTCTTTCCAAACCTAATGCTTTTTAAAGGCAGCTTTTGCCCCTTAATTCCACATGAAATATTCAGTATAGCATAATTAAATTTTATTCCATGCTATTTTTACTGGGTTCACAGAAATAGAGGGTGGCATCATCCTTAAAACAAACTTCCCAGCAACTTCGCTTTCACAGTGAATGGCTGGTTCTTAAAATTGAACCTAAAATGCAAAACCTACTCCAAATGCCTATTTCAGTTCCGGGTAGATGGGTGGGTACTGAAAAAATAAGTTCATTCATATGTCACACCAACCTTCAAATAAACAATTGCCCCAGTTCTCCGTTCACTTAATTGTGCTTGCCACAAGGCACCTGAAAGCATCAATCTTCATTTTCAGCATTTAAATCCCACAGCCTGTTTTAATCTTTCAGTGTGAATCTATCTGGTGGGTAAAGAAAAGAGAGAGGAGAAAGGAAAGGAAAGAAGTGCCCATCTACAGCTGAAAGACACTAATCATTGGAGTAAATATTTGGATGCCTGGGTCACCTGTGTGAGGAGTGGGCTTGATATTTTTGGTCATTTATGTTAATTATACAACCAAAATCTTAATCTCTTTTCCAGTCAGGGTCAGTAAGATACAAATTAGCACAAACCCCCTTCCCTCGCAGCCTGACAAACGGAATACAGAACGGTACAAAAGCAAGGATTATGGGTCTCTTAAGTGATCCACAGCTAAACCCACCAGCCAACAGAGCCAAGAACCACACCTAGTCTCTCTCTTCCAAGATCATGCAGAAGCCCGATGGAACATAAGCCTATGAAAACGCACAACCCCCTCAGTGCGCATGTGAAGCTACAATCTCCATTTAGAATTCTGCAAACCTAATCAACAGGGATGATCTCAGATCAGTGGTTACCCACCCTCTTATTCCAGCCAGACTGTCTCATCTGTTTCCTAACTTCCTAAAAGCATCACAACTGAAGAGGGCAACCAAACAACAACAAATATTTTTCTCAAGTGACATCTGAAACTGCTGCAAGGGAGCAGCTCGCCCACCCACGCCAAAGAGGCTCCTAGGAAAGCCAGCAGGAACTGGCTTTGGGTGCTGCTCCAGAACTCATAGGTGCCAGGCTAGAACAGACAAACAGCTTTTTTTTTCTTCTTTTCTTTTTTTCCTCGAGATGGAGTCTTGCTCTGTCGCCCAGGCTGGAGTGCAATGACGCGATCTCGGCTGACTGCAACCTCCACCTCCTGCCTCAGCCTCCTGAGTAGCTGGGATTACAGGCACGCCACCATGCCCGGCTAATTTTTTGCATTTTTAGTAGAGATGAGGGCTTCACCATGTTGGCCAGGCTGGTCTCGAACTCCTGACCTCGTGATCCGCCCGCCTCGGCCTCCCAAAAGTGCTGGGATTACAGGCGTGAGCCACCGCGCCCGGCCACAGCTCTTTTTTTTTTTAACAGTTCTTTAATGAGGCTGTTTCTTTATTTCTGAAGATAAAAAACTTCAAAACATGAAAACCTATCTACTCATACATTTTACTTTGTAGTACAGATTCACCTCTATTGTTGATTTAAAACAAAACACCCACCAAAGTGGTCACTGAGATCTCATAGTCTAGAACTAGCTGCCACTACAGCCACCAGCACATGAGCTCCTCTGAACCCACATTTTTCAGAAAAGTTACCTGAGATGCTGTTAGAAACGGAGACCTAGTTGAAAATGAAACCAACCAACCGAGGCAAAAGAGGACAAAATTTGATTTTTATACCACAGAAACAGGTATAGAATTTATATAAAAGCATCTACCCCCACCACATTTGCAAAAAAAAAAAAAAAAAGAAAAGAAAAAAATTTGCTTGGAAGACTCATTTCTGTTTTCAGATTGGATCCCAAGGTTTCAATAAGACATTCTGCTAGTTTCTCAAGAACCTGGCCCATTTATCACTTTTTCAAACTACATCATCTTCTCATTCAAGTATCTCAGTGACTCTTGTAAAAAATATGTCACACGTCTCTACTGTCAAGGTTTATCTCTAGCACAATATGTAACCCACAGATCGCAAACAAGATGTAGCCTCTCAGAGGGGGCCGCAGTTATCCCAGAGCCTGCTGATGGTGCTGGTAGTGTCAATGTCAGGAAGAGGATGAGATGAACTCACAACCCGCCCAATCTGGGATTTCTGAAGGCACAGTATGGCGAAGTTTGGTTAATTCAAGCCCAACAATGCTGATCTCACAAAATTTAGTAAAGATCTGGGCTGAAACAAAATGTGAAAATTGTCTACTAGACTTTAAAGAATGATTATGTATATGAATGCATAAATAAGGTTGCTGAAGTAGAGGTTAGCCATTTTAAGAGGGGAACCACAGCAGTTTCAAAGCCTCCTGATGGCAGAAGTGGGTGGGCTGGTGCTCAGGATGTGTCTGTACAATGACTCACGTGGACCTGGGCTCTAACTCTGGCTGTGCAGTCTCACCAGGCCACTCCTTGGCCTCCCTTACAACATTCAGGTTCATGAAAAGGGAGGGACGAAGCTCTCCTTGCTGGTCTTTCAGGGTTGCTAAGAAACCAAATGAGATGTTGTCTGTGGCATCACTTTCTTAAACTGCAGAAGTACATAAAATCTGAGCTGCTACTATTTTTTTCATATACTAATGCTAATCATAGATTATTTATGTATTAAAATTGGCTGGTGGACTTTCTATTGGGAAGTCCAATAAGCTTCTTTCCTTATTTCTGAAGATAAAAAACTTTTTGTTTTGTTTTTTGAAGATGCAGGTGCTACTACCTTGACTTAAATTGTAATTGCTTGAGAAGTAGCTATGAGATGGCAAAAACGCCTAGTTGAAATACTGATGAAAACTGACTACCCCATGTTTCCTTAGGCTGCACAACTCATTAGCTGTACAAGCAGGGAAAATATTTAGGTGTTAAGATCCCGGAAGATCACAGAAGGCTATTCTAATGTCAAATGACCACAGACACAGGGCAAGCTAAAACCAGAAGGATGGTTTGGAAGCAAATGCCAACACATCTACAATGGAATTCAGGGACTGAGCGCAAACATTTCTGTCTTAGCAAAGTGGTAAATAGGCATTTAAGCCAAATTTGATCCAAGTTCACAGAGATTATATATATGAAAACTCATCAGGGAAACTCAACAGTATAAAAGTGGGGATTGCACAAGAAACCAGGTAAGGGATCTATGGGCACTCCAAACTATCTTAGCAACTTCATTATAAATATGGGATTATTGTCAAATGAAGTTCCTTTTTAATGACCTTCTAATCAAGGTGGGGAGGCTTGCCTTTGAGGAAGGAAAGAGAAATGTCTTTAGCAGCAGTCTGCATAGGTCAATGTGTCAGGACTCTCAGACACATCATCTCACATCATCCTCACAACTCTCTCTTGACACAGGTTCAAAAGACAGCTTAGAATCTGTGACTATTTCACAGCTAAAGAAACTCATGAAAGAGTGACTTTCTTGAGGTCCCACAACTTTTCAGAGTGATGACAGGATTCAGTTTTTGGTCTGCCTAAAGAGTACAGAATCTGGCCAAGCAGGCTGGGCAGGGTGGCTCATCACCTATAATCCTAGCATTTGGGGAGGAAAGCAGGAAAACTGCTTGAGGCCAAGAGTTCCAAGACCAGCCTGGGCAAAATAGCAAGACCTCGACTCCACAGAAAAATTAAGAAATCAGCTGGGCATGGTGGCCCCCACCTGTGGTCCTAGCTACTCAGGAAGCTAAGGCAGGAGGATCACTTGAGCTCAGGAGGTCAAGGCTGCAATAAGCTGTGATCATACCACTGCACTCCCTCCAGCCTGGGCAATAGAGTGAGACTTCACCTCAACAAAAAAAAAAAAAGAAAACTGTCCAAGAGCCTAAGTGGGCAAGGTGGGCTGCCCTCCAGGGAAGACCAAAATGGGAAACAAAGGCCTATCAAAGACTAACCCACTGAAGGCCCACCCCAAGCTGTGCCAGTCAGTCACTCAAAGGCCATCAGGGAGCCTTCCTTCCTTAACCCAGGAAGTGACATGGTCTGCTCTTCAAAAGGAGCTAAGAGATGCATCCAAAAATGGATGTCCTGGTTCCTCATGGGAAATCTCAACATTGGTAATCCCTTCTTATATCAAGTCCACCTGGAAATTCCCTCACAACCTAAGCTGCTGAAGACTTGCTATAAAGCTGGTACTGAGTCAATGCCAGGGCCATGGCTTAATGGAGTAGGAAACTGACGAGCACTGAACACATGAAAAAATATGAAATTACAGGGCCAGTCATAAACTGGCTTCTCTTCAGCAGAGCCTCCGGAAGGCTCCTGGGTCAGAGTCCCTCTCTGCCTGACGTCCTCTGTGTGCCACCAGAGGGCACTAACTCATGGAACTGCTCTTTAAAATCAGGTCACACACAAACTGCAGGAATGTTGAATGAAAACTAGCCTTCAAATCAATGAAGTGCTAACTATGTAATTTTGACAGTGGCTTTAAGCATTTGCTGGTCAAAATTTTCAATTTAATTCTACAAAACTTAAAGGTACACACATGCAGCAGCAGAAAATACTAAAAACAGTAAGCTGATCAAACCTTCAGATTTATGAAAATAACATATAAAACAAATAAAATAAAACTAAGAGTGATGCATGTGCTCCTGCATCTCTGGTCACAGGGGTTGTCGTATGGATAACCCATCCCAGCATCTTCTACACACACACAATATAAGAGCGCCAAGAAAAACATGCTGATTTCTCCTTTGCTTTAAAAAGCCACTCTTCATTGAATTACAAGTGGACATTAACCATAATAAAACTACAGTACCATTTATTAAGCATGATTAAAACATGATTTAATCTTCTGTGCTAGAATCCTCGTAAGACAAGCAGCAGACACTGACGAGTGCGCACTGCGGCCTAGCTTGCTGTTCTAAGCACATCCCACTTACTTTACTCCCCACATCCCTCTGAGCAGCGATACAATTCCATTTCAGTAAAAAGTTAGTTCGACCTTGCATTTCTTGAATGCAATCAAGAATTTTTCTTTACATCTGTATCCTCTGCTTATGATTTATTTGCCATGAAACTATAAATACAGATTTGTGAGTTCTGCCTCATTAACTGCTTTCTACATTTATTTCTTCACCTCAGAAAATTCATACTTGTTATACTTTCATAAGAGTGTAAGATTATATAATCAAAATAATTCAGCAATCAGTTGAATAAAAAATGCATCATGACCAAAGGTTTTTTCGTTTTATTTTGCTTTGTGGTATGTAAAAAATTTAGCCTTTGCTTTTATTTAAAAGGAACTGAAACAGCTTTAATGGTTTGATCAGAAATATTGGTTACTTCTCTATGCAAAATAAAACTCAAGTTCAATTGGACATTGGTTTTCCTGATTTTAGTTGATTTCCCTCAGTGTGTAATAAATAACTGAAGTTTACACTGAAATGAACAAAATCTGACAAATAAGCTATACCTAAAAAGAAGTTTCAGTTCTTTAAACAATTCGTTACAAGTTAGTGCTACAAATAAACTCACCTTGAGGTAACAGCCTACATCACAGGATACTGTCTCCTTGGTTTTGTTTCTGTTCTTTGCTTAAAAAAAAAAAAGAAAGAAAAAAAGAAAAACTTCCTCAAAGGTTTTTAAGAACAATATTGGTATTCTGGCCTATGCCAACACACAACGAATAAAGACGGGGTAACCATGGCATCTGTGGAGGTATCTGGAACAAAAGTACTTCTGTTAGTATTATCTAAGTAATCGCCTCCAAGTTTCCTCTATATCTTTGTTAATGCCTACTTGATCTAGAAAATATTTTGATTTATCTTGTTTACTCGATGCCAAAATTTACCTTAAATAACTGAGAACCACTAAGTATTTGCCTGTTTCCTGCCTCCCTTTTATTTCTCCATGTTTCTTTCTAGACTCTCACTAGATGTCGATATTACAGTATTCCAGAGACATGACTCATGTTTCTATGCATCTCTGTCTTCTACTTCTTCAGGAGGCACCGATACCATCACATATAGTAAGTCTGTAATTCATAATTCCAAAGTCCTGATATGCTCCAGCTTCTCACAGCACCCTGAACTAGGCTTCCAGTTACTTCAATCACAACAAAAGCTTTATGCTTCTTTCCAAACTTTCACTGCTTTATCATTGGAAAAGGTATTTATAAATGGCAAGTTAAAGGAAAAACATTCAGAAAGGATGCGACGCAAGTGACCCACACATTCGTTCAACAGCGTTTATTTAGACTCTGCACTGTGTCAGCACTGTCCTATGCACTGAAGATACAAGGGGACAAGACAAAGGCCCTGCTCTCATGGAGCTTCCATTCTGATGAGACAGGTGGTAACTGACTGGAAAACATACCACCGCTGGGGCAGGTGCTAGGAAGAAAAAGGCAGCTTGCTGAGGGGACAGAGTGGCATCATGGATGGTCACGGAGGCCTCTGGACCAGGAGGCGTGTGCACAGAGCCCTGCTCTCCAGAGCTCAGTCAGGCTGCGGAGCTCCTTCGTAATAACTCCGGATGAGGCAAGAGTAGGTCACTTTATTCTATTTCATTTTTAGTAACATTCGGTTCAAATTAATTTGGGGTTTTGAGAACAGTTAATTCACTAATAGAACTGTCTTAAAGCCAGACATGGGGCTGGCAGGATGGGAAAGCTCTCCCTACGAATTCTGCCAGCTTTCATTCCAATGTGTCAGCCCTCATGGCTCCAGCTCTGTGGATCCCTCTTCTTTGCTGCGCCCATGAACAAGTGTGTGGTGAGAGCCTGAAATAAATAGGTGTAAAATGGGTCAAAACCGTCGCTTCTATTTCTGTTTTTAACTGAAGAAAAATTTGCCCCATTTCCAGAGGCAGAGAGAGGAGGAGACATCTGGGTAAAGGCAAACTAAAGTATATATTAAACACACACATACGTATACAGATGAACAGGTATGTATCTACCCCCACCCACATACTATACACATGTACATACAACCATATATGTCTGACTTCTTCGCCTATGATAATCCAAAACTGGGTCTCATACAATGGTCTTTTTGCAATCGTTACAGCATGACTTTTATTGGGTTGTAGGTTTTATCTTTAAGAGGCCACAAAACTTTTTTAAAAGATCAAATAAAAAATTAAAGGTTCAAAGAAGATCAAGGCTCAGATTCAATTAACACTAATTTTGGAAGAATTTTTTTACTTACTATGCATATTCAGCAAACTACTTAAGTTTTGGGTTTTCTTCTAACATAGCAACCCAGGGGAGTCATTATGTACAATCAACTCCCTAATTCAGATTAACATATCTAAGTACATATTGATACAACAGAACACAATGCTTGCAGAGGCTCCCTGCTAGAGACTCTCTGCTTAAGCACAGGACTAAGAAGGTGGACTTCTTAAATTCCATTTCCAGCACTTCCCATTGTTACTTCCTGGGCCAGTTTCATAGATTAGAAGAATATAATACTTCAAAGGGATACTCTGGTTTCCATGAACAAAACGACTAGCATCTCCCAATTAATGTAACATCCTAACAAGTGAAAGATGACTTCTAAAATGACCAAAATGACCAAAAATGCACAGTGAAGCTGAAGGCAAGCCCCAGATCTGTTCTTTCATTTCTCTCCCTCACTATTTTGGGGGAAGGGTCAAAAAGGGAGTGGCTGTAGATAAAACACTCCACACTGTGCTCATGAGTTTTCATGGGATGAGCTGGAAGCATGTGGTAGGGTGTGGAGGGTTCTGTCTCATTTGCTTCCCAAATTTGGGACTGATTTCCAAACAAACCTCAAATCAACTGAATATCAGCACAGCTGTTTAATTCCAGTGGACAAAATGTGAGTAAAACATCGCCTTCAGGCCTGTGCCCAATGCGCAGAGGCCAGTGACTTTCACAAGTCACAAGTACCTAGAACAGGTACTGAAAAGAGCATGCTGCGAGAAGAGCTGTGGGCTTCTTACAAGGAAAGCACGAGTGACATTTATGGCCTATTTCCCTAGTAGTTATTCAACTAAATAATTAGTTACTTAAGATATCAGCACAACAAATTGAAGATTTCAAGGCAATCAAATGTCAATTACATTTTTTTTAACATAAAATACGAGTTCCTCTGGAATCAGACAGCAGCTTCTGACTTGTTTTCCATTGCTCTTTGCACATTTGCTTTCTGCTACCAAAATTTTAAGACCTGTATAAACAAAAACAGTATTTATTCTTCTCTTCCTCCAAAACACTTATTAAGTTTACATTTTGGGCTTGAAGGTATGTTACCCCACTGTCACTTCCCCCATCCATCCACCCATAACCACGTGCAGATGGTGGGCTCAAGGAAAACAAAAATAAGGGAGGACCAGCACCCTTGCCCAAGGAGCTCCCACTTGAGTGGAGTAAAGACACCAACAGAGATAAATCACAATATGCTATGGCAAGGGCCCGCACAGGACATGGGAAGCAGTGCCCAGGGTAAGAGTGAACCAAAGGACAGGCTGTACTGAACACAGTTCCCAAGAAAAGGTGCATGGGAGGAGTGGCATGCGGGCTGCCCTCCAGGGGAAGGACTCGTGCAGAGAAGGGAACAGCAAGTAGGAACGGACAGAAAGAGTGTCCACACATCAGGGGAGGAGGAGGGGAGGCAGCAGGTGAGATGCAGCTGGGTGGGGCATGTTGCACTTCATCAGGAAGGGGTGGGTTTGGTATTTCTCTGCTTTCACCTGCATCTACATTCAGAGGTAGGAGTTTCAAGTTAATGAATACTTTATTAGTAGAGACAAGTCCAAATGACCAGAAAAAGAACCCACCAGAGCAATGGCATGCATGTGGACTCTGCAGCCTGAAGACGAGGGATGGGGGCAAAGGCTTGCCTACTGCAGACCAAATACCTGCCCTGGTTAAGGCTACGCTGGCTATGCTGGTTAAAGTTTAAGTTTCAGCAGCAAATTTCTGAAGGAATGAATGAACTGCAAGTTTAAATGTTATACTTTGGATGGTTTGAGCATTCTAATGACTCAGGTATAAATAGAAAATAATTTTTTAAATGTCAGAACTCTCATTTTCTTAATCCCCTACACACACACACTGACCTTCACTTTCAAAGAAACTAGAATTGTGTGTGTGCCAAATTAATTATACTAACAATGCCTTTAAAAAGCTAATATTTTTAAAAAAGCAAATACTTCCATAACATGTGTTGTAATTTACAAGAGGTATCATAAAATAGCTCTTCTTTTGCTGGGATTTATTCCAGTCCATTCATCATAAAGATTTCTGTGTGAGGGGTGACTCTGTAAGCAAAACACCATTTAGCAGGAAGAAAAACCTCAAAACAAATTACAAGAAAGCCATTAATGTTCTTTTAATTTCTTGCTTAATTTCCACTTCTTGGTATCCATACACTTCCTCATCAGATGGAAACATTTTAATTAGAATAAAGAGAGTTTAAGAAAATGTATGTAATGAGTAAGCTTTCATTATTACTAAAAGGCATTAACTGAGCTTTCTGTCATGTGAATACAATGGTGCGGGAAGGAGAATACTTTGTGTAAAAGATAGGAAAGCAACACAGTTAATGATAAACCAGAGTCTCTACATGCTCCTAGGAGATTTCCAAAGGTGGGATACTGACATGCTCTAGACTGCTTAGACTGCGCATTCCCAGGATTTTAGCACTACAAAATGAACAAGTAATTATTCCTTCAACACATAAGGCATCCAAGAACACAGGGTTCACAAATACTTCCTCAAAATGGGCTCGCTTCCTAACAGTGGGGTTTGTAGGATTTTTGAGGGTAATTTTTGAGAAGAATTCTTTGGTTAATTATGATACTGCAGGCAACAAACTAAAGGGAAACTGAAGTAAGCTTAAACCTGATAAAGGTACAGAATTGGGGCATCCATTAACCTCCTCCTTGGAGGCTTTCATGAGAGGCTCACATGATTAAGATGAAAAGTAACATGTATGCTGCTGAGACGCTCCTGTTTACTCTTTCAAAATATTTTACTTTTTCCTGGCCTACGAGGCTAAAAAATACCTGATATTATCAATTTTTATTCATCTTTAAAAACACATTGTGTGGATCAAAGCCAAACAAAATTGTGTGTGTGTGTGTGTGTGTGTGTGTGTGTGTGTGTGTGTGTGTCTCTAGAGAATAAGCTAAATTCTCTGCATGGTAAAAGGCTGCTAGGTTCAGCCATCGAAGCACATGACCTCTACCAACTGCCATGGTGTCCCCTCCTTCCTCTTCAGCCTTGCTCCCCTCAGAAGGAGTGAGAAATGGTTTTAGATCTACACGGCCAATCCTTCATGAACCACGACCTCCTTGTTCCTTTAAACACTTCCCCTGTGATAATCCTGGACTACACTCCATGACCATCCCATGAGCTGTCCAGTAAGGCAGCCACTGAGCACCTGAAATGTGTCTACTTCAAATTAGAAGGTAATGGAAATATAAGATATATACCAATTTCAAAGACTTCATACCAAAATAAGTAACTTCTCAATTTTTATACTTACTACATGGTCATGTAATGTAGACTTACTGGGTAAAATAAAATATATTACAATATATTATTAAAATTAGTTTCCTTTATTTTTACCTATTAAAAATATGGTTACTAGAACATTAAAAATTACACGTGACTCACTGACACTGCTACTGTACAGCAGAGCCCCTGACCTTGATGTAACCAAAACTGACCCCTCCATGATACCGATTTCAAGCCCTCTATCTACTCTTCGACTATCCCAACTCCAACAACTCCTCGATCCTATTCCTTGAATCCACTGACCCCATGACCTCTTACTGACCCTCAGCTCCTTCATGCCTCCTGGCTCCTTGCCTGGCTTAGACCACATGGTCTATCCTCAATCCTCACATCGATTCTTCTGCGCAATGCTCAACTCCCTTATGCCTCCTCCCTCCACTGTACTCACCTGGCAAAATCCTAATCCCAGGTTAAATCCAACTCCCTGCCCTCTCCTGCCCTCTCCTGCCCTACACTTAGGCTGCCGAAAGCAGAATTCCTTCAGAGCACCAGCTCAGCTCCCTATCCAGTCGTTTTTGCTTGAACCACCTGGAACTGGGCTTTTATTCTCACCATTTCACTCATACAGCTCTTATCAAAGTCACCAACGATCGCCCCGCTACCAAGCCCACAGTGAAACCCGTCTGTTTCTTGCTCCAGCTTTAGCAGCATCTGACATAGATATCACTCTGCTTTGAAACATGAGCTTCCTTGTCCGGGCGCGGTGGCTCACACCTGTAATCCCAGCATTTTGGGAGGCCAAGGCATGTGGATCACTTGAAGTCAGGGGATCGAGACCAGCCTGGCCAACCCAGCAAAACCCCATCTCTACTAAAAATAAAAAAATTGGCCAGGCATGGTGGCACACACCTGTAATCCCAGCTTGGGAGGCTGAGGCAAGAGAATCACTTGAACCCGGGAAGTGGAAATGGCAGTGAGCTGAGACCAGAGGGACATTCTGTCTCAAAAAAGCAAAGCAAAGCAAAGAGAAACATGCACTTCCAGGACACCCCCATCTCCTGTCTTCCTTCTCTGATTGCTTCTCATTCTCCTTTGCCTCCCTTCTACCCGCTTCCCCTTAACATTGGGTGTCCCAGGGCTCCATGTCTGGACTTCTCTATTGTATACACTCCCTAAAAAATTTCATCCAGTCCTACGGCTTTTAGAACCCCCTATATGCTGAAAACACTCAAAATCTAGCTCCAGCCTCAGCCTCTCCTTGAAGTTACAAACTCAAACATACGACTGCCTATTGAACATCTCCACCTGATCTTACAGTCAACAGGTGCAAAACACAACCTACATTCTCTTCACCCCTCCTCCCCAACCTGCTGTTCTCAGTCTTCCTGATCTCAGTAAAGAAGAATAGCATTCTTCCAGTTACTCAGTGCAAAAACACAGTCATCATCCCTGACTCTTCCTATATTAATACAGTCTACCAGCTCTTCCTTTCAAACATAACCCATATATGACCATTTCTTCCTGCTCTGTCCAAGGCACCATCAGTTCTTGCAACAGTCTCCTCACTGGTCTCCCTACTTCTATCCCAAACCAGGGATCAACAACTCTTTTCTGTAAAGGGCCAAACAGTATAGATCTTTCAGCCTCTACAGGCCATATGCTCCCTGTTACAACTACTTAGCTTGGCTGTTGCAGCTCAAAAGCGGCCTCAGATAATACACACAAGAGTGTGGCTCTGTTTCAATAGAACTGGAACTGGACACTGAAATTTGAATTTCATATAATTTTCATGTGAAATAAAATACTGATTTTTTTTCAACCACTTAAAAACATACAAAGCATTCTTAGCTTGCTAGCTATATAGAAACAGGCAGTGGGCCAGAACCTGCCATGGGCTGTGGTCTGCTGGCCCTGCCCTGGAAGATTCTCTGCACTACATTCAGAGTGATTATTTTATTTTATTTTACTTTTATTTTTTTGAGACAGAGTCTCACACTGTCTCCCAGGCTGGAGTGCAGTGGTGCGATCTCCACTCACTGCAACCTCTGCCTCCCAGATTCAAGCAATTCTCCTGCCTCAGCCTCCCGTATAGCTGAGATTACAGGCAACCGCCACCATGCCCAGTTAATTTTTCGTATTTTTAGTAGTGACAGGGTTTCATTATGTTGGCCAGGCTGGTCTTGAACTCCTGACCTCAAGATCCGCCCACACTGGCCTCCCGAAGTGCTGGGGTTACAGACGTGAGCCATCATGCCCAGCCCAGAATGATCCTTTCTGTCATGTCTTTTTCCTGCTCAAAAATCCTCAGGTGGCTTTCCTTCTCTTTCGGCAAAACCAAAAGACCGTGCCAAGCCCTGCGGGGCTGCACAGGACACTACTTCCTGGCTCCTCCCCTCCCGTGCCCCTTCCCACGCTCTGCACAGCAACACAGGCCTCCTTGTCATTCTCCTGGCTTCTCTCTCGCCATTGCCAAATCTATCTCTGTCTATCTCAGCGCCTTTGCTTTTGCAGTTCCCTCTGCTTGGAATACTCACTCTAGACACCTACGTGGTCACGGTGTTGCTTCCTTCAAGTGGTCACAGTGTTGCTTCCTTCAATTCACCTCATGAGAGATACCCGCTCAGTCACACTAGAATAGCATGCACAAACAGACATGCAAGAACCCTCTCACTGTGTACCTTGCTGCACTGTTCACCACACTATCACTGACATTTCTTTCCTTCTTTAGAAATAAACAGATTGGGCAGTTTTTTAAAAGAGAAACAAAATACCACAGTGATTAAGGGCATGAAATCTGGAGTCCAATGACCTGGACAGGAATGCAACAGCACCACTTACTAGCTATGTGACACTGAGCAAGTTAATTCAACTTCTCTGTATCTCGGTTTCCTTGTCTATGAAATGGGGATAATGACAGCAGCTACTTCCTCAGTATTCTGAAGAGTGAGTTAATAAATGTAATTGGCATATATAAGCACGCAATTACTGTTATTTATTTTTGTTTTTGTTTATTGTTTATTATTATTCCTCTCCCCCAACCAGAAAATAAGCTCTTCGAGGGGAATAACATGGTTTTGTTTATTGCTTCATTCTAGATACACCTAGGACAGTGCCTAGTACTCGGTATTCAATAAGTATTTATTGAACAAACAAATATTTGAATTTAAGTCACTCTGGGGTGGGCAGAACACTCCACTCCCCTCCCATGATCATACAGATATCAGACAGAACAAAAGCTTCCTTAAAATCTGTTAGAGGCCGGACATAATGGCTCAGGCCTGTAATCCCAGCACTCTGGGAGGCCAAGGCGGGCGGATCACTTGAGCTCCAGAGTTTGAGACCAGCCTGGACAATACAGTGAAACCCTGTCTCTACAAAAACACAAAAAGTTAGCTGGGCATGGTGGCATGCCCCTGTGGTCCCAGTTACTCAGGAGGCTGAGGTGGGAGGACTGCTTGAGCCCTGGAGGTGGAGGTTGCCATGAGCTAAGACCATGTTATTGCACTCCAGCCTAGGCAACAGAGTGAAACCCTGTCTCAAAAAAAAAAAAAAAAAAAAAAAACACTTTTAGAGGCTGGGCCTGGTGGCTCATGCCTGTAACCCCACACGTTGGGAGGTTGAGACAGGAGGATCATTTGAGGCCAACAGCTCGAGACCAACCTGGACACATAGTGAAACCCTGTCTATACAAGAAAAACAAAAAAGTTAGCTGGGCGTGGTGGTATGCACCTCTGGTCCCAGCTACTCCAGAGGCAAGCCTAGGCATTTGAGGTCACAGTGATGATCATCGTGCCACTGAACTCCAGGCTGGACAACAGAATAAAACCCTGTCTCTATTAAATTAAAGATAAATATAAAAAATAAATAAAATTTAAAAAAAAACCCTACTAGAGAAAGAGAAATAAAAAGCCTACCATTCCAGGTGGGTTTGCTGATGCTTCTCTATTTCCTACCCTGAAGCGAGGCATAATGCCGTTCTGAGTAACAAGTGGTTTCACTTTATAAGAAACCTCCCACAGGGCCAGGCATGGTGGCTTATACCTGTAATCCCATCACTTTGGGAGGCCAAGGCAGGAGGAACACTTGAGCCCAGGAGTTCGAGATCAGCCTGGGCAACAGAGACTCCGTCTCTACAAAGCCAAAAAAAAAAAAAAAAAATTAGGCGCAGCAGCAAAGGTAGTCCCAGCTACTCGGGAGGTTGAGGCAGGAGGCCTGCTTGGGCCTAGGAGTTCAAGGTTGCAGCAAGCCATGATTATGCCACTGCACTCCAGTGGGCGGGTTCTTCATCTGGGTGACAGAGCAAGAACCTTGTCTCAAAAAAAAAAAAAAAAAGAAAAAAGGAAAAGAAGCCTTTATAATCTAAACCTGTGTTGTATACTCAAAGGTTACATGTTCAGGTCTTGAACCAAATTAGAGAAGAAATAGATTTCATAGTCCGGTTCAAATTCCACATGTAAAATGCCAACCTAATACCTAGCAGCACAAATCTGATCTTACTGTATTTTCTAAACACAACCACAAATGGCTGTTTACTCAGAGCAGCTAAGATTTAATTGACTTCTGAAACCAAAGGACATATCATCAAATACCTGAAGTCTTCCCCAAGCCAGAAAGTAATGGACACATTTCTGTCTACCAGCCAAGACACAGGCTTCGCTCACAGCACATCACAGGGTCTTGTGGGTTTGGTATGTCTCCTTACACTTACACACACACATTTCTCCTAGGATGACTGAGTTTTATAGATGGTATTAAGATAAAATACTTCCAGGCTCTACATTTGATGACATATTCTTTAATGTGAAGATCCTTATATTTATCCCGGTATAACATGGACTCTTTTTCAAGCGGAAACTCTACTTCCTTTAAAAGAAGTGCAGGGATGGTAAGGTAATTCACTGTTCAGCAAAGTAGAAATTACTCTCCTAGCCTCTAAACTAAAACTCTTCGCTGTGATAAAAGAAATGAACATCTTCAGTACTGGTTCTACCAAGTAGAAAATGAATTAGTGAGATGTAGGTGGTAAAAACATACTTGTATCAACTAGTATGTAATCCCGTTGCACAGCTGCCTATCTGCACTGAATGCCTGAAAATGACATGTGTGACAAAGTGAAGGGTTTTGAGGAGGGGTAAGAAACTGGGGGTTATGGAATGGGTGAAGCCCAAGCGGTCATGGTGAACTGCCATGGACTTTACCATCTGCCCACGTCCCTTACTGATCCAGCTTCCTGCTGATGGCAACGGAACTAGAACAAATCGCTGGGGATCCTTGGGGGAGCGGTTCCTGGAAAAGTGCTAAGATATGAGAGAAGTCGTCTTCTGTCACTCTTTGTGGGTGTTTTTGTTTTTTGTTTTCAAATTCTGCACTCAATTGACCATTAAGGTCACTGTGACATGGCTGAGAGGATCTGCATGAGGCAGGCAGGTACAAGTCACTTCTCAATTCTGTACTGCTATACCGTGGCAATGCCTGAAAAATCAGAATGATAGCCCTCTAATTTAATACTGTATTTAGCTGATAATCCTAAATAACACCTTGTCAGCTTTTGTGATCTAGCACAAAACCACACGTCTTGTGATCTACGAGCTGGGCTGTGGTAATGCCCTTGACTTGAGGCTTAAAAGCTTTGGTTGGGACATAACTTTGATGTATTGTCTTTCATTTCAAACTGCAATGATTATCCTTGAATCTGGCATCACATAGAGTGCTACCAAAATTAGATTATGGTTAGTTTATAAGACAACCTATTCCCTTTGGTGTACCACCATGAATGTTGCTACTCTCAGCTTTGCATGTTTGCAAGATCGAAAAGCCACGGCTGTTTGGTTTACAGGATGCAGGGATAAGAACCATCTGCCTGGTCTGGTGTTTCTTTAATTAAAACTTTAATTACAGATATATCTCTGCACAGATACGTGCAGTCTATCAGCTCCTGTTCCTAATTACCTGTGCTAATGAGAAATGAAAAGACAGTTAATGTTTGCTGAGTATCTACTATGTGCAAGGACCTATGTATGGTCAGATGCTCCAAGGTGAACTAGAGCAGGTAAAGTAGATCCCAGGTCAAACCTTGGTAGTTTCCCCTACCAGTCCTTTTCCCACCATTACAAAAGAGTGACAAAAGTCATTCTGGTTTCTCCTTTGGAAATACGAAAGGCTTAGAGGTATAAAGTACTCAAAAGGATCCACACAGAAGAGAGAAAAGGGGCTGGATATCCAAACCTGAATAATTGAAGTTCTGTGGCCAGCGTATGTGACAGTCTGTCATATGGAGTATTTGCGACCCCACCTGAAGATGTGTGCGGAAAGTGGAAAATCTCGTCTAATTCTAGGATTCTGAGGAGCATCACACAGCGTGATGGTAACCACGGCCAGTTTCCCAGGGAAACAATCACCACAAATGAGAACAAATGGGAGACGTTTTCTGTTATTTCCTGATCGTGCAGCAATAGCGTTGCCGACTTTTCCTTCATTAACTCCCTTTCTACCTAGGGCAGATCTTCATTGAGGAATGACAAAAAATCCTTCCACACCTTCACCATGTGTTTCTTAGTGTCCTCAAAAGCCTCAAGCAGGGTTAAACACCATCAGGATGGACACCTAAAGCAGCCCACTTGGTGGTGCCAAGGCCAAAAGGACAGGGTCTAGGGCACAACCAAAGCTTCCCGACTTTCACAGTGAGGAAGTCTGCCGCTTGCCCTCAAAACTGCCCTAACCTTCTATCATTTGTTTCCATGGGAGGGGGAGCGCAGAAGGATGATTACTTTGACTGTTTCTCCAACATGTCTAGAGGCAGGCAGTTAATCGCAGCAGCTATGCGGTCACATTGCCTCTGCTCTCCGCCATCCCAACTCTCACTCAGCTAAGGACACAGAGGAGGAGGAGGCAAGTCCTGGCCTGGAGGCGGGCACCGAAGAAGCACCTTTCTCTCTCAGGAGTGGGTTCCTCACCACCAAAAATGAAGGGTCCAACCCAGATGATCTCAGACCTTCCAGCTCTAAAAACTATGCAGCAGATATGCTAAAAGCCTGACATAAGTGCTCCCTTGAATGGTCCAAATCCATCTTATTGCCCAACATTCTGTACTATTCAGTGATTGAAGCCTGCCATTTCTCGATCTATCTAAATCTATGAGGCTAAATTACCTAAGATCTTCAAGATAAACCACCTAAGTTAGGACAGACAATCACAAACAAAATCTGACAATTTTCAAGCTAATGACGGGCAGTACCTACTTCTTTGAAAGACAGATACTAAGACAAATTAAGAAATGTTCATTTGGCCAGGCGCAGCAGCTCACCACGGTAATCCCAGCACTCTAGGAGGCCGAGGCGGGTGGATCACCTGAGGTCAGGAGTTCGAGACCAGCCTAGCCAACATAGTGAAATCCTGTCTGTACTAAAAATACAAAAATTAGTTGGGCACGGTGGCACACGCCTGTAATCCCAGCTACTTTGGAGGCTGAGGCAGGAGAATCGGTAGAACCCAGAAGGCGGAGGTTTGCAGTGAGTTAAGATCACACCATTGCACTCCAGCCTGGGCGACAAGAGCAAAACTCCGTCTCAAAAAAAAAAAAATTAATTAATTAAAAAATAAAGAAACATTCATTTGCACGTCAACTCTGTGGTAGGCACCTGAAGGATTTCAGGGACCTCACAGTCTGATGACAGATACATTGTAAACATACGCCAGATGGTGGAAGAAAGAGAAAACAAGGAAAGAGGGAACTACGAAGGAGAAGAAAAGAAGGGAACGATAAACCCATAAAAGAGAGGAAGAGAAAAAAAAATGAAAGAACAAGCAAGCAAGCAGGGCCCTCTACTTCATTTCACTCTAACTAAATTCAAACCTGGCTTCTGTGGTGATCAAGTGCTCACTCATGGAAGATGGTATTCTACAGGGTGGATGCCAGGAACTTTTCCTACAGAAACAGTACTAACAATTGTTGGCTGAACAACTAAACTGGCCCATAAAACTCATTTTACCTTACAATGGAGTCAACTACAGAATTAACAGCATTGGCCCACACTCCAGAAGCACAGATCCATATGTGCACAATGTAAGGACCTATTTGTTTTCTTGTTTACAAAATAAACTTCCTGTATTTCTGAACCTATCCATCTCTCTAGAACAAGAGTCTTGGGATGGGGCAAGTGTTTCTTAAAAAGTGAATTATTTTAAAAGCTGTACAGAGGAATCTGGATGTGCAGCCAGGATTAAGGAAGCCATTGGTAATAAGAGTCCCTAAAAGTGACACATGTATGACAGAGCCCTCCATGGGGGGCAGGAAGAGGGGCGGTTGTTGAAGCCAGCTAGGGGCCTTCAGAAGTTAGGGGCGCTGTTGCATTAAAAGGTCTGGGCCAGGCACAGTGGCTCACACCAATAATCCCAGCACATCGGGAGGCCAAAGTGGACAAATCACGAGGTCAGGAAAGTTCGAGACCAGCCTGGCCAACATGGTGAAACCTCGTTTCTACTAAAAATACAAAAAAATTAGCTAGGTGTGGTCGCGGGCGCCTGTAATCCCAGCTACTCAGGCAGGAGAATCGCTTGAACCCAGGAGGCAGAGGTTGCAGTGAGCTGAGATCGCGCCACTGCACTCAGCCTGGGTGACAGTGCGAGACTCCATCTCAAAAAACAAAAACAAAAAAAGGTCTGATGGCTGAAGGATGATAATGCGTACAGCTGAGGTCCCTACAACTAAAAGGGCAAAACCGTTTCCTAGGAGTGGCTCAGCCAGGTTTGCAGCTCAATGCAAGGCAGCAGTGCTGTGATATGAATGGCACTTGGATTTAAGTGCCTGTCTGGCAGTTTACTGAGGGTGTGAGCCTGGGTGAATTTATTTAACCTATCTGGGCATCAGCATTCTCATGTGCAAAATGGGGTGAACATACCACCCACCTTGTAGGTAAATGTGGATGATTAAAATGTATGGAAAGCCCTGGGATGAATATGTAACAGGCATTCTTACACACTCAGGAAAGGCAGTGATGTCCCTTCCACCTCACTCAAGAGGACAACGAAGCCTCCCGCAGCTGGGTGAAAACCTTGAAACAGTTCAACACTTCTGACTCCTTCAAAGCTCCCTAGACACCTTACCAAGCGTAAAAGGGAACGAGAAAGGCTAAGCAGGTAAAAGGTGGGTCTGTCCCTCAGGTTTCCTTCCTTGTCCCTCCATAGCCAAAAACAGTTAAAAGAACCTATCAACAAAGGGTTATGGAGCTCTTTGTGATCTAAACTTTTCTTCCTAAGAGATTAAAAACCCAGATTTAACTTTATGCACCTGAACTTGCATCTGTTTTAGAGGAGCTTAATTACCATAAACTATTCGGTTCCTCTCTCTAAACATATAAGGGTCTCTAAGTCAGTGTTAGAAGACTACTGGGGAATGGTTTCGAACCTGATTTTCTGTAAGGTGTGAGTCCCCCTGCTGGGGTTTTCTGGGTGTGAGGATCAGCCACACTACATGGCAGGCACTGCTCTAAGGACTTTGTGGACATGTGCTCAGCTAAAACTCACCAGGATCCTTTAGTGGGTACTATTATCATCCCCAATTTAAAGAGGGGGAAACTCAGGCACAGAGAGGTTGGGTGATTTGCTGTGGTCAGACCACTTGCAAGAGGTCGAGGTGGGATTCGAACCAAGGCAGCCTGGCTCCAGAGCCCATGGTCCTGGCCTTTCACCACGGGGTTCACTACCACTGCCTCTCAGCACACCGGTTATGCCTGCCAACGGCACAGCCATAGGATGAGGTTCAGTTTCAACAGCACCTTTCTTCTGAGTTCCCAGTGTGTCTGTCATACAGTTTCATTTATCCTCCCAACAACCCTAAAAAGCAAGTGGGAGACACACAGTATCTACATTTCACAGAGGATAAAACAGAAGTAGCATCGATGAAATGTCTTACAACTCCTATATTTTAAGTCAAACAGCTAATTTCACTGTTTTTACACCAAAATGAAAGTCTTCTGAAGTCTTTCTGTTGGAGTATTTCAGTTTTGTGTGACTACCTCAACAGATACCAGTAACATATCCAGAGACTTTGCTAGTCCAAAGCAGGTTACCTGACTCTCAAATGAAGGTTTTTCTCAATGAATCACATTTACAAAAACATCCATTGGCTTACAGTCTACTAAATGTCCTAAATGCTAACCAAATAAACAAGGCTCATTGGAAATAAGCCATAAATGTGTCCATGTACTAGCTCTCTTAGAAAAATGAGGTTATCTTAAAATGTATTAAGCAGAAAACTTTAAAGAAAATCTAACTGATCTAATCGTAAAATAAGAGAATTAAAAACTTTTCTCGTCTTAACCTATTAATTTCTCTTCAGCTGCTACTGGACTTACAAATAAAGTACTGTCTACCTCAAAGGCAGATGGGAGCCCCAGGGGAGCCGATTCCAACAGCAGGGAGCTGTGACTCTCCTGGGGACCATCAACCAGCTCATCCCTCAGGGGTCAGCCGGTTTGGGGCTGCTTGAGCAAGAGGAATGGAGGCAACAAGCAGTCATGGCCCCCCACATGGCTTCCATGTACCATCCACTGAGCCAGATGCCATTCCTTTAGTGCTAGAAGGACATGGCATCAAAGGAACAAATAAAGGACATACTTAAGGCAAAAAAGTCTTTGGGGATCTGGTAAACATGCCAGCACAACTGTGAAAAGCATTATTTAAAAAAAAAAAAAATCACCTTAAAATTCCAGGTTTAGCAAAAAAGTTGCTCCTGACTACTGGGACATTATAAATCACAGGGGCTTTATAATCATAGGATGGTTTACCTATTTGTATTTCTCAGCTCTGATATTTTGCAATTCTGTGAAAAGAAAACATACCCAACAGGCCAAAGGCAGCTTTTCAGGCATCCAAGTATACTAGGCAAGAACAAGCTCGTGAGCCTGAACAAAACTGTTCGTGAGAGTTCCAATCGCCAGTGAACAGCTAACCACGACTAATTTTAATTTGTGGTTCTAATGAATGACATAAACTTTTATAGGTATCAACAAAGCTCAAAGAGGACTTAAATCCATTTCAGTACTCATTTAGCAGCTTCAGCTGTGTGCAATTAAAACATCAGCATTAAATGTTAGAGAATAAAATAATGAGACACTTAAAAAGTAATCTGTGCTTCAGTGGGCCATGCTGAGAGAATTCACATGTTTTTTTTAAGGACATGATTTCTAAGGAGTATCTTGCCAGTTCAAAGAACTGACTCAAGTTTGGTTTCTGTCTTTCGGTTTTGGTTTGTTTTGCTTTAGATTAAGAATTTTCTGAAAAGAGAAATACAATAAAAATGCATTGTTTGAAAAACAGTCATGAAATTGCATATGGCAGAAATCAATCTGGTATTGAGACTACCAGGGCTGGCTGACCAGGTTTTGGCAGAGACAAAAGTACATTTTTTGGTCATGTTAAATTGCTTGTTCTTAACTTATGCCTAAAATTAAAGAAATAAAATATTAAAAGAGTGGGGAAAGGTGAATTTGGGTAATGAGGCAACTTTGTATTTTTCTAGTCCTTAAATGAAATTAAAATTAAAAGTCTAAGCTTTTTCTCCCCAAAATACTTCAGAATACAAAATATAATCTGAAGATGTATAATGTGGCAGCTAAGACTAATAAATTCAAGTTGCTACTATTTCTGAAAGAAAGATAAGTTACTCTGCAGAGGAAAGGGTATGTGGTGGTGGTGGTGGTGGTGGTGGTGGTGATGGTGAGGGTGTATGTGTGATAAGGTGAGGGGCAATGGTTTGGGTGGTTTGGGAGTAGAGAAGAGGTATGGGTGTCCTGGGTGTGTGTAAGTTATACGTAAATATCAAGTTAATTCAGCTTCTGCAAAACATGAATAAAAAAGGAAATATACTGTATGGGGAAATGCACTCATTAAACTTAAATTTTAAAAGGATGAAAACACAGATTACACTTTATTTTAAAACTGAAATGAATTTTAATACAGAAAATGAAGACAGCATTTTGCAAATTTATCACTCAAAGGGGTATCTCTATTTGAGGAAATCAGCGTGTTACACTTTGAAAGATGAAATGTTACAGCTTGTACACCAAAATTAAAAAATGAAATTAAATTAAAAAATGAAATGGTTACCAAGGTAATGCAGGTCAGGGGATCAAAGGTGAAGGGTCACACATTATTAAAAAGAAATCCAAAAGGACGGCTGCATCATGATCTCTGCAAAACAAAGGAGCTCCAGTAAGTAAAACTAGTATCTCTGAGAATTTAAAATCAAGCTCTTGAAAAGATTCCACTGTAACTGAACCCCATCATTCCTGATGTCGTGTAGAGCCATTTTTATTTACATACAAAACCACACTTTCATTACCTGTTACCAACAATTTTTTTTTAATTTAACCATTCAATCATTAAAACCTAAAATATCTTCAACTGAAAGTGACCAAAAGTGCTGATATTTCAATTTGACCCCATAACCTGTTTTCTGGAAATGACAGTGTTTGATAAGTTGCCAACATATCAGAAATCTAATGTGGTCACAGCATGGTGAGTTTTTCCTCTCCTCAAGGAATGAGTTCCAAAATTGAGTTTTTGCAAATTTGTTTCATTTGAAGTAGCTGCATAAAATTTCCATTATTGGAACATTTAGTATAACAATGTTCTAGAAGACAGCAATAAAGTGATACATGATAAAATAAACCGTGTAACTATATCTATTAAGATGTGGTCTCACATTCAACTTTCACTGCACAGGGGAAAAAAAAGACATTTTAAGCAAAATAACTTGCTAGTTCTACTGGAATTACACAGAATTAATAGGGGCTTGACACGAGGAATATCTACAAGGGTTTTTTGTTTTGTTTTTCCTGTATCTGACAGGCTTCATTTCATCAATAAGTGTTATTATTTACTCACTTTTCCCATTAACAAACTAAAGCAGTTTATGTTTTTTAAAAGGATAGACCTATGGTTTTGTTTTGAAACATGAAGCTACCACCCAAATCATGACAAACTTTGCAGTAATGGTAAGCACTATAATTAATGGTTATACTAAATAATTTCAGTATTCATTTCACTAGTATATAAAATGAACAGTATCATAACACAATCATCTTTAGTGTCTCCTGTCTAAAAATTAAGCTTTAGCAGGCTATATGCTCCCTGGTTTAGGGATCCAAATTCCTTAGTGCTTACTAGACAGCAGATTCTACAAAGCAGTGTAAATGATGGCCTGCCATACAGAAGAGTAAATGGCAGGAGCATAACCAGGAAAAAGAACTTAGTTACCATTCTTTTTACAAGAGTTCCCACTTGCCATTTCTTCTTACATTCTCCTACTTCAGCTGTAGCCCACAATAAATTTAACATTTGAGTTAACCTTGTTAAAACTAAATTCCAAAAACACTTAGATATTAAAATATAGACAACTTCCAAAAGGATTTTATTAAAAGAAACAGAATATTCTTTCTAGAGGCTTACGGCAATCAATAAATAAACAAACTCTATAAATGCCAGATGTTTGTTCCTGTGATTAGGTTTTGTTAAAATAACTTGCAGAGCTCATGCACTCGGTCCGAGTGTTAGTGCCCTAAAGCCATGTTTCAAAAAACACAATGTTTTTTTTTTAAGTTGCATAGCTACTGAAAAGTAAACTTGCATTTCATTTCTCTGGAATGCTCATCTCACATAAAGTCTGTCACATATGTGTTTGTTGCTCGGAGGCATGCAAGTAATTTTGAACACTGCAGAAGGAATCAACACCCCATGAAAACAATGCATACGTTGTTTTAGTAGCATCATTATTTAGACCATTTCAGCATGTTTGTAACAAAAAACAAGAAGCGAGTAGTGTAACACGAGTCAAGTTCTGTTTCCCAAAAATATTTTGCATTAAAAAGGGGAAAAAGTAAACCGGTTCAAATCAATTATCTCTATGTACCTCCTTCATTACTAAAACATGTATGTATTAAATAACAATCTCTTCTTGACATCAAGATGATGCAGTATTCACAGATGCTTTTTTAAAGTCTTCTAAATCATCTTGAAAATTCACCAACTCACACACTAAAAAATGTTAGCCCAAATCTTCTATCAGCTTAATCTCTGCCAAAAGTTTCAGACACCAGACTACCTGAACGTGACGTCCAGGCAGGAATTGCTCTGAGTGCCTGAATATTACAACCAACCAAATTCCCACGTGGGAATGAAATCAATCGCCTCACCTAAATACTTAGTGGTTCTGACAAAATGGCTCCAAATGAAATGGTGCCAATAACAACATTTTAGGTGATTTCAAAAAAATCTGCAAAGGATTTTAGCTAATGTTTTCTACATGAGTTTGCTATTTAGGGAGGGGAAGGTAAAGGCTACTAGGAGTTTACTATGTCCCTCACAGTCAAGGAACCTGGAATATAATTTAATAAGTAAAAAGAAGGCTAGAAGCCATCCAAGGGGCAATGCAACCCTAGGGAGTAACTAATTCCACTTAAATTATGACAACAAAGAGCTGATTCTGAGTCCGGTCTGTTTGCTGAGGCAAGTATATAAGCCACACACATTTTCCCACAGAAATAATGCTGTAAAGAGGAATTAGACTTGACAACTGTCGATTTAACCTGAACTATTTGAGGTTATTGGGCCTGAGTAGCTTCTCTCCCCATCAAGGGCTGGCCTAAGTCTTAACTTTGGATACAAAGCCCTCTCTTCAGAACCTCCTGTCTTCCTGCCCCACTCCCAGGCGCCAGCAGCAGTGCTTCAGGATCCAAGATTATCCATCTTCCTCTCTCTTCCAGAAGCCTCCCTTTCTTCAATAAGGCACAGTCAGCTCATGACTATGAATGGACTGAATTAATACACACCAGTGCATGAACAGACTGAGCCTGAGGGGTTTTCATTCACCCCAAACAAATCCCCAACTGGCAGAACTACCAGGTATTTTTAAATCAAAGAGTACAGAAAGCTAGTCTAGCTCAAGGAAGACTTTTTACATTACAGCTTGTCTCTTTGTAACTAGTAAGTGAATTAGACAGGAAATACTCAAAGACCCTAACCAACCCCCAAAACCTTGCATAGGATACAAGCTATCCTTAATCTAAAACTGGAAATCTACTCTACACTGCCCTATCTGTGAGTTACATGGAGGCTGAAAGAAGAAACACACCAAGTTTCACTTTCACAAGTCCATCAAGTCATCAGTGTTACAGCAAAGAATATTCTTCTAGGGAAATTATCACCCATATTAAGCTCTAACTACCTGGACAACATTTTATAGGGATACCTTTTCCAACAAACTCAATTTGTATTCTATGTTAAAAATCTTCCCCCCTCCCTCCCTGCCCCACACCAAGGAGTAGTACTTTAAGCACAGGGAATTGGTTCACTTCTCAACTAAACAGACAAAGAACAAAGAATGTCATTTCTAGTAAGGTTAAATCATGACAGAAATGCCGCCATTTTCACCTCAGGCATATTACTTTCAAAACAAAATACATGGAAGAACTGTAAAGAAATGAAAAACAAAGAGCCAAGAAAATGCAGAGTCATAGAAGCTAAAAGGAGACAGCTGAAGAAACCCATTAAAATAAAACCCTATACAGTCGTTTTTTAACCCTATACAGTCGTTTTTTGTTTTGTTTTGTTTTGTTTTGTTTTGTTTTTAAAAAAAAAAAAAAAAGAGTCTCGCTCTGTCACCCAGGCTAGAGTGCAGTAGCAAGATCTTGGCTCACTGCTGCCTCCGCCTCCCAGGTAAAACTTTACACATTCTACTAACTCTTTACAAGATCGCTGTTAACTCAACATTATATAATGCTTTCTGCAGCAGAAACTAACCTCAGCAAGTATATTCAACAATTAAAAAGAACTACCCAGGCCAGGCACGCTTCTGTGGCTCACGCCTATAATCCCACCACTTTGGAAAGCAAAGGCAGGAGGATCACTTGAGCCCAGAAGTTTGAGACTAGCCGGGCAATATAGGGAGATCCCATCTCCACAAAAAATTAACATTAGCTGGGTGTGGTGGTACATGCCTGCAGTCCCAGCTACTTAGGAGGCTGAGGCAGAAGGAACACAAGCCCAGGAGGTGGAGGCAGCAGTGAGCTGAGACTGTGCCACTCGCTGCATTCCAGCCTGGGTGACAGAGCAAGACCCAGTCTCTGGGGGAGGGAAAAAAAAGAAAAAAAAAGAGGTGATTACAATGAGAGCAAAGTTTATTATTTTTAATCTATAAATATAAATAAATCAATCACCAGCATGCCATTCAACAACAAAAAAATGCACTTGAGCTATGTATACACTACAGTTAGTGGGGATTACATTTTTATTACCATTTCATGTTAGAATTCATGTTAGTCTTTCTAGCATGATAAAAATGCCATCTATTGAAAAACCAAAGAAAAGCGCAGCCTTTGGCTTTCATGTCTGTAGCTCACCCGCAAGTGGCCGGCAGGTGCTGTCCTCCCTTTCTCTCCCTCTCCTGCCAGCAGGCACCATCTCCACCTCTATTCCAGCCTTTCCGAAAATATATTTCCTGTCAAACTCTTCCAAGATGGTCTGTTCAGAGAATCTGTTTCTCAAAACTTTCTATAAATATTACAGCAACCTATACCTACAATCATATTATTTCCACAATACTCCTCAAAAAGAAAAAAAAAGCGAAAACTACAAGTTAAATATCTTTCTACCTAGTATTTTATCCTCAATAATGTAACTTTTTTTTTCCCTAAAAACATCAAAGCTTTCACAAAAGGAGGAGAAGGGTGGGCAGAAGGAATCGCAAAAGGCACCAGGAAACTTTGGAGAGTGATAACATGCTCATTATCATAGTATGGTAATGGTTGTGCGGTGTATACAGATGCACACTTGCAAAATGTACAAGACAATGCACAACTTAGTATGCCAATTATACCTCAACAAAGCTGCTTAAGAATGGTGGGTGGGGAGCCTGAGACAAGAATGCTGCCCTCTCCGCGTGCTTTAGGCACGCAGCCATGCTGTGGCCATCCACACAAAGGAAGCTGAGAGATCATGGAGAAGCACACGGGAGCCGCCATCCCTGAGCTGCTTGTCTTCTTGTTACATGAGACAATAAAAGAATCCTCAATGTTTATGAATATAGAAATACATAATAAACACATAAATGCTACATATTTAAAACCCTTAGTATTGATTACTAATTTTCAAATTAGCCACAAACCTGAAATTACCATATTTTCCAAAGCAAAAGTCCGGGCACAGTCTGACATAGTTTCGCTAAAAAGAGACTATCTGAAATCAGCTTTAGATATACTCCTATTTTTGCAACTGACATGCTAATCCACAAAATATGCTTAAATTTTTTTCTTCCGATTGGCCTGCTGCATTGCACCAACTCTATCATAGTCTAGACCCACTCATTTCTCGTGCTACCCCACTACCCACTAGGGAAAAATGATCATAAAATACAAATCAAATTCCTCCCAAACACAAATAATATAAAAAGTAAAACAACAGGGAGACAAATTCACCGACTGTTGATTTTATTTCCACATTACTTGTTTTTAAACTTACTAGCCAGGCATACCAGGGTTCACTTTCATCTTTCCACTGGCTTCCTGTAGGGCAGTCTGGATCATCAAGGAGTTGACATTTCCCATTCCCTCTATTCACTGATTCTCAAACTTCAGAATGAAAAAGAATCCACTATCTAAATAACATCACTTGCAAAAATGTTTTCTAAGTCCTACCCCTAAGAGATTATAATGTGGGGTACCAAAGAAGTGGTTAAGGAATTTACGTTTTTGATAAATCTTCCAGGTGAGTCTGATTACAAGTTCACAATTCTCACTTTAAGATAAATACTGCCCAGATGGGTCTAACTTCAAACTTCATCCTCCAGTCCCAACATATACCCTCTCTCCTCAACACAGGCACCAAGTCACAGATGTCAAAGCTGCTAAAATGTGAATAAAGAAACAAATTCAAGTTGATAATAGCTTAAGGTAATCGTCCCTCTAAAGACTATTACATTTTTTTAAATGCCAAGATACCTAAAAAGTCTTTACAACTTTAAAGAATAAAGCCACACTGGAAGATGGGGTAGCTACACAGAATGTAAGGAGTCCTTTCTGGGCTTTAAAATCACGCCGTCCTTGAACCTGGGTTCAGGTTATAGCTCTCCCACTTACTACTTCTGTGCCTTGGACAAAGTATTTAATTTTTCAACTAAGGTCTCACTTTCTTCATTTACAACATGAGAACAGTAACATCCCTACCTCACAGAGTTGCTGTGAGAATAAACAAAAATAATTAATGTAACTACTTAGGCTAGTACTCAGGACCTCAAAGGCAAAAACCATTAGTTCTGTGATTACTATGATTATACTGATCCTCTTACATTCCTTTTCTTAGCTGATTCTTTCCACAACTTACAAGGGAGACAATGCTGCCCACATTTTTGCAGACGGGTAGAGGTTAAGCTCAAGAGTGCAGATCTTAAAAATGGTAGAGCCAGAATTCAAACTAAATCCGCCCAAATCTATCCTAACCACAACTGGAAATGCTGAAGGATCTATAAGTTTCTCCCTCTCCCTCAACAGGCTCACTCACAAGCCCTCATAACCCCACACTCTGCACTAGGCCTGGCAGACCCAGGTTCCCAGTAACTGTCTGGTGAATGAGAGAATGAATGAATGGGCCCTCAGGAGTGGCAGAGGCTGAACACACTTTCTAGATCCACTACTGTACCCACCACAGCACCTTATGTGACAGATTTAAAAGAATACATGTGGGATTTAAATCAATGGACTAAGAAAAATAAATTCAAGTACTTTTTTGCATACTGGCATGCTAAAAATGAAGAGTGTTTTCCATTCAAAAGATAAAATCCACCCATTCAGGCTGGGCACGGTGGCTCACACCTGTAATTCTAGCACTTTGGGAGGCCAAGGAGGGAAGACTGCTTGAGCCCAGAAGTTTCAGACCAGCCTGGGCCACATAGTGAGACCCCATTTCTATTAAAAATGTTTTAATTTTTAAAAAATTTCACCCAGTCAACAAATACTTATCAAGCATCCACTCTGGCACAGGCTCAGTACAGGTAACAGGGACACACAGTGACATGCCGAGGCACGTCTCAGCCTTGTCCACCCCAGCACTGAGGAACAATTCCGACATAGAACAAGTAACTCCCAGCATCAGGGGTACAGTGTGGCATGCTCCAGAAACACCCAGCAAGAGTGCCCCATGGACCCTGCAAGTGGATGGGAAATGTCCCCTGAAGAAACAACATGTAAATGGCATGTAAGCTGGGGTCCCAAGGGAACCAAGGTGGAGGGCGACCATCATTCTAAGCAGAGGCAACGACATGTCTAAGGGAGCTGAGAGTGTTGAAGGGACTCGGGCAAGAAACCGGTGGCTGGAACAGAGGACAAGGCGAGAGGGGCTTGGCAGGAGATGAGAGAGGTGACAAGAGACGAGCTTAAGCAGGCCTGGCAGACTGTGTCTAGAAGGTGGGGTGGTATCTCAAGTACAACAAGAAGCCGCTCAAAGGCTTGGGAACAAGAGTACCACTGACCAACTGGCATTTGAAAAGGACCACATTGGCATCTGGGTGGAGACTGGGCTGGAGAAGGCAAGGGCACAAGCAGGGCATGAGTCAGAAGATCGCTCAATACCGTCTGCGCACAGGCAATTGTGGCTTGGACTGCAGCAGTGGCTGCAAAGAGTGACTTGGACAGAATGGAAATTTATTTGGGAAAAAGAACCAGCAGGAATTGTTTTGGATTCAAAACAGATAAAAAGAAGAGGAAAGTGTCAAAAATGTCAGTAATTTTACAGTGAAGAAATCTAACAAACACTACCTCAGCCAGGTGATCAAGGTTAATATCATCAGTAGTAAATCATGTTGAGAGCAGGTACCCTTGATATGATGTGATGAGAATGGTACTTTGCCGCTGTGGTCTTCCTTCCCCAAAACCCATTATCCAAGTCTAATCACGAGAAAAACAGTAGACAAATCCAAATTGAAGAACACTGTATAAAATACTTAGTCTGTCAAGGTCAACAAAAACAAGAAGAAATCTAACAAACTGTCAGTCTAATGGAGCCTAAGAAGATATATGACAACTAGATGTAACGTGGCATCCTGAATGGGATTCTGAAAAAGAACAAGACTTTAGGGGAAAATTAAGGAAATCTGAATGAAGTGTAGAGTTCAGTGTAAATAATGTGTTGGTACTGGTTCACTGGTGTGAAACATGTACCACAGTAATGTTAGCAGGGGAAACAGGTGTGGAGTGCACAGGAACTCTCCTTAATATTCTTCAGACATTTCTATAACTCTGAAACTATCCTAAATTAAAAAGTTTACTTTAAAACTGATCCCTGAAATTTGACTTGATCGCCTGGGAGGCTCAAGTACCCTTCACTGAGAACACGGAAGGGGACGTGGGAGGAAAATCATGAAGCTCTATCTCAGACATGAGGCTGGAGCACCCATCAGACACTCAGCATAGACAGCAAGGAGGCAGCTCTGGAGTGGGGCTCAGCAAAGAGCTCTGACCTCATGAAACAAACCTAGGAGCCATCAGCAGATTGGATCTCTGTAAGCAGATGGGGGTCACCTAGAATAAGAAGGAATATAGAGAAGGGCCTGAACTCACAGGGGTTGGGGAGGGAATGGGGAGATGGTGGTCAAAGGGTATAAACTTTTGGTTATAAGATGAATATTTTCTGGGGCTGTAATGTACAGCACGGTGACTACAGCTAATAATACTGTATTGTTTATTTGAAATTTGCTAAGCAAATTAATAAGCAGATCTTAAGTGTCCTCACTCCTCTCCTCCACCATACACACACAGTAAAACACCGTATAGTGAGGGACGTGCTGGTTGATTGTGCTAATCATTACACAATGTACACACACATCAAATTACATTGTATACTTTGAACATATACACCTTTTACTTGTCAATTATACCTCAACAAAGCTGGGGGAAAGTTTATCATTTCCTTCAGAAACAAATTAGTGTAATTCTGATGATTTATATTCTTGTCACCTTTTTTCCCGAAGAAAATAGTTATCTTTTTTGGGTAAAAGATGAGATTATTTGATTAAGCTTTTTTGACTCTCTTCTTTCCAAAACAAGGGAAAAGAAAAGAGCCTCGCTCTAATTGCTGAGAAATACCCACATTTAATGGTCACAGACAGAAGGCCCAGGGTCAAGCTCTGGGGAAATTCCACCTTTAAATGATGCGAGAGGAGGGTCACAAAGGAAATCTCCTAAGTGGGAGAGAAACAGGGGGCATGCACCATCCCAAGAGCCAAGGGAGGATGGCACAGCCAAAGTGGGTGAGTATGTCTGAAAAATCATTAAAAAGGAAAAATGTTCCTTCTACTTAATAGTGATCTAAGAAAGAAGGTTTGGCGGAATAATGGAAGCTAAATTCAAATTGGAATAGTTAAAAAATGAAAGAAAAAAAACAAAACTCTTTCAAGACGTCTGGCTCTCAGATTTTACACCTATGTTCATGGCATTATTCAAAATACCCAAAGGCTGAAACAACCCATGCACCCATGGATGGATGAACAAATCAACAAAATGTGGTGTGCACATAACGAATTCAGCCTTTAAAGGGCAGGAAAGGCTAACACATGCTCCAACATGGACGAACCTTGATGATATAAGGCTAAATGAAATAGACCAGTCACAAAAAAAGACAAATACTAGGCTGGGCGTGGTGGCTCACGCCTGCAATCCTAGCACTTTGGGAGGCCGAGGCAGGTGGAACACCTGAAGTCAGGAGTTTGAGACCAGCCTGGCCAACCATGGCCAACATGGTGAAATCCTGTCTCTACTAAAAATATAAAAAGTAGCCAGGCATTGTGGCAGAAGCCTGTAATCCCAGCTACTCAGGAGGCTGAGGCAGGAGAATAGCTTGAACCCGGGAGGCAGGGGTTGCAGTGAGCCAAGATTGCACCACTGCACTCCAGCCTGGGTGACAGAGTAAGACTCCGTCTCAAAAAAAAAAAAAAAAGACAAATACTATATGACTTCACTTTATGAGGTACTTAGAATAGTCAAATTCATACAGACAGACAGTAAAAGGGTGGTTGCCGGGGGCGAGGGGTAGGGAGAATGGGGAGTTACTGTTGACTGGGTACAGAGTTTCGGTTTTACAAGATGAGAAGAGTTCTGGAGATGGATGGTGCTGATGGTTGCACAGCAATGTGAATGTTTAAATGGTTAAGACAACAAATTTTATATATGTATATTTTACCACAATTAAAAATTTTTTAAAGCAGTTTGGCCAATCCATATCAAGCTACAATGACGTGTCATGAGAAAATTTTAAAGTTGAAGAACATTAGCCTACAGCAGCACTTCCTAAACACTTCCCTACTGACATGCAGTTCAATGTAAATGGGTTACACGTGCCTTGTGAGGGGAACTAAGCCACGCTAACCCCTGACCAGTGGTTTCTGACCTCAAGGATACTCATTCATTCTCCAGTACGTCCTACAAATATTCTTATTTTTAATGTGTTCTAAGATGTGAGAAGTCATGGCTGAAGAAGTATGGGTTAGAGATCATTTCAATTCCATCTCAGTGACAAGAAAAGTTGCTTTAGTTTTCGTTAACCTACAACTTCTGCTGCCAAAGGACAAAAAAGATGATGTGATCTTACTGAAACCAGTAACAGAGATGTTAGACAAATGAATCTCTACTGTAAAGTCACACTCCATGGCCAGGCGCAGTGGCTCATGCCTGTAATCCCAGAACTTTGGGAGGCCAAGGCGGGCGGATCGCTTGAGGTCAGGAGTTCAAGAACAGCCTGGACAACGAGGTGAAACCCCATCTCTACCAACAACACAAAAATTAGCCGGGCGTGGTGGCATGTGCCTGCTACTTGGGAGGCTGAGCCACGAGAATCACTTGAACCCGGGAGGTGGAGGTTGCAGTGAGTTGAGATTACACCACTGCACTCCAGCCTGGGTGACAGGGCAAGACTCTGACCCAAAAAAAAAAAAAAAAAAGTAAGTCACACTCCACTTCTGACAGTTTTTTGGTTTTTTTGTTTTGTTTTTTTGAGATGGAGTCTCACTCTGTCACCCAGGCTGGAGGGCAATGACACAATCTGGGGTCACTACAACTTCTGCCTCCCGGGTTCAAGCAGTTCTCCCACCTCAGCCTCCCAAGTAGCTGGGATTACAGGCATGCACCACCACGCCAGGCTAATTTTTTGTATTTTTAGTAGAGATGGGGTTTCACCATGTTGGCCAGGCTGGTCTTGAACTCCTGACCTCCAAGTAATCCGCCCACCTCGACTTCCCAAAGTGCTGAGATTACGGGTGTGAGTCATTGCGCCCGGCCCTGATAGACCTTTAAGAACAGAATAGGAGCAATACTTTCCTCTTTACAATATGTTAGAATGACAAAAACTAAATCAGTGTATAAGGAAAGAAAAAACAATGTGGTAATTTTGTAGGCACAGAATAAACAGATCAATGAACAAGGAGTTCAGGTAAAAAACCACATATTTGTGGAAACTTAGCACATGGTAATGGCAACATCTCAAATCAGTAGAAAATGATCAATGACTCAATAATAACCATCTTATTTGGAGAAAAATGAAATTAGAGCTCTAACTCATCCCATTCACATATAAAAAAAGTTCAGCTATATTAAACATCTAAGGATAAAAATTCAAAACAAAGAAGAAAATCTAGGGAGAATACTTAATTACTGGTGTGGGAAAGACCAAGTACACATGCCATCAAGGCCAAAAAGATTCAGAGTTTGGGAGCATGACTCATAGGATTGGCATGAGGACATAATGAGTTAAGAAAACTAAGACTGAAATACAGATGACTAAAGGGAGAAATATTATACATACTTCTTTTAAAAGAAAAACAGAAATCAGAAAGAAAAAGAACGAAGAACCTACTAGAAAAAAAGACTGAAGACTATTATAAAAAGTAACATATCCAAAAAAATAGCATAAATGGTCAAACCATGCTAAATTGCAGGAATATACAAAGAAATGTAAATTAAAAGGAGATCTGAGTCTTCTACCTGTTGGGCTGAGAAAGGATTTAAAAGACTGACAACACTTACCATTGGTAAGGGTTTGGGGAAATGGATGCTCTCACTTTTAGCTAATGAGAGTCCAAATTGGTATTCTACAACATTTCTTTTCTTTTCTTTTTTTTGAGACACGGACTTACTCTGTTGCACAGGCTGGGGTGCACTCGCACGATCACAGCTCACTGCAGCCTCGACTTCCTGGGCTCAAGTGATCCTCCCACCTTAGCTTCCCGAGCAGCTGGGACCACAGGAACGCACAACCATGCCCAGCTAATTTTGTTTATTTTGTGTAAAGCCAGGTCTCCCTATGTTGCCCAGGCTGGTCTTGAACTCCTGGGCTCAAGTGATCCTTCTGCCCAGACCTTTCAAACTGCTGGAATTACAGGAGTGGCCACTGCACCTGGCCTGGTACAACATTTCTAAGGGCATATGTCAAATATTTACACTCTGACAAGCACTTCTGTCCTAGAACATAACTGGAGATGTTAAGTGCATCACTTATTGTAAGAGCAAAATATGACGACAACCAATAAGGGATTGGCTGAAAACTTTTTATGGCATACCCGTGCTATGTCTTTATGCACACACATACCCACACACAGGCACTGACACAAAAATGTCCACAACATGGTGTATAAATGGGGAGGAAAAAACAGGGAAGCTGTATATGATTCCTCTTGTATGTACACTCAAACATATATACATACAACACACACGCGATTTACACAAGCATTTGTAAAGTCCAAAAAAGGATATAAATCAAATTGCTCACAATGGTTATCTCCTAGGATGTACAATTTTAGGATAAAATCAGTTTATAATCTCTACACTCCTGTTATTAGAATTTTTCAAAGACCATTTATTACTTTTATAAGTATATATTTTACATACACTGTTGTAATAAAATATAATAAGATAATTTCTATGGGAGGGGACAGCAATCTATGGCAAAAAGGACATAATGATTTGTATGTTCCCTTTCTTCATTAATATGTAAAGTCCTTTAACTATAAGGCAGCTTCCAGTTATGACTGAATGGTCTTAAAACATCCATATTATTTTTTTAGACAAAGGAATGCTCTATACTGCACAGTCAGAAGTTAGATCTTCCTGAGTTATGGCAAAGTTACGACACTGGGGTCCTCATATAAAAGCATAAGACTCAGCAAATAGAGGACAATCTTCTTCACGCATGCATAAATTAGAAGGAGCTACAGCCTGTCAATACGATTTCAGACACACAAAATCATTGTGAGGCTAAACTTAGCAGAGACCCATGAAAATACCCACTATAGGATCAGACCAATTAACTGATCAAAAGAGTAGCTGCAAGAAATTTAACTTATTTAATATATAACCACACCAGTATAATGCCGGCTAAACTGGTTTCTGTAATGGGCATAAAACAATCACAACACCCCCCCCCCAACACACACACACACACCACCACCACCACCACCACCACCACCACACACACCACTTTAAGGATAATGCTGAAAAGACAGGTTGTAACAGAACCTCAATATACAAAGTGATATGTAATCTCAATTTTATTGTAATAATACTGAAAACAGTCACTTCTTAAGTGGGTAATGTCCCTAAGGATAAGTAGTTCTGTAAACTATATTACTGTGTCTAAGAAACATACAGTAAACAAAATGAATGCCATGAAACAAAGCTAATTCAAAGAATTCAAAATACAATTGAACAGTTAAAATCCTTTAAAAGCAAAAACAACTGTAATTTGAATTGGAGATATCAGTACTAACATCCCTACAATATGTCTTCATTTATGACTGGCCTATCTTTCTTTCTTCAGTATCCCACTCCTCATTCCTTCCCATTCCTGGGATCCTGAATCATTAATTCATTCGCACAGCAATTCTTTATTGAGCATTTACTATGTGCCAGGCACCATTCTAAACTGGAGATGCAGCAGTGAGTAAAACTAAAATCTCTGCCCTGGCATATCTTGCATTCTAGTGGCATCAAATCCATCAGTGCCACCCACAACATAAAATTACATCCTTCTGGCCGTCCCACCTCAACATCCCTAGATCTCCCCATTAATAGGCTTTTTTTTTCTTTTTACAGTGCACTCGGCACATGATTTGATTTTCAGTGTCCCCACTTTAGAACATTAAGCTCCAGAAGACAGGAATGTTTTTTATGTTTTGTATGTTCCAAGAGCTTAGAGTATTGCCTGTCATACAGACATTCAAATATTTGTTGAGTTAACGAATGCCTTCTCTTCCCTCTATGGTCTAGCTCTCTCTCCCAATGAAAGTTGCTCACATCTATCCTACTCTGTAAACAAAACACATGTCCTTGTCCTACAGCCCGACCCTACCTTGCCTGCTACTTTCTGGCTTCTTTGAAGATGCAGAACTGCAGTAGTCTGTAGCAACTATCTCCACCTCTTCACTTTCACTGCAACTGCTTTGGTTTTGTTTGTTTGGTCACCAAAGCCTTCTTCATCTGCAAATCCAAACTTATTTTACTTTTTTAATTGAACAAGTAATTCGTATTCACTACAAAAGTACACAGAAAATGGCATCACATGCCATGTAATGACTTAAGCCAGAAACCTGGGAGTTATTCTCAATGTCTCCCTGTCTCTCCCAGCCCACACTCAATCCATCACCAGTTCTGAATGACTCTATTTCCAAACCCCATCTCCAAGCCATCCAGTTATCTCCAGCTCCACTGCTGGGCCTTGGCGCCACCTCCACCGTTAACTTTCACTGGATTCCTGCAAATTGCACCCAGTGGTCTCTCAACTTCCATTCTTGCCTCCAATCCCCTGACCACTCAGCACCCCACACGGTGGCTGTAAATAGCAAAACAGTCCAAGAATCTCCTATTTCAGACCTCTATCACGGGCAACCCTTCACAGGGACACCCTAGTTTCCAAGGTGGCCTATGGCTGTGAGTAGCATGACCCCTGCTGTGGCCTCTTCTCCTGCCACTCTCTACCTCCCCCTACCCTCTAGAGACCTCCCACTCCTCACTTCAGACATGCCGAGCTCTTCCCATCATGAAGTCTGCCCGCAAGCCTCCCCTCCATCTAGATCATTCTTCTCTGATCACTCATCTCACCAAGCTAACCTCCTCCTCATCACTTTCATCATAAAAATATCACTTTCTAAGAGAAGTCTGCCCTGGCTTCTCATCTGAATTACATTGTCCTCTCTTGTAGCAGCCTGTATTTTTCCTTCTTACACCCTTTATAGCACTGTGTAAGTATGTACCCATTCTTATAATTAATTATCTGCTCAATGGCTGTCTCCCTTTGAAAGCAAGATTTTATCTTGATCCATCTATCTATCCATACATCCATCCCATCTATCTAACCAATCTATTTAATCTATCCATCTATCCCCCCAGTGACTAGAATAGTGCCTGGCACAAAAGAGCTCAGATGAATGACTGACTGTCCTATCAGCCTATAAACTGCAAAAACAAGTTCAATGTCTATTTTGTCTGCTGTTATGTATCTCGTAACAAACACATTGTCTGGAATAGAGAAAATACTCAACATTCATTAAATAAATGCTGAATGAATACCAAAAAAAAAAAAAAGCGGCAGGGGGAAGCATCATAATTCTATCTGTCACAGAGAAAAAAAAAAAAAAACACTGGTTCCATCTTGGCCATCTTGATATATACAGCCTTCCAGATTGCTCTACATTGTGTTAATTGTATGGCGTCCAGCTCCTGCAACGCAGGTGGCTTCTCCAGTACCCATCTCTACAAGCACCTGCAGCTGCTCCAGCCTCCAGAGACTACAGCACACAACAGCAGGCCATACCCAGCAGCCAGCAGCTCCCCCCAGCATCCCACTCTGGAGGTTTTGTAGCAGGGTACCTCCAGTGAGACACCTCCCCATGAAGAGCTTTTGTGTGGCGCCCTAGTGAGCAACTTCTGGCAGGTATCAGAGGGTGGATTTCCATTAAGTTCCACTAGTATGACATGCCAGCAACTTCTTGGCCATGCAGTAAACCAGCCATGCCCTCTCTGGATGAGGTCTGGATCTTGGTCCTGGGGGAAGGAGAGACTCTTCCTTGCAGACTCTACCTCAGCCCCAGGGGCAGCAGTTGCTCTGTTTATCTGCTATTTTCATATTCTTTACAATTCTCTTCACTTTTCACTAGCCTAACCAAATCCCTCCTTACTTCGATTCCCTGTTATAATTAGTAATTATCCACATTAAACGCTGCTTTCAATTTACTGGTGATGAAGTTTGAATCTGTGTCCACACCCAAATCTCATGTCCACACTGTAATCTCCAGTGCTGGAGGTGGGGCCTGGTGGGAGGTGACTGGATCATGGGGGTGCACCTTCACGAATGGCTTAGCACCGTCCCTTTGGTACTGTTCTCATGATTGAGTTCTCAGGAGATCCGACTGTTTAAAAGTGTGTAGCACCTCCCCTCCTCTCTCTCTCTCTTGCTCCTGCTCTGGCGATGTAAGACAAGCCTGCTTCCCCTTCTCCTTCTGCCATGATTGTAAGTTTCCTGAGGCCTCCCCCAGAATCCAAGCAGATGCCGGCACCATGCTTCCTGAACCGCCTGTGGAACCATGAACAAATTAAACCTCTTTTCTTTATAAATCACCCAGTCTTGGGTATTTCTTTATAGCCCTATGAGGACAAACTAATACAACTGGTTTCTCTCTCCTGATTGGATCCAGATTGATACAAATTTGGAATTTGTGTTTGTTGTTGGCATATAAAATTGCAATTGTGTCCAGAATTACCTTGAATCTTGCAACCTAGCTTATTATTTATAATAAGTTATAAAGAGGTTTTTTTTAATTTTCTACATATACAATCATGTCATCTACAAAATCACAGTTTTATTCTTCCCTTTCTCATCCCTGTACTATTTTTCTTGCCATACTCAACTAGGTAGGACTTCCAGTAAAATAATAAACAGAATTGGTGACAGTGAAAACAACTTCTCTTTCCCTGTCTCAAAAGAAAACTTCCAACATTTCACCAGTAAACATGGTGTTTGCTATAGGATTTTTCTGAGTAATCTTTATCAAATTAAGGAAGTTAACTTTCATTCATAATGTATTAAGAGATTCCATTTTGAATGGGTATTGGATTTTGCCAAAGGCAATTTTTGCACCTCTGACATTATCACATGATTTTTCTGCTCTACTCTATTAATTTAGTGATTTATACTGATCAATTTTTCAAATATTAAACCTGTCTTTGTAAGTATGATATTCTGAATTTAGTCTTTCGAAATCTGTTGAGATTTACTCTATAAATCAACAATTTTGATCAATGTTCCCTATGCATATGAAAAGAATGTACAGTCTACAGTTATTGGGTGCAGTGTTGTATTTCATATTTCATTATATTCCATATTTCATTTTGAATGTATCTTATTTTCAACAGTCTTTTGTTGCTTAACAACAGGGATACATTCTGAGAAATGCATCACTAGGCTATTTCATCATTGTGCAAAGATGACAATGTACTTACACAAACGTACTTACACAAAGATGTACTTACAAAAACCTAGATAGTACAACCTTCCACATTCCTAAGCCATATGGTATATCCTATTGCCCCTGGGCTATGAATCTGCGTATTATTGTACTGAATATTGCAAGCAACTGTGACACGATAGGTATCTGTATCTAAACACATATAAACATAGAAACAGTAATGTGTTACACTATGACACTATGACATCCCTACGAGACAGGAATTTTCCAGTTCCAATAAAATCTTATGAGACCAGCATCATATATTTAGTCAGTCCCTTGTTGACTGAAACATCGTTATGAAGCACAGGACAGTAGTACGTCTAGATTACACATAAACCCACTGAGATTTCAATTAGGTCAAGTTTGTTCATTATGTTATGGAAATCTTCTATGTCCTTACTGATACTTTGTTTCTGAGTTAATGAAGACGGTATATTAAAACTTTCCACTATGAATTGCAGATTTGTCTGTTCTTTGTCATTTTTGTTAATTCTTGCTTTATGTATTTTGAGATAGTGTTTTTAGGTACATACAGAGGTAGAACTGTTGTAACTTCCTGGAGAACTGAATTGAGTATTTTACCATTATGTATGTCTTTATCCCAAGCAATTATTTCTACCCTAAAGCCCACTTTGTTAATAAAGGTACACCAGTTTTCTTTTAATGTTTGAGTAATATGGCTTTTCTACCATTTTATTTTCAACTTTTCTACATCCTTGAAAGCGGTACAGAGTTGTGATCTGCTTTGATTTTTTATCCAATTTCCCAATCTTTGCTTTTTAATTAGAAATTTTGGTTCATTTTTATTTAATATAATTACTGATAGACTAAGTTTAAATCTAACAACTTACTGTTCACTTCCTATTTTTCCCACATGCTCTGTTTCTGTTTTTGGTCGTCTTGCCTTCTTTCAGATTAATCAAGTTTTACTACTACTACTGCTGTTACTATTCCATATTTCCCCTCTATTAATTTGTTAATTACATATATTTTACTACTCTTTTAATGACTATCTTAGAGATTACAACATGTGTCCTTGACTTATCAAAGTCTCAAGTAAATTAATATTTTTACCACTTCCTGGGCAATGAAAAGACCGTAAGATATTAACTTTTATTTAACACCCCCACAACTTATATGCTACTACTATATTTTTAAATTCTATGTGTATTTTAAACCACAAATAATTATTTTACCCAACAGTGTTCATTTACATTTACCATCTTATTTCTCCTTTCTTTGGTCTTCACTTTTCCACGCATCTTAAAGCTGCCATGCAGGATCATTTCTCTTCTGCCAAAGACCAATCTTTCTATTATTCCCTTTAGTGCAGGTCTGGTGTAATTAACTCTGTGATACTGTGATATAATAAGAAACATATATTTGGTCTTCATTTCAAGTTCCTGGCATTGAGCCCTGAAACACGGTAGTAAGAAGAGCAGACATACCTGAGTTTATGATGAGAGGACTCTCGGGAGAATGGCGACTGGTTACCAAAGCAACCAATCATGTGATTAGAGGATTCAGACTTTCATCCCCTGTCACTCTGCTCCCCACCCCACCACCTCCTGGGAAGGGAGAGAGGTTAGAGACTGAGTTCAATAACCAACGGCCAATGGCCAATGATTTGATCAATCATGCCTTCGTAATAGAGCCTCCATAAAAACCCAAACAACAGAGTCCAGACAGCTTCCGGGATGGTGAACACATAGGGGAGCTGGGAGGGTGACTCACCTGGAGAGGGTGTGCAAGTTCTGAGTTCCTCCCCATACCCTGCCCTATGCATCTCTCTTTTAGCTGTTCCTGAATTGTATTCTGTATAATCAACAGGTAAACCTAGGTAAATGTTTCCCTGTTTTGTGAGCCATTCTAGCAAATCACTGAATCTGAGGAGGGGGTTATAGGAATCACTTCATAGCAGTCGGTAAGAAATATCGGAGACCTGGACTTGCAATTGGTTTCTAAGCAATCTTGTGAGGCCAAGCTCTCAACCTGTGAAGCAAGTAATTCCAGGCAGTTAGTATCCAAATTGAGTTAAATTGCAGAATACCCGGAGTCCACAGAGAACTGGAGAATTGGTTGGTATGAAAAAAACCCTACACATTTGGTATGAGAAGTTTTGTGAGTGTAGAAGAAAGAGAATTGGGGTTTTGGCTTTTTCTTTTAAATCCTTCTCATTTTTGTTGATCTAAAGAAGTGATAATTTTGTCCTCACTTTTGAAGGGTATAACATTCTAGTTTGGCTGTTTACCTTCTTTTTTACATTTTTAAAACATTAGTTCATTGCCTTCTGAGAAGGATGCACTATTACATCTATTGAGAAATTAGCTGTCAATCTCACTGCTCTTTTCAATGTAGTACGTAGTTTTTCTCTGGTTACTTTTTTTTTTTTTTTTTGGAGATAGAGTCTCACTCTCACCTAGGCTGGAGTACTTTGGTGGGATCTTGGCTCACTGCAATATCTGCCTTCTGGGTTCAAGCAATTCTCGTGCCTCAGCCTCCCAAGTGGCTGGAATTACAGGCGTGCACCACCACGCCCGGCTAATTTTTGTATTTTTAGTAGAGACAGGGTTTCACCATGTCAGCCAGGCTGGTCTCGAACTCCCGGCCTCAACTGATCTGCCCACCTCAGCCTCCCAAGTGGCTGGGATTACAGGCATGAACCATCATGCCCAGCTAATTTTTGTATTTTTAGTAGAGATGGGGTTTTGCCACATTGGCTAGGCTGATCTCAAACTTCTGGCCTCAAGTGATCCATCCGCCTCAGTCTCCCAAAGAGCTGGGATCACAGGAGTGAGCCACCGCACCTGGCCTCTGGTTACTATTAAAATGTTCTCCTTATCTTAGATTTCTGGTAGTATTTTTTAAATCTGTGATGAGATGGCTTTTGCCTGTTATGAACAATTCTCAGCTATCATCACTCCAAATACTGCTTCTGCAGCACTCCTCCTTCCTTTCCTACTAGGATTTCAATTACATGTTGGTTAGACCTTTCCACAGAATCCCTAAGACTCACTCTATAATGTATGTCCAGACCATTTTTATTTCCATATTTCATTCTGAACATTTGTTTTCTACTTATTACTAATGTACTGCTAAACCCATTAACTGACATCTTAATTTCATTTACAGTCCTTTAACTCTACAGTTTACATTTGGTTTTTCTACTGGGGAGGGGGTGGTGTGGTTCCAATTTCCCTATTCTTAATCTTTTAACTCCGTAAACATACTACATACCTTACCCTTTTCTAATAACTTCACTATCTGGATCCCTGTCGATCCACTTCCATAGTCTGTTGTTTCTCTTGGCGTTCAGTAACATTGTCTTAAATCCTCATCTGCCTGGTGATTTCTGAGTGCCAAACATTGTAAATAAACATAGAGCTCATCTGAGGTTCTGAGTGATGTTATCTTCTTCTATTAATGAAAGAAATTATACTTGCTTCTTTCCAGAACACCTTGATCCAGCCAGGAACTGAGAGGGTCTGGAGCTGGACTTCAATACCTGTTAGGAGCTACTATCTCTAAGATATAGGCTTTTGGGTCTCCTACTCAAAGCCTAAGAAGTTTTCCTGCTCCCTGATCTGAGCCAAACTCCAATTTTTGTCCTCCGCCCTCTGAGTCTAACAAAAACTCTGTTCAGCCGTCCAGCTTCTCATCTGCCTAATTCTTCTGGAATGAGCAGATTCCTCTGGGAAAGAAATGACTGCAAATGCTGGTCTCACATCTTGGGCTTCCCTACCTCATCACCACGCCCCACCTCTTACACCCACAAATCTTCACTATTTTGTTAACTCTCCATTTCCTTCACATAAATTTTGTTTTAAATTTTGTCCATCATCTCGACTTGCTCTCAGCAGGAAATAAGGCCCAACAACTTAGTCTATCATCAACCAGAAAAATCTTCCCTACTCTCCCTTTTTCACTCTTTGTGGGTCTACCCCTTCTGTAATTCCTGTCATTTTATCAAAATTTTGGAAGGATGGAAGATAAAGACATCTTCAATGAGTCCTACTTAACCAGAAACCTTCAGTTATTCATTTTTTTGATAGATCATTTAGATATGAAGGATATTAAACCTCTGCCTGTCAAATCTATGGCAAATACTTTTCCTAGTTTGCCATTTACACTTTAATTTTATGATATTTTTAGCACACAGACATGCTGGATTTACATGAAAATTTCTTAGTCTTTTCTTTCTGTTATAATTAGAATGGGTATGGTCCTTCCTAACTTGAACACAAAGTAAGTATTGACCCACGTTTTCTCCTAATATTTTTACTATTTTCAATTTCTACATTTAATTTTTAGATTTATTTTGGTATAAGGCATGAGGTGGGGACCTAAACTAACTTTTTTTTTTTTTTTTTTTTCTGAGACAAAGTCTTGCTCTGTCGCCCAGGTTGGATTGCAGTTGCATGATCTCGGCTCATTGCAACCTCCACCTCCCAGGTTCAAGTGATTCTCGTGCCTCAGCCTGCCAAGTAGCTGGGATTACAGGCATGCGTCACCACATCTGGCTAATTTTTGTATTTTTAGTAGAGACGGGGTTTTGCCATGTTGGCCAGGCCAGTCTTGAACTCCTGACTTCAAGTGATCCTCCTGCCTCAGCCTCCCAAAGTGCTGGGATTACAGGCATGTGCCACCACATCCGGCCTAACCTAATATTTTTTAAGTGGTAAGCCAATTGTCCCAAATGTCCATTTAAATAAACAGCCCTCCATTTCCTCCTCAAAACTGTACCTTTATCATATACTAAATATATATATATATAATTTTTTTTTTCCTTAACACTTCTATAATTTTACTCTGCACCTTGGCACTGCTGATCCCTATTGCTCAGTCTCCTTGCTACTATGTCCTGCCTTGGTTTCTGTAACTCTCCCAGCTCCCCTCATCTTCAACTATTCCTTCTTAGTCTCCTTTGTAGGCTCAATTTCCTTTCTATGTCCCCTCTCTCATTTCATCCTCTCTCATTTTCCAGCCTCCTTCAGTTCATTTCTGGAAGCTCTTTCTTCTCTCATTCTCCTACTCTCCAAGGAAAATTTTATCCGTACTCTCAGCTTCTTTGAGCTCTCTCTAGGTCCCAAATCTACATCCAACTGCTTTCTAGGATCTCTAGATGTTCCCCAGGTGCTCCAAGCTCAACCATACAAATGAAAATACAGTATGTCCTGAAACCTGCTCTTCTTTATGTATTTCATTATCTACAGTACCACCATCACTCAAACCAGAATCTCAGGAATTTCTCCTCTCCTTCACCGTGAAAGGATCCAGAATAAGCCACTATAGCATAAAAATTATTTTGAGCTGAAGGCATTTGAGTTCCTGAAACCCCTTATCTGCCTAAAAGCAGAGCCTCCCAAAAGAACTCAAAGAACTCAATTGTCATGAACCCTTTCCCACAGGGGCAACTCTAATCATCTGAGATGAGAAGACAACCAAACAGAAAATGTCACGAAAATATACAGCTTCCATTTATTCTCCTATGAGCCCATTTATCTTTCCAAATAGTTCTTTGTTTTCCCGGAAGTACCCTTTCTCCCTCTCCTCTTCATCTATTAAGATGGTGCATAAACCCCAAATTCTAACAACTCTTTTCAGTCACATTTATTTGTGAACTCCCCTAAGTATTTACAAAATTAAAATCTACCTTTTCTCTTGCTAATCTATCATCTGTCAGTTTAATTCAAAGGCCCTCAAGTACTGAACCTAACAGAGTAGAGAAAAAGTGTGACAGGATCACGTCTTAGAGGTCACATAAATGCTACTAACTCTACCTCCCAAGTCAGATCCTTCGCTACTGCCAATGTCTAAAAACAGGTCTTAGTTACTACCTCTGGGATGGATTCCTCACCAGACTCCCAGCGTTCTTCCAAACCATTCTCTACATGGTCCACAGGGTAACTGCATAAAATAAAAATCTGCTCATTTTCCTCTTCTGATTAAACTGTGCTAAAAGGCCAGATGCAGTAGCTTATGCCTGTAATCCCAATACTTTGGGAGGACGAAACGGGAGGACCACTTGAGACTAGGAGTTCAAGGCCGGGGAAATGTAGGGAGACTCTGTCTTTACAAAATAAAAATAAAACTATTAGCCAGATATGGTGGTGCACCCCTGTGGTCTCAGCCACGCTGGAGGCTGAGGTATGAGAGGATTGTTTGAGGCCAAGGAGTTGAAGTCTATGGTGAGCTATGATCAAGCTGGGAGACAGAGTGAGACCTTCAAAGAAAACAACAACAAAAAAATCTGTTAAAATGTAAACCCAGGCTGGTGTGGTGGCTCATGCCTGTAATCCTGGCACACTGGTGAGGTGGGTGGATCACCTGTGGTCAAGAGTTTGAGACCAGCCTGGTCACTATGGTGAAACTCTTTTTCTACTAGAAATAAAAATCTTAGGCCAGGCGCGGAGGCTCATACCTGTAATCCCAGCACTTTGGGAGGCTGAGGCAGGCAGATTACGAGGTCAGGAGTTCAAGACCAGCCTGACCAACATGCTGAAACCCCGTCTCTACTAAAAATACAAAAAAAAAAAAAAATTAGCTGGGTGCCACATGCGTGCCTGTAATCCCAGCTACTCAGGAGGCTGAGACAGAAGAATCACTTGAACCCGGGAGACGGAGGTTGCAGTGAGCAGAGATCCCGCCACTGTACTCCAGCCTGGGTGACAGAGGGGGACTCCATCTCAAAAAAAAAAAAAAGTTAGCTGGGGGTGGCAGTGCATGCCTGTAATCCCAGCTACTAGGGAGGCTGAGGCAGGAAGAATTGCTTGAACCCAGGAGGCAGAGGTTGCAGTCAGCCGAAATCACACCACTGCACTCCAGCTTGGGTGACAGGGTAAGACTCTGTCTCAAAAAAAAAAAAACAAAATTTAAACGCAACGTGGCATACATAGCCTTCTATGATCTAGCTGCTACTCTCTAACCTTAACTCATCCATCTCTCTCCTTAAACCCTAAACTAGCCATAGCGAATTATCCAAGCAACTCAAACTACTTCCTTCTTCCGTTCCTTTGCACAGGAAAGGAAGTATTAATAGTTTGACTAAACGTAGTACCTTCAGCCCAGAAAGTTTTCTTGCTGATTCTCTTTGTCTGCCTAGCAAACTTTCTAATCATCTTCAAAATACAGCTTTAGTGTCATTTTTAAAAAAAAAATCCATCCTTCACTTGAGGCCAGGAGTTCGAGACATGCCTGACCAACACAGCAAAACCCCATCTCTACTAAAAAGTAGAAAAATAAGCCAGGCGCAGTGGCACAAGCCTATAATCCCAGCTACTCGGTAGGCTGAGGCAAAAGAACAGCTTGAACCCAGGAGGCAGAGGTTGCAGTGAGCCAAGATGGCGCCACTGCACTCCAGCCTGGGAGATAGAGCAAGATTCCGTCTCCAAAAAAAAAAAAAAATCCATCCTTCATGTGCTCAAGCAGACCATCACTGCTCCTTTTTGCCGCAGATACATCTTATACACACATACTTTATAATTCTATTATACCTTTTATACCATATTGCAATCATTTTTTATGTCTGTCTTCCCTCCAAGACTATGGCTGCCTTTTATTTACTTCCAATTAGCCAGACTTACATACTGACCAAGAGTGTCTCCTTGACCAAACTCTAGCCAAGCTCCTCTGAATCCTCTTCCCAACTAGGTCTTCAGTGTCAACCTTCAGTATCCATCCTTGTCTGTCTAGCCTAGTTTTAGCAAGAATTCTGTCAATATGGTTTAGTAATACTAATGATTCTTTATTATTATAAATTTAATCCATGTAGAAATAACCTGTGTTTTGGGACTCCTTTTAGTTAAAAAGTTGACAAAAAGCTAGAAGTCTTCGTAACTACAGCTAAAAATGTTTCTAGTTTTTGCATATAAATGATACAAGCTACTCTGTTTTTGAACTTTTTAAAAAACCTTCATATCCATTTCCTTACTATGGTACAACTACAGCCCCAGGCAGGAAAGCTGCATATCTTTATTTGGGCAATTGTCTCCTTATAAAGAGAATAAAAAGAGCCATAACAAACATTCAAATGAAAAGTGGCTCCACGTAAATGGAGAGTAGATAAGGGCATTTTCCAATAGTTTGAGATGATGAGAATATCTCAGATTATCAAAACAGATTTGATATGAAAGTTTTAATGAATCTGTAAAACCTACTTTTAAGTATAAGTAAAGAAATCCTAGTTCAAATTTTAAAACCAAATATACATGGTGAAAAGTGAGAAAATGTATCTTATATGGTTTGGCTGTGTCCCCACCCAAATCTCACCTTGAACTGTAATAATTCCCATGTGTCAAGGGCGGGGCCAGGTGGAGATAATTGAATCATGGGGACTGTTTCCCCCATATTGTTCTCATGGTAGTGAATGAGTCTCAAGAGATCTGATGGTTTTATAAACGGGAGTTCCCCTGCACATTCTCTCGTCTGCCATGTATGACATGCCTTTGCTTCTCCTTTGCCTTCTGCCATGATTGTGAGGCCTCCCCAGCCATGTGGAATTGTGAGTCCATTAAACCTCTTTCCTTTATAAATTATCCAGTCTCAGGTATGTCTTTACTAGGAGCATGAGAACGGACTAATACAATATCCCATTAACCTATTTTCAAAACTTATTCCCAGACCTGTCAGGAGACCTTGAGGTCTGTCATTAACAAACAGATCTTAGTTACTACGCTCTAGCTTTCCAAAGAATAGCAGTGTAGAGTAACATAGATACAACCTGCTAAGAAGCAATTACTAAACTGAAACTTCCATATCTCCAAGAAGCAGCACTTAAATCATCCATGGTAACATTGTTTCTTTAAAGTTTTCAACATGTGGCAGTTTTGTTTAAGTAAATAACAGCTTTATTGAGATATAATTCACAAATCATAAAGTCCACTCACTTAAAGTATATTTTTTAATATATGCACAGAGTTGTGCAACCATCACTATTGCAGCTTTTAACTCAATTTGGTTAGGCTAGAATTTTCTCAGGATTCCCTTCCCTGAATCTGGACAAGATTTAAAAAGCGAAAAGTAAAACCACCATTACTTCCTGAGGGCCGAGGTAGTTAGAGGTGGTAGCAGATATAAACGGAGATGCCAGAGGGTTCCAGCTTGTCCACGTGCTGCTTCTGTCACTAGCTTTTTCCCCCAACTGCCGGCCTTGTCAGCGAACAGAAGCCCCTGGACCATCAGCTGCTGGCCAGCAGACCTAGAGAAGTGATTGCTATGCAGAGGTAATAGCTTTTCATAGACTTTTTCATCAGCTTTCCTTTGTGGTCCCGTTCTAGCAGCTGCTCATGCCTGGCTTCTCAGAGCCTCCCACAAGTTCTAACTCAGCCACCCGTACAGGTGCTTCAGGAGAGGTGCTTTCGTGGCTCTTCTCTGGTCCTCTAATTCTTCCTTCCAGACTGTCATTTTTCCAGCTTTTCCCCACAGTTGTAAAATATCTTATTGCTATAAAAAATAAATCCCTTATTACATAATACAGTGGTTCTGCTTCCCTGACTGAATCCTGACTGATATCCACGAGTTACTTATGTGTCCTTAAACAATAGCTTAGCATTGACTCTTTGAACTTTAGAAAACTAGAATCTGATCGTATGTATTCTGTGAGAATCTTCTTCTATGGTGCTGCATGTAGCTGTATTTTGCTCATTTCTCACTGCTGTTCAATAATCTACTCTACACCATATACCATTTCAGTAAACTTTTTTTTTTTTTTTTTTTTTTTTGGACACAGGGTCTCTCTCACTCTGTCACCCAAGCTGGAGTGTAGTGGCACAATCTCAGCTCACCACAACCTCCACCTCCCAGGCCCAAGCAATTCTCCCACCTCAGGCTCCCAAGTAGCTGGGACTACAGGCACGCACCTCTATGCTGGGCTAATTTTTGCATTTTTTTTTTTTTTTTTTTTGTAATGCAATGGTTTTGTCATGTTGCCCAGGCTGGTCTTGAACTCCTGGGCTCCAGCATCTGCCTGCCTCAGCCTCCCAAAGTGCTGGGATTACTGGCGCGAGCCACTGTGCCCAGCCCCATTTCAGTGAACTTTTTATTAAAATATTATATACAAACAGGAAACAGCACAAATTGTAAATATATTTGTGTGTATGTGTGCATGTGTATCACACCTGTCATCAAGAAAGAACATTACCAACACCCCAGAAGCCCTGCTAATATATCCTCCCTACTCTCCAAAGGTAACTACATCTCCTGACTTGCAACACCATAAATTAATTTTGCCTTTGTTTTGAACCTGTATACAGAATCAAACAATATATATTCTGAGTGTCTGGTTTCTTTCTCTCAACATTATGTTTGTGAGAGTTACTCACTTCTTGAATATTCATCAATTCATTAGTTTTCACAGCTATACAGTCTGTCAAGAATATACATAAGGAGTAGAACTGCTGGGCTTTATGGTGTGCAAATCTTCCACTCTCATAGATAATTCTAGTTTCCCAAAGTGGTTAAACTAATGTAGATTCCCATCAGCAGTACATGAAAGCTCCCCCTGCTCTGTTTCTTGCTGACACCTGATGGTGTCTTTTTTAATTTGGCCACGCAGATGTATAAGGGCATCTAAATTATACTGAAGCTGTTGTGGGAGTATGTCAATGTCATAGAGAATTATAAAAAAGTTTGGGGCCGGGCGCAGTGGCTCATGCCTATAATCCCAGCACTTTGGGAAGCTGAGGCAGGTGGATCACCTGAGATCAGGACTTTGAGACCAGCCTGGCCAACATGGTGAAACCCTGCCTCTACTAAAAATACTAAAATTAGCAGGGCATGGTGGTGCGTGCCTGTAATCCCAGCTACCTGGGAGACTGAGGCGGAAGAACTGCACAATGAGGATGGTTAAGTTACTCTCATACTAATAAAACTATCCTCAAGGAAAAAATTATAAGAGACCATTAACAGCCAATCTCTATTCTGAGAACTCCCTATATCAGGTTTGAGCTAACCTCTTGATCACTTTTCTGGATCTTTCCCTGACCAAACCAAAAACACAAAGTTTTCTAACTGAAATTCCTCAGAAACTGATCACCTTGTAAAATACTGTCTTTCCAAATTGGATGACCACTTATCAGGAATGCTCATCTCACAGTGTTCCAAGACTGGGTAGGGAATGGAATGGACATCTAAGAACCTTAAGCTGTAGAAAGAACAGCAGCTCAAAGATGGAGACAGACTATGGGAGGAAAAGAAGAAAAAATAATTCCCACATGTTACAAATAGCTGCTTCGTCATATTAGGCTATTCAGAAAGGAAAAAAGTGTAAAGAAGGCAACGTGAAAAACAGAAATGAACAAACTGTGCCCTACCAGTACCAAGCTTTGAGTACCGTATACTGCTTAGGAGTTTTAATCCAAATTCAGACGTGTCAGTTGATTCAAATGATCTACATTTTAATAATATAACTGTACATTTAATAATGACCACTTGCCTATTACAAATGTTCCCCTCCAGATTTCCTTTTGCTTCCTTCTTTTTTTTTTTTGAGATGGAGACTTGCTCTTGTCACCCAGGCTGGAGTGCAATGGCACGACCTCAGCTCACTGCAACCTCCACCTCCCGGGTTCAAGCAATTCTCCTGCCTTGGCCTCCCGAGTAGCTGGGATTACAGGCATGCACCACCATGCCCAGCTAATTTTCTTGTATTTTTAATAGAGACGTGGTTTCACCATGTTGGCCAGGCTGGTCTCGAACTCCTGACCTCAGGTGATCCACCTGCCTCGGCCTCCCAAAGTGCTGGGATTTACAGGTATGAGCCGCCACGCCTGGCCCTTTTGCTTACTTTTAACCACAATTTGTTTAAGCACAGTGAAGACTTCTTTTGAAAGCAGTCAACAGTAGATTTAAGGCTGTAGTTCTTAGCCCTGGCTGCACTTCAGAATCTCCTAGGGAGCTTTTTAAAATCCTCAGTTTGGGCCCTATCCCTGAGACTCCAGTTGAATTAGTTTGTGGTAGGGCCCAGGTCGTGATATGTTTACAAATCTGTCCTGGTGAGTCTAACATGCAGCAGGGCTGCGAACCACCCATATGAAGGAGGAGCACTGACTGGACTAGGAGCAGGAGGAGGCCTGGCTCTTCTGAGCCTCACGGCGAGGGCGTTTTTACACTCACTATGACGCCCACTTGTTCCTAAACACCCTTTAAGACCAGCACCTCTCCCACTTGAGAGCCACTGGGTCCAGGAATGAATGGGTCTGCACTAACTTGGTCTTCCACCTCTGTGAGCATGTTGTGGAGTGAATAAATGTTATTAAAACGTAACAAAGTAAAGAAAGAAATGGAGGCAGGCCTACAATTTAGCGGGTGAGGAGAGAAGAGCAGAAGTGTAAGGGAAGTGGTTGGGGGGCAGGAGAGGAAAGGAGATGTCCCTCCACCATGGCGCTGAGTCTGGGCAAGATCATGGCTGATCCAGGCTCCCCAGGAAGAAAGGGCAGAGGTTCTACACTGACTTCAAAGATTTGGCCACCACCCGTGGAATGACAGCATCTGAGGTGGGCTTGCGGGCCCTGTAGTGGCTGCTGACAAGGATCCTGTCCACTGACCCAGGCGCAAGCAACAGGAGTCATCAGTACCTTCTGCTGTTCTATTAAAAATAACCCTGTGAATTTCACTTTCATATGTCCCCATCCCTATAAACCATTTCTTGGTTTCACTCCAGGTTCTTCATCCAGTTAATCTCTTCCAGTAGACACTACACTAATGCCCCTTCCTTCCAGCAGTCGTCCCTGAACCTCTGTTCCACATTCCGTCTCCCATTTCATCCTCTCAGAGCTGTCCTCTGTGCTTTTCCTTTGTAATTCTTGCCACTATTTACTTTCCTTCAAAGCAAAACTGCCACCAAGAACCATTAAGATGTGTAGCCTCCACGTCCTCACCTCGCTGGCTCTTCAACTCACTCCCATTGGGCCACCGCACCAACACTCCACTGGAACCACCCATTGAGGTTACTAATCAGTTGACCAAATCCAACAATGACTTCTCCGTCCTCATTTTATCCAACTTCCCAGTAACCTTTGTGATACCCTCTGTGAAAGGAAGAACAGGAACCCCAAAGATATACACACCCTAATCCCCAGAACCTGTAAATAAATAACATCACAAGGCAAAGGGGAATTAAGGCTGAAGATAGAATTTAGGTTGTTAATCAGCTGACCTTAAAATAGGAAAATTATCCTGGATTATCCAGGTGGACTCGGCGTAATTAAAAGGGTCCTTAAAAGTGGAAGAAAGAGGCAGAAGAGGTCAGGGTGAGTGAATGAGAAGAGAGCAGGGTCACAAAGACTCTACGTCGCTGGCATCAAGGATGAAGGAGGGAGCCACAAGCCAAGGAACATTAAGCAGACTCTAGAAGGTGGAACAAACAAGGAAACAGATTCCTCTCTAGGGCCTCCATAAAGAACATGGCCCTGCTGGCACCCTGATGGCAACCCAGTGAGACCCATGTCAGATGACTGACCTACAGAACAGTTAAGAAATCTGTGTTGTTTTAAGCCACTAAATTTGTGATAACTGGTTACAGTAGCAAACATAAAAGTGACGCACCCTCCTTAAAACATGTCCTTCTCCTGGCTTCCACTTCACACCTGCCTGCCTCAGCACTGCCTCCCTGGCTCCCCTGCAGCCTCCTGTGCTGGCTCCTCCTGCACTGCTCGGGGCTTAGTCTCCCTTTCTCCATCTATCTTCTGCATCCCAGGTGATCTCACCTAGTCTATGGCTTTAAATGTCACCTGCGCATTGACGGCTCTCCAATTTTTATCTCCAGACAGGACCTCTCCCCAGACTTATGGAAGTTGCCTATTCAACATCATCACTCTGGTGTCTAACAGACATCTCACAACCAGGACATCCCAGAAGAACACTCTTAATCTCCACTTCCTTGTCTCACTGACGAGCCCCAGCACCAACGCAGTAGCTGAGGCCACAAAATTTCTCCTTTCCTTTACCCCCTACATCCAATCCCATGAATTGACAGCTCCACCTCTGAAATACATCCACTTCTCACTCCCTCCACCCCCACCGTCATTTCTTACCAAGATCACCAGTTATCGCAACAGACTCTTAACTGGTCTCTCTGCTTCCCCTGACTGCCACACAGTAGCCAAGAAAGCCTTTGAACATAAAGCTTCATATTATGTTGCTCACTTCCTAATAGCTCATCCTCCAATAACTTCATGTTGCCCTTAAAACAAAATCTCAACTCTTTTTTTTTTGAGACGGTGTTCCGCTCTTGTTGCCCAGGCTGGAGTGCAATGGCACGATCTCGACTCACTGCAACCTCTGCCTCCCAGGTTCAAGCAATTCTCCTGCCTCAGCCTCCGAGTAGCTGGGATTACAGGCATGTGCCACCACGCCCGGCTAATTTTGTATTTTTAGTAGAGATGGGGTTTCATCATGTTGGTCACGCTGGTCTTGAACTCCTGACCTCAGGTGATCTGCCCACCTCGGCCTCCCAGAGTACTGGGATTACAGGCGTGAGCCACTGTGCCCGACCCAAAATCTCAACTCTTTATGCCTACTTGGCACAACAAGATCTAGCCCTTACCTACCTCACCCAGCTCATCTGCCAGATCCCCACACTGTTCCAATCAACAACTTTTTTTTTCACATTTCCTCAAAGCAAGCACATTCCTGCCTCAGGGCCTTTGCACAGGCTATTACCTTTGCCTAGAATATTCCTCCCCCAGATACTCAAGTAGCTGGCTTTCCTTTATCATTCAGTTCTCAGCTCAAATATAACTTCCTAAGAAAGGCCTTTCCTACGAAATCTACTGATGTGCTCACACCTCAGTACCCTGCTCTACTTTGTTCTTAGCACACTCAGAAATCCTCACCTACTTGTTTACTTTTGTATTGTTTTCCCTCTAAACGATAAGCTCCATGAGAATTGGAACCTCATCTTATACCCTCAGCAACTCCAACTAGTGCCTGGCACATAGTAGGCCCTCAAAAATATTGCTGAATGCATAAATGATGGCATTAAATTAAATGGAATTTTGGGGGGGTTTTTTGTTTTTTGTTTTTTGTTTTTTTAAGAGAGTCTCGCTCTGTCGCCCAGGCTGGAGTGCAGTGGCACGATCTCGACTCACTGCAACCTCTGCCTCCCGGGTTCAAGTGATTCTCCTGCCTCAGCCTCCCGAGTAGCTGGGATTACAGGCACATGCCACCATGCCCAGCTAATTTATTGTATTTTTAGTAGGAACAGGGTTTCACCATGTTAGCCAGGATGGTATCGATCTCCCGACCTTGTGATCTGCCCGCCTCAGCCTCCCAAAGTGCTGAGATTACAGGCGTGAGCCACCATACCCAGCCAAAATTAAATGGAACATTAATAAACAGTCGATAAACATAATGTTGGCTGAGCACGATGGCTCACACCTGTAATCCCAGCACTTTGGGAGGCTGAGGCAAGAGGATCATTTGAGGCCAGGAATTCAAGACCAGCCTGGGCAAGACAGCAAGATCCTGTCTCCACAAAAAATAAAAAACGTTGCCAGGCATGGTGTCCCATGCCTGTAGTCCTAACCATTCAGGAGGCTGAGGCAGGAGGATCTCTTGGGTCCAGGAATTTGAAGCTGCAGTGAGCTATAATCGCACCATTGCACTCCAGCCTGGGTGACAGAGAGAGAATCTGTCTCAGTCAATCAAGAAACAAACATGATGCTGTGGATCACTGTCAAAAAATGCCTAACAGATATATAACATATTAAGAGAAAAGCCAGGTTATAGAACTACATGTACAGTAAACCTATTCTGGGTTAATAAATATAGAAAAAATGCCCACACCGGCACAGAGAAATATCTGTAGATACATATATCAGAAAGAAATCTGAAAGAAAAAAATCTGAAGATACATAATTAGAAATTGTTCACTTCAGATGGTAGAGTTCAGAGTGGTTTGGCCATCTCTCTATTGGTGATGTGCTGTATAAATTGCCTTTCCTGGGCTTCATGCTTCTACCTGGAAAGAGCTCCTTCACAGGGGACATGCTGGCTTCCTGCCTCACCCTCACTCGCCCCTTAGACAGGAGTGAATTCCCTGACTGATGAGTCTGAGATTAAGAACCAAGCATGTCTGCCGCAGTTCTTCCTTCCGTGGTTGTGGGAATCCATTTGCACACAGGGAGCGCACATTTTGCTCCTCTCCTCTGCATCACAAGCTTTTCTGGGGTAGCTCCCATGGATCTGCTTGGTGCTGTCAGTGACTATCACCAAGCCAGACTGTTTAATTCAGAAACAGAGTATTACAGCCCACTTGAGCACTAGACTAAATGATATTTGTTGACAGAAGTCTTTACTCATTCATTCAATGAACAGTCCCTGGACACTCCAGGGACTATTGTATATACTTAGAACAGTGCCTGCCATACATACATGTATGCCATGTCCACCTGGCATAAGATCCCTGTCCACCTGGAACTTAAGAGTCTAGCAGTGGCAGCCAGACAATACACAGTGAAAAGATGTAATTTACACAGTATATTAGATGATGACAAATGCTAATTCCAAAACACTTATGCCTCACTACCCCCATTTATGAAATAAAAAATACATAATCACCACACAGCAGGTTCTCTGAATTGCTTGAGGAATAGATTGTTGAAAACTGCTTAAATACAAAAAAATTTGATTAATAATAATTAAAGCATTTAACAAAAATGCTTCTTAAATAAAACAGAGTTAAGTCTAAATTTTGCTCAACAGTACAAAAATAAAATAAAATTTTAACTAGCACATTAACAACTGTCTTCTGACACCAGGAATGCGGATCTGTTGCTACACAGCTGAAAGATGTGTCAGGAAAAACGGGAAATGACTATACTCAGACGTTAATTTTATACATTCTGCTTAATTTCAAGCTATTTTAATGTACCCTTTCTCAGAAATGGGAAGCAGATGGCATCTTCCCATTCTTTTAACTTTCTCAACTTCTAAAGAAGTAAATATATGCGAGTGTTTTCCCCTTGTCTCTCTGAAAAAGTGTCCCTTTGCAGCACCACCTAAAAAAGATCCCCATCTTCCCAGGGGGAGCCTCCCCTTGGCCAGCCTCTCTGGACAGCCTCCACTCCCCAACACAAAGTACTAAGAGGGTAGGCACCTCGGCGCCTTGTCCTTGACCTTCTGACTCTTCCTACAGCGATCTTAAAAGGGAACTCCTGCCAGGCACGGTGGCTCACGCCTGTAATCCCAGCACTTTGGGAGGCCGAGGCGGGTGGATCACGAGGTCAGGAGATCGAGCCCATCCTGGCTAACACAGTGAAACCCCATCTCTACTAAAAAAATACAAAAAAATTAGCCGGGTATGGTGGCGCGTGCCTGTAGTCCCAGCTGCTTGGGAGGCTGAGGCAGGAGAATGGCATGAACCCGGGTGGCGGAGATTGCAGTGAGCGGAGATTGCAGTGAGCCGAGATTGCGCCACTGCACTCCAGCCTATGCAACAGAGACTCCATCTCAAAAAAAAAAAAAAAAGAACTCCTTCAGGGTATGAGCTACTCACAGAATTTCGGAATGTTGTTCTCTTTCCTCAAGAGGCTTGGCCTGGGACCAGCATTACCTGTCTCAGCCCCTCTGAACAGCTGCTTCTCTTCTGACTATAGACTAGAGGTGGCCGCCTTTTCTAGCCTAGGTCAAATGACTTTTCTGCTTCCTTGTTTCTTGCACATGAGAGCCTTTATTTCCCCCATGAACTCCTTTGGAGTCACAATAAAATGAACTCAGGGCCAAATGAAGCTTGCCTCAGAATCCACCTCGGTGCTACCGCAGACGCCCCACCTGGATGAGTGCACATGCATGCACATACGCGCACATGCACACACACATACACACACATACACACACATGTGGACTCTGCTTCACCTTGTCCAATTCCCCAGAGCTGAAGGGCCTCCCAGTTTCTTTTCTCCCCAAATGTAAATTCCAGGTTCTCGCCATTTTACAATTTTTTCAAGTCTACCCCCTTCGCCAGACCAGTGAACATTACCACAGAAGCTTCTAAGAAGACCTCATGAAAGCCACATAGCCTGCCTTCCTTACAGAGAATATTCTTCCTTACAGAGAAAACACTCTCCCAAACACACATTTCTATTTCATCGCATTCACCCCAACCCATCTGTGGTTTCTCATCCATCTAGAAAGGATTTCTTTTTGTTGTTTCTTCACTTGCTTTTCCAGCTTTCTAAAAGCACTAATACTGTAAAACTTAGGTTATTTTTTAGGAGCTTCTTTTAAAACCTTCAAAATAACTTCATAATTACCAAGATAACAGAATTTATCATCAGAAACCTGGGGTAGGCAGTATTCGAAAAGACTTGAAGGTGGGTAGGCAGGTAGCTGGATAGGCAGGTAGACAGGTAGACAGGCAGGTAGGCAGGCAGACTGTGACACTCAGCTTTAAGGTTCTGCTGTTTTCAGCTACTTGAGCCAAACGGATATGAAGAAGGAGTGGGGAGACTATTGTTCATGCTACCCTTTCAAAAAACATTGAAAAATTAGAATATGCTTCTATATGCCCTCTCCACTGCCACCCAAACTTTAAAAGAGCTTCCTATATGTCAAGACATGAACAGATACTTCAGATAAATGCCAAAAATAAAACCTATGCATTCTACAACTTTTAGGTGCCTACTAGCTAAAGACATGAGAAAAAAGCTCTAGAAAGCTCAACTGTAACCTATGTAGCCAAAGCACACCAAAACATGCATGAGTGGTATGGGGATGGCAAAGCTGAGCCTACAGTCCAGTGAAGTTAATTAGAACACACTTCCAGGAGGCTGAGATTCTTCCTCTAAGTGAGCTTTCACCTGGGCACTTGTTAGAAATGCACATCCTCAGGCCCCACCCAGGACCTACTGGAACAGAAACTCTGGGGATGGGGCCCAGCAATCTGTGTTTGAACAAGCCTCCCAGGTGATTCTGACTCCAGCTCAAGCCTAAATCCACTCAGCTAAAGAATGCCAGCCTCTCCGTATATTCTTCCTTTTTCCTTCCAACCAGGCTCAGCTTCTCCTTTACGGAAATCACCATCACCCAAAGTCTCCCACCCACTACTGAGAAGAGCTGGGTATTTTTATCCTGAGGCAACTCCACCAATAAACTGTCTGCACAGTACAGAGTCTCGAGTGCAACTAGAAACTCCACTCAACTGCTCTTCATCCAACTTAGAAAAATGTGGGCCCAAACTGGATCCTCATTTGCACCTTAACATTTCTTAAAAGCAGTTTCAGGAAATAGCATATTAAGTTATGACTTGGACAAAAGGTCAATCTCCAATTCCAGCTTCAGTACTGGACAGGTATAGAAACTTGAAAAGACACCAAAGAAGAACCTCGAGCCCCCTGAACAGATGCTGCCAACCCCTGAGCATGCTGACTCCACTCAGTCCAGAAGGCTGCGGGGTGATGAAAAATGTTCTGAACTTAGGTAGTGGCGATGGCTACACAACTTTGTAGATGTATTAAAAACTACTGAATTGGCCGAGTGTGGGCGGGAGCTCCCACCCATAATCCCAGCACTTTGGGAGGCTGAGGCAGGAAGACTGCTTGAGCCCAGGAGTTCAAGACCAGCCTGGGCAACATGGCGAGCGAGATTCCATCTCCAAAAACAATGTATAAATTAGCTGGGCGTGGCACACGCCTATAGACCCAGCTACTCAGAAGGCTGAGGTGGGAGGATAGCTTGAGCCCGGAAGGTCGAGGCTGCGGTAAGTTATGATTGCGCCACTACACTCCAGCCAGGACAACAGAGCACGACTCTGTCTCAAAAAAAAAAATTAAAAAGGTCTCTCTGGTCTCAGCCACAGAAGTGAGATGACCGTTTGGAAAGTGTTGCAATAGGACACACACATTGTGCCACCGCTGTGGCGTGAAGGCCTACCACCTTCAGAAGTTGACCTGTGGCAAATGTGGCTACCCCGCCAAGTGCAGGAGGACGTATAACTGGAGTGCCAAGGCTAAAAGACAAAATGCCACCAGGACTGGCCGAACGAGGCACCTAAAAATTGTACACCACAGATTCAGGCATGGACTCCGTGAGGAAACAACACCTAAACCAAAGAGGGCAGCTGTTGGAGCACTTTGATCAGCTTAAGAATTTCAACAATTAGTCATGCAGTAAATGTTCTGGTTTTAAAAAAAAAAACAAAAAATAAAATAAAAATTAAAAAATAAATTTTTAAATTTATAAATAAAAATAAACAACTACTGAATTGTACAACTTAAAAGTAAGTAAAAAGATGATTAACAGTAAAAAAAAAAAAAAAATTAATCAAATAAACTCCGAAGCTGGACCCAAGCCTCCCTGGAAAGTCCAACATTCCTAAAGAAAACCTTCAAAAGCAACAATAATCTTCAAAGACAAATCTTCAAAGGTCACCAAGCGCCATCACCTAAGACCCAAGAGAGGCCAAGTAGGTTAAGTGCCTTACCCAACACTCAGCTGAGTAGCGGCAGAGCCAAGACTCGAATCTGCTTCTGACACCAGCTCTGCACCCTTTCCAAGAGAGCAGTGTTTCTCAACTGCGGCTCTGTGGAAGTATTATCAAGGGGCTGTAAGTCCATATAAAATTTTTAACTTTGCATCTTAATTTAATGTATAATCTGAAAAAGTAACACCTGAACCGAGTATGTTCTAACACACAAACTCATTGCTCAAGTTTGTGATTTGTGGTTACGTTTCCCCTAGTACCCAGTAGTGTCATTTAAATTTTTCTTGGGCTAATGAGAAAAACCAGAAGTGAATTTAAAACTAAATGATGTATTTGTGCCAAGGCTTAATGACAGACTTATACAAATGCTTGATATGTAAAAAACAGCTTCTCAGTATAAAATAATTGCAGGACACAAGATAGTACCGCATGCCAAATTCAAAAGAACCTGCTTGAGAACAGTCAGTATGATACTCATGTTGCGAGACAATTTAGTTTTGGCAAAACATCATCTATTGCATTTAACTAACCCTGTTAATATAAAACTTTATTAGTTTTGTATTTTCTTTTTATGTAATGCATATATCTGAGTTTTATATTTGCAAAAGAACTCCAAGAATTAATTTTATACTGAGTTTTTTGTGTTTTTACGTTAATTCATCCAACAAATATTTATTGAACACTGACTATGGCCAGGTTAAGTGCCACATGCTGAAGTAATAGTATAATAAAACTAGTTTAGATTGAAACTGAGGAAGACCCACAGGAATTTCTTCCTTAAAAGAAAATGTTCTTTAACATCTTATTCAAATGCTATAAATATTGCTGTACTCTGAGGGTGCAATTTACTTCTCTTACTATTCCTCAGTGTCAAACCTGCCTTCACCTGTCTCCCCTCACCTGTGTGGGAGGACATTCCGCCCCAGCTTTTCAATATATCCTGTGGAGTGCTGCTGCTGCTGCTGCTGCTGAGGCACTGCACACTTGACACAGGCTGCCTGATCTCCAGGCTTGTGCCTACCTGTATTTCAGTATCATGTATCTCACTTCACACTAGCAAAGCAAACAGAGGAACTATATTTAACCTAACTGCTACACAAGTATCACTTTTAATTTGAAACTTCGTACTATATACTGTGTTCAAAAATCACATAATGTCACTCTTAAAACTTGGCTCTCTGTGTTGTTTATATGCATTTTCATTTTTGCAATTTAATCAGAAAAGCCCTGCCTGGAACAAAATAATCTGGGACCGTTCAAACCACTAGCCCTGCCAAAAGCTAAACAAAACCAAGCCCTACCTAAAGGTTAACTGACTTTCCACGCCATCAAAACTGAAATATCTCACCTGCCTTTATGATTAGAGTACTGGTGCTTTTCAGCTTAGCTCACATTTAGGAAGTCTGAAGAGTCTTAAATGATCCCCCCAAAATGTGTGTCTATATTTCAAAGAGATAACATATAAATACACTAGAAAAACCAATCACTGAAAAATTACAGCCCTAAACCTAACACAAAGTTACACAAAGGAAAAAAAATTAAAAACACAAGAAACACTCAAGATTATGTATCGACACCAAAAAAAGACTAAATAAATTTTTTAAAAGGTAAGGTAACCAGGCACAGTGGCTCACACCTGTAATCCCAGCACTTTGAGGGGCCAAGGCAAGCAGATTGCTTGAGCTCAGTTGTTTGGATGGGCCTTGGCAACATGGTGAAACCCTGTCTCTACAAAAAATTAGCCAGGTCCGTGGTGGCGAGCACCTATAATCCCAGCTACTTCAGAAGCTGACATGGGAGGATTGCTTCAGCCCAGGAGGTGGAGGTTGCAGTGAGCCAAGATTGTGCCACTGCACTCCAGTCTGGGTGACAGAATGAGACTCTGTCTCAAAAAAAAAAAATAAAAAAAAATAAGGTGGCTTGATGTTAAAAACAGTTGAAATTAATTATTATTTAATAATTCTTACAGTGTTAAAGGCCATTTTTCTTACCTAAATATAAAAAGTTAGGGGGAAAAAGTACTCAAGATTTTTAAAGAGTAAGTTTCCTCCTATAAAAAGCATTATAATTATTACTCAAGTTTTGTTTTGTTTTTTCTCCTGCAGACGCTTTGGTGTGGCTTAGAATGTATCAACCTATACTGCTCTCTACATAGACATTTTTACCATTAAAAAATGCATTTAATATGACACTCTAAAGCTACCACCAACTAAAAACATCTGATGAAACTTTCTTTAAGGATCAGTACAAACTAGAATTCTATTTTGTTTGCTTACTCTAGAGAAACTGTGTATTACAGGAAAAACAAAAAAAGAACATTAGTTCAAAAATAGTAACACACAAAAGTGATTTGAACATATTTAGGGAGAACATTTTCATTATAAAAGGTTCATGGTGCTGCATTAGTTTGGCTTTGGAAGAATGCCAAGTGAAATCTAGATCCAGAGACTAGGGAATGCAGTAGTTATATTTTAAGTCAAACAGCTAATTAATGACTAAACAAAACAATTTTCAGTCTGGACAACATATATGGAGTACTAATATACGTAATTATGAAATAGTCATTTGTGAATTCAGACAGTTGTGTTAGCATAATTATTTCTGGCTCTAGGCCTTAAAAATACTAACTTAAAATGCAGAAACCTTATAGCAGTTCACCTGATGAAGATGTGAACACCAAACTGATTATGAAACAAGAGTAGGTTCTTTAATGAATGTGCTCTGTGTTTAATACATTCTTTCTCCCTTGCCCTGAATATAAAAGTCAGGCTTAATGCTCAAGTTACACACAGGTACAAAATTTCTATTTTTAATATAGTTTTTTCACTATCCATAGTCCACATACTAATAGTCATTAAGAATCAAAACTATCGGGCCGGGCGCGATGGCTCACGTCCGTAATCCCAGCACTTTGGGAGGCTGAGGCGGGCGGATCATGAGGTCAGGAGATCGAGACCATCCTGGCCAACACGGTGAAAGCCCATCTCTACTAAAAATACAAAAAATTGGCTGGGCGTGGTGACGGGTGCCTGTAGTCCCAGCTACTCAGGAGGCTAAGGCAGGAGAACAGCGTGAACTTGGGAGGTGGAGCTTGCAGTGAGCCGAGATCACGCCACTGCACTCCAGCCTGGGCGACAGAGTGAGACTCCATCTCAAAAAAACAAAACAAAACAAACAAACAAAAAAATACTCTCTCAAGCTACTTATGGGGTGATAGAAATGTGCCGTGTCTTGATTTTGGAGGTAGTTTCACCAGCATACACTTGTCAAAAACTCATTGAATTATGCACTTCAAATGGGTGCAGTTTATATTGTAATACATAAATTAAACCTCAATAAATTGTTTTAAGCTGGGCGCCGTGGCTCACGCCTGTAATCCAAGCACTTTGGGAGGCTGAGGCAGGCGGATCACCTGAGGTCGGGAGTTGGAGACCAGCCTAACCAACATGGTGAAACCCTGTCTCTACTAAGAATACAAAATTAGCCAGGCATGGTGGCGCATGCCTGTAATCACAGCTACACAGGAGGCTGAGGCAGGAGAATCGCTTGAACCCGGGAGGTGGAGGTTGCAGTGAGCTGAGATCACGTCATTGCACTCCAGCCTGGGTAACAGAGTGAGACTCCATCTCAAAAAAAAAAAAAAACAAGGCCAGGTGCGGTGGCTCACCCCTGTAATCCTAGCACCTTGGGACACCAAGGCGGGCGGATCACGAGGTCAGGAGATCAGGAGATCAAGACCATCCTGGCTAACACGGTGAAACTCCGTCTCTACTAAAAATATAAAAAACTAGCCCGGCATGGTGGTGGGCGCCTGTAGTCCTAGCTACGCGGGAGGCTACGGCAGGAGAATGGCGTGAACCCGGGAGGCGGAGCTTGCAGTGAGCGGAGATCGCGCCACTGCACTCCAGCCTGGGCGACAGAGCGAGACTCCGTCTCAAAAAAAAAAATAAAAAATAAATAAATAAAAAAAGAATCAAAACTATCAAAATACACGTAGGAGAAAACTTTTTTTAAAAAAAGGAATCAAAACTACTTTCCTAAGAAATGAGTGTCTGCCACTTTTTAAAAAATCATAATGCAAAATTAGATTAACTTTGTTACAACATTTTAAAATCAGATGAAGAAGCCAAACAATTCTATAAAACGAAAGGATTAGAACTAAATAGCTACAAGATCTTGGAAAAGTCAACTTGATATTGCTCTGTGGGACAAAATGAGGGATTATGGGACTCAAAGTCGGGCTGCAGCGGCTGAACTCCCCCGTCCCCCACTTCCCGGCTCTGACTGCGGGTACATTAGTTAACATATCCATGGCTTCAGTTTCCTCATCTATAAGATAAGGATAGTCAAATAATCTATCTCATAGGATTAACTGAAAGATTAAATGTGATGATTCATGTAAAGGACTCACTAGTGCCTAGCATACAAAGGATGTTCAATACATACTGGCTTCCATAATTAGTGCAGCCATCATCACCTTCACTCCTTGTGTCATCTTTACCACCTGAGGACCAGTATTGGTGGCTGCGGGAGCACAATCTAAAATTGATTTGGTTTCAGATGTAACATTTAATTTATTCTGCAATTGCAAATAACATCCAAGAAGGGAAAGGATTTTAGGTATTCCAATGGGTTAGAAAAGGTTAAAAGTAGCTTAAGTAGGTCCAACGATCTCTCTTACCTTCTTAGAGTCTTCCTTTTAGTGACTTTCAGCTTCACCAAACATTTGCATATGAATCCACAATATTAAGACTATATTAACTCTTTTTAATTCAAAACTACATTACAGGCCAGGAACGGTGGCTCACACCTGTAATCCCAGCACCTTGGGAGGCTGAAGCGGGTAGATCACCTGAGGTCAGGAGTTCGAGACCAGCCTGGCCAACAGGGCGAAACCCCATCTCTACAAAATTATAAAATACAAAAATTATCCAGGTGTGGTGGCACATGCCTGTAATCCCAGCCACCCAGGAGGCTAAAGCACAAGAATCACTTGAACCTGAGGGGTGGAGGTTGCAGGGAGCTGAGATGACACCACTGCATTCCAGCCTGGGCAACAGAGTGAGACTCTGTCTCCAAAAAAAAAAAAAAAAAAAAAAACTACGTTACAGAATAGACTTGCTGTAGTTTAGGTTTGTAGGCCTTTGATTAAACTCCTATAGAGTAAACAATAGAATGAAAGTTCCTAAGAATTAACAAGCAACACAGATGCAATTAAGCTCAGAGACAGGCTCTATCAAGTATGCTCTCTTGACCAAAAAATAACTACTGTCTACCTACACTCCCTCATCTCTAAAAGGAAATGTTACCCACCTTGCAATACTATTTTAAGGCTTACAAATAATTATATAAAATACCCAGTCAGTAGTAAAGAACAGGTGCTCAATAAATGGTAGGATGGGGCCGGGTGCAGTGGTTCACGCCTGTAATCCCAGCACTTTGGGAGGCTGAGGTGGGCGGATCACAAGGTCAAGAGATGGAGACCATCCTGGCCAACATGGTAAAACCCTGTCTCTACTAAAAATACAAAAATTAGCTGGGCATGGTGGCACGCACCTGTAGTCCCAGCTACTTGGGAAACTGAGGCAGGAGAACCGCTTGAACCCGGGAGGCGGAGGTTGCAGTGAGCCAAGATCATGCCACTGCACTCCAGCCTGGTGAAAGAGTGAGACTCCACCTCAAAAAAAAAAAAAAAAAAAAAAAAGGATGGAATGAGCACAATCTCACTCACAACACACACAGTATAAAAGGTTTTTTCAAACAATCACAAATATTTAAACACAGGTCTGAGTAAAGGAATTCCTTATTAGTATAGAGGAGTCACATTATACCCAGAAATTCAACTGTACACATCCAGCAGAGAGAGCGAGCGAGCACACACGAACATGGAGAACAGAGAAAGATGACAGTTGACATTTCATACAGGCAGCTCGAGCCACCAGTCTTACTTTGTGAACATATGCTGTACAGGGAGTGAGATGGAAAACACAAATCTACTGTGCTCTCAACTGTGCGCATTCCCACACGCCTCTTCCAGTGTGAGCCCCTTCAGTGGGATCTAAGAAATAGAGTTTTTGTACAACACAGCTTCTAAATACAAGCCAACTACTTCATGTGGTCCTCATCCAAAACACAGAAATCTATTCCAACTCTGGAAGGAAAACGGGCTCTTAATAAGGGCAGTCTGACTAAACTTTACTTTATGAGCAAGTCAAGGGATTTCACGGGCAATTTTGACTAAATATGATTTAGCATGACATAGGACCACAAAGCCCCAATGAGAAACAAGTCCACTGAACTACGTTTCCTTCAGGTTTTCATGTCAACATGAAGAATGGCAGGCTGAAGAACGTAAGAAAATGCCAATTCCCAGCTAGATCAAAGAAGTGCTTTAGTAACACCGCTGATTGCTTTATTCCACCTATATTACCAAAGCCAGTTTAAAAAAAAAAAAATAGCAGGTTATCATCGCCACATAACATTCTGCAGAATTAACAATTCGTAGGGTAAGTCTTCGCTGTCACACTTAATATTCCTCTATTTTTCCAAAGCCAAAAAATAAAACAAGAAAAAAGTCAAGGTCCTCTACAGAGAAATGAGTCAACCTGTAAATTCAGTTCCCTCATAGGAGCTTTTGTCAGCTGAGCTGACAATTAACTGAAAGAACAGCCCATCCCAAGGGAAAGGGTGCTGCATGGCTTCACCCATCAGCTGTGCCACCTCCTGCTGCCTCCACCCTTCAGAACATACGCTCCTCTACCTAGATTTCAGCATGAGTGATAGCTGATGCAAAACAATCCACGTTTTCCCATCTAGATCCTCAAATTTGCATTACACCAGTGAGAGAATGGGATGCATTTTCCTCTCTGTAATCTGAATTATGGCAGCCTCTGGCCTCCAAGGGAGTATGTGGACTGAGGTCCAGAAAGAAAATAAGGAAAAACTTCTCATTTTTTTCTTTTAATCTCATCCTCTATAAAAATTCTTTATCGGATGCTTTAAAACGTATCTAATATACTAGTAAGGTGCAACATGTAAATAATTTAGAGGTTTTATTAAACATGTGAAAGTTGAAGGGTTATGCTGAAAAGTTTCAAAAAGTTTTGAAGCCACTGATGGAAATAATCTACCAACTAAATTCCCAGCACTGCTACATCCAGCTTTATAAGACTCTTCAGGCCACTGATTTTAATTCACTAAGCAATTTCTGGTTTCAAATATAATGTCAAATCATAGTTAAAATAAACTGCCACAAGACATGGGTCCATGGGAAAAAATAAAATAAATAAGCTGCCAATTCCACAGGAAATATAATATGGAAAAATACATACTTATTATGGGTTGGGTTACATTTATAAATAAACTAGAACTAACGTGTATAATAATTTGGTATCAAATCTACGTTTCAGGGAATACTAAGAAATACACTGAGTTTTTAAATAATTCATAATCAAGTTCCGACTTATTAAATGGCTTCCAAATTATATAATACTATTTTGCTGAAAGAGTAACAAACTATGATTAAGACTAATTTTAAGCATATCTACTTCATTTTCACGTCTAAAAATGTCTGAAATAGTTAATAAATAACTGGTTAAACAGCAGGCCTCTAAACTAGCAAACATTTGTCAAAGCAAAAACATTCTGTCTGACGGGAAAATGTAATTTATGAAAATGATCAAAACATAGAGTCCTTCAAAGAATTTTACAATCAGTTGAGACAAGTTAACAAAGCTGTAAGGTTCCAGTGAGTATTTAAATCTAACCTGTGATAAGGAAAGAGACTTTTATCCACATAACCTCCCACCACGCAAAACAAAAGCATTCTGAATCAGGAAGTAGTTAGCGCCAAAGAATCTTTAAAAAATAAGGCTCAATAGGCAGCACTATTTTCTTCTTGTGTCTTTTAACAGAACTGAGTGTCCAATAAGGATAGGGTGCTAAATTTGCTTTAACTTGGACATCAATGTTGAGCCAAGGCACACAAATGGAACTTGGCAAAACCAGCAACCCCAGCCATCTGAATTAAAGGAATATAACTCCCAAATTGATGGACGTATACCCAATTCTCATCACCACACTAAACGGGTATTACCTTAAATTGAAATATTCAGATTTCAAAATAAAAAAGATGACAAAGCAATCCACTCCTAACAGTAAGACTCCTGGATTAAAATTTACCAAAAAAGGAAACATCATCCAAGATGATTAACTTTTTTCATTCTACTTCATAAATCTACTTTCTAATTGGATGCTAAATACATAATCTACTGTACAGCCTTCAATCTTAATAAAAATTCTTAGCATTAAGCAAACTTTCTTCATTAGAAAGGACGAAAAGCTGTTTCACTCCTATGAAACCTGCCCTTTCCAACTCTACAAAAATTCACATTGTCAAGACACTACACATTCTGTGGAACAGTGGGACTGTATATTTATTAATTCATGAAGACATAACAACTAACGTTTAACTGGCATGCAGGCAGGGTTAACCACTAAATGCAAGACACTAAAATGCAAGAAAACACAGACAGAAACTCATGCTACTTTAGTTAAGTCAACGTGCACATTGTGTATCTTTCAATGCAAGCCAAGCAGATCAGAGACAGATCAAAAAACATGTTGGTTGGTTTCTGTCAAATCCAGATTAAATAATGTCATTTACAATTTCCTAGATCAGTATTTTAAATTTAAAGCTAACATAAAGTAGGACTATGTGAAGCAACCTAAAAAATTTGCCCTTAAAATAATTATACCCTTAAAAAAAGAAACTTATCTACCTCATTAGTGTTCCAGCGGTGCCTCTCTTTTGGTAAACTTGAACATTTCGGCAGACATTCAAGCAGCTTTTTCGGTAAAAAGATTTTTACATGACTACTATTGCTGTTCCCATGATCATCTACAAAGAAGAAAACAATAAATTTAGAGAAAATAATAGATAAAATCTCCTTTAAAGTACACTGACAAAGTCAGAAATAGCAGCTCAGTTTAGTCAATGTGAGACCAAGAGCATCAGAGGCCCCACTATTCCTCTTAGTTAATAATACTCATTTACCCATTTATCAGATTGATGGCAGCAGGAATCTGGTCAAGAGGATTTAAAACAGGATCGGGCTTGTGCTCCCTGACATGTGAGTGAACAGGGAAAATCCCCGCAGCTGCCCATAACCGAAAGTTATTTTAAAAGGTTCTTTCCCCATGTTTTGATGAAGCACATAAAAATTATAAAATTAACCTCACAAAGCCCAAAAATCTTTTATTAAGCAGTTGAAAAAATGTTAAGTTTCTTAGGTAAGAAGAATTATAGTAATATATGACTATTTTGTTCGTAAATACTACTTCATCCCCTAGACTATAAAAGAGATTTATCCTTTCAAAAGCAAATCACAAATCTTATAAATATAAGGGATTTAAGCCTGCAGTTAGCTACTCAGGTAATACAGAAGCTGGCCTTTCTAGGTCTGAACATAAAATCATCATTTTAATTAACTTGATTTACATATACATATCTACATAATTAATGTATTTCATCAAAATGTAACTCTTCTAAATGAGTTAGAGAAAAAATAATTACTTTCAGACTAGATGGTATGTCTGACTACCTAATAATCAGTCTACCTGATGATTTCTAGAAGAGATCATTTCCTTTATATAACATTTATTTCACTCATTTGTTTGCTTACATATCATTTATTTTTTCACTCCTATAACAAAGTTTCTTTGCCTGACTCAAAATTTCTCACAAGCTTTGGCACATTTAGGTCAAAGTTACAAATTATTCATCCCAGGCTTTTTATGCTACATAAGATCCCCAATATACAAAGGGTACACATAACTAGGTACTAAGGAGCTGCACATTAAAACATCAAAGACTTAATTTGCTCCAGTAAGTCACAGTTGAAACAACTTTTCATGATATAATAAGGTTTTATAACACTGAACTCAGAGTCAAGAGTCCAAGATCTGGCCCAGTTCTGCTACTTTCTAATTGTGTGACCTTGGGTAAGTTACTTAATAGTTTCAGTTTTCCCAAATCAACAAGATTAGATTATCTCTAATTCTTCTCCAGACACAAATCCCTATAAAATTTACTGTCATTAAATAACTTAATAGGCCTTACAATTAAGCAACCTTACATAAGTATACAGGCATTGGTTAATAATCTTAAAAGTGAAATACAACAATATCTTTTTCCAGTTATTTACTACGGCTTTGTTCAGTACAGTCTATTTTTTTGAACAGATGAAAAACATCAAAGAACAAAAAATATTTTCTAAGGTCACAAAATCCTCTCCAAACATTTTTCATCTGATTAACACACTTCTTCTCAAGGAAAAGATCTTAAAAGGAAAATATTGGGCATAGAAATAAAGTCTAAAAAATTTACTACATCATATAGAAAGATTTTATGGAGATGAACTTAAGAGAGTTTTGGCATACTAAATCTTTTTTGGTCCATGAACTACATAACCAATTGAATTATAATACCCATCCTCTATTTCTATAAGCAGTATAAAAACTTTAAAAACCTAAAAACTGACTGCTTTCAAGAATTTCAAATTTTAATTTAATAGGAAAATAAGATTAAACCTTTCAAAAAATCTTCCTGTGAAACCAAAAGGAAACTGTTCAACTAAAAGAAAGTTCATAGAAAGTTCTGTATGAATTACACACTATAAAACCTCGGTAATCTTATGTGCTTATGCTCCCTGCACTTCATCCTCCCGAGGGAGGTTCCACGGGCCATAAAACTTTAAAGCAGAGAATACCAGATCACGTGAGCCTTTACCTCCCTTCTCTCTTCCCCTAAAGTACTTTTATTTCCATTTTTTAAAATCCCCCATGATATGTACAATTCTGAAAATAGAGGTGAAATTCTAAAATCTATACTCAATTCAAATATTCAACATTTACAGGTACCTTTTATGAAAACGGCACTATACTGGTTGCTCAATGGATGGGCTTGCTCTGAATTGTATATGAATAGCCATATCTCTGAGAAAGCTATCAGTTTGAAGTACAATTCTGAACACTTACGAGCAGAGTTTTAAACCCCAGCTTCTATGTTTGTGATCACAATCTGATGTTAATTTTCTGTTCTTTTAGCCTCTTCGAGGAACCCAGCTACTGTGCGGTATATAAAGAGTGTGCGTGTGTGTGTGTTTGTGTGTGTGTGTGTGTGTGTGTGTGTGTGTGGTATTTATGTAATAAAGGTACTCTTCTCAACAGCACAATTAACTGCTATAGAAAAGGCTTCAGTCTTCCACTCTGATACCAAATCAGGCAGTGGTAAATGTGACCAAAGGGCAGGGCTGTGTAAGCACTCTCTCAATCTAGTTTCTAAACATTACACTTTACACGGAGGTGTGGCCACAGAGTCAAAAGGAACAGGAATATGACTGGCCAGTGGGTTCCCCTTGATCAGTTTTTAAAGTGTACCATTTCCAGAATTTTAGGTTCACGCTGAATATAAACTGGATGTTTTTAAGAAACATAACAATGGGTAAATTTTCCTACTACATTATAAGGATTGCGAGTTTAATACTGAGAAAAGAATTACTGGAATTTCAAATAGGCAAAATGTTAAAACTCATATTTTTAAATTTCAGTGTTTCTACAGGTGAAGTGGGATACAGAGAAACTTTGATTTTACACTGGAAAAGAACTTTACATGGCTATACTGCATAAAAATCTGTTTTTAAATTAAAATCTGCTTTTTAATGTTTTGGGATAACTAAGAATGATAAAATAACTAAACACATGCACCAGTTTTCAAATCCTAATAATAGTATCTTGAGTGAACAGTAAAATTAAGGCATATACTGGTTTCCACTGCATTATTCAGTATTCAATACAAATAGTTGAACTTTGACACTGAAAAGTGGGAGTGTCAACCAAATGACAGTAAAACACTTCATTATCATTATCTAACAAAATATATGTGTATGGTATTAGACTTTACAAAATAATTTTCTAACCTACTTCACAATAAAAAAATAACTAGTGAGGCTCTTGAAAATGACAGATGATTTGCTTGACTGACAACTCTAATTCTAAAGAACGAACCATCCTTTCTAGTCAACCTACAAGGTGTAGTATAATATAACTTTCCAATATGCAAAAAAATGCTCATTCACTTAGACAAAAAGCAGAATTACTGTTTTCATGTTTTGTTTCAAAAAAATGAGATTCACATTGCCAAATCCTTTACTTAAATCCAAAGAAATGTATTTGACCTTTTCCTTCGAAAATTCTGTGACTTCTGCCAAGGTAAATTATAACTATATTAACTAATCTAGAAATGATACATTCATTTTACTTTGATTCATAATAAAAAATAATGTTGGTTCTATGAATAATGATGAACACTGTTATTCATTCAAGTTGATTACGATTAATCTTTCAAACTCTAGACCAAACTGTTCAAACAGTTTGGTATAACAGTGTATCAAATTGCTAAATCTTATTGGGAATATCTTTGATCAACAACATGGAGTAGTAAAATCAAAAGGAAGCTCTACAATTTTCTGTTTAGCTCTAATTATTATGTGCTTAGATTTAATTAGTAGGATAGGAACTGAAAACATAAACATATATTGTTATATTCAAGTCAGCATAATGCTCACAGCAGCAAATACAGCCATTACTAACCTAAGGCCTTCAAATCACCATATATCCAAAATACATATTAATTAAGCACTATGTGCCAAACACTGATCTGATTTTGCATTATTCTTTTCCAAAGTCTCCAAAGTGAATTAAACCCAGTAGTAATTCTACAAAAGATTTTTAAAAGGTTAAAGAAACAGAAACTAACAGCTTTTTAAGTAGAAAAATATAATTAGTTTTGCTATTTAACAATCCCCTTCTTGTTCTTAGAGTTGTGTGATGATCAACTTACCGCTTCTATTTTTAGGTAGCCCAGATTTACCTTTTTCCTGTTGATCATATTACAAAATCTCGGGTCCAGGCTTAGGTCAAATCATAACTCAGGTTCAATAAACTTCTCACTGTTTATCTACATTTACATTTTCAATCTAAAAATATGTATGAGGGAACAGATAAAGTGAGGGCACAGCAGCCCTGTAAGCCATCACTTCAATTTGGGTTTTGGGACATTCTCTCCTCCTCTACTTCATTCAATTCCAACTGGAGGTACATGTGATTAAGTAAATCTATTTTCCATTATTTATTAGGGAGTAAGCACTTGTGGGACTCTACTGTGTATCAGGCACCCAGAAAGGATCTTACATTGCACTCTTTCATTTAATCCTCACGATAAAACACAAGGGCTTAATTACTCCCATTTTACAGAGGAGGAACATGAGGCTCAGATTAATTTGCCCAAGATCCACAGCTGCTGAGTGGCTCAGCTGGGATTCAAACATGACCTGTGGCTTTTCCCAAAATACCACACTGCTCCTACTCTAAGTCACCTGGTATTGGACACTAGAATTACAGAAGTGTTGTATTAGTATCAAACATTTGTTAAGTGCTTTGATTTCTCCGTGTGATTAAATCTTTTGCCTTTTTTCATCTCCACAGAAACTTTATGAGGAGAGCATTCTTTTTGCTACCCCAGAAGGATTAAGTAACTCATCTAAGATCACACAGCAGTTAAGTGCAGAACCCAGGTCTTCTGAGTCCGGGCTGAAGGCTGTTTCCACTGTACTAGATGATAATTACTGCCACTGCCAAGCCCACCCCTTCCTGTAAGTCAAAAGCTTTTTCAAATCCTACCTTCTATAGGTGGCACGGTGTTGAGAACACAGTAGGTGCTAGTTCCGCAGAATACACTTTGGGAAACGCTCTAAGGAAACAGAAAATAAAATGTAAAACTAATCTTTCAAAAAGATATAATCTGGCTCTTCTGTGATATTCCTGCCAAGATGCAAAACCTGAATCTAATCATGAGGAAACATCAGACAAATCCAAATCAAGGAACATTCCACAAAATGACTGGCCTGCAATCCTCAAGAGTGTCAAGGTCATGAAAGTCTAAAAGGACTGAAAACTCTTCTGTATTAAGAGATTGAAGAGACAACCAGTTATGACCCAAGGTTCTGATTAGATATTTTTCTACAAAGGCCATTGCTGGATCAACTGGCAAACAGCAACAGGACTTTAGGACTGGAGAGTAGGAATGTCTCAGTGTTAACTTCCTGGTTGTGATTACTGTTCTTGTGGTTATGGAGGAGAATGTTCTTGTTTGTAGGAAGTACATGATCAAGTATTTGAGAGTGATGGAACTTATCAGCAATTTATCCTCAAATGGCTCAGGGGGAAACCGTTCTTTGCACTGCAAGCTTAAGGCTGCTTCAAAATTTTAGATACATATGTGAGAAAAGGTCTGTGCTGATGAACATGCATAACTTGTGTAATTTGTTTAAATGGGAAGTATGTGTGCTGTACATAGAGGAAATTTTTGCTAAGAACCAATGTCATATTCATTTTGAAGCTCAGTCAACACCAACAACATTTTTAACCATTTCCCAACAATAAACCCAACACCCGACTCACCCAAAAAATGTGCAGAGCGCCAACTAGTATTATGGCATGGCAAGTAAATCAAGGGGAATTCCGTTAACAGGAAAGAAACAAGGTCTCTGGCTGTCAGGCTGCTTCACTCAGATAAAATTAAAGATTTCACCTAAAACCTACACAACGGTAACTTTTTAAAAAAAAAGAAAATTTTTTGAATATTGACGGCCAATTATTTTCAGTCCTAAAAATATCTTTTTTGTTTGGCTGCAGTATTAAATAAAATTTTAGATTATTCATCCTACATTATAAACCACATATTTATACACTTAGAAAACCAAAGATAGTTTACAAGTTCAACAACCACCCTCAACATTTTATATTTAAAAGCTACCAGGCATGGTGGCTTGTGCCTGTAGTCTCAGCTACTCAGGAGGCTGTGGTAGGAAGATCGCTTGAGCCCAGGACTTTTAAGGCTGCAGTGAACCATGATAACACCACTACACTCCTGCTCCAGCCTGGGCAACAGAACAAGGCCTCATCTTTAAAAATAATAATAATAAATAAATAAATAAATGTGGTGGCTCATGCCTGTAATCCCAACACTTTGCGGAGCCAATGCGGGTGGATTATTTGAGCTTAGGAGTTAAAGACCAGCCTGGATAACATGGCAAAACCTCACCTCTACCAAAGATACAAAAATTAGCCAGGCATGGTGGCAACACACCTATGGTCCCAGATACCTGGGGGGACTGAGGTAGGAGGATTGCTGGAATCCGGGAAGTTGAGGCTGCAGTGAGCCATGATCACACCACTGCACTCCCGCCTGGATGACAGAGTGAAACCCTGTCTCAAAAAATTAATTAATTAAAATAAAATATAAAGAGTTCAGTTCTAACATTTACTAGCTGTCCTTAGGAAAGTAATTCAACCTCTCTGTACTACCTCATCCAAAAAGGGCGGGTGGATACTTCTCTCTCCTTCTCTCTGAGGCAGGAGGAGGATTAGGTAATACATACCCAAGTGCTTTCAATTCAAAGGTACCACCCAAATACAAAACACTATTGTTACCATAGTTAATGAGGGTGAGCTTTAACAATGTTAACATTTTCTAAGAACAAACAGGATTGCCTGAGTTATTTATTTGTTGTTATTTGTTTGTTTGTTTGTTTTGAGACGGAGTCTCACTCTGTTGCCCAGACTGGAGTGTAGTGGTGGGATCTCAGCTCAGTGCAACCTCTGCCTCCCAGGTTCAAGTGATTCTCCTGCCTCAGCCTCCTGAGTAGCTGGGATCACAGGTGTCCGCCACCATGCCTGGCTAATTTGTGTATTTTTAGTAGAGATGGGGTTTCACCATATTGGCCAGGCTGGTCTCGAACTCCTGACCTCAAATGATCTGCCAGCCTCGGCCTCCCAAAATGCTGGAATTACAGGCATGACCCACCGCGCCTGAGTTTTTTATGCCAAAAAATGTTGCAATCTGACTAAAGTTGACTTCCAAGAATTATTAATTTTCCTCTCCCTTATGCCCATGATCAAGTGCTTCAGAAGTCAAATTGTTTTCAGGGTCCATATAAATAAAGTCTTTCTCTATAATGTGACTCCTAGCTACCAGGATAACCATGAGCTCCTTAATTCTTTCTTTTCTATTTCTGTAAAACTCTTGTTCTAGGACTGTTTCCCTCTCCAATTTAACCAATAGTAGTATACTGAGCTAGGCACAGTGGCTCACGCCTGTAACCCCAGCTACTCAGGAGACTGAGGTGGGAGGATCACTTGAGCCAGGAATTTGAGCCTAAAGTGAACCATGACCATGCTATTGCACTCTAGCTTGGGTGACAGAATGAGACCCTGACACAAAAACAAAAAAAGTAGTTAACTATGATAACATCTGTGGTAACAGTCATGTCCAAGGATTCACCCTATAGACTAGACAAGGCTCGGAATTCATGTATCCTTTGGAAAATCCAACATTACTTTCTACCCATGACTGTGAGCATGGAATCATCATACCTTAGGAAAAGTGGTTCATGGGAAGATCTCCAATAGGGGAAAAGTCAGCAGCACGCTGACTTCTTGTAACATCTTTAAGAGTCACCAGTAACAGCCCACTAATCACATGAATGTAATACCTCATTTTAATTTAGTTTCTGAATTAAAACTTGAAATTTTACGATGTTAAAAATAATGTCTTACATTCAAGGCTTAACATTTCCTGGCTTCCTATTATCAAAAACTGACGGTATAAGATTACCATTTGAGATATCTTAACAATGGTCTTAGGTGAAAAGTTTTTAAAAATCACTTTGGTTCAGTGGGACACACTAATGAATAGCTTCATAAAAAAGGATTTTTATACCCAACTTCAAAGTCTAACAATAAGTAAATCAGTGACAGAATATCTGAAATAACAGGAAGAACTTGGCACTAAAATAACATATGACACAGAAATATCATAGACAAAAACCAATCACACTCTCTCCACAGCACTGCATAATGAAGTCTCCATAGTTAACTAGGAAAGAAACCAAAGTTAAAACTGAAATCAAGTCATTCTATCTTTGAAAACCATAGGTTCTCAAAACAAGCCAAAGCACAAAAAAACTTCCATGATAAGAAAGGGCTACCTTGTACTAGATACCCCTGTGCCAAACACTGGGCCAGGAACTTTCACAGGACAACTTCGTGTTTTGATCTCCCTCTAGGCGCCTGTCTGCAATACTGGGGCGGCTCTGCCATAGAGGGAGGCGGGCTGGCCTTAAGCACCTGCAGAGCCGCGGTGGTGTGTTCCAGTCCACCACTCACTACTAAGAAGTCCGGGCAAATCAGTGAGCCACTGTGTCCACAGGACAACACAGTGGAATGGAAAAGCACAAGCTTTCAAGTCAGATCTGGGTTCAAGTCCTTCCTCAGAAGCAGGTCTTCAAGCACCTCCCCCGCTGATTCTGCACTTCAACTCAGACCCCTCACCCTTCAGGAAGCCTCTCGCCCACAGGGTACCTTTAGAGTAGCCTGTGTTTTCCTCTCACAGAACACATCCTTCTTTATGGTAGCTCCTTCCATTTGTTCTACAACTATTAAAGGAGCACCTAACATGTACCAGACACTGTTCGCAAGCTGGGACACAGCACTGAACAAGACAGACAAGGGTCCTGTCCTCTTGGAGATACATTCTAGTGGGGGGAAGACAGATGGTAAATGGGACACTATCCAATAGGGGTAAATTCCTATAAAGGAAATGAAATGGAGTGATGCATTACTGTAAAAATTTGATAGGATGTTTTTCATTGTTTCTGAATGTACAGCCATGGTGGAGTGGAAGGAATACTTGATTAGAGCATGAAGAAACCTGGATTCCATCATTAATCAAATCAATGGTTCTCAGCCTTAGCCAGTCATCTAGTGAAATCTCCAAAACTCTGATGCCCAAACCAATTACGTCAGAATGTCTGGGGATGGGACCCAGGCCTCAGTATTTTTTTAAAGGTCCCCAAGTGATCCCAAGATGTATCCAAGGTTGAGAACCACTGAAATAAACAGTTGTATGACTGGGCAACTCTCTGACTTCCCCAGTTTTCTCAAGAGTCAAATGAGTAGTTGACCTTGAGCAGAACTTCTCCAAATGTAATGTGCATGCGGGTTATCTTAGGATCTTCTTTCAATGCAAGTTCTGATTCACAGGTCTGAGGGAGAACCTGAGATTCTGCCTCTAACAAGCCCCCAGGTGATGCCCATGCTGCAATTAATGGCCACACCTTGAGTATCAGAAACCAGATGATCAAACTAAAAGATCAGGAATTAGATAAATGATCTATAAAAGATCCTTCCAATCCTAACATTCCTCAACAGCATAATTCCACTAATTCCTAGAAGATTTAAAAAGTACTTTCATCTGTTAGTACATAATACAAAACTATACCAGAATATCCACACAAGATAATTAGTAGAAACTCTAGGGATGGTTACTCAAGTATAGTGCCCAGTTTCTGCTGGAAGTACCCAAGAAGGCTGGGCATGGTGGCTCACACCTGTAATCCCAGCACTTTGGAAGGCCAAGGCGAGAGGACTGCTTAAGCCCAGGAGTTCAATACCAGCCTGGGCAACATGGCAAGACTCTGTCTCTACAAATATTAAAATATTAGCCAGGTGTGGTACTGTGTGCCTGCAGTCCCAGCTAAATGGAAGGCTGAGGCAGGCGGATTGCTTGAGCCTGGGAGATCGAGGTTGCAGTGAGCCATGACAGCACTACTGCACTATAGCCTAGGCAACAGAGTGAGACCCCGTCTCAAAAAAAAAAAAGAAATACCCAAGAGGAGAGATGCAGAGCTCTATAATATATATTCCCTGTTTTCAAAAAGTATACTATCTAATTGAAACAATACTTTTAAAAAAAGGTAATGAAAAAATAATATATGACTTAAAGGTTAAAACAAGGGACAGATGATAGCAGTATGGAAATTCAGTAACTACCTGGCTATCAAGCAGAAACTCTTTGAAGCCATGGACTATGTTTTATTCATTTTGTCTCCACTCAGAGAACCTAGATCAGGATGTTACACACAGGCACATTCATTGTATATGGATAATATATACATATATTAGAGTTTTTGGAAGATGGATTAATGAAACAAGATGCTATATAGTAAGAAGTGATTACAGGCTTTGGAACAGAGAAACAGCATAATGAAAAGTGTATTTACCGTTCTTTGAAATAAAGACAAAGAATATTTAGGTCTCCACAGAATTAAAGCCGCGCCTGAATCTTAGCACCTTTACTACTTAGCACCTTTACTATTTTTTAAAAAGAAAAAACTGTAGATACGACCTCTCAGTCCAGTTTTGCTTAGCATCCTAGGCATCGTGCCTAGATAGTTAGGGAGGCTAACTGTATAATGGCTCAAATACCAAAAATGTTCACTTCTTGCTCAGGTAAAGTCCAAAACAGGTGCTCCTGGTGGGCAGACTGTTCTCACAGCAGTGGCTCTGCTGCCTGTGCTCCTTCTACCTTGTGGCAGAAGACTTTCTAGGTCACTAGGCCCTCTGCATCAAGCCAGATAAGGAAAAGGCATGATACCCATGCCTCAAGAGTTTCAGGGGCCAAGTCTGGAAGTGGCACACTTCGTTGCTCTCACCCCACTGGCTAGAATTTGGTCACGATTCCAAGGGGGACTGGAAAATGCCCAGGAAGAGGAGGAAGAGAAGGAGATGGGTTTCATGATCAACTAGCAGTCTCTGCCACAGTATCTTCTGTAAACTGCTTTTTAATTACAAAATAGTTACTCCTTTCAGAAATGTCCTCTGCTAACCTACAACTCCATTTTCAATCCCTAAGGCCATTCGGGATCTAAAACCAATCTAGGAGGTTTCCTTCTCCAATAAATATTTTCCTAACATACTCAAAATGAGATTTTATCAAATGCATCCTTGAAAGGATGTCTGGCTTGTTCTTCCCAGTATCTCTGGTAATACTTAATACAATGTCTGGTACATAACACAAGCTCAAATTACTTATAGAATTCATAAATTAATAACCAGCCCCTAAGTTTATGGAAAGGAAAAATGGTCCCGTCTCTCGTCCTGGTGATGGTGGTGGAATTTACTAAAAGCCTTCTGTCGTTTTCAAGCACATCTCTTCCTATAAGGCCACCGAATTGCCACTCATCCTCTTGGTCACTTTGATTTGCTATGTCTTGGTACTGTGCCACTGAGACAAAAGCAAGAGACTGAACAAGCAGTGGCTCGAACCTGTAGTCCCAGCTACCTGGGAGGCTGAGGCGGGAGGACTGTTTGAGCCCAGGAGTTCAAGGCTGCAGTGAGCTGTGAGCTGTGCCACTGCACTCCAGCCTGGACAACAGAGCAGGACCCCATCTCTAAAAAAAATTTTTAAAAAGAAAAAACTGTAAATACGACCTCTCAGTCCAGCAATGTTGCAGATATTTTTAAAGAAAGGAACCTTATCCCTCTATTCATTTGAGAAATCAAGGAATATGATAAAAGCTACTTTAAACCTGCTTAAAAAAAAAAAAAAACTTAAAAGGAGTAGGGGGAATACTCAACAGTTTTCAGAGATACCAAGAAAACCAAACTAAAACTGGGGGCTAGAGCACAATTAATTATTTAATTAGTATTAATTTATGAATAATAAATGAAATATCAATTTATTAATAATAAATAAGAAACAGCACAAGGTCTGTCAAAAGACATGTTTCAGAGACACTCCCTAAAATCAGGTTAACGATTTTATGAGATGGGCAATTCAACATGTACCCCAAGCCCAAGTAACTTTATTCTTTTTCTGAACCACAAAAGGTTAGTGTGGGAAAAAATTATGTGCTACAGTACAAAAATATTATGTGCTCACATATTACCACTTTTCAAGAAGTTTAAAATATGCCATTAAGTGCTACTATACTATAATAACCCTCACAACTCCCCCATGGGATAGAGACAAAAATTAAAGTATACAGTCAAGTTAAAAGGAAAAAGTCTGGTAGGTAGCCGACTTCCTACTCCTGGGGCAGGCTAAATAAAAAAATGAAACAGTAACCTCTAAGGTAATTGGGGCACAAACCATTTTAGGCTCTCAAATTGAGTTCAACACCTAGAATTGAGTTCAAAAGCAAACAAGTAGCTGGAACAGACTACAAAACAGTTCAAGTTCTAAGAGGCTGACACAGGAACTAATATTACAATATATCAAGCCAGATTTATGGCCTGAGAAATCAGATTAATTGATTCTCTATTACCAGAGATGCACGTAAAGCATGTTTAAAGTGATTTTACAGTTTTTTTTAAATTATTCTTTCTAGATATGAATCACAGTATCATTAGAATTTTCATAAATTTAATTTGGCTTGGAAGCCAGTATACTCAAAGTCTGAAAATAATCAAAGAGCACTTACTAAATGTCCACATTTGTACAAATAGATTCAACTAGAATACATTCAGTAAAAAAAACTGTATAACATTTAAAATGATATTGTTTCAGTAGTACTTATTGTTACCCATACTAATGATAATTTTGTTTAACTCCTCAGAGAGAGCATTGTAAAATATCAACAAAATCAACCCAACAAACTAGGCATTCTATTCAATATTATGTACGTATAACAAGCATTTTCATATATAAAATCTTATTTCGATCCTAAAAGGTAGCAAAGCACACATTAAGCCTATTCTAGAAATGGAGACACCAAGACATGGGTAACAAGGCACTGGGCAAAGGCCACAAGCTAGGACGGGGCAGAATTAGAACCAGACCAGTTCTCCCATACTACTGTGTGATTTCCACAAGAAAACACGGTTCTCTCCCTAATAATGCAGCAACGCTTCTCCACAAAGCAGCAATGCAAAAATGCGGGCAGAAAAAGTAAGTACGATGCTCTGAGAGAAAGCTAAGGCAAACGCTCCCACTGAGGAACACCGAGCAGGTTAGCTGGGAGGGAGACATCCTGAAGGAGAAGAGAGCGGTGGAACAGAATGCTACCACATACACCTAGAAGGTGATCTTGTCTAAAGATCCTCCATGCCTCTCAAACATTTTTTGGTCCATGAACCACAGACCACCATCACCTATCACTACTTGCTACTGCCCAAAGAACTAAAACCTCATCAAAACTAAAGAAGAGAATGACACTGTTTCTCGTAACAGAGCAATGAGGTGGACGCCAAGAAAATGGCAGCCACAGCCCCGGAATGGAGGTCGGCTATCTGGGAACCTCCCTTAATCCGAACACAGCCAGAACTAGGAAGGAAGCCAAGAACACTCTGAAGGCCAAAAGTGAATTTTACGAAGTCCATGCACAAAAGCTTATGTACTCCACTGTGAGAAGAGTTTCTCCGACCCACATTCGTAGCTTGATTACTATAAAACTACTCACAGCTCTAATATGCTTCATTATCAGGTTGCCAAGCCCAGAGATCAGAAGCAACAAATCGGAGGGGAAAAAATGTAGCTCAAAACTGACACACAGAAGCAAAAGAGTGACAGGCAACGGCAAGGTGAGATTGTTTTTTTAAACAATAAAAATGGGACACAAGGATTTGAAAGGTATAGCAGTTTGGGGTCATTTATCATAAAAGTAAACTCTCTACTCCAAAAACCCAAATCACAGTGTTAAATAAAGCCCAGTTTAATAAGCTACATACAACATAATGAACCCAAGTTATTAAGGAAAATGTAAGTTAAATTCCATGGGTTCTACTTAACATAGAGAAAAAGGTAGCACCGTTTAATACCTTTTGTTTGCATATTACTTTGTAGTCTATAAAACACTTCATATGAATTACCTCATTTGATCCTCAACAAAACCATAAGGCAAGAGGGCAGATACCTCCACTGGCCAGGAATTGGCTGGTAAATAATTCCATTTTAGCCAGACAGATGGATTTATCGGTGGCAACTGTAACACAGAATGTTCATTTGTCTAACAGGAGAGAGCACATAGAAGGCACATGAAGACAAAGGGCACAGAAGGCCTCCTGAGAAGCGTCACCACCTGACTATCCCAACTTTCAACTGGAACTGCACTTCCAAAACTTCCGCCTCTGAAAGCTCCCGTTTTTCCATCTGCATCCTCCAAGGCCTCACCTGAAGAACTGTTATAATGCCTTCTAATCCCGTCACCACCCCTCTACGGTGGAGGACAAACTTTATGATGGACCTCCTATGATCCCCACCTCTTGATGTTAACAGCTTTTTTTTTTGAAACGGAGTCTCGCTCTGTCACCCAGACTGGAGTACAGTGGCACGATCTCAGCTCACTGCAAGCTCCGCCTCCGGGTTCATGCCATTCTCCTGCCTCAGCCTCCGGAGTAGCTGGGACTGCAGGTGTCCGCCACCACGCCCGGCTAAATTTTTGTATTTTTAGTAGAGACGGGATTTCACCGTGTTAGCCAGATGGTCTCGATCTCCTGACCTCGTGATCTGCCTGCCTCAGCCTCCCAAACTGCTGGGATTACAGGCATGAGCCACCGCGCCCAGCCACTGTTAACAGCTTTGTGTAACCCCCTCCCCCGGAGTGTGGGCTGGACCTAGCAAGTTGCTTCTAACCAGCAGAACATGGCAAAGGTAATGGGCAGACTGTGACTTCTGTCTTGCTAGAGACTGTCCCTCCTGGCTCTGATGAAGCAAGCTATGGTGTTGCAGAGGCCCCTGGGGCAGGAATTGAGGGTAGCCTCGGGCCAACAGCTGGCGAAAAGCTGAGCCCTCAGCCCAACAGCCCAAAGAAAGGAGTCCTTCAAATGGCCAAGGGAGCCTGGAAGTGGATCCTCCCCTACCAGAGGTTTCCAAGGTGAGCCCAGTCCTGGCCAGCACCTCGACCACAGTTCAGCAGTCCCAATCCAGCAGACCCAGCCCTGCCCTGCCCAAATGCCTGACCCATGGGAACCAGGAGATTCCACCCTGGGCTGTTTGAAGCCACTGGGTTTGTGATGATTGGTTACAGCAGCTATAGATAACTAATACACTCACAGCCCATCAGGCCACAGTGGTTTCTTTTCTCATCTTGGACTGGATCAATCATTTCACCATCATTTCTACCAGTACTCTGTATATGCCACCACGGTTCTGAAATAATCATCCACCCTATCTCTACTCCTTTATTCTCTCATTATCGAATTGACAAAACCAATACCCTTCCTTAGTCTTCAGTCTACTCAACTCTGCAGCATTACGACTGACAACCTCCTTTCAACCCTCCACACTCAGCAACCCTGAATTCATATTCTGCTTGTTCCCTTACCTCTCCGACCATTCTTTCTCAGCCTCTACTGGTTCTCTCCCCTCTGGTGGCATTAAAATGTAAGCATTCATCACATTTCTGCCCTCAGGCCCCTTCTCTGCTCCCCTTCCAATCTCACTCACAACTGTGACTTCTAATTGTTTTGAACTGATTCATTCATTGGTTGCAAAGGTACTGTCTGTACCTTTTGTGCTGTGCTGCTGCCACTGCATCTGCCCCTCCAGACCTCCTCACAGCCCTTCTCTCCCTGCCCCAAGCCCAGGGGGCTGACCTCTAAGGACTCCAGCACCAAGGCTCCCTCCCTTGCCCTCTGGAAGAACAATGAAGAAAAAAAGCAGGGTGATATGAAGGACTCCCTGATCTTTGACCCACATCTCCAATGTCACGCTGTATATACACATTCTAAAGCTACCCAATGACGCCTTAAAAACAGCGATACCGGCCAGGCGCGGTGGCTCACGTCTGTAATCCTAGCACTTTGGGAGGTCAAGGTGAGCGGATCACCTGAGGTCAGGAGTTCAAGACCAGCCTGGCCAACATGGTGAAACCCCGTCTCTACTAAAAATACGAAAATTAGCCAGGCATGGTGGTGGGTGCCTGTAATCCCAGCTACTCGGGAGGCTGAGGCAGGAGAATTGCTTGAACCTGAGAGGTGGATGTTGCAGTGAGCTGAGACCATGCCATTGCACTGCAGCCTGGGCGACAAGAGTGAAACTCCATCTCAAAAAAAAAAAAAAGAAAAAGAAGAAGAAGAAAAACAGTGGTACCTTTGCAGCCATTCTCCCCAAATATACCTGCCTTGTCTTCCCTATCTCAGTCTGGCCTCACTAAATCCCCAGTTATGGTTCAAAACCTAGGAGTCACCTTCCCTCAAGGCCCACATTCAGTCAGTCACAAAATTGCATGTGTGTGTGACACACACACTCCTCAGCCATGCGAGCTCTTTCCTCACCCCAATTCTACAGACAACTCTTGCCAGAAGTGATTTTCTCCCGACTCTAGTCCTTCCTATTTGCTCATTCATTCATTCATTCATTCAGCCAACAAGCATTTACTAAGTCTAGGTACTCAAGCCTCTTACCTCCAGAAATGCACATCTAATTGAGAGAGAAAGAGAAGTAAACAAGCAACTCCAATGCAAACTAAAATGTGCCATGACTAGGAAAACCACGTAGTGCTATGGTGCACACAGGAAGGGCATCCGATCCAATCTGAAAAGAGGGGCAAGGTCAAGAAGGCTTCTCCTATTGGAAGTTTCATTTAAGCTGAAACACAGAAGACACAGAAAGTCAGCAAGAGCATGGGTGAGCGTGTGTGCCTGTGTTCCTGAGGCAGGTGCAACTTCTAAATCAAGGCAACAGCAATGTGGGAGGCCTAAAACCACCAGACACTGTGGGACCTTGGAACAATCAGAGTCTAAAAAATGTGACGTGACTGTAGAGAGGAAGCTGGAGAAGTAACTAGGTGGCCCTTATTAGCACCTGTTTCAGGAGAATCGACTTTATCCAATCAATTCCATTCCTCTACTAAAAAAAAAAAACTTCTAAAAGCCTCTCCTGAGCAGAGAATTAAATCCAGATTCTTCGGTCTGACTTTCAGGCCCCTAACAACATGACCCCTACCTACTTTCCGAGGCTTACCTACCCATATGCACATGAATTCCACCCACTCCCTGTACTCTCTTGGCTCTATGCCTCTGTTCCATTTCCTCTGCTTGGAATTTCTCCTCCAACTACCATGTTTGCCCGTCAATGATTTCAGGTCAAATTCCACCTCCTCCCGGAAGTCTTTCCATCTTCCCTTCCAGAGCCTTATTAAAGCATTATGACTTGTCTTGAATCACTTACATCCATATCTGCTTCCCTACAGACTTCTGTCACTACAGACTCTGTCCCTGACAGGCTTCTGAAGTATGTGTAAACAGAAATGACTCCTAATTTCAAAGTCTAGGAAAAATGTTCAGAAAAGTATTCAATTTACCACTAAAGCAGTTCTAAATAGCTAACCATGGAAGGTCACAAAGAAATAATTTTTTTTTTTTTTTTTTGAGATGAAGTCTTGCTCTGTCCTCCAGGCTGAAGTGCAGTGGCACGATCTCAGCTCACTGCAACCTCCGCCTCCTGGATTCAAGCGATTCTCCTGCCTCAGCCTCCCAAGTAGCTGAGACTACAGGCACGTGCCACCACGCTCAGCTAATTTTTTGTATTTTTAGTAGAGACGGGGTTTCACCATGTTAGCCAGGATGGTCTCGATCTCCTGACCTCATGATCCACCCGCCTCGGCCTCCCAAAGTGAATGATTTTTTAATTATATGAAAACAATCAACCAAAAGCCTAGATTTCTGTATGTTTTCATGTAAGTATCTGTAAATAAAAATGGCTACAGAAATTTAAAAAACAGTATGTGAACAAGCTCAGAAAGAGTACCTGCTCAGCCACAAGGCATTTAAGGGACAGAGTAAAGGCCAGAGCCAAGTATTCAGATACTCTTTCCCAAAAGTGATAAACAGGATATAACCAGAGTATCTCCACACAACTCACTAACAAACTCACCCAATTACCTGGAACTTTTCTCCTTAATTCTTCCCACAATTAATTCCCATTTTCCTCCAGAGCTCTCAAGAAGCCTCCCCCAACCTTGCAGATTAGTCAAATCCCTTTATGACATATTGCACGCACCTTCACAGCACTGAGTCCCAGCTGAAATTTCATATGGCATCTTGATTAATGTCCGTCTCCCCCTTAGCTCCATAAGGACAGAGACTGGGTCTGTCCTTCCTTGTGCCTGGCACAGATAGGCACTTTGTTATTTGTTGAGTAAATGAAGTGACTTAAAAGTATAACAATAACCAATGTTCACGTGGCCCCTGCGGGACTACAAGGTCCTAAAATATCTTCTGATTCCTCCAGTAATAATAACAATTATATAAATTTTAATGTCACAATTTTATTGTAACATGTCCTAACTCTTTGATAAATATTCATATATATAATCTGCTAGTTCTCTATTAACCAGAATGTATATTAACCAGAATACCACATTTTTTTTAAAACATGCAAGGTATCAGCAAACTTTCACATCAAAAAAACATTTACTACAGGAAGTCAACCTACACGCTACGTGGAAGAGCTGTTTGCTCTCTTAGAACCTGAAAAGTCCAATTCCAGTCTAACAGTGAATTACAGTGTTTCACCAAGGCAGCCTACTACATCAATAAATTAAAACAAAATTTTGTGTTTTTAAGGCAAGATGCTTGGGTGTCTGAGTTAGCCAGGACTTCCTAAGCATACAGCAAATCCATAAAATGAATTTAAACTCCCCAAATAGATCCTCAGATTGAATATAATCCCCATTATATCTCAGTTGTCTCTTCTGTGGAAACTAACAAGCTGATCCTAATATTCATACGGAAATACAAGGGAGCTAGCACAGCCAAAACAATCTTGAAAAAGAAGAACAGAGTTAAAGGACTGACAGTTCCTGATTTCAAAACTTACTACAAAGCTACAGAATCAAGACATTGTGGTAATGGCACAAAGATAGACATATAGATCAATGGAATAGAATCAAGACTCTAAAAATAAACCCACAGATTTATAGTCAGTTGATTTTCAACAAGGGTGCCAAGACACTTCAGTGAGGAAAGAATGGTCTTTTCAACAAATGGGCTAGGACAACTGAATATCCACATGCAAAAAAATGAAGCTGGAAGCCTACCTCACACTGTGTACAAAAATTAACTGAAGATCTATCAGAGAACTAAATGTCAGAGCTAAAACTACAGAACTCTAACAAAAAAACACAGGTGTAAACCTTCACGACCTTGGATATGACAATGGTTTCTTATTATGATACCAAAAGCATAAGTGACCAAAAAAAAAAACAAAAAAACAGATAAATGGGACACAATCAAATTTAAAACTTCTGTTCTTCAAAGGACACTATCAAGAAAGTAAAGGCCAGCACAGCAGCTCATACTTGTAATCCCAGCATTTTGGGAGGCCAAGGCAGGAGGATCACTTGAGCCCAGGAGTTCAAGACCAGCCTGGGCATAATATAATATAGAGACTCCGTTTCTATTAAAAAATTTCTAAATTAGCCAGACCAGTGGTGCCCCCCTGAAGTCCCAGCTGCTCAGGAGACTAAGGTGGGAGGACCGCTTAAGCCCAGGCAGGCAAGACTGCAGGGAGACATGACTGCATCACTACACTCCTGCCTGGGTGACAGAATGAGACCCTCTCTCAAAAAACAAAAGCGAAAAGACAACCCACACAGAATCAGAGAAAAATCACATATCACATGTCAATCATACATTTGAAATCACATATCTGATAAGGGACTGATATCTAGAACACATATAAAGAATTCCTACAACTGAACAGCAAAAATTCAATTGACTCAATTCAAAAATGGAAGAGGATTTGAATAGACATTTGTCAAAGCAGACATACAAATGGCTAATAAGCTCATGAACAGATGCTCAACATCATTAGTCACTAGGGAAATGCAAATCAAAACCACAATAATATACCACTTCCCATCTACAACAATGGCTATAATCAAAAAGATGGACAATAACAAGTGTTTGCAAGAATGTGGAGAAATTACAACTCTCATACTTGCTGGTGGGAATGTAATATGATCTAACCACTTTGGAAAAGTTTGGAAAACAGTTCCTCAAAAAGTTAAACAGAGTTAACTACGACACCACAATTCCACTCCTAGGTATCTTTCCAACAGAAATGAAAACATATGTCCATATAAAAGCTTGTACACAAATGTTCACAGCAGCATTTTTCTTAATAGCCAAAAAGTGGAATAACTCAAATGTCTATTAACTGGTGAATGGATAAACAAAATGTGGTATATATCCACACAACAGAGGATTATTCAAAAATAAAAGGAGTGAAGTGGCCAGGTGTAGTGGTTTACACCTGTAATCCCAGCACTTGGGAGTCCGAGGCAGAAGGATCACTTGAGCCCAGGAGTTCAAGACCAGCCTGGCAACATGGCGAGACCCCCATCTCTATTATATTAAATTTAAAATTTTTTAATTTTAAAAAAGGGATGAAGTAACAGTACATGCTACATACAACATAGATAAAAACCTTGAAAACATTATGCTAAGGGAAATAAGCCAGTCAAGTCACAAAAGGACAAACACTACATGATTCTATTTATATGAAATGTTCACACTAGGCATAAATATGCATAAAGAAATAAAGCAGATTAGTAATTGACTAGGGCCGGGAGGAGGAGGCAACAGGGAGTGGCTGCTAATGGGTACAGATTTTCTTTTTGGAGTGATGAAAATGTGGAATTAGAGAGTGGGGACAGTTGCACGAAACATGTAAATATACAAAAGAAAACCCACTCAATTATATATTTTAAAAGGGTTAATTTTATAATATATGAATTACATCTTAAGCTATTATTAAAAAACAAATCAGGCTGGGCACAGTGGCTTATACCTGCAATCCCAGCACTTCGGGAGGCCAAGGCTGGAGGATCACTTGAGGCCAGGAGTTTAAGATCAGCCTGGGCAACATATTGAGACCCTGTCTTTACCAAAAAAAAAAAAAAAAAAAAAGAGTTTCGCTCGTTTCCCAGGCTGGAGTGCGATGGCACAATCTCGACACACTGCAACCTCTGCCTCCCGGGTTCAACTGATTCTCCTGCCTCAGCCTCCCAAGTAGCTAGGATTACTGGCACCCGCCACCATGCCCAGCTTTTTGTATTTTTTTTAGTAGAGAAGGGGTTTCACCCATGTTGGCCAAGCTGGTCTGGAACTCCTGACCTCAGGAGATCCACCCGCCTCAGCCTCCCAAAGTGCTGGGATTACAGGCGTGAGCCACCATGCCTGGCCAAAAAAAAAAAAATTTTAATCAGCTAGGCATGGTGATACATGCCTGTACTCCTAACCACTTGGGAGTCTGAGGCAGGAGGATCACTTGAGTCCAGGAATTCAAGGTGCCAGTGAGCTACGATCACACCTCTGCACTCCAGCCTGGATGACAGAGTGAGACCATCTTTAAAAAGAAATAAAATAATTTAAAAAAGAACCAAATCCCTGTAACTACTGAAACCACTGTGAAGGTTGTTTCTTTAAAAACATACACTTTCCTCTTTTGTTTAGCAGAACATACTCAGTATTGCTTTTCTGAATTTACTCAAGGTCAACACTATGAAACATCAATGACTAAACAGCTGTAAATTCAGAGAATTCAACGGTGCGCAGGCTAGTAGCCCTTTACATAGTTATCTCCAAACTACTATTCTTTCACAGTATTCCACCTGTCTTCTATAATTTTGTTTCCTCCTTCTACCATGAAAAATCAAGAACAACAAGAGATCAGAGGCAGGAGGGATATACTAAGGAAAAGGTGAAGGACTGTGCACACAGGCAGCCACATACACTTAAAGAGAGGCTGTTTTCTGTTTTCTTCCCCGCTTGTTTTCTGCTTTCTACCCATTCTGAAGGCAACGTCTCCCATTCTTACTAAGGATACACATCTCCATCCTTTTATGTTTACCGACCCAAAACAAGGGGAAAAGTGGGGAAGCCCACCCAAATAGCTGAACTGTGGAAGACCTCAAATGATACTGACATCACCCAAACTGCCTGATTCCACCTGAGAACACCCACAGGGCAAAGACCGCACAGACCATAGCATTCCAAGGTGTTCTGCTTCTCCACTATTCAAAGAAAAAGTTCTGGGGCCGGGCACGGTGGCTCACGCCTGTAATCCCAGCCCTTTGAGAGACTGAGGCAGGTGGATTGCTTGAGCTGGCCAAGAGTTCAAGACCAGCCTAGGCAACATAATGAAACCCCTGTCTCTACTAAAAACATAAAAATCAGCCGGGCGTTGTGGCATATGCCTGTGTTTTCCAGCTAAGTCCTCAGCTTGGGGGGCTGAGGTGGGAGGATCACTTGAGCCCAGGCTGTCGAGGCTTCAGTGAGCTGAAATTGTGCTACTGCACTCCAGCCTGGGCGACAGAATAAGACCTTGTCTCAAAAAAAAAAAAGAGAGAGAGAGAGACAAAGAAAAAGCTTTGAGACAGTTACTACACCTACCACTAACTTACTCCACACACACCCAGGCTGGCTGACCAAGGACACTTGGCCTTCTATCTGTAGCTACACTGAACACTTTCTCTGCAAAACTCTATAGCATCTGAACATAAGACACTCCTTTAGGAGTCAATATCTTTTCTTTTACACTGTTTGATGGGGACAGAGTTTGAGGTGCCAGGACCCCCTGCTATGATAACCAGCTTCTCACACAATCTCCTCTCACTCTAAGACCCTCTAAATGATCAGCAGGCTGCTGGATCTAACCAACCTTCTTTCATAGTCGACCAGAGTGAGATGATCACCTGGCCTATGGAAACAAAGCAAATGGCTGAGAGGAGTCAGTCCAATACCCAGTCTTGAATATTTTTGTACTGAGCCATAGAAATGGGAGTCAGATGATGATGAGTACTGGAACTAGAGTCAGGACATGCAGGAGCCATGACTAAGGCCACTACATGTAACTCAAGCAAGGAAGCTACATGTGAATGGAAAAAGCCCAGCTCCAGAGAAGACATGTACTCCAGACTCTCCAGATCCAGTTCCCACTGCCCAGCTGCACTTCAGTTTCTGTCCCGAGAGGCTACGATTGCTTCTGCTCTTCTTAGACTAAAACTGCTTTCACTTGGCCTAAACTGTGTGGCTCATGGGACTTGCAATCAAAAGTGCTCTAATCTAAAGCACGGCCTGCTTACCTTCCCTGACATCAACCCCAAACCATCTGTTTCCTAGTGTTTATTAAGAACCTCAGACTTTTCTGAATGAGCTAGCCAATCCTCTTTACAAATATAAATATTGCAAATATTAAAATCTCACCTAAAAATCACTTTCTGTATAAATGAACCTCAGGGCCTGATTACCATCACTTTTTTTTTTTTTTAATGTGTGATTCTGACAGTTTATTTAAGGCACAGCCTCCCACCTTGGGGTCATGAAAATATTGGCCATATATTTACTGTTAGGACATTATAACTAGTTTTCTCATTAAGCTTCAAATCCATTTGAAGTTTTTATTTTTTTAATTGTGGCAAAATATGCATAACATAAAATTTACCACTTTAACCCTTTTTGAGCATACAATTTAGTGAAATTAGGGACATTCCTATTGTGTATCACCATTAGCCATAGCTTATTTTCAAAGCATTCTGAAAATCATGACTTTTTTATTTTTATTAAACAAGTGTTTATGTTCCCTCATCAAATGACAAGGGCCAGGAGCCTCATCAGTGGCAGGACTGTGGCAGGACAGTGACGAAGGTAGCAAAGAGCACCCACAACAACTTGGAGCAGCACCAGAGCAGCTAAATCCATCCTCAGTTCCTCCAGACATGGCCACAGAAGCTAAAGAGACTAAAAATACTTGGAGAGGACAGATAAAAAGCTGTCAAGGATATTTAGCCCAGTTAGAGAGGTCGCCACTATCACCATATTTGCATCAGAAAACACTCATACAAGCTGCAGTGGGAAATATTTAGAATAATTAGATTCAGTACAGAAAGCCTGATGTTCCTTCCCTCCCAGAATGCCTGGAAGAAATCTCTGGGCCTTGAATTTGGTCAAGTTATCTATGATCAATTTCTGGAGGACCCCTAGGAAGAAAGACAAGTACTTCAAAAATGTTAAGTGCCCACTCTCCACCCTTCTAACTTGTTATAGCTTTCTTTTTAGCACAACAGCCTCTATCAAGAAAACCAAATGAGGAAGAAACTTTCATCAAAGCTTTGTGAAAGCAAATGATTCAGCCAGAACATTTCATAATGGCTGAGATGGAAAGGATAAGGCAGGGAATGTTTACACGAACACCAGGAACTTCAACTTGCCTCTCAGTATCTTTAAAAATGAAAGAAACTTCCAAAAATAAATTATGTTCACGGCCTCTCCAAACGCGAGGCCTATAGGAGGCCCAGGGAGCAGGTTCAAGTGAAGATGTGATATGATCAATGACAGTGGGCCCACAGCAACTCCCCAATCCACACGAGTTTCTAAATAGGAAGAGTCTTCATTTACTGAATTACTGGGAATCGATAGATTTTAATAACAGTTATATTAATCAACTCCAGAAAGTACAACTAAATGAATATAAATACTACCTTAAACATAAAAAGTCTGAGGTTAGCAAATATTTTTCATCTGTAATCATATATTATTTAAGTCTATTTTCCAAAACTATGAACCCTCATCTATGTCTGAACAAAGACCTCAGATCTGTCATACAGAATAACTATGAACATTTTGGTGTTGTACATCTTTTTTAATAAATTTAAATTTTTTTACATTTTGTTTGTTTTGAGACAGGATCTCACTCTGTCATCCAGACTGGAGTGCAGTGGCGTGATCGTAGCTCACTGCAGCCTTGACCTCAAGGGCTCAAGTAATCCTCCAACCTCAGCCTCCCAGGTACCTGGGATCACAGGCGCACACCAACACATCTGGCTAATTTTTTCTATTTTTAGTAGAGACAAGGTCTCACTATGTTGCCCAGGCTGGTCTCGAACTCCAGGGCTAAAGCAATCCTCCCGTCTCGGCCTCCCAAAGTGCTTAGATTATAGGCACCGAGCCACAGCACCCGGCCTACGTTTTTTAAAGTAAATATAGTATATTAAACAGACAGACCTAAAAAATTAAGCCCTCTATGTACCTCAGAAAGGAGATATCTGAGTGTCTGTAGTTCAAATCCCCCCATACAGCTTGAGTCAACATATTATTCTTGTCCTGGAGCAAGGACCTCAAAAGGAAAAGATACAGTTATACAGAATAGCTGAATATCAGGAAAGCAAGCCCTGAAATGAAATTCCATATCTCCGACTTCATTTCCTTACACAATAGTCCCCCTCTTATCCATGGTTTCAGTTACAAGCGGTCAACTAAGGTCCAAAAATAGGTGAGTATGGTACAATAAGATAATCAGAGAGAGAGAGAGACCACATTCACACAACTTTTATTACAGTATATTGCTGCAACTGTTCTGTTTTATCATTAGTTATTGCTATTAATTATTAATAGTAATTATTATTAATGGGAAGGAACTTTCGAGGTCATCGCTAGGAAAACCCTTTACCCAACACATGAATCCCCTCAAAATGACTACCAACTATCTCATTACATAAGAGCTGAGGTCTGAGAAAAGCAAGATGAGGAAAAGCTGTGCTGGAATCAAGAGTGATAAATGCAGAAATACCATCTGGTAAAAGAAGGTATGGAGGCCATGGAGAGAAAGGCTTCTAGCTCCTGGTCCACCTAAGTGGCAGCAAAGACAGCACAGGATGCAGCTCTGCTGGGATCCTTGAGTCCTGCTCACCAGCATTCCCAGCTAGTGAAAGAGTACAAGCCAGGCACAGCGGCTCATGCCTGTAAGCCTGGCACTTTGGGAGGCTGAGACAGGATGACTGCTTGAGGCCAGGAGTACAAGACAAGCCTGCGCAACATAGCAAGACCCTTTCTCCATAAAATTAAAAAAGAATTAGCCGGGTGTGGTGGCACACGCCCGTAGTCCTCACTACTCAGGAGGCTGAGGCAGGAGGATCACTTGAACCCAAGAGTTCAAGGTTGCAGTGAGCTGTGATGGCACTCTAGCCTGGGTGACAGATCAAGACTCTTGTCTCTAAAAAATTTTTTTAATTAATAATAAGTAACGAATAAATAAATAATAAATAAATAGTAAAAAGGAAAGAGTTTGAGCTGGGAATCCAAGTGGGCTTGTTCTACAAGCTGTCTAGGAAGTGCAAAGCCTTCACAGCTAGAGAACTAACCAATCACTGATTGGTTCAGGGTTAGATAAAAATGATAACGCTTTAGCCAGGCGTGGAGGTGGAGGCTAACGTCTGTAATCCGAGCACTTTGGGAGGCAGAGGCGGACGGATCATGAGGTCAGGAGATAGAGACCATCCTGGCTAACAAGGTGAAACCCCGTCTCTACTAAAAATACAAAAAATTAGCCGGGCGCGGTGGCGGGCGCCTGTAGTCCCAGCTACTCGGGAGGCTGAGGCAGGAGAATGGCGTGAACCCGGGAAGCGGAGCTTGCAGTGAGCCGAGATTGCGCCACTGCAGTCCGCAGTCCGGCCTGGGCGACAGAGCGAGACTCCGTCTCAAAAAAAAAAAAAAAAAAAAAAATTAGCCAGGTGTGGTGGTGGGCGCCTGTGGTCCCAGCTACCCAAGAGGCTGAGGCAGGAGAATGGCGTGAACTCGAGAAGTGGAGCTTGCATCACTGCACTCTAGCCTGGGCGACAGAGATAGACTCTGTCTCAAAAGATAAATAAATAAATAATTCTGATGCTACCGCCAGTATTCCAGACTTTTTGAAACCTAATAATAATAGCCCATAACTTTTCATAAATTCTACAGTGGCACATGGCTTTGAAAATTAGGGGGTTTTTACAGAGCCCTCTACCATTAAATATTCCTTTTTTAGGCTGGGTGCGGTAGCTCACACCTGTAATCCCAGCACTTTGGGAGGCCGAGGTGGGTGAATCACCTGAGGTCAGGAGTTCAAGACCAGCCTGGCCAACATGGTGTCTCAACTAAAAATACAAAAATTAGCCCAGCGTGGTGTTCAGCACCTGTAATCCTAGCTACTTGGGGGGCGAGGCAGGAGAATCGCTTGAACCAAGGCGGCGGAGGTTGCAATGAACCAAGATCGCGCCATCGCACTGCAGCCTGGGGGACAAGAGCAAGACTTTGTCTCAAAAAAAAAAAAAAAAATTCCTTTCTTCATTATCACTTGCAAATAGATTCTTTTATAGAAATTATATTTAAATAATATATAAATTATTTCATTATTAGGGAAAACAATGTCATTTAAGTCATCTTCAATGTTTATTCACAGTCTACTTGCTTTTATTTCCTTTCTCTTAGCAAATCTACTGAAAGGAGAAAGCCAGCTAACAGACCACTCTTCTGTTACCTATTAGATAATTTAGTTTAACCTAAAGGAACACAAAGCTCTAGTTTCATTTAAGAATGGGAGGACACAGGATCTGTGAGTTGTTATGGCATTTAAAAAGTCATCTCAAGACAGGCGCGGTGGCTCACGTCTGTAATCCCAGCACTTTGGGAGGCAGAGGCAGGCAGATCAGCTGAGGTCGGGAGTTTGAGACCAGCCTGGCCAACATGGTAAAACCCCGTCTCTGCTAAAAAAAACAAAAATTAGCTAGGCGTGGTGGTGCATGCATGTAATCCCAGCTACTCAGGAGGCTGAGGTGGGAGAATTGCTTGAACACAGGAGGCAGAGGTTGCGGTGAGCCAAGATCATGCCACTGCACTCCAGCCTGGGTGACAGAGCTAGATTCCATCTCAAAAAAAAAAAAACCCAGTAAATAAAAAATAAAAAGTCATCTCAGCCGAACGTGGTGGTTCATGCTTGTCATCCCAGCACTTTGGGAGGCCGATGCAGGAGGATCACTTGAGCCCTGTAGTATGAGACCAGCCTGGACAACAGGGCAAAACCCCGTCTCTACAAAAATTAGCCTGGCATGGTGGCACGCACCTATAGCCTCAGTCACTTGGGGGACTGAGGCAGGAGGACTGCTTAGGCCCGAGAAGTGGAGGCTGCAGTGACACAAGATCACGCCACTACACTCCAGTCTGGGTGACAAAGCAAGACTGTCTCAGAAAAAAAAGTGATCTCAAGAGTAAGACTGGGTATCAATCAAAGTGGTTGCAGCTTGAATCATCAATTCTAATCATGCATTATTATTTAGCTAAAATGATGATTCCTAAATATAACACGTTTTATTTCTAAATGTTTCTTGGCAATTGAGTATCCAGAAAGTCAGCAAATCCCCCACGAAAGTAGAGAAAATAAACTTTTTTACGGCTCACCATTCATCAGCTACAGCAGGCTTGAAAGATACTATGGGCCGGAGGCTTAGCCTGAAATTTGGCCTGCAGAAGAAAACTCCAAATAAGATTTCTTCAAGAACTGTTCTAACGTAGTACTGAACTGCAAGCAGTGACCTCCCTAGAGGAGAAACCGGAGTCAACAGCTACACGAGTGCACAATCCAGGGTAGATGCACCCTAAGTCCAATACAAGGAATACTAGGCTAGTTCCACCACAATAATAATATCTTAAAATAAAAGTATCAAACAATGAAGTTATTTAAAATATGTCAAAGGCAAGAAAATGCTCCAAAAAAAAATCTAAATCCATTACAAAGGTAATTTGAATAAAACATCATTTAATCTCTAGGCCTAACCTCTCTGAAATAAAGCATTATATAATCTTCCAACTTAGTCAAATTATACAAGAAATGCTACTTTAGGCCAGCTCAGTGGCTCACGCCTGTAATCCCAGCACTCTGGGAGGCCAAAGTGGGTGGATCACTTGCATTCACAAGTTGGAGACCAGCCTGGGCAACACGGCGAAACTCCATCTCCGCAAAAAATACAAAAATTAGCCAGGCATGGTGGCGCGTGCCTGTAGTCCCAGCTACTTGTGAGGCTGAGGGATCACCTGAGCCCAAGAAGTCGAGGCTGCAGTAAGCCGAGAGAGATCATGCCACTGCACTCCAGACTGAGTGACACAGTGAGACCGTCTCCAAAAAAAAAAAAAAAAAAAAAAAAAAGAAATGCTATTTTATAACAAAGGAGCCATAGCATAGCACTCTCAACTTCCTGTAAGAACAAAAATATTGTGTCAATATGTTCACAACACAGTTCAAGTCACAAAATCATGAGATAATTAAATTGACTTTTTAGGTTTCAATCTGTTTAGCCAGAAACCTTATCCAAACTGTACTGATGCAAATCAGCATGAGAACTATAGCACTATCAAAATAACTCCAGTATCTTATCTTTTGTTTTACCTTTTATCAGTGATTTATGGGCTGACTAATGGTAAACTGATTTGTGCATGTGCCAGAAGTCAGCTCAGGAATACAAAACAGGAAAAAAATTTAGAAGAATCAGATTCATGAATGAAAATGCTGACGTCATAGTTCAGTTCCCAGCAGAGTTTAGAGTAGCATATAAAAAACAGTGTATCTTCTGGAATGTTAAAACACCAAAGTCATTTCGTAAAGGAAATAAAAGAAAAAGTCATTCCTTGCTCAGAATGAGGGAATGGAGAAAAAAAGAGAAAAGCTCAATTAACAACCTTTTCCACAAACCAAAAATGAAAAATATACAATGTATATGGCACAAACTATCATAACTTCTAAACCACATAATTATTTTGTGTTATTGTTAGAAATAATATTTTTTAGGCAGGGCATGGTAGCTCACACTTGTAAATCCCAGCACTTCGGGAGGCTGAGGCAGACGGACTGCTTGAGACCAGGAGTTCAAGACCAGCCTGGGCAATACAGCAAGACCCCACCTCTACGAAAAAGAGAAAAAAAAAACCTAAGCAGCCATGGTGACACACACCTGTAGTCCCAGTCACTCAGGGGGCTGAGGCAGGAGGATCATTTCAGCACAGGAGGCCAAGGCTTCAGTGAGCTATGGATTGCACTACTGCACTCTAGTCTGGGCAACAGAGCGAGACCCTGTCTCTAAAAAAAAGTAAGATAAAATAAGTTTTAAAAGAAGTCACATTTGTTACAGGTGATGACTAGTTGTGTCTCTAAATAAGTAGGACACAGCCGCCCCCCAACTTTAAATCTTTCTCCCACCACACGGCATAACTTTCAAAAATGAGTGCATAATACAGCTAGGCAGTCCTCCACTGAAAATGACCCAGCACAGGCCTACCACACCTGATTTTAAGTAATTCTGAATAATATGGGGTGGAACTCAGTGACCAGAAGAAAGCTCCTGAATTTTTATGTGAGGGAAGAAAAAACAAAAAAACAAAAAAACAAAAAAAACAAAAAAAAAGCCTTTATCTAATGATGTAATATAAACTAATAAAAAAGATTATAAAAATTTGATTTACTTAGAACTATTAAAAGTGGCTAGTGGCATGGATTGTTCATATTTTTCATCTCTCGGCAGCACTGAAAATACAACTAGTAATACAAACTTCTGTAAAGTTTAGACACAATTTACTAAAATCCTTTTATTCAGGACACTTAAGTAACTGATTCCTAGATGTCTAATGTTTCCCAGGGAATTTAAGATTATTACATTCTTAGAAAATAACAGTGACCCTCACATCCTTGGTGACCTCTCCAAAGCACAAAACTGTAAGGACATTCTCTCTTCTTTACCATTCATATGGCTTAAAGTAGCCATTCACCCAAAATGGATTTTTTTTAATTTAAGCAATAAACAATTTTGCCAATAAACATTTTAAAAAGAAGATCTTATTAAGTTAAAATGCAAACATGCCAGTTTTATCTGTAAATCTAAAATGTGAAGAGATCATCTCACATTGTTGCCACCACAAATATCTTTGAAAGAACATCACTACCCCCTTGTGGATTCGCAATAAAAAAATCCTTCTCTTGAATCTTTTTAAATATTCCATTCTGCTGAACTTCCATCAAAGTTTTCATTTTCTTCACTAAGAAGGGTTATTTCAATTACTTTTTAAAAAGACAAACAATATTTTTCTTAAAACCAATCCAATCAACTTATTTGTCCTCTAAGCGTCCCCATTTTGGGGAGCATTCTTTATACGTGTGCATGTGTTGATTCAATACAATAACCCTATCAACATTCCATTTCTTCTTCAAATATCTGAATTTATACTTCCAGTCATCACTTTGAGATTATTTTTAATCATAAATGAGTAATTTTTTCCACTATAACATCTTTTTTCTTTCTATCTGATAATTTCACACTTTGTACCAATTTCTTATTATCACTCCCAAATGATTTGATATCCAAGTGCCCAGAAAACCAACAGGGCACATATATCCTCAGAAATGACTTTTCAGAAAAGGATTAAAAAACAAATTTAAGTTTTAAGAACATTAATTCTTGATTGTATTAATATACCTTCAGAAATGACTCCTGGCAATCTAAATCAAGCACCATGAAGGAAAAATAGACAATAACTTTTTTTCAAAACTTGTAAAAAGAAAGGCTTTCTCTCTCTCTCTACGTTGAAAGAATACCTCTGGTTGTATCTGCATTTCATTCTAATATAAGACACAAATACACCTTGTTGAATGCACACTGTAAAAGAGATTAAGTGAACTTAAACATCTGATGTATCCCTTATCATAGACACTAAATTTAGCTGAAAGTATAAATCATCACTGCACAATGCACAGGCTACATGGAGAAAGAGTCATGACTGACTGTACTGCCCTTACTGGAAGTTAGCTCCCCATTCTCTTAGACATGTTGAACACAAAAATAGGGACATGGTAATTTACTACTGTCAACATTTATTCCAATGGTTAGATAGGAATAAATGGGGAAAAATCCACTTTGCAAGTGTTTTTAAGTGACTGAATACATAATCTTACCTTGTGGTAACTGATAAGGGGAAAAAAATGGAAGAGATACTGCATGGTCTGCTGAACGAATGAATGCTCTATGTCCCAAAAGTCACACATCAGCCCCACTGAGAATATTACACATCCAAAAATTATCTGCTTATGCACCTGTCCAAAACTAGCGACTGAACTGCACAGCAGAACCAATCAGAGCTGGGCTTCACAAGGTTTTGCTTTTCTGTTGCTATGACTATTGTTTTGGGATTTGCAGGTAGGGGAGATATATATAAGATATATATAAGAGTGGGGTATATATATATATAAGAGTGGGGTATATATATATAAGATATATATGAGTGGTATGAAGAAATGAAGTTGGGGTGAGACCTTTGCCACTTAGTCTCCACATAATAACATGTTTAAAACTATTAAGAACACAGCCCCAAACGTTTCTTTCAAGAAATGTCACTTTGTACACATGAAAACTACAAAACCGTAGAGAGCAGAGTGATGAATACAGCCCCAAACAAGCATATCTTCCTTGAAGTTACCTTCGGCTCACAGTCTCAGGAAAGGATATGTTACGTGACTTGAAAGCCCTGGCTAAATTTGAAAAACAAAAACAAGAAAGTAACTGCAAAAGGATTCATGTACAGGAGAACAAGCAACCATGTCAGGATAGAGCCAAACACTGAGGTTGAATATGGAGGAACCTTTAAAAAAAAAAATCTCTAGTCATTCCATCTTATGCCATGTCAATCAGTTCGAAGTAAATGAACAATCCTCCAGAAAAAGAGCAAAAGGGGAAATAATGTGGCTGACCCTTGGCCTCTCTTTGCAATGGGGTACATAATATTTCTCTGTAAGTCCAGGGTAATGAGGTAAAAAAAAAAATGCTCAGGAAACAGTACCAATCTTTACACAGGAGGCCCATGACCTTCTACAAGCAATGGTGTTCAAAGCAGAAGGATGCAATACAACCTTAGAAATATACAGCTAGCATACTGATGGCAAAAAAAAAAAAAAACCCAAAACCACCCTTTACTCACCCTTTACTTTGTCCCATCACGTGAACTGCTCTCCATTGTCAATTTATACAAGGAAACACTTCCGGCCAGGCACATTGGCTCATGCCTGTAATCTCAGCACTTTGGGAGGCCTAGGTGGGCGGATCACTTGAGGCCAGGAATTCAAGACCAACCTGGCCAACATGGTGAAACCCCGTCTCTACTAAAAATACGAAAAAAAATTAGCCGGGCATGGTGGTGCACGCCTGTAATCCCAGCTACTTTGGAGGCTGAAGCAGGACAATCGCTTGAACCTGGAAGGCGGAGGTTGCAGGGAGCGGAGATCGTGCCTGGGCAACAAAGCAAGACTCAGCCTCAAAAAAAAAAAAAGAAAAGAAACACTTTCCTTATAAATGCATGACAATTATCATGGGAGACCATCTATATGTTTGTAAGTCCCTCTCTCTAATGACAAAATAGGAACATGGCTTAATCACAGGACTAAGGGACACTATATCCAGGGATGGCACAAAATAAAAGGATATGATAGTCGGATCAACCTCTAGCTCGAACCTGATTAGGTATTCAAGAAAAATAAAAAGAAAGATTATACACTATCTGGAAAATAGAGTGAATGACCGTACACTCTTATTCAAGTTACACAGACAAAGTAGCAGAGCAAGAATGCTTCTCACTCTCACTCTCAAACACACCAAAAACTAAAGGCAGTACTATATATAACAGGCAAAGGAACATTAGGAGAGGCCCCCATACTTCCTTGTAAATGAAGGCTCCAAATGAAATAATATACTTGGCTGTGCTTAAAGAAATTTATTGTATCAAGCCAAAGAGACAGAAAGAAGCTGGCTAAATGCAGCAAAAAAAAATTTCCAAAATCCTACATGGGGAGGCCCAGAGCAGAAAGGACCCAGTGTTTTATCTAGAGATGCTATCTAGTTACAAATACTATTACCAGCGGCCTTCTGGCTTAAATCTCATTCCATCTACCTATTCTTAGGGAAACAAGAAGCAATGCCTTGTGCTACAGGACAAAGGGATGGTGGGCATCCCCTTCTTACTAAAAGGCTACAAATACAGTACATCTAACAAACACTTTTTTATAATAATGACAGGTCAGTGAAGAAACCTCTCTATGTGGGAAAGGACAAAAAATAAAAGGAAAGGCCGAAGAAAAGAAAGGGAGGTCGGATTTAAGTCACCTAGAACATTTAAAAAAAAAAAAAAAAAAAGGACAGGGTACATGATTCTAGAAGATACACACCACCTTAGGAAAAGATCTGTATAATGGAAATGCAAAAGAAACACACACATCACTTGTCAACACAAAATACACTCAGTCACATACTCATACTGCCAAACCACATATTACAAACCTCACACAGGAGTTTTCACAAGAGTGAAATAGTAGCAGAATTGGTTTCTATATACGTTGTGGAGATGGTAAATCTAATTTAATAGAGGAAAAAAGAAAAGGGGTATTTCAAATTGTTAGTAATTTTTATTATTATCATTATTTATACCTAACCTGTACCCACAAAGAATTTGAGGCAATTTACAAAAATAATAATACCATTAAAAAGCATAAATTAAAAGTCATATAATAAAAGTGATAATTATATCAGATGCCTAGCCTAAGAATGAGCATCAATTAGGTATTAAATTTGGATATAATTCTTCATGGCAGTGAAAATGTAACAGCAGCTCATACAGTTCTCACTATCTACTATGAACCATACCAGTTAATCCGAAGAAAAAAATATTTTTCTACCACTTCCTTATATAAAAAATACATTTGACTCTATGTTCTATAGAATGCCTAGTGCGATGCTGCCGTTCAAATATTAAATAAGCATTCCAACCAATCATGTATCTAAACAACCTAAAAGTTATGCCTACACAATCAGATTAAGAAGGCTGACTTTACTTTTGTCTACACACACACACACACACACACACACACACACACTCTCTCTCTCTCTCTCTCACACTCTGCACACAGTCTGGGGGAAAGCTGCTAAATGCCTCTCCCAGTCCACCCTCCCACCCTCTTCACCACCCCCACTCCTGCTGAGGAGGAAAAAAGGTTCAACAAGATAGCACACTATTACACTATATCTTTGTAAGTTAACAATCCAAAAACTTAAAAATCAGAAAAAAAAAATTCCTTGCAAGACTATATAAAAGACAAGCATTAAGACAAGCACCACACCGAAGGCCAGGCGTGGCAGCTTGCGCCTGTAATCCCAGCACTTTGGGAGGCTGAGGCAAGGGAGGCTGAGGTAGGCGGATCACTTTAGGCCAGGAATTCAAGACCAACCTGACCAACATGGTGAAACCCCGTCTCTATTAAAAATGCAAAAAAAAATTAGCCGGACATGGTGGTGCACGCCTGTAATCCCAGCTACTTGGGAGGCTGAGGCAAGAGAATTGCTTGAACCTGGAAGGCAGAGGTTGCACGAACCGAGATCGTGCCACTGCACTCCAGCCTGGGCAATAGAGTGAGACTCTGTCTCAAAAAAAAAAAAAAAAAAAAAAAAGATACACTAAAATGTCATTAATATAAAAGGCTAACAAGATCCAATATGGTCTCAAGCAAAGTCACATCACCCCCTACAGCTCCTTGTACATAACAGAAGCTCGGTAAAGGTCTCCTGAATGAATGACTCCAGTCATGGGAGTATAAATACAAAAACGACTTCTCCCCAGAAGGGCAAATTCAAAGGTTCCACAAAAGAGTCAACTGACACAACTATGAGGGGAACAGAAGAAAATAAGAGAATCACCTTCTACTGCTTTTTCCATAAGGAAAGGAGAAAGAAGTACAACTGCACACAAAGGGGTATTTCCCCCAAACAGGAAAGGAAGAATGGCTCAAAGTAATGAAACAGTGGGGAAAAAAACGTTAAGATTTTGAGATGGGCTACCTCAAAATCAGTCACAAAGAATTAAAAACCGAGCAGGACACATGGGCGGACATCCAGCATAAACAGGAGACTAAACTAAACACTACTCTCTAAAGAATAGGCTATTTCTGGGGGAAAGCCTAAAATCGCCAGAGCCTAAAAACTAAGGAAACAGAAAACACAGCTGAGCAGGATGCATAAATATGTCTCAAAGAGCAAGTAAGAGCAACACTACTCTTTTGAAAAGGAAAAGCTGACCCAATCTGACCTTGAGTAGAGGTTGCTCTGTGTATGTCAACACTTTGAATCCACTCAATGATGAGATGGAGAAACCCAACATTTGCAGAAGCAGGATAAGTAAGGTTTCCAAGAAGACAAAGGAGGAAGAGGTCACCCAACCTAGTCCCAAAAACTGGAGGTAAGGGGTGAAGGAGAGGAAAGAGTCATGTCCTAACAGAAAGTCGAACAGAAAGATTAAACTATGTGGTTCAGAGAACCCGTCTAGTCTGCCCAACTGCAACAGAGCATTCTGCACTACAAGGTAAAAGGAAAAAGCTAATTTCCAATCATCTGTGGCGACCAGTGACACAGAAACACAACCACATCAAACTCAAGAAAAAGGGCCCAGCTTCAGACAATAACCTCAAGTGTCTTCTTCCAACCAATCTTTACCACTTTTCCTTCCACTGCGCCTTGCACGGAGCCCCCTGCTTACCAGGGAAAACTCCCAAAGTCTCCATGGGGCCATGGAGGAAACGGTAGGAAGAACCACCACTGGAAACGGGATGACTCCGCTGAGTCTACACCATCTACAGCAGGTATTCGACTCTTCGTTTTTCCGAAGTTCCCTAATAACACCCCCTAAAAATACACAATCCCATCAAGCTGACTACAGACACAGAATACGAACAGCATAAAAACATTTAAAACCAAAAACAAGAAAATGAGCTCAAAAGCTCTACTTTCTGACATTGGGAATCAGGCCCACTGGACGACTCAATGCTAACTGAAAGGCAAAGTCCAGAAGTCACAGAACTAGCGCTGACCCAATCTCCGATGAGCCACTTCTCCTTACACAGTAAACTGAGGCAAAGCGAGCCTCTGAGCTAGAACAGTTTTAAAGGCCAAAGCCCCAGAGCCCAACGGAACTTGTTGGGGAGGATGAGTCTCCACACTAAGCCTGTCAAAGAGTAAGACTTCCCTGCTGAGTGACAGCGGCTAGCAGCCATTCTGAATTTCGTGAAAGAGGGAGAAAGGGAGGGAGGGAGGGAGGGAGGGAGACCTGAGGAGGCAAAGCACCTGACTAGAGCCGACAGGGCTCAAATCATTCCCCTGTCCAAGAGAAAAGAACTTGAAGAATAACGTTCCCCATCCTCTCATGAAGCGTCGAGGGCCTTTCCACAGGTACATTTTGCTAATTTCACAACCTCTCTCAATTATTTAAATGGCCAAAATACAAAAGGGACATATTTACGGTCATTCGTTCCTAGTTCTGTCACAGGAAAACATATTCTTCTCACCCATCTCCTGTCGTTTGTCCAAACACACGAAATCTCTTTCCCCTACACTGCAGTAAAGAAATCAAGAACTTTTCACTCTATGCAGAATCAAGCAACGAATACCACCCCTAAATTCAGACCGCCAAAGTTGCGATGCGTATGGGCAGGCACTGTACGCTTCGCACATTCAGGGACTTGGTGAACACGCAGGATGTCGTTCTGCTTATTCAGTACAGTACACATTACAAACCAAAGAATAGTCAGAATTGGCCATTTATCCGTGATTCTTCTGCTGCTGCTTCTAAGCCTGAAGAGTTACCAACAACGTTAATATCTATCTGTATCATTACACATAAAGGTCCCCATATGCACCCAAAATGTAGAGCTAGTCATCTGACCCTTCCAACTTCCTGTGCACTGTATATGTAATGAATGTGATTTCATCTGTGTATACCTACATGTATGTATATGTAAACAAATGAATATAGCATCATGATCTGGTTCTCCAAAGCAGAACCGGAACAGCAAAAAACAGAAAGCATTCAAATTCCCCCTTCTGAAAGCTACAAGATCTAAAGAAATGTCTGGATCCCACAAGAGACAACACCAGAGCCAAAGGAAGGTTCTAGTACAACAAGGAGCACACAAGCAACCTCTTCCAGGATGGCATGTGGGCGACACGGGTGTCTACACTCCCTTTTCTGAATGGAAAGGCATATGGCTTCTCCTTACCCAGCCAACATGAATACAATTTGAGAAAATTAGAAAAAGTCAAAGTAACAGGCTCACTAAATATGGCTGACTGCGAAGCAGAAGCCACAGAGGAGGATATGAGTTCTCTCAAAAAACAATCGGGAAGTTTATATCCAGGAAAGGTTCAAGGACTCTTGAGTGTGGGACGGACAAAGTCTGGTTCTCACTGCACAGAAGACAGTAATCAAAACATCAAAAAACAAGGCCACATGACCCTTTTCCCAGTGAGGTAGTGTCAACTGATGAAGGTTGCCCCCTCCTGAGACACAAGAGTCAAGTGGAGGCAAAAATATACCCCGGTCTTCCTCAGACACAGGAGCAACTAGTGTGGCCCCTTTTCACTCAAGCACTAGGCACAATGGAAGCCCTGCCCTACATCTTATTGGGGCGCCCACTCTCACCCAGACAAGGAACTCCGAGAAGAGAGAACAAGTCAGTGTAGACACACAAATGGCGAAAGGAGCACGGTGAACGTCCAGTTGTCTCCATAAGAAAAGGAGGGCAACTCAAAGGGTATTTAGGAAATGAGCTCGCCCTAACCCAGCAAAGTGTAAGAGTATGCATGATCTGGAAGAAGTGTCTGCTTTCCTATTTAGAAATGACTTCAGAGCTGCACAAGCCCCCACTATCCACTGGGTGAGGAAAGAAGAACATGGGCAGCCTGAGTCCCCTTGTCCTGGCAAAAAGGGTCAACGGAGAGTGTGCAGAGGCCCCAAAAGAATCCAAAGAAGATGAGCAGATCAGACGGACCCCTGTGCCAAGGAAGGATCGGGGTCACGGAAGGTAAAGGGCAAGGGAGTGTGGAGATCCTCACTTGCCATAGAAACGGAGACCCCACCCTCCTGGCTGTGAGGGTGCAAGGGCAAGAGTAGGATGTGAACGACTGCGAGGGGCGGGGATGCTGCGCAGGCCCCCTTCCCTTCCCGGGAAGCGAAGGGGGAGGGGTCACACGAGGCCCTTCGGCCGAGGGACGCTCGGCAGGACGGGGTCCCCCTGGCGGGGAGAAGCTCGGGGACCCCCCGCCCGCTCAGGGAGGTGTCCACGGGGCTGAAGAGGGTGCCGGAGAGAGTACATCTGGCCCTGCCCGCCGGAGAGCAGGGGGCCGGCGAGGGCTGAGCGCCGGCCGCTGCCGCCCGACGGGGACCGGCCCGGAGCAGTGGGGCGCGGGGCCAGGAGGACCCGAGGCGGATAAACTTTCCGCCCCGCGGCCCCCACCGTGGACCCAGCGCCGGGGGTGCGGGGGCCGCGCAGCGGGCTCGGGAGCGGCGGGGATGCCCGGTCCGGGTGGGGGAGGCGCCGGCCCTCCGCCGGCTCCTCCTCCTCGCTGGGCCCGGTCCCCGCCCCGCGAGCCCCCCGCCCCCTCCGGCCCCAGCCCGCCCCCGGGGGTGGGGTGTGGGGCGCCGCGCTCCGCCGGCCCCGCGAGTCACCTCAGGACTCGGCCGCGCTCCGCCCCCCCACCCCGCCGGCCCCCTCCCCGGCCGGGTCGCCCGCCCGCCCGCCCGCCGCGCCCCCGCGCTCCCGCCCGGCGCCGCCGATGCCCGGGATGTCCGGCGGGGCCGGGTCCCGCCGCCCGCCGCGCCGCCCCCCAGCCCCTCGCGCTCCGGCTCTTACCTTCCGGCTTGTTTTCGGCAGCCATTTCCCCTCCGCGCGCCACATCCTCCTCCTCCTCGCGACCGGGACCCCGAGCGCGCGCCTCGTACCGCCGCCGCCGCCGGCCCAGCCACCCCGCCGCCGCCGCGCACCCGCCCTGGCCCCGCCCCGCGGCCCACGCACAGCTCCCGTTGGGCCGTGCGGCTGCCACTCATCGCTCCCGCCGCCAATCGCCCCGCACCAGGGGTCTCACTACTCTCCGGGAGGAGCGTCCTATCCATCCGGCCCATTGGCTGGTCACCACCCAACGGACTGAAAGGATTGGTCAAGAATCAACGCCCCCTCCCCACCCACTCCCAGGAAAGCCCGCCTTCCGGACCTAAACAAAGCTTCCTAGTGGCCAGAACCCGAAAGAACTGTCCAATCAGGACGGGCCCGACACGGAATATTTCCTCGAGGCCGAGACGTGGCGTTTTGATTGGGCGTCACTACAGTGTTTCCCAGGCCGTCCAGACCAATCAAAGGGGGTTCCCGGAACTCGGGAGCGGCGAAGGGAAGCCCCGCCCCCGAGCGTGACCGTCATGAGGAAGGCGCTCCCTCATTGGCACGCTGGGGCTTTTCCCGCGTGCTCCCGGGGCTGAAGGACGTTCCCGGGGAAGCCGCTGCTGGCGCGTGGGGTCCCGGTGGCTGTGGGGGACGCGCCGGGATCTCCGGGATCCCGCAGCCCGCCGCCGCTGCCGGTGGGGAGCCGGACGCGGGGGGCCTCGGGGCTGAGGTCCGCAGGGGTGCCGCGCCCTGGAGTCCGACTGCCTAGGAGTCCGGGCGTCGCTGCCGGCCGTGGGGGAGGGGCGAGCCTCCCGCCAGGCCCCGCCCCCTCGGCGCCGCGTCCCCACGGCCCCGGCGCCGCCCGCCTGCGCCCGCCTCCTGTGCCCGCCCCCGGTGAGCTCCGTTGTCCCCTTTTCTGGCGGCTTAAAATACCGAAACTTTATTTTGGTCACGTTGCCCATGTGACCCGCGGAGCGGATGACTCATGGTTGCCTGTCCCAGGATGAGGCCGCCGGCCGAAAGCAGAGAAGCGCCAGCCCCGGCCGCCCGGGTGGAGCGCTGGGCAGCCGAGTTTCCCACCCTCCTCAATCCGGAGAGTCCGCGCGGGGCTTTTCCTAATAAATAGCCAGGCACCCGCTGCCCTCGCGCTGCGTACGGGAGCACGTGCCCCCCGGGAGGTGGGCGCCCGCCAGGTGCCCCGGGAACGAGCCTAGGAACCGGGTCCGCCGAGTGCGGCTCTCGGGGCGGCTAGGCGTGCGGGTGGCTGGGCAGCGCTCCCAGGGACCGGCCTCTCTCCGGAGAAAGTAAGGAATTCTGCTCCTGGGCAGGTAATACCGGAAACAAAAGGAGAGGCTGCAATCGCAAATTGTTTAAAAAGAAGAAAAAGGAAAGAAAAGTTGAATGTAAGAGCTCCAGCCCCTCAATGTGATCTTGTACGGTTTGCAGTAAGAACATTTCATTCTTCCGCATTTTATTTTTCCTTTTGCTACTGTTGGTGACAACTAGCAAAATAAGTGAAAAATCCTCGTTCAAGTGTTCTGGCATTAAGATTGACTGTCACACTGAATTCTGTGCCAATCCTAACAACATGTGTTCTTTTTCTGGTCTTCACAAGTAAGAATGTCTTAGGTTTTCCAGAAATAAAGATGTCCCAAAAGAATGTTTTGTGTTACACACTCATTCTTCAAGAAACTTTAATTTTATGAGCCTCAAAAATTGCAAAATTTTAACAACGGCGGGACAATATTTTATCGATTAGCATTCTTAATAGCACCTATGTTGACGATTTGTGTGGAGAAACGGATTCTTAAAAGAAGTGCTGGTGGCATTGTAAATTAGTATATTCCTTTCGAAAAGCAATTTTACAGTATGTATTAAAAGCCATAAAAATGTCTGCATCTTTTGACCCAGTGATCTTACTTCTGGGAATCTGTTCTAAGGAAATAACACTAAATGCCAGAAAAGCTGTATGTGTGAAGGTATTCTTCACAGGATCACTGTACTTAACTACAACAAAAAATTGGGAGCATCCTACATGTGCTAATATTGGGTATTTAGTAAATTGTGTTACATCTACACAGTGGAACATTATGGTAGTTGTAGACATCAGAAACAGAAAATCACCCATTGCTAGATAGAGGGGGCAATACCCAAAATTATGGTGTTCATTTATGAGGTGAGATGATAGGCTAAAAAAACTGCATTTTAAAAAAGACCGATACAGGCCGGGTGCAGTGGTTCACGCCTGTCAATCCTAGCACTTTGGGAGGCCAAGGTGGGCAGATCACTTGAAGCCAGGAGTTCGAGACCAGCCTGGCCAGCATGACAAAACCCCGTCTCCACTAAAAATATAAAAATTAGGTGGGCAAGGTGGCAGGCGCCTGAGGTCTCAGCTACTTGGAAGGCTGAGGCAAGAGAATTGCTTGAACCCAGCGGGCAGAGGTTGCAGTGAGCCAATATCGCACCACTGCACTCCAGCTTGGGTGACAAGAGCAAGACTCCACCTCAAAAAAAAAAAAAATAGACTGATAACATACACCAAATAAATGACGTATGGGGGATTATAAGTGAGTTTTTTTTAATTGCCTATTTTCTATAATATAGCTGTTTTTGTTGTTGTTTTTTGGTTTTTTTTTTGTTTTGTTTTTTTGAGATGGAGTTTCACTCTTGTTGTCCAGGCTGGAGTTCAATGGCGCAATCTCGGCTCACCGCAACCTCTGCCTCCCGGGTTCAAGCGATTCTCCTGCCTCAACCTCCAGAGTAGCTGGGATTACAGGCATGCGCCACCATGCTCAGCTAATTTTGTATTTTTAATAGAGACAGGGTTTCTCCATGTTGGTCAGGGTGGTCTCAAACTCCCAACCTCCAGTGATGCGCCTGCCTCAGCCTCCCAAAGTGCTGGGATTACAGGCATGAGCCACCACGCCTGGCCTCTATGTTACTTTTATCATTAAAACACTCATTTAAATTGAAAGAAAGGTGAATAAAGTTGAGTGTCTTCCTTCAAGAGACTCCCAACTTGGCCAGGTTCACAAACATAAGCAGCAGCAGGACAGGTGCGATGGGAACACCGGAGAAGGTCACAAACATCACCTGGGCCTCAACACCATCACCATTGAAATTACCTTAGCCTCAGGCCACAACAGTGGTTCTCAAAACAGTGGTTCTCTAGGGACCTTGGTCGAGCAGAGGGAGCCCCAAGACTCAAGGGACCCAAAAGTCAAAACTTTTTTAGACAGGGTCCTGCTCTGTCGCCCAGGCTGGAGTGCAGTAGTGCCATCAAAGCTCACTGTAGCCTCGAACTCCTGGGCTGCAGTAATCCTCCCACCTCAGCCTCCCCGGTAGCTAGAACCACAAGCATGCACCACCATGCCCAGCTAATTTTTAAGTTTTGTAGAGACAGGGTCTCACCTTGTTGCCCAGGCTGGTCTCAAACTCCTGAGCTCGAGTGATCCTCCCACCTCAGCCTCTTGAAGTGCACGGATTACAGGCATAAGCCACCACACCTGACTTCAGAACTATTTTTATAGCAATGATATGTCAATTTCTCCCAACACTGCACTCTGTGTGCAGTGTTTTCCAGAGGCTGCAAGATACGTGATCTCACAACAGGCTGAATGCAGAAGATTCAGAAGCAGAGAAGAATCCAGCAGTCTTCTACTGTCAGATATTAAAGTGATTTGCAAAACTAAAACAATCTCACACTTACCACTAATTTTATTTTAGAAAATGTAGGTATTTCTCATAAAAATAGGATTTATGTTGACATGTAATGGGTTTATTCTCTTTTTTGTTGTTCTTTTGAGATAGGGTCTCACTCTGTTGCCCAGGCTGGAGTGCCGTGCAATCAAGGCTCACTGCAGCTTTAACCTCCTGGGCTCAAGCAATTAGCCTCTTGAGTAGCTAGGAATACAGGTGGGCGCCACCATGCCCACCTGTATTTTTTGTAGAGATGAGGTTTTGCCACGTTGTCCGTGATGGTCTCCAACGGAGTCTTACTCTGTTGCCCAGGCTGGAGTGCAGTGGCACGATCTCGGCTCACTGAAACCTCTGCCTCCCGGGTTCAAGCGATTCTCCTGCCTCACCTCTTGAGTATCTGGGATTACAGGCACCCGCCACCATACCTGGCTAATTTTTGTATTTTTAGTAGAGACGGGGTTTCACCATGTTGGTCAGGCTGGTCTCAAACTCCTGACCTCGTTATCCGCTGGCGTCAGCCTCCCAAAGTGCTGGGATTACAGGCGTGAGCCACCGCGCCCAGCTTGAATCCTTAAATTTTAAGTGTGGAAAAAGATCTTGAGACTCAAGAGTTTGGGAACCACTGGGCTAGAGAATGAGATCTTTTTGGGGCTGGCTGGTTGGTGTTTCTGTTTGCTTGGGAGGGTAACCAAGAGATGGGCATTTCAAGTAAAGGAAGCAGCTTGCATTACTAAATGAGCCCATTTAGAAAAGAGAGTTGGAAGATAACGCTCGATGTACCAATCTCGGAATCCTTGCCCATTTTGGCCCTAATGTCCTTCAAGGAAAGAATTTTACTGTCCAGAAACAGAACATATAAGGGAAATAGTGGGAATATTAAATTGTTACTTTTTGACCCCAAAGAGGTGCAAAAGAGGCTTCTTCCTGGTCAGCTTTCCAAAGTAAAGTGGCTGTTTATATTACTGGTGGTGATAAAAATAAAAGTGCTTGGACTTGCTTCCTTAAATTGGAAGTTACCGAAGCTTCCATATTACTGGATTGGGAGAGGAAAGCATGGAGTAAACCCATTTCAGAAGCTTAAACACTTAGAAGCTCAGGCCGGGCACAGTGGCTCACACGTGTAATCCCAGCACTTTGGGAAGCCAAGGCGGGTGGATCACGAGGTTAGGAGTTCAAGACCAGCCTGGCCAAGATGGTGAAACCCCATCTCTAACTAAAAATAAAAATTTAGCTGGGCATGGTGGCACGCGCCTGTAATCCCAGTTACCGGGGAGGCTGAGGCAGGAGAATTGCTTAAACCTGGGAGGAGGAAGTTGCAGTGAGCCAAGATTATGCCACTGCACTCCAGCCTGGAAGACAAAGCGAGACTCCGTCTCAAAAAAATAAAAGAGAAGCTCATCATCCCAAGCTTATTTTACCCCTGCACAGGGCAACAAAAAACCTGTGCCTCCTTTAGCCACCAAGGGGCTGCATGGTTAAAAGTAATAATATTCAAAAGTTCCATTTCCAAAAAGTTTCTCCCCTTGTCTTTAACTATTTTTTTAATTTTGAGATAATTAGATTCACATGCAGTGATAAGAAATCATACAGAGAGCTCCTATGTCCCCTTACCTTTTCAAGATGAAACAATGAAAACTTGTGGACTTTGTTGGAACCAACCCTTCACCAGATGGTCCCTGTTTTCCTATCCTGCAAATGGTCACCTTTCCTCTTCTCTGCATCCCAATTACGTCAGGCATTATAATCTCAGAATGTCTACTGTTAATATGCAAGAGTAAAGATTTGTTGGATACCCCAAATATAATGAGATATTTGGGCCTAGTAGGCCTGAATTTCAACTTACTTGAAATATCGGCCAGGTGAGATGGCTCATGCCTGTAATCCCAACGCTTTGGGAGGTCGAGCTGGGCAAATCACTTGAGGCCAGGAGTTTAAGACCAGCCTGGGTAACATGGCAAAACCCTATCTCTACTAAAAATATAACAGTTAGCAAGGCGTGGTGGCGCATGCCTGTAGTCCCAGCTACTCAGGAGGTTCAGGTACAAGAATCGCTTGAACCCAGGAGGCAGAGGTTGCAGTGAGCCAAGATCCAGCCACTGCACTCCAGCCTGGGTGACAGAGCAGACGTCTGTCTCAAAAAATAAAAATAAAAAAATATCATTTGAACACGAAAGGGAAAGGCTTTGTGGCCCAGGAATCTGTTGAAATTTTGAAATGAATCTGTAGTTTCATTTGTTCAGTATTTACTGACAGCAGTAGGTCTGAGAACCAACCACACCACGAATGACAGTTTTGTTTTCCTTTTAGCAATTAAAACCTAGAACAGACCATTATCTTTTTTCATTGGGGTTTCAGGAGATATTATTTAAGCAATAGTTATAATCATAATACTTGCCCTCATCATCCAGCTATTACATAAAACACGCCCAAGTGCACTTGCTCTCCAGAGACCCTCCTTGGAGTGATACCTAAATGCCTTCAGTGGAATGTATCTCACCTTCATACACTACTTTTAAGAATCAGTCCAGTTTTTTCTGGACTTTCCCTTTGAAACTGGAGGCTTTCCACTCCCTCTTGAGCCTTCTGGTATTACAGCCTGATAGTTTTTATTGCATTTGAACCCATGATCAAAGAAATGGTTCTTTTCTTTTTGTTTTGGTTTTTCTTTGGTGGAAGGGGACAGAGTTTCACTCTGTCACCCAGGCTGAAGTGCAGTGGCACGATCTCGGCTCACTGCAACCTCTGCCTCATGGGTTCAAGAGATTCTCCTGCCTCAGCCTACCGAGTAGCTGGGACTACAGGCGTGTGCCACCACGCCCAGCTAATTTTTGTATTTTTAGTAGAGACGGGGTTTCACCATGTTGGGCAGGATGGTCTCGATCTCTTGACCTTGTAATCCTCCCACCTCGGCCTCCCAAAGTGCTCACCCCTCACAGGTGTGAGCCACCACGCCCGGCAGAAATGGATCTTTTCTAAAGGGAGAAAAGGTTGGAGAGATTGGGCTTTGCTGGTTCAGATGGACAAATACAAAGAACTTCCTGACCACGGACATTAATGCATTTCGTAGACCAGGATCACCCCTCTACTTCCTGAGACCCAGAGAGACCTCAGTAGTGGAACCCCCCGAAATCTCTGTATAGAGAAAGCTTGGGGCAGTAATCTGATTGGAGGGAGGGGCCAGGGGACTCTAGCATCTGCACAGCAAACCCACTTGCACTCCATGCAGCTTAGGGAGATTGTAAGACTGCTCAAGTCAAGTTTTGTTTTTTTGTTTTCTTATTTACGCCACACTTTCAAATGTAGTTTCTTTTGACTCTCAGTCTTCCCAGGAAACTTTGTTTAGTTGTTGAAAGTAAAATGACCTATCAAAGTGCCTGACGGGAAACGCTGCTGAGTTGTCCCATCATAGTCTTTGGAAACCACTGAGGAGCACCCAAGGAAAACCAGACCGCTACCATCTACGGGTATAAATGAAAAGGGTGTGGGCGCAGAGGCATTTCACCATCATTAGGCTTTCCATTTTTCAAACTGGACAAGCAATTTATTTTTTCTTTAAGTATTAAGCTGTGGGATATTATGCAGCCATTTAAAAAATGGAGGTATGGCCAGGTGCGGTGGCTCACGCCTGTAATCCCAACACTTTGGGACGTCAAGCCGAGCAGATCACTGGAGGTCAGGAGTTTGAGACCAGCCTGGCCAACATGGCAAAACCCCGTTTGTACTAAAAATGCAAAAATTAGCTGGCATGGTGACATGCACCTGCAATCCCAGCTACTCAGGAGGCTGAGGCACAATTGCTTGAACTGGAAGGCGGAAGTTGCAATGAACCGAGATCACACCACTGCACTCCAGCCTGCACTCCAGCCTGGGCAACAGAGCGAAACTGTCTTAAATTTAAAAAAAAAAGAAGTAAAGGTAACTCAGTGTGTGCTGCTATGAAAAGATCTCCAGCTTAAACGTCTAACTGAAAGAAGGTAAGCCACACAACATAATGTACATTATTTTCCTCTGGATGTGAAAAATGGATACAAGGTTTATTGTATATATATTCTTCTATATGCAGAAAAGATTTCCAGAAGGACAACAGGAAATCTATTACCTCTGAGGATGGAGCAGAAAAAAAAAACCCTTACTCTTCATTTGATATGGTTTAAATGTTTTTACCATATGCATCTATCCAACAAATAATTATTGGGTGCCTATGACATACCAGATACTAATTCTAGGTGCGGGGAATACAGCAGTGAACAAAACAGACAAAAATCTCTGCCTTTGTGGAGCTCATGTGGAGGTGGGAGAGACAAACAAATATACATTTGAACTTTAGATAATGATAAATGCTTGAAGAAAAATAATGTGAAAGGGTGAGATGATGAGAAGGTTTTTTTTGTTTGTTTTTTTTTGTTTTTTTTGTTTTGAGATGGAGTCTCGCTCTGTCACCCAGGCTGGAGTGCAGCGCACGATCTCAGCTCACTGCAACCTCCGCCTCCTGGGTTCAAGCGATTCTCCTGCCTCAGCTTCCTGAGTCACTGGGATTACAGGCGCACGCCACCACACCCGGCTAATTTTTTGTATTTTTAGTAGAGATGGGGTTTCACTATGTTGGCCAGGCTGGTCTCAAACTCCTGACCTCAGGTGATCCGCCCGCCTTGACCTCTCAAAGTGTTGGAATTACAGGCATAAGCCACCGTGCCCAGCCAAGAAGGCTATTTTAGAAGAGTGAGTCAGGAAGTTCTCTCCGAGACCTGAAGGAAGTGAGAGTGAGCCACGCGGTTATGGGTGGGGTGGCAGGTGCACAGTCAGTGTCCTGTAGGAACTGCAGGGAGGTGTGGAAGGACTGCTGACATGTGAATCCAGGGAGGAATCAGCAGGCCACACAGGACCTCCAACTCCATGGCAAAATATTTGGATTTAACTCTGAGGGTGCTAGGAAAACAATGTAAGGTATTTAGCTGGGAATGTTATCTCCCTGGTGTTTTAAAAGGATCGCTATGCCATAATGTGGAGGACAGACTTTAAGGAGGCCAGAGAAGCAGAGAGACTAGTTAGGACATTATTAGACATCAAGACTTGATGGTGGCTTAGATGAGGGGTCTTAGTTCCTTGTGGCTGCTGTAACAAATTACCTTAGTGGTTCCCTTACAGTTCTGGAGGCCAGAAGTTTGAAGTCAGTTTCACTGGGCCAAATGAAGATGTTGGCAGGGCCACACTCCTTCCAAAGGCTCTAGGGAGAATTCATTCCTTGCCTCTTCCAACTGCTAGTGGCTGCCGGCATTCCTTGGCTTGTAGCCACATCACTCCAATTTTCAAGGCTAGCATCTTCAAATCTCTCTCTGCTCCATCTTCACATTGCCCTCTCTCCCCTGTGTATGTGTCAGATCTCCCTCTGCCTCTCTCTAAAGAGGACACGTGATGGCATTTAGGGCCTACCAAGATAATCCAGGATAATCTTCCCATCTCAAGTCTCACTCTGATGTCCAGGCTGGAATGCAGTGGTGTGATCTCAGCTCACTGAAACCTCTGCCTCCTGGGTTCAAGCACTTCTCGTGCCCCAGCCTCCCGAGTAGCTGAGATTATAGGTGTGTGCCATCACGCCCAGCTAATTTTTGTAATTCTAGTAGAGAAGAGGTTTTGCCATGTTGGCCAGGCTGGTCTGGAACTCCTGGCCTCAAGCCATCTACCCAACTTGGCCTCCCAAAGTGCTGGGATTACAGGCGAGGGCTACCACGCCCAGCCCCATCTCAAGATTCTTAATCATGTCCGCAAAGACTTTTTCCTAAAAAGGGAATAGTTACAGGTTCCAGGGATTAGGACTTGGTATCTTATATGCCATTATTCAGCCCACCACATCAAGGGTGGTAAAGGACCAGATGGTAAATATTTTAAGTTTTGCAAACCCTATGGCCTCTGTCACAACTTCTCAACTCTGCCATTGTGGCACAAAAGCAACCATGACAACATGTAAAAAAAAAAAAAAAGGGGGGCAGAGAGGTGACATGCCTATGTTCCAATAAAACTTTATTCACAAAAACAGAGTCCAGGTCTTAGACTAAGATGGTGGTGTGGTGGTGTTAAGAGGTAGGTGGATTTGGCTACATGTTGAAAGTAGAAATGATTGCTCAGGTTTTGCTGAAGGATTGAATGTGAGACACAGAAAGAAATGCACTGGGCCAAGATTTGACTCTTGGGATTTGGGCCTGAACAATTGAGTTAATGGTGTTGCATTTAAAGACTCGGGGAGGAACAGAGTTAGGAGTGGGTGGGAATCCACATTTCCACTTGGGACATTCTAATGCTGAAATGCCTATTAGATATCCAAGTGGAGAAATCAAGAAGGCATTTGAATATATGCATCTGACGTACATATTCCCCTGAGAGACGCTGTGGCTAGACATACAAATTTGGGAGTAATCAGCATTCAGTGGAATCTAAAACCATGAGACTAGGCTGGGCACGGTGACTCATGCCTGTAATCCCAGCAATTTGGGAGGTGGAGGCCAGCGGATCACTTGAGGTCGGGAGTTCGAGACCAGCCTGGCCAACATGGCGAAACCCCTTCTCTACTAAAAATATAAAAATTAGCCAGGCATGGTGGCACGTGCCTGTAATCCCAGCTACTTGGGAGACTGAGGCACGAGAATCACTTGAACCCGGGAGGTGGAGGTTGCAGTGAGCTGAGATCGCGCCACTGCACTCTAGCCTGGGTGACAGATCAAGACTCCATCTCAAAAATAAATAAATAAATAAAACCATGAGACTAGATAAGATTTCCTAGGGGAGGGAGTATAATTCAATTTTACATTATCATAAAGTTTTTTGTTGTTTTTTTTTTTTTTGAGATGGAGTCTCGCTCTGTCACCCAGGCTGCAGTGCAGTGGCCCGATCTCAGCTCACTACAACCTCCGCCTCCCAGGCTCAAGCGATTCTTCGGCCTCAGCCTCCCAAGTAGCTGGGACTGCAGGCGCATGCCACCATGCCTGACTAATTTTTGTATTTTTAGTAGAGACGGGGTTTCACCATGTTGGCCAGGCTGGTCTCGAACTCCTGACCTCGTGAACCGCCTGCCTCAGCCTCCCAAGTGCTGGGATTACAGGCATGAGCCACCATGCCCGGCCTACCTCATCATAATTTTTAAGGAGATAAAAATCATGAGTCTCATACAAACATAAAGTGAGTACATGTAAGGAATTATCTCCAAAAAAAACAAAAAACAAAAACAAAAAAACTATCTTCAGTTATTTAATTAATGAGGAAACCAGTAAGATGTTAAAACTGAGTCAAATGAGAATTTGAAGAACAAAGGTATATTAAAGATAAACAAGAAAGTGTGCTAAAAGATGCAAAATTGATTCATATCCTATAATGCAATACAGTTTCATTCTGGGAGTATCTTTTTCTACAGGACAAAAATAGTTGCATCTATGGGCAAGAGTTGTCTGCACTGATCTCTGTTTTCCATTTCCACCTAGTCTATAGAAAGGCAATTTAAGGTGCTCACCCTTGTAGAATCAGATCCTCCCTGGAGGATCCTCTCGGCACTTCGCTGAAAGGTCACCCAGTAATCTCCCGTTCATTCCTAACCCTTGGACAACTTTTTCTGACATTGTCATTCAACATTATTGAGCACCTACGCAGTGACAGGCACCATCTGTGCTGTTAACGTATGAACAAAACACAGTTTCCTTCCCTCCTGGCGCTTACATTCTAGTGGGGAGAAATAAATATAATAAACAGGTTCTGTAGTATGTAAGAAGGCCATAGGTAGAATGGAAAAAATAAAAGTAGATAATTAGCAGGTTAAAAGGACCAGGAGTGCCAGAGTTGGGGAGGTGCGATTTTATTTTATTTTTTGAGACAGTGTGTTGCTCTGTCACCCAGGCTGGAGTGCAGTGGCACAACCACAGCTCACTGCAACCTCTGCATCCCTGGACTCAGATGATCCTCCCACCTCAGACTCCCAAGTGGCTGGGACTACAGGCGTGCACCACCACACTTGGCATACTTTTGTATTTTTTGTAAAGACAGGATTTTGCCATGTTGCTCAGGCTGATCTCGAACTCCTGGCCTCAAGCCATCCACCCACCTTGGGCTCCCAAAGTGCTGGGATTACAGGCGTGAGCCACCTCACCCAGCCTGGGAGGTGCAATTTTAAATAGGAATAGTCAGTATAAATGTCATCAAGAAATTGACATTTGAGGCCAGGCATGGTGGTTCATGCCTGTAACCCCAATGCTTTGTGAGGCTGATGGGGGAAGACCATTTGAGCCCAGGAGTTCAAGGGTATAGTGAGCTATGATTATGCCACTGCACTCTAGCCTGGCAACAGAGTGGGACCCTGTCTCAAAAAAAAAAAAAAAAACCCAAAAATGACGGGGCAGGGCTAGGCCCAGTAGTTCATGCCGTAATCCCAGCACTTTGGGGCCGAGGCAGAATAATCACTTGAGGCCATGAGTTCTAGATCAGTCTGGGCAACACAGCAAGATGTCACTACAAAAGAATATAAAAGATTAGCAAGGTGTGGTGGTGCGCACCTGTAGTCCCAGCTACTCAGGAAGCAAAGGCAGAAGGATCACTTGAAGCCAGGAGTTCGAGGGTGCAGTAAGCTATGATTGCGCCACTGCACTTCAGCCTGGGTGACAAAGCAAGACCCTGTCTCAAAAAAAAAAAAGAAGAAGAAGAAGAAAGAAATTGACATTTGAGCAGGCTGGAAGAAGGTGAAGGAGTTAGCCACGTGTATGGCACAATCTCAGCTCACTGTAACCTCTGCCTCCCAGGTTCAAGTGATCCTAGTGCGTCAGCCTCCAGAATAGCTGGGATTACAGGCACCCGCCACCACACTGGCTACTTTTTGTATTTTAGTGGAGACGGAGTTTCACCATGTTGGCCAGGCTGGTCTCGAACTCCTGACCTTAGGTGATCCACCCGCCTCAGCCTCCCAAAGTGCTGGGATTATAGGCGTGAGCCACTGCACCCAGCAAGATTTTAGAATTTTTAAAAGAGGGTTAATTTTTTGTAATTGATAAAGGGAAAAAATGTAAACAGAAAAATCTATATCATAGATTGAGTCAAAACCATCTGTTTTCCTGCCTATGACGTGTTCTTTCAAGTTCTAGGCATACTGGGATGCTGTGGGCATGAGATAAATGTTAAACCAGAAGAATGATTTTAACAATACTGATCTTTTTACCCTTTTGGAATGGAAATTGGCTCCTTTTTGATGGGAGGAGACGCCCATCTGCCTCGCTTTTCCACCCACAAAGAATCAGGCTGCCTATGTGACAATACTTAAAAGAAAAATTAAAATTTTAGTAGTAAATAGCAATTCAAAAATAGTTTTCTTGAAAGAGAATTTCCTAGCTGATGAAAGTGCTGCTCTTGAGTAGACCTGGAACTCCTGATTTCTAAAACTCTGCTGTAGTAAATGTATGAAAATGTAGTTTTGTTTCCCTGCTCTCTATCTGGAAGGGCAAAGGGGGTGCTGGGATTATTTCCATGTTAATTCAAGCAGCTGTGTAAAGCACAGCCTTAAGACTTGTGCAAAGATTCTCAAAGCACAATTTTCTTCAGTGACAAAAGATGTCTTTCTTTTTCCTCTTGTCAAACACAATCACTCCCAGATAAAGTCAATTTGCTCTTTTGCCTTCGAGTTGGGCTATTTCCTTTTGCCAGCTGACTAATGTTTTCTAGGGCAGGTTGGAATTAATCATTCAGCACCCTGAGATTTTTCAGGCCAGCCAGGGCTGAGGATTAGAAACAATAAAATTCACAGTTCGCCCTCTAACAAAAGGATCTCACACTTGGCCAGAAGTGGATCGTAGGCCTCCTTGGAAGGAACAGTACGGGAAATTTTACCAAATAGCCCAATCTTCATTCTCCAGATGTGCCAAATCTTGTTTACTTGTCACCTTCACCAGGCGTCTTGTGCTAATTTATTCCAGAAGTGGTGTGTGTTTCTCCCTTCCCCACGAGGTCTCACCATCAAGGCTGAGCACAATTCATTGTCTTATTTCTGAACCCTCTTGGGCCTCCTGGGAGCTTCACTGAAAAACGTCAAGCCCTCCCAAGCATATTTTCATTGCACCGGCTCAAAGCTCAGTGTTGATTCTCCATCCAGCCTCTTCAAGTGACCTGAAACGCCATGTTCTTTCCACCAGGGTGGTGCCTTAATTGGCCACTTTTGCAGAGCTGAGGTCGGTCTGCCTGTGCTCCAAAAAAAAAAAAACAGGTCACCTGCCCCTTTACGTCTGGAGCTTCAAGATCACAAGGCAGAATGTGGTCCCCGGCGCACACCCAGGAGCAGCAGGCTGGGACCAGCCAGTGCTTTTAGACGGGCCAGCCTGGGTGCTAGAACAGATGTCAAGGGATATTTGCTGCAAAGAGGCTCCAGAAATAACGTAAAATTGTTCTGTCCTTTTAAAAATGGAAAATGCCTTGGCAGGGTGATATATTATTTGCCTGGCTGCATTTTCTCTCTGTCTCAGTCAAGGCATGAAAAGTACTGGCACTTCTGCCTTTTCAAGCAGAGCTTGGTGTAACTGGACCACATCTAATGCCTGTACGATGCAAATGAAGATGGAAACTGTTGTTTCCTTTGATGTGTGTGACTAAATGCTCAAAGGGGATATTTTCTTTTCGAGCCTCCAGTGCATAGAGCCTCTTTAAAAATACCTGTTGGCTCCGTCTCCCCCTTGGCAACTGAAGCAATTCCTGCACTGGAGACAGCGGTTGGGTACAGTCATGATGAATGTCTTTCTCTGGGAAGAATACCCTTTCCGTGTTTGCAATGATTGTTAAAGTTCTGGAGGGAATTAAGAAGCGCGAAAGGCACGTTAATGATGGGTATCTGCAATGAGCCACTCAGACTTGCCTGAAAAAGTCCAGAGAGCACATTCTGAGAGCAAACTCAGGGAGGCGGATGAGTCACAGCTGGGATCCACAGCGGCTCCAGTACTCTCTGCAACCCAGTAGCCTAGAGGGCCTGGGAAGCCGCCGCCCAACACCCCCCAGGCATTGACCACTCAGCCTTACCCCTCATCCTCCCTGCCAAGAGGCAAAACAGTGCTAACAGCACTAGGAGAATCCGAGCTCTTCTCTGAATCTGGGTGGTCTCCGGAAGTACACATCCTAGGAAAGGAATAGTTCTGAGCGCTGTCAGAGCCCTGAGCCTCCAAACTGGCTATGCCAGGCACCTGGAACCACTTGCATACCTAGGGAAGCCTGATATGAACCCACCTCTGCCACTTTTTCTTGAATATCTTATCAAGCAAGGCAATCTACAAGAGAAGCTTGTGTTTAAAAGCAAGAACACAAAAGCAAAAAACCATTTGGAACCACCTGTAAGTCATGATTTGGATCATTAATTCATTTTATCTTTTTTTAAATTTATTTTTAGAGACAGGAGCTCACTCTGTCACCCAGGCTGGAGTGCAGTGGCGCAATCGCAGTTCACTGAAGCCTCAATCTCTGGGCACAAGTGATCCTCCAGCCTCAGCCTCCCGAGCAGCTGGGACTACAGGCGTGAGCCACTGCACCCAGCCAGTCCATTAATTTATTATTATTATTATTATTTTTTTGAGACAGAGTCTTGCTCTGTCGCCCAGGGTGGAGTGCAGTGGTGCGATCTCAGCTCACTGCAACCTCCGCCTCCCGGGTTCAAGCAATTCTCTTGCCTCAGCCTCCTGAGTAGCTGTGATTACGGGCACACCACCACTCACCATGCCTGGCTAATTTTTTTTTTTTTTTTTTTTTTTTTTTTTTTTGAGATGGAGTCTCACTCTGTCGCCCAGGCTGGAGTGCAGTGGCGCCATCTTGGCTCACTGCAAGCTCCACCTCCCAGGTTCACGCCATTCTCCTGCCTCAGCCTCCCGAGTAGCTGGGACTACAGGCGCCCGCCACCACGCCCGGCTAATTTTTTAATATTTTTAGTAGAGACAGGGTTTCACCTTGTGTTAGCCAGGATGGTCTTGATCTCCTGACCTCGTGATCCGCCCGCCTCGGCCTCCCAAAGTGCTGGGATTACAGGCATGAGCCACCGCGCCCGGCCATTTTTGTATATTTAGTAGAGATGGGGTTTCGCCATGTTGGCCAGGCTGGTCTCAAACTCCTGACCTCACGTGATCCACCTGCCTCAGCCTCCCAAAGTGCTGGGATTACAGGCATGAGCCATGGTGCCCACCCCCCATTAATTAATTTTTAATGTACCTTTTTTCTTTTTTTTGCCTGATAAATGTTTACCATATCTTACTTGGGGAGGACACTGAGGAGCCAGTCACTTTGGAGGTGGGATATTAGACAGTAGCTCCATGATGTGACTTTGTCACAGTCAATGTTGTGTGCCTAGTGCTTAGATAGGACAGGCACATGACAGTGTGCAATAAATACTGAATGAACGAATGAATGAATGCCCAGTCCAGCCCTGTCCAAAGGAACCAGAGTGCTCTGGGAGTAGGACATTCACACAGAAGATAAAGGGACCAGGAGCAGTGGCTTATACATGTAATTCCAGCACTTTGGGAGGCCGAGGCAGGCGGATGGCTTGAGCCCAGGAGTTCAAGACTGCAGTAAGCTATGATCGCGCCACTGCACTCCAGCCTGGACGACACAGCAAGACTCTGTCTCAAAAAAATTTTTAAAAATTTAAAATTTAAAATAAATAGATAAAGAATTAAAAGTACCCCTTGGATGGATATTGTATGAGTTTGCACTGGCTGCCATGACAAAATATCACAGACTAGGGAGCTTCAACAACATGAATTTATTTTCTCACAGCCCTGGAGGCTGATAGTCTAAGATCAAGGTGCTGGCAAGTTTAGTTCTTATTTGTTGTTGCTGTTTTTTTTTTTAATTTTTAATTTTTTTTGAGATGGAGTTTCGCTCTTGTCACCCAGGCTGGTGTGCGGCGGCATGATATAGGCTCACTGCAGCCTCTGCCTCCCAGGCTCAAGCGATTCGCGTGGCCTCAGCCTCCTGAGTAGCTGGGGTTATAGGCACATGCCATCATGCGCGGCTAATTTTGTATTTTTAGTAGAGACGGGTTTCACCATGTTGGCCAGGCTGGTCTTGAACTCCTGACCTCAAGTGATCTGCCCACCTCGGCCTCCCAAAGTGCTGGGATGACAGGTGTGAGCCACCGCGCCCGGCTGCAAGTTTGGTTTTTAAAACAAAAGAGTACCAATTCCATTTCCTGCCACACCCATGAAGGTTACACACCCATGAAGGTTCTGACCATCAGCGAAATATTTAATGCAAGTATCTCTTCCATGTAAACCCTGCTGCAGTTAGTCCTTCAAGCTCCTGCATTTCTGTCTTCTTTAGTTTGCATGTATGGGCACGGCATTTATGAGTCTGTATCCTGAGAGGCAGTGTGACCAATTATCAGGACAGAGCAGCAGTGCTGTGTGTCCTCCTGGCTGCATCTTCACAAGCTGTGGCACCCGGGGCAGGGCACTCAGCATTGCTGATCACCAGGTTCTTCATCTTTAGAAGGGGCTGATGATTCCTATCCTGCCTTCCTCACCGTATCACTGGAATAATCTCATCAGTTCACGTGTCTGTCCTTCTTAAATCAGGGTGCACGTGCCTGCAGAGGGGTGTAAGCCTCAGGATAAACAAGGTGCACCTGCCTAGAGCATCTGTTTTAAACTATGATTTTTATATTAAAATAAGCACAAATGCATTGGGAAGCGGAATAGAAAGTTGGCATGAAATGCAAATAAAATTGAAGATTTCAAATTAATGTCCTTGCTGCAATCTGTGTGCTTCTCTCATTCCAGGTGCTTTGATAGGAAAGTTGGAGCAGTGCTGGTTATCTATGAAGACACATGAGGCTGCCCTCCATGTGCTCATGGAACAATTGCCAGGATCTAGCACAAAGTGGAAAAAAAAAAAAAAAAAAAAAAATCCAAGCACAAAACCAGGTGTTACCATTTGTTTTAGAAAAAAGCAGGGGAGGGGAGATATTTATAAATGCTTGTGAGTGCAGAGCATACCCTGGGCTGATACATAAGAAACCACAGGCCGAGTGCTATAGCTCACACAAGTAGTTTTAGCACTTTGGGATACCAAGGCAGGAGGATTACCTGAGCCCAGGAGTTTGAGAACAGCCTGGACAACATAGCGAAACCCCGTCTCTACAAAAAAAAAAAAAAAAAAAAGAATTATTAGCCAGGTGTGATGGTTTGCACCTGTAATCCTAACTACTCAGGAGGCTGAGATGGGAGAATCCCTTGAGCCCAGGAGTTTGAGGCTACAGAGAGCTGTGATCATGCCACTGCCCTCTAACATAGGTGACAGAGCAAGAACTTTTCTCAAAAAAAAAAAAAAGAAAAGAAACTGTTAAAGGAATAGTACGAATATATAGTACGAATAATAGGATGAAATGCACGTTAAAGGAGTTGTGTCTGAATTAAAGACCTGGGGGACAAGGAGACAGACACCAGATGGGAAGGAGGCATCTCACCACCAACCCTTCTGTACTATTTATTTTAACATGCATGAACTACGTATTTGTTAAATCTATCATTTTTAAAAGCAGTAGTTCTGCTTTTAGAATTAGTTATCATTGGCCGGGTACGGTGGCTCACATCTGTAATCCCAGCACTTTGGGAGGCCGAGGCAGGCAGATCACCTGAGTTCAAGACCAGCCTGGCCAACATAGTGAAACCCCTTCTCTACTAAAAATACAAAACAATTAGCCAGGTGTGGTGGTGGTCGCCTGTAATCCCAGCCACTCAGGAGGCTGAGGCAAGAGAATTGCTTGAACCCAGGAGTTGGAGGTTGCAGTGAGCCGAGATCGCACCATTGCACTCCAGCCTGGGCAACAGAGAGGGACTCCATCTCAGAAAAAAAAAAAAAAGTTATCCTTCAGGCTGGACACGGTGGCTCACACCTGAAATTCTAGCACTTTGGGAGGCCAATGCGGGCGGATGGCCTGAGCTCAAGAGTTCGAGACCAGGCTGGGCAACATGGCAAAACCCCATCTCTACTAAAAATACAAAAATTAGCCAGGCGTTGTGTTGCACACCTGTAATCCCAGCTACTCAGGAGGCTGAGGCATGAAAATCGCTTGAACCCGGAAGGCGGAGGTTGCAGTGAGCCAAGATCATGCCACTGCACTCCAGCCTGGACAACAGAGCAAGACTCTGTCTCAAAAAAAAAAATCATTTAAATGATAGTTATCTGCTGAAGAAAAACACAAAATATTGGACAATAATTATTAGATATTTTGAGTAATAGTGCACAGTAATTGAGTAATAGTGAAATTAAAAGTTTAAATTTCTACTCTCCTTAGCATCTGAGAATGATTTCTCTATCATTTCTACCCACGTCCAGAGAGGAAAAATCTATCAGTTCTCATCCTGTGAGATTCTCCCCATAAATAACATTTCATCATAAAAGTTTATCTCTAAGACAAAAAGATGAATCATGTTAATTTCTTTAATAGAAGCTTATGTGACATGCATGTCTAACATTGACGCTGGTATTATGGGATCATGAATAATAGTATGAAATGCATGCAGTTCACTCATTCATTCATATATTAAACAAACACTAGTTAGATATATTATCTGACACCAAACACTATGCTTAGACCTGTTAATATAAAAGTAAATAAAAATAAAAAGTATTGTCCCTGTCCTCAAACATTCTATTCCAGTGGTACAGACAGGGAAGAAAACACATACGTACAACTCAGAATGAGAAATGCAAAGTCTGGAATAGTCAGTAGATGGTTATAAAGGGGTTAGGGGTGGGGTGTGGTGAAACACGTGGGCTTTGGACTAGGGTGGGCTTGGTTTGAGTCTGGTTTCAAACTTACTCACCACTTGTATGACCTTGAGCAAGCATATTCATCCATTCTCACATTGCTATAAAGAACTACCTGAGACTGGGTCATTTATAAAGAAAAGAGGTTAAATTGGCTTACTGTTCCATAGGCTGTATAGGAAGCATAGCTGGAGAGGCCTCAGGAAACTTACAATCATGGTGGAAGGTGAAGAGGAAGCAGACACGCCCCACATGGCTGGAGCAGGAGGAAGAGAGAGGGAAGGGTGAGGCGCTACACACATTTAAACAACCAGATCTCACGAGAACTCACTATCGCAAGAACAGCAAGAGGGAAACCACCCCCTTGATCCAATCACTTCCCACCAGGCCCCTCTTCCAACACTGGGGATCACAATTCAACGTGAGATTTGGATGAGTTCACAAATCCAAACCATATCAACCAGGTGTTTCCTGAAGCCTCAGTTTCCTCAATGGCTATATGGGATTAATACTAGAACCTACCTCATAGGGTTGGTGAGAGTGTTCAATGATTAGAAACAAAGTGGAAATGACAAAGTGCTTGTAAGCCACTCACCCCAGTCCCTGACACAAATATTAGTTTCCAAATATTTTTTAATTTCTGTGTTTAGTGGATGGTTGGATGTATGGGTCTGGATGGGGGTTACAGATTTGAGCATCTCCACCATTCAAGTGAGGTGAAGTGAGAATATCAATGAAGTTTTAGTAACAAAGTAGGTGGCTCTATAGAGTGTATGAGATTATGAAGCTAGGGGCCTCAGATGCAGCCCTGGGTGATGCTGATGTCAATGAGGTGGTTGGAGACCGAGAAGAAAAAAAAAAAACAGAAAAGTTGAAAAGAAAATCAGGGAATGTGGAGAAAGGAAGTGAGCAGGGGTTTTCAGGAGGAAGTACCATAGAGTTAAAGGCCACAGAAAATTCCAGCTAGAGCCACTTTCATTCCCACTAGGATGATTATTAATCAAAAATTTAAAAACGGCCGGGTGCGGTAGCTCACGCCTATAATCCCAGCACTTTGGGAGGCCGAGGCAGGTGGATCACTTCAGGTCAGAAGTTTGAGACCAGCCTGGCCAACATGTTGAAACCCCATCTCTACTAAAAATAAAAAAAAATTAGCTGGCATGGTGGCGCGTGCCTGTCATCCCAGCTACTCGGGAGGCTGAGGTGGAAGGATTGCTTGAACCCAGGAAGCGAAGGTTGCAGTGAGCCGAGATCGACTGGGTGACAGAGCGAGACTCCATCTCAAAAAAAAGAGAGAGAATAGCAAGTCTTGGCGAGGATGTGGAGAAATTGGAAGCTTCGTGCATCACTGATGGGGATGCAAAATGGTACCACTGCTGGAAAAAACAGTATGGAGGTTCTTCAAGGAAATAAACATAGAATTACCATACGATCCAGCAATTCCACTTCTGGGTATACACCCCAAAAAATTGGAAGCAGGAACTCAAGCAGATATTTGTACACTCACGTTCATGGCAGCATTATTCCCAATAACCAAAAGGTGGAAGCAACTCCTGTCCACCAAAGGATGAATGGATAAATAAAATGTAACATACCCACAGAATGTAGTATTATTCAGATGTAAAAAGGAACGAAATTCTGACATATGCTACAACATGGGTGAATCTTGAGGACATTAAGTGAAATAAGCTAGATATATAAGGATAAATACTGCTGGGCGCCGTGGCTCATGCCTGTAATCCCAACATTTTGTGAGGCCGAGGTGGGTGGATCACCTGAGGTCAGGAGTTCAAGACCAGCCTGACCAACATTGTGAAACCCATCTCTACTAAAAATACAAAATTAGGCGAGCATGGTGGCACATGCTTGTAATCCCAGCTACTTGGGAGGCTGAGGCAAGAGAATCCCTTGCACCTGAGAGGGAGAAGTTGCAGTGAGCTGCGTTGGTGCCTAGGCAACAAGGGCGAAACTCCCAACTCAAAAAAAAACAAGCAAAAAAAGGATAAGGATAAATATGGTATGATTCCACTTACACGAAGTACCTAAAGAGTGGTAGAATTCACAGAAGCAGAGAGAATAGAATGGTGGTTGCCAAGGCCCGGGGATAGGGAAGAATGGGGAGGTATTATTTAATAGGTGTGGAGTTTCCATTTGGGAAGGTGAAAAAGTTCTAGAGAAGGATGGTGGCAATGGTTGCACATCGATGTGAATGTGCTTAATGCCATCATGCTGCACACTTATAGGTGGCTTAAGTGATAAATGTTATGTTAAGTATATTACCACAGTATTTTTAAAAATCAAGTTAGAGGACACATGTGTATCCAACCTGGGTGTTACTGGGAATTTTGATGAGCACAGTTTCTGTGGAGAAAGAAGTACAGAAGGCCAGGCATGGTAGCTCACGCCTGTAATCCCAGCACTTTGGGAGACCAAGAAGGAAGGACCACTTGTGTCCAGGAGTTCGAGACCAGCCTGGGCAACATTTGTAGAGACCCCATCTCTACAAAAAAGAAAAACATAGCTGGATATGGTGGCATGTGCCTGTAGTCCAAGCTACTCGGGAGGCTGGGGTGGGAGGATCACTTGAGCCTGGAAGGTTGAGGCTGCAGTGAGCTGTGATAGTGCCACTGCACTCAGCCTGGACAACAGAGTCAGACCCTGTCAAAAAAAAAGAAAAGAAAAGAAAAGAAGAGGAAAAGAAAAAAGTAAAAAGGACAGAAGCCCAACTCCAGGGGATCAAGGAATGACCGAAGAGTAAGAAAGCAAAGCCCCCGAGGTGGGGGGCCATGCAAGGTGGGGTGAGAAAGATAGGGTGGGATGGGAGAGAATCAAGGGTTTTTTTTTTGGTTTTCAAAGATGGCAGGCATTTACTTCTGTTTGCAGGTTGATGGAAAGAAAGTTTTAACTGGGTATTTGCTTTATGTTTGGAATGAAAGTTTTTGCCTTTCATTAGAATGCAATTAAGTGTTCTGACTTAACACTTAAGGCCAAGGTGGGAAGATTGCTTGAGCTCAGGAGTTCGAGACCAACTTAGGCAACAGACTGAGAATCCCCATCTCTATTGTAAAAAAAGAGGCCGGGTGCAGTGGCTCAAGCCTGTAATCCCAGCACTTCCAGAGGCCAAGGCGGACGGATCACGAGGTCAGGAGATCGAGACCATCCTGGCTAACACGGTGAAACCCCGTCTCTACTAAAAATACAAAAAAAAAAAATAATAACTGGGCACAGTGGTGGGCGCCTGTAATCCCAGCTACTTGGGAGGCTGAGGCAGGAGAATGGCGTGAACCCGGGAGGTGGAGCTTGCAGTGAGCCGAGATCACGCCACTGCACTCCAGCCTGGGCAACAGAGCAAGACTCCATCTCGGAAAAAAAAAAAAAAGAAAGAAAGAAAGAAAATGATTGTGAGAATGGGAAGCATGTTTATGGGGGGAAGATTAAACTTGCCGTTGAAGGCAGGCATCACAGGGTCCCTTGGGCCAGCTCTCTCCCTGGTGACCTGACCCTACCCAACATGGTTCTTGCCTCTTCACTCAGGACAAACGTGAACTTGGAGCTGCTTCACTGTGTCAGAAGGCTGCTAATCAAGAGTGTACTTTCCATTTTCTCTGCCATTGGAAGGTCAAGAATAGACCTGGTTGATAATTTGGTAGCCACTGACTTCTGTTAGAGAGCTAGAAGGCAGCCGAAACATGCCCTGACACTTTCAGGATCAATGGCAATGTGGCTTTGGTGCCAGAAGGAGAGAGTGAAGCGGTGATTTCAAGGTTTTTGTTGTTGCGAAATGTGGACAGTTTCATAAATACCTGTCTACCTCCAGAACATTGAGAAATCAGATGTGTCAGGAGTCGGAGTGTCCCTAAGTGAGTAATGCAGTGCACACCCCTTTCTGGTGGGATATGTCTCTAGGTCAGTGGTTCTCAAAGTGGGGGTCCCTGGATTAGCTGCATCAGCGTTATCTGAGAACTTGTTAAAAATGCAGCTCCTGGCCGGGTGCCATGGCTCACACCTCTAATCTCAGCACTTTGGAAGGGGGGGTGGGTGGATCACCTGAGGTCAGGAGTTCGAAACCAGCCTGGCCAACGTGGTGAAACCCCGTCTCTACTAAAAATACAAAAATTAGCTGGGCATGGTGGTGTGCACCTGTAGTCCCAGCTACTTGGGAGGCTGAGGCAGGGAGAATTGCTTGAACCCAGGAAGCAAAGGTCGCAGTGAGCTGAGATCGCACCACTGCACTCCAGCCTGGGCAACAGAGCAAGACTCTGTCTCAAAAAAAAAAAAAAAAATTGGCTATAAGGATGGGCACGGTGGCTCAAACCTGTAATCCCAGCACTTTGGGAGGCTGAGGTGAGAGATCATTTGAGCCTAGGAGCTTAAGACCAGCCTGGGTAATATAGTGAAACCCCATATCTACAAAAAGAAAAAAAAAACTGTCTATGTTTATTTATTATGCACACATACAAACAGCGAGGATCACATCCAAGCGTTTCATCACAGGTATTCCACCAGTTCCATGCACACATGTGCAGTTGCTCTGGCAAGCATAACACAACCAGATGATTTACACAATTTCTAACGGTTAGAACATCAATATTGAAACCCTTCTCCTCTTGTACAAAGTTTCTCTGCAGAGGAAAATAGTGGCGAAGATGCCAAGTGTTGTTGTTTTTAAACACTAGTCAAACACGAGGCTCGCTTTTCCAATGTTTGCGTGAGTGAGATCAAACCAACTGTTCTTTTGGCGTGGCATCTTTTAATGTATCAGTGATTCTTTCTAACTACAGTGCAGGGAAAACCCTTCTAAATGGTAGCCTACCTTAAAGCTTCAAATGCATAAAAACTTGGTCCTCTTCCTTTTCTTTCTTTTTTTTTCTTTTTTTGAGACGGAGTTTTGCACTTGTTGCCCAGGCTGGAGTGCAATGGTGCCATCTCAGCTCACTGCAACCTCCGCCTCCCAGGTTCAAGCGATTCTCCTGCCTCAGCCTCCTGAGTAGCTGGGATTACAAGCATGCACCACCACACCCGGCTAATTTTGTATTTTTAGTAAATATGAGGTTTCTCCATGTTGGTCAGGCTGGTCTCGAACTCCCAACCTCAGGTGATCTGCCCGCCTCGGCCTCCCAAAGTGCTGGGATTATAGGCGTGAGCCACCGCGCCCGGCCCCTTTTTCCTTTTCTTGAGACAGTCTCACTCAGTCTGCACTCCAGGCTGGAGTGCAGTGGCACCGTCATGGCTCACTGCAGCCTTGACCTCCTGGGCACAAGTGTTCCTCCCACCTCAGCCTCCTGAGTAGCTAGGACTACGGGCACGCACCACCACACTCAGCTAATTTTTTTTTCTTTTCTTTTCTTTTCTTTTTGTGAGACAGGGTCTCACTCTGTTGCCCAGACTAGAGTTCAGTGGGGCGATCTCAGCTTACTGCAACCTCCGCCTCCCAGGTACAAGCAATTCTCCCGCCTCAGCCTCCTGAGTAGCTGGGACTACAGGCACGCATCACCACACCTGGCTAATTTTTTAATTTTTTGGTAGAGATGGAGTTTCACTGTGTTGGCCAGGCTGGTTTCCAACTCCTGACCTCAAGTGATCTGGCTGCCTTGGCCTCTCAAAGTGCTGGGATTACAGGGGTGAGCCAGCGTGAGTGGCCTAATTTTTGTATTGTTTCTAGAGACAGAGTTTTGCCATGTTGCCCAGACTGGTCCCAAACTCCTGGGCTCAAGCAATCCTGCTGCCTCAGCCTCCCAAAGCATTGGTATTATAGGCGTGAGCCACCATGCCCAGTCTTTTTTCCTTTTTTGTAATAATAGTTTGAGTCTGTACAGCAATCCAGCTGTATGCTTAGTGAGACATTGCCAAGTTTACCAAATGTGCGTTCAGAACCACATGGAGGAGCCCCTTCTTCCACTCCTACAGTCTGGTGGCCCATCCATCTAACATGATTATCTTGCCATTCGTTGATATGTTCTTGCAATTTTTTTTTTTTTTTTTGAGATGGAGTCTTGCTCTGTCGCCCAGGCTAGAGTGCAGTGGAGCCATCTCAGATCACTGCAACCTCCACCTCCCAGGTTCAAGCAATTCTCCTGCTTCAGCCTCCCAAGTAGCTGGGATTACAGACGCCCACCATCACACCTGGCTAATTTTTGTGTTTTTGGTAGAGACAGGGTTTCACCATGTTGGCCAGGCTGGTCTCGAACTCCTGACCTCAGGTAATCCGCCCACCTCAGCCTCCCAAAGTTCTGAGATTACAGGCTGAGCCACCACGCCCAGCCTGTTCTTGCAATTTGAAGGAAAATGGCAATGGCCAGGAATTTCCTATGAGCAATGGGTGCTGAGTTAGCATTAACTTAGTATATCATATTTTATTTATGTTTTAGATACAAGGTCTCACTCTGTAGTCCAGGTTGGAATGCAATGAAACAATCATGGCTCACTGTAGCCTCGACCTCCTGGGCTCAGGTGATCCTCCCACCTCAGCCTCCCAAGTAGCTGAGATCACAGGCACGCGCCACCATGCCCAGCTAATTTTTTTTTTTTTTTTTTTTGAGACGGAGTCTCGCTCTGTTGCCCAGGCTGGAGTGCAGTGGTGCAATCTCGGCTCACTGCAAGCTCCACCTCCTGGGTTCACGCCATTCTCCTGCCTCAGCCTCCTGAGTAGCTGGGACTACAGGCGCCCGCCACCACGCCCGGCTAATTTTTTGTATTTTTAGTAGAGACGGGGTTTCACCGTGTTAGCCAGGATGGTCTCGATCTCCTGACCTCGTGATCCGCCTGCCTCGACCTCCCAAAGTGCTGGGATTGCAGGCGTGAGCCACCGTGCCCGGCCTTAATTTTTAAATTATTTGTAGAGACTCCAGGTCTCCTTGTATTGTCCAGGCTGGTCTCAAACTCCTGGGCTCAGGCGATCCTCCCACCTCAGCCTCTCAAGTAGCTAGGACTACAGGACTGCACCACCTGGATAATTTTTAAATTTTTTGGTGGATACAGGGTCTCCCTATGTTGTCCAGGCTGGTCTGGAACTCCTGACCACAAGCAATCCTCCCACACTGGTCTCTTAAAGTGCTGAGATAGTTGTAAGCCACCATGCCTGGCAGCAGATAATATTTTCTTACAGGCCTGATGAGACACGTCACCTGACTGTTTTCCAATTTCCAATGCCAGAAATCCTGGATGGGAAAGAGGAGCCACTTGCCCCAGTGAACATGCAGAGGCTGTGGCGAGAGCAGGGAGAGAATTCCCTCATTTTCTGTACTACTCCCCTGAGGCCCCTTTCTCTGGGTGAAAATGCCCCCCTGAGTTGCAATGACAGGCCCTGGGAAGGGGAAGAGAATTCCTCTGTGGGAACTCTCTGTCTTCTAGGGATAAACCGAGTCTGCTGCTGGACACAGGGAGGGGAGGGGAGGCTCGAATGTAAAGAGAAAAGACACTGTGGGCCGGAAGCGGTGGCTCAAGCCTGTAATCCCAGCACTTTGGGAGGCCGAGGCGGGAGGATTGCCTGAGCTCAGGAGTCTGCTACCAGCCTGGGCAACACGGTGAAACCCCGTCTCTACTAAAATACAAAAAAATTGGCCAGACGGGGCGGCGTGCGCCTGTAGTCCCAGCTACTCGGGAGGCTGAGGCAGGAGAATGGCGTGAACCCGGAAGGCGGAGCTTGCAGTGAGCCGAGATCGCGCCACTGCACTCCAGCCTGGCGACAGAGCCAGACTCCGTCTCAAAAAAAGAAAAAAGAAAAAAAAAGAAACGAGACTGTGCCCACATGGAGGCGCAATGACGGCGAGCCTAAGGTGGGAATACTCAGCTCTACACCACTCTCCCTGCACCTAGCACGTCCCCAGCAGCAGGCTTGGTGGGCACCCAAGGCCAGAGCCAGGACTGGGGGAGGCAAGCCAGGAAGCCAGGAAGCCAGGTACAGCGTCTCCAGAGGTTTCCACTCGAGGGTGCCCACCCTGCGTGTGCACAGCAGGAGAGTGAGCACCCCCTTACAGTCTGCACTGGAAGCACCTCGCTTGCCTCCCCTCATCCAAGCCTCCCCAAAGACACAATTAAACGCTACAGAGGATTATTTAACAAGATCTGGGATCCTCAGAGCCGTAAGGATGATGACGGGCTGAAGCCAGTATCGAGCCTAATTCTTCCAACCATTGCATAGTCAGCAGTAAACTATGCAAGAGGGAAAAGGAAATAGGCGAGGGAATTAGAGTTTGTTTCCAAATTCCTATTTGGCCGTCAGTATCATGGTATCAGCAGAAACTCCTTGGCTTCCTTCGTTCTTGTTTCCAGCCTTACTTTCCAATTTGGGAACATCCTAAGGAAGGCGCTGGACGAATGGCCGGGGCTAGGCTCTCTCTGGTCCTGCCACTGCCAATGGTACACGGTGGCGTTGGGCAAGTCGTGGCTTCTACGAGCTTTGTTTTCCTTATATAAAAATGTACATAAGGCCGGGTGCGGTGGCTCACGCCTGTAATCCTAGCACTTTGGGAGGCCAAGGCAGGCAGATCATGAGGTCAGGAGTTCGAGACCAGCCTGACCAACATGGTGAAACCCCATCTCTACTAAAAAAAAAAAGAAAGAAAAAATTACCTGTGCGTGGTGATGCGTGCCTGTAATCCCAGCTACTCAGGAGGTTGAGGCAGGAGAATCGCTTGAACCTGGGAGGTGGAGGTTGCAATGAGCCAAGATTGCACCACTGCACTGCAGCCTGGGCAAGAGAGCAAAACTCCATGTCAAAAAAAAAAAAAAAAAAAAGAAGAAGTCAGAACTCAAGGGGACTTGGCCCTGATGAGGAGTTTGGGTTTTATTATAAATGTAGCAGAAATCCATTTGTAGAAATTTTCAGCAGAGAACTCATATGATCTAAGCTTTTTGAGAGCCAGGACTGTGTTTCTTTTTCTTTTGTTTCTTTCTTTCTTTTTTATTTATTTATTTTTTTTGTTTGTTGAGATAGGCTCTTCCTCTGTTGCCCAGGCTGGAGTACAGTAGCATGATCTGGTTCACTGCAGTCTCAACCTCCCGGGCTCAAACAATCCTCCCACCTCAGCCTTCTGAGAAGCTGTGATTACAGGTGTGTGCCACATGCTCAGCTAATTAAAAAAAAAAATCTTGGTAGAGATGAGGTCTATCTATATTGCCCAAGATGGTCCTGAACTCCTGGGCTCAAGCAACCTTCCTGCCTCAGCTGCCCAAAGTGCTGGGATTGTAGGTGTGAGCCACCGTGCCCAGCCAGGACTCTCTTTCTTAATGTTTTCCAACCATTTATTGAACTGAATTGAATTTCACTCACTCTTCCAAGAATTAGCTGTCTGACCTTGGCCAAATCCCTTCACAGACAACTGTCCCACAGGGTCTTCTTTGCACTTAGTAGGCATTAGCCCAGTGTTTGTTGGATGGAGACCTGCAGCTGCCTCACTGTCATAGGAAGTGAGAGGATGACTCCACCCAGCTCCACCATTTGCATGAGTCTGTGACCTCAGACTGCTGAAATGATCATAGAGTTATCCATGCTTCTCCAAATGCTTGGTTCCAGGTGCCTTATTACAGCCCATTTGTCTCCAGAATGACCCAAACCCCTCCCTGGACCCTCGGCCACAAAGGGGAAATTAATAGTAACATAAAAAGTTAAGCAGGTGAGAGAACATTATCACTCTTGTCAACAATAAAATCTGCTGCTGATCTTCAGTTGTGAGGACAGGCACATCTATTATTTATAGAATACAGATTGTTAAATATTAAATACTTGAGCCTGGGATAGTGTGAAGGTAAAACCAGGAGTGTGAACTTGTCAAAATCGTAAAAATGGTAACTCTTTGCAAAGGTGAAGTGCACCTACATTTATTACTGCTTTTATTGCACTATAAATTAAGGGGGGGAGCCCATGATGTGTCAATTTCAAGTTCTTTTTTTTTTTTTTTTTTGGGACGGAGTCTCGCTCTGTCACCCAGGCTGGAGTGCAATGGCACGATCTAGGCTCACTGCAACCTCCACCTCCCAGGTTCAAGCAATTCTCCTGTCTCAGCCTCCCGAGTAGCTGGCACTACAGGCGCACGCCAACATGTCCGGCTAATTTTTGTATTTTTAGTAGAGACGGGGTTTCACCATATTGGTCAGGTTGGTCTCAAACTCCTGACATCAGGTGATCCACCCTCCTCGTTCTCCCAAAGTGCTGGGATTACAGGCGTGAGCCACCACACCCGGCTGTCAATTTCAAGTTCTAGGTGATAAGCATTATCGTTGGGATGGCATCTGTCTGTACCTAGCTCTGCTTTACAAACAGCTCCTAGCCGACTTGCCTAGAACTATGAACTATTTCATCTGGGAAGGTGGTAAGAGAGAGGATTTCTTCCTTATTTACCACGTGACAGAATGGCAGGCAAGTCAAACATTTGATGAACTGGTAATTTTTCTTGTAGTTACTTGCACATATGTCCAAAGGTTTGTGTTGATGAAGGCAAAAATACTTCTTAAAGATATTAAAAGTCCAGGCTGGGTTCAGTGGCTCACACCTGTAATCCTAGCACTTTGGGAGGCCGAGGTGGGTGGATCACCTGAGGTCAGGAGTTCAACACCATTCCGGCAACATAGCAAAACCCTCATCTCTGCTAAAAATACAAAAATTAGCGGGTGTGGCTGCGCATACCTGTAATCCCAGCTATCTGGGAGGCTGAGGCAGGAGAATGGCTTGAACCTAGGAGGCAGAGGTTGTAGTGAGCCAAGATCAAGCCTGGGCAACAGAGTGAGACTTTGTCTCCAAAACACAAAAAAAAAAACCTTGAAAGTTGCCAAACATCTTAATTTTTGTTTTTTTTTTTTTTGAGATTGGGTTTTGCTCTTGTTGCCCAGGCTGCTGGAGTGCAGTGGTGCGATCTTGGCTCACTGCAACCTCCACATCCCAGGTTCAAGCAATTCTCCTGCCCCAGCCTCCCGAGTAGCTGGGATTACAGGCACACACCACCCTGACTGGCGAATTTTTTGTATTTTTAGTAGAGACGGGGTTTCACCATGTTGGCCAGGCTGGTCTCGAACTCCTGACCTTGTGATCCACCCGCCTCAGCCTCCCAAAGTGCTGGGATTACAGGCGTGAGCCACCGCGCCTGGCCTCATCTTAATTTTTATATGATTTTGACATCCCTCAATTTACCCTAATTTATTTCTGCCCTGAATTTTTCATGCAAATTTAGAACTTAACCCACCACCATTTGCTTCATGACATGAAGTGAGATACCGTGAGATTTTTCAGTCTGCCCCTAAGGACTCATAGATGTAAGAACTTGATTTCTTGATTTACTGCTCATAATAAAATGATTTTTTCCCTTTTCTTACAAAGAAGATTTGCACATCCAATTTGTTTTTCCTTTTTAAAAAATGTGTTGAATTAAGCCAAAATCTTTCCAACGAAGCACCTGATTCAAACACAAATTCTGTCCCCTGGAATATGCAGCCTCATGTTTAATAAGCACCCAGCAGGGATTATGCATTAAATTATCTCCCTTAAAAACTTGTTGATAGATTTATCAATATTTGGATTAATTTTAATGTTAAAGAATTAAATCCTTAATGTTTCCACTTTAGGTAGGGAAAGAAAACTACAACTTAATTGTATAGCAATTTAACCTTGATTATCTTTTTTTCTGATTGAACCCTATACAATGATATCAAATTCAAAAATTAACCTTGCCCGCAGGATGGATAATTAGTCAAAACCAGGGAAAAGTCAGAATAAATTAACAATGAAATCAATCCCTTCATTTTATGTCACATTCTGGGAATTCTGAGGCACATTTTCAATATGAGCCCATCACCTTCTTCCAAATTCTGCTGAAGTTATATTCTGGAAAGATCTAGGCTACTTTTAGAGATGGGCAAACTGAGGTTAAGCAAAATTCCATAATGACAGGAGTAATAATCAGAAGAAGAAATGATTCAGGTAGAGACTAACCAGGAAGGAGGGAAAAACCAGAGTTCAGAGGAGCTGAGATGACCTGCCTGAGGACAGAGTAAGGACTGGGGATAAGACAGAGGGAAAATTGCTTTCAAAAAGCTGCTGGCAGCTAGGTGTGGTGGCTCATGCCTGTAATCCCAGAACTTTTGGAAGCTAAGGCGGGAGGATCGCTTGAGCTCAGGAATTTGAGACCAGCCTGGGCAACATAGCCAGACCTTGTCTCTACTTAAAATAAAAATATGAAAATTAGCCACGGGCAGTGGTGCAAGCCTGTAGTCCCAGTTACACAGGAGGCTGAGTCAGAAGGATTGCTTGAGTCCAAGGAGGTTGAGGCTGTGGTAAGCAGTGACTATACCATTGCATTCCAGCCTGGGAGACAGAGCAAGGCCCTGTCGCAAAAAAAAAAAAAGCCAGTGAGCAACCATCTGTCCAGTTTAGATCAGGAAGGCAGAGCGTGCTCAGAGAAAGATCTCTGGTGAAAAAAGGAGATTTAATAGAATAGATGGAATAATTGAGAGCTTAAAAAATAATTAAGAAAAGGATTAACACAAGTCATGCAAGAAAAAAAGGAAAAGAAAGGCAATTAGACACTCTAGGAAAAACAAGCGTATACAAGAAATAATGGCCCGCAAATGAAGCAAATGAAATGTGTCATAACGTTAAGCAATCAGTGGAACATGACAGATTTTTTTTCACGTTTGGAAGAATGGTGTACAGCTCACTACTGGACCAGGCAACAAACCTGAGAATGGTATCATAATGGGAAGCCGTTCATGGGTTTCTGACTTTTAAAGTCAAGCTGCAGACATCTCACCCAAGACTTGGTTGTGTTGGCAAGACAGAACACAAATGTTAACAAGCACTAACACGTGAAAAAGTTAAAAAGTGAAACTGATAGATGTTGTGACATGGAGAGGAGGAAAAATCGGGTGTAAATATCCTTGTCTGACAAAGTGGAGGATCAAATGAAATTGTGGAAAGTGGATATACAAGAAATCAAAATAGATCCTTTTGCAGTTCATTAGCATAATGTGAGAAAACGTTTTAAATGGTCCATTTTTGGTCGGGTGCGGTGGCTAATGCCTGTAATCTCAGCACTTCGGGAGGCGTCCAGTGATCTGCCCGCCTCAGCCTCCCAAAGTGCTGGGATTACAGGCTTGAGCCTCCGTGCCCAGCCAGATTTTCTAGTTCTTCTTGAATCCTTTCTTGAGTTTTTCCCCTTCTCTTAATGGTTGATGTTTATATTATTACAGTACTTAAATTATTCTATCCATCACCTTTCTAACTTTTAATAGGCTTATATTTTGATTTCTTATTTTATTCTATTTTTCTTTATTTCATATCAGATGGGTAACGTCCTGATGTCGTAACTCGTTTTGAGGGAGGCACTGTCACACATGCTCGTGAAAACCTAATTATCATGCGTGAGAAACACATATTCACTCCTTCAAACCCAAAGAATAGACTCGGAGACACGAAGAACAGCGGAAGTGAGACTTTTAATGGAAGTCTTGTAAGATGGGGTGTCTGGTAGGCAGGCACAGCCAGGGCAGCTACAGCAGGTAATTGATCTCCTAGCACACAGTCCCTCCCCCAGTTGCTCATTGGTCTAGTACGATGGGGTTACAGTCTTCCTGGACGTCACCTAAGTTTCATTATCCCCCTTTAAGGTCAGACCCAGGTCCCCTTCCCTGCTAAAGTTTCGATTTCCCAATAATGAAACTTTCTCCCCTTTTATGGGCTGACCCTTCCTCTACATTCTGTTCACTTATCGTGACCTTCTAGGTGCGTGGGCCCTCGGGTTTGTTACACCCGCAGGCTGGCTGCCAGCACTCAGATTTATCATACCGTGAAGATGGACTATTTATGTATTTATTTTTGAGATGGAGTTTCCCTCTTGTTGCCCAGGCTGGAGTGCAATGGCAGAATCTTGTCTCACTGCAACCTCTTCCTCCCAGGTTCAAGCAATTCTCCTGCCTCAGCCTCCCAAGTAGCTGGGATTACAGGCACCTGCTACCACAACAAGCTAATTTTTTGTATTTTTAGTAGAGACGGGGTTTCGCCATGTTGGTCAGGCTGGTCTCGAACTCCCCACCTTAGGTGATCCACCCTCCTCAGCCTCCCAAAATGCTGGGATTACAGATGTGAGCCACCGTGCGAGGCCAAGAGAATTTCTTGAACCCGGGAGGTGGAGGTTGCAGTGAGCCGAGATTGCACCACTGCACTCCAGCCTGGGTGACAGTGCAAAACTCTGTTTCAAAAAAAGAAGAAGAAAGGAGTAGGAGGAGGAGGAGGAGGGGGAGGGGAAGTGGAAGGGGAGGGGGATACCTATAAAGAGTAAGTAAATTGAATTAGTAATCAAAAACCTTCCTCTACACAGACACACACACACACACACACACACACACACACACACACACAGAGCCCAGGCCTGGAATTCACTGGTGAATTCTACCAAATGTTTAAAGAAGAATTAACAACAATCCTTAGCAAGCTCTCCCAAAAAATAAAGCAGGAGGGAATACTTCTCAACCTATTCTCTAAGACCAGTATTCCCTAGTACCAAAACTACACAAAGGCATCACAAGAAAATCACATACCAATAGACCTTATGAAGATACACAAAAAGCTCTACAAACTAGCAAACTGAATCCAGCAAATACTAGCAAATCAAATACTAGCAAATTGAATCCATATAAAAAAGATTATAGGCCAGGCGCGGCGGCTCACGCCTGTAATCCCAGCACTTTGGGAGGCCGAGGCGGGCGTATCACGTGAGGTCAGGAGTTTGAGACCAGCCTGGTCAACATGGTGGAACCCCGTCGCTACTGAAAATACAAAAATTAGCTGGGCAGGATGGTGAATGCCTGTAATCCCAGCTACTTGGGAGGCTGAGGCAAGAGAATGGCTTGAACCCGGAAGGCAGAAGCTGCAGTGAGCCAAGATCGCACCATTGCACACCAGCCTGGGCGACAGAGCAAGACTCCATCTCAAAAAAAAAATAAATAAATAAAATAAAAAAGATTATAGTGGGGCATGGTGGCTCATGCCTGTAATCCCAACACTTTGGGAGGCTGACATAGAAAGATCGCTTGAGGCCAGGAGTTCAAGACCAGCCTGGGCAACATAGCAAGACTCTATCTCTACGCAAAAAAAAAAAAATTAATTAGTGGGGTGTGGTGGCACATGCCTGCAGTCCCAGCTACTCAGAAGGCTGAGGCAGGAGGGTTGCTTGATCACAGGAATTGGAGACTGCAGTGAGCTATGATTGTGCCACTGCACTCCAGCCTGGAGGAGACAGCAAGCCCCTCTATGAAAAAAAAAAAAAAAGAAATCAAGAAAGAAAGAAATTAACATTCTAGATAAATGGAATCTATGTTCACAGATTGGAAGACAATACTGTTAAGATGCCAACTCCCATATTAGTCCACAGATTGAGCACAATCCCTATCAGAGCAATGAGGAAGACAGTTAAACTATAACCTAAGAAGCAGCAGTTGCAAGCATGCTATGTGACAGTTTCCAGGGCTTAACTCCCCACATGGCACAATCAGCTCTGAATGTAAGAGCGAAGACTATACAAATCGTAGAAGAAAACACAGGAGTAAAAAATCTTCACGACCTTGGATTAGGCAATAATTTCTTAGAAACATCTCGAAAAGTGCAAGTGACAAAAGAAAAAATAAATTGAACTTCATTAAAAATTTAAACTTTGGTCATGTAAAGGACACCATTCAAGAAAATAAAAAGGACAACCCATAGAATGAGAGAAAATATATGCAATCATATATCTGTAAGGGTCTAGTATCCAGAATATGTAAACAATTGTTACAACTTAACAATAAACAGGCAATCCAATTTAAAAATGACTGAAAGGTTTGTATAGACATTTCTCCAAAGAAAATATATAAATGACCAATAAGCTCGTGAAAAAACAAGCTCAAAATAATTAGGGATATATGCAAATCAAAACCACAATTAGACACCACTTTACATCCATCATGATGGCTATAAGAAGAAAGACAGCCAGGTGAGGTAACTCATGCCTGTAATCTCAGCACTCTGGGAGGCCAAGGCAGGAGGACCACTTGAGCCCAAGAGTTTAGACAAGCCTGGGCAACATAGCGAAACCTCATCTCTACAAATATTTTTTAAAAAAATAATCGGGCATGGTGGTGTGCATCTGTGGTCCCAGCTACTCAGGAGGAAGGTTGAGGTGGGAGGATGGCTTGGGCCCAAGATGTTGAAGGCAGTGAGCTATGATCATGCCATTGCACTTCAGCCTGGGCAACAGAATGAGACCCTCTCTCAAAAGAAGAAGAGGCTCAAGAGGTTGAGGACAGTTAGCTGTGATCATGCCATTGCACTTCAGCCTGGGCAATAGGGTGAGACCCTATCTCAAAAGAAGAGGCTCAAGAGGTTGAGGACAGTTAGCTGTGATCATGCCACTGCACTTCAGCCTGGGCAATAGGGTGAGACCCTATCTCAAAAGAAGAAGAGGCCCAAGAGGCTGAGGACAGTGAGCCGTGATCATGCCACTGCACTTCAGCCTGGGCAACAGAGTGAGACCCTATCTCAAAAGAAGAAGAAGTCCAAGAAGTTGAGGGCAGTGAGCTGTGATCATGACACTGCACTTCAGCCTGGGCAACAGGGTGAGACTCCATCTCAAAAGAAGAAGAAGAAGAAAGAACAAGAAGGAGAAGAAGGAGGAGGAGGGGAAGAACGAGAAGAGGAGAAGGAGAAAAGGAGGAGAAGGACAGACAGAAAAATAACAAGCATTGGTGAGGATGCCAGGGGTTGAGAAGAATGAATAATAAGAGTCCTTGCTAATGAAGATAGGGGCTTCTTTTTTGCAGGGACAAAAACGTTCTGGTTTTAGAGAATGGTGCACAGTGGATTTAGAGATGGTTGCACAACTTTGTGGATCTGTGTACTAAAAACCAATGAATGGTACACTTTAACAGAGTGAATTTTATGACCTGTGAATTATATATCCGTTAAAGCAGTGACGAAAAATAAAAAGAGAGAAAAGGGCAGAGAGGGAAGAGGTAGAATGTTTTTGAGCTAAATTTTCATCTTCCTATTTAGGAGTTGGAAGGTATTGTCCAAAACTGATAAATCAAATCAGAGAGGTGTATTAGTCTGTTTTCACACTGCTATAAAGATACTACCCAAGAGTGGGTAATTTATAAAGGAAAGAGGTTTAATTGGCTCACAGTTCTGCGTGACTGGGAGGCCTCAGGAAACTTACCATCGTGGCGGAAGGGGAAGCAGGCATGTCTTACATGGCAGCAGGAGAGAGAGAGAAAGTGAAGCAGGAAGAGCCCCTTATAAAACCATCAGGTCTCGTGAGAACTCACTCATTATCACTTCAGCCTGGGCAACAGGGTGAGACCCTATCTCAAAAGAAGAAGAAAAAGAAAGAAGAAAGAAGGAGAAGGAGAAGAAGGAGGAGGAGGAGGAGGAGGAGGGGAAGAAGGAGGAGAAGAGGAGAAGTACCACTGCACTTCAGCCTGGGCAACAGGGTGAGACCCTATCTCAAAAGAAGCATGAGCAAAACTGTCCCCATGACCCTATCACCTCCCTCCCCTGACACGTGGGGATCACGGGTCCCTCCCTCCACATGTGGGAATTACAATTCAAGATGAGATTTGGGTGGGGACACAGAACCAAACCACATCAAGAGGTATGATCATAGAGCAGCAGAGGAAATTCCAGAAGAATTAAAGAAAGAAACAGTTAAAATCGCTTTGGGGACTGGGGTGAGATTGCCGCTTTTCAATATTATTATCTTTCTGCTTTTTTTTACTTGTTATTGTATGTATACTATTTTGATATGTCAACTTAAAATAATCAAAATGGTCAGAGTCTGGTTTAAAGGGAGTTTATTCAGGCACAAAGTTTGAAGATGAGCTGCCTGGGAAGCACAGATTCCAAAGAATGGAAGTCAGTGCTCCAAAGTGTAGAAGTTTGCAACTGTTTATATAGACAAAGCTTGGGGAAGCGGAACAGAATCTCAACGTCTTTCTATATAAGGTTTAATGCATAATTACAATATCTGGTTGGTTGAGGTAGTCTTTCTTTTTGGGAAAGGTATATTTAACCTTCCACACTAAAGATGTAATAGACATGGGGTCTTTTGTCCCATCTGGTCTAGGTTAGGCACGGGACAATAAAGAAGGCAGTTCATCTACAACAAAGATCAGTGATTGGAAGGGGAGGAGGTTTGGTCTCTGGTCTCTCCCAGTCATTTACAGAACAAGAGCAATGAGGAAGAGAGTTAAACTATCACCTAAGAGCAGAAGTTGCATACATGCTATGGGAGTTTCCAGGGCTTAACTCCCCACATGGCATAATACATTTAGAGAGTCCTGAATATTTTTTCTTTTACAGATACAAAATATATAGATAGATAGATAGATATTCAAAATGCAAGCATATTTTCCAGGCTTTTTTTTTTTTTTTGAGACAGCGTATCACTCTGTCACCCACGCTGGAGTCCAGTGGCGTGATCTCAGCTCACTGCAACCTCTGCCTCCCAGGCTCAAGTGATTCTCCTGCCTCAGCCTCCCAAGTAGCTGGGATTACAGGTGCTGACCCACCACCACCCAGCTAATTTTTGTATTTTTAGCAGAGATAGGGTTTCGCCATATTGGCTAGGCTGGTCTCAAACTCCTGACCTCAAGCGATCTGTCCGCCTCAGCCTCCCAAAGTGCAGGGATTACAGGCATGAGCCACCAGGCCCGGCCCAAAATGCAAGCATTTTTTCAAAGCTCCTAGAGCTTGAGGCCAGGACAGGGGAAGCTTTGAAAGGTACTCCTGGGACATGGAGATGCAGCTTCGGACCCAGCCTCTCCCCGGAAACTGTCTTCACAGTGAAATCTTGTCTCAGCTCCATGCCTGCTGCTGTTCCCCGCTGCATCTCCTGCTGCTGTTGCCCGCTGCATCTCCTGCTGTGGCCAGATGACCCAGTCTGGGCTTGAGCAAGGGTAATGACTGATACAGATTTTTCCCAACCAGCTGAGAGATCGGAGGGTGACACTGTCAAAAACAGAACGGTGAAAAGAATGAACTGTAAAATTAATTAAATGTCATGCACTCAAAAACACAGCAAGCCTGGAATAAGAACATGGGCCAAGGCTTCAACAGTCAGCACTTAACTCCCATGTACCTCTTTATTGTCCCCCCAAGAGCGTGCCAAGAAATTGGGGGTTCATGCTGTCATCAGTGTCACCCCCCCCCCGCCCACCCTGAGCTTCTATCCCTTTAATTCCAAACTGCTCCTCTCCTGGGTTGACTCTGTTTCTTAGCTAGCACACAGCTCAGACAGCTCTCCATCTGATCCAGTAATCAGGAAATTTAAGAAAAGAAAAAACATCCAAAAAAAAAAAAATGGTGTGTAAGGTAATTTTGTCCCAGATCTTTCCCTCCGAGTCATGAACATAATAGATCTGACTTTTTACGTTGTGTGCCCCCCTAAGAAGCATAAAAGAAAGGTTACCCTGGCAAGCAGCTAGAAAATAGTTTAATTAATCCCAAAGTGTGTGCCTCGTTTGGAAAGCACATCACAAAAGAATCCTGTGTTTACTGAACTAGATCCTTAAGGCTATTATCCCTCCACCAATGGTGAGATTTTTCTGAGGGAGCCGCGTCCCTTGTGGTCTAGAAGGTACTGCCATTAAAACTAAGATCCACACAGGGAACTATGATTGAAGATGCTGAAGGTGCAGGAACTTTGCCCTTGGCAGAGGGAATTGGGGGTCCCTAAGTTTGTGCAAAGCTGTCTAAGCCCTAACCCTGTGGATTTCTTCACTCTCCTGAGCAGAGGGGAGGTGTGCCCAGCTGGCTTTCCCCAGACCATTCCCAAGGAGCAGAAGTGGTAGGGAGCTGCCTTTGGCGTGCTTCTGGTTGGCCATCCCTTTTTTGAAAGCAAATGCTGCCCTACCTTAGCAGATATGCTAGGACTAACCAGAAACTGGTTGCCTAAAATAAAAAAATGCAATCATGGATTTTTGCTTTTGTTTTTGATTTTGAGACCAGGTCTCGCTTTGTCACCTAGGCTGGAGCCCAGTTGCGTGATCATAGCTCACTGCAGCCTCGACTTACTGGGCTCAAGTGATCCTCCCCCCACCTCAGCCTCCCACCGAGTAGCTGAGACTACAGACACACGCCATCATGCCTGTCTCATTTATTTATTTTTTGGAGAGATGGGACCTAGCTATATTACCCAAGCTGATCTCAGACTCCTGGGCTCAAGCAATCCTCCCACCTCTGCCTCCCAAAGTGTTGAGATTACAGGCGTGAGTCACTGTGCCCAGCCTCCTCTATCAATTAAATGGGTGATTTTTTTTTTTTTGAGACGGAGTCTCACTCTGTAGCCCAGGCTGGAGTGCAGTTGCGTGATCTCGACTCACTGCAACCTCCATCTCCCGGGTTCGAGTGATTCTCCTGCCTCAGCCTCCCGAGTAGCTGGGATTACAAGCGCCCGCCACCACACCCGGCTAATTTTTATTTTTAGTAGAGACAGGGTTTCGCCATGTTAGCTAGGCTGGCCTTGAACTCCTGGCCTCAGGTGATCTACCCGCCTCGGCCTCCCACAGTGCTGAGATTACTGATGTGAGCCACCGCGCCCGGGCTTTTCTTTTTTTTTAAGAAGCTCAGGCCACTACATCATGGGTGAAACTTGAAAACATTATGCTAAGTGAAATAAACCAGTCACAAGAGGACAAATATTGTATGATTACACTCCTATGAGAGACCTAGAGTCATGGAATTCATAGAAAGTAGAATGGTGGTTTCCAGAGGATAAGGGGGTGGCGGGGGAATGGGGAGCTCTTGTCTAATGGGTACAGAGTTTCAGTTTCACAAGATGAAGAGCTCTGGAAATGAATGGTGGTGATAGTTGCACAACTGTGAATATACTTATGCCACTGAATGGTATACTTAGAAGTGGTTAAAATAGGACTGGAGCGGTGGCTCACACCTGTAATTCCAATACTTTGGGAGGCCCAGGTGGGCGGATCACCTGAGGTTGGGAGTTGGACACCCGCCAGACTAACATGGAGAAAACCCGTCTCTACTAAAAATACAAAATTAGCCGCGCGTGGTGGCACATGCCTATAATCCCAACTACTCGGGAGGCTGAGGCAGGAGAATGGCTTGAACCCGGGAGGTGGAGGTTGCAGTGAGCCAAGATTGCGCCATTGCACTCCAGCCTGGGCGACAAGAGCAAAACTCCGTCTCAAAAAAAAAAAGTGGTTAAAATATTAAAATATTACATTTTATGATAGGTATATTTTACTAGAATTTTAACAAATAAATTGGGCCAGGCAAGCTGGCTCACACCTGTAATCCCAACACTTTGGGAGGCCACGGAGGGAGGATCACTTGAGCTCAGGAGTCCAAGATCAGCCTGGACAACGTAATGAAACCCCATCTCTACAAAATACGCAAAAATTAGCCAGGCGTGGTGGCGCATGACTGTGGTCCCAGTTACTTAGGAGGCTGAGGTGGGAGGATCACTTAAGCCTGGGAAGTAGAGGTTGTAATGAGCTGAGATGGTGCCACTGCATTCCAGCCCGGGTGACAGAGTGAGACCCCATCTCAAAAAAAAAAAAAAAAAAAAAGGCCGGGTGCGGTGGCTCATGCCTGTAATCCTAGCACTTTGAGAGGCCGAGGTGGGCAGATCACCTGAGGTCAGGAGTTCAAGACCAGCTTGGCCAACATGGTGAAACCCCATCTCTACTAAAAATACAAAAAATTAGCTGGGCATGGTGGTTCGCGTCTGTAGTCCCAGCTACTCGGGAAGCTGAGGCAGGAGAATTGCTTAAACCCAGGAGGTGGAGGTTGCAGTGAGCTGAGATCGCATCACTGCACTCCAGCCTGGTAACAGAGCAAGACTCCATCTCAAAAAAAAAAAAAAAAAAAAAACACCAAATTAATTAACAAAAAAAAGCTCAGGTCTTAGTCTATTAAAAAATATATGGTATCCTGCTTTATTGTAGGTGTTAGCATTATGTTGATTTCAAAGACAGCTTAGAAGCCCAGGCAGGGGCAGCTCAGTGGGCATCTGAGGGCAAGCCCGGACTCTTCTGGAGCCTGGGAGGGAGGAAACTTCTCCTCCTCATGAGTAATGACTGTGGTTTTCTGGCAAACATTAAGGAGGAAGGAACTAAAAATACTTATCGGCCACTCTGCCAAAACTCCACAGTGCTCGGAACGTACCAGGCCAACATGTTGAAGCACTTTCAGAGTGAGAGGGATCTGCCTAAACACCAAGGTCAAAGTCATTTCACACCTTCGCCTTTGCCTCTCGCTGAGCCTGGTGCATAGGAGGAAGGACGGGGCCCCCAGCACAGCTCTAGACCACTGTCCACCCAGGAGAGAGGCAGCAGCAAGGGGAACCAGCCCAGACCTCAGGCGTGTGGCCACAGAGAGGCCTCCCCCAGCCAGCTGCAGGGCCCAGCCGAGCGCTACCAGGAGGGGCCTCTTCTGCTGCCAACTCTAACAAGCTAAGGCAGAAAGAGCATCATAGACATTTCCCTAATGTGTCCTCCCGAGCTGCAGGAATCCAAGCCGAGACACCTGCGGAGGTGGCAGAAGAAGAGGAGAAATAGGTGTGAGAAGACAGCCCAGGTGGAGCAGGGTCCTGGAGGGAGGAGCTTCTTAAACTCCACTGTGCACGTGACTCACTGAGGGGGCTCTGGTTACAATGCAGATTCTGATTAAGCTGATCTAGGGTGGGGCCGAGATCCCGCCTTTCCAACAAGTGCCCAGGTATGCCGACGCAGCTGGCCCATGGACCACATTTTGAGGAACAAAACAAACTCCCCCAACCCCCCGCCAGGCACAGAGGGCAAATAGGGATGGGAGTTGGGGGTTGGCAGTGGTGACTCGGGTGTGGTGAGGTCCTGGTTTGGGGACTGAGGAACATTTTCTGAATCCTGGCCTTACCATACAGGTGGGCATGAAAGCCAACGGCCTGTGACTTTGCATCAGGTGTTGTGATGGTTGAGACTGAGTGTCAACTTGATTGAAGGATACAGAGTATGGATCCTGGGTGTGTCCGTGAGGGTGTTGCCAAAGGAGATTAACGTTTGAGTCAGTGGGCTGGGAAAGGCAGACCCACCCTTAATCTGGGTGGGCACCATCTAATCAGCTGCCAGCTCGGCTAGAAAGTAAGCAGGCAGAAAAATGTGGAAAGAGAGACTGGCTTACCTCCCAGCCTTCGTCTTTCTCCTGTGCTGGATGCTTCCTGCCCTCGAAACATCAGACTCCCAAGTTCCTCAATTTTGGAACTCGGACTGGCTCTTCTTGCTCCTCAGCCTGCAGATGGCCTGTTGTGGGACCTTGTGATGGTGTGAGTTAATACTTAATAAACTCCCCTTTATATATATATCATATAATATATGATATATACAAATATATATATTTATATAAATACATATTATATATAAATAAATATATAAATATATAATATATAAATATATTTATAATTAATTATAAATATATTTATGTAAATATAAATATATTAATATATAATTATAATTATATTTATATAAAATTTATAATTTAATATGTATAATTATATATTATATAATTATAATATATAAATATATAAAGGGGAGTTTATTAAGTATTAAGTTTATATATATATTTATATATATATATATATTCCATGAGCTCTGTCCCTCTAGAGAACCCTAATACAGGTGTGAAAAAATGTTACTCAGTTTGGGTGCTGCCAAGTGGGTTTGGGGAGTACAGGCACCCACTAACCACTGGGGGAAAGAGTGTCATTGCAGAAAGGGCACACGCTGACCCAAATGAGTAAGCCTCAGTGTCTGACACACCTGGATTTAAATCCCAGTTGTTCCACATCAGCCATGTGCCCTTGGGCAGGTCATTCTGAGCCTCAGTTTGTTTATTTATCTATCACCTTTCTGTGACCGATAGAATAATGGCCCACAACCATGTATGAATACATTTCCTAACCCTCCGAGCCTGTGAATGTGTGACATCATATCACAAAGGGTCTTTTTTTATTTTATTTTTTTTTTTTTTGGTGAGACTGAATCTCACTCTGTCACCCAGGCTGAAGTGCAGTGGTATGATCTCAGCTCACTGCAACCTCCACCTCCGGGTTCAAGTGATTCTCCTGCCTTAGCCTCCCAAGCAGCTTGGATTACAGGCATGCACCACCACACCCGGCTAATTTTTGTATTTTTAGTAGAGACGGGGTTTCACCATGTTGGCCAGGCTGGTCTCAAACTCCTGACTCCAAGTGATCCACCTGCCTCGGCCTCTCAAAGCACTGGGATTATAGGCGAGAGCCACCTCGCCCGGTCCACAAAGGGTCTTTACAGATGTGATGAAATGGAAAGATGTTGAGTGAGTTATGGGGACTCTCCTGCATCATCCAAGTGGACCCAGTGGGATCACAAGAGTCCTTAGAAGAGGGAGGCATGAGAGTCAGAGTCTGAGAAGGAGATGGGATCACAACCGCCAAGGTCAGAGCGAGATGTGAAGAGGCAGCACTGCTGGCTTTGAAGAGGAGGAGGAGGGGACCACAAACCAAGGGATGTGGGCAGCCTGAGGGAGCTGGAAAAGGCAAGGAAAGGGATTCTCCTGCAGAGCCTAGAGCAGGAACACAGCTCGGCCAATGCCTTCATTTTGGTCCAGTAAGACCCATTTCCTCCATAACTGTAAGATAATAAATGGATGTGTTGTTTTAGGGCACTATGTTTGTGATCATTGGTTACAACAGGAGTAGGAAACGCATATATTTTCCCACAGGATAGTTACAAAGATTAATGAAATTGGCAGCGGGCAGTGGCTCACACCTGTAATCCCAGCACTTTGGGAGGTCGAGGCGGGTGGATCACTTGAGGCCAGGAGTTCAAGACCAGCCTGGGCCAACATAGGGAAACCCCATCTCTACTAAAAATACAAAAATCAGCCAGACTTGTTGGCGGGCACCTATAATCCCAGCTACTCAGAAGGCTGAGGCAGGAGAATCACTTGAACCCAGGAGGCAGAGGTTGCAATGAGTTGAGATGGTACCACTGCATCCAGCCTCGGCTCTGTCTCAAAATAATAAAAATAATAATAATGAAATTATGCATCTTGGAGCACAGGGTCAAAAAGAGAAAAGAAATTATGCATCTGTAGGGTTCCCAGCACAGAACCCTGCTCTCCTTAAGCTGCAGTTGTTAGCAGGCTTGTGCCATGTCATGCATAGCAGGGACAAACATGTTTATTACTGTCAGGAACATAGGTGCTGCTCTATCAGGGGTGCCCCCCACCGTCGCCTGCACCAGAAGCAGTGGAGATTTCTCATACCATGGCTGATCACTAAATGGTGACCACAAACCTCCTGAATCCACACACTTCGATGACTCTCAGGTCGGACAATCATTGGAGTGGGGGAAGGAGGGGTCCCCAAAGTAAGATCAGGAACCCCTGATGAAGCACAAAGGGGACATTCATCCTGAGGATTCCAGCCAGCATCATGCCCTTTCCTTTACCTAAGAGAATTAAAGTCCACTGGGAGAAAAGTCTCTAAACCTGCAAACTTCACACACACACACACACACACACACACACACACACACACACACAATGCCATTTGAGGCCAGACATCGTGGCTCACACCTGCAATCCCAGCACTTTAGAAGGCCGAGGCAAGAAAATCACTTGAGCCTCAGAGTTCAAGACCAGCCTGGGCAATGATGTGGCAAGACCTTGTCTCTACAAAAAAATTAGATAAAATAACATTAGCCAGGCATGGTGGTGTGCACCTGCAGTCTCAGCTACTCAGGACACAAAGACAAGAGGATTGCTTGAGCCCAGGAGTTTGAGGTCAGCCTGGCCAACTTAACGAAACCCCCTCTCAAAAAAAAAAAAAAAAAGAGCCACGCATAATGATGCATGCCTATCTGTAGTCCCAGCTACTCGGGAGGCTGAGGTGTGAGGATCGCTTAAGCCTGGGAGACAGAGGTTGCAGTGAGCTGAGATCGCAGCACTGCACTTCAGCTTGAGCGACAGTGAGACCCTGTCTCAAAAAAAAACAAAAAAGCCATTTTGGGAATGGGGAGGCAATAGTGTAAAATGGGCTCATCTGCAGTCACAATTTTGGGTTGATGTAAATGAAACAGACATAGAGTGGAGGCTCCGTAAAGGAAGGGGTGGTAGGGACCGAGGCTGCCTAGTCCTAACCAAGACCGAGGTCTCCCCCTTGGCTCTGGGATTACCAGCCTTAGGCCTGGGCCCGGGCATAATGTATCATAACTATGAAGTAAGTTCTTCAAATTATGATCATTTCAGGAACCATTTTTTATGAGAAAATAAATTTTAAATAATAGCATTTTTAACTTTTTATGGCTACATTTGCCATGTGACCGGTGACAAGGTATATTTTTGCACTAAATGGGATGCATTCATTATCTCCGAAGTAACACTCACTCGCTGGAACTACATGAGCAGGATGAAGGGACAGGCTGAATCAGACAGCCATTCTTTTCACCTGTGACATATGAGCCCACGTTCAGTGGGAAACACACACACACACACACAAAGATAAAGGTAGGATAGTCGGGCCCGTGAGTCTAAAGTAGGTCCCTAAAAGGCAGAGGAAGATTCTGAACAGAGAAATAGATTTTTGAGACAGAGTCCCAGGCTGGAGTGTAGTGGCGCAATCTCGGCTCACCTCAACCTCTGCATCTCGGGTTCAAGCGATTCTCATGCCTCAGCCTCCCGAGTAGCTGGAACTACAGGCACGAGTCACCACGCCCAGCTAATTTTTGTATTTTAATAGAGTTGGTGTTTCATCAAGTTGGCCAGGCTGGTCTTGAACTCTTAACCTCAGGTGATCAGCCCACCTCGGCCTCCCACAGTGCTAGGATTACAGGCATGAGTCACCATGGCCAGCCCAGACCAGTAGATTTTAATTCAGGCCCAGCAAACATAGTAGTTTGTGTGTGTGTGCGTGCGTGTGCGTGCGTGTGTGCGTGTGAGTGTGTGCGTGTGTGTGTGTGTGCGTGCGTGTGTGTGTGTGCGTGTGTGTGCGTGCGCGTGTTTGTGCGCGTGTGTGTGTGCGCGCGTGTGTGTGTGCGTGTGTGTGTGTGTGCGCTTTACTCATTTGTTTAGCTGTTAATTAAATAGTTTAACTTTGGTCTTATACTTCCCAAAACTTCCAAAAACGGAAAACAAACTTCAATGGATAATGAATTCTCTACCTATCTCTCCACGTTCCTATGGGAACACAGTAGGTCGGAGTTGACCCGCTGTCTGTGCAGGCTATCAGGGGTCGGGCAGCAGACAGTTGGAGCGTATGGATGGGAGGTTTGCTGGCAGGAAGACCCATGAAACTAGGCATAGGAGGCTCACATAGTGTCTTTTGTCCCTGGGGAGAAGGACAGGATGCTTTTGTATAGTGCTTTACAGTCTACACACTCCTTTTCTAAATGTTCTGTCACCTGCCTGGGACTGTCTACATGACTCGTAGGACCTGGTGCAAAATGAAAATGCAGGCCCCTTGTTAAAAATGTATAACTGGATATAGTGGCTCACACCTGTAATCCCAGCACTTTGGGAGGCCAAGGTCAGAGGATCACTGGAGCCTAGGAGTTCAAGAGAAGCCAGTGCAACATACTGAGACCCGATCTCTGCAAAATAAATAAATTAGCCATCTATGATTGTGCATGCCTGTAGTCCCAGCTACTTGGGAGGCAGAGGCAAGAGGATTGCTTGAGCCCAGGAGTTTGAGGCTGTAGTGAGCTATGATCGCACCACTGCTCTCCAGCCAGGGCAACAGAGCTGGAGCCCATCTCTAAAATAAAATTTAAAAAAAATTTTAATAGGAATTTTAAGACAGCAAATCATTAAGCCAAGTACAGGGTCCTCTGTGACTTCTCGGCTGTCTGCTTGTGGAACTGGCCCGCCCCCTGCATAATATTCAGAAATCACACCCTATGCATTCCCCACCAGGCCCACAGGCACCCCCTACCCAGCCCACCCCCTACTCCCAGCCATGCTTTTAGCTGCAAATTACAAAAGCCCAAAACTGGCTTAAACAATAAGGACATTTATTGGATCAAATGACTGGAGGCCAAGAGAAAGGGTGGGCTTTGGGACCTAGCTATTCCACTGGCTCTGCCTCAGTTTCCCTGCCATGCTCTGAGTCCTGCCCTCTTGAGCTGGTGATGTCATCCTTGGAGCAGAAGTAAGAATGGCTGCCGCAGCTTGGGGCTCTCCCATTTATTTGTGCACAGCAATGTCCAAAGGAAGAGAGACCACTTCTCCCTATGGCCGTTCCTTAAAAACAAGGACATTTCCTTCCCAACAATGTCCTTGAGAAAACATCAAACTGATCTGCAGACCCATCCCTGAACCTCTCCCTGTCACAGAGGAATGCCACTTGCTGGCCCAACCTCGGATTCTTTGACTAAGAATAGGCAAGGGGAAGGAGTGGAATTAGCTTGATTGGCTTCAGCAGCCCCCCTCCCCGCCCACCTGGTGTCAAACCACTGCACCACATCACTGCTGCACAATGGAGAGAGTGTTGCCCACCACTCTAAATGACAGTCCCCATGACCCGCCTTATCCTTTGGTGAAAACTGTCTATGGGCAGCCATGTTTTGTAGCATATGACATTGACCCTTAGCCACATTTGATAGGACTGTGGGTCTCCTGACCTAGAACAGCCAATCCAGGGACTGCGCATCATCCTGGTTTAGAAAGATGAGGTAGCCAGGCCCAGTGGCTCATGCCTGTAATCCCAGCACTTTGGGAGGCTGAGGAGGGCAGATCATTTCAGGTCAGGTGTTCAAGACCAGCCTGGCCAACATGGTGAAACCCGTCCCTACTAAAAATACAAAAATTAGCCAGACGTGGTGGCACACACCTGTGGTCCCAGCTACTCAGGAGGGTGAGGCAAGAGAATCACTTGAACCCGGGAGGTGGAGAAAGTTGCAGTGAGCCGAGATGGTGCCACTGCCCTCCAGCCTGGGCAATAGAGTGAGACTCCGTCTCAAAAAAAAAAAAAAAAGAAAAAGAAAAAAAATGAGCTGGACCAATCAGATTCTTGCCTGGGGCATTTGAAGGAAGAAACCGTAAGCTTGAGAGAATGGGGCAGTTAATGTTAAAAGTTGATATTTGCAGCCATGAAAAAGAACAAAATCATGTTTTGTTTTGTTTTTTGTCTCACTCTGTCACCTGGCTGGAGTACAGTGGCATGATCTCGGCTCACTGCAGCCTCCACCTCCTGGGTTCAAGTGATTCTCCTGCCTCAGCCTCCCGAGTAGCTGGGATTATAGGTGCGCACGACCACACCTAGCTAATTTTTTGTATTGTTGGTAGAGATGGGGTTTCATCATGTTGACCAGGCTGGTCTCGAACTCCTGGCCTCAAGTGTTCCATCTTCCAAAATCATATATTTTGCAGCAATGGGGATGCAGCTGGAGGCCATCATCCTAAGCAAATTAATGAAGGAACAGAAAACCAAATATCACATGTTCTTACTTATAAGTGAGAGCTAAAATTTGGGTACTCATGGACATAAAGATGCCAGCAATATACCCTGGGGGGCCGGGCATGTTGGCTCACATCTGTAGTCCCAGACCTTTGGGAAGTGGAGGCAGGAGGATTGCTTGACCTGAGGAGACCAAGACCAGCCTAGGCAACATAGCAAGACCTCATCTCGACTAAAAATTTAAAAAAAAAAAAATTAGCCAGGCATGATGGTGCACGCCTGTGGTCCCAGCTACTAGGGAGGCTGAGGTGGGAGGATCACTTGAGCCTGGGAAGTTCACCAGAGTGCCACTGCACTCCAGCCTGGCAACAGAGTGAGCCTGTCTTAAAAAAAAAAAAAAAAAAAAAGAAAGAAAAGGAAAAGAAAAAAAAAGAAAAGAGACACTGGGGAGTCCTAGAGAGGAGTGGAGAGGAGAAGGAGGGGGACAAGGTTGAAAAACTGACTCTTGGGTACTATGCTCACTCCCTGGGTGATGGGTTCCATTGTACCCCAAACCTCAGCATCACACAATATTCCCATGTAACAACCTGCACAGGTACCTCCAAATCTAAAATAAAACTTGGAGGAAAAAAAGTTGACCTTTAAACATTATAACACAGAAAGAAGCCAGAGAGGCCATTGTGGGCCCTGTGCAACTGAAGTTATGAAGGAGAAGAAATGTGGATCGGATGAATGTATAAAGTAGATGTAGACTGACAGGCGAGACACAGCAGGAGAGAGCAGGGAACAGGAGGCCTGGAGGAGCCCATGACTGTGTCAAGGGCAGAATACCCGAGTGAAACCCACACACTCCTGCTCCCGCGGCCCCTGGGGCAGCCCTAAATCCAGAAGTGTCCTTTTGCAGCTCCAAGACTTCAATTCGCCTGTCCGGCTTTTCCCGGGCTCCTGTGCCTGGATATCTCCTTCATCACCCACCAGGCTCTCATTCCTTGAGTGTCTTTTGGTTTTTTCTTTTCTTTTCTTTTTTTTTTTTTTTTTTTTTTTTTTTGAGACGGAGTCTCGCTCTGTCACCCAGGCTGGAGGGCACTGGCGCGCGATCTCGGCTCACTGCAAGCTCCGCCTCCCGGGTTCACGCCACTCTCCTGCCTCAGCCTTCCGAGTAGCTGGGACTACAGGCGCGCCCGCCACCAGGCCGGCTAATTTTTTGTATTTTTAGTAGAGACGGGGTTTCACCGTGTTAGCCAGGATGGTCTCGATCTCCTGACCTCGTGATCCGCCCGTCTTGGCCTCCCAAAGTGCTGGGATTACAGGCATGAGCCACCGCGCCCGGCCTGTTTTTTTTCTTACGACCAGAAGAGTCCTTTCTTAAACAGGGATCTTAGATGTAATTGCACTTTTCAGCTGAGTAAGAGGAGAGAAATACAAGAAAAGAGCCATTCATTCGCTGAACACATGTTGAGAACTCTCTGTGCCCTGAGCCACTTTGGGGAGACAATGATAACTTGAATCCACAGTATTATAAAGGGAAGAAAGAAGACAGACAGCTAAGCAAGTAATTCTACTGCGATGAGATGAGCATGAGAGGAGGAGGAAGGAAATGATTGTCTCCAAACCCCAGCATCCTCAGAGTCAAATGTCTCCAAAGCATAAACCACACTGGAAATGTATGCTTGGAGTTGAAGATGAGATGCAAATGTTTGATAATGAACAGGCATATGGGAAATTTATTTCAGCTCCCCTCCTTACCACTACCCCGGACCTGCAATCCTTCCATCTCTATTAAAAAGAATTTAAAACAAACAAACAAACAAGGTGTATCCTGAGAGCTTTGCACAGATTAATTTTTACAGTGGGTGAAGCCCACAAAAGTGCAGCCTTTGGTTACAAAGAACTGTGATAACAAAAGCGGTATCCATGGTAACTGATCAGAAACATAGGAAATCTATGACGAATCTCTGATGAAACAGATAATCCGACTAGATGATACTGACTCATTAATCTAGTTATGGAACCTTACAAGAAAAATAATTGTACCTTCAGAGAAGCAGGAGACCCACATCTCAACACAGTATCCATCTGCATCAGGGACTCCAAGGGAATCACCTTTTTCTCCGAAAATAGATAGGGAACTGAGACCCAAAATCTCAGTGTGTGTTGGCAAGTTGGGGGACGGGCAGGAGGCATGTAATGAGGAAGAGCTTGCATATTCTGATGGGGAAAATTTAGCCTCACTTTCTTGATTCACTTATCTCATGGGCATTTAATATATCCACTGGCCCATGCGTGTAATCCCAACACTTTGGGAGGCCGAAGTGGGAAGACTGCTTGAGATCAGCAGTCTCAAAAAAAAATCTTGTTTTTTTTGAGACAGGGTCTCACTGTCACCCAACCTCCCCCTCCCAAGTTCAAGCGTTTTTCCTGCCTCAGCCTCCTGAGTAGCTGGGACTACAGGCATGCACTATGACTCCCAGCTAATTTTTGTATTTTTAGTAGAGACGAGGTGTCACCATGTTGGCCAGGCTGGACTTGAACTCCTGACCTCAGGTGGTCTGCCCGCCTCGGCCTCCCAAAGTGCTGGGATTACAGGCATGAGCCACCATGTCTGGCCTACAAAGAAATTTTACAGGTATGGTGGCGCGCCTGTAGTAACAGCTACTTGGGATGCCAAGGTGGGAGGATTGTTTGAGGTTGGGAGTTCAAGGCTGCAGTGAGCTATGATCGCACCCCAGCACTCCAGTCTGGGTGACAGAGCGAGACCCTGTTTCAAAAAAAGAAATTTTTTTAAGGCCAGGCAAGGTGTCTCATTCCTATAATCCCAGCACTTTGGGAGGCCGAGACAGGCGGATCCTCTGAGGTCAGGAGTTCGAGACCAGCCTGGCCAACATGGTGAAACCCTATCTCTACTAAAAATACAAAAAAATTAGCGTGGTGGCGTGCGCCTGTAATCCCAGCTACTCAGAGCCTGAGGCAGGAGAATCACTTGAACCCGGAAGGTGGAGGTTGCAGTGAGCCGAGATTGCACCACTCCACTGCAGCCTGGGCAACAGAGTGAGACTCCCTCGCAAAAAAAAAAAAAAAAAAAAAAAAAAAAACAGGTTCAAGCGATTTTCCTGCCTCAGCCTCCTGAGTAGCTGGGATTACAGGCGCATGCCACCGTGCCTGGCTAATTTTGGTATTTTTAGTAGAGACGAGGTTTCACCATGTTGGTCAGGCTGGTCTCAAACTTCTGACCTCATGATCTGCCTGCCTCAGCCTCCCAAAGTGTGGAGATTACAGGCATGAGCCACCGTGCCCGGCCAAAACCAAAATTTTTAAAAATCTACTGAGGATTCACAGATTGATGTTGAATATTGAAAGGCACATTTTAAGAAAGCGGTAAAGTCCTGTGTTTGGGGAACCCTCTGCCCAGGCCTCTGAAGCAGAAAGGGTCCAAGGAAATTTGTGCCAAACTTTGCAGAAGGACTTTAGCTTTGTGTGTGTGTGTGTGTGTGTGTGTGTGTGACAGTGACAGCATTTCGCTCTGTCATCCAGGCTGGAATGCAGTGGTGCAATCATAGCTCACCACAGCCTCCATCTCCCGAGCTCAAGCAATCCTTCCGCTTCAGCCTCCCGAGTAGCTGGGACTACAGACATGCACCACTGTGCCCACCAGGACTTTAGCTTAATTCTCACAGACTTAGGAGAGACATATGCCATGCACAAGACCCCAGCAAAGGCCTGGGGTGTGATTGCTTGGCAATTAGCCCTGGCCCAGTGGCATTTCTGCTAATGTGGCTTGGAGAGTAACCTGCAACCCTAGGCATGGATGGATAGGACTTTATGCCCAGCTCTTCCTCTTTCTATGAATGTCTCTATACACAAAAGCTGGACAGAATTATGGACCTTCCCCTTCTTGCTTTGTGGGGACCTTGTGAACATGCACTATGTGCTGTTCACTTCTGAAAGAAATAGCACATAGGCGGCCGGGCGCAGTGGCTCACGTCTGTAATCCCAGCACTTTGGGAGGCCGAGGCGGGTGGATCACGAGATCAGGAGATCGAGACCATCCTGGCTAACACGGTGAAACCCCATCTCTACTAAAAAATACAAAACATTAGCCGGGCATGGTGGCGGGCGCCTGTAGTCCCAGCTACTCGGGAGGCTGAGGCAGGAGAATGGCCTAAACCCGGGAGGCGGAGCTTGCAGTGAGCCAAGATCGCGCCACTGCGCTCCAGCCTGGGCAACAGAGTGAGACTCCGTCTAAAAAAGAAAGAAAGAAAGAAAGAAAGAAAGAAAGAAAGAAAGAAAGAAAGAAAGAAAGAAAGAAAGAAAGAAAAGAAAAGAAATAACACTACATAAATCATATGGGCTGAAATTTAATTTTTATATTACAATCGAGAAAATCAAGCCTGTGAAGATGGCCCTAAGGTCAGCTGAAGGAAACGGGAATTGATTTCTTCATGAAGTCATGGTGTGACAAACCCCTGGCCAGATGTGACCTGGCAAATGTCCACATCTGCATCAGAGAACCCACACTGTCATCCTTTCATACTTAGAAAACAGTTTAATAACGTGGCAGGGAGTGATTACATTAACCATGGAACAGCTGCCTATCTGATGAATTGGAATGGGCAGCAGTATATGCAAGTTACATTTCAGAGTCAATGAGTTTTGATAATTGAGTTTATCCCTAGCAATGAGTACAGTTCTAGGAAGTCTAGATAAAAGCGTTATGGGTTCTGTTGGCTTAAGTGTTTCCTGAGCAAGGACCATTAGCTTTGTGTGACTTTTTTGGACTTTTTGTTGTCATTACATCTGGGATAGAACTTCAGTGTTCTCCAGCCTCGTTGCTACCCCCACAGAGCCCCTTTTTATTGTTTTTGTTTTTTGTTGTTGTTATTTTGAGACAGGGTCTCACTCTGTCCCCCAGGCTGGAGTGCAGTGGTGTGATCTCAGCTCACTTCAGCCTCCACCTCTGGATTCCAGTGTTTCCCCTGCCTCAGCCTCCCGAGCAGCTGGGACTACAGACGCACACCACCACACCCAGCTAATTTTTGTATTTTTGGTATAGATGGGGTTTCTTCATGTTGTCCAGGTTGTTCTCGAACTCCAGGCCTCGGGTTATCCTCCCACCTCGGCCTCCCAAATGTTGGGATTACAGGCGTGAACCACCTTGCCCAGCCCTAATCTCTTCTTATGAAGACAGCAGTCATGTGGGATTACAGCCCACCCTAATGACCTCCTTTTAACTTAATTACCTCTTGAAAGACCCTATCTCCAAATAGAGTCACAATCTGAGGTACTAGGGGTTACAATTCATATGAATTCATATGAATTTGGGGAACCATAGCATCAAGATTTACGTTTACCTTATATATTCATGTTAAAATATATACTACATATGTTAATATAATATACTTATGTTATAATTTATAATATATATTTATGCTATACAATATAACTATTATATATATATTTAAAAATCATCTGTCAATCGTGCAAAATAAATTTGATAGGCCCCAGGCATAGTGTGGAAGTGGAAGGAGTGAAAACAAGGTGAATCTGGAAGATGCAGCACATAGCACTGTAAAATAGCACAGGTGCAATAAGCGGAGAGCAATAAAAGGTGGTAGTAATTAAATGCTGGCCAGGATGGTGCAATCCCTAACTACCACAGGAGCTCGGGGAAGGGAGAGAAATCGGCGGTGGGCAGAAAGTGTGGAAGAGGCTTGTAGAGGGGTTGGACCTCAAAGCATGGGGCGGTTGTAGGTAGGAGAATTAAGGGGGAGCTACCTTAATAAAGAGGTGCAGGCAGAACCATGAGGATTGGCTTCATAGCTGGAGCTCCAGTTTGCAAAGCTCTCTATTTAAGGTCTGGACAGGACTGCATTGCTGGGGTCTTCTCAGCCAAACTCATTAGCTTAGGAAGCCGCTGCTCAGGGCACAGTATTTAAATATGTAGGACTCTGCCCTTGCGTCTTAATTGATCCTGAAGCAATGCCCAGACATAACGCTGAGAACCCCAGTCAGCAGGAAGAGCACTTCCTTCATTCAGTAACTTGGTATTTTGCATCGGCATCCTATTGGAACCCACCAGGCAACCTCTTACTGCCTCCGAAGCCCTCTGAGGAACTTACAAACGCCAGGCCCCGACGGGGGAGAAAGGTGGGGCACCGCAGTGGGAGCAGTCACAGGAACCTGACACCCACTGTCGGGCACATGGCTGTGCGTGTTTCAATGGGACTGATTTTTTTTTTTTTTTACTTATTTTTAGACAACCTCAAATAACAATCTAGAAAAGCCAGACTCCAGAGAACAATGAGAAAATGTAGAGAAGCCAAATATAAAAATACCGGCACATGCAAAAAATAAAACAAAATAAAAAAATCAATTCACTTCCACAGATTACAAGTGGAAATTCCCAGAGGGACGAGTAGATTTTGGAAGAGAAAAAGAGATTATATTTTATGGGAAGAGATACAATAACCATTCTCTTCCCATAAAACAAGTGATGGAAGATTGTCTCTGCTTCATAGATATACACTGCACATTTTCAGGATGATACTAACAGGAAATCAATAGGATCTTTTATATGTGAAAAGACATTATCTCTCCGGATTCCCAGCACGGCTAATCGGGCTACAGAAGATCTTCACGAAAACTTACCACTGGCCATTAATCTTGGTCCTGCGACAGTAAGTAGCCTGCAAATCCAGATCTTTGTTTATTTTTAAATTATACTTATTATTTATTTATTTTTTTATGGGGGAGATAGTCGCGTTCAAAGCATCACCCTCCATTAGAGCCACAGAGCCTCCAGATGACAAGTGTCTCCACAGCAGACCAGATGCTCCCGGAGAGCCCCTCCTGCCCACGTCCACGCTGGGTGATGGCCATGTCATTAGCCACCAGAAGCTTTATCTGGGTATAATTTGATAGCTATGACAGGCTCAGCGGGATTTATGGGATCTCCTGGTTTTTGCCTTTATTGATCTGAAATAGAACCAAAGTTAATATCAGCAAAAAACACTTTGTGCTGGGGTCATTTACCCATGAAAGGCTTTGGTGACTGGTGGCTTTGAACATTTATTATACAAGTGTTCTTGGCCAGCTCTAGGTCATGAGCCTCATGATGGCCGACAGACTACACATTCTGGCCTCTCCTGCCACGGGAGTATCTAACCACTGTCCTGGTAAGACCCTTTCTTTTTCCAAGACACCTTAATCATCACAGGGTATAGAGCCCGTTAGTATCAAGTTTGGATTTAGCACTGGCTCTGCCCTGGCATTAGTTTGCTCCAGCTGCCCTAACCAAGTACCAAAGTCTGTGTGGCTTAAAACAACAGAAATCTCAGTGGGGCACATTGGTTCATGCCTGTAATCCCAGCACTTTGGGAGGCCAAGGCGGGAGGATCACTTGAGGCTAGGAGTTTGAGTCCGGGCAACATAGTGAAACCCCCATCTCCAAGAAAAATACAAAAAAAAATACACACGAAAAAAATTACAGGCATAGCATATGTGCCTGTAGTCCCTGCTACTTGGGAGGCTGAGGTGGGAGCATTGCTTGAGCCCAGGAGGTCAAGGCTGCAATGAGCCAGGATCATGCCACTCTACTCCAGCCTGGGTGACAGAGACTGATATATACATATATATATATATATGATATATATGTGTATATATATACACGTATATATGTGTGTATATATATACACGTATATATGTGTGTATATATATACGTATATACGTATATATACACGTATATATGTGTGTATATATATACATATATATGTATATATACACGTATATATGTGTGTATATATACGTATATATGTATATATACACAGACATATATATACATCTCATATATATACACACACACATATATATATATATATGACAGAACATATATATATTCTCTCGTGGTTCTGGAGGCTTGAAATCTAAACCCAGGCATCCCCAAGGCCATGCTTTCCCTGGTGGCTGTAAGGGAGGATCCTTCCTTGTCTTTGCAGCTTGCAGAGGTTGCCTCGACATCCCTCGACTTGCAGACGCATCATCACGCCCAAAAGGTGGCCGTCTCCTCCCTGTGTCTTCATATCATCTTCCCTCTGTGTGCACCTGTGTCCGAATTTCCCCTCTTTAAAAGGACACCAAGGCCGGGCACGGTGGCTCACGCCTGTAATCCCAGCACTTTAGGAGGCCAAGGCGGGAGCATCATGAGGTCAAGAGATCAAGACCATCCTGGCCAACATGGTGAAACCCCATCTCTACTAAAAATACAAAAATTAGCTGGGCGTGTTGACGGGTGCCTGTAGTCCCAGCTACTTGGGAGGCTGAGGCAGGAAAAACGCTTGAACCCGGGAGGCAGAGGTTGCAGTGAGCCGAGATCACGCCACTGCACTCCAGCCTGGCCACAGAGCGAGACTCTATCTCAAAAGAAAAAAAAAAGACACCAGTCGTATTGGATTAGGACCCACCCTAATGATTTCTTTTTTTTTTTTTTTTTTTTTTTGAGACAACATTTCATTCTTGTGGCCCAGGCCGGAGTGCAGTGGTGCGATCTTGGCTCACTGCAACCTCTACCTCCCAGGTTTAAGTGATTCTCCTGCCTCAGCCTCCTGAGTAGCTGGGACTACAGGCATGAGCCACCGTGCCCAACCTAATGATTTCAATTAAATTATTTCAAAGGCCCTATCTCCAAATACAGGCACATTCTGAGGTCCTGGGCATAGGACTTGCCTTCAACATAAGAACTGGGGGACCCAATTCAACCCATAACAGCCCTCAAAAGACTTCCCTCATATTAAATGCAGACCAGATCATTCCTAATATGATCAGTGTAGATCGGGGTTCTCAGCCTCGGCACAGTTGACATCTGTCCAGGCAATTTTTTGTTATGGGAAGCTTTCCAGAGCATGACATAGGGTATTTATTAATAGCAGGATCTCAGGCCTCTACCCGCTAGATGCCAGTAGCACCTCTCCCCTCCCTTGTAAGAACCAAAAATGTCCCCATTTATTCATTTATTGCCAAATGTCCCCTGCAAGGGGAAGAGCGCCCCCAGTGGAGAGCCACTGAATTAAGTGAAATGTAGGCCGACCTTAGAGAAGCATTGCAAGGGGACTGAACACAGATGAAGAGGTTAGAGCGCTCACACATCAGGCAGAGAATCTTCCCTAAAAGCGGCGGATTCTGTGAACCCCCTAAATGTCCAGATTCCTTCATGAATTTCAAGAGTGGTTATTGTGTGCCAAGTATATATCAGGCGCTGATCTGGGCACTGGAGGAAAAAAGAGAACAAGACATTTTATTTTTATTTATTTATTTATTTTGTTGTTGTTTTTTGAGATGGAGTCTCACTCTGTCACCCAGGCTGCAGTGTAGTGGCGTGATCTCGGCTCACTGCAAGCTCTGCCTCCCAGGTTCAAGCGATTCTCCTGCTTCAGCCTCCTGAGTAGCTGGGATTATAGCTGGGATTACAGGCGTCCGCCACCACGCCTGGCTAATTTCGTATTTTTAGTAGAGACGGGGTTTCGCCATGTTGACCAGGCTGGTCTTGAACTCCTGACCTCAGGTGCTCCACCTGCCTCGGCCTCCCAAAGTGCTAGAATTACACGTGTGAGCCACCATGCCTGGCCAAGAACAAGACATTTTAAAACCCCTGCCTTAAATATCATACATTTGAGTGGAGAAGACTGAAAATAAATAAGATAAATAAAATATGTAGAATGCTGGATCATCATATGTGTGAATGTGAAAAAAAAAAAAAACAAGGGAAGCAAGGAGGACAAGAAGTGCTGGGAGGATGAAAAAAAAGTGCTTTTTTTGTGTGTGTTAGATGGAGTCTCGCTCTGTCGCCCAGGCTGGAGTGCAGTGGCATGATCTCGGCTCACTGAAACCTCTGCCTCCCAGGTTCAATCGATTCTGCTGCCTCAGCCTCCCAAGTAGCTGTGATTACAGGCACGCACCACCACACTCAGCTAATTTTTGTATTTTTAGGAGAGATGGGGTTTCGCCATGTTGGCCAGGCTGGTCTCAAACTCCTGAGCTCAAGCAATCTGCCTGCCTTGGCCTCCCAAGGTGCTGAGATTACAGGCATGAGCCACCACGCCCAGCCTGGGATGCTGAGATTTTCCAGGGTGGCCCGGGCAGGGCTCACTGAGATGTGGGGACAGGCTGAGAATGGGGGAGTGGGCATCGAATCATGCAGATTCAGGAAGAGCATTGTAGCTGGAGGGAATAGCCAGGGCAAAGGCCCTGAGGCAGGAGTATCCCTGGGGAGTCTGAGGAACAGGAGGAGGCCTGTGGGGCTGGGGCAGCGTGGACAACAGGGAGAGGGTGGCAGATAGAGTCAGTGAGGGAGGGGCGGGAGACAGATGACGGAGAGCTTTCGGGTCATGGCAGAGACAGGCTGGCACCCTGAGAGTTATGAGGAGCCAGTGGAGCTCCTATGTGTGTGTGGCGGGGGGTGCGGGAGGTGGGGGGTAAATCATCCAACATTTAGCAGGATTCCTCTAACAAGGGGCTGAAGAAGTGCCAGGGCAGAAGTCCAGCTATGTGACTATTACTACATCCAAGAGAGAAACAGGGATCCACAGACTAGCGCGGTGGGTGGCGTGAAGTGCGGGGAGATCCTAGATGGATGTGTTTGACGGCAGTGCCAACGAGATTCGCTGATGTGCCAGACATGGGCTCTGAGAGAGCGGGGAGGTCTTCGGCTTCAGCAAACGGAAGACAGAGCCGCGATTAATTGAGACGAGGAGTCAGCAGAAGCAGCTGGTTTGGAGGGAATATCAGAACGTTTGCTATTTGTTTTCATTGGGGTGCAACAGACATAACATAAAATGTGCTCTTTTAGCCACTGTGAAGGGCACAGTTCTGTGGCCATTACTACCTTCACACTGTTGTGCAGCCATTGCCACCACCCATCTCCAGAACCAGGGCAGGAAGCCCGGGCACTTCGACACTGAGTTCCATAGTGGAGCCGGGTACAAGTTGGCCTAAAGATAGGGTTATAGCCAGCTGGGCGTGATGGCTCACGCCTGTAATCCCAGCACTTTGAGGGGCCGAGGCGGGTAGATCACCTGAGGTCAGGAGTTCGAGACCAGCCTGGCTAACATGGTGAAACCCCCATCTCTACAAAAATACAAATATTAGCCAGGCCTGGTGGCGGGCGCCTGTAGTCCCAGCTACTTGAGAGGCTGAGGCGGGAGAATCAGTTCAACCCAGGAGACAGAGGTTGCAGTGAGCCAAGATCACACCACTGTGCTCCAGCCTGCGTGACAGAGCGAGACTCCATCTAAAAAAATAAAATAAAGATAGGGTTGTCAGATGTCCCTCTTCTCCAGGGACAGACCAGATTCTAGCCATTGCCCTATAATTAATAGCGGCTCTTCTCACTCTGGAAAGTGTTCTAGTCTGGGTGATAACATGGCCACCCCTCTTACTCTGAAGTAAGAACTCCCAGGCAGCATCTCTTGTAAAGTAAAGATGCAGAGCTTCAGGGACTCAGAACCTCCACCTGCGCTCCTCCACTACAGGCACATCTCAGTTACTTGGACCCAGTTCAAGGATGGGTGAAGGCCTGTTTTTGCCAATGACTAAACAACCTTGGAGAAGTCTGTGCACATCGGTCGCTATGTCCTTGGTTCTGGCAGGAAGCAAATGTAAACTCCCAGTCGTGAGGGCAACCACATAGCCTTGGGTCTCCTTTCCTCCTCGACTCACTGGTTCTGACGCACTAAACAAATGATAAGCCTAGATTGCTAGTCTTTGGCTGTGATATCTCCTGCTAGAACTTCCATCTCTCCCACAGCCTACCCTGTGGGACCATCTGCTTCTTTACAGCAAATCTCACCTCACCTGTTGACATTTACATGCACATGCCAAAACTAAGAGAAAGCCTGAAGAATGTGGGACATGAGGAGCTGGGATGTTCCTGGGTCGCTCCACGCTTCATGAGTCAGGCAGGCTGGAATGTGGTTGAAAATCAGGGAGTTATGGATACACATTCCAAAGTCCCCGGTGACATGTTCAGAATGAACGGAACTCCATGACAGGCAAAAACAACAGCCCTTGTTTAATTCTGAAGTTTACATGCACATTGGCACTGTTCTATCCTAACCTTTTGTTTCCATGGAAACCATTTATGATACCACAAAAAGAGGATTCTGACCAAAGTAAGGAAGGAATAGCAGCAATGGAAACTTGCTTTCAAATGAGCTTCAGGTAGAGGGAAGGACAGGGAAAAAAAAAAACAAAGAAACAAAATGTGGAGCCTGATACGGTTTGGATTTGTGGCCCTGCCCGAATCTCATGTCAAATTATAATCCCCAATGTTGGAAGATGGGCCTGGCGGGAGGTGATTGGATCATGGGGGCAAACTTCCCCCTTGCTGTTCTCGTGATAGTGAGTGAGTTCTCGTGAGATCTGGTTGTTTGAAAGTGTGCAGCACCTCCCCCTTCGCTCTCTTTTCCTCCTGCTCCAGTCACGTGGGACGTGTCTGCTTGCCCTCCACCTTCCGCCATGATTGTAAGTTTCCTGAGGCCTCCCAACCATGCTTCCTGTACAGCCTGTGGAACCGTGAGCCAATTTAACCTCTTTTCTTTATAAATGACCCAGTCTCAGGTAGTTCTTTATAGCAATGCAAGAACAGACGAATACAGAGCCATGCCCAGAGCTATTGTTAGGGAGAATGACTCTCTCCGGATGCCCTAGGATGGATGTTTGTGGCCCACTCCTACCAGAGTTGATTCTGACGATCTAGCTGGCTGAGTAACCCTTCCAAAAACTGCTTTACCCTTATGTTTTCTTTTCTCAAGAAAAAAAGTGTTGTTCAACCAAGGGGAAAGCACTCTCTGTTGTAACCCAAGCATGCAGAGGCATGGGGTGGAGGAGCAGACGTCACCTAGAGTATTAGTTTCCTGAGCCTGCTGTAATAAACTTGGTAGCCTAAAACAATAGAAATTTATTTTCTTACCGCTCTGGAGGTCAGAAGTCCAAAATCTGGGTGTCAGTAGATCCACGCTCCCTTTGAAGACTGTAGGACAGACTCCTTCCTTGCTTCTTCTGGTATCGGTGACTTGTTGGCCTGTGGTTGCTTCACTCCAATCTCTGCCTCTGTCTTCTCATGGCCGTCTCCCCTGTGTCTGTGTCTCAAATCTGCCTCTACCTTTTTCTCATAAGGACACCTGTCAGTGGAGCTAGAGTCCATCCTCAATCCAGAATGATATCAAGATCCTTCATTACATCTGCAAAGACCCATTCTCGAAATACGGTCCCTTTCTCATGTTCTGGGGGTTAGGACTTGGACATCACTTTTGGGAGCCACGATTCAACCCACTATACCCATATAACAGGAGACTTTGCCGTGGCAACTATAAAAATTCACATTCCATTTTGGGAGGCTGAGGTGGCAGATCACGAGGTCAGGAGACCTTCCTGGCTAACACGGTGAAACCCTGTCTCTACTAAAAATACAAAAAAAATTAGCCGGGCGTGGTGGCACACGCCTGTAATCCCAGCTACTCAGGAGGCTGAGGCAGGAGAATTGCTTGAACCCAGGAGGCGGAGGTTGCAGTGAGCCAAGATCGTGCCACTGCACTCCAGCCTGGGCGACAGAGCAAGATTCTGTCTCAAAAAAAAAAAAAAAAAAAAAAAAATTCACATTCTGAGCACCAAATGGGAAACCCCGTAGGTCTTGAAGCTTTGGCCAATTTCGGAAAAATTGCATGAGCAGTTCCTACCACTCCAAGACCTGGGCACGGCAGGGAATCTGGGGCGTTGCCATGGTGATTCTAAACCTTGAAACTTTTGTCTTTTCATATTGTTTGCAAGGAACTAGTTACTCAAACCTCATATGAAATGCAGGAATCCAACAGATAGGCTGTTTCTAGAGTAAGCTCATTGCTTGGAGTGAGAACTCCCCTCTGCCTTCATTGAAGAAACAGCACCTGTGACGTTCTTGGGATTCTCCCCAATGACCACCATACTAGGCTTAGCAACAACCTTAAACTTTCAATATAATCAGACATACCTGAGAGTGAGGAGGACAGACGAGGTAGAAGAGAAATGCTCCAACACAGCCCTCCACCACTCCTATTCAGAAGAAATTTTGAAAATGCTTGAAGGAGGCCAGGCACAATGGCTCATGCCTATAAGTCCCAGCATTTATAGAGGCTGAGGCAGGTGGATTACTTGAGCTCAGAAGTTCGAGGTCAGCCTGGACAACATGGTGAGAACCCGTCTCTATAATTAAAAAAAAAAAAGAGGCCGGGCACTGTGGCTCAAGCCTGTAATCCCAGCACTTCGGGAGGCCAAGGCAGGTGGATCACCTGAGGTCAGGAGTTCGAAACCAGCCTGGCCAACATGACAAAACCCCATCTCTATTAAAAATACAAAAATTATCTGGGTGTTGTGGTGTGTGCCTGTAATCCCAGCTACACAGGAGACTGAGGCAGGAGAATTGCTTGAACCCAGGAGGCAGAGGTTGCAGTGAGCCAAGATCGTGCCACTGCACTCCAGCCTGGGCCACAGAGCGAGACTCCGTCTCAAAAAATAAATAAATAAATAATAAAAATAAATTTTAAAAAAGAAAGAAAATGCTTGAGGCTGGGTGTGGTGGCTCACACCTGTAATCCCAGTAACATGGGAGGCCCGAGGTGGGAGAGGATCACTTAAGGCCAGGAGTTCAAGACCAGCTGCAGCAACCTAGTGAGACCTCATCTTTATTTAAAAATTAAAAAATTTAAAAACAAAACTCTTGACTCTACTAAGATACTGTTGGTAACACGGACAGTGAGTGAAAAGCCTCTGTATGAACAGCTTATCATGATTGGCATGACTCTGCCACCCACATCTGTATTTATAAGCAGCTACAGAGGGCCAGGTGGCAGGTGAAAGCTTGTTTCTCCAGGAAACAACAAACTCAGAGAAGCCGTGGCTTTTGTTGAATCTTCCTGGAACTGTCATGCAGGAAAGCCTGGGAAAGGGAAGATTTGGGTAAGTTCATCAGAGTTTCAGTCTGGACAGGATTTTGGCTGCAGATTCTCTTGGTAATTTCCTTTTACATGAGGTAAAAACGTGAGTGACTTTCCTCATGTTAATACATCCATCACCTTCTAGATCCAGCATCCTGCTTCCAGTAGCGTGCTGGGGCCTCCTGTAGCATGCTGGGGCCTGAACACATGGTCTGACTTCGCAGTCATGGCACTGAACCCCTGAGAACCTACCAAAAAGGAGGGTGCAGAGGAAAACCCTCTCCTTGATGGTGTCCCGCATGGCAGAAACAGGCTTTGCTCCTGGAATACTTTCAGGCCCAGGATCATCTTCACAATGAAAAACCAAGACTAGGCCCGGGCGTGGTGGCCCATGCCTGTAATCCCAGCAATTTGGGTGGCCAAGGCAGGCGGATGGCTTGAGCCTAGGAGTTTGAGACCAGCCTGGCCAACATAGCAAGACCTTGTCTCCACACAAAATGCAAAAATTAGCCAGGCGTGGAGGCATGTGCCTGTAGTCCCAGCTACTCAGGAGGCTGAGATGGGAGGATTGCTTGAGCCCAGGAGGTGGAGGCTACAGTGAGCCAAGATCACACCATTGCACTCCAGCCTGACAGAGTGACAGAGACACTGTCTCAAAATAAAAAAATACAAAAAGATAAACCAGGACTGGGAAAACAGAACTAAGGTGGTATGCCCACTTATTGTGAGCCTTCTGGAAGGAGGTCGTGCACTTTTGAAAAGAACCAGAGAGGCCAGGCGTGGTGGCTCATGCCTGTAATCCCAGCACTTTGGGAGGCTGAGGCGGACAGATCACCTGAGGTCAGGAGTTCAAGACCAGCCTGGCTAACATGGTGAAACCCTGTTTCTACTTTAAAAAAAAAAATACAAAAAACATAGCCAGGGCCGGGCACGGTGGCTCACGCCTGTAATCCCAGTACTTTGGGAGGCTGAAGCAGGTGGATCACAAGGTCAGGAGTTCAAGACCAGCCTGGCCAACATAGTGAAACCCCGTCTCTACTGAAAATACATAAAATTAGCCAGGCGTGGTGGCGGGCACCTGTGATCCCAGCTACTCGAGAGGCTGAGGCAGAAGAATCGCTTGAACCCGGGAGGCAGAGGTTGCAGCGAGCCAAGATCACGCCATTGCACTCCAGCCCGGATGACAGTGTGAGACTCTGTCTCAAAAAAAAATTAGCCAGACGCGGTGGTGCACGCCTGTAATCCCAGCGACTAGGGAGGCTGAGGCTGGAGAATTGCTTGAACCCGGGAGGCGGAGGTTGCAGTGAGCCAAGATTGCGCCATTGCACTCTAGCTTGGGCAACAAAAGCAAAATTCTGTCTCAAAAAAAAAAAAAAAAAAAAATGAAAAGAAAAAGAGAAAAGAACCAGAGAATCAAACACATTGTCCACAAAACAGCCCTGCTTCTGCACAAGCAGGTGATGGGGGCGCCATTTTCCTGAAACATCCCCCTTCCTATTCTAAACCTTCAAGTGCAGTCTCTTTGTACGCTTCTGTTCATTGGGACCACAAGTCTGCCCTCTGCTGGTTAAGGGACATGCAAGCATTATTACAACTGGGAAGGGGACCAGTGCTGTGGCCCCTTAACCGACATTTTTCCCAGAGGGGCAGTGATGTAGGCAGTAATGTACTTACCTCCTAACTCATAGAGACTTTATCTTAAGAGTCAGAGCTGTTGAGTGGCCGATAAAACATTCTCTACCTTCATGGGTCACAGATAACATCTACACGCCGCATATCCCAGGGAATTCTAAAATCAAGCTGGTGTTATCACACCTATGGCTAAAAGTCCTCTGAAACATCATCATATAAGTTAATCTCAAAGAGAAAACATAAATAAACCAAGGAAACATAAAAACAGTCATTGAAAGATACAAACCTGAGTCTGAATCCTGGTCTTTCTATTTACTAGCTCCGTGAGCTGGAACGAGTACTCAACCTCTTTTTTTTTTTTTTTTTTTTTTTTTTTTGAGACACGGTCTGAACTCTGCTTCCTAGGCTGGAGTGCAGTGGGGCGATCTCAGCTTACTGCAACCTCCGCCTCCTGAGCTCAAGGGATCCTCCCATCTCAGCCTCCCAAGTAGCTGAGACTACACACAAGCACCACCACGCCTGGCTAAGTTTGTATTTTTTGTAGAGACGGGGTTTTGCCATGTTTCCCAGACTTGTCTCAAACTCCTGGGCTTGAGCGATCTGTCCATCTCAGCCTCCGAAAGTGCTGGGATTACAGGCATAAGCCACTTCGCACTGTTATTCAACTTCTCTAAACCCCAGTTTCCTCAACTGTAAAATGAGGCTGTCTATAATTACATCAGATAATTGTTGAAAAGATTAAATGAGATCATTAATCAGGTAGCACAGTGCAGTATCTGGCACATTGTAAGCATTCTTTAAATCAGGGGTGTCCCGTCTTTTGGCTTCCCTGGGCCACATTGTTAGGATTGTCTTGGGCCACACATAAAATATACTAAACACTAACAATAGCTGATGTGCTTCAGCAAAAAAAAAAAAAAGGCCAGGCACCGTAATTTACAGCTGTAATCCCAGCACTTTGGGAGGCCGAGGCAGGCAGATTACCTGAGGTCAGGAGTTCAAGACCAGCCTGGCCAAGATGGTGAAACCCCATCTCTACTAAAAATACAAAAATTAGCCGGGCGTGGTGGCACATGCCTGTAGTCCCAGCTATTCAGGAGGCTAAGGCAGGAGCATCACTTGAACCCAGGAGGCAGAGATTGCAGTGAGCCAAGATCATGCCACTGCACTCCAGCCTGGGCAACAGAGTGAGATTCCGTCAAAAAAAAAGCAAAGACATCTCATAATGTTTTAAGAAAGTTTACAAATTTGTGTTGGACCACATTCAAAATCGTCCTGGGCTGCATGCAACCCACGGGCCACGGGTTGGACAAGCTTGCTTTAAATGTTAGCTTAAATATTTTTCTCTTTCAATTCATTTTATTCTAGAAGCTAGAAATCTTTGCTCACAGTGGCGCAGTAGGAAAAGCCAGTGTTGGAGAAGAGAAGTGTGTATTGAGACCGACAGCTTCATCACCTGTGGTCCTCAACCAGGGGCAATTTTGTGTGCCCAGGGGGTTTTGGCAATGTCTGGAGACATTTTTTGGCTGCCACACCCGGGGACTGGTGCTGCTAGAATCTGATGAGTAGAAGCCAGGCATGCTGCTAAATAGCCTTCAATGCATAGATCAGTTCCTACAACAAGGACTTATCCAGCCCAAAATGTCAATAGTGCTGAGATTGGGAACCCTCTCCCGGCCTCACGAGAAGCGTCTTCAGCTTTAACACTGAAGACCTGAGTCCTTGGCCAGCCACTGTATACAATCAAAGCTGTGCTTCTCTAAAGTTGAAAACTCATTTAGTAATGCCAGCTGTGAGCACTGTGAACAGGTATGGCACTAAGCAATGGTGACTCTGCTGAGTTCCAGAACTTTCTATCTCTTACTAACCAGTAGCATTTCTGCTTACAGCTTGGCTTTCCAGATGACAATAAAAATAGAAGCAAAGTATCTGGATTAAAAAGCCACCCAAAGTCAAGGGGTCAAGGCTCCATATATATATATATTTTTTAATCATAATACACATAAAACTTACCATCTTAACCATTTTTAAGTGTACAGTTCAGTAACACTAAGTACATTCACATTGTTGTGAAATCAATATCCAGAACTCTCATCTTGCAAAACTGAAACCCTATACCCATTAGACAAGAACACCTCCATTTTCCACCCCAAGGACTCTCAATATTTTCATAAGATAAAATACTCACAGAAAAACAAATTGAAACAAAACAAAACACAAACCGACCAACAAAAACCCAGAAGGTTTTTTGTTTGTTTGTTTTTTTTTTTTTGAGACAGAGTCTTGTTTTGTCACCCAGGCTGGAGTGCAATGGTGCCACCACAGCCCACTGTAGCCTCAACCTCCAGGACTCAAGCGATCGTCTCACCTCAGCCTCCCAAGTAGCTGGGACTACAGGCATGTGCCACCACACCCGGCTAATTTTTAAACATTTTTTGTAGAGATGGGGTCTCACTATGTTACTCAGGCTGGTCTCAAATTCCTGGGCTCAAGCTTCCTGAGTAGCTGGGATTACAGGTGCCCGCCACCATGGCCGGCTAATTTTCATATTTTTAGTAGAGGCGAGGTTTCACTATGTTGGCCAGGCTGGTCTCGAACTCCTGACCTCATGTATTCCGCCCACCTCGGCCTCCCAAAGTGCTGGGATTACAGGCGTGAGCCACCACGCCCAGCCACAAAATATTTTTTAAAATTATCTGGGCATGGTAGTGCACGCCTGTAGTCCCAGCTACTTGAGAGGCTGAGGTGGGAGGATTGCTTGAGCCCAGGATTTGGAGGCTGCAGTTAGCTATGATCATGCCACTGCACTCCAGCCTGGGTGACAGAGCAAGACCCAGTCACTAAAAATAAAAATTAAAAAATAAATAAATAAAAGGGGCCCTGGAGAGGTACCTCAGCCCTTCTGCCATATGAGGAAACAGAAGACAGACGTAAACCAAAAAGCCAGCCCTCACCAGACACCACATCTGCCAGCGCCATGGTCTTGGAGTTGTCCAGCCTCCAGAACTGTGAGGAATAAATGTCTGTTGTTGAAGCCACCCAATCTATAGTCTTTGGTTATGGCAGCCCAAACGGACTAAGACACGAAGCTTACCAAATGGCAGAGCCATGTGCTTCCCGAGATCAGCGATGCTGAGGAGAAGGCTGATCTACCCCAGTTCAGGAAGAGGGACTTAGGGCTTTCCTTGGCAATGTTCTGCTCCTGGGGGGTCCTTGGTACTCAAATCTGAACTCTGTTCCTCTGCCTATCAGTGAATGAAAACATCTCCTGGCTTCTCCACTTCCATCATTTTTTTGTTTCCAGCTCTTTCTCTCCTCCCCGTTTTAGCATACAGTAGTCCCCTCTTATTCACAGGGGATATGTTCCAAGATCCCCAGCGGATGCCTGAAGCCTCAGATAGTACCCATCCCTATGTATATTGTTTTTTCCTACAGACTACATGCCTATGATAAAGTTTAATTTATATATTAGGCACAGTAAGCAATTAACAATAAGTAATAATAAATAGGACAATTATAACAATGTGCCAGCATCACTACTCTTGCAAGTTGGGGCCAATGTTAAGTACTACAAGGGTTTCTTGAACACAAACACGGTGATACCATGACAGTAGCTCTGACAACCAAGATGGCTAAGTGACTAACCAGCAGGTAGAGCCTGGATGCGCTGGACAAAGGGAGGATTCACGTTGCAGACGGGATCAAGCTTACAGCGAGAGATCTCATCACGCTGCCCAGAATGGTGCACAGCTTAAAACTCATGGATTATCCCCTCTCCCTCTCCCCACGGTCTCCCTCTCCCTCTCCCTCTCCCCACGGTCTCCCTCTCCCTCTCTTTCCACGGTCTCCCTCTGATGCTGAGCCGAAGCTGGATGGTACTGCTGCCATCTCGGCTCACTGCAACCTCCCTGCCTGATTCTCCTGCCTCAGCTTGCGGAGTGCCTGTGATTGCAGGCACGCGCCGCCACGCCTGACTGGTTTTCGTATTTTTTTGGTGGTGACGGGGATTCGCTGTGTTGGCCGGGCTGGTCTCCAGCTCCTAACCGCGAGTGATCCGCCAGCCTCGGCCTCCCGAGGTGCCAGGATTGCAGACGGAGTCTCGTTCACTCAATGCTCAATGGTGCCCAGGCTGGAGTGCAGTGGCGTGATCTCGGCCCGCTACAACCTCCACCTCCCAGCAGCCTGCCTTGGCCTCCCAAAGTGCCGAGATTGCAGCCTCTGCCCGGCCCCCACCCCGTCTGGGAAGTGAGGAGCGTCTCCGCCTGGCCGCCCATTGTCTGGGATGTGAGGAGCCCCTCTGCCTGGCTGCCCAGTCTGGAAAGTGAGGAGCGTCTCTGCCCGGCGGCCATCCCATCTAGGAAGTGAGGAGCGCCTCTTCCCGGCCGCCATCACATCTGGGAAGTGAGGAGCGTCTCTGCCCGGCCGCCCATCGTCTGAGATGTGGGGAGCACCTCTGCCCTGCCGCCCCGTCCGGGATGTGAGGAGCATCTCTGCCCGGATGCCCCGTCTGAGAAGTGAGGAGTCCCTCCGCCCGGCAGCCGCCCCGTCTGAGAAGTGAGGAGCGTCTCCGCCTGGCAGCCACCTCGTCCAGGAGGGAGGTGGGGGGGGTCAGCCCCCCGCCCGGCCAGCCGCCCCGTCCGGCAGGTGAGGGGCGCCTCTGCCCGGCCGCCCCTACTGGGAACTGAGGAGCCCCTCTGCCCGGCCAGCCGCTCCGTCCGGGAGGGAGGTGAGGGGGTCAGCCCCCCACCCGGCCAGCCGCCCCGTCCGGGAGGGAGGTGGGGGGGTCAGCCCCTCGCCCGGCCAACCGCCCTGTCTGGGAGGGAGGGAGGTGGGGGGGTCAGCCCCCCGCCCGGCCAGCTGCCCTGTCCGGGAGGTGAGGGGCGCCTCTGCCCGGCCGCCCCTACTGGGAAGTGAGGAGCCCCTCTGCCCGGCCAGCCACCCCGTCCAGGAGGGAGGTGGGGGGGGTCAGCCCCCGTCCGGCCAGCCGCCCCGTCGGGAGGTGAGGGGCGCCTCTGCCCGGCCGCGCCTACTGGGAAGTGAGGAGCCCTCTGCCCGGCCACCACCCCGTCTGGGAGGTGTACCCAACAGCTCATTGAGAACAGGCCATGATGACAATGGCGGTTTTGTAGAATAGAAAGAGGGGAAAGGTGGGGAAAAGATTGAGAAATCGGATGGTTGCCGTGTCTGTGTAGAAAGAGGTAGACGTGGGAGACTTTTCATTTTGTTCTGTACTGAGAAAAATTCTTCTGCCTTGGGATCCTGTTGATCGGTGACCTTACCCCCAACCCTGTGCTCTCTGAAACATGTGCTGTATCCACTCAGGGTTGAATGGATTAAGGGTGGTGCAAGATGTGCTTTGTTAAACAGATGCTTGAAGGCAGCATGCTCCTTAAGAGTCATCACCACTCCCTAATCTCAAGTACCCAGGGACACAAACACTGCGGAAGGCCGCAGGGTCCTCTGCCTAGGAAAACCAGAGACCTTTGTTCACTTGTTTATCTGCTGACCTTCCCTCCACTATTGTCCTGTGACCCTGCCAAATCCCCTTCTGCGAGAAACACCCAAGAATGATCAATAAAAAAAAAATAATAATAATAATAATAAAATTAAATTAAATTAAAAAAAAAAACTCATGGATTATTTCGGCCGGGCGCGGTGGCTCACGCCTGTAATCCCAGCACTTTGGGAGGCCGAGGTGGGCGGATCACAAGGTCAGGAGATTGCGACCATCCTGGCTAACATGGTGAAACCCCGTCTCTACTAAAAATACAAAAAATTAGCCAGGCATGGTGGCAGGCATCTGTAGTCCCAGCTACTCAGGAGGCTGAGGCAGGAGAATGGTGTGAACCCGGGAGGCGGAGCTTGCAGTGAGCTGAGATCGTGCCACTACACTCCAGCCTGGGCGACACAGCAAGACTCCGTCTCAAAACAAAACAAAACAAAAGACTCATGGATTATTTCTAGAATTTCACATTTAATATATATTTCTTTTCTTTTCTTTAAGACGAGGTCTCACTCCATTGCCCAGGCTGGAGGGCAGTGGTACCATCAGAGCTCACTGCAGCCTCCATCTCCTGGGCATAAGCCATCCTCCCACCTAAGCCCCCCAAGCAGCTGAGATGACAAGCGCATGCCACCACACCCGGCTAATTTTCGTATTTTTTGCAGAGACGAGGTTTTGCCATGTTACCCAGGCCACTCTTGAACTCTTGGACTCAAGGGATCCACTTACCTCAACCTTCCAAAGTGCTGGAATTACAGGCATGAGCCACCATGCTTGGCTCATTTAATGTTTTCAAACTGCAGTTGATCATGGGTAACCGAAACCTGAGAGGGTGAAACTGTGGATGAGGGGGAACTATGTACATTAAATACATTCCTTCAGGTACATGCGCGAAGAACTGATTGTATGCTAGGCACACAATGCTGCTGGAAATAGAAATATTTCAACCACTTTTCTCAAGGTGTTTACAGACTAATGAGAAATTAAATTTAGTTTTTTGTTTGTTTTTGTTTTTGTTTTTTTGAGACAAGTTCTCACTTTGTCTCTGGCTGGAGTACAGTGGCACAATCTCAGCTCACTGCAGCCTCTGCCTCCCAGGTTCAAGGAATTCTCCTGCCTCAGCCTCCCAAGTAGCTGGGATTACAGGCGCCCGCCAACATGCCTGGGTAATTTTTGTATTTTTAGTAGAGATGGGGTTTCGCCATGTTGGCCAGGCTGGTCACAAACTCCTGACCTCAGGTGATCCACCACCTTAGCCTTCCAAAGTGCTGGGATTACAGGTGTGAGCCACCACGCCCGGTCCAGAAATAAATTTCTTTTTTTTTTTTTGAGACGGAGTCTCGCTCTGTTGCCCAGGCTGGAGTGCAGTGGCACAATCTCAGCTCACTGCAAGCTCCTCCTCCCGGGTTCACGCCATTCTCCTGCCTCAGCCTCCCGAGTAGCTGGGACTACAGGCGCCCGCCACCACGCCCGGCTAATTTTTTTGTATTTTTAGTAGAGACAGGGTTTCACCATTTTAGCCAGGATGGTCTCGATCTCCTGACCTAGTGATCCGCCCGCCTCGGCCTCCCAGAGTGCTGGGAATACAGGCATGAGCTACCGCGCCCGGCCAATAAATTTCTAAATGAAGGAAATTTGGAAATGAAATATAAGTTGTACAAATGGACAAGTGGCATAATATTATGTTGTACAAAGGGACTTTCATTATTCCTGATGAAAACTCATGCCAGAGCTTACATTTGTTCCCTCCAGAAATCTCAGTAAAATTTTAAAAAAAAGAAACATTTATAAATGCTTATGGACAAAAGGAATGGAAGAGAAGATGATATCAGACAAAAGACATCAATGAAATTTTGGAAGATGTAAAATGGAGGGGCCCGTGCCACCTGGAAAGTAAGCTGGTTTGTGCTGCGGGACCCAGGAGTGGTCAGGAATCGGAGGCTGAGCAGCAGTGTTGATGATAGTCTTTAAAAAGAATAGATAAGAACCCCAGATCTCCTTTCCCAGCCCACGCAGCCATGCAACTACACCACCTCCACCACTAAGGGAAGTTTATTAACTCCAAAGGAAGACTTTGGAGCCTCAATATCAAAACATAGCTAGACACCAGATATTGTTCCAAAAAAGGGAATTTTGTGAACATTTGGGTACTGAGATGCTATTCCCAGATCCTTCCCCTGCAGGGCTTTTACCTTCCCCAGGCAGGAGAAAGGAGGAAAACTCTCTGGGAAAACTGATCCATCGGCCGGGCGCGGTGGCTCACGCCTGTAATCCCAGCACTTTGGGAGATCAAGGCGGGTGGATCATGAGGTCAGGAGCTCGAGACCATCCTTGCTAACACGGTGAAACCCTGCCTCTACTAAAAATATGAAAAATTAGCCGGGCATGGTGGTGGGCGCCTGTGGTCCCAGCTACTGGGAGGCTGAGGCAGGAGAATGGCGTGAACTCGGGAGGCAGAGCTTGCAGTGAGCCGAGATTGCGCCACTGCACTCCAGCCTGGGTGACAGAGCGAGACTCCATCTCAAAAAATAATAATAATAAATAAATAAAACTGATCCACCCAAGGGGGAAGAAAATCTACAGATCTAACATCTGGGGACCTGACCTAATGACTCTTCATGACACTCACCAGAAGAATAGCTTCAAACATGCACATGGAGCTGCGATGAATAGACAGCCAAAGACTACTAGAGCTCTGAGGGAAGTCCGCCCCGCAAAAAAAGACCAAAACATGGCTGGGCGCAGTGGCTCACACCTGTAATCCCAGCAATTTGGGAGGCCAAGGCAGGCAGATCACCAGAGGTAAGGAGTTCAACACCAGCCTGGCCAATGTGGTGAAACCCCGTCTCTACTAAAACTACAAAAATTAGGCTGGCATGGTGGCAGACGCCTGTAATCCCAGCTACTCGGGAGGCTGATGCAGGAGAATCGCTTGAATCAGGAGGTAGAGGTTACAGTGAGCCAAGATCGCACCACTGCACTCCAGCCTGGGTGACAGAGAGAGACTCTGCCTCAAAAACAACAACAACAACAACAACAAGAAAACGCCCATCCAAAGTACATCACATGGAATTTCAGAACACCAAGAATGAAAGCAATGCTTCCAAAGAAAGAAAATTACAGTTACAAAGCCTAGGACAGAATCAGTCTTAGTGCTAACAATACTGGGAAATTGAAGGTGGTATAATAATGTCTTCAAAAGTCTGTGGAAACATTTTTGCAATCTAGACTTTTATACCCAGCCACACAATCTACCTATCAAACTATCAAATATACAGGTGGAATAAAAATATCCAAGTTCTCAAAAAATTGTGAGAAGACTTGGTTGATCAAAACAATGGAATAAAACAGACAAAAGAATAGGAAACAGAGCATTCAGGAAACAGGGATGCCAATACTGGAGAGAGAAAAAGGGTTATCCTACAATGATGGTATAGAGAAGATACAGGATTGGAGCAAGCCATATGATTCCATATATAAAATTCTAGAAAATGCAACTAGTCTATAATAATAGATAGTAGACCAGTGGTTGCCTGGACATGGGGGTGAAGGGAGGAATAGATTATAAGGGAGCATGAGGAAACTTTTGAGTGTGCTGGAAATGTCCATTATTTTAATTATATTAATGGATTCATGGGTGTACATGTGTCAAAACTCATAAAATTGTTCACTTTAAATATATGCATTTTATTGCACCTTAAATCAGAATCAAGTTGTCAGAATCAATAAAAAATAAAAAACAACAATAAAAGGCCAACCCTGATAAATGAGTCAGAGAAGGTCCTGAAGAGAGGGTTCTCATGCTTGTATGCCTCATAAAACACTATCACAAATGTTGCAAAAAACACAACCTAGTGCAACAGCCATCCCAACCTTACACAAAAAATACTTCTGCAAGGACATCTGCTCGGCAATTGCCTGTCCAACCTCAGACTGGTGCCACCCTTGTTACTGATCTTTGTAGCAAGGATAATTATTTCAAAACAATTATGTAATCTTTCTCTTTTTTTTTTTTTTTTTTTTTTTGAGATGGAGTCTCCCTCTGTCACCAGGCTGGAGTGCAGTGGCACGATCTTGGCTCACTGCAAACTCCACCTCCTGGGTTAAAGTGATTCTCCTGCCTCAGCCTCCCCAAGTAGCTGGGACTACAGGTGCACACCACCACACCCAGCTAATTTTTTTTGAATTTTCAGTAGAGACAAGGTTTCACCATGTTAGCTAGGCTGGTCTCAAACTCTTGACCTCAGGAGATCCGCCCACCTCGGCCTCCCAAAGTGCTGGGATTACAGGCGTGAGCCACTGCACCCCATCTCTTCCTTATTTTTTCCTGTAAACAATGTGTCTTCCTGTCTGAATATGCACATAGTTTACCATGGCATGCATATTTCCACTGCAATGCTCTATTCCCAAACAATACCTTTTTCTTTCGGAGAACTTCTCTCTCTTTGTTTTTTAGGTTGACACTTTTGTTTTTCTTTTTCTTTTTTTGAGACAGAGTCTCACTCCATCACCAAGGCTAGAGTGCGGTGGCATGATGTCAGCTCACTGCAACCTCCGCCTCCTGGGTTCAAGTGATTCTCATCCCTCAGCCTCCCGAGTAGCTGGGATTACAAACACCCCCCACCATGCCCAGCTAATTTTTGTATTTTTAGTAGAGACGGGGTTTCGCCATGTTGGCCAGGCTGGTCTCAAACTCCTGACCTCAAGTGATCCACCTGCCTCGGCCCCCCAAAATGCTGGGATTACAGGCGTGAGCCACTGCACCCGGCGGTTGACACATTTTATACCAATAAAGCAGTAAAAAAAAAAAAAAAAAAAATTAGGAAAACAAGCGAATTGGTGAAGTGGAAGATTGGTCAGAGGTAACTATCCACAAAGAAGCCATAGAAATAAAAAGAAGCAAGATACAGAAGAAATAATAAAAAGCAGATATGACATGCTTGAAAGGTCTACCGTGTTTTTTTGGAGTCCCAAAATGAGAAGAAAGAATTCAATAGCTCTAACAGAACCTAAAGGAAGAGAAATGATATCACCAAAGTGCTGGAAGACAAAATAACTGCTAAAACAAATTTTCTACCCAGAGAAAGTATCCTTTATTAATGAAAATAAGAAAAAGACATTTTCAGATTAGCGGAAGCTGAGAGAGTTCTCCAAGAGCAGGCCCCCCCAACTCAGAGAAATTCCATAGGGTGTTTTTTGGGCTGAAGATCAATGACCTCCACATGGAAGCTCAGAGACGCAGCAAAGAATGAAGAACTAAGACGTTCAAGGAGTGTTCAGAGAATAAGCGATATATTTTTCTGACTAGAACCAAAGATCTATAAAGGAAAGCCGGAGGGTATAAGGCTGAAAATATGTGAACCGAGATCAACAAGGGTCCTAAATCCCAGGCAGGAGGAAGAAGAAAGGGGAGCATATCTGGAGAAATATTAAAGTTAAGAGAGGCCAAGCATGGTGGTTTATGCTTATAATCCCAGCAACTGGAGAGGCTGAGGCGGGAAGATCACGTCAACCCAGAAGTTTAAGGCTACAGTGAGTTATTATGACACCACTGCACTCCAGCCTGGGTGACAGAATGAGACCCCATCTCCTTAAAAAAGAGAGAGAGAGAGAGAGAGAGAGAGAGAGAGAGAGAGAGAAAGCTCACCAGCCAAGGACAGAGAGGTTACAATGAAGAGAAGTCAGGTGATATTGTTAAATAATGCCTAATCCAGGCAGATGGCAAGAAAACAAGGCCACTGGGTTCAAGAAGTAATAGGAAACTTTGAGAAGGTGATATTCATGAAATGATGGGATGAGCAAAGAATTCAAGAATGAGTGGTGGCCAGGCATGGTGGCTCACGTCTGTAATCCCAGCACTTTGGGAGGCTGAGGCGGGGGGATCACCTGAGGTCAGGAATTCGAGAATAGCCTGGCCAACATGGTAAAACCCCATCTCTACTAAAAATACAAAAATTATCTAGTTATGGTGGGAGGCTGAGGCAGGAGAATCGCTTGAACCCAGGAGTCGGAGGTTACAGTGAGCCAAGATTGCACCACTGCACTCCAGCCTGGGCGACAGAGCAAGACTCTGTCTCAAAAAAAAAAAAAAAACACCAAGAGTGAGTGGTAAAGGAAGGAGAAGCAGTAGGTGCTTCCACTTAGAAGTCCAACAAAGACCAAACTCTACTTCTACAAAATAGGACCCTTGGTCACTCCCCTCCCCAGCCTGCCTCTTCCCCAGTCTTCCTCAGCTCCACAAACAGCCTTACTACCTAGTAACTCAAGCCAAAATATAGAAGTAACCACCAATTCTTCTCTTTTCTTTATTCCCCAAGCCCAATCAATCAGTAATTCCTGTTGCCTCCAATCCAATGTGTGGTCCATGTGTGACCATTCCCATTGCTCCTGACTGAGTCTAAGTCCAAGGCCACCGTCATCTGTTCCTTGGAACACTGCAATAGCCTCTGATGGGGTAGGGGTGAGGGGATGCCTCCATTCTTGCTCCTTTGAATCCAATCTCCCTGGAGAGATCATTCAGGTAGGACAAAAATCAGACCATGTCATTTCCCTGCTTAGAATCCTTCAGTGGTTCCCCATTGTGGCCAGAATGAAATTTCAATTGCTGAGCACCATGTTTAAGGCCCCTGGTGATACCGCCCTGGTGTGGCTTCTCTAACCTCCTTTCCTATCACTCTCCCACCTTCGTCAGCTCTGCGCTCACCTGCTCTCTCCCTGGTCCTGCACACCAAACCTGTTCCTGCCTCAAAGGCTTTGCCCTGGAGATTCTTCCCCCTTGCAAAGCTGGGTCTTGCAAAGCTGGGTCCTTCCCATCATTCAGTTCAAAATCACCTCCTGGGATAGATCTTCCCAGACCAACCAATGTGGAGTACCTTTCCTGCACCGGAGATGTTCCACCATTACATCACTATGTTGTATTTTACTTACACACTGATCATCTCAAATTATCTTGTGTATTCACTAATTTGTTTCTTTTCTGCACCTGCCCCGTGCCACGCTGAGTGTTCATGTGGCGCCCGGCCTTGAGTGTTACTTTCACTAGCACAGCACCCATTTCTCTCTTGTGAATTGCTGAGACTCTAGTGCCCATTTCAGGACTCTGTCTTCAGACTTAAGGATAAGAGGAATAGACACTAGGGTGGGGGGAATGTATAGGCTATTAATATGAGATGAAAATGAAAAGATTGCCAGGTAACACTGCAGTACAGTTGAAGTTAGATAGCACGAACTCTGTATTTTCCAAGACTTTCTCCACCTACTCTTGACAGCCTGGGTGAGAATAGAAAGGTTGACAACAGAGACAACATAAATTTTGGGCAGAGCCAAAGGACAAAGGACTGTATCACTGAAACGGCCAAGAAAGCAGACTGGAATGGGGTACCCCTAAGAGATCTGATGGATTTTGATAGATCAATACATAGAGACTAAGGACCTAAAGTCCCAAGCAGTGAAAACCAGTCCCACAGGCACAACGGAAGAATGACATTGCAGGTAAAATGCTGAGTGGCGTTAGATTCTCAGCCTCTCTGGGCGGCTATCTCCAAAGAGGCAGGTGTGGCTCTTCCCCCGGGGTATCCCGACCCTTCTGTAATGATCATCTTGGCTAAAGACTAGTCAGTGAATACTCAGAAAGAAGATAACATCAAGAAAATTTAATTATTGAATGCTGGCAAAGTTCCCCTTCTTTCCTTAAGCAAAGGATCTTTTTTCCCTATCTCCTTTAGCAGGGTTGTCAGAGCTCATGAGGGAGAGGACGGGCAGGCTATGAATGGCAAGCATGCAGTAAATCCCAGTCTGGACTCAGTGACAAAGGAGTAATAAAAAGATTATAGGTAATTTTTCCTCCTGAATTATAGAGAGGGTGTGGATTCAGCCTGGCTATAGAAGGGGTGGGGCAGGCTGCCCACCTCTGCTCTCAGGAGCGTTACTCAGGAAAAGGGGGAAGGGCTGCAAGGCCTCCAGCTGGGGTTACAAATCAAAATACAGGATTCTGGCCAGTATGGTGGCTCACGCCTGTAATCCCAGCACTTTGGGAGGCCAAGGTGGGCTGATCACCAGAATTGCTTAAACCTAGGAGGCGGAGGTTGCAGTGAGCCAAGATCATGCCGCTGCACTCCAGACAGGGCAACAGAGCAAGACTCCATCTCAAAAAAATAAAATAAAATAAAAAAATAAAGCAGGATTCCCAGAAAAGTAGTTATTTAGTATATGTATACATCCCCATACAATGTGATGTGTGTGTGTGTGTGTGTGTGTATGTATATATATATATATGTTTTGTTTTTTTTTTGAGACAGGGTCTCAATCTGTCACCCAGGCTGGAGTGCAGTGGCATTATCACAGCTCACTGCAGCCTCGACCTCCCCGGGCTCTGGTGATCCTCCCATCTCAGCCTCCCAAGTGGCTGGGACCAAAAGCATGTGCTACCATGCCTGGCTAATTTTTGCATTTTGTGTAGAGTTGGGGGTTTCACCATGTGGCCCAGGCTTGTCTTGAACTCCTGGGCTCAAGAGATCTGACCACCTTGGCCTCCCAAAGTGATGTGATTACAGGCATGAGCCACTGCACCCAGTCCTTGGTATACTTATACTAAAAAATTCTTCATTGTTCATCTAAAATGCAAATATAGCTGAGCATAGTGTATTTCATCTGGCAACCTACCTCCAGTGCTATAGGGAGGGTCCCAGAACTGGACTGAGCCATTAACAGAGAAACCTTCCTGAGCGGCTACACAGAGTAGCTGTGCTGGAAGCCAAAATGTTTTGGGGTCATTCTGCATATGAATCATGGTGGAGGTAAATATTCTTATGTTTACTATTTAAAGATGGGGCCGGGTATGCTAGCTCAAGCCTGTAATCCCAGCACTTTGGGAGGCCGAGGCAGGCGGATCACCTGAGGTCAGGGGTTTGAGACCAGCCTGGCTAACATGGCGAAACCCCCATCTCTACTAAAAATACAAAAATTAGCTGGGCATGGTGGCAGGCGCCTGTAATCCCAGCTACTTGGGAGGTAGAGGCAGGAGAATCGCTTGAACCCAGGAAGCCAAGGTTGCAGTGAGCCAAGACTGTGCCACTGCACTCCAGCCTGAGAGACAGAGTGAGACTCCACCTTAAAAAAAAAAAATTGGCTGGGTGCAGTGGCTCACACCTGTAATCCCAGCACTTTGGGTGGCCAAGGTGATCAGATCACTTGAGGTCAGGAGTTCAAGACCAGCCTGTCCAACATGGCAAAACCCTGTCTTTACTAAAAATACAAAAATTAGCTGGGCGTGGTGGCACATGCCTGTAATCCCATCTACTCGGGAGGCTGAGGTATGAGAATCACTTGAACCCAGGAGGTGGAGGTTGTGGTGAGCAGAGATCATGTCACTGCACTCCAGCCTGGGCAACAGAGTGAGACTCTGTCTCAAAAGAATAAATAAAATAAAGATGAGAGAATTTGTTAGCAGTTGCATAAATGCGTATATCTCATATAATATTTGCGTAAATATAAAATACATATGCCCATGTATGTATAGTTACATAAATATATTACATCAGTTTATATTTAAATGTCACCTATTAAGTTTTGCTTTACAGCTATGTTACAGACTGTTTTGTGGTTTCACCCAACAAAAAGAAACCAAAAGGCCAGGCACGGTGGCTCACACCTGTCATCTCAGCACTTTGAGAGGCTGAGGCGGGCAGATCACTTGAGACGGGAGTTCCAGACCAGCCCTGCAATGTAGCAAGACCCTGTCTCTACAAAAAATACAAAGCTTAACCAGGTATGGTGGCGGGCACCTGTAGTCCTAGCTACTATGGAGGCTGAGGTGGGAGAATTACCTAAGCTTGAAGAGGTGGAGGCTGCAGCAAGCCATGATTGCACCACTGTACTGCAGCCTGGGTGACAGAGGGAGACCCCGTCTCAAAAAAAAAAAAAAGAAAGAGAAAAGAAAAAGAAAACAAAGTGCAAGGCATGAGTTAAAGCAGCTGGGTTTTGTCAGTTGCTCGGCGTAAGTAGTTTGTTGGATGTGCGTTTTTAACTTATAAATTTGTACTGCCTTTGGTTTCCATTATTTTGCCCGTTGAAGATTAGGGTTTTGGAGGAGAGAAACGAGAGAGCCAGCCTCAGAAACAGATACATTCCTCAAGCCTGTGGAGCATCTAAGTTAGCTTTCTATTTATCACCACCACTTTCCAAGTAACCATAACACAAAATCTCGTGGGCCCAAGAGAGGACAGCCACAGAGCATTCCTGAGTCACTATTTATCTTGTTTGAGTGGTGATAAAAACCAGGTCATTCTCAATCATAGAAACACAGACCTGGGCGTAGTGAAACATATGTTATGTTCCATTTATATAATTCCTAGAGGCTGTGTTTTCCAAAGCAGAGGAGGGATGGCAAAGAACTTCTCTACCCAAGTAAGCATTATGGCCCAATTAATGTCTACAAACCTAAGGAGGCCGGGCGCGGTGGCTCACGCCTGTAATCCCAGCACTTTGGGAGGCCGAGGCAGGTGGATTACTAGGTCAGGAGACCAAGACCATCCTGGCTAACATGGTGAAACCCCATCTCTATTAAAAATACAAAAAAAAAAAATTAGCCAGGCGTGGTGGCAGGCGCCTGTAGTCCCAGCTACTCAGTAGGCTGAGGCAGGAGAATGGCATGAACCCGGGAGGTGGAGCTTGCAGTGAGCCGAGATCGTGCCACTGCACTCCAGCCTGGGCGACAGAGCGAGACTCCATCTCAAAAAAAAAAGAAAAAAGAAAAAAGAAAAAAAAACCTAAGGGAAAAAGGAATGTCTCCACATTGTTGTTTTTACCCCCAGTCTCTCTGTATGAAATTCTTGGCCGGGTGCGGTGGCTCACGCCTGTAATCCCAGCACTTTGGGAGGCCGAGGCAGGTGGATCACGAGGTCAGGAGTTCGAGACCAGCCTGGCCAATATGGTGAAACCCCGTCTCTACTAAAAATACAAAAATTAGCTGGGCGTGATGGCGCACGCCTGTAGTCCCAGCTGCTTGGGAGGCTGAGGCAGGAGAATCGCTTGAACCCGGGAGGCGGAGGTTGCAGTGAGCCAAGATCGTGGCACTGCACTCCAGCCTGGGCGACCGAGTGAGACTCTGTCTCAAACAAAAAAAAAAAAAAAGAAAGAAATTCTTAAAGACTGTCAAATGTCAGCATGCAGTTTGGCCCTAACCACAGCTCTTTTCTCTGCAAAGGAGAAAAAGGCAAAGCCCATAACATTGCTGGAAGAGCTGATGGACCATGGAAGCTGTTGTGGAGAAGCTTCACACAACTAAAGAAATAGCCCTTAATTTACAACCTGGGCTGACAGTTTGTTTCAGGCTGACTCAACCCACCCGAACAATCTGTCTCAGCACACCGAAGTGTCTCATGCCAAAAGATCCTAAGAGGGCTGGGCAACTTGGAAGGGATGAGACACAGGCCCAGATGGTGCACATCTGGCCAAAAATTAGAAAGAGAAAGAAATCAGCCTCTCAAATCCACAGACAGGTGTTCGGGGCTTCCCAGGAGACCTGCTTATGAAGGGCAACGGGGATGGCTATGGACTGGTGGTTAGTGAAGGAACAACAAAGGTTTCTGAGACTTGCGCAGGTCAGCGGGAACCAAACAGGTGGCAAGAGTGGGCTGCTGTCCACCTTCCCTTGACAATGGCGTCATTTCGAAGACCTTTAAATTATTTAGATTGTTGTAACCAAGACATCTTTAATAATGCACCAAACAGCAGGCACCAGGTTGAAATCAATTAGACTCCACCGATAAATTATAAGGGAGAAATTTACAGGAGAATGGCTCTGGGGTAGGGACTGCAGGTACACATGCCTGCCAGAGACAATTATATCAGGAACCAAATAGTTATTGCTTTGTCATTTAAGCAGCAGAAAAGATGGCCAGGTGCTCCTAAATTAGAGCAATAACAAATAACTAAAATGAGGAGGCCTGTTCTGGGCAGGAAGGCTTCTGGGTGGCCAAGAGAAAAGACAATGGAGGTAGGAACAAATGTCATTTGGGGGATATCTAGGATCCGGATGCACCCTGCACTGGGGGCACCTCGCGCTTCTTCCAGGAGTTTGGGGCCAGTGGGGTAACAGGTGGTATCACAGGGGTTTGTCTCCCAGAGGATGACAATCTCCTGGAGGTGACTTCAAAGTTTCCCTTTCTAGGCAGGACGCGGTGGCTCATGCCTGTAATCCCAGCACTTTGGGAGGCCGAGGATCTCCTGAGTTCAGGAGCCTCAGACCAGCCTGGCCAACATGGTGAAACCGTGTCTCTACCAAAAATACAAAAAAATTAACTGGGCGTGGTGGCGCGCGCCTGGAGTCCCAGCTACTCGGGAGGCTGAGGCAGGAGAATCGCTTGAACCCGGGAGGTGGAGGCTTCAGTGAGCCGGGATTGCGCCACTGCACACACACCAGGCTGGGCGACAGAGTATGACTCCGTCTCAAAAAAAAAAAAAAAAAGCAAAGTTTCCCTTTCTAGTACAGGAAAAGCCCTAGGGAGTCCTGGCTGGATCTCAGGCCCCCGAGGACGCAGCCACGCCGCGTGCCACGCGTCCATTGGGAGCACGAAGAGACACCCGCGTGGTCACCCCGCCAGGGCTGCCTAGGCGCCGCGTCCCGCCCTAGGCCGCGCGGGGGCGCAAAGCGCAGGCGCACTCCCGCCGGGCGCGGACGGCTCCGGGCCGCCAGGGGCCGCTGTGGCGCAGCCGGGCTGGCCCGCGCTGTCCCTGACGCGGATCACTGGCCCCTCTTGAGCACGGCCTTGCCGGTTTGGCGGGGTGAAAGGTTGCGAAGATGGCGACGGCCTTGAGCGAGGAGGAGCTGGACAATGAAGACTATTACTCGTTGCTGAACGTGCGCAGGGAGGTGAGGCCAGCGGCTGGACGCTCTGGGGGCTGAGGCCGAGCCCGGTCGTTCGGGAGGGCCGGGCTGGCGGTGGCCGCCCCACCCCCGCCACGGGAGGCTCGGGTCCGTCGGGGAGGCCGCGTGACCCCGGCGACGTGCACGCCAGCCGCCCGATGGAGGCGTCCCCACCGCCCAGACCCTCCCGCCGGGGGTTCCGGGGCCAGCCTCCGCCCCAGCTCCTGAAGGCCAGTGCGCCGCGTGCACTGTGTCCGGGTAGGGCCAGAGGCCCCCGCACGCTCAAGAGGAAACGGGGGCCCCGAGGAGGCCACCGTAGTGGGGTTAGCAGTCCTCCGAGACCCCGTCTCGCGCTCAGCCCACATACTCGTCCTGGCTGAGGGGCTGTGTCATCGCCCGCCGCCAGCAGGATGGCGAACTGAGTCTCACCCACCAAGGTCAAGGCCACTAGGGAACGTCCTTAGGGCTTTTTCCGGTTCCCGAGTCTTTCGTGGGGACGCTCTGCCTCTGAAGTGGGTCCAGCCTCAGAGGCATGCGTCTCATGCCCTCTTTCATTCCCCTGGACCCGATGTCCAGAAATTGCAGGCAGAGCCTCCGGGACACAGACCCTCGGCTCGGAGGCTGCAGATTAGGAAGAAGCCCTAGGCCAGAAAAGTGGTGCCCTAACAACAGCTTCAACATTCACACCAAGCACTTGTACCCTGTCTCCTCAACGAATAAAAGATAACATGAGAGAGTCTCACATAGCCTGGCAGTAGTAGGGCCCCACTACACTCCTTTGTTCTTGACTAGTCTGGAGTTGAGATAGGTGTGAAGGGCGAGAAGGCTTCCAGGGTCAGGTCATGAGGTGGATCAGTTTCTTTAAGCCGATGGGTCCAGACTTTTCAGCCCTGCCAGAGAATTCCTAATTCCATCTCTCAGGTTTTCCAGTGGTAATGAAAGCTAGCCAAGTTTGGCTATGCTAACCAAAGCGGGTTCAGTGTGTGTTGTCAGTAAATATTAGTCTATGTGATGTTAATAATACAAACTTATCTTGTGTGGGACCACTATGCTGAATGAACTTTGTACTGTTATCTCATTTAATTCTGAGGATAGCTCTTAAGGTAAGTATTATGATAGCCCTTGATTTACACTTGAGGAAACCAAGGCATAGAGAGATTAAGTAGTGTGTCTAAAGTCACACTACTAGAAAGTGCAAGAGCCTGAACTCAACCCAGGCAGTCTGACTCTGGAGCCCAGCTTGTGAGCTCCATGCTAGTCTGTCACCTTACCTTACCAGTCCTTGGACTACAAAGCTGCTAGTTCTGGTACTGTATCCTTGAGTGTCACGCGCGTCCGTGTGAAGAGACCACCAAACAGGCTTTGTGTGAGCAATAAACCTTTTTAATCACCTGGGTGCGTATGGGCTGAGTCCGAAAAGAGAGTCAGCAAAGGGTGGTGGGATTATCATTAGTTCTTATAGGTTTGGGATAGGCGGTGGAGTTAGGAGCAATTTTTTGTGGGCAGGGGGTGGATCTCACAAAGTACATTCTCAAGAGTGGGGAGAATATTACAAAGTACCTTCTTAAGGGCGGAATATCACAAAGTACATTATCACAAGGGCGGGGAGCGTGTATTGTCATAAGGCCAATTGACCAGTTAGGGTGGGGCAGGAGTAAATCACCATGGTGGAATATCTTCAGTTAAGGCAGGACCTGGCTATTTTCACTTCTTTTGTGGATCTTCAGTTGCTTCAGGCCATCTGGATGTATATGTGCAGGTCATAGGGGATATGATGGCTTAGCTTGGGCTCAGAGGCTTGATACTGAGCACCTCATGAAAGAATCCCTCGAATGTATGGGCCACTGTACTATGAGAATGTCCAGTGAAATATCTTTGGGAATTGCAGATTTTGTTAGGCTGCCATAGGGCACCTGGGGGTTCTTGTTCTCATTAATCAACACTTCGGGCTAATCACTCCTTTTTTTCCTTTTTTTTTTAAATTATACTTTAAGTTCCAGGATACATGTGCAGAACGTGCAGGTTTGTTACATAGGTAAACATGAGCCATGGTGGTTTGCTGCACCCATCAACCCATCATCTAGGTTTTAATGGGCTAATCACTTATTTAGCCTTAAGTCTCTTTCCCTTTAAATGAAGATGTCTGGCTAGTTATACTTTTTTTCCAGTTTTTAGAAGTCAAGCAATAAATGAAGCCAGCCTTTCTGAAATCATTCGTACTTAGTCTGGGTTGTCAGTAATTGAGCAGCCATTTATCAGGCGTACTGAACCGTAGGCAGCTGCTGCAGATGATCAAGCAGGTCTAGAGTAATAGTTTTAGCCAGAGTCCTAGGTGAAGATTTTGTCAAAGGTATACCTTGAAACTGCTGAAACTGTAGAGCCTGTCATTGTTTTTGGACTTACGGATGGGAGCCAAAGAAATTTTGTTTGTTTGTTTAGAGACAGGGTCTCACTCTGTTGCCCAGGCTGAAGTGCAGAGGTGGATCATGGTGCACTGCAACCTTGACTTCCCCGGGCTCAGGTGCTCCCACCTCAGACTCGCTAGTAGCTAGGACCACAGGCACATGCCACCATACCCAGCTAATTTTTGTATCTTTTGTAGAGACAGGGTCTCTCTGTGTTGCCCAGGTTGGTCTCCTGAGCTCAAGCGATCCTCCCACCTCTGCCTCCCAAAGTGCCGGGATTACAGGCATGAACCACCATGCCTGGCCAGGCCTGTCACTGTTATTAGACTTAAGGATGAAGTATATATAAAAACATAGATATAAATATTTATATATAAATATATATATTTATATATATAATTAGACTTCACCCAGGCTGGAGTGCAGTGGTGCAGTCGTGGCTCATAGCAGCCTCGACCTTCCCCGGCTCAGGTGATCCTCCCACCTCAGCCACCAGAGTAGCTGGTATTACAGGCACACACCACCACAGCTGGCTGATTTTTGTAGTTTTTGTAGAGACAGGGTCTCACTGTGTTGCCCAGGCTGGTCTCAAACTCCTGAGCTCAAGCAGTCCACCCATCTCAGCCTCCCAAAGTGCTGGGATTACAGGCATGAGCCACTGCACCCAGCCAAAAAATATTTCTTAAATTTTTTTTTTTTTTTTACTTCTCCCAATGAGTGAAGGCACTTTCCATATTTATGGCTATATGGCTATAGGTTAAATCCATATGAAACATGCTCCCTTGCAGAAGTCACTTTCTGTTGTCTTCGTCAGCAAACTCGGTGTTAAATGTCATACTCAGGTGTGGTGTGCTGGTTTTCCATCCCGGGATTCCATTAGAAGCTCTGAAGGTGATGTCTGAACTTGATATTTGCTGGAATTTTTTGTGTGAAATCAAACGTGAAGTTGAAATAACGTGATTTAGTTGGAAAAAAGTCAGAGTAATCTTAAATCTTAATGTGTGGTTGGAAGAATATCTTAATACCTGTTTGTGTGTTTGCTGTCAGTTCTAGAGTAGTTGCCATTTAAGTATAGCTGTGAGAGGCAAGGCCCTGTTCCCACTGATACTTCAAAGTACCTTCAAAAGAGTGTCCTCAAAACTCTCAATGTTCAGTAGAGTTCAGAGAGTTTTCTTTAGAAATCTCAAATGGAAACAATTCTAGACAAAACCAGGGAATCCTACTTTAAAATTATAAGCATAGGCTGGGCGCGTGGCTCAAGCCTGTAATCCCAGCACTTTGGGAGGCCAAGACGGGCGGATCACGAGGTCAGGAGATGGAGACCATCCTGACTAACACGGTGAAACCCCGTCTGTACTAAAAATACAAAAAATTAGCCGGGCGTGGTGGCGGGCGCCTGTAGGAGGCTGAGGCAGGAGAATGGTGTGAACCCAGGAGGCGGAGCTTGCAGTGAGCCGAGATTGCGCCACTGCACTCCAGCCTGGGTGACAGAGCAAGACTCTGTCTCAAAAAAAAAAAAATTATAAGCATAATAGAGGTATATAATTGGATTAATATAGAAATGTCAACAATCAGCTGAAGAATCTCCCTCTCCAGGATTTAAACTTTAAAATATCCCCTTAAATTTGTATTCTAGAGCAGGGGTCCTCAACCCCCTGGCCATGGACCAGTACTGGTCTGTGGCTTGTTAGGAATTGGGCCGCACAGCAGGAGGTGAGTGGTGGGCAAGCAAGCGGTTAGCGTCGGGCAAGCAAGCGGTTAGCATCGGGCAAGCAAGCATCACCGCCTGAGCTCTGCCTGTCAGATTGGTGGTGGCATTAGCTTCTCATAGGAGCATGAACCCTATTGGGAACTGCACATGCAAGGGATCTAGGTTAGGTCCTCTTTATGAGAATTTGACTAATGCCTGATGATCCCAGGTGGAACAGTTTCATTCCACTCCCACTAGTCTGTGGAAAAATTATCTTCCATGAAACCAGTCCGTGGTGCTAAAAGGTTGGAGACCCCATTGTTGCCGCCGTTGGAGAGAGTGAAGCAGGCAGCTGGAAAGGACCCCCCGTTCTCCTATGACAAGACACATGATCTTTAATGATTCTCCTTCTAGATTTCCTGTTTACAGAGCAGGGCCATCATCTGTCGTGCCTGCCTCACACTGAGAGGAGGGAGTACTTTATCACTCACTGGGCACACCAAAGCCAGACAGGTTTTCTGGTTTAGTGTTAGATGCATCATCTGGTTCCTAAAATCTCACTCCTCTGAGATTTCCAGGATGATTTTCCAAAATTTATTTGGAGAAAGGATTCCTTAACTATAAATCAGAGTTAAATTTACCTGATCCATTAATTAGGAAATTTAATTGACACATTTCAAACCTAATTTATTCCCAAGACAAATGGCTACAGTTCTAACTTTATCATTGTCTTTGAAAGAATTTCATTTTTGCAGTGTTTGTAACCTGTTTGAAGACCTCTGGTCCCAATTGTTTTAACCTTAAGGAGCCATCCTCCTTTTCAACTTTTAAACACTTTTGGAAAAACACAGTTAAGTAAAAAATGAAGTTGTTAATAAATAGTTTTTTTCTTGCAGTCCATATATGGAGGTCAGTGTTCTGAGATCTTCATCCTTCCAGAACAGCCATGAAACTAGAAGTACAAAAGTATCACCTACCAGTAAAAAGTTTACCCCAAGTCCCTGCATTTTCATTCCTTCTCTGGTACAGGGTAGATCATTATTTTCACAATTGTGTGTTGTTGGGGTTTCCTTAGCTGCAGGTTACAGCCACAGAGTGAGGCCCAACAGTTGAGTTTGAGCTGCAGATGGAAAGGAAGGGCTAGAAGAGTAGAGGAAGGTCCCCTGGTCACTGGCAAGATTGTCCTAGGGTCAAAGTCACCCACAAAGAAGGAGACAGCAGACCCTCCAATCAGGACCACTGACTCAGCCATCTGCAGAAATTGACATGTAAAAGGCTCAACTGTGCCAATTTGAGCGACTCAAATACCTAAAGCAGTGAGGTGGTGTGTGTTTACACATTTATTGCTTTCTTATCAAACTTCATGATGGGCAGTTAATTTTGTCTTAATAAAAAATAAAGATGGCTCTGAAAAGGTCAGTTCCTTCATTTTCCATCTACTACATTATGTTAAAGTTTGATATTTATAATGACTCCAGTTAAATGTGTGCCTCAGGCACATAGAATTAAGCCTCGGTTGTCCAAAAACAACTTATTCAGATGTCTGCATTCCATAGGGTGTTCTGTAAGCCAAGAGGCTGAGAAGCAAGAATTTCAGCCCATGCTGCCTGCCTCTTGTGTGACCTTCAACGAGTCATTTAACCTCAGCCTCTACTTACCTGCAGAATGGAGGCACCAGTACTTCTTAGTTAACAATGGGATAGAGGGAGGCCACTATGTAGGGCTTTGCAGCTGGAGTCCAGTATTCAAATCCCATTTTACTCTTCTGGAAGTTCTATGCTTCAACGCTAGTAATTTAACCTTTCTGTTTCTCAATTTCTTTTTTTTTTTTTGAGATGGAGTCTCACACTGTCACCCTGGCTGGAGTGCAATGGCGCAATCTCAGCTCACTGCAACCTCCACCTCCTAGGTTCATGCAATTCTCCTGCCTCAGCCTCCCAAGTAGCTGGGATTACAGGCACACACCAGTACACCCGGCTAATTTTTTTTTTTTTTTTTTTTTTTTTTTTTTTAGTAGAGATAGGGTTTCACTATGTTGGCCAGACTGGTCTCAAACTCCTGACGTCGTGATCCATCCGCCTCGGCCTCCCAAAGTGCTGGGATTACAGGCATGAGCCACTGCACCTGGCCATCAGTTTCTTTAATGTTAGAATGTAGGTAACAGGTAATAATGGCTTAAGCACTTACTGTAGGCCAGGATGACCTGTGTGGTATGTGCGTTGCTAGGTGCTGAGAATGTATATAAATTGCCTGTCATAAGTAGGTATTTAGTTAATATATATTGTTATTTCTTGGATTTTGATAAGTTTGAAGTTTTGCTTACTTTAAAAAAAGACATAAGGATTGGGGGGTGGCTCACACCTGTAATTCCAGCACCTTAGGAGGCTAAGGCAGGAGGATAACTTAAGTCCAGGAGTTTGAGACCAGCCTGGGTTGGCATAACGTAGCAAGACTCCATCTTTAATTAAAAAAAAAAATTTTTTTTTTTTTTTTTTTGAGAGAGTCTCGCTCTGTCACCCAGGCTGGAGCGCAGTGGCACAATCTCGGCTCATTGCAAGCTCTGCCATCTGGGTTCACGCCATTCTCCTGCCTCAGCCTCCCGAGTAGCCGGGACTACAGGCACCTGCCACCACGCCCAGCTGATTTTTTTTTTTTTTTTTTTTTTGATTCGGAGTCTCGCTTTGTTGCCCAGGCTGGAGTGCAGTGGTGCGATCTCGGCTTATTGCAAGCTCCGCCTCCCGGGTTCACGCCATTCTCCTGCCTCAGCCTCCTGAGTAGCTGGGGCTACAGGCCCCCACCACCATGCCTGGATAATTTTTTTTTTTTTTTTGTATTTTTAGTAGAGACGGGGTTTCACCGTGTTAGCCAGGATGGTCTCGATCTCCTGACCTTGTGATCCGCCCGCCTCAGCCTCCCAAAGTGCTGCGATTATAGGTGTGAGCCACCGCGCCCAGCCAAAAAAAATTTTTTTTAATTAGCTGGGCATGGTGGCATGAGCTGTAACCTGTAGTCCAGCCTAAGGTGGAGGTGCAGCCGAAAAGCAGGTCAGTTGTTTACCGCATGCAGAGTCCAGTTAACAAGAGTGAGGCGCATACAAAGCCAGTGAATTTACTCTGAAGTCAGCTTGGGGAAGGGGCACGATGTCCTGCTGTACCGCTTCACTTTTAGAGCAGAAAGCAGGCACTTTTATAAGGTATAGGAGGAAATGAGCAAGGGCAGGGGTCCCCCTGCTATCTGGGTACTTTATCTAACTGGCAATTGAGTTGGCATCTTCCTGGGCAGAAAGAAGTAAAAGTGGCCATGGGGACATGATTTGGTCTGCAAATCCACTGTCAAGAGATCCGTCTTGGAGCACGTAGTTAGCTGAACTTGCCCCATAGAAGATGTCTGGTGAGGGGGAGGGGAAAGGTTATATTTGCATTTCTAAAGGGCTAAGTAGGAAGCAGGGTACCGGGGAAAGGGGGAGAGGAGAAAATAATTAAACTATCTCTTAGAAAAAATGGGGCTGGGCATGGTAGCTCATGCCTGTGAATCCCAGCACTTTGGGAGGCTGAGGCCAGCGGATCACTTGAGGTCAGGAGTTCAAGACCCACCTGGCCAGCATGGTGAAACCCCATCTCTACTAAAAATACAAAACTTAGCCAGACTTGATGGCGGGCGCCTGTAATCCCAGCTACTCATAAGGCTGAAGCAGGAGAATCTCTGCTGGGAGGTGGAGGTTGCCGTGAGCAGAGATCGCACCACTGTGCTCCAGCCTGGGCAACAGAGCGAGACTCTGTCTCCAAAAAAAAAAAAAAAAAAAAAATGGGGGTACTTGGTTACAGGAGGATTGCTTGAACCTAGAAGTTTGGGGCTGCAGTGAGCTGCAGTCACACCACCACACTCTAGGCTGGGCGACAGAGCGAGACTTTGTCTATAAAAAGCGAGACTCCGTCTATAAAAATAATAATAAATAAAAGGCTGGGCGTGGTGGCTCATGCCTGTAATCCCAGCACTTTGGGAGGCTGAGGCGGGTGAATCACGAGGTCAGGAGTTCGAGATCAGCCTGGCCAACATGGTGAAACCCTGTCTCTACTAAAAATACAAAAACTAGCTGGGTGTGGTGGTGGGCGTCTGTAATCCCAGCTACTCGGGAGGCTGAGGCAAGAGAATTGGTTGAACCCGGGAGATGGAGTTTGCAGTGAAGCAAGATCGCACCACCACTGCACTCCAGCCTGAGCGACAGAGCAAGAATCCATCTAAACGATAATATAACAATAAATAAAAATGTGAAAGACATACATGTACATAAATAAATTTAAAAATGTGAAAGACATACTTGGTATGCTTCATCCTGGCTAAGGATGAACTTTGCTATCCACTTGTAATATTACTAAAAATCATAGTGCTAGAATGTATGCTAAGCATTAGTTTATGAAATTCCTGAGGTTGGGTGTGGTGGCTCACGCCTTACAGTCCCAACGCTTTGGGAGGCGGAGGCGGGCAGATCACCTGAGGTCAGGAGTTTGAGACCAGCCTTATTAACATGGCGAAACCCTGTCTGTACTAAAAATACGAAAAAAAAAAATTAGCCGGGTGTGGTGATGCTCGCCTGTAATCCCAGCTACTTGGGAGGTTGAGACAGGAGAATTGCTCAAACCCAGGAGGCGGAGGTTGCAGTGAGCCAAGATTGTGCCACTGGACTCCAGCCTGGGCAACAGAGCAAGACTCTGTCAAAGAAAAAAAAAGAGGCTGGGCGCAGTGGCTCATGCCTGTAATCCCAGCACTTTGGGAGGCTGAGGCGGGCAGATCACCTGAAGTCGGGAGTTTGAGACCAGCGTGACCAACATGGAGAAACCCCATCTCTACTAAAAATACAAAAATTAGCCAGGCGTGGTGGCAAATGCCTGTAATCTCAGCTACATGGGAGGCTGAGGCAGGAGATTCACTTGAACCCGGGAGGCAGAGGCTGCAGTGAGCCAAGATCGTGCCATTGCACTCCATCTTGGGCAACAAGAGCAAAACTCCATCTCAAAAAAAAAAAAAAAAAATTCCTGAAGCATTTTTTACTTTCTGTTCAAAACACTGAGTTTGTTCTTTTTAAAAGACAGTGATCTCTCTGAACTTGTGCTTCCTGGAAAGTTGACATGGGGATAGGGAGCTTTCCTGGAAGTTGGGGCTAAGTATGGGAGTAGGGTGCAGGCTCAAGGATAACATTTTTTGGGTGTTTGGGGTAAAGATAGGATAGTTGTGAGCCAAGCAGAGAGGAGGCAGAGCTGGGGGCAGGGGTGGGCCCAAGAGGGTGCCCGGGAAGTGGAGTTTAGAGAAGCTGCCTGTGTGCAGGGAGGGGGCTGTTGAGGATGCCCCACCACTTCCAATGTCATCTCATAATGTGATTGGCAAACGTGAGGTTACATTTCACAATGTGTTTCTTTAATGATCTATAAGCCAGTTATTTTCTGCTTTGGGCATTTCAAACAATTGCTTCTTGAAATGTTAATGCTCTAATTTTGCATTATCTACCAAAACACCTCTTTTATTTTCTTTCTTAAAGAGAATTCAATGGAAAACTTTTGTATTTGCTGTGAATTTAGTAATAAAACAATGGAAAACGGGACATGAGAGCAACATGCTTTGCTTGGCTGTAGAATTTTATTGTCTGCTTTTTATTAACCTTTCATTTTAATTTTACTTACTTACACCTTTGTTTAAGAAAGGATGTAAGACAACAGATGAAAAAATAAAATAGCATATATTTTTTAAAGGAGTCACACATTTCTTAAAAAGAAGACAATTGAGAACATTGCTGCATTATTACCACTGTTACAGCATATGCCTGGTACAGATTGCAGTCCCTGGAAGGAGCTTGCAGCTTGGAGTGGAACCTCCTTCGAGATGAAAATCTGACAGCTGGATTCCTGTTTGGCTCATGGACTGTTGGAACCACTTCTGCATGTTTTGAGTGTGCAGCCTACCCTCCCTAGTTGACAGGAGCCAGAAAATTCTTCAGCAGTAAAATGCCAAGCCAATAGAGATCAACCACAAGAAGTCTGCATGAGTAGGCAGGGTATAACGGATGAACACGAATGACAGAAGGTATAAGGTCAGGCTTTTAGGGAGAAATAAGCCGATTTCTTACTGTGAAGATAGGATCTGAGCCATCAATTTTGGTGCAACTCTGGAGCTTGTTTCTAGAGACTGGGGCCTTTTGATTTTCTATTAGTCTCAAGGGCAACAAATATATATATGAACATGACCAGGAAGAGTAATGAAAACCAAGTTGTACAATGGTAGCAGAAGATTTCCTGAGCCCTTGCAATGACCTCTGATTGGGAGTCAGGATTTTTGCACCTTGGGCCCATTTGTTCTTGAATTCTGTGATTGTAGCCGAGATGTGTGCTGCAAGACCTGATTCCTTCTCTGCCCCGTAAACCTTACAGGTGATGTGCTTCCTGCTTTTTTTTTTTTTTTTCAGTCTTTGGGATTCTGTTGTTACTAATTGTGTAATCTTTTTTTCAAATTTATATTGCCATCTTGGAGGTATTGTGTTTTGTAAGTTTTTTCCTTAACTCTGTGTTAAGTAGAACTCACTTAAGTTTCAAAAATTGTTCCTATTTGTAGAAACTTTTTAGAATTGTTTTATCTGTTTCTTTGTTCAGCTTTTCTGACTCATTTGTGATTTGATTATTTCTCTGCTAAGCTCTTTCCAAAGTGAAACCTAAAATGGCTGTAGGAGCCAAACTTCCAAAATCAGTGTAGGTCAGCCTGACCTCTGTCCTCAACAAAGATGTGATAGAATTCAGGGTTTTTGTTTGTTTGCACCATTCTCCTGCCTCAGCCTCCCGAGTAGCTGGGACTACAGGCGCCCGCCACCACGCCCAGCTAATTTTTTGTATTTTTGGTAGAGACGGGGTTTCACTCTGTTAGCCAGGATGGTCTCGATCTCCTGACCTCGTGATCCGCCCACCTCAGCCTCCCAAAGTGCTGGGATTACAGGCGTGAGCCACCACGCCCAGGCAATTCAGGGGTTTTAAGTGAAGGACAACTGAAATCACCTAGCCCACCCCTTGCGTGTTTAAGCATCAAGGAGCATTCATTGGTGATGATTTGAATGTCCTGGGACAGTGGTGGAGCTTCAAAAGGGGTCATTGTGAAGATAGAGAGCACAGCCGCAGGAGTCAGATCCAAGTTTGAGTTTCTAGCAGGTTTTGTGGGGGGCAAATTACCTAACCTGTCTGAGCCCGTTCATCCAGAAAATCCAGACAGTTTTACTGTCGTAGAGCTTTTGTGGGAATGAAGTGGGAGTGCATGGAAATGCTTGACATAGCAGTGGATATGCGACTGTCAAATGAATGCCGTGTATTTCTATTAGTGTCATGAGCATAGCCATTAATAAGGAAGGCTTTTATTGGTTACTTATATAATTTGGATGAATCGTTGATCTGGTATATATATATATTGTAAACGCCTCTTCCTTCTATGTTGCCTTTCACTTTCATGAACTAAGTTTGGTTTGAGTTAGGCTACACATTATTAGTTTCTAACAATCTTTCGGGTTAGGGGTCCATAACCAAATAAACTCCTCCTCCATCTTCAATAAGTCACTTGATCTTTCCGATCCTCGGGATTTTTATCTGTAAAATGGGAGTCTGATACCAACCTCAAGGCGTTTTGAGTATTAAAAGTATTAAGTGAGGAAATAGTGGAATTATTTTGTTAGCTGTAAATCTGTGTAAATGCATTTGTGACACCATTGACAAGCCTTTAAAGCTCTGTGATGCGTCTCGGTCCTTCCTTTTCACTTTGCCAGTTGCACATTCCCTGTCCTCCTTACATAGCCCTTTCTCCAGTTCAGTCCTCACCTCCTTGGATTTTTTTTTTTTTTTGACGGAGTTTCGCTCTTGTTGCCCAGGCTGGAGTACAATGGTGCAATCTCAGCTCACCACAACCTCCGCCTCCTGGGTTCAAGCAATTCTCCTGCCTCAGCCTCCTGAGTAGCATGCGCCACCATGCCTGGCTGTTTTTTTGTATCTTTACCAGAGACAGGGTTTCTCCATGTTGGTCAAGCTGGTCTGGAACTCCCAACCTCAGGTGATCTGCTCGCCTCAGCATCCCAAAGTGCTGGGATTACAGGCGTGAGCCCCCTTTTTAAGTCTCTTGCTTCAACCCTTCATCTCTATCTGCCTTCTGGACATCACGCCACCTAGGTGTTCAAATTCACCTCTGCCCCAAGCCTGACTACCTCCCAATTTCTCCCTAACCCATATTCGAGCCAAAACCCTGGAATGCTCATTGATTCTTTTCCATTTCATACTCAGTAACTGTCCCGTAGATCCGTGAATCCTCTAGGACTTCAGCAGACTCTGATCCTTCATTTCCTTTCAGCTTCCAGGCTGCTGGCCGCACAACCTCAGCCTTGAATTTCTGCTGCTGTTTCCTTTAGCTCTCTCTGGTTTTGTTTTTTGTTTGTTTGTTGTCTGTTTCAGTCAAGCTGTACCAAATTAATCTTAACAAATAATACTGGTGACATTATTTCTCTACCCAGAAACCTTGTATGACTTCCTCTTATTTCTTGGGTCAGGGTCAAACTCCTTGGCTCCATTTTTAAAGCCCTGTATAAATTAGATGTTTTGTGTATTTTCTGGCTACTTTGTGGTGATGTTCTGCCCTCTTCCACCGCAGAGGAAGCACCGTGTGGTCAGGGGCCGTGGCTGTCTGAGTCACCATTATATCCCCTGCACAGTGCCAGGCACATAATGGTACTTAACAAATGTTTGCTGAATACATTGAGCAGACAGATGGGTGTCCAAATTAGTTTCTTACCTACTTCCTGCCTTCTTATGCCCCTTTACGCCTGCTGGTTTGGTCAGTGTTCTGTGTTTCTGTCCCCAACACCGGCCTGTTATTATTTTCCCCTGAAATGCTGCAGCCCATCTTGGACACCCAAAGCAGATCAGAGTCCACCTTTGTGTTCTCATTGGGGTCTCACCACCTCCATGAAGTTTTCTTTGCATTCTGACTTCTGTGAACTTCTTTCTGCCTCATTAATGTTAGCATTCCTGTTTTATATTGTTCAGTTAAATCAATGTTTGCATGGAGTTTTTTTGGGGGGTGGGGAATAGGAAATAGATAGGGATCTATGTGTAATTTCTTTGAGCTACGGACCATATTATATTTCTTTTGTGCCCCTAGTGGTTTCTAAAGCCGGTTGACATTCAGTAAACTTACTGATTGAAGGGATAAGTATTTGCTAATGACATACTCACCTTGTCTACTGGTATTCTTGAGGAATACATTGCAATTTTAGCAATCAAATTCTAGAGGAACTTATTATTGGAAGGAATTTATTTGTTGTTAATTTGGTAAATCTAAGTCAGGTACAAGAGGAAGAAAGCAAATTCAAACATATGCCTTTATCCTCAGGCTCCAGAGTGAGTCAGGGCTTATGGAGACTCAGTCCAGGACTGAAGAGCATGCCAAAAGATGAAACAATGGCTTTTCCCTTTCGCTGGGCTTGTCCTTTTCATCTGGCAGATATTGATTATCTTCCTCTTATGTTTCTTATTGTGGTGGGAAAAGGTTACTTTATCACCTTTTGCACTAGCACCACTAATGACATTTGTAAAAGAAAACAAGTTTCAGATGGATCAGATATATTTTTTTGTATGGTATTTGGTTATTTTTTTGTTTTGTTTTGTTTTTGTCAATTAAATGGAGCTGCATTTGTACCGTAGATACAGGTTAGTCTCACGTTAAATCCTGTTCTACTTGCATTGTTCCTGTGGAGATCAGTCAGACAGAATGAGTTACTCCAGTCTACACAGTGCTTGATGTTGTTGTATGATTCCAAATACATCATTGGGGTTTATTTCTGTTTGACGATGAATCCCATATTTCCAGACTTTCCAAAGATATTCTACATGTGAATGAAAATGAGAGAAGGGGGGCGTTGAGCAGGAAAAATGCCATCAGGATATGGCGGAGCTGGGAATAAGAGGAACTGTGGCCGGGCACAGTGGCTCACGCGTGTAATCCTAGCACTTTGGGAGGCCGAGGTGGGCGGATCACGAGGTCAGGAGATTGAGACCATCCTGGCTAACACGGTGAAACCCCGTCTCTACTAACAAATACAAAAATTTAGCCGGGCATGGTGGCGGGCACCTGTAGTCCCAACTACTCAAGAGGCTGAGGCAGGAGAATGGCATGAACCCGGGAGGCGGAGCTTGCAGTGAGCCGAGATCATGCCACTGCACTCCAGCCTGGGCGACAGAGCGAGACTCTGTCTCAAAAAAAAAAAAAAAAAAAAGGGACTGTATTGTGTAAAGCCTCAGGCTATATGGTTGGAACCTTTACAAAATGAAATAGGGAATTTTTTTTTTTTTACCAAGTCCAGTTAAGTGGTTGCTTTTTAATGCCTGATAAGTAAGTGGCTTGGTCTCTTAGTATAATCAGTATCTACTAAATGACACCAAATAATATGTGACACCCTTTCTCTCCGTAGAACAGCTCTTACTCAGCACAAAGCACCCATGCTGTCTTGGTGTTAATTAGCTCTGAAATCTGCTTTTTCTTTTAAAGTGCGTAAGCACCAACTATCATAATAAACACTGCAGGTTTTTATGAGCTGATGCAGTTTCTTTCCATCAGATTATTGGGGAACATATGGACAGTAATGAATCTTCAATTGTGGTAATCAGGCAAACTTCCCAAAATCCAGTAGAATATAGTTTGTGGAGCCTTCATTGGTGAAATTTAGTAATACAGATACATCGCCTGGAAGTTCGAGTTTGAAAATACAGGCTAAAGCAACAAAAAACCTGGTGGCTTTAATATTCCCAAAGTGAATATAAATATGAGGTGTTATTAAGTTGTTATTTGCATGCTCTATTCAGTCTTCAAAGTATCAAATTAAATATCATCATCATGGTAGGTATAAGTACCGTTCACCCAATGTGGTTGGTTCTTTGCTTGCCCAGCACATGGTAGGACTGCACTTGCTAGTTAGTGTCCTTGTGGTCAAGTGAGACCTTGGGACTAGTTCTAGCTGGTGATGTCAGTGGAAGTGAGGTGTGTCACTTCTAGGTCCAAGCATTGAAATGCCAGTGTGAGCCAGGGAGCCTGCTGTCCCCTCTGCCTTGGTGATTGGCACAGGATGACTGCTGTGTCATCCTGGGACCTGAAGACATTGCCAAACTGTACTAGCTGGCCTCAGATGGACATGTAAAGTGAGAGAGAAATAAGCCATTGAAATTTTTGGATTGTTTGTTACTGCAGTATCATCTAGCCCAGCAGTTATCAAGCTTTTTGGTGTTAGGATTCCTTTACATTCTTAAGTTATTCCTTACATTCTTAAGTTATTTGGTGTTAGGATTCCTTTACATTCTTAAGTTATTACATTCTTAAGTTATTCTTAAGTTATTCCTTTACATTCTTAATGTTATCCTTTACATTCTTAAGTTATTAAGTTATTGAGGATCCCAAAGAGCTTTTGTTTATGTGAATTATAGCTATCGATATTTAGTCAGAAATTAAAACTGAGTAATTGCTAAAATATTGTTGTAAAATAAGACACAAATACAAATGTATTTCAGTAGAAGCACAAGGAAAACGTTTAAGGATTTAAAATGACTGTATTGGACAATAATGAGGTTATAGATACACAGACATCACCGCAAATAGAACCAACGATAGCACAGTCAAGGAACTGAGAGCTAATTGAGTTAATCTCAAAACTCTTGTATTTATTTAAACTCTTGTATTTATACCAACCTTAGAAATTTCTAGAAAACATAAGACATGTACACACATTCCATTAAACATCAGAACAATGATATTGTAACTAAAAGTTCTCTGAAAGATAATTTGGAAAAAAGAGATTTTACTCCAATGAATACTTTGCAAACCGGGGAAACCCAGCCTCCAGTATAAAACAAAGGTGGGTTCCAGAGAACAAAAGGAAAACTCAGGTTTTATAGCCAAAGTTCCTGCCTGGGTTCCCAGTCAGGTCCATTTATGTAAATGAAGGATAGAAACTTGCTTAGTTCTGATTGGTTGATACAGGTGAGTCCTGATTGGCTGGGGCAGAGGAGCTCGGATTGATTGAGGTGGGTGAGCTCCAAAGATAAAAAGATGTGGATTTTGGAAAACTCTGTGCGACCTCTAGTCAGCAAAAGGCCACCTGACTATTTTAAATTTAGGTATGTCAGGATCCATCTTGAAGGATTGCCTCTTTTAGGCTCACGTTTGTTCCCAAGATCATCACACATCCTGTAACCTTAAGATTCCACTGTACACTGAAGAAAGGATGAGAGTGAAAAAGGCAAATAACAGCTTCGTGTTATTAGAAAAATAGTTTTGACTTTGTGGATCCCTGAAGGGGTCTCAGAGATTCCTGGGATGCCCCAGACCACACTTTGAGAACCACTGATCTAGCCTAGCCTAACCAAATGCAATCGTGGTACAGACATATTATCCAGACATGTTTTAGCTTATTTTGCCTTAGCCTCCTGAGGTGCTGGAAGTACACCTGGATAATTTTTTTAAATTTTTTTGTAGAGTCAGGATCTCGCTATGTTGCTCAAACTGGTCTTGAACTCCTGGCCTCAAGCGATCCTCCCACCTTGGGATACCAAAGTGCTGGGATTACTGTACTGGTGTGAGCCATTGCACCCAGCCCTGTTATTGACTTCTGACTTCATCCTCTTGTGGTAGGAGAAGATATTTTGTATGATGTCAGTCTTTAAAGTCTATTGGGACTTAATTTGGGGCCTAACATATAGTCTATCCAGAAAATATAACCAGGTGATTGAGATGATGAAAGATTATAGACTTAAAGTATGATACATTTCTTAATTTTTGTTACAGAATTTTAGGATAAGAATGTACCTTTAGGTGTCATTCTTAATGATAATCTCATTGCATTTTGAAATAACAGTATTTCTGTAAGAGTGAAAGAGGTTCTCATTTATGAAATATCGAACCAGTGACCTTAGCTATTCAGTTTTAATGAAAGGACCAATCTAACCTTTTATTGAATGTGATATTTATTAAAAATGAAACATCTTATTTACATTACTTAATAGCATATTAAGCCATTTATTAATAAGATTAAAGAATGTCTTGCAGAGTAGATATTCTACTCTCTTGTCATCTAGTTTAATTTTAATAACCAGGAAATAGCAGTCTAACTGAGAGTCAGTCAATCTGTCTAATCCAGTACTTGTAACTTTATGAGACACAAAAAAGGACAATTAAAATTTGCAGAAAGAAAATGATTTGTGACTGGGTGCAGTGGCTCACGCCTGTAATCCCAGCACTTTGGGAGGCCGAGGCGGGCGGATCACCTGAGGTCAGGAGTTCAAGACCAGCCTGGCCAACACGATGAAATCCCATCTCTATTAAAAATTCAAACAATTAGCTGGGCATGGTGGCGTGCGCCTGTAGTCCCAGCTACTTGGGAGGCTGAGGCAGGACAATTACTTGAACCCAGGAGGCAGAGGCTGCAGTGAGCTGAGATCACAGCACTGCACTCCAGCCTGGGTGGCAGAGTGAAACTCCATCTCAAAAAAAAAAAAAAAGAAAATGATTTGTAATGGCCGTGTGGGAAAAAAAATAAGTCCCTTTTACATCATCACATAAGTAAACCTACCTGGAAAAGATTATTTTCCCATGATTTATGTTTGAAACACCAGGGTTTGGTATAGGTGGTATATTGATAAGTGTAGCAAGAAATGCATTTAAAGTTGGGAGGAAAACAAAACACTACAGCAAGAAGAAAAAGGAGAAAATGCAGAGATGGAAATATGGAGGCCCACCTCTTCTAGAGAACCTTGTATTTTTATAGAAATAGAATATACATGCAGAAAAGTGGTCATCTCCTGAGTATACAGCACAATGAATTTTCACAAGCAGGACTGCTTCATGAATGAATGTTTCCGTTATCCATGCACCAGGGCGGTGCCCTCTGAATTGTTCCAGTTTCAGTACTCCTGTTGCCAAAAAGATACCACAACTGAATTGTGATGATGGTAATAACAAAAGTGGTTATGGTCCTAGTATGAGCTGGACATTGTTAGGCACTCATGCTTGTATTATCTCAATTACGCCTCACAAAGACTCAGAAAGAAGCACTATTGTCCACAGTTTGCAGGTGATGAAACAGAAAGGGGCTTAAAGGAGCTATAATTCCTAAGTTTTTGCTGTGTGTTGGGCACTGTGTGAAGCACTTCATAGTCTCTGTCTGGTTTCATTCTCACACTGTCCTTGCAAGGGTTGTCATCCCCTTTTATGGAGGAGAAGACTAAATGCCAGAAATCTCACTTGCCATGGTCACAAAGCTTGGAAGTGACAGATCCTGCATCCAAACATGGGCCGTTGACTGCCACACCTGCATTCTCTACTAGCAGAATGGAAGGCTGTGTTGCCCCAGAGCGAACCACATGAGCATGGCTGGAAGACAGGCAGCCAGCCCCTGTTTGGCAGTGCCGTCCCTGAAGTCTGCACCAAAGGGAAGATGGGAGAAAGAGATTTGCCGCGGAGTGGGGTCTCACCAATTCTCAGAGGCCAGGAGCTGCTCATTCAGCAAGATCCTTGACCCTATTCTGACAGAGTAGTTCATGGAACCTTCAAGGAGCTCCTACTTTAAAATGGCATGCAGCAGAGTTGCCTCTCTCCAAACCAGCGGGAAGCTCTCTGTGGCCTGCTTTAAAGGGCAAGCTGAATGGCTTGGGTCTAGCTAGTTTTTTTTCCCCCTCTGTCACCCAGGCTGGAGTGCAGTGGTGCAGTCATAGCTCACTGCAACCTCAGCCTCCCCAGGCTTAGGTGATCCTCCCACCTCAGCCTTCCAGGTAGGACCACAGGCAAGCGCCTCCACGCCCAGGTAATTTTTGTATTTTGGGTAGATATGGGGTTTCGCCATGTTACCCAGTCTAGTCTTGAACCTGTGGGCTCAAGCAATCTGCCCACCTCTGCCTCCCAAAGTGCTAGGTCTACACGTGTCAACCATTGCGTCCAGCCTTGTTTCTTTTCTGAATAGCAGAATCGAGTAAAGTTAGAGCCAGAAGGCTCCTGGAGGTCACCCACGCCATCACCTACTCCTCAGATGAAGCTGGCCTGAGCCTGGTCTAGGGCTGAGGAGATGGGCTTGAGGGAGCAGAACCCGGGCCCCAGCACCGCTGCCCCCTCAGGCATGTGGGACCGATGGGCCAATGTCCTCTGCACGTCTTTCCAGTCACGTTTATTGTCTTCCTCTTGGAGTCCTTCAGAATTCCTTGTTTAGAACCCCTGATAAACTCGCACAAATACCCTGGCTTTCTAGCATCTGAATAACTTAATCCTGTAGAAAATATTTAGATTCTGGGCCAAAAATTATTACTAAAGTACAGTAAAATTGTATTTTTTTTGCTGGTGAAGAAGCTCATTAGTCCTGGGACTGAAAGATGTTGAAAAATTGTGGAAGTAACAGAGAATACAGTCATCTTTTTTTTTTTTTTTTTTTTGTAATTATGGTCCCAGGACTAACTTATGTCTCTGTGACCTCTTTCTTTGAGGATCTGTGTTCCAGGCCCTCATCCTAGAGGACTGTCAATCCTCACATCGCCTCCTGGGACCTGGGCCTATTCTTCTGTTCAGTTGGCAGATTTTTGGGGCCCCTCTAGCATGTCAGTGACCCAGAAATGTGCTTCAGTTGTCAAAATGGTGGGGATACGTCCTCAAATCAAATGTTCTTTAACTGATATACCAAAGGGTAGAACTGCCCATCCAGTACCACCCCTGATAGGCCAAAATAGCCTCTAGAATCAAACATAACACTTCCCAAAAGCAGACCTGCGGGGCCAGCCACATAGCCCGCTCAGTGTCCCAAGGCCTCTGAGGGGCCCTGTCTAGAGACCCTCTTGGTGGCTGTGAGGCAGGCCACAGTGAATGTGGGTTTGCCTCATTGGCACCCGCCCCCCCCACTGTGGTTAAAGCACACCAGAGCCCGTCTGCCTTGTGCCACACCTTCAGATGTCCTGCGTAGGAGAATTGGAGAGTTGATGCCTTTTGGTTTTTAGGGGGTCTGGGGGTTTTGGGGAGGGTTGGTTACTACAGGTTAGGGAAGCATTTCTGCCACTGAATGTGCTGCCTTCTGGAATTAGAGGTTGCATTCGAGTGCACGTGGGCCTTACAAGTTTGTCTTTGAATTTCAAGGATTCATGTTCGTTATGTCATTAAATTGATGTCATTTCTGTCTAATGGTATATAGCTTTTCTTTGCCTGAACCTGTTCTGTTTAGAGTGCCTTGGCATGATTTACTTCAAATAAGTTAAAGAGTTAGCACGTCTCTGTGACATTTTTGTTTCAGCTCAGAGCACACTGAGCCATTCCAGAGACCCAAACGTTCATTCATTGGATAGCAGCACTTCCCAGCAAAACCCAGTCCCTATTGATGTATGTAATTGATCACTTTATTAACTGGCAAAAAGAAGCCTTGTTGAGGTGATAAACCGAACTTCATTACATCCTGTATGTCGAGAGCAAACACATTGGGACGTGGCTGATGGGTTCCCATTTCAAGGCTGATTCTGATGATGATAATGTTTAAGTAGCATTGATTGTTCTCTAATTGAATTTTTCTTTCTTTAGGCCTCTTCTGAAGAGCTGAAAGCTGCCTACCGGAGGCTCTGTATGCTCTACCATCCAGACAAGCACAGAGACCCAGAGCTCAAGTCACAGGCGGAACGACTGTTTAACCTTGTTCACCAGGCTTATGAAGGTCAGTGGAGGGCCGGACTTTGTAGAAACATCCTGGTAACAGATATTCGATTTTTAGGAGGTGCGATTTGTAGAGGATAGAAAAAGAGAGTCCTTAGAGGTATATAAAACAGGTGGTTAGTTTAGTACTTTTCACTGACAGGGTCCTTTGAAAGAATAGTATTTTGCTTTGGAAATCAATACGTGTCCAGTAAGTAGAAAATGAGAGACCGGGCGAGGTAATAGACAGAGTCTCAATTGCAAGGGAATACTCAAGTTTTAAATCGTTTACCAGTTTTCTTCTAAAGGGAACTCTTATAGGTAAAAGGCTGATCGTTACAGGGAAGGTTTCTTTGTTCTCTTTTTTGTTAGAAGATACAAGGACATTTTTTCATCCAAAAGTGATTTTATTGGTTCTGAAGCAGTTATCGGTTGTAATAAAAGAAAGAAAATGATGTTAAGAAGGCTTATAGGAAATAGAACCAAGTGATTCACATTTTTATACTTATGTCTTATGTATGTCAGAAAGAACATTCTGTGATATATTTGTTTATAAAATATTAAAGTCACTACCAGATACAGAGCTTCTGTCTGGGATGGCAAAAAGTTCTGGAAATAGAGAGTGATGATGGTTACACAACATTGTAAATGTACTTCATGCTATTGAATTGTATACTTTAAAATGGTTAAAATGGTAAATATTATATGTATATTTTACCACCATTTTTAAAATTTAAATTAAAAAAAATGTTAAATCACTGTTATATACATCAACTACAATAAGTTATTTGTTCCAGAACCATCTGGTGATTTGCTCCTTAGACCAAAAATTAGATAATATGTTTCTTTATAAAATCATAAAGTCATCTCACTGTATACATAATAGCTTGTAGTGTTTTTCACTTTATAGTTTTACCAAAAAGTTAGATTTTAATGGCCAGTGAAAATCAGGCTGCAGTGTGTGATAAATGTGTACAGTCGGTGTAGTGTCATTACCAAATTTAACTGTATTCAGATCATTTGCATGGCGGTTGTGAAGAGTAGCCTGTTCTTTTTATTGTATTCTGTTATCTAAATGGGTGCATTAATTTTACTGTTGTCTAAATTAGCCACATAGTTTGCTTGTATTGTGTTGGAGACCTGGGGAAGAGTTAAAGAAAAACCCTACCAGTGCTAGTGAAAGTGCCACAACAGCAGACCTGGCCTCATGTTTAGCTTAAAGGGAGACTCAGGTAAAATAGTGAATGAATAATTCCTTATTAAATGCTGGAGAGGAACACAAGTTTGGCTCCTGTGTTTTCCAGGGGCCAGCATTTCTTCCTTTCCCGTTAGATTTGATTATGCATAGTATCATTTATGTGGTTTTTAAATTAGGCCTACAAATATATGGGAACTGTCAGGGGAGAAGAGACCCAAAGGTCTTGGCAGAAATTGGTGAAGCAGAGGGGGAAGAGAACAACCATTGGCCTTGCTGACATTTGAGTTCAGTTGGGATATCGTTCAGTTGGGATATCGTTTGAACAGCCCTCACCGTTAGCTGAGAAATCCTTTTCTGATGTATTTTGGGTGATGTGGCCAACAACATGATAAGAGATGTTTTTGTCTTTTAAAATTATTTACAAATAGAGAGGAGAAGTGCACAAAAGAAATGTAGCCTGTCTTTGGAGTTAACAGAACTCTATAGAGTAAATAACAAATCAGCTTTTTCTAGTATCTGAGCCTGTTTCTACTTTTATAGCAAGCTTCTTTAGAAACTGGAACCCACTCTTTCAAGTCAGTGTACTTTTATACACCGTGGCAGAAATTTACCAAATTATCTTAAAAACAACGTTCATGTCCTTTCCCAATGCAGGAGCCCGTGCCACTTCCTGCATGGTGCACCTTGTACACCTTGTAGCTGTACCTTCCAATCAAGAGTAACTTGGACACTGGAAAATCTGACTTTTCTCATTTGTAGCCGCCTTTAAACATATCCTACATTAGCTGGGTGCAGTGGCTCACACCTGTAATCCCAACACTTTGCAAGGCCAAGGCAAGAGAATCATTTAAGGCCAGGAATTCGAGATCAGCCTAGGCAACATAGTGAGACCCCATCTCTACAAAAAATAAATTAGCTGGGCATGGTGGCACACACCTGTAATCCCAGCTGCTTGGGAAGCTAGAGCAGGAGGATTAGTTAAGCCCAGGAATTCAAGGCTGCAGTGAGCTATGATCTTACCATTGCACTCCAGCCAGGACAACAGAGAAGGACCCTGTCAGTCAATAAGTCAATAAACAAATCCTAGGTTGAATCGAAAAAGCAGTTGGGAGGAAAGATGTGTAGAAAATGAAAGGGGTCTCTAGGAAGATTGTGATCAGACAGGGAGAACAGGAGATGGGCTTACCTAATGATGTCAGTATTCTCAGGAAGGACTGAAGGTGAATTTTGTATTTTATAAACATGTTTAATTTTTAATTTGCAGTGCTTAGTGACCCCCAAACCAGGGCCATCTATGATATATATGGGAAGAGAGGACTGGAAATGGAAGGATGGGAGGTAAGAGAAACTGTGCGTCTGGTGTTCCAGAAAAGTCATTAAACAGTTACAGAACATCTCCCCAAAACCCTGCAATCTGTAATATTGTCTTTGGGAATATTTGAAACCATTAGAGCCCCCTTCCTTGCCCTGTATTTTTGTTTTAGAGGTTGAGTTTTGGACTTGGCTTTGCCACTTTGTAACTCTGAACTTGGGCCAGCCACTCATCTGACTTGTCCTTCGTTCCCTAACCTGTCAAGTAAAACGGAAGAGGGATGGACCGAACCAGTAATTTTTAACCCAGGTGTGGGGCGGGAGCAAGCGGAGCAGGGGGTTGATGGGAGACGATTTCTTCAAGGGTGCAGTTCTGTCTCCATATACACTCCCTTCCACCCTCCACAGTTCTGTGCCTCTCTCTCCACCTCAGTTCTGAATAATTGCTGTGAGGAAATATTTCAGATGGGAGTATGTTATGCACGTGAGCAAAATGGAAGCAGAGTTGCTGGGGTTGCATTGCCTGTAATGACCCTTTCAATTCTCATGTATTATAATATTCAAGCTTTGTCAAATGTGATGAGTGAAACAAAATATATAGCAAATGTGTCGCCCTGGGCAGCCATGCTGTGGGAGAGCAGTCACTAAAATCCAGACAATTTGTTTGCTTTCACACTGCCACTGACTAGCAGTAGAGTCTTGGGCAAGTCATTGGGCTACTAGTGCTTCCATGTTACTATCTGAAAAATGAATATGAAGATTAGTTGTGAAACCCTTAAGTTGCTACAGGGATATATAGGTATCATTAAAGAAACTTTGTTCTGACCCAGGCAAAGTGGCTCACACCTGTAATCCTAACACTCTGGGGAGCCAGGCTGGGAGGATCACATGAGGCCAGGAGTTCGAGACCAGCCTGAGAAACATAGCAAGACCCTGTCTCTACAAAACATTTTTTTAAAAATTAGTCGGGCTTGGTGGCGCACACCTGTATTCCCAGCTATTCAGGAGGCTGAGATGGGAGAATCACTTGAGCACAGGAGGTTGAGGCTGCAGTGAGCTATGATCACGCCACTACACTCTAACGTGGGCAACAGAGCAAGACCCTGTCTCACAAAAAAAAGAAAGAAACTTGGTTCTGATGCCCAATAAATTTTGCTAGTCTGTTTAATAACATTGAATTGACCCTCGTTGAGTTATATTTTCACCATCATGTAAGATTACCCTTGAAGTTCCTTCGTTTTTTTTGTTTTTTTTTTTTTTTTGAGACCAAGTTTTGCTCTTGTTGCCCAGGCTGGAGTGCAGTGGCGCAATCTTGGCTCACTGCAACAAGTGATTCTCCTGCCTCAGCCTTCCTGAGTAGCTGGGATTACAAGGCATGCGCCACTACACCCAGCTAATTTTGTATTTGTAGTAGAGACAGGGTTTCTCCATGTTGGTCAGGCTGGTCTCGAACTCCTGACCTCAGACGATCCACCCACCTCGGCCTCCCAAAGTGCTGGGATTACAGGCATGAGCCACCACACCTGGCCAAAGTTCATTCAATGTTTAGTCTCAAGCATGCGTGCCTGTCTCTTCCAGTTCTGGCATCAAAGCCTTGTAAAGGCCTTCAGATGAGGAGTGGAAGAAAAGCAAAAGAGGATCCTATTTCCTTTCCTGCCTTTCCACTACTGCTTCATATTGGTGGCTCATGGGCCATATTCCACTAATAGCCTTTTTTGGTGTGTGTGTGTGTTTGTGAGAGAGAGTGCGCGCGTGCTCTGTCGCCCAGGCTGCAGTGTGTTGGTGCCATCATGGCTCACTGCACCCTCGACCTCCCAGGCTCAAGTGAGTCTCCTACCTCAGCCTCCCAAGTAGCTGCGACTACAGGCACACACCACCATGCCTAGCTAATTTTTAAATTTTTTGTAGAGATGGGGTCTTTCTATGTTGCCCAGGCTGGTCTCAAACTCCTAGCCTGAAGCTACCCTCCCCCCTCAGCCTCCCAAAGCGCCGGGATTACAGGTGTGAGCCACCGCACCCAGCCTGTTGCCATTTTTTGATTGCCTCACACAGTGAATTCTAGTTGCTAACATTTCAACCCTGGGAGGTTCTGCATGATAATTCAGTCTTCTGTCTTTTCTTGAAACATCTGAAGATCTGGTAACAGTGGATCTGAGGAGCCCTTGCCCTTCAGATGGGGCTGGGCTGTCCAATTTGTCCCAGTCCCCACCACTCCCCCTTGCGTTATGTCTGGCTCTTCTCATCTGCATGTCCTCCTGGCTCCAGTGGGCAGTTGGTATTTGGCCTCTGGCTTGATGGGAATAGCAGTGCTTCCTGTCACATTGGTTCATTGCAGCTAGGTATTAAGCCAAATAACTTAGCATTTTCTCATCCAAAAAGGAAAGTAGAATTCTGTTGTATTTATTCAATTTCCCCGTCACTCTTTATACACTCCTTAAAGCTTCTTTGTTTTTTTAAGATGTGGGTTGGCTACAATTTTTCAAGTCAGCAATTGGAGTCACTGAAAAGCTGTAGGACCCCATTACATATTCCCTCTTCAAAGACTAGGTTTTTAGTCCCCAGCAGCATTATCCCAATCAGTGGAGCACTGGGGTCTGCTGGTAGAATATTGTATGGCTTCCTCTCATCAGACCAGATTATCTTCCCATTAGAAACAAAGCAAATCCACACGCAAAATGGTGGTTATACAAATATATAGGGCTGGGTGCAGTGGCTCACACCTGTAATTCCAGCAGTTTCAAAGGCTGACACAGGAGAATCACTTGAGCTCAGGAGTTCGAGACCAGCTGGAGCAACACAGTGAGATCGCATCTCTACAAGCGATAAAAAATGAAAAAATTAACCAGGCATGGTGGTGAGTGCCTGTAATCCTACTTCTTGGGAGGCTGAGGTGGGAGGATCGCTTGAGCCTAAGGAGGTCGAGGTTTCAGTGAGCCATGATCACACCACTGCACTCCAGCCTGAGTGACAGTGAGACTGTGTCTCAAAAAATAAAAAATGAAATAAATAAATGAAAATAAAAATAAGTGCACAGTCGTGGGTGGCAAGTGGTTAAACATTATTTTCGTATTTTTTTAGTAAACTAAGGAAGTCAGGTTCTCATAGATCAGAATTGGCTTTTTTTTTTTTTTCATGTGGATACTAAGCTTTTGCTGCAAGATAAAAATGCTTTCAAAGAAAACTAAATGAAGACACCTCCCCAGATATTTACTCGGATATGTATTAGTGCTTAACATCCAATAGGAAAATTGAGCCCATTATTCATAATACACAGAAAGTCTCATTGAACTCAAGCACATTCTATGAAGCTGGCATCAACATTCCTTCAAGGAATTCCTACAGCTGGATGGATTGTTCCATATGAGGATTCTCTCACTGCAATAATAGCTTTCACTCCAGGGAGGAAGCTGTATTCCCTTCATGCTGTTGCTGGTATTTTTAGACTGTTAAACTCTTCAGTTGCTGAAGGGTATCCATTTACCACATATTTATTAGGCTACCATATGGGTAGTCAGTGAAGGGTGAAGGGCATTGACTGTTGGTATCCTGAGTGTCTGAGACGCCTTTAATCCAAAGATCTCAAAGTACTCCACCAACTAGAAATCACTCCCCAACCCTGGAGCTTCTTTAGAATGTACAAAATACTGGCCCAGTTGTCAGTCATTAGGTAAATTTTCAGACTTTTTTTTTTTTGAGACAGAGTCTCACTTTGTCACCCAGGCTAGAGTGTAGTGGCACGATCGTGGCTTACTGCAGTCTCGATCTCCCAGCTCAGGCCATCCTCCCACCTCAGCCTCTCAAGTAGCTGAGACTACAGGCATGCATCACCACGCCCTGCTAATTTTTTTATTTTTATTTTTTGAGACGGAGTCTTGCTCTGTTGCCCAGGCTGAGTGTAGTGGCGTGATCTTGGCTCACTGCAACCTCTGCTTCCGGGGTTCAAGTGATTCTCCTGCCTCAGCCTCCCGAGTAGCTGGAATTACAGGTGCGCACCACTATGCCTGGCTAATTTTTGTATTTTTGGTAGAGACAGAGTTTCACCATGTTGGCCAAGCTGGTCTCGAACTCCTGACCTCAGATGATCCTCCTGCCTTGGCCTTCCAAAGTGCTGGGATTACAAATGTGAGCCACCGTGCCCAGCCCCCCCACTTTTTTTTTAAGGCTTCTAGAGACTGTTATTCTTTGGGAGGATTCCCAAGGAATGAGATGTAACCATTCCCAACTTATAAAACCAGCCATACTGTTTACTTCTTGAGGTTGGTTAGTGATGTTTGTGCAGATATCCACATTGAAAATGAAATTGGTCATTTTTTCAGAATGGCAAAAATCTAACCTTGAACTGTGAATACTTTGACAGGGTTGATTCTGGTAATGGCTGGCAACTGCCATGGAAACCACGTAACTCATCTCCTGCAGGTGTCACTTTCAGATGTTAGATTACACCCAGAGTTGCATCCTTCGGCCCAGATCATCTGCAGTTTGGTTTTTGTCTGCAGTCCTTTACATTATTTATATTTTACTTTTCCCTGTCTCTGACATCGGTTTTATAGTATATGAGAAAGTCAGCCTGTATTAAAAGCAGTAATATGGTCAAGATCATGAAAAACTAGCAAAGGTTTAGAACTGTCACAGAGCAGAGAAGACTAAGGACACCTCGTGTCTAAATGCAACGTGGAATCTTGGATTGGATCCTGGAACAGAAAAAGGATGTTCGTAGAAAATCTAGTGAAATCTGAACCCTAGGTTTAATTAGTAGAAATGTATTAATGTTGGTTTCTGAGATTTGAGAGCTCTTCCATGGTTATAAAAGGTGCTAACATTGGGGGAACCTGGGTGCAGGCTATACTAGAAATTTCTGTACTGTTGTTGTAGCGTTTCCAAATCATTTTCTAAAATTATCCCAGAAGAAAAAGTTTACTAGCTAGAACCAGATGACACTTTTCAAATGATGTCGCTTAACCCTCCTCATTTTATAGCAGGGAAACTGAAGCTTAGAAAGGTGACTTGCCTGAGGTCTCCCAGGAGGTTTGAGGTCCTGTCTGTCCTCCTTCCATTATGCCACCTAGCTTTTGGATATCTCCTCATTCCTTTCATCAATAAAGTCAGTCTTCTTGGTGGTTGTTTTTTTGTTGTAGAGATGGGGTCTCACTATGTTGCCCGGGTTGGTCTGGAACTCCTGGGCTGAGTCGGTTTTCTTTTCCTTTTTTTTTTTTTTTTTTTTTTTTGAGATGGAGTTTCGCTCTTTCACCCAGGCTGGAGTGAAGTGGCACGATCTCCGTTCACGGCAACCTCTGCCTCCTAGGTTCAAGCAATTCTCCTGCCTCAGCCTCCCGAGTAGCTGGAATTATGGGCGCCCGCCACCATGCCCAGCAAAATTTTGTATTTTTAGTAGAGACAGGGTTTTGCCATGTTGGCCAGGCTGGTCTCAAACACCTGACCTCAGGTGAGCCCCTGCACCTGGCCGCTCAGTCAGTTTTCTGGTTAGCATAGGGATAGACCTAGTTGGTGAATGCTCCAGTGAACAGCAGTTGTATGGATTCATGAGCTGCATGTGATACACTCTGTCCATGAGAAACATTGAAAATGTCTGGTATTTATCAACTGTCATGCAGCTTTGGATGCTGTGTTCCCAGATGCCTCTGTCTGTAAGGGTTGCTGATAAGGAGAAGAGCGGCTCACAGCTGGCTTAGTCCTGTTCCCCTCTCTGGCATCATGTATTCTGTTTAAAGGAAGATATAAATAATCAAGGCTGGCAGAGGCCTGTGGGAGCTGAGAATGAAGTGCCCTGCCCTGCTAAGTGTCTTCACCGCTCCAGAAAGGCTGGCCATTTTGGCTTTGCTGTTAGCTCTGATTATGTACCAACTATTTGCAAAATTTGTGTAAAATATGACTAAAAATGGAATGATCTGCCACCTTTGGATTATTTGCGTTCGTAATTCATCACAGAATGTAACAGAGAGAAAGTAATTTTCAGCTGTTAGTTCAGTCTTCAAAGATGAAACAGCTAAAATTCCTGAAAATGAATCTTTTCCTGCTGCAGCCTTTGTGAAGCTTCACACTTTCCAGGCTTTGTTTTCTTTTTTCTCCTACAGGGTTTGAGTCCAGGATTTTAATTCTCAGCAGCTAGCAAACCTGTTTCTGAAAAAAATAGTAGTGTATGGGCATATTCATGGGCCTGCTTATGTCACTGATTAAAGTTATGGCGAATCAAACTTTCATTAAAATCTGCATTTTTTAAAACTAATATCCTGTTGAATAGAACACTCAATTATAAAATTTCTATCCAGGCCGGGTGCAGTGGCTCACACCTGTAATCCCAACACTTTGGGAAGTCAAGGCAGGTGGATCACTTGAGGTCAGGAGTTCAAGACCAGCCTGGCCAACATGGTGAAATGTCATCTCTACTAAAGATAAAAAAACTGGCTGGGTATGGTGGCACAAGCCTGTAATCCCAGCTACTCGGGAGGCTGAGGCAGGAGAATTGCTTGAACCCTGGAAGCGGAAGTTGCAGTGAGCTGAGATCGCATCGCTGCACTCCAGTCTAGGTGACAAAGCAAGACTCTGTCTCAAAAAAATAAAATATTAAAATAAAATAAAATATCGCTGGGCGCAGTGGCTCACGCCACTTTGGGAGGCCAAGACAGGCAGATCACGAGGTCAGGAGAACAAGACCATCCTGGCTAATACTGTGAAACCCAGTCTGTACTAAAAATACAAAAAAATTAGCCGGGCGTGGTGGCGGATGCCTGTAGTCCCAGCTACTCGGGAGACTGAGGCAGAAGAATGGCATGAACCCATGAGGCGGAGCTTGCAGTGAGCTGAGATTGCACCATTGCACTCCAGCCTGGATGACAGAGTGAGACTCCATCTCAAAAAAAAAAAAATGGCCAGGCGCAGTGGCTCACGCCTCTAATTCCAGCACTTTGGGAGGCCAAGGCAGGCGGATCATGAGGTCAGGAGATCAAGACCATCCTGGCTAATACGGTGAAACCCCGTCTCTACTAAAAAAAATTAGCCGGGCGTGGTGGCAGATGCCTGTAGTCCCAGCTACTCAGGAGGCTAAGGCAGGAGAATGGTGTGAACCCGGGAGGCGGAGCTTGCAGTGAGCCGAGATCGCACCACTACACTCCAGCCTGGGCAACAGAGCGAGACTCTGTCTCAAATAAATAAATTGAGCAAGACTCTGTCTCAAATAAATAAATAAATCAAATCAAGTCAAATCAAATCTCTTTATCCAGATTGGAACATCCTGCATCCTCTGAGCTATGTAGAGGAACTGTCTGCATTCAGACAGCCTCACACTTAGACCTCCTTGTCCTTGGGATGGTCACCATCCACTGAGTCCAGAGAAACTGTGGCTCCACAGTCAGGTCCACTGAATTGGGCTGTAAAGTCATGAATAATTTTTAAAGTATTTTAAAGCATATTTTCTGGATCTTCAAACTTAATGGAATAGTTGATTACCTACATTTCCCTGAAGCTCTTTCATTTTTATTTTCTTTCGATGCAGGGAGGGGCTGACATGAGATTGAGAAGATAATGGAAACTTTGAAAAATTGTACCTTGCTTTTGTCTATGTCAGGATGGGTGGTATTGGCAAGTGAGAGTGCTGTAGATAGGTGACGCACCCTCGATGATTTTAAGCCTGGGCAGCGGGAACGCATCTTGTTCACGAAATAGAACCCAGAATGCCCTTGCGAGGTCACAGAGCAATCACTGTCATGCCACTTAGGACCTTTAGTTTGTTCTTGGATGATTTTAACAATCTTTTTATTTTAAAGCTTCCTTAAAAAGAACCACTTCCCCCTTTTTAGTAATTATTGATTTATATTGGGTTATTAGAGAAGAAAATGTTTTCAATATTTTTAATGTTTAAAGTAGTGGACGAGTTCCTAGGATTTTTTGGATGCGTTTTTGTATTTTTTTTTATTTGTTGAAAAATAAAATCAAGTTGCACAAAGCCTGTAATATCTTATTTATATTGAATGTGTGTATGTGTGTGTGCACGTGCATATGCGCACATACGTAGGTACATAAGCATGCATAGAGAATTTTTAGGAAGAGATACAAAAAAAATTGAGTGTGAGCCTGTGAGATGAGTGTGAGCCCATGAGAAGAGGGAATATGGGTAAGGGGAATCGCATACTTTTTATTTCCTATCCTTCTGTTCTATTGATTTTTTGCTATAAGCTTGTATTTTAAAAAATAATCTGGGCGGGCGGATCACGAGGTCAGGAGAGCAAGACCATCCTGGCTAACATGGTGAAACCCCGTCTCTACTAAAAAATACAAAAAAAAAATTAACCAGGCGTGGTGCCGCACACCTGTTGTCCCAGCTACTTGGGAGGCTGAAGCAGGAGAATGGTGTGAACCAGGGAGGCGGAGCTTGCAGTGAGCTGAGATCGCACCACCGCACTCCAGCCTGGGCGACAAAGCAAGACTCCGTCTCAAAAAAAAAAAAAAATTATTTTTTGAAACGTGAAATTTCCAAGGAAACTTTTTCTCACATCACACCTTTTTAGATAGTCTGTGAGCAGCAACTCAAGACTCCCCTGTGTTTCTCCCATGGATGGGCAGAATCTGCTTTCGTATACCCCTGCCCCCTCCCCCATCCATCTGATAACTTTGGTCGTGATAGAAAAAGAGTAACCACTGTTTCTGTCCTGTTCCCACACTGTGTGTTTCTCACCGGTGCACACAATTTCACACCATAAACAGGACCCTTAGAAATCGTGCAGTGCGGTTGCCTCTTTCACGGTGGCCTTTCCACTTCTTTGAAATGTCAACTAGATGGTCTTCCTTTCATGACGAGCTAAGAAGGGCTGAACTGGAATTGAAATGCCTTCTTTTCTTTTCTTTTCTTTTCTTTTCTTTTCTTTTCTTTTCTTTTCTTTTCTTTTCTTTTCTAAGACAGAGTTTCTTGCTCATGTTGCCCAGGCTGGAGTGCAATGGCGTGATCTTGGCTCACTGCAAACTCCGCCTGCCGGGTTCAAGTGATTCTTCTGCCTCAACCTCCCAAGTAGCTGGGATTACAGGCACCTGCCACCACGCCCAGCTAATGTTTTGTATTTTTAGTAGAGACAGGGTTTCACCATGTTGGCCAGGCTGATCTCAAACTCCTGACCTCAGGTGATCCACCCGCCTCGGCCTCCCAAAGTGCTGGGATTACAGGTGTGAGTCACTGCGCTAGGCCTCGAATACCTTATTTTCCTTTTTCTTTTTCTTTTTTTTTTTAAGAGAGAGTCTTGCTCTGTTACCCAGGTTGGAGTGCAGTGGCATGATCTCAGCTCACTGCAACCTTCACCTCCTGGGTTCAAGCAATTTTCCTGCCTCAGCCTCCCAAGTAGCTGGGATTACAGGCACCTGCCACCACATCTGACTAATTTTTGTATTTTTAGTAGAGATGGTGTTTCGCCATGTTGGCCAGGTTGGTCTTGAACTCCTGACCTGAGGTGATCCCCTCACCTCTGCCTCCCAAAGTGCTGGGATTACAGGCGTGAGCCACCGCGCCAGGCCGGAATACCTTATTTTCTCAGACTCGACATTACTCTGCGTCCCCGAGTTTAATGAGGTCTGCTGTGTGGTACCTGAGTATTGTTACGCCAGCCTATAACTGACAGCCCACATTCTAAGGTTCATATACTGTTATAAGAAGAAGAGTCCCATGATTCTGAAAACACTCAGACCCACCAGACATGGTGGCTCGTGCCTGCAATCCCAGCACTTTGGGAGGCTGATGTGGGAGGATCCTTTGAGGCCAAGAGTTTGAGGCCAACCTGGGCAATATAGCAAGACCCCGTTTCTACAACAACAGAATAAAAACACCTAGACCCGACAGCTCGAGATCCTTGGTCCAAGAAGCTCAAAAGGAGTCTCTAGCGATTGTCTCAGACCACTAGGGAGAGCCAGCTTGCCTTCGTCTTGATATTTAACATTTGTTATCTGAGATTCATTAGGAAATTTACACTATGAAATTTAAGGTAGGCCGGCGCAGTGGCTCAAGCCTGTAATCCCAGCACTTCCGGAGGCCGAGGTGGGTGGATCACGAGGTCAGGAGATTGAGACCATCCTGGGTAACATGGTGAAACCCTGTCTCTACTAAAAATACAAAAAAAAATTAGCCAGGGGTGGTGGCGGGCGCCTGTAGTCCCAGCTACTCAGGAGGCTGAGGCAGGAGAATGGTGTTAACCCAGGAGGCGGAGCTTGCAGTGAGCTGAGATAATGCACGGCACTTCAGCTTGGGCGACAGAGCGAGACTCCGTCTCAAAAAAGAAAAAAAAGAAAGAAATTCATAAGGTGACATTTTCCTTGTAAGATTTCTGCAGCCTCAGAGATAAGTTGCTAAAATAAAGAATGTTTAAGTCACTCTGGAGAGCTGAGTGAAAACTCATTTCAACCTTGGGAAGGGCCAGGAGGGCAGTGAGCTCTCCCTCACCCAGGCCTGAGCCATCGGATGGTGGAACTCATGGTTTGGGGTCCTTCCTGAGGAAAGGCTGTGGCCGGACCCCAGGCAGCATGCACACACCAAAATCAATGGCTGCAGCTCTTTGTGTACGTTTCCCTTACCTCCTGGGTCCTCAACTGTCTTCCCATCTTGATTCTGTGCATAGGTTGTGGAAAGGAGGAGAACCCCTGCTGAAATTCGAGAGGAGTTTGAGCGGCTGCAGAGAGAGAGAGAAGAGAGGAGATTGCAGCAGCGAACCAATCCCAAGGTAAGCCAGGGGCCACGTTTCATGAGGACACTTCATGAAAAGGCCTCATAACTAGAAGCCAGGTCTGAAATAATGAGGTGCTGGTGGATTGTTAAAGTAAAAACATACAAGCTGGTGGGACAAAATTTAGCTTATATTATGTCAAAGTTGTATCTTTCTGGAAAACACCTCCCTGGTAGCCATCAGCCACACTGCTGCTCATCTCCAGGAGGTTTTGTACCATGTGGAGGGAAGACAAAACCAGTCCCCTGTTTTTTCCAGAAGTCTGGGAGTTTCGCCAAGCAGATATACAGGCTAGTCACTGAAGGCTGTTTCCTCCAACTGTGCTGCCCAAGTCCTTGACACTGGAAATCAGAGGACAGAGGCAGGCAGGGCAGAGGACAGCCACCTAACCACCTAAGCATTGAGGCAGCAGAAGTCCTTGCTTACCCGTTAGGATACGGAGAGCCAAATAATGCAGAGGGCTCAGGGCATGTCCACATGGCCTTGAGCAGAAGTCCCTGCTCACATCACCCCAGGGCATTGGTGCCGTGACCACCGGTCACTGGGTTGTTTGAGCAGCATCGGTGTCCCAGATCACCGATGGAGTTTAAGTCCTTTAAATACTGAGTCAGAGTTACTTTTCAATGCTAAGTGTGCTCTCTTTTTCCTTTCAGTTTGCTGGGGAGGTTGTTCTGCACGTGTGCCCCAGCTCTGTGGCAAGTAGGATAGCTTGGTCACTTTGAGATTCCAGTTGCACTGAATGGCTAATGAAACATGGCCCGGTGTACTGTTCAGCTGTGTTTAAAAAGAGGGCTCAATGGCCAGACCCTATCACTGTGGCCAGGATGGCCTGGCAGAGAGCCTGTATCTGTCATGATAAGGAGCTGGGAGCTCCCCGGTCTTCCATCAGCCTCTTCTCCCATGATCTGTGTCAAATCATCAACGTTGTTGGAAGGAGAGCAGAAGCCATACAAAGTTATAAGTAGCATTATTATTTTCTTTAAACCTTGTAAAGGAATAGAATAGGCCGGGTGCGGTGGCTCACTCCTATAATCCCAGCACTTTGGGAGGCAGAGGCGGGCAGATCACCTGAGGTCAGGAGTTCGAGACCAGCCTGGGCAATATGGTGAAACCCCATCTCTACTAAAAATACAAAAAAATTAGCCAGGCATGGTGGTGCATGGCCACCAGCCTCCCGAGTAATTTCAGCTACTTGGGAGGCTGAGACAGGAGAATAGCTTGAACCAGGGAGGTGGAGGTTGTGGTGAGCCAAGATCATGCCACTGCATTCCAGCCTGGACAACAGAGTGAGACTCCATCTCAAAAAAAAAAAAAAAAAAAGAAAAGAAAGAAAAAAAACAAATGCTGGCTTAAACTGGGATGCACAGTAAGATAAACCTCTGATGAAATACATTCCGGAAAGCAGTTTATTTAAGACCCATACAGCATTTAAAGGACCATATATCCAGAACATGTCCATCTCTTTGAATCCCACATTTCAAAGTATATCTGACCAGATAAAATTATGGATGGGAATGAAGCTTGTGTATCACTCATTATCATGTGTAATCAATAAATGATTTAATTCTCTTGGGAAAAAAGTGTATATTTGAAAATGGTAACACCTCTGCTCCCATCTACTCACTCTCCCCCTCAACAGAAGTGCAGGGTTACCTTTTGGTCAGATGGAGGTAGAGAATCAAAACCCTGGGTGAACCGAGCCAGGGAGTTTAGGATAATTGGGAGAGTTGAAAATCTCCGAGGTGCCCTGAGCTGTGCTCATGGTTCCTGCTTGGATCTCCCAGCCAGGTGCCCGGAGGGAGGTCTGGCTTGGAAGGTCGGTATTGGCAGATGGAGGTGGGATGGGGGAGGTGGGGGTGCCTGGCAAGAGCAGGCTGTTCCTTTGGTGTTTTTGATGTTCTGGCTGGAGGTTTGCTGTGTTAGGAGCAGTGAAAGGGAAAGAGAACCTCACTATCATCCTGCATCCGTGTCCCATGATCAAATCGGCCATCTGGGGGTGTGTGGCAGTTGCTTATTGGGACTCTATGCAAATGTGTCTGCAGGCCATGTTTCTGTGGAATGAGGGAGCACAGCTGTGACCATCTCACACAGGCATGCAAGTGATTTTTAAAATGTCCTATACTTTGCTACTTCCATAAAACTGCTTCCAAATACATAAAACATTTTCTAATCAGAAATATTGAGTGATAACCAGATGTTGGCTGTCCAGCATTTTAAGGAGAGGATTTGAGGTATATCTTTCTTTCCATTTCTGAGGGGTTTTTTTGCCTTTCAAGATGAGCAAACATCCTTGTCCTGAGAAGAAAGGGGTGATCTCTGCTTTAAGGAGACCATGGAGGATGGGCGTGGTGGTGCATGCCTGTAATCCCAGCACTTTGGGAGGCCAAGGCAGGAGGATTGCTTGAGTTCAGGAGTTTGAGACCAGCCTGTGCAATATAACAAGACCCCCATCTCTACAAAATATTTACAAATTAGCTGAGCACAGTGGCACATACCTGTAGTCCAGGCTACTTGGGAGGCAGACGAAGGAGGGTTGCCCGAGCCCAGGAGTTCAAGGTTGCAGTGAGCCGTGATTGCACCACTGCACTCCAGCTGGGCAACAGAGCAAGGTCCTGTCTTAAACAAAAACAGAAGGACACTTTTGATGACTTAGAGGTCAACCTGTCAGCTGGACCCCCCACAGAGGACCTCAGCTCAGAGGGGTTTGCAGGCTGTATCCCGTGCGTGATATTGCCGCCTGAAACGCGGGTGCATATTTCTCTCTGTTTTCGTCAATAAGAGCAGATTAGGTAGGGATTTCCAGTAGATTGATGTATCTACCAAGCAAAAAGGCCTAGTGAGGAAAAGCCCAGGTTAGAAGGTACAGCTGCCAGCAGGAGGCAGGACACAGAGTGAGCCGTTTGACAGTGCTCCCTTTTCTCTTCTGTAAAATGAGGACGTCTGTCCTGACTACTGTGCCAAGTTGTGAAAAGACTGAAAACACATGAAATAGATGTTAATTTATTAGGGAAAGATAATCTTGCTATATAAATGCAAAGTGGTACTGGTACCAAAATGACGTTCAGAACTAAATGTGGTGGTGGTGTTTCATTCAACACTGAGGAGGAAATTCTTGGCTTGGTCAGGAATGGTGGGACCTGTGAGTTGGGATTTGTAAATGGCCCTTGAGGCCGGGCGCAGTGGCTCACGCTTGTAATCCCAGCACTTTGGGAGGCCGAGGCAGGTGGATTACGAGGTCAGGAGATCGAGACCATCCTGGCTAACACGGTGAAACCCTGTCTCTACTAAAAATACAAAAATTAGCCGGGTGTGGTGGCAGGCGCCTGTAGTCCCAGCTACTCAGGAGGCTGAAGTAGGAGAATGGCGTGAACCCAGGAGGCAGAGCTTGCAGTGAGCTGAGATCGCACCACTGCACTCCAGCCTGGGCCACAGAGTGAGACTCTGTCTCAAAAAAAAAAAAAAAAGAAAGAAAATGGCCTTCGAACCATTCTTGCAGCCTTTGCCTGGGGCCAGGCCCGGTGCTGTTTGCAGTATGGCTGACTGTGATATGGACTAGTGTGGAATGTGCCTTACCAGGCACCATGGTGCCCAGGAAGGAACGTGTAAAATCCCCAGCCCCGGCGTGTGTCCACTTTGCCTGCTGGCTCCAGCTGATGAAACACGTGCATGCACACACACACACACATGCAGGAACACAGGCACATCCATGGGAGGCAGCATGGGAGAGCCTTGGACTTGGTGTCCAGGGCCCTGCGTCCAGACTCAGATTCCACCTTCCTGTCTGTGCCCTTGATCAAGTCCCTTCTGCATTCTTAGTCCAGTTTCTGCCTCCATGAAATGGGAGGCCCGCTTTCTGGGTTGAGTCTTTGGACCCCACAGTCCTTAGCTCTAATCACCTGTTTTCTGCCTTTGCTTTGCCCTGTGGGAGTAAATTCCTGTCTGTATGTCCTGCTGGAAAAAGCCACCCTTGGGTTGCTGGGGTCCCAGTGTCTTTAGGGCCCTCCACATTGAACTGGCGTCAGGGAGAGAATTGGTGGCTGGGCAGGACGTGGGTTCATACCTGAGAGCAGTATGCGAAACTAGACCTGACTGGACCACCCTGGGCATCCTCCTGCCATCTTCGGATTTCTGTTTTATTTGCATAATCCATCCGCATTTCTTGCATTTTAAGGACTTAAGATCATGTAACAGTGTCGTTCTGTGTTGTATTCACTTCGTATTGATTATTTTAATTCCTTTTTTCCTTAATACCCATAAATCTTCTCCCTCTGTGGAGGGCAGCCACTTTGAGCATATTTAGAAGGCAACTTGATCCCAGGCAGCTTGTCCGACTTCATTGCTGCCTCCTTCGTGATCTTGTTTAGATCCTGTGTGGAGCAGATGATTAAGTTAGGTTTGTTTGGGGGTGTGGGGGCAAAGGAGTTTGACTGTCTCTGCGGGCATATATTGCTTTAGTTTTTTTGACCCTATGACAAAATAGTTTGATGGAGATTTACATTATTTCCTGGCCATTTTTGCTATTACAGAGGTTGATATACACTCTTTGGCAAGACCTCTCTGATCTAGAAAACTCCATCATCAGCATGGTTTGTGTAATAGCTGAGAGACACAATTCAGCTTTATTAGAAAAAAATGTAAATGATGTATCGGCCAGGCATGGGGGCTCACACCTGTAATCCCAATATGTCCAGAGTTCATTCCTTTTGGTGGGTTCATGGTCTCACTGACTTCAACAATGAAGCCATGGACCTTCGCGGTGAGTGTTACCTTAAAGGTGGTGCGGACCCAGAGTGAGCAGCAGCAAGATTTATTGTGGAGAGCAAAATAACAAAGCTTCCACAGTGTGGAAGGGGACCCGAGCAGGTTGTTGCTGGCTGGGGTGGCCAGCTTTTATTCCCTTATTTGTCCCTGCCTATGTCCTGCTGATTGGTCCATTTTACAGAGTGCCGGTTGGTCCATTTACAGAGTGCTGATTAGTGCACTTACAATACTCTAGCTAGCCACAGAGCACTAATTGGTGCTTTTTACAGCGAGCTGATTGGTGCATTTACAATCCTCTAGCTAGCCACAGAGCACTGATTGGTGCGTTTTTACAGAGTGCTGATTGGTACATTTACAACCCTCTAGCGACAGAGCGCTGATTGGTGCGTTTTTACAGAGTGCTGATTGGTAACATTTGTAAGACAGAAAAGTTCTCCAAGTCCCCACCTGACCCAGGAAGTCCAGCTGGCTTCACCTCTCACCAACACTTTGGGAGGCTGAGGTGGGTGGATCATCTGAGGTCAGGAGTTTGAGACCAGCCTGACCAACATGGTGAAACCCCATCTCTACTAAAAATACAAAAATTAGCCAGGCGTGGTGGCAGGCGCCTGTAATCCAAGCTGCTTGGGAGGCTGAAGCAGGAGAATCACTTGAACCTGGGAGGCGGGGGTTGCAGTGAGCCGAGATCGCGCCACTGCACTCCAGCCTGAGCAACAAGCTCAAGACTCCGTTTCTAAATAAATAAATAAAAATAATGTAGCAAGAGCCTGGGCAACATGGTGAAATCCTATCTCTACAAAAAAAAAAAACAAAAAACAAAAAACAATTAACTGGGCATGGTGGCGTGCTCCTGTAGTCCCAGCTACTCGGGAGGCTGAGGCAGGAGGAATGCTTGAGCCCTGGAGGTGGAGGTTGCAGTAAGCCAGGATCGTGCCAGCCTGGCTCCAGCCTTCAAGATGTACTCCAGCCTGGGTGACAGAGAGAGACCCCATCTGAATAACGTATCAAGGAAGGCATGTAACCATAAAAATATTTTTAAATGCCAAAATGTTTTCATAAAGATGTAAGCGTGCATCACTTGATTATTTTTAAAGGATGTTGGGGTTGCCCTGGCTAATAACCGTAGCCAGCAAAGTCGCCCATGGTTATGACTTCAGTCTGTTCTGCAGAAGTGATTCTGATGTCATGAAACTGCCTGGACTTGGCTGAGAGGATGATGGGGCAGAAGAAGGGTTGTTTAAGCCATATGTTTGTTGTGCGTAGTGGCAGGAAGGGGCAATTTACCGTCTGCAGAAATGGGCTGCTGTTGCAATTGGAGAACGTGAGAAGTTGTCTTGTAAGGAGAAAAGGGACCAGAGCCTGGTTAATCAGGTCTGGGAAAGCACTGTGATAATGAAACTGAAACCCTGGAGAAGAAGAGTGGTCTTGGCAATCGGGATAGAAGGCATAGAGGGATTCAAAGGTAAAACAGCTGTTTGTCTTGAAATGAGTATCCGTCGGAGGGCTGTTTTCACCCCCTCATGTCAGCATAATCGCTCACAAACAAGGTTTCAGAATTAAAGACTACTGTTTATACGGGGAGGACAGGCTCTGACTTCCATTTGAGATAAAGTGATTCTGTGGGAAGCGTCATGAGTGCCATGCTGGGTTCACCAGTTATAAAACAGGTGAATTTCACATTGCCTCGTATCACCTCTTTTGGTGGAATTTTCAGTTAGTAAAGAGTTCCTTTTGAGATTGCAGTTGACAGAAATTTCTTATGTTACCCTCATGGCCAGATAAATATAAACATGAAAATCATTCCACCTGGGTGGTGGTGAATGTGTTAACGTGATTGTGACCATCACTACACAGTGTCTGCGTGGATCAAATCAGCACACTGTACACCTGGCACGTGTGCAGTCTCTATTTGTCAGTTAAATGTTTTACATGTTTTTAAGAAGATTTGAAACCAAAAAATAAAGAATTTAGAATGGTACATTCCTGGCTGAATAAACAACTGATTCTACTCAACGAGTACAAATACATCATTTCCTACCTGGTAAGAAGTTTCTCATTGTGGGAGAAAGGCTGTAACTCAGGCTCAGAATTTCTGAGTGATGTCAGTGAAGACGTGTTTATCACATTCACAGTTGACCCAAGGCAGAAGGTTCTAAAAGAGCCCAGTGAACAAGAATGAAGGGATTAAACTGCAAAATAACATTTAACAGGGAGAAATGTGCTAGCTACGAAAGGGGGGAATCAGGGAAAATGGTCATCTTTCGTTGACTTGGTTTAATATTAGCAATTTTGTGGGTTGGAGGTGGGTAAAAATGGTTGATTTATTCGCAAAGTAATTTAATTTGGGTGCCTGTAATGTGCCAGACACTTTAGGAATGTGAACATTCCGCAGAGAATAAAACAGACAACCTAATCCTGCCATGAAGCTGAATAATCTAGTTGAGGGACAGAGAAGCTGCAGTAAATGCAATATATAAATTATATATTAAGACTGGGCGTGGTGGCTCATGCCTGTAATCCCAGCACTTGGGCAGGCCGAGGCAGGCAGATCATCTAGGTCAGGAGTTCAAGACCAGCCTGGCCAACATGGCAAAACCGCGTCTCTACTAAAAATACAAAAATTAGCCGGGCTTGGTGACGTGCTCCTGTAGTCACAGCTATTTGGGAGGCTAAGGCAGGAGAATCACTTGAACCTGGGAGGCAGAGGTTGCAGTGAGCTGAGATCTCGCCACTGCACTCCAGCCTGGGCAACAGAGTGAGATTCTGTCTCAAAAAAAAAAAAATTATATATTAGAAGGAGAGAGAAATGATGTGGGGGGTACATAAAGCGAAGGAAGTGGGGAAGGCTGCAGTTTTTTTGTTTTGATTTTGGTTTTTTTTTTTGTTTTTGAGACAGAGTCTTGCTCTGTTGCCCAGGCTGGAGTGCAGTGGCGCAATCTCGGCTCACTGCAAGCTCCGCCTCCCGGGTTCATGCCATTCTCCTGCCTCAGCCTCCCGAGTAGCTGGAACTCCAGGCGCCTGCCACCACGCCCAGCTAATTTTTGTATTTTTAGTAGAGGCGGGGTTTCACCTTGTTAGCCAGGATGGTTTCGATCTCCTGACCTCGTGATCTGCCCGCCTCAGCCTCCCAAAGTGCTGGGATTACAGGCGTGAGCCACCGTGCCCGGCCTTGGTATTGTTTTTGAGACAGAGTTTCACTCTTGTTGCCCTGGCTGGAGTGCAGTGGCACTGTCCTGGCTCAGTGTAACCTCCACCTCCTGGATTCAAGCAATTCTTCTGCCTCAGCCTCCGAGTAGCTGGGACTACAGGTGCATGCCACCATGCCCGGCTCATGTTTTTGTGTTTTTAGTAGAGACGAGGTTTTACTATATTGGCCAGGCTGGTCTCAAACTCCTGACCTCAGGTGATCCACCCGCCGCGGCCTCCCAGAGCGCTGTGATTACAGGTGTGAGCCACCATGCCCAGCCTGCAGTTTTAATTAGAGTAGTCAGGCTTCACTGAAAAGGTGCCACTGGAGGAAGGATGGGAAGCAGATGACAAAGTTAGCCACGTGGCCATCTGGTGAAGAGTGTTGCAGATAGAGGGCAGAGCCAACGCAGAGGCCAAAATGGAGAGGTGAATCTGGTATGTTCAAGGAACAGCAAAGAGGCCAGTGTGTCTGGAACGATGAGAGAAGACATTAGTAGGAGTTGAAGACATTAGTAGGAGTTGAAGACATTCCATTTCCCCAATGTGAAATAGGGACCAGGCTTAATGTGTGATGGTTCAAGAGACAAGAACCAATAGCAACAAGTCAGTGTTACTGGGAGATGATTTGGGGTTAATATAAGGAACATTGAGCAAGTTGGGCTGCTGGGGACTCATGGAAACTGCTTTGATCCACTGTCTAGTCATGAACACAATGTGATGAGGACCTCTGTCTTCCAACAGGTAGCAGTGGGTGGGATGTGTATGTAATTTAAATAAAAACTAAGTCTTACAGACTATTTGCAGAGCCAGTGCAGGACTAGACCCAGGGCCGGCAGGCATTGCTCCTATCTGGGCTGTATTAACTTGGATCAGGAATTATAGGGGCCATTGATGACATCTGCTGGCCAGGGGGGCAGCAGTTGGCCTGTGAGTATTGATGTCATATGGTTATGTTGGTTCCTCCCAAGGGAGAAGCAGCTGAGGTTTACGGACACAAGAACTCTACTAATTTAAAAATAGGCCTATAAAGAATTTCTCTATAAAGTAAGTTTTTAGATAGCTTTTTGTTTGGAAGTCCTTAAGATATGGGGAATTTTTTTTTTCAATTTTTTTTGTCAGAGTAATATGTGTACAAGGTTCAAAAGTCAGGTATTTACTAGACTTATAAAGAAAAGCCCTGCCGCTCCCCGCTTTCTACTCCTGACTCCTGTTCCCTTAAGGCAGCCACTCCCAGCTCTTGGAGCTGTTTCTTCTGTCATGTTTACATGGTTCTCTCAGTTTCTTCAGTTTTCAGTCTACCCAGTGTAATTATAATTGGATTACATTAATATTCACTATATACATTGCGGTGACCATATAATTACTCAGTTGACCCAGATCATATACCAGGATTACCTAGCCTTTCTTAACACTTTTTCCTCTGTGTTATTAGTAATTGTCTCATTCGTTTCCTTTGATTAGTTTTCTGTAAATCTGTCACAAAGTCATCTCCAGACTCTCTTGTCAGAGCTGAAACGTTCCTCCCAGTTTCATTAGACGCTTCAGGTATTGTGTCACTCATTCTGATCTCAGTGGCATCCCGGAGCCCTCAGTCCCCAGATCCCGTCTGAAGGTGTCACTCCATTGCTGCAATCTCACGATCAAGCTGGAGCAGATGAGGAGTATCGATGCACAGAAATGGTGGTTTCTTGAGATGGAACCTAGTCCTGGTGAAGATTCTGTGATCACTGTTGAAATGACAACACAGGATTTGAAACATAAGTTAGCTGATAAACCTATTTTCACTTGGTTATCTTTAAATCCCAGAGTCTGGCTGGGCATGGGGGCTCACGCCTGTAATCCCAGCACTTTGGGAGGCCAAGGTGGGCAGATCACGAGGTCAGGAGATCGAGACCATCCTGGCTAACACGGTGAAACCCCGTCTCTACTAAAAATACAAAAAAATTAGCCGGGCGTGGTGGCAGGCGCCTGTAGTCCCAGCTACTCGGGAGGCTGAGGCAGGAGAATGGCGTGAACCCAGGAGGCAGAGCTTGCAGCGAGCCGAGATCGTGCCACTGCACTCCAGCCCAGGCGACAGAGCAAGACTCCATCTCAAAAAGAGTAGGAATCATTATTTGGGGCATGTATCTACAGACTTTAGTCTGTTCACCAACCCTGTCTATCTCCAGTATCAGTGGTCTGATTATGTGCTGCTGTATAACCATTTCCAAACTTGGTGGCTTCCAACAATAATTCCATACTGTCTCACAGTTCTGTGGATTGGCTGGGACTTGACTGTGATGGGATGGTGCTCACAGGGGTTGCAGTCAGATGGCAGCTGGGTCTCATCCTCAGAAGGCTGGCTGGTCTGCATGTCAGCAGTGGCTTCTGCATTCATGTCTCACACACCTCAGCGGAGGTGGCTGGCATCGCTGTCTCTCTAGGCAACCTCTCCCCGGGCCAGCTCAGGCTTCCTTGCCAACAGCAGTCTCTGGGTAGTTGGACTTAATACGTATTAGCTAGTGTCCCCCAGATAGTGCATTTTAGAGACCTGGGCCAAGCTGCAAGGCTTCTCGTGAGCTGGTCTTGAAGTCAGCACCATCACATCCACGCATTCTGTTGGACAAAAGCAAGTCTGAGAGTTGCTTTTGTGAACCTGAGAGGTTCAGGATCAAGGAGAGGGCTCTGTACAAGGGTGTGAGTACCCGCAGGCATGGTTCCTTAGGAGGCCTTTGATCTGACTTCCACAGTGTGTCACACTATTTTTTGAAGAGTGTATTTCCTGTGTCTTTTTCTTTTATAACATTGCCTACCATCTTTATGAAAGTTGCATTTATATTTAGCAAGTTATATTTTACTTTGAGATAGGGTCTCATACTATCACCCAGGCTAGAGTGCAGTGATACAGTCACAGCTCACTGCAGCCTTGGCCTCCTGGGCTCAAGGAATCCTCCCACCTCCCAGTGGAATCCTCCCAGTCTCCTAGGTGACTGGGACCACAGGCGGATACCACCACTCCCAGCTAAACTTTTTTTTTTTTTTTTTGGTTTTAGTTTTTTTTGTGGAGACAGAGTCTCAACATGTTGCCTAGGCTGGTCTCGAACTCCTGGGCTCAAGCAATCCCTCCACCTCAGCCTCCCAAAGTACTGGGATTGCAGGAGTGAGCCACAGCACTCAGCTGAAATTTTTGACACATTTAATTGATTCATCTCTGTATATCATATTTTTAATTTAGAAAATATTCTCTCAATTCTAAATTTCTTCATATTAGAACATAAAAATATCTTGGCCCAAGTATTTTGACAGGTATTGTCTTTTTAACTTTATTCACAACAGTTTTCTTTGACACATTTTTCTAAATCATCTTTATTTATGATCTTTTGAATGTTTTATCAAATTTAGATGCTATAAAACTGTAGACCTTTTCAATTCCATTTCATTCTTGAACAGAATATAAATTTACCTAATTAAACATGACAGCTCCACCAAGATTCCTACACAAAATAAAGATACTCCAAAATGCCGTTATGGAATTTCAAAATTGTATCTCATTATATCTCATAAACTCTTATTTATTTTGTATGGTTTTTTTCCCCCTAAAAAGATCAGCTTCAGATTATTTTTCATTACAAGCTTTATTTTCAGTGATTGTAATTTTTTTTTTTTTTTTTTTTTTAGACGGAGTCTTGTTCTGTTGCCCAGGCTGGAGTGCAGTGGCACAATCTTGGCTCACTGCAACCTCTGCCTCACAAGTTGAAGCAATTCTCCTGCCTCAGCCTCCTGAGGAGCTGGGATTATAGGTGCGCACCACCACGCCCGGCTAATTTTTGTATTTTTAGTAGAGATGGGGTTTCACCATGTTGGTCATGTTGGTCTCAAACTCCTGACTTCGTGAGCCGCCTGCCTCGGCCTCCCAAAGTGCTGGGATTACAGGCATGAGCCACCACACCCGGCCTGTTCTTGTTTTTGAGACAGAGTCTTGCTCTGTCACCCATGCTGGAGTGCAGTGGCGCAATCTTGGCTCACTGAAACCTCCACCTTTCAGGTTCAAGCAGTTCTCCTGCCTCAGCCTCTAGAGTAGCTGGGACGTGTACCTGGCTAATTTTTGTATTTTTAGTAGCAACAGGGTTTCTACCACGTTGGCCAGGCTGGTCTCGAACTCCTGACCTCAGGTGATCCCACTCCCTCAGCCTCCCAAAGTGTTGGGATTACGGGTATTAGCCACCACACCTGGCCACAGATTGTTCATATACTGCCATGCAGTTTTGTTGATTATTCAGAATCATCATCATGACAGAGATGTGTTCATGCTGTTACTCTGTGAATATAAAAAATTTGTAAATTTTGGCAACTACAACTTCATTTTCCATGGGTAGAATACCACAGCTTGTTTTGACACAATTATGCATTATGCGTATCACTACAACTAATTCTAAGGATGTTTCTAGTCCATGGGTTTCTTGATTTAATAAGAAAATTTTTTACCATAACACTATACTGCCTCCAAGTTGGTATTTGAATATCACCGCAAAAACAAACACGTTTACCTTTAATGTGGAACTTTTTGATTGAGTTTATAGTAGCATTCATAATGTCAGGTGTTTCACCCTCAACAGAAATCAAGTAATTATTAGGGTTAATGCATTTTCAGATTGAAGCATCTGATAGAAAGCTAGCACCAGCTGGGCGCGGTGGCTCACACCTGTAATCTCAGCACTTTGGGAGGCCGAGGCGAGTGGATCATGAGGTCAAGAGATCGAGACCATCCTGGTCAACATGGTGAAACCCTGTCTCTACTAAAAATACAAAAATTAACTGGGCATGGTGGCGTGCGCCTGTAGTCCCAGCTACTCGGGAGACTAAGGCAGGAGAATCGCTTGAACCCAGGAGGCGGAGGTTGCAGTGAGCCAAGATCGTGCCACTGCACTGCACTGGACTAATGGCTAATGTTGCCTGGTGACAGAGCGAGACTCCATCTCAAAAAAAAAAAAAAAAGAAAAGCTAGCAAAAAAACATTGTTTCAATGGGCTGCAAAAAGTTTAGTTAAAAAAATGTGTGTGGCCATGGTTTTATATACTGGATTAAGATAATGTCCGTTTTTAAAGTTGTGACTATCAAAGAATAATAAACATTGATTTTCTGAGTAACAAGCATTTTTATCAGCAAAATTTTAGCTTAGAATTCCTTGAGCAAATACAGTGTTCTGTTTCTCAAACTTAATTCTCATTAATTTGAGAAGGTGGATTAATTTTAAAGTCTCCCATTTGTTCATAATTTGTGCTGCTTTATCTTTGAAGGTATTTTTATTTAAAGAGTTTTAGGGTAGTTTTGTGGTATAAGGTTGTTTACCAAAAAATGTTTAATCCATGTAGCTCATTTCTAGGTGGTTTTGTGCATTCTTGGGTCCTGTTTGGTCTCTGAAAATCAAACTGTCTAGCTCTTACTCCTTTGACTAACACTTTTGTCTTTGGCGTGTCATTGCTCTGCAGACATGCGGACCGGCTCTCCTGGTCAAATGATGTTTTCTAGCTCTGGACGTCTGTGGTGCTCTGCAGTTTGGTTCGGACTGTGACATTCATGCTTTGTGGGCTTCCTGGTGGAGTGTCCTACCTAAACCCAGTGAACCCTGAAGTCAAATGACTTGTTCAATTAAAGCGAGCTGGCTGTTGAAGTGTAGCATTGTCTTTCATTCCACAAATACCACCCGTTCTGCTGACGGCTTGTTTTTCTGCCCCAGGGAACGATCAGCGTTGGAGTAGATGCCACCGACCTTTTTGATCGCTATGATGAGGAGTATGAAGATGTGTCCGGCAGTAGCTTTCCGCAGATTGAAATTAATAAAATGCACATATCCCAGTCCATTGAGGTAAAGCACACAACCACCTCTCCGAGTACAGCAAGGGCTCGAGTTAATGAGGCACAGCACACCAAGCAGCTGGAATGAGAGTCTGCCCAGGGTTTTTCTCATCTTTATTTATGAAAGGATGCAATTAGCCACTTAAAAAAGAAAGCGCTTCATTCCCAGCCGTGTGTTACCGCTGTGCTGGCATGTGAGCCAGCAGGAGTGTGGGCTGGGGCACTTGGCTCCCAAGGTCTTGGGCCTTTCCAGCAGAGGGTGTTAATGGTCTGGGAGAAGTAGAGGCCCAAGGTCATGGGGTTCTGGGAGAGAAAGCAGACCTCCATGGATCATTCTAACAACCAGTTTTAGTTTTAAGGCAAATTCTGCTAGGTGCCGCAAGGCTATAGCAGCTCTCATCCTGAGCCCTGGGCACGCGAAAATGTCACCATTCTGCCCACTATTTGGATGTGACGAGGTCAGGTCATTCTCCTGAGCGTTTATAGTAGGTCTTTGTCTCCTCAGCTCATTAATTTATTCTCCATTGCATCAGCCAACAACGTGGAGTCCTAACTTGGGGAAATTTGCCCCCTCTTGGAGCTCCCTGAGTCAGTTGATACAGAATACAGCCATGGGAAGGTCTTCAGTCCCCCTGGAACCCTGATGGCAAACCACAGAGGGAAGGCACACAGTGAAGTCACTGTGCTATCTGATACCATTGGGACATGCAGCCCCATGTTTCCCCTGGTGTTGTGAAATGTGCCCATTAAAGCTTTTGCAAAGCATATTACCCTCGTGGTCACATGCAGACCAAATAACAAAGCGGAAGAAAAGTGAAGCTGTTGCGGCAGTTCTGCATCCATGTGTGCTTCTGAACAGAGGAATCGTCTGCACCTTTGGCCTTGGGCTCACAGTGCGTTCTTTAGGCTGCTGCCATTGGCACTTCCTGTTGTTTTGATTCATTCATTACCAGCAAATACCATTTTTAGGCACCCTTGACAGCGACAGACACAGCCATCCTCTCTGGAAGCCTCTCAACCCAGAATGGAAATGGAGGAGGTTCCATTAACTTTGCGCTCAGACGAGTAACTTCGGCAAAGGGATGGGGAGAGGTAAGAATGTCTATTGGCTGAGTTGTGTTGTCTGTGCAAAGCCTTATTTCTGAACATTTACACTCTCAAAGCTCACCCTCAAACTCACCCTGGGGGCCCCGTTGTTGTGTAAGAACGGTACCAAGTGTCAAGCTTCCATAAGTTGACTGGTCCTAAAAGAAAAATAGGTCTCATGAGCCTGGCCAACATGGTGAAACCCCGTCTCTACTAAAAATACAAAACTTAGCTGGGCATGGTGGCACCTGCCTGTAATCCCAGCTACTTGGGAGGCTGAGGCAGGAGAATCACGAGAATCACATGAACCCAGGAGGCAGAGGTTGCAGCGAGTCAAGATCGCGCCGTTGCACTCCAGTCTGGGGGACAAGAGCAAAATTCCGTCTCAAAAATAAATAAATAAATAGGTCTCATATCTGAGAAGTCCTGTCAGTCTTCCTCACAGTTTAAAATTGGCATAGAAAAACAAGGTTTCCTATGAGATGCCAACTTCTAGAAATCCAGCCTCTGAAACTCCGTGTGTTTGTTCCCTTTGAGCAAAAAGCCTGTGGGCTCTTTTTCCTGCACAATTCAGAAGGCAGGTGCTCTCTTCCGCGTGATGGTTCACTGATTGGTGGCCATTTAACAGCCAGTTCTGCCGAGCAAATTGAGCTGCATCAAATTAACATTGAAGAGTTGCTTGAAAGTCACCCAGACTAGTAAACACGGCAGCCAGGCTCAGCTGTGACTTCCAAGGCTGTGCGGGTGTGGAACCGCGGCTGGGCTTTAACATCAGGCTCCTGAGGACCGCCCCAGTGACCTGGGAGACATTTGGCGCAGGATGAAAATGAAAAGGAGTCGGCAGTGCATGCGGGGGTGGGGGGCACACCGGACCGCAGTCGGTGCTCTGCAGGTGGCGGGGGGCTGCGCCGGGAGGGGTAGGGGGAGCCAGCTGGTCTCCTGACCTCAGCCTGGGAGGCAAGGAACAGAGGGGAGCAGTTTTTTCTTTGGAGGGACACCAATGAAACATGTGCCTTTGAAGCCTGGGTCTCCTTTGGATCTGTGGCAGCAGACAGCTCCATTTGGCAAAGGTTAAGATGAGACATTAACAATCTTCCACCCCCTTCTTTTAGAGCCCTGGCAAGACCAGTGAATTGAATGAAGGAATTATACCTAGAGGTACATACCTGAGCCTGGGTTGCTGCTATGAGATAAAACACCATTAATGCCTTCTCTTTTTCCTTTTCAAACAGTTGGAATTTGGAGCTGGAGACCTACAGGGGCCTTTGTTCGGTCTCAAGCTGTTCCGTAATCTCACACCAAGATGGTAAATATGAGAGACAGCAGCTCCTCTTTGGTGGTCTTTGTTGGCTTAGGAGACTAGAACTGTGTGTTCTTTTTATCACAGTGGTTGGCACTATCTTGTCTGTCCTACAAGGTCACTGCGTACATCAAGGGCAGGTATAGCACTGGCGTGAAGCCCAGGCAGTGTGCAGGTGGGAAGAGGCAGGATTGAGGGGGCCGGACCCTTGTCCCAGCCCTGGCCAGGCTGCACCATCCAGGTCTCGCACCTCCCTTACCTATGCCACAAGGCCACGGAGAAAGAGTGCCTTCAGGGAGAGTTGGTCAGTGGACCGAAACACTTACAGACTTATGGATCGTTCCATTGTCCCAGAGAATGACAGACTGCCTCATCATCGGGTTGATTGACATATGCCAGAGATGTAGTCCCCAGCCAGCCTCTGCTTCCTGTCGTCTCTGCTGCTGCCATGTCACACTCCTAGAACTGTATATCCCTGTCCCTTCTAGAACGACAGCAGTGTCTTCATTTCCTATATGGTGGGTGCAGTGATGTCTGTGTGAGCTCAGATAAAAGAATTGGTGGAGGGTAAATAATACCTCTTTCTTCCAGAGGAAGATATAGCTGAAGGAGTCCTAGAATGGAGCACATGGAGTTTATTTTATTTATTTATTTATTTTGGAGACAGGGTCTTGCTCTGTCTTGCCCAGCCTGGAGTGCGGTGGTGTGATCTCGGCTCACTGCAGCCTCTGCCTCCTGGGTTCAAGCTATTCTCCTGTCTCAACCTTCCGAGTAGCTGGGACTACAGGCGTGTGCCACCACACCCAGCTATTTTTGTATTTTTAATAGAGATGGGGTTTCACCATGTTGGTCAGGCTGGTCTCGAACTCCTGACCTCAGGTGATCCACCTGCCTCGGCCTCCCAAAGTGGTGAGATTACAGGCGTGAGCCACCACGCCTGGCCTATTTTATTTTACTTTATTTTTGTTAGAGACGAGGTTTTGTTCTGTTGCCTAGGCTAGAGTGCAATAGTCCGATCATAGTCCACTGCAGCCTTGAACTCCTGGGGTCAAGCAGTCCTCCTCCCTCAGCCTCCCGAAAAACTAGGACTACAGGCGTGTGCCAACATGCCTGGCTCATTGTTTAGTTTTTTTTAGGGATAAGTTATCTCTATGTTGCCTAGGCTGGTCTCAAGCTCCTGGATTCAAGCAGTCCTCCCACCTTGGCCTCCCAAAGCACTGAGATTAGAAGCATGAGCCACTTCAGCAAGCCTGGAGTATATGTTTTTTGTTTTGAGACAGGTCTCACTTTGTCACCCCGGCTGGAGAATAGTGATGCAATCTTGGCTCACTGCACCCTCAACCTCCCAGGCTCAGGTGACCCTCCTGAGTAGCTGGGACTACAGGTGTGCACCACCATGCCTGACTAATTTTTGTAGAGTTGGGGTTTCTCCTTGTTGGCCAGGCTGGTCTCTTAACTCCTGACCTCAGGTGATCCTCCCACCTTGGCCTCCCAAAGTGCTGGCATTACAGGTGTGAGCCACTGTGCCCAGGCACAGTGGCATGAATAACTTTCTTATCAAACATGTATTGTAGGCTGTACAAACATGTACAAACATGTACAGGAGTTCGAGACCAGCCTGGCCAACATGGCGAAACCCCCTCTACTAAAAATATAAAAATTAACCAGGCATGGTGGCGCTTGCCTGTAGTCCCAGCTACTTGGGAGGCTGAGGTGGGAGGATCTCTTGAACCCAGGAGGCGGAGGTTGCAATGATCCAAGATCACACCACTGTACTCCAGCCTAAGCAGCAGAGCAAGACTGTCTCAAAAAAAAAAAAAAAGTTAGTTATTACACTTCCAATGAGACATGTATCTGTGTGCCTGCCACGCTCTGCAGGGGTTGACCTAATCCCTGCCCACTAGTCTGGTCGTTTGTCTGTGGGGCATGGGGCAGAGAACACAGGCAGGCTTGCAGGTCAGCCTGTTGTAGGGAGAGCAGGAGAAGTTGGGAGAGAGCCTGCGAAACAGGAGGACGTGGCCTGTGGGGCAGGCGGAGGCCGCTTAGGCACCAAAGCAGTGCTTCCTGGCTGAGCACGGTGGCTCATGCCTCTAATCCCAGCACTTTAGGAGGCCGAGGCGGGTGGATCACGAGATCAGGAGATCGAGACCATCCTGGCTAACACGGTGAAACTCTGTCTCTACTAAAAATGCAAAGAATTAGCCGGGAGCGGTGGCGGGCGCCTTTAGTCCCAGCTACTCGGGAGGCTGAGGCAGGAGAATGGCGTGAACCCAGGAGGCGGAGCTTGCAGTGAGCCGAGATCGCGCCACTGCACTCCAGCCTGGGCGACTCTGTCTCAAAAAAAAAAAAGCAGTGCTTCCAGACACAAGAAGAGGAAAAGGAGCCGATGTGACTCACACCTGCAATCCCAGGGCTTTGGGAGGCCAAGGTGGGAGGATTGCTTGAACCCGGGAGGTTGAGGCTGCAATGAGCTGAGATTGCACCACTGTACCCCAGCCTAGGCGACAGAGCAAGACTGCCACCGAGAAAAATTTTTTTTAAAAGATGGAAGGAATGTGGGACATGCTGCCATGGGGCATCACCTGGGTGCTGCTCACAACACAGCTCCACAGTCCCCTGCTCTACGTAATTGGATTCACCTACTGGGTCTGCAAAGGGGACCGGGATTCATACTTAGAAGAGAACAGCAGGGAAACAGCATCTGTATACACATCAGTGTTGTCCTGACCCTGTCTACTTAGATTGGTCACCCCAGATGCTGGTTAAAAGCCGCCTCGGGGGCAGGGTGTGGTGGCTCATGCTTGTAATCCCAGCACTTTAGGAGGCCAGGTGAGACGATCACTTGAGCTCAGGAGTTTGAGACCAGCCTAGGCAACATGGCAAAACCTTGACTCTACAAAAAATATAAAAATTAACCAGGTGTGGTAGCACACACCTGTAATCCCAGCTACTTGGGATGCTGAGGTGGGAGGATCGCTTGAGGCCAGGAGGTCGAGGCTGCAGTGAGCCATGATGACACCACTGCACTTCAGCCTAGGTGACAGAGCAAGACCCTCTCTCAAAAGAAAAAAGAAATGCTGGTCAGGTGCGGTGGCTCATGCCTGTAATCCCAACACTTTGGGAGGCCAAGGCAGGCGGGTCGCCTGAGGTCAGGAGTTCAAGACAAGCCTGGCCAACATGGTGAAACCCTGTCTCTACTAAAAATACAAAAATTAGCCAGGCGTGGTGGTGGGCACCTGTAATTCCAGCTACTTGGGAGGCTGAGGCAGGAGAATTGCCTGAACCCGGGAGGCAGAGGTTGCAGTGAGCCAAGATCGTGCCACTGCACTCCAGCCTGGGCGACAGAGCCGAGACTCTGTCTCAAAAAAAAGAAAAAAAGCTGCTTTGGGTCTTATGAGGGAGGGGACTGGGAATCTAGGTGTTTCAAGCGCCCCAGGTGATTCTTAAGGTCACACAAGCTTGGGAGACACTTCATTAAGCAAAATCTTTTGGCCGTTTTGTTCTGGTTGAGCCTCAGTGTCTATTCATTGAGTGGTCACCAAGAGTTTGGGGTGGACTGATCATCAGCATTTACAGGTTTGGAAATTGAATTTAGTTTTACTACTCAGAGCTTATTAGACTTGAGCAGATTTAAACGGAAGGACAACTGATTTATAAACAAGGGGGTGATGTGTGACCAAGGATGCCAGCTTCTTTTTTTTGTTTGTTTTGTTTTGTGTTTGAGACGGAGTCTTGCTCTGTCACCAGGCTGGAGTGCAGTGGCGCAGTCTTGGCTCACTGCAACCTCCACCTCCCAGGTTCAAGCTATTCTGCCTCAGCCTCCCAAGTAACTGGAACTACAGGCACATGCCACCACGCCTAGCTAATTTTTGTATTTTTACTAGAGACGGGGTTTCACCATGTTGGCCAGGATGGTCTCAATCACTTGACCTTGTGATCCACCCACCTCGGCTTCCCAAAGTGCTGGGATTACAGGCGTGAGCCACCGCGCCCGGCCTACTAGCCCAGTTTCTTAATATATAGTGGCCAGGTTAGTTATGGATGTCTGCTAACCACGGTCCTCTAATCCTTGGATCAAGTTGCAGATGTTCCTTGATTTACGATGGAGTTACGGCCGAATAAGCCATCTTAAATCAAAAATATCGACCTGTTGGCTGGGCACAGTGGCTCGTGCCTATAATCCCAGCACTTTGGGAGGCTGAGGCAGGTGGATCACCTGGGGGCAGGAATTCGAGACCAGTCTGGCCAACATGGTGAAACCCCATCTCTACTAAAAATACAAAATATTAACCGGACATGGTGGTGGGCGCCTGTAGTCCCAGCTACCCAGGAAGCTGAGGCAGGAGAATCACTTGAATCCAGGAGGCGGAGGTTGCAGTGAGCTGAGAAGATCACGCTACTGCACTCCAGCCTGGACGAGCGAAACTCCGTCAAAAAAAAAAAAAAAAAAAAAAGACCTGTCCAGGCTCAAGTGCTCCTTCCTCCTCAGTCGCTGAGACTACAGGGCGTGCCGCTACACCTGGCTAATTTTGTGTCTTTTTTGTAGAGATGGGGGTTTTGTCATGTTGTCCAGGCTGTCCTTGAACTCCTGGGGTGAAGCAATTTGCCTCCTCAGCCTCCCAAAGTGCTGGGGTTACAGGTGTGAGCCAATGAGCCTGCCTACTGTTATTTTAATGGCATAAACATCACCTCCAGAGCTTAGAAAGGAGAGAAAGAAACTTAGGCAATTGATGTGGAGCTCTTTATTAAAGAAACCAGCTGTTAGTTTACCCTTCAGCACCTTGAATGAAGTGTGAATTTCTGTTAGTAAAATGAAATACCTCTTTTCAACCAGAAGATGGGGCTGGACTCCCTTGGAAAGAAACTGCAGAGGCTCTTTTCGGGAACCGGTTTCCTGTGCTCGCTTTGCCTGTAGTTTCTGTCACTAGTACCCAGCTGTGGTCACTAGTACATCAGAAATCACACAGCAGCTCCAAAAATATACTGATGCCTCCACCCAGAAATTCTGGTTCCATAGGTCTGGGGTGTCCTCTAGGTAAGTGATTCTCAAACTCTACTGCACATTGGAATCATTGGGACACTTAGCACTCCAAGCCCACACTGAAGGAATCAGCATGCCGGCGAAGAAGCCACCAGCCGTGATTTGTGGATGAGCCAGGTGATTCCAGCGTGCAGTATGAGCACCACTGTCTTGGACTGCTTAATATGAGACCCTCCGTTGGTGATTCTGACTTGCACTCCTCGGCCCCCATCCATTCTAACTTGAGTGGGGTTGCATCTGCTGGCATAGGAATGCAGACAGTCAGGTGCCTATTTGGTTGTAGCTAAAGTTAGGGCGGCTGAGGGGAGTCGGGAGGTTACTAGGAAGATTCTGGCTAGGACCCTCCCCCTCTGTGTGGATAGAGGCCTGACCTCCTGCTTTTTTTTTTACTGGGAGCTGGCCCAGGGATGCATAGACGTGACAGTAAGTGAGGTCTTAGCCAGGCAGAGAGGAAGTAACAGAACAGCTGAGAGCAGGTGCTATCCAGGACCTATTCTGTCTCTGTGTCTCTCCAGCTTTGTGACAACAAACTGTGCTCTGCAGTTTTCATCCCGTGGAATCCGACCCGGCCTGACCACTGTCCTAGCTCGGAACCTAGACAAGAACACCGTGGGCTACCTGCAGTGGCGATGGGGTATCCAGTCAGCCATGAACACTAGCATCGTCCGAGACACTAAAACCAGCCACTTCACTGTGGCCCTGCAGGTGAGCCGAGCAGCCATCATCTCCTGCAGACAGAGCTCTGGGAGGACCCCTCCTCCCAAGCACTCAGTGCTCCCCTTAAATCCTGCGTCCTGATCACCACTAAGTCTAAGCCCATACAGGGCCCTGAGGGGCAGGCTCTCGGTGCTCACACTCGAGTGACCTGGTGGAACCTTCGAGTATGAAATGCAGTTGCCTTCAGGCGCCTGGGGCAGCTTTGTTGGATCATCTTAAAGCAGAACAACATCTTAATGTCTGGTGGGAGCCACCCACGGAATTGGGGGCGGGCAGATGAAGCCCCATAGCAGAATCATGCCCTCGGACGCCCCTGTGGCCACACCAGGGCTGGTACATGAGAAGCCCCACACGGGCCACTGCTCCTTGGCTCTCACCAGCCGCTGCCACCTAGGAGCATAGGCTCAGTGTCACCAGAGTTTTTTATTTCTTGTGAGAAGCTAGAAAACTGGGTTTTCAGTGAAGTCTCCCACTTTTTAATTACTGGCTGCTAATAAATCATGGTGCACTCACTGCGGCTGCCAGACCGTGACCCCTGCCTTAAAGGCCTGTGTGCAGCAGATGCCCAGAGCTAGTGGGAGGGCAGATACCCATCTCCCCACAGAGTCACACGCCCTAGCCACGCATCCTTGCACCCTCTGTCTCCCCAGCTGGGAATCCCTCACTCCTTTGCACTGATCAGCTATCAGCACAAATTCCAAGATGACGATCAGACTCGTGTGAAAGGATCCCTCAAGTAAGTCCTGGCCTGGCTAAAATGGAAGCACACTGGTACTGCATGCGGGTCTTCACAGTGGAACCAGTTGGTGTAAGACACCTTGCTCGTGTGAATATCTACGTGTGTGTGACATTTTTGGAGAGCTTCCTATTTTGAGGCTGTGGGGGATTTAACACTACAGTCCCAGCCCTTGAGGAGCTTAGAGAGTGTTGTGGAAGAACTAGACCATGGGTGTCCCAACTTTCTTCTGTCATGAATCTGCTCCCTGGGGGTCGAGGAGGCTGGAGGGAGGGAAGGGAAGGTACCTGGCCTCTTCTCAAATGACAGCTGCCCCTGAAGTGATGAATGAGGGGCACAGGCACAGACCGCGTTCTCTCCCTGCAGAGCAGGCTTCTTTGGGACGGTGGTGGAGTACGGAGCTGAGAGGAAGATCTCCAGGCACAGCGTTTTGGGTGCAGCTGTCAGCGTTGGAGTTCCACAGGGTGTTTCTCTCAAAGTCAAGTAAGTTGAACTTAGGCCTTTCGGGTCAAGGAATGCCTGTCACCTTCACTCAACCAGGCTTTACCCAAGTTAAGGCTGAAATAGCCTTTGCATTGTAATTTTGTTCTTAAAGACACAGTTGCTTGGCTAGGTGCAGTGGCTTATGCCTGTAATCCCAGCACTTTAGGAGGCCAAGGCGGCCGGATCGCCTGAGGTCAGGAGTTTGAGACCAGCCTGGCCAACGTGGTGAAACCCCATCTCTACTGAAAATACAAAAATTAGCCAGACGTGGTGGCACACGCCTATAATCCCAGCTATTTGGGAGGCCGAGGCAGGAGAATTGCTTGAACCCGAAGGCGGAGGTTGCAGTGAGCTGAGATGGAGATCGTGCCACTGCACTCCAGCCTGGAGGACAGTGAGACTCCGTCTCAAAAAATATAAAAAAAAAAATTCAGCCAGGTGCCGTGGATCACGAGGTCAGGAGATCGAGACCATCCTGGCTAACATGGTGAAACCCCATCTCTACTAAAAATACAAAAAATTAGCCAGGGGTGGTGGCGGGTGCCTGTAGTCCCAGGTACTCGGGAGGCTGAGGCAGGAGAATCGCTTGAACCCAGGAGGCGGAGCTTGCAGTGAGCCAGGATCGCTCCATTGCACTCCAGCCCGGGTGACAGAGTGAGACTCCATCTCAAAAAAAAAATACAGTTGCTTGTGTCTTTGCTGAGTAAGCAAATGTCAAGCAGTGCATAGTTCCAACACCGAGTGAGTGAGGTGTACGTCTGAGCTCCAGCAGCCTCGCCTGATGTCACAGGATGCATCCTAGCAGCCCAGTCCTCCTGGAGTCACTGGCCTGGCAGCTATCCCCCGGGCACAGCATCTCCAGTAGCAGCTGCCATATCGGTTCATCCCTCTCACCAGGGGTTTCCATTGGCACACATACCCTTGCTCCACCTGAGTCTAGTCACTGTCCTCTCCTTAGTTCCTCAAAAGAGTTGTCTGGTTTTGGCCGGGCACTGTGGCTCACACCTGTAATCCCAGCACTTTGGGAGGCCAAGGCGGGCAGATCACGAGGTCAGGAGATTGAGACCATCCTGGCTAACACGGTGAAACCCCGTCTCTACTAAAAATACAAAAAATTAACCGGGCGTGGTGGCGGGCGCCTGTAGTCTCTGCTACTTGGGAGGCTGAGGCAGGAGAATGGTGTGAACCCGGGAGGCAGAGCTTGCAGTGAGTCGAGATGGCGCCACTGCACTCCAGCCTGGGCATCAGAGCGAGACTCCACTCAAAAAAAAAAAAAAAAATGTCTGTTTTCGCTTGCATCCGTCTTCTTTCTTTCTAAACGTGCTCCAGTCAGGCCTCTCCAGCAAAACCAGCCCTCTCCAGAATCAGCCTTTCTCACCTCATCAGTGGGGCACCCTCCCTCCTGTGGCAGATCAGAGGGTGATTCTTCTTCATCTCATTTGGTCTCTGCACCTGCTGTCGCGGTGGCCGTTCCCTCCTGCCCTTACAGCCTCTCTGCCCTGAGTTTCCAGGATACCACGCCCTGCTCTGGCTTTCCGTACCAGATGGCTGCTGTCTCCCAAACCCCTAAATGGAGGCACCACTGCAGGGCACAGCCCTTCTCTCTCGACTCACTCCCAAGCAGTCATGTCCAGCCTCATGGCTCTCATGCCCTGAGGACTCACGTTGCAAGTGCCAGCTTGGACCACCCCCTCAATCTCCAGCTCATATATTTGTCCAGCTTTCTCTTCCTAATCTCTACTTGGATACCTAACAGCATCTCAGATGTCACGTATCCAAACAGAACTCGATCCCTCCCTGTGCCCCCAGAAACGAAGAACCTTCAGAACCTGCTCTGCCCGAAGTCTTTCCCATCTCTCTCTCTTTTTTTATTTTATTTTTATAGAGACAGGGTCTCACTTGGTTGCCCAGGTTGGTTTTGAACTCCTGGCTTCAAGTAGTTCTCCCGCTTCGGCCTCCTAAAGTGTTAGGATTACAGGTGTGAGCCACAGCGCCCAGCCTCCTTTCCTATCTCAGTAAATGAGAGCTCTGGCCTTCTACTTGCTCTGTCCAAAAACCTTGGAGTCAGCCTCGATCTCTTTCTCTCCCACACTCCAAATCATACATATCTCAAAATCATCTCCTGAACATGTACTCCAAAATTGTATCCCCAGTCTCGCCATTTCTCAACCTCACTGCGGCCAGCATCTTTGTCTTAGTTACACAGCACCCTCCCCACGGAACCTGTCTCCCTCCTTGTGTGTCTGCTTTCCGTAGGAGAGTCCTTTTTAAAATTGAAGGCAGTTCACGTCTGTCTTCTGCCTAAAACCTCAGAGGTTCCCTCAATTCCAGTCGGAGGCCAAAGCCCTTCAGAGACTTTGGAGCCTACAATGCCCTCCGTGATGTAGTACTCCTCTCTACCCCAACCCCAGCCATCCTGACCCCCTGGAGCTATTCCTGGCACACACCAGGCCCCCTCCTGCTTATGAGGTGGCCTTTGCTATTTCTCAGTCTGCAGATAAATACGTGGCCATTTCCTTCACTCCCTGTAAGTATCTGCTGTCTGCTCAAATGTCCCCTAATTCACCTTGTATAACATAGTAGCCCTTCCCCTTGCCCCAGGTGATCCCCCCCACCATGTTTGCCATGTTCAATCTCCAACGAGCCAGTCTCCATCTGAAGGGCCATCTCCTGCACTCCTCATCAGACATAAGCTCTTGGACTTGGTCCATTTTATTCTCACCCGCACTTCTAGAACCTAAAACCCATCGTGGTACTTGAGAGGAACTCAGTGAGTGAATCAAAGTGGATCACAGCTCAGTTTTGGAAACAAAGCCAAATCACTTACCTAGATTAGAGCTGGCGTCAGCCATCTCTCCTCAGATAATATTTGAAGGCTCAGTACAGTGGCGCGCACACTTTGGGAGGCCAAGACAGGAAGATCACTTGAGCCCAGGAGCTCAAGGTGGTAGTGAGCTGTGATTGTGCCCCTCAGCCTAGATGACAGAGTGAGACCCTGTCACTTCAAAAAAAAAAAAAAATTTTTGTCTTGAAGTCTACCTTATCTGTTACTATATAGCTTTTTTAGTCTTCTTATGCTTACTATTTATTTTTTTTACCCATTCACATTTAACCTGTCTCTGTTTGTGTGTGTGTGTGTGTGTGTGTGTGTATATATATATATATATTTTTTTTTTTTTTGGAGACGGAGTTTCGCTCTTGCACCCCAGACTGGAGTGCATTTGGCTCACTGCAACCTCCACCTCCCAGGTTCAAGCAATTCTCCTACCTCAGCCTCCTGAGTAGCTGGGATTACAGGCGCCCACCACCACACCCAGCTAATTTTTGTATTTTAAGTAGAGACAGGGTTTCACCATGTTGGCCAGGCTGGTCTCAAACTCCTGACCTCAAGCGATCCTCCTGCCTCAGCCTCCCAAAATGCTAGGATTACAGGCGTGAGCCACTGAGCCTGGCCAAGTTTTGAGTGTTCTTTATCAATTCTGGAATTGCTTTTATTCTGGAAGAGCTTTTATTCTGGAAGAGTGTGATCAGGTATTGTCAGTGGCTACTCAGCATGTTTTCTTTTTCTGGCTTTTCAGCAGTTTGTGATGTACATAGATAAGGCTGTTGTTGTATTTATGATGCTTGGGGTTTCCTAAACTTCTTGCATCTGTAAATTTCCTTTTCCTCACTGGGGCTCTAATTACCAATATATTAAACTTAACACTCTTCCACGGGTTTCTGAGATTCTGTCCATGCATCCTCAGTCCTTTTCCTCTTGTTGACCAGGCTGGAGTGCTGTGGTACAATCTGCCTCCTGGGTTGAAGCGTTCTCCCGCCTCACTCAGCCTCCCGAGTAGCTGGGACTACAGACAGGTACCACCACGCCCGGCTAATTTTTGTATTTTTGGTAGAGATGAAGTTTCACCATGTTGGCCAGGCTGGTCTCAAATTCCTGACCTCAGGTGATTCGCCCACCTCAGCCTCCCAAAGTACTGGGATTACAGGCGTGAGCCACCACGCCTGGCCAAATTTTTTATATGTGGTCCAGAGTTTACACATTGGTCCAATAGGAGCTACTTTACTCAGCCACCACTGGAAGCAGAACCTCCTTAACTGACTAACTTTTGAAGTCTTCACTAACTTCTTTGGAAACCTCAGTTAAGAACTGAGATGTGACTCTCCAGTGACATCTGGAGGAGCCCATTCCTGTCCTCTCCAGCCTATGACTGAATGCACCTGTAGGGGACGTTGACCCCGTGAAGTGTTCCTCTTGTTGCTTTGGCTTGAGGTCAGCAGACACTGGGATCTTTCTTCTGTCACAGTGTCAGATCCATCAGCCAGACTTTGGAACGGGAGGCCAGAAGGTGGTGGACTGTGAAAGGAGCAGACTGCAGGCTCCTTTAACTCGCAGCTGCACGCAGCACAAGTTCTCTTCCTGTGCCTGACACCCCATTGCCCTTCCCTGGAAAACCTGATTCATCTTGGCTTTTTTTTTTTTTTTTTTGTATTTTTCCCCAGGCTCAACAGGGCCAGTCAGACATACTTCTTCCCTATTCACTTGACGGACCAGCTTCTGCCCAGCGCCATGTTCTATGCCACCGTGGGGCCTCTAGTGGTCTACTTTGCCATGCACCGTCTGATCATCAAACCATACCTCAGGGCTCAGAAAGAGAAGTGAGTTGACACGTCATGGGCATGTCACTAGCCAGCCCTGTGCCTCAGTTTCCTCACCCTTAAAATGGAGAGGATAACAGAGCCTCCTGCGTCGGGTGATGAGGAAACCTGAATTAAGTAATGCATGTAAAGCACTTAGGCTGATGTCTGGGTCACGATTGGTAAATGTTAACTATTTCTCCTCATTGTCCGTAGTTGGACTGCTGTTATCTCTTCGTTTGTAAATCTTACTCTCAGAAAGGACTGGAGTTTATAGAAGTGTTGGGCCTCGGCTGGGCGTGGTGGCTCACGCCTGTATTCCCAGCACTTTGGAAGGCTGAGGCAGGTGGATTACCCGAGGTGAGGCGTTCAGGACCAGTCTGGCCAACATGGTGAAACCCTGTCTCTACTAAAAAAATAGAAAAATTAGCCGGGCGTGGTGGCACGTGCCTGTAATCCCAGCTACCTGGGAGGCTGAGACAGGAGAATTGCTTGAACCTGGGAGGTGGATGTTGCAGTGAGCCTAGATTGCGCCATTGCACTCCAGCCTGGGTGACAGAGCAAGACTCGGTCTCAAAAAAAAAAAAAAAAAAAGTGTTGATCCTCTAAACCATGGCCTCAAGAAAGAAGAAGTTTTCCTTTCTCCTTTCCCAGCGCTGAGTTTAAGAGGAATGCGTTCTGGATCCGTATGTGAGGGGCCTGCGTTAACTAGAGTCTTGAAAGTCACAGAAACACAACGTTTTTGCAGTTTCTTAGATAATCCATTGGGGCATGCCGTGAAACCTAAATTATTAGTGCAAGCATCTCTACAGAAAACTGAGAGCTGGTATAGATTTGTTACTTTATAATATCTCATTTAGTAAAGCATTGCACTTAGAGAATCTCAGATAAAGGAATGAATCTCCTCTTCTGGGCCCGTCTGGCCTTTGGACTCAGAATCCTAATTCCCTAGGAGGCTTGAGGCTTAGAACAAGACATGTGCTGGCCCAGCCTTCTCTCAGAAGGGAGGACAGGCATATGCTGACCCCAAGGCCCATACTTTGTTACAGGAAAGCGGATCTGTGTGTCTAAAGTGGTATTAGTTGTTCCTACCAAAAGTGTTATTTAACAACTCACGCCTGTAACCCTAGCACTTCGGGAGGCCGAGACAGTAGGATCACTTGAGCCCAGGAGTTCGAGACTAGCCTGGGCAATATAGTGAGACCCCCATCTCTATCTTAAAATTAAAATTAAAAAAATAATAATCCCACAAGGTTGGTGGGATCTCCTGAAATTCTCCTGTGGTGGGGTCTTCTTTCCAAAGAGACTGACAGTCGGTGTCCCGTCAGCTTGGTGAGGAGGTGGGGCAGAGCCATCTAAGGATAAAATGAAAGCTGCCAGCCTGTGACTAACAGACTTGCCTGAGACTGTCGTGGGAATATTTTTTAAAGTTCTACAACTGAACTCCAGTAAGATCACAGACTGTTTGCTGGGCTCGGGTCCAGCACGGGAGGGGCTGTGTTGGCTGGAAGCTGGGCAGCGCCGCGCTAACGTGGGGCTTGTGTTCCTCTCGCGTAAGGGAATTGGAGAAGCAGAGGGAAAGCGCCGCCACCGATGTGCTGCAGAAGAAGCAAGAGGCGGAGTCCGCTGTGAGTGCTGCCCCACCGTTCCCAAGCGAGGGCTGTAGGGGACACACTCCACACCCCACATGTTGGTCTCAGGGCCTTAGAGGTCAGACTTCTCTTCTCCAACAACTTGGCTCTCCACTTAGTCTTTATTGTGGGATGCGACACTGGGCTCTGCAGTCCCTGCCCTGAAGATAATTACCCTCCAAAGGCCTAACAAGGGCTTTTTTAAAGTGGTGAGTATTGGCCTCTTTTTCTTCCCTCTGAGTGTTCTGCCTTTTACTGAGCAGGAGGGAGCAGGCTTCCTGGGTATGTGGCGAGCATACTGCCAGGTGGCCATGGGCCGTGTGCGCGGCCTGGCGAGCACATGCCTGTCTGAGGGGGCGGCACAGCTATGCCCAGCAGAATGGCACCACAGGAGAACACAGGTCCTTTCTCAAGAGGAGCTGGGATTCCAGCTTCTCCTGTGAAATCTCTTTATTTTTAAAGCTGACAACGCATTGTTTTTTTATTGGGTCAACAAATCCCACCCACGCATTAATGATCCCTAGAAAGGGAGCTCCCACCGGTGGCCACCGGAGGGTCATGCCGTTTCAGGTGCTTCTCACCTTCTGACCCAGAGCTGCCTGCCCTAGGTCTAGGAGTTTCAGAGTGAGCCACTCGGGTAGCAGAGCTGTCAGGGTGCCCACTCCCTTCCTTTCCAGGCCCTGAGCAAGTATGTTGACGTGGACAAGACTGCCTGCCTGTGGCCCTCTCACCAGAGGTGGAACAGGCCTGGCAGGGCCCTGACTGTGTCATCCTTGTTCTCTGGCAGGTCCGGCTGATGCAGGAATCTGTCCGAAGGATAATTGAGGCAGAAGAGTCCAGAATGGGTGAGAACATGTGTCCTCTCTTGGTCCAGGGTGGGCGCTGGGGGTCTCTAAGCCACACAAGGAGGTGCCTGGAGGAGGCCTTCCTCTACTCGGAGTCTGTCCTTAGGCCTCATCATCGTCAATGCCTGGTACGGGAAGTTTGTCAATGACAAGAGCAGGAAGAGCGAGAAGGTGAAGGTGATTGACGTGACTGTGCCCCTGCAGTGCCTGGTGAAGGACTCGAAGCTCATCCTCACGGAGGCCTCCAAGGTACAGCAGCACCAGCCACCACATGCTATGTGCTCACAGATTTGAACAGGCTGGGCGCGGTGACTCAGGCCTATAATCCTAGCACTTTGGAAGGCCAAGGTGGGCGGATTGCTTGAGCCCAGGAGTTCAAGATCAGCCTAGGCAACATGGCAAAACCCTATCTCTACAAAAAAGAGAAAAAATCAGCTGGGCATGGTGACACACACCTGTTGTCCCAGCTGTTCGGGAGGCTGAAGCGGAAGGATTGGTTGAGCCCAGGAGGTTGAGGCTACAGTGAGCTGTGATTGTGCCACTGCACTCCAGCCTGGGTGACAGAGCAAGACCCTGTCTCAAAACAAACAAACAAACAGTGGTGTGAAGAATAGGTTCAGTCTGACAAGGACAGCCTGGCCCCTTAAAGTGGGATCTTTGCCGTCATCAGCATCTACTGTGTGGGATGCTGCCCAGCTCCTGAGTAGTACCCACGTTGGAGCTATTCTCTTCATTCAGTCATTTCTTTCACCACTCAGTAAGGATTTACTGAGCCCCTGGTGTGTGCCAGTCACACCAGCAAACAGAACACACGCCTGCCTTCATGGCATTTGATTCTGTTTATTTTTGCCTCATTCCAGAAAGATCATGAGGTCACTTGTAACATGTGTGAGTCTTGCCTCTGGGGCCTGGGGCATGGACCATACAGAAGGATGAAAATGCAGGTTAGCTCAGGCCAGAGAGTTCCTGGCACCCTAGAAGTCATCTGGTGGCCCTGTCTTAGTGTGAGGATAGGGCCTTTATTAAGAAGCGAGTCTTGGCAACTTTTTCAAATTCTTGTTTCTTTTTCTTCATGCCCCAAAGTTTGCATCTCCCCAGGGAATGTCAGAGCCTGTGCACACTGCCCCTCCGGTGGTAGTGAGGAGGAGTGCTGGTCTTAGACCGTCTGGAGTATTGAGAGTAGCAATTTGTTTGTTACAGGCTGGGCTGCCTGGCTTTTATGACCCGTGTGTGGGGGAAGAGAAGAACCTGAAAGTGCTCTATCAGTTCCGGGGCGTCCTGCATCAGGTGATGGTGCTGGACAGTGAGGCCCTCCGGATACCAAAGCAGTGTGAGTAGCCGTCCCTTCGCAGTCACCAGCTAACGGGGGCGGGGACCTCGAAGCGGCTGCTCAGTGTGTGGGCTGCCAGCCACCTTCCACCTTCCTCAGCTGCCCACCTGGGAGCAGAGACGCCAACTAGCCCTTGACCCATGATTCACTCAGAGCCCATGATTTGTGCCCTAAAAGGGGGGCTGGGGCCCTTTCACAGGTAGAATTAGAGTGAGCGCGTTGGAAACTGCGGCTTGAGTGGCGGGGGATGAAAGCAGACCTCTACGTTCCAGCAGCAGTTGATTTTCAGCAGCGGGTGCTCTGCCTCGCCTGGGCCCAGCCAGCTGCTGGTCCGGGTGACTGCTGAGCCCCATCAGTAGAAAGGTGCATGGGAATGGCCACCTTCTGATCACCTGCGTCTGTCTTTTCCTTTACAGCCCACAGGATCGATACAGATGGATAAACTGCCAAGAACCAGATTTTTAAAAGGCCGCAAAAAATCTTTTCCTGGGAGTCTACAAATTTGGAAATGAAAAAACCCAGACATCAGATGTTTTTATTTTATATTATTATTATAGAAGGTGGTACCATTATCAATTATGTGAAGGGACATGCAGACACCCCAGCTTTTGAGGGTGCTGGGGGTAGGACTGAGGCAGCCCCACTGGGAACCAGACTGCAGCCTGGCCCATGGCTGTTTTCCCAAGGATCAGTTCCTGGAGGGAAGGGCTCTGGCCCTGACTCCGCTGTGTCCCGAGCACACGTGCTGACCGCAGCCCGCCGCCCTGTAGTTCTTGGCTGGGTCTGGAGGTGTCTGTGGAGCACCCTGCCCTCACCACAGGAGCGTGAGCCACTTCTGCAGTCCACGCTGAACATGGGAAACAACCTGAAAAGCAGGCAGGCCTCCCGGTCAGGGAGCCTCTGCTGTGCTGGCTTCCCATGACCACCTCCTCTTGCTGAAATATTACTGCTTGAATCTGGAGCAGATTGCGGGTTTATAAAACTGCTTTTTATCTGAGAACAAACGGGTTTGGAAATTAGTCGTCTTTTTTCCCCACTCCCAGAGCTGCTCAAGTCATTCCACCGGCCCCCTCGGCTTGGGACAGGGTAGTGTAACTCCCGATCCCAGGGCCTAGCCCTGACACAGGTGGCTTCCCGTATCCCGGTGGGAAAACGCCCTGCCACCAGCGGGCTTGAGCTGGCCTGTGTCCCTCCACCGCCTGCACCACCCACCTCCAGAGTGCAGTGCTGGGCAAGGGCAGCTCAAGAGGACAGGACCAGGCGCTTGGCAAGACATCAGACACACCCAACCCAAAGGCGTGGACCCCAGGCCCGGCCCGTGGTACCCAGCAGGTGGCACTGCAGCTCCCCGCTCCTGCAGGTCCAGCGTCCTCACAGGAACACCAGGGCCTGTGCTCCGGAGCCTTCCTTCAGACCCTTCCTCCACGTGCCCACTTGGGATGCAGAATGCAGCGGAGCTAGGACCCCCTCCACGGCCTGGACCTCGGCTGCAGTAAAGTTACGTGAGGCCTGTCTCTCGGGGCCTGGAAGTGGCAGCCATCAGTTGCTCTTGCTGACCCCTCGGAGCAAGCGCCGCACAGGTGGTGGCTGAGACAGCTGGCGCGGGGGGCCCCAAGCTGCGCCGGCCTCCAGCCCACCCACAGCTGTTGCTGAAGTCAGGCCTCCCTCCCCAGCACTGGTATCTGAGTAACGGCTAAGAACCTCCTTCCTCTGGTTTTGAAAAGCAGTTCGGGTTGTCCAATTCTGTAACATTCATCTCCATTTTTTAAAAAGGTTTCTCTGACGGCCCCACGGCCCGAGCCGCGGTGAGCGTCGTGTTGCATGAGCCTGGGCCCCGGGCTTCCCGTGCGCCTCTGCCGCAGGTGCTTCTGGGCACCCATCCTCTGCGTTTCATTTGCAGTCGACTGTACAGAAGGCACTCACCACAATAAACCTTTCCTGAAAGCAGAGGCTGGCGCTCTTCCGTGTATTGTGTGTTCATCTTCAGGAGGGAGGGAACCCCTTCCCCAGAGGCCTCCTCCCCATCCTTCACTCCTCACTCAACCACAAGGCTTCACGTGAAGCTGGGGTTCCATTTTCTACATTAAACAACATTGCCTGAGAAATAAATAGACCCCAAGTTAGGAAATCAGGCTAGAACTTTTTTCTTTAATTCACTAAAGCTATAAATTAGACAAAATAGGAAGTCAGTTTTTTTTTTCAGACTGAGTCTCGCTCTGTCACCCAGTGACAATACTAGAGGGCAGTGGTGTGATCTCGGCTCACTGCAACCTCCACCTCCCGGGTTCAGCTGATCCTCCTGTCTCAGCCTCCCAGGTAGCTGGGACTACAGGTGTGTGCCACCACGCCTGGCTAATTTGTGTCTTTTTTAGTAGACATGGGATTTCACCATGTTGGCCAGGCTGGTCTTGAACTCCTGACCTCAAGTGATCTCCCCACCTCGGCCTCTCAAAGTGCTGGGATTACAGGCATGAGCCACTGCGCCCGGCCACGGAAGTCAGTCTTCTTAGAAGGAATCACGGCACTAGAGAAAATGATGATGGGAGCGACACCGTATAGAAAGACACTTTATTACACTGCCCACTCACACCAGGCCGGGACAGGAGTCACTCCTTAGAACCCCGAGCGGCTGTCCAGGCTGATGGAGGAGGGGACCACTCACCCGCCACAGAGCCAGCCCCCTCACATGGCTTCCTCCCTGAGGAGCATCTCCCACACTGGGGCTTCCAACGATCTTTGCTCTGCGTGTGCTGAAAGGACAGCGTCCAGAATCAGCCTCAGCCTGGACTTCTGTTACCATGGGAGGATAAGCTTGTCATGCTCACAGATGTGCACTCCTAGTGCCACGCCTCTAAACGTCCCCCAGACGGCATTGGGGCTCTCGCCGGGGAGCTTGGCTACTGTCTCGATCCCCGGCCAAGCAGGCCTCATGGCCAACTTTCTCAGTGTCCACAGCAGACAAAAATGTCCACAGCCAGAGCTCCAAAGCTCTGCCGGCCCTGGTGCCACTGCCACCTCTGCGTCCGGAGCCTGTGGGGCTCAGCTCTGCTGCTCTGGCCCAAGTCTGGCCTGGAGTCCCTGGTGCCCTTTGCAAGCACGGAGGCGGCTGGACATCCTTCGCATCACCAGCCTCTGGGCCTGCAAGCGCTTCCGGAGCTTTTCATTTTCCTTCAGAGTGAGGAAGAGTTTTTTCTTCAGGGAATCTAAGTCCAAAAGGGCATAGCTGTGATCAGATGGCTGCTTGTTGGGGGTCCTTCTCAGGCCTGCAGGGCCAGTCGGCCGGCCAACAGCCTCTGTTGCTTGCGGCCTCCGTGGCGAGACCTGAGGACAGGGGAGTGAGAGCCTAGAGCTGCATCACCAGCAGGAAGGCGGGCCATGGTGAGCAGGCCACCAGACACGCACACAGCACAACCCCAGGGCAGCTAGACACTCCGGGCTGCTCCCCCAAAATCCAGATGTGCCCACACCATGGTGGAGAATTTGACTGGGGAGCTCTGAAACCCAGGCTGCACACCCTGCCTCGGCCACACAGGTCTCATGGTGGGTGCTCACTGGTTTCCATTTTGTTTGGAGCAAGTCATCTTGTGTCCAACCACAGACCACCTTTGCACTCAGTCTTACCTGTTTTACGTGGCCTTCGGCATTTGGGGGCAACTGAAGCTCTTCAAGTGCAGTGTCCATGTTTCTCCCAGGACTGTCCTCTCCGGCCCCCGCCTCAGGGAGGACCTGGGAACGGCAGGGTGAAGTCTGCACTACAGCCCTGCACATGCAGGGCCCTCCTGCAGCTGCTACTTGTCCCTCTAGGGGAGTGGCAACAGCCAGGGACCAGCTCCAGGGTCTGTGCCCCTCCACAGCCAGCTTCTCCCTAGCACACACCCTGGAACTGAACTTTTTTTTTTTTTTGAGACAGTCTCGCTCTGTCACTTAGGCTGGAGTGCAGTGGTGCAATCTCGGCTCACTGCAACCTCCACCCCCAGGGTTCAGGTGATTCTCGTGCCTCAGCCTCCTGAGTAGCTAGAATTACAAGCATGTGCCACCACGCCTGGCTAAATTTTTTTTTTTTTTTTTTTGAGACGGAATCTAACTCTGTCACCCAGGCTGGAGTGCAGTGGCATGATCTCGGCTCACTGCAACCTCTGCCTCCCGGGTTCAACCAATTCTGCCTCAGCCTCCTGAGTAGCTGGGACTACAGGCACATGCCACTACACCTGGCTAATTTTTTTTTTTCTTGAGATGGAGTTTCACTCTTTCACCCAGGCTGGAGTGAAGTGGTGCGATCTCAGCTCACTGCAACCTCCGCCCCCTGGGTTCAAGTGATTCTCCTCCAGAGTAGCTGGGATTATAGGCATCCACCACCATGCCCAGCTAAATTTTTGTATTTTTAGTAGAGACGGGGTTTCGCCAGGCTGGTCTCGAACTCCTGACCTCAGGCAATCCACCTGCCGCAGCCTGCCAAAGTGCTAGGATTACAGGTGTGAGCCACCAGGCCCAGCCGAATTTTTGTATTTTTAGTAGAGATGGAGTTTCACCATGTTGGCCAGGCTGGTTTCGAACTCCTAACCTCAGGTGATCCGCCTGCCTCGGCCTCCCAAAGTGCTGGGAATACAGACGCAAGCCACTGCGCCCAGCCCGGCTAATTTTTATATTTTTAGTAGAGATGGGGTTTTTACTATGTTGGCCAGGCTGGTCTCAAACTCCTAGCCTCAAGACATCCACCCGCCTCAGCCTCCCAAACTGCTGGGATTATAAGCGTGAGCCACCTCGCCCGGCCCTGGAACTGAACTTTAAGAAATCAGGCACGGCCAGGTGCGGTGGCTCCCGCCTATAATTCCAGCACTTTGTGGGGCCAAGGCAGGAGAATCCCCTGAATCCAAGAGTTTGAGACCAGACTGGGCAAGATAGCAAGACCCCCATTTCTAAAAAAAAAAAAAAAAAAAATTTTTAATTAGCTGGGCATGGTAGCACATGCTTGTGGTCCCAGCCACTTGGGAGGCTCAGGTGGGAGGATGGCTTGATCCTGGGAGGTTGAGGCTGCTGCGAGCCATGACTGCACCACTGTACAGAGCCTGAGCAACAGAGTGAGACCCTGTCTCAAAAACAAAGAAAAAGGTTGGGTGCAGTGACTCACATCTATACTCCCAGCACTTTGGGAGACTGAGGTGGGAGGATGGCTTGAGCCCGGTAGTTTGAGACCAGCCTGAGTAAAATAGCAAGATGCTATCTCTACAAAAAAAAAAAAGTGGGGGCCCAGGCGCGGTGGCTCACACCTATAATCCCAGCACTTTGTGAGGCAGAGGTGGGTGGATCACCTGAGGTCAGGAGTTCGAGACCAGCCTGGCCAACGTGGTAAAACCCCGTCTCTATTTCAAAACACAAAAATTAGCCGGGCGTGGTAGCGGGCATCTGTAATCCCAGCTACTCGGGAGGCTGAGGCAAGAGAATCACTTGAACCTGGAAGAGGTTGCAGTGCGCCGAGATCATGCCACTGCACTCCAGACTGGGTGACAGAGCGAGACTCAGTCTCAAAAAAAAGAAAAGAAAAAGGGAATCAGGCACGATCCCTACTAGCAACTGAGATTCTTTGATATTGAAAAGAAGGAAGCTGAGAGGCTTGGGCCTTCCCTCCAGAAAAACCGGGAATCCAAACTGGCATATGAGGAAAGGCGACAGCCCTGCGGGCCGGCCTTGCTGGGAAAATCCCACCTCCCTGTCTCAACCCACAGCATAATTTAAACATTCAAGTACCTGGCCCGGTGCACTCACCTTTTCTTTCTGAGAAGAGCTGGCATTTCCTCTCTCACTGGCAGGGTCTGTGTTCTCCCTCACCTGCTACAAGAGACACACACAGAGTGGATGCAGACCCCAAGAACCCTCAGAGCTCGGGGCAGGCCTCGGGCATCATGCTTGTCCCCGCTGCTCGGCCCACTGCATGCCCCAGTCAACGAACAGCTGCTAAATGAAACTGACCTGAAGCTCAGCCCAACTCACACTGCCCGCTTGGTGCGCTTCTCTTTCTCCAAAGATGTCCTCAAATCATGGTCAGAGTGCCCTGAATAGGTCCCTGTAGAGCTAGGGACCCATCTACTTCCTATGTGTCACCCCAGGGCCTGGCACCTGGCCCCATGACCGCCAGCAAGCAGCAGAAGCGCAGCTCACCACTCGAGGTGCCACTGACCCAGAACCTGCAGCCCCTGGGCCACACTGGGGTGGGGCCCACAAAGCAGAGCTGGCAGAGGCCGTACCCAGCTTCTCCCCACCAACCAGGCACTGGAAGCACCGAGGGCTACAGTGACAAACGTCCCCACTCCCAGTGGCTCAAGTGTCATCTTTCCAGGACAAACGTTATCACAAATACGTGAAGGTGATTAAAGTGTTCATCTATGGACACATACCCCGAGCACCTGGGCTGTGCCAGGCAGCGTCCTGGGTGTGGGGCCTGAAGCAGGGAAGGCAGCCCCTGCCCTCATGGAGATTCTGTTCCAGGGGAGAAGACAAAACCAATGAGGGAAACAGGAAGGACAGCAGGGGCCACAGGGGCCAGGAAGACTGAGGGGCAGGAAGGGGTCGGAGGCAAGAGGGGGTTTGAGGGTCCAGAAGGGCTTCCTGAAGGAAGGGACTGCCAACCTGAAGAGGTTCAGGCAGACTGCATGAGGCTATCTGGGAAGGGTGCTGGGGAGGACAGATGGGGCAGGGGCTCCCAGGCGGCCGCTCTGGGCGTGTTTGCTACGTGGCCGCTTTGTTCTTCCCATCGGCTCCACTCTCCACTCACGGATCCCTTTCCTCTCCCCATAAATCCACCAATGCAGGGAGCTGCTGGCCTGTGGCTTGTCCCGCCACTGCCCTGCCTGCCCACTCCACGTGGGTGCCCCTGTGGCCTATCATGCGATCTCAAGGCTTCAGCATCCAACTCTTTGTGAGCCCTCTCCTGAGCCAGGCCCACACATCCCACCTCCACCAAGGCAAGCTTGGCTCACTGCAACCTCTGCCTCCCGGTTCAAGAGATTCTCCTGCTTCAGCCTCCCAAGTAGCTGGGATTACAGGTGCCCACCAACACACCCAGCTGATTTTTGTATTTTTAGTAGAAATGGGGTTTCAACATGTTGGCTGGGCTGGTATCGAATTCCTGACCTCAGGTGATCCACCCACCTCTGCCTCCCAAAGTGCTGGGATTACAGACGTGAGCCACCGCACCCAGCCATAGAATAATTCATTTTTAAAATGCCTTTAATTTATGACTTCTCTTAAAGCCGAGGTCATGGCCAGCAGGGCCACAGGGCTGTGGACCCCAGAGGCGTGACAGTGCTGTTGTCACTGGAGTTCTTGGCCTTGGCTTTTCCCACACATGCCGCCACCCCCACTGCCCCCAGCTGCTGGTAAACAACGCAGGCTGGATGTGACCAGACGGAAGGTGCAGTGCCCTCCTACCTGTGTGGGGTCCTGAAAGGCGAACACCGTGGGCACGGCATTGTGCTTTAGGTTCTTGCGGTTTCCAAAGGCGCTGAAGCACTCTGGCCGGAAGTGCTCGGAGCAGATGACCGTGTGCTGCTTGGGCTTGAAGTTGCCCCGGCCGATGTTCAGCACCCATTCCTTCAGCAGCTCCGGGCGGCTGAACGGAAACCTAAGGGCAGAGGCACGGGGTGTGAGGCCCAGCAAGGCTGGACCCAGCGCCTCAGAGTCATTCGGAATTTTCACATCACTACAGAGTACTTCCCTGGACAGCTGTGGACATTCAGTCCTCTCGGTTTATTAAATCACATCTAATTTCTGGAAGCTTCTGTCACAGCTGTTAAAGCACTCTTAATAGGAAACCCGAGACCACGAGCATGGCCAGAGAGCCCAAGTGAGCTGCTTCCGATGCTACATTTGCCAGGAGCCTACCAGGAGCCGGGCCCTGTTCTTCGTGCTAGGGATGGGGGGTAATGAGACAGTCCTGGCCCCCAAGAGCTGATATTCTGGAGCGGGGGCACAGTGATGAGCCACACAGATGTGGACGGTGTCTTCTGGGGATGACAGCTGCTCCAGAGAACAGACAGAGGGAAGCCCTGGGGTGGTGAGGAGAGGCAGCTGAAGGGGTGATGTTTGAGCACAGACCGCAGGAAGTGGCAGCACAAGCGACGCAGGCTTCAGAAGGGACAGCAGGAACGGCCACTCACGCAGGTCCAGCTGAGACAGCGAGAGGGAGTGGGGACTGCATGACGCAGGGCCCTGAGCAGCTGGGGAGTCCCTGGAGGCTCTAGACAGAGGTGAGATGGAACCTGGGTCCACCCTGGCTGCTGTGGGACCAGGCATTGGCAGGAAGTGGTAATGAGAGGGCAGACTTGGATGTATTTTGAAAGCCATGCAGTAAGGTTTGCCTGTAGATGGTAAAATTGAGAAGGAAGGAGTTTCATGTTGGAGATAAAATTAAGTTACAGGACGGCAGGTTAAGGGGATCAGAAGTTTGTTTTGTAGCAGCTGAGCATGGTGGCTCACGCCTGTAATCCCAGCACTTTGGGAGGCCAAGGCAGACAGACTGCCTCAACTCAGGAGTTCAAGACCAGCCTGGCCAACATGGTGAAACCCCATCTCTACTAAAGATGCAAAAATTAGCCCAGCGTGGTGGCGCACTCCTGTGATCCCAGCTACTTGGGAGGCTGAGGCACAAGAATCACCTGAACCAGGGAGGCAGAGGCTGCAGTGAGCCGAGACTGCGCCACTGCACTCCACCTGGGCAACAGAGTGAGAGTCTGTCTCCAAAAAAAGAAGTTTGTTTTTTATGTCAGGAGTTAAATTTGAGGTGCTTTTTAGGCTCTCCATGTGCTGGGGTGACAGGCGGCCACACGCATCTGGAGATGTCAGTGTGGCGGCCAACCCTGCGGAACCGATAAGCCTGGGTGAGATGGGCCCCTGGGGAGCAAGTGTGGCTAGAAGCCACCCCTGGGCCATGGCCCACACCCCAGGGCTCCAACACTTAGTGCTGGAAATAAGGAGGATCCAGCAAAGGAGACTGAGAAGAGACACCTGTGGCCAAGAAGTGTACCAGACGCCATGCGGGAAAAGTGACCCAGGCTCAGGGGTCAGTTGTGTGAAATGCTATGCAATCGATCAGTGTCACAAGGCTCACTAGTGATGTGACAGAGCTCTCGTGGGAGTGGAGGAAACGACTTCAAGAGAGAAGGCGCAGCAACTCCATCCCCAAGTACATACCTGACAGAGGCAAAACAGATAGATGCACTGCAACACAAGTCCCACCAAAACTGGCCAAAACAATGTTTGTTTTGTTTTGTTTTTTGAGACGGAGTCTCGCTCTGTTGCCCAAGATGGAGTGTAGTGGTGCGATCTCGGTTCACTGCAAGCTCTGCCTCCCAGGGTCAAGTGATTCTCCTGCCTTAGCCTCCTGAGTAGCTGGGATTTCAGGTGCGCGCTACCACGCCCGGGTAATTTTTGTATTTGTAGTAGAGAAGTAGAGACGGGGTTTCACCATGTTGGTCAGGCTGGTCTCCAACTCCTGACCTCAGGTGATCCACCCAGCTCGGCCTCCCAAAGTGCTGGGATTACAGGCGTGAGCCACCACGCCCAGCCTCCAGAACCATGTATTTGTCATCCAAAAAATGGGGCCACCCAAATGCCCTTCAATTGTAGAACAAATCAGTAAATTCTGGCACTTGCATTCAATGGAATATTATGTGGCAACGAAAGCGAATGAACTGCAATCCACTCTGATAGCGGGCAGGATAGGGTTCCCTTTGGGCAGGAGAGAGGAGGAGGGCCTGGGAGGGGGTCCAGGTAGGGGTTCTTCTCGGGGGTAGTGATGTTTTATTTCTTATTTTGAGATGAGGTATCGCTCTGTCACCCAGGCTGGAGTGCAGTGGCAAGATTATAGCTCACTGCAGCCTCGAAGCTGGGTTCAAGCGATCCTCCTACTTCAGTCTCCCGAGCAGCTGGGACTACAGGGGCACACCACCTTGCCTGGCTAATTTTTTTAAATTATTTGTAGAGGTAGGGTCTCCTTCTGTTGCCCAGGCAGGTCTCGAACTCCCAGGCTCAAGCGATCCTCCCGCCTCGGCCTCCCAAAGTGCTGGGATGACAGGCTTGAGCCACCGCGCCCAGCTGGTAACGTTTCAGTTCAGTGACGTTCACTTGGGGAAAACTCGCTGGGCTGTATACTTATGATTCGTGCATTTTTCTGCATGTACATTACGTATACTTCAAGCAAAGCATTTATCACAAAACAGAACAATGGGAGCAGAGGGAATGGGAACGATGAGCACAAGCCCCCCTTCGGAATGTGCCCAAAAGTGGGTAGAGAAATGGTGCCGTGACTGGACCTTGGAGAAAGCGCAACTGTGACTAATGACGATTGCTCCTGGGCCGGGCCGGGCCGGGCCGGGCGAGTGCTGGAGCAGACTCCAAAGTCTCCAGCGTCCTCCCGCGACCCTGCAGAGTCCCTTCCCACTGCCAGGACGCCCCTGGGGGTTCCACTCCTCCACTGCACTGCCCAGGTGCCGGGCTCCCTTCAGGACCGCGCGCGGCGGGGGCTGCAGCGACCAGGGACACAGCAAACCCCGGCCGCGGCCCGCTAGTCTGTTCAGCAAACACCTGCTCCGCTCCCTGCACGTCCCGGCCCTGGCCCCGCCAGGTGCGCCGCTGCCCCTCCGTCCGCCACTCCCCGCATCCCCGCGGCGGGCGCGGCGGCGCCAGCCCCTCTGGGCCCAGGACCTCGGCCTGTCCCCGGGCCCAGCGGCCGCACGCCTTTGGGCCTCCCGCCCGGCGCGCCAAGGCCTCGGAGTCGGTCCGCGGGCCCCGGGTCTGGGCCTCCCGCGCCCCCGGGTCCCCGCCTCTTACCGGTGGAAGGTGAGCTGCTTCCTGCGGCTGCTGTAGCGGTTGCAGCACTGCCGGGCCGCGCACGACTTCGGCATCTCGAGCCAGGCCTGGCTGCCCCCAACAAAGATGGCGGCGGCGGCGGGGCCTGCGGAGAGGGGAGGGACCTGCGGGGAGGGGCGGGGCCGCTGGGAGGTGGTGACGGGCCTGGCTCGCCTCCAGGGCGCGCTCATCCTGCCATCCCAGCCACCCGCGTCTCCCCAGGGTCGGACGGGACCCGGGGCGCCACGTAAAGGGGTGCTCCGGGCCCCAATTCAGGCCCGAAACCCCAACTCCTAGCCTTGGGCCTGTGCAAGTCTTACCCCATTCGCCAATGCTGGTCGCCTTTCACCTCCTTGCTTTGAGCACCCAACCAGGACGCATAGCCACTCACAGGCTTGGACAACTGGAAACCAACGGCCAACCCCTCAGTGTTTTTAGGGCTTTGAATTGTGAATAGGTCTGGACTCCTCTGACGTCACTGGAGGTGGTACTAGTTGGCCACTGGTGGTGTCAGTTCAGAGGCCAGACAGCTCACTGCCCTTAAGTTTGGTCACAGGGAACCCCCAAACGTGAAGAGGCAAAAAGGGCAACTGAAGGGGAGGGAGATTCCAGTTCAGGCCTTGCAGAAACTCCGAGGCTGCAGCTTTCTCAAAGCAGCCTATAGGGAAGGCGTCATCTTGTAAGAAGAAAAAAAAAAAAATCGGCCAGGCGCAGTGGCTCACGCCTGTAATCCCAGCACTTTGGGAGGCCGAGGCAGGCGGATCACCTGAGATCAGGAGTTCAAGGCCAGCCTGACCGACATGGTGAAACCCCATCTCTACTAAAAATACAAAAATTAGCCGCACATGGTGGCGGGCACCTGTAATTCCAGCTACTCGGAAGGCTGAAGCAGGAGAATCTCTTGAACCCGGGAGGTGGAAGTTACAATGAGCCAAAATCTCATCACAGCACTTCACAGCCTAGGTGACAAGAACGAAACTCAAGTCTCAAAAACAAAAAAAAAATCAAAAGTAGGCTAACCACTCACTGGGGCTTGAGCTAATCCTCAATCTGATGAAGAAACTGCAAAAACCATTCACATCTACTCGTCCTGTGGTTTGTTTCTAAGGAATTCACCAGCAAGGTACCTTAACACCGTGGGCATTTTCCATCCTGCTAAGTGCACACTGAGACGCTGCCTTCCCAGAGACTTGATGTAATCATGCTTTGGGGAGGTAGCAAGGAGAAAAGAAACACAATTGTCCTTCAGCACAGAACGCAATCGCCTGAACCTTGAATCATGAACCTCAAAGTAGCAATATATTTATTTACAAAATATACAGTTTCACAGAAACAGCTTCGCTTTATACACATAAACTTTAAAATTACACAGAACCATGTAAACGATGTGAAGTGTCTGGCCTGGCCAAAGCCAATGGGAGGGCCTACTTTTGGGGTGACATCCCTCCCTCCCCTCACTTCATTAGCCACCAACCAGGAACCACAGATGGGTCGTGCCTAATTTGCATATAAAGAAGCTGATTGCAGCTGCCCAGCTCAATCTAACACAAAAACCAAGGTGTCCGACTTCTTAGACACCACCCACAGGGACAGATCTGCTAAAAGAACAAAAATGCAATCAAGGAAACAAAATGGAGATGAGTATCACATGCATTCCAGAGGCATCGAACCTTCTAGCACACGTGACAGTTGCCAGGGCCGGCAGTTCCATTCTAAAGTCACATGGATTCTTAAATGCACCTTTAAAAGCTTGTGGAATTTTTTTTTTTCAAAGCAGAAAAACACTTTGGAGCGCTGGTTATTCACGTGGTGAAGACACTGGACAGGCGTTATCTCAGGGTAGATCTTTGGCAAATTCCTCTCCAATGCGTCCTGGCTGTTTGCCCTCGTCAGTTTCTAAACCAGCTTACTATTTTTCTCTACCGAACCTCCCCCTTGGGGATCTTCACAATAAACTGGCTTCAGAAACTATTTCTCTCTAGTTTCGTGTTAATACAAGCAACAGAACTTTTAAAAAAATAAGACGGTTGGACAAGTGTGAAAGATACTAGGACAAAAAAAATGCCTCTGATTAGCCAAATTACGGTTCAAGCCCCTTGGTGCTTCAGTGGGAGAAGGTGGGAAGAGTCTGCCTGGTGGCCTGGCACAAAGGTGCCACATGAAGGGGAAGCCCCCAGCAGTGAGAACGCGGGCCCATCCCACTGAAAACAAACATGACTTGCTTGAGCATTCTTCCCTTTCCATGCCTTAAAGAAACAATGCTTATGAAAACCTACCAATCAATTAGAAAATGTTTTGAGAACAAGTACTTGAACTGCTGAAGAGCAGTGTTCATTTCAGAGAAAGCCGGAGCCCCTCTCCCTCCCAGCCCCAGAACTACCAGTGTTCCAGGGCACCCTGCCCTCGAGCAGAGTTCTTCCACAGCCTCCGGCATCAACTCCCAGGTTTTTCCAGAGCTGGCCCTCACAGGGGCCTCCCAGGTCCAGGATCCCAGCTGAGATTTAAGGAACTCGGCACAGTTCCAAGGGGTCATCCTGAAGGCCCATGTTACCCTATCACTCACTCACCAACTCAAAACAGAAAAAGAAAGACTCAAGTCCTAACTGTACCCTGTGGAACCGGCAGGCCAGCCTGTCTAAAGGGCACACAAGAGTCACCCAACGGAGAGGGCTCCCTCCCAGCTCTCCTTTACCCTATTCTTTGGAGGAACACCATGCGGGTCCCAGTGATTGCCTAACCTTTATGCTGCTACCAGAATGAGGTGAAAGGAAGAGACAAAGACAGAACCTATGAGTTCCCACACTCGCAAACAGCTGGCCTGAGCCCACCAAGACCTCACACACCAACTAAGAGGGCACTCAGCAAGAAATCAGCCAATACTTTTGGCTGTATCGTGCAAAAAGACAGGGTTTTTACATCGTGCAAAACAGGAAACTGAGTTATGAACACGGGCCATCTCAACCCCCCAACCAACTCCCTTTCCACAGAGAAGTGGCCACATTGTCCCTTTTAACAAACAGAAGGAAACCTAAGAACCACCAGCTGACCCGCCAGCCCAGCGCCCTTCCAGGGGAGCCCGAGGCCTCCCGCCAGTGCCTCCCCCAGCCGGTCAGGCAGCAGCTGAGGCAGGCAGAGGGCAAGCCACTAAGTAGGGGCAACTTGGATGGCTGCTGTACAGACACTTTTGGTAAAAGACTTAACACTCAAGAAAAAGCTTACACGTATGGCTGTTCATTAACAGGCTGGGGAAACCGAACACCTCTCCCCAACACAGTGGAAGCAGAATAACAGCTGGCACTGAGCCCAATCAGCGGGAATCTCTTAGCAATGATAGCAAAACGCACAGCTACCACGGACCCTCATTTTCAAATGAGCCAAACCCGCTGCACGTGGGTGTCCAGTCCACCTCCACTGCAGGGAACGCAGCTCTGGCAGCAGCTCTGGCTGGCAAAGGTCGCATTCGGTCACCGGCTATGTACAGTTTCTACCTTGGACAGCCTGTCCTTTTGCTTAGGCACCTAAATGGCAGGGATCTGCCCGCACCAGAGCTGAGGGTTCTGTGCTCAACTAAGAGAAGGGCAAAAAAGCCCGCGGTCGCTTCCGATTCCACGCTCGCAGCCTCCTCGCCAGCCAGCAGTCAGTCCAGGAACAGCTTCCGGGAGCCCGTCCGCGAGCGGTTGGAACGGCGGATGTCAAACTTGGAGTCCCGGCACTTTTGGCAGACAAACACTTCTGGAACATTGGATTTCCGGATTTTCGCACAGGACAGGTGAATCCAGGTGTGGCACTCATTACACTCGATCATGGGGCGGCCGGCAAATGGCTTCATGCAGAAGCAGGTCACGAGGTCCCAGGAATCGTCATCTGGAAGGAAAGATACTCTCAAGGAGGGAAGAGAAATTCCCATCATTCCTCGCCATCAGCTGGGCTTCCATGAAACCCATTAACTCTACTGACGAGAACACTTCCAACTGCCACTCGAAGCTGACACTTCTCTCTGAAAAGGCACGAGGGGCTCCAAAATGTGTGGGAACCAGGTATTACCCAGGAGATGCTTACTTTTTTTTTTTTTTCCCTAAGACAGGGTCTCACTCTGTCACCCTGGCTGGAGTGCAGTGGTGCAATCATACCTCACTGCAGCCTCAAACTCCTGCAGTCAAGCCATCCTCCCACCTCAGCCTCCCAAATAGCTGGGACTACAGGCACACACCACCACACTCGACTATTGTTTTTTTTTTTTTTCTTGAGACGGAGTTTTGCTGTCGCCCAGGCTGGAGTGCAATGGCGCGATCTTGGCTCACTGCAACCTCCACCTCCTGGGTTTAAGTAATTCTCCTACCTCAGCCTCCTGAGTAGCTGGAATTGCAGGCGCGCACCACCACGCCCAGCTAATTTTTTCTTTTTTTTTTTTGTATCTTTAGTAGAGTCGGGGTTTCACCATGTTGGTCAGGCTGGTCTCGAACTCCTGACCTCGTGATCTGCCTGCCTCGGCCTCCCAAAGTGCTGGGATTACAGGCATGAGCCACTGCGCCCAGCCTTTTTTTGTATTTTTGCAGTGACAGGGCTTTGCCATGCTGCCCAGGCTGGTCTCCAACTCCTGAGCTCAAGCAATCCACCTGCCTTGGCCTCCCAAAGTGCCGGGATTACTGGTGGAGCCACCGTGCCCGGCCTGGATGCTTACCTGGATGCTTACTTAGAACTATACCCTTTTTATGTTCTAAGGTCTTAGAATCTCAGCTGTCTCTAGTGGCAATCAACCCCTTCCTAAACATCTCGATATCCACATTCCTGCAGCTTTTCTCCTCCTTGGACAGTGGGGCTGTCACACTCTACGGAAGGCACCAGACCCTGTGCCCCAGAGAGATGACCACTTAATAAAATAACCTCTCTTCTAACCACAAGCCAACAAGGGTCATCATCCTTCAGGGACCACTCACCTGAGTCCACCATGATGTCCTCATCATTGCCAGTGCTGTCCTCATCTCGGAACACCACCTGCTTTCCCTGCCGGACGATAGTCCGTTTGCCTTCAGTTTTTATTTCTTTGACCTGATCAGGTGACACAGTGGCACAAGATCCACTCGAGGGAGTATCGGAGTCCCAGCCCGAGCAGGGGTCGCTGGGAGCCTGGGGGATATCCTGCAAGGTGGGACTCGTGGGGGTCTCCACGTAGGGGTCAGCGGCTTCCAGCTTCAGCAAGCCCCCCCTGTACCCCTCTTTCCCAGGCGCATCACTGTCCCTGCGCTTCCTCTTCTTCTTCTTCTTCAGCTTGTCCGTTTTCTTTCTGTCCAGCAGGAAGTTACTGGGCTTGGCTCGCTGCAAGAGAGTAGGCTGCAGGTGGCTAAAGCAGCGGTCAGAGACTGGCAAGGGCACTGAGGACGCGATGTCTGAGAAACCCGCGTCCCAGCCGTCGCTGTCAATGGTACCAGCAGTGCTGTTAGCAGGGCTGGGGCTGCTCCTTAAAGGGAGTTCCTAAAAAGACAAAGGTGGCAGATTCCAGTTACTGGTGACAAGATCCAGCCCAGAGCAGAGCATCCCCAGCCACCCAGCCATGTCAGACCTCCAGAGACATCTGCACAACTTTGAGCTTCTCTGCCCATCAGCATCACACTTGAAGCAACAGTAACATGAGTTCTGGCTGGGCGTGGTGGCTCACACCTGTAATCCCAGCACTCTGGGACGCCAAGGCAGGCGGATCACCTGAGACCAGGAGTTCAAGACCAACCTGGCCAACATGGTGAAACCCCATCTCTACTAAAAATACAAAAATTAGCTGGGCGTGGTGGTGGTGCCTGTAGTCCCAGCTACTTGGGAGGCTGAGGCAGGAGAATCGCTTGAACCCGGGAGGCAAATGTTGCAGTGAGCCACTGCACTCCAGCCTTGGTAACGGGAGGGAGATTCTGTGTCTCAAAAAAAAAAAAACCCAGTGCCATCAGTGCCATGAGTTTAATGTGATGCCACGAAGAGAGAAACTCCCTGCTGAACCCTCAGCCCCATCTTAGAGACAGAAAATTCATCAGTGTGCAACAGGTGTCTGTGGGAAGGAGTGCTGTGGACACCCACTCCTATCTGCTCATTGTTCCCTGATTGTAAAACCTCTCCTTCCATTTGCCCTCCCAAGAGATATATTGTTTTAAGTGAATTTAAATTAGTTTTGAGAATTTCCTGACACTCTTAAAAAACTAGACATTCCAAAATATTGCAGAATCCAAGTAGGTAATTACTGCCCCAAAGCAGTGAAGTAAACTCTATGGTTCATTCAGATCACAAGCATATCATTTGCAAACAGTGGCAACGTCCTCCTTGTCTTGCTAGAAAACAGGCATTAGGCTGGGTGCGGGGGCTCACACCTGTAATCCCAGCACTTTGGGAGGCTGAGGCGGGTAGATCACCTGAGCTCAGGAGTTCGACACCAGCCTGGCCAACATGGTGAAACCCCCTCTCTACCAAAAATACAAAAAAATTAGCTGTGCATGATGGCTGACACCTGTAATCCCAGCTACTTGGGAGGCTGAAGCAGGGAGAATTGCTTGAACCCAGGAGGCAGAAGTTGCAGTGAGCTGAGATCGCACCACCACACTCCAGCCTGAGCCACAGAGCAAGACTCCGTCTCAAAAAAAGAAAAAAAGAAAGAAAAGAAAGCAGGCATTAGCCACCTATGTAGCAGATGGAAATAAACCAATGCTGGCAGTTTGCCTGCTAGAAATATACTGAATGCAGCTGGGCACAGTGGCTCGTGCCTGTAAACCCAGCACTCTGGGAGACCAAGGCAGGAGCATCACTACCTCGAGACCAGCCTCAGCAACACAGTGAGACCTTGTCTCTACAAAAAATAAAATTACGGCCAAACGCAGTGGCTCACGCCTGTAATCCTAGCACTTTGGGAAGCCAAGGCAGGTGGGTCACTTGAGGCCAGGAGTTTGACACCAACCTGGGCAACATGGCGAAACCTTGTATCTACTAAAAATACAAAAATTAGGTGGGTGTGGTGGTGGGCCTGTAGTCCCAGCTACTTGGAAGGCTGAGGTGGGAGGATCACTTCAGCACAGGAGAAAGAGGCTGCAGTGAGCCAAGACTGTGCCACTGCACTCCAGCCTGGGCAACAGAGCAAGACCTGTCGCAAAAAAAAAAAAGCTGGATTGTTCAATTTTGAGCTTAATCGAATACGAAAGAGGCCTGAAGTCTGAGCACCACAGCCGCTCTCCTCCAGTCCTGCCCTGTTCTCAGCAAGTGAAAAAACCTCCTTCATCTACATCAAGTTGCAGCCATGAGTCCCTGAAGACAATCATACGCATTTCGGGCAGCCAGGGAGCTGAGACAGAGGCAGCGTGTGCACTGAGTCCAGCCATCTGGTTGAACCCCAAGCTCCACCACTAATCAGTGGGTGACCTAAGACAAAGTTTTCCCTCTCTATGCCTTAGTTTCCTCAGCTTATAAACTGGAGATAAAAAATAGCACCTACCTCATAGCATTACATAGGCCAAGAATAGTGTCCAGCTATGGTCAACAGTCAGTAACTACAGACCCTTATTAAAAGCAAGCAGACAGCCAGGTGCAGTGGCTCAACGCTTGTAATCCCAGCACTTTTGGGAGGCCGAGGCGGGTGGATCATGAGGTCAGGAGTTCGAGACCAGCCTCGACAACACGGTGAAACCCCGTCTCTAGTAAAAATACAAAAAACTAGCTGGGTGTGGTGGCGCGCCCAGCTACTCATGAGGCTGAGACAGGAGAATCGCTTGAACCCAGGAGGCAGAGGTTGCAGTGAGCCACAATTGCACCACGGCACTCCAGCCTGGGCGACAGAGCCAGACTCCATTTCAAACAAACAAACAAAAAGAGCAAGCAAATATCACATATTTTATTTGTAAATAAACTGAAAGTTTACTAAATCGGCTGGGCGGTAGCTCACGCCTGTAATCCCAGCACTCTGGGAGGCCGAGGCAGGTGAATCACCTGAGGTCAGGAGTTCGAGACCAGTCTGGCCAACAAGGTAAAACCCTGTCTCTACCAAAAATACAAAAAAGAATTAGCGTGGTGGCGCACGCCTGTCATCCCAACTACTGAGGAGGTTGAGGCAGGAGAATCCCTTGAACCCGGGGGTGGAGTTTTACGACACTGCACTCCAGCCTGGGCGACAGAGCAAGTTTCCATTCCAAAAAAAAAGAAAGTTTACTAAATCATTTTCTAGACAAGCCTGCATTTTCTACCAGAGTTTTTACCAGAGTTTTAGAACCATTTCCCCAGCTAATTCAAACTCTCAAGAAACAGATTTCTGCCAGACTAGTGACTGGGGTCACCACAAGCAGCCCCTTCCAAACCTACTGACCCTCTGACCAGTCAGAAGCCCACGAACTTGCGGTGGAGGCACTGGGTTTGACTACTCATCAAGAAAGGTCTCAGAAACTCAGAAGATTACCTCCTTCGGATAAGGGATGTAGCCAGCATAGGCCAAGACAAAGGTGCAGAATTTGTTGAAGTCTTCCACGGTCCTGCGCCTCTTGCAACTGGGGGAGTATTCCTATTAAGGGGAGAGAAAAGGGAATGTGTTTGAAGGAGAGGCTTCCAGGCGGAATCACAGAAACAAAAGGAAGTAAGCTGGAACTTTTGTAGTCAATCACTCAAAAAATACCGTTAGATTTACACAGTCCACAAACAAGATACGGTAAGTTCAGGTCAAGAAATAACACTATTTTCAGAGAGCAGAAAGAGGAGTATTAAGACTTTATGCCAAGAATGCTGGGAAATCAGCTGGGAGATAAAAACTTCTACAAAAGTCTATTTCTTAGTGCTCATGTGGCATTTTCTGACTTTATCTATTAGTTTCCACAGGCCTATCAGGCGAAGCTCTAATAACTACTTTTTTGCTACAGATTTTCCATTCTGAGTATGAACTGCTGCAGCAGCAGCTGGAACTGATGTATGTTAAGTGATTTCAAAAATCAACCACTCGCCGGGCGCGGTGGCTCTCGTCTGTAATCCCAGCACTTTGGGAGGCCGAGGCGGGCGGATCACGAGGTCAGGAGTTCGAGACCAGCCTGACCAACATGGTGAAACCCCGTCTCTACTAAAAATACAAAAATTAGCCGGGCGTGGTGGCGTGCACCTGTAGTCCCAACTACTCAGGAGGCTGAGGCAGGAGAATCGCGTGAACCCGGAGGCGGAGGTTACAGTGAGCCAAGATCGCGCCACTGCACTCCAGCCCGGTAGACAGAGCTAAGATTCCAACTCAAAAAAAAAAAAAAAAAAAAATCAACCACTCATTCTCCAGAGCTCTCGGAGACCTGGACCCTGGAGTTCACTCCTGGCTGACCCTGCCAAGCTAGCGCCACCTGAGGACCCCTCTCTCGTGCTCAGAGGGTCCCCTCCACTGTCCCAGCCAGTCGGGATGCCAGGCACCCAACTATCTCAACTCACAATAAACCAAGAACCTTACTGCGAAGCTTAGTCTTACATTTAAACGGAATAGTGGAGGTTTTTGCTCGCGGGTCCCAGCCCCATTCCATCTAGAAACACCCATCACAAAAAGATATTTTCTCCTGAGAGAAGCACGGAGAGATGGAGCTCTTATTTGCTCCTAAGCAAAACAAGTGTGCCGTATTGCTGTTTATTCGCCCGGCACGTTCCCTGAGGTTCCTTTCAGTGCCTTGTCCGACCCACCCCCATCCTTCCCGAGGTGCTGTTACCCGGCCGCCACTCTGCTGGGGGAGAGCCGGTGGGGAAATGGGGGGCAGGGGTCTCGGGCCGCCCCTCCCGCCGCGAGGAGCAGGCGTGCGGCCCGCGGGTTTTCTTTCGAGAAAGTCGGTGCCCTTAGAAAATTATTTTCTCAACCTGGTTCAAGCAAACCTTCTCCTCTCCCACCCCCTTGGACCCCAGGGCCGCCCACGGAGCGGAGGCGAAGGCCCGCGTTGACCGCGCTCCCCGCACTGGCGAGCCTGCCCAGCCACGGGAACCGCGGGCCGCCACCCGGGCCTCCAACTCCCGCGAAGAACTTTTCTTTCGGCGGGGAACCAGCAGAAGTGGGTCAAAAACCCGAATGCCAAGTGGAGGGCGGCGACGGCCTCGGGCCGGGGGCGCGCGGGAGGCACCGGCGCGGGGACTGGGGGTTCCACGCCGCCCCCACACGGCCCACGCCGCCCGCCCCCCCGGCCGCCTCCTCGGAAAGCAGATGGCGGAGCGGCCCCCACCCGCCCTCCCGCGGCAGCCGCCCCCCGCGACACTCGGCCCCCGAAGGTGCGGGGCCCATCCCGCGAGTATGTGTGAGGGGGGTGCGCCAGGCAGGATTCCGGGGTCCCAGGCCTGGGGAGGCCCTGCGAACCCCCGGGGGCGGCAGCGAGACCGGCGGGCTCCGGCGCCGCCTCCCCTCCCCCACCCGCCCGCGGTCGCCGGACCCGCACCCCCGACCCCAACGAGCCTCGGCTGGGGGGAGGGGACCGCGCGGGGGGGAGGCCGGGAGCCCCGAGGGCCGATCCCCGGAAGGAGGGGGAGTGAGCCGGGGCGGAGCCAGCAAAGCCCGCGGGCGGGGGGCGGGGGCCCGAAGAGAGAGGCCAGCGCGCCGGGGGGCGGTGGGTGGGGGCAGGACTCGGGTCCCCAGAGCGGGTGGGGCCCCCGGAGGACGCGGCCCCCGAGAGCCGTAGGGGGCGGGGGCCGACTGGGCCCCGCGCGGAGTCAGGGGGCGGGGCGCGGGCCACCGGGCCCGGGGGATCGGGGGAGCAGCCGGGGGCCTCGGGAGCCGACCCCGGTCCGAGGGGGGCCTAAAACTCCTCGAGAGCAACCGGAGCCAGGGGCGGGCGGCGGCTCGGACCGCGTCCCCGGGGGCGGGGAAAGAGTAAGCAGGCCGGCGGGGAGGGGCTGGGGGCGCCGACAGGTCCCAGGTCGACGCGAGGCCGGAGAGGGGCGGCCCGGGGGAGAGAAATAGGCGCAACGGCCCTGGGGAAAGGGCGCGGGGAGGACGCGGAGGTCCGCGGAGGGGACGCGGAGGCGAGGCCCGGCGGAGAGGACCGAGCGCGGGCCCGAGCAGGGGGCGGGGGTTGGGCTCCCGGGGGGGCCGACGAGGGGAAAGCGGGGGAAGGGGAGGGCGGCGCTCCGGGCGACCGGGGGTCTGGCTGCCTGAGGACGGCAGGATCGCGGAGGGGGTGGTCGGGGGCGATTCGGACGCACAGCTTCACTCACCTCCGGGTGGAAGGCGGCGGCGCAAGAGTCAGAGTCCATGTTCCGGGCGGGGGGCGGCGGCGGCTGCGAGAGTGCAGGAGCTGGGATGCTGGAGCGGGGCCGCCCGGGGCTGGGGGCTCGGGCGGCTGCGCAGGGCGAGGGCGGACCCGGGAGGGGTCGCCCGGGCTGGAGGTGATGGGGGGCTCAGCGCGTCGCTTCTCAAGCTCTGTGACCCCGGACTGGCGGTTCCACCGCCGACCGGAGTGGACGATGCAGCTCCCGCGGCGGTAGAGGCGGGAGAGTGGCTGCAGGGGGCGGCGGCGGCGGCGGTGAGCGGGAACCCGACCGGCTCCCCGACCTGACGCCCAGTTCGGCTCGTGTCTCGGGAGGGAGGGCGGGAGAGCCGGGAGGCCTGTCGGGAAATGTAGTCTGGGTGGCGACTGGAAGCCAGCGGCGAGGGGGCGTGGCGCGGGAGGCGGGCGCGGTGCCTTGTGGGAGTGGTAGTCCAAGGCCCCGCCAATACTGCGCACAAAGGAAACCTTGGGGACTCCAACCCCCATGAGGCTCCGCGGCGGCGGCCCCGGTGTGTGGAGGCGGGTCTTCTGGACTCGAGGCCGCGCGAGCGGGGGAGGTGCGGGGGCCCGCGCCGGCTCGGCCGCGGGGGGAGGGGCAGTGTGAGCGGTAGCGCCTTGGTCTCGGCGGGCGCGGGGGCGGGAGTCGCTGCGGCGGTGGGGGCGGGGCTGACGGCCCGGGTTGCGAAGGGCGGCGGCGGCTGGCACCTACCCTTCCTCGTCTCCTACTTGGGGTTCGCGCCCCTTTGTGGGGCGGGGGTCCCCGAGGCCTGGCCGGGAGTAGGGGCGGCAGGGGCGGGGACGCTGACGTCGCGGCCGCCCCGGGCATCGCTCCCCGCTCCCCGCTCCCCGCTGAGGGCGGAGTCGCCGCCCGGCCCCCGCTCCAGGCCGGGCTCAGCGAAGTTGTTTTCGCGGCTGCGGGCTTCGTGCGGCTCCCTGCTCCGGGCCCGCGGGGCCGGGACTGGACCGGGCTCTTCTCTAGGCATCTGCGGGATTCACTCGAGGTGGCCGGGTTCGTGCATTAAAAACACCGGGCCAGCGTTGTCAGTGTTCTAAAGAGGTGTGCGTTCAGTTTGCTTTCTGTTGCCGCCTAAGCCTAACCTTGGGACCGGCCGTTTTCCCACTCTCCTGAATATCCTCCGGCCCGCAGGGCGAGGCGGAGACGCGGTGTTTGGCGCTGGCATCGACTGGTACTTGTTTAGTGGTGTTTAACTGGGATGGGCAGTGTGTAAACGCTGGACCGCAGAGTATCCGACAGCTGTACGTGTGGAAGGCTGGCCGGACACGGTGGGGACTGCCCCTATGCGGTGACCAAAAGGCGGTCTGACGGGAACATTTTTAATATTCGAAAGTGGGGGAAAAAGGTAAGTACAAAACGCAGATGATTCAGTAACCTGTTTGGTAGCTTCGAAGAAGTTAAAGGGGAGTGACACAAAATTGAAAATTCAAATTAGAAAACGAACTCTTGGAGATACTAGTAAGATATTTGACAGGCGCCGAATGCTCCATCAAGCTGGCTGTTGCTATTTCAAGGGTTATGATCATTCTGATGAAGATATTTAATAGTTAGGAGATGGTGTTAATCTTAGAAATACTTCTCTGAGCGGCCGGGCGCGGTGGCTCGCGCCTGTATTCCCAGCACTTTGGGAGGCCGAGGCGGGTGGATCACGAGGTCAGGAGTTCGAAACCAGCCTGACCAACATGGTGAAACCCCGTCTTTACTAAAAATACAAAAATTAGATGGGCGTGGTGGCGGACACCTGTAATCCCAGCTACTCGGGAGGCTGAGGCGGGAGAATTGCTTGAACCCGGGAGGCGGAGCTTGCAGTGAGCCGAGATCGTGCCACTGCACTCCAGCCTGGGCGACAGAGCGAGACTCTGTCTCAAAAAAAAAAAAAAAAATACTTCTCTGAGCCTCAGTTTCCTAAGCTGTTAAATTTTAGCGTAGTGCCTGGCTAAATAAATGGTAGCTTACTGTTGTTGTTGTTGTTGTTGTTTTATTATTTCTGCAATATTGTAGCCCATTGGAGGGCTTCCCAAAGGTGATAAATTGAGGTACTTTACAAGATAAAACATGAAATTACTGATTAAAACAGAGACATTGGACTTGGCCCATCGAGACTTGATTAACAACTTCTTATACAATTGCACAGATGATTTAGCCAGATTTGGAATGTTACCTGGTTACTGTGACCAAAGCAGATGCCCCGAAGTTAGCCTGTATTGCCCAAGGTCATATTCACAAGGAGCAACTCGTTTTGCCAGAATAAGAAACACTGCTAAGGTGTTGATCCCGTTGGTAGTTTAAAAATGTAAATACCAAAAAGAATAATTCTTTTTTTTTTTGGAGACAGAATCTCCCTCTGTCGCCAGGCTGGAGTACAGTGGCGCCATCTCAGCTCACTGCAACCTCCACCTCCCGGGTTCAAGCGATTCTCCTGCCTCAGCCTCCCAAGTAGCCTGGACTACCAGCGCCCACCACCACGCCCAGCTAGTTTTTGTATTTTTAGTACAGACAGGGTTTCACCATGTTGGCCAGATGGTCTTGATCTCTTGACCTCGTGATCCGCACACCTAGGCCTCCCAAAGTGCAGGGATTACAGGCGTGAGCCACCGCGCCTGGCCAAGAATAATTATTAGAGGTGAAACCCAAGTGAAAGAAGAGGGATTTTTTTTTTTACACCTCATTATTATCCCCTGTGGTAAATGTGTCACATAATAAACATTAAATCCTTTCCCACACACACACATATTAAGAAATTATCGGGCCAGGCACGGTGGCTCACACCTGTAATCCTAGCACTTTGGGAGGCCGAGGCAGGCAGATCACCTGAGGTCAGGAGTTCGAGACCAGCCTGACCGACATGGGTCAGGGAGGTGGAGGTTGCAGTGAGCCGAGATCACGCCATTGCACTCCAGCCTGGGCAACAAGAGCGAAACTCCATCTCAAAAAAAGAAAGAATGGCCACCCGCCTCAGCCTCCCCCAAAGTGCTGGGATTAACAGGCGTGAGCCACCATGCCAGGCCTAATTTTTTTTTTTTTAAGACAGGGTCTCCGTATGTTGCCAAGGCTGTTCTGGAACTCCTGGGCTCAAGGGATCCTCCCACCCAGGCCTCCCAAATTGTAGAGTTTACAGTCCTGAGCTATCTTGCCTGCCTGGAGTGAATACCCACTCTGAGCAAAAGTTATCACTTGAGTCTGAAAATCTGTCCCCTGACTCAATCCATGTTTGGGATTTTCCTTCCTTGATGTAACCAAGTAGTCCAATATAGGCCTGTGAATTCTAAGCTCAGTTTTGTCAACAAGTCCATTATTCTGAGTAGGTCCTTCATTTCCAATTTGAGAGTTTATTCTTCTTTCTTTTTTGAGACAGTTTCACTCTTGTTGCCCCTGCTGGAGTACAGTGGTGTGATCCTGGTTCACCACAACCTCTATCTCCCGGGTTCAAGCGATTCTCCTGCCTCAGCCTCCTGAGAGCTGGGATTACAGGCATGCGCCACAACACCCGGCTAATTTTTTGTATTTTTAGTAGAGACGGGGTTTCACCATGTTGGACAGGCTGGTCTTGAACTCTTGGCCTCATGTGATCTGCCTGTCTCAGCCTCCCAAAGTGCTGGGATTACAGGCATAAGCCACCGCACCCAGATATTTATTGAATATGTTTTTAGTAAACAGTAATTTTTAGTACATAGATATGACCTGTACCTTCCTGCTACTCCAGTGAAAGAGAAAACTTCAAGAAAAAGGACCTCTTTTGTCTTTCCATTTCCCTTAGAAATACAGCCCTTTGGAGGAAATTTAGACATTAATGTTTAGCATCCTTTCCCTAAATTCAGAAAAAGGACTATACCACTTGTAGTTGACCCAAACGATCTCATAATATGTAGCTGTGGAGTAATAAAGTTGATTTTCTCACGCCTGTAATCCCAGCACTTTGGGAGGCCGAGGCGGGCGAATCACGAGGTCAAGAGATCAAGACCATCCTGTCCAACATGTTGAAACCCTGTCTGTACTAAAAATACAAAAATTATCTGGGTGTGGTGGCACGCATCTGTAGTCCCAGCTACTCCGGAGGCTGAGGCAGGAGAATGGCGTGAACCCGGAAGGCAGAGGTTGCAGTGAGCGGAGATCATGCCACTGCACTGCAGCCTGGCGACAGAGTCAGACTCCGTCTCAAAAAACACAGTTGATTTTCTGTGACAGGATTAGGTTTGTTCAGTATCTCCCGTTTTTTTCATAGGTGTATTGTACTACTCCTGGGCTGCAGGGGGCGAATCTGAAATTCCTTGATTAGTTCAAGAACATTCACCACAGTAGCCAGATCCTTGGAGTCTATGATTCTTTGTTTTCTGCTAAAAACAAAAAACAAACTAATTATACCAACTGCTGAATACTAATTCTCAGATGATTATAGTTACTTAGGAGAGGAGGAAAAAAGCCAACGTTAGCACAGGTTGCAACAAGTTAAAAATACTAAGAATACCATGGTTTCCCGGTAAGTAACTTGAGAATGTGGTTATTTTAATTGAGTTACCAAATATAGCTTCACCTTCCTAAATCTCAGCAGCTACACTGCATCCACTTGAGGGAACATACAAGAAAGCTTTCTGTCTCCCATTTTAGCTCTGTGCTTTAGTGCAGGTGTGAGCATAACCAAAGGTTTGCTTTTCAAATGTTTCAGCTTTTTGTTCAGCTTAATAGTTTTTGTTTTTGTTTTTCTGAGACGGAGTCTTGCTCTGTCACCCAGGCTTGAGTGCAGTGGCGCGATCTGGGCTCACTGAAACCTCTGCTTCCCGGGTTCTAGAGATTCTCCTGCCTCAGCCTCCCAAGTAGCTGGGATTACAGGCGCGTGCCACCGCGCCCGGTAAATTTTTATTTATTTATTTTTTATTTATTTATTTATTTATTTTTTAATTTTTTTTTTTTTTTTGAGACGGAGTCTTGCTCTGTCGCCAGGCTGGAGTGCAGTAGGGTGATCTCGGCTCACTGCAACCTCTGCCACCCCCGTTCAATCAATTCCGCTGTCTCAGCCTCCCGAGTAGCTGGGACTAGAGGCGCACGCCACCACGCCCAACTAATTTTTTGTATTTTAGTAGAGACAGGGTTTCACCATGTTGGCCAAGATGGTCTCCATCTTCTGACCTTGTGATCTGCCCATTTTGGCCTCCCAAAGTGCTGGGATTACAGGTGTGAGCCACGGCACCCAGCCTAATTTTTTATATTTTTAGTAGAGACAGAGTTTCACCATGTTGGCCAGGCTAGTCTCAAACTCCTGACCTCAGGTGATCTGACTGCCTCGGCCTCCCAAAGTGCTGGGATTACAGGCCTGAGCCACTGCGCCCAGCCTTTTTTTTTTTTTTTTTTTTTAGCCCGGAGTGCAGTGGTTCGAACACGGCTCACTATAGTCACTGCACCCTAGGCCTCCTGGGCTCAGGTGATCCCCCTGCCTCAGCCTTCCTAGTAGCTGGGACTACAGGCATGCACCAGCATATCCAGCTTATTTTGTTTTTTGTTTTTGTTTTTTGTTTTTTTGAGGCGGAGTCTTGCTGTGTCGCCCAGGCTGGAGTGCAGTGGCACGATCTCGGCTCACTGCAAGCTCCGCCTTCTGGGTTCATGCCATTGTCCTGCCTCAGCCTCCCGACTAGCTGGGACCACAGGCGCCCGCCACCACGCCCGGCTAATTTTTTATTTTTTTAGAAAGATGGGGTTTCACTGCGTTAGCCAGGATGGTCTTGATCTCCTGACCTCGTGATCTGCCCTCCTCGGCCTCCCAAAGTGCTGGTTGTTTTTGTATTTTTTGTAGAGAAGGGATTTCACCACATGGCCCAGGCTGATCTTGAACTCCTGGTCTCAAACGATCTCCCCACCTCGGCCTCCCAGAGTGCTGGGATTATGGGCATGAGCCACCACGCCCAGCCCAGTATATTCTTAGGAATTCTTTTTACCCTCTGTTTTCTGCCTTGCTCACTTCCGTTTCCAGGAGATGGGAAAAAAGTGAAAATTCCACAAAATCTTCTTTTCAGCTTTTAGTAACTTGAAAACTGTATGAATATGTGTGTGAATCATTTGAAATCATTAATAATTTATAGACCATATATTGTCAGTGTTTCACACAGTGAATCTGACCTACAGATAGAAGAATCAAATGAGTTTCTTGAGTTCATACTGGTAGAATACAAAGGTAATAGCTAAGCTGGACATGGTGGCTTACACCTGTAACCCCAGCACTTTGGGAGGTCGAGGCAGGTGGATCACGAGGTCAGGAGTTAGAGACCAGCCTTGCCAACACAGTGACACATCGTCTCTACTAAATATAAAAATTAGCTGGGCATGGTGGCGCACACCTGTAGTCCCAGCTACTTGGGAGGCTGAGGTAGAAGAATCGCTTGAACCTGGGAGGCAGAGGTTGTGGTGAGCCGAAATTGCGCCACTGCACTCCAGCCTGGGCAACAGAGCAAGACTCTGTCTCCAAAAAAGAAAAAAGAAAGTTAATAGCTAAAGGCTGGGGTGCTGTGGCTCACGCCTGTAATCACAGAACACTGGGAGGCCAAGGGAGATGGATCATTTGAGGTCAGGAGTTGGAGACTAGCGTGGCCAACATGGCAAAACCACATCTCTACCAAAAAAATACAAAAATTAGCCAGGCATGGTGACAGGTGCCTGTAATCCCACCTACTCTCCTGAGGCAGGAGAATGGCTTGAACACGGGAGGTGGAGGTTGCAGTGAGCCGAGATCATGCTACTGCACTCCAGTCTGGGGAATAGAGCAAGACTCTGTTTCAAAAAAAAAAGATAATAACTAATACTATATGTCAAACACTGTTTAAATGTTTTTACTTACCCTATCTCATTTACATATGTAAATGCATTTAATAAATAGAGAATAGCGCAACATTCCTTAAAGAAAAAATGTTTAGATTGGGCACAATGGCTCATGCCTGTAATCCCAGCGGAAGCTGAGGTAGGCAGATCACCTGAGGTCAGGAGTTCAAGACCAGCCTGGCCAACATGGTGAAATGCCATCTCTACAAAAAATAGAAAAATTAGCCAGGTGTTGTGGTGCGTGCCTGTGATCCTAGCTACTCGAGAGGCTGAGGCAGGAGAATCACTGGAACTCAGGAGGCGGAGGTTGCAGTGAGCTGAGGTTGCGCCACTGTACTCCAACCTAGGCGACACAGGGAGACTTCGTCTCAAAAGAAAAAAAAAAAGGAGTTATATATGGTAAGTGCATTATACCTTAGAAAACCTGGAATCTGAAAAAATCAGAGTGTATGATATGATACAAGAAAAGGCACAATAGCTGTGGACGTAATCAAGGCTAAGGAGTGTGTTCCTAAATATTCTTAAAGAAAAAAAAAGAATAACAGCTGCTCTTTTTTTTTTTTTTTTGAGACGGAGTCTTGCTCTGTCCTCCATGCTTGAGTCCCATGATCTCAGCTCATTGTGACCTCCGCCTCCTGGGTTAAAGCGATTCTCCTGCCTCAGCCTCTGGAGTAGCTGGGATTATAGATGTGCACCACCGCGCTTGGCTAATTTTTGTATTTTTAGTAGAGATGGAGTTTCACCACGTTGGCCAGGCTGTAAACAGCCACTTTTAAAATGACCTTAGGGTCTGGCATGGTGGCTGATGCCTGTAATCTCAGCACTTTGGCTCAGCACCAAGACTGGAGGATTGCTTGAGTCCAGGAGTTTAAGACCAACCTGGGTAACACAGCGAAACCCCGTCTCTACAAAAAATTTAAAAAATTAACCAAGCGTGTTGGCTCACGCCTGTAGTCCCAGCTCCTGGGGAGGCTGAGGTAGGAGGATCACCTGAGCCTGGGAGGCAGAGGTTGCAGTTAGCTGAGATTGTGCCACTGCACTCCAGCCTGGGCAACAGAGGGAGATCCTGTCTCAATAAAAAAGGTAACATGGCCAGACCAGGTGGCTCATGCCTGTAATCCCAGCACTTTGGGAGGCCGAGGCGGGTGGATCATCTGAGGTCAGGAGTTTGAGACCAGCCTGACCAACATGGAGAAACCCCATCTTTACTAAAAATACAAAATTAGCCAAGAGTGGTGGTGCATGCCTGTAATCCCAGCCACTCAGGAAGGCTGAGGCAGGAGAATTGCTTTAACCCGGGAGGCAGAGGTTGCGGTGAGCCGAGATCGCGCCACTGCACTGCAGCCTGGGTGACACAGCGAGACTCTGTCTCAAGAAAAAAAAGGTAACGTAATTTTAGTCACCTCTTGCTCTGTCTGCCTTAAATTAGAATTTAAATACCAAAATTAAGTTGTTTTTTAAAATAATAACTATTTGTTAAATCACATCACACATTAAATCACTTTTTAATTTGTAGCCTCAGAATGTTCAGGTAAATCACATTATCTTAAATTGCTTAGGCAATGGCCATTTTTGTAATTTTAATTTTTTTTTTTTTGAGATGAAGTCTCACTCTGTCGCCCAGGCTGGAGTGCAGTAGCGTGATCTCAGCTCATTGTAACCTCCTCCTCCCGGGTTCAAGCTTGAAGTGTTTGAACCTGGAGGCAGAGGTTGCAGTGAGCTCAGATCGTGCCAGTGCACTACAGAGTGAGACTCCGTCTCAAAAAACAAACAACATGTCATCTAGGTGGTTATGTTCATTTTGTTTTTGCTTGCCTGCATTCTCTTTCTGTACTACACGTACATTATCTGTTAATGTTAATTTAAGTTCAAAGTAAAATTAAGAATTCATATCTTGAGAAAAGAAGTATTTCATTGATAACCGGGGCCTACCAGGCATGTGAAACCATGTATATATATAGATAATTCAACAAAGGAATGTGGTGAGAAAAGAAAGGAACCGATTTAGACCTATCAGCTGTGTTAGGAATTTTGAATAACCTACTAACCCAGGCATGCTATTTAGCTCTTTCTTTTTTTCAGGGGTGGGGCAGGCAGAGTGGGAGCAGTGGAACAATGACAGCTCACTGTCATCTGGGCTTATGTGATCTTCCCACTTCAGCCTCCCAAGTAGCTGAGACTAAAGGTGCATGCCACCACGCCTGGCCAATTTGAAAACTTTTTGTTGAGACAAAATATTGGGTCCCACTATGTTGCCCAGGCTGGTCTCAAACTCCTGGCCTCAAGAAATCTTGCCCCAGCCTCAGCCTCCGCGTAGCTGGGATTACAGGCGTGCGCCACAGCACCCAGCTAATTATAATTGTTTTATTTTTAGTAGAGACAGGGTTTCGCCATATTGGCCAGGCTGGTCTCGAACTCGCTACCTCAGGTGATCCACCCACCTCGGCCTCCCAAAGTGCTGGGATTACAGGCGTGAGCCACGGCGCCTGGCCGAAAATGTTAACTTAATAAATTTTTTTAGGCATATGAATACATATAAATCAATTTGGGTCATACAATGAGTAATCTGATTTTTCGCTTTATAGCTCAAACATCTTTCCATTTCAATAAATACATCATTATTCTTCAAGGCTACATAGTAAGACTGAAATATGATGTTTAAAAATCCCTGTTATTGGGAATACAGAAAAACCGTACTCAATCCTCAACTATGGAAACATTATTGATTTAATCACTGGACTTACGCAAGATGGGTAAGCTGACCCAGGGGACGGGAGTTCTTTTCCCTACAAACATTCCACTTCCTGGCTACTCAGCCTTTCTTGTCACAAAGCCTGTGCAAGGAAGCTATTGGCCCTGCTCCTGGGCCCAGGAATGCTGCCGCTGCCTTGAATAGCTGTGTGAACAGTCCTTCTATGGGCAACAGGCGGCCCGCCTGGGTACCTGAATGTTTTCTGATTTGGGCCTGTGCTGCCCATGCTCACCCTGAAATTCAGACCAGATGCATTCTTATGGCAAAATGACGTGAAACTCTTAAGTAGAAGAGAAAGCCTGCGGTTCTCATTTCAGAGGTGGAATAAAAACAAAATGTCTTCTGGAAACGCTACGCGGCCCTAGACCTCGCTGGAACCAGGAAATGATAGCCAGCTCCCATGCGCGTGGCCTGCTCTGGGACCCACGTGGGCGGGCGCCTTCCTCAGGAATGCGTTCTCAAAGGCCCACCGGTGTAGGGGGGCTGGAAAACAGCACAAACCCAAGTGTTCTCTGCAAAGCAGCAGTCCTGGTGGTGAAATAGGGGTCTTTTCTAAAACTGAGCAAAGCCTACCTTCCACTGAGGAAAAAATGGCCTCCAAGGGAGGGCTCTTTTTCCCCTACAAGTGACATTCAAAGTGGTGCTGTGTCTATCGGAACTAAAATAAGGGCGATTCCTTCTTTCACCATTCCCCACCGCAGTACAAGTGACGGCGGGACTGTGCTTAGTGGCGTCATCTAGTTTCAAGGCGGTCTCCTATCTGACTTTGAGCCCTCGCTCTTTATACCCAGTTACCCTCTCGTGGAGTCCGAGCAGCTGCTTCAGGGAGGCCCGGGAGCCCCTAGGGCGGGCAGCCCCGGAGCCTGCAGCTGCGACGCAGACTCGGAAACTACAACTGCGCGTGAAGCCGACTAAAGTTAACGCCTGTGTGATTGAGTCAGAAGCTCCTTCAGGAACACAGGAGTGGGGCCGACTCCTGGAATCCGGCCCCGGGTCGCTTATAAATGCGCCAAGAAAAAAACGTCACCGAAAAACTTTATACGCGTTCTTGCTTTGGTCCAGAATGGTAAAAAGCCTATCCTTTGAGTGTGTCCCGTGATGGGGTTAACTAGCAACCCTTGAAACTAGTGGAACTCAAAAGCAAAACAAAAAGCCATTGTACCCAGCCGCCCCGGGACCTGGGCCGGCGCCCTTGGGAAGTCTGGCGTGAAAGGAGGGGTGGCTTTGGTTTCAGGGCCGAGCTCGCCTCTCCCGGGTTGGGTTCAGCAGCCGGGCCGGGTGGGTCGTGGGCAACCCCGGGAGGCCCCCGGTCCCGGCGCGCGGCGAGGCCGCCCTCGGACCTGGCACTTGTCACTCGCTGTCCCCGGCCCGGGCGTCAGCGGGGAGACGCAGAAGGGCGGAGGGAGGGAGCCGGCCGCGGACAGCGGTGACTCAGCCTGCGGAGCCGGGGGCGGGCGCCGCGCGGGGGACAGGCGAGCCCGCGCTCGCGGGGGGCGGTGGCGCCCGGCACAGAGGGGTTAAGGGGGCGGTGCAGACGTCTCCCCGCCCATCCCGCCCCTCGAGAGCCGCGGCGCCCCGCCCTATTTATAGCAGCGGTGCCTAGCGCGCCGCGTCTCTCCGCAGGCCCCGGCCGCGGCGTCCTCGACAACCTATCGAAGGCGCCATGGAGCGACCGGCGCCCCTGGCCGTGCTTCCCTTCTCGGACCCCGCGCACGCCCTGAGCCTGCTGCGCGGCCTGAGCCAGCTGCGCGCCGAGCGCAAGTTCCTGGACGTGACCCTGGAGGCGGCGGGCGGGCGCGACTTCCCGGCGCACCGTGCGGTGCTGGCCGCCGCCAGCCCCTACTTCCGCGCCATGTTCGCGGGGCAGCTGCGCGAGAGCCGCGCCGAGCGGGTGCGCCTGCACGGAGTGCCTCCCGACATGCTGCAGCTGCTGCTGGACTTCAGCTACACGGGCCGCGTGGCGGTAAGCGGCGACAACGCTGAGCCGCTGCTGCGCGCCGCCGACCTGCTGCAGTTCCCGGCCGTGAAGGAGGCGTGCGGGGCCTTCCTGCAGCAGCAGCTCGACCTGGCCAACTGCCTGGACATGCAGGACTTCGCTGAGGCCTTCAGCTGCTCGGGACTGGCGAGCGCGGCGCAGCGGTTCATTCTGCGCCACGTGGGCGAGCTGGGCGCCGAGCAGCTGGAGCGGCTGCCACTGGCGCGCCTGCTGCGCTACCTGCGGGACGACGGGCTGTGTGTGCCCAAGGAGGAGGCCGCCTACCAGCTGGCGCTGCGCTGGGTCCGCGCTGACCCGCCGCGCCGCGCCGCGCACTGGCCGCAGCTGCTGGAGGCCGTGCGCCTGCCCTTCGTGCGCCGCTTCTACCTGTTGGCGCACGTCGAGGCCGAGCCGCTGGTGGCGCGCTGCCCACCCTGCCTGCGCCTGCTGCGCGAGGCGCGCGACTTCCAGGCGGCGCGCTACGACCGCCACGACCGCGGGCCCTGTCCCCGAATGCGTCCTCGCCCGTCCACCGGTCTCGCCGAGATCCTCGTGCTCGTGGGCGGCTGCGACCAGGACTGTGACGAGCTGGTCACTGTCGACTGCTACAACCCGCAGACGGGTCAGTGGCGCTACCTGGCCGAGTTCCCAGACCACCTGGGCGGAGGCTACAGCATCGTGGCGCTGGGCAATGACATCTACGTGACGGGTGAGTGGGCCAGGGGCTGGGCAGGCTCTCTGGGGTTGAACCTCGCCGGTACGGGAGCCCAGCTATTCGCGGGGGAAGCGCACAGAGCCTGGAATCCTAGGGGCGCACCTGAGTCCAAGCTGGGGCTCTGGTGACTACATGTCTCTGGGCGATACTTTTAACCTTGAAGAAGGGCCCCTTGTGTGAGCCGGGACAAGTAGCTGCTTGTGGGTCTCTGTGCCCCGTGCGGCCGGGGCTGCCAGGCTGAGCCAACTCCGTGCCCAGGAGGTGCCTCCCCACTTGGTTGGAAGATACTGGGGCATTCACCCCGCACAATGGGTGCTTTCTTTTTCTCCTTAAGGAATCCAGGGACGGGCAGGAGGCCGACGCCCGGTGAGGCATCTGTTCCCCACAAGCCGGGGAATTTCTCCCTCCCTGCTGAGCCACACCGGGCCCCCTGACTCACTCTTTGTCACCCGGTGACAAGGTTCCCTTGGGCTTGCACCTAGGCTCTGTGCTCTGGTCACATGGTGTTTAGGCTGAACTCCCCGGAGCCTGTAAACATGGTCACATGTTAAGAGGTTTTCTTCCAGTTACTTGGCCCAAACCCCAAAACACTGCCGAGTCATGGTAGGCGGGTCCCAGTCCGCCTGAGTTTGGGCTTCTACGGTTTTTATTAAAGATAAATCCCAGTTCAAACACGAGGCTACCTCCTTTGTCGGGGTGAGGAAGGGCGGTCTCTGTGACTGCTATATAAGGAAAGAACCCACCAGGCAGGCGTGTGAGGCGGTTATCAGGCAAGGAGGTGGGGACTGGGATGTCACAGCTGCTGTGCCCAGCCTTGCATGTTCGCGAGAGAGCCCACTCTGGGACGTGCTCCGAGTTCCAGTGGGGCTCTGAGGTGTCAGGTGGGACAGTTGCTGGATTCTGTTGCCACAGCTTCCTTAGCCTGCTGCTCTGAGTCCAGCCTCTGCTGGGTTCTGCCAGAATCTGTGCCTCTTTCCAATCCAAGGTTGTCCCCAAGTTGATTGGGGACCGTGTCCCTCCCCTCTTCTGAAAGTCTGACCAGTGGCTTTGAGCAGATAATTTCTTCCCAGAACTGGCCACACTGGCCCCAGCTTTCTGCACACCCTTCCATAAATGTCCCAGCAGAGCAGTTAATCCCTTGGGTTTAGGCAGGTGGCTGGTTCATTCCTTTCAGCTGCCTTTCACACAGCTCCATGGAAGGGAGGAGGCCGGCAGAGCTCACTTCCTAAGAACAAGAACTTGCTTTTCTCCCTTTAGAGCTCAGGGCTGTGAAACAGAATGTCTTGTCCGCTCTGTCCTGTGGCGCCAGCCTGGGAGGCCAAGGGGTACAGCCCCCAGGATGCTTGGGGTCCCTTCATGTCCTGGGGTTTCTAATAGACCTGGTGTAATTTACGATTACAGCCAGTACCACTTTTTATTCTTAGCTTTTTATTGAAATTGAAAATACGGGCCGGGTGCAGTGGCTCTTTGTAATCCCAGCACTTTGGGATATCAAGGTGGGTGGATCACTTCAGCTCAGGAGTTCGAGACCAGCCTGGACAACATGGCGAAACCCCGTCTGTACAAAAAATACAAAAATTAGCTGGGTGTGGCGGCATGTGCCTGTTGTCCCAGCCACTCAGGAGGCTGAGGTGGGAGGATTGCTTGAGCCCAGGAGGTGGAGGTTGCAGTAAGCTGAGATCATGCCGCTGCACTCCAGTCTGGGTGACAGAGCAAGACTCTGTCTCAAAAATAATAATAATAATACAGGCAGAAGAATATATATATATATATTATACTTACACAGCTTCGTGGATTTTTCTAAACCAAACACAGCTTTGTAACCTGCACCAGAATCGAGAAGTGGCCTCGCAGTGTAGCGTTAGGTCTCTTGCTTAAAGCAGGAAGTGGGTTTCCGCTCATCTTGTCCTGGCAGAACCTTGCTTGGAGGGTGCCCAGGAAGCCTAGGAGTTAGTGAGCAAGTCCCTGTGTGCCCTGCTGACAAGCTCTGTGGCTCCCCAGGAGAACTGTCCCAAGGCCCAGGGCTCTGGTCTGCTGAGGTGTATGTATGGCTGGGGGGCGGTGTCCAGAGGAGGCTGCTGGATTCTTCCAGCATTGCACTCAGGACCTTTGTTTGGTAGAGGCTTGGCAGCAGTCATCTCGCTGGACAGTGGTCAGCGTGTGCTTTGCCTTAGCCACAACATGTGGCCTGGGCTTTTGGGGAGAGGGTGTGCGTCTGGGGTGAAGCCCAGTGATGTTAATTCCTCCCAAGGCAGAGGCCCTTGCGGAAGTTCGGGAGGGTGCAGGTGGGTGACTCACCTGAGTGGGCTGATCTTCTGCCTGTCATGCGTCCTGGCAGGTGGGTCCGATGGCTCCCGGCTCTATGACTGCGTGTGGAGGTACAACTCAAGCGTGAATGAGTGGGCGGAGGTGGCGCCCATGCTGAAGGCCCGCGAGTACCACAGCTCCTCTGTGCTGGACGGACTGCTGTACGTGGTGGCCGCCGACAGCACCGAGCGCTATGACCACACCACTGACTCCTGGGAGGCCCTGCAGCCCATGACCTACCCCATGGACAACTGCTCCACCACTGCGTGCCGTGGCCGGCTCTATGCCATCGGCTCCCTGGCTGGCAAGGAGACCATGGTGATGCAGTGCTACGACCCGGACACCGACCTGTGGTCGCTGGTGGACTGCGGCCAGCTCCCGCCCTGGTCCTTCGCCCCCAAGACTGCGACTCTAAACGGACTCATGTACTTTGTCAGGTGAGTTCCAGGTGCCGAGCCCCACTGTGTGTTTGGTGTCTCTTACCAGGCCCTGTCTTAAGCACACATCATGGCTGTTCTCCCTTTTCCACAGATGAGAAACTGAGGCCTAGCTGGGGTTGGAGGCTGGGTCTGTCTCTTTGTTTTTGTTTTGTTTTGTTTTTGAGACGGAGTCTCGCTCTGTCGCCCAGGCTGGAGTGCTGTGGCGCAATCTCAGCTCACTGCAAGCTCCACCTTCCGGGTTCACGCCATTCTCCTGCCTCAGCCTCCAGAGTAGCTGGGACTACAGGCGCCCACCACCATGCCTGGCTAATTTTTTTGTATTTTTTGTAGAGACGGGGTTTCACCGTGTTAGCCAGGATGGTCTTGATCTCCTGACCTCATGATCGGTCCGCCTTGGCCTCCCAAAGTGCTGGGATTACGGGCGTGAGCCACTGCACCCGGTCTGTTTTTTTTTGTTTTGTTTTGTTTTTTTAAAAGAAGAGTTTCGCTTTTGTTGCCCAAGCTGGAGTACAGTGGCGCGATCTTGGCTCACTGCAACCTCTGCCTCCCAAGTTCAAGCCATTCTCCTGCCTCAGCCTGCCAAGTAGCTGGGATTACAGGCATGTGCCACCATGCCTGGCTGATTTTTATATTTTTAGTAGAGACAGGGTTTCTCCATGTTGGTCAGGCTGGTCTAGAACTCCTGACCTCATGTGATCCAGCTGCCTCAGCCTCCCAAAGTGCTGGGATTATAGGCACAAGCCACCACACCTGGCTCATTTTTTAACTTTTTGTAGAGACAGGGTCTCGCTGTATTGCCCCGGCTGGTCTCAAATTCCTAGCTTCAAACAATCGTCTCACATTTCCTGCCTCCCAGAGTGCTGGGATTGTAGGTGTGAGCCCCCACACCCAGCCAGGCCTGGTCTTTCGGAGCCCACAGTGCTTGTTCCATTCCTTTGGGTTTAAGGAAAACCCCAGGCTTTCTTAAGCGATTTCACAGGTGGTGGAGTTGAGCTCTTCCAGCAAGAGTAGGCTGTAGGCTGAGCAGCACGGAGCAGAGACAGGCAGCCTGCGGGTCATCATATGTCTGCTGGCCTTGATGACCTGTCTGGTCACAGCCAAATGCTGCCTCCGGCTGGTTTCTGGGCATCAATGATGGCACGGGGCAGCCCCTCCCTGCTGTACTCCGCTGCTTGTTCACATAATCCTGCTGCTCCCTCCCAGCCTAGAGCCTGCCTGAAGCTCTGGGTCCAGGAGGGAAGGGGAAGAACTGAATGACAGTCCCCACTGTGCCCTTTCGTGCTGGGGCTTTGAATGGGGAGCTTGGGGGATGTGAGCTCCCTGCTCCTTGGCCCCCTGCCTCGCACTGCCAGAGCTGCCCTGGCCTTGGCATCTGCCCCACCATCCCCCCAGACAGGAGGCTCCTTACCAGGCTTTTGGAGTGAGCACCAAGAAGAACAGGGGTGGCGTTGCTTGTCACGCAAGTAGCTGGGCACCACCACATGCCCAGAACCAATGGTCTTGCTCTGAGAAAGCCCTGGAATCTCAGCCAGCTCTGGTCCCATTATAAAACATCATCTGACCCTTTGCCCGGCTCTCCCTCCCCCAAGTTGTGAAGGTGTCTTCAAAGAGGGGGTGGAGATGGCTATAAATACAACTTATCAGAGGGCCAGAACCTTCCTTTCGGCCCCTAGGCAGTGGTTCCAGGCCCAGTGTCTTTGAGAGTCCTCCTCCCCTCCCCCATCTGTCCTAGAGCAAGATGTGAAGATGTGCGCCAGGGAGGTCTGCCTGCTGGGTTAACCTTCCCATAGGGAAGCATGAGGGTCTGCCCCGCCACCCCCACCCACTGCTGACCTTTCCAGGGGTTTCCTAAGCCACTTGCACGTGTGGGAGGAGGCAGTGCTCTGGAAAGGCTGCATGCGTTCATCTTACCAGTGTGACCTGTGCCGGAGCACAGAGGAGGGGCGCCCAGGCTCAGCCTGAGTGGAAGCTGCTTGAGCCCTAAAGAGAAGGCTAAGCATGCAGGGGCCCTGCTTGGGGCTGGTCCCCCTGGGCTATTTGTCCCGGTGTCACTTTGTCTGCGCACTTTGGCTCTTCAAGAGCCACATAACCCTCTGCCCAGAACACCACCTGTCTTTGGGCAGCTTGTGCCTAGGACGTGCCATTCTCAGGGAGGCCACAGCCTCAGCCGTTGTCCATGTGACCCACAAATGACCTGGGCCTCCCTCCCCTTGGTTCTGGTACAAAATGCCTCCTTGGCTGGGGTGCAGTAGCCCCCTCTGGGAATGCCGGCGAGCTCTGTCCAGCCTCTGGGCTGTGGTTTGCAAGTCTCTGCTGGGGAAAGACAGGGCAGCCTAGCAGGTTCCAGGGTGTAATCATCATCATCATCACCACCACCACAGGGCCCACAAACTGAGGGTGACTTTGACATTTTGAAATGATTGGGGGCAAAAAATCAGGAATAACATTTCAAGTTAGACGAGATGTAAATGTCTGTCCATGGATAGTTTTCTTGGCACACAGCCAGGCTCGTGTCTATGCATTGTCTGTGGCTGGTTTTGTGCTGCCGTGTCAGGTTCACAACTACTGTTGTTTGTCTTGTAGTATCTTTGTTTCTTTTTTTTGTTTTTGAGACGAAGTCTCACTCACTATGCCTCCCAGGCTGGAGTGCAATAGCACGCTCTTGGCTCACTGTAATCTCCGCCTCCCGGGTTCAAGAGATTCTCCTGCCTCAGCCACCCGGGTTCAAGCGATTTTCCTACCTCAGCCTCCTGAGCAGCTGGTATTACAGGCACATGCCACCACACCTGGCTAATTTTTGTATTTTCACTAGAGACGGGGTTTCATCGTGTTGGCCAGACTGGTCTCGAACTCCTGACCTCAGGCACTCCACCAGCCTCGGCCTCCCAAAGTGCTGCATTACAGGCGTGAGCCACAGTGCCTGGCCTGCATCTTTGCTTTTCAAGGCTGTGCCTTTGAGCCTTTTACTGTGGGGATATAAAGGGTGTCAGATGAAGTTGAAGGGTCTTGACCCCAAAGTGAGGGGTACTTCAACATAGTAGTGAACAGGACAGGGTTGGGGGCTCATAGTGATATTGGGGACAGTGGCAAGGAGTGTTCCAGGGCCTGTGGGGATGCACAGTGGAGCAAGGAGGCTTCTTTAAGATCTCAAGGGAGCTACTGTAGGCTTGGGGGGTGGGGGACAGCCACCTTGGTACTGGGTGATGGGGAGGCACTGAATGGGCTTCAAGTACTCAAAAGCCTGATCTTCAGGTTTGGGAGTGAGAGTTCTGGCCCTGGAGCCCTGGCTGAGTGGGCACAGGGGGCTGAAATTGGCTCCTAAGAGCTGGGGATGGAGCCTACCTGGCAAGGGTGCTGCTGGATGGCATCAGAAAGATCCAGGTCACTGGAGGAGTCAGTGACCCAGGGGAGGACTCTGCTCCAGCCCTGCATGTGTGCACTTCCTCCTCGCTCTGAGCAGTTGTCCTCCTGCTGCCCCCTCCACAGGGATGACTCCGCTGAGGTGGACGTGTACAACCCGACGAGGAACGAATGGGACAAGATCCCGTCCATGAATCAGGTAAATTTTCAGGCGGGCCAGCATTGGAAGCACAGGCTGGTCCTGATTTTGCAACCCAAGTGTCATCGTGATGAGTGTTTGGGATCCACAGCCATGATGGGTGGGTCTCATCTCAATTAATAGAAGGCTGCTCTTACCCTTATTTTGCACTTAAGGCTCACTGAGACACAGATGTTAAGTAATACCCTATGATTACACAGCTTAGTACACATTTGAGCAGTGTTTATTGAGTATCTGCTGTGAGCCAGAGAGCAGAAGGAAGTGAGGGAGCAAGGCATACAGTCATCTGGGGACACCTGTTCCAGAGAGGGACAGCAGGTACAGAGGCCCTGCAGCAGGGCACCCTGGCGTGTTCTTAGATACACCAGCAGCCCATGTGGCCGGAGCAGAGTCAGCATGAGGTCTGTGACCTACCTTTTTTATTTTTGAGACAGGGTCTTGCTCTGTCACCCAGGCTGGAGTGCAGTGGTACAATCATGGCTCACTGCAGCCTCCACCTCCTTGACTCGCAGTCCTCCCACCGCACCTTCCTGAATAGCTGAGACTACAGGCGTGTGCCACCACACCCAGTAATTTTTTTTCTCATATGTAGATACAAAAGGATATTCTTAAAATTTTTATAGAGACAGGGTCTTGCTGTGTTACCCAGGCTGGTCTCACACTCCTGGCCTCAAGTGACCCTCCTGTCTCAGCCTCCCAAAGTGCTAGGATTATAGGCGTGAACCACCACGCCCAGCTGGTTCCTGAGGAAGTCAGTGTGGGAATACTTTTTTTTTTTTTATACGGAGTCTCGCTCTGTCACCCAGGCTGGAGTGCAGTGGCACGATCTCGGCTCACTGCAAGCTCCATCTCCCAGGTTCACGCCATTCTCCCGCCTCAACCTCCCGAGTAGCTGGGACTACAGGTACCCACCACCACGCCCAGCTAATTTTGTTTGTGTATTTTTAGTAGAGACGGGATTTCACTGTGTTAGCCAGGATGGTCTGGATCTCCTGACCTTGTGATCTGCCTGGCTCAGCCTCCCAAAGTGCTGGGATTACAGGCATGAGCCACCATGCCCAGCCCACTGTGGGAATACTTGTGTTGAGCACTTGCTGTGTGTTCTGAATAGGACAACCAGGGTCCACCCCTTCTCTCTGGGCTTGTTGAGAAGAGGGGTGCCCAGCCTGACAGTGATGGGACAGGGAGGCTTCAGTGCCATTTGGCCATGTGAGCAGTGTTAGTCTGAGGTACACATCATATTGCCTACAGCCTTCTTTCCTGTGTGTCTGTTAACATTTCCAAACCTACACTCCGTGACATCCAGCCTCACAGCTTACATCACAGCTTAATGTCCTGGCATTTAAGAGACCCAGCGTTCTGTTTTCCCCGCAGTAAGCTGCACATAGTCATAGCGAATTTGGGAAAGATGGAAGGAATCATCCAGCCTCGCGGTTCAGAGCCCAGCTCTGCCACTGTCAGCCATGCAAGCCTCAGTTTTCCCATCTGTAACATGGGGAGAACAGCACTGCTCAGCCCAGAGGGCCACTGCAGAGATTCTGAGAGAGAACGTAGGAAGCGCTGCTCGGCACGACCTGCACACGGGGAGGCCTGGCGCTGCAGCGGGCACCCTCATCACCATAGGGAAGGCCCAGCTGCCTCCGGGGAGGCCCGTTCTCCTAGGCAGGGTGTTGGAAAGGGGTTGGCCTCTCTGCTGCTTTCTGGGAGAGCCAAGGCCACCCCTCTGGGGTACTGACAGGGCATGCCTTGTCTCCAGTGGTTCCCCAGGTGGGGCCCTGCCCTACCCTCTCCTCTGACCTCCACTCACTCATCCCTTTGGCCCACAGGTACATGTGGGGGGCAGCCTGGCCGTCCTTGGGGGGAAGCTGTACGTCTCTGGGGGATACGACAATACATTTGAACTCTCGGACGTGGTAGAGGCCTATGACCCAGAGACTCGCGCGTGGAGCGTGGTGGGGCGGCTCCCAGAACCCACCTTCTGGCATGGCAGTGTCAGCATCTTCCGCCAGTTCATGCCCCAGACCTTCTCGGGTGGGCGTGGCTTCGAGTTGGACAGTGGCAGCGATGACATGGACCCAGGCCGACCCCGGCCGCCGCGGGACCCCGATGAGCTGCACTAGCCCCAGTCTGGCCCGGCACGGGCCTCGGTGCAGGTAACTGGCACCTCTGCGGGGCAGTGCCCCACTCCTTTGTGCACAAGGACACGTTGGGCTCACAGGAGGAGCACAGGCTCTTGGGTGGCGAAGCCAGCCCAGGATCCATTACCTGGAAGGTTTCTGTACCTTGAGAGCCTGAATCAGAGGCCGTCGGGAACGCCCTCCCTGCAGTTGAGGAAGAGCCACTTTCCTGCCAGCACATGTTTCTGGGTCTTGGAGGTCACCCCCACCCCGCGGATCACAGCTCACCCACGCGGCGCACACCCCTCCTGCCGTTGTCATCTGCACCTACTTGTTCCCACCTTGGGAGAGGACGATGACTTGGGAGGGACGCGTGAAGGGAGAAGGGGTCCTCCCATGAGGCTGAGGATGGCCTGAACCTGGAGCAGCGGACCAGGCAGACGGGCTGAAGTGGGGTCCCAAATTCCATGTCCAGAGGTGTGGGGAGCCTGCCTCCCTAGCTCCTGGCCCCTGCCAGGGGCTTACATCAAAACACCTCAGAGGGCTGCCCTCCAGAGGCTGCACCCAGAACAGTGGGACATGAGCAGGGGTGTGGGCTTGGAGGGTGAAGAGGATGTGGTCCTATCAGATGCTGGGCCTCCTCAGCCATAGCCCCCTGCTCCTACCCCCTGACTGGCTCTTGCGTCCTCACCTCTCACCCTCTCCTTCCCGGGAGGCCCTGGGAGGTGATCATTGACACCCAGCCAAGCAGACAGCTGCGGGTGCCCAAGCCCTTGCTGGGCCTGCGCGTGAGGAGTCCCACTGCTTCTAAAGGAAGTCCTGGGCAGGAGGTGGCTTTGGTGGTTGGTTCCAAAGTTGAAAATGCTTGCAGTTTGACCTTAGAAGAAGTGGGAAGAAGAAGGAGCTCTACAGGGTCAGCTTTGTTTGATTTGTCCAGTCTAAGAAGTCCCATTGCCAAAGCTTTCTGCAGGAGGGTGAATGCCGCAGCTTGGCAGCCCCTGGGTTTCTCTTGGAAATGGTCAGTTTCCCCTCAAAGTACCCAAAGTAGCCTTGGCTTGAGTTTTTGTCCTTGCCTCCTTTTTAGAGAAGAGGGCATTTAGACTGCATTTTCCTGGTTAAAGAAGGTTAAAGCAAATGTTTATTGCCTTTTCTAGTGAACTAACTCGTAGAGATGTTCTCAGCAGGAAGACAGTCTTAGCACTGTCACTTAGCAGATTGCACTTAAGTCCCTTGTGCTGGCCAGATGGCGTGGCTGGTTGCCTTAATATGTCCCAGGACCCCTGACAGGGCTGCCTGGCCTCTCCCTCGTGCTCCTCAAGAGCCCAGTCCATACACTGTGGATGTCATTGCTGTCGGGTTAGGAAGTCTTGTCCTAGAACGCCCTGGCTGGTATGACCACAGTTCATGGCGGCTCTTCTCGCTTGGGTCATGGTCATCTTCCAGCACCTGCTGTGCTGGGAAGGCCGAGGATGGGGGCCCAGCACTGTCCAGGCCTGCTGGGGCCTGGCTGGGAGTCCTGTGGGCAGCATGGAACATGCAGCTGGGCTTCCTGTGACCAGGCACCCTCTGGCACTGTTGCTTGCCCTGTGCCCTGGACCTTTTCCTGCCCTTCTCCTTCCTCTGCTCCCTTGGGGCTACCCCTTGGCCCCTCCTGGTCTGTGCAAACTCCCTCAGGGAGCCCCCCTGCCCTGTAGCTCTCGCTTAACTTCCTAGGGGCTGCTGAGCCCACCCAGAGGTTGTTGGAGTTCAGCGGGGCAGCTTGTCTCCCTTGTCAGCAGGGGCGTAAGGGCTGGGTTTGGCCATACAAGGTTGGCTACGCCCTCAATCCCTGACCGTTCCAGGCACTGAGCTGGGCACCCACGGAAGGACATGCTGTCCAGACTGTGATGACTGCCAGCACAGGGCATCTCGGGCTTGGCTGGTCTGCGAGGCCTTGCCCCTGTGGAACTCTGGGTTCCTGTTTTCTCAGTCTTTTTTGCGGCTTTGCTGTGGTTGGCAGCTGCCGTACTCCAGGCTTGTGTCGGCCACTCAGATGAGGGCTGTGGTGCGAGCCAGTGCAGGAGAGCTGCGCTTGGGATTGTGCCCTCTCCTGTGTCTGTCCTCCGGACCTACCCAGGTCTCCACCATCAGGACCCTGTCTTTGGGTTTAGAAGACCAAGTATGGGGAAAACCAGGCACCAGCCTCTGCAGCAATGGGTCCCTCTAGCCTGTGGACACCAGCTGGGGGATCCAGGGTCAGGCCCCCTCCTCTCCCCAGTTTCCCTCTGCTGTGGGTTCTGGGCTGTCATGTCTCCACCACTTAAGGATGTCTTTACACTGACTTCAGGATAGATGCTGGGATGCCTGGGCATGGCCACATGTTACATGTACAGAACTTTGTCTACAGCACAAATTAAGTTATATAAACACAGTGACTGGTATTTAATGCTGATCTACTATAAGGTATTCTATATTTATATGACTTCAGAGACGCGTATGTAATAAAGGACGCCCTCCCTCCAGTGTCCACATCCAGTTCACCCCAGAGGGTCGGGCAGGTTGACATATTTATTTTTGTCTATTCTGTAGGCTTCCATGTCCAGAATCCTGCTTAAGGTTTTAGGGTACCTTCAGTACTTTTTGCAATAAAAGTATTTCCTATCCATTTGGAGTCATTGCCTTTGTCCTCCTGCTACTGTCTTCTGGGACTCTTGGGCTGAGGACAGATGTCAGGGGAACAGGCAGCATGGAGCCCAGGGTTCACACTGAGGGTCTTAAACAGCCTTCCAGGCCCTTTCTCATCTCAGATTGTAGCAAGTGATGAAGCGTTGGAAAAGACATGCCCCAGAGGCTGGGTGTGGTGGCTCACACCTGCAATCCCAGTGCTTTGGGAGGCTGAAGAGGGAGGATCACTTGAGCCCAGGGGTTCAAGACCACCCTGAGCAATACGGGAAGACCTTGTCTCCATTTAAAGAGAGAGGCCTGAGAAGTAAATGCTGTGGAACAGATGATGCCCAGGAAACCTGCCTGCTCCAAAGCTGGTCTTTGCCTGTTGGTCCTCTGCCCGGGCCCGGCTCCCACAGCCCTTCTTGAGATTGCGGTACATACAGGTGGTGATGAGACTCCCATCTGCGATGAGATGGCCCTTGGACCTGGGGAGGTGGAGCCCTTCAAATACAGTCCCAAACCAGGCTGTGAATCCACACAAGCCGTCTGGCTCAAGATGTTTTTCCTATCTGCAGAGTCCATCTGAACCTGAGGGAGAGGCCAGTGTCTCGGCTGGGAAGGAGAGCAGTGTTGAGACCACAGTGGGCCTCTTTTTTTTGTTGTTGTTTTTTAAAGACAAGGTCTCATTCTGTTGCCTAGGTTGGAATGCAGTGGTGCAATCTCGGCTCCCTACATCCTTCGCCTCCTGGGTTCAAGGGATTCTCGTGCCTCAGCCTCCTGATGCACCACCACACCCAGCAATTTTGTATTTTCAGTAGAGAAATGAAGCTGTCAGTAACTTACCCAGGGCCAACTTAGTTGGGAAGAAATTTAAACAACAGCAATCTGCTCTAAGGCCCACGTGCATTTGCTCCTTGCCACACAGTACCCCACAGCTATAGAACGTGGGGACCAAAGCCTCCTGGACACAGACCAGGCTGCTTGAAGGAAGGGCCCCACCCTCCTCAGACCCCCAGGCGTGCTCAGCTACACTAACTGGGCCCAATCCTTGATTCTGCCCAACAAGGCCAGCCCCGTGGGCCCTGATCACTCTACTGAACTCCAGAAGCTTAGTAATGAATTCTATCTCCAGAAGCCGGTATCACCTCAGCTCTAAAATAGGAATACTGGTGCTCTAACTGGCCAGCGTTCCCCACTCTAAAATCCTGCAGTAATGAGGAACAGAATACAGATGTGGAGAGCAGCCAAGGCCAGAGGTTTGGCCCCCAAAGGAACCCCATCCAAGCCTCGCTCAGCTGAGGTTTCCTGACAGGAGGGGAAGCTGCCAGCTGAGCTGAGGCCCACATAGGACCGGGCAGGGCACTACTCTCTCCTGAAGGCGTGGGTGGGAAGGCAGCACTTCCCCAACTCCAGGACACGGGAACAGACTGTCAGGCTGAAATACGAGAGTCCAAAGCCACACGGTTTATTGAGGGGTGGGGCCAAGTGGGCTCTGGTGGCCAGAATGGGCTATGTGTCACAGTCCTCGGGGACAGCAGCTGTGATGATGAGGGAGGGCTCCAGGACACCTGGGCCGGTGAAGCTCTCCTCTGCACACAGTCTCTGGCCGGGGAGCTGGGAGGCCAGGCCGCCCTGGGCCAGGGACTCCACAATGACCTCCGCCGAGCCCACCTCCAGCTCTGCAGGCGGCTGCAGCGCCACCACCACCATCTTCTCGTCCTCGATGATCAGGTTGCGGAGCTTGCGCTGCCGCGGGTTGTAGTTCTCTACCCGGTCGTGGATCTCCATGTGCCTCCGCAGGTGGGCCTGGCGGGGAGGGTGAGCTCAGAACTTTGGGGGATCCTAGGGTAGGGGAAGGGGCCCAGGCCCTGGCCTACCTGTCGGGTAAACTTGTAGCCACACTCGGTGCACTCAAACTTCCTCACCCCCTTGTGCCGTCTGACGTGCACACGCAGTTGCTCCACGGCTGCAAGAGGGAGAACACCGTGGGGGATCATGCAGGAGCCCCGGGACCCTCGAGGAAACCCAGCAGGAGGTTGGGACAGGCAGCAAGGGAGGGGACCAGTGGTTTACAAGTGCTGCACAGGCCCTGCCAGGCTCTCCAGTGCCACCCAGGGTCACTACTGCACAGGACACCCCTGCCTTCAAAGCAGGTCCACTCTCAACTCTAACCATGTGGGGCACAAAAGAGGTTCACAGGCAAGAAAGGAGCGTTTCCTCCTCAGAGACCCTCCAACTCGGATGAGCAGGAAATGGCTCTCCCAGGGCCGCCCAGGTACCTTTGAAGGTCTTGCCGCATATCTGGCAGAAGTGGGGCCGGCCCTCCTGATGGCGGCTGGCCACGTGCCTCAGGAGGGGCCCCTTCTCAGTGAAGCGCTGTTCACAGAACTCGCAACTGAAGGGCCTTTCCCCGGTGTGGGTGCGGTTGTGCTTGTCCAGGCTGGCTGCAGGCACAAGGCAAGAGCTCAGCCTGTGGCCTTGGCCTCAGGATGGGGAGGCGAGGGGAGGGGCAGGGCGTACCTCACCTTGGGTTCGGAAGGTCTTGCCACAGAGGTGGCACTGGAAGGGCTTCTCACCCGTGTGTGTGCGCAGGTGCATGTTGAGATTGGCCTTTTGGGTGAAGGCGTGGCTGCAGAACTCACATACGTGTGGCCTCTCATTCCTGTTAAGGTGGGGACATGGGGCAGAGGCCATCACCAAGGGAAGTGACCCCCTTGCTCTGCTACAGCTAGGAGCATGCCTGGTGGAAAGAGGGCTTGGGCAGTGCTAGGAAAGGGGCACCACCTCCACCCCGAGAGCAGAAGGACAATCTATGAGCAGGAGTCACAGGAAACTAAGGAAGCTCAGAATCTGCCCCGGGGGCACAGAGGCTTGTCTGAGCCTGAAACATCTGCCCCCAGCCTCTCTGCCTGGCATAGCTGCTTGCCCCTCAGGTCCCACTATCCCAGAGAGGCTGTAGGCACTAGATTCAGGGTGGAGGCCAAGGGCACACTCATCTGTGTAAAAGTCAGCAAACTCTGTCTTCCCTGCCGGTGCAAGCCTGGGCTGGCAGCAGGACTGGGCCCCAAGAGAGAACGGGCGACACGCACCTGTGCTTGGCCTTGATGTGCATCTGCAGGCCATTCCGGCTCGAGGCCCGGTGCCCACACTCCTCACACACAAACAGCTTCTCACCACGGTGCTTGAAAGCTTCATGCAGCTGCAGCTCTGTCCGAGACAGGAAGCACTTGGCACAGGTGGGGCACTGCAGGCAGACCAGGCAGGCAGAGGGAGGGACCAGGGCCAGGGTGAGAGCAGGGAAGGGCTGCCTGGGAGACCCACAAGCACCCCCCCGAACAACAGAAAGTACATGGCCGGCTGCCCACTCTGGGCACAGCTCACTCTTGCTCATGCCAGCATCAAAGCATGCCCAGCCCTCCCTGTCACTTACTGCATGGGGCTTGGGGGCTCCATGAAGTTTGATCATGTGGCTCTGCAAGTCCTTCTTCTGCATGAACTGCTGGGAGCAGGAGGAACACTGAAAAAGAGGCCCACAGTCACCTCCAGGGCGGCCTGCACCCATGAAACCCTGCCACCCACCCTTGGGCTATAGGGCAGGAACTAGAGGGAGGCCCCGGTGAGATGATTCTGGGAGGACCCCTGATCTGGTGTGAAGGATGGTGCAAAGGAGGGCCCTCAGGGCTCAGCTGCCCAGAGGATGCCAAGCCTGTCCTCCATGGAAAGAAACAAGGGCCTAATAAGGACCTTGGAGGTGAGGCTGCAGACAGTAGCCCTGCCTAGATAAGGGGGCACTGGAAAGGCAGGGAAGGCAGGGAAGGCAGGCTCCCTGACAGCTACTGTGAGGGAGGTGCCTGACAGCACCCCACGTAAAGGGCTCAGCAGGAAGGATCCTGGGGCCACCCAACCCTGGCCCTGGAGACAGGCCAAGCCTGACCTTGTAGGGCATCTCCCCTGTGTGAGACACCATGTGCACCCGCAGCTCCATCCTTCGGCGGAATGTCTCCTGGCACACAGAGCACGTGAAGACCTGGCAGTGTGAGGGGCAAGCAGGGCCGGCATCAGCGGGGGCCTCTGCCTATGACAGCAGCCTCTGCCCGGGCTTCCGCTTGCTGCTGGGAAGAGTCTGCCTGGGGAGGGTGGGGACGCTAGGGTGGGAGAGGGCAACACATAACCTGCCTGGCCTGACCATCACTGAGTGCTGCAAGCCCACCGCACACCAGGCCCTTCTCAGGCCCAGACAGACTGGGGGCAGGGTCCGAGTGGCCTCACCCACAGTCCCTGGCCCTAGTGGCTGCTGACAGGCCTCTAGGAAGAGTGGGCCTGGGTTTCGGCGGGCCCTGACACAGAAGCCAGCAGTGGGGTTGCTGGGGGTGGCCAGGGGGCCTTTCCCAGCTGCCATCCCCTGTAGCGGCTCCCCTTCTCCAAAGCCAAGGTGGAGGTGGGCCAGGGGCCTAGGAAAGCCAACCCCAAATGCCTCCCACAGAGTCCCTCCTATGCCTGTCCCTTCCGCCCTCAGGACCTGTGTCCCCACCTGTACCAGGGCATGGACCTCATGACATCCAAGGACCCCACAGCTTTCCTGAGTTTACAGTACCCCTCTCAGACAGTCTCCTGGGGCCCTTCCCGGATGGCACGAAGACAGAGAGGCCAGTGTGCCCTGCCCACAAGTACCTGGGCCAGCTCCCAAGTACCTGTTCCGAGCGGTTCATGCAATTCCGGGCTTCATGCTCCAGGAGGTTCTCCTTCCGAAAGTAACACTTCCCACATTTGGGACACTCAAAGGGTTTCTCCCCAGTATGTTTCCTGCCAGGAGAAGCCACAGGGGTGGGGGGGCTGAGAGGGTTTCCCATCTCTCCCTCACCCAGGGCCCCCTCTGGGTCCCTTCTAAGGGGAACAAGTGTTCTCAGGTGACACCGGCTGGTTAAGGTGCAGGGACAAGCCCAGAAGCCTCCCCCAGCATGGAGACTCTGCAAGGGAGAGTGCAGTGGCAAGAAGCTCACACAGGTCCTAAGAGGCTGCCATGGATCTGGCCAGCACAGAGGCCGACAGGGAGGCCCAGCTGACCGCATTCTGTCTGAAGGCAGAAACAGATCTTGGGTCCTGACTATTGGAGAAGCAACTCAGTCTTCCCAGAGCTTCAAACCCATGGCCAGATCCTCACCTGACTCCACTGGCCCACCAAGGCTGGCAACAGCTTCTCCCAGGTAGCCAGGGGAGCTGCCCATCTGGTCTCCCCGCTCCGTGACTGCCTCCCCCACAGGTTTCAGTTCAGGAGCCAGAAGGACCTTTAAGTCAGACCTCAGTACCTCTTGGCTCACGTATCCCCAGTGCTTCCCCATTCAGAGAAAGGGCCCGGGAGGCCTATCAAGGCGCAGGCAGCCCTCCCCTTGCCTGCTTCTCTCCCAGGGTGTCGTCTGGCCACCTGGATCAGGCATGTGCCTCCTTGCTGCCTGTCACGCCCCCAGGATCCTCCTACCCCAGCGCCCTGGCTCTTCTCTCTGCCCAGATGCTCCCCAGTCACCCACTTGGTCAACTTCCTCACCTCCTTTGAGTCTTTGCTTAAATCTCACCTTCTCAGTAAGACTCTAGAGACCCTGGCTACTTAAAATCGCAATCGAACCCCACTCACAACTCCCCAACCCCTTGGCCCGCCTCTGCTTTTTCTTCTTCGGCAGCACTTCCTCACCGTCTACTGCAGGCAGATGGACTTATCTGTTATCTGCATTGCCTGGCAAGCAGGTCGGCTGCACAAGCACCTTTGTTTAGTTCCCTTAAATGCATCCCAAGCACCCACAAAGCCTTGCTGGCCACCTGGTAGACTGCTTAATCAATGAACTAAACGAACTCGACCTCAGAGCCCCTGTGCAGCCTGCGACAGCTCCTCCCACCTTCCAGAGGCCAAGCAGCTCTCTCATCCTCTTCCTCTACAGCAACTATCTTCATCCCCCATCAAAATGACTTCATGAAGCCATCCCCTCCCAGTTCTCAGGGCCAGTCCAGCAAGCTGAAGCCCAAGGAAGGGATGGAAACTGCCCCAGAGTCTTACCCCAGCAGAGTACTTGAAAGCAAGCATCCAGCAGTACACAGGCTGCCCCAGGACCCCCGACACTGGGGTTATCCCAGCATTCCACTGGCAGCAGCTGCCCTGAACACGGTGCACAGGGACAGCGAACGGGTTTCCCCCTGGCTCCCATTCTAGGTGATTACTAGTGTGCCGCCCAACCTGGCATGGCAAGAAAACACACCATGATAGACTAGTGATGTCTTGGCTGGGAGTGGCAGGACTGGAAGGCATGCCACTGGGCCGCCATCCCCACAGGCCTTGCAGGGACTCCAAAGCAGTGCCGCCCAAGGGGATTCTCCACGATGATGGAAATGTGCTATGTCAGCACTGCCCGATTCAGCCACCAGGAGACACGTGGTTCCTCACCACTTCAGATTTGGCTAACGTATCTGAGGAACTGAATTTTTATTTAATTTTAAATTTTAAGTTAAAATAGTCCCTGGGGGCTGGGCACGGTGGCTCTCGCCTGTAATCCCAGCACTTTGGGAAGCTAAGGCAGGTGGATCGCAAGGTCAGGAGTTTGAGATCAGCCTGGCCAATATGGTGAAACCCATCACTACTAAAAAGTAAAAAAATGGCTGGGCACGGTGGCTCACGCCTGTAATCCCAGCACTTTGGGAGGCTGAGGCAGGTGGATCACAAGGTCAGGAGTTCGAAACCAGCCTGACCAACATGCTGAAACCCTGTCTCTACTAAACACACACAAAAAAATTAGCCAGGTGTGGTGGCGCGTGCCTGTAATCCCAGCTACTCAGGAGGCTGAGGCAGGAGAATCGCTTGAACCTGGGAGGCAGAGGTTGTAGTGAGCTTAGACGGAGCCACCACACTCCAGCCTGGGCGACAGAGGGGAGACTCCATCTCAAAAAAAAAAAAAAAAAAAAGTAAAACAATTAGCTGGGCGTAGTGGTGCGCACCTGTAGTCCCAGCTACTGAGGAGGCTGAGGCAGGAGAATCGCTTAAACCTGGGAGACAGAAGTTGCAGTGAGCCAAGATCATGCCACTGCACTCCAACCTGGGCGACACAGTGAGACTGTCTCAAAAAAAAAAAAAAAAATAACAGGCTGGGCGCAGTGGCTCATGCCTGTAGTCCCAGCACTTTGGGAGGCCGAGGCAGGTGGATCACAAGGTCAGGAGTTCAAGACCAGCCTGGCCAAGATAGTGAAGCCCCATCTCTACTAAAAATACAAATATTAGCCAGGCGTGGTGGCAGGCACCTGTAATCCCAGCTACTCGGGAGGCTGAGACAGGAGAATCGCTTGAACCCAGGAGGCGGAGGTTGCAGTGAGCCGATCTCATGCCACTGCACTCCAGCCTGGCAACAGAGTGAGACTCCGTCTCAAAAAAATAAAATAAAATGAAAAACAACATAGGCTGAGCATGGTGGCTCACACCTGTAATCCCAGCACTTTGGGAGGCCAAGGCGGGTGGATCACAAGGTCAGGAGATTGAGACCATCATGGCCATCATGGTGAAACCCCGTCTCTACTAAAATACAAAAAATTAGCCGGGTGTGGTGGCATGTGCCTGTAATCCCAGCTATTTGGGAGGCTGAAGCAGAGGAATCACTTGAACCCAGGAGGCAGAGGTTGCACTGAGCTGAGATCACGCTACTGCACTCTAGCCTGGTGACAGAGCAAGACTCCAACTCAAAAACAAAAACAAACAAAAAACATAAAATAGCCCCTGGGGGCTGGGCATGGTGGCTCACACCTATAATTCCAGCACTTTGGGAGGCCAGGGTGGGTGGATCGATTGAGCCCAGGAGTTTGAGACCAGCCTGGGCAACAGAGCAAAACCTTGTCTCCATTAAATGTAAAAATAAAAATTGTAATAGCTCCTGGAGTTCCTGGTTACTTTATTGGACGCTGAAGGTTTAGACAAATAGACTTGAATGCCCCACTGACACCCCAGAGTGAACACTTCCCTGGAAACGCAGGTAGCACTGAACCAAGGCTTGGCACTGTGGCCCAAAGCCCACACTGCCAGGCTTCAAGCCCACACTGCCAGGCTTCAGAAACACCTAAGGTTGGGCCCCAGCTCTAGCACAGGGGCCACAGGTTTCTCATTCTGTTAGCAGAGACCAGCTGGAGGTCAAGGTCCACAGTGGGTGGAACCTGTTGACAAGATGTACACAAACCCATCTCCAACCAGAGTACTCACAGGACAGCAAGGAAGAAGAATCCAACCCAAAGCAGGCTCTCACTTCCTGATTATCAGAGGTGTACCAAGGCCAGACACTATGTGGGTCTGAGATGGATCCCCCAGCCCCTACCTCACCCAGAAGTGGGAAGTGCAGGACCCCTCCCCCAACGTGGGAATGGCAGACAGGAAAAGAAAATAGAAAAACAGAACGTTTACCTGTTGTGGACTTTTAGATAATATTTGCTGAGGAACTTTTTATGACATGTGGGGCATTCGACCGGCACCGCTGTACCTTTTCTGTTCTCAGCAGGCTCAGCTGCTAGGGAGCCCGCGCTCAGGGCTGGCTCAGCTGCACAGGGCTTTCGGATTACATTTGACTTCCTCCTGGTCAGCACAGCCTCAGGCTCAGACATGTAATCGCCATCCCCATCATCCTCCACTTGAACCACCACTTCCCACTAGAGCACAATAGGCAGCAGGAGGGGGTGGCGTCACCAAATGAATCAGCAGGAGTTGTAGGGACCCAGCTCCAGTTCCATCCCAAGCCCCAACCCTGACAAGTCCCTTCATCAGACAAGTTCCTTCAGGGGCCCAAGGCAGAGCATCTGAATCTTGGATTCAGAGGAAAGTGGCTGTGTTTGTGGGGAACTGGAAGCTCAGCTGGAAACACTGCCCTGGGGAAACACCTGTAACCCTGATGCTGCCCACTCCTCTCAGGAAGGTGGCAACCGTGAACAGCTGGGGCTTGCAGAAAGGTCAGCCTGAGGTCACCAGCTTCCTTTGGAGAAAGCCTGTTCCAAACCCACATTAACAGAGATTGTCTTAAGGTCCACATATTTTTTTTTTTTTTTTGAGACAGGATCTTGCTCTGTCGCCTAGGCTGGAGGGTAGTGGCACCATCTCAGCTCACTGCAACCTCCACTTCCTGGGCTCAAGTGATCCTCCCACCTCACCCTCCTGAGTAGCTAGGACTACAGGTGTGTGCCACCACACCCGGCTAATTTTTGTATAGTCTTTGTACAAATGAGGCCTCGCCATGTTGCCCAGGCTGGTCTCGAACTCCCAAGCTAAAGTGATCCACCCCCCTTGGCCTCCCAAAGTGCTAGGATTACAGGCGTGAGTGAGCCATCACACCCAGCCCAGGGTCCCTATTATACCAAAAAAGTGTCTATTCCCTCTATTTGTCTCCCCAGTCCCAACACCCTGGGCACAGTACCTCATTACTGCCGCCCTGCAGCTGGGCACCTTCAGCCTCTAAGGGCCTTGGGGGCACTTTGCAGTCCTCGGGTTTCTTGTCCTCAAGGGGACAAGGCTTCAAGGCCTGCTTCAGTTTCCCACAGAGGGAGGAGGGGCCCTCACTCTGAGCTGGGGAATGGAGCTGGGGCCTCTGAGGACTATGACTGCCTCTGGGCTCCTGATCCCTGGGGACTAGACCCAGAGTCCTCGAAACTTCCTCTTCTTCCAAGCCTGCCGGCTCCTTGACGTGGCTGTTCACATTCTGGGAGGCAGGGGGCCCCAGCCCACTCTGGCCACCTGCTGCCTGTCCCACTGAAGTTTTGGGCTTGAAGCTCTGGCACAGCTCTACGGCCTCTGGCACTCGCAACTCCCTGGCTGCCAGGAGCACCTGATCCCGGTTCCCTGAGGTGAGAGCGAGGTGACCAGTGTAGAAAAAGTCCAACAAGAGGCCAAAGATCTCAGCGAAGCCAGCAGGGAGGACGACACTGCCCCCTGAGCCATCCCCGTAGAGGCTCTGGAAAAAGTGACTGCAGCAGGCAAGGACACTCCAGTGTGCCTTAAACACCAGGCCCCCCACGTCCAGAGTGGCGTCGCAGTACTGGCCCTTCTCCCGCTGCTTGTTGAGCTCCTGCAGAACCCTCACACTGTGCTGGACGAAGGAGCCGTCCATGGTCTGGAGGGCAGGGAGGCAGAAGTGACACCCCGGCCAGCCTAAGCGAGGGTATGCAAGAGAAAGCTCCTGGAGTCAAGAGAGAGAAACGGGAAGTTGGCCTCTACTCAAATAATCATATTTATCAGCACGAGGGCTTGGGTCAGGGTGAGGGGTGCACGCGGAGGGCTGGAACACACTGACAGCCTCCCGGGGGCCGGGGGCCATATTGGATTGGCCAGGGGGGATGCTGGATGGGGGGCCAGGGTCGTGAAGAAGGGCCTGGTGAGAAAAATCCAAGTTTGGGGAAAGGAGACATGGGATGAGAGCGAACGGACTGGCCCGGCACAGTGAGAGGATCCCGGACGGCGGAGGGCGGCAGCCGGGGACAGGTGAGCGAAGCCCACGCCGCGCCCACAGGTCCCGAGCGGCCGAGCGGAAGGCAGCCACGGCGGCCCGCAGCCCCTCCCTCCCTCACCCCGCGCCCTCCTCACCCAGGCAGGTCCTCCCTGAGCTGGCCCCACTGGCCCCCTGCTCCGTCGCCTCCACAGCCCACGAACCTAGTGCCCGGCTATGCGTACCCCGCCGACAGTGCGGAGACTCCACCGTCTCCGCGCCGGACGTGACGTCAAAGCGTGCAGGCCAGGAGGTGCGCCTCGGAAGCGTAGAGCTTCTAGCTCCGGCCCCCGAGGGCGGGGCCCCGCAGAGAACGGCCAATGGGATGCGGGGACGACGCCTCGCCCTGTTCTTTTGGCGCTGGGCCCGCCTCCGGAGTTGCCTAGCAACGTCAATCTGGGCGGTCAGCCTTTTCCAGGCTCTGGGTTCAGACTTGAATCCGTTACACCTCACACTCTCCCACGACAGGAGACCAGATACGCATTTCACTTCTTTATTGGCAGCCCGGAGCCTGGTCTAGGCTCTCCCAGGCGCTTACACGTCCCAACCCCAGACCGCGATGCCCAAAGACCTCCCGGACACCCCCGGCCTGCTCGACCTTCGACCCTCAGGGCAGAGAAGGCTGCCAGCCGTGCCTGCTGACCCACTGGTCAGGTGGAGCCGCAGCGCCTCGTGTAGTCCTGAATGGAGGCCTGGAAGTGCTCTGTGCTGTTGAGGTCTGGGCGGCAGAGGATCACGTAGCACTTAGGCAGAAAATACCCACCGAAGCCGCTGCTCAGGCTGCTCAGCCCAGCCATCATGTTGGCCGCAGGCAGGTACTTGCCGTCGTAGACGCTGGCCGTGGTGAAGAAGGCGATCCAGGACACGAAGTTGAAGAGCAGGCTGAAGGTGACACATTTGGCCTCGTTGTAGTTCTCTGGCAAGTCCTTACCCAGGTAGCTGCAGGCAAAGGCACTGATGGAGAGGAGGCCATTGTAGAGGAAGGCCAGTATGAAGCCCAGGGAGTTGGTCTCTGTGCACTCAAGCATCACCAGATGGGGGAAGCGCTGGTATTCCCTAGCAGGCAGTGGGGTCCACACCACCAGCCAAGTTAGACAGATAAGCAGCTGGGCCGCTGAGCTGATCATCACAAACAGGCCAGCACCGTGGTTTTGGACCCAGGCGTGGTAGAATGTAGGTACCTTGGTGGAAAACTTGAAGATGATGATTAGTTGGAATGAGCGAACTGTCAGGCAGGACAGGAAGATGGTGAAACCAAGGGCAAAGAGGGCCTGGCGTAGCAAGCACGCAGGCCTTGTGGGTTCCCCAAAGAAGCCATAGAGGCTGCCACTACCTGCTGCCAGGGAGCCCAGCATAAGAAAGCACAGGCGGCCCCCTGCTGACCTCACCACAGGGGTGTCTAGGTGCCAGGCAAACAGGCCAGCAGTCCCAAGCAGCAGCAGCAGCAGCAGCGTGTTAGCTGCCAGCAGCACCCAAGAGGTGTGCTCACGCAAAGCCAAAAACACCACAGTGCGCGGGAAGCAGGTCTGGCTTCCCTCAGGTGCCCACTCTTCTTTCCCACAAGGCTGGCATCTGTAGAGGTCTGAAAGGGAAGGCCAAGAAGGTTCCTGAGAGCCAGATGAGCAGAGTAGGAATAGGAAATAGGGGCCTGCAAGATACTGGGAGAATTGTACCAGGGCAGCTAGACTATACTAGGCATAGTGGGATGGGGGTAGCCGGGAGTGGGGCCTGAGGCCACGCATTTCCTCAAAATGCCTGTGTTAATTACAGACTCTGGAGACACACAGGTCGGTTCTGTATGGCTCATGATCCCATGAGGGTTTTGCAAACCCTAGGGAGGACCTTAACCTGGTAGCTCTGCCCACATACCAGAGAGGTTACGATCTGATGGGAGCAGCCTGCTCCCAAGGGAGGGCATTGTAACCCCTCTCTCTTGCCAGCATTTCCATGAACCACTTTCCTGAGCTGCTGCTCTGTGGTTTCTCTGAGTCCTGACCCTCTGAGGACAGAAGGGAAGTATTCCTGTCCCTACAGAGATGGTGAAAGGAAAGAATGTGGCCCCTGGACACCAACTAAGGACCTGAGTCCTTAGCTACCTAATTTGCTCTCTGTTCTTGACCTTGCATTTCTGGATGGGGAATGCTGTTTTTTTCTCTGCTGCAGACACGCTAGTATCTGTATTCAGGCCAAGCTGTTCAAGGAGCTAGCTGTCTTTGGCATGGGCAACAGAAGGGACAGTAGGACAAGAGGGCACAAAGGGAACAATAGCTATATTCATTTAGAGAAAGAGGTTGAATTCAGGATACGACTGCTTTTGTAGGAGTTGTGATGACAGCTCTCTAACAGAGGACACACCTCAGTCTAAGGCTTTCAGTTGGCTAATTCTTTCTTTCTTTCTTTTTTTTTGAGACAGAGTTTTTCTCTTGTCGCCCAGGCTGGAGTGCAATGGTGCAATCTTGGCTCACTGCAACCTCCGCCTCCCGGGTTCAAGCAATTCTCCTGCCTCAGCCTCCCGAGTAGCTGGAATTACAGGCACACGCCACAACGCCCGGCTAACTTTTTTTGTATTTTTAGTAGAGATGGGGTTTCACCATGTTGGTCAGGCTGGTCTCGAACTCCTGACCTCAGGTGATCCACCCACCTCGGCCTCCCAAAGTGCTGGGATTACAGGTGTGAGCCACCGCGCCCGGCCTCCTTTCTTTTTTTGGGGGGACGAATTCTCGCTTTGTGGTCCAGGCTGGAATGCATCTTGGCTCACTGCAACCTCCGCCTCCTGGGTTCAAGTGATTCTCCTGCCTCAGCCTCCCGAGTAGCTGGGATTACAGGCACGCGCCACCACACCCAGCTAATTTTTTATATTTTTGGTAGAGATGGGGTTTCACCATGTTGGCCAGGCTGGTCTCGAACTCCCGACCTCAAGTGATCCACCCGCCTCAGCCTCCCAAAGTGCTGGGATTACAGGCATGAGCCACCGCACCCAGTGGCTGATTCTCTTGATCAGAATTCTGTCTGGTAGCAGGTGTCCTCCAACCTGAAGCTAACTGGCAGCCCAGTGACTGGGCCTTGGTTCTGGGGCAGGGCACATGGGGCCCAAGGGAGGCCCTCCCTCCACCGTGCAGCCCCCGGGAGTGCTGGGTAGCTCGCCTGCTCCATTGCCCACTCACCACTCTTGTTGAGGAAGGTCCCAGCCCCACAGGGCACACACTCAAAGCAGCAGTGATGGAAACCCGTAACCACTCGCTGGTGCCCTTCAAGACAGTCGCTGGAACACACAGACTTAGGCACCTGTAAGAAGCCAGAGGGGCCACACGTAGGGGCCCAAGTCAAAGGACAGCTCACATGTGGAACAGAAAACAGAATCTCTGTGCATCTGCCCTCAGGGCTCACTCCCAGGGCAGGGCCCCTGGTCGTGTGAACTTCCGCCCCAGGGCATCTGCACACTCGCCTACGGAGTGTCTTCCCTGCTTCCCTGGCCAGGATGGGTAGAGTGGTGGCAGCTGGACCCCTGGGGCCCCCCTCCTGCTCCCTGTACACTGTGTCAGCATCACCCCCAGGCTCTAGGTTGCCCATAAGCCAGTTACATGGTGAGTAGCCACATCCCCATTACCTGGTTGTCCTTTCCGTGCCACTGGATTTTGGTCTCATTTATGTTTAGCTGAACTGGAGACCATGTGGAGGAACCGAGGACCGTGAAGGTCCACTTGGGTCCATTCCAGTCCCAGGCAATTATGTTATAGCTACTGAGGGGATCTCTGTTGTCATTAAACGCCACAGTGTCCTTGTGTAGAAGGAAATGCACCTTGTGGATCTGCTCCAAAAGCTGAAAGAAACGCGTATCATGAAGCCACCACAGACAGCACAGACCCACATGGTCCCAGAAGCAAGGGCCTGGGGCCTTCCTGGGTTTCCGTCCTGGTGGTTTCAGCCCATCAGGAAGGTCTCGTCCCTTCCTTCTTAGGAAGCCCCTCAATCTTCCCCACCAACCTCCTGAGAGGAGGCCTCTAACAAACACTCCTTTACAGACAGTTTTAGCCCTGGATCTTATCACTTGACACTTCCAAGACACAGTGGGTGAGAGAAGGCAAGGATCAGAGAGAAAGATCTGTCTAAGAGAAGAGAGCTAATGCCTGTAATCCCAGCACTTTGGGAGGCCGAAGCAGGAGGATCACTTGATGCCAGGAGTTCGAGACCAGCCTGGCCAACATGGTGAAACCCCATCTCTACTAAAAATACAAAAATTAGGCCGGGTGCGGTGGCTCACGCCTGTAATCCCAGCACTTTGGGAGGACGAGGTGGGCGGATGACAAGGTCAGGAGATTGAGACCATCCTGGCTAACATGGTGAAACCCCGTCTCTACTCAAAATACAAAAAAAATTAGCTGGGCGTGGTGGCGGGCGCCCGTAGTCCCACCTACTTGGGAGGCTGAGGCAGGGGAATGGAGTGAACCTGGGAGGCGGAGCTCACAGTGAGCCAAGATCGCACCACTGCATTCCAGCCTGGGCAACAGAGCGAGACTCTATCTCAAAAAAAAAAAAAAGAAAAGAAAAATTATCCAGGCATGGTGGTGGGTGCCTGTAATCCCAGCTACTCAGGAGGCCGAGGCAAGAGAATCACTTGAACCCAGGAGGTGGAAGTTGCAGAGAGCCGAGATCGCATCACTACACTGCAGCCTGGGTGACAGAGCCAGACTGTCTCAAAAAACAAAACAAAACAAAACAAAAAACCTCAAGTTAGTGGCATTTATCCCCCTTGGCATTTAGAGTGACCGGAGAGTGCCCACTCTGCTCATCTCAGGATTGGCTGTTCTCCCTGACAGGAGGTGCTGGGGTGGGCTCTCTTACCTGCCAGGGGTAGACTCGGCCCCTGGAACAAGCTCCAGAGGCACAGCCCAGGAGCTGGTGGAGGCCATGGGCCACCGCATACACAGCCCGGTATGCGTTGTAGGCAGAACTCATGGAGAAGGCTTTGAGCTTGGGCATCGTGTGTGCCATGAAAGCTTGGCATTCTCTGCAGAGCTGATTGCTGCTGCACCAGGAGCCCTTGTGGCAAGGCCTAGGGGCCTTCTTGTCTGCCCGGGCATAGGCTTCTTCAAACGCCTTCAGGCCAGGGACAGCCCTCTTCTGGATGGCCACGCCCAGCACCATCCCAATGCGCTGGATCCCGGGCACCCCAGTGATGTGCCTGGAGAGGGCCCAGGCTTCTGAGGCGACCCACACCTTGCCAGTCAGGTTGGTCAGCACCACGGACTCGAAAAACACCCTGGCCAACTGCCGGCTGGAAAAAACAACCACGACGGTGGCCCCGGCCTGGGCCAGGTGGCGCATGAGGCACTGCATCCTCTCATCGCCCACCTGGGCAGAGAAGGGCATGATGTCCTTGAAAGCAATGCAGATCCCCTGACCAGTGGCCTGGTTCTCCAGTGCCTGCACCCCTAGCTGCCCATAGTCGTCACTGCTGCCAACCAGAGAGATCCAGGTCCACCCGAACTTCTGCAGCAGCAGCACCATGGTCTCCACCTGGTACTTGTCATTGGGGATGGTGCGCAGGAAAGAGGGATACTGCCGCTTCACGCTGAGCGTCTCGCTGCTGGCCGCATAGCTAATCTATGGGAGGTCCCGTTCAGCCATTTCAGTCTCCACTGAAGGCCCCCCCAGTGCCTGGCCCTGTGCTGGGTGTGGGGATACAGGGAGCCGGGGAGACCAGGAGAGCACCCCTCAGCCTGTGAAACTGACAAATCACCTGCGAAGGCTCCACTGGGGCAGGTTCTGGGGGAGGGGTGGGAATCTGCCTGGGGACAAGGGGTGAGGGGATGCATTCCAAGCAAAGGAGACAAAACCTGCATAGGAGTGAAATAGTCCCGTGTGTTTGGGGACCTTCAGGGACTTCCACTGGAGGCAGTTTGCAAGGAAGAAGAGAAGCATGTGTAGGTCAGGGCAGAAGTTAGGTCAGTGGCCTGTTAGGAACCGGGCCTCACAGGAGGAGGTGAGCAGCTGGTGAGTAAGCGAAGCTTCATCTGTATTTACAGCTGCTCCCCTCCTGTCAGATCAGCAGCAGCATCAGATTCTTGTAGGAGCTTGAACCCTACTGTGAACTGCACATGCGAGGGATCTGGGTTGCACGCTACTTATGAGAATCTAATGTCTGATGATCTGTCACTGTCTCCCATCACCCCCAGATGGGACCATCTAGTTGTAGGAAAACAAGCTCAGGGCTCCCACTGATTCTACATTATGGTGAGTTGTATAATTATTTTATTATATTAATACATTATGGCCGGGTGCAGTGGCTCACACCTGTAATCCCAGCACATTGGGAGGCCGAGGTGGGTGGATCACGAGGTTAGGAGTTTGCGACCAGCCTGGCTAACACGGTGAAACCCCGTCTCTACTAAAAATACAAAAAAATTAGCCGGGCATGGTGGCGCGCGCCTGTAGTCCCAGCTACACGGGAGGCTGAGGCAGGAGAATGGCGTGAACCCGGGAGGCGGAGCTTGCAGTGAGTCGAGATCGCGCCACTGCACTCCAGCCTGGGCGACAGAGCGAAACTCCGTCTCAAAAAATAAAAATAAAAATAAAAATAAATAAATAAATAAATGTAATGCACTTGAATCATCCTGAAACCAACCCCTCACACACCCGTCCTTAGAAAAATTGTCTTCCACGAAACCAGTCCCTGATGCCGAAAAGGTTGGGGGCCACTGCTGTAAGCCACAGGGAGTCCCTAAGGATGTCCGCAGAGAAGTGCTATGTTCGGACTTGCATTTTTTCTTTTCTTTCTGAGACAGAGTCTTGCTCTGTCGCCCAGGATGGAGTGCGGTGGCGTGATCTTGGCTCACTGCAACCCCTGCCTCCTGGGTTCAAGAAATTCTCCTGCCTCAGCCTCCTGAGTAGCTGGGATTACAGGTGCCTGCCACCACGCCTGGCTAATTTTTGCATTTTTAGCAGAGACAGGGTTTCACCACGTTGGCCAGGCTGGTTTCCAACTCCTGACCTCATGAGCTGCCCACCTTAGCCTCCCAAAGTGCTGGGATTACAGGCGTGAGCCCCCGCGCCCGGTGCCCGGCCGGGACTTGCATTTCATGAGCGTATCTCTGACTTCAGTGAGGAATGAGTTAGAAGAAATTTAAGACTAAAATCAGGGGGAAGCCTTAGGACACTGATGGGAGAATCTAGCTGAGGGGTGATGCTGGTGTGAATTCCAGCTGTGGCTGTGGCAGTGGAAAAGGAGGCCAGAAAGGATGAAAGGTGGGGAGCAGGGCAAGGAGGAGCAGCAGTGGGCAGGACTCCAGGGTGATGGCCACTCCCTCACTACCCTCCACCAGAGGATTGGGGCTAATACAGGAAGAAAAGAGGCTTTTGTTGTGTAGGGAGGTAAGGTCAATCTGGGCCTTGCTGGGTCCATGATGTGGCAATGTTGGGCCAGCATCAGGGGCTCAGATCAGAGGGGAGGGGACTGAGAATGGGAGGTTAAACCACGAGCCCACAGCCTGCCTGGGAACTGGAAAAGGGGAGGAGAGGAGGGCGAAGCCTGCTCCGGGGAATCACCTACCTTTTCAGAGGAAGTGGGGCAAAAGGAGAGAAGAGCTGCAAGTGAAAGCCAGGTGGGGGCAGGGGGCTGAGGGGGGCATAAATTCCAAGGAAAGACTCTCATAGGAGGACTGGTCAAAAATGTCACAAAGGGCACGGTGCCTCATGCCTGTAATCTCACCACTTTGGGAGGCCAAGGCAGGTGGATTGCTTGAGCCCAGGAGTTCAAGGCCAGTCTAGGCAACATAGTGAGACCTCTATCTCTACAAAAAATACAAAAATTAGCCAGGCATGGTGGCACATGCCTGTGGACCCAGCTACTTAGGAGTATGAGGTGGGAGGATTGCTTGAGCCTGGGAGACAGTGAGACAACATTGCACCACTGCACTCCAGCCTGAGTGTCAGAGTGAGACTGTGTCTCAAAAAAAAAAAAAAAAAAAAATCACAAGTCACCTAAGATAAAGAAGGACTGCAAAGTAGGATTTGGATACCTAGAAGGTGCCCCAGCTCACAGCGAAAGCAAGAGTGGTGGGGACAGAATCGGGCTGAGGGTCAATGAGGGCAGGGAGAGGCCAGCAGGAAACTCCCATGGGAAGGGGCAGGGAGTCAGTGCTCAGGGTAGAGGGCCTGGAAGAGGGAGAGGAATGAGGGCAACCACAGGCCAGGCAGGAACCCATGGGGAAGGATCCATAAGCCAAGGAGGGGCTGTGGTCCAAGGTACAGGGCAAGAATAAGCACAGAGACAGGACTGACATCAGCAAGGTGAGGCATGTCAGCACCTCTGAGCCAGGAGGGAAGAAGGAAAGGCAGGCAGGAGAGACTGGGATGATGTGGAGCAGTCTATGGGGTGGGAAGCAAAGGGTGTCCTTTTTTGGGGGGAGGATGGAGGGGACAAGGTATCACTCTGTCACCCAGGCTGGAATGCAGTGGTGCAATCTCAGCTCACTGCAACCTCCACCTCCCAGATTCCAGCAATTCTCCTGTCTCAGCCTCCCAAGTAGCTGGGATTACAGGCACACACCACCACTCTCAGCTAACTTTTGTATTTTTAGTAGAGATGGGGTTTCGCCATACTGGCCAGGCTGGTCTCGAACTCCTGGCCTCAAGAGATCTGCCCAGCCTCCCCAAGGGATTACAGGCATGAGCCACAGCGCCCGTCCAGGATGTCCATTCCTAACAAAGGCAACGGAACCTCTGGAGGGAGGAGGGAAGTGGAGGGCAGCAGGGGTACAGCTGAGTGGCAGTAGTTCCCAAGGAGAATGGGTTTTCCCATGAGAGTGGAGGCAGGGATCTGGAAGCAGCTCTGGAAAGAGAGGAAGGCTGGGGCAGGAACCACGCTGGGCAGGGACCCCTGACTTGTGACTAAAGAGCAGTGACCACCCAAGAGATCCAGGGGGCAGGCAGCCTTGGGGGGGACAGCAGCTCTTGCCCACATGCCCCAGCCCAGACTTGCCTGAAGGGAGATGGGCAAAGGTCTGAGGCTCCAGCTTACCATGGGCACCAGGAAAGGGCTCAGCAGGGCGGCTGTGGTGGCAGCACGGTTGGTGCTGTCAGGCCCAATCACTGCCAGCACCGTAGGGGAATAGTGGAGAAGGTCTCCTTGGAGCTCTATGTGGTGTTGCCCTGGCAGGGAGAGCACTCTCAGCGTGGCATACACATTGGCAGAGTCAGAACACACATCATACAGCTGGTACCCCAGGGTGATGTTGGGCAGCAGGGCCGTGGAGTTGTTTATCTCCTCAACCCCAAGCCGCATAGCCTGGAAGAGGTGGTAGCCATGCTCATTGAAGCTACAAGACCTGTGGAGAAAGCCAGTAAGAGACAGCTGAGAAGGACAAAGGCCTGCTGAGACCCTCTGGCCTCCTAGACTCTGAGGCTTGGGAGCAAAGGGAACCTTTGAGGTCATCGGTCCAGTCCCCCAAACCACAACTTCAACAAGGGCTCTCAAGCTCAGTAGGAGGAACAAGCTGGCCCTGATGGAGAAACTTATTAGCATCGAAAAGGTCCTGAAGTCCTGGAGCAGAGAAACCTGCTACATTAGTCAGTGTTTTCCAGAGAGAGAGAGAAAGTGAGAAATTTAGTTTAAGGAATTGGTTCACATTGTGAGGGCTGGCAAGTTCAAATTTTACAGGACAGGCCAGCAGGCTGGACATTCTATAAAGAATTGATGTTACTATGCTCTTCAGTCCTAAGGCGGTCTGGAGGCAGAATTCCCTCAATTCCCTCCTTGTGCAGAAACTTCAGGCTTTTTTTTTTTTTTTTTGAGATGTGTTAGGGACCCAACCCAGCAAAGGCCCTCCGCCAAGGCAGATGTTCCCCTCGCTTTGTTTTTCTCCATCCCCTCCTTTTCTCACCACCTGCAGGCCCTCTGCCAAGGCAGATGTTCCCCAGCTGTTGTTTTTTCCCCTAACATCTGCCCATCAACCAGGATGTGGCTCTACCCAGAAACAGCCCCCACTCCCTAAAATATACTTACACCCCCTAGTCTGTAAGCCTGGGCTGCTGCCTCCTCTGATTGCTGTGGAGCAGCCCAGCAGGTTAATAAACTTGCTTGCCTGACTTTGGGTCTACTCGTTCTTTCTCTTGGCTAACCTTACATTTTGGTGCTGAAACCCAGGAATGGGTAGGCTCTGGCCGGGCATCCCCAGAGGACTCACTCTCTCTCTCTCTCTCTCTCTCTCTCCCCCTCCCTCCCTCCCTCTCTCCTCCCTGGCTGTGTGCTAGAGCCTTTCCCCCTCTCATCCCACCTCTCTCCTGGCCACCCTCCCCTTCCAGAACCTGCCAAAGACCCAGAGGATTTCTCAGACTCTCCCATTATTGGCAACCTCATTCATCATTAGAGCTTCTGCGAGGGTGAGTAAAAGAGACTCCTGCCATTTACCCAGAATCCTTGACCGTCTCTGAATTCCCGAAAGACCCAGCGCTGGGCCAAGGGCTTCCTCTGGCCTCCAGGCCTCCGGTTCCTCCATTTCAGGGACGCCTGTCTCAGTGGCTACCTCCTCTATTCCAGACAGGGCTTGCGGGACACAGGACGCCCTCTCCCACCATCCTTGTTGACCGGCAGTCTCTCCTTCCACTGCCTGCCCCACTCCATTCACCATAGGAGCTTCTCATTCTACGCTTCCTAAGACCACCCCCCTTGGGTGTCTTCTATGCAACCTCAATGCCCTCGGCCTCCATTCAGAGGTCTGTCCTAAGAAGCTGCTTTTCTACTGTAATACTGTCTGGCCTCAATACAGGTTAGACAATAGCTCCCAATGGCCCGAAAATGGCACTTTCGATTTCAATGTCCTTAAAGACTTAGACAACTTTTGCCACTGCAATGGGAAGTGGTCCGAGATTCCTTATGTTCAGGCTTTCTTCACTCTCCATAGCCACCCTTCTCTCTGCCAGTCCTGTTCTACTTTCCAAATCCTCCTTGCCCGCTCCAAACCCAACTCACCCTCTGTCACTCTTCCTACAGCCCCAGTCGATGACTCCTCTTCTTTTAACCTCGCCAATTTTCCCCATCCTCGCCACCATCATGGTCCTCCATTAAACCACCCCAATCCCCCACCTTACGTCCCCGTTCCTGTTCTGCCCCCTTCTCCCCCTCTCTCCAACCACCCTGCCTCTGACTCCGAATTTTCACCGTCTCTACCCCTTACCCATTCTCGGGCCCAACATGCCCCTCAACCAGCCTCCTCACTTCCGCTCCGGGAGGTGGCAAGAGCTGAGGAGATCGTCCGTGTCCACGTCCCTTTCTCCCTCTCCAACCTCTACCAAATTGAAAAACATCTCGGGTCCTTCTCATCTGATCCCGATACTTATATCAAAGAATTTAAATATCTTACCCAATCTTATGAACTCACTTGGCATGATCTCTACATTATCCTCTCTTCCACCCTCCTTCCAGAAGAGAAGGAAAGAGTGTGGCTTGCAGCACAGGCACATGCCGCCAATCTTCATCAGCAAGATCCTACTAAGCCCGTAGGAGCTGCTGCTGTTCCCCAGTAAGAGCCTTCCTGGGAGTACCAACCCACAGACCCCAGCCGGGCATCCCATAACCACATGATTACCTGCCTCATTGCAGGCCTTAACAAAGCTGCCCATAAGCCTGTAAATTTTGAAAAACTTAAAGAAACTTCCCAAAAGGCAGACGAAAATCCTGCCCAATTCCTTTCCCGCCTTACAGAGTCTCTCCAAAAATATACCTGCATCGACACTGCCTCCCAAGAAGGAACTATTGTTCTTTTTTTTTTTTTTTCTTTTTTGAGACGGAGTCTCACACTCTTGCCCAGGCTGGAGTGCAGTGGCGCAATCTCGGCTCACTGCAAGCTCCGCCTCCCGGGTTCACGCCATTCTCCTGTCTCAGCCTCCGGAGTAGCTGGGACTACAGGCACCCGCCGCCACGCCCGGCTAATTTTTTTTGTATTTTTTTTTAGTAGAGATGGGGTTTCACCATGTTAGCCAGGATGGTCTCAATATCCTGACCTTGTGATCCGCCCACCTCAGCCTCCCAAAGTGTTGGGATTACAGGCGTGAACCACCGCGCCCGGCTGGAACTATTGTTCTCAATACCTATTTTATCTCCCAATCTGCCCCCAACACCTGGTGTAAACTTAAAAAGGCTGAAGATGGCCCTCAAACCCCACAACAAGACCTCCTTAACCTGGCTTTCAAAGTCTTCAATAATAAGGATGAGCAAAGTAAATTAGATAGAGCCTAAAGAGATCGCGCTAAATACCAACTTCTAGCTGTGGCTATCCGTCAATCTAGCCATAGTACACAAGGGCACAAAAGACCCGATAGCAGTAATCCTCCCGGGCCCTGCTTTAAGTGCGGCAAAGAAGGCTACTGGGCAAAGAAGTCCTAATCCACGAGTGATGAAGAGCACTTGCCCAGTCTGCCAGCAGACAGGCCACTGGAAGTCTGACTGTTGTCTCAACAGTTGGACAGAAAAGCCTGCACCTCAGAATCACCTCCCCTTGAGTGAGACAGAAGGTGAAGAATTGCTTACACTCCCGCAGCTCCTTGACCTAGCCGCTGAAGATGAACGAGGCCCAGGGCCCCAGGCCCCAACTGCCAAACTGCCATCAATGCAGCAGAGCCCAGGGTAACTCTGCTAGTATCAGGTAAGCCGATCTCCTCTTTTTTTTTTTTTTCTTTGAGACGGAGTCTCACTCTGTCGCCCAGGCTGGAGTGCAGTGGCGCAATCTCGGCTCACTGCAAGCTCCGCCTCCCGGGTTCACACCATTCTCCTGCCTCAGCCTCCCAAGTAGCTGGGACTACAGGCGCACACCACCACGCCTGGCTAATTTTTTGTATTTTTAGTAGAGACGGGGTTTCACCGTGTTAGCCAGGATGGTCTCGATCTCCTGACCTCATGATCCGCCCGTCTCAGCCTCCCAAAGTGCTGGGATTACAGGCGTGAGCCACTGCGCCCAGCTGCCGATCTCCTTTTTAATCAATACCAGGGCCACCTACTCGGCCTTGCCTCAGTCTCAGTTGTGGGGATTGACAGATTCATCTCGCGTCCATGTGCCACCAGACCTCTTACTTGTTCCCTATTCAATACCATTTTCTCATAGTCTTTCTATCATGCTTCATTGACCCATCCCCATTCTAGGCTGAGACCTTTTAGCCAAATTCAAGGCTTGTATCACCTTTTCTTGCCTCCCCCAACCTGAGTCCCTCCTACTCCTCTCTGCCAGTCCAGTCCCTGACCCCTCTCCCCAGCACCCACTTCCCACCTCTCTTGTTAACCCAATAGTGTAGGATACCACCATCCCTTCCCTAACTGCTCATCATGACCCCATCAAAATCCAGCTAAAAGGCCAGGCGCGTGGCTCACGCCTGTAATCCCAGCACTTTGGGAGGCCGAGGCGGGCAGATCACGAGGTCAGGAGATCAAGACCATCCTGGCTAACACGGTGAAACCCCGTCTCTACTAAACATACAAAAAATTAGCCAGGCGCAGTGGCGGGCACCTGTAGTCCCAGCTACTTGGGAAGCTGAGGCAGGAGAATGGTGCGAACCTGGGAGGTGGAGCTTGCAGTGAGCCGAGATAGCGCCACTGCAGTCTGGCCTGGGCAACAGAGCGAGACTCCATCTCAAGACCCCTCCAAATTCCCCAACATCCCCCAATACCCCATTTCTCTAACCCACCAAAAGGGTCTACAGCCCATCGTAAACAAGCTCTGCTCACGTGGTCTTCTTTGACCAACACACTCTCCTTGTAACACCCCCATCCTCCCCATTAAAAAATCAGATGGCTCATATTGACTCGTTCAAGACCTCCAAGCCATTAATCAGGCAGTCCTCCTATTCACCCTGTAGTCCCTAACCTCTATACACTTCTCTCTCTGATCCCCTCCAGTACCACCCACTACACTGCTATTGACCTAAAAGATGACTTCTTTACTATTTCCCTACATCCTGATTCCCAAAACCTCTTTGCCTTCACCTGGACTGACCCTGACACCCTCCAATCACAGCAACTCATAGGGACTGTCCTTCTCCAAGGCTTCAGGAATGGTCCTCATTTCTTTGGGCAAGTCATAGCCCAAGACCTCACCTCCTTAGACCTTTCCCCCAGCCGTCTTCTTCAATATGTGGATGACCTCCTCCTCTGTAGTCCTTCCCTAGAAGACTCTCAGACTCACACTATTACCCTTCTAAACTTTCTTGCTAACAAAGCATATGGGGTCTCCCCCTCCAAAGCACAACTCTCCACCCCAACAGTAACATACTTAGGAGTCCAACTCTCCCCCGGGGCCCAAGCCATGACCCTGGCATGGGTAGCCTTAATAGACAGCCTACCCCCACCCTCCTCTAAGAGTGAAATTCTCTCTTTCTTAGGAATGCAGGCTTCTTCAGAATATGGATCCCCAACTTTGCCCTCCTAGCCAGCCCCCTCTATGAAGCAGCCAAAGGCTCTCTAAATGGGCCTCTAAATTCTTCTCACAACATAATCCCCAGCTTCCACAAACTTAAAACCGCCCTTGTGAATTGCCTGAACCCAGGAGTCGGAGGTTGCAGTGAGCTGAGGTGGCGCCACTGCACTCCAGCCTGGGCAACAGAGCGAGACTCCGTCTCCAAAAAGAAAACAAACAAACAAAAAACGCCCTTGTAACCGCTCCTGCTCTATCTTTGCCTGGCATTTCTCAGTCCTTCACTCTCTACACAGCTGAGAACCATGGAATAGCCCTTGGTGTCCTTGGCCAACAAAAAGGAAGCCCTCCTTCTTTTGCTCCTGTAGCTTACCTTTCTAAACAACTATACAATACCACTCGAGGATGGCCAACTTGCCTCAGAGCTCTAGCAGCAGCGGCCACCCTAGCCTTAGAAAGCAAAAACCCAACATTCGGTCAAGACACCACCGACAGCCCACATAATCTATAAGATCTTCTTTCCTCCCGAGCACTAAGTGCCCTTTCTCCATCCCGCATCCAACCACTTCATGCTCTCTTTCTTGAAAACCCTGAGTTCTGTCTCTCCAAAAGTGCTCCCCTTAACCCTGCATCTCTAATTGCAGTATCTTCCTCTCCTCCCACCCACTCCCGTACTGAGATGCTTAATCACCTGCAGTCTAATTTCCCTAATATCTCCCATGAACCTCTCCTCAATCCTGAAGTTATTCATAGAAATTCTAACATCTCCTCACTAATCCTTCCATATCGGTGCGTGCCCCCTGTACCTACTCCTTCACCCTTATTTCTCCTCCCCCCACCTATTCACCGCACTAAGAGACATAACCTCCAACTGTCGTATATTCTGTTACTTCCTCCCAAGCGGCGCTCCGCTCCCCCCATCCCTACACATCAGCTCAGAGGAACACTCCCAGGGGAGGACTGGCAGGTAGACTTCACCCACTTGCCTCCCGTCAAGAGGACAAAATTTCTTCTTACTCTTATAGACACCTTCTCTGAGCGGGTAGAAGCATTTCTGACCTCTTCAGAAAAGGCCGCAGTAGTCGCCCAAATTCTTATAGCAGATATCATCCCTAGATTTGATCTCCCTTGCTCCATACAATCAGACAATGGCCCTAGCTTCATCTCCCAAATCACCCAACAGGTTTATCAGTCCCTCAGCGTCCAGTGGCGCCTCCATATCCCATACTGAACCCAGTCATCAGGAAAAGTTGAAAGGGCAAATGGCATCCTTAAAACTCAGTTAACCAAACTCACTCTTGAAGTCCAGAAACCCTGGACCTCCCTTCTGCCCATAGCCCTAGCCCGCACCAGAGCCAGCCCAAAAGCACCCTCCTTCCTCAGTCCATTTGAGTTAACGTATGGACGCCCTTTCCTCTTACAAAACAGGCCCCCTTCTAACTCTCAGCTAGGAGAATACCTCCCAACACTCTCTCTCATCCACCATCTTCTCCACGAACAAGCCGACCAGGCCCTCCCAAAACCCCATGAAGCCTCCACGACCAGACTCTCCTTCTAGGAGAACATGTCTTCTTAAAAACTCTTAACCCAACCAGCCCCAGGTCTAAGTGGGAAGGCCCTTTCCAAGTCATCCTCACAATCCCCACCGCAGCCAAACTCTCAGGACATGCTTCTTGGTACCAACTTTCTAGATTAAAAAGGGCTCCTACGACTAGTCTGCCTACAAGTGACCCACCCGCCGCCTTCCGCCGATTCTCCAGTTCCCTCCTTGGCCCAACTAAACTCTGCCTCATGCCCGTCCCTAAAGGAGACCCTTAAACAATACCCAGACTCCTCCTTCTCCTCCTGACAATCCCAAGTACATTCCTGATTTCTCTCAAATGCCCTGTTCCTGCCTACCTTGCCACTTCACCCTCTTCATCCTCTCCGTTTGCCAAGACATCTCCTGGTTTCAGCCCCAAATTCCCACTCTCGACTCTCTTTTAGAGTGGATAGATGACCTCCCCTTTCAAGGCACCCTGTGTGACTTTTCCCCAGATGAAACACACTTATTTACTTTCCTACTTACTCTTTGCCTATCTACCGCTCCTAATCCCTTGGCTGCCCCACGTAGCCACACCTCCCCTTTCCAATAGTACCCAGCTACCTCTACAAGACCCTTAGCTTAACTCCCTCCCCACTAAACCAGCCCAACCCCATCCTAGCAGAAGACTGCTGGCTCTTTATCTCCCTATCAACTACCACCTATGTTGCCACCCCCATTCCCTCAAAAGACTGAGTTCTTACTAAGTTAAACTGTCACCCCCGTTATGAAGGAAAAAGCCCCTTACAACTTTTAGACATGCAGTCATTGGCTAAATTTTCTATCATAGATACGACAGAAAACACTCTGACACGGCGCATAGTACAACTTTTACGCTCCTATATCTCCAGCCTTACCCAATATACAAGTAATGACAAGCCCATTCACGGCCCTGTGGCCGCCGGCACCGGTCTGACTTTCCAAGCCCCTGTGTGTATCCAATGCAACCTGCCCTCAGGTCTGACTTTAGGTCACCTACTGTCCCATCAATGTAACCATACCTTACAGCTTCAAGCCCCAAATGACCACCAAAATTTTAAGGTCACCCAAACGGCCCAATTTAAACAACTCATCCACTTTTCAGGACCCCTAAAAGTCACCACCAGCTCTTTACTAAACAATCAAGATTTTGTAATGGCAGACATACAGGCTGTATGGCCATTCACCCATGGGCCTCTTGCAGCACAGCTCCCCTCCCTGCCAAATGCCTCCTTATACCCTCTTTCAATTACTCTTCCAAATGGCTCCTGGTAGACACAAAACGATTCTTGCTCCAGTGGGAGAATAAAACACGAGGAGCCTCTCCAATTATCCCTGCAACTCCTTTTCAGCCACTCACTGGAGCCGCCTTAGCAAGCACCCTAGGCAGGTGGGAGGATGAAAACAATAAACTCACGTGCTTTTTCAATATACATAACCAGTTCTCTCTGCCCAGCCAAGGTACATTTTTCTTGTGTGGAACCTCAACCTATGTCTGCTTCCCTACCAATTGGACTGGCACCTGCACCCTAGTCTTCTTAAGCCCCAAAATTGACATTGCCCCTGGAAATCAGAGTTTACCAATCCCTATTAAAGCTCAAGTCCGTCAACGCAGAGCCGTACAGCTAACACCCCTGCTTATAGGACTAGGAATTACCACCGCAACAGGAACAAGGATAGCAGGCTTGTCTGTTGGGAGAAAAGCTGAGTGTTGGGAGAGGAGCTGAGGCAGGGTTTGCATGTCTGACATAATGTAAAAGAGTCTTGGAACATGCCCAGGGTCCAGGGTCTAAAACCCCCGTGGCCTGGGCAGGCGCGGTGGCTCATGCCTGTAATCCCAGCACTTTGGGAGGCCGAGGCGAGTGGATCACTAGGTTGGGAGATTGAGACCATCCTGGCTAACATGGTGAAACCCCATCTCTACTAAAAATACAAAAAATTAGCCTGGCGTGGTGGCGGTCGCCTGTAGTCCCAGCTACTTGGGAGGCTGAGGCAGGAGAATGATGTGAACCTGGGAGGCAGAGCTTGCAGTGAGCCGGGATCTCGGCATTACACTCTAGCCTGGGCAACAGAGTGAGACTCCGTCTCAAAAACAAACAAAAAAACCCTCCTGGCCTTTGGAGTGTGTCTAGACTTGCTGGCTCCTTGCTTCTAGCACTCCCATTATCTCAAGTAGCCATATGTTTCAAAGAAAATGCTAAACCGGCACAGCTGCAGCTCAGTCACTTGATACAGTGCTTCCTTTCAACCCCCACATCCTCACCACCTGTTTCTTTGTTTGATCACCAATAAATAATGTGGGCTCCCAGAGCTGGGGGCCTTCACAGCCTCCATACTACAGTTGGCCCCCTGGTCCCACTTTCTCTTTTGTCTTTTCTTATTCCTTCAACTCCACTGGACCTCGTAGCCCCCACGGCCTGGTGTTGGGCCTGATCACCCCAACCCTTGTCCACCTCTCTGTCCTACTATCACGGTCTCTCAAAAGATCTCTTGGACAGCCTGTAAGACAGCTGAATCCATCCTTACTCTCCAATCCCAAATAGACTTTTTTTTTTTTTTTGAGACGGAAACTCGTTCTGTTGCCCAAGCTGGAGTGCGGTGGCGCGAGCTGGGCTCCCTGCAAGCTCCGCCTCCCAGATTCAGGCTATTCTCCTGCCTCAGCCTCCCAAGTAGCTGGGACCACAGGCACCGCCCACCACCATGTCCAGCTAATTTTTTTGTATTTTTAGTAGACATGGGGCTTCACCATATTAGCCAGGATGGTCTTGATCTCCTGACCTCATGATCAGCCCGCCTCTGCCTCCCAAAGTGCTGGGATCACAGGCATGAGCTACCGTGCCCGGCCCCAGATAGACTCTTTAGCAGTAGCGTCACTTCAAAACTGTTGAGGTTTAGATCTCCTCACTGCCGAAAAAGGTGGACTGCGCATCTTCTTAGGAGAAGAGTGCTGTTTCTATACTAACCAGTCAGGACTAGTACGAGATGCTGCCCAACGGTTAAATGAAAGGGCTTCTGAAATCAGGCAGCGCCTTTCAGACTCCTGGCCCCAGTAGTTTTGTAACCCCTAGGCACCCTGGCTAATGCCCCTCCTAGGCCCTGCCATAACCCATTTTCTCCTTTTAGCATTTGGCCCTTGCCTCCTACATCTCCTTACCCAGTTTTTACAGGACCATATTAGAGCCTTCACCCATGGGACAGTACAAGACATGATGCTACTTCAAGAACAACCATCCCAACCCCACAGCCTTTCTCCATAAACATCGCCCCTCTTTTTTTTTTTTTTTTTTTGAGACAGAGTCTTCCGACTCTGTCGCCCAAGCTGGAGTGCAGTGGCATGATCTCGGCTCACTGCAAGCTCTGCCTCCTGGGTTCACGCCATTCTCCTGCCTCAGCCTCCCGAGTAGCTGGGACTACAGGCGCCCATCACCACGCCCAGCTAATTTTTTTTGTATTTTTTGTAGAGACGGGGTTTCACCGTGTTAGCCAGGATGGTCTCGATCTCCTGACCTCGTGATCTGCCCACCTCAGCCTCCCAAAGTGCTGGGATTACAGGCGTGAGCCACCACGCCCGGCCAACATTGCCCCTCTTTAGCTAGAAGCAGTCAGAAGGCAATGACACCCCCTCTCTATTACCTATTAAAGGATGGAATGTTAGGGACCCAACCCGGCAAAGGCCCACCGCCAAGGCGGATGTTTTCCCCACCCCTTGTTTTTCTCTGTCCCCTCTTTTTTTCACCATCTGCAGGCCCTCCGCCAAGGCAGATGTTCCCCAGCTGTTGTTTTGCCCATCGACCAGGAAGTGGGTTTACCCAGAAACAGCCCCTAGGCGCCCCTGCTCCCTCCCTAAAATACACTTATACCCCCTAGTCTGTAAGCCTGGGCTGTTGCCTCCTCTGATTGCTGTGGAGCAGCCCAGCAGGTTACTAAACGCTTGCCTGACTTTGGGTCTGCTTGTTCTTTCTCTCGGCTAACCTTACAAGATGGAGTTTCGCTCTTGTTGCCCAGGCTGGAGTACAACAGCATGATCTCGGCTTACGGCAACCTCTGCCTCCTGGGTTCAAGCGATTCTCCTGCCTCAGCCTCCCAAGTAGCTGGGATTACAGGCATACACCACCATGCCTGGCTAATTTTGTATATTTAGTAGAGAGGGGGGTTTCTCCATGTTGGTCAGGCTGGTCTTGAACTCCTGAACTCAGGTGATCTGCCCGCCTTGGCCTCCCAAAGTGCTGGGATTACAGTGAGCCATTAGCACCCGGCTTTTTTTTTTTTTTTTTTTGAGACAGAGTTTCACTCTTGTTGCCTTGTTGTCCAGGCTGGAGTGTAATGGCAGGATCTCGGCTCATTGCAACCTCCACCCACCAGGTTCAAGTGATTCTCCTGCCTCAGCCTCCAGAGTACCTGGGATTGCAGGGGTGCACCCACACGTCCAGCTCATTTTCGTACTTTTAGTAGAGACGGGGTTTCACACGTTGACCAGGCTGGTCTTGAACTCCTGACCTCAGGTGATCCATCCGCTTCGGCCCAGGTGATCCACCTGCTTCAGCCTCCCAAAGTACTAGGATTACAGGCGTGAACCACCTCGCCCGGCCAAAACCTCAGGCTTTTTTTTTTTTTTTGAGAGGGAGTCTCGCTCTGTCGCCCAGGCTGGAGTGCAATGGTGTGATCTCTGCTCACTGCAACCTCCACCTCCAAGGTTCAAGCAATTATCCTTCCTCAGCCTCCCAAGTAACCGGGATTACAGGCGCCTACCACCACGCCCAGCTAATTTTTTTGTATTTTAGTAGAGACAGGGTTTCACTGTGTTGCCCAGGCTGGTCTTGAACTGCTGAGCTCAGGCAATCCACCCACCTCAGCCTCCCAAAGTGCTTGGATTACAGGCGTGAGTCACTATGCCCAGCTCAGGTCTGTTGATTTAAATGTTTACTACATCTAAAAAATAGCTTCAGGCTAGGCACGGCGGCTCATGCCTGTAATCCCAGCACTTTGGGAGGCTGAGGTGGGTGGATCACTTGAGGCCAGAAGTTCGAGAGCAGCCTGGCCAACATAGTGAAACCCTGTCTTTATTAAAAGTACAAAAATTGGGGCCGGGCGTGGCGGCTCACGCCTGTAATCCCAGCACTTTGGGAGGCCGAGGCGGGTGGATCACGAGGTCAGGAGATTGAGACCATCCTGGCTAACATGGTGAAACCCCGTCTCTGCTAAAAAAATACAAAGAATTAGCTGGGCGTGGTGGCGGGCGCCTGTAGTCCCAGGTATTCCGGAGGCTGAGGCAGGAGAATGATGTGAAACCAGGAGGCGGAGCTTGCAGTGAGCCGAGATCGCGCCACTGCACTCCAGCCTGGGCGACAGAGCGAGACTCCATCTCAAAAAAAAAAAAAAAGTACAAAAATTAGCCGGGCATGCTGGCACATGTCTGTGATCCCAGCTACTTGGGAGGCTGAGGCAGGAGGATCGCCTGAATCTGGGAGGCAGAGGTTGCAGTGAGCCAAGATCGCAGCAGTTGGCTCCAGGCTGGATGACGGAGGGAGACTGTCTCAAAATATATATATTTTTTTTTAGACTGAGTCTCGCTGGAGACTCTAACCCAGGCTGGAGTGCACGATCTCGGCTCACTGCAACCTCTGCCACCCCGGTTCAAGTGATTCTTGTGCCTCAGCCTCCCAAGTAGCCAGGATTACAGGCACCAGCCACTAAGCCTGGCTAATTTTTGTATTTTTAGTAGAGGCGGGGTTTCACCATGTTGGCCAGGCTGGTCTGGAACTCCCAACCTCAAGTGATCTGCCTCCCTTGGCCTCCCAAAGTGCTGGGATGACAGGCATGAACCACCACGTTCGGCCAAAATAAATAAATTAAAAATACCTTCATGGCAACAGCTGGACTGATGTTTGACTACACAACTCTAGGCACTATAGCCTAGACAATCTGACACGCAAAATTCACCACCACGGCTCACACCTATAATCTTAGCACTCTGGGAGGCCTAGCACTGTGAGAGGACTGCTTGAGCTCAAGAATTTGAGACCAGCTTGGGCAATGTAGTGAGACCCTGTCTCTATAAAAAATTTAAAAAATTAGCGGTAAGTGGTGGCATATGCCTGTAGTTCCAGCTAGTAAGGAGGCTAGGGCCTCACTGAGGCCCAAGCAAAGCTGCAGTGAGCTATGATTGTACCACTGGACTCCAGTATGAGCAAAAGAGGAAGACCCTGTCTCAGAAAAAAAACAAAAACAAAAACAAAAACTAACCACTACACCTGCTTAACCTTGTTTAATTAGTGCTTCTCACCAGGACACTTATGAATGTGTTGAGGGCCTATATGCCTTATCACCCCTACTTCAGCAACTCCTGTCTGGAGCCCACCAGGAATGAGCCAGGGACAGGATTCAGCCCCGTTTAAAGAGCAGGCTAAGCCAGGTGCAGTGGCCCATGCCTGTAGTCCTAGCTACTCAGGAGGCTGAGGATGGAGGATTGCTTGATCCCAGGAGGTGGAGACTAGCCTGGACAACATAGTGAGATCCCAGCTCAAAAAAACTTTTTTGTAATGGCTGGCCCAGTGGCTCACCTAGAATCCCAATGCTGTGGGAGGCCCAGGCAGGAGAATCACTTGAGACCAGGAGTTTGAGACCAGCCTGAGCAACACAGTGAGACCACCTTCTCAACAAAAAATTAAAAAATTAGCCAGGAGTGGTGGTGCATGCCTGTAGTCCCAGCTACTTGGGAGGCTGGGGCAGGAGAATCACTTGAGCTTCAATGAGGCCCAAGTAAGGCTGCAGTGAGCTATGATTGCACCACTACACTCCAGCCTGGGGGAAAGAGCAAGACCTCATCTCTATAAATAAACAAATAAACAAACAAATACATAAAGTGTGCTAGCCTGTTCCATTTTCCAGCCTCTTGCTTGTTAGAAGGTCTTCCATGGTTTCTACCACTTCTGTCCCGAGTCTCTCAACGGAGGGTTCGTGCCTCCTGCCTGAGACAATTCTTCAGGTATCTGAAGCCGGTTTTCATGTCTTCCCTCCTCCTGCTCTACCCAATCTCTCTTCCCAGCCCATTCTCTTTATCTCTTTATCCAGGTTTCTAGCTGTAGCCCTTCGAGTAGGTCGTCATACACTAGATTTCCAGAAACTTCTTCCTGAGCCAACCATCTCGTGTGCTTCATGGGTAGGACATCCTGCAGCCAAGCCTCGGCAGCATTCTTGGGCCTCTGGGTCTGTGACTTCCACAGTCTGCAAGCAACTGTCTTCGTCTTTTTTTTTTTTTTTTTTTTTGAGATGGAGCCTCGCTCTGTCGCCCGGGTTGGAATGCAATGGTGTGATCTTGGCTCACTGCAACCTCCACCTCCGGGTTCATGCGATTCTCCTGCCTCAGGCTCCTGAGTAGCTGGGATTACAGGTGCACACCACCACACCCGGCTAATGTGTTGTATTTTATGTAGAGACAGGGTTTCACTATGTTGGCCAGACTGATCTTGAACTCCTGACCTCGTGATCCGCCTGTCTCAGCCTCCCAAAGTGCTGGGATTACAGGCGTGAGCCACTGTGCTCGGCTGCAACTGTCTTCTTTAAAAGAAAAGCAGGCCGGGCGCGGTGGCTCAAGCCTATAATCCTAGCACTTTGGGAGGCCGAGGTGGGCGGATCACCTGAGGTCGGGAGTTCGAGACCAGCCTGACCAACATGGTGAAACCCCTGTCTCTACGAAAAATACAAAAATTAGCTGGGTATGGTGACACATGCCTATAATTCCAGCTACTCCCGAGGCTAAGGCATGAGAATCACTTGAGCCCAGGAGGAGGAGGTTGCAGTGAGTCAAGATTATGCCACTGCACTCCAGCCTGGATGACAGACTGAGTCTCCATCTCAAAAAAATATAGATAGATAGATAGATAGATAGAAATAAAAGAAAAGCAGTAGTTTCCCTCTACCTAGATTGTTGACTTCATGATGGCACCAACCTAATTTATATTTGTCAAGCTCCTAAAGCATCTAATGGGATGTGTCTTCCCTTCCCACCCCATGAAGAACCATGGAGAATCCTACTTGTCATCTGGGACTCTAGGGAACTTTGAACATGGGTAGGAGTGGAGAGAAGATAGAAGAGGGAAAAAGCGGCTGGGCGCGGTGGCTCACGCCTGTAATCCCAGCACTTTGGGAGGCCGAGGTGGGCAGATCACGAGGTCAGGAGATCGAGACCATTCTGGCTAACACGGTGAAACCCCGTCTCTACTAAAAATACAAAACATTAGCTGGGCGCAGTGGCGGGTGCCTGTAGTCCCAGCTACTCGGGAGGCTGAGGCAGGAGAATGGCGTGAACCCGGAAGGCGGAGCTTGCAGTGAGCTGAGATCGCGCCACTGCAGTCCCACCTGGGTGAAAGAGCGAGACTCCGTCTCAAAAAAAAAAAAAAAAAAAAAAAGAAGAGGGAAAAAGCTGCCCTTGCTTAGGCCTGGCCACCTAGGTATGGTACAAAGCCAAGAACCAATTTCAATGAAGTTACAATACAACACATTCTAACAGCAAGGGTGAAATAATTGGAAACTGGCCGAAGTGTCTAGGAAGGTCTAGCCAGCACTTAGGTGGCAAGTGGATTGATGAACAAGGCCTGGGGACAGTTCAAGGGGCAAAGGCAGAGGCAAGGTCCTGTTTGGAGGATGGCAGCCAGAGGGGCCCTATAGCCAGGGGTCCCACTAAGTGTGGCTCTGCTGGCCCCTCACTCACCTGTCACACAGGGTCACCTCGGGTCTGTGCCTCACCTGCAGACAGCCAGAATGGAGAGGGAACAGGCCTGCCAGGAGGTAATCTCCGGGGAGGGTGAAGTCAGGAGAAGACTCCGTGCTATGGCAGGCAAAGGCCCAGCAGCAGGAAATGAGAAGCTGCAGGCCGACCAGGCGAGCCGTGCAGAGCAGCATGCTGGCCAGATGCCCGCGCCTGGCATGGCCAAGGAGTGGCCTCTAAGGAGGCCAGTTGCTTAAATAGAAGGCAGCTGCCGGATGCTTCCTAACTTCAGGCCCCCAAAAGGGGTGGGACTGGAGCCCAGTGGCTGAAGCAGGACTGTTTGCCTTGACATTCCGGGCCTGCGGTCCCACTCAGGAACTGGGCAGGACGAAGGCACAGATGCAAACCAGGTGGCACCCAGTGACCCTTCCTCTGGACGGTTGTGGGTTCTGTCCACGCTCTGTGACTTCACCTGGCTTAGAAAAGGAGCTCTGGCATTTTGGGGCGAGGTGGGAGGCTGGAACACAATTTCTCCGGGTGTTGCGAGGTTTCAGAACTTTTTACCTGGGCCTCAGTTTACTAAATGAGACACAGCTTTGAGTCGACACCCCCCTGCCCCAGTCTCCAGTTTTCTGACATTAAGATTCTGAGCAAATTGTCATATACTTTCGCCTTGTTACCCAGGGTTGCTCACTTCGAAACAAATGCATGCAAACCGAAGGTATGCAAATAGACATGTTTTGTTTAAACTGCCAATCCTAAAGCTTTTTCTGCAGGAGAAAAAAAATATCCCGGTGTTTTTCCGGAGAGGTGGCCCATGGCTGGTCGCGAGGTTTCTGGCTTTCTCTCTCCGGCCGGCTGGGGTAGGGAATTTGCGTAACGTAAATGGAGTCCTCCGTGGAGCCCCTCGACCAGATCGGCTGGAACCTCCTAGTGTGCTTCCGGAGGTTGCCGGCAGAGGGCGCCGGCGGCTCGGAGGCCCCTCTTTTCGGCAGCTGGGAGGGCAGCGGGGCGGACCGACGGGATCTCGCGAGATTCTCGCGCGGTAGGCCCTGAGGACCCAGCATGGCGGACTCGGGACTGCTGCTAAAGCGGGGTTCCTGCCGTTCCACTTGGCTGCGGGTCCGCAAGGCCCGGCCCCAGCTCATCCTCAGCCGCCGGCCCCGCCGCCGGCTCGGGAGCCTGCGCTGGTGCGGTCGGCGGCGCCTACGGTGGCGGTTACTGCAAGCCCAGGCGTCCGGCGTGGACTGGAGGGAGGGAGCCCGCCAGGTGTCGCGCGCGGCGGCGGCCCGGAGACCCAACACCGCGACCCCCAGCCCGATCCCTAGCCCGACCCCGGCCTCCGAACCCGAGTCCGAACCCGAACTCGAATCCGCCTCGAGTTGCCACCGGCCTCTCCTCATCCCACCGGTGCGGCCCGTGGGCCCCGGCCGCGCGTTGCTGCTGCTGCCGGTCGAGCAGGTAGGTGGGGGGCGCCGGTAGTAGTCCCCGAGGGCAGGGAGGGCTGGAGAGGCAGCCCCGGGAGAGCTGCAGGGTAGGAGAGGACCGTGGTCCCCCGGGCCTGTTCTCTGGCTGCCAGTCGGATTCAAGTCCATCCTCTTGATGGTTGGTGGCAACTAGGCTCCCCTGAGCAGCAGGGTAACAGGTACCCTGCTAAGGGGTCCCTAGGCCTTACGAGCTAAAGGGACTTTATTTTGTTTTGTTTTCTTTCTTTCTTTTTCTTTTTGAGACAGAGTCTCACTCTGTCCCCCAGGCTGGAGTGCAGTGGCACAATCTCGGCTCACTGCAACCTCCGCATCCCGGGTTGAAGCGATTCCCCTGCCTCAGCCTCCGGAGTAGTTGGGACTACAGGCGCGTGCCACCTCGCCCGGCTATATTTTTTGTATTTTTAGTAGAAACGGGGTTTCGCCATGTTAGCCAGGATAGTCTCGATCTCCTGACCTTGTGATCCACCCGCCTCGGCCTCTCAAAGTGCTGGGATTACAGGTGTGAACCACCGCACCTGGAACTCTGAAAGGGATTTTAATAGTTAAAAAAAAAAAAGGTTGCAATTACTGAGAGCTCAGAAATTCCAGGATTTAAGGGTTCCAAAAGTGTTTTAGGCTTTGAACCCATTTAAACATCCAGCTCTCTTACGGAGTAGTTGTCCCTCTCTCTAAGTGTTTACAGACGAGGAGACTGAGGTTGGGTAACTTACACAGTAGAGGGAGAGCTAGGAGTCGAACTCAGGCAGCCTGATTCTTAACGTGGATGCCATTCCTGGAGATTCCCTGTCTAATGCAGGAGGGAAGGCAAAACCCAGGAAGTTCTGGAAGAGACTTGGCAAGCTGTGGGTCTTTAAAAGGACAGAGTGGTAGAGTCTGTCTGAACCAGGAGCACAGAGCCGAGTTCACGGTCACCATGCTTTCTCTGTAGCTGCCATGGGGTATGATCTTAGTTTAAAAATATAAAGTATGGGCCAGGCGCGGTGGCTCAGGCCTGTAGTCCCGGCACTTTGGGAAGCCGAAGCTGGCAGATCATCTGAGGTCAGGAGTTTGAGACCAGCCTGACCAACATGGTGAAACCTCATCTCTACTAAAAATACAAAAATTAGCTGGGCATGGTAGCACACGCCTGTAATCCCAGCTACTCAGGAGGCTAAGGCAGGAGACTTGCTTGAACCCGGGAGCTGGAGGTTGCAGTGAGCCAAGATCACGCCATTGCACTCCAGCCTGGGCGACAGAGTGAGACTCCGTCTCGAAAGAAAGGAAGAAAGGAAGGAGGGAGGGGAAAAGAAAGAAAGGAAAAGGAAAAGAGAGAGCTGGGCACAGTGGCTCACGCCTGTAATCCCAGCACTTTTGGAGGCTGAGGTGGGTGGATCACCTGAGGTAGCGAGTTCGAGACCAGCCTGGCCAATATGGCGAAACCCTGTCTAGTGGCTCACGCCTGTAATCCCAGCACTTTTGGAGGCCTAGGTGGGCGGATCACCTGAGGTCAGGAGTTTGAGATGTGGTGGCACACGCCTGTAATCCCAGCTACTCTGGAGGCAGAGGCAGGAGAATTGCTTTAACCTGGGAGGTGGAGGTTGTGGTAAGCTGATACTGTCCCAAAAATAAATAAATAAATAAAAATTAAATAAAATTAAAAAATTTAAAAGGCTGCAGCCATAAAAAGGGATGAGATCATGTCCTTTGCAGGGACTTGGATGGAGCTGGAAGCCGTTATCTTCAGCAAACTAATTCAGGTACAGAAAATCAAATATCGGCCGGGTGTGGTGGCTCACGCCTGTAATCCCAGCACTTTTAAGTTCCAGGGTACATACGCAGGGTGTGCAGATTTATTACGTAGTTAAATGGGTGCCTTGGTGGTTTGCTGCACAGATCAACACATCACCTATGTATTAAGCCCAGCATCCATTCTTCCTGACGCCCTTCCCCAGACCCCCACAGGCTCCAGTGTATGTTGTTACCCACCATGTATCCATGTGTTCTCATGGTTCAAATCCCACTGATAAGTGAGAACATACCATATTTTGATTTTCTTTCTTTTTTTTTGAGATGGAGTCTCGCTCTGTTGCCCAGGCTGGAGTGCAGTGGCGCAATCTGGGCTCACTGCAAGCTCCGCCTCCCGGGTTCACGCCATTCTCCTGCCTCAGCCTCCCGAGTAGTTGGGACTACAGGTGCCCGCCACCACACCTGGCTAAGTTTTTTGTATTTTTTTTAGTAGAGACGGGGTTTCACCGTGTTAGCCTGGATGGTCTTGATCTCCTGACCTTGTGATCCACCCGCCTCGGCCTCCCAAAGTGCTGGGATTACAGGCGTGAGCCACCACACCCGGCCGATATTTGATTTTCTGTACCTGAATTAGTTTGCTGAAGATAACGGCTTCCAGCTCCATCCAAGTCCCTGCAAAGGACATGATCTCATCCCTTTTTATGGCTGCAGCCTTTTAAATTTTTTAATTTTATTTAATTTTTATTTATTTATTTATTTTTGGGACAGTATCACTGTCGCCCAGGCTGCAGTGTACTGGCATGATCTCAGCTCACTGCAGCCTTTGCCTCTGGATTCAAGCGATTCTCATGCCTCAGCCTCTGGAGTAGCTGGGATTACAGGCACATGCCCAGCTAATTTTTGTAATTTTAGTAGAGATGGTGGTGGCGGGGGTGGGGTGCAGGGGGGTTTGCCATGTTATCCAGGCTGGTCTCAAACTCCTGGCCTCACTCAAGTGATCCCCCCACCTCCTTCTCCCAGAGTTCTGGGATTACTGGCGTGAGCCACCGTGCCTGGCCCAATACTTATTACTGATGGAGTGGAGTGGTGTAATTACGGTTCACAGCAGCCTCTACCTCCGAGACTCAAGCAGTCTACCCACCTCAGCCTCCCAAGTAGCTAGGACCACAGAGGCATGCCACTGCACCCTGCTAATTTTTAAATGTTTTGTAAGGAGAAGTCTCACTCTGTTGCCTAGGCTGATCTTGAACTTCTGGGCTCAAGTGATCCTCCTGTCTCAGCTTCCCAAAGTGTTGGGATCACAAGCATGAGCCACTGTGCCTGGCCTTACCTGCCTTTTGATGTGTGAATAGCAAGTTAAGATTTTAGAATTTGGCCAGGTGCGGTGGCGCACGCCTGTAATCCCAGCACTTTGGGAGGCCGAGGTGGATGGATCACCTGAGGTCGGGAGTTCAAGACCAGCCTGACCAACATGGAGAAACCCTGTCTTTATTAAAAGTACAAAATTAGCCGGGCGTGGTGACACTTACCTGTAATCCCAGCTACTAGGGAGGGTGAGGCAGGAGAATTGCTTGAACCTGGGAGGTGGAGGTTGCGGTGAGCCGAGATTGTGCCATTGTACTCCAGCCTGGGCAACAAGAGCAAAACTCCATCTCAAAAAAAAAAAAAAAAAGATTTTAGAATGTTTCAGTCATTAGTGACATGATCTATAATGTTTTTTCTGTTTTCTCTCCCTGCTAGGGTTTTACTTTTAGTGGGATCTGTCGTGTGACTTGCCTCTATGGCCAGGTGCAGGTATTTGGTTTTACCATCAGCCAAGGCCAGCCTGCCCAAGACATCTTCTCTGTGTATACCCACTCTTGCTTGAGTATCCATGCACTTCACTACTCACAGCCTGAGAAAAGCAAGAAGGAACTGAAAAGGGAAGCCCGGAATTTGCTCAAATCTCATCTTAACCTTGGTAATGAAAAGAACTGGGTAATTTACTGAGGGCCTACTGTAATAAGGCTAATTCATAATTTTTAGGGCCAGGCGCGGTGGCTCACGCCTATAATCCCAGCACTTTGGGAGGCCAAGGCGGGCGGATCATGAGGTCAGGAGATCGAGACCATCCTGGCTAAGATGGTGAAACCCTGTCTCTACTAAAAATGCAAAAAATTAGCCAAGCGTGGTGGCAGGCGCCTGTAGTCCCAGCTACTCGGGAGGCCGAGACAGGAGAATCGCTTGAACCCGGGAGGCGGAGCTTGCAGTAGGCCGAGATCACGCCACTGCACTCCAGCCTGGGCAACAGAGCGAGACCCCATCTCAAAAAAAAAAAATTATTTTAGATGCTTACTATGGTCTAGGCAGTGTGCTAAGGACGTTGTGGTATCTATATAAACCCTTACGAGGGTCCTGAGAGTGAAAGTACTATTGTTATCACCATTTTACTGACAAGAAAAATTGTTCAAGGCCACAGAATTATTATGTGGCAAACCTCGATTGACTTCTCCTCCCAGATGTGTTCTTAGTATGTAGTACGGCCCCCTGAAAAAGGCTCTCAACCGTAATTCCTACTCTCCTAATGTTTATAGTTTAGCCGAGGAGATGGCAGTCCTAAAGGGCGTGGAATGTAATGAAGTTACTGCTTCTAAGGTGGTTTATTTTTCTCTTTACAGATGACAGGCGTTGGTCGATGCAGAATTTTTCTCCTCAGTGTTCCATTGTGTTGCTAGAACATCTGAAAACTGCCACTGTAAACTTCATAACCAGCTATCCGGGTTCATCCTACATTTTTGTGCAAGAGGTAGAACCCGTTTTCATTCAGAGTTTTGCTAATTACTTGCACCAAAACAGTGATTTCAAATGACTATGTAGGATGTTGTCTTGGAAGAACAGTTGGTCTATCTAGTGCTCTCAGTCCTACAGAATGTAATACGTGTATACGGAAACTATTATAGAAAGGTGTATCGTGAAAAATGTTCATCCTCCCCTCCTTAGTTTCATACCTGAGCCACCATTTTATATCGTAGTTGGTTAAGTGCTTTTTGGGTTTTTATTAACACCATGCTCCAGCCCTGCTTTTTTGGTTGGTTGGTTGGTTGGTTGGTTCGTTTTTTTGAGACGGAGTCTCACTCTGTCACTCAGGCTGGAGTGCAGTGGTGCGACCTCAACCTCACTGCAACCCCGCCTCCCAGGGTCAAGCAATTCTCCTGCCTCAGCCTCCCGAGTAGCTGGGATTACAGGCGCCTGCCACCATGCCCGGCTAATTTTTGTTTTTTTGTTCTTTGTTTTGAGATGGACTCTCTCTCTGTTGCCAGGCTAGAGTGCAGTGGTGTGATCTCTCGGCTCACTGCACCCTCTGCCTCCCGGGATGAAGTGATTCTTCTGCCTCAGCCTCCCAAGTAGCTAGGACCACAGGTGCATGCCACCATGCCCAGCTAATTTTTTTGTTTTTAGTACAGACGGGGTTTCACCATGTTGGCCAGGTTGGTCTCAAACTCCTGACCTCAGGTGATCTGCCCACCTCTGCCTCCCAAAGTGCTGGGATTACAGGTGTGAGCCACCATGCCTGGCCTTTTTTGGGGTTTTTAATGGTTGTCTTTATATTTCAGTTTATTAATTTGAGATAATATAAATTGTCTCTAAACTATGAATGAGTAGTTTAAATGAACTTATATTTTCTTTTATCTCTTTCCTTACCTCTAATTTTTAACGAGTCTTAATTTTTATTAGTCAAAAAGGCTTCATTTTTTATTTAGCTTTCTGACTCTGTGCTTGTGCCTTCAGCACTTTTACAATGATGTTCTCCTCCTCGAGAAGGAAAGCACGCTTGATCCTGTCCTGAACACGTTTAGCACGCATGGAACCACCGTAGGCTCTGCTGACATGGTTTTTGTTTTGGACAATCTCTTAAGAACTTTAGGTCTTGGCGGGGCGTGGTGGCTCACGCCTGTAATCCCAGCACTTTGGGAAGCTGAGGTGGGCAGATCACTTCAGGTTAGGAGTTCAAGACCAGCCTGGCCAACATGGCAAAACCCCATCTCTACTAAATATACACAAAATTAGCAGGGCATGGGGCATGCACCTGTAATCCCAGTTACTCCAGAGGTGAGGCGGGAGAATCGATGGAACCTGGGAGGCGCAGGTTGCAGTGAGCTGAGATTGCGCCACTGCACACTCCAGCCTGGGAGACAGAGTGAGAATCCGTCTCAAAAAAAAAAAAAAAAAAAAAAAAAGAACTTTAAGTCTCATGGCACGGACCCCTCGAAGCCTGCCTGGGCCACGCCAATGCAAATTTTGGTGTTTTCCCAACCTTCTTGGTACAGAGACAAACAATTTTATTACCAGGGGTTCGGGACAGCCTAGTTTTGTTAGAGCCTGTATTGTAGGAAGCCTATGACGGTGTATTGTAGGAAGCCTATGATGATGTATTGTAGGAAAGCCTATGACGGTGTGTCAAATGCTGGACCATTCTCACTTCGTGTAGACAACGTCCCAAGAAGAGAGCTTTTATTTTTATTTTTGAGATAAAGTCTCTGTTGCCCAGGCTGTAGTGCAGTGGCAGGAGCTCAGCTCACTGCAGCCTCAACCTTTCCGGGCTCAGGTGACCCTCCCACCGGGGCCTCTCAGTAGCTGGGGTTACAGGTACACGCCATGACTCCCGGCTAATTTTTGTAGTTTTTGTAGAGATAGGATTTTGCCATGTTGCCCAGGCTGGTCACGAACTCTTGGACTCCAGCAATCCACCTGCCTCCAAAAGTGCTGAGATTACAGGTGTGAGCCACCGTGTCTGGCCTCACCTCTAAATTTTTGCTGACCGTATTATTCATTTCCTTAAGTTCTTTTTTTTTTTTTTCCATTTCCTTAAGTACTATTACTATAATTGTCTCCCATGGGCCAGTAGGTGGAGTCTAATCTCCAGGATTGGCAGACAGACTGGATATGTGAGGGGTGAGGAAGAATCAAGGAATCACAGCAGGTTTTTGGCTTAACGACTGGGGTGCATGTAGTTGCCATTAACTGGGATGGGGTCACTGCAGGAGGAGTGGGTTTCCATTTGTTAACCTTGAGATGCCTGGTAGACATCAGCTGGACATGTCAAGTGGGCAGTTGAATATGTGGGCCTGGAGTTCAGGGAAGAGTTTGGAGGTGTAAATATGGGAGCCTTCAGCAGAGAGGATACCCAGGCCACCAGATGCGATAATAATGCTGATGGAGTTGAATAGATAGAAACAAGATGGTTCCAGCTCTGAGCCCTGGGGCACTCCAAGAAGAGGTCCAGGCAAAGATGAGGGAGCAGCAGATAGTCATCGGTTTTGGTGGAAAACCCAGTGTGTGATGTCCTGTAGGTCAGGAAGTCTTTAAACGAGAGTTAACTGAACAGCGGTGGCGAAAGCTGCTGGTGGTCAGGTGAGACCTGAGAAAGCGCTGGCTGTAGAGGCCGGGAAGTAGCCTGATTGGAATGGGGTCAAGAGCCTGGGCGGAGAGGGACTCACAGGCTTAGTAGTAAAGTATTTTGCTTTGGTAGAAGTTAGCTGTAAAGGGAAGAAAAGAAATGAAGCACTAGTTGCAGGGATAAGTATGATCAGGAGAGTTTTGTAATTTTGTTAAGATGGATGAAAAAAACATGCTGGAACATGGCAGATGGGAATGATCCAGAGGAAGGGGGAGGTAACCATGCAGCAGAGAGAGGAGAGGCTGCTGGAACTATGTAAGTTGGCTACCAGGGATGGGTCCGGTTCTGGCATCATGTGGCCTTAGGAGCATAGCCAGGTCATTCATAGTGGCTAGAGGAAGTCCCTTGGAGAGGGCCAGAGGAAGTAGAAGTTGTCCTCTGATTATTTCCTGCTGCACTGGGAAATGAAATCAAGGTCGTCACTGTGTGGGAAGCAGATAGATACGAGGTGGGTGTGGGGAATTTGAAGTGAAAGGAGAGAAGAAATGAGAGTGGGACAGCGAACGGACTGTTGTGATTGCCTTTTAGTCTTTTGCAGAGTCCAGTAGCTGGACCAGGACTGCAGAGGAGGAGATGGAATTGCCTGTTCTCAAGCCTTGGTTACTGAAAGTGAATGTTCCAGATGCTATGGGGCAGCCACATTCTTTTTTCATTTATTTTCAGCTTTATCTGTTTTTCTGGGACTTCACCACCACTGTTCATATTTCTTATGCTCTTTCTTGGATACTTCCCTCCCTATCCCACCCTCTGGATGTGTCAGTAGATTCTGGAGTTGTTTTTTCACATAAGGGAGATAGTAAACTTGATTATCTAATTTTGTTAGATATTCTTGATTTGCCCTCAGTGATTGATAATTGCACACAGTGTAGAATGGTTGGTTCAACAGACTTTTTTCTCAAATTGTTGAAGGCCTTGTTCTGTTGTTTTCTAAGATCCAGCATTGCCGATAGGAAGCCTCACACTAGGCTGCTTCTCTTTTTTTTTTTTTTTTTTTTTTTTGAGACACAGACACAGTCTCCCTCTGTCGCCCAGGTTGGAGTGCAGTGCCACAGTCTTGACTCACTGCAACCTCCACCTCCTGGGTTCAAGCGATTCTTGTGCTTCAGCCTCCCAAGTAGCTGGGATTACAGGCGTGCACCACTGCGCCCAGCCTGCTTCACATTTCTTTATGGTATCTTTATTTTCAGTGTTGATGAATTGCAAGAGGACGGGGCCCTTCCTTCATCCTCTTCTGTGGTGAGCTGGTTCCAACTGAGCCTTACCTGCCTCAGCAAGGGCCTGCTCTTCCTTTCCTTGGGTTGCTTTCCCAGTCCTGGACTTCACAGACCTGTCTTCTCCCTCCTTTCAACTCTGTTTGCATATGTTCTGTCCGTGTGTTTTTGCTTTATGTTTTCAGAGGTTGCCTTGACTTGATTCTACATCACTCACCTGGTCTAGAGCCAGGGCCTCCTGCTGAATGTTTCCTGTGCAGTCATGTCTTACCAGGCATTTTCTTTTTCTCTGGAGTCTCCTGCGGAGGCAGTGAAGGCTCGAGAGAAAGCAGAAACTGAAAATAGACGTGGATAACTTCAGGAATACAGTTGGCAACACTTGTTGATGGGTTGGATTTTGGGGCAGGAGACAAAGGGAGGAAACAATTTATCTTCTCTGGCTCACAACTGTGTGAGGCTTGATTAATTTAGTACTGAAGAAAAAAATATGCATTTTTTCACCTTAAAGTTTAAATTGTTGATTTCAGAGTCCAACTCCCCAGATTAAACCTGAATATTTAGCCTTGAGGTCTGTTGGCATCAGAAGAGAGAAAAAAAGGAAAGGCCTTCAGTTAACTGAGAGTACCCTTTCAGCCCTGGAAGAGTTAGTCAATGTTTCCTGTGGTGAGTAATACACATTGATCACCCTGAATGTCTGTCCACCAGACCCCCAGAGGAAGATTAGTCATAATTCGAGTCCAAGGAAGACGGCTAATTCTAGCGATCAATGTTTGTTTCCCATTCAGAAGAAGTAGATGGCTGCCCTGTCATTCTAGTTTGTGGATCCCAGGATGTTGGAAAGTCAACATTTAATAGATACCTGATTAACCATTTGTTAAATAGGTAAGAGTGCTTTTCTTATGGCTTTGACACATTGCTAGGTTTTTGTCATGAAGTGGGATTTTTGATTTGGAGGGAATGCTTCTTGGCTTCTAGCTAGAGATTACATACAGGTCTAAAGCTGCCCAGCTGAAGCATCTGGTCCTCACTGCCGTCTGCTTTGCAGTATGTGACAATGCTCTAGCGTAGGCTGACTTTGCCTTACCTGCAGGCAGACTTCCAAGAGGAGACACTTGGTCTCAGAGTCTGTATTTATAAGTTCTGGGGTGGGGGGCGGGGGGGGGGTGCGTGTGTGCGTGCGTGTGTGTGTGTGTGTTTTCAGACAGGGTTTCCCTCAGGCTGGAGTGCAGTGGCACAGTCATACCTCATAGTCTTGAACTCCTGGGCTCAAGTGATCCTCCTGCCTCAGCCTCCTGAGCAGCTGAGACTACAGCCATGGGCCACCATGCCTGGCTAATTTTTTTATTTTTGTAGAGATGAGGTCTTGCTATGTTGCCCAGTCTGGTCTCAAACTCCTGGGAATTTTCGCTTAATTTTTTTTTTTTTGAGACCGGGTCTGACTGTGTTGCCCAGCAAAAAGTGTAGTGGCACAAACAGGGCTTGCTGCAGCCTTGACGTCCTGGGTTCAAGCAGTCCTCCCACTTCAGCCTCCCACGTAGCAGGGACCACACTAGCGCACCACCACACCTGGCTAGTTGTTTGTTTTTGAGACAGAGTTTCACTCACCCAGGCTGGAGTGCAATGGCATGTTCTCTGCTCACTGCAACCTCCGCCTCCCAGGTTCAAGTGATTCTCCTACCTCAGCCTCCCGAGTAGCTGGGATTACAGGCGTGCGCCACCATACCCGGCTAATTTTTGTATTTTTAGTAGAGACAAGGTTCCACCATGTTGGTTAGGCTGATCTCGAAATCCTGACCTCAGGTTATCTGCCCGCCTTAGCCTCCCAAAGTGCTAGGATTACAGGCGTGAGCCACCATGCCCGGCCTCTGGCTAATTTTTTTGTTTGTTTTGCTTTTGTAGACAGAGGATCTTGCCATGTTGCCCAGGCTGGTCTTGAACTCCTGGGCTCAAGCAATCCTCCTACCTTGGCCTCACAAAGTGCTGGGATTACAGATATAAGCCACCATGCCAGATCTGAAATTTTACCTTTACAACAACAACAGAGGTGGGTTATGGTGGCTTACATCTGCAGTCGCAGCACTTTGGGAGGCAAAAGTGGGAGGCTGGCTTGAGCCAAGGAGTTCGAGTCTACAGTGAGCTATGTCACACCATTGCACTCCAGCCTGGGCAACAGAGTGACACTGTGTCTCTAAATAAATAAATAAATAAATAAAGCCTGGGCGCAGTGGCTCACGCCTGTAATCCCAAGCCTTTGGGATGCTGAGGCGGGCAGATCACGAGGTCAGGAGATCGAGACCATCCTGGCTAACACGGGGAAACCCCGTCTCTACTAAAAATACAAAACATTAGCTGGGCGTGGTGGCAGGCACCTGTAGTCCCAGCTATTCGGGAGGCTGAGGCAGGAGAATGGCGTGAACCTGGGAGGAGGAGCTTGCAGTGAGCCGAGATGGTGCCGCTGCACTCCAGCGTGGGCGACAGAGCAAGACTCTGTCTCAAAAAAAAAAAAGAAAAAAAGGCTGGGCACCGTGGCTTCTGCCTGTAATCCCAGCACTTTGGGAAGCTGAGGTAGGAGGATTGCGTGAGCCCAGGAGTTTCGGACCAGCCTGGGCAACGTAATGAGACCCTGTCTCTACAAAAAATTTAGAAATTAGTCAGGCATGGTGGCATGTGCCTGTGGTCCCAGCTACTTGGGAGGCTAAGGAGGGAGTATTGCTTGAGCCCAGGAGGTCGAGGCTGCAGTGAGTTCTGATCACTGCACTCCAGCCTGGGTGACTCGGTGACACCCTGTCTCAAGAAAAAATAAACTTATATGAAAAATGGCTGAGTGTTAGCTCATGCCTGTAATCCCAGCACTTTGGGAGGCCGAGGCAGGTGGATCACTTGAGTTCAGGAGTTCAAGACCAGCCTGGCCAACATGGTGAAACCCTGTCTCTGCTAAAAATACAAAAATTAGCTGGGCACGGTGGCTCATGCCTGTAATCCCAGCACTTTGGGAGGCTGAGGCAGGCGGATCCCAAGGTCAGGAGATCGAGACCATCCTGGCTAACACTGTGAAACCCCGTCTCTACTAAAAATAGAAAAAATTAGCCGGGCGTGGTGGCACATGCCTGTAATCCCAGCTACTTGGGAGGCTGAGGCAGGAGAATTGCTCAAGCCCGGGAGACGGAGGTTATAGTGAGCCAAGATCGCGCCACTGCACTCCAACCTGGGCGACAGAGCAGGACTCCATCTCAAAAAAAAAATTCAGCTGGGCTCAGTGCCTCAGGCCTATAATCCCAGCACTTTGGGGGACCGAGGTGGGCAGATCACGAACGAGATCAGGAGATCGAGACCATCCTGGCTAACATGGTGAAACCCTGTCTCTACTAAAAATACAAAAATTAGCCGGGCATGGTGGTGGGTGCCTGTAGTCCCAGCTACTCCGGAGGCTGAGGCAGGAGAATGGCATGAACCCAGGAGGTGGAGCTTGCAGTGAGCCGAGATTGTGCACTGCAGCCCAGCCTGGGCAACAGCGTGAGACTCCATCGTAAAAAAAAAAAAAAAATCTGAAAGAGCAAGTTGTTATCCGTGTTACAAATGGACATTGTGACCATGCCTGCACTGCGTTTCTCTGGACTCGTTTTTAAACAGCGATTGTCATCTTGAGGCTTCACTTCTAAAGTGCTGTGTGTGGTGGATTATGCCTGCGTGTCACATGAAATCTTTACTGTGTGATTATCCTTTCTACTGAGTAAAGCTAGTTAGGATTTTCTTTCTTTTTTCTTTTTTAAAAATTTGCAGTCTTCCCTGCGTTGACTATTTGGAATGTGATCTGGGACAGACAGAATTTACCCCTCCTGGTTGCATTTCTTTGCTTAATATTACAGAACCAGTTCTGGGTATGTATTACATATTTCTCAAATGTCTTGGTTTTATGAAATTCATATGTGATGATGCTAACAAAAACTCAGAAATCGAAGAGTATAAAATATTAAAAGGGAACATGCGCCTACCAAACTCATGGTCTTTCCATAACTTGTTCCTCTAACCTCCAAAAAACAAACTATGGTGCTTTCTCATTTTAGGAAATGGAACTGCTACTCATTTTGTTTTATGAAATTAGTTGGGTATGGTGGCAAAAATTATTTTGTTTTATGTAAATTAGAAACACATGTTTCCCTAATTTCAACATCTTATGTACAACTATCGAGACTAAGAAATTAATACTGAATCAATACTGTTAATCAGGCTGCCTGTGGTGGCTCACACTTGTAATCCCAGCACTTGGGGAGGCTGAGGCTGGTGCATCACCTGAGGTAGGGAGTTCGAGACAAGCCTGGCCAACATGGGGAAACCCCATCTCTACTACAAATACAAAAATTAGCTGGGCATGGTGGTGCACGCCTGTAGTCCCAGCTCCTCGGGAGGCTGAAGCAGGAGAATTGCTTGACCGGGAGACGGAAGTTGCAATGAGCTGAGGTCAAGCCACTGACTCCAGCCTGGGCGGCAGAGCAAGTCTCCATCTCAAAACCCAAAAAAACAAAAATTAGCTGGGTTTGGTGGCACGTGCCTATAGTCCCAGCTACTTGGGACGCCGAGGCAGGAGAATCGCATGAACCCAGGGGTGGAGGTTGCAGTGAGCCAAGATCATTCCACTGCACTCCAACCTGGGCAACAGAGTGAGATTCTATCTCAAAAAAAAAAAAAAAAAAAAAAACGCTGTTAACCAGTCTACAGATTTTATTGAAAATTCACCAGTTATCCACAGTTCTACATCACTTAAAAAAAATAATATGTTATCCTTGTGCGGGGCCCATTGCCAGTCTTCTCTGTATCATTCCAGTTTTTTAGTATATGTGCTGCTGGAGTAAGTACCACCTTGCTTGCTTTTTTTTTTTTAAGATGGAGTCTTGCTCTGTCACCTAGGCAGGCTAGAGTGCAGTGGTGTGATCTGTGCTCACTGTAACCCCCGCCTCCTGAGTTCGAGCTATTCTCCTGTATCAGCCTCCTGAGTAGCTGTGACTGCAGGCGCACGCCACCATGCCCAGCTAATTTTTGTATTTTTAGTAGAGACAGCGTTTCACCATGTTGGCCAGGCTGGTCTCGAACTCCTGACCTCAGGTCATCTACTCACCTCTGACTCCCAAGTTCTGGGATTGTAGGCATGAGCCACTGTGCCTGGCCACAACTTTTTTGTTGTGTTTGCAACGTGGTGAGACCCTGTCTCTACAAAAAATTTAAAAATTAGTCGGGTGTGGTTTTTTGTCATCCCAAAATGAAAACTGTACTCATTAAAGAATAACTCTCGGCTGGGCTTGGTGGCTCATGCCTGTAATCCCAGCACTTTGGGAGACCAAGGCGGGTGGATCACGAGGTTAGGAGATCGAGACCATCCTGGCTAACATGGTGAAACCCCGTCTCTACTAAAAATACAAAAAATTAGCCAGGCGTAGTGGCGGGCGCCTGTAGTCCCAGCTACTTGGGAGGCTGAGGCAGGAGAATGGCATGAACCCAGGAGGCGGAGCTTGCAGTGAGCTGAGCTCTCACCACTGCACTCCAGCCTGGGCGACAGAGCAAGACTCTGTCTCAAAAAAAAAAAAAAAAGAATAACTCTCCTTGGGAGGCTGAGGCAGGAGAATCGCTTGAACCCGGGAGGGAGAGGTTGCGGTGAGCCGAGATCTCACCACTGCACTCCAGTCTGGGCAGCAAGAGCAAAACTCTGTCTCAAAAAAAAGAGTAACTCCCTTAACTCCCTCTTGTCCTCCTCTTGTCCTCTTTCCTAGCCCCTAGAGACTTCACCTCTGTTCTACTTTTTGTCCCTATGAATTTGGCTATTCTCATGTAAGTGGAGTCACACAATACTTATCCTTTGTCTGGCTTATTTCACTCAGCATAGTATTGTCAAAATCCATCCATGTTGTAGCATGTATCAAAATTTAATTCCTGGCCAGGTGCCATGGCTCACACCTGTAATCCCAGCACTTTGGGAGGCCAAGGCCGGCAGATTGCTTGAGCCTGGGAGTTTGAGACCAGGGTAGCATGGTGAAACCCAGTCCCTATTAAAAAAAATACAAAAGTTAGCTGGGCTTGGTGGTCCATGCCTATAGTCCCAGATATTTGGGAGTCTGAGGCAGGAGGATCACTTGAACCTGGGAGGTAGAGGCTGCAGTGAGCTGAAATTGCACCATTACACTCCAGCCTGGGTGACAAACAGTGAGATTCTGCCTCAATAAATAATAATAATAATAATTCTTTTTGATGGCTGGATGTTATTCAATTGTATGTGTATATCACATTTAGTTTATCCATTCAGCTGTTAAGGGACACTTGGCTTCTTTCCACATTTTGGCTTTCGTGAATAATCCTGCTATGAACATGGGTATTCAAATATCTCCTCCATATCCTGCTTTCAGTTCTTTCAGGTGTATACCGAGGAGTGGAATTGCTGGGTCTTATGGTAGTTCTGTGTTTAATGTTTTGAGAACTGCCAAACTGTTTTTCACAGTAGCTGCATTTTACATTCCCAGCAGCAATGCACAAGAGTTCTGATTTCTCCGTATCCTCACCAATGCTTATTTTGATTATAGCTGTCTGAGTTTGTGTGAAGTAATGTCTCATGTTGGTTTTCATTTACATTCCCTTAAATGACTAATGATGTTGAGCATGTACTTATTGGCCATTTGTATATCTTCTTTGGAAAAATGTCTGTTCCAGTCCTTGAATATTGCTTGTGTGTTTTTTTTGTTCGTTTGTTTCTGAGACAGAGTCTTGCTCTTTCGCCCAGGCTGAGGTGCAGTGGCGTGATCTCAGCTCACTACAGCCTCCACCTCCCGGGTTCAAGCAGTTCTCCTGCCTCAGCCTCCCAAGTAGCTGGAACTACACCACGCCTGGCTAATTTTTGTATTTTTAGTAGAGATAGGGTTTCACCACATTGGCCAGGCTGGTCTCGAACTCCTGGCCTCAGGCGATCCACCTGCCTCAGCATCCCAAAATGCTGGGATTACAGGCATGAGCCACCACACCCAGCCTGCTTGTTTTTTTGTTTTTTGTCTGTTTGTTTTCCTTTTTGAGACGGAGTGCCGAGGCTGGAGTGAAGTAGTGTGATCTCAGTTCACTGCAACCTCCGCTTCCTGGGTTCAAGTGATTCTCCTGCCTCAGCCTCCCGAGTAGCTGGGATTATAGATGCCCGCCACCATGCCCAGCTAATTTTTGTATTTTTAGTAGAGATGGGGTTTCACCATGTTGGCCAGGCTGGTCTCGAACTCCTGACCTCAGGTGATCCACCTGCTTGGCCTCCTAAAGTGCCTGGATTACAGGCGTGAGCCACGGCATCCGGTCCCAGCCTGCATGTTTTTGAATTGGATTGTTACTTTTTGTTGAGTTTAGTAGTTCTTCGTATTAATAGTAGTTCTTTATATTAATCCTTTATGAGATGTACAATCTGCAAATGTTTTCTCCTGTTCTGTAGGTTGTTTTTTTGCTTTCTTGACAATAACCTTTGATGCACAGTTCTTAATTTTGATGAAGTTCAGTGTATCTATTTTTTCACTTGTTGCCTATGCTTTTGGTGTTACATCCTTGAAATCATTACTAAATCCAATGTCATCATGATTGTCTCTAATGTTTTCTTGTAAGAGCTTTATAGTTTTTAACTTTTTAAATTTTTTTATTTTTAAATTTTTCAGCCTGAATTTGTTTGTTCAGTTTTTACTCTTTTTTTTTTTTTTTTTTTTTTTTGAGATGGAGTCTTGCTTTGTCGCCCAGGCTGGAGTGCAGACGGGGTTTCACCGTGTTAGCCAGGATGGTCTCAATCTCCTGACCTCATGATCCACCTGCCTCGGCCTCTCCAAAGTGCTGGGATTACAGGTGTGAGCCACCGCACCCAGCCCAGTTTTTACTCTTAAGTTTAGGTTTTTGATCCATTTTGAATTAATATTTTCATATAGTGTAAGGAATTGGTCCAGCTTCTTTCTTTTGAATATAGATATTGAGATTTTCCACCACCATTTGTTGAAAAGACTATCTTGAAGATTGTTTGATCTTATATGTATGGGCTTATTTCCTGGTTCCGTTTCTGTTTCATCAGTGTACATGTCTGTCCTTGACCCAGTATCATATTGTTTTAATTACTATAGCTTTTCGGTAAGTTTTGAAGTCAGTACAAGTGCCTTACCCATTTTTCAGTTGGGTTATTTGTTTTCTTGCTGTTGAGTTTCTTGTGTTCCTTACATATTTTGGATATTAACTCTTTATCAGATGGATGATTTACAGATGTTTTCTCCCATTCTGAGGGTTGTCTCTTTGGAATTTTTTCCTTTGTTATGCAGAAGCTTTTTAGTTTGATGCCATCTCATTTGTCTGTTGTTAACCTTTGTTTTCGGGGTCATATCCAAAAAATTGTTACCTAGACCAGTGTCATGAAGCTTTTCCTCTAGTAGGTTTACAGTTTCAGGTCTTAATACTTAAGTCTTTATTCCATTTTGAGTTGATTTTTGTATATGGTGTTTGATAAGGATATCTAGTATCCTTCTTCTCCCCGTGGATAACCAGATTTCCCGGCCTTATTTATTGAAGACTGTCCTTCCCCCTTGTTTTGTTATTAGCACCTTTGTCAGAAGTCAATTGGCTGTAAATGCAGTGTTTATTTCCAGGCTTTCTATGCTGTTCCATTGGGTGATATGTCTTTTTTTATGCCATTACCGTGCTTGGTTTTTGAGAGAGACAGTGTCTCACTCTGTCACCCAGGCTGGAGTGCATTAATTAGCACAATCATAGCTCACCGCAGCCTTGGATTCCTGGAATCAGGTGATCTGCCTTAGCTTCCCAAAGCACGGAGATGGCAGAGCCACCATGCCTGATCCTGCCATGCTGTTTTACTTAAAAATTAATTTAAAAATATTTATTTATTTATTGAGACCGGGTCTTGCTCTGTCACACAGGCTGGAGTACAGTGGCGTAATCACAGCTCACTGCATCCTCCACCTTCTGAGCTCAGGCTAGCCTTGCAGGTAGCTGGGAAAACAGGTATGCACCACCAAGCCTAACTCCATTTTTTTTAGACTTTGTAGAAACAGGGTCTCCCTATGTTGCCCAAGCTGCTCTCAAACTCCGGAGCTCAAGTGATCCTCCCACCTAAGCCTCCCACAGTCCTGAGATTACAAGTGTGAGCCACTGCACCTGGCCTTATTTTTTCCTTTGAGACAGGATCTCAGTCTGTCACTGAGGCTGGAGTACAGTGGTGTGATCATAGCTTACTGCAACCTCAAGCTTCTGGGCTGAAGGGATCCTCCTACCTCACTTTGAGTAGGTAGGATGACAGCTATTATTAGCCACCACACCTGTCTAACTTTTATTTTTTTATTTTATTTTATTTTATTTTATTTGAGACGGAGTCTCGCTCTGTCACCCAGGCAGGAGTGCAGTGGCGTGATCTCGGCTCACTGCAAGCTCCGCCTCCTGGGTTCACGCCATTCTCCTGCCTCAGCCTCCCGAGTAGCTGGGACCACAGGTGCCTGCCACCACGCCCGGCTAATTTTTTGCATTTTTAGTAGAGATGGGGTTTCACCACTTTAGCCAGGATGGTCTCGATCTCCTGACCTGGTGATCCATCCGCCTCAGCCTCCTAAAGTGCTAGGATTACAGGCGTGAGCTACCGCACCCGGCCCACACCTGGCTAATTTTTGAACAATTATTTGTAGAGGCAGTGTCTCACTTTGTAGCCCGGTCTGGACCATGCTCTTTTAATTATAACTGCTTTTGAAGTCAGAGAATGTGATACCTCCAACTTTTTTTTTTTTTTTGAGATGGAGTTTCGCTCTTGCTGCCCAGGCTGGAGTGCAATAGCACGATCTCGGCTCACTGCAACCTGTGCCTCCTGGGTTCAAGCAATTCACCTGCCTCAGCCTCCCAAGTAGCTGGGATTACAGGCACCCGCCACCATGCCTGGCTAATTTTTTGTATTTTTAGTAGAGGTGGGGTTTCACCATGTTGGCCAGGCTGGTCTCGAACTCCCGACCTCAGGTGATCCACCTGCCTTGGCCTCCCAAAGTGCTAGAATTATAGGTGTAAGCCACCATGCCCAGCTGACCCTGTCTTAAAAATAAACAAAAACAAGAAAACTTGGCTCTCATTATTCTGAACACATTAATTTATGTGTACAATATCCCTATGTATAAGCAGCCGCTCTGCCCTGCCGGCCACCTCCTAGGACCTGTCTGTCTACTGAGCTCCTCTTACGTCCTAGGTCCTGACTGCACCCTTGGCCTGGGCTCTCCAGCTGTACTGACCCTGGCTACTCCATGGCTCCATCCTTTTTTGAGCACTGTCTTAACTTTCAGGAAAAACAGGAAGTTCTGGGGTCATCTTTCACTTTCTCTTCCATAGCCTTGGAATGAGCTATTTTTCCAGAGAGCCCTGGCTCCTTTTCATGGAGAGAGATTGAAACCAGAGTTTCAGTACTGTGCACGCTTGTTGCCTCTGGTGTGTTATTGTTTCTAGATCCCCTCAGTGCACAGAGCTAGCATATATTGCATATTTAAACCCAAACATACATATGTATATGTGTATGTATGCATATAGATCTGTACTTCTGTAGATACCTTTTCTATCTGTCTCATTAAAACCAGGCACGGTGCTTCATGCCTGTAATCCTAGCACTGTGGCAGGCCGAGGCAGGCGGATCACTTGAGGTCAGGAGTTTGAGACCAACTTACTTGGCCAACATAACAAAACCTCATCTCTACTAAAAAAGTCCAAAAATTAGCCAGGTGTGGTGGCGAGTGCCTGTAATCCCAGCTACTTGGGAGGCTGAGGCAGGAGAATCACCTGAACTCGGGAGGTGGAGGTTGCAGTGAGCTGAGATTGCGCCACTGCACTCCAGCCTGGATGACAGAGTGAGACTCTGTCTCAAAAAAATAAAAAGAAAAAAGAGAGAAAGAGAGAGAGACAGAGAGCCATGAGTTTCCGACTCATCCGATTCTGGCTTAACACCCCAGGGGTCACTCTCGTTAGCCTTCTTCACTTTCATATTTGTAAGTTGGTTCTCTGGTGGGAAGAAACCTGCCTATGATTATTTACAATATATTTGCATATTTGCTCAGTCTTCTCTGAACTATACAGGCCACTCCCTCTGCTGCTGGCTACCCCACATCCCTGCCCTTACTGGCCCCAACCTTGAAAGGAGCCTCGCTGGCTGAATTCGCAGCTCCCATCATAGTGGCCACTCTGACGGTTGAGTGGCCTTGCTGCAATCACACTGACCCAGGCCATCTCCCTTCTGACCCTGTCACACACAGTCCTGGTCACTGGCCTGCTGACTGTGCAGACCCTGCCCTCATTGAACTGCTCAGCTCCCTGTCCCTGGCCAGAGGAGATATGTCATGATTAGGAGTGTGAACGCAGGAGCCGGCCCCTCTGGGTTTAAACCAGCTTGCTGTTTACTGACTGGCTGACCTTGTTCAAGTTGATCTCTTTCCCAATTTCCTCATCTGTAAAAATGAGGATACTACTACCTGCCACAGGGTTATGAAAATTAGAGGCTCTTGGCTGGGCATGGTGGCTCACGCCTGTAATCCCAGCACTTTGGGAGGCTGAGGTGGGTGGATCACCTGAGGTTGGGAGTTCAAGACCAGCCTGACCAACATGGAGAAACCCCGTCTCTACTAAAAATACAAAATAAGCCGGGCATGGTGGCACATGCCTGTAATCCCAGCTACTTGAGAGGCTGAGGCAGGAGAATCGCTTGAACCTGGCAGGCGGAGGTTGCTGTGAGCCAAGATCGCACCATTGCAGTCCAGCCTGGGCAACAAGAGTGAAACTCTGTCTAAAAAAAAAAAAAAAGAAAGAAAATTAGAGGCTATATGTGAAGGGCCTCTTAGAACAGAGTCATTGCTGTATTGCTATAAGACACACATGGCTATTCATTGCCCTTTCATTGGGATAGAAGCCCTGTGAGGGTGGGGATGTTTGTCTGTTTTGTTTACAGATATGTCCCAAATCACTGGAACAAGCCCAGCAGTTAGCAGATTTGTGTGTTCGCTGAATGAATGGCCATGTTAGGACATAATTGGCATTAGCCATTTATGTGAAAGTGAGCATGTCTTTGTGTTAAGTTGAAAGCTTAGATTTCCAAAAAATGGAATTAGAGTGTTCCTGTAGGTAGGATGGTCTCAGATTTCCTAAGGTTCTTTGTCAGTGATAACGGCTGAAACAAAACCCTCACCACCTTTTAAGTAGCCAGGATTGATCACTCACCTTACTCATCTGATTACTCATCTTTATCTTTTTAGGACCACCTTTCACTCACCTGAGGACTCCACAGAAGATGGTATATTATGGGAAACCTTCTTGTAAAAACAACTATGAGAATTATATTGACATAGTGAAATATGTGTTCAGCGCTTACAAGAGAGAGTCCCCTCTCATCGTCAACACTATGGGATGGGTTTCAGGTAAGCCTGCATGTGCACATCTGCAAGGGAAGGACAGGCAGTGTGAGTACTGTTGGTTTCAGACATTCACGTTAAAGCCCAGTGTTTTGTTTTTTGTTTTTAATTGAGGCAGGGTCTCACTCTGTCGCCCAGGCTGGAGTGCAATGGCGTGATCTCGGCTCACTGCATCCTCTGCCTCCCAGGCTCAAACAATCCTCCCACCTCAGCTTCCAGAGTAGCTGGGACCACAGGCGTGTGCCACTCTGCCCAGCTAATTTTTGTAGTTTTAGTAAAGATGGGGTTTTGCCATGTTGGCCATGCTGATCTTGAACTTCTGGCCTCAAGTGATCCGCCCACCTTGGCCTGTCAAGGCATGCTGGGATTACAAACATGAGCCACTGTGCCCAGCCGAAGTCCAACGTATTGATGGTTTCTTTGTCTTAGAACAAATGCATCCATTTGTCGTAGGAGCATGTCACTGTTCTTGAGCGCGTCACTGTTCTTGAGTGTATCAGCTGTGCTAATGTCTCTTCCCCACAGACCAGGGGCTCCTGCTTCTCATTGATCTGATCCGATTGCTGTCTCCCAGCCACGTGGTTCAGTTCCGCTCTGACCACAGTAAATATATGCCAGACCTTACCCCGCAGTATGTAGATGACATGGATGGCTTGTACACAAAAAGCAAGACCAAGATGAGAAATCGACGTTTCAGACTCGCAGCATTTGCAGATGCTTTGGAATTTGCTGATGAAGAAAAAGAGAGTCCAGTTGAGTTCACTGGACATAAACTGATAGGTGTTTATACAGACTTTGCATTCAGAATAACTCCAAGAAATAGGTAACTAACCCTCATTTGGCTGAAGAATTATTTTTCCTTCCGTCGAAAAAGACCTGCCATTCTCAATTCCTCTAAAGGCCTGAGTCCTCTAAGATCTTCAGGTCCCTGTCACAGCTGTGCATGCACAAAGACGAACCAGTTGTTTTCTGAACTGTTATGTTCCCAGTGGAAATATCCAGAAGTGTCCCCTACCTCTGGCTGCCAGCAACTTTGACTTAAAGGAGAGTCTTTACACTTCCTGTTTTTCCAGTTGGGGTCCGTCAAGGGGGGGCAGTGTTGGAAAGCCCAGTACTCTGTGAAAATGTGACCTCTGTGATGACAGGTGTGGGAGGTGGCCGTTGAGGGTTAAATGTCTACTTACCTTGTTGTGATTTGCCTTTCAGAGAGTCACATAACAAAATTCTTCGAGATCTGTCCATCTTGAGTTACCTTAGCCAGCTGCAGCCCCCGATGCCCAAACCACTTTCTCCTTTACATAGCCTGACACCCTATCAGGTAATCTGAACTTACAGGAGAAATTGTCTTCATTTTGTTACACACTTGTGTGGTTTTCTGTGTGCTGGGCGCTCTCCTAACCACTACATAACTCCTCGCTCATTTAATCCTCAGAACATCCCAGTGACACAGCTTGTGTCGTTATTCCCACTTTACAGATGGGGAACCTGAGGTGTAGAGAGGCTGAGGGACTCAGCACTAGGGGCTGGGCTGGCATGCAGGCCCAGGCAGTTCAGCTCCAGTGACTGCTCTTAGCCATGGTTCTGTACTGAGGATAAGTGTGGGTCCGTGCTGGGTTTGAATGTCCCATCTGGTCGCAGGGGCTGCTCCAGCACTTCCACTTTTCCGCTGTAGAGCAGGGGTGCTACTGGGCCTCAGAGAGTGAACGTGTGGATTCAGGGAGCGTTCACAGTGGAACCTGGCACCCAGAGAACACTCTTAAAGTACTTCACATTAGCCGGGCGTGGTGGCTCACACCTGTAATCCCAGCACTTTGGGAGGCCAAGGCGGGCAGATCACGAGGTCAGGAGATCGAGACCATCCTGGCTAACACAGTGAAACCCCCTCTCTATTAAAAATACAAAAAATTAGCCAGGCATGGTGGCACGTGCCTATAGTCCCAGCTACTCAGGAGGCTGAGGCAGGAGAATCGCTTGAACCCAGGAGGCGGAGGTTGCAGTGATCTGAGATCATGACACTGCACTCCAGCCTGGGTGACAGAGCGAGATGCCGACTTAAAAGAAAAAAAAAAGAAGTACTTCACATTACTGTCATCAAAAGTAGATTCCACCACCAGAGTATTTGCAACTTGGAATCCAGGCTGCTAATAATTGTTTTGGGAGGAAAGCATGATAGTGTTAGGATTCGGGATGATGAAAAAACAAAACTAGCGGCAGGTAGCACTTCTGAAATGCTTACTCTGTGCAGTACTCTGTTCTAAGCCTGTGTAACTCCACTACTTACCGTGGTCCTGTTATTATCCCCATTTTACAGATGGTAAAAGCAAGGCCAGGGACTGGGAGTCAGCTTGCCCAAAATGGTGTAGTCAAAGTTGAGGCTAGGACTGAAGCCGCAGGACGCCCGACTCTGAGCCCAGGTCTGTGCTCTGCCGCACAGCATGTCCGGTTTTGAGCGCTTGCTCTGTGCCAGGCACTCTGCGAAGCATGGAGGGGCTCAGTGACTTCATGGCCACCCTGTGAGAGAAAGGCTAAGACGTGCTTCATTTACAGCTTTGAGCATTGGGCATTGTCAGGTGGAAGCATTTGCCTTAGGTCACATAGGCTGAAGCGGCAGACCTGGGCAGCAAGGATATGTTTCTTGGGCCCGATGGTGGTGTGGGCTCCAGGCCTCTGAGTTATCTCCCCTGGAGAGTCTAAGTCACTTTGCTAATGGGGTTTTAGTTTATGGGTCATTTATTCATCTGGAGATGCTCTTTAAGTGAATGTGAGATTTATCTGCCAATACTTAAATCTGTCTTGTATTACTTCACATTTATTTATTTATTTATCTTTTTGAGATGGAATTTCACTCTTGTTGCCCATGCCAGAGTGCAATGCCACGTGCTTGGCTCACTGCAACCTCCGCCTCCCGGGTTCAAGCGATTCTCCTGCGTCAGCCTCCCGAGTAGCTGGGATTACAGGCACGTGCCACCACGCCCAGCTAATCTTTTGTATTTTTAGTAGAAACGGGGTTTCACCATGTTAGCCAGGCTGGTCTCGAACTCCTGACCTCAGATGATCCACCCGCCTCAGCCTCCCAAAGTGCTGGGATTACAGGCGTGTCCTCTGCACCCGGCCCACATTTATTTTTTAAATTTAAGTGTTTTTTGTTTCTTTTTTTTTGGAGACAGAGTCTCTCTCTTTCACCTAGGTTGAAGTGCAGTGGCACAATTTTGGCTCACTGTAATCTCCACTTTGTGGGTTCAAGTGATTCTCAATTCTAGTACCTCAGCCTCCCAAGTAGCTAAGACTAAAGGCATGCGCCACCACACTTGGCTAAATTTTTGTATTTTATTTATTTATTTATTTTTAATTTTTGTTTTTGAGATGGAGTCTTGGTCTGTCATTCAAGCTGGAGTGCAGTGGCACGATCTCAGTTCACTGCAACCTCCGCCTCCTGGGTTCAAGTGAGTCTTGTGCCTCAGCCTCCCAAGTAGCTGGGACTACAGGCACGCACCACCATCCCTGGCTAATTTTTGTATTTTTAGTAGAGACAGGGTTTCGCCATGTTGGCCAGGCTGGTCTCAAATTCCTGACCTCAAGTGATCAACCCACCTTGGCCTCCCAATGGGTTGAGATTACAGGCGTGAGCCACTGCGCCCAGCCTAAAGAATTTTTTATTTTATTTTTTATTTTTATTTTTTATTTATTAATTTTTTTTTGAGACCGAGTCTTGCTCTATCACCCAGGCTGGAGTGCGGTGGCAGGATCTCTGCTCACTGCAACCTCCGCCTCCCAGGTTCAAGCGATTCTTCTGCCTTAGCCTCCCGAGTAGCTGGGATTACAGGCGCCTGCCACCATGCCTGGCTAATTTTGTGTTTTTTGTAGAGACAAGGTTTCACCACGTTGGTCAGGCTGGTCTTGAACTCCTGACCTCGTGATCCACCCGCGTCGGCCTCCCAAAGTGCTGGGATTACATGCGTGAGCCACTGTGCCTGGCTGTTTTTATTCTTTAGAGATACTTTTGAGTAGGCACTTTGGCAGACCTATCTTTAGATAGCTGGTTAATCTAGTTGTAGAAATTAAGTGGTCTTTCAAAGTAGCCATGAATAGAGTGAGATGCAAATTCATTTTCCAGGTCCCTTTCAATGCAGTCGCACTCCGGATTACCCACTCTGATGTCGCCCCTACCCATATACTATATGCTGTAAACGCCAGCTGGGTTGGTCTTTGCAAGATCCAGGATGACGTCAGAGGATACACGAATGGGCCCATCCTGCTTGCCCAGACTCCAATCTGTGACTGCTTGGGCTTTGGTGAGTCTGAGAGTAAAACATATCCATAAACCTACTGAAAAGGATCCACTGCTTCAACTGTAGATGACTGGTCTTGACCTTGTAGCTGTGTCTAAGCTACAGAGGTCAGAGAACCCCCACTCATCTATATAGCACGCCTTAGGGGCTGGAGGCCAGGAAGGAAGCAGCTATTTCTCTGCTTCGTCTGCCAGCTCCTGTAAATGTAGGCTTCCCAAGGGCCTGGGCTTGGCCCTCCTCTTCTTGCTCGACACTTCTCCCCTAGGCTGTCTCAGTCACTGCTGGGTTCTAAATCCATTTTAGGCGTTGCCTTTTTGCAGTGTCCTCCAACACAGCTGTTCGTCTGCGTTCCAAACCCATCTTGTCAGTGTGCATCTTCACTTGAGTGCCTGACTGGCATGCAGACCTGGGATCCCCAGGACCCTCCTGCCCTCACCCTCTCCTCCTTGCCCCAGGCTCGTACTTGGTCCATTGGAAGATTCACTCTGACATCCAGGTCAGACCCTGGCCCCTCCTTGGCATCCCCTAGCCTTCATTTGGTACTTTCAGCCCATTAGATGGTCTGGTGGCTTCTCTCTTCAAAATATGTCAGCTTCTTCCACCTCTTCTCAGCATGCTAGTCAGCCACCGGCATCTACTGAAAAGTTTCTTAACTGAACTCTCCACTTCCTCTCTTAAAATTCATCCCTACAGCCAGGAATGACCTGAACCCAGGCGCAATTGTGCCACAGCCTGGCACTTCCCGTCACTCAGATCCAGGGTCTGGACCAGGGCTCAAAGTGCCCAGCGGGATTGGGTCCCCACTTCCTTGACCTGCCCTGGTTTCCTGAGGTCAATAAATTTGGAGTTTTGGAAGGGTGCTGGAGCTAAGTAGTCCCAAATTAGCAAAGTCCTCAAATGCACATTTCAGATTTGGACAACACTGTATTTCTCAAAAGCATTTTCACAGACCATAAAGGAGGAACAGTGATATCAGGTTGTCTTCTGTATATTCCTTAGTGGTGGATTTTCCCCCTGGCCTGTACTCACCAACAATCAAGGACTTTTTTGTTTTGTTTTTTTTTCCGAGACGGAGTCTTGCTCTGTCGCCCAGGCTGGAGTGCAATGGTGTGATCTCCGTTCACTGCAACCTCCACCTCCCAGGTTCAAACGATTCTTCTGTCTCAGCCTCCTGAGTAGCTGGGATTACAGGCATGTGCCACCACGCCCAGCTAATTTTGTATTTTTAGTACAGATGGGGTTTCACCACGTTGGTCAGCCTGGTCTTGAACTCCTGACCTCGTGATCTGCCCACCTCGGCCTCCCAGAGTGCTGAGATTACAGGCATTAGCCACTGTGCCCAGGCTGTTTTTTTTTTGTTTTGTTTTGTTTTGTTTTTGAGACAAAGTCTCTCTCTATTTGGGCTCACTGCAACCTCTGCCTCCCGAGTTCAAGTGATTCTTGTGTCTCAGACTCCCGAGTAGCTGGGATTACAGGTGCGCGCCACCATGCCCAGCTGATTTTTGTGATTTTAGTAGAGATGGGGTTTCACCATGTTGGCCAGGCTGGTCGCAAACTCCTGACCTCATTCGATGTACCCGCCTCAGCCTCCACAGTGCTGGGATTACAGGCATAGCCACCGCAGCTGGCCCAATCTAGGACTTTTGCATGTAGACCATTTTTGTTCCTCGTGGCTGAACACAGGGAAGGTACGAACTGCCCCAGTGTTCAAGGACTCCATCTCTTGACTCTTTGTATTTTTTTTTTTTTTTTGAGACAGTCTCACTCTGTCACCCAGGCTGGAGTACAGTGGCGCCATCTCGGCTCACTGCAAGCTCCACCTCCCGGGTTCAAGCTATTCTCCTGTCTCGGCCTCCCGAGTAGCTGGGACTACAGGCGCCCACCACTACGCCCGGCTAATTTTTTGTATTGTTAGTAGAGACAGGGTTTCACTGTGTTGCCCAAGCTGGTCTCGAACTCCTGATCTCAGGTAGTCCACCCGCCTCGGCCTCCCAGAGTGCTGGGATTACAGGCGTGAGCCACTGCACCTGGCCAGCTCTTTGTATTTTCAAAACAAAACAGAGTTGATATAAAGACTTATGTTCAAAACCATTCTGCAGTTTCTAACGATGGAGAAGTTTGATGTTTTCCAAAAGGGTGATTTTTGTGTTGTGCGCGTGTCTTGAAGGCATCTGTAGAGGCATTGACATGGAGAAGCGGCTGTACCACATCCTCACCCCTGTGCCCCCGGAAGAGCTAAGGACCGTGAATTGTCTGCTCGTTGGAGCTATTGCCATTCCACATTGTGTCCTTAAGTGCCAGGTGAGCCTTCCCCCGGGCACAGCCCTGGAAGGAGCCTACTCAGGTCCACAGAAGTGAGGAGCTGAAGTAGGGTCAGGGGTCATGGGAATGGGTGATCTGGGAAACCTATACTTTGTTGTAGATCCTGAGTGAGCCGAGACGGTGTCAGGGCCGCCTCCAAGGCCTGAGACTATGAATCACTGTCCCTCGTGGTGTCAGTGTCGCGATCTGGGCTCACTGCAACCCGTGGTGGAGCCTTTACATAGGAGTAGGTTGTGTTGGAGCAAGCAGAGGCCCTCCCAGGTTTGCCCTCCTGAGGACAGTCTTCAGAGGCATCACGGGACCAGGTCAAGGCGTCTGTGTGCCCCAGAGCCAGCCACAGGGACTGCGAGTGGGCTCTGGGAACGGGGGATATTCCTACCATTCTCATCCTCCAGTGTCCCTCATTTGAAAGGGACGCACACTGCACCCCCACTCTGCCTCACGCTGTTTGCTGTGTTGATGGAATGGGACAGAAGGGAGGCCTTGGCACGTTTGTTACCGAGCCAGTTGATTAAAGGGGGCTCTGAAGGAAGGGATCAAATGCCTTAAAAGTGAGAAGTCCCCACCCAGACCATCACCATGACACTGCCTTCTAGGTGTGAGAGAGCACTGTAAACCCCTCTGGGCTGGACCTGGAGTGTTTCCATGCATTCTCTGTGTTTCCGTTTCAGCGTGGGATCGAAGGGACAGTACCTTATGTCACAACGGATTACAATTTTAAACTTCCTGGAGCATCAGAGAAAATTGGAGCAAGAGAACCTGAGGAGGCACATAAAGAGAAACCATACCGAAGACCTAAGTTCTGTCGAAAAATGAAGTGATGCTCGCGTTTTTAATAAGGGAAGAAACTTTCCTACCAGAAAGCTTTGTCTCAAGCCTGACCACAAGAGACATGATGGAGTTTCATGGCCATGAATGGTGCCCTTATTAGCAACAGTGTTTTTTGTGTAATTCGTGAATGTCATATAGTAGTCTTAAGTTTCTCTTTTAAAGCTGCATGAGCTAGAATTTGTTCTAGTCTTCTGTGTGATACTCATACTTGCTGTCCAGAGGGAGTAAAACAGCAGAGAACAGTTTGTGTGCCATTAAAACAGAGATTCCTCAGAAAGTTCTTCAGGGACCTGGTTATTAGAATCAGGATAAAAATAAGGAAACTGGGGCCATTACAATGTACCGAGAAGGAAGGAAGAAGGCCGACCTGCAGGATCTCAAGCATAATGGATACAAGGGCTCGCCACGGGCCTTGCCTGAGCCATGTGCAGAGCTGGGGTCCAGCGGTCTGCTTCCTTGGAGCCAGTGTGGATGGTTACAGCCCATCCATTTGGTGCAGTTGTACTTGGTCTGTTATATTCAATCAAGGTTTAATAGATAGGGCTGGGCATGGTGGCTCATGCACACCTGTAATCCTAGCACTTTGGGAGGCTGAGGCGGGAGGATTGCTTGAGCCTCGGAGTTCCAGGCTGGAGTACACCAACTACTCCAGCCTGAGCGACAGAGTAAGACCTTATCTTTTAAAAAAGAAAAGAAAAATTTAAACGGGTTTGATAGATATAAATTTGGACCCAAGAGCCCTTCCTTTTTTTTAATCCTGAGGTTTTATGCTGAGGAAATTTCTTTCAAATCTGGAAAACCTCGGGGCCAGGCGCAGTGGCTCACGCCTGTAATTCCAGCACTTTGGGAGGCCAAGGCAGGCGGTTCACGAGGTCAGGAGATTGAGACCATCCTGGCTAACACAGTGAAACTCCGTCTCTACTAAAAATACAAAAAACTAGCTGGGCGTGGTGGTGGGCGCCTATAGTCCCAGCTACTCAGGAGGCTGAGGCAGGAGAATGGCATGAACCCAGGAGGCGGAGCTTGCAGTGAGCCGAGGTCACGCCACTGCACTCCAGCCTGGGCAACAAGAGCAAGACTCCATCTCAAAAAAAAAAAATAATAATCTGGAAAACCTCTTCTGGGGGCTCTTATAAAAGTAGATTTGTCCAAATTGACTTCTGATCTGAGGCCAGAGACAACCACAGGGCAGAGCTGGAGACTGGGCTGTTTTGAAGGAAGAAGGACTGGCAGACCAGCTCTTGGGAAAGCTCCATTATTGCCTGTGGGAGGCTGGACCTGAACTTGCACCTATGAACAACCCTGCCATTTAGAGCTTTTTCCTGGGGGTGCCGGCGGCTGGTGACCAGACTGCCATTCTCCACGTTCTCCCTGGTGCTTCCGACTCTGTCCTCTAGGTTGGAAGTGGTTTGTGTAAACGGGTGATGGGACCAGGTCACATCATTTCTGCATTTAAGACAGCAGGATACTTCCTGGGGCTGAGGTTCAAACTGGTATTGTGACCACCGCTTTGACAGAATTCCATCTTCCCAGCATGATCACATTGTAAGACTATTAGGATGTGTGGGTTTTAACACTTATATACACTTATACAACTGTTGGTTATCATTGTCTTTAGTATTTTACAGTGGCCCCTCAGCACCTCTTAGACCCAACAGCAAAGGACTTAAAATAAGCACAGGAAACCTTGCTATGGTGATTAGTTTTGATACCTTTGAGACAATTGAGTCTAGCTTCTTAGTTGCCCCTTATTTATGTTGAAATCTGGCTCATTCATATGATGTTTTACTGTGCTGGCCTTGTAAAGAATTTTAAGACAATCCATCACCATCAATGTTTTGCCTTTCTCCACTTTCGTGTATCTTACAGTTATACTCACTGGAGGTCATTTGCAGCAAGGCTCTGGAAGAATGAAACTGGTGCCCTGTAATTGCATTTGCATTCAATCTAGGTTTGCCTTCAGGCTTTAAATGCGGCCTGTATGAAGGTCAAGTCTTTTTCTTCAGTCCCTATCAGTAAAGAAAAATCGTTGCCTCTAGAGGGAGCTATCAGCTGTGGGTCAGGTGGCCGTACTGGGGCTAGAGTTGGCCCAGGAAGCTGTACAGGGTTTAGGGAAGGAGGTTCGGAGACAGGGAGCCAAGGCCTCTGTCAGGTCTAGCTTGTGCCGGTCAGACCTGCAGCAGCACCATTCTCCAGGATGACAATTCATCCCATTATTGATGGCAGTGGCCTTTTTATCCTTTTTTTTTTTTTTTTTTTTTTTTGAGATGGAGTTTCGCTCTTGTTGCCCAGGCTGGAGTGCAGTGGCGCAATCTGGGCTCACTGCCACCTCCGCCTCCCGGGTTCAAGTGATTCTCTTGCCTCAACCTCCCGAGTAGCTGGGATTACAGGCATGCGCCACCATGCCTGGCTGATTTTCTATTTTTAGTAGAGAAGGGGTTTCACCATGTTGGCCAGGCTGGTTTTGAACTCCTGTCCTCAGGTGATCCACCTGCCTTGGCCTCCCAAAGTGTTGGGATTACAGGCATGAGCCACCGCACCCGGCTGGTGGCAGTGGCTTTAAGGGCATTTAGAAGAAGGACAAGATTGGACTTTTTATCATTTCCACAGTCTGTTATGGGTCAGATTAGGTAGTAAGGAGTTCTCCATTGGAGCTATTCTTTTTTTTTTTTCTTTTTTTTTGAGACAGAGTCTCGCTCTGTCACCCAGGCTGGGGTGCAGTGGCACGACCTTGGCTCACTACAGCCTCTCCCCTCCCGGGTTCAAGTGATTCTTCTGCCCCAGCCTCCCAAGTAGCTGGGATTACAGGTGAGCGCCACCATGCCTGGCTAATTTTTATATTTTTAGTAGAGATAGGGTTTCACCGTATTGGCTAGGCTGGTCTCGATCTCCTGACCTTGTGATCCGCTTGCCTCGGCCTCCCAAAGTGCTGAAGCAATTTCTTTTTTTTTTTTTTTTTTGAGACAGAGTCTAGCTCTGTCGCCCAGGCTGGGGTGCAGTGGAGTGATCTCGGCTCACTGCAACTTCCGCCTCCCAGGTTTAAGCGATTCTCCTGCCTCAGCCTCCTGAGTAGCTGGGATTACAGGCGTATGCCACCACGCCCAGCTAATTTTTGTATTTTTAGTAGAGACAGGGTTTCACCATGTTGGTCAGGCTGGTCTCGAACTCCTGACCTCGTGATCCGCCCGCCTTGGCCTCCGAAAGTGCTGGGATTACAGGCGTGAGCCACTGCGCCTGGCCTGAAGCTATTCTTTACAAAAGCTCTTAGTTTTTGTTTGTTTGTTTGTTTTTTTCTTTTGCGACGGACTCTCTGTCGCCAAGGCTGGAGTGCAGTGGCCTGATCTCAGGTCACTGCAACCTCTGCCTCCTGGGTTCAAGCGATTCTCCTGCTTCAGCCTCCCAAGTAGCTGGGATTACAGGCGCCTGCCACCACACCCAGCTAATTTTTGTATTTTTAGTAGAGATGGCGTTTCACTTTATTGGTCAGGCTGGTCTCGAACTTCCAACCTCAGGGGATCCGCCTGCCTTGGCCTCCCAAGGTGTTGGGATTACAGGCATAAGACACTGTGCCTGGGCCTCTTAGTAATTTTTGTATGTAATTTTCAAAGTATCCGGGATTACAGGCGCCCGCCACTACACTAGCTAATTTTTTTTGTATTTTTAGTAGAGATGGGGTTTTACTATGTTGGCTAGGCTGGTCTCGAGCTCCTGACCTCGTGATCCGTCCACCTTGGCCTCCCAAAGTGCTGGGATTACAGGCGTGAGCCACCGCGCCCGGCCTAGGTCATTTGTTTTTGGGTTTGGATGGCAAGATCATGGATAAGACAGCAGGCTTTGATTATAGAGCTCTGAGTTCAAATCCTGGCTCTACCACTTGTCAGTGGTGTAACTTGGAGGAAGATGCTTAGCCTGAGCCTGTTTTATGTTTTGAAGATTGGGTAATTGTCCTTCCTTCAGTGTTCCTGGGTGAGGAGTAAGTGAAGTCATGTCTATAAGAGATGTAGCACAGTCTCCGGCATGTAGAAACGGTCAGTAACTCCTAGTGTGTAGCTAGCCTCTGATGAGATGGTAAACTCAGGAGGCTGGCACCACGGCTGTGCTACTCACGGTCATGCTGGAGGGATGCAGAAACTAAATGAATCCACAGCTACTTACTCATCTTGCCTCTGGCAGGTTCACCTTAAAATTGTTGCTACCAAGCTTCCTGTGGTCAAAGAGCCCTTGAGGAAGCAAGCTCCACGGCCACCATAGATAACCCATTCCTGAAAGTTTTTCATAAACCCCCACTTGTTGCTTTTAAAATTTTATAAGCAGCTTACACATGTAGAAAATGATCCTCCAGCCCACCACCACATAGTAATCACTGACACTGTGAGGTGTCTCAGCTGGGGTTCTGCTGTGTGTGTGTGTATTTTACAAAATATGTATGGTTTCTGTTCAGCTCTTTTCAGTTAACAGATGAACTTTTGTATCATTAAATATTTTTGAAAACATGAATTTAGTTGTGTAATTTTATGTAGATAGGTCATTTTATTCCAGGTAATCACTTAAATGCTTAGAAGAAACTATAGTGAAAAAACACTGGGAGGAAAAAAAATGTTGAAAGGCGGTTAATGAAGTGTGGAGACTCCAGCAAATGCTTGTGATGTGTTTGTTTGTTTGTTTTGTTGTGCCCTTTTTTTTCTTTTTGAGACAGAGTCTCTTTTGCCCAGGCTGGAGTGCGATGGTGCAATCTCGGCTCACTGCAATTTCCACCTCCCAGATTCAAGCAATTCTCCTGCCTCAGCTTCCCCAGTAGCTGGGACGACAGGCAGGCACCACCACACCCAGCTCACTTTTGTATTTTTACTAGAGAGGGGGTTTCACCATATTGGCCAGGCTGGTCTTAAACTGACCTCAGGTGTTCCACCCGCCTCGGCCTCCCAAAGTGCTGGGATTACAGGCATGAGCCACTGTGCCTGGCCTGTTTTGTTGTTGTTGTTTTTAACCATTGAAGTATTGAGTGCAGTGGGAGTTTATTTTTTCAGTATTTTTAATTTTTATTTGTCACTGACTTGAAGCTCAAGTGGGAGTTTAATTTTCCTGTCTTGGTTCATATGTAAGTAAAGAGGGGATGTTGCATTCTTTCTGGACTGTCTTTGGGAGTGTATTAGAAGGAAACAGGGCTTTGCTCCTGGAAGAGTTCAAGTTTTAAAAAACTAAAATGACTCATGCCTGTAATCCCAGCACCTTGGAAGGCTGAGGCAGGAGGATCACTTGAGGCCAAGAGTTTGAGATCAGCCTGGTCAACATAGTGAGACACCATCTACTTAAAAGAAAAACAAAAAAAAAACTGAAACAAACCCCCACCTAGTGCTGTGCCGATAAAACTGCCTCTCGGCAGCGAGGACTCAGCCCTTGTCTTCCCACACCTCATAGGGTTGGGCCTAGCAGAGAGAGATTGGCTGACAAGCCCAGCCTGAACAGTGGCTAAAGTAAATATGGGGGCCATCTATGCAGTAAGTGGGGAAGCCTACGTGATGTTCAGGGCCTTTTCAGAAAGACCTTGCTAAGTTAAGTATTCCCAAGGCTTTGCCAGGAAGAGCGGTAGCCGCCGAGTTGGGGGCAGCAGGTCCAGTCTGCAGTGCCAGGAGCTGAGCAAGCAAAGTCTTGCGAATCAGCAGAGTTCAGCTGGGCAGACATGTGCTGGGCTGGGAAGCCAAGGGTAGCTATGGTAACCGGCCCTGAGGCGGCTGCGGTGCTCTGCAGACTGGCTTGGGTTTTTCTAATGTTTTGAGGCTCACTTGATCTCCCGCTGTGACCAGCCCCTCTCTGCCTGGCAGGGGAAAGCCACCAAACTAAGGCCTTCCTGGTAGCCAAGGAGCCCAGCAGAGGGGCTGCTGCTGGCTGCTGGGATTGCAGAGGCCGGGGTCTCTGTGGTGTTGCTTTCCTGGAAAGGAGGGACGGCACCTCCAGGGCAGCCAGCAGTGTGGGAGCCCATTCCAGGGCGCAAATGGGCACTCAGGAATGGAAAATCCAAGAAGGAACCAACCACCAACAAGGAAATGCAGTGTGAGCGGCGGCTGCGAAGTCTGTGCCTTCAAATATACAGCGCCCAGGGGACCTGTGTTGGACGGGGAGCAAATTGGCAGGGCTGAGAGCGCCTTGGTTTTCTGTGCAGACAGGTCCAGCTGCAGAAATTAAGACTGGGGCTGAGTCGGGGAGAAGCCTTCCATGTTGAGATGGCAACTGGGCAAAGCAGGACGGAGACCTGTGTGTCTGATTAGAGAGGCCTGTGGCATTGGCATGTGGCTGGAGGTCCAGGCAGGGTGCCACCACCGCAGAGGTCAAGCATGAATTCAGTCCTGACAAAACATGGGTCTCCACCTCGAAGCTGGCTCAGCCTTTGTTCAGGAACCGGTGAGTATGTTTTCTATCTCTTTTGTCTAGAAAGGAGGTTTGAGGACACAGAGTGAAAGGAGGGGCTTTGCAGGTCTTGGAGGGCTCCAAGGACTCACACTCACTGAATTAGTCCGGACGGTTTAAGAGCCACTTGCAGGCTGGATCCATTTGGTCTCATTCTTCCATTAATCAGTGAGTTAAGCCCTCCAAGCCCTGCAGTTTGAGCCATCAGCTCTGATTTGAGGGCAGAGGAGGGGGACTTGCTGCTCAGCCATCTAACTCCTGACAGAAGAAAGACCTAGACTCCATATGCCGAAGGGTTGCTGGGCGCAGTGGCTCACGCCTGTAATCCCAGCACTTTGGGAGGCCGAGGCAGGCGGATCACAAGGTTAGGAGATCGAGACCATCCTGGTTAACACGGTGAAACCCCGTCTCTACTAAAAATACAAAAAATTAGCTGGGCGTGGTGGCACGCACCTGTAGTCCCAGCTCTCGGGAGGCTAAGGCAGGAGAATGGCGTGAACCCGGGAAGCGGAGCTTGCAGTGAGCAGAAATCGTGCCACTGCAGTCCAGCCTGGGCAACAGAGCAAGACTCCGTCTCAAACAAAAACAAAAACATATGCCAAAGGGTTGCTCTGGTGGCAGGTTGGCTTTGCTGCTGTGGCTCTCGTGTTAGAGGAGGGTTACCTGTTTCCTCCTCTGTGACATAGAAAGTGGGGCAAGAAAGATGCCCCAAGGCCCTTCAGACTGTCCCATTTTGTGCCTTCAAGTTGCACGCCCCTGGCAAGGATGGTCTGGAACCGTTCCCAACCTTGTCTTTGTAGCTCTCGGGAAGGGCCAGGAAATTCCTCCTGCACATCCATATTTTCTTTTCTTTTTTCTTTTTCTTTTTTTTTTTTTTTTGGGATGGAGTTTCACTTTTGTTGCCCAGGCTGGAGTGCAATGGTGCGATATGGCTCACCACAAGCTCCGCCTCCTGGGTTCAAGTGATTCTCCTGCCTCAGCCTCCCGAGTAGCTGGGATTACAGGCATGCGCCATCAAGCCCGGCTCATTTTGTGGTTTTAGTAGAGACGGGGTTTCTCCATGTTGGTTGGGCTGGTCTTGAACTCCCAACCTCAGGTGATCTGCCTGCCTCGGCCTCCCAAAGTGCTGGGATTACAGGCGTGAGCCACCGCGTCTGGCCCTGCACATCCATATTTTCAAGTTTACTTTTAATATCCGCCATGACACGGCCGGGCGCAGTGGCTCACACCTGTAATCCCAGCACTTTGGGAGGCTGAGGCGGGCGGATCACAAGGTCAGGAGATCAAGACCATCCTGGCTAACATGGTGAAACCCCGTCTCTACTAAAAATACAAAAAATCAGCTGGGCGTGGTGGCAGGCGCCTGTAGTCCCAGCTACTCGGGAGGCTGAGGCAGGAGAATGGTGTGAACCTGGGAGGCGGAGCTTGCAGTGAGCCAAGATGGAGCCACTGCACTCCAGCCTGGGCGACAGAGCGAGACTCTGTCTCAAAAAAATATATGTATATATATATCCGCCATGACGCATTTTGGGAGTCGGGGGTCAGGAATAGCGTTCATGAAATCCAGTAACATTCTCCTACCCGAGTTGGAGCCTGGTCTGGGAAACATCCCGGCCCCAGCGGGATAGCCTGGCCTGGCCTGGCCTCGGGGCATTTGGGCCATGGACCCTTCTGTTTGTCGTCAGATCTGAGCCTGTTCCAACCTTTATCTCTGTCTCCCTGATGGCTGGCCCGACAGATTTATGAAGCTGACAGCGAGTCATGGAGAATTCCTCCCAGGGCCATCCCCTCCCCAGCAAGGAATCTGAGCTGCTGACTTTTTCTTCCTTTGCTCACCCCCACAAGCTCATCCCCTGCTAGTATTCAGGGAATATAGAGTTATGTGAGCCACAGTGACAGCGACAGCATGTTGACATGTGAGCCCCTAGCACTCACATAGTAAAATGGCCACTTAATTAAATAAGCCTGGCCCTGCTTATTTACTGAAGGGAGATTGCGTCCAGGTGTGGGTGACACTGGGGGTTACAGACCTTTTGGAGTGTCCCCTGTATCATACCTACCCCATGAACAGCAGAGAATGGTCACCTATTCTCAGCATATGCTTGGTTGTATCTTTTTTTTTTTTTTTTTTTGAGATGGAGTCTCACTCTGTCACCCAGGCTGGAGTGCAGTGGCGCGATCTCGGCTCACTGTAACCTCCGCCTCTCAGGTTCATGCCATTCTTCTGCCTCAGCCTCCCAAGTAGCTGGGACCACAGGTGCCCACCACCACACCTGGCTAATTTTTTGTATTTTTAGTAGAGATGGGGTCTCAGGCGTGAGCTACCGCGCCTGGCCTTTTTTTTTGTATTTTTAGTGGAGATGGGGTTTCACCATGTTGGCCAGGCTGGTCTCAAACTCCTGACCTCAAGTGATCCACCCGTCTTGGCTTCCCAGAGTGCTGAGATTATAGGTGTGAGCCACCTTGCCCAGCCACAGAGGTATTACTTTTATAAGCAGAACAAAAGTGTACATGTGTGTGTGTGTGTGTGTGTATATATATATATATATGTGTATATATATATATATATATACACATATATACACACACATATATATATACACACACATATATACACATATATATACACACATATATATACACATATATATAACACACACACATATATATACACATATATATATACACACACACATATATATACACACATATATATATATGCCAGTACAAAAAACTTGCCAATACATAAAAACATTCCTCATCTTTTATTTTATATTTTTTTGAGACAGAGTCTCACTGTGTTGCCCAGGCTGGAGTGCAGTGGTGTGATCTCGGCTCACTGCAACCCCCACCTCCCGGGTTCAAGCAGTTCTCCTGCCTCAGCCTCCCCAGTAGCTGGGATTACAGATGCCCGCCACCACGTCCAGCTAATTTTTGTATTTTTAGTAGAGATGGGGTTTCACCATGTTGGCCAGGCTAGTCTGGAACTCCTGACCTCAGGTGATCCACCCTCCTCGGCCTCCAAAGTGTTGGGATTGCAGGCATGAGTCACTGCGCCTGGCCTCCTCATCCTTTTTAATGGCTTCACGATATACATGGATATGCCTGAAATTTTAAACCAGGCCTCTAATAGCAAACTTTTGGATTGTTTCCAATATTTCACCTATTTGTTTTTTCTTTTGAGACAAGGTCTTGCTATATCGCTTAGGCTGGTCTCTGAAAGTCCTGGGCTCAAGCAATCCTCCTGCCTCAGCCTCCTGAATAGCTGGGTGTGTGCCACGAAGCCCAGCCCAGTTTTTCATTCTTGCAAATGGTGCCATAGTGGACATTCTTGTGTCTGTGTCTGTGTGCACTTGTGAAAGAGCATCTGTAGAGGGAATTCCTAGGACAGTGGAATTTCTGTGTGGAAGGCTGTGAGCAATTTCATTCTGACATTTCCAGATTGTCATCCAGACAGCCACTTATTCTCCCACCAGCAGAGTAAGTGGTCACCGTCTTCCATGTCCATGTCCCTGAGATATGAGGGGCATGACTAGTCAGGTGACTCCTTATGTGGTCACCAGGCATTTCCCTCTTGTCCACTCACATTGCTGAAATGCCATGGCTCTTGGCAGAGGAGCAGGGGCAGCGGTAGGGGACTCTGGGGTCATGCCTCCAGAACTTCCGAGGGTGGTGTCCAGAGGATACACTATATTAAATTTGCTTATCTTTCTGGTTAGATTTCCCACTTCTAAAGACCCTCTTACATAGTCTTTTTTTTTTTAATTTAATTTTTTGCTGAGACAGAGTCTTGCTCTGTTGTCCAGGCTGGTTTCAACTCCTGGCCTCAAATGATTCTCCCACCTCAGCCTTCCCAAGTGCTGGGATTATAGGTGTGAACAACCATGCCCAACCTCATACATTTTTTTTTTTGAGACAGTGTCTCACTCTGTTACCCAGGCTGGAGTGCAGTGGCAAAATCTTGGCTCACTACAACCCCCACCTCCTGGGTTCAAGTGATTCTCCTGTCTCAGCCTCCCCAATAGCTGGGACTACAGGCGCCCGCCACCACACCCGGCTAATTTTTGGTATTTGTAGTAGAGACGGGGTTTCACCGTGTTAGCCAGGATGGTCTCAATCTCTCGACCTCGTGATCTGCCTGCCTCAGCCTCCCAAAGTGCTGGGATTACAGGCGTGAGCCACCACACCCGGCCTCATCCAGCTTTTTTAGTTGTCCCAAATGGGAAGGTGGGTCTGATTTATTGACTCCGTCACTGTTGGAAGCAGAGTTCCTACTGAAGGCTCTAAATGTTCAAAGCATTTAGCACATTGTCTATTTGTAGCTGTTGTTATATCCAAAATTCGGTATGATTTTCTTTCTTTCTTTTTATTTTATTTTTTTATTTTTTGATGGAGTCTTGCTCTCTCGCCAGGCTGGAGTACAGTGGTACCATCTTGGTTCACTGCAACCTCTGCCTCCCAGGTTCAAGCAGTTCCCCTGTCTCAGCCTCCTGAATAACTGGGATTAATGCCTGGCTAATTTTTTGTATTTTTAATAGAGTTGGGGTTTCACTATGTTGGCCAGGCTGGTCTTAAACTCCTGACCTAAGGTGATCTACCTGCCTCAGCCTCTCCAAGTGCTGGGATTACAGGCTTGAGCCACCGCGGCTGGCCAATTTTCTTTTTTTTTTTTTCCTTCAAGATGGAGTCTTGCTCTGTCACCCAGGCTGGAGTGCAGTGGCATGATCTCGGCTCGCTGCAACCTCCGCCTCCCGGGTTCAAGCAATTCTCATGCCTCAGCCTCCCGAGTACCTGGGATTACAGGCACCTGCCACCATGCCCAGCTAATTTTTGTATTTTTAGTAGAGACAAGGTTTCACCATGTTGGCCAGGCTGATCTGGAACTCCTGACCTCGTGATCTGCCTGCCTCAGCCTCCGAAAGTGCTGGGATTATAGGCGTGAGCCACCACACCCGGCCATTTTCTTTCTTTTTCTTTTTTTTTTTGAGGCAGGGTCTTGCTCTGTCACCAAGGCTGGAGTGCAGTGGCACAATCACAACTCACTGCAGCCTTGACCTTCTGGGCTCAAGTCATCCTCTTCCGTAGCCTCCTGAGTAGCTGGGACCACAGGCGCATACCACCATGCCCAGCTAATTTTTAAACTTTTTGTAGAGACACGGTCTCACTATGTTGCCCAGCCTGGTCTCAACCTCCCAGGTTCCAGAGACCCACCCCAGCCTCCTGAGCAGCTGGGACCACAGCTGAGTGCCACCATGCCTGGCTAATTTTTAATTTTTTTTGTAGAGACAAGGTCTCAGCCATGTTGTCCAGTCTGGTCTTGAACTCTAGGGTCAAGGAGTCCTCCTGCCTCAGCTTCCCAAAGTGCTGAGACTGTAGACGTGAACCTCCATACCTGTCCCTGCTTTATGCTTCTCGAGATGTAAATGAACAGGATCCAGGCAGAACCCCTCCAGGCCCATATGGGAGGCTCTCAGGAAACAGCCTCCTCTGTAATGCCAAGATGGGTTGAGACCCCATAGCTGCCCTGCACAGAAACTGCCTCTGGAGGCTGGGCCTGTGTCCTGGGCTTAGCGGGGAAGGGCCCTTGACTTCTGTGGGCCAACAGTCAGACAAGGCCCATCCGAGGCAGCCTGGGTCTCTGCTGGGCATGTCCACAGTGACAGTAGTGACAGTTTCCAACCAACAGGACCAGTGTTTCGACAATGGGGTAGATGGTTTGAAATCCTAGCTGTTCTGGAAGTCCAGCCTGTCTTTTCCGTGGTTGGGAGCCCGGCCCAGGAGCCTTTGTTCCTTGGACAGACTTGGCCCTCGAGAGGGCCCCAGTCTCTCAGTTTGTCTGGCCAGGTTTAAAAGTCTGCAGTGGCCAGCAGCTGGCAGTCAGGCTGGAATGTAGCTGTGCTGGCTTGGCCGCAGACAGCCCCGAGGAACAGCCTTCATTTCCGCCTCTTCCCCTCACCTCAGGCTGAAAAATCCCCGGCAGGTGGCAGCTGCTGGGTCTTAGTCTGAGTCTCAGCTTCTCCAAGGGGACCAGGTTTGACCCCAGGCGGGCATCCAGGCATGTGGGCTGCCCTCTGGGCATGGTCCTACTTGGATGCCAGGGAGCCCTGCCACCTTGACACACAGGGTGAGGTGGAGCCCAGCTGGACCAAGCCTTGGGGTATTTGGAAGTCAGCCCTGGTGAGAGATGGTTGATTGCAAATTGATTCTAGTTCAAATCAATAAGCATTTCCCTGGCACCTGCCCTGGGCCAGGCTGGGCCTGGGCCCTGCATCCCCGATAGAGTCTAGATTCTAAGGGCTCCCAGGCTAGATGGAGCGAGGGGAGCTCCACAGCGGGATCCAGGCGTCAGTGAGAGGAGCTACCGATTCCACCAGGAACAGTGGGTGGGCGGGGCCCCAGGGTCTAAGTGGCCATGCCGGGGGCAGGCTTTTAATCAAGACAGTGACATTTGCAGACTTGCGTTCTGTTCTTCTGCTGTGACTGTTGGCCACTGTCTCTGAGTTTGGAGGGGACTCTCCTGGATTAATTTATTCACCCCCCCATGGCCACCCTGTGAGGCCTGTGAGGCCTACGCTGTATAAATGAGGAAACTGAGGCCCAACTTGTTCGAGATGGCACAGCCGGCAGGAGCTGGAGCTGGGATTTGAACCCGGGGAGCCCGGCTGGTTCTGGAGGCTGTGTTGGAGGGGGTAAATGTGAGACGGGGAGGGACTGAGGCAGGGCGGTGGTGGCCTGAGGCTGTGCCAGCGCAGGGCAGGGCTGATGGCACTGAAAGACATCCTGGAGACAGAGCTTAGAACAGTGTGGGAGCTGGTTTGTGGTCGGCCCGCCCCAGGCTGCAGTTGTCCCGAGGCTGCAGCTGGTGGTTGGGTGGGTGATGATGGTCCGGCCAGATGCTGGGCAGTGACTGGGCCTCCCACCCTGCTGGTGAGCCGAGTGGGCCTGAGGGCCCCACTGTCTGGCTTCCCTGCCCCCCACACACTCGGTAGCCCGGGGAGGGGCCCATGCCAGTGGGCTCGAAGGTCAGGGAGGTTTGTCCAGGCCTGAATGGCTCCCAGAGTCCAAGTCAGGGGGCACATCTGGGGCTGGGAGAAGCCCACTTGAGCTCACGTGGCCTCAGGGCTTGAACAGTGCTGAGCAGGAAGGACAACTCGCTCGGCCTGGGATGACCCCACAGCATGTGGAGCTCAAATATCTCGGCTGTGAAGGAGGAGCCAATGGTATGGAGGGTGGTGGACAGACCCTGCGGCAGCACCCAACCCCTTCCGAGCGACATGGGCAGGTCTCCAGGCGTCCCGAGCCTCCGCTTCCTCCTCTGTAAAACGGGGTGATGGTGATCCAATCACAGGGCCACTGGGTAGATTAAAGGAGATGCCACCTTGAAGGCCCTTGGTCCAGAGTCCTGGTATAATACATAGGACACCGGCAGATGTTAGTGTCCCTGCTGTAAGGACAGCCAGGGAAAGGGGGCTGAGAGGGTCCCTGGCCCAGCAGGAGTCTGTTCCTGAGCACAGGGAAGAGAGTAGCACGGGCTCCCCGGCTTCCAAGGGCCTCTCCCCTGCCCGGCCCTGGGCTTCCTGCCAGCAGAACCCTCTCCCCCTTCCTCTATTCAGGCCATAGTGGCAGTCACACACTCACTCTCTGCAGTGCTGGGGGCAGCCTCTCTGGGGGGGCTGCAGTCAGGCAGCCTGCAGTGCCCACTCCAGGCCTGGAGGTGAAGCCACTGCATGGCTCTGCCGGCCCAGTCCTCGCTCTGTGAGCCCTGTCGTGGCCCTGCTGCCTCAGTCCCCCATCTCACATGCCTCAGTCCCAGCGCCTGGGGGCCCTGAGGATTGGAGAAAGGCCTGTCTGGGCAGCACAGGAGTGTGTGGGACCCCTCTCGGATCCCTCCTGTCTTGGGGGCGGTGGGCATCGGCAGCTGCTGGGTGACCGCCAGCCCCCTTCAGACGTTTCTCTCGGGCTTGCCAGGCTCCAAGCGGGGTCCTTTCATACAGGCAGCCTCATTTAATCACCCTAGTCGGGGCTTAGGATTGTCTCCATTTTACAGAGGAGGAAACCCAGGCTGGAGGAGTCAGTGACCGTCCTTGTTGGTGGTGCCTGTCCTCTTTGGTCCATCCCCCACCCCAGCAGCACCCAGGGCTGGCACAGGGCCCATCAGAGACTGTGGGGAGGGGAGGGTGTTGGGGGCTAAGGCTGAGGCCTGGTTGAAGCTCAAGGACGGGCTGGCCAGGGGCCAGGTGGTTGTGGCCCAGGTTTCCACCAGCATCTTCCAAACAAATGGACTGGCAGATGGGCTGGGGCACTGGACCCACGCATCTGGCCTTCAGAATTGTTTAACTTTTTTTTTTTTTTGACACAGTTTCACTCGGTCGCTGAGGCTGGAGTGTAGTGGCGCGATCTCGGCTCACTACAACTTCTGCCTCCCAGGTTCAAGCGACTCTCCTGCCTCAGCCTCCTGAGTAGCTGAGATTACGGGCACCTGCCACCACACTTGGCTAATTTTTGTATTTTTAGTAGAGACGGGATGTCATCATGTTGGCCAGGCTAGTCTCGAACTCCTGACCTAAAGTGATCCCCACCCGCCTTGGCCTCCCAAAGTGCTGGGATTGTAGGCATGAGCCACTGTGCCCAGCCCAGAATTGTTTAATTTGGAGGAAGGGTCTGTGCTGCCCGCACCACGCCCTGTTCACCCCTCCCACAGGTGCTGACACTGGGCCCACTGCTTGCTGGCTGGTGGGTTGGCCTCCGCCCCACCTGGCCCCCGCCCCCAGGGTCACTATCAGGTATTGGCCCTGTAGGGTTCTCAGCCTGTGCCTCCAGAGGGCAGAGGCAGATTCTTTTCTTTTTTGGAGACAGAGTCTCATTCTGTCACCCAGGCTAGATTGCAGTGGCATGATCTCAGCTCACTGCAACCTCTGCATCCCAGGTTAAAGCAATTCTCTGCCTCAGCCTCCCAAGTAGTTGGGATTACAGGTGCCTGCCACCCCTCCTGGCTAATTTTTGTATTTTTAGTAGAGACGGGGTTTCATCATCTTGGCCAGGCTGGTCTTGAACTCCTGACCTCGTGATCCACCTGCCTTGGCCTCCCAAAGTGCTGGGATTACAGGCGTGAGCCACTGTGCCCGGCCGGGCAGAGGCAGATTCTTCTTTTTACTTGGCCTGGTGGAGCGTTTGGGGAGGGCCTGGCCAGAAGAACAGAGACAGGAGAGCCAGAGGGCAGGGGGAGTGGCTAGCGCCCACTCTCTCCAGATTACATAATGGGGCTCTGCAGCCTGGCCTGTGCAGAAACACTCACCCACAGCATGGCTGCCTGGGTGCTTCTCATGAGAGCCGGGTAGCTAGAACTGGGCATGGCGGCCCCGCATGCACGCAGCTGGCTCTCCCCGGCTGCCCTGGGGGTCCAGACAGGCCTCCTCAGACACCGGGAGAGGAAGGGAGGAATGTGGTTACCTGCACCTGGGGCCCTGGGGTCCACAAGAGGCCACAGTGGGCCTTGCCTGGGGACGGGGAGGAACGGGGCTCTTGTTGGGTACAGGGACTCCCCACCAAGTCTATCCCTTTGGGGTGAGCACTCACCCTGCGCCAGGCTCCCTGCTAAGCCCTGTGCGTGCAGGGTCTTGTGGAGATGACACCCTGGGGGGCTCTCTCCTTAACCCATTTTACAGATGTGGAATCGGGAAGTGTCACGGCCGAGGCTGCCCAGCTTGGGAGGCAGAAGCCTAACCCTGAACCAAGCCCTCCCCTGCCGGGGGCTGCCCTCAGAAAACCCCTGCAGTGGGAAGGGGTCATCCAGGGTGGTTGAGGGGAGAAAGGATGTTCAGGGGCCCGTGGAGCCCCCAGCCTGTGAGCTTAGGCAGGAAAAGTGCCCCAGAGCCTACGTCTCCCGAGTGGCCGTGGCTTCCTGGCGTGGGGGTCGATGGCCGGGTCCTGCCACCTGTTTCTCTTCCTCTTTTGGCCCCTTACTCAGCGAGACCTTGCGGGGGTGGACCCTGCTTGGGTCCTCCCTCACTTGGCACTTCCGCTCTCAAGGAAACAGCTGTAGTTTGCAGAGGACTCGCCCCCTCCCCATGTCCAAGGCCATTGCCAGGAACGGGATGAAGCGGGCCCTTGTCTTTAGCCCCTGTCCCTCTGCCTGTCCTGGTTCCAGCCCCAGGCCAGGGGATGCTCACTGGAGCACAGAAGGAACCAGAGGTGGGACGAGAGGCAAATCTTAGGGTCTCCGGGCCCAGGGCCACAGCTCCCAGCCCCAGGGGCAGCCCGCGTGAGGGCACAAACCAATTGTCTCTGCTCCCCTGGGATCTTCCTGTCCAGAGGCCGTGAGGCTTCCAGGGGACTGAGTCCCCCGAGATAGGTCTGGGGCTGTGGGAGAGCAGCCCTCCAGCTGAGGGCCCGCCTGCCTCTCTCGGGCCTCTAGCTCCCTGTCTGTACCCAGCAGTGACTTCGAGAGGCGCTACAGGTGGGTGAGGAGGGCCAGGCCTAGAGCGGGGTGGGCAGTGCGGCCAGCAGTGTGTGTACCGCTCTGGGGCTCAGCCCTGGCTCTCCCTCTTCCTAGCTCTGTGTGGCCCTGGGCAAGTTGCCTGTCATGGCCTCAGCTTCTCCATCTCTGTGGTGGGGACAGTAGCACCTGCTATTGGGGATGAAGTGTGGATTGGAGATGATGTGTGAATAGTGCTTGCTCAGTATGGCATTGGGCCATGGTAAGTGGAGAGCCTGCCTGAGGCTGGGCACACAACAGAATGCAAGACAGACAGCTGTCCCTGAAGGCACCAAGAGCAACCCCCGTGTTTGTCAGCGGCATCGCTCGTCAGTCTTGTTTCCTGGTTTTCCCCAGACCCGAGGAAAAGGCCCAGGTGTGTCTACCTGCCTTGGACAGCTGCTGCCTCAGAGAGAGGGGCTGGCGCTGCACCCTCGAGCACTGTGGGGGTCCGCTTCACTGGCCTGGGGGGGCCTCCCCTGACCCACTGGGGCTGCCTCTGCCTTCCTGCATCGGGAGGCTGGGTGGGGGACCCTCTAGCCTTGTATGGAAGGAGCGTGGGAGACAGAGGAGGACAGCCGGGCAGCAGGAACAGCACAAGCGAAGGTGGGAGGTGGGAGGCAGGAGGCACATTTGGAGGCAGAGGGAACACAGAAGATGATGCTCCGTGTGGTCAGGATGGAGGGTGGAGCCCGGCCTCCTCCTCTTGGCATCCAGGGCTGCAGCCCCTCAGGAGGGTTCAGCCTCCGAGCCCGAAATGGATGCCTGGGAGTGGGGCCCCAGGTGACCGCTGCAGCAGGGGCGTCCCCTTGTGCTCAGCCCACAGTTGAGGGTAGGAAGGAGTCTCTGCTGCACCCAGGCGGGGATGTTCTGGGGTTGGCTGTCCTAAAATAATAACCAGGTGTGGCTCCCACCAAGCCCAGACAAAGAGGGGCCGAGGCTGGGTAAAGGCTCTAGGACCCACCCCACTGGCCCTGGCCTCTGCTATGGTGGGTCTGAGACAGAGATGGCTGGCCAGGCCATGGATGGTCCTATTCCCTAAGCCTCAGTCTGACACCCCCAGGCAGGCCACTTGCCACATGAACACGAGCCAGGGACACCCCCAGCTCCTGTGGGCTCAGGCCCAGGTCGTGTGGGTGCCAGTGATGAAGGCCAAGGGCCTGCGTTTGTCCTCCCTGGCCCCGTGCCGGCGCGGGAGGGGCCGGCCAGGCAGGCATATGGTTCGAATTATTCAAGCCACCTCTTGGCACCTTAGCCCTCAGCTGGGGGCGTGCAGGCTGCCTGGATGGCCACTCCAGCACCCCCTGCCACAGCCCTGGGGTGACCCCTCCATCCCCCCGCCCCCCGGAAACAGAGCCTTCTGCTGCCAGCTCCCTCTGCCTGGGCCTTGGGTCTCTGTTGCCAGGCATCTGGTCTGTTAGGAGAGCCAGCTCTGCCCTGGCTCTGCTCCTTCAGACCTGGCAGGCTGGGGGGGCACAGGTGGGGTAAGACAGAGGAGGCTCAGCAAAGCCTGGCTGGGGAGCCCAGTGCAAGCTGCCCTTGGCCCCGTTCAAGTCTGGATTTCTGAAGGGCTGCCCCATGGCCCTCTGATCACCCCCACCTTCTCCCCCAGCTGCTTGTTCAGGTCCCCAAGTTGGCTTTGAAGCTAGACAGTCTTGGGGTCAAATACAAGTTCTATTCCTTGTAAGCTGAGCCTCAGCTTCCTCATCTGTGCCATGAAGGAAGTGCCCACACACGCAGGGAAAGCCACAATGACCCTGCTGGGGCACAGGTCACGTGGATACCGTGGCAGAGGTCTCTCCACAGGAGGGCTGCCATAGGCTTTGAGTTGCTATTTTCTAGCTTGAACATTTTGCAGTTTGGACAACACTCTGGAATCAACTGACCAGTGGCTTTTCATTTCCCCGCCTGTCCGCTCGCTTTTTCTTCTTCTCATGGTTCTTTCTGTGAAGGGTCTGCACCCCCAGCCCTCTGACTTCCTCCAGCTCCACCCGCCGCTCGGGAGCAATGAGGCTCCCCTGAGGATGCCAGAGGTTCGGCTGCCTAGGGCTCTATGCCTGCGCTGCCATTGGTGTAGGCGACATGATCTGAAGGAGGAGGCAGCCTGGTGAAGTGTGGCCAGCCCCGAAAGGGAGCCCAGAGAGCAGAGCCCAGACCTCACAGGCAGGCTGAGGGTGAGGCCTGGCCCACAGCTCCTGCCCTGCTGGGGGGCCTCTGGGGGCCTCGGCTCAGTGGAGGTGAGGGACATGCCTTGAGCTTCCTGGGGAGGGTCCAGGCAGGAGCTGGAATCATCTCTAGGGGCAGCCCACGGCGTCCCCACAGGTGCTTCTGTTCCTCACTGAGAAATCCTGCAGGGTTCCACTGGGGCTGGGAGCGGGGTCACAGGTCAGGGGTGGGGAGCCGGAATTGCTCCTCGGGCAGCACATTTTTCTTCTCTGGAAACCTATCTTAGCAAAGAGACCACGAAACAATCGCACTCTTTTCCGGGCCTCTGTCGTCCCCAGACGGCCAGCCCGTCTCCTCGGTGGGGGCTCCGAGGGGGCCGGGAAGGCGAAATTTGTAAAATGTCTGTAGGAGGGGAAGAAAGGCGCTTTGTGTGGGGCCGGGGCCCTGGCCATTGGTCAGCTCTGAGGCCCCCAGCCGCTCCCAGAATGCTCCCCTTCCAGAGGAGGGAGCGCCTGCCAGCCGAGGCCAGCCCCAGTGGTCCCTGAAACCCCCTGCGCCCCTGCACTCCCTGCGTCCCGTCCCCAGGCCACCCAGCCTCCGAGGGCGCGGGCCAGGCGGGGCGGCCTCCCCTGGCCTCAGCATGTTTCTCTACTGGAGGAAGCGGGGCACCTACGAGCTGGAGGCCCTGCCCGGCGACCTGGCCGAGCTGGAGCTGGGGACGGTGGAGCGTTTCTCGTGGAGCTCCACCCTGGACATCATCGAGGACCTCGGGGGTAGGTGCGAACCCACCTCCCGGGAGGACTTTCAGCAGGCTCTGGCACCGGGCCTGCCCAGCCAGGGCCTGTAGCCCATTCACACACACATGCTGCTGACAGTCACTTGCTCCACGGTGGTGTGGGGGCCAGAGCCACTCCTGAGAGCTGCCGCTGGTGCAGGAGAGGACCCGGAAATGAGGACCCTGGGGGCCAGAGGGCAGGCAAGCAGCTGAGGAGGCTGTCCTTCCTCCAGGGCTGGCCTGGCTGGGCAGCGTGGGCCCTGCACTGGGCTTCAGGCCTGGCCTCTGCCTCTGCTCTCACCCCGCCCGCAAGATCAGGCCATGGTGTTTTCTCAGGGCTGGGTGGTGTAATGAGATGTTCTGGAACATTCACGTTCCAGGTCCCAGGACGTGGGTCATTTCTCCTTTTGTCCCCATTTTACAGATGAGGAAACAGAGGTACAGGGAGTTTAAGCCCCTGAAGAGGCAGGATGAGCTCTCGGGGACGCTGAGCCCCGTGGCTTGTGTTTAGAGGGGTGGGACGTTGGACTGCTCCTGGGGGTGAGAGGTTGGGGAGCTGTGAATGGGAATAATGATGCCTTGGGGGTCACTGGGAGGCTGAGAGCACTAATGGGGATGACACACAGGGAGCTTCAAACAGCGGTGGCAGAGGCAGGGCGCACCTGTGCTGGCTGTCGGATGCCCATTCTGTCCGCTCAGCTCAGCTGGTCGGCACCGTAGGCTGGTCGGCATCGTGGGCTGGTCGGTACTGTAGGCTGGTCGGCACAGTGGGCTGACCGGCACTGTGGGCTGGGGACCTAGCTCTGTCAGGGAGCTTTGGTGCAGTGACAGAAACTTGAGTCCGGTCCGCAGAAGCTACCGGAGCGCTGATCTCCAGCTCCCAGCACTGTGGAACTGTCTGGGGCCGGGGCCTGGGCCTGGGTTCTCTTCTCCATTAGCCTCATCCTCGGGCCCAGGAGCTGGCCTCCCCCAGGCCACAAGCCCAGGGAGCAGGAGCCTGTCCTGGATGAGTCTCCCCAGGCTGGCGTGGTCCTTCCCTGAGCCCATCCGTGAGGCCAGAGGCAGGGAGAGTGACGGTTCAGCCTGCGGTCCACATTGGGAGGCAAGAGGGAGCCCGCAGACCATACAGCGAAGGGTTTTGAAAAGGGAGGTGTAGGCTGGGCACGGTGGCTCATGCCTGTAATCCCAGCACTTTGGGAGGCCGAGGCAGGCGGATCACGAGGTCAGGGAATCGAGACCAGCCTGACTAACACGGTGAAACCCCGTCTCTACTAAAAACACAAAAAATTAGCTGGGCGTGGTGGCGGGCGCCTGTAGTCCCAGTTACTCCGGAGGCTGAGGCAGGAGAATGGCGTGAACCCGGGAGGTGTAGTTTGCAGTGAGCCAAGATTGTGCCACTGCACTCCAGCATGGGTGACAGAGCGAGACTCCATCTCAAAAAAAAAAAAAAAGAAAAAAAAAGAGAGAAGGGAAGTGCTGCTCCCAGGAGAGAGGACGATGCCGGGTGGGCATGAAGGCCAGGCGTCCCTGCCTGTGACCAGCCCCCCACTGTGGAGGAGGGGGAATGTGGCTGCTTGTCAGGAGAGGCAGGTACAGTGTCCCACAGGCCCCAGCAACTCCAGGCCCCATCGGGACGTGCGCAGAAGGCAGGGAGGGCAGGACATGAGAGGGGCGGCCCAGCTGCCCAGCTGGTGGAGGCAGTGGGGATGCGGGAGGCAGCACGGGATGTGGGGGTGGGGTGAGGAGGAGTGTGGCAGCTGATGTTGGGGGGGCAAATCTCCCCTCCACCCTCAGCCGGGCACTGTCCTGGAGTCGGAGGGTGGGATCGGGGGCAGGCTGCTCTATTTCTTCACCCGGCAGCTTCCTGCCTACCTGAGGCAGGTACGGTGCTACAGGACCCAACAGAGCCAGAGACTTGACCCAGGTCGTTTAGCCACCCAGCCCCAAGCCAGCAGGGCCAGCCAATGGGAGCCTGTGTCCCACCTCTCGCCCCCACTCAGACTGTGCTCCCCTTGGCAGGGTGGGGCAAAGTGGGGCTGCTCGCCGTCTGCAGAGGCAGGCCCTCCCTGGGCTCTCTTAGTTGTTCTGTACATCTCAGTCATCCTGCTGGTCCCTCCCCTTGGGATGCCCTCACGGCTCAGATGCAGGAATCACATCTATGAAGCTGCCTGTCTCTCCTGCCTCTGGGGCAGGCGGCTCCTGCTTCTGGGGTTTCACAGCTCTGGGGCCCCTTGATCACACTGGCCACAGAGCTAACGTAGAGAGGGCATACCCAGTGCCAAGTGCTCTTTATTTTTCTCTTTAAGACAGGGTAGGCCGGGCACGGTGGCTTATGCCTGTAATCCCAGCACTTTGCTAGGCCGAGGCGGGTGGATCACCTAAGGTCAGGACTTCAAGACCAACCTGGCCAGCATGGTGAAACCATGTGTCTACTAAAAAATACAAAAAATTAGCCAGGCATGGTGGCAGGCACCTGTAATCCCAGCTACTTGGGAGGCTGAGGCAGGAGAATCACTTGAACCCGGGAGGCAGAGGTTCAGTGAGCCGAGATCATACCATTGCACTCCATCCTGGGTGACAAGAGCAAAACTCCATCTGAAAAAAAAAAAAAAAAAAGACAGGGTTGTCTTGCTCTGTTACCCAGGCTGGAGTGCAGTGGCGAGATCACAGCTCACTGCATCTGACCTGAAGCAGCACTCCTGCCTCAGCCTCCCAAGCAGCTGGGACTGCAGGTGCACACCACCAGGCCCTGCTGGTTTTTTAATGTTTTTGTAGAGATGGAGTCTCTCTATGTTGCCCAGGCTGGTCTTGAGCATCTGGACTAAAATGATCCTTCTGCCTCCTTGGCTTCCCAAAGTGTTGGGATTATGGGTATAAGCCACCATGTCCAGCCTCAAAGCTCTTTAAAACTAGGCTCCTGGAATATCCATGCCCACTCTCTGAGTCAAGGCCATTCTTGGAATCCCCTTTATCCTGGTGAGGTGTGGCGAGGCCTTTGAGATCCCAAGTGGTGGCACCCAGATGCACCATGCACACCCTCAGCCTGAGCACCAGAACTGAGACCTGTTCACCCGTGTGTGCCTGCCCCAGCTCTCCCCGGGGCCGGCAGAGAGGCGCCGGGGGGCTGCACACAGCGGCTGGGTCACAGCACGTGAACAGGTCTCATGCATGAGCTGAGGCGGTCGGGTGGGTGAGCCTGGGCACACGGCTGTCTGTGTGGGCTCTGTCCTCTGTGCCAGCCAGACCCTGGCCGGGGCCCATGCAGGGTGGGCCGATGCCAGCCCTGCCTGTGATGGGGGTGGGACTGGCGCTTGGAGTGTGACTGTCGGGAATTGGGATCTCATAGCTATTTCTGCAGCCCCGCTCCTGTTCCGCCCTTGGTCACTCTCGGTTCCTCTGAGGAACCTCTGGAGGAAGCCCACGGGGGGCAGATGGGCAGGCGCCCGCAGTAGCCTCAGCCGGAGGAAGTGGCCGGCTGGCCCCAGGCCTGTGTGCAGAGCTGTGTGGACAGTTTCTTGGGCCCCAGGAAGGAATCCTGAATGTGTCCTCCCACCTCTTCTTACTGAGCTCGAGCAGTGTGGGTGGGTAGGGCTGTGTTCAGCTCTCCGGTCCCCGGGGACTACGCCAGCGGTGGTTCTGGGCTGTAGGCAGAAGCAGTGTCCTGGCCAAGGTCCATGCCCCTCCCTGCAGCTGGGTCCCTACTTCACTGACCTGCCCCAAGGTGCCCCATGGCGCTTTGGGAAGGGGATCAGAAACACATTTCCTTCCCAGGCCTCCAGTGACGCTCCAACCAGTGTCCTGCATAGGGAGTGGCGGATGTCCTGGGACCAGCAGCCATTTACCCAGGACATGCCCCTCTGGCGTTTGGCCAGGTTTGGGACAAATCTTGCCCTTCCCCAGGCTGCTGCGGCTAAGAGGTCCAGCCCCAGCATGGCCTGCAGCAGCTGCCCAGGCATGGACCGGCGCCCAGGAGGGTGGGGCTCACGCGGGAGGGGACATTCAAGGCCACAGCTGCTTCCTGAGAGGGGCAGCCTTTGCATGGCCAGGCCTGTGGTTGGGAGGTCGTGGGCAGGGAGGGCCTGTTTTCTTGAGACAGAAGGGTTCATCGGAGTGGAGGGTTCACAGGTGAGGGGCTACCCTGGAGAAAATGAGAACGAGGTGGTTTTCCATGCACTTGTGTCAGCCTGGGACCAGTGGGGAAAGGGGACACTCATGTCATGATGGGGGGACCAATTCACGTTTTCCAGACAGCTAATTGTGTCAGGCCCCATGGGAGCACTGTAGCCTGGCGGTTAGGAGCACAGGCTTGGAGGCTTACACACTCACAGCCTCGTTACTCTCATTACTTGTGTGACCTTGGGCAAATCTCTCTACCCTCCACGCCTCAGTTTCCTCATCTGTAAAATGGGGACAATGATCATTCCTCTACACAGAGTTAGATGGTGAAACGACACCATCTATGGACAGCAGAGTTCCCAGCAGGTGGTTGGCAAGTGAGAGCTGTGGTCATTGTGTGTCGTTCCTGAAGCCGTCTGATGGGGAAGACAGGTCGGTGTTGGTTCAAAGGTTCAAGACAGTGGGAGTCCAGCAAGGACACGTTCACCTGGAACTGGGATATGTGACAATAGGGAGGCCTTCCTGAAGGCAGCAGCCTTCAATCTGGGCCTTGAAGAGTGGGCAGGATGGCAGCAGACAGCGATGGGAGGATGCTGGGGGAGGGCAAAGGAATAGCACCAAGAAGGGCTGGGCTGGGGTCAGAAGCTCAGTTGTGTCCGGCAAGTAGCGGAGTGAGGGGCCTGCGGTGGGGCGACGGAGTGGCGTGGACTGTGGGGGCTGGAAGCATTTGTGCTGATCCGAGGCAGACACAGCTCGGGAGCTGGAGCCGTCCAGAACATGGGTCCAGAGCTGCCGGGCTCCTCTGGTTTGTCAAGAGAAGCCAGAAATATGGACTTTTATGTGAAATCTCCTGACTTTTCAAAGTTGGCAACCAATTTAAATTCTTCCGAAACCCTGTTCTCAGCCAAACAAAACATGTCTGCCGGCCGTTCTGCCCGCGCCCCGAGGCCCAGTTCTGGTAGAGATCATGTTCAGGACAAAGCCCAAGTGGCCTCCTGCGACTGAGACAGGGTCGGGGGAGAACTGGCGAGTAGGCTCCTCTGCCTGGCCAAGGGCCCTGGTCTCCCTGCGACGGGAGGTGGGGGAGCCAGGAGGGCAGCTGGGCTGTTGCGCACGTGGGGAGGCAGTGTCTGGCATGCAGTGGCGGGAGCTCAGGGTTCCAGGTCCGCCTAGGGACGAGTGGAGTGCAGGGTTCCAGGTCTGCCTCAAGGGGGGTAGTTCATGGTTCCAGGTCTGGCTAGGGGTGGGGGGAGTTCAGGGTTCCAGGTTTGCTTAGCGGAGGGGGTAGTTCAGGGTTCTAGGTCTGCTTAGGGGAGGGGGGAGTTCAAGATTCCAGGTCTGCCTGGAGGGGAGGTTCAGGGTTCCAGGTTTGCTTAGCGGAGGGGGGAGTTCAGGGTTCCAGGTCTGCTTAGGGTCGGGCTGAGGTCGGGGAGCAGACACCGCTTAGGCTGGTCCACATAAGAGGGGTTGCTACGAAGAGGCAGGGCTCCCAAGGGAAGCCCGGGGCAGGCAGAGGAGGCCGCCCCCCTGCCACCCCGAGAGCTGCCCACTCTCACAAAGCTGCCTTCTCCTGCCCTGTCTGCTCTGGGGTGATTTCCACTGAGGGGCTGCTCCCCTTTTTCCTGCTCCCCAACAATCTTGGGGCATCGTACCTATTTGGACTGACTCTCAGTGGACTCAAGTCTCCAGGGCCCAGTAGTAGTCCTGCCTGTGGGCTCCTATCAGGAAGGGGATCGGAATCATGTTTCCTTCCCAGGCCTGTCTCAATTCATAGTCTCAGGAGAGCAAATCTGACTGGCTGAGCCAGGCTATGTAGATGGCTCAACAACTATAATCTCAGCACTTTAGGAGGCCAAGGCAGGAGGATCCCTTGAAGCCAGGAGTTCGAGACCAGCCTGGGAAACATAGTGAGACCTCCGTTGCTATAAAAAAATTAAAAAGTTAGCCAGGTATGGTGGTGTGCACCGGTGGTCCCAGCTACTCGGTAGGCTGACGTGGGAAGATCACTTGTGCCCAGGAGGTCGAGGCTGCAGTGAGCCCTGATCACAACACTGCACTCCAGCCTGGGTAACAGAGCAAGACCCTGTCTCAAAAAATAAATTTTAAATTAAATTAAATTAAGAAAAACCCAGCTATGTCCAGGGTACGCTATCACCTGATACAGTATGTCCCCCTTACCAGGCCCACCCTTTCCTCGAAGGCTGTAGATGGGGATAGGTCACCTGCAGGAGAGCTCATGACAGGCCTATGGTGGGGACTGCTTGTCCTGACCTCACCCCCAAGCCCCACAGGCCCCACTCTGGGCCCTGAGAGCTACCAGGGTCCTGATGGATTTTTCTTCGTGTCTGCAGTCTCCAGGAGAGAGGAGCTCGCCTACGCAATGCAGGAAGTTGCAGCTTTAGAGCAGAGCCCAGAGGGAGCTACCTCCCAGGGGAGCCAGGACCAGGGGATCAGGAGTGTAGGGTCTAGAAGGCAGGGTGAGCACCTGGAGCCTGCTGAGACCAGGGGTCAGAGGCCGGAGAGTTCAGGCAGGTAGACCCCAGTGCCAGGAAGTACCAGGCAAAGGACAAGGAATTCCAGAACCCAAGTGGCATAGAGGCCACAGGATAGTCAGGCCCGATGGTGGCTGTGACCTGAGCAGTCATGGGGGGATCTAGGGAGCTGGTGAGGCAGACCCAGTGGCAGAAGACATGGCCCGGAGCCTTCAGAATACGGGGCTACAATCCAGAGGCCCTGGGGCAAAGGGTGTGAGAATCCAACCCCAGGCTCAGAGTTTTGAGAACGCAGGGGCCTGGAAACTTTCTGGGCGGACAGCAGATGTTGTCCTGCTCAGCTGGAGAAGTCCCAGGCTGGACGCATGGGAAACTCCCACAAAGCTGGCTGAGGGCTCCAGGTCCCCGTGGAAACACAGATGGCAGAGGAGGGCCTGCTGGAGTCATGGCAGACAAAAGCCCCGAACCCCACTCCACCCTCAAGTCAGCTTCCTCCCAGCAGGCAGGGACCTCGCCACAGTCCTCACAGGGCCGTCTCTTGCCTCGGCTGCCTCCACCTCCAGCCTAGAGGCAGGACAGGCATCGCTGGCCCCTTGGATGGCTGAGAGCAGAGACTCGGAGAGGGAAATGAGCACAGTGTGGGGGTGAGGCTGGGCTGGGCCTGAGGATCCTGAGAGTTCCCGTAGGCTGTGCACTGAGGAGGCCCAGGGCCCCGGGCAGCTGCTTCCCTCTCAGCCTGGAGGCCCCCGGGGTGCCTGTGGCAGCCCCTCCTCGAGAGCCCCCTCCCCAGGGTCATGCAGATGTGCTGCCCCCCAAAGGGCTACCCTGCCCACCAGGCCCCCTGTGAGCTCCCCAAGTCTTGTCAGGGTCACCAGTGAGTCCCCAGCACCCAGCTTAGAGCTTGGCTCATGGGGATCCTCAGAGGATCTTTAGTGTGTTTGCTGAATGAATCCAGAGAGCTCAGGAGACCCGGGATCCGTGCTACTTTGCTGTGCCAGGAGTCCTTGGGGCAGGCACCAGTTTCTGGTCACCTGTGAGTCCCAGGGCCGGACCCAGCCCATGTAAGGAGTCCATGCAGGGAGGCTCCAGCTGAGAGGCCTTCCAGTGAAGGGGTCAGGGAAGTCCACCCTTAGCCTTTGGGAGAGGGACCCGGCCCTGCTGGAAGCTGCATCTTCTATACCTAGGTCTTGTCGGCGCAATGCCTCCTGGTGCCAGTGTGCAGGGTGGGCTGGGGGTCCAGAGGCAGGCTCAGGAGCACTGAGCCCCCGCAGACTCTTGGCCACCTCTGCGAGGCTGTTTCTGTAGGGCAAAGGGTTTGCTATCTCCTGATGCCATTTACATAAACTACAGGACCGGGCAGACGAATCGATGTGTTGGAAGTCAGGGCGGCGGTGCCCTTGGGGGGACCGGTTGGCACGAGGGAGGTGGCGGGGGCTGGGGACTGGGTGGGGACGCTCTGCAGCTCGGTCTGGGCACAGGTTATTTTGTGAAAGTTTCCTGAAAATGTGTTGAGCTGTGCTCACAGGACAGGTGCACTTCTCTGTCCGCGTTTGCACTTCAATAAAGTTTAAAACTGAACCAGCAGAGGACATGCAGCAAGAGCCGTGGCAGGCGAGTCTCTCCCGGTGACAGCCCTCACCCTGCGCGGGGCAGCCTCCGTGTTGCCATGGAAACTGACCTCGGAGACAGCGATTCCGGGCTGGGGTGGGGGCTCTGCGTGGCTCCCGGCCTGCATTCCTGCGGACAGGCACCCTCCGCGTGGATGGCACCCTCCAGGACAGAGCCGTGCGCGCTTCCTGAGCCGCCCCGGTGCCCGCCCTCCGGGAGGTGGAGGCAGCCTCCGGACCGCAGCGCGCAGGGGCCGGGGAGCCGGGGAGGGAGGGGTGACACCGTCGGCGCCGAGGCCCGGCCGCGCTCCTGTCCCCCCGCCCCCCGCCCCCGAGGCGGGGCCGCCGCGGCTCCTCCCCGCCCACCTGCCCCGCCCGCCTCCCGTGCGAGGGTCCGGCGGCGGCGGCTCTGCGGCCTCCCAGTCCCCGGCGTCCCCGGCGCCCCCGCCCGCCGCCCGCCCCCCGCGCGGCACGGGGCCTGCTCCATGGGTGAGTGCAGGCGGGGACCCGGCGGACGCGGGGCGGGGTCCTGGGGGGCCGGGCCGGCTCCTAACCTCCTCCGGGGAGGGCCCGCTCCAGGCAAGGGGGTGGGCGCCGACCGGGCTTCGGGCCGCTCGTACCCAAACTCGGCCCCCAAGTCGGGGCCTGCCTCGGCAGCACCCCGCTTCTCCTCCCTCCCCCCGCCTCTCGCTGGTTGCGCCGCTCTGCCCCCACCGCGGTGCACTCCAGCCCCCAGGAAGAGAGGCAGCTTGGAGGGGGCCAAATTCAGGGTCAAAGATGAGTCTTGGGGAACGGGGGTCGCCCCAGACCTTCGGGGGCTCCTCTGTCTCTAAAGGGAGCGATGCAGGGCGTAAGGTTCTCAGGGATCTGGGATCTTGGAGCCCCTTCCCCCCAGCAGCCCTGCCGGGACCCCCTGGGAAGTCTGGGGCCCCAAAAGGTCACTGAGCGCTCCCCCACTTGTCCCCCAGACTAGAGGGACAGAGGGAGAGAGCAGCGTATTTCCAAAGATGTTTTCTCCCCGTGGAATCTGGATAATTTCCCTGAGGACTGCAGGAGAAAAGGGCTCTGCAAACGGATTCCCGTGCAGATAAGTTGGCATTTAAAAGAGAAAGGGACGCTGACCTCTTTTGAAGGGAGGACTGAGGAGATCACCCCACCCCTCCTCCGGTTGGGAGGCCAGTGGGGCCCAGGGGAGCCTGGGTGCCCCGCTGACTGATGCCCTCTGCTCCTCCCCTGCAGACGACCAGAGCCCCGCTGAAAAGAAGGGACTGCGCTGTCAGAACCCCGCCTGCATGGACAAGGGGCGGGCGGCCAAGGTAGGGAGGCTGGAGAGCCTGGGGACCCTCGGGGGCAGAGGGGCCAGGGCTCTAACTGCCCTTTCTATCCCAGCACCAGCTATCCACAGAGCCCTGGCACGGGCGCGGCTGGCTGGGCTGGGTTCAAGTGTAGGTGGGGCCACAGTGTGTCTGGTTTAGGAGGCAGAGGGCCTGCCCCCAGCTCAGGAACAGTGGAGTCGGGGGACTTCTACAAGAACAGGGGGGTGGAGTACCCCAAAGCCCTTTGCTGCACTGTGGTCCTAGCAGCCATTCTGAGGTGACAGGAGCTGTAGCCTTATGTCACGGATGAGGAAACTGAGGCTTAGCCAGGGGAAGTGGTCTCCCACGGTGCTGGTCCAGTGCCCAGATGGCACCCTTCCTGTTGAACTCAGCCACTCTTCAGGCCTGGGCATGGGTCTGAGATGCTTTGGGACTTGGCGAGTGTGACCATGGCCCTGGGGATGACAAAAGGAGGAAGGGGCCAGTTGATCCTGGAGTGCCAGGGCTTGGGAGCTGGGAGTGGGGCGAAGTATAAATCAGGGATAAAGGGGGCAGGAAGGAGGATAATAGTACTGGCTGGGCGCTTCTGCCTGTGATGTGCTGGGCTTAGTGCCACCCGCTTTCTGTGCCATATGCACTGATTGCGGCAGCTCTGCAGGGAAGGCATCGTCACCCCGTTTTCCAGATGAAGACACCAAGGTTCAGAGAGGTCCAGTGACTTGGCCAAGGCCCACAGCTCATGAGAGATGGAGCCGGGGTTTGGAGCCAGGTTTTGCCCCTCCCAGCATGCATTTACATGACAATAGTGACAACTGCGCAACTTAGCATCTGGCGCAGGCACCAGGACTCACTGACTCCTCCTCCGGCCTTCTGAGATGGTCCTGTCCTTATTCTCATTTACAGATGGGGAAACTGAGGCTCACTCAGGGACAGACTGCTAGGAAGTGGGAGAGCTGGGATTTGAACCCAGTACCCAGGTCTGTGTCATACCAGGGCCCGTGTTGTCTTCCATCATGTGTCTCAGCACTGCCAGCTGCAGGAAATGTAAAATGCCACCCCCCACCCCCCGCTCCCCTCCCGCACCTCCACCCAGACACACACACACTCGTTCTGCACAGGAGGGCCGTGGTGAGGGAACAGGGAGAACTGCTATGGGGCGGGGCGGGGAGGGGGCGGCCTCCAGTTGCCGTGGTCACCAGGCAGGGGGGCGGTGTGATGTCAGATACAATCTGCTGGCACGGATGGTGCCTGGCATTGGGCTCTGGTGTTGGCTGGTTGCCTCTTTCCCAGATGGGGGCTCCTGGCAACAAATTGGCCTCAGCTCCCCCCAATATACATCCTGCCAGAGGCCTGCGGAGCCCCGAGGCTTTTGCCTGACCTGAAGGGGCGGCTGGGGCAATAAGGCACACTGTCCCAGCCCCTCCTCTGGGCAGCTGCTCTCAGGGGGGGTCCTCAAGCTGCTCAGGCAGGGGCAGGGGTGGGATGGCCCAGCCTTCATAGAGGTGAGGCCTGGGAGAAGAGAGCTGGTCTCAGAGTGGGTATGGTCCCTCTGCAGCCTCCAGACCTCACCTCCAGCCCTGGCCTGCCTGGAACTTGGCACAGCTGACATTGGCATCAGCTGATGAGGGTCACCCAGCGTGCACGGGGAGAGTCTGGGCCCTGTCACTACTGGGACGCCCTTTGGGACAAATGGCACAGACTCACTGTAGGGGCAGAAATGCCTGAATTATCAGAGGCATAGAGAGCCAGTCAGGGAGGGCATCCTGGAGGAGGGGGCCTTTAATGGATGTGAAAACATGGATAGACAGAACAGAGGCAAGGGCAGTCCAGGAAGGGAGAGGCAGTGGTGGAGAGGAGGTGCGGGGCACTCAGATTTGGTAAGAGAAACAAAGAATAACATTGTCGATGATGATAATAATAACCACTACTGGCTGGGTGTGGTTGCTCATACCTGCGATCCCAGCACTGTGAGAGGCTGAGGCAGGAGGACTGCTTTAGCCCAGGAGTTTGAGGCCAACCTGGGCAATATAGGGAGACCTCTCTCTACTAAAATTAAAAAAAAGGCCTGGCGTGGTGGCTCACACCTGTAACCCCAGCACTTTGGGAGGCCAAGGCGGGCAGATTGCCTGAGCTCAGGAGTTCGAGACCAGCCTGGCCAACATGGCGAAACCCCATCTCTACTATAAATATAAAAATTAGCTGGGCATGGTGGTGGGTGCCTGTAATTCCAGCTACTCGGGAGGCTGAGGCAGGAGAATTGCCTGAACCTGGGAGGCAGAGGTTGCAGTGAACTGAGATCATGCCATTGCACTCCAGCCTGGGCAACAAGAGCAAGACTCCGTCTAAAAAAAAAAAAAAAAAAAAAAAAAAAAAATTAGCCAGGTGTGGTGGTGGGTACCTGTAATTCCAGCTACTGGGGAGGGTGAGGTGGGAGGATCATTTGAGCCTGGGACATTGAGGCTGCAGTGAGCCGTGATTGTGCCACTGCACTGCAGCCTGGGCAACAGAGCAAGACCCTGTCTCAAAAATAACAGGCCAGGCGCAGGGGCTCATGCCTGTAATCCCAGCACTTTGGGAGGCCAAGGTGGGCAGATCACTTGAGGTCAGGAGTTCGAGACTAGTCTGGGCAACATGGTGAAACCCCATCTCTACCAAAAATATAAAAAATAATTAGCCGGACATGGTGGCACACACCTGTAATCCCAGCTACTTAGGAGGCTGAGGCAGAAGAATCGCTTGGACCCTGGAGAAGGAGGTTGCAGTGAGCTGAGATCACGCAATTGCACTCCAGCCTGGGCAACAGAGCGAGACTCTGTCTCAAAAAACACCCAATAATAATAATAATAACAATTATTGCTGACCGAACATGTTTACATGCCAGGCGGGGCGTTAGGCCCTCCTGCTTGTCTCAGTGAAGCTTCTTGAGACCCTCAGGAGAACAGCGTTATTCTTATGACCACATGACTTGTAAGGAAACGGAGGCCCAGAGAGGTAGAGGAACTTGCCCACATCACACAGCATGATCGTCAGAGCCTGGCCTGCGTGAGGCTTGTCTGATCAAGAGCCCTATTCTTACTCTCCAGGATGTGACTAGCGTTTTGAAGGAGATGACTTCATTTATTCATTTACCAGACCAGCTCTGAGCATCTGTCGGTGCCAGGCCCAGTTCTAGGCCCAGGAGATCTCCAGAGAACAAAGGGGATGCCCTCCTGGAGGTGACATTCTAGCTGTGCTGGGAGGAAGGAAGGGAAGTGACCCTGGCTGGCCAAACTTCCCCCCAGGCTGCCCTGGCAAAGGACCAATTTCAGGCAGGGCTGGACCCTTCGGCTTCTGGGCCCACCCTTGATGTTTTATTTGAGGCTCTCCTGGGTGCTGGAGCTTCTGAGATGAATTTGCCATCTGTCCCCTACCTCCTGCCCCTGGAGTTCCCACTGGGAGGAGGGCTAACCAGGATGGGCTTCCTGGAGGCAACTGGAGTCCTGAGGATTAAAGAGGTACTGAGATGGAGGACAGCTGAGTGAGCAGGGGGGGACATTGGGGGCTATAAGGGGCAAGCGAGGCCAGGGGGCACAGGGAGAAGGGGACGGGAGGAGGGGGAGGCAGGCTGCACTAGGAGCACCTGCATGTCCAGATGAGGGGTCTGGACTGTGTGTCATGGAGACCCCAGGAGAGAAATGGCCCCTCCCCAGGATGAAGATATGTAGAGCAGTCCACACCTCTGAGCTCCAGGATCAAACCTACTTTTTTCCAGCTGTGCGACCCTGGGGAAGTCACTACACTTCTCTGAACCCCAGGTTCCTCATCTGGAAAATAACCCGGCAGCGAGGATTAAAAGAGGCCCATATATAACATGCTTAGCATAGAGCCTAGCACAGCGTAGGTGTGCAAGGTGTCCTGGGAGTGGGGGTAACAAAGTCACCTCTAGACTTTGGGTGTGCCCTCCGTACCTGCCCTGGGATCTGAGACCTCCCCAGGCTCCATCCCAGCTTCTTGCACACAGGTGGAGCTGTGAGTTTGGGGAGATGGAGAAAGGCCGGGAGATCAAGGCAGACTAATGATATTGTGGGTTCCCCCTGCCCTCCTGTGAGGTGGCCACGGGACAGTGTGTGGACTCCCCAGCTCCTTGCTGGGCTCCACTGGGCACTGTTCGAGGTCTAGTCAGGGCGTCCCAGGTCACAAGGGGGCATGGAGGAGGACACTTGTGGCCCTGGGCCACAGGGGACATTGGGCACCACATGTGAGGGTGTTTATCATGGAGGAGGTAGTGATTCCAGCAGCCGCCATTGATCCAGCACGTACTGTATGCCAGGCCCTGCCTTAGCGCCTGGCACAGAAACCTCATCTGGCCGCCTCCCCCGCTGCGGTGGGGCCTACCCCATCTCCGTTTCCTAGAGAGGGCCCTGCAGAGTGGCGAGGTAAAATGACTTGCCAAGCAAGGCAAGATCAGGACTCAAACCAGGCCTCTCTGTCAGAGCCTCCCATTTCCTCAGAACTCTCAGGAGGAAAGGGAGGTGAATTTTTCTGCACAGCTCCCAAAGGCCTTGACAGGGAGGTGGGGTTCAGCACACTACAGGAAAGAGTTTCCAGCAGCTGGAGCTATCCCCGAAGTGGAGGTAGTGAGCACCCCATCACTAGACATATGCAAGAAGAGACAGAAAGGGAAGCGTAGAGGGGATTGCAGTGTGGAGTGGAGGTTGGATGGGAGGACTTCAGAGTTCCCTTGCAGCTTAACAATGGCCTGTGAGGTGGCAGGGATGAGTCAGGGTATGCGTGTGTGGAGGGAGGGGTGGTGAGATGAAGACCAGGGAGAGGAAAGGGTGGACCTGAGGCCCCCATGGAGAAGGGACGGGCAGGATGTGAGTAATGGGAGAGGCAATCACCTATTCTCCTGGGCAATGCTTTGGGGGTGAGCAGCGGCAGACCAGGATGCCCCAGGGAATGGCCAGGTTTGGGCCATCTCTGGAAGTGACTGGTCCCCGGAGAGAGGTGGTGGGGCTATCTGCAGCTGAAGAAACGGGCAGGGCCAGAGAAACAATGCAAGGGGACTCCTGGGTTTTGGCTAAGTAGTTTTGGGGGAGCAGGTGAAGACGTGGGGATCCCTGGCCCAGCCAGGAGCTGCCCTAGTATAGGCCCAGCCCCAAGGGTTGTGTGGGGCAGTCTGGAGGTTTTGGCCTGGGAAGGGGTCGGGGGAAGGCTGTATAAAAAGCTTGAAAGTGCGGAACAGGTTGGTGGACCTGAACTCCACCTCCTCGAGTGGGCCCCCTGTATCCACACCCTTCCCAGTCCTGAGCCCAGAGTTATTCTAAACTCCCGCTGCTGGGAGAGGGGAACTGGGAACCACTAAATGGCAGAACAGCACCCTTTTCCGGCCATATCACCTGGGCCAGAAAAAAAAAAAAGAGGGGGCCCAGAGAAAAGCGGGCTGTTTCTGGGGCACCGCGGAGGCCGCAGATCAGAATCCAGCTTTTTACAATAGAGCGGAAGCGAACCTGGCTCAGGGCGATTCCGGGGCGGGCTAGGCCTGCGGGTCTCTCTGCCTGGTCCCCCGGGGCTTTTCTGTCGCGCGGAGGCTTCCTGTCGCGGGCCCTGGTCCCCCCTAGCCCCCTTCCGGGATGGGCGAGCTCCCGTCTTCAAGCCCAAGTTAATGACCAGGGACTTTGAACTTTTTGGAGATCTGCAAAGGGCTGGCCCCTCGGGGACAGTGACGCCCCCCACCCCCTCCCCTGAGCCCGGATCCTGGATTACCCCAAGCCACCGCCCGGCCTCCAGCCACCTCCCTGGCTCCGGCGCGGGGCCCTTCCTGGGACCCCTCCTCTCCCCGGTCCCAGCCGGGCGGCGCCGTTGGTACATCCCGGCCGGTCCAGGTGGTAGCGCCCGCGCGGCTACCGTAATTCCCCTACGTCCCGCGCCCCAGTTTGCGCTGAGTCGACTGAGCCCGTCCCGCGGCTCCCGTCCCCCTCTCCCCGCGCGCCCCATGAGGCTTTGGCAGTCTCGGCCCGAGCCTTAGAGCCTTAGACACCGGGGAGGAGACCCTGGTCCTGTTCCTAGGTGAGTCGCGGGGAAGTGGGAGCTGCGCTCCGGACGGGGGGTGGGACTAGGCGCCAGGACCCCCCTAAACCGATGGACAGAACCCGGATTCGAGATTCCCACGTAGTGCCAGGCCTGTGGGTGGGTACAGGGTCCTCACCAGCTGTATCTCCATTTACGTGAGGGTGGAATGGGTTCAAGCTCCCGCCCCCATCACAGTGTCTCTAGGGTGGGTCGGCTCGGAGATAGGGCCGTGAGGAGTCTATGGGACCCTGGCCCCGGTATGGGGGGTATTGGCGGGGCAGGGGGATCCTGGAGGGGCCCGGGCGCGCGGCGTGGCTGGGAGGCTCAGCCGATCCTCCCCATCTGGCCAGTCCCGGAGTCGGTCCCAGGCGGAAAAGCCCTCTCGAGGCCGGCAGGGGGCGCCAGAGGCTGCGCCTCGGGCAGTCTGAGCAGACCCAGGCACCCACTTAGGGGTGGGGGATGCGGGAGACCCGTGAATCCGGGGAGGCCCTGGCCTGCCTTGGTGGAAGTCTGGGAAATGGAGGCCAAGAGGTCCCCTGCAGATTCCTTAGTAACTCCTCAAGTTGAGGGAGCTCGGGGGTATTTTACCATTCTCCTGCCCTTTAGCCGGGGTCCGGGCACACACTAGGACCTGGCAGCCATCCCCAGATACTGAATTCTATGCCCTCTTGGCACAGGTGGGCAAATTGAGGCCCAGTAGGGGAAGGGTGGGGGAACGTAGGCTCCAGACCAGGTCTTCTGAAGCCCAGGCAGGTGCCCTCTTTCCCCCGCTCCCTACCAAGGAGGCTTCTAAGTTGCACCGGGGAAGGGCTTGCTAGTCCAGGTGCTCCGAAGACACACGCTGGGGTCTGGGGCTGGGAACTGCAGAGGCTGGGCAGGAGGGGATGTTCACAGACTGCAGCCCCTCCCTCTTTCTCTAGCACTGGGTCCCAGCCTTGGGCATACTAGCCAGGACCGCTCCCTGGGGAGGAAGGGGCCTTCCTGGCTTCCAGGGCCCGTGCGGTGGGCTTAGCCTGGGGAGAGGTTTTCTGTGTCCCTGCCATCTGCCCGGCACAGGGCAGGGCCTTAGGTCAGGCTCTGACTCCAGGTGAGCCTCAGAACCCAAGGGGTGATGGGTGAGGCCTGGGCCTAGGGGAAAGGAGGGTGGGTAGGCCGGGTGGAGCGTAGAGAGCCGCCTGGCAAAGCCACCCCGCCCTGGCTGGCCTGCCCATGCATGCAGTCTCCACCCCTGGATTTCTAAGGTGTTGGGTGGGGCCTTGGGACTAGCAGGCTCCCAGGGGAGCTTAGCCTTGGTGGGAATTCCTGGCAAGGACATCCCTCCAGCCAGAGAGCTCGGACTCCTGGTTCCAGGCCCGTCTGCTGTCGGCAGAGCCTGGAGCTGGCCCCAGACCTGCGTCCTTTCCTGGACAGGGAAGTCCCTCTCCCACCCAGACCAGGCTGGGGCCCCAGCTCGTTGTGGGGCAGGGATGCCTGGGGGATCCCTGGTTTCCCATCTGCTTTTCTGGGGCTGGGGGAGGTGATACTGAGGGAGAACAGCCGGGTGCGGGGGTCCTGCCTTGGAGACTCCATTATTCATCAGCCTCCGCATCTGGTTTCTGGGTATCAGTTTCAACAAGCCGGCCCTGACTCACAAGCCTGGAGCTGGGGCTGGGCTGGGGAGGGGCTCCCTCCCCAGGGAGTTGGGGGCCAGGACTTCTTGGGCCTGCCCCTGAGCTGTTTCAGCTCCCTGCTGTGGAGAGGAGGTGGGAATGCAGGAGCCTGCCCAGGCCCACCCCACTGCCCTGGTACAGGGGCTGGGGGCTCCTTTCTGCTCTGCACTCTTGCCCCTAAGGAACAGTCCCCCACCCTTGCTGAGTACCCAGGCAGCAGCCTCACTCAGGGATGGCCAGGGCCCAGGCACTCAGGTGACCTCTGGTGATCCGCCCTGACCCAGCCCTGGTGGTCTCCACTTGATGCAACCTGGTTACCCCACACCGGTGGGCTCCCCACAAGCTGGCTTTGGGATCTGCCGTGTCTTCAGGAAGGCAATCTCCAGGGCCCTGTTGCCCAAACCAACATTCAGCTGTCTTCAGGCCCCACGCCTGCCCTGTGCCTGAGGCACCCATTTCCCTACGTAGCAGCAGCTGGTGACTTTGGGGCAAGTCAGTTGACACAGGCCTTAGTTTCTCTATCTGTTAAATGGGGATTGTAACAGTATCTCCTCCTAAGAGTCTTTGAGAAGAGCGAATGGGATTCACTGCCTGGAACTCCCACGATGGGGTGGCACATGGAATGCTCAGTGAAATGCAGTTATCTGCCTACAGGACAGTATGGGGGTGGAGGTCTGGGGCAAGACCACCCGATTTGAAGTAGGAACTCACCTGCCCAGGGCCAGCAGGCCCAAGGTCATGGATACTAGGAGGAGGAAGAGACCTTCGGTCTGGCAGTGGGGAAGGCTCTGTTGACTGTCGGCCACAGGAAGGGATATCCTGGCCGAGCCCTTTCCTGTCCCCATGTCCTTCTGTGGCATGAAGGCCCTTCTGCCTTCATCTGTTCACTGATCTCATCCCCACCAAGCGCACCTACTGTGCACCAGGACTGTTCTAAGTGCCGAGGACACAGTGAGATGCAGACGGCCAAGGCGCTGGCTTCTGGAGAGGACAGTCTGGTAGGGAAGAATGATGATAAAAAAGTGAACAAAGAAATGAATTACAGGTAGTAATAAACACTAAGAAGGAAATAATTTAACTTAAAGGAATTGAGAGTGGGAGGGTAAGGGTGGTTTATTTTAAGATGAGGGAAAAGGACGTCTTAGAGGTAACATTTAAGTTGGGGCCCGGTGTCAGCTGTTTCAAGATAGGGTGCGTGGAATTCCAGACAGAAAATACAGAGGAGAAGGCCCTGAGCTTGGCGAGCTGTAGGGAGAGAAGGAAGACCGGCAGGTGGACCCTGTGCGGACCAGCTGGGAGGGAGGCGGGAGCCCGGCCATGGTGGGATTTCACTATAAGCAAGATGGGAAGTTTTAGTTTTCAAAACTCTGCCTGTTGGCCGGGTGTGGTGGCTCATGCCTGTAATCTCAGCACTTTGGGAGGCCAAGGTGGGGGTGGATCACTTGAGATCAGGAGTTAGTGACCAGCCTGGTCAACATGGCGAAACCCCATCTCTACTAAAATACAAAAAGTAGCTGGGTGTAGTGGCGGGCGCCTGTAATCCCAGCTACTGGGGAGGCTGAGGCAGAAGAATCACTTGAACCTGGGAGGTGGAGGTCGTAGTGAGCTGGGATCATGCCACTGCACTCCAACGTGAGTGACAGAGCAAGATTCCGTCTCAAAAACAAACAAACAAAAAACAAAAACACAACTCTGCCTGTGGTGTAGACAGTGGGTGACCTGGGCTTTGGGAGTGGAGACAGCCCTGGAAGTCTCCCAGCCTCTAATAAAACGCTGCTGCCCTCCCAAAGCCATCTCACGGACCCTGGCCCCCTTCCCACCCTCTTTCCCCATGGAACCAGGTGGAGGAGGAGCAATTAGGGGTGGGTGGGCTGATGACAGACAGCATGGCCACCTCACCCCCATGGGTTCTGAGGAGTGTCCCAAGGAGGCCATCCCAGAATCCCAGAGCCACAGTCTGAGTTTCAGTCTTGCCTGTAGACTTTTGTCTCTTTATGTCACTTTATCCCCCACGCCGTGAATGGGGCTAATGGTGCCTGCCCTGCCTTCCTGGGAATCAGTGTAAAAGCGCTTTGACAGCCGTGTAGTGGTGACTCCAGCACCAGAGTCTGGGCGTTTGCGTCCTCTCAGGCTTTGCTGAGTGCCCCCTGGCGGTGGGGACCTGGCCTAGAACTGCAGGGACCTGGGCTGCTGTGCCATGTGGGTCGCCAGGGTTTCCTGATGCCTCCACCTCACCCAGCTCCTGGGGGCTGCCAAGGATAGCCTCTCAGAGCAGCCCGCCTTCTGCCCACGGCCCTTTCCAGAGGCCACCGGCCTTTGGCTCTCGGCCTCTGCCGTACCTGGGCAGTGAGCAGTCGGTGTGAGGGGGTGTCCCTGGGGCTCAGGCTCTCGGGCAGGGGTCTCCAGGTTGATGGGAGGGGCTGAGATGAGAGCTGGTTGTGAGGTTGGGGTGGGTGTGTGACTGGGGCTCAAAGCTGGTGTTGGAGCAGAGAGGGGTGTCCCTGGGGCTAGATGGAGAGCCGGACCAAGGACCCTGAGGGGAGTGTGCCCCATCCTGGCCTCCCCCTTCTGGTGCCTGTATTCTAAGAGCTCCCTTGCTGGGAGTAAGAAGGGGTCCCCTGGGCTGAGGCTCCGAGGCGGGGGTGGGGGTCTCCAGGAGGAAGGGAGGAGGGAAGGTACCCTTCTGGCTGGGAGGGACCGTGCGTGTTGGCGCTGAGGGTGAGGTGGGGACCACAGCAGAGTGGGCACCCCCAGGGCTGGGCGGGGATCGAGTCACCCAGGGGAGGGGCTCCACAGTCTCCAAGGTGGGGGGGGGTGTCACCAGCGCCCCCTGCCTCCAGCATTCAAGGAGCTCCCCAGGAGAAAGAGCAAGTTCTGAGGAGCCCTCTGAGCCCGGCATTGGTGTTGAGGAGGGAGTCAGAGAAGAGAGGGGCCCGGGGCCGCGCAGAGGCGCAGAGGTGGGGGTACCCCGGGCCAGGCAGAGGTGGGAAGGTGGGGGTCCCGGGGACTGGGCGGAGGCGGGGCTGTGGGGGTCCCCCGGCCGGGCAGAGGTAGGGGTGTGGAGTCCCCGGGTCTGGGCAGAGGCGGGGAGGCGGGGGGTCGCCCGGGCAGGCGGAGGCGGGGGTGTAGGGGTTCCCGGGCGGGGAGGCGGGGATCCCCGGGGCTGGGTGGCGAGGGCCCGGGCGGGAGGGAGGTGTCCGCCTTCCTGGGGGGCTGGGGGCTGTTCCGGGCCCGGCCCTCCCCGGGGTCCCCGCGCTCGGCGGGGGCGGGCGCGGCCGCACAATGGCAGGAAGCGGGGCTCCGCGCTTTGTCCGGCGGGCGGCGCAGACCGCGGCTTCCTCCGGCCGCCATGGGGACAGGACCCGGTGTCTCCGGACGCCTAGCAGCCTCCAGGCCGGGCCCGGGGCTGCCCCTCCGGGACTCGGAGCCCTCCTGGGCCGGGGGTCGTGCCCGCGACGGTGATAGCCAGGTACGGGGCCGGGACGGGGCGGGAACGGGGCTGGGTGCCCAGTTCTCGCCTGCAGCCGCCCAGTCCTGTGCGGGAGGCCAGGGAGGGGGTGCCCGTGACTATGGGCCCCGCGGCCCCCAGGGGAAGGATGCGGCCCATGGCGGCCGAGCCCCCTACCTGGGCAGCTGCACCCTGGTGACGGGGACCTCGGACTCCGGGGTGTGTCCCCGCCGGCTGAGATGTCCCCGCCAATTCTTGGCGCTTTGTGTCTGGGGCCAGCTCCGGACACACCTGTGGGTCCCGGGCCCTATGCTGGGCCGCCCCTCTCCTTTCCTTCCTCTGCCCTGGCCCTGCCCACAGCCTCCTCCTACCCCAGAGGCCTCTGTTTCTCCTTGTGCCTCTGGCCCCAGCCCTTGTGTGAGGGTGGACGCCTGGTTCTCTGTCCCCATCCTCACATGCGTGTATTCCCCAAAGGGCCCCCCTCTGTTATTTTGGCTGCCTGGCGTTAGAGGGGGTGGGAGCTGGCTGTTCCCATGGGTGGGCTCTCTCCTCCCTTGGGTTGAGACCTGGGAACATTCCCCCCCGGACCCTGGTGTCCCTCCTGCAGGACAGAGGCAGGACATGGTGGGCAGGCAGGCAGGTGAGGGAGGGGCAGTTGGGTCTGAGAGAAGGGGCTGGAGTCTGGCTTCAAGAAGGGGCCATTCCGCCCTAGTGCTGGGGGAGTCCTGCCTCTGGAGGGAGCTGGGGAGACTCTGGGGTTTGGGGGTGGGACGTGAGGCAGAACGGGGAGCAGAAACTGCACCAGGGAGCTCTGCCCACCCCAGCTTCTCAGTTGGGCTCATGGTTCTCCCGGGGGGCTTCCAGAACTTCATCGTCAACCAGATCTGCTCGACGAAGTCGGAAACCACCTGGTTCAGATCCTGGGGCTGAGCCTCACTGTGCCCCCAGTGCCCCTGAGCCTGGGGACTGCTGAGAGGAGGGAAGCAGATGAGGTCAGCCGGGCCTGGGCACCAGCCCCTGGCAGCAGCTGGAGGAGTCGAGCAGCCTCAGTGATGGTAGTGGCCACCCAGACCATCACAGCAGGGAAACTGATCTCGAGGCTTTCAAGGGATCCAGGGTGGGGTGCGTCATAGGGCTCAGTCCGTATTTGTTGAATACTGACTCTTCCGTAAGGAGCGAATCAGGGTATCAAATCTGCTGTCTGTATATTGGATTGATTTAAAAACAAGATGGTGGCACAGAGTCAGACTTGGACTGGAAGGGTCCCAGAGACCCTCCCAGAACTCCTCCGACCTAGCACGGCTCCTTCCTTGTCACCCCCTACCTGCGGTGAGACCAGGGCTTGGGTCATGGGCAGGTCTGCCGCCCCAGCTGGCACTAGGAAATCTCAGGAGGCCTGGAAGGGATTGGAGCTGGGAGCCTCTGCCATGCTGGCTGGGTTCACAGAGGGCCAGAGGGCTGCGGAGCCCGCAGACGGGGGGCTCCCAGGAAGAGGGGACAAGGTGGGGCAGGGCCCTTCCCCAGATCATTCTCATGAGGAGACACCTGAAGCTTGGGCTCCCAGAAGCTGCAAAGCCTGATGTTTCTCTCAGCAGTGCGCTGTGGATTCAGGGTGAGGGTGTGGGTAGAGCCCTGGCTGAGGACAGCTTAGTGGTCTCTGTAGTTTTTAAATTTTTTTCTGAGACGGGGTCTCACTGTGTCGCCCAGGCTGGAGTGCAGCAATGTGATCATGGCTCACTGCAGCCTCAACCTCCTGGGCTCCAGCAATCTTCCCACCTCAGCCTCCCAAGTAGCTGGGACTACAAGAGAGCGCCACCACACCCGGCTAATTTTGTTTGTTTTTTGTAGAGGCAGGATCTCACTGTGTGGCCCGGGCTGGAGTTTTTGCACTTTGTTTTACGATAGATTAAGACAGAAACCAGAAAGAGCTGCAGGGGTTGAGGGATCAATCCCATCACCCTCACTTCAAGCCCCACAAGCACAGTTGAAGATCACTCCTGAAGGGTGTAGAAGTGGGGGCACCTGGTGCTCAAGGCTGCCTTCAGGAATCTGGGTCATCCTGTCCCCAGCCACCTGCCTGGGGCCCAGCTCCATGCAGATCAGCCCCTCCCTGAGCACGTGGGCCTGCTTGGAGTGCCACCTGCCGACTGCCAGTCCTGTGCCCTGTTCCCTTTCCTGTCAGATGGAGACACGGAGGGACACAAGAACCAACAGGGCTTGCATCAAACTGAGATAGATTTCCTCCTGTCCCCGTAATCCCGGCTGACCTGAGGCCAGCCTCTCGCTCCTAAGACACCCATGAGAGGGCGTGAATGTGGGTTAAAATCTGGGATCCAGTCTGGGTGCCGTGGCTCACGCCTGTAATCCCAGCACTTGGTGAGGCCGATGTGGGTGGATCACCTGAGGGCAGGTGTTCAAGACCAGCCTGACCAACAAGGTGAAACCCCGTCTCTACTCAAAATCCAAAAATTACCTGGGTGTGGTGGCGTGTGCTTGTAGTCCCAGTTACTTGGGAGGCTGAAACAGGAGAATTGTCTGAACCCAGGAGGCGGAGGTTGCAGTGAGCCAAGATCATGCCACTGCTCTCCAGCCTGGGCAACAGAGCGAGACTCTATCGCAAAAAACATAAATAAATACATAAATAAATAAATAATAATCTGGGATCCAGAGCCCCACACACAGTGGCTTCAAGTCCTAGATCCACTGGCTGTGTGACCTTAGACAAGTCATTTCACCTCTCTGAGTTTTACTTTCCTCTTGTGTGAAACAGGGACAATAACAGCCCTTATCTTATGGGATGAGATACACATGTAATGCCCCCAGTGTGGCTCCAGACACATGACGACCACATTAAAAACACACTCAGATTCTTCCCGGCCTCCTCCTCCCTCCTGTCACTTTCTCTGCTATCCTCACCACGCCTATCTCGGAAATCTCTCATCGGGCTTTCACCAGCCAGAAACTCTTCAGCGCCTCTCTCCTGCCTTAATTCATAAATGAAACAAGGATTTATGGAGCAGCTGGGACCGGAGGTCAGGCGCTGAATCAGACAGAGTAACATTTCTGTCCTTGCGAATGTGACCAGGTGTGGAGGCAGCAGGGTGGAATATGTGACCTGTCAGGTGCTGGAAAGTGCTGAGGACAGGAAAGGAGCGTGGAGGGCGAATGAGGAGGATGAGAAGGTGACTTGGGGGGAAGCTAGCAGGAGGGGAGGGAAGGCAGGGAGCCATGCATTTCAATATCTGGGGAAAAGCATCTCAGTCCAGGGACTGGCAGATGTCACAGCTCAGAGGTGGGAGCTGCCCTGAGGGAGTGTGTCCCGGAACGACCAGGAGGCCAGTGGGTGAGGGGAGTGAGCCAGGATGGAAGAGCAGGACAGGAGGTCCCTGAATGGGGTGGCCTTAACCCTAAAAAAAAAAAAAGTCAATGTCATAAAAGACTGAAAACCCTAACCTTAACCCTTTTGGCTTTTTTTTTTTTTTAAGATAATGTCTTCCCTGTAGCCCAGGCTGGAGTGCAGTGGCGCAATCTCAGCTCACTGCAACCTCTGCCTCCTGAGTTCAAACAATTCTCCTGCCTCAGCCTCCTGAGTAGCTGGGACTACAGGCGTGTGCCACCATGCCCGGCTAAGTTTTTGTGTTTTTAGTAGAGACGGGGTTTCACCATGTTAGCCAGGATGGTCTTGATCTCCTGACCTTGTGATCCGCCTGCCTCAGCCTCCCAAAGTGCTGGGGATTACAGGCATGAGCCACCGCGCCTGGCCTTTTTATTTACTTATATATTTATTTATTTATTTATTTATTTATTTATTTATTTATTTTGAGACGGAGTTTTGCCCCAGGCTGGAGTGCGATGGCACAATCTCGGCTCACTGCAACCTCTGCCTCCCGTATTCAAGCGATTCTCCTGCTTCAGCCTCCCGCGTAGCTGGGATTACAGGCATGCGCCACCATGCCCAGCTAATTTTGTATTTTTAGTAGAGACAGGGTTTCTTCCATGTTGGTCAGGCTGGTCTCGAACTCCCAACCTCAGGTGACCCGCCCGCCTCGGCCTCCCAAAGTGCTGGGATTACAGGCATAGCCACTGCTCCTGGCCCCTTTTGGCTTTTATTCAGAGTGAGATGGGAACCCTTGGAGGGTTTTGAGTAGATACAGTGGGACTCCTCTTTGAACAGGGCCCACTCTAGCTGCACATGGACAACATATTGTGGGGGATGGGGGTAGCAGTGAGGCCAGTTTTGAGGCCATTGTTGTCATCTAGCTAAAAGGTGGCTGGGCAGTGGCACGCTTATGAGCTGTGGCTGGGTTGAGGCCACAGATACTAAAGGTGGAGCCAGCGGGATTTTCGGGCTGACCAGATGGGGGCATAACAGAGAATGTCAAGAGTGACCCCAAGCTGATATGGTGGCTCACACCTGTAATCCCAGCACTAATTCCAGCACTTTGGGAGGCTGAGGCGGGCGGATCAGTTGAGCCCAGGAGTTCGAGACCAGGCTGTGCAACATGGCGAAATCCTATCTCTACTAAAAATTAGCTGGGTATGGTGGTACATGCCTGTAGTCCCAGCTACTTGGGACGGTGAGGCAGGAGAATCACTTGAACCCAGGAGGTAGAGGTTGCAGTGAGCCGAGATTGCGGCACTGCACTCCAGATTGGGTGACAGAGTGAGACCCTGTCTCAAAAAAAAAAAGGAAATCCCCCACCTTGCAGCCATCAGAAGAATCAAATAATTGATTTAGGTTAAAATCATCTATGTATGCTAAAGCTCTTAGGACCGCAAGCTCACATCACCATGCCTGGCTAATTTTTTTTTTTTTGGAGACAAAGTCTCGCTCTGTCACTCAGGCTGGAGTGCAGTGGTGTGATCTCGGCTCACTGCAACCTCTGCCCCCGGTTCAAGCAATTCTCCTGCCTCAGCCTCCTGAGTAGCTGGGACTACAGGCGTACGCTGCCACGACTGGCTAATTTTTTTGTATTTTAGTAGAGACGGGGTTTCACCGTGTTGCCCAGGCTGCTATCGAACTCCTGAGCTCAGGCAATCCACCCGCCTCGGCCTCCCAAAGTGCTAGGATTACAGGCATGAGCCACCGTGCCTGGCAATTTTTTATATTTTTAGTAGAGATGGGGTTTTGTCATGTTGGCCAGGCTGGTCTTGAACTCCTGACCTCAACTGATTGAGTGAGATTACTGGGGAACAAGACATCTCAAAGTGCCATGCCACAGATTACTTATTAATTATAGGGGAAAAAGGGACTCTACAAGGTACAGAGGTCCCCAGAGGATCCAGCATTACAGGCAAATAGCAAGAACACACAGCTCTGTGGTGTCCCCGCCTGAACGCTCAGTTTGAAACTTTCTGAGGACCACCAGGGAGATCCACATTGAGGAGCTCTGTGCGAGGCTGCTGGCTCGAAGACTTCCAAAATGTCAAGGTCAGCCAGGCACAGTGGCTCATGCCTATAATCCCAGCTCTTTGGGAGGTCAAGGCGGGCAGATTGCTTGAGCCCAGGAGTTCAAGACTAGCCTGGGCAACATAGTGAGATCTGTCACTACTAAAAATAAAAAAGTTAGTTGGGCGTAGTGGCATGCACCTAGTATTCCCAGCTACTAAGGAGGCTAAGGCAGGAGGATTACTTGAGTCCGGGAGGTTGAGGTTGCAGTGAGCTGATCATGCCATACTACTCCAGCCTGGGCTACAGAGCGAGACCCTGTCTTGAAGAAAAAAAAAAAGTCAATGTAATAAAAGACCACAAAAAACAAGGCTGGGCACGGTGGCTCACGCGTGTAATCCCAGCACTTTGGGAGGCCGAGGTGGGCGGATCACGAGGTCAGGAGATCGAGACCATCCTGGCTAACACGGTGAAACCCCATCTCTACCAAAAATACAAAAAATTAGCCGGGCGTGGTGGCGGGCGCCTGTAGTCCCAGCTACTCAGGAGGCTGAGGCAGGAGAATGGTGTGAACCGAGGAGGCGGAGCTTGCAGTGAGTCGAGATCGCGCCACTGCACTCCAGCCTGGGCGACAGAGCGAGACTCCGTCTCAAAAAAAAAAAAAAAAAAAAAAGGATAAACAGACATAACCAAATGCCACGTGTGAAACTTGATTAGTTCCTATATGAGGAAGTATATCTGTAAGAACGTTATTTAGACACTTGGGAAAATGTCAATATAGACTATATATCAAGGTTCAGTTTCCCAAGTGCGACAATTCTATGGGGTTTTGTAGGAAAACTGTCTTTGTTCTTAGGCAGCAGCATGATTTCTGCCCCAGGGGAGGGGGGTGCCGAGAAGAGAATGGGAGAGAAGCAGATGTGGTAGATATCAACTTGGGGAGTCCAGAGGGCATGTGGATGTCATGTGCTATTCTTATAATTTTTGGTAGGTTTGAAATATTTTAAAACAAGTCTGGGCGCGGTGGCTCACGCCTGTAATCCCAGCACTTTGGGAGGCCGAGGCAGGCGGATCACCTGAGACCAGGAGTTCAATACCAACCTGGCCAACATGGTGAAACTCCGTCTCTACTAAAAATACAAAAATTAGTCGGGCGTGGTGGATTGTGCCTGTAATCTCAGCTACTTGGGAGGCTGAGGCAGGAGAATCACTTGAACCCGGGAGGCGGAGGATGCAGTGAGCTGAGATCGTGCCATTGCACTCCAGCCTGGGCAACAGAGCGAGACCCCTTCTCAGAAAAATTTAAAAAAATAAAAAGAAAAGAAATATTTTAAAACAAAACTTGGGAAAAATAAAGAGAGTGGGAGGAGAGAACTAGGAAGTCGTGAATACTGATACCTGTTTACAGAGTTTAGCTGTGAAGGGAAAGAAAGAAAGTCAGCCGTAGCTGGAGGGTGAGGTGAGGCCTCTGTAAAATGGAGAAATAAGGCTGGGCGTGGCAGCTCATGCCTGTAATGCCAGCATTTTGGGAGACCAAGGTGGGCGGATCACTTGAGGCCAGGAGTTTGAGACCAGCCTGGGCAACATGGTGAAACCCCGTCTCTACAAAAAATACAAACACTCGCCTATGGTGGTGTGTGCTTCTAGTCCAAGCTACTCGGGAGGCTGAGGCTCGAGGATCACGTGAGTCTGGGAGGTCAAGGCTGCAGTGAGCCATGATTGTGCCACTGCACTCCCTGTCTCAAAGAAAGAAAGAAAAAAAAAGATGGAGAAGCCGGGCGCGGTGGCTCACGCCTGTAATCCCAGCACTTTGGGAGGCCCAGGCGGGCTGTTCACGAGGTCAGGAATTCGAGACCAGTCTGGCCAACACAGTGAAACCCTGTCTCTACTAAAAATACAAAAAAAAAATTAGCTGGGCATGGTGGTGTGCGCCTGTAATCCCAGCTACTGGGGAGGCTGAGGCAGGAGAATTGCGTGAAACCAGGAGGCGGAGGTTGCAGTGAGCCGAGATCAAGCCATTGCACTCCAGTCTGGGTGACAGAATGAGACTCTGTCTCAGAAAAAGAAAAAAAAGAAAAAGATGGAGAAATAACCACGTGTTGGTGTGGCAGTGGGGGAAATGATCCAGCAGAGGGGAAACTTGATGATGTGGGAGAGGGGGGACTGCTGGGGGGCGTCTCCTCACCCTGGATCGAGAGATGGAGGGCAGTTCATTCTAAGTCCCTGCAGCGCTGGGCCGGGGTCGAGGGATGTGGTGGATCTCGTGGACCTCCTGAAGGCTTCTGTCCCCACCCCAGGTATGTCACCACGCCGACTGCCAGCAGCTGCACCGCCGGGGGCCCCTCAACCTCTGCGAGGCCTGTGACAGCAAGTTCCACAGCACCATGCATTATGATGGGCATGTCCGCTTCGACCTTCCCCCACAAGGTGAGCACAGGCGGGAGCCGCAGCTCGGCCCCCAGAGCTCCTGTGTCAGTGTTTCAGTAACTGTCGGAAACGTGCTAGGGCGTCATAAGGACAAGTCGACTGTAAATAATGAAACCCGAGTATGTTACGGTTCCTTTTGTTCCAAATGTTTTTTAGCAAGAGAGAAAGTCCATGAGCGTGCCCCTTCCAGAGGCAGGCCTTTCTCTATCTGGTGCTGTGCTCTCACTGGTTCTCACCTCCCCCAGCTGCTTTTGCCCCTGGCCTGTGGCCCACACAGAGAAGGCCCCTTTCTTTCTAGTTCTGCCTATCCTCAGGGCAGGGGACTTCTGGACAAGTCCTGCAAGCCAGGCTGTGGGCCTAGCAGAGGCAGTGTGGAGTGGGGGTGGCCAGGTCAGGAGGCACTTGGAGCAGGAAATAAGAAATTCCTCTTGCTGAGCAGGGACCCAGCTCAGGCCCACCATCAACTGCCTATGGAGGAGTGGCTCGCAGGCACCCAGGCCTGGTGAGAAATGCCAACCCCCGAGTCCTTTCCCAGCTGATCAGAGGAACAAAAGGATTCTTCTGGTTGGGCACGGTGGCTCATGTCTGGAATACAAAAAATACAAAAATTAGCCAGGTGTGGTGGCACACACTTGTGGTCCCAGCTGCTCGGAGGCTGAGGTGGAAGGATCGCTTGAACCCCGACAATGGAGGCTCCAGTGAGCCCTGATCGTGCCACTGCACTCCAGCCTGAGCGACAGAGCAAGACCCTGTCTTAAAAAACAATAAACAAACAAAAGACTCTCTCCCACTGCCAGGGCCCCTTGGGAATTCAGGTGTGGTCACAGCATGGGGGAGGGGAGGCCTGGAAGAAAGAGCCATGGACTTTGGTCCCTTCCTGTAATAACCTCAGAGGCAAGGCTTCCTTATCCTTATTTTATAGAAGGGTAAACTGAGGCCACAGGTGAGTTTGTTTTTGGGGTGGAGCTTCACCATGGGTGTCATCCCAGGGCCTTTGTGTCCTTTTGGGTCTGTGGGGATAGACAGCAATGACTAAGGCCAGGCAAGGTGGCTCACACCTGTAATCCCAGCCCTTTGGGAGGCTGAGGTGGGTGGATCACTTCAGGTCAGGAGTTTGAGAACAGCCTGGCCAACATGTTGAAACCCTGTCATTACTAAAAATACAAAAAAATGAGCCGGGTGTGGTGGCACACGCCTGCAATCCCAGCTACTCAAGAGGCTGAAGCATGAGAATTGCTTGAACCCAGGAGGTGGAGGTTGCAGTGAGCCGAGATCATGCCACTGCACTCCAGCCTGGGTGACAGAGTGAGACCCTATCTCAAAACAAAAACAAAAAACAATGACTGAGCCCCTCTCCTCACAGAACTGAAGGGCCCTTGCTACCTTTAATCTGGGGGTTCCAGGGTAACAGGCTGTGGTCCCTCTGGAGGCAGCCATGCTGCAGGCTAAGGAGGGGCGGGGGAGGCACAACCCTCTCCTGCTTTCTCCCAAGGCTCTGTGCTGGCCCGGAACGTGTCCACCCGGTCATGCCCGCCGCGCACCAGCCCCGCAGTGGACTTGGAGGAGGAGGAGGAGGAGAGCTCTGTGGATGGCAAAGGGTAGGTGAGGGATGAGTGGGCAGAGAGATACCTGGAGGGCCCCACGGCTGGGTCTCAGATCAGACATTCAGGACCAGATGCTCTGGCGCCTTCCTCAAGTAAGGCTGATGGGCAGACCTCTTCCCACGCCTGTGGCTGTCCTGACTCCGGGAAGAGGCCACCCAGCCTGGGCCAGCCTCCAGGGTGCTTGGGATCCTAGCCCACACCAGACCAGGTACCGTTCGATGTGACTCCCGTGTTGGCCACCAGAGGGCGCACAGCCCTATGCGGGCCTGGCCGGGTTGAATCCACGCGGGTTACCTGTCACCTGGGGTGAGCCAAGGGCGGGGAGGCCACAGGCCCACTCGCCGCCCACGCTGGCGAGGGCCACCCACACCTCCAGCCTCTGCCCTCCTCGCTTCCCTGCAGGGACCGGAAGAGCACAGGCCTGAAACTCTCCAAGAAGAAAGCAAGGAGGAGACACACGGATGTGAGGAGCCCCCCAGAGCCGGCAGATGCGGGTTCCCTACAGCCTGCGCCCTTCCCCGAGCCTGGGCCTTCCTCCGGGATGGGGGTGGGGAGGTCTGCATCCCAGGGTGCAGAGGTCTGGGAGATCGCTGGGGTTCCCTTTCTTGCTGGGGTTCCCATCCGAGACCGGAGGGTGGGGAGGGTGGGGAGGAGGGTTGGGAAGGAGGGTGGGAAGGAGGGTGGGGAGGAGGGTTGGGAAGGAGGGTGGGAAGGAGGGTGGGGAGGAGGGCGGGAATGAGGGCGGTGAGGAGAAGCTCACAGCCCCCACCCCCACCATCCTCCCAGGACCCAAGCAAGGAATGCTTCACTCTGAAATTTGACCTGAATGTGGACATTGAGACAGAGATCGTCCCAGCCATGAAGAAGAAGTCACTGGGGTAGGGCTTGATGGGGCTCAGGGTGGAAGTGGGACTGGGAGTAGGGGTGGCCCCATGTTGCAGGCTCCGGGTCTCTGCAGGTGTGACGTGTGTGTCTGTGTGGTGGCCCGTGAGCGAGCGCATCCCTGCGTGGGCAGACCCGTGCTGGTGTGCACGCCAGTGTGAGGGAGTGCGGTGGGGTCTGTGTACTTGTGCATTTTAATCATGTATGCAGGAGCCAGGCCTGCGTGTGGGCAGGCGTGTGACAGGTCTGCCGTGGTATGCAGATGCGCCTGTGTGAGCACCTCTGCGGGCAGGTGTCTGTGGACCTGCGTGTGATCCCATGCGGGCTTCCCTTTTCCGTTGGGAAGGTGGGGGCAGCTGGGGCTGTGGGTGGGGCGGGGGCTCGTGGGGGCGGGGCCCAAGCTGAAGCGACTGGCCGCCTGGTTCTAACACACATGCCTCCTGTCCTGGGGGCAGGGAGGTGCTGCTGCCTGTATTTGAAAGGAAGGGCATTGCGCTGGGCAAAGTGGACATCTACCTGGACCAGTCCAACACACCCCTGTCCCTCACCTTCGAGGCCTACAGGTTCGGGGGACACTACCTTCGTGTCAAAGGTGAGAAGCAGCCTGGGCCAAATGGGGCCGCTGGGACTGGCGGAGCCTCCTGGAGATGGGCGCCCTTCCCAGGCTCAGGTTCCCATTGGTCGTGGGCCTGAGCAGCCTCATTACCATACAGGTGTCTCTGCTGGATGCTGCTGGGGGAGGGGAGGGTGCTGGCAGGGCGGGGCTGTCGGGGGAGGGCAGGCAGGCCTTGGTGTGGATCCTCCGGGGAGAGAGGACCGGGGACCCCCTCCTCCACCAGACCAGGGTACTGAGGATCTCTCGTGGCCCCCACATGCAGCCCCAGCCAAGCCTGGAGATGAGGGCAAGGTGGAGCAGGGCATGAAGGACTCCAAGTCCCTGAGTTTGCCGATTCTGCGGCCAGCTGGGACCGGGCCCCCCGCCCTGGAGCGTGTGGACGCCCAGAGCCGCCGGGAGAGCCTGGACATCTTGGTGAGGAGGAGGGGGTGTGTCAGGGGAGGGGGTGGGAAGGGGCCCAGGCTGGGCCCACAGCCCCTCCTCAGAGGCAGTCACCCTGGGTCTCTCACTGCCCCATCTTGGGGTTTTAATTGTCCCTTCTGGAAAATGGGGTTGGCTGGGAGAGTAGGGGACCCTCTCTCTCTGGATCTAGCCATAGCCCAAGGTGAGGGCTTGTATCTGAGACTCTTCTAGTGCCAGGGGTCAGGGAACCTGTGTGTGCATGTGTGTGTGAGAGCACTTGTACCTGGGGCTACAGACCACCCAGAGCTGTGTTCCAGAGTGCATCTGAGTGTGTAACTCTGTGCTTCATGCTTGAAGCTGGGGGACTGGGGGATGATAGTCTGGGCGTATCTGTGTCTGGACCTTCCAGTCTCCAGATATGTCTGGGTCCCAGGAGAGGGGACACCCCAGGGTAGAGATGCAGAGACCCTCCTCCATCCCAGGCTGGCCTGAGGCCCTGGAAACCCGCCCTGGGGTGGGGCCATGGGGGCTGGCAGGGGGTCCCGGCCCTGACCACCCTTCCCTGACCAGGCCCCTGGCCGCCGCCGCAAGAACATGTCGGAGTTCCTGGGGGAGGCGAGCATCCCCGGGCAGGAGCCCCCCACGCCCTCCAGCTGCTCTCTGCCCAGCGGCAGCAGTGGCAGCACCAACACTGGCGACAGCTGGAAGAACCGGGCGGCCAGTCGCTTCAGCGGCTTTTTCAGCTCCGGCCCCAGCACCAGCGCCTTTGGCCGGGTATGTGGCCCCATCTGCCCAGGGTCAGGCAGCTGGCTGGCCATGACCCCTGACCCTGACCAGGGTATCTTTCCAGGAGGTAGACAAGATGGAGCAGCTGGAGGGCAAGCTGCACACCTACAGCCTCTTCGGGCTGCCCAGGCTGCCCCGGGGGCTGCGCTTCGACCATGACTCCTGGGAGGAGGAGTACGATGAAGACGAGGATGAGGACAATGCCTGCCTGAGGCTGGAGGACAGCTGGCGGGAGCTCATTGATGGGCATGAGGTGAGTGCGGGCCACAGTGCTGCTCCCTCCTTGTCCCGAAAGGAGGACAGCCCTCGGGAGGACCCAGTGATCAGATGTTCCATGGGACGCCCCAAAGAGGCCACTGTTACCATTAGCCCACTTTGGAGACACTGAGGCTAGATGAAAATGGTGTGCTGCTTGGCTGTTTTAATGGCAGAGGAGGGCCCAGATCTTGGGTGTCTTAACTGTGATTACTCATGTGGTGTCAAGGGTGACCCTGCTCCTCTTGGGACCTCCATGTCCCCATTGGGAAAATGAGAGTTGCATGCAGGTTGCTTATCCTCCCCGGCCACCCTAAGGTGCTCCAGGCCTCGTGAATGACCCATCCTGCCCTCCCTCTAGAAGCTGACCCGGCGGCAGTGCCACCAGCAGGAGGCGGTGTGGGAGCTGCTGCACACGGAGGCCTCCTACATCAGGAAACTGCGGGTGATCATCAACGTGAGTAGGGGCTGCGCTGGTCCCCGTGGCCACCCTGCCCCCCTCTTTCTGACAGCCCTCAGCTGAGTCTGAGCCTTTGCAGAAGGAGCAGGTGCCTGGCAATGAGGTGGGGGCAGGAAAGTCAGACAAGGGCTGCGCCCAGGGAGGAGGTGCCTCCTAGAGGAACCTGGGAGGGGGCTTCGGGCAGGTTTGTCAGGTTCAGCTGAATTAGCACAGGTGAGGCCTCATTCTTTCACTTTCGTTCAGTGGCTGTTTCCCAACACTTGCTGTGTGCTGGGTGCCCAGCAGGCCACGCCCTGGACGGGACAGAGTGAGCTGGCAGTGTAGGGATTTCGGCTCAGGGAGGGGAGCACCTACCCTGGGCTTGGAGCTTCCTGGAGGGAGGAAGCACCCTCAGAGGTGAAATCTGGAGGCTAAGCCAGGGCAGAGGTGGAGAAGGGAATTCCAGGCATGGCTTCAAAGCCAGTCTCCCCCGAGCTTCCCTCCAGGAGGGACCAGGGCAGTGTGACCTCGGGAGGGCTATGAGGACTGGGTCTTTCCTCAGGGTCTGGACTACCCAGGTGCGAAGGCCAAAGGGTACAGCCTTCTTATCCGTGGCTGCTGTGGGGCCTCCTGGAACGGGGAAGGGGAAGGAGTGGCAGGGGAGCCTGAGGCTGGGTGGGGCCCTAGGGCTGAGACAGCCTCCCGACCCCAGTCACACCATCCCCTGATCCCACAGCTGTTCCTGTGCTGCCTCCTGAACCTGCAAGAGTCAGGGCTGCTGTGTGAGGTGCGCTGGGATTCGGGGGCGGCGGCGGGTGAGGTACCAGGAAGGAGGGCGGGACCTGGACCTGGGGCGGGGCTAACCTGGCGGAGGGGCGTGGCCAACCGCACCTCCCGCCGCGCCCAGGTGGAGGCGGAGCGCCTGTTCAGCAACATCCCGGAGATCGCGCAGCTGCACCGCAGGCTGTGGGCTAGCGTGATGGCGCCGGTGCTGGAGAAGGCGCGGCGCACGCGAGCGCTGCTACAGCCCGGGGACTTCCTCAAAGGCTTCAAGATGGTACGGGCGGGGCCGGGCGCAGGCGGGGGCACTGAGGCAGGGCTGGGGCGCCGAAAAGCCTCCACGGCCCGATCCGGTCTGCCCAGCATCCCCAACCTCCCCCAGGCCCGTAACCGCACTTGACCCCTTGTGGCCAAGGGTGAGGAATTACGAGGCGGTCGCCCGGGTTTGAGCCTCCACCTGACCATCTACCCCTGATCCCTGGCCACGGGTGGTCACTTTGGCTGAGGCTCAGTTTCCTCATCAGGAAACAGGGATCATAAGCTTGCTGCCCCCTTGGGGTGGTCGCCCAAGTGCAGTAAGGAAGCGCTTGCGCAGCGCCTGGCGCGGGCCGGCCCGCAGGGAGCGCGCGGTAACCGGCGCCGTGGTTGTTCTGCCCCGGGCCAGTTCGGCTCGCTCTTCAAGCCCTACATCCGCTACTGCATGGAGGAGGAGGGCTGCATGGAGTACATGCGCGGCCTGCTGCGCGACAACGACCTCTTCCGGGCCTACATCACGGTGAGGGCGCGCGTGCCGTGGGCGGGGGCGCAGGAGGACGGGACCCTGGACGGGGCCGGGTGGGGCGGGGCCTGCCCTGAGCCCGCCCCCACTCCCCCACCGCAGTGGGCGGAGAAGCACCCACAGTGCCAGAGGCTGAAGCTGAGCGACATGCTGGCCAAACCCCACCAGCGGCTCACCAAGTACCCGCTGCTGCTCAAGTCGGTGCTGAGGAAGACCGAGGAGCCGCGCGCCAAGGAGGCCGTCGTCGCCATGGTAACCCTGATGGCCAGCGGGAGCCGTCCCCCCTGCGCGGCTCTCTGCTCCGTCATGACCCTGGACCTGAAGCTCCCTCACCTGCCCCTAGATCGGCTCCGTGGAGCGCTTCATCCACCACGTGAACGCGTGCATGCGGCAGCGGCAGGAGCGGCAGCGGCTGGCGGCCGTGGTGAGCCGCATCGACGCCTACGAGGTGGTGGAAAGCAGCAGCGACGAAGTGGACAAGGTGGGCGTGTGTGTCTGCGGGGGTTGCCGGCTGGGAGAGAGGAAGGCCCAGCTGGCAGGCAGGGGCTGTGCTGGGCATCTCACTGAGGATGCCTAGCTGAGATGGGAGTCAGTCTCTGGCCTCCCCTACGTTCACGCCATCCGTCCCCAGCTCCTGAAGGAATTTCTGCACCTGGACTTGACAGCGCCCATCCCTGGCGCCTCCCCGGAGGAGACGCGGCAGCTGCTGCTGGAGGGGAGCCTGAGGATGAAGGAGGGGAAGGACAGCAAGGTGATTCCAGGGCCACCCCACCCCTGTGCCCTGCCCTTCCTAGGGACCTCCTGGGCCCCAGTCACTGGTTCTCAGCTCTGCAGTCCCTTCGGTGGTTACTCAAGAACCAGTGACCTTGTCATAGTGAATGACAGTTCTCTGCCTGCCATTCACAAATCCAGCAGTAGGGTCCTAGCCCTTGAAGGCACCAGTTGTGCCCATTTGTTGGTGCCACATGGGTTCCTGGTGGGAGGGCAGCCATATTCCACAAGTGGGCCAGGAACCCCAGAGCCTTGCTACTGTGCCATGGCCCCTTCAGGCATGGGGCAGGCTGAGAGCTTGCACACGGTGACTTCAAAGTCACCAGTCTTCTTTTTAATGTAAACTTGTATTGAGATAAGTCATCAACGTACATCTCAGTGAAAGAGAATCATCTTCCTCTTCATTTTAATTTTACTTGAAGGTTCATGGTGGGAGGAGTGTTTGACAAAAACCGAGTGCTCCCAGGGGAGGCTGGTGCCACAGTCCCTGGCCCTGACCCTGCTGGCCTCTCTGGCCACCCCCCCTCCTGCCACTGCAGATGGATGTGTACTGCTTCCTCTTCACGGATCTGCTGTTGGTGACCAAAGCAGTGAAGAAGGCAGAGAGGACCAGGGTCATCAGGCCACCCCTGCTCGTGGACAAGATTGTGTGCCGGGAGCTACGGGACCCTGGTAAGGAGCCCTGGTCCCCTGTTCCTGGTCAGGGGCTGTGATGGGTGGGGGCCATCGTCTCTGCTGACACTGACTTGGGCCTTCCCTAACCAGGGTCCTTCCTCCTTATCTACCTGAATGAGTTTCACAGTGCTGTAGGGGCCTACACGTTCCAGGCCAGTGGCCAGGCCTTGTGCCGTGGCTGGGTGGACACCATTTACAATGCCCAGGTGAGTGCAGAGTAGTGAGTGGGTGGGCAAGGCAGATTAGGGAGATGCTGGTCACAACCCATTCTGTCCCATGTACCCCAACCTTGCCTGCAGAACCAGCTGCAACAGCTGCGTGCACAGGAGCCCCCAGGCAGTCAGCAGCCCCTGCAGAGCCTGGAAGAGGAGGAGGATGAGCAGGAGGAGGAAGAGGAGGAGGAGGAGGAGGAGGAGGAAGGCGAGGACAGTGGCACTTCAGCTGCCAGCTCCCCTACCATCATGCGGAAAAGCAGCGGCAGCCCCGACTCTCAGCACTGGTACGTCTGCTCATGACCACCCAGCAGGTCAAACCAGGACAAGTACTCTAGCCCAGGACTCCTGAAGGCCCAGCCACGCTCCCTTCCTCCCAATGGCCTCTTGTCATGAACACTGTGGGAGCGGGGCTCTGTCTCCCCCAGAGTCCGGGTGGGGAGGGCAGACACCTTTCCATGTGCTGCCAGCCCTGATCCATTCGTGGTAGCTGCCTGGGGTGCTGTGCTGAGGATCCTTAGGGCAGATCCAGCCTTGGCAGGGAAGAGTGCTGGGCTCGCTACTGAGGTCTGTTGTGGGCACTGGAGCTGGAAGATCTGCCACACCTGCCACATGCTGCCATCTCTGAGCCTCCAGCCCCAGGAGGGCAGAGGGTATAAACCACCGTGCATTGCCCAGCCTGGGGCTGCCTCAGGCCATCTAGGTTTCATGGCCTGGGCTGACTCTGCTCCTGGCCCCACAGTGCCTCAGATGGCTCCACGGAGACCCTGGCCATGGTTGTGGTAGAGCCTGGGGACACGCTGTCCTCCCCCGAGTTCGACAGCGGTCCTTTCAGCTCCCAGTCTGATGAGACCTCTCTCAGCACCACTGCCTCATCTGCCACGCCCACCAGTGAGCTGCTGCCCCTGGGTCCGGTGGACGGCCGCTCCTGCTCCATGGACTCTGCCTACGGCACCCTCTCCCCAACCTCCTTACAAGACTTTGTGGCCCCAGGCCCAATGGCAGAGCTAGTGCCTCGGGCCCCAGAGTCCCCACGAGTTCCTTCCCCTCCACCCTCGCCCCGTCTCCGCCGCCGCACCCCTGTCCAGCTGTTGAGCTGCCCGCCCCACCTGCTCAAGTCTAAGTCCGAGGCCAGCCTCCTCCAGCTGCTGGCAGGGGCTGGCACCCATGGGACACCCTCTGCCCCCAGCCGCAGCCTGTCAGAGCTCTGCCTGGCTGTTCCAGCCCCAGGTATTAGGACTCAGGGCTCCCCTCAGGAAGCTGGGCCCAGCTGGGATTGCCGAGGGGCCCCTAGCCCTGGCAGCGGTCCTGGGCTAGTCGGCTGCCTGGCCGGGGAACCTGCAGGCTCCCACAGGAAGAGGTGTGGAGACCTGCCCTCGGGGGCCTCTCCCAGGGTCCAGCCTGAGCCCCCACCAGGGGTCTCTGCCCAGCACAGGAAGCTGACCCTGGCCCAGCTCTACCGAATCAGGACCACCCTGCTGCTTAACTCCACGCTCACTGCCTCGTGAGTGGCCTGGACTGGGGTAGGGCAGGTGGCTCAGGGCACTGGCATGGGGGCCCACTCATGCCTGGGAGCATCGCATTTGGGGAGGGTCATGGCGGAGGGAGCCTGAACCCTGCCCAGTGTCTGGGCGCAGGGGGCTGTGGTGGGCAGCAGTGAAGGGGCCTGAGGAGTGCCGTGGGGAAGAGAGGGTGACCAGAGCCACTCTGAATGGCGTCAGCCAAAGAAGGACTCTGTCCCCTCCCCACCCTGTAGGGAGGTCTGAGCAGAGGGAGGCCCCCAAGAGTGCCATTGACCAAGAGACAGCAGACAGCCTGCCTCCTGGGGCGTGCCGGCACCTGCTTCAGCTACTGCCTCCTGTATGCATGAGCCGGATGCTGGGCAGGATCCCTGCCTACGCCCGGGCCCGATTTGCGCTTTGCCGGACTGGATGGAGTGGAGGAGGCCCAGGCCACAGTACCACCCCACCTGCCCAGGCAGCCCCTCGTCACCTACTCCCCGAAGTTACCAGCTCAGCTCGAGTCTTCAGGGCTGGGCTCCTAGGCTGCCCATCCTACTTCTACCCTCACTGGCCTCCAGTGGGATTCACTCCTGCCCTGCCCCCACCTTCCCAGTCCCACAGGCCACCCCTGGCTTGGGCTGGGTTCTGTGAAGTTACGTATTTATTGAGCTTTTGGTTCTTTTATAAAGACTTGTCTAGACTCCACTGGGAAGAGTCCTTTGCTTTGGGGCCCAGTGACTCGGGGCACTTGAGTTCAGGGCGGCCTCCTTGTGTTCCTGTGCTCCTCCACTTGCCACGGATGGGCCACGGATGGAGCTTGCCATGGGAAGCACTGGGAAGTAATGGGGTGTGGGGTGCCACCAGACCAACACCCCCAGACTTCCCCACCTTCAGCCACCATCAGAGCCTCTCCCCAGGTGCCCCCCGGGGATTCAGGGCTGAATCTGCCCAGTTCCCACACTCAGGCCAGCCCTCTTGGGAAGGTGGGTCCTCCATGGGGGTCCCTTCAGGAACTTTTTTTTTTTTTTTAATACAGAGTCTCACTCTGTCACCTAGGTTGGAGTGCAGTGGTGTGATGTCGGCTCACTGCAACCTCTGCCTCCCGGGTTCAAACGATTCTCCTGCCCCAGCCACTCTAGTAGCTGGAACTGCAGGTGTGCACCACCACGCCGGGCTAGTTTTTGTATTTTAAGTAGAGACGGCATTTCACCATATTGGTCAGGCTGGTCTCGAACTCCTGACCCCAAGTGTTCCGCCCGCCTCTGCCTCCCATAGTGCTAGAATTACAGGCCTGAGCTACTGCGCTTGGCCCCTTGCGGTACTTTTGGCCCAACCTCCTCCATGGCTGGGGACGCGGAGGCCGAGAGAGAAGTCACTTGCCCTGGCTCTACCTTGAAGTGGTTCTCAGGGTTGGGGCGAGAGTCGGGGTGGGGACCGAGATGCAGCTCTATCCTGTGCCCCTGGTCGCAGCAGGCAGCCCAGCGCTTCGCGTGTTCTACTTGGCCTGTCCGCTGCCGCCTAATGAGCTCAGGTCTAGGCCGAGCAGAGGGGGCACCTGGTCGGACTCGGTTGGGCTCGGGCGGCCCCGCCTCCCCCCGCCCGCCAGGCGGGCCCTTCTCGACGGCGCGGGGCGGGCCCTGCGGGCGCGGGGCTGAAGGCGGAACCACGACGGGCAGAGAGCACGGAGCCGGGAAGCCCCTGGGCGCCCGTCGGAGGGCTATGGAGCAGCGGCCGCGGGGCTGCGCGGCGGTGGCGGCGGTGAGTTGAGACGCAGGAGGCTAGGGGCAGCTTTGAGCCCTGTCCCAAGAGCCTCGGTGAAGGAAGGGGCCCCGGGCGCGTCTCCACTCCAAGCCTCACTGGGGGCTGGGTTGGCCGCCCTTTCCGATCTCGTTAAAGGCTCCTCCAGGGCGTAGCCCTTCCACTGAGAGGAAACCCCTCCCAGGAGGGTCTGGGGGCCCCAGGCAGAGCATTATCAGTGTCCCTCCCCCAACAGAAAGCATGGGTGGGGGTGGGGGCGCTGCTGGATTCCTGCTCTGGTGGAGGGGAAACTTGTGAGGGGCTGGTAAGCGCCCCCTCCGAAGCCTGGTGTGTGCGCGGGGGGAAGGAAGTTAGTTTCCTCTCCACCCATGGGCACCCCTTCTGCCCGGGGCCTGGGAAGTGGGCTGCTCTGTGGGCAAATGCTGGGGCCTCTGAAATGGAGGAGACGCAGCAGGGAGAGGCCCCACGTGGGCAGCTGCGCTGAGAGTCAGCAGCACCTGTCCCCCAGGCGCTCCTCCTGGTGCTGCTGGGGGCCCGGGCCCAGGGCGGCACTCGTAGCCCCAGGTGTGACTGTGCCGGTGACTTCCACAAGAAGATTGGTCTGTTTTGTTGCAGAGGCTGCCCAGCGGGTAAGTGGCCACAGGGGTGGGAGAGGCATGGGGCAGGCAGGGCTGGAGAGGTGGCGGGCAGGCCCGGGAGGTAAGAGGAGGCTGGCAGGGGAGGTAGGGGTAGGCTGACAGAGAAGTAGGGAGCTGGAGAGAAAGAGGGAGGGAGGGCAGGGTGGGAAGCAGGTCGGGGGTTGCTGGGCAGCCCCTCTGCCTGCCTGACCCCTGCCTGGTTCCACAGGGCACTACCTGAAGGCCCCTTGCACGGAGCCCTGCGGCAACTCCACCTGCCTTGTGTGTCCCCAAGACACCTTCTTGGCCTGGGAGAACCACCATAATTCTGAATGTGCCCGCTGCCAGGCCTGTGATGAGCAGGGTGAGGGGCTTCTCAGTGCTTGGCAGGGAGTTCCTAAGGACAGGCCTTTCTGAAGGAAGTGGCTGGCTCGGGCCCAAACTTGGGGTGTGAGGGTCCTGCACCCACCCTTGCCAGAACCCTCCACCCTGATCCTCCTTCAGGGTGCCCTTGCCCCTTCTCTCTTCCTGGTGACCTTCCCATCTCTCCATGTGCCTTGGCCTCTGGTCGGCCTTAATCTCTGAGCTTCTCTCTTTTTTAGGGTAGCCCTGTACCTGTCTGTCTTTCGCCTATTTCTGTCTCCATTATCTTGGGATAATGCCTCTGCCTCTCCATGGGAGCCTTTGGCCCTGACTAACTCTCCACTCCCCATCTCCCTGCACCCCCACCAGCCTCCCAGGTGGCGCTGGAGAACTGTTCAGCAGTGGCCGACACCCGCTGTGGCTGTAAGCCAGGCTGGTTTGTGGAGTGCCAGGTCAGCCAATGTGTCAGCAGTTCACCCTTCTACTGCCAACCATGCCTAGACTGCGGGGCCCTGCACCGCCACACACGGCTACTCTGTGAGTACCCCCACCCAGGGCTCTCTACTCCCAGACCCCCTTCTCCCTGCCTGACCCACTCCTGTCCCATGGTGACGCATGCCTCTCCTGGATTGCAGGTTCCCGCAGAGATACTGACTGTGGGACCTGCCTGCCTGGCTTCTATGAACATGGCGATGGCTGCGTGTCCTGCCCCACGTAATTCCTAGCTGTCGTGGGATGGAGGGAAGGGCGGCTGGGAGCAGAGCAGGGGCCTGGGGTGGGGCAGGTGCTGCTGGTTCAGGAATAGGAAGAGGGGATAGGGAGGAGGGAGCCTTGGCCCTGTGATGGGTGGGCCCCACTTCAGGCAAACTTAGATGGCAAAAGAGCAATCTGGATCCGCCTTAGCCAGATACATAAGGGTATTTGCCTTCACTTTCAGCCAGCATTCCCCCCAGCGATCCTAGCCAGATATTACAGATGATTTGTCACTTACACAGAGAGTCACATTGATATAGCTTTAAAACTTGGGCTGAAGGAGGTTGAGGCTGCAGTGAGCTATGATCGTGCCACTGCACTTCAGCCTGGGCAACAGAGCGAGACCTATTAAATAAATAAATAAATATTAAATCTATTAAATATTAAATATTAAATCTATTAAATAAATAAATACAAAGGGCTGAGAGTCAGGACTGTGCTGCTAGTTCTCTAGGGGATCTTGGGCAAGTGCAGAGAATTCGCGTCTCTGATGTGTGGTGTCCCTTTCTCAACATGGGATGTTAGCAGCTAATTCACAGGCCTTTGATCAGAGGTAAGGGACTTTCTGTAGCTATTCAAGTCTTTTTTTTTTTTTTTTTTTTTTTTTTTTGAGATGGAGACTTGCTCTGTCACCCAGGCTGGAGTGCAGTGGCACGATCTTGGCTCACTACAACCTCTGCTGCCTGGGTTCAAGTGATTCTCCTGCCTCAGCCTCCCAAGTAGCTGGGACTACAGGAGCCCACCACCACCCCCGGCTAATTTTTTGTATTTTTAGTAGAGACGGGGTTTCACCGTGTTAGCCAAGATGGTCTTGATCACCTGACCTCGTGATCCACCCGCCTTGGCCTCCCAAAGTGCTGGGATTACAGGCATGAGCCACCGCGCCCGGCCTCCATTCAAGTCTTTATTGAATATCTGCTATGTTCTACACACTGTTCTAGGTGCTGGGGATGCAACAGGGGACAAAATAGGCAAAATCCCTGTCCTTTTGGGGTTGACATTCTAGTGACTCTTCATGTAGTCTAGAAGAAGCTCAGTGAATAGTGTCTGTGGTTGTTACCAGGGACACAATGACAGGAACATTCTTGGGTAGAGTGAGAGGCCTGGGGAGGGAAGGGTCTCTAGGATGGAGCAGATGCTGGGCAGTCTTAGGGAGCCCCTCCTGGCATGCACCCCCTCATCCCTCAGGCCACCCCCGTCCCTTGCAGGAGCACCCTGGGGAGCTGTCCAGAGCGCTGTGCCGCTGTCTGTGGCTGGAGGCAGAGTAGGTGGTGTGCTGGGAATGCGAGTGGGAGAACTGGGATGGACCGAGGGGAGGCGGGTGAGGAGGGGGGCAACCACCCAACACCCACCAGCTGCTTTCAGTGTTCTGGGTCCAGGTGCTCCTGGCTGGCCTTGTGGTCCCCCTCCTGCTTGGGGCCACCCTGACCTACACATACCGCCACTGCTGGCCTCACAAGCCCCTGGTTACTGGTAAGTACACACACCCACACACGCACCCAGAAGCCTGGGGTCAGGATGGGTAGCCCAGAGTCTACTCAACCCTGATACAGAAGGGGAAACTGAGGCAGGGAGTGTGGGGTGCAGAGGAACCCTAGAGGAGCTGTACCAGCACCCAGGTCCAGGAGGCTTGCCTGGTGGCTGACCGCAATCTCTCTGTGTCTGTCAGCAGATGAAGCTGGGATGGAGGCTCTGACCCCACCACCGGTAAGAACCTCACTGTGTGATTCTGGGCTGCCTTCTGGAGCTGGAAGATCAAGCCTTACTATGATCCCTGGAGCTTGGCACGCGGCCAGCACCGGGTAGCCCTAGTGGACAGAGGTGTTGGGAGCAGAGTCATCAGTGGATGAGACCAGCACAGTGCCTGCCCTCAAGGGGTGCTCAGTCAGCTGGAGTTCAGATTCGTACACAGGAGCTAACAGTTCAATGGAAGGAGAGCCCCATGGTGCTGGGGGACAAGAGGAAGGAGGCGGGGGCAGGGGACTCAAGGCAGAAGCAAGAGTTCTGCTGGGCTACAGTGAGAGCAGGGCCAACTGTGGGAGGTGTCATTGCGGGGGTGTCTGCTGACTGAACCAGGGACTGTCCCCTCCTGGAGAGGCACTGCGGGTAAGGGGCCTTACTTGGCAAGCAGGGCTGACCTGGGGCCCCTCTTGGCTTCCAGGCCACCCATCTGTCACCCTTGGACAGCGCCCACACCCTTCTAGCACCTCCTGACAGCAGTGAGAAGATCTGCACCGTCCAGTTGGTGGGTAACAGCTGGACCCCTGGCTACCCCGAGACCCAGGAGGCGCTCTGCCCGCAGGTGACATGGTCCTGGGACCAGTTGCCCAGCAGAGCTCTTGGTAAGGGACATCAGTGGCCTGAGGCCTTGACCCCATTCTCCTGTCTGCGGTGGGAAGTTGTGGTTTCACAACGTGTTCCCTTTCTGCCCCCTAACTGACGGAGTCCGCCCTATGCCCTGACCCACCGGATCCAGCGGGCTTCAGCCCTGGGGTACCCGCACGAACGCCCCTGACTCTGCCTCCCGACCGCGGCCCACGTACCCCAATTGGCTCTCTCTGGCCCTGCCCCAGGCCCCGCTGCTGCGCCCACACTCTCGCCAGAGTCCCCAGCCGGCTCGCCAGCCATGATGCTGCAGCCGGGCCCGCAGCTCTACGACGTGATGGACGCGGTCCCAGCGCGGCGCTGGAAGGAGTTCGTGCGCACGCTGGGGCTGCGCGAGGCAGAGATCGAAGCCGTGGAGGTGGAGATCGGCCGCTTCCGAGACCAGCAGTACGAGATGCTCAAGCGCTGGCGCCAGCAGCAGCCCGCGGGCCTCGGAGCCGTTTACGCGGCCCTGGAGCGCATGGGGCTGGACGGCTGCGTGGAAGACTTGCGCAGCCGCCTGCAGCGCGGCCCGTGACACGGCGCCCACTTGCCACCTAGGCGCTCTGGTGGCCCTTGCAGAAGCCCTAAGTACGGTTACTTATGCGTGTAGACATTTTATGTCACTTATTAAGCCGCTGGCACGGCCCTGCGTAGCAGCACCAGCCGGCCCCACCCCTGCTCGCCCCTATCGCTCCAGCCAAGGCGAAGAAGCACGAACGAATGTCGAGAGGGGGTGAAGACATTTCTCAACTTCTCGGCCGGAGTTTGGCTGAGATCGCGGTATTAAATCTGTGAAAGAAAACAAAACAAAACAAAAACGGCTTCTTGGCGTTTCTGCGGGGCTGGGGTGTTAAGTGGACTGGACTTTTCTCGAGGGATTCGAAGGGGACGGGAATCTTGTCACCCCGGGATCTGGCACCCATGGTGGAGTCCAGTGTGGCCTTAGCTCCCAAGCCTGCCCCTCCCGAGTCCACTCTGGCTCAATTACCCCGAGAAGGAGAGAGCAAGTCGCGGCCACAGCGAGTGAGTGAACCGGAGCCCAGATGAGAGCGCTTTAATGGGGCTGCGAGGTGGCGGAGACAGGGTCGGGATGGGGTGCAGCAGTTGGAGACACAGGGTCAGGGCCCCTCATCCTCTATTCACTCCACCGGGGCAGTGAAAGGGTCCCGGCAGCGAGTGGGTCTGGCTGGGGACGGGGCGCAGACTTGAGGGAGGTGGGGCCAGAGGTGGGGTCCCGGGGGCCACAAGTGCGGCCCGGCCAGACAGGCAGTTTTCATGTTTCTGGTAAACAAATGACTGAGAGGAAACCCTTGGCGGGGATAAGAAATGAGGCCCGGGCTAGGCCGCGCGCAGATCTGGGTCAGAGAGGAAGGGAAAACCCCTTCCCCGAGCTCGGGGCCTGCCTCCACCCAGGATGCGCCAGCGACGCCGGTTCCGGGGTGCGGGGGAGGGGGCTGCATCCTGGAGGGGGCTGAGCCCCGCAGGAAAACAAAGTCACCACCCACGGGGCTGGGGAGAGCTCTGCACTCTTTGATAGTCAACGAACATGCAAATATATGTAAGTCGGCATGCAAATAAGCAGCATTTGTTGTTGTTTGCGTCAGCAGCTTGGGCACTTTTTCTGGGCAACCGTGGCGGCGTGTGCACTCCAGTGTTGCCAAGGGCTGGGGATACGGGGGGCCAGGGTGGGGGTCAGGGAGGGTTTCCAGCGCAGGAGGGGAGGGCTGTGCGGCTCCCAGCCTTTCCACCAGGGCCTGGCTGGCTGGGGCTGGGGCGGAGGGCCCCACGGAGCTGCGAGGCTGCGGACAGGAGTCTGCGGCCTCTAGTACTTAGCGATGTCCCCCTTCTTCAGGATGACCTGTCGCTGCCAGGGCGCCAGCTTGCTCTCATCGTAGCCCAGCGTCCGCAGCTTCTCTGACTGTTCCTTCTCCCGCCGCAGCTCCTCCTGCTTCTGTCGCTCCTCCTCTTTCCTGAGGCAGTGGGGAGGGGGGCAGACCCGGTGAAGTCTGGGGCCAGATACCCAGGCTGGCAGAAAGGGTGGGGCCAGGCACCAGGCAGAGGCCAGGTCACCCATGCAAGGGGTGGGTTACTGAGGGCTGGGGCTCGGTTGCTGAAGACAGAGGGGCTAGATTGGGGGCAGAATGGGGTTACTGGAGCACAGGGGAGCTGGGTGAGTGGGAGGTTAAGGCTGGATTATTGTGGGCTGGGGTTTTACTGGAAACAGAGGTGCTGGGTCACTGTGTGGCACCATGTGAGGAGGTGGTATTGCTGGGTGCAGCAGCAAGATTACTGGGACCAGGACTTGAGTTGTGGGGGAGCTGTCAATATGAAGTATTGAGGACTGGGGTGGGGCTGCTGGGGAGCAGAGAGACCATATAATTGAGAGAGGGACTGAGAATTAGAGACAAGTTATTAGAACATAGAGGGTAGATCTGCCTGTTGACAGAGTAGTCACTAAGCACATGTGGCTGCTGAACATTTGAAATGTGGCTGGTCTAAATTGTGATGGATTGCAGGTGTAAAATGTGCATGATATTTCAAAGACTAAGTTTTATTATTATTTGAGTCAGGGTCTCGCTCTGTTGCCAGGGTGGAGCGCAGTGGTGAGATCATGGCTCACTGCAGCCTCGACCTCCTGGGCTCACGTAATCCTCCCACCTCAGCCTCCCAAGTAGCTGGAACCACAGATGTGTGCCACTACGCCCAGCTATTTTTTTTTTTTTTAATTGAGACAGAGTCTCGCTCTGTCACCCAGGCTGGAGTGCAGTGGCACGATCTCGGCTCACTGCAACCTCCACCTCCCAGTTTCAAGTGATTTTCCTGCCTCAGCCTTCTGAGTAGCTGGGATTACAGGAGCGTGCCACCATGCCCAGCTAATTTTTGTATTTTTAGTAGAGACGGGGTTTCACCATGTTGGTCAGGCTGGTCTTGAACTCCTGACCTCAGGTGATCATTCTGCCTCCGCCTCCCAAAGTGCTGGGATTACAGGCGTGAGCCACCGAGCCCAGCCCGCCCAGCTAATTTTTTTTTTTTTTTGAAATGGAGTCTCACTCTGTTGCCCAGGCTAGAGTACAAAACGGCGTGATCCTGGCTCACTGCAACCTCCGCCTTCCAGATTCAAGTGATTCTGCTGCCTCAGCCTCCCGAGTAGCTGGGATTACAGGCATGCGCCATCACGACCACCTAATTTTTATATTTTTAGTAGAGACAGGGTTTCACCATGTTGGCCAGGCTGGTCTTGAACTCCTGACCTCAGGTGATCCACCCGCTTCAGCCTCCCAAAGTGCTGGGATTACAGGTATGAGCCACTGCGCCCAGCCCCCTGCAGCTAATTAAAAAAAATTTTTTTTGCAGGCCTGGTGCGAAGGCTTACGCCTGTGATCCCAGCACTTTGGGAGGCTGAGGCGGGTGGATCACCTGAGGTCAGGAGTTCGAGACCAGCCTGACCAACATGGCAAAACCCGGCCTCTACTAAAAATACAAAAATTAGCCGGGCGTGGTGGCGGGCGCCTGTAATCCCAACTACCAGGGAGGCTGAGGCAGGAGAATCACTTGAACCCAGGAGGTAGAGGTTGCAGTGAGCCAAGATTGTGCCACTGTACTCCAGCCTGGACAACAAGAGCAAAACTCTGTCTCAAAAAAAAAGAAAAAAGCCAGACTTGGTGGCTCATGCCTATAATCCCAGCACTTTGGGAGGCCGAGGCGGGTGGATCGCTTCAGGTCAGGAGTTTGAGACCAGCTTGGCCAACATGGTGAAACCCCATCTCTACTAAAAATACAAAATTAGCTGGGTGTGGTGGCACACGCTTGTAATCCCAGCTACTTGGGAGGCTGAGGCAGGAGAATCACTTGAACCCAGGAGGCAGAGGTTGCATGAGCCCAGATCGCCACTGCACTCCAGATTGGGTGACAAGAGTGAAACCCCATCTCAAAAAAAAATTTTTTTTTTTTTTTTTTTTTCGCAGAATGAGGTCTCACTGCATTGCCCAGGCTGGTCTCAGACTTCTGGGCTCAAGTGGTCCCCCTGCCTTGGCCTCTCAAAGTGCTGGGATTACATGTGTAAACCACCATGCCTGGCCAAAGACTTACTTTTACAAGAGGAGTATAAAACATCTCATTAATAATTTTCATAATTGATTATGTGTTGAAATAATATTTTTGATATTTTGTGCCAAATAAAACAGTACTAAAATGAAGCTCACCTATATCCTTCTACATTTTCACTGTGGCTACTAGAAAATTTTAAATTACATCTGTGGCTCTCATTACATTTCTATTGGCCAGCACTGGGCTGGGTGAGATGACTAGGGGCAGAAAGTACATTCTGAGGGCCAGACAATCAAGGTGATTGATAGTGGGGTTAGGTTAACTGAAGGGTAGAAAAGGCCAGGTTAATAGGAGGCAGGGACTGAGTAACCGGGAACAAAGTTATTAGAGCATGAGAGAGAGATTCTGGGGTATTATAGGGAGGAAGGAGGCTGTGCTACAAGGGCCAAGAGACAGGAGGATGTACTCAAATTGGCCTGGATGAAGGGACGACCCTCTGCGACTTGGGTGGGGATAAGGGTGGCAGGTTGGGGCCAGCCCTGCACTCACCGCTTCTGCTCCCTGGAAGGAAAAAGAGACAGTGTCACTTGGTACCTCCACCTCAGGGACGCAGTCAAGACACCCTGCCAGGCCAGCCTCTGCCTGACCCCCAGCTCACCTCTCTTCTTCCAGCTTCTTCCGCAGGAGGTCCCGCCTCCAGGCGGGCATGCTGGCCAGCCGGGCCTCCTCCTCCTCCTCCTGAAACACAACCACAAAGCTTCAGGGCCTGCAGGGGCTGGGAGATAGGGGGCACCCTCAACCTCGGGACCTGAAGGAGTCAGGGTCACAGGAAGACATCCTTTTGATGCACATCTGTGTGACAAGTGGATGGAGGTGCCTGGTCACACCCCCTCAGAGCTGGCCTCCTTTCCCCTAGTAACCCAGACCCTCATGTCCTACAGGAGGCACCAGAGAGATCAGAGCTGAATGGGACAGAAGCAGAGAACAAGTAGCTGGGACCCAGAGGTCCTGAGCCTGATTCCCCGCAGAGGCAGGTGGCCAATGGCCACAGGCCCAAGACCTCTGGGCAGACGCAGATGCCAGCCAGCCCCCACCCAGCCTCTTGGCTCAGGGAGACTCAGGCTGCCCCTGGCTCCCCTGTGAAGGACCTTCACCCCATGGTTGCCATCTTCCCAATAGAGTGGATACGGGCACTACAATCGTGGGGCTACAATGACATCAGGGGCAGGTGTGGTGTCCAACGCAGGCAGTTTACAGCAAAGAGTTTTATTTCCTGAATGTTACAGAGGAGAACGGGTCTGTACACGGCACACTTCACACAGAACACTGCACACGTGGCACCCTTGACCTCAGCCAAGGAGGTAGCTGTGAACTCCAGTGGAAAACCAAAGAGCAGGCCACACTGCCGCAAGGAGGAGCCGCAGCCCCTCACTCAGAGGGGCTTCTTCTGCTGCCTGGCTCCACACAGAGCTCAGCAAGGCCACGGGGCCAGAGGCGGACACCTGGTCTGTTCTGTGCCTGCCCTGCCTATCCGACCAACGCCCCACAGCCCGCCACGATGGGACCTCAGAGGCTGAGGCAGCCTGGTCCTGGGCCCTCCGGGCTGCTCAAGGCCACAGTCCTGGGCTCTTCCTGCTGCTTCCAGCCTCTGGAGGGCGTCAGACAGGCGTCCAGGCCCACGTTAAGACGCTCGAGGGTGAACTGAGAATTCCGAATTCCGCTGCTCAGATGTCAAACAGCTCTGCCTCCTTCTCTTTCCAGAAGGAGAAGCTGCGGTCGATGTAGCGGCAGATGTCCTCGTTGCTGAACTCGCCCATCTCAGACACCAGTTCCAAGGGGTCTTCGGCGGGGGCTTCGGAACCAGGAGAGTCTGAGGTCGGGGGAGGCGCGGCGGGCGGGGGCGGCGGCGGCGGCTGCGGCGCAGGGGCCAGGGCCTCGGGCTGCCCCTCAGGCGGGTCCCCCGTCTGAAATGGAGCAGCCTCTTCGGTCCGCTCCTGTTCTTTCCCCTCCTCTTCCTTTTCCTTCGCCTGTTCTTCGGGGGCCGGCTCAGCCTCCAGGCCGTTTCCGAAGAACCGGTGCCTGAGGTCCTCGAAGCCGTCGCTCCAGCCGCGCCGGCCGGCCTCCACCTCCTCCAGCACCACGCGGTGGAAGAGGCGGATGCGCTCCCACGGGTGGCTGCCCAGTCGGTCGAACATCTCGTAGCACAGTAGGTGGCGGAACTTGCGCTCCTCGCGGCTCAGGCCCATCTCGAGTAGCTGGAAGTAGCCGAGCATGAAGAGGTCGAGCGTGAGGCTGTCGTAGTGCGGGGGTGCGCCGCCGTCCAGGGGCGGCAGGAAGTGCTGGGGCCAATACAGGCCGTGCGCCAGGCCCGGGCTTGCCGGCACGCGACGCAGCAGGCTCCGCCAGTGGCCCAGCAGCTTGCCCACCGCCTGCCGCTGCCTCAGCAGCTGCCGCAGCCGTTCGTCGGGGCTGTGGGCCTCGCTGTTGCTCGCCGGCAGCCGGGGGGCGTCCGTGGCCTCCAGCCCCGGGCCAGCACCGGCAGCCGCCACGCGGGGCAGCAGTCCGCGTAGGCGCGCCTGGGCGCGGCGGCCTGGTCCGCGGCAGGCCCAGCGGCGCCAGTGCTCCAGGAAGAGGTAAACGATGCGCTCCTTGCGCAGGTCGAGGTAGTCCTGGACGCCGCGCAGCTTCGTGCAGAGGGGCGGCCGGCGCGCCAGCTGCTCGGGCTCAGGCAGCGCCGCCTGGCGATCCTGTACCTCGGGCGGGCCCAGGGTGCCCAGGGGCTCCCAGTCGACCAGCGGGCCGTGGGCGGCGGCGGCGCTGGGCTGGCCAGAGCGGGCCGCCACGTAGTCCTCCTCCAAGATGGGCTCCCGGCCCGGGGCGCCAGCGGACTGCGGGGGCTTGCGGCGCGGACAGCGCGCGGGCGCCGCGCCCCGTGCGCGCAGCTCGTAGGTGGCGCGGAGATGCTGCACGGAGACGCCGCACTCGAGGATCTCGCGCGCCACAGCCTCGCGGCACCAGCTGAGCGAGTGCGAGCGACCCAGGCAGAGCGGCCCGGGCAGCCAGGGCGCGTCGGGCAGCGGCGCCAGCGGCTGGCCCGTGTCAGCGGTCAGCAGCTCCGCCAGGTGCGCAGGCCGGCCGCCCAGCGCAGCCAGCAGCGTGGCCATGTTCTTGAGCAACGTGGAGATCTTGCTGCACCAGGCGGGCAGGCTGGCGGCGCGGCCATGCATTCGGCGCGGATCGACGGTGAAGCGCGGCGCCGACAGGGCGGCCGAGATGGGCAGCAGCTGCTCCAGCTCCAGCTCCAGTTGCTCGAGGCGCGCCTCCAGCTTCTGCGCCTTGTGCAGCACCTGCAGGTTCTCGATTTGCTGCTCGATGCGGAGGATGTCGGCTTCGGTCATAAGCTCGCCAAAGGGCCCGAGGATGGCGTTGTGCTCGCGGGAGTACCTCCAGCCCTCGCGGGGGTAGCAGCACGAGCTGGCGGCCGTCAGCTAAGGCGGGGAAGACAAGAGAGGGGAGGGAGGCGCGTCTCCCTCTGGCCTAGCTCCCGCCGTGGCGCCGGGAGCCTTTTGCATGTCCCGGGTGGTGTAATGGCTCCGCGGGGCTGCGTCTGCAGGGAGGGACCGCGTCTGGCCGGCGGGGGGTGACGCTGGGGTGAGGCTTCGGCCTGAGCCGCCGCTCCAGGCTCTGGGCAGTGTCCACTTTGGTCGGTGGCGTGGGGCACGGCCGGTCGCTGGTCGCTGCTGCGGCGGCAAGAACAGGCCAGCAGACGGGGTCTCCATGCCTGGCTTGTTCGCTCATTACACCACCCAAGGAACTTGCGAAAGGCGTTGAAGCTGAGAGGCGCGGTGGCCCTCCCCAACCCATCCGAGGGCGGCTATTGAGGCCTCTCCTCCCAGACTCATGACCCCTTCTCCAGCTCCCCTGTGGCCCAAGCCTTCCCGCTCCCTGTGCTCAATGTTTTCTGTGCAGAATCAGAGGCCACTCCGCTCTTAAAGAGGCTGCAGCTGCAGCTTCCACTGAGCTGCCCACCCTTCCCCTCCCTTCGTCCTGCTGGACAGCTGGGCACCGTAATATTCTCATTTGCTCACTTTTCTCCACCTCTGATGTCCAGTTTTCCCCCTGGGCCTGCCATCGCCTCCACAGAGGTCCCTGATTCATCTTGACCCTATGCGATCCACTCCCCACATACAAATAGGAAGCAGCCTCTTCCCTGCTTAACACTCCCCGCACCCGGCTCCCCAGTGCTCCAGGAGAAAGTCCGTTCTCTTCTGGGCCTCTGGCCAGGTCTTGGTAACCTGGCCCCCACTGAGGTCTCTCCAGCTCAGCGACCCCCTTCCTCCAGGACAGTCAGGGCCACATCCACTCTCACTTCCAGACTGCTCTGTCTCACCTGCGGCTCTTCAGCCCACTCTCCTCCTGGCCACCCCTCACTCGTCTTCCAAGTGTCACCTTAGACATCACCTCCTCCTTCCCTAACACGCCCCCCAGCCCACGTATAAGGTGGCCGGTTAGGGCTGCCCCAGTCCCCTGCGTTCCCCATTGCAGCTGGCTGTGTTGCATCAGCCCAGGTACTTCTCTCCACTGCCACCCACTCTCTCACACTGCCCCATTTTGTGTGCTTGGTGACTCGCACACATGTCCGCAGCCACCTTAGAGCAGGCCTTGATATGTTCACCATGAATCTCCAGAGGCTACAACAGTGTGTGGGGCACATAAATGGCACTCGGGGGCCAGGCGTGGTGGCTCACGCCTGTAATCCCAGCACTTTGGGAGGCCGAGGCAGGCGGATCACTTGAGGCCAGGAGTTCGAGACCGGCCTGGCCAACATGGTGAAACCCCATCTCTACTAAGAATACAAAAATTAGCAGGGCATTGTTGGCGGGCATTTGTAGTCCCAGCTACTCGGGAGGCTGAGGCGGGAGAATCGCTTGAACCCAGGAGGTGGAGGTTGCAGTGAGTCGAGATCGCACCACTGTACTCCAGCCTCAGTAACAGAGTGAGACCCTGTCTCAAAAAATAAAAAATAAAAATAAATGGCATTTGGGGAATAGTTGTTGGATGAATAAAAGGCAACTCATCCTGCCAGCTGGTGCTGATCAGCCCACCTTACAGAGAAGGAAACTGAGGCTGGATGAGGCTCAGTATCGGCAGCTGGAAGGCGGCAGCACAGCAATGGAGCCCAGGTCCCTAAGACTGAGACCAAAGCCCTCTTGGCTACTCAGTGTGGTCCTTGGACCAGCAGCATCAGCAGCCTCACCCAGGAGCTGGCTAGAAATGCGAGCCTCAGCCCCGCCCAGACCTCCTAAATCCGAACAGGCCTTTTAACCAGATCCCAGGTGCTGGGCCGGTGAAGGAGAGTCTGAGAAAGGCTGCTGTCTCACTTCCAAGGACAAGCTGGTGGGGGTGTGTGTGGAGACTGGGACAAGCCCCAAACAGGGTTGTACCACCCTGCTTTCCCTAAAGAAAATGGCCGGGCACGGTGGTTCATGCCTGTAATCCCAGCTCTGGCCAACATAGTGAAACCCCGTCTCTAATAAAAATACAAAAAAATTAGCTGGGCGTGGTGGCAGGCGCCTGTAATCCCAGCTACCTGGGAGGCTGAGGCAGGAGAATCATTTGAACCTGGGAGGCGAAGGTTGCAGTGAGTCGAGATCGCACCACTGCACTCCAGCCTGGGCGACAGAGCAAGACTCTGTCTCAAGAAAAGAAAAAAAAAAAAGAAAGAAAATGGGAGGTCCCGAGGTTGGGGTTGGGGGTGGCGTGGGGGATGGGCTGTGCATCCAGATGCAGACCCCAGGGCTCCCTGGGCACCCCGCCCCACCCACCTTCCGCCTCTGCTCCTCCTCCTCCTGCATCTTCAGCTGCATCTTGCGCACCATCACCTGGCGCTTCCACTCGGGGATGGGCCGGCCCTGCTCATCGTGCGTGGGGATGAGAGCCTCCACGTCCAGCTGCACTCCCGGCGCAGGAGTAGTGGGCGGCACGGGAACCAAGCTTCCATTGAGCAGCGGCTGAAACCCCGCAGCTGGCGGTGTGGGGCTCCGGACTGGTGACAGTGCAGGTGACACAGAAGGCAGCGGCGAATCGGGCTGCAGGGAGAAGCGGTGGGGCTGAGCGCCCGGTGGCCTAGGGCCAGGGAAGCCGGGTCGCAGGCTCCTGCTGGGCCCGCCTACCTGGAAGGCCGGCTGCCCGATGCCTGAGAACACTGTGGTCAGCCCCTTGCTCTGGGGCGTCGGCTTCAGGCTCTTGCCTGCCTTAATCTCAGCCAGTAGCTCCGAGTTGTCGCCCGTCGGGGACATCATGTTGAAAGACTTGGTGCCTATGCGGAGGCAGGAGATGAGGCACTGGCCAGGGTGGGGCTGCATCCCCGCCACCCCTCACCCGCCCCTCTGCAGCCCCTTTCCTAAGCCAAGATTGGATGGGTGCCCATCCTCCGGGCCAGCGGGCAGCTCTCCAGATCCCAGGTCCTGCAGGCAGGTTTCAGGGCCCCCAGAGGCGGGCCCTTGGTTCCCTGACTGTGGCAACCCCACCATCTTCCCCACCCTACTCACGGGATGGAGGGCCCCTGCCTGGAGGCCCCTGGGAGTTCATGGTGGCTCTTGGGCATATGTCCCCGCCCAGCCACTGACTGCCCAGCTCCAAAACACTACCTGGAATCAGCCACCTGACCTTTGTCCCAGGTTCCCTGGCTCAGCCCGGCTGGGGTGGAGCCTCCCTCTGGCCCTCTCCCTACATCAGCAAAGCCTCAGTGACCCTTGAACTGAGTCAATTGGGGCCTCCATGGACATAAAGTCCGGACCCCAGAGTGCCAGTACCCACCTGGTCCCCTCCCTCCCCACCACACCCACAGACAGATGCACAAGCAGACACATTGGTTGCAAGCCGGGAGCACCTTTATGGCAAAGCATGGCTCAGCTCTAGGGGCCCAGGAAAGCAGAGCCCTTACTAAGGCTACGGGAGGCACCCAGGAGGAAGGGCAGGCGGATAATATGGAAACACCCAGGGCAGAGTGTGCATTTTCCAGCTTAGCCAGAGGAGGCAAATGGAGATTTGGAGAGAGAGGTCTCTTGAGCCCCGATGAAGGGGTCAGGTCTGGGAGGGAGGAATAAAATGGGCCGACAGCTCTTGGATTCCCAGGCTGGGGATCCCAGAATGCAGTCACAGCGGGTGGGGGTGGTGGGGGAGAAGAGTAGGAGAAAGGGAAAATCGGTGTGGCTGGCTCATTTATTTAGGCAAAACCATCAGCCAGGTGCAGAATGCTTGGGTGCATATGTGGGTATGAGGGTAGGTATGAGGTGCAAGGCCCCACCCATTCTTCGAGGTTCTCTCGCCTGCCAGCCCCTGCCCCTGCCCTTTCCTCAAGTCTGGGCCCCTTCTGCCTTGCTTTTCCTGCCTCTTCCCCCCACCCCGCGCCTCAGCCTCAGCCAGGAGCCGCGCACGCAGCTACTCACTCTTCCTGTGCCTCAGGACTCTCACTTCTAGGGACCAAGAGGAGAGAAGTGACAGCGGAGTTAGGAGGGAGGGGGGGCAGGATGAGACTGGGACAGCAGGGGACAGGGAGCGGGCCAGGGAGAGCGGGCGGGGGGGAAGTGGAGAAGAGAGGAGGAGCTTTTCTGCCCATCTGACCCTGGCTCAGGCTGCTCTGGGGCCCCATGAGGGTGGTCCATCGAGTTCCTGGCTTGGCTGGTGCCCCTGAGGGCTGGGCAGGGCCACCACTGGCTCTAGCCCCTAGCAAGGGCCTCCACCTTGGCACTGGGTTGGGGTAGGGCACCCAGCCCTGGCTGTGCTGGGTGAGGGTGTCTCGGGAAGCCCAGAGTATGTTTTTCTCTGCCCTTAGCTTCAGCCCTGCTGCAGGCTGTGGAGGGAAGAAGGAGGTTCGGCAGGTGCTGGACTTGCTTACATGGGCTCTGGTCTGCAGGGGCTGGGGCTCCATAGGAACCGTAGGGGGACTAGCTCTGCTCTGCACTTCTAGTCAGGGAGATGAAGCTTTGAGGGGTGCCACTAAGCATGATCTCTGCCCTGAGTGGCTGGGTGAGGAAGACACCCCAGCCAGGCTGGGATGGGAGCACCACATCTAGGCACTCTGTCCTGGGCCTTCTAGGTGTCCTGGCAGGGGGACACTGTCCCACCCTACAGAAAAGCAGCCCAGGAATCCTGCACCAGTCTAGCTCTTAAAAAAGGTTGCCTAGGGAAGTCACCGGGGAGGGAGGGGGAAACACGGTGGGTCACAGCTTTGCCCCCATAGCCACGCCTTGGCTGGCCCAGGGCCCCTGGCAGAAACTGGCTAGGAAGAGTTCCTGGCATATCTAAGAAGACTTCAGGTCTGTGCTGCTTGGAAGGACAAGAGAAAGACGTGGAGAGAGGAAGAGAGGCTCAGGATAGACGGGCAGGGGGAAGGGTGGCTAGCTGCGGGGCCTCTCTGAAGCTGGTTCTACTTCGAGTGTCCCTCCAGTACCAGCTCATCAGAAACACCAGCACCAGCTCATGGGAAACACCAGCGCCAGAGCTGGGAGGCCCTTTCTAGCTGGTGGGAGGAGGCCCAGAGAGGGGAGGGGACTTGCCCAGGCCACACAGCTAGGGGGTGGGAGGCAGGCCCAGATTGGGGAAGGGACTTGCCCCAGGCCGTGCAGCCCGGTCGTGCTTTGGCAGGACCTCAAGCAACCCAGAGCCCTCTCTTAGGGTCAAGTACTCAATGGGGTAGGGGTGGCCGGAAGACCATGTAGAAGAGGAAGGACCCGGGCAGTGACAGCTGGGGAGGGGGCGGTGTCTAGATTTCCCTCCCCTTTCAGGGCTAGCGCCGCCCCACGCCCCTCAACCTGCCCCTACTCACTGCCGGTGGACGAGGAGGAGCGGCGCTGCCCGCAGCCAGGGCCAGCGCTCTCGAGGGGCAGAGGCGGGGCCGGCGGTGGCGAACTCGCGGCCTCCGGCAGGGGCGGCGGCGGCGGTGGGGGCGGCGGTGGCAGCTCCCTGGACGCCTTGGGGTCCGCGGCGCAGCCGTTAGGAACATGGTTCCCAGGAAGCAGCGCCGCCTGCGGGGGAGCGGAGGGGCCTTCGAGTGAGCCGCGGGCGGCAGGGCCGAGGCGCGGGCAGCCGGCGCGCGCGGGCTGGCGGGCACGCACCTCCTCGCTGTGCGCCATGCCCGGGCGTGCGGCCAGCGTCTCGCCGGGGCAGCGGCCCAGCTGCCGGTAGTAGTCCCCCGTGCTGGGCTGCTTGCTGAAGGCGCGGGGCTTGCGGCTGGAGTCCTGCCTCCGCAGCCCGTCGTGGCCGTCACAGGAGCTCAGCTGCGGGAAGACAGTGACCGGTGGGGCTCGGGCACCTGCCCGGTAGGCGCCCCCCACGCCTCCCCACCCAGCTCTTCACCTCCTGGGGACTCGCGGCCAGCGGCCGTCGAGGGGTGCAGCAGCTGACTTCCTAGACCCCCTGGTTCTCACAGTGGGCAGCGGGCGAGGGTCATGGGGGCCTCGGTGGAAGGGCAGGCTCCGCCCGCCTTACAGGGAGGGGTTCTGGGCACCGGCCAAGGGGCACAGGGGCCCCCACTGAGGCCAGAAGAGGCGGGCCCAGGGGCGGGGTGGCCCAGCCCCGACGCCAGGGGGAGCTGGCGAAGGGGCACCTCCCAGCTTAGCCCTCACTAGGCCCTCGGCCGCACTCCGCTCTCGGCTGTCAGAAGGACTGCGGGTCCCCAGGGCTCCGCGGAGCCCTGTCTTTCGGGGGTCCGGGGCCGGAGGGAGCCCCCTCCAGAGCCTGTGCTCTCGGAGGCTCCGGCTTGCCACGGACCCCGGTTGCCCGTCCGGGGGCTGCTCCTACCTGCCACGGTGCTGGTGGCCCCCGCTGTGCACCTGGCTGTGGGGGCGGCAGGACCCGACACCTGCGTTACCTGATACTTCCTCTCAGGTTACAGCCACCCGCGCACAGCCAGCCTATGGGCTCCGACGGCCTGACATCACCCGGGGCCCGCCAATCCCAGGCTGAACCCCCCCAGCCGTCGCGGATGCCACAGGGGGCGCCAACTACTTTGCCACACCTGGCCGCGGCTCTGCACCCGTCCCCGGCCAGATGTGACCCCGCCCCCTGCGCCTCTCCCTAAGCTGGGAGCTGAGCCCCCACCTTCATCCCCGCCCGAGAGGGGAGAGGGCTGACTGTGGGCAGAGGAGGCCTCTCATATTTGGCCCCCGGCTCCGGGTCGCGTCCCCACCCTTCCCCTCCTGCATCTGGAAACCATCGCCATCCACGAAAGCGACACCGACACCCGCGCTCAAGCCTCGGATTTCAGGGGCCGTAAGGCGGGGTCGGGTGACAGCGTGGCTTCCCACCCCATCGCAGCTGCCCCCAACTAGGCCCAGCTCAGTGAGGGAGAGTGAGGCGGCCGGGCCAAAGACTGAGTGACCGGGTGGGGGCTGTCCTCTGCCCCACTCTCCAGCCCATGCGTCCCTGCGGTGGCCTCAGACCCTTCACCCCGCCCGACCTGGCTCACGTTGCAGGAAATGCGACACCGCAGGATTTGTTTTCTGGGCCAGCCCGCCCGCTCCGCGCCCCCTGCAGCCCGGAGGTTCGGACGCCACGACCCTGCTCCCGCCCCCGGTCAGGCACCCGCGCGGGGGGCGCCGCGGCGACACAAAGAGCCCTTTGTGGAGCGTCCGGGCCCCGGCCCTGGCGCCTGCGGCCCAGCACGCACACGGCCGAGATGGACGCACATAGCCGGGAGGGGCGCACACAGTGGGGAGGGGCGCACACAGCCGGGAGGGGCGCACACAGCCCGGAGGGACGCACACAGCCGGGAGGGGGCTCACACAGCCAGGAGGGGACCACGCAGACCTGGCACTTGGGCTCAACGGTGGAGACGGGGCACTGGCTGGGCCACCTGTCCTGTGGATTTGGGCGGGGCCAACAGTCTGCGTTGGGAACTCAGCGATTCCAGGGCCCCCTCTGCCTCCCAGAGATGAAAGGGGAAGCCACTGTGGGAGCTTGGTCTAAGGTGGCATGAAGAGGGCAGCTACTGGAGCTGGCCTGCAGGTTCGGTGTCCCTCCCATGCCTCCCTTGCCCAGTGGCCTTGTGACCCGAGTCACCTTTTATGAATTGGCCCTGGGGTGGCTTTGCCTTGGGCTTGAGAACTGCAAGGTCCCAGGCTCCAGCAGGACCCCAGGGGGCTGCCACACCACATCTGGCCACCTGTGACCTCAGGCTGTCCCCTCACCTCTTAGACCATCCTTGCTCTGTTCCTATGGCCAGAACGCCAGTGTTCCCCAGGGCACCCTGCCCGGGATACCCGGAATTGCTCAGACCAGACCTCTGCCCCAACCCCTGCTCCAGAGCCTCAGCCAGGGGCCTGCAGGCCCCAGACATCCCTAGGCACCTCACACTCCACCTGCCCACCCTGGCCTCATCCTCTCCACACAGGCTCGCTTCCTTCCAGGGCTCCCAGCTCAGGCCTGGCCCTTTCCCCCAGGAGCTCAAGCCCTAAACTGGAACCAGCCACAGCTTCACTTCCACCCAGCCCTGCTAGTGCCTGCTCACCTTCCCCCCACCCTCCTTCCAGCCCTCACCTCCACAGCCATGCCACTGGCACCTTCCACCTGGCAGCCACCTCCCTTGGGTGACACTCTCCGACTGAGCCTGGGGCTGTGGGGGTGGGGGGGCATGCTTGGGGAGGGGCAGTCTCCATGCATTCTCTGTCAACTCCATGACAACCCGGCCACTCTGTGCAAGAGGTGGCACAGGCCCAGTTCCTGGTGAGGCACAGCTGTCTGGACCTGCGTCCTTCACCCCCCAGCTCCCATGGAGGGCAATGACCTGCTCTTACTCTCCTCCCAGTCCAGTGTCCAGCCCTGACCCCTTGTGGGACTCGCCAGGAGCTTTGACTCTTGAACATGCCATGGACCCAGGGATCCCCACCCTATGCCCACTAGTGAGGCCAGGCCTTTGGCCTCACTGGCCCCCATCAGCCCAGTCCCCCTGCTGGGAGGCAGGCAGGGGGTGAGGGCTCACTACCTCCTTCTTGAGGGCCTCTGTCTCCACGTGGCGGAGTTTGTTCTTGGTCTGCATGTAGATGTCAGCTGCCTGTGGTCCTACAGGAGGCTTGGGAGCTGGGTAGCCAGGTGGGGGTGGGGGCAGTTGGGTGCCTGGGGGCGGGGGTGGCGGGGGGAAGCTGGGTGGGGGTGGTGGGGGTGTGGGCTTCCCAATCGTGCCCCGAGGCAGGCCCAGCTCCGGGTTCAGCATGTCCATGTAGCTCTGTATGTCTGCAGCTCTAGCGCTGGAAAGCCCTGGGGAGGCAGAAGGAAGGGCCAGATTTGGGAGCATGCAGACAGGCTGTCCCCCAAGACTGAGACTCTCCACCACCTGGAAACAACTTGCCGAGGGGCAAGGTGGGCTCCGGGCACCACTTGGTACACCTGCTGTGGCCCCTGGCGGTGCTGGGCTTCCCCTCCCTGGCCCTACCCTGCCCCAGCCCAGCACTTACTGGGGGAAGACCAGGCACTCCGGTTTGGAGGGGAAGCACTGGAGGCTTTGGTGTGTCTAGAGGGCAGGGTCACCTGGAAGGGGAGGGTCTACTCCTTGGGAGTACGGATGGCCACATCCAATCTTTGCAGGGCACCCCTGCCAGGTCTGGAGGCCACCATCTGGCGGCGTGAAGCAGGCATTGCAAGTGGACGGACGCCCATGCTCAGGGCACGGTCAGGGTGTGTGTACACACAAGCCTGCAGTCTGCCGAGGCGATCGTGCATTTGTGTATGTTTGAGGGGGTACGCATTTGTGCACATGCTTCTTTGTACTGATGAATGTGTGTGCATTGCTCTGTGGACATGGTGTGTATGTGTGTGTGTGTGCGTGCATATCTGTAGTATGGAAATAGAGCACTGTGTGCTTGCTTGTGTGTAGGGTGGGTGTGTGCAGATATTCGCATGGCTCTGTGTGTTCATATCTGTATGCTGTATGTACACATGTACAAGTGTGTGCTTTTGTATGTGAGTAGCTAAGAATAATGAATGGTGGGCGACACACGTGGACTTTGTGGGTGGGGAGAGTACATGTGGATGTACATGTATGTTTGTGATAAGCACACACAAGTATGAGTGACATCTGTCTCTCACCAGAAGGGGTGTCGCCTCCCCATGTTTAAGAGCAAGTGATGAGGGTAGTGTCCGATATTGGCTGTGGCAGGGCGGCCCAAGGCCAATCCTCACAGCCCAGCAGTCTGGCTTCAGTCTGCTCTCCCTCCCCGTCTTCCTCCTGGGCACACTCACCACATGGAGGGTGCTGGCCCTTGATGCTGGAGTGGCTGGAGGAGCAGGAGTCGTAGTTGGAGAGGGTGCTGGTAGGCGAGCTGAGGTCAAAGTTCAGCGGCTGGACCGACACCGTGGTATTGGGTGAGGACATGCCTGAATCCGGCTGCTTAGCCTCCAGCTCTGCGGATGGATCCCGGGAAAGCACGCGGTGCTCCACGCTCTGAAGGGGAGGCAGGGAGGCCATGAAGACAACCATACCCCAAGATGCGTTGCTCTCCAGGCCAGGGTCCTACTCAGTCATGCCTTCGCTGTGGGATCTTGGCCAAGCCACACCGCTCTCTGGGGTCTCTTCCCCATCACTAGACGGTCTCTCAGGTTCCTCCAGGTTAAGATTCAAGCCCAGCCCCGCCAGGCAGCAGGACCCAGGTTCCTGGGAAACTCCCTCCCCTGGCTCCTCCCTGATTAGGAGGGTGGAGAGATCGACAAGGAGGGGGCCCTTGAGCTGCACCCCAAGGGGAGAAATGCCAGGAGATCGGCCTTCTCCCTCACGGATCGGCAGAGGCTCCATGGGGAGGCGCACAGCACAGGCCCATCCCTAGTTACCTGGCTGGCAAGCCGGCTCTCCTTGCTGGACCTGGGGCCTGGGGCAGACTCCCAACACCAGCCCGGCCTGTCTCCTGATGGGGCCCTCGGGGTAAGGGTGGGGCCTGGATGGCCAGCTGCAGTGATGGGCAGCCAGAACTCAGGCTGCCAGGCCTGCCATCCCCTCGCCCTGCCCGGTCTGTGCGTCTGACCACAGGCCTGTCCCCTCCCGGTGCAGACGGGGCTGTGGTGGGGGCCCTGCTTACATTGCCATGCTGCCCCTGCTGCCGGCAAGCCCGCTTGCTCCGCTGCCTCCTGCCCAGGCCTGCTCCTCCTTGCCCCATGCCCCCTCCCTGCCTAAGAAGTGTCACAGGCCCCCTGGGAGAGAGAGGCAGGCCTGGCACCAGGTAACGGCTCAGCGGCCGCGCTCATTGGCCCCGTAATTAGGGGCTCTGTGGGAGTGTTTGCCTTTTCTGGGCCAGCGTCTTCTGTGGCTTGGATCTGTCCCTGCCGCAGCTGGGCCTGCTTGGGTGAGGGAACCAGGGCACACATACTCCACCCATTCCAGGGGACCAGGCCCTGCTGCCTACCGCAGGAATCAGGGGAGCCATAGGAGGTGGCGTGGGCAGCACCCGAAGGTGCTCTTTACCTGGCCAACAGCAGTGGGTGCTGAGGGCACCAAGCCCTGACCCCTGTAGGCAGCAGATAAGAGGCTGGGCCACAGCAGGTGTACTGCACCTGGCCTGAGCCACCCAGCTCTGCAGTCTGGGACAGTGGCTTCAGACTTCCCCTCCCTGACTTACTAGCTATTTCGGGAGAGTCACCTATGCTTTTTGTGCCTAACTTTCTTTATCTGCAAATGGGGATAACAGCACTACTTGCTCTGCTGAGCTCCAGGACATGGCACCCAGTAAATGCCATATTGTCAACTTTTTTTTTTTTTTTTTAGACAGAGTTTCATTCTTGTCGCCCAGGCTGGAGTGCAGTGGCGTGGTCTTGGCTCACTGCAGCCTCCATCTCCCGGGTTCGAGCAATTCTCCTGCCTCAGCCTCCCAAGTAGTTGGAATTACAGGCGCCCGCCACCACACTCAGCTAATTTTTGTATTTTTAGTAGAGATGGGGTTTCATCATGTTGACCAGGCTGGTCTCGAACCCTGACTTCAGGTGATCCACCCGCCGCCTCAGCTTCCCAAAGTGCAGGCATGAGCCACCCCACATGGCCTCTCAACCTTTTTTTTTTTTTTTTTTTTTGAGACAGCGTCTTGCTCTGTCACCCAGGCTGGAGTGCAGTGGCGTGATCTCGGCTCACTGCAACCTCCGCCTCCCGGGTTCAAGCGATTCTCCTGCCTCAGCCTCCCAAGTAGCTGGGACAACAGGCACCCACCACCATGCCCAGCTAATTTTTATATTTTTAATAGAAACGGGGTTTCACCATGTTGGCCAGAATGGTCTCGATCTCTTGACCTTGTGATCTGCCCGCCTCAGCCTCCCAAAGTGCTAGGATTACAGGCGTGAGCCACCGTGCCCAGCCTTTTTTTTTTTTTTTTAGAAGGAGTCTTGCTCTGTCACCAGGCTGGAGTGCAGTGGCGCGATCTTGGCTTACTGCAACCTCCGTCTCCTGGGTTCAAGCGATTTTCCTGCCTCAGCCTCCCGAGTAGCTGGGACTACAGGCGTGTGCTACCATACCTGGCTAAATTTTTTTTTGTATTTTTAGTAGAGATGGGATTTCACCATGTTGGCCAGGATGGTCTCGATCTACTGACCTCGTGATCTGCCTGCCTTTGCCTCCCAAAGTGCTGGGATTACAGGCATGAGCCACTGCACCCGGCCAACTATTTTTTTAATGTACTGTGAAGAGTAACGGAGATTACACCTTTAAGGCACTCGGCAGGGTGCCTGCCTAAGTCAGAATCCAATGAATAGTGTTTGCTGTCCTATGACCGCTAGCAGCTGCATCCAGAGAGGCCCTCAGGTGCCCTGGGCTCTGGTGCCACCCCCCACGGTCCCTCAACAGAGTCACAGACACTCTTAACTGAAGGGGACCCACCATTGATGCAGAAATGCCCTTCCCAGTGTCCATCCCAGCTTATATACCCTAGTGACAGAGTGCTCACTACCTGCTGGGCCATTCATTCTCTTCCAGAGACTCTTTCGCGGGGGGAAGTTCATCCTCAGGCCCCCCTGCAGCCTCTGGCCTCTGGGCCTTGCTGTGTTCTGCAGCCCCCAGAGCCAGGACCATCCCCCTGTGCTGGGGGGGGGAGGGCAGATGGACAGACGGTGCTCAGGGCACAGACCATCTGCCTTCTTCCCTCCGGGCCTCATTGCACAGCCCCTCCATGGCCAGGCTGCCCCATGGAGTTGGTCCGCATCCTTTTCGGGTTGACTGCGAGGCCCACTCTCTTCCCTGCCTATTGCCTCATAGCAGGCATTGTACCAGATGGTGCAGAGCCCTGCACTTGGAGACATCCACAGCTGAGTTCAAGTCCCATTGGGTCACTTCATGGCTGTCTCACCATAATAACATAATTTAAAAAGAGTAGCGTGGGTTTCCAGTTATGACCCAGCCATGAAGTCAGCAAATGTATGGTGCAGGGGCTGAGAGGTGCCTCCTGGCCAGGCCATCAAGGTAGGTTCTCCACTCTAACAGTTACTGGTGATGCCATCTTGGTGCCCCGCAGACTCACTTTATCCATATGTGGAACGGGACACTTAAACACTCTTTTCTGCAGAGGGTGGCTGTGAGTTATACCCAAGCTAATGTCTATGGGTAGGTGAATGAGCCTGCCTATTCCCAGTGGGTCCTGTCTTGTGATTTCTCCAGCCTTACCCCTTGGGGTGACTCTGGTCTTCCCTGTCCTCTTTCCGTTGACCTTTGTGCCTCTACTCCCTCAGTCCCCAGTAGGCAGTGGTTCTGGGCTGAGAGGTCGTGTGGGGTAGCGGGCTTCACGTCCCTGAACCTCAGCTTCCTCCTTGGTAAAAGGGGTGACGACACCCACCACTGGGGTGGAGGGGCGAGAAGAAAGAATGCGACAGGAGCAGCTCAGGGATCGTACCAGGTTCTCCACCGTGCGCAGGTAGCGGGTGCAGTGGCTGTGGCCGTTGAAGTCCGACAGGTCGGCGGCCGTGTACCCGTCGCGGTCGCGGACGTCCAGCTCCGCGCCGTTCACTACCAGGATCTGGCAGCACTGCGGGGGCACGCAGTGAGGACCCGGCCGCGGCCGCGAGCTGGGACCCCCGCGCCCGGGCAGGGCCGTGCTGAAAGCGCGGTGCCAGCAGAGGGCGCGCGCCCCCACCCCGGGCCCGCGCTGACCTCTAGCTCCCCGTTCTCGGCGGCGTCGTGCAGCGGGGTCCCGCCCCACAGGTCAGCCGAGATCTCCCCGCCGTGCAGCAGCAGCCAGCTGAGCACCTTGGTGTGGCCGCGGCTCGCCGCGAAGTGCATGGCGGTGGCGCCGTCTTTGTCCTGCTCGGACAGGCTCACGTCGGTGCAGCTCACCTGGGCGGGACGGGCGGGGAGAGGGGGGCGGGGGCTGGGCGCCAGGCCCCTGTAGGCCCGCCCCCTGTACCTCCGTGGCCCGCCCCCGCCCCCCCGCCCCACCCCTGATGGCCCCGCTCCCTCCACTCCCCGCCCTGCCGGCTCCGCCCCGCCTCCCCTGCTCCCCGCCCGGGCCCGGAGCTCACCAACCACACGATGACTGGGCTGTGGCCCATCTGCGCCGCGGCGTGCAGCGGGGTCATGCCGTCGTGGGCGCGCGCGTGCGGGTCTGCGCCGCATTCCTGCACCAGGTACTGGGTCACCTCCAGGTGGCCCTCCTGGCACGCCAGGTACAGGGGCGTGGCACCGTTCTTGGTTTGGGCATTCACTCCCCTGCGGAGACACAGCGCCCACCGTGGGCTTTCAGCGCCTCACCCCCTCCGAGGCCTTCTTACCCGCCCCCATCCCGTCCCGGGGAGCCCTGGACGGCAGGGAGAGTGGGTGGGAAAGGGCCCTGTCACCGGCCCGCTGCTGCCCGGGGGGCTCCCCCTGGACTGAGTCCTGAGCCACCCTCCCTCAGAGGTCCCTGAGGGCGTCCCACCCAGCACTGCCCTGCCCTCAGTCCTACTTTTTTTTTTGAGAAGAAGTCTAGCTCTGTCGCCCAGGCTGGAGTGCAGTGGCTCGATCTTGGCTCACTGCAACCTCTGCCTCCCGGGTTCAAGCGATTCTTCTGCCTCAGCCTCCTGAGTAGCTGGGATTACAGGCATGTGCCACCACGCCCCGCTAATTTTTTGTATTTTTAGTAGGGACAGGGTTTCACCATGTTGACCAGGCTGGTCTCGAACTCCTGACCTCGTGATCCGCCCATCTCAGCCTCCCAAAGTGCTGGGATTACAGAGCCACCGCACCCAGGCTCAGTCCCACTTTTTAACCGAGGTCTACAAAGATGTGGTGAGCTGGCCTCTTCTCCCCTCTCACCCACTGTCACCATGAATCCCCACACCTGCTGTGTCTGACCTCTATCCCTTTCATTGTGTGCCCCCTCCATCTGGAATGTCCTTCTCCTCCCTCTTGAAGACTCAGTACCCATCCCTCCTCCATGAGGGCCACCCTGATTTATTTCCCCCTTGCTGGCCTCCGCCCCACACTGCCCAGGGCCACTTGAGCATGACCTGTCATGCTTGGTTGACCATAACTGATTTTGACCTTTGCCTCCCCCAGAAGACTGAGTTCCCAGAGGGCAGGGTGGTAAGGGTTGCCAGACAAAAGGCAGTTCACACAATTCAATCTGAATTTCTGATAAACGGATAATGCTTTAGTATTCTATATCCCAAATATTGCATGGGACATACTTATACTAAAGTACAGCTTGTTTATCTGAGATTCAAAGCTAGTCAAACGTCCTGGGTTTGGTTGTTGCTGTTTTTGTTAATCTGGCAGCCCTCAGGATGTCCACTATGTACTGAATGCTTCTGCTGTGCTAGCTCTGGGCTACGGCACTAGCAAGCAGGTTCTTCTTTTTTATTTTTATTTTTGAGACGGAGTCTTGCTCTGTCATCCAGGCTGGAATGCAATGGCGCAATCTCAGCTCACTGCAACCTCTGCCTCCTGGGTTCAAGCCATTCTCCTGCCTCAGCCTCCCAAGCAGCTGGGACTACAGGCATGTGCCACCACGCCTGGCTAATTTTTGTATTTTTAGTAGAAACCCAGTTTTGCCATCTTGGCCAGGCTAGTCTCGGACTCCTGAGCTCAAGTGATCCGCCTGTTTCAGCTTCCCAAAGTGCTGGGATTACAGGTGTGAGCCACCGCACCCGGCCATCAACTATTACTATGACCATCAACTGAGATTACACCGGTAAGGCACCTAGCAGGGGACCTGCCAGAATCAGAATTCAGTCAATGGTGCAGCTGCAGCTGAGGAGGCTCACAGGTGGGGCTGGGACTCTGTGCCATCACCCATAGTCCCACAACAGAGGCACAGACTCAGCTCTCTCCTCGGTCACACAGCTGGTAAGTGGCATTTGAACACCCATCTGTCTGTGCATGCAGGGCCTGGCCGGCAATATGGGCATGCAGGGACTGAAGAGCTGGAATGTGTCTCAGGGGCTTCTCCTAGGGCCTAGCTTTCGGCTGTCACTGTCCCTTATCCTTGCTCTCCCAGCCCAGAGGGGGGCCTTTGAGCTGTGCCACAGTCTTGCTTCTTGTCTCTTTGTCTTCCCAAACCCATCCATGAAATGGGGACAACAGTTGTCATCCTGACCTTGTGCAGAGTGCCTGAGAAGTGCTTGCAGAGCCCTGAGCACAGGCCTGGTGCCTGGCGCACAGCCATTGCTGAACTTTAGGATCCTTCCTTGTGCCTGGGAGGACCAGCCACCAGGAGGGTCTATGGCTGGCCTGGTGTGTCCAGGTGAACAGCCAGGGTGCAGTTACCACCGAAGGACACTAGGTGGAGCCACAATCTATCCCCAGACCCAGGAGAAGCTCCAGGTTGGGGGCCGCGACCTATTGGGTTCCAATTCACCTTTTGTGCTTAGGAGGCCAATTCTTCACAGGACTTCACATCCTGCCCATCTACCTCCCCCAGTGTTTCACCCCCTAGATCAACCACATGCTCCACCCCGCATTCATCCCTCGCTCACCCATCCAACTGCCCATCCGCTTGTTGCCTGCCCATCAATGGGCACCAGGCTACCCCCCTTTGCCCACCCACCCTCTTGTTCCCAACACGACTTAGCCCCTCTTCTGACCCCTGTCACGTGTGCCCTCTCCCTCCCTCTCACACACATCCTGAGACCCTCCCAGCTGGCATCTCCCTGTCCCTAAAGCCCTGGTTCTCTGTCTACTTCCCTGACTCCTGAGACCCCAAGGCTGTCTGCAGCCCCCATGGACCTCCACTCACTGATTTCTCCTCCCTCCCCACTCCCTAGACACAGGGCTGCCATTTGCTGGGGCTGATGCTGAGCCCGGCACTTCACGATGGTGCGGGGAGCAGGCACCATGCCTGGTGATCCAGAGGGGGTCCCGTCGACATAGATGAGGGAGACAGAAGACACAGCTACGTATCTATCTTCAGAAACATGCTGGCTCGTGGCTGCCAGCCTCCACACCCCAGCGCCAGCGTCACCCCCACGCACACTCACATGCTGCTGCGTCAGGAACAGGCTGTTGAATATTTCATGACTGACACTCAGCGGCCTAAATTATTCACCCCGTAACCAAGGCACAGTGAGTGCCGGGGTCTTGGGGATCAGGGGCTGGTGGGGGCCCACTGGGTTCTATCTGTAGAGGCCCACGGCGGTCTGCACAGCTGGTGGGGGGGCCAGACCTGCGGTGAGCTCTGCTCTCCCAGCACCCCCCACTTGGCAGAGATCCATGACCCAGGGGTGCCCAGCCAGCCGGAGAAGGTCTGAGAAGCTGGCACCAAGCAGGATCTGAGCAGCAGGGGGCAGTGGTACCCACAGCCTCCTGCAGGGCCGCTGGCTGGCATTCCCAGCCCAAGTTCCTGGCACGGAATGAGCCCTCAGTAAGTGCTGGAGCTCATCACCATTCTCGTTAGTATTCCACCATCTGCACTCACACGCCCCATTATGGAGTCAGAGCCTCCAGCTTGGAATACCCCAGAACATGGGACAGATATGCTGATGGGCTGAGGGGGAGGGGATCCTGGCTCAACATCCCCTTGGAATACCCCAGAACATGGGGCAGATATGCTGTTGGGCTGCGGGGGAGGGGATCCCGGCTCAACATCCCCCTCCACCTTGGCCTGAGGACAAGAAGAACAATGGGCACTCTCACAGTCACTGGGGAGTATTACAAAGATATGGATGAGCATAAGGACCAAAATGAAATTCTCATCACACACCTGGAATCCAAGCACCTTCGGAGGCCAAAGCAGGAGGACTGCCTGAGCCTAGGAGTTCGAGACCAGCCTGGGCAACATAGAGAGACCGCCATTCTCTACAAACAATACAAAAATGAGCCAGGTGTGTTGGTGCACACCTGTAGTCCCAGCCGCTCAGGAGGCTGAGGAGGTAGGATCACTTGAGTCCAGGAAGTTGAGGCTGCAGGGAACTATGATCATACCACTGTACTCCAGCCCGGGTGTCAGAGCAAGATCCTGCCTCTAAAATAAATAAATAAATAAATAAATAAATAAATAAATAAGAAAAAATTCCCATCACTGGAGAGAGGAATTAATAAAAGTAATAATAGTAAATAATAATAGTGATAGCAGCCACCATTTACTGAATGATTACTCTGTCTCAAGCACTGTGATGAGTACAACACACACGTTCTCTCAGCTGGTCCTTGTAACCCCACAGGACAGGTGTTAGCATTGTTCTCCTGGTACAGATGAGGAAACTGAGGCACAGAGAGCTAAGATCACTCTGTGAGAAAGAGGCAGAGCCCCAATTTGAGGCTGCGTCTCATGCAGAGCCTGCTTCTGACTCCAAATGTGCCACGTCTACACCCCTTCTGCTCTTGGTTGGTCTGTCCCTCTGCCTCCCTCCCTCCCACCGCACAGACCACTGCCCTTCTCCCGCAGACCTCACTGCTGGGAACTCAGGAACACTCTTTGCCAGCTGCTGGGGCACAGCCCCGGCAGGAGGACCTGCAGGGAGGGCCCCGGCTTCGCTATAAGGAGGACCTGGCTCAAGTCCCGTGCCTTTGAGCTGTGCCACAGTCTTGCTTCTTGTCTCTTTGTCTTCCCAAACCCATCCATGAAATGGGGACAACAGTTGTCATCCTGACCTCATGCGGAGTGCCTGAGAAGTGCTGGCAGAGCCCTGAGCACAGGCCTGGTGCCTGGTGCACAGCCATTGCTGAACTTTAGGATCCTTCCCTGTACCTGGGAGGACCAGCCACCAGGAGGGTCTATGGCTGGCCTGGAGTGTCCAGGTCCTGCCAAGTATGGGCCAGGCTGGGCACCATTTCTGTTGTGGGGAACACTACCTAGAGGGGAGAGGATGGGTCTTTGGGGAGACCTCTGACTCCCAGACCCCTGCCAGCTCTAGCCCCGACCACAGTGACAGCTGCAGAAAAGTGCTCCCAGACCAAGCCCTTGCCCTTTGCCCCGGCTTTGACCCAAACCCTCTTTGTAGGTCAGAGGCGCCCTGGCGATGATCATATAAATCATGATTTGTTTTCTTTCTCCTGGGAACAAAGATGCTATGGATGAACTGTAACTATTCATCAAGTCACCTCTGATTACACAAAAGAAACATGGGTCGCCCGTGTGGGCTGTGGGAATCTCCGGCGGAGACTGGTGCCAGCTGACTGCCAGCGCCGCCGCAGGGAGTGAGCTGCCCATGGGGCCAGACCCGGGCTGAAGAATGATTCCCGCAGCCCTCCCCACTGCCAGTCATGCCTCCCCAGAGGGAGGCCAGGAAGAGGCTCTCCATCCGAGGATCAGTCCAGCTGCGGCCTGTGACTGCTTTGAATTGAAATTCACCGAGCCTATGGTGGCTCTATGGCTCTCGGTGTCCTCCAGTCAAACTTCCCGGCCTATGTTAAAAGATTCCCGAGTAGGCCTGGCCCAGGGAAGAAATGCAGCCCTGATTTGAGAAAGGTTCTACACCCCAGGCCGTCAGCTAGCATGGAATAGTTCCAGAAGCCTACAGTTGCCTGCAACTCTCCCAGCCTCCCAGGTCTTCCTCCTGGCCCCTAATTAGGCCACATTTGACCCCACCTGAGGCCTCTACACCTCCCCGCATCACTGCCAGTTCCATCAAGGCAGGGCTGCGAGGCCCACCCTCTTTTCATTAGGGTCTCAGCTCTCCTCTCCTCAAAGACACCTGGCTTCCCTGACCCCTCAATTTCAAGAACCATCCCCATCGCTTCCTACCAAACTGCTCATTTCACTACACAGCACTTGTCACTCCTGAATTATCTTGTTCTCCTATTCCTCAGACCCATACACACATGGATAGAAGAATGTATGGCTGACGTGATGACGGGCCGGGCAGTTGGGTGCACCCAGTTGCTTTTTGTTGAATGAATAAATATGAGAAGGGACATCCAGGCCAGGAGTAGGGGATCTCTCTTCACTCATGGCCTCAGGCTGGTAGGGCAGGTTAGGTCCACTTGCCAGACAGGCTTGGGAATGCTCAGAGGGGAGTTTTGTCTAGGGTCACATGCAATGAGCTATAGGCAGAGTGGACAAGTCCCTGGGATTCCATACCCCACTCATTCAGCAGACGTTTACTGGAGTCAGGCTCTGGGCATACAGAGCCGGGAAGACAAAGCCCCTGGCCTCATTAGTCAGGGACAGATGGGATGAAAACACACATCTGTCTGTGTGATGAAGGGCCTGGCTGGAAATTCGGGCATGCAGGGAGTGAAGAGATGGAATGTGTCTCAGGGGTTTCTCCTAGGGGTTAGCTTTTGGTTGTCACGCAGGATGCACACAGAACGCAAAGCCAGGCAACCATAGGGCAGCTGGGAGGCCAGGTGCAGTGGCTCATGCCTGTAATCCCAGCACTTTGGGAGGCCGAGGCGGGCGGATCACCTGAGTTCAGGAGTTGGAGACCAGCCTGGCCAACATGGTGAAACCCCATTTCTACTAATAATACAAAAATTAGCCGGGTGTGGTGCCATATGCACCTATAATCCCAGCTACTCGGTAGGCTAAGGCAGGAGAATCACCTGAACCTGGGAGGTGGAGGTTGCAGTGAGCCGTGCCACTGCACTCCAGCCTGGGCGATAGAGCGAGACTCAAGTCTCAAAGAAAAAGGGCAGCAGGGAACAAGGCCAGTGGGAGAGTGAGTGGGCATCATGGGTGCGGTTGACAATTTCAGCAAGGCTCAGGGTTGGCCTTGCTGAGGTGAGGTCTGGGCAAAGACTTGGAGGAAGGCAGGGTGCAGGCGGGTATCTCTGATCCCTGCAGAGGGATCAGCCTCTGTGAAGGCAGGGGCGCTGGCCTGTTGGATGGGACCACAGCCCGGAGGAGGGATGGCCTCTGGGCCATTGTAAGGAAGTGAGCAGCCTTCCCTGTCAGTGGTCAGAAGCCTGTGATGGGACTTGTTCTTTTTTTTTTTTTTGAAATGGATTCTTGCTCTGTTGCCCAGGCTGGAATGCAGTGGCACAATCTTAGCTCACTGCAACCGCTGCCTCCTGCGTTCAAGTGATTCTCATGCCTCAGCCTCCCAAGTAGCTGGGACTACAGGCAGGAACCACCACACCCGGCTAACTTTTTTTCCTCCTGAGATGGAGTCTTGCTCTGTCGCCCAGGCTGGAGTGCAGCAGCACGATCTTAGTTCACTGCAACCTCCGCCTTCCAGGTTCAAGCAATTCTCCTGCCTCAGCCTCCTAAGTAGCTGGGATTACAGACACCCACCACCATGCCCGGCTAATTTTTGTATTTTTTAGTAGAGATGGGGTTTCACCGTATCGGCCGGGCTGGCCTCAAATTCCTGACCTCGTGATCCGCCCGCCTCAGCTTCCCAAAGTGCTGGGATTACAGGCATGAGCCACTGCACCAGACCAGGACTTGCACTGTCTTTTCTTTTCTTTTTTCTTTTTTTTTGAGATGGAGTCTCACTCTGTTGCCCAGGCTGGAGTGCAGTGGTGCGATCTTGGCTCACTGCAACCTCCGCTTCCCTGGTTCCAGCAATTCTCCTGCCTCAGCCTCCCGAGTAGCTGGGACTACAGGCACGTGCCACCACACCCAGCTAATTTCTGTATTTTTTAGTAGAGACGGGGTTTCTTCATGTTGGCCAGGCTGGTCTTGAACTCCTGACCTCGTGTTCCACCCGCCTCAGCCTCCCAAAGTGCTGGGATTACAGGTGTGAGCCACCGCACCCAGCAGGACTTGTGTTTTCAAAGGCTGCGGGTGGACATGGACGGGTGAAGGCCAGGGCCTTTCAGGCTTACTGGGGACTTCCCCTTTTCCGTTCTGTAGTGCACAGCCTCACAGAGCCTGGCTGCTCCCATGGCCCAGCTGAGCCCAAGGGGTTCAGGTAGCCCCCACGTGAGGCAGAAAGGGGGTTTCTCAGAAGCCCTAGGATGCCCCAGCAGTGTGCTGCTTACAGAGCCCCAGGGTCCAAGGCTCAGCTCTCCCCCTTAGAAGGGTAGGGCAGGGGCACTAGCCCCGGTTAGACGACAGCTGGGACCAGGAGCTGCTGGTGGAGACATGAGATGGTCTCCTGCTGTGAGGGGCTGCTCCGGACTCCACCAGGCCCTTCCTTTCCCAGAGCCTCCACGTAGGTCAGGGGGTCAAGGACAGCAGCCACCTCCTCAGTGCGGACACAGGCCCTGCCCCCACGCCCTGCTGCCAGGTGAACTGACAGACACCAAGGGTAGACCTGGAGCTGGTGATCAAAAAGGAATGAGCCCCCACGGCCTGTGGCAGAATCAGGGGCTTAGTGGGGAAAGGGACCACCCCAGGCACAGCCTCCAGCCTTCTAAGGGGGAGAGTTGAGCCCTGGGCCCTGGGGCTCTCTAAGCTGAGAGCTGCTGGTGCTTCCCAAGAAACTCCCTTTCTGTCCCAGGTGGGGGCTGCCTGAACCCCTGGGCCGTGGGAGCAGCCAGGCTCCATGAAGCCTTGCACAAAGGAAGGGAAAAGGGGAAGTCTCCGGTGGACTTGAAAGGCCCTGAGTGATTAGGACCTGGACCAGGAGTGGGAGAGAGACCCAGAGAGGAGGTACAGCCTGCTCAAGGCCACACAGCAAGCCAGTGGTGACCACAGCTGGTGAATCAGCCTCTCTAAAACACCATTTCTGTACCTGTCAGCTCCACGAGGCAGGGAAGCTTGTCTGGTTCACCAGCATATCACTGGCATTTAGAATATTGCCTGGCACATAGAAGATGCTCAATAAACATTAGTTGAATGAGTCCATCTGTAAAATGGGCTGATTACATAGCTACTGCTCGGGGTGGTTGTGTGGCTCAGATGACACTGGGTGGTGCCAGACCCCTAGAAGATACTCAGCACCAGGTTCTTTTTCTTTTCTTTCTTTTCTTTCCTTCCTTTCTTCCTTTCTTTCGTTCGTTCCTTTTTTTTTTTTTTTTTTTTTTTTTGACAGAATCTTGCTCTGTTGCTCAGGCTGGAATGCAATAGCATGATCTGGGCTCACTGCAACCTCCGCCTCCCTGGTTCAAGTGATTCTCCTGCCTCAGCCTCCCAAGTAGCTGGGATTACAGGCATGGGCCACCTGTACAGGCATAGCCCGGCCACATGCCCAGCTAATTTTTGTATTTTTGGTAGAGACGGGGTTTCACCATGTTGGTCAGGCTGGTTTTGAACTCTTGACCTCAGGTGATCCACCTGCCTCGGCCTCCCAAAGTGCTGGGATTACAGGCATGAGCCACCGTACCCAGCCCCAGGTACTTTCCAATCCCATTCCAGTCTAGTCTGGTCGGGGGTAGGGGAGGCTTTCGGGGAAGGAGGCACCTGCTGAAGTTGATAAAATCTCTGGGCTAACTGGTTTTCCAGCTTGCTGTGACTGGCAGCACCCACGAGCCCAGGGGAAGAGCCTGGAGCCTCCTCACTCCCCAGCCTGGAAGCTTAAGCCTCAGGGTCCCAACTGATCCCCAGCTCCCTGACCCCCACAGCCCTGCCCAGCTGCTCAGGCCCTGGGGCAGCCAGAAGCAGGTGTGAGGGGGACAGAGTGAGCTCCTGGGCTCCAGGACCCTCCTGGGAGGATGGCCACCGGCCTTGGGGCCACCTGCTCTTTGCCCCTCCTCACTCTGCCCTGATTAGGGATCTGGACCCCTTGTTCCCCTCCATCAGCCACTGGAGCTCCTGCCGGGAGGGCCAATCCTCCCAACTCAATCTCCCTGAGACCCAGAGCCTGGGACTTGCCCAGCCCGGCTCCTGCCAGCCCCATGCCTCCCAACTGAGAGATGCCTTTTTTTTTTCTTTTTTTTTCCCCCTTGAGACAGAGTTTCACTCTTGTTGCCCAGGCTGGAGTGCAATGGCTCAATCTTGGCTCACCGCAACCTCCGTCTGCCGGGTTCAAGCGATTCTCCTGCCTCAGCCTCCTGAGTAGCTGGGATTACAGGCATGCGCCACCACGCCTGGCTAATTTTGTATGAGAGATCTCTTTTCTACAAGGGCTCAGAGGGAGGGTCCCGCGTGGCAGCAGCCCCTGAGGTCAGTGTGACAAGTCCTCTGCTTCTGGGAAGACTTGGCCCCATGAACGGGACAGACGGGGAGGTGTGGGGGACGTGCAGGACATTCCTGCAATCTCAAGCGCTTTCTGTTATAACACCCCAAGGTATAGACCTGGAATTAGCTGAGCTTCCCCGAGGCTGTCCAGCCTTCCAGCTCCTCTGCAGCGTGTCACTTCCTCGTCCCGTGGCCACCCACAGCCTCCCTGGCAGGATCGAGTTTCCCACCAGCAGGTCCGGGAGCCCTTCCTCCCTCAGTGCTCACCCACGCGCCAGCGAGAGAGCTGAGCCTTGTGAATAATTCACAACGATTCACAGCAGGCCCCAGAGGCTCACAAGAGCATGAAGCTGGGCCACCTGGGTCCCCTGATGGGGCCCTGTGTCCTGGGGCAGCTCAAGCCTCTGCCCTCCCCAGCTCCCAGCCCTCATATCCACAGCCTTGATGAGCAGGAATCCCTACCCCCAAGGTAGGAGGTTAAGTGGGTACCCCAGCCCCCAACCCCAATTCCCAGCTGCCCCTCCTGCGTGAGCCCAGCCTGGCAACCACACAAAGACACCTTCTTATCAGTCGAGTCACATGCTGCTGTGGGGAACGGAGCCCAAGCCCTCTGTCCACCTCCCTGAGATTCATGGTGACTCCTGGGGGGCTGGCAGCTCATCAGTCCAGGCCATCTGGCCACTGAGTCAGCACCAGCGCCCAATCACACACAGCACCTGGCATGGCCTGGGAGGGGGTCAGGGTCCCCCAGCCCCGGAGCCCTGGAGGGCGTTCCACAGCACAGCCAGTCTTCCTAACACCTGGGATCCAGCCCACGGAGGGATCACGGCTTCTCAGTGAGGAAGGCTCAGGGGCTGGCGGTCCCCACCAGCACTTGCAGAAGGTGGGCTCAGCGTCCTCCAGTTCACACTTGGGCCATATTGGTCCCGCCATCAGGGGCACCTGCCCCTCTCAAGACCTGTCCTTCTCCTCTGCTTGAAGTGAGGGGGTGGGACAGGTGCATCAGAATCACCGCCGTGAGGGTGGGGACATGTCCCAGGTGTGGCTCCCACGCCCCAACCTGGAGAGTCTAACTCAGGAATCTGGGACAGCCTCCAAGAGGTGCTGACAGGAGCCAGTTGGAACCCTCTACTCAAGGGTCCCTGGGGCCCTCCTAGTCTAAATCCCACTGACTTTGACATGATCCAAATCCTAGTTTGTTTGGAAGCAGTGAATTCATACCAAAGCTGCTCTCGTCCTGAGGCTGGGTCCACATTCACATTTACATCTCAGGCTCCCACTTAGACTAATGAGGGTCACCCATCAGAGCACCCCACTCCCCGCTCAGACCCCTGTGGCATCTGGCACCCTACCCTCTCAGACAGGCCCTGGGCAGCTTTCCCCAGGATCCCTGCCTCCCCAGGCGCACCTAACACCTGAGTCCCTCCCTCCCTCCCTCCCTCCCCAAGACTCACACATGCCCCCTGCTCTGTGTGACCCCCCACCCCACCCAGGGGAGCTCCCAGCCCACTCCCCAGGAGGTTTGGGATCCCCATGCTTCCCTTGATAGTAGGAACGGGCTGAGGGGCCACAGGAGATAACAAGATGCTCTCTGGATGGCCTCCAGCCAGGGGCTCTGGGGCCAGGAGGTGGGGTGGGGGTCTGGGAGGGGCCTTTCTCCCTTAACTGCTTGGTAACTGATGGGGTTCCCTTTCTGCCTGTTTGACTAGGGCCTAGGAGGCGCTCCTGCCCTTGCTGCCCCCGACTCCATCCTGAACAGTCTTGCAAATGAGCACAGCCTGAGCCAGAGAGAGCCCCTGCGGCAGAAGCAGCCCAAGGGGAACAGGTGACCTTGGCCTGTGTGCCCAGCCTCCCAGGTCCAGCTGTGTGCGGCCGGGCAGCTGAGGATGCTGGGAGCACCTGCTTGCAGGGCTCTGGGGGCAGCCCCAGAAGGGGTTTTCCAGGAGGGGAAAATTTCATGTTGAGTGGGAGCCATTTCTCTGGCCTGGCCCTCTGGCCCCAGGATGGCCACTGGAGGGATCATTGCCCTGGAGTGCCAGAGAGGCGTGGAAAATCCCAGGCATCCCCCAAAGCCCTGGCCCAGCCCACCCAGAGGACCCCTTAAGAGGGGTGATCTTACTCAGGGTAGTGCTCGACGAGAAGCCTCAGGGAGGGGAAGTCTCCTTTGGCGGCAGCGTAGTGGATAGGCAGGGCGCCCATGTCTGTGGCCGCGGTGGGGTCCCCACCGCCATGATGCAAGAGCCAGTTCACCACCTCGGGGTGGCCGAAGCGGGCAGCCAGATGCAAGACTGTGGCACCAGAATTGTCTTTGTCCTGTGGGAGGAGAGCTGGTTCAAGTCCTAAAGCCTGTTGCTGCCCCGCCCCTGGCTTGGGCCACTCCCAGACTCCCACAGGCCTGGAAGGTAGCTCTGTGCTCTCTGTCTTCCCTGGAGGGATTGGCCAGGCCTCATTCAGCAATGTTTTTTTTGGGTCAAGCGGATCCTGGGTTTGAGTCCTGCTTCTGTCCTTGGGCAACTAACTGGCCCTCTCTGAACCGTAGCCAATAGGCAGCACCGTGCAGGGTTTTCAGAGGCTGCAGGTCCTGACTGCGAGCTGCCTACACGACAGGCACCTGGTTGTCACGGCAGGAGACTGGCACCAGGCCCAGGGCCACAGCCCTGACTCCCAGGGACTCAGGGAATGCCTGAAGGAGTGACACAGGGTTACTGGGCTGAGCAGGGCCAGGAAGGGGGGCTGTGGGGCTGTACCAAGCTAGCATCAGGATTGGGGGTCACCCCCTGCATCCAACACTTGCCCCCGATCTCTCCACCCTTCCTCGGTGTCACGTGGGAACAGAGACCTCCACCTTGGTACGCCTCCAGGAACCCAACCTCAGTGCAGAAAACCGGCCCCTCCCCCAGCAGACTCGCCAGTGCCCAGCCACAGGAGCAGCCTGTGTTCTCGCCCCTGTGGAGGTGGAAGTTGCTGGGTACTGGTGGGCGGGTCCGGGGCAGTCAGCCAGGGGTGCTAGGTGCAGGCTAGTGGTGGCCTCTGGGAGGGCTTGGACAAAACTCCCCCCGGGGACCTCAGAGCAGGTGGGGCCAGAGGTCTGGGCCCAGAACTGCTGAATGTGTCATCAGTGCACACCCCATTGTGTGTGTCTGCTGAGAAAGGGGCTGGAGGGGAGTGCTTACAGGACCTGTGCTGGGAGGAGAATTCCCGGGAACATCTAGACACAGAGGCTGCCGCACTTGGCAGAGTGGGTACTGGTTCGGGAACAGAACCACCTCCCAGCACCAAGCACATAGGATGACAGAGGGGTGGGCAGGGTTCTGGGTGCAGGATGCAGTGGACACACTTCACTAGGATCAGGGAGTAAAGCCTCTCTGCCCCGCCTTGCCCAGAGAGAGGGCACTGTGGTTACAGACTGGCAGAGGCGGCAGGAGCTGGCAAGAGACCCCAGGCCTCAGGAAGTCAAATCACGGTGGGAAGAGAACCTCTGAGGCTCCCGTGAGAAATGCAAGGAAAAGAGGGCACGGAGGGAGCTGGGGGCGCCGGGGCCACTAGTAGGGTCTTCAGGCAGCCTGCGGGGTGGGGGCAATTGTCTGGCTGTCCTGCTAAGGAGGCAGGGAGGAAGATGGGGCAGAGAATGTGATGGCCCATAGGAAGCTGAGGACAACACCGAGGCCCCTCCTGTGTGCTAGAAAGCTGGGAGTGGGGGGGCCAGAGACTGGTTCAGTCTGTCCCCTCCGAGCCCAAAGGTCGGGGCTGGCTAGCGGGCACCCAGGCAGAACCATGGTGAAATGTGACCTAAGCCCCAGCTCCTGAGAAAGGCGCTCCCTTCCTATTGGCCTTGGGGACTGTGGGTCTGAAGCTCCAGGGGTCCCACTGGCTCTGGGCCTCTAAGTGGTGGAAACTGTAAGGAGAGGGCCACAGGCCTGTGGGCTCTGGCCTGTGCCTGTCCAGGCTGTCCAGGTGTCCAGGCCCCAGGAGCCTCGTGCGTGGTGGACCACACCCTAAAGCAGCTTATCTCTCTGGGCTGGGCAAGCCCAAGGATCCAGGTCATCCCCCCCACACTTTCTCCCCCCACACCCAAGCCTGCCCAGCCCAGAGGGCAGGAGACGATAAGCTGGGCCCAAGGCCACCTGCTTCTCCCAGCTCCTCTGCACTGGCCAGAGAGGCTTCTGGCCAGGGCTGGACACTGGATCTGGGAGGCATGCCACCGCCCAAAAGAGTGGGCATGGGCCACTTGGCCAGGAAGCCCTGGTAACAGGGCCCACTGAGAGATAGCAGGTGGGCCATCTCCCAGGAAGGGTGGGAAGAGGGGCTTGCTATCTGAAGGCAGAAGGTGGGGTTGGCCTGGCCATCTTTGGGGCATAGTAAGCCAGTTTAGAGTTACCCTGACTCCTCCCCTTCCATCTCCAGGTCACCCAGTGGTCTAAGTGGAAATCGGTTGTGGTTCCTCCCTCCCATGGCTGCCCCCACACCCAGAATTTCATCCAAATCCCTAACCTCGGCCTATGATACTCTCTGGCCTGGCCCTGGCAGCTTTTCCCTTCCTCACCCACTCTGAACATGATGCCTGAGGCTGGCCCTCCGACAGGACAAGAGCGTGCATGCCTCAGGGCTCTGCACTTCTTGTTCCCTGTGCCTGGAACTGTCCCACCGCTGCCTGGCTACCTGCTTCTCAGCAGCCAGGACTCCCCTTGGAGGTCACTGCTCAGAGTGACCAGGTGGGGTCTGGAGGCAGCAAGAATCAGCCTGGGTTGGAGAAGCAGCTGACAGCTTGACAGCACTGATGTCCTGGGGTCAGCCTGGGTTATGGGGAGACCCCCATTTACCACGGCTCATCACCCTTCCCCCACACCCTGGCTGGGACACCTGAATCTCAGCCTCGGGTGGGCTGTGGGACTTTGCCCAGCCTCCTTTCAGATCCGGTCCTGGAGGACACGGGCGTCTGACTCTGCTGCCCAGGCCTCACGTCCCACCCACTTCCAGGACTACAGGATCAGTGCTTTGCTTCTCCCGGTACACACTAGTAACCACAAGCCCCACGGAGGCCCCTCCCTTCTGGCTCCCATCACCCAGGTGCGCTTCCAGGGAGCACCCAGGCTCGCCAGGGCATCTGCCCCAGTACTGGCAAGCCAGGGAGCCCATTCACTTGAGGGCCTCTGGAAGGAGCTCCGTGCAGGGTTCAGCTGGGCCAGGAGGTGCCAAACCCCACCCATCCTTGAGCCCCGGGGGACTCTGGGCCAGGACTCTGTCCTGAGGAGGAAGCCTCAGTGCCCCTGGCGAACCGCGCGGACCCACCTGCACTCTGCAGCCGCCCTGCGACAGCAGCCACTGCAGGCAGGCGAGGTGGCCGGTGGCGGAGGCGTCGTGGGCCGGTGTGGCGCCGTTGCGGGCGCGGGCCGCGGCGGGGAGGGCGGCTTCCTCCACCAGGAAGCGCAGACAGTGCAGCTTCCCAGCGCGGGCCGCGTGGTGCACGGGCAGCGCGTCCAGCGGGTCGCGCAGCGAGGGCCCCAGGAGGCCTGCGGCGTGCAGCGACCTCAGCACGTCCAGCTCGCCCTGCCGCGCCGCCTGCAGCGCCTGCTCCAGGGCCATGGTGCCGCGTGCGGCGCCGCGACTCCGCACTCAGCGCCTTCCCCAGGACGCCATGCACGTGTTCTTGCGGGCCAGAGGAGCCCGCGGTGCGGCCGTCGGGGATCTGCGGGCCGGGAGGCGGAGCGGCTGTGGGCCTGGCCTCCGCTCCGCGCTGCCTGGCGCTCCGCTCCGCCGCGCTCTGGGGCCGGAGCCCGCGGACGCCGGCTTAAGACTCGGGCCCGCCCCCACCCCGCCCCGCCCCGCCCCGCAGCCTCCGCCCGAGTTCCCCGCCCGCCCCCGCCGCGACGCGGGGACACTCGTGCGACTGGGGCAAGGTGCCCAGGGGCTTCTCTCCTAATTTGCCTCACGTAACAGTTGAGACCCCAGAGGGCAGCAAAACTGGGTTCGAATTGGAGAGCCGTCCAGGCACAGACAAATTCATTCATCTGCCCAGTGCCCGCTAACTGCGGTTCCAGGCGCCGGCGACGCAATTCCAGAGGTGATGGGGAGTGATTGTCGGGACCGCGTGGGCGGACAGGGAAAGGTCTCTGAGGAGGTGCCGTGGGGCTGGGTTTGAGCGGCGAGAAGGGTATTCCAGGCGGGGTGAGGAGCACGAGGACAACGGCCCTGAGGCAGGAGCAGCCCTGCCACGTCCCTGAAGGGCTCTGGGTCGAAATCCCCGGAGATTGCAAAGAGCCCTGCCTTCCAGGGTCCCTCCAGATCCGAGAACTGCCCCCAGAGGTTCCAGCGGGGAGGGCAGGAAGGCAGGACGGGAACCACTAGTGCGCTGGGAACGCCATGGCCTCAGGCCGCCCGCAGCCGCTGTCGGTGTGGAGGGGCTTCCAGCCACACAGAAGGCAGGGATGGGTGGGAGGTTAGGGCTTGTGGGGAGACGCGGGAGCGCCGGCATCCAGAGAGAGGGGGCTGAGACCCCTGCAGGGGCTCAGGAAAGTGCCAGAGGGCGCGGGCAGGAGAGCGAATGTGTGCCAAGCCACCCTGCAGGCTCCACTGAACACCAGCCGTGGGAGCGGCTAGTGCCCAAAGGACGCGAGGAAAAGCTGACAGAAGGTGGGAGCTACATGGCTGTGGGAGTGCAGGCGGCCTATCAGCGATCTTGAAGCACCCTGTGCCCTTCCTGTCCCAACACCCACCCCCTCTGGAGTCCCGTGGGGGCTTGGCCCCACCCCGGGCTGAAGGTTTCACTCCGCCCCAGCCCCAGCCTGGCACAGTCAGCACTGGAAATGCTGTAGAATGAAGGAAGCCCCTTCCAGGAACAGTGGGAGTCATAGTGCTAAACTCATAGTGCTAAACTCGGCAGCTGCCTCCGGTCCTTTCCCTGGGCCTGCCACCTAGTGGCGACCTGCGTGATGGCCTCCCGCGCTCCCAGGTGCCCAGGTAACTGGAGCTGCTGGGCTGTGCCTAGCCAGGTGGGTTTCCAACGACTTCCACCAGGCCAGATCGCCCTCACTCTCTCCATGGGACCTGTGGCCGCTGGAATCTGGGACGCTTGCCCAGTGGTTTGCAGACAAAAGGAAGGAGGAGTCATTTCCTCGCAGCCTCGCTGCTGGAGCTGGTGGCCAAAGCAACAGGCTCACTGCGGCTGGCGCTGCCCTCCTCTGGGTGCCCAGAGGCAGGTGTGCCGTGAGGCCAGCAAGTGGCAGGGGTACTGTTGGGAGGAGGTGCTAAAATGGCTTGTCTTGGGCACCCCTCCCCTGGGCCTCCTCCATTCCAAAAGGCCCTGCAATTTGTGTTCTCCACTCCTAAGGTGGCCACCTTGGTCATGGACGAGCTCATCTAGCACATGGTTTTGTGATTTTGTGGGCCAGGGCTAGGTGATGCTTTATTGCTATTCCAGTGGGCTGAGCAGATGCCCCTGAGCCCCTGCCACTGTTGTTAATGACATCTCCATTAGTGCCACATGTGAGCACCCACCCCTGCTGACCAACCTCTCAGACTCCTTTCGGGACATGACTCAAACTCAGGCTGTGAGCCAGGCCCTTCCTGCCAGGCTTCTGTCCTCTCCGGGCTCTCCCATGTCCACCGGGCCAATTGGGTCCTCCCCAGCAGCCCTAGGGAGCTCACGGCAGCAGTAGCACTTTTATGAAATCTGTACCACCCACCAAGTGCTCACCATGCTTCACATGGATATTTAATCCAGAGGTGCTATGAGAGAGGTACAACTATTGTTCCCAGTTCACAGTCGGGGATAATGAGGCATGGAGAGATAGGGAGGGTTTTTTTTCTTTTTTTCTTTTTTTTTTTTTTGAGACAAGTCTTGCTCTGTCGCCCAGGCTGGAGTGCAGTGGCACAATCTCAGCTCACTGCAAGCTCCGCCTCCCAGGCTCACGCCATTTTTCTGCCTCAGCCTCCCGAGTAGCTGGGACTACAGGTGCCTGCCACCACGCCCAGCTAATTTTTTGTATTTTTAGTAGAGACGGGGTTTCATTGTGTTAGCCAGGATGGTCTCGATCTCCTGACCTCGTGATCTGCCCACCTTGGCCTCCCGAAGTGCTAGGATTACAGGCGTGAGCCACTGTGCCCGGCCTGTTTGTTTGTTTTTTGAGATGGAGTTTCACTCTTGTCACCCAGGCTGGATTGCAATGGCATAATCTAGGCTCACTGCAACTTCTGCCTCCCAGGTTCAAGTGATTCTCTTGCCTCAGCCTCCCAAGTAGCTGAGATTACAGGTGTCTGCCCGCCACCATGCCTAGCTAATTTTTTTATTTTTTGTATTTTTAGTAGAGATGGGGTTTCATCATGTTGGCCAGGCTGGTCTCGAATTCCTGACCTCAAGTAATCTGCCCACCTTGGTCTCTCAAAGTGCTGAGATTACAGGCATGAGCCACCACGCCCAGCCTTGTTTTGTTTTTTTAAAGCATTTTGCCTGAGATGACACAGATGGGAAGTGGCAAAGCTTTCACTCCCTGGCTGAGCCTTCTGGGCTCTTCTTTCCTCTCCACCCAAGGTTCCTTCTGCCCACAGCACCCCTAGAGTCTCCCACCCTCCAGCTATCAGCTTAGGGATTCTCTCCCCAGGAGGGCTTCTCTCACCCCTCTGCTGGGCTCACCCCAGCCCACCCCAGGTTTCTCCTCAACCCAAGGGCCAGGGCACTTCCCAAGAATAGGGACCAGGGGTGGAGTGTATCCTTACTGTATCCTAGGTGGTCCCAGTTCCCCTAAAGCCTGCACCCGACATTTGCCCACCTAGCTGTCTTTAACGTTCCTCTGATTCCAGACCACTCCTTCCAAGTAACCAGCAAAACCTGAAAATCCTTGAGTTGAAGAGAACTGTGGGTTACTTGGTTAAAGTCCTTTACCCAATGGGAGAGTAGAGGAAGAAATATTTTTAACTGGGGGTAACTGGCAATGGAAATGGTGTTTGCTCCCCTGCCATTCAGTCTTCAAATGGTGGTCCGCAAACCTGGAGGGGGATGTTCTAAGGGGAGCCTCCTCCTTCAGCCTTTTTCTCCCAGGAGCTAGGGTCAGTCCCTCCCCAAGATGCAGATGCTGCAGGCGGACTTGTGGGTGCAGACCTGAGTCAGCCAAGCTAAGTCGCTTGGCCTGGGGATGAGAGGGAAAAGATCCACAGAGTTTTTTGAGCTCTTAAAGAACAATTAATTGTCTTAGGGGAGGCCTATGGAGTCAAACTGGCCTCAACCACGGAGAACAAGGTCTCAGGTTCCTCCAAGCCCTGCTGGGCCAAATCTGTTGAAGGATTTATTCTTACTTGTTAGGTCTTTTATGAGGGTTAATGCAGGTTAGCGAGCCTTAAAGCGTTAAGCCCTGAGCTTGGCACACAGTAAGTGTCCATGAAAGGTGGCCTACATTCCTTCCCATGCCACAGATAGGTATGGGTGGCCTGGGCTCCCCTGGCCCAGGCTTCTCCGGGCCCCTCAGTGTGTTCGCTGGCCTTCTTCCACCCTGCGGCGAGAACCCTGAAGGAGGGAGACGTGGGGCTAGCGGCAGGGGTGGAGCTCGGAAGTGGGGTTCGGGGGACAGGGGGTTCATCCAACACCCTGGACAGAGCCCTCCTTGGCCCCGCCCCATAGGGGAACTCCTCCTGGCTGGCTCTGTGGATCCCTCCAGTCATCTCTCTGCCCGGCAGTTCGCAGTGTGGTTCGCGGGCGTGGCCGTTGCCCCGCCAGCCGGTCGGGGGAGGGGAGCCCGGAGCAGATGGGCGGGGGACGCCAGCCAGTTTGCCGCAGCAACGGCCACGCGGCGCGAAGGCGGTCCTGGGCGGGCCACTGGGGCCCGCACCCAAAACTGTCCTGCCCGCGCGTCACATGAGCCCTGACTGTCTTGCGGGCGAGAACCCGGACCCCTAGCCGGTGGGAATGAAAACGAGCTCCGAGGGCTCCAGGGCTGCCTCTGCTTCTCTAGGATTCCGTTTCCCCACCCAAAGCCTGGAGTGGGGTAACCAAAAGACTCTTAACTAGGCAAGCCGCCGAAGGGTTCTACGGGCTCCTTAGAGCCGGGCGTCCAGCGACTGGGGCCCTTGTCCAGGCTCGGCCTGTTCCCAGCGTCGAGGACTGGAGCAAGTCACGACCTTTCTCCGGAACTCGGATTTCCCGTCCAGCTCAGCCCTTCACCCGATAAAGCAGCTGGGGGTGCAAGTCCCTCCCGCTGCTGTCCCTCATGGGAGCTCCCGTAACCGCTGGGTCCCCTGCTGCGGCCCAGGGCGGGGCTCAGAGAAGACGCTGAACCCGAGCCTGGGGAATGAATGAAGGGCAGCATTGGAGAGGAGGGACCGTAGCTCCAGTCAGGCAAGGCCTGGCCCCACCTGGCCCTCCTGCCCTCGGGGTCACGCAGCGAAGGCCCCCGATGGCGCCTTTACCACTCTCCCGCAGGTGCTCGGGGAAAACTGGGGGCCGCCACCCCGCGGTAGACAGGACGCAAAGGCGGGGAGCGGGATCCCCGGGGGCGTCGCGGTCTCCCCTCCCGGCTCCACCCTGCGCAGGAACAAAGGCAGGAGGTGGGACCAGCGGGCGGCCGGACTCCGCGGGGCGGGGCGGGGCGGGCGAGCCGCTCCCTTAAAGCTCGGCCGCGGGCGGGGCGCGCACTCGTCTGGCACCAGCCCGGGCCGCGCCCGGGACCTCATTTCGGACCTCGGTTTCCCTTTGCGTGGGGCTCGCAGCTGCCACCGCTTCCCCGCGGAGCATGGGGCTGCCTCGCCGGGCAGGGGACGCGGCGGAGCTGCGCAAGGTGGGTACCGGGGACTGGGGGCGGGGCTGGGGACTCCGGGGACCCGTCTAACCACCGCGCCGCCCGTCCGCAGAGCCTGAAGCCGCTGCTGGAGAAGCGCCGGCGCGCGCGCATCAACCAGAGCCTGAGCCAGCTTAAGGGGCTCATCCTGCCGCTGCTGGGCCGGGAGGTGAGCGCGCCCGGGCGGAGGGCAGAGGGTCCTGGGGCGCGGAGCGGGGGCAGGGGGACGGGGTGCTCCTGCGGGAGGAACCCACCAGGGGGTTCCGCGCGGCGCCCGAGGCGGAGCCTGGGTGGGGTGGGCGCGTCGGAGCGGACCCCCAGCAGGCCACGGCGCGCCCCACACCCAGCTCCCGACTAGAGCGAGGGTGCGCACGGTAGCCGGCCAAAGTTCTGTCTTGGTGGTTCTCTGTCGCTCTTCCTCGTGGCCGGGCGCAGAACTCCAACTGCTCGAAGCTAGAGAAGGCAGACGTCCTGGAAATGACCGTGCGCTTCCTGCAGGAGCTGCCTGCGTCCTCATGGCCCACGGCAGCGCCCCGTGAGTGAGCCCTCCCTGCCCTGCCGCGCGCTCTGCACCCCGCACCCGGCACCCTACCCCGCGCCTCACGCGGCTCTCCGCCCGCAGTGCCTTGCGACAGCTACCGCGAGGGCTACAGCGCCTGTGTGGCGCGCCTGGCCCGCGTGCTGCCCGCCTGCCGTGTCCTGGAGCCCGCCGTGAGCGCGCGCCTGCTGGAGCACCTGTGGCGGAGAGCGGCCAGCGCCACCCTGGACGGCGGGCGCGCTGGGGATTCCAGTGGCCCGTCTGCCCCCGCCCCAGCGCCCGCGTCTGCCCCAGAGCCCGCATCCGCTCCGGTGCCCTCGCCGCCCTCGCCTCCCTGCGGCCCTGGCCTCTGGCGGCCGTGGTAGCCCCTCGGCCGATCCACAGACCCTGCCGACTGCTTGGGACCTTGGGGCACTGGACAGGTTGAAGCTCTTGGTGGCGGCTGCTGTTCCCATCATTAGGGGCCAGCCCAGTACCCACACCCAGGCCGGAAGCCGGCTGTTTGTGACTGGCGTGGCAGACTGAAAGCCCTGGGGCTGGGGCTCGGCTCAGGGAATAAAAGGAGCGTCCCTGCTTCACCCCCAACTTGGCTGGAGAAGAAAGGACAAGAGGCAGCAGGGTGAAGAAGAAGCCCCCCATCCCAGCTGGTGGAGATAGTTCTGGAACTGGACCCCGCAGCTGCGTGGGCAGCCGACACACCCACCCCAGCACTGGCACCAGACCAGAGCCAGAGCCAGGACCTGGGCAAAGTGCAGCCGTGCACCCTGCCTGGTCACTGCTCTCCCAGCCCTGCCTGGGCCTACCTCCTGCCCAGCTCTGCTTGGGACCCTCTGGGCATGCAGCAGCAGTAGCCTAAGGGCTCTGGTCACTTCCAGGGCTCTACAGGGCAGCAGAGCAGAGCAAAAGGGTGCATATGCTGGGAGCTGTCACCTCCACTCCTAGGCTTTTCTGCCTAGAGCAGAATTATAGGGGCAGTATACATCCAGGGGTCTGTGCGGTGGGGCTGGGGGATTCCTTAAGTGACTTTGGGAAGGATTTGTTTTCCCGAGCATCAATTTCACACCTGGGCATTGCACCCCAGGCTATGCAGTCTTTCAGTGTGAGGAAGGGGCAGAACAAGAATGAGGCGGCCCCGTGGCCTCAAGGAAGCTTGTGGCTTTGGAGGATCTGACTCCAGCAGAGTCTGTGCCAATGTGGGGTGAGCAGGGCCCCTGCCATGGAGCAGCAGGAATTTGAGGGATGGAGCAGGTTAAAGAATGGGAAACATCTTCACTTGTTTTTTTTTCTTGCAAACTACTCCCTGCTACTCATTGAGACTGGTTACTGGAAGCAACTTGTTAAGATTTTTCTTTCTGGGCGGGCGCGGTGGCTCACGCCTGTAATCCCAGCACTTTGGGAGGCCAAGGCGGGTGGATCACCTGAGGTCAGGAGTTCGAGACCAGCTTAGCCAATATGGTGAAACCCCGTCTCTACTAAAAATACAAAAATTAGCCGGGTGTGGTGGCATGTGCCAGCTACTCGGGAGGCTGAGGCAAGAGAATCACTTGAACCTCGGAGGCTGAAGTTGCAGTGAGCCAAGATTGAGCCATTGCTCTCCAGCCTGGGTGACACAGCAAGACTCTGTCTCAAAAAAAATTTTTTATTTCTTTCTTTTCCATGGAGGCCTAGAGTCCCTGTGAAGGCTAGGAAGGGGCTGCTGATCCCAGGAGTGCCCACGAGGAGTGGGGGGCACTGTTGGCCCATAATCAGGCAAACACCCATCATTTCATGGGGGATTCATGAAATCATAGTCAGGCAAACACCCGTCATTTCATGGCTAAGCATTTGCAGAAGGTGGAGGATTCTCCCCCGAGTCCCCAAATCAGCAGCCTGTGCTAGGGACCAGAGCACCGGGGGCAAGAAGACAGAACCAATGTGGGAGTGGGGATGGTCACTAAATCTGACTGTGCCACACAAGCCCATGATGACCTTGGCACTGGTTTGGGTGGCAGGATATGAAGGAAGCTGTAGGCATTATTGAAAAAATCATTGTTCAGCCAACAGGGTGAGGCTCCCAGCAAGGCCGTGCCATCTTCCCACCTCCCTGTGCCCAGAGGGTTAGACTGTAAGCTCCCGGAGGGCGAGGCTGGGGCTGAGCGTGCCTCCACGTCCCCAAGGCACAGGGTGCACAGTGGGTGCTCACTGAATATAGTGGACTAGTGAGCAGAGGATGAGAGGACTACCCTGTAATGAGCCTTGGACAGTCTGGCATTTGCCTTAACTCCCACTCCCATGCCCTGGGATCACTGTTGGATATTTACTCCATGAGGACAAATACTGGGGAGGTGTGGAGAGGAGGGAGGGCAGGTTCCTCTTACTTTCACCCATTGCTGAGAATGAGCGCCTGTTGGCACTGCCTTTGTGAGCCTCCGGGAGCAGGTAACCTGCGGCCCAAGCCCGCCTAGGACTCCACATCAGGCAGGCACAGGACTGGCCCCTTGTCCTCATAAAAACTCTCAGTACAGCTTAAACTCTGTAAGATCTAACCAGCCAGGAGGACCCTCGCTTCCTCTCCGCCATGCTTGCCACCTCTTGCTTCTGAGAGTCCATCTCAGTTCGCAGTTCTGTGACTTGCATTGACCTGGCTCCAATCAAGCTACAACTCAAGCAGTCACGGGGAGAAGGATTGTAGATGGGCCAGTGACTCACAGGGTCAGGCACTCGGGGGAGCCTGAGTCAGGAGGTCAGTGGGCCCTGGAAGGGAGGGGGCAAGCCTGGGTGGGTAAGGTTCTGGGCCCCAGGCAAGAAGGCAGAGTTTCTCCGCAGGGGTGTGTGCAAGAGCTAGCTGCGCAGAAGGTCTCCGCTGGCTCTCCAAGCCGGGCTTGTGAAATAGGAACGCCAACATCCTCCTCCACAGGCAGTGGCAGGCACCTCCTCCTCAGGTGCCCCCCAAGCCCTATCTGATGGGCAAAGGTGAACGCAGGGCGGTGGGCTTTTCCTGTGCAGAGGGAGACTGATTCAAAGGGTCATTTATGACCTTTCACAAGTCCCACATCCTGCCCAATGGCCAGGTCTTGGGATGCTGTTGCAAGATGGTTCTGTGACTCCATGTGACTGTCTGATGATTGCCCCAGCTGGGGAAAAGGCTCCCATGTCTCTTTCTCATAAAACCAGTGGGCAAGGCCGGGCGCAGTGGCTCACGTCTGTAATGCCAGCACTTCGGGAGACCAAGGTGGGCGGATCACCTGAGGTCAGGAGTTCAAGACCAGCCTGACCAACATGGTGAAACCCCGTCTCTACAAAAATATGGAAATTAGCTGGGCATGACGGCGGGTGCCTGTAACCCCAGCTACTTGGGAGGCTGAGGAGGGATAATCAGTTGAACCCAGGAGGTGGAGGTTGCAGTGAGCCGAGATCGCGCCACTGCACTCCAGCCTGGGTGACAGAGCAAGACTCCATCTCAAAAACAAACAAACAAAAAACTAGCGGGTGAAATGATTCAGTGACCTAAGGACAGCCAGAGCACTAAGCTGCTGGGAACCCATCTGTGCTGAAATGTAGATTTCCCAGGAAACTCAGGCTTGGGACAGGCGCCTACCTGCTCCTCGGGCACCAGGTGATTAGGAGAGGTCGAATCTCATTTCCACGTGAGTGAGGATAAAGACTGGGCTGCCAAGGAGGACTCCTCATAAACATTGACAAATTGCTCTGCCCCGCCTGTGATCCCAGACGACTCCTGCAGTCTGGGATCCTGAGTGTCCTGTGGGTTCATCTCGGATGGGCGCTGCATAAACAGCCTGCAGGGAACGTCTGGGAGAACCAGCTTCACAACAGATATAATAAGGAAGAAGTTTGAAATATTGCAAGAATTGCGAAAGTGTGACACACAGATACAAAGTGGGCACATGCTCGTGGGAAAATGTTGCCAATAGACTTGCTTGACTCTGGAGTTACCCCGAACCTTCAATTTGTTTAAAAAAAAAAAAAGGCAATATCTTGACGTGCAATAAAGTGAACTGCAATAAAATGGGGTGTGCCTGTACTTGTTTTGAGACAGGGTCTTGCTCTGTCTGGAGTGTAGTGGTGCAATAATGGCTCACTACAGCCTTGAGTTCCTGGGCTCAAGCCGTCCTCCCACCTCAGCCTCCTGACTAGCTGGGACTACAGGCGCACGCTGCCACGCCCGGCTAATTTTTTTATTTTTTGTAGAGATGCCCTGAGGTCTTGCTACATTGCCCATGCTGGTCTTGAACTCCTGGGCTCAAGCGATCCTCCCCCACTTCAGCCTCCTAAAATGCTGGAATTACAGGTATGAGCCACCTCGCCCAGCCTGCCTGTACTTTAAAAAAAAATTCCAGGTTTCTAAAGCCATTGTAGAGAGGAGCTAACCCAGCCAATGATGTTGTTTCTGCTAGCTTAACTTCTTGTCTGAGCCTCCTTCGAGTGTGGATGGATCTCTGGGGGCTGAGTGGGAGTGCCTGCGTGTGTGTAGGTGTGCATGTGCGTGTGTTTGTGTGTCCCTGTGTAACCGTGTGGCTGTGGCTGCCCTTCAGAGAGCTGCCCGGGCATGCAGTATCAGGGAGAAGGCAGCCACACACCGAGGCTTCCCAGTGAGTAACTAGTTTCACCTGGGGTTTTCAAAGGCTCTGATGAAGCCCCGGGCGCTTAAAGCAGCTGTAAGGCTCAATAATGGTTTCAGGATCGTGAGAACGGATCTAGAGAACACGCCCCACACACGTGGTGTCTTGTTACCCGAGGTCCATTGGGGGGCAGCAGGGAGCAGGGGCTCGGCAGCTGGTCCAGGACCAGGCGCAGGAATGAGGGGTTCCCTGTCCTGGGGGTGAGGCCTGAAGGAAGAAGATTCCAGGCTGAATACGTGTCCACCGCTGGTTCTGTCGTGGAGGGGGAACCAGAGAGCCCCACATCTTGGTGTTCGTTATGTTAGGATTTTTCACGAACCTCAGGCAGCACAGGACAATGTTAAAGAAGAATGAACCAGGCTGGGCGTGGCAGCTCACGCCTGTAATCCCAGCACTTCGGGAGACTGAGGTGGGTGGATCACGAGGTCAGGAGTTTGAGCCCAGCCTGGCCAATATGGTGAAACCCCATCTCTACTAAAAATACAAAAATTAGCTGGGCGTGGTGGTGCGCGCCTGTAGTCTCAGCTGCTCGGGAGGCTGAGACAGGAGAATCGCTTGAACCCAGGAGGCAGAGGTTGCAGTGAGCTGAGATTATGCCACTGCACTCCAGCCTGGGTGACAGAGCAAGACTCTGTCTCAAAACAAAACAAAACAAAACAAAACAAAACACGAACCTTTGTAGACCTCAAAAATCAGAGGCATTCTGGGCGCGGTGGCTCATGCCTGTAATCCCAGAACTTTGGGAGGCCGAGAGAGGTGGATCACTTGAGGTCAGGAATTTGAGACCAGCCTGGTCAACATGGTGAAATCCCATCTCTACTAAAAATACAAAAATTAGCTGGGCAATGTGGGGGGTGGGTGGTGGCGCATGGTGGCTCACACCTGTAATCCCAGCACTTTGGGAGGTCGAGACAGCCAGATCACTTGAGGCCAGGAGTTTGAGGCCAGCCTGGTCAACATGGCGAAATCCCAGCTGTACCAAAAATACAAAAATTAGCTGGACATGGTGGTGGGTGTCTGTAGTCCCAGCTATTTGGGAGGCTGAGGCAGGAGAATCGCTTGAACCCAGAGGTAGAGGTTGCAGTGAGCCAAGATCACGCCACTACACTCCCGCCTGGGCAACAGAGTGAGACTCTGTCTCACACACAAAAAAAAATCAGAGGCAGATCCAGGTATTGTAGGAACTAAATTTTGAGGCCCTTTGTAGGAGAACTAATCTAAAATTACGAATATAGACTTCTAAGTATGAAAATGAATATTCAGAATGAAAATAAGTCATATTAACTAGTGGTGCTTGGAGATTCACATCTCATCCTTTTGGCCTCTCTTTTCATAGGATGCTTCTGGCTGGCACACCTGGCTTCCCCTCCATGCTCAGAACTGCTTCCTACTCTACATCCAGGCTCCTGAGCAGCCCCCAGCTTAAGCTTCAGCAGCTCCAGGGTAAATCCATCTCCGCCCAGAGCTGACTCCGGATCTGCCCCAGTGACAATAACAAGATAAATGCCTTCCATTCTCTTCGTACTTACAGGATGTAATCCACATATTTACACAGTGTTTCATTTGCGGTAATGTTTGTTTTGTTTCTTGTTCCTTCGTACCTATCTGGGAAGCCTGTGCAATTCAGATGTCCAGGCCCACTTCCAGAAGTTCTCATTCCCTGTGCTTGAGTCAATGGCCGCAGACCATACACCTGAGAGCAAGTTAATCTGCTCTAACAAAGATATCACATCTAAGAATGGTGGTTGGCAGGGGCTGGGGGGTGGGAAGAATGGGGAGTTGGTGCTTCATGGGTACAGAGATTCAGTTTTGCAAGAGGAAAAGAGCTCTGGAGATGGATGCTGCTGATGGCTACACCGCAATGTGAATGTGCATGATGCTTAAATATGGTTAAGATGGGCCGGGCGCGGTGGCTCACGCCTGTAATCCCAGCACTTTGGGAGGCCGAGGCGGGCAGATCACGAGGTCAGGAGATCGAGACCATCTTGGCTAACACGGTGAAACCCCATCTCTACTATAAATACAAAAAATTAGCCGGGCGTGGGGGCGGGCACCTGTGGTCCCAGCTACTCGGGAGGCTGAGGCAGGAGAATGGCATGAACCTGGGAGGTGGAGCTTGCAGTGAGCCGAGATCACGCCACTGCACTCCAGGCTGGGCGACAGAGCGAGACTCCGTCTCAAAAAAAAAAAAAAAAAAAAAATGGTTAAGATGGCCAGACGTGGTAGCTCACACCTGTAATCCCAGCACTTTGGGAGGACAAGACAGGAGGATTGCTTGAGCCCAGGAGTTTGAGACTAGCCTATGCAACACAGTGAGACCTCATCTTTACTAAAAATCAAAAAAATTAGCCAGGCATGGTGGCGTGTGCCTATAGTCCCAGCTACTCAGGTGGCTGAGGTGGGAGGATTGCTTGAGCCTGGTAAATCAAGGCTGCAGTGAGCCATAATGACACCACTGCACTCCAGCCTGGACCACAGAGCAAGACCCTATCTCAAAAAAATAAAGGTTAAGATGGTTAATTTTATTTTTTATCTTTTGAGATGGAATTTCGCTCTTGTCACCCAGGCTGGAGTACAATGGCATGATCTCCACTCACTGCAACCTCCACCTCCTGGGTTCAAGAGATTCTCCTGCCTCAGCCTCCTGAGTAGCTGGGATTACAGGCACCCACTATCACACCCGGCTAATTTTTGTATTTTTATTAGAGTTGGGGTTTCACCATATTGGCCAGGCTGGTCTCAAACTCCTGACCTCAGGTGATCCACCCACCTCAGCCTCCCAAAGTGCTGGGATTACAGGTCTGAGGTACCATGCCCGACCAAGATGGTTAATTTTATGTTATGTGTATTTTACTATCAAAATAAAAAACCAAACCCCAAAAGACACTATATCTGCAATGGGGCTACTACTTGGCTGAGTTTGCTCTAGTCCTTTAGGGTCCATGTGGTTTTTGTAGGATCTAAACTAACTAATGCAATGAAGATGTGATGGAACCTTTACGTCTTTAGGAGTGACATCCATTTTTGGCATCCTCTGGGATTCCAGATTGCTCTGATTTACTGTCTTGGGGGCAGGGAGCAGTGTTGAATTTATACGTGACCTTCCCCTCTGTGATAGCTCTCACCACAGGCCAAAGAGTTAATGTGGGGGCTGTGCCAAGTGTCAAGTCTCTATATTCCAATTACACATTCGAGGACCAGAGAAATGGCCACAGTGGCCACTCGCCCAGTGGACCCATTGCAAGCCAGACAAGGCCAGGATTCCTTTCAATCTGGCCACCACCATGTCACCACTCTGAGAGGGACAGATGATGACCTTGGATCTCAGGATCAATGTGAGCTTCAACACTATGTCCAATGGTCCTAGAAATGGGTGTGTATTCCACCCTCCCTATGGTACAATAACCCGATAAATGCTGTAGGCTTCTTTGGGGATAGCCAGGTAAGTCATTCCTGTGTATTTTGCTGGGTCCTTCTCCTGGGGACCCAGCCTTCCTTCCCGGTCTGAAAACTGTTTCAGGTATGGGAGGATCATTACTTTTTATTTGGGCCATTGCCACAGTCTCCTGACCATCCTTTGTCCACTTTAATTGTCCAGTCCATAGAGTGCCCTTGCTGGCCACTCCAGCCCGGGACTTCAAAGCTGCAGGGGGCCATGCGTGGTGGCTCGTGCCTGTAATCCCAGAACTTTGGGAAGCTGAGGCAGGCGGATCACTTGAGGTCAGGAGTTTGAGACCAGCCTGGCCAACAAGGTGAAACCTGTCTCTACTAAAAGTACAAAAAAAAAATTAGCCGGGTACAGTGACTTGCGCCTGTAATCCCAGCTACTTGGGACACTGAGGCAGGAGAATCGCTTGTACCCATGAGGCACAGGTTGCAGTGAGGCAAGATTGCGCCACTACATTCCAGCCTGGGTGACAGAGCGAGACTCCATCTCAAAAACAAAAAACAAACAAGCATAATGATAAAAGGGTCATTTCATCAAGAAGATAAAGACATTTCTATTTTGAAATATATTTTTATGGATATTTTGATACCTGCCGTTTCTTTGTGTTGGGAACATTACAATTCTTCTCTTCTGGCTATTTGGAAATGTGTGTGTGTGTGTTTGTCTGTGTGTTTATTTACTTATTTTAGAAACAGGGTCTGGTTGTGTCAGCCAGGCTGGAGTGCAGTGATGCAATCACAGCTCACTGTAATCTCCAGCTCCTGGGCTCAAGGGACTCTCCTGCCTCTCCCTCCCAAATAGCTAGGACTACAGGTACGTGCCACCATGCTGGGAAAACTTTTTAAAAAAATTTTGGCCGGGCGCAGTGGCTCACGCCTGTAATCCCAGTACTTTGGGTAGCCGAGGCGGGTGGATCACGAGGTCAGGAGATGGAGACCATCCTGGCTAACATGGTGAAACCCCGTCTCTACTAAAAATACAAAAAACTAGCCGGGCATGGTGGCGGGCGCCTGTAGTCCCAGCTACTCAGGAGGCTGAGGCAGGAGAATGGCGTGGACCCGGGAAGCAGAGCTTGCAGTGAACTGAGATCGCACCACTGCACTCCAGCCCGGGCGACAGAGCGAGACTCCATCACAAAAAAAAAAAAAAAAAAAAAAAAAAAAAATTTGTGGAGACAGGGTCTCACTATGCTGGCCAGGCTGGCCTTGAACATCTGGCCTCAAACAATCCTCAGCCTCCCAAAGTGTTGGGATTATAGGAATGAATATATTTTTTATTGATATTTTGACACCTGTCCTTTCTTTGTGTTGGATACATTACAATTTTAAAAATTCCAAATGTGGGCCAGGCAGGTGGCAGTTGCCTGTAATCCCAGCACTTTGAGAGGCTGAGCCAAGAGGATCACTTCAGCCCAAGAGTTTGAGACCAGCCTGGGCAACATGGCGAAACCCTATTTCTACAAAAAATAAAAAAGTTAACTGGGCGTGGTGCCACACACCTATGGTCCCAGCTACTCAGAAGGCTAAGGTGACAGGATGGCTTGAGCCCAGGAAGTTGGGGCTGCAGTGAGCCACGATCAAGCCACTGCCCTCCAGCCTGGGCAAGGTCCCTTCTCAAAAAAAAAAAAAAAAAAATCCAACTGTGTATGCACTTAGTAACAGGGCTTCAAAATATAAGAAGTAAAAACTGGTAACTGAAAGAAATACTCAAATTCACAATTATAGTTGGGGATTTCAACACTCTTCTCAGAGTAATTGATAAAACAGGTATAGAGAAAGCCAGTAAAGGTATAGAAGACTTGAACAACCTTATCAATAAACTCAGTCTAATTGACCATTCTTGAATCTTACACCCAACATCAGCTATTCTATTCACATTCTGAAGGGCTTGTAGAACAGTCACCAAAGGTAGGCCATCTGCTGGGCCATAAAAGAAGTCTCAATAGACTTACAGGAACTGAAATTATACAGTGTATGTTCTTTGACCACACAATATTAAATTAAAAACCAACAACAGAAAGATAGCCAGAAACTGGCGGGGCATGGCCGTAATCCCAACACTTTGGGAAGCCTCAGCGGGTGGATCACTTGAGGTCAGGAATTTGAGACCAGTCTGGCGAAACTGGGTTTCTACTAAAAATACAAAAATTTCAACATGGTGAAACTGGGTTTCTACTAAAAAATACAGAAATTAGCCGGGCATGGTAGCAGGTGCCTGGAATCCCAGCTGCACGGGAGGTTGAGGCAGGAGAATTGCTTGAACCCAGTAGGCAGAGGTTGCAGTGAGCCAAGATCACGCCATTGCACTCCAGCCTGGGTGACAAGAGTGAAACTCTGTCTCAAAAAAATAAAAAATAATAAATAAATACATTTAAAAATAAATACATTAAAAAAAATTAGCTGGGTGTGATGGCACATGCCTGCTATCCCAGCTACTCTGGAGGCTGAGGCAAAAGAATTGCTTTAACCCAGGAGGTGGAGGTTGCAGTGAGCCGAGATCGCACCACTGCACTCCAAGCTGGGCAACAAGAACAAAACTCCATCAAAAAAAAAAAAAAAAAAAAAGAAAGAAAAGAAAGAGAGAAAAAAGGGAGAGAGAGCCAGAAACTCCTCAGATTCTTGGAAATTAAACAATTTTTTTTTTTTTTTGAGACAAAGTTTCGCTCTTGTTGCCCAGGATGGAGTGCAATGGCACCATCTTGGCTCACTGCAACTTCTGCCTCCTGGGTTCAAGCGATTCTCCTGCCTCAGCCTCCAGAGTGTCTGGGATTACAGGTGTGCACCACCACACTCGGCTAATTTTGTATTTTTAGTAGAGATGGGGGTTTCGCCATGTTGGTCTGGCTGGTCTCGAACTCATGACCTCAAGCAATCTGCCCTCCTCAGCCTCCCAGAGTGCTGGGATTACAGGCATGAGCCACCCTGCCTGGCCCGAAATTAACAATGACTTATAAATAACTAATGAGTCAAAGATGAAATCACAAGGTAAACTCGAGAATGTTAAGAACTAAATGGAAATGAAAATACAACAACATAGCAAGATTTATGAGATATAGCTAAAACAATGCTTGTGGGTACATTTAGAGTTTTTTTTTTTTTTTGGAGATAGAGTCTCACTCTGTTACCCAGGCTGGAGTGCAGTGGCACGATCTCGGCTCACTGCAACTTCCGCCTCCCAGGTTCAAGTGATTGTCCTGCCTCAGCCTCCAGAGTAGCTGGGACTACAGGTGCATGCCGCTACGCCCAGCTAATTTTTTGCATTTTAGTAGAGACAGGGTTTCACCATGTTGCCCAGGCTGGTCTCGAACTCCTGAGCTCAGGCAATCCGCCCGTCTCGGCCTCCCAAAATGCTAGGATTACAGGCGTGAGCCACCATGCTGGCCTGCGGGTACATTCAGAGTTTTAAAGGATTATGCTAGAAAAGTAACACCTAGGGTGCATTGGCTCACGCCTGTAATCCTAGCACTTTGGGAGGCCAAGGCGGGCGGATCACCTGAGGTTGGGAATTCCAGACCAGCCTGACCAACATGGAGAAACCCGTCTCTACTAAAAATACGAAATTAGCCAGGCGTGGTGGCACATGCCTCTAATCCCAGCTACTTGGGAGGCTGAGGCAGGAGACTTACTTGAACCCAGGAGGCAGACGTTGTGGTGAGCCAAGATCGTGTCATTGCACTCCAGCCTGGGCAACAAGAGCGAAACTCCGTCTCAAAAAAAAAAAAAGAAAAAAGAAAAGAGAAAAGTAACATCTAAAAGCGATTATTGGCCAGGTGATTGCACCAATGCACTCCAGCCTGGGTGACAGAGCGAGACTGTCTCAAAACAAACAAACAAACAAATAAAACAAAACAAAAGAAAAGAAAAGCAATTATCTGGCCAGGCATGGTGGCTCATGTCTGTAACCCCAGCACTTTGGGAGGGCAAGGTGGGCAGATCACTTGAGGTCAGGAGTTCGAGACCAACTTGGACAACATGACGAAACCCCTGTAATCCAAGTTACTCAGGAGGCTGAGGCAGGAGAATCACTTGAACCCAGGAAGCAGAGGTTGCGGTGAGCTGAGATTGCCCCACTGCACTCCAGCCTGGGTGACAGAGTGAGACTCTGTCTCAAAAAAATGAAAATAAAAAAAGCAATTATCTAAACTTCCAGCTTAAGAAGCTAGAAAAAGATGAGCCAATTAAATCCAAAATGTGTCAAAGGAAGGAAATAAAAAGAACAGAAATCTAGAAAACAGAAAATAGATGAAATACTTGAAACCAAAAGCTGATTTATTTAAATCATCAATAAAATTGATAAACTAAGCTTGACTACTAAAGAAAAAAGAAATGTTGCAAGTTATTAATATTGGGGATGAAAGAGGGGAGTCACTATAGATGCCACAGACATTAAATGAATCATAATTTGGCAGGGTATGGTGGCTCATGCCTGTAACCCAGCACTTTGGGAGGTTGAGGCAAGCAGATCACTTGAGGTCAGGGGTTCGAGACCACCCTGGCCAACATGGTGAAACCCCATGTTCAACAACAAAATACAAAAAATACAAAAATTAGCCAGGCATGATTGCGGGTGCCTGTAATCCCAGCTACTCGGGAGGCTGAGGCAGGAGAATCATTTGAACCTGGGAGGTGGAGGTTGCAGTGAGCCAAGATTGTGCCACTGCACTCCAGCCTGGGCCACTGAGTGAGACTCTGTCTCCAAAAAAGAAAAGAAAGAAGTGCAGGCCAGGTGCAGTGGCTCATGCCTGTAAGCCCAGCACTTTGGGAGGCTGAGGGTGGATCACGAGGTCAGGAGATCGAGACCATCCTAGCTAACATGGTGAAACCCCATCTCTACAAAAAGTACAAAAAATTAGCTGGGCATGATGGCGGGTGCCTGTAGTCCCAGCTCCTCAGGAGGCTAAGGCAGAAGAATGACGTGAACTCAGGAGGCGGAGCTTGCAGTGAGCTGAGATTGCGCCACTGCATTCCAGCCTGGGCGACATAGTGAGACTCCATCTCAAAAAAAAAAAAAAAAAAAAAAAAGAAATGCAAAGATCCTTATATTCATTATTCATGCAATGCAACATTATACAGCAACAAGCATGCACAAATTCCTGCTACCCACTACAGCACTGATGTTGTGGATGGTTATTCCCTTTAGGGAGAAGAGGTCCCCATATTTGGCAGAAAGCAAGAGAAGCACTTCTGGGGTGCTGGTGATGTCTTCCTTGATCTGGGGACGGGTTAATGGGTGCATTCCTTTATGATCATGCATTAAGCCGTACAATTACGATTTGTGCATTTTTTCTGCAACTGCCCTTTATGAATACCCAGATGGTTTCTGTACCATGTGGTATCATAGGTAAGATACTAGCGCCCAGCACAGGGCCTGGTATATATAAGATGCTCAATAAATGCCTGTTTGGCCCTTGAGAATGCTCACTATGAATTAGGTATAATGGTGCTATCTACCAGGCTCTCCCTCTGCACCAGGCCCTGCTCTGATGTGTGCCTGGTAACTCACCTAATCTTTATACAAACTTGACAAGGTAGATACTATTATTGCCCCATTTTCAGATGAGAAAACTGAAGTGCAGAGGGGCCAAGGAACTTACCTAAGGCCACACAGCTAGGAGGTGCATGGAGGTGGGTTTGGACTGTAAGACTCCGGACCCTTTGGTTTATAACATTTTTACTCAACTAGTTAGCCGCCTCATCACCAGTTAGGAAGCCCCTCCAGGTCATTCCCGCTGATGCTGAATCTAACTTGAGTTATTGTCCTGCTGAGGACAGAAGGTAGTTCTGCTCTCTGAGTGATCCTAGGTGTCAAGATGAATGTGTGGCCGTTTCGCCCAAATCTCCCTCATCTGGTGGGCGTTTGGTTGGAAGGCAGTTCTTTCTCTGGGAGCCTGCTCACCAACGGTGAGGAAGCGACTCGGGCACCGTCTTGGGCTCCGGCCTCTGCTGGGTGGGGCTGCGGGCTGGGAGCAGTCGCCTCCAGTGTGTTGGCCACAGTCACACTGGTGCAGAGCTCCCGCTGATTATCTCCTGCACATGAGGGCCCTTTAGCTCTTCACACAGCAATTACTTGATGCATAAAACCAACATCGTTTTTCTTTAAGGCCCTTGAGAAACATACAATTATACCTCAGCTTTTTATTATCATGAGGAAAAATAGAATTACCCTTGACTGTGTGTCTTTTGTCATAATCACGGAGTTCTTGTTAAAAATTTGAGTGGGGGAACGTTTATTGTGATTTGTAGCAAGACCGCCCCAAGAGATGACGCCCAGGTGGGATCCCGGGTGGGGCGCGGGACCCAGCGCTTGGGAATTTGCTCGGCCCCTAGGTGGAGCCAGAGGGCCACAGACCGAGAGACGGAGCGCCTTGCGGCTTACGGGAAGCAACGCGGAGAATTTCACAGGTCATGTCACTTTTATTTATTTATTTATTTATTTATTTATTTATTTATTTATTTATTTATTTGAGACGGAGTCTCGCTCTGTCGCCCAGGCTGGAGTGCAGTGGCGCGATCTCGGCTCACTGCAAGCTCCGCCTCCCGGGTTCACGCCATTCTCCTGCCTCAGCCTCCCCAGTAGCTGGGACTACAGGGGCCTGCCACCACGCCCGGCTAATTTTTTTGTATTATTAGTAGAGACGGGGTTTCACCGTGTTAGCCAAGATGGTCTCGATCTCCTGACCTCGTGATCCGCCCGCCTCGGCCTCCCAAAGTGCTGTGATTACAGGCGTGAGCCACCGCGCCCGGCCAGGTCATGTCACTTAGATCTCCTCCCACTAACCCCGTTAATTTGCAGGCACCGGGGCACGGCTATAATTCTAGTTATAAAGTTTGACCTACTTAAAGAGATGATCTCCAAATGCTGCTTTTGGGAAATGAATGTATGTCTACTCCAAACATAGAGGTGTTTTTCTTCTCCGGGAAATGACCCATTTATTTTTGACCTTCCCTCTTGGATTATGGGTCCCGCTTTCAAATGGGTCGTTTATGAGTTTTAGGTCTCTTTGGAGTGGTTCATTCTGGGGTCAGAGCACTTGACTTTAAAGATCAGGTTAGGCCAGGCACAGTGACTCATGCCTGTAATCCCAGCACTTCGGGAGGCCAAGGCAGGAGGATCACTTGAGTCCAGGACTTCGAGACCAGCCTGGGAAACATACTGAGACCCCGTCTCTATAAAAATCAAAAGAATTAGCTGGCCATGGTTGGTGGTGCACACCTGTAGTCCCAGCTACTCAGGAGGCTCAGGTGGGAGAACCTCTTTAGTCCAGGAGGTTGAGGCTGCAGTGAGCTGTGATCATGCCACTGTACTCCAGCCTGGGGGACAGAGCAAGACATTGTCTCAAAGAAAAAAAAAAAAAGGCCGGGTGCGGTGGCTCACCCCTGTAATCCCAGCACTTTGGGAGGCCGAGGTGGGTGGATCACCTGAGGTCAGGAGTTCGAGACCAGCCTGACCAACATGGAGAAACCCTGTCTCTACTAAAAATAGAAAATTAGCCAGGCATGGTGGCACATGGCATGCCTGTAATCCCAGCTGCTTGGGAGGCTGAGGCAGGAGAATCTCTTGAACCCGAGAGGCGGAGTCTGTGGTGAGCTGAGATGGCACCATTGCACTCCAGCCTAGGCCACAAGAGCAAAATTCCGTCTCAAAAAAAAAAAAGGTTCAGTTAGGAGGAGAGGCTGTTCCTTTTTTTTTTTTTTTTTTGAGATGGTCTTACTCTGATGTCCAGATGATCTCCCCAGGCTCAGGAGATCCTCCCGCCTCAGCCTCCCATGTAGCTGGTACCACAGGTGCACACCACCATGCCCGGCTAATTTTTTTTTTTTTTTGAGACGGGGTTTTGCCATGTTGCCCAGGCTGGTCTGGAACTCCTAGGCTCAAGTGATCCACCTGCCTCAGCCTCCCCAAGTGCTGGGATTACAGAGGAGAGCCATCGTGCCCCTCTAAGTAGCCTCTTCTGTTTGTCTTTTAGATGTGTCGGCCCTTTGGGAACAGAAGACTATGTGTATGCTTCAGCATTTACTCACATTTCCTGCTGGCAACAGACTTAGGGTCTTGTCTATTCAATTCCATGGACAAGAGGAATAATCATGAAGTGTCTATCATCTCTGCAGAGGATAAACACAAGAGCTAAATTCATTAACATGAAAGAAACACAGTGGCTGTGTGAACAGAGCGGCTCTCCGGCTGCATCCTGTATGATTCCTGGGAGGCTGTGATGGCAGACCCTGGAGAATCCTGCAGTGTCCTCCTCTTGTGTGAATCCCAGCTTGAACCAGTTAGGGTCTTCTCCTTGGGCCAAGGTGATCTGAATCCCTCCCATCTGGTCAAACGCATCCATTCCTGCAGCCCCCAGGACCCCAGGGCTGCTTGGCTTCTCAAGCTGATTCACAAAGCTGTACACAGCCCTTCCTCTATGCCAGGCCCTGTTCCACACACCTTTCTTTTTTTCTTTTTTTTTTTTTTTTGAGACGGAGTCTCGCTCTGTTACCCAGGCTGGAGTGCATTGGTGTGATCTTGGCTCACTGCAATTTCTGCTTCCTGGGTTCAATCAATCCTCCCACCTCAGCCTCCAGAGTAGCTGGGACTGCAGGTGTGTGCCACCACAACCGGCTAATTTTTTTTCTTTTTTTTCAGACGGAGTCTCGCTCTGTCGCCCAGGCTGGAGTGCAATGGTGTGATCTCGGCTCACTGCAAGCTCTGCCTCCCTGGTTCATGCCATTCTCTAGCCTCAGCCTCCCGAGTAGCTAGGACTACAGGTGCCCGCCACCACGCCCGGCTAATTTTTTTTTTTTTTTTGTATTTTTAGTAGAGGCGGGGTTTCACTGTGTTAGCCAGGATGGTCTCAATCTCCTGACCTCGTGATCCACCTGCCTCAGCCTCCCAAAGTACTGGGATTACAGGCGTGAGTCACTGCACACTCGGCTAATTTTTTAATTTTTTGTGGAGGTGGGGTCTCTGTATGTTGCCCAGGCTGGTCTTGAACCCCTGGCCTCAAGTGATCCTCCTGCCTTGGCCTCCCAAAGTGCTGGGATTCCAGGAGTCAGCCACTGAGCCTGGTCCTCTTCTATTTTAGAGCTCTGAGTTATATAAATCTTCAGTTCAAAAACTGACATTTATTATGTTTAATGGAGTCAAATACACTAATAGTTAATATTTTAGAATGCTTAATTGCATGTCTTCCCTTACTTGTTCAGTTCTCACAGCACTATGATCACATTACTGATGAAGCAACCTGCCCAGTGAGTGGGTAGGTGACCTGCCTGGGTAGGAAGTAAAGCTATGATACAGAATTTTGACTGGATGGTCCACACCCTTAACCACGAGGCAGGCTCACTACTTCCTTAAAAATATAAAGAAAGAGGCCGGCCTTGGTGGCTTACGCATGTAATCCCAGCACTTTGGGAGGTCAAGGCAGGCGGAACACAAGGTCAGGAGATGGAGACCATCCTGGCTCACACGGTGAAATGCTGTCTTTACTAAAAATACAAAAAATTAGCCGGGTGTGGTGGCACATGCCTGTAGTTCCAGCTACTCGGGAGGCTGAGGCAGGAGAATCCCTTGAACCCAGGAGGCGGAGGTTTGCAGTGAGCTGAGATTGTGCCAGCGACAGCCTGGGCAACAGAGTGAGACTCTGTTTCAAAAAAAAAAAAAAAATTTAAAGAAAGAAAATTGTCCACAACCTCACATCCCAGATATTCCCATTAATTTAAAAAAATTGGAACATAAACATAAAAATGCATAAAACATATGCACAATGTAAAACATTTATTGTAAGCATGTACACTATTCCCCAGGTCAAGAAAACATGAACACTCCCGACCCCCAGGTGATCCCCCAGCGCAATCCTCTCGCTTCCGTTGAGAGGTACCCGCTATCCTGAGTTTTGTGATAATAATTTCCTTGTTCTTTATAGCTTTACCACCTACTTATGTTCTCCTAACAGAGTTTTAGATCATTGCGTGTGTGGCATGATACTATAGGTATTCGTTGGTTTTTTTCTTTTGTTTTTTTTTTTTTTTGTTGTTGTTGTTTTTGAGACGGAGTCTTGCATTGTCAACTGGGCTGGAGTGCAAAGGCGTGATCTTGGCTCACTGCAACCTCTGCCTCCTGGGTTCAAGCGATTCTCCTGCCTCAGTCTCCCGAGTAGAGAAGGGTTTTTTTTTTTTTTTGAGACGGAGTCTCACTCAGTCGCCCAGGCTGGAGTACAGTGGCATGATCTTGGCTCACTGCAAGCTCACAGGCATGAGCCACCGCGCCCGGCCGAGAAGGGGTTTCATCTTGTTGGCCAGATCGGTCTTTTTTTTTTTTTTTTTTTCTGAGACGGAGTCTCGCTCTGTTGCCCAGGCTGGAGTGCAATGGCGGGATCTCGGCTCACTGCAAGCTCCGCCTCCCAGGTTCATGCCATTCTCCTGCCTCAGCCTCCCGAGTAGCTGGGACTACAGGTGCCCACCACCACGCCCAGCTAATTTTTTGTATTTTTAGTAGAGACGGGGTTTCACTATGTTAGCCAGACTGGTCTTGAATTCCTGACCTCGTGATCTGCCCACCTTGGCCCGCCAAAGTGCTGGGATTACAGGCGTGAGCCACCGTGCCCGGCCAGGGATTCTTTTATATCTTCCTCCTTTTCCTCAATATTATGATTCCTGGCCAGGCATGGTGGCTCACACCTGAAATCCCAGCGTTCTGGGAGGCCAAAGTGGGGAGACTGCTTGAGCCCAGGAGTTCAAGACCAGCCTGGGCAACATGGTGAGAACCCCATTTCTACAAAAAATAGAAAAACAGCCAGTGGCGTGTGCCTGGGGTTTCAGCTACTTGAGATGCCGAGGTGGGAGGACCGCTGAAGCCAGTGAGGTACAGGCAGCAGTGAGTCTTTTTTTTGAGATGGGGTCTCACTTCATGCCCAGGCTGGAGTGCAGTGGCGCGACCTTGAGTCACTGCAGCCTCCGCCCTCTGGGTTCAAGTGATTCTCCTGCCTCAGCCTCCCGAGTAGCTGGGACTACAGGTGCGCGCTGCCGTGCCCAGCTAATTTTTGTATTTTTAGTAGAGATGGGGTTTCACCATCTTGGCCAGGATGATCTTGAACTCCTGACCTCGTGATCTGCCTGCCTCGGCCTCTTAAAGTACTGGGATTACAGGCGTGAGCCACCACGCCCAGCCCTATTTAAACCATATATAGATATATACATATTTTTTCTTTTTTTTTTTTTGAGACAAAGTCTTGCTCTGCGGCCCAGGCTGGAGTGCAGTGGTGGGATCTCGGCTTACCGTAAGCTCCGCCTCCCAGGTTCAAGCCATTCTCCTGCCTCAGCCTCCTGAGTAGCTGGGACTACAGGCGCCCGCCATCACGCCCGGCTAATTTTTTGTATTTTTAGTAGAGATGGGGTTTCACCGTGTTAGCCAGTATGGTCTTGATCTCCTGACCTTGTGATCTGCCCACCTCGGCCTCCCAAAGTGCTGGGATTACAGGCATGAGCCACTGCGCCCGGCCTAAACCATATATTTAAAGATAGTTTAAAATATTTAAAGATTGTTTAAAGTGACAGTTTGTCAATATTTTTAAAGAGTATAAGCTAAATATAATGAATTAATATCTGCTGTTGATATAATAATTATCTCTATGAAGTCATTCATAAAATATTTATTGAGTACCTACTATGTGCTAGGCACTCTTCTTGGAGCTTGGGATACAGCAGTGAATAAAACAGTAAAAAATTCCTGCTCTATACCTTCTAGTTGGGGGAGAGGCAATAAACATATGGGTGCAATACGTATTAAATGGTGTTAGGTGCTAACGAGAAAAATAAACCAGGGAGGAAAACTGGGAGTACTGGAGAAGAGTGGGGGGACTGCAATGGGCCTAATAGAGAATGGCTGGGGAAGGCCTTATTTAGAAGGTGATGTTTGCCTGAGTAAAGGGTGGCCCAGGCAGAGGAAGGAGCAAGCGTGAAGCCTCTGAGATATGTCCGGCACATTCGAAGACTGTCCGGGAGCTCAGGGTGGCTGGAGCTAAGTGAGCCAGGGGAGAGAGCTCATGAGGTCAGAAGCGTGGATGTGGCTGTGGGGCAGAACCCTGAATGCCACAGTGAGGACTGTTCAGATCCCAGATTCATTGTGAAGGCAGAGCTTGCAGGATGTGCTGATGGTTTGGATGAGGGGTGTGAGGGAGAGAGAGAGTCACGGGTGACTCCTTGGGTCTTGGCTTGACCAACTGGAGGGACGGGACTGCAATTTCCTGGGATGGCCATTTCTGAGGGGCATCAGGACAAGGTGAGTGTCGGGTACCTGCCATGCAACCAAAGTGAGATTTGGTGCAGACAAGGGATACATGGATCTGGAATTTAGGGGAGAGCTCTGAGCTGGCCAGAGATATGTATTATACAGATGGGACTTAAAGTGATGAGACAGGCTGGGTGCAGTGGCTCATGCCTGTAATCCCAGGACTTTGGGAGGCCAAGGCGGACAGATCACCTGAGATCGCGAGTTCAAGACCAGCCTGGCCAACATGGTGAAACCCTGTCTCTACTAAAAATAAAAAAATTAGCTGAGTGTGGTGGTGGGGGCCTGTAATTCCAGCTACTCTGGAGGCTGGAGCACGACAATCTCTTGAACCCGGGTGGCAGAGGTTGCAGTGAGCCGAGATCGCGCCACTGCACTCCAGCCTGGGCAGCAGAGCGAGACTTTGTCTCAAAAAAATAAAAATAACAATAAATTTAGAGTGATGAGACAGCCAGGCATGGTGGCTCATGCCTGTAATCCCAGCACTTTGGTTTGGGAGGCCAGGATGGGTGGATCGCTTGAGCCCAGGAGTTCGAGACCAGCCTGACCAGACTCTATAAAGAAATACAAAAAATAGCCGGGCATGGTGGTGTGTGCCTGTGGTCTCAGCTACTCAGGAGGCTGATGTGGGAGGATCATGTGAGCCCAGGAGGTCGAGGCTGCAGTGAGTTGTGATTGCACCACTGTGCTCCAGCCTGGGTGACAGAATGAAACCCTGTCTGAAGGAAAAAAAAAAAAAAGTGATGAGACAGAATGAGACCTCAAGAGTTCAAGCACTGCTTGGGGCTTGTCTAAAGTTCTGACAGGAGGCAGGGAGGCAGTGCCAGCAGAGCAGGCTGAGCAGTGGCCAGCGAGGGAGGAAGACGGACGTGAGGGAGGAGCGCTTCCAGGATAGGGAGGTCACATCTGCTCAATGCCGTTGAGAGGTCAAGGAAAATGACTTCTGACAACAGATTATCGGATTTAGCAACTTGGAAGGAATTAGTGACCTTGATAGATTGACTGGTAGAATCAAAAACCAAACTGGAACAGGTTCAAAGGAGGATGGGAGGTGAGGGGAGAGGGTGTGTGTGTAAGCAGCTCTTTTGAGATGTTTTGCTGAAAGCAGGGATAGAAATGGCCCATAGCTTGAGGAGCAAGTAGAAAATAGCCTAACACGAGAAGGTGAGACTGTGGAAGGTGCAAAATCAGTGTAAATCCATTAGCACTATGGCCAAAATCATTCACAAGGTTTTTGCTGAGGAATTGGGCGCCCCCATTGCCATCCTTAAAAACAGGGCAACATCATAAGTAGTAATCTGGAGCACTATTTTCTTTCTACAGTGCAGAATGGGTACATGATAATCTCTGGGCTGAGCTGTTATCTTTTCTGGGTCCCTCTACCACCTTCGGGGTAGTGATGTGAGCAGGAGGGACAGATGCTGTCTCAGGTGGAAGGGTAGCCACACCCTTTCCCAAAAGTATAGGAACTGTTCCAGATCACTTTTTGGCCTCACTCTGGAGGGCCCAGGCTATTTCATTCTAAACCACTTGGCCCATCCTTGTCTAAGATTCCCTCTGGTTCAGTGTGTGGCTGGAATCTGGCTTTTTGTGTCCCTGATTTGTGTCCCAAGCAGCATTTGAACTTTTTTTTTTTTTAAGAGACAGAGTCTATGTTGCCCAGGCTGGAGTGCAGTGGCTGTTTACAGGAGCCATCAGAGGGCACTGCAGCCTCAAACTCCTAGGTTCAGGGGATCCTCTTGCCTCAGCCTCCTGGGATTATGGGTGCAAGCCCCCATGCCAGGCAGATTTAGAAGATTTTGAACAATGAAGTGTCTGTAATGCTCAGAGGAGCAAGCACACCTATACAGGGAGCATGGGGTCTTAGTAAATTCTTGCTGCACTCATAGCTGGGGGAAGAGCAGTATAGAGAAACAGAAGGTTTGAGGAGGGAAGAGGAAGAAAGGCCCTACCTCAGCCTGCCAAGTAGTCCTCACAACGGTCAGGAAAGTATTTATCACCCCCATATCATAGGTAAAGAAACTGCCAGGCTGGGAACAGTGATGCACACCTGTAATCATAGCACTTTGAGAGGCTAAGGCAGGTGGATCACTTGAGCCCAGGAGTTCAAGACCAGCTTGGGCAATGTGGTGAGGCTCCTTCTATACAGAAAAGTACAAAAATTAGCTGAGCATGGTGGCACATGCCTGTGGCTCCAGCTACTCAGGAGGCTGAGGTGGGAGGGCTGCTTGAGCTCTGGAGGCAGAAGCTGCAGTGAGCAGGGATTGTGCCACTGTACTCCAGCCTGGGTGACAGAGCCAAGACTCTGTCTCAAAAGATTTAAAAAAAAAAAAAAAAAAAAAAAGGAAACTACCTTGCCTGAGGCTCTAAATCTAGTTACTGCTTCCAACCATTTCAGGATTCAATTGGGAAGAGGTGGTGTTTGAACAGGCTTGGGGGCCCTTGATGCTTGCATCAACTTAATTCTCACTAAAAAACAAAAGTCTGCGTCCGGACGAGGTGGCTCAGGCCTGTAATCCCAGCACTTTGGGAGGCTGGGGTGGGTGGATCACCTGAGGTCAGGAGTTCAAGACCAGCTTGGCCAACATGGTGAAACCCTATCTGTGAGAGGTGACAGCATGCTGGCAGTCCTCACAGCTCTCGCTCGCTCTCAGCGCCTCCTCTGCCTGGGCTCCCACTTTGGCGGCACTTGAGGAGCCCTTCAGCCTGCCGCTGCACTGTGGGAGCCCCTTTCTGGGCTGGCCAAGGCCGGACCCGGCTCCCTCAGCTTGCGGTGTGGTGTGGAGGGAGAGTCGTGGGCGGAACCGGAGCTGCGAGCGGTGCTTGCGGGCCAGGGCGAGTTCCAGGTGGGCGTGGGCTCGGCGGGCCTCGCACTCGGAGCCGCGGCCGTCCCCGCCGGCCCCGGGCAGTGAGGGGCTTAGCACCTGGGTCAGCAGCTGCTGTGCTCAATTTCTCGCAGGGCCTTAGCTGCCTTCCCCCGGGGCAGGGCTCGGGACCCGCAGCCCGCCATGCCTGAGCCTCCCCCCACTCCATGGGCTCCTGTGCGGCCCGAGCCTCCCCAATGAGCACCGCCCCCTGCTCCACGGCACCCAGTGCCATCGACCACCCAAGGGCTGAGGAGTGTGGGCACACAGTGCGGGACTAGCAGGCAGCTCCACCTGCAGCCCCAGTGCGGGACCCACTGGGTGAAGCCAGCTGGGCTCCTGAGTCTGGTGGGGACATGGAGAACCTTTATGTCTAGCTAAGGGATTGTAAATACACCAATCGGCACTCTGTATCTAGCTCAAGGTTTGTAAACACACCAATCAGCACCCTGTGTCTAGCTCAGGGTTTGTGAATGCACCAATCAACACTCTGTATCTAACTACGCTGGTGGGGACTTGGAGAACCTTTGTGTCGACACTCTATCTAGCTAATCTGGTGGGGACATGGAGAACCTTTGTGTCTAGCTCAGGGATTGTAAACACACCAATCAGCACCCTGTCAAAACAGACCACTCTGCTCTACCAATCAGCAGGATGTGGGTAGGGCTAGATGAGAGAATAAAAGCAGGCTGCCCGAGCCAGCAGTGGCAACCCACTCTGGTCCCCTTCCACGCTGTAGGAGTGTTGTTCTTTCGCTCTTTGGGTCCACACTGCCTTTATGAGCCGTTAACATTCACTGTGAAGGTCTGCAGCTTCACTCCTGAGCCAGGGAGACCACGAACCCACCAGAAGGAAGAAACTCCAGATGCGCCACCTTAAGAGCTGTAACACTCACCACGAGGGTCCGCGGCTTCATTCTTGAAGTCGGTGAGACCAAGAACCCACCAATTCTGGACACATCTGTACTAAAAATACAAAAATAAGCCAAACGTGGTGGTGCATGCCTATGGTCCCAGCTACTCAGTGTGGTTGAGGCAGGAGAATTGCTTGAAACTGGATGGCAGAGGTTACAGTGAGCTATCACACCACTGCATTCCAGCCTGGGCGACAGAACGAGACTCTATATCAAAAAAAGAAAACAGGCCAGGCGTGGTGGCTCACGCCTGTAATCCCACCACTTTGGGAGGCAGAGGCGGGCAGATCACAAGGTCAGGAGATCAAGACCATCCTGGCTAACACAGTGAAACCCCGTCTCTACTAAAAATACAAAAAATTAGCCGGGCGTGGTGGCAGGCGCCTGTAGTCCCAGCTACTTGGGAGGCTGAGGCAGGAGAATGGCGTGAACCTGGGAGGCGGAGCTTGCAGTGAGCTGAGATTGCACCACTGCACTCCAGCCTGGGCAACAGAGCAAGACTCCGTCTCAAAAAAAAAAAAAAAAAAAGAAAACAGAAAAACAAAATTCTTAGTATAAAAGTCTTGAAATCACAGAGTTCTGACTTTGACTGCCCCTGCTTCTGGGAGCTACAGATCATGCTGTGGGCTGCCTCCACGGTCTGGTAACTCAAGGGTGACCGGGGTGAGGCACAGTTCCTTCAGAGCTACCTAGCTGAGTGTAAATGGGTTGTTCAAATTGCACTAGGGAGCCGGAGTTGCGTGGGTTTTAATTTAAAGATGTAAGTACAAATCTATGTGCATTGTAGAAAATTCGGAAAAGGTCCAACTGCCTAGCAAGTAAAAAGCTGTCATTCCAGCACGTGGGGGGTGACCGCTTCTCCCTTCTTGGGTGTTTTTTGGTGGATTTTTTTTGGTGACCCCGACTGGCCTAGACTCCATTCAAGGGCACATCTTGTGCAGTAAAACACGCATGTTTCAGGGCTCCTCACTGCAACACGTGCACCTCCAGGCTGGCGCTCAGCGCTCCCAGTAAAAGCTGCAGGCGGCGGTGTAGATAGTCGCCGGCCTTTCCTCCTCCCCACCTCGTGACGCTTTGTGCTGCGGAAGCAAAGGCCCGTTCCATTCCCCGTGTCTTCCCAGCAGCCGCCACCAATGCTCCTTTCTAGGAAACAGCCTTCCATTCTCTCTTAGGGCCGATCTTAGCGAGAGCCGCGATGCGGGCGACTGGTGCCGGGGTGGGTTGGGGGCGGGGGTGGGAATCAGGCCCCACTGCCAGGAGCCCGGGCCGCGCCTTCCGCTCTGACCTCATCCGGCCGCCCAGGCACTGGGCGCGGCAGCGAATCGGCGGCGCGGGCGGCCGGGAACGCCCAGCACAAATATTTACCGCCGCGCGGAGAGTGAGGGCCCAAGTCCGCCCTGCTCCGCCACTTAGGCCGCCCCAGACGCTTCCCTCGGGGCTGCCACCGGGTCGGGCGCGGCTGCCGCGGCTAGCGGGCCTTCCCCGCACCGGCGCGGCCCAACCGCCACCGAACCTTCTGGAAGCGGCGGCTGCCTGGGCCCCCACGCCGCCAGAATCGTACGCCCGCGCGAGCTCTCTGCAGCCTTGGCGGCCTGGGAGGCGGGGCTCGGGGTGGGGCCGGCGCGGGGGCGGGGTCGGCGCGGGGAGGCCGCGTTCGATTGCCCCCGGCGCGCAGGCCCCGCCTCACCAGCCCCATCGCTCCACCTCTGCCCTCCCCCTTTATGGCGCGGCCCGGGCTCATTCATTCCGCGCCGGGCCTGCCAGACACCTGCGCCCTTCTGCAGCCGCCCGCCGCATCCGCCGCCGCAGCCCCCAGCATGTCGGGCCCAGACGTCGAGACGCCGTCCGCCATCCAGATCTGCCGGTAAGAGAGGGCCCGCGCGCAGCCTGCAGCGGCCAGGCGCGCCGGTCACCGCCCCAGGCCTGCCCCGCTTGGCTCTGTGGTCCCCACCCGCCGAGGCCGCCCCCGCCCGCCGATTCCCCGCACGGCCTTCCGCGCCGCCGCCCCGGACGCCCGCCCGGCCGGGATGCGACTCGCGATGCCGCACAAGCCGGGCGGCCCCCGCCCGCCTCCAGCCGGCTCCTCCTGGCCGCATCTCCAGGGCGGCGGCCGCGCCACGGGCCGTTTGGGCGAGAAAGCCAGGCAGGGACGGGGCGGGCGGAGGTCAATGCACAGCTCCAGAGCCCGGCGACCGGCGCCCGTGGGCCGCCCCGCCTCGGGCCTCGCCCGAGCATCCCGGAGCCTCAGCCCCGTGGTCCTGCTTAGCCTCCTCGAGGATTCGGGATCATTACCTCGGCGGTTGTGCTGCGCTAACCAAAGCCCCCAGAGGTGGAGGGGAGGTGCCCAGAGCCGCGCGAGCCCCTCGGTGGGTGCCCCTGTGGGAGGAGGTTGCAGAGCTACCGTCTTCAGTGCACTGCTTCGGTTTGGGGGAGGGCAGGTGTTGAAAGGAAGAACAGATAATACTGTCTACCTCTAACAGTTTACTATGAAGAAAAGGGAATCAGTGGTCTGTTGGGCCTGAAAGCATCTTACACAATAGAGGCAAAGGGTTGTCCTTCTAGAGCACCCCCTCTTCTTCCACCAGGTACTGAGTAGATAGATGCAGGCCCCCAGAGGAAGCTGGAGGCTGGAGATCATGAACAAGCTCATTTCCCATAGGAGGTGGGGAGGGCAGCCTGAAGGTTACTCTGCAGTTCTCTTCGGCAGAATCGGAAGCAGCAGGCTGGCATTTGTGCATGAGCTAAGTGAGGACAAGGAGTCTAGGTTTTCAGCCACTGCACACAGGCTCTGTGGCCTGCGACCGGTCCTATCCTGCTTGATGAACTACCAGGAGTGAGAGCTGCTTTCTGTTTTGGTAGTGGGTTCCTCACATTTGGGGGTTGGGCATCACAGACTGACCTTGGGCTCAAGCCAAGTCCAATAGAAGCAAGTTACTTTCCTGTAGATGTTGACATCTCCAGGAAGGCTGGGCATATAGCAAGTCCTGGGTCTATGGCGATTCTTGACTCTCAGTCTCATCTTCTGGCCTGGTCGAGGGCCTCTCCTTACCTCAAGGTCGGTTTTGACTTTTCCAGAGGGGGAACGTCTTTGGGGGAGCCCTGCCCCTTTGACTTTGGCTCTGTGGCTGTTCTGGTCCCATCGACTCTGGAGGTGGGGAAAGCGGGGCAAAAAAAAAAAAGGAAATAACTGGAGACAGACAGCCTGCATCAGGTTCCTGAATCAGCTCTGCTGAGTATTGGCTGGGAAACTTGGGCTCCATGGTTTGCAAAGAGCTTATACCTGTCTCATCCCACTTGGTTTGCCCAATTCCCTGGGAGGTTGATGGTCGGTAGTGCCACCCTTACCTGTGTGGAGGAGGAAATGGCAGTTTTGGGAGTTGAGTAACTGTGTAAGGTCATCCTGCTCCAGGAGATCCAGGGACAGCCCCTGCCCAAGTCTTCTGACTCCAGATCCAGTATTCTTCCCACCCCTCTCCTGAATAAAGGAAACCTTGATTTAAATCTTCCCGTGGAAGGCTGGCCTTTTATTTACTTCTTCAGGGTGGTGAATAGCCAATTTATACATGTTGTCTTTTTTCACCCAGCTTCTAACAGTTACTAGATTTTTTGTTTTTTGAGACAGAGTCTCACTCTGTCACCCGGGCTGGAGTGCAGTGGCCCGATCTCAGCTCACTGCAACCCCTGCCTCCTGGGCTCAAGTGATTCTTGGGCCTCAGCCTCCCGAGTAGCTGGGACTACAAGAGTGCGCCACCACGCCTGGCTAATTTTTGTGTTTTTAGTAGAGATGGGGTTTCTCCATGTTGGCCAGGCTGGTCTCGAACTCCTGACCTCAGGTGATCTGTGATCTGCCCTCCTCGGCCTCCCAAAGTGCTGGGATTACAGGTGTGAACCACCGCACCCAGCTGGAAAAAGTTCTTGTGCCTCAGCCTCCTGAGTAGCTGGGACTACAGGCGTGCGCCACCACGCCCAGCTAATTTTTGTATTTTTAGTAGAGATGGGGTTTCATCATGTTGGCCAGGCTGGTCTTGAACTCCTGACCTCAGGTGATCCTCCCGCCTCAGCCTCTCAAAGTGCTGGGATTACAGGCGTGAGCCACTGCTCCTAGCCTAGTTACTAGATTTTTGTATAGCTTTAGACACTTCCATACAGTAAGTGTGTGCTTTTTGTTTGTTTGTTTGTTTGTTTTTGAGACAGTCTCGCTCTGTCACCCAGACTGGAATGCAATGGCACGATCTCAGCTCACTGCAACCTCTGCCTCCTGGGTTCAAGCGATTCTTCCACCTCAGCCTCCTGAGTTGCTGGGATTATAGGTACCCGCCATCATGTCTGGCTAATTTTTGTATTTTTAGTAGAGACGGGGTTTCACCATGTTGGCCAGGCTGGTCTTGAACTCCTGACCTCAGGTGATCTGCCCGCCTCGGCCTCCCAAAGTGCTGGGATTACAGGCGTGAGCCACTGCGCCTGGCCCGTGTGTGTGCTTTTTCTTACCCACTGTAAACCAAGTCTGCTATCTCAGGTTCACAATTGCATATTGTTTCTTTATTTTTTGGAGATGGAGTCTCACTCTGTCACCCAGGCTGGAGTGCGGTGACACACTCTCGGCTAACTGCAACCTCTGCCTCCTTTGTTCAAGTGATTCTCCTGTCTCAGCCTCCCGAGTAGCTGGGACTACAGGCGTGCACCACCGTGCCCAGCTAATTTTTGTATTTTTAGTAGAGATGGGGTTTCACCATGTTGGCCAGGCTAGTCTCGAACTCCTGACCTTAGATGATCTGCCCGCCTCGGCCTCCCAAAGTGCTGAGAATTACAGGCATGAGCCACCGTGCCTGGCCAATTGCATATTGTTTCTAAGTGGCTGCCTTGGCCAGACGACTGGTGAGGAGGATGCTTGGCTGCCCCTGCTCATGAGTGAGCAGGTGAGCCTCAGGTGCAGAGCGTGACTGCCAAAGGAGTAGGCGGGAGTGGTGGTAGGGGTAGGCCTGTGAAGAGAAGGCTGTGGTTCCATCGGCTTGACTCAGAGAAACCGCAGGACACTGGAGAGTGACTGTACTAGGATGGGGAGCCCTTTAAGGACATCTGAGCTGACACCCCAAGTTGAAAGAGGAGCCTCCTGGCCTAGCACAGCCAAGCCCATGAATTTAACAATGCTTTACTGGACACTGCCAAGAAGCATAGCACCAGGAGGGAAACGTGTGGAAAATGTGGCCCCTGCCTTAAGGGGTCACAGTCTAGCAGGGGTGAGAACGTCCAAATTCCCACCATCTTAGACACAATGGTCACATGTTCTCAGTTCAGACATTGTTGAAGGGATAGGGGCTTTTTTTTCTTTCTTTTTTTTTTTTTTTTGAGAGGGAGTCTTGCCCTGTCCCCCAGGCTAGATGCCATCTCGGCTCACTGCAACCTCTGCCTTCGAGGTTCTACTGATTCTCCTGCCTCAGCCTCCTGAGTAGTTGGGATTACACACGCCCGCCACCACGCCCAGCTAATTTTTTTGTATTTTTTTAGTAGAGATGGAGTTTCACCATGTTGGTCAGGCTGGTCACGAAGGGAACAGAATTTTTAATTGCATCAATTTAAATTCAGGTGGGTAGCCACCTGTGGCTGGTGGCTATCTTTTGGGGAGTGCAATATGTAGAGAAATTTAAACATCAATTTACTAGTAGGTCTGTGGGGGGCAGGGTGTTCCTAAAGGAAGCTCCAAGGCTTTCTGGGGACTGTAGCCAGCTCTGGAATAACCATGCTGATGGAGGGGGACCTTGGCATGGACACCACCCAGCAGGCAGATAACTTGGCATGCTTTATTTATAGGTAGATGTGTGAAATCTACAAGGTTTTTTTGTGTTTTCTTTGCTTGCCATGCTCTTAGATGCAGATCTACCAGGAAGTTTCCTGAGATCAGGAATTGTGTTGTACCATGTGGTACCATGAATGCCTAGAATAGTGTCTGAGGTCTAGTTGACAGGTCAATAAACAGCAGCTGAGTGGCTATGAGTTTCAGTATGTTATGGGGTTAGAATTATTTCCCCCAAGGGAAAAGACAAAGAGGGGCTCTACCTTTGTCTTTTTTTTTTTTTTTTCTTGAGACGGAGTCTCACTCTGTTGCCCAGGCTGGAGTGCAGTGGCGCGATCTCGGCTCACTGCAAGCTCCGCCTCCCGGGTTCACGCCATTCTCCTGCCTCAGCCTCCTGAGTAGCTGGGACTACAGGCATCCGCCACCACACCCGGCTAATTTTTTTTTGTATTTTTATTAGAGATGGGGTTTCACTGTGTTAGCCAGGATGGTCTCGATCTCCTGACCCTGTGGTCCTCCCACCTTGGCCTCCCAAAGTGCTGGGATTACGGGCGTGAGCCACCGCACCCGGCCTTTTTTTTTTTTTTTTTTTAAGAGAGTCTCACTCTGTCACCCAGGCTGGAGTGCAGTGACAGGATCTTGGCTCACTGCAGCCTCTGCCTCCCCAGTTCAAGCAATTCTCCTCTCCTCAGCTTCCCGAGTAGCTGGGACTACAGGCACCCACCACCACACTCGGCTAATTTTTGTATTTTTAGTAGAGACGGGGTTTCACTGTGTTTGCCAGGCTGGTCTCGAACTCCTGACCTTAAGTGATCTGCCCGCCTCGGCCTCCCAAAGTGCTGGAATTACAGGTGTGAGCCACTGCACCAGGCCGGGCTCTGTCTTTGGTTTTATAATGGAATTAATGAAAAGAAAGAACCTGGCCAGGCGCTGTGGCTCACGCCTGTAATCCCAGCACTTTGGGAGGCCCAGGTGGGCGGATCACGAGGTCAGGAGATGGAGACCATTCTGGCTAACACAGTGAAACCCCATCTCTACTAAAAATACAAAAAATTAGGCGGGCGTGGCGGTGTGCGCCTGTAGTCCCAGCTGCTGGGGAGGCTGCAGGCAGGAGAGTGGCATGAACCCGGGAGGCGGAGCTTGCAGTGAGCTGAGATCCCGCCACTGCACTCCAGCCTGGGCGACAGAGTGAGACTTGGTCTCAAAAAAAAAGAAAAAAAAGTTAGCTGGGCGTAGTGGCGGGTGCCTGTAATCCCAGTTACTTGGGAAGCTGAGGCAGGAGAATCGCTTGAACCTGGGAGGCGGAGGTTGCAGTGAGCCGAGATTGTGCCATTGCACTCCAGCCTGAGCAACAAGAGCAAAACTCCGTCTCAAAAAAAAAGAAAAAAAAAAAAACAAAGAACCTGATTTACAGAAGCCACACTCAGAGCTTGTATTCTGGAGCATTCCGCAAAATGATTTACAGTGCTGGCTCTCTTGCTGCTGGGATGTGTGGACCCTGGGTGAAGATGCAGTCTTTGTAACCCAGAGAGCCTGTGCGTGGGGAGGCCTTTGTCTACCCACTGTCCAACCTCACGCTGTAAGTGGGCCACTTAGCCTGGCATTGCCCTGGAATTGGCACCTGCAGCTAGCTGGCTCCCCAGTTCTGGTCAGACCAGAAGTGGCTTTCTCCTGTGTGACCCACCTGGCCTGTGTAGCCTGCACCAGGGGGTGACCCCATAGGCTGTCTTGCCATCCCACCCCTTGGCCTCTCACTCTCAGAGCCCTCCTGGGGAGGGGGATCAAGGATGTGCCTCCCCATCCTTGGACCCCTGCATGGGAATAACTGGGGAAGTCTGTTACAAATATGGGTTTTCTGCATGTGAACAGTACTTCAGCAGAGAGTCAACAAGATGAAGATTGAGGAGATAATGGGGAAACTTGAATAGTCCCTTGATAATGATTTTAAGGAATCACTGCTTTTTTTTTTAAGGTAGGATAATTGTTTTGTAGTTTGCTTTTTTAAACCAGCTTTATTGAGATAGATTTAGAATGCATACACAAGAATATTTGAAACGTACAGTTTGCTGAGTTTTGATGAGTGTGCACACTGAGTAGTGGCGGGCCCAGTTGTGATGTCGAATATTTCCAAACTCCCAAAATTCCCCTACTGTTGGCCCCTGGCAAAAAGATCTGCTTTCACTCACTCGCTGTGCCTCTTCTAGAATTTCGTGTCGATGGAACCGGATCGAGCTCAGTGCTGGGCCTCGCTCCTGTGTCCCCGTAGCCCTGTATTACCCTGTTCCCTGCACACTGCAGTTTCTCTTCACCAGGCCACAGAGACTTGGGATCTTGTGAATGAAGTTCACAAATGCAGATTTCAATTCATTTAGGACAGAAACGTGAAGTCACTTGCTATTTAATGATATTAGGAATTTGGATGATATTTTAGATGAGATCTTTGTTTTGTGGTTTTTATTTTTATTTGAGACAGGGTCTCGCTTAGTTGGCCAGGCAACTAAGTGGTGCAGTGGTGCAATCATGGTTCTCTGCAGCCCCAACCTTCTGGGCTCAAGGGATTCTCCCACCTCAGCCTCTCGAGTAGCTGGGACTACGAGTGCACGCCTCTGTGCCTGGCTAATGTTAAAAAGATTTTTTGTAGAGACATGATCTCACTTTGTTGCCGAGGCAGGTCTTGAACTCCTGGGCTCAAGTGATCTTCCCACCTCGGCCTCCCAAAGTGCTGGAATTGTGGGCATGAGTCACCATACCCCTCCTTTAGGTTTTTCACAAGGAGCTTTTATCTTTGAGAGGAAATGCAGACATATTTACGATGTCGTACTGGGAAATCCGGGATTTGCTGCAGAATAACCTGGCATGGGGAGCAGGTGGGAGCAGAGACCAGAGGTGCCCTGAGCTGACTGTTTTGGGGCTGCTTGATGGGGACATAGGGGTTCACTCCCTCCTCCCTCTACTCTTGTAAGCATTTGATGTTTACCACAATGAAGAATAAAAAGAAAACCAGGCTCCTGAGCCTCCACCCCAGAGCTACTGCCTCTAACTCCAGGGGCGGGGAAGGTCAGGGAGGGGTAGGCCCAGGAATCTGCATTTTCCTCGGCCCTCCTGGAGCTTGAGGGCCACTGTCAGAGGAGGGCCAGGCACCTGCCGTGTTGTGCGGTGTGTTGGCCTTCCTCGGCTTCCCCGCAGCCTTCCAGCTCTCCCGGTGCCTGTGAGCCAAGACCTCTCTGCCCAGGTGGAACTCCGCCCAGGTGGAACTCATTCTTCTACTTGCCTGAGGGCCAGCCTGAGTGGTGCGAGGTTTAAGGTCCTGGAGGTGGGAACCCTTATGAGTGTTGCTTGTGGCCCCACCCAGTTCATCCTCTCCCGCAGAGGGGTGGTGGCCCTGTCCTGTTTCCCTGTCTGTGAGTTCAGGCCGAGTCATGGATTCCTTGCATCACTGGTCTTTTGTAGAGAACATCCTGTGATCCAGTTCCGGAAGCCGAGGAGGCGGCTTGCCGGGGGCTGGTGGGGGAGGGGCGGTCCTAGGAGGAGCAGGAGCCTGGTGCTTTCTATCAGGGAGGGATCACACCGGCTCACTGCTGAGCCGGCCAGGCAGACACAGGCTTGGGCTCTGCTGGGCATCATACTTGTCACTGGGTAAACAGTTTGCCCACTTACCGCAGGATGAAGCTGCTTGCCAGGGCTCTCCGGCTCTGTGAGTTTGGGAGGCAGGCATCTTCCAGGAGGCTGGTGGCTGGCCAGGGATGTGTGGGGCCCCGGCGAGGGTGCTGCGCTCCCGTCCAGGTGGTTGGGCCCAGGGCTGATCTCCCACCCTGTGGAGCCTGCATTACTGGAAGGTAGGATGACTGGGAATATTTTGTGCCCATGGTGTCTCACTTGCGACGCCGACTGGGCAGCCAGGGCCTTGGGCCGCATAACTTGGAGGAGTTTTGGGGAGGGTAGTAGGGTCGGGTGTTGGATGAGCTGTGTGTTTTGCTGGATTGAAAGTGCCCACTTAAGTGGCCACCCTCAGTGGAGACCTGGCATGTTCTTCCCCTAGGGACGAGCGGAACACCCGGGCTTTGTTGGAGGAGGTGACCTGGCAACCCTGGGCTGTGGGAATCTGGGCCTCTGCAGATCAAGGCTCCTGCAAGCCAGCAGCTGTGCTGGCTCACAGCTGGCAGCTGGCATCCGTGCCCTGCTTTGTCCCTAGGCTGGATGTTGAGCTGTGATTTTAGACCAGAAGGTTGGTGCAGGGCCAGAGGGAGCTGTTCCTGCACGATTGGCTGATCCTAACAGTGCAGTGTTGAGCTGCTTACAGATGGCTTTTGCATACTTTATTTCTCCTAAACTTTACAGAAACTCTGTTGAGTGGGCATACATACCTCCCCCTTTGTGCCAGCTTTATTGGGTTATAGTTCACATGCCATACAATTCATTCACTAATGTGTACAAGCTAGTAGATTTCAGTTTTATGTTCACAGAGCTGTGGGATCATGACCTCCATCAATTTTGAAAGGGGTGGTAGGAGGATTTTTTGTTCTCCTGACATGGAGCTCCCCAAGCCCTTGGGACCTTTGTAGTCCTAAGAGTGTCTAGTATGCTAATGAGAGAACTGGTGGCTGGGGGCCCTAGATATAGCTTCAGGATGGGAGCTGGTCTCCAGAAAGGCCAAGGGAGGATTAGCGGGTTAGCGCTTTCAACCTTACCTTCCTATACCGCAGAAGGTAGTGCCAGACTTTACTTGAATTGTAGGACACCCACCTAGTGTCGGAGAGTTGGAGAAGTGGGGTTGAAAGAGACACCCATGTTTGTTATTAAAAGCATGAGTAAAAACAGCTCGCCTAGGAATATAATTTTTGGGTCATATGGTAATTTTGTGGTTATTCTCTTGAGGAATTACCAGACTGTTTCCAAAGTGGCTGCACCATTTCACATTCCCACCAGCAGTGTAAAAAGGATTCAATTTCCCCATATCCTTGTCAGCACTTGTTATTATCCATCTTTTGAATTCTAGCCATGCTAGTAGATGTGCAGTGGTATCTCACTGTGGCTTTGATCTACATTTCCCTAATGAGAGAAGATGATACTGAGCATCTTCTCATGTGCTTATTGACCACTGTGTATTTTTAGAGAGCTGTCTAGTCAGGTCTTTCCTGTATTTTCCAATTGGTGTAATTGTCTTTTTGTTGTTGAGTGATGAGAGCTCTTTATATATTCTAGATGCAAGTCCCTTCTCAGATAAAATTTTTTAATTAAGAAAATTTTCCAATTCAAAAAAGTTGTCAGCCTGGGCAACATAGCAAGATCTGATCTCTATTAAAGATTAAAAAATTAGCCAGATGTTGGCTGGGCGTGGTGGCTCACACCTGTAATCCCAGCACTTTGGGAGGCCGAGGCGGGCGGATCACGAGGTCAGGGGATCGAGACCATTCTAGCTAACACAGGGAAACCCCATCTTTACCAAAAATACAAAAAATTAGCCGAGTGTGGTGGCGGGCGCCTGTAGTCCCAGCTACTTGGGATGCTGAGGCAGGAGAATGGCTTGAACCCGGGAGGCGGAGCTTACAGTGAGCCAAGATCGTGCCACTGCACTCCAGCCTGGGCCACGGAGCAAGACTCCGTCTCAAAAGAAAAAAAAATTAGCCAGATGCAGGGTAGGTGGGGTGTGCCTGTAGTCTCAACCACTCAGGAGATTGAGGCAGGAAGATTGCTTGAACCCAGGAAGTTGAGGCTGTAGTGAGCTTATTGCACCACTGCAATCCAGCCTGGACAACAGATCAAGACTCTTGTCTCTCAAAAAAAAAAAAACTGTGTTAAAATACACATAATATATAATTTACCGTTAAAAAAATCTGCCATCAGGCCGGGCGCGGTGACTCACGCCTGTAATCCCAGAACTTTGGGAGGCTGAGGCGGATGGATCACGAGGTCAGGAGATCGAGACCATCCTGGCTAACAAGGTGAAACCCCGTCTCTACTAAAAATACAAAAAATTAGCCAGGCGTCATGGTGGGCGCCTGTAGTCTCAGCTACTTGGGAGGCTGAGGCAGGAGAATGGCATGAACCCGGGAGGCGGAGCTTGCAGTGAGCTGAGATTGCGCCACTACACTCCAGCCTGGGCAACAGAGCAAGACTCCGTCTCAAAAAAAAAAAAAAAATCTGCCATCTTAGCCGGGCATGGTGGCTCACACCTGTATTCCCACCACTTTGGGAGGCCAAGCTGGGTGGATCACCTGAGGTCAGGAGTTGGAGACCAGCCTGGCCAACATGGTGAAACCCCGTCTCTACTACAAATACGAAAAATAGCTGGGCGTGGTAGCCCACGCCTGTAGTCCCAGCTACTTGGGAAACTGAGGCAGGAGAATCACTTGAACCTGGGAGGCGGAGGTTGCAGTGATCCAAGATCGTGACATTGCACTCCAACCTGGGTGACAAGAGCGAAACTCTGTCCAAAAACAAAAAAAAAACAAAAAAACTGCCATCTTAATGATATGTGTATATGTATATGGTTAAGATGGCAGGTTTTGTTTTGTTTTTTAAATTGAGACAGGGTGTTACTCTGTCTTCTGGGGCGCATGTGGTGGTGCAGTCTCGGTCACTGAGCCTCTACCTCAAGTGATCCTCCTGCCTCAGCCACCCGAGTAGCTGGGACCACAGGCATGTGCTACCATACCTGGGTAATTTTTGTAGTTTTTGTAGAGACAGGATTTCGCCATGTTGGCCAGGCTGGTCCCAAACTCCTGAGCTCAAGGGATCTGCCCATCTCCGTCTGCCTCCTAAAGTGCTGGGATTACAGGTGTGAGTCACAGCGCCTGGCTACCATATACGTATTTGTAGCCATATTTTCTTGCTCTGTCACCCACTACGTCTCACTATGTTTCCCAGGCTCATTTTAATCATTTTTAAATGTCCAGCTCAGTTTTTTTGTTTTGTTTTTTGTTTTTGAGACAGAGTCTCGCTCTGTCGCCCAGGCTGGAGTGCGGTGGCACAATCTCGGCTCACTGCAAGCTCCGCCTCCCGGATTCAAGCGATTCTTCTGCCTCAGCCCCCCGCGTAGCTGGGACTACAGGTGCCCGCCACCACGCCCAGCTAATTTTTGTATTTTTAGTAGAGACGGGGTTTCCCCATGTTGGCTAGAATGGTCTTGACCTCGTGATCCGCCTGCCTCGGCCTCCCAAAGTGTTGGGATTACACGCGTGAGCCACCGCGCCCGGCCAAGTCTTGCACTTTCGCCCAGGCTGGAGTGCAGTGGCGCAATCTTGGCTCACTGCAAGCTCCGCCTCCCGGGTTCATGCCATTCTCCTGCCTCAGCCTCCTGAGTAGCTGGGACTACAGGCGCCCACCATCACGCCCAGCTAATTTTTTTTTTGTATTTTTAGTAGAGATGGGGTTTCACCGTGTTAGCCAGGATGGTCTCGATCTCCTGACCTCATGATCCACCTGCCTCGGCCTCCCAAAGTGCTGGGATTACAGGCGTGAGCCACCGCGCCCGGCTCATTCCCTTCCTTTTAAAGACTGAATCATGTTCCATTTCATGGATGGACCACATTTTGCTTATTCCATCATCTGTGGATGGACACTTGGGTTAATCCCACATTTTAGCTTGTGAATAATGCTGCTATGAACACAGCAGAGACCCCGTTTTTAGTTCTTTAGGATATATTCCCAGAAGTGGAATTGCTGGATCATATGGCAATTCTATTTTAAATCTTTAAAGAAACGACCATACTGTTTTCCACAGCGGCTATGCCATTTTACATTTCCACCGACAGTGTACATGGGTTCTGGTTTCTGGGCATCCTTGTCAATACTTGTTATTTTCTGTTTTTTTTTGATAGTTGCCATCCTAATGGGTGTGAAGTGGTGTTTCATTGTGGTTTTGCTTTGCATTTCCCTAATGTTTAGTGATGTTGAATGTCTTTTCATGTGTTTATTTGTCAACTGTATTTTTTCTTTGTAGAAATGTCTACTCAAGTTGTTTGCTGATTTTTGAATCAGGTTTTTTTTAAAACTGAAAATTAAATATATTGCTAAACTGTTTGTATATTTATTCATATACTTGAACATAGACATGTATAGGTGTATATATTATGTGCATGTTATATACATATCCTTGTGTATCTATATAAGTATCCATGTATATATTTTTCAAATTTTCATCAGTATTCTGAAACTGAAGACTATAGCTTTTGGTGTTTGAGAAAGTCCGTGTCCATTTTTGCTTCTATTGTTTTTGACACATAATAATTGTACATATTTATGGGTATAGTGTGGTATTTTGATACATGAATGCAATGTGTATGGTTGGTTTTTTTATTGTTGCGTTTTAGGAGTTCTCTATATATTCTGGACACTAATCCCTCATCAGATATATGATTTGCAAATAATTTCTCCCATTCTGTGGGATGTGTTTATACTCTGTTGATATTGTCTGTTGATGCACACATTTTAAAGTTCTTATGACATACAATTTGTCTGTTTTCTTTTGTTCCTTGTGCCTTTGATGTCATAGCCAAGAAATCATCACCAAATCCAATGTTGTAAAGCTTTAGCCTTATGTTTTCTTCTAAGAGTTTTATAGTTTTAGGTTTTACTTTTCGGCTTATGATCCATTTTGAGTTTTTTTTTTTTTTTGTATATGCTATTAGGTAAAGGTGCAACTCATTCTTTTGTGTGTAAATATCCAGTTCCTTAGCACCATTTGTTGAAAAGATTGTCTTTCCCCATTGAGAGGTCGTCTTCTTGTTTTTTTTTTTTTTTTGAGACGGTCTTGCTCTGTTGCCCAGGCTGGAGTGCAGTGGCGTGATCTCAGCTCATTACAACCTTCGCCTCCTGGGTTCAAGCCTCAGCCTCCTGAGTAGCTGGGATTACAGGCACATGCCACCATGCCTGGCTAATTTTTGTATTTTTAGTAGAGACGGGGGGTTTCACCATGTCGGTCAGGCTGGTCTTGAACTCCTGACCTCGTGATCCTCCCACCTCAGCCTCCCAACATGCTGGGATTACAGGGGCGAGCCACCACACCCGGCCGAAAGGTGTTTATACCCTTGTCACATAGATCATTTGACCATATATATCATTTGAGTTTATTTCTGGGCTCTCTGTTCTATTGATTCTTATATCTGTCTTTATGCTAATGCCATACTGTTTTGATTATTGTAGCTTTGTGGTAAGTTTTGAAATCAGAAAGTGTGAATCTTCCAGCTTTGTTCTTTTTCATGATTGTTTGGCTATTTCCGATGTGATTTGCAAATATTTTTTTCCACTCACTGGGTTGTCTTTTTACTTTTTCTTTGCTGTGATGCCCAGGCTAGAGTGCAGTGGCATGATCTCAGTTCACTGCAACCTCCGCCTCCTGGGTTCAAGTGATTCCCCTGCCTCAACTTCCCAAGGAGCTAGGACTACAGGTGTGCACCACCACACCTGGCTAATTTTTGTATTTTTTTTCCAGCAGAGACAGAGTTTCAACACGTTGGCCAGGCTAGTCTTGAACTCCTGACCTCAAGTGATATGCCCACCTCAGTCTCTCAAATTGCTGGGATTATAGGCCACCACACCTGGCCTATTTTCTTTAAAGAGTTTTATAGGATAGATGCTGTGGCTCACATCTGTAATCCCAGCACTTTGGGAGGTCGAAGTGGGAAGACTGCTTGAGCTCAGGAGTTCAAGACCAGCCTGAGCAACATAGGAAGACCCCATCTCTACAAATTAAAAAAGTTAGCCAGGTGTGGTGGTGCATGCCTGTAGTACCAGCTACTTGGGAGGCTGAGGTGAGAGGATTGCTTGAGCCTGGGAAGTCAAGGCTGCAGTGAAGTGAGTTAGAGACCACAGCACTGCACTGGGGCCTGGGTGACGGAGTGAGACCCTGTCTCAAAAAAAAAAAGTTACATAGCTTTAGCTCTTACCATTTAGGTGTTTGACCTATCTTGAGTTAATTGTTATGTGTGATGTGCGGTAGGGGTCCAGCTCCATTTGCACGTGTGGACACACCTCTTTATAGGCTGGGGAGCAGGCATTAGAGGTGGAGCTACTTGCTTGCCGTCACAGCTGGCAAGTGGAGGCCAAAGACAGCCGCTGCATCCTTTCTTTGAACTCTTATACCTGAGGGTCATTTATCTCTGACCTGGAGGACAGAAACAGAAAGCCCTTGAGCAGGCTGAGCGCAGTGGCTCACGCCTGTAATCCCAGCTCTTTGGGAGACCGAGGTGGGCGGATCATGAAGTCAGGAGATCGGGACCATCCTGGCTAACACGGTGAAACCCCTCTCTACTAAAAATACAAAATATTAGCCAGGCGTGATGGCGGGCGCCTGTAGTCCCAGCTACTTGGGAGGCTGAGGCAGGAGAATGGTGTGAACCCGGGAGGCGGAGCTTGCAGTGAGCCGAGATTGCGCCACTGCACTCCAGCCTGGGCAACAGAGCAAGACTCCGTCTCAAAGAAAAAAAAAAGTCCTTGAGCAATAATAAAACTAGGACTCTAGGGACATTACTTCTCAGGGGCAGGCCACGCCGTGCACCTGTCCACATCTGTTTCCCTCCCCTTGCTGAACACCAGCCCCTGCCCTCGCCAGCCTTTCTGTCCTCCTTCCCTCCTCCTCCCCCTAAATGTTCATCTGTGGCTTTTGCCTGTCCCATGGCACATGATAGGCTCTCGCTGTCTGGGCCTCCCTGGGGGTAGGTCCCCACAGGAGACCTTACCAGGGCCATGCCAGACAGCTCAGATGTCTCTGTGCCCTGCCTTGAATCCTTTGGCCTCAGGGCTGGAGGTTCAGCTATGGCAGGTCAGGGGCTGGCAGCTGAGCTGTGTGAGGCTGGGAGCTTCTCTGAGCCTTGGGAGAGTAAAGGAAACCAAGTCCCTGATTCAGGAGGGCCAGAGCATTCCTCTTGCTGGCTGTGTGCCCATGAGCCCGGGACTGGGAGAAGGCCCAACGGTACCTGCCCCCATGGGACTTGTTGGCTGGGACCTGGGAAGGCCCGTGGTCTGTGTGCTTTGCTGTAAAATGTATCACTGGGGGACTGGACCATCTGCCGCAGTCTGGCGCTATCGAGGAGCACCCCGGCCACCAGCAGAGGGCATGCTGATCATAGACACTGCCCCTCCCTCCCTCCCCTCCCGACAATCTCCAGGCCACCAGTTCCAGTCTTACCTTGAGCCACTACCTCTCGGGCACCCAGGGCTGCTCTGGTGGAATTAATTTGAACAGTGGTGGCATTGTAGCGAGTGGATGCTTTGGCCTTGTAACTGGTGCCGTTGTTTGTTTGTTTGTTTGTTTGTTTGTTTTGACGAGTCTTGCTCTGTCGCCCAGGCTGGAGTGCAGTGGTGCGATCTGGGCTCACTGCAAGCTCCACCTCCCAGGTTCACGCCATTCACCTGCCTCAGCCTCCCGAGTAGCTGGGACTACAGGCGCCTGCCACCACACCTGGCTAATTTTTTGTATTTTTAGTAGAGACGGGGTTTCACCATTTTAGCCAGGATTGTCTTGATCTCCTGACCTTGTGATCCGTCCGCCTAGGCTTACCAAAGTGCTGGGATTACAGGCGTGAGCCACCGCACCTGGCCATTGTTTACAGTAAGTGCCAAACTTTGATGTTTGTGTGTTTCTTTGCTGTTTTGTTGCTGTGTTCACTCAGGTGTCGCTTGTATTTAGAACTCAGCTTTTACAATGGAATTGCTTTTGATACTACACTTTGGTGTCTCAGGAAACTACATCCTGCATGATTGATACTCTGTGCTTCCTTTAATGACAGGCAAATCTCACCTTGTCTTGTACCTTATAAAAGCCAGGCTCTTAGAAGTGGTGACACTCATAAACCAGCCTGAAGTTGCTGAATTGACCCATGTTATCTGACACCTATTAAGATTCTACTAAGATTCTTAATTCACCCATATCCAGCTTGAATTTTTACTTGATTTTGCATTTAATTGCTTCCATGTACCTACTAAGTTTTTACATAATGTATTTTTTTATTATTTAAATAGAGATGGAGTCTCGCTATGTTGTCCAGGCTGGTCTCGAACTCTTGGGCTCAAGTGATCTTCCCGCCTCAGCCTCCCAAAGTGCTAGGATTATAAGCGTGAGCTACCACACTTGGCCTTTACATGTATTTTTTTAATGTCTTTAATGGAATATAGGATTGATTTAATTGAAGAGTACATTTAGCTTTGTACAAAACTGCCAAACTGTCTTCCAAAGTGGCTGTGCCATTTTGCATTCTCACCAACAGTGAATGAGGGCTCCTGTGCTCCACATCCTCACCAGCATTTGATGTTGTCAGTACTTTGGGTTTAGGCCATTCTGACAGGCATGTAGTGGTGTCTCAGTGTTGTTTTAATTTGCAGTTTCCAAATGACATAAGGTGTTGAGCATCTTTTCATGTGCGTATTTGCTGTCTGTATATCCTCTTATATCAGGCATCTGTTCGGGTCTTTGGCCCTCTGCCGCCACCCTCCCACCTTATTATTATTTATTTTTATTTTTTATTTTTTAGACAGAGTCTCACTCTGTCGCCATGTTCGCTCTGCCTCCCAGGTTCACGCCATTCTCCTGCCTCAGCCTCCCGAGTAGCTGGGACTACAGGTGCCCACCACCACGCCCAGCTAATTTTTTTTTTTTTTTTTTTGGGATGGAGTTTTACTCTTGTTGCCCAGGCTGGAGTGCAATAGTGCCATCTCGGCTCACTGCAACCTCCGCCTCCCAGGTTCAAGCTATTCTCCTGCCTCAGCCTCCCAAGTAGCTGGGATTATAGGCACATGGCACCACGCCATGCTAATTTTTGTATTTTTTGTAGAGATGGGATTTTGCCATGTTGGCTAGGCTGGTCTCGATCTCCTGACCTCGTGATCCACCCGCCTCAGCCTCCCAAAGTGCTGGGATTACATGCATGAGCCACCGCGCCTGGCCCCTCCCACCTTATTTTTAAAGAGTCTTGCTCTGTCACCGAGGCTGGAAAGCGGTGGTACAATCACGGCTCACTGTAGCTTCAACCTCCTGGGCTCAGGTGATCTTCCTACCTCAGCCTCCCTAGTAGCCTTGACTACAGGTGCACCCTACTGTGCCTGGCTAATTTTTTTGTTGGTTTGTTTTTGTTTTAGACCAAGTTTCTTGCTGTTTTTCCTCAGGCTGGAGTGCACTGGCGCCATCTCAGCTCACTGCAACCTCCTGACTCCCAGGTTCAAGTGATTCTCCTGCCTCAGCCTCCTGAGTACCTGGGATTAAAGGCGCCTGCCACCACGCATGGCTAATTTTTGTACTTTTAATAGAGACAGGGTTTCACCATGTTGGCCAGGCTGGTCTCGAACTTCTGAACTCAAGTGATCCGCCTGCCTTGGCCTCCCAAAATGCTGGGATTACAGGCGTGAGCCACTGCGCCCAGCACCTGGCTAATTTAAAAAAATTTTTTTTTTTTTTTTGAGGTGGAGTCTCGCTCTGTTGCCCATGCTGGAGTGCAGTGGCACAATCTCGGCTCACTGCAAGCTCCACCTCCCGGGTTCATGCCATTCTTCTGTCTCGGCCTCCCGAGCAGCTGGGACTACAGGTGCCCGCCACCACGCCCGGCTAATTTTTTTTGTATTTTTAGTAGAGACGGGGTTTCACCGTGTTAACCAGGATGGTCTTGATCTCCTGACCTCGTGATCCACCCGCCTTGGCCTCCCAAAGTGCTGGGATTACAGGCGTGAGCCACTGCGCCCGGCCTAAAAAGTTTTTTTGTAGAGACAGGGTCTCCCTATGTTGCCCAAGCTGATCTTGAACTCCTGGGTTCAAGCGATCCTTCTGGCTTAGCCTCCCAAAGGGCTGGAATTAATCTCCAAGCAGGGATTGCAGGCATGTGCCACCACACCCAGCTAATTTTTGGGGTTTCTCTACGTTGGCCAGACTGGTCTCTAACTCCTGGCCTCAAGTGATCCGCCCGCGTCTACCTCCCAAAGTGCTGGGATTATAGGCATGAGTCACCGCGCCTGGCCTCTTATTGTTGAGTTTTAAGATTTCTTTGTATATTTTAGATACAAGTTGTTTATCGGATATATGTTTTGTAAACATTTTCCTCAGTCTGTGGCTTGTCTCCATTATCTTTTTTTTTTTTTTTTTGAGAGGAGTCTCGCTCTGTCGCCCAGGCTGGAGTGCAGTGGCGCGATCTTGGCTCACTGCAAGCTCCGCCTCCTGGGTTCCCGCCATTCTCCTGCCTCAGCCTCCTACAGGCGCCCGCCACCACGCCCGGCTAATTTTTTGTATTTTTAGTAGAGACGGGGCTTCACAGTGTTAGCCAGGATGGTCTCTATCTCCTGATCTTGTGATCCGCCCGCCTCGGCCTCCCAAAGTGCTGGGATTACAGGTGTGAGCCACCGCGCCCGGCCTGTCTCCATTATCTTAACAGTGTCTTTCTCAGAGCTGAAATCTTTAAATCAATAAAGTGGGAACTTCAGCCATGTAACTGATCAGGATGAACAGGGGAAGCCATCGTTTTCAGCAGATGCCAAACTTGGTTTTTCTCCTCTGACTCTTGACGTGGTTGTTCCCTTCAACTGGCCGAGACCTAGGGGCTCACTGATGCCGGGGTTTGTCCTAGGTTAGACGGGGAGTCTGTGGAATAGTGTAGGGTGTCCCAGCCACGGAGAACTCTCAGCTTGGCAGTTTACCCTCCATTTACAGGTGAAGACACTGAGGCCCTCCAGGCGCAGTGACCTAGGGGTGTGTGGCAGGTGGGGCAGGGACCCCAGTAGAGTGCAGACCTCACCTCCTTGGCCATTTCCACCTGCCCCTCATCCACCATGTGGCCTGCAGGTGGTGCGTGGCAGGTTGTGGTGCTTGATCTCCAGGATGTTGGGCAAGGCAGAGTCCTTGGCCCCCACGCTGTGGAGCTCAGCTTCTCCCCACAGGCCCCAAGCCTGTGTGTTCAGGGCATCCTCCTTGACATTTGGAGAGTGAGACTCAGGGTGGCCGTACTGACCCACTGGCCCCATACTCTGGAAGTACTTAGGGCCTGCTGGTCTGCCCACTGAGGGACATGCCTTCAGTCCCCATGGGCCTGTGGGAGGGCTTTAACCAGTGCCTGGCTGGGCAGGGCTCTTAGTCTTAGTGACTCCCTAACTGGAGCTCCCAGGGCCATTTGGCCACCTCCCTCCCGCCTCTGTTTGGGCTGAGGGACGTGGGCGCAGCTGCCAGCATGGGGACCAGGCCTCTGTCCTCAGGTGACTTCATCGCACCTGCTGCCACCTTCCCTTGCAGAAATTGGCAGAATTCCAGGAAACTTGCCCAGAGTAAGTGCCTCAAGTAGAAACAAGCCCAATGCATTTGCCATGGATATTTAATTCTCTAAAAGGCAGAGGTGGGAGGTGAAAGAGATACTTATTTAAACAGAGTTATACAGGAATAATTTCTATAACTGCACATATGGAAAGTATTCAGTTTGATCAGTTTTGACCTAGGTACAGACAGACTTCCTTTCATTGCACTTTGCAGGTCCTGCATTTTTTTTTTTTTTTTTAAGATGGAGTTTAGCTTTTGTTGCCCAGGCTGGAGTGCAATGGCACGATCTCGGCTCACTGCAACCTCTCCCTCCTGGATTCAAGCGATTCTCCTGCCTCAGCCTCCTGAAGGGCTGGGATTACAGGCGCCTGCCACTGTGCCCAGCTAATTTTTGTATTTTTAGTAGAGACGGGGTTTCACCATGTTGGTCAGGCTGGTCTCAAACTCCTGGCCTCAGGTGATCCACCCACCTTGGCCTCTCAAAGTGCTGGGATTATAGGCGTGAGCCACTGCTCCCAGCCAGGTCCTGCCTTCTTTACAAATTGAAAGTTTGGGGCAGGCGTGGTGGCTCAGGCCTGTAATCTCAGCACTTTGGGAGGCCGAGGCAGGCGGATCACCTGAGGTCAGGAGTTCGAGACCAGCCTGGCCAACATGGCGAAACCCCATCTCTACTAAAAATATAAAAAATTAGCTGGGTGTGGTGGCATGTGCCGTAGTCACAGCTACATGGGAAGCTGAGGCAGGAGAATCACTTGAACCTGGGAGGCAGAGGTTGCAGTGAGCTGGGATCATGCCACTACACTCTAGCCTGGGCAACAGAGCGAGACTCCTTCTCAAAAAAAAAAAAGTTTGTGGCAACCCTGCATTGAGCAAGTCTATTGGCACCATTTTTCGGCCAGCCTGTGCTCATGTAGTGTGTCTATATCATATTTTGGTAATTCTTGCAATATTTCAAACTTTTTCGTTATCATTTTTGTTATGGTGATCTATGACCAGTAATTTTTGGTGTTACTAGTGTAATTGTTTTGAGACATCACGAACCACGTCCATGTAAGACAGCAAATGAAATTGATAAATGTTGTATGTGTTCTGACTGCCCCACTGACCGGCTATTTCCCCATCTCTCTCCCTTTTCGTGAGCTCCCTCATTCCCTGAGACACAACAATTTTGAAATTAGACCAATTAATACCCTACCTCTAGTGTTCCAGTGAAGGAGAGAGTCACACATCTCTCACTTTAAGCCAAAAGCCGGAGGCCAGGCACGGTGGCACATGCCTATAATTCCAGCACTTTGGGAGGCTGAGGCGGTTGGATCACTTGAGGCCAGGAGTTCGAGACCAGCCTGGCCAACATAGTGAAACGCCATCTCTACTAAAAATACAAAAAACTAGCCAGGTGTGTTGACATACGCCTGTAGTCTCAGCTACTCAGAGGATGAGGCAGAAGAACCTCTTGAACCCAGAGGTGGAGGTTGCAGTGAGTCAAGATCGTGCCACTGCACTCCAACCTGGGCGACAGAGCGAGACTCTCAAAAAAAAAAAAAAAAAAGCCAAAAGTTAGACATGATTAAACTTAGGAAGGCATGTTGAAAGCTGAGATAGGCTGAAAGCTAGGCCTCGTGTGCCAAACAGTTAGCCAAGTTGTGAATGCAAAGGAAAAGTCCTTCGAAGGAAATTACAAGTGCTGCTCCAGTGAACACATGAATGATAAGAAAGCAAAACAGCCTTCTTGCTGATAACGGAGAAGAAGAATTTTAGTGATTTGGAGAGAAGATGAAATCAGCCACAACATTCCCTTAAGCCAAAGCCTAATCCAGAGCAAGGCCGTAACTCTCTTCAATTCTATGAAGGCTGAGAGAGGTGAGGAAGCTGCAGAGGAAAAGCGTGAAGCTAACAGAGGTTGGTTCATGAGGTTGAAGGAAAGAAGCCACCTCCATAACATGAAAGTACAAGGTAGAGCAGCAGGTGCTGCTGGAGAAGCTGCAGCAGGTTATCCGAATCTGGCTGAGATCACCGGTGAGGGTGGCTACACAATAGGTTTTTTCTTTTTTTTTTTTTTGACACAGAGTTTTGCTCTGTCGCCCAGGGTGGAGTGCAGTGGTGCAATCTCGGCTCACTGCAACCTCCACCTCTCAGGTTCAAGAGATTCTTCTGCCACAGCCTCCCGAGTAGCTGGGTCTACAGGTGCACGTTACCACACCTGGCTAATTTTTTTATTTTTAGAAGAGACAGGATTTCACTATGTTGGCCAGGCTGGTCTCGAACTCCTGACCTCAAATGATCTGCCTGTCTCAGCCTCCCAAAATGCTGAGATTACAGGCGTGAGCCCCTATGCCCTGCCTAGGTTTTCAGTGTGGGTGAAACAGCTTTCTGTTGAAAGAAGATAACATCTAGGACTTTCATAGCTAGGGAGGAAAAGTCAATGCCTGGCTTCCAAGGACAGGCTAGGTCTGGTGACTCACGCTGTAATCCCAGCACTTTGGGAGGCTGAGGCGGGTGGATCACTTGAGGTCAGGAGTTTGAGACCAGCCTGGCCAACATGGCAAAACCCTGTCTCTACTAAAAATACAAAAATTAGCTGAGTGTGGTGGCACTTGCCTGTAGTCCCAGCTACTCAGGAGGCTGAGGCAGGAGAATCGCTTGAGCCCAGGAAGTAGAGGTTGCAGTGAGCCAAGATTGCACCTGCCACAGCACTCCAGCCTGGGTGACAGAGTGAGATTCTGTCTCAAAAAAAAAAAAAAGGACAGGCTGACTCTCTTGTTAGGGGCTTATACAGCTGGTGACTTTAAGTTGAAGCCAATGCTCATTTACTATTCTGAAAATCCTAGGGCCCTTATGAATTATGCTAAATTTACTCTGCCTGTGTTCTATAAATGGAACAACAAATCCTGGATGTCAGCACATCTGTTTATAGCATAGTTTTCTGAATATTTTTAAGCCTGCCGTTGAGACCTACTGCTCAGAAAAAAGATTTCTTTCAAAATAATACTGATCAGGCCGGGTGCGGTGGCTCACGCCTGTAATCCCAGCACTTTGGGAGGCTGAGGCAAGTGGATCACGAGGTCAGGAGTTCAAGACCAGCCTGGCCAAGATGGCGAAACCCTGTCTCTACTAAAAATATAAAAATTAGCCAGGCGCAGTGGCAGGCGCCTATAATCCCAGCTACTCAGGAGGCTGAGGTAGGAGAATCACTTGAACTCAGGTGGCAGAGGTTGCAGTGAGCCGAGATCGCACCACTGCACTCCAGCCTGGGCAATAGAGTGAGACTCTGTCTCAAAAGAAAAAAAAAAATCAAAATAATACTAATCATTGGCTGTGCGTGGTGACTCATGCCTGTAATCCCAGCACTGTGGGAGGCCAAGGTGGTTGGATTACCTGAGGTCAGGAGCTCGAGACCAGCCTGGCCAACATGGTGAAACCCCATCTCTACTAAAAAATATACAAAAATTAGTTGGGCATGGTGGTGCATGCCTGTAATCCCAGCTACTTGGGAGGCTGAGGCAGGAGAATCACTTGAACCAGGGAGGCGGAGGCTGCAGTGAGCTGAGATCGCACCACTGCACTCCAGGCCAGGTGACAGAACGAGACTCCATTTCAAATAATAATAATAATAATAATAATAATAATAATAATAATAATAATAATACTAACACTGCTCATTGACAATAGACCTGATAAACCAAGAGCTCTGATGGAGATGCACAAGGAGATTAATTTTGTTTTCGTGCCTGCTGGCTTTAGTCCATTTGTGTGGCTGTAAAGGAATGCCCGAAGCTGGGTAATTTATGAAGGAAAGAGCTTTATTTGGCTCATGGTTCTGCAAGCTGTACAGGAAGCATGGCACCAGCATCTTCTTCTGGCGAGGGACTCAGGCCACTTCTACTTACAGCAGAAGGGGAAGGGAAGCTGGTGTGTGCAGGTCACATGGCCAGAGAAGTGAGAGAGAAGGGAGGTGCCAGGCTCCTTTTAACTATTAGTTCTCCCAGAGGCTAATAAAGTGAGAACTCACTCATGACCACGAGGATGGCACCATGCCCTTCCAGAGGGATCCATCCTGTGACCCAAACACTTCCTATTAGGTCCTGCCTCCAACATTGGGATTGAATTTCAACATGAGGTTAGGGATCCTCATATCCAAACCATAGTGGATAATAGCACCTATTAACTCAACATCCATTCTGCAACCTATGGATCAAGGAGTAATCTTGACTTTCAAGTTGTATTGTTTAAGAAATGCATTTTGGGCCTGTAATCCTAACACTTTGGGAGGCTGAGGCAGGTGGATTGCCTTTGTTCAGGAGTTTGAGACTAGCCTGGGCAACATGTTGAAATCCTGTCTCTACAAAAAATACAAAAAATTAGCCGGGCGTGGTGGTGGGCGCCTGTAGTCCAAGATACTTGGGAGGCTGAGGCAGGAGAATGGCATGAACCTGGAAGGCGGAGCTTGCAGTGAGCTGAGATCGTGCCACTGCACTCCAGCCTGGGCGATACAGCGAGACTCCATCTCCAAAAAAAAAGAAAAAAAAGAAATTAGCTGGACATGGCAACATGTGCATGTAGTCCCAGCTACTCAGGAGGCTGAGGCAGGAGAATTGCTTGAACCCAGGAGGTGGAGGTTGCAGTGAGCTGAGATTGTGCCATTGCACTCCAGCCTGGGCGACAGAGTGAGCCTCCTTCTCTACAAAAAAAAAAAAAAAAAAAAAAAGAAATGCATTTTGTGGGGCTCTGGCTGCCATAGTGGTTCTTCTGATCTGGGCAATGTAAATTGAAAAATTTACATTGGAAAGCATTCACTATTCTAGAAGCCATTAAGAATATTTATAGACCAGGCGAGGTGGCTCACGCCTGTAATCCCAACACTTTGGGAGGTCAAAGTGGGTGGATCACCTGAGGTCAGGTGTTCGAGACCAGCCTGGCCAACATGGTGAAACCTCGTCTCTACTAATACAAAACGTAGCTAGATGTGGTGGCATGTGTGTGTAATCCCAGCTACTCAGGAGGCTGAGTCACAAGAATTGCTTTAACCTAGGAAGTGGAGAGGTTGCAGTGAGCCAAGATTGTGCCATTGCACTCCAGCCTGGGCAACAGAGCAAAAAAGAAAAAAAAAGAAAGTGGTTTCTTAAGATGGAATGTAGTCTTGGGGAAGATGCCATGAACATTGCTGAAATGACAAGAAAGTAATGGCAATGGTGGGCCATCTGGAGCAACCCCTGCCCTCACGCCAGGTGCAGTGGGGTGGTGCAAGCAGTGGTGGCAGGAGCAGCTGTGGGAGCAGCAGTGGCAGCAGCAGTGGCAGCAGTGGGTCCCCTGTGCCCTGCATTCCCCGGGCAGCTGACTGCACCGCCCCCATCCTTGCACAGCCAGGCAGGACCTGCTCCCAGGCCTGGAGCCTTGCCGCTCCAGACCCTGGCTCAGTGTCAGAGCTCTTACCCGCTCTCACTGTGGGGAGGGGTGTGCAGAGGAAATAGTCAGTCCCTGGAGTCTACCCCTGGGAGTCTCCCAGAGCCCACTGCCCTGGGAGCCACCACAACGGGGCCAGGCTGAGTTGCCTGCTGGTGGGGAAGCAGCATGATTGGGCATGGAGGTGCGGGCAGAGAGGGGCCCCAAGGTGGAGCTGGGCCTGGGGTGATGCTGCACCTGCATATGGAGTGTGGGGGCTGGGCCTGGGATGCAGAGCTTGGGTTATGCTTCAGGGCCCTGGGGCGGGAAGTGGGAGCGGCATTCACTTTGGGGACCTGGACTGCGGTGCAGCCACCGCACCCACCCTGCTGATGGTGCCCTTCAGACTTTGGGCACCAACAGGCATGGGAGGGAGGCCAAGTGGGGGCTGAGGATAGGCTGGCACAAACAGCCTGGATGCCATGAACAGTGGCGAGAGACAGACAGGCTCCTGGGTAGAAGGGGTCTGGTCCCCAGTGAAGCCTCACCTTCAAACTGGGGAGGGCCTGAAGCCTGGGGGTTGGCTGGCCAGTCCCGAGGACCAGAGGGGAAGCTTGTGGTGCTTTTTGCTGGCCCACCCATGGACCAGTCAACACACACTTCCTCCACTCTGAGGCCCATAAAAACCCCGGACTCAGCCAGACTAGAGCAGAGGACAGAAAGATGACAGGATGACCAGCTGCAAAGAAGAGCTACCCTCTCTGCTGAGAGCTGAACACTCACTGGGATGACCTGGCTGTGACTCAATAAAGCTCCTCTTTGTCTTGCTCACTCTCCATTTTTCTGCGTACCTCATTCTTCCTGGTCACAGGGCAAGAACTCGGGACCTGCCAAATGGTGAGGCTGAAAGAACTGTAACACAAACAGGGCTGAAACATGCCCCTTCTTGCCACGTTGCCAGTGAAGGGAAGGAAAGAAGAGCTGTGGCCCTTTGGGGAGTCCAGACCTGGGAGCTCCCTGAGTCAGGGTTGTGACTCCCTCTTTGGGGCCCTGCAGTTCCTGGCGTCACCAAGCTTCCAGGCACCACAGCATTCCCGTGTGCCAACCAGGCAAGCTGCTTGAGGTGCGCTTGGTCCAGGTGCAGCCTTGCAGAGAACCAGCACCTGTGCCAGCATCTGGAGCTGCCTGCCCTGCAGCAGCAGCTGGCATGTCTGACTGTGCAGTGGCCGTACTCCATGCTCACTCACACACTGCTCGCTGCTCCACACCAGGCTTGTCCTTGGCAGGCATGGGAGCTCCAGGCTGGTAGCATGAGCCAAGCGCAGCCTGCCAGGCTGAGTGGGTGGAATAAGCCCAGTGGGCCCCAGCAAAACTTAGGCAAAGGTGCCACAAGACACAGAGGTTTCTGGCCAGAAAAGGGATACCCCAAAGATCCCATAACAAAAGGATTTAGAATATTCCATAAACTTAGTTGATAAAACAACATAGGTTTTAAGAGGACTGACTCCACTTTTTTTTTTTTTTTTGAAATGGAGTCTCGCTCTGTCGCCCAGGCTGGAGTGCAGTGGTGCGATCTCAGCTCACTGCAAGCTCTGCCTTCTGGGTTCACGCAATTCTCTTGCCTCAGCCTCCCGAGTAGCTGGGACTACAGGTGCCTGCCACCATGCCCAGCTAATTTTTTTATATTTTTAGTAGAGAAGGGGTTTCACCATGTTAGCCATCATGGTCTCCATCTCCTGACCTCGTGATCCGCCTGCCTCGGCCTCCCAAAGTGCTGGGATTACAGGCATGAGCCACCGCGCCCGGCCTGACTCCACTTTTGAAAGTTCTACTGGGCTGGTCTAGGAGATCGAGACCATCTTGGCTGACATGTTCTCCCCATCTCTACTAAAATACAAAAAATTAGCCTGGTGTGGTGGTGCACACCTGTAGTCCCAGCTACTCAGGAGGCTGAGCCAGGGGAATCACTTGAACTCGGGAGACGGAGGTTGCAGTGAGCCGAGATCATGCCACTGTACTCCAGCCTGGCTGACAGAGTGAGACTCTGTCTCAAAAAAAAAAAAAAGTAAGTTCTACTGTGGGTAAAATGCTATCAAACATTGCATGCTACAGAGAAATCTTTTTTTTTTTTTTTATTTGAGATAGGCTCCCACTCTGTCACCCGGGCTGGAGTGCAGTGGTGCAATCACAGCTCACTGCAGCTTTGACCTCTTGAGCTGAAGGGATCCTCCCACCCTTAGCCTCTCAAGTAACTGGGACCACAGGCAAGTGCCACCATGAGTAGCTAATTTTTTAATTTTTATTTTTAGAGACAGCATCTCCTTATATTGCCCAGGCTGGTCTGGAACTCCTGGGCACAAGCGATTCTCCCACCTCGGGGTCCCAAAGTGCTGGGATTACAGACATGAGCCACCGTGCCTGGCCCAGAGAAATATTTTGTGGAAAGAAGGGTCAATTGATGTGGTCAATGTCATTGTTGTCTTATTTTAAGGAACTGCCACAGCCATCCCAGCCTTCAGCAGTCGCCATCCTAATCAGTCTGCAGGCCGGGCGGTAATCCCAGCACTTTGGGAGGCTGAGGTGGGCGGATCACCTGAGGTCAGGAGTTCAAGACCAGCATGGCCAACATAGTGAGACCCTGTCTCTACTAAAAATACAAAAAATTAGCTGGGCGTGGTGACGCGTGCCTGTAATCCTAGCTACTTGGGAGGCTGAGGTAGGAGAACCACTTGAACCCGGGAGGCAGAGGTTGCAGTGAGCCAAGATCGTGCCACTGCATTCCAGCCTGGGCTATAGAATGAGACTGTCTCAAAAAAAAAAAATAAACCCCAAAACAATATGAATCAGTCTGCAGCCATCAACATCGAGGCAAGACTCTGCCAGCAAAAAGAATACCACTCACTGAAGGCTCAGATGATTGTTAGCATTTTTTAGCAATAAATTTTTTTTTTTTTTTTGAGATGGGGTCTTGCTCTGTTGCCCAGGCTGGAGTGCAGTGGTGCGATCTCGGCTCACTGCAAGCTCCGCCTCCCGGGTTTACGCCATTCTTCTGCCTCAGCCTCCCGAGTAGCTGGGACTACAGGCGCCCACTACCATGCCGGGCTAATTTTTTGTTTTTTAGTAGAGATGGGGTTTCACCGTGTTAGCCAGGATGGTCTCGATCTCCTGACCTTGTGATCCACCCACCTTGGCCTCCCAAAGTGCTGGGATTACAGGTGTGAGCCACCATGCCCGATTGCAATAAAGTGTTTTTAAATGAAGGTATATACTTTTTTTTAAGGCATAATGCTATTATACACTTAATAGACTACAGTGTAACTTTTACGTGCACTGGGAAACCAAAAAAATCATGTGACTTATTATAAAGTGCAATGTGTGCTTTGTTGCGGTGATCTGGAACCAAACCCGTAATATCTCTGAGGTATGCCTGTGTGAGCCTGTGAAGCCTTCACCACAATCAAGACCGAGACTGTGAACAGACCTGTCACCCTGCTGAGGCCCTCTGCTTCTCTGGTCCCTCCCTGCCCCCAGGCAACCTCTGATCTGCTTTCTGTCACTATAGTTTGTGTTTCCTCCAAGTTTATAAACATGGACTTGCACAGTTCTCTTTTTGTCCAGCCTCCCTTGCTCAGCACGATTACTTGGAGATTCATCCACATGGTTGCATGTATCAGTTATTCATTCCTTTCCTTTTTTTTTTTGAGACGGAGTCTCACTCTTGTTGCTCAGGCTGGAGTGCAGTGGGGCGATCTCAGCTCACTGCAACCTCTGCCTCCCGGGTTTAAGCGATTCTGCTTCCTCAGCCTCCTGAGTACCTGGGATTACAGGCTCCCACCACCATGCCTGGCTAATTTTTTTTTTTTTTTTTTTTTTTTTTTGAGATGGAGTCTCGCTCTGTCCCCAGGCCGGAGTGCAGTGGCGTGATCTTGGCTCACTGCAACCTCCGCCTCCCGGGTTCAAGTGATTCTCCTGCCTCAGCCTCCCGAGTAGCTGGGACTACAGGTGAGCGCAACCACGCCCAACTAATTTTTGTATTTTTAGTAGGGATGAGGTTTCACCATGTTGGCCAGGATAGTCTCGATTTCTTGACCTCGTGATCTGCCCACCTCGGCCTCCCAAAGTGCTGGGATTACAGGCGTGAGCCACTGCGCCAGGCCAAATGCTGGGCTTTTTTTTTTTTTTGAGACAGAGTCTCTTGCTCTGTCACCCTGGCTGGAGTGCAATGGCATGATCTTGGCTCACTGCAACTTCTGCCTCCCGGCTTCAAGGGATTCTCCTGCCTCAGCCTCCCGAGTAGCTGGGATTACATGCATGCACCATCACGCCCAGCTAATTTTGTATTTTTAGTAGAGATGGGGTTTTTCCATGTTGGTCAGGCTGGTCTTGAACGCCCGACCTCAGGTGATCCACCTGCCTTGGCCTCCCAAAGTGCTGGGATTACAGGTGTGAGCCACCACACCTCGCCGATAATTGCTTTTAGATGTTACTTTTGTATTTTCCTAATGTCTAATGATGTTGAATATCTTTTCTTTTTTTCTAGAGGTGGAGTCTCGTCTTGTTGCCCAGGCCGGCCTGGAATTCCTGGGCTCAAGTGATCCTCCTGCCTCAGCCTCCCAAAGTGGTGGGATTACAGGTGTGAGTCACTGCATCTAGCCTTTTTTGAGACAAGGTCTCGCTCTGTCATCCAGGCTGGAATTCAATCTTGGCCCACTGCAGCCTTGACCTCCCAGCTCAAGTGATCCTACCACCTCAGCCCCCTGAGTAGCTGGGACCACAGGTGCAGCTGGGACCCCCTGAGTAGCTGGGACCACAGAAAACCCACAGGGTCGGTGGCTTTTCTCCCCATGTGGGGAGATGAGAGATTGTAGAAATAAAGACACAAGACAAAGAGATAAAAGACAGCTGGGCCCGGGGGACAACTACCACCAAGATGCAGAGACCGGTAGTGTCCCCGAATGCCTGGCTGTGCTGTTATTTATTGGATACAAGGCAAAAGGGGAGGGGTAAAGAGTGTGAATCATCTCCAATGATAGGTAAGGTCACGTGGGTCACATGTGCACTGGACAGGGGGCCCTTCCCTGCCTGGCAGCCAAGGCAGAGAGAGAGGGAGAGAGAGAGAGACAGCTTACGCCATTATTTCTGCATATCAGGGACTTTTAGTACTTTCACTAATTTGCTACTGTTATCTAAAAGGCAGAGCCAGGTGTGCAGGATGGAACATGAAAGTGGACTAGGAGCGTGACCACTGAAGCACAGCATCACAGGGAGACAGGCCTCCGGATAACTGCGGGCAGGCCTGACTGATGTCAGGCCCTCCACAAGAGGTGGAGGAGTAGTCTTCTCTAAACTCCCCGGGGGAAAGGGAGACTCCCTTTCCTGGTCTGCTAAGTGGCGGGTGTTTTTCTTTGGCACTGACGCTACTGCTGGAACCACGGTCTGCCTGGCAACGGGCGTCTTCCCAGACGCTGGCGTTACCGCTAGACCAAGGAGCCCTCTGGTGGCCCTGTCCGGGCATAACAGAAGGCTCGCACTTGTCTTCTGGTCACTTCTCACCATGTCCCCTCAGCTCCCATCTCTGTATAGCCTGGTTTTTCCTAGGTTATGATTATAGAGCGAGGATTATTATAATATTGGAATAAAGAGTAATTGCTACAAATTAATGATTAATGATATTCATATATAATCACGTCTATGATCTAGATCTAGTATAATTCTTACTGTTTTATATATTTTATTATACTGGAAAAGCTCATGCCCTTGGTCTCTTGCCTCGGCACCTGGATGGCTTGCCACCCGCAGTGCTCACCACCATGCTCGGCTAATTTTTTTGGATTTTTGGTAGAGATGGGGTCTCACCATGTTGCCTAGAAGAGTCTCCAGCTCCTGAGCTCTAGCCATCTGCCCACCTCAGCCTCCCAAAGTGCTGGGATTACAGGCGTGCACGACCGCGCCTAGCCAAAGGTCATTTGTTTTTTTCACATTGAGCTCTGAGAGATCTTTCTGGAGCCTGGATGTAAGTTTCTGACCCTACCAGCTTCCTCTAGCATGAGGCAGTGAGTTTCGGTTGGGGAGAGGGATGTGGCCTCCCATTCTAGGGCATGTCGTTGCGGAGTTCTCCTTGAATTCTCTCTTCCGAGTGCCCTCTGATGAGCTGGGCTCAGTGTGCTTTTGAGTTCTAGGTGCCTGTCTCATTTCCTACCTTCTTTCTATATGCTTGGCTGCCTGGGTAGGTATGGGAGGGATGGGGGAAGAGGTGCTGCCATCTCTTGACTTTTTTTTTTCTTTTTTTTTTTTGAGACGGAGTTTCACTCTGTCACACAGGCTGGAGTGCAATGGCACAATCTTGGCCCACTGCAACCTCTGCCTCCTGGGTTCAAGCGATTCTCTTGCCTTAGCCTCCCAAGTAGCTGGCATTACAGGCGCCCACCACCATGCCCGGCTAATTTTTGTAGTTTTAGTAGAGACAGAGTTTTGCCATGTTGGCCAGGCTGGTCTCAGACTCCTGACCTCAGGTGATCCGCCCGCCTTGGCCTCCCAAAGTGCTGGGATTACAGGCGTGAGCCACCATGCCCAGCCCACCTCTTGACTTTTTAGCTTCCAGATGCCTTTGAAAGCTGCAGAAAACTGGGTCTTTTCCCCAGAAAAGTAGAAACCAGACACAACCTCGAGCATGTTTTTAGGGATGCTCACAGCCTACTGAGCCAGTTCTACTTTGTTTTGGGTTAGAGATGGATGCCACATCTGCAGATCTCTGCCAAGCTGTGTGTGTTTTTCTTTAGATTTTGGGAGTGCCTTTCTGTGGCAAAGGTAAGAGCGTTTCGAGGGCTCCTGCCATGTGTCACCCACATGGCCAGTGCTTATGTAGGGAGGGGCCACAGCTTCTGGCATCCAGTTGTTAGTAGTTTATTTATTTATTTATTTTTACAGAGTCCCGCTCTGTTGCCCAGGCTGGAATGCAGTAACGCAGTGACGTGATCTTGGCTCACTGCAACCTCCGCCTCCTGGGTTCAGGTGATTCTCCTGCCTCACCTTCCCTGGTAGCTGGGATTGCAGGAGCACACCACCATGCCTGGTTAACTTTCTTTTCACTAGTGGTGGGGTTCCACCGTGTTGGCCAGGCTGGTGTCAAAACTCCTCACCTCAGATGATCCGCCTGCCTCGGCCTCCCAAGGGGCTGGGATTACAGGCGTGAACTACTCCACCCTGCCTTGTTTGTAGTTTATAACAGCTTTCCTGAGCTATAACTCTATTGAGTCTACCCTTTTTGATTGTACAATTCTGCGTGAACCTTAATGGATTCACAAGGCTGTGCAGCCACCAGCACGATTTAATTCCAGAACATTTTCATCACCCCCGGAATTAACCTGCACGCATTAGCAGTCACTCCCATTTCCCCTCCTCCAGCCCCTGCCCCCCACCAGCTGACTTTCTGTTTCTGTAGATCTGCCTGTTGTGGACATTTAATATACATGGAATCAGATGGCGTGTGACCTTTTGTGATTGACTTCTTTCACCCAGGGTGGTTTCAAGGCTGGTCCGTGCATTACTGTGGATCTGTAGGTCTTCATTTTTTATGGTCAGATAATATCTCATTGTATGGATTTATCGTATTTTGTTTACCTACCCATCCGTGGTGGACACCGGGTTGTTTCCATCCTTGGGTGGTTGTGAATAATGCTGCTATGAACATTTCTAGACATCTCGTTTTGTCAATTAAAATGATTTTTAATTTACTAGATGGGAAATAGCACCTTGTAGTTGTTTAACTTTGAGATTATTTACTCATAAGGCTAAGCTATCTGAGAAGTGCTTCCTCTTTGCGGGACCATCTGGTTGTGGCTTGAATCTGTGTTGCTGTGGAAGCCTGGTAGGTCCTCACTGATTTGGGGTGGGTGGTGGGCCTAGCACACCTGGACTGGGACCAGCTGGAAGGGTTGCTTAGGGAGGCAGCAATGCCCGCCTGGAGGGATGAGGCCAAGTCCAAAGGGCACAGTATTGGGGCCCAGGCTCATTCCTTGAGTTCCATTTGGCTGCAGCTTCTGGAGGGAGCCGACAGGAGACGTGGGGAGACGATGCTCCTGCTTCGGAGAAGCTTGTCACTAAACGTCCTCAGAAAGGAAGTCGACAGGGCCTGTTTTGGGGAGAAGGCCAAACAGTGAGTTGGGAGCTGAGAGGAACTATGGGCTATTTGGGGTCAGGGGAGGGAAGTGTGTTTGGGAGGACCTGTCCTGTGTGCCAGGGTGGGAGACGCTGTGGCTTCAAGACCCTGGCCCTGGGATGCCGGCTACTCAGGAAGATGGGCCGAGATGGGCAGCCAGGGGGCTGAGGAGGCTGATGGCCCGGGCCTGGGCCCCGGCAGGCTGCCTGGGTGGGGAGGGCTCAGGGGGCATTTTCAGCCAGGGTTAGCTGCCAGGCTTGGGCCAGACTCAGCCCTCTGACCTCCCCTCCGGGCAGACATTTTGGGTCGGTGGGATCCCTTTAGAATCCTCTCCTCTGCTGGCTTCTAGACATTAAGCATCCCTGGGCGGGGGCAGCACCAGCCTCCCTGTGGGACCCAGTGCGTGTGGGGTTTGTAAGCTGAAAATGACTTTTTCTTTCTTTTTGCACATAGGTGAGAGGACTTGTCCTTTTAGGACTTGTTATTTTTGCACATAGGTGAAAGGACATCCTTTTAGTAATAATTTACCTATTTAACTTTTACCAGAGTGACTTCCCAGGCTCAGTGCCTGCCAGCTGGTTAGATAGAATAAGCCCAGGCTCTGGCAGTTTGATAAGGGCCTTGATAAGGGCCGGCTGTTCCAGTGGGAGTGGCCTAATCAGCCCTCTCTGCCCTAACTTTCTCTTTCACAACTAAACATGTGAAACTTGCCCAGAGGCCGGCGGGTGCAGCCTGGTTGAGGCTGTGCGGCCTGCACTCTGGCTGGGGACTTTCCATTTCCCTTGCTGGTCACAGGATTCCTGGGAAAGCAGCCCTGGTGGGGGCAGCATTGGGGGAGGTTGTGGTGATAACACATCCCGCCTCCTGCACTGGGCCTCCTGTAGCCTGCACCCTGGCCGCTGTGATTGTTTGGCCTCTTTCTTTCTTCCTGACACCCAGTAGAAGGGGAGGCGGAGTGAAGAGAGTACGGGTTGGGGGGCACAGGGCCCACAGGTGGCAGCCGGCAGCCTAAGAGCCCGCGGGAGTGGAGGAAGGGTAGTGGAGTTGCTGAGCCCCAAGACAGGCATGGCATCCTCTGAAGCAGGGGTTGGGGGAAGGAAGAGGGGGAGTGGGGAAGGACAGGGGTGTGGCCTGAGGAGAGGGGAGGCTGGACCGCCTGTCCACTTTGCTTCAGCCAGGGAGCTGGCCCTTGGGACAGGCTTTAGATGCCAGCTCCATCAGCAGGATGCAGGCTTGGACCTGCTGGAGTCCTTGCTGGCCTGTGACCTTCCTCCCCTGTCTACATTTCAGGGAGCTCTAGAAGGCGGCAGTGGGGCCAGACCTGGCTTTGGCTGAGACCCTGGAGAAAGACTAGGGGGTCTTGTGCCCTGTCAGAGAAGGCAGAGCCTCATAGCCGCTTCCCTGAGGCCGCTCAGCAGCGGCCCCTCTGCCTTCCTGATCTCCTGGCATGGCAGCCAGAAGAGCTCACAGAATTACTTCTTCTGTAATTATTTATAAAGCAAGGTTTCCATGACGACCGGTTTCTGGTAGACGCTCTGGATTGGCGAGGCAGCCTCTTCCTGGCCAGATTGGGCAGCTCAGGAAGCTGGGGGTGGGGGGTGCTCCCCACCAAGCCCGGTGTGGCAGGGAGCTGGGACAGTCCTGGGTCAGGCAAGGACTCTGTGATGCTTCCCTGCTCCCTCGCCTTTCTCTGCATCTGATCCTGGGATGTCCTAGCCACCATGGCTTTCCAGCTGAGCAGGTACTGCCAGTCATGGGCATGTCTAGGCCGTGCAGGGGCCACTGTGGGTGGATTGTTTAGGGACATTTGGAAGGGAAGGGTGGGTAGAGGGGACTCGGCCCCTGTGCCCAGCAGGCTGGCTGGTGTCATGCAGCCAGGAAGGGCAGTAGGGCACCCACCTGGCCTGGCTCTTACTGACCCCCAAGATTAGGTGGTCAGCCGAAGCTGGGATAGGAAGTGCAGGCCTGCGTGAGCTGGGGTCCCCTGACGGACCAGGGCACTCCCCTGCCTGCTCTAGTCCCCAGGGAGGAAGGCACCTGGTTTTCTTTCCAGCCTTGCTCCTGTGGCTTCCCTCTGCTCCCTTCAGCTGGGCTGGGTTCACTGCGGTTTCCCAGCGCTGCTGAGCTTCCTACCTGCGGTGGAGGGGGGGTCTGTGGGCTGCACAAGGAGCCTCCTGGGTCAGTCCCCTGCCCCTGGCCAAAATGGAGGCTGGGAGCTCAGGGCCATTGTTGGCCTCTTCCCCCGTCCTGCTTGGGGGCCTGCAAGTGCTGCTGGAACTTTCCTTGGCACAGCCCTTCCTCCCACCCTTCCCTCTTCTGGAGATGCAGTGGCGTGTCTGTGGGTTGAAGGGACTTCGCCGGAACTGCCTTAGGCAGCAAGTCAAAGAGGAGAAGCAGGGGCCAGACTCTGTGACTCACGCCTGTAATCTCAGCACTTTGGGAGGCCGAGGCAGGTGGATCAACTGAGGTCAGGAGTTTGAGACCAGCCTGGCCAACATGGTGAAACCCCCGTCTCTACTAAAAAATACAAAAATTAGCCAGGCATGGTGGCACGCACCTGTAATCCCAGCTACTTGGGAGGCTGAGGTAGGAGAATCACTTGAACCCGGGAGGTGGAGGTTGCAGAGAGCCAAGATCACGCCACTGCATTCCAGCCTGGGTGACAGAGCGAGACTCCCTCTCAAAAAAAAAAAAAAGAGGAGAAGCAGGGCTGCTTGAGCTTCTGTTTGGCAGAGTCCCCCATGGAAAGAGGAGGCATTTATGTGTGCTTGTGCCTGGACTTTGAGGCCCCACACCCATCCACGTGCCTGTTTTGTCCCTCAAGGCTGCCTGGTGTGAGGCCCCCGCCCCCCATGCCATAAGGAGACCCGCTTCTCCTTTCCTTCCGGGAAGGGCAACCCCTGTCCCTTGTCTACTCCTGGCCAAGGCAGCCTCTGCTGAGCTCCTGAAGGAAGCTCCGAGTGTCTGCAGGCCCCAGGTGGTGGCCCCCAGCCATGAGTGGCATCTGCAGCCCTATGACTGGGGACAGTCTGCCCAGACACCTCTGTCCCACCCAGCTTTCCAGCTGAGGTGAGGGTGGAGCACACGCACCTGGTGCTTGACCTCTGGTTTGAGGCCTTTGTCAGAAGGGGGCAGTAATGAGCCGCCTGCCCTGCAGGCCCCGTGTGGGCCTGACCTGCCTATACCCCAGACCCTTACCTGGCTGTGCACCTTCAGGTGGGCACTTTAGCTTCCACCATGGAGTAAAGGAAGCAAGGCTCACCTACCCCTGGTTACCCTGGGTTTCACGTAGTAATGTTTTCATTTTAGCACTGACTTTTTTTTTTTTTGAGGCGGAGTTTCGCTCTTGTTGCCCAGGCTGGAGTGCAATGGCGCGATCTTGGCTCACCACAAACTTCGCTTCTTGGGTTTAAGCGATTCTCCTGCCTCAGCCTCCCAGGTAGCTGGGATTACAGGCATGTGCCACCATGGTTGGCTAATTTTGTATTTTTAGTAGAGACAGGGTTTCTCCATGTTGGTCAGGTTGGTCTCAAACTCCTGACCTCAGGTGATCCACCTGCCTCAGCTCCTAAAGTGCTGGGATTACAGGCGTGAGCCACTGCGTCCAGCCACAAAAGTGTAGTCGTCGTCGTCCTTTTTTTTTTTTTTGAGACACAGTCTCACCCTGTGGCCCAGGCTGGAGTGCAATGGCATGATCTTGGCTCACTGCAACCTCCGCCTCCTGGGTTCAAACAATTCTCCTGCCTCAGCCTCCCAAGTAGCTGGGATTATAGGAGCCTGCCACCACGCCCAGCTATTTTTTTTCTATTTTTAATAGAGACGGGGTTTCACCATGTTGGCCAGCCTGGTCTCAAACTCCTGACCTCATGATCCGCCCGCCTCGGCCTCCCAAAGTGCTGGGATTACAGGTGTGAGCCACTGCGCTTGGCCAGCACTGACATTTTTGTGTCAGAGTCAGAGACACTGGTGACACTCCCAGCTGGTCGTGTGCTGGGCTGTGGAAGGGGCAGGCAGGGTTCAGTGCCCTGCAGGGCTGCTGCCAAGGTCACCGCACAGGGGCCTGTCCAGGGCTGGCCAGGTGTGGGTGGCAGGTGCTGAGCTGGGCTGAGGGTGCTGAGCGGGGCTGAGGGTGCTGAGCTGGGCTGAGGGTGCTGGGCAGGGCTGAGGGTGCTGAGGGTGCTGCCGCTGCTGCCTCGGGGCTCCCCTGTGCCACTCAGTGCTGCTTTCTTTGGGAGCATCAGAGACCTCCGGGCATGGCCACAAACCAGGTGGCAGGTGACAACCGGAAGCAGTTTCCTCAGGCTGGAGACCAGCGGTGGGCAGGGCCATGCTCCCGAAGGTTTGACGGGAGGCTGCTCCCGTCTCTGCCTTCATCTTCACCTGGACCTCCTGTGTCTCATGTCGAGACTTCCCTGTTCCTATAAGGACACCAGTCATTGGGTTAGGGCCCTTCCTAAGGCACGGCGACCTCATCTTGATTGTATCTGGATGCAAAGAACTCTTTTCAAGTAAGGTGACATTCATAGTTTCTGGGGGTTCGTTCTCAAACACATCTTTTGGGGGACACAATTCAACCCAGTACTCAGGCTCCATGTGGCTTAGGTGGGACTCCACCTTGAGAGGACCCCAGGGCACAGGAGGCATGGCCAGCCCTCAAGGTGAGGCCAGGGGGCAGGAGCGGCTCCCCTCCCTGCCAGGCTCCCCTCAATTGTTCCAGGCGCCTCACTCCCGCTGCGGAACAGGCTCGGGCTGTCCTGCGAGGATGTGGGCTGGACCCCAGGGCCGCTGCTGTAGGCGCTCTTGGGATGAGTGCTGGCCGGCCTCTGGTGTGATGAGATCTGAGTTTTGAGCTGTGCCTTGAAGCGTTTTCAAAGAACACTTATTAATTTGAAAGGGTTGAGATGGTTTAAAGGCATCCAAAAGACACAGGCATCTCACCGAGGTCCCTGCCCAGTAGCTAGTTTCTTCCTCTGGGGGCCATGGAGGCCTCTGGTTTGTCACACCTCCTTCCTGGAATGGTCGTCCCTGCGCCCCAGGTGGTCACCTTGCTCCCATGGCTCTGTGCCTTGCTGTTTTTCACCTGACAGCTGGTCTCTGAGAAGGTTCCTCCTCCTCGTGCAAGGCTGAGCAATATTCCAATGTGTGGCTGTTGCTTTTATGTCCTTATGTGGACATCTCGGCGCTGGCCCATGTCCTGCGTTATACACGGCTGTGCAGTGAGTACCCTTGCAGTGCTTCGTTTAACCGTGTGTGGAAACAGCTGTGGGGTAAATTTCTGCGAGTGGAATCCTGGGTCAGGGTGTCCCTGTGCATCTGGGGTTTGGGTGGGTGGTGCCGGGTGCCCTCTGTGAGTGGGTATTCGCTTACACTCCCCTATTTGTGAATGGTTCCCTGTCCTTCACAAAGGGTGGGTCAGGCGTTGCTGGGACAGGTAGAACGGTGGGAAGGGCCAGGCGTGCCTGCTAAGCAGCAGTGCTCTGGCAGGTGCAGGTCGGAGCCCCGCAGGGCAGTGAGAGTTGAGGCGGAAAAGTTCCCAATCCCTGAGAGCTCCAGATGCCTTACTAGGAGATTGAGTCTTTATTCTGTAGATGGGAAAGGCCCTGGAAGGTATGGATAAGGGAGTGACTTGGTCCTGGGGCTGTGCAGTCGGGGCCAGTTAGGATCTCAGCCAAGGCAAGAGGCAAGTGCAGAGGCCATGGGGGGTGAGGGGCAGTGCAGAGGCCATGGGGGGAACAAGAGGCCAGTGTAGAGGCCATGGGAGGGCTAGAGGCCAGTGTAGAGGCCATGGGGGGGCTAGAGGCCAGTGTAGAGGCCATGGGGGGGCTAGAGGCCAGTGTAGAGGCCATGGGGGGGCTAGAGGCCAGTGTAGAGGCCATGGGGGGGCTAGAGGCCAGTGCAGCGGCCACGGGGGGTGAGAGGCCAGTGCAGAGGCCATGGGGAGTGAGAGGCCAGTGCAGAGGCCATGGGAGGTGACCTCCCCAAACAGTGTCTGATTGTGTGGTTCCTGGACTTCAGCCTCCCCAGCCTCCCCTCCTTTCAGGATGGATCCAGACTTTGTCTCAGCCCTGAGGCCCTGCATGACAGCTGCGTCCCTGTCTCAGGACATCGCTTCTTCACCCCCTTTTGGGCCATGCGCCAGCTTTGTGGGGTTGCTTTCTGTTTCTGGAGCTCGCTGGGCACTCCTGGCCTTGGGCCCCGAACATTCCCTCTCCTCGTAGCCTTCTCGGACCTCTGCTCCTGGCTCACCCTTCAGGACTTGGCCAAGGTGTCACTTCCTCTGGGAAGCTTTCCCAGAGATTAGGTGGGGTGGCGCCCTTCTGGGAGTGGCTCCTTGACCCATGTGTGCTCAGCTTCCTCAGAGCCCTTGTCATCAGCTGGATGCCACCTCCAGAGGGGACACCGGCCGGGAGTGGGGTGGCTGAGAGTGGGTTGGCAGCATCTGCGTCCATTAGCCTTGGGCCCCAGCACCTGCCACTCATGCTACAAGGACTGGACAGACATGGTTCTGATCTGGGACAGGAGCAGCTGGAACAGAAAAAGGGTGGGGCTGTGGGCCCGGGTGACATTCCAGACCTGCAGTCAGCCCGGGTCACTGGCTGCCAGGACCCGGCAGGCAGAAGATAGAGCGGGGGATGTTTGGGGCCAGGCCCAGAGAAAGAAGGCAGCCACGTAGGAAAGGCCCCACCCTGGGCAGCTTGCTTTCTTTCCTTGAAGTTTCTGGGGTCAGAGGAGGGGGAAGAAGTGCAGGATTAGCGTGTTGGGGGCTGGGGGAGGAATAACATGTCAGACTCAGCAGTAAACAGTCCTCCAGAACTGGGCCAGGCCTGTGCCGTTGCCCGAGCTGGCCTGTGTCTTTCTTTATTTTTAGATAATTTTTAACCCCAGGAATCCTAGAGATAGACAAATGTATTTCTTTCTTTTCTTTTTTCTTTTGAGACGAAGTCTCACTCTGTCACCCAGGCTGGAGTGCAGTGGCATGATCTCAGCCCACTGCAACCTCTGCCTTTCAGGTTCGAGCAATTCTCCTGCCTCAGCCTCCTGACTAGCTAGGATTGCAGGTGTGTACCACCACGCCCCGCTAATTTTTGTATTTTTAGTAGAGATGGGGTTTTGCCATTTTGGCCAGGCAAGTCCTGAATTCCTGACCTCAAGTGATCCGCCCCCGCCTCGGCCTCTGTAAGTGCTGGGATTACAGGTGTGAGCCACCGCGCCCAGCAGCCAAATATATTTCAATTTTTTTTTTCTTTTGAGACAGCATCTCACTCTGTTGCCCAGGCTTGAGTGCAGTGGTGCAATTGTGGCTCACTGCAACGTACTCTTCCCAGGCTCAAGTGATCCTCCTACCTCAGCCTCCCTAGTAGCCACTGCGCCCAGCCTGTATTTCAGTTTTTTAATAGTAAAGAGGGGCCGGGTGCGGTGGCTCACACCTGTAATCCCAGCACTTTAGGATCACCTGAGGTCAGGAATTTGAGACAGCCTGGGCAACATGGCAAAACCCTGTCTCTAGTAAAAATACAAAATTTAGCCAGGCGTGGTGGTGCATGCTTGTAATCCCACTTACTCGGAAGGCTGAGGCAGGGGAATCGCTTGAACCCAGGAGACGGAGTTTGCAGTGAGCCAAGATCATGCCACTGTACTCCAGCCTGGGTGACAGAATGAGACGCTGTCTCAAAAAACAAACAAAATAGTAAAGAGGAACATGAAGTGCTTTCGGTACCCGTGTCTTTATTAGAAATGGGATCACGAACGAGGTCAGGAGATCAAGACCATCCTGGCTAATACGGTGAAACCCCTTCTCTACTAAAAAATGCAAAAAATTAGCCGGGCGTGGTGGCGGGCGCCTGTAGTGCCAGCTACTCGGGAGGCTGAGGCAGGAGAACCCAGGAGGCGGAGCTTGCGGTGAGCCAAGATCGTGCCACTGCACTCCAGCCTGGGAGACAGAGCGAGACGCCGTCTCAAAAAAAAAAAAAAAGAAATGGGAAAACGAAGTCTCCAGTGAGACGCAGCAGCTTCCCTGGCTCCCTGGCTCTCACCCCTGCCTGCCTTTAGACAGAGGCAGTCATGACCCTGTCCTGGGATGGACACGGTTGGCCTTGGCCAGGCCATGGGGCGGGGCCTGAGAGAGTGACAGAGCTGTTTATGGGTCCTGGAGGCTGGCTGGATCCAGCGGTTCCTGAGCTGTTTGGAAGGAATGAGGGAGGTGGGGAGGGGAAGAGGGAGGGGCCAGGTGTGGAGCAGCTGGTGGTGGTATGCAGGATGGGAAGGAATCCCAGCTGAGGCTGGGACTCACTGGCTGCCCTGGCTTGGAGGGAAGGTGTCTGATTTGGGGAAAGGGAGAAGGGGTAAGTGAGTTGGGCTTTGAGCCTTGTGCATTGGAGGTGACAGCACAGTCCCCAGGCAGGAGTCAGGTCCTGTAGGGGAGAGGGTTGTGTCTGACCTTGAGGGCAGGGGCTGGCTTCCTGGGTGGTCAGTTGGGGAGTTAGGATGGTCCTTGGTGCAGGACCCAAGGTGCCGAAGAAAGGCGGCCAGGCCCGTGGTAGCCAGCTGGCGTGCGGTCTGCAGTTCCTGGCATGTACTCCTGATGGCACAGCGCCAAGTGCCGAGTCCTCACTTTGTTGCCAGGTGGCTCCAGGCTCTTCCTCGGGGCCTCAGGCACTGTCCCTGGTCTTCTGTCTTAAAGGCTACCCACATATCTGTCCTGTCTTCAGTGCCCACCGCATGAAAGCACTTCCTCCGCTGCTCTGCAGCCCTTGGCCCGCGTCTTCTCTCCCTGGCCTTGTGTCATTCCTGGGGGCCAGCCTGCTGTGTGTGGCTCCACTTCACAGACAGGCAAAGTGAGGCCTGCAGCAGTCATTCAGGCTGCTCTGGAGGCTGGCTCTGCTGCTCCTGGGAAATGCTGGGCTGATGTTTCCTCACTGCTCTAGAACCAGGAGCTGGGCCCTGCTCTCCGCACCCACCCACAGCCTTGGCTAGTGCCCCCAGGACAGGCCTGTGTGGAAAGTGACCCTCTGCCCGCTGCAGCTGGTGCGGGGAAGGCCCTTCCTACTAAGTGGAAAACAAAGGGAAGAGGCTGATAGAATCATTTTGTGACTTATAATTGGCTACCTCATAACTCAGACAAAAAAAGCCCAAAAACCTTTCATAGAGTAAGTTCAATTTTTAAAAACAAAGGTATTTTAAAATGAACACTTGAGAAGCCAAATGAGGTTTCTTGTGTGCTCTGGGGATCCCCCGGCCACTGTGTCACGCCGTGCCGGCCGCTCCACAGGCAACTGTCCCTGAGCCTCCCACGGAACCTTGGGCCCTGCCTGACCTCAGAGCCAGAAGCCAGTTGGCCTAAGTGGGCCCTGGTTTGCATAATAGACTCTCACCCAGGGTGGAGGGGTGACACTGGGGATGGGCAGCTATGGGTTGCTGGGGGACATCTGTGGTCATTTGCTCTAGAAGTGGCATCCTGTGGCCAGATGGTGGGTTTCTTGGAGCTTCCAACCAAGTTGGCTAAATACTTACCAAAAAGGGAAAAATTCTCCTAGTTAACGTGTGGACTATCTACTGTGTACCATGTGTCTGCCAGCGCTGTTGTGGAGTGAGTGTGCGATCTGCGTGATCTCCCAGTTAGGCGAGGCAGTGTTGTCATTCTACCCATTGTACAGATGAGCACATGGAGGATTGAGGGTTCTGACAGCTTGCCCAGGTTACCTAGCAAGTAAGAGCCAGAGCCAGGAACGCTCTTGGAGAGTGACTTGCTCAGCCTTGGAGCTGCTAGAGAAGCAGAGAGGAGATGCAGACCTGGGGAGACGCTGCTCCTGGGGCCCCCACACTGTCCAGCAAGGCTGGGCAGGCTACACAAGCTGCAGGTGGATGCTGGACCCTGGACCTGTGCCCGCTGCCTGTCACTCGTCTCCAGGCCTCGGCCTGTGAAGGCGGCTTTCATCAGCTGGGTGCTGTCTGGGAAGGTGCCAGGCAACTTGCCCTGGCAGGACTGCCAAGCTGGCTTGTTGGGATTCCAGAGATTTCGTGGAGCTCCCACACTACCGGCTGCTCACGGCAAGGATGAAGTTGTTCCTCTTTGGGGAAGTGAGGTGGCGTTTCCATTCCTTCTGACCTGGGAGGCTCCTTGCCTTCAATCCAGGGCCTGATTCCACACTGCCCCCGGGACCCACAGAGGAGCTTAGCGCGCAGTGGGCAGGCGCTCACCTGCTGACAGGGCCTGGGGTCTTGAAGCTGCGACTCATGTTTAGTTCTCAGAACAGCCGTGGCTACCTGGCTTCTCTGGGACTCCTGACGGGGGTGGTGGTGGTCCCGGGAATTTGCTCCTAGGGTCACAGTCTGTGTGTTGGTCACTGGGAACCCCAAGGGCTGATCACCACCTCCCTGCCCTGTGGCTTTGCTTAAAGGTCTTCACCATCAGCCCTTCCCTGCCAGGGCAGTCCAGGGACATGTGGCTTCAGGGGGAGAAAGTGCCCCTCTGCCCTCCTTCTCTCTCATGGAAACAGCATCTCAGGGCCCCTTCCGTGGCCTAGCAGGTGGCACCCCACCCTGACGAACACACCACCTAGGAAGAGCCCAAACATTGGGAAGGTTCTCTTTCCTCCGGGAGCCATTGAGCCCTTTGGGGACCTTCTCCCCTCCTTGGATTGTCACTGTTGCACAAATGGCATCCTCTCCAGAGGCCTCATCCTGCTTCTCCTCTGCCCTAGGATCATGCGGCCAGATGATGCCAACGTGGCCGGCAATGTCCACGGGGGGACCATCCTGAAGATGATCGAGGAGGCAGGCGCCATCATCAGCACCCGGCATTGCAACAGCCAGAACGGGGTAAGGGTCTGGGCCCCATACCTCTGGGCCCTGGAGGCCGCACCAGTGTGAGTTCAGGACAGGAGTTCCCCGGGGAGCCAGGCCTGCAGCCTTCCCTCCCCTTGTGCACTGGGCCTTGGGAACTGTGGGAGAAGTGGCCCAAGTATTTCTGCACCGGACCCTCAGAGCTATGCTTGGTTTTGGCCTCAGCCAGGAGGTGTAGGAACCCACCAGAGATGAAGCGTCAAGCAAGCTGACAGGCCCTCCCTCCACCACTCCCCGCCATGCCGAGTCCCCCGCCAACCTGGCCCTGATCAGAAGCATGCCCCGCCTCCGTGGGGTGGAGTTTATTGTGATGGCCAACAGCTGAGACATAAGAGGCCAGACAGCAGATGTAGGAGAGGTCCCACCTCTGCCCTGACCAACCCTGGTGGCCATGGCACCATAGCAAGTGCCGTGGCTCTCTGTGACTTGGCCACTTCCTGGCTTTGAAGCTCACAGGCCTGGTACCACTGTGCCCACAATGGGAGCAGCTCTCCACCTGCCCCAAAATTGTGTAGCTCGGGAGGGCCCTGTGACCCTAAAGCTGGGGACAAGGGGCACGGTGTCTAGTGTCAACCTCAGGGCTGCTGTAGGACATTCAGCCATCCCCAGCCCTGGGGAGGGGACATTTTCTCTGAAGGGCGGCTGTTGGGGGGAAGCCAGCCCTTGGGTGCTGAGGACAGGGCGTCTGCCTTGGTGCCGCAGCTGCAGCCTCTGCACTATGGGGCTCGGTCAGCACACCTTCTGTGGCCTCCAGGGAGGCAGAGAAGAGGAAGACTCAGCCCCAGCTTGGAGAGTGGGAGTGTGAGGTGCAGGTCCCCACCATGGGCACGGGCATAATGCCACTCTATCAAGAGGCCAAGTGGAAGCCACGTCAGAGACCAGGGACCAGCGGAGGCACTGTGAGCTCTGAGCCACACTGTTGAGATGCAGGAAGTGGCTGCTGGCTCTGTCAGCCTGGGCTGCCGGAACTAAGACCACAGCCTGCTGGCTTGTGAACAATGGAAATGCATTTCTCACAGTCCTGGAGGCTGGAAGTCCAGGATCAGGGCGCCGGCAGATTTCGTGTCTGTTGAGGGCCCATTTGTTTCCTGGTTCATAGATGTCACATCACTTCCTGTGTGTCCTCGCTTGGTAGGAGTGGCTCTCTCAGGCCCTTTTATAAGGACACTAATCCCATTTGTGAGGGCTCTGTCCCCATTCTCTCATCACCTCCCAAAGACCCTGCCTTCTACTACCATTCCCTTGGGGGTTAGGATTTCAACACAGGGATTTTGGGAGGTGGGGACAGCCATGCAGAGCATGGCACATGCATTCAGCCTGGAACAGTGGGTAGGGTGTGTTTCAGTGGAGGAGTGGAAGCTGTGTGTGTGTGCGTGTGTGTGTGTGTGTATCTGCGTATGCATGTGTGTGTGCATATGTAGAATGAACCAAGCCACAGTAAGTGCGGATGGTTGGACGTGGATGTGGGGGATGTCGTGTGGTACAGGTTCAGGAGTGGGTTTGCTGGCAGTGCCTGGTTTAGGAGGGGCTCGCTGGCTGGGCTGGGGGTAGATTGATTCTTTGGACCCGAGGCTCCGGTGCAGCTCAGTCACGTTCAGAGAGCACCCTCTGGTGGCTGTGGGGAGGGTGGGCCTGAGCCTGAGAGCCTGGGGCAGGGGTGAGGGCCAAGTCCCAAGTTCCTGTTGCACCCTTCCAGAGAGAGACAGTGAGGGTCCCTGGCAGGAGAGCATGGACACAGGGAAGGAAAAGTCCCCAAGATGGGGAGGAAAGATGAAGGAGGGGCTTGGGAGGCCAGAGGGTGATGCTGTCACTCAGAATCGTGGAATTATTTTGCTGCCATTTGGTCAGCACTTGACATTCTGCAAAGCTCCAGAATGCTTCAGGAGCTAAAGTTTAGCTCATGGAATCCTCACAACACCCCGGAGAGGCAGCTGTTCTTGTCTTGTTTTTTTTTTTCTGAGACAGAGTCTCACTCTGTCACCCAGGCTAGAGTACAATGGTGCGATCCCGGCTCACTGCAATGTCTGCCTCCCAGGTTCAAGCGATTCTCCTGCCTCAGCTTCCCGAGCAGCTGGGATTACAGGTGTGTACAACCACACCTGGCTAATTTTTTTGTATTTTTAGTAGAGATGGGGTTTCACCGTGTTGGCCAGGCTGATCTCGAACTCCTGACTTCAAGTGATCTGCCCACGTCGGCCTCACAAAGTGCTGGGATTACAGGCGTGAGCCACTGCGCCCAGCTGCTGTTGTTATTTTTATTATCCCAGTTGCATAGATAAGGAAACTGAGGTACAGAGAGATTGAACACTTGCTTGAGGCCACCTGGGGAGGCAGATGGTAGGTCTGGGCTGTGACTATACCTCGAACCTGTGCTTTGAACACTTGCCCCTCCTTGCTCCTTCTCCGGATCTGGGGCTGCTGGAGGGACAGTTTTGACACATTGGCTTGGAGAAGCCTCTGGGAGGCTGGTCCCCAGGATGGTGATCCAGAAATTCTAGGCTTAGGAGGGGGTCTCTGAGTTCCAGGCAGCCCCAGGGCGTGGGGGTGAGAACAGTCCCAGTGCCTAGAAGGGCTTTGCTGGGGCCCTAGGTGGGGCAGGGGACCCCCGCATCCACACTCCCCTGGTGGTGCCTTCCAGTCTGTGGCTGGAAGTCCCAAGGTTCTGTCTCTGGCTGGGGCCTCTTGGCCAGCCCATCTGGATGCCTACTTGGCCTGCTTGGCCTTGATGTGCAAAAAAACGACACTCCTGTCCTTGCCCCAGGCTTGCTTCTCCCAGCCTCCCTCCCCTCAGTAAATGGTCTCTGCAGCACCCCGGTGCTCAGGCTCAAAGCCTGGAGCCTCTGTCAGCCTCTCTCCCTCCCAAACTCATGAGGCTCTGGGAGCAGATCCCACTGCTCTACCTTCCAGGAAGTCCAGATCTGAGCACAACCCCCAGGCCCACCCCCACTTTGGGTCCAATGGTGCTGCTCTTCCGATCACCCGATCACCTGATCACTGCAGCAGCCTCCTGGCAGGTCACCCTGCTGGTCCCTGCTGCCTGGTTTGTTCTCCAGCAGTAGCCAGGGAGATGTGGAGTCAGGGCACAGTGCTGCCTGCTCAGAGCCCTCCAGATCTCCTGTTTCGCCCAAAGCCAAAGGCACGTCCGCACGAGTCCCTGTCTCTGCCTAGCGCGGCTCGGGGACCTCACCTCCTACATCTCTTTCTCAACTCTCCCTCTGGCCACATTGGCTTTTCTGCTTCTTCTCGGACTTGCTGGGTGCATTCCTGCCTTGGGCCTTTGCACTGGCTTTCCCCAGATATCCACAGGGCCCTGCCCTCTCCTCTTCTAGGCTCTACATAAAAATGTTGGAATCCCAGCACTTTGGGAAGCTAAGATGGACAGGTCACTTGAGCTCAGGAGTTTGAGGCCAGCCTGGGCAACATGATGAAACTTTGTCTCTACAAAAACTACAAAAATTAGCCAGGTGTGGTGGCCTGTGCCTGTAGTCTCAGCTTCTTGGGAGGCTGAGGCAGCAGGATCACCTGAGCCCAGGAAGGTTGAGGCTGCAGTGAGTTGAGATCACATCACTGCTCTCCAGCCTGGATGACAGAGTGAGACCCTGTTTCTACAAAAACAAAACACAGCGTCCGGCCATGCCCCTGATGGCCTGGCTCCCTCTCTGCTTCCAGCTGCTGCTCCACTCCTGACCTGCTGTGCTTGTACAGAGTGGTAGCCCCACGAGGGCAGGCAGGACTTCTGCCCTTGGTTTCTCCAGACTGAGCATAGAGCGTGCTTAGGCATCATCTGATGAATGCTGGGAGCTCGGGCCTGGCACCGTCAACCGTCATGGAGAGCGTCCACCGAGTAAGCGCTTACGATGAGCCCGCGGCCACGCTGGGGCTCACCCTTCCTCTCCCTGTGTAGTCTTCCCAGCCACCTGCTGAGACAGGCACTGTTCTTAACCCTGTTTTACAAGTGGGGAAACTGAGGCCTAGAACAGTTAGGTGGCTTTCCAGACAGCTGCATCCTCAGAGCTGCCGTCAGCCAGAAGACGGCCGGGGCTGGGCATGGTGATGAGACCGCACCCTCTCTGGGCCCTCACTGGATGCCGGGCATGGTCCACGCACTTGACGTTTGTCAATTGCCTTATCCCCGCATGTCAGAGAGAGACAGCTATCCCTGCCTCTCCTGGGCGTTTCCTAAGCACCGAGTTCTTCCCATTCGTTATCCCCTCGAATCTCTGCAGCAGCCTGTTGGGACCATTTATTATCTGTGTTTACAGAGACTGAGACGTGGAGAGGTTGTGTCGCTGCACAAGGTCACAGAGCTAGTAAGCAGTAGAGCTAGGATTTGAACCCAGGGCCCAGAGCTGTTCTTTTAGGCTCTGCCTCTGCAGCTGCTGTCCTGGCTGGAAGCCCTGTGGCCATGAGGAACCCAGTGCCTGTGGTTTGCTGGGATGCCTGTGCCTCACGGGCCGTGTGATACCAGTTGCTTTTGAGAGCGTGGCAGAGGGCACTTCCGGGCAGGTGCTGATCAGGAGCTCGTGTCTCTGTCCCAGGGCAGGGTGGGGCTTTTCCTGCTCCTGCAGTCCTGGAAGCAGGAGGTGTGGGGCTCATCCGAGGCACTGGCTGCTGGGAGATCTTCCCATGGAACGCAAATACTTGTCAGTCCATGTATTGAAGTTTTGGATCACACTGGCCTTCAGGGACTCCCTGGGCCTGGTCCAGAGCCCTGCCCGCTCCTGGGAAGCAGCCGCCCACCAGCAAATCAGAGCCGTCCTGGGTCCCGGCTCCTGCCATCTGTACCCATCAGACACACAGAGCCACCTCTGCAGCCTCCCAGGCTGCCAGATAGTAAAACAAAATCCTCCCACAGGGTCTCCTGATAGTGAAATGGGACCGTGGCAAGACTCCTGTGTGGATGCCTGGGAGACATTACTTTTCTTCTTCTTTTCTTTTTTTTTTTTTTTTTTTTTTTTTTTGAGACAGAGTCTTGCTCTGTCGCCCAGGCTGGGGTGCAATGGTGCGGTCTCAGCTCACTGCAACCTCTGCCTCCTGGGTTCAAGTGATTCTCCTGCCTCAGCCTCCCGAGTAGCTGTGACTACAGGCATGTGCCACCACACCCGGCTAGTTTTTGTATTTTTAGTAGAGACAGGGTTTCACTCTGTTGGCCACGCTGGCCTCGAACTCCTGACCTTGTGATCCACCTGCCTCGGCCTCCTAAAGTGCTGGGATTACAGGCGTGAGCCACTGCGCCCGGCCCTACTTTTTTCTTTAGTATGTTAAGCTGGGAGAGAACCAAGCTCAAGGGTCATCAGTGGCCTTCTGCCCTATGAAGGACAGGCTTGAAGCCATCACCAGGTGTCCCCGTGGCACTGTGGGGAAGGCTACTGGATGGTTCTGTGTGAGGGGTGTCCCGAGGGACAGCACAGAGAGGTGCGCTCTGCCTTCCTCCTGCCTCAAGTCACTCTTTGAGTGAACCTGCTTTTGTGCCTCCTCTGAGCGACCCTTGGACCTGCCCCTCACATCCTGGCCTGCAAGGCCTGGCAGCCTGCCTCTTTGGACCTTTGTCCATGTCTCCCACTGCGTCCCTGTGTTCTGGTGGCTCCCCACCACCTCCCCACTCCTGCTGCTCTTTCCTCTCCCTGTGGTACCAACGCTCCCCCTACCTCCTCCTGCCTAACACCTGGTCTTTTAGGCCTCAGCTCAGATGCCTCTCATCTGAAGTCACACCCTGCCTTAACATCGTTGGGCTGTCCCCATCGTGGCGTGGCCCCATTTACTTCTCGTCCGTCCCCCCAGCTAGAACCCAGGCTTCTCTGACCCACACCCCTCTGTACACCCAGCACTGAGAGGCCCCACAGATGCTGCCAGAAACCAGCTGCAGAGCAGGGAGGTGGAAGGCCTCTGCCCCGGAAAAGCATGCGCCCATAGGTCTGTTTGATCTGTGTCAGCATAGCATACCGTAATGTACTTAATCACCCTCAAACAACACACACTTGGCTTCATTCCACTTTTAGGTCTTGCAGACAGTGCTTGGCTCCTTCCAAGATGGGCATTGCCCTGCCCAGAGGCGGTGCCTAATTCTTGCCTGGCTCTGTGCAGCCCTGCCCTAACAGCCTTTGGCCAATGGGTGGCGCCATAGCCACATACATTGACTTGGGGGTGAAAGAGACAGTTCCAGGCATCGCTTTACTGTGACCTGTTGTGAGTAGGGCAGGGTTTGCTGGGGGACAAGCCCGTGCAAACCAGAATGGGGAAGCATCGGGCCACCCTTGCCAGCTCTAGAACTTTTCTTGCCCAGCCCCAGATGCAGTCACAGAGTCCCTGCGCCTGTGTGCAGGAGAGTCACCTGGGAAAGGGCTCAGACAGAGGCTCCCAGCCTACCTCCAAAGAAGCAGGTGCTGGGTTTGGGGTGGGCCCCGGAGCTTGCATGTTAACCCCACCTCAGTGAGTCCTCATGTAGGTGGGTGAGCTGCATGTCGGTGCTTTGGGGGCGGCAGGCGGTAGGTGGGAGAGCACAGACGCACACACCAGGGCTTGAAGTGACTGCCACATACTCTGTGTGCTCTGGGACGCTTGCCTAATGTGGCACCCCTTGTCGGGGTGCTGTGAAGATCACCTGGGCCAGTGATGTCGGAGCTGGCCCAGGCCCCTCCCTCACCTGCTCCCTGCCCGCCCTGGGAAGCCTGAGGGCTCCTCAGTGTCATGCTGTCAATGTCCTAAGGAAGTGATTGTTGCAGTAGAAAGTCATGGCAGTCCTCTGGGAAATGGAGACTCACATTCCCCATGGCTCAAACACAAGGTCATCTTTTGTGTCATTTATTCAGCAAAGATGAGAAATAAGTCAATTCTGAGTGTTGGTCAGGATGCCGTGAGGTGGCAAAGGCCAGGCCAGTCACTGCTGTTCCGAGAAACACTTAGGACCATATATAAAAGTATTTGTCCTTGGGCCCAGAAAATAATCCCAAATGCAGAAAACGGTTTAAGTGAAAGGGTGCCCATCACAGCATTGTTTGTAATGAGAATCAACTGGGGGTGCCCCACATCTCTAACAGAAGAAGAATGTTCAATTCCACCTGGCTAGCAATTGAAAGTAATTTTCTAAAAAAAAGTTAGGTGTGGTTGCATGTGCCTGTAGTCGCAGCTACTCAGGAGGCTGAGGCTGGAGGATCGCTTGAGCCCAGGAGGAGTTTGAGGCTGCAGTGAGCATGATTGTGCCTGTGAATAGCCATTGCATTCCTGCCTGGGCAACACAGCAAGGTCCTGTCTCTATAAATGATAATAATTTTACATTGGAGTGCTATGAAAAGGAAGTCACTGGAAAGGATAAGGAAGTCTTTCAGACACAGCCACCGTCTGAGTGTTCGTGTCTCTCATGTGTTGAAATTCTCACCCCCAGGGTGATGGTATTAGGGGGTGGGGCCTTTGGGAGGTGACGAGGGTATGGGGGTGGGGCTTCATGAATGAGATCAATGTCTTCATGAAAGGGTCCCGAGGGAGCTCATTTGCCCCGGCCACCACGTGAGGACACACGAGAAGCACTGTCTGTGAACCAGGAAGCCGGCCCTTACCAGGCATGGAATCTGCCCGTCCCTGATCTTGGAATGACCCAAGTCCCTGGAGACTTCCCCCCTCCAGGACTGTGAGAAATAAATTTCTGTTGTGTCTAAGCTGCCCAGGCTATGGCATTTTGTTCTGGCAGCCCAACGAACTAAGACCCAAAGCTACAGAGGATGATCCCCAGGGTAGATGAAGAGAGAAAAGCAGGGTGCAGCACCACCTGTCCATGTCCACCATCTGGGAGCCCCACCATGTGGTTGTAGATGCGGAGTCCGATCTGACACATGGGACCCAGCTGCCAAGGGGTCCTGTGTGACAGGAGACGAGGTGGCCAGAGGTAGACCCAGCACCATAGGCTTTTTTGTTCCTTTTACATTTTGAATCATGAGAATGGGTCGCCTATTTGAAGGATAAATAACATTGAAAAAAATTTTTTTTTTTGAGACGGAGTCTCGCTCTGTCGCCCAGGCTGGAGCGCAGTGGTGCGATCTTGGCTCACTGCAAGCTCCGCCTCCCGGGTTCACGCCATTCTCCTGCCTCAGCCTCCCGAGTAACTGGGACTACAGGCACCCACCACCACACCCGGCTAATTTTTTGTATTTTTAGTAGAGACGGGGTTTCACCATGTTAGCCAGGATGGTCTCGATCTCCTGACCGTGTGATCCACCCGCCTTGGCCTCCCGAAGTGCTGGGATTACAGGCGTGAGCCACCACACCTGGCCACTTTTAAATTTTTAAAAAGAATAGTTGGGCCGGGCACGGTGGCTCACGCCTGTAATCCCAGCACTTTGGGAGGATGAGGCAGGCGGATCATCTGAAGTCAAGAGTTTGAGGCCAACATGGTAAAACCCCGTCTTTACTAAAAATACAGAAATTAGCCAGGCGTGGTGGTGCACATCTGTAATCCCAGCTACTCAGGAGGCTGAGGCAGGAGAATTGCCTGAATCCTGGAGGCGGAGGTTGCAGTGAACCGAGATTGCACCACTGCATTCCAGTCTGGGCAACAGAGTGAGACTCCATCTCAAAAAAAAAAGAATAGTGATTGCAAAGAGCCATGTCACAACACGGGCAGATTATTTTTCCCATACTGAATGAAAAAGAATCAAGGTGAGAGTGTATTTAGTGTTTTGTTGTTGTTGTTGTTTTTGAGATGGAGTCTTGCTCTGTCACCCAGGCTGGAGTGCAGTGGCGCAATCTCAGCTCACTGCAACCTCCCCGTCCCGAGTTCACCTGATTCTCATACCTCAGTCTCCTGAGTAGCTGGGATTACAGATGTGCACCGCCACGCCCGGGTAACTTTTGTATTTTTAGTAGAGATGGAGTTTCACCATGTTGGCCAGGCTGGTCTCGAACTCCTGGCCTCATGTGATCCGCCCACCTCGGCCTCCCAAAGTTCTGGAATTATAGTCATGAGCCACCGCGCCCGGCCTAAAGAAGAATAGTGATTGCAAAGAATGTGTCACAACACAGGCAGATTATTTTTCCTACGTTGAATGAAAAAGAATCAGAAGGTGAGGGTGTATACTTAGTTTTTGCACAGCTATATTAGACTAAAACTGTGAAACGAGCCAGGCAGACGAACAAGTGAGACAACAAAACCCACCCCGATTCTTGGGAAAAAAGCCTGGAAAGACAGATCCCAAAATAGTAACCATGGTTATCTTTGAATGGGAGGAGTGACGTTCCCCTTCTTTCTACTTTTCTGTATTTCCCAAATTTTCCATAATGGGTATGTATGCATTTGTTCACTTTATATTAAGCAAATAATGCATGCCTATTGTGAGAAAATCAGAAGAAAGGAAGAAGCAGCTGGTGATCCCATCACTTGGGGAATCGCCTGCAGCAGTTGCTTTGGGCTGGACTCTGCAGGGCTCCTCTACATCCCTGTGCTTTTGTGTTTAGGAATGCGCGGTGCTAGGCCGGGCGCGGTGGCTCATGCCTGTAATCCCAGCACTTTGGGAGGCCGAGGCGGGCGGATCACGAGGTCAGGAGATTGAGACCATTCTGGCTAACATGGAGAAACCCCGTCTCTACTAAAAATACAAAAAAATTAGCCGGGCATGGTGGCGGGCGCCTGTAGTCCCAGCTACTCGGGAGGCTGAGGCAGGAGAATGGCGTGAATCTGGGAGGCGGCGCTTGCAGTGAGGGGAGATCGCACCACTGCACTCCAGCCTGGGTGACAGAGCGAGACTCCATCTCAAAAACAAAAAACAAAACAAAACAAAAAAACAAAAAATTAGCTGGGCGTGGTGGCTGTAGTCCCAGCTACTCGGAAGGCCCGCTGTAGTCCCAGCGGGCGCCTGTAGTCCTAGCTACTCGGGAGGCTGAGGCAGGAGAATGTCGTGAACCCGGGAGGCTGAGCTTGCAGTGAGCTGAGATCTTGCCACTGCACTCCAGCCTGGGTGACAGAGCGAGACTCCATCTCAAAAAAAAAAAAAAAAAACCGCGGTGCCAATAAATGGTGATACATTGGTTGCTTTCACAGTGGGGAATGAAAGCAAAGGCAAAGACCGTTTCCAGGGGGCATGTCCTGGGTGGGGCTCTCGGGGCTGGGCTGGCTGACCTGGGCTGACAACTGCCTCTGTCTCCACAGGAGCGCTGTGTGGCCGCCCTGGCTCGTGTCGAGCGCACCGACTTCCTGTCTCCCATGTGCATCGGTGAGGTGGCGCATGTCAGCGCGGAGATCACCTACACCTCCAAGCACTCTGTGGAGGTGCAGGTCAACGTGATGTCCGAAAACATCCTCACAGGTACTTCTGGGAGCGACAGTGTTGACTGGAGCAGTAAGGGCCGTGGCTACACAGCTGCTTCCCTCCTGAGGGCAGAGGACGCTCCAGGGCCTGGCCCCTTTTCCACCAATGAGACCTCTCTCACCTCCCACCATGGCCCTGGGAGCAGCTATGTCCATTGCCCTGATTTTGCAGACAGGAAAGGGGCACAGAGGGGTTAGGAAACGAGTTCAGTTACCCAGAGCAGGACTCAACCCTGCTGTCTGGGTCCGGCCTGAGCACATCATGCTGCCTGTCCTGCTGCCCGTGGCCAGCTCATCCATGGCAGGGGCTGGGCGCGGGCTGTGAGGCCGGTACGCACCATCCACCCCTCTGCAGGTCTCCCTGCCCTGCTTGCCCTCCTCAAGCGTAGGGAGGTGTTGGCTCCAGAGAGGACAGTGCTTGCTCCTGGGAGCCCCAGAAACCAGGCTCAGATGGAAGCTCACTGGGTGAACCTTTGCCTCTGCTTTCATCTGAATATTCTCCTCCTTGGCCATGGTAACCATGGAAACCCCCTTCCCCTTCCCACTGGGCGCTGCAGGAGGGGGCGGCTCCAGTGTTCACCAGCTCACGCTTCTTTTTATACCCAGGCTGGGGACGGGAGGTGAGGGGGAAGGCGGGCCTCTTCCCCTGCCCCTGGTCCTCTCCCTGCCACCTCCCAGGTCACCAGTCCTCCCATGCAGAGAGGCTGGGCCGGTTTCCTCCTCTTCCCCATGCCTGTTCCTCAGCAGTGGCTGCCCCGTGGAGTGCCAGCTCACAGCCATTTGAGGGGCTTGAGTCCTCTTCCTCATGACGGGCCGGTAGCAAGCACGATTATGCATCTAGAACATTCTGAGGACCTCAGCAGGGTTGATTAGAATGGCTGTGTCAGCCCAGCTCCGGCAGGTGGGCAGATGGAGCTGAGCAAGGGCCTGGGGTGGAAGGTGGTCTGCGTTCCCATTGCCTGCTGCTCCCTCAGCAGGCACCTCTGACATCAGAGGGACCCTGGATGCTGGTCTCAGGATGTGGCCCAGGAAGGGGTGTATGGGCACCTCCCACAACAGGAGCAGCGCCCACGACTCGGGAGAGGCTCAGGGCTGGGTGGGTTCCCCACTTTAGGGGCCTTGGGGGTTCCCTGCCATCTCCTGTGAGATCGCAGCTCTTCTCCGACTGTGCTGGGGGTGGAGCCTTGGCCCCTTCCTGGAGAGGAGGGATGGCCTGCCGCGCTCTCCTGCTTCCTAGGACCTTCCTGCTTGTGAGGGCCCAGTCAGCAGTGCCCTTTGTCATTGCAGGAGTTGGTGGCTTCAAAAATGCCAGGAAGGGATCTGCTTTGCAGATTTTCTGCCATGAAAGCCCCCTTTGTGGTCCATCAGAGGCCATAGCCTCAGAGGAAGCCCTGAAGAGCAGGTTTCTTTTTTTTTTTTTTTTTTTTTTTGAGATGGTGTCTCACTCTGTTGCCCAGTCTGGAGTGCAGTGGTGTGATCTTGGCTCATCGCAACCTCTGCCTCCCAGGTTCGAGCTATTCTCCTGCCTCCCAGGTTCAAGCTATTCTCCTGCTTCAGCCTCCTGAGTAGCTGGGATTACAGGCATGAGCCACCATACCTGGCTAATTTTTGTATTTTTAGTAAAGACAGGGTTTCGCCATGATGGCCAGGGTGGTCTGAAACTCCTGACCTCAGGTGATCCAGCTGCCTCGGCCTCCCAAAGTGCTGGGATTACAGGCATGAGCCACCGAGCCCAGCCGAGCAGTTTGGGATGATGGGGAGAGAGGCAGGGAGACAGAAAGGCGTTCTCAGGCTTTCAGCATGGCTGGGACCCGCTGTCCCCACAGCAGAGAGTGATGCAGGCCAAAGGTCAGGGGTACTGAGCTTGAGGAACTCCCTAGATCCTGAACTTCCCTTTCCTGGCCGCTTCTGCTGGCCCATAATAGATATGGAACCGATAGTGGATGAGCAAATGAATGAATGAATAAGTGAATGAGCAGAGGCGACCAGGAAGAACTGGGCATCAGTGCTGAGACATGCTGGCTGATGGGGTTTTGATGAGGACGACACAATCTGACATATTCGTGAGGATCCCTCGCTCTTTAGGGGCTGAGAGGGGGAGAGGCTCCTGTGCAGAGCCAAGGCAGGCGTGAGCATGAGAGAGCAGCCCCCACCAGCTCACCCAGAAGGTGCTGGGAGCTTCTCGGCCTCCCAGCTGTGTCCTGGCCACCACAGCCCTCGGCCTTCTCCTCCTCCTCCGAAGGATGGGCTCAGAGAGGGACAGAGATGCCCACCCCTCCTCCCTGGGGACATCAGGGCTGGCATTGCGCTGTCGTGCGCGTGAGGCTTGGAGAAGGCAGGATACGCTTGCCAGCACATGAAGGCTTTTCCCAGTGGGGCTGGGCGGTGCCCCAGGTTCTTCTTCCCAGCTTCAGCCTTTTCCCTGTAGCAGGGGCTGGGCAGGGAGGCCTTGGAGCCCCAAGGCTGTAGCTTTTCTCCATATCTTGGTCAGGCCCCGGAGCCCGCTGTTGTCTCACTCTGTGACTGCGAGTCTCATCTCCCCCTCTGTCTCGCTCATCTCCTCGTCTGTGCTTCTGCTTCTCTGCCATCTCTCTCTGCAGTCTCTATTGTTCTCTTGAGGCCCTTCTCTGTCTCTGCCCATGTGTCCCCTGGAAATTGAACTCGAAGGCCCCAACAGCAAGAACAGTGCCTGGCACACTGTGGGCACACGGGGAGCACTGGCTGAATGGGTGGTGACCTCTGAAAGATAGGGGTATTGCAGGTGGGGGCAGAGGATGCGCGCGGGGACCCTGGCCCGGAGCAGGCTGAGTCATAAGCTGTGTGCGTGACATCTGTGTGCTGTCTCCACCCCAGGAGACAGGGGTCCCCTGTTCTGTGTGTCCCCTTTACCTGGGCTGTGCTGCCTGTCACGAGGCCGCTGAGCGAGCACAGGCCCAGGCAGACGACCCGCAAACCTTGCCTTTGAGGCAGCTCATTTATCTCCAGCAACTGTCAAAATATTAAGCTAACTGGGATGTGATTGCTGTGAATTGCTCCAGAAAAATAGCTGGGAGCTCTTAAGATTTTAAGAGATTTTTTTTTTTTTTTTTTTTTTTTTGAGACCGAGTCTTGCTCTGTCGTGCAGGCTAGAGTGCAGTGGCGCAATCTCGGCTCACTACAACCTCCGCCTCTCAGGTTCAAGTGATTCTCCTGCCTCAGCCTCCCGAGTAGCTGGGATTACAGGCACGTGTCACCATGCCTGGCTAATTTTTTTGTATTTTTAGTAGAGACCTGTTAGCCAGCATGGTCTCGATTCTGAGCTCGTGATCCGCCTGCCTCGGCCTGCCAGAGTGCTGGGATTACAGGCGTAAGCCACCGCAGCTGGCCGAGAGATAATTTTCTAATACTGCCGTTGTCTTTTGATGCTTTCATTAAATGATGGAGAAAATACAATTAGCATGTTTGCCTCATTTGCTCCATGGTGTTCATTTAGGTCCAGAGGGCCACTCGAGTTGTCATGGAAACCGGCTTGTCAGGCTGGCTCTAGCTGAATCCAACAGGAAATCTTTATTCCCAAAAGCAGGTTGTCAGATTCACTCTCAGTCAAAGTGCGGTGGAAATATTTTCCCATATTATTTGCCTGTGGTTCCCAAGCACTGGGAGCCCCACGTTCCCAAGGTGTGTTCTGTGCGGGGAGGAGGGGCAGGCACAGGCCTTTTCTTAATGGGCCCCCTGGGGCTTGATTTGGAGCCTGGGGCTGTGTTTATTGAGGAGGAAAAGCGCTTTGCCTTGGGGAGGCAGGTTCAGGTAACTGGTGGGAAGTGAGCTCCTCTGGGGGTTTTGGGCAGGGCCCTGGGGCTGCTCCTGTCTCCCTTTCCTCCATTACTTCCTGCAGTTTGCTCTTCTGCTTTATAGTGAGGATCTTCCACATTGAAGAAGCCACTTTTATTTATTTTTTTAAGACAGGGCCTCGCTCTGTCGCCCAGGCTGGAGTGCAGTGGTGCAATCTAGGCTCACTGTAATCTCTGCCTTCCGGGCTCAAGCGATCCTCCTATCTCAGCCTTTGGGACCACATGTGTGCACCGCCATGCCCAGCTAATTTTTTTTTTTTTTTTTTTTTTTTTGAGGCAGAGTTTTGCTCTCGTTGCCCAGCCTAGAGTGCAATGGCGCCATCTCGGCTCACCGCAACCTCTGCCTCCTGGGTTCAAGCTGTTCTCCTGCCTCAGCCTCCCGAGTAGCTGGGATTACAGGCACCACCACGCCCGGCTAATTTTTGTATTTTTAGTAGAGACGGGGTTTCTCCATGTTGGTCAGGCTGGCCTCAAACTCCTGACCTCAGGTGATCCGCCTGCCTCGGCCTCCCAAAGTGCTGGGATTACAGGTGTGAGCCACCGTGCCCAGCCAACCCAGCTAATTTTTTGTATTTTTGGTAGAGACGGGGTTTCGCCATGTTACCCAGGCTGGTCTGGAACTCCTGAGCTCAAGTGATCCACCCACCTCAGCCTCCCAGAGTGCTGGGATTACAGGTGTGAGCCACCGTGCCTGACAAAGCCACTTTTTAAAGGCATCCTTGCAGATACTTCTCTGAAATGACTGGGACATGGGAGTATGGCACCAAGTTGCTGTGTGACCCTGGGTAAACCCCTAGACGTCTCTGGGCCTCAGACTCCTTCTGTACAAGTGAGGGGTGTACACCAGGGATCTCTAGGCTCCTTTAGCCCCAGCAGGCCACGAGCCTCTGTTTCTCAGCACGGACAGCCTTCCCTGTCCTGCAGCCCCACTTTGCTCTGTGGGTGGGCTCAGTGCCCCAAGGAGTCAGCAGCCTATAGCCCGTCTCTTGGCACCTGGAAGCTTCTGGTGGAGCTTTGGATGGGCTGGCAGCACACCCGAGTGTCTGGTGTGAAGGAAAGGAAGTTCCTGGGGTGGCAAAAATGGAGCTTGATGAGCTGGCTCCGCTGCTCTGTGCTTTGGGCTGTGGGGGCCCTGGCCGTCCCCCCTGCCCCTCCCCTGGGCTGCTCTGCCTGGGCACAGCCTCCACATCCTCCTGAGCCTCTGCAGCCTGCACGTCTGTATGGGCCAAGTGTCTTTCTGGGCTTCCCCGTTTGGCGGGAGTTCTTGGCAGTGCTTAGACAGGTGGATGGGATCTGCAGAAGACGTTGCGTGTCTGAGCATCAGGACGTCAAGTTCCCCAGCAAGGCACTTTTGATTTTGACGTTCGATGTCAGCAGCGATCAGTTGCTGGAGACTTGAGCCAGCAGGTGAAGCGGGCTCAGCCTCGTGTCCCCGGGCAGAACGAAGGGCGTCTGCCTGCAGCCAATCAGTCCTTCCCCTCTGTCTGGGAGGCTCGTTGGGAGCCTCTGATGTGTTTTCATAATCAAGCTCCCTTTCTGTCAAAACACCAGGAAGAGGAGGTTGCCTGCAGTTGGTGCCCTCCAGGGTGATCCCTGTTGGGTGTTGTGGCTGACCAGCTCCGGACCATCCAGGCTTAAACCACGTGGTCTGAAGTCTTCTCAGCAGCCCCTGGAAAGGGAGAACTGCCCCAGAGTGGGTGCGTTGGGAGGGGCTGGGGTCCTGAGCTCAAGCCAGTTTTGGGGGGGCATGCCTTGTGATGGGGGTGGGCCCCACGCAGCCTCTCTCCATGGGCTCTGGGGTCTCTTGTTCTGTTTGTCCACACTCACATGATGGCAGCACTCCCCAGCCAGGATGCTGAAAAGGCCTTGGGGGCTTGGGGGCTTGGGGGTTGGGGGCCAGAGAGGTGGTGCACACTGTGGTGTGTTTCAGGTACTGGGACCGGGCGCTGGAGCAGCACCTGCCACGTGCCTGGACGCTCACATTCCCACCCCGTCTCCCGGGCGTCACTTAATGTGATTTTCTTCTCTTAAGGTGCCAAAAAGCTGACCAATAAGGCCACCCTGTGGTATGTGCCCCTGTCGCTGAAGAATGTGGACAAGGTCCTCGAGGTGCCTCCTGTTGTGGTAAGGTGCCCTTTCTACTTCTCTCTTGGGGGCAGATGGCAGAGATCAGGTCACCTCACCTGATGTTGGGAGGCTCGTTCAGCTAAGGGTCTCAAGGGAGCAACAGGCCAGAGCTAGGGCACAGGGGGCCAGGTCCGCCAGCAGGCAGTGTCCCCTCTGGGCTGGGCAGGGCATCCCTGGCTCCACAGGAGTTTCTGTCCTGCCTCCGAGGAAACACGGGTGGGGAGGAGACATGTCTGTGTGGGATCTTCTAATGTATGTTTAATTCATGCTGGGAATGTGAGCGCAAGCTGGCCCAGAACCCGTGGACATAAACATCCCTCCAACCTAGGGACCTTTTTGTCACACTCCCTAACCAGAGAAAAGACGGTGACAGGATCGTGATAGTGACATGTCCTTTCGGGAGCCAGGACCACCAGGCTGCGGGGGCCGGGCCAGCTGTTCCCCCGTGGCCCCTGCAAGCTGGTTCTGATCTCTGCTTCTGACGCAGTGGCTGTGGAAACAGTTGTCATATGAGCTTTTGTCTTTCTCCCTTCTTGTCCCCTGCTGGGGTCTGTCTCCTTCTCTGTGTTTCTCTCATTTCTGGCTTCGCTGTGGTTGGAAGCATCTTTCTTTCTTTCTTTCTTTTTGTTTTTTTTGTTTTTTTTTGTTTTTTTGAGACGGAATCTTGCTCTGTTGCCCAGGCTGGAGTGCAGTGGCGCGATCTCGGCTCACTGCAAGCTCCGCCTCCCACGTTCACGCCATTCTCCTGCCTCAGCCTCCTGAGTAGCTGGGACTACAGGCGCCCGCCACCACACCCAGCTAATTATTTTATATATATTTTTTAGTAGAGACGGGATTTCTCCATGTTAGCCAGGATGGTCTTGATCTCCTGACCTCATGATCCACCCACCTCGGCCTCCCAAAGTGCTGGGATTACAGGTGTGAACCACTGCGCCCGGCAGAAGCACCTTTCATAATACCAGTTCATTATGTTGTCAGAGGGGTCCTGCCATGGGCGGGCCTGTGGGCGAAGCCTGTGGAAGCCACACATACAGACTCCTGGAGGGGAGACGTTGGGAATAAAGAAATTTAATTCGTTGCCTAAAAGTACTCCCTCGCCTCCTTCTCCTGTGCCCCAAGTTCATTGGCAAGTCCAAGGACAGATGTGACCAGCTCCTCCCGCAGCCTGACCCTGCGGTCCACAGGCCACAGCCCCCAGGAAGAGCTCTTCTTAGAGGGAAGGAACCAGGATTCTGAGTCTCTGCAGTGTGGGCCCCGGCAGGGAGCTTTTCCTCCGGCTGAGATATATATATAGAATACATTTTTAGAAATAATAAAACTGAGAACCAGATTGTCAGGAATTGGTGCCTGCTCTTTTTGCTTCCAGACCCAATAGAGACGCTGGGTGCTCTTGCCGCTGCCGGCAGCCTTGGTTCCCTCCCCAGCGTTTGCCGGGTGCAGGCCACTTCCCGCCTGTAGGAGGCCTGGCTCTCCATCTTCCCGTGGCCCCCCGGTCACCAGGGCTGATGGGGCCTCGGTCCCTGCTGCCACTGCCCATGTGAGACTGGGGAGGTGCTCCTTGAGACCTGCTTCCTGCCGTCTCTTCTGTCCCCAGCTCCGTGTCTGACCAGGCACCCTGCCAGGGTCTCCTCAGAGGGCAGTGAAGGTCTGGGTGGGGTGTCTCCCCAGGTGGGTGTGGCTGGCTGCCGGGTCCAGCTGCTGTTTGGCCTAGGTTTTGTTTTTTTTTAATCTTGGTGACAGGGGAGCCCTGTCCATATTTAATGGGAAGGGCAGGCTGGTGGCTGCACCTTTGGTTTTATGAGAGCAGGATGGCAGCATGCCAGAATCTGGCCAGTGGGCGGGGGCTCAGGGTCGGGGTGTGGAGTCCGAGGTCTCATATTCCCACCTGACAGTGTCCCGGGGCTGCTGTGACAAAGTGCCACTGACTGGGTAGCTCTCAAACAATAGAAGTTGATTCTGTCACAGTTCTGGAGGCCAGAAGTGCAAAGGTATGGGCAAGGCCCTGCGCCCTCCATTGGCCCCAGGCGAGGATCCCTCCTGGCGTCTCCAGCGCCGGGTGGCTCCAGGCGTCCCTTGGCTGAGGCTGCGTCACTGAAGCTTCTGCCTCCATCTTCGCACGGCCTGCTTACCGGAGTACGGGTCACTGGGCTCAGGGCCCGTCCCATTCTGCTGTGACCTCATTCTAACTGTTTACAACTACAAAGACCTGGTTTTTGGAGCATTTGCATTTTGAGGTTTCAGGTGGATATACATTTTGAGGGATGCTGTTCAACCCACTGCACCAGCCCTCGGTTCAACAACCTCTCCCGTCTCTTGTTCTTGTGGGGCTGTTCTCTCCCTGCTTCTTGGCTGAGATGGAAGTTGTGGTCATTTTCAGCAGTGCTAACTTGGGGGTGATTGAAGACCTAAGGAGCAGGGGTCAGATGGGGGCTCCTGGCTGTTCTCCGCAGAATTGCAAGCACACCCACCCCACGTTCATTCTTTTCTCTAAGCCCTTGGCGTTCAGTGAGCCACATCACATGTAAATATTGAGACATAGCATTTAACGGATTTAATTTTCAGATGCTACCCAGTTCTGAAATCTCTCCCAGGCCCCATGCCTGGCTTCAGCATCTGATGGTGCATCTCAGGCGGGTGATACCGAGGGGCGGGCCTGGACCTGAACACAGTCACTTTTGCTGCCTTGTCGCTTAGGATCGATGCGCCAAGAGCTGTTGGGTTTTTGGCCAGTGGAGGGGACGGGTAGCTTCTGACTCCCCTGGCTCCCATCCCCTCGCTGCAGGGACAGGGTGCTTTCAGCGTGGCCCCTGTTAGCCTCGCCTCTCCTTGCCCAGTAATTAGCTCCCTCCCTCCCACATCCTGGAGGAGCTCCCAGTTGCTTTTTCATTTCCTTTGTAGAGTGGGTTTGATGAGACATAAATACCAACTTGGCCTTGTCGAGGAGTTGTTGAAACCATTCCATGGCTCCGAGGCAGCCGGAGCCGCAGATGGGAGAGGCTGCACGGTTCTCAGCTGCAGCTGTTGTTCAGAGCTCTTTGCACCATCTTCCCCCCAACACACGCTAGGCCCACGTAGTATAAACCTCCCACTGATTTGGAATCTAGGTCTCCTGTTTTTCACTGGTGGGCCCGGCCAGAGGCCTGCTTAGGAATCCCAGAAAGTACAGCTTCCTTCCCTGGCTCCGATGGGCATTTATGCCCATCTGCTGGTGGCCTGGCCACAGGGCTGTCTTATATTGCATGAGCATGCTCCCGCTGACCTTTCTACAGACAGCCATCCCCGATTTAGGAAAATGTACGTCCCTGTATGTATAGATATACAGATATATATTATATATACACATACAAATAGAGATGTCACATACGTATGCATGTAGATATCTTGAACACGCACACACACACACACACCACACACACACACTGGTTTCCTGGATGTGTGCGTCTCCCTGGAGGAACCCAGCTGCCGGCCATGCGCACAGTCGTCTAGCGCAGGATGTCTTTTCTTTGCTCCACCTTCCTCCCCAGCCTGCCTGCAGCTTTCCCAGTGAGCAGGGAACCTCGGTGGGCCTGTGATGGGCCCGAGGGGCCCCAGGATGACCAGAGGGGCAGCCGCAGCCCTGGACAGGCTGAGTGGCTGTCGGGGGTGGATGCTTTGGTTTTTTTCAAATGTCTGAATATGTGCTCTAGCGAAGAGGTTCACAGCCTGTCTCTCAGATATTTGGGCCACGCTGTCTGCTGCTTCAGATCAGTTGGGTTTGATGAGCTCTCGGGGGTGAGAGTTAGGTGCCAGCCATCATTAAAATGTTCCAGCGGTTTTGTTCCCAGATGGAAAGGCAGCATTGGGGAGGAGGCTGGGCTTCTCCTCATGGCTTGTGTCCAGGACTGGGCCCCATCATTTCCCTGTGCGCCTGCCAAGCCCAGACAAATGTACTGGATACCATGAGGATTTATTAGACCGGGGGCTGGCTCCTTTAAAAAAAAAAATCCCTTTAAAAGGCATCTCTTGAGGATGCTGAAGTTCACCCACCAATGTTCCTAGGTAGATACACAGCACAGACTCTCTTCTCACAGTCGTTACTTGGCCGGTGGAACATTAGGACGTGGTTTATTTATGGAGGAAAAGGTTGAATTATCCACTGCAACTTAAAACACTCCCCACAGTTTGCTTCTTTTGAACAAACGCTTCAGCTCCCTTCTCAGCCTCTTTTGAAGATGGGTTCTCAACTGAAGATGATGGGTAGTTACGCCGAGGAACGGTGAATGGTGCTGAGACCCTGCACAATTTTGGAGCTGAGCCATGAGCAGGAATTATCGAGATGTTTAAAACTGGCTTTTGAAAGAAGGCCTAACACAGCCGTCTGAAGTGAACTTGCTTAGGTCAGAGGGGCTTCAACAGGCGGCCGAGGGGCCCAGAGGGGCCCTGAGTTCCGTGGCTTCCCCACAAGCTCAGCTGGAATGGTTGGTTGAGTGAATGTGAGAGCAGAAGTGGAGGCTAATCAGAACAGCCAGGTGGTAGTCGGCCCCTGGCCAGGCCAAGGGGGAGGGAGAAGGTCGTGGGGGATGGAGCAGGCAGAGGGTCTGGAACCAGCCTGCGGCCAGCACACAGGCCCCGAGGGCCCCTCCGAGGGTCCCATCCGAGTGTGGTGCATCCCCTCCAGTGTGCACAGCAGGGCAGTGAGTGAACCGTCTGTTACGTCCAAGAAATGCAGTATCCCCCTGCTGTGTCCCGGGACTCAGGAGCTTTGGCTTTTGTGCTGAGTTGTTGGTGTTTTTTATTTATTTATTTATTTTTTTAGACGGAGTCTCGCTCTGTCGCCCAGGCTGGAGTGCAGTGGCGCAATCTCGGCTCACTGCAACCTCCATCTCCCGGATTCAAGCGATTCCCTTGCCTCAGCCTCCCGAGTGGCTAAGACTACAGGTGCCCACCACCACCCCTGGCTAATTTTGGTATTTTTAGTAGAGGCGGGGTTTCACCATGTTGGCCAGGGGTTTCACCATGTTGGCCAGGCTAGTCTCGAACTCCTGACCTCAAGTGATCCACCCGCCTCAGCCTCCCAAATTGCTGGGATTACAGGCACGAGCCACCATGCCCGGCCTGTGCTGAGTCTTATAGTCACATTTATTTTTAACTTCTGGAGTCAAAACCCCTGTGATTCATTTGGAGAGCCGTGGGAGGACAGTTCCATCTTTTACTGCCCATTCTCTACCAATATATAACCTGTTTGATTGGCCAAGGGTCAGCAGGGACACACAGGGTTCCTGCTCTGTCATGGACTTTGGAGAGTGGGTGGGGCCTTTTTGAGGATCCCTTTATTCTGTAATGAATCCTAGGAAGCAATGGGACAGTGCAAAATGATTTTAAGTAACCTAGGATCAGTATGGTTTTAATAGTGAAAAAGCGGGGGCCGGGCACGGTGGCTCACGCCTGTAATCCCAGCACTTTGGGAGGCTGAGGCGGGCAGATCGCAAGGTCAAGAGATCAAGATGAGCCTGGCCAACATCGTGAAACCCCATCTCTACTAAAAATACAAAAATTAGCCGGGCATGGTGGCGGGCACCTGTCGTCCCAGGTACCGGGGAGGCTGAGGCAGGAGAATCACTTGAACCCGGGAGGCAGAGGTTGCAGTGAGCTGAGATCACGCCACTGCACTTCAGCCTGGGACAGAGCGAGACTCCATCTCAAAAACAAAGAAAAGAAAAGTAAAGAAAAATTGGGAACAAGCTAAGTGCCCACATAGTTACAAAAATTACGTTAAATAGATACACGGTTGCTTTTAAGCTCCACATACAGCACCATAGAGCTTTTTATATATTTGTAGGCATTAAAGCAATTCCAGGAAGGATCTAAACCAAACACTTGACCCAGGTTGTCTCTCTGGGGAGTGGAGCCACATGGGATTTCACTGTTTCTGTATTCTTATTACTTATATTAAAACACACATGAACAGAAGAAAAAATAGTCCCAGTTACACAAGGCTATAAGGGCCTGGGATCATGGCCGCCCAGCGAGGGGAGGAGGCCGTGTCCTGCCTGGGCCTGACCTGTCTTTGGTTTCTCGCAGTATTCCCGGCAGGAGCAGGAGGAGGAGGGCCGGAAGCGGTATGAAGCCCAGAAGCTGGAGCGCATGGAGACCAAGTGGAGGAACGGGGACATCGTCCAGCCAGTCCTCAACCCAGGTAAGAGCCGCGGACACCAGCAGCAGGTGCCACTCCTCACCGGGGACGCATAGGAGGCAGGAGCAGGCCGGGCCTACGTGAGCCTCATGCTTGAGGTTCCCCAGGTGCTGAGCATGCTCTCCGGGAACCAGTTTCTCTGGGGTCCCCAGGGAGGGCTGTCCCCCAGCCCCGCCCTGAGCCATGTAGACCCCTCCAGTCACACACCTGGAAGGCGACCTGCGTGACTCAGGGAGTCCCAGAGGGCACTGTGCGTGGGGCCTCCATTGCCAGGCAGGTGGTGTGCACCTGTTCACAAGGAATTTGTTTTTGTTGTATCTTTTCCTTGTGTTCGCTCAGTGGCTTGTTCTTTTCTTTTTTTTTTTTTTTTGAGTTGGAGTCTTGCTATGTCACACAAGCTGGAGTGCACTGGCACAATCTTGGCTCACTGCAGCCTCTGCCTCCTGGGTTCAAGTGATTCTCCTGCCTCAGCCTCCCGAGTAGCTGGTATTACAATTACAGGCATGTGCCACCATGCCCGGCTAATTTTTGTATTTTTAGTAGAGATGGGGTTTCACCATATTGGCCAGGCTGGTCTCTAACTCCTGACCTCAAGTGATGAGCCTGCCTTGGCCTCCCAAAGTGCTGAGATTACATGTGTGAACCACCACACCTGGCCAAGTGGCTTGTTCTTGATGGGATTTCCAACTCATCCAAAAAAGAAAAAAACGGCAGCAGCTGTTCAAGCGCCACTTCTTCCCGGCCCCACTGTTCAGACATTGATTGGAGGAGGGGCTCTGCCAGTAGGCACTGGGCTCTGTGGCATGCCCAGTTTCCCTGTGGTGTTGGTCCCTTCTGCCATCCATCCTCTTGCTCTCATGTCAGGGTGCTCTGGCTTTAACAAAATGTTCACTCAAAATCTAAACGAAGGCACGATGAGATGTTTTGCCTCAAGCAAGGACTTTCTACCCAGAGAACTCCCCGCGTTCCTAGAAACAATTCAGGGCAGGGGGCCCTGGGGAGCATCTGTCCCCCTAGGAAAAGGGTGAGCCCTCGGGGGCAGGCAACGAGCATTACCCCTCTCCCTACTGCACACATGGTGGTCATGTTGTCGTAGTGGCAGGAGAACTCCCTCCAGGACGCACTGTGTGCTTCTCTGCCTCCCTGCGATGGCCTGGGCTCGTGGCACATTCGTGCTCTGTGCTGGGTTCCACAGGGTACCTCATGCGGGATGGCAGCCTGAGGAGGGTTTGCTGCCCCCCACCATGCCTTGGGAGACCCTGGTCATGGTGGGTGTTTGAGTTTCTTACTCAGCTTTCTCTGTTTTGCCTCCACCCTCAGCAGTGGTGGAGGACCTGCCTCAAGTAATCCCTTTCCCCCTTGGATGTGCCTGTGATGTGGGCTCCACTCTGGGGTCCACCTGCTCCTAGCCCTGCCGAGAGGCGCCCTGGCCCCTGCTAACCTGGACTCGGGGCATTGTTATGGCCGCTCACCTCCCTTGCTTAGTCCACATAAGCACCAAAGGGGACTGGTGAAAACCCAGTGGGCGCACAGATGAGAGCATGGCTTTCTGGGCTTGGCTGCTGGCATGCAGCAGGAGTGTGCTTGTTTTCTGGGCGGGTCAACTTGAGGCTTGAACAGGAGTTTGTGTGTATTTGGTCTCACATGTGTGTCTCTGACTCAGTCTGTGCTCCAGCCTCAACTTGCCAAAAGCGGACTGGTTGTCACCTTAGGCCAGTGGGACTGGGTAGGTCGGTTTCTTTACTGTTGGGGAAACCACTGTAGGTTTCCTCTCTTTTCATGTCTGCTTTTTAACAAACACCAAAAAAAGAAAGAAAGAAAATTAATGTGTCAGTATTAATAGAAAGAATGGTGCTGCTTTGATGAAACCCCAGTAAAGAGATATCTTTTTTTTTTTTTAATTTGAGGCAGAATCTCGCTCTATCCTCCTGGCTGGAGTGCAGTGGCGCGATCTCAGCTCACTGCAAGCTCTGCCTCCCGGGTTCACGCCATTCTCCTGCCTCAGCCTCCCCAGTAGCTGGGACTACAGGCGCCCGCCACCATGCCCCACTTATTTTTTGTATTTTTAGTAGAGATGGGGTTTCACCGTATTAGCCAGGATGGTCTCGATCTCCTGACCTCGTGATCCGCCCACCTCGGCCTCCCAAAGAGCTGGGATTACAGACGTGAGCCACTGCGCCCGGCTGAGATATCTTTTAAAAATAAAATTTAAACAGCCAGTTTATCAACACAGCAATACACCAGACAGGCCTGGAGGCACGTGCTGGGGCAGGCAGTGCCCAGGCCGTGCTTTTGGGAGGGCAGCCCAGCAGTCAGGTCAGACACCGGCTGTAAGGAATGGGATGGGATGGGAGCAACGGGAGGTGTCTTAGGAAAGGCACCAACACAGCGCTCAGGGCCAGACAATATGTCCACATTCAAATCCCTAGAGCCTGTGAATGGGACCTTATATGGAAAATGGGTCTTTGCAGATGTGGTTAAATTAAGGATCTTGAGATCATCTGGGTTATGCAGGTGGGCCCCAAATCCAGTGATCAGTGCCCTTGCAAGAGACAAGAAGAGGCTATGTCTAGCCTAACACAAAGGGGTCCTGGAGGAGAGGGTTGGATGGAACATGGGGGCTGCCTGGACCTACCTTTTTGTGAGCGGTTTCTGGAGAGAGCTTGGGGTAGGTGCCAGACCCCGGGGGGTGTGGGCAGCACTGCTGGGCTGACTCTGGCTTTGAGAAGCATGGATTAGATCCTAGCTTCTGCCTTTAACTGATCCTCAGGGACACTAAAATTACTCAAGGTTTTCAATCAGTTTAAATTCCTTTACTCGTGGGATTCTCTTCTGTTTGCCAGCCTCCGATTGACTGTAAATCTACACGTGATATTTTTCAGAATGTGTTATTCACTGTCAGTCAGAGTTGGCCTCCTGAATCTCGATTTCCTGATTGTATGTGCTTTTATTTTTACTTTTTTGTTTTATAAAAATGTATCTTCCTCAGATGATTGGATTAGAGACTCGGCTTTTAAATATTTCTTAGGAAGTCCCATGTCCATTCTTTCTTGAGCATTTCTGAACATCTGCATCTTTGACTCCAGTTTCCTGGTAGAGCCGGTATCTCAGTGGCATGGCTTCCCGGTACCCTCGGGAGCCCAGGGGTGGGCTCATCTGAGACCAGCCTGGTCTCCTGTATGGTGGCTTAGCCTGAGTTGGGTTTGGCAGGGGCGTCCGGGTCAATGGGGAACAGCAGCTCTGGGAGAAGAGTGTGCGTATGTGCTTGGCACTGGGGTCTTTCTAACAGGTGTGACACGTGCTATCCCATCCCGTGGGAGGACCCTCCGTCTCTGCCCTGGAGAGGCCATCTTGGCCTTTGACTTGCCTGCTCCCAGCCCCTGTCCATCCCACATCCCAGACCTCATCCTAGAGCAAGAGTTCAGACTGTTGCCTAGCAACCTCCACAGGGGTGGCCTCGTCTTTCAGGTACCTCAGAGTCTGAGAGTTCCTTAAAAGTCCTTTGTCCAATATATACAGCTATAATTTGTCTATATATATATATATATATATATATATATATATTTTTTTTTTTTTTTTTTTTTTGAGACAAGTCTCACTCTGTTGACCAGGCTGGAGTGCAATGGTGCGATCTCGGCTCACTGCAACCTCCACCTCCTGGGTTCAAGCGATTCTGGTGCCTCAGCCTCCTGAGTAGCTGGGATTACAGGCATGTGCCACCACACCCAGCTAATTTTTGTATTTTTTGTAGAGACAGGGTTTCGCCATGTTGGCCAAGCTGGTCTCGAACTCCTGACCTCAGGCGATCCGCCCGCCTCAGCCTCCCAAAGTGTTGGGATTACAGGCGTGAGCCACCATACCTGGCCAGAAGGCAGACCTGGTCAGGGACTAGACCTCATCTGTTCCCTGCCCAGGACAGCTGGCACTCAGAAAGGGTAGCTCATTCCTAACTGACAAGCCCCAAGCTGTTGAACACGCCAGCCCACTGGGCCACGAAATGACTGGGACTCATTTCAGGTGAAGACAGGTCCTTTCTAGGTCTGGCCTTAGGCAAGTAATGTTTCTCAGTAGCCGAAAAAGCTGGTGGGATGAAGGGTGGTCCTGACCCAGAAGTTGATACCTGAGGTCTCCTAAGTGTCCGATTTCATTGCTTTGTTTTTCTTTTTTTTTTGAGACGGCGTTTTGCTCTTGTTGCCCAGGTTGGAGTGCAACAGCATGATCTCAGCTCACTGCAAACTTCGCCTCCCTGGTTCAAGTGATTCTCCTGCCTTAGCCTCCCAAGTAGCTGAGATTACAGGCACCCGCCACCATGCCTGGCTAATTTTTGTATTTTTAATAGAGAGGGGTTTCACCATGTTGGCCAGGTTGGTCTCGAACTCCTGACCTCAGGTGATCCACCTGCCTCAGCCTCCCAAAGTGCTAGGATTACAGGCATGAGCCACTGCGCCCGGCCCCAGTGTCATTTCCGAGGCTTTGATGTGCCTCTGGGTCATGGTTGCTAAATTGTGTCACCACAAATCATATGTTGAGGTCCTGACCCTGAGTCCCTCAGAATGTCACTGAATGTAAAGAAAGAGTCTTTAAAGAGGTAATTAAGTTAAAATGAGGTCATTAGGGTGGGCTGGTGTCTTTACAAGAAGAGGAGGTTAGGACAGACACACACAGAGGAACAACCCTGTGAGGACACGGGGGAAGGCGGCATCTACAAGCCCAGCAGAGAGGCCTCAGGAAGAGCCAGCTGCTGATACCTTGACCTGGGACTTCCAGCCTCCAGGGCTGTGAGACGAATTTCTGCCGCTTAAGGCGCCAGCCTTTGGTGGGCACTCTTGTTACAGCGGCCCCAGCACACGGGTACACTCCACACACAGAATTTCAAACCGCCTCCCCTCCCTTCTCTCCTGGTCACTGTTAGCTGCCATGTGAGTTTCCTCATTCCTGCCCTGGGCTTGCCCTCATGCCAGGGTGTGTGGGAGAAGTAGCATGTCATGGAGTCAGAAGCAGAGTAGAGGAGCTCCTCCCAAAAAGCCACATTCTGGGGGCCTCCCCACCCAGCCCACCCTCCTGAATATGCGTCAAGAGGTCCTTGCATCTGGGCCCCTCTGGGAGCTGGCGTGCAGGGTCGCGATCTCAAAGCCAACCAACAGACCCCTCCAAGTGCCAAGGCTTTTGGGAAGGAGCCCCTGGGGGCCCCGACATCCTGCATTGCAGCCAGTTCGCACGACCTGTGGCTTGGCCCAAGGGAGGGGATGCCTGCTCTCCCACCTGCTGCTTCAGCGTGGGCCTGCCAGGGTCTAGGGGTGTCCAGAATCAGCCTGCAATTGCCGAGGGCACCTTGGGCCTCAGGGGAATTTAGTACACCCTGAAACCCACAATACCACGAGGAGTGGGGCTCTGAGAGAAGGCCAGAAATTGGCGGCATGAAAAGATTGGAAAAGCCTATTGTTTATTGACCTGGGAACGGAAGGAGACTGAAATCAAAAGCCCATTAAGACTCAGCCTTGGCTGGGCCCGGTGGCTTACGCCTGTCATCCCAGCACTTTGGGAGGCTGAGGTGGGTGGATCACGAGGTCAGGAGATTCAGACCACGGTGAAACCCCGTCTCTACTAAAAATACAAAAAATTAGCCGGGCGCAGTGGCGGGCGCCTGTAGTCACAGCTACTCAGGAGGCTGAGGCAGGAGAATGGCGTGAACCCGGGACGCAGAGCTTGCAGTGAGCCGAGATCACATCACTGCACTCCATCCTGGGTGACAGAGCGAGACTCCGTCTCAAAAAAGAAAAAGACTCAGCCTTGTGTCAAAAATCAGATTAAAGTGTGGTTTACACACCCACATGTGTCTTGAGAGAGTGAGAAAGGGAGTGGAGTGGAGTGGGATGGAAAAGTAAAAAAAATACACCAGGCTTGAGCGTGACACTTGGAAAGAACGTTGGGTGTGGTTCCTGTCACATGGAACTGACTGGAGGCAGACAGATCAGATGCCTACTAAGTTTACGAGGAAACTGAATTTGCCTGGACTGAAAAAAAGCTTTTGACTGTTCAAACTTTAAAGTAACCTCCCCAAACCTAGACAAGCAGGAGGTGGGCCGTGGGCCCCTATTTCCCAGTGCCCGCTTGGATGAGGCCATGGTGGATAACCAACAGGGAAGAACCTTCCAGGAGGCTGAGCAAAGGACCATGTAGTTCCTCCCCAAGAGTGGAATCAGAGTCTAACTAAAGACCCTTCCCCATGGCCATAGCTCAGACCCTGGCGGGAGTCATCTCTGCTTGGGCCAGGGGCTCCTGGGTAGCTCCTGTGTTCTTTCCTTTCCTGAATGAGTGTGCTCTTCTGTTCCCTCTTCCGCTGCTGTATAAAGGGTGCAAGTGTAGGTAACTCATCTTCTTAGTTCATTGGCTGCAGGAACATGAAGAATTGCGTGTAAACACGATGGAGAAGACTGCATGCATGTGACCAGCTGCTGCGCTCTGAGGTCAGCGCAGAGGCCGGATAGGGTTTCAGGTGGTCGTCCTTGAGGGTGAGGTGCTCCACGTGTGCAAAGAATACAACAGGGATCTGGTGACTGGAGGGGTAGAACCAGACAGAGATGACCAAGCCTGTCTCCACACATAGCAGGGCCACACTGCCCTGCCTGCCCTGCAGCGGGTGTGAAAATACCATGTCTAGAGTGTGAGCAGAGTGAAATGCTGCTTCCAGGCCTGACCCATCAAAACCTCAGGTGTGTGAGCCTCCCCCGACTCTGTCCCTTTCCAAGGTAACCTTCAAAGCTACCCATTAAAAGTAATGGAGCTACGGGACCAAAGGGGCCTGAATCCCCGCATCTCCAACATTTGGAGGAAATCTACCCCACTAGGAAAGCCTGATTTGGACTTTACCTAGCAGGAAATCAACCTCACTGTGTGACCCACTAGGGTTTCAGGGTTTATCTGCTGCAGCAGTGACTATGATCTTGACTGACACAGTGCCTAATCTGTGAACCTGCAGTTTCAAAATGATGTGAGGAGCCTGAACCAGGCCCCCAGGATAGCAGTGGGCGAGGTTTACACAGCCATAAACACAAAACTCTCCTTTTCGGATCCCGTCCTATGTGACAAGCTATTTACAGGGCTTCGTGTGTGCTAGGTGTTTACATCATCTTCATAACCCGATAGTTTTGCTTTCACCATCTCTGGTTCCAGCTGAGGAAACTGAGGCAAAGGGAGGTTAAGTTCCCATGAAGGCAGCAGAGCTGGGATTCAAACCCAGGCAGTCCAACTCCAGAACCTCCCTTCCTCCCCTATCCTCTCTTGCTTCCCCCATGCCCTCAGCCTCCAAACTACTGCTTACGGGAGCAGGACTATGGGCCTGGCCAGAGGGCCAGAGACATCAAGTGGGAGGCGTTTCAGACCCAGGGCCAAGCCCCTGGCCTGACCATGTTCACCAGCCCTCGCACCCTCGTGGATGGCTCAGGGCGGATCTTCCTGGGGCTTGGCCAGAGCACTGCCTGACCCCAGAAAGGCGGATCCCAACCCAGGAGCCGGGGCTAGGTGACCTGCCAGGACCCCATCTGCTCTGGAAGGGCTGGACCAGGCTTGGAAGTGAACACTGTTTTCAACGCAAGCGCCAGGGATGAGGCAGGCACTTGAACTTGTCTGAGGCAGGGCTAATTTTGTCATAAACCCTAAAAATGGACAGCCATGTGGCCACATAGTCCCTACATGGTCAAAGCTGGACAGCTGACAGCTATGAATCCGAAGAGCTCATGGTAATTCCATTTTCTTTTGTCAGACAGAGAAAACAATAAGGATAACTGACTTTTCAAAAATTATATATTGGGCTGGGCAAGGTGGTTCACGCCTGTAATCCTAACACTTTGGGAGGCTGAGGCGGGTGGATCACTTGAGGTCAGGAGTTCAAGACCAGCCTGGCCAATATGGTGAAACCCTGTCTCTACTAAAAACACAAAAATTAGCCAGGTGTGCTGGCAGATGCCTGTAATCCCAGCTACTTGGGAGGCTGAGGCACAAGAATTGCTTGGACCCAGGAGGCGGAGGCTACAGTGAGCTGAGATTGTGCCACTGCACTTCAGCCTGGGCAATAGAGCGAGGCTTTGTCTCAAGAAAAAAAGAAAGGTCTACCTTCTAGAGACTGGACGTTATATGTCATCGGCTTTTTTTCTTAAGTGCGGCCTCTTAAAGATATTTCAGGAGCAGTGCAGTGTTGGGTGACTGAAGCTCCTCCAAGATATTTGGGGCTCTTGCAAGAGTGAGGTGATAGAGCAGTGAATGGGGTTGGGGGCTGGCCAGAGGGAACAGCTTGCTCCCTGTGGAGCTGTACATTCTCAGGCTGTGGAGTAAATTACAGAAACACTGTGGCACTTCTTGTAAAATTGGAAATGCAAGTCAGATGGTTAACTAGAGCCTGGTGGAGGGTCACACGCAGCCCCGGGACTCACAGCTTTGAGGTGTTTCATGGCTACCCCTGGGCAGGGCCTTGCAGGGCACTGATGGCCCCAGAGAGTCTCGTCATGGCCCACTAACAGAATGGGTCATGAATCCTTGAAAACCTCTCCTTCACCAACTGTAGCCTGTTTGGAGACCATAGTTTTCCTTAGAGAAATCATAGCTGAACCCGGCTTTGGACGCCTTCGTTGACTGTGTAGACCTGAGGGTGGTTTCGGCATTGCCAGACCATTCAGCTGTGGGAATCAGCCTACCCCATAACTAATCTCTCTCTTTTGCAATTCCAGAGCCGAACACTGTCAGCTACAGCCAGTCCAGCTTGATCCACCTGGTGGGGCCTTCAGACTGCACCCTGCACGGCTTTGTGCACGGAGGTAAGAAGGAAGCGCCCTGGCCACTCCATTCCTGTCCCTTGGCTCATTGTTGCTTCTCTGGCAGCCGTGCTGCTGTCTGACACACTTGAGGCTCTTGTGTTTGGTGAAGTACAAACTTCCAAGAAGTTGTACAATAGGCCAGGTGCAGTGGCACATGCCTGTAATCCCAGCACTTTGGGAGATGGAGGCGGGAGGATTGCCTGAGCTTAGGAGTTCAAGACCAGCCTGGGCGACATAGGGAGACCCCTGTCTCTACAAAAAAATAAATAATAAGCCGGGCATGGTGGCCTGCACCTGTGATCCCAGCTACTGGGAGGCTGAGGTGGGAGGATCGCTTGAGCCCAGGAGGTCGAAGTTGCAGTGAGCCATGATCGTGCCACTGCACTTCAGCCTGGGCAACAGAACGAGACCCTATCTCAAAAGAAAAGGTTGAACAATAAATCACAGAAATATGCTGGCAGGCTGGGCGCCATAGGTCACGCCTGTAATCCCAGCACTTTGGGAGGCCGAGGTGGCTGGATCACCTGAGGTCAGGAGTTCAAGACCGGCCTGGCCAACATGGCAAAACCCCATCTTTACTAGAAATACAAAAATTAGCCAGGTGTGGTGGCAGGCGCCTGTAGTCCCAGCTACTCGGGAGGCTGAGGCAAGAGAATCACTTGAACCTGGGAGGCGGAGGTTGCAGTGAGCTGAGATCGTGCCACTGCACTCCAGCCTGGGCGACAGAGTGAGACTCCGTCTCAAGAAAAAAAAAAAAAAAAAAGAAAGACTCTGGCACCCATTTTTCAAATTGGTGATAAAAATTAAACGGATGACTGCGTCCCTGGGGAGGCTCACATGCAGCCCCGGGATCTGATAGCTGTGAGATGTTTAATGCCTGCTGAGGGTCAGGGCAGGGCCTTGCAGGGCACCGATGGCCCCAAAGACTAGCATCGTGACTCACCGGCAGTGACTCGTTAATAATGTTTTTCCTCTAATGTTTGCATTTATTTTTTCCCAGTAAGTACAGATCTCTTCTCAAACAACACAGGCCTTAAAGTTCGTAGCTTGGCTTCCCAGAGTTTGGGAAACAGCTGGAACGCAAGAGGATTTAGCTCTAGGTTCACAGATGGACACTTTTTACTTTAATAATGTGTAATTATTTTTCATGATTTAAAGAAAATGTAGATAGCATATCAAACCTGTAATTTCATGGCTACTGTAATTTTGAAGAAGACCAAAGTAAGCTTTTAAAAACAAGTTGGTTGAAGAAAAACGTCAAGGAGATAAGATCATAGTGAAGTGGTATCAGTGAGAGCAGAAGTTGTGAAGGTGCTGTGTGGTTAATGAAGGCTGGGTGCAGCTGTTCTTGGTGTACTGAGCTATTCATCTGTCCCAGGCATAACAGGCACTTTTGCACAATGCTGTCATTTCTAACTGCCTGGAACACCAAGTTCTGTTTTCTTCTCCACTCAGAAAACTCCTATTTATCCTTCAAAACCCAGCTCAAACGACACCACTCTGTGCTGGCTTACATTTATATTTCTACCAGGGACACCTCAGGAGCAGGGATTGGATCATATTCTTTGTGTTGGCTCCAGCACCCACAGAGAGTCAAAGGGGCACCTTGCAGATACTTACTCCATGAGTGAGAGGCACCAATCACTTTCAGGTTTGGGACATTGGCTCTGGGCCTATGAGATGGAGTCTCACTCTGTTGCCCAGGCTAGAGTGCAGTGGCATGATCTGATCTTGTCTCACTGTATCCTCCGCCTCCTGGGTTCAAGAGATTCTCCCGCTTCAGCTTCCCAAGTAGCTGGGATTACAGGCACGTGCCACCACACTCGGCTAATTTTTGCATTTTAAGTAGAGATGGGGTTTTACTATGTTGGCCAGGCTGGTCTCAAACTCCTGACCTCAAGTGATCTGCCCACCTTGGCCTCCCAAAGTGCTGGGATCACAGGCGTGAGCCACCGCGCCCGGCCCTGATGTGAGATATGTTTCCAAAGTTTGTTTCTTTTTCTTTTTCCTACTTCATGATTGTTTTCGTCTTCCCACTCAGTGGTGGCTGCACTGCTCGTAAATCTGATTAACTATGGTCTTGCCAAGGGAAGCTGTGCTTTATAACAGCACTTCCAGGCCCACGAGCACTATGACAATCTGAGTGTCTTGCTGCCCGCAGAACAGCTGTTGCCTCAGAGGCATTCCCTGTTTCCCCTTCCTTACTGCCCCCATGTCTCTGTCCTCCCTCGAATTCCAGGGTGGGCTCAGCTCCCTCTTCCGAGCCTGGCCATCCCAAGCCCAGGCTTCTGCCACTTCCGAGTATTGTGTTTGAGACTCATACAGCTCCATTCTGCCTGGAATTTGTGAAACTCTGGGCTATGAGTTCTGCTTACTTTGTCGACATGTTAGACGTTCTTCACTAAATGGGGCATTTCCGTCGTCGCTGTCTACGTGCTGAAAAGTCCACACCCTTAAGCCCAGTCTTTCTTTCTTTATGTGCTGAAAGGCATCAGTGAGATGCCAGGAGTGGGAGAAGTCACTGGAGAAGCCCCTTGGAAGTCCGCAGCATGTCATGTTCATTTACGGTGTCTAAGCTGCTTCACTGATACAGGCACATGTTAAGATGTGTATTAGGAATAATGGCTTTACAATAATGCCTATTTTAGTAGGGATTTTCTGCCCACAATTTGTAAAAAAATCTAATAATTTTACCAAGCTTAACCTTCTCTCTTTTTTTTTTTTTTTTTTTTTTTTTTAGACAGAGTCTCACTCTGTCGCCCACCCAGGCTGGAGTGTAGTGGCGTGATCTCGGCTCACTGCAAGCTCTGCCTCCCGGGTTCACACCATTCTCCTGCCTCAGCCTCCCAAGTAGCTGGGACTACAGGTGCCCGCCACCACGCCCAGATAATTTTTTGTATTTTTAGTAGAGACGGGTTTTCAGCATGTTAGCCAGGATGGTCTCGATCTCCTGACCCCGTGATCTGCCCGCCTCGGCCTCCCAAAGTGCTGGGATTACAGGCATGAGCCACCGTGCCCAGCCTTAACCTTCTCTTATAGGGCCTGGTAACTCACCACGAGTGAATGAATAAAATAAACACCACATTGAAAACACGAACTGTGATTTTATCGTATTTTCCTGTAAAGTACTGTTGGCAAGAATGGCATCTAAAATCATTTGAATCAAAATCTTCACTAAACTGTAATTCACTAGATGCCAGTTGCAGAAGAAAATGGTGAAGTGGATGCCAATTTAGCCTTTATTCTGTAATTCTAGACTGCGCAAAGCTGCGCCCGAGTCCCGTTTTCTGTGAGTTCCACACACTGGCTAGCCTTGGTCTTGAGGACTTTCCACACAGGTCTGGGTGGTGATAAACTCATGAAGGGTGTCTTGGAAAGGGAGGAGCTCTTCTGCCTGGAATCACAGGGAGAACGCAGTGCTCCCACCAGACACTAGCTCACTGCTGCTTTCCTGGTTGCATGGACAGAACCTCCTGTCTTTAGTTAGGGGAATAGTAGAGATCTGGGGAGTGAGCCCGAGGGTGTGGAGGGTCATTGTCCCGTGCGGGAGGAGGGTTGATGATGGTGTGTGTGCAGTTGTGGGTTGAAGGGCTCGTGGAGGGTGTGGAGGACCGTCATCGTCCCATGAGGGAGGAGGGTTGGCGGGGTCTCTGCCGTTCTGGGTTGAATGGCTCGTGGAGGGTGTGGAGGACCGTCATCATCCCATGCGGGAGGAGGGTTGGTGGTGTGCGTGCAGTTCTGGGTTGAAGGGCATGTGAAGAGGGCAAACTGGGCTTTTGGTTTCTGTCTTCCCTTGAGTCCTGAGTGAGTCACTCCATGGTCCCCCACCCTCCTGCATAGAGTGCTCAGGATCGGCCCAGAAAAGACCAGTTACCCCCTGTTCTCCCCTCCACTACCCCCACGTTTGCTTGTACAGACTGAAGGGGTGACCTAGCAGATACCTGTGGGGGTCCAGACCTTGGGAGAGGGAAGTTCTTGGGGGTCAGCCGGTAGCCCTGTTCAAGGCAGACCTTAGAGGAGTCTTGAGCATGCATTCTTCACTTCTCAACTTTTGGCCATCTTAGTTTTTTCCTTGTACTTTATTTTTTATTTTTAAATTAATTATTTTATACTTAAGTATTATGTGGAAACAATCCAGAGGGCTTGTGGGTCTCTCTTCCTCCCATCGCTCCTGCAGGGGTAGCTCCTGTTTCTGATTCAGGACTCTGCTTCCTAAGCATGAGGCTCTGTTGCTGTCCCTTGATGCGTAAGTTTCAGATGCATGAGCCCCATCACTGTTCATCAGGTGGGGTACTGTGATTACTTTCCCTCGAAACGGTGTTACTACGAAAGCCAATGGTTGTTCTGTGCCCTCCAGCAGCTCTGTAAGATGCTCTCAGTACAGTCTGCCTGCCACGGAACTGTTCCCTGCCATGTTCCCTAGAGGGGTCCGCCTTCAGTCCTCCTCCACGTTGCTCATTCTGTGCCTGCTCTAAACTGCTCTCCTGGGACGGCCTTTGCACTCGCCTGGGTTGGATGCCAGGATTCATGGATCTTCAATTTTTCTCTTTGCTGGTTTTGGTGGAACATGTCCTCCAGTGGCTCCCCAAGAAAGGCAATATATTAACTGGAATAAAGGCTCAGCTGCCACCCAGACAGCTTGGCTTCAACAAGAGAGAGGACTTTTTCTTTTTTTTTTTTGAACTAACAATGCAGCTGTGAGCGATCCACAGCCGATAGGCAGCCCCGTGGTGCTGGGGACCCAGGCTTCTGCTGCCCTGTGGCTCCGCCAGCCTGGGAGTGCCCTCTTGGTGAGCCACATGTTGCCTATCTCTTCATCAGCGTCCAGCCCCAAAGGGGTGGAGGGCATATTGAAAATTGCAGCCTCCCCTTTTGGCCACAATGTCCTCATGTGGCCACATCTGTGGGTGGGTGAGTGCCGCTGGTCAGACGTGTCTGTTAGACATTGGAGTGACTGATGAAGGAAGAGATAGTCTCTGTCATGGGGCCTAGAGGGTCATCTTCCCAAGCTTTGCGCGTCTGAAAAGACTTGTGGCTGAGCAGGGTGTGGGGAAGTGTTCCTTACAGGGCTTGGAAGCGTTTGTTCCATGTCTTCTGGCTTCTGAGGTTTTTGCTGGGAAATTCAGGGACTGTAGATTTTCCCTCCACTTTCTGGCCGCAACCTCTGCCTGTCTGCTGGCCTGATCTTCCCTCCCCATTCCAGCCTTCAGCCCTTGGCCTATCCTTGATCTTCCAGGGACTTTTTATTACTAACCCATTTATCTGGATAGCAAATCACGTAGTTTGCAGTTTCTGGGTGTTTCTTCCAAGTGAAGTGACATCCTTCTCCACCCCTGTCCCCCAGACACCACCAGCTTAGCAGCCGCAGGCGATTATGCTGTGCACTCACATTGAGAGCCATGGTTCTGGCTCACTGGGGTCACCCCAGGTGTTTGGTAGGTAGGAAGGGGCCCAAGAACTTGCACTGCCCCCTTGCTCCTTGCGATGCTGAGGCTACTGGTCTGGAGTCCCCACTGGGCCGTGTCATGTCTCTCTCAATCTCTGCGCTCTAGGCCACCCTTCCCAGGCAGTTTTGGCAGGTGGGCTCACCTCATGTAATTAAAAAGTTTTAATTTCATCTGTGGACAGCTTTTTAAAAAATTTTTTGGGTACATAGTAGGTATATATATTTATGGGGTACATGAGATGGTTTGATACAGGCACACAATATGAAATTAGTACATCGGCCAGGTGCGGTGGCTCACGCCTGTAGTCCCAGCACTTTGGGAGGCCAAGGTGGGCAGATCACTTGAGGTCAGGAGTTTGAGACCAGCCTGGCCAACATGGTAAAACCCTGTCTCTACTAAAAATACAAAAATTAGTTGGGTATGATGGCGGGTGCCTGTAATCCCAGCTGCTTGGGAGGCAGAGGCAGGAGAATCACTTGTGCCCAGGAGGGAGGGGTTACAGTGAGCCAAGATCATGCCACTCCAATCCAGCCAGCCTGGGTGACAGAGCGAGACTCTGCCTCGAAATAAAGAAATAAAGAAAGAAAGGGAGAGATAGAGAGAGGGGGAGGGAGGGAGGGAGGGAAAGAAAGAAAGCACATCATGGGGAATGAGGTATCCATTTCCTCAAGCATTTATCTTTTGTGTTACAAACAATCCACTTACACTCTTTTAGTTATTTTGAAATGTACAATTACGTTATTATTGACTGTGGTCACCCTGTTGTGCTGTCGAATAGTAGGGCTTATTCATTCTTTCAATTTTGTAATACCCCTTAACCATCTCCCCTGGCCCCTGCTAACCGCCCATCCTGTGGTTAGCTTTGGAGCCTTTCCCTCTATCTCAGGCTCCTTCCCCGGCCACCAGCTCTACCGAGGGAGACGCAGCCTCCTTTTGCTTAGAGCCAGCCCTTCCTCTCCATCCTGCCCTCTTCTCACTTCTCCGTCAGATCCGGTCTGTATGTCTCCTCCACTTGAGGTGATGTTGGCGCCTCCCCTGAGAGGTTGGATCTGTGACCTCGTCTCTGCTGCCTATTAAGGTCACTTGGGGAACTCTTAAAACCACAGACACCCAGACCCCACCCGACAGGTGACCCAGACCCTGGGAGTCGGGGTGAGGGGTGTCCAGGAGCTGTAGTGTCCCAAGCTCCCCAGGGAATTCTCGGGGACAGGCTGGGGCAGCACTGCCGCGGTAAACGTCCTACCCTGGGAAAGAGAAACGGCTGTGAGAAAGGGGCGCTCCTGGACTCGTGTGTCCATGAGTGTGTTTCCCTTCTTCTCAGCAAGTTTCCCAGTTCTGAAATCCTTCTTGTCATCTTCCTGGGTACCCTTAAGTGAGCAGCCTAGTACCCATTTTGAGCTATTTTGAGAAGCCGGAAGAAGAACCTCATTCCTACAGTTAGTTACTGTGATCCTCCCTGAATTATACCACAAGAGACCCCAATAGCTGGGGACGGAGGGAGTTGAGATACCTTGAGGGGCAGATTGAACCTTGCGGACAGCGGCAGCTCCAGCCCTGCCCTGGACCGGTTTTGTTGGGGGAACTGACCCGGCTGGCACCCCCAACACCGCACCTTTGTGGTACATCAGCCTGTCTCTCTCATTTCAGCCTAGATGTGGCCCTCATGGGGCCCTCGTCCATGGGATGATCCGGGTTGTTCTGGTTGCTTCTCCGGTTCCTGTATCAGGGTCTTTAGAGCGTGAGGGGAATGGAGGGAGGGCATGGGTTGTTCTCTGGCTTAGAAAAGAACCTCAACGTTTACTGATCACATCGGCTCTGAGTAAAAACTAACTCTGCTCTGAAACAGAAGTCAAGGTGGGTATCCTCATCGGGAGAGCTTGCTCAGCTCCCATGGTACTGGGAAGCACAGGATGGAGCATGTGGCAGGGAAGAGGGGCCACAATAGAGTTTCCTAAACTCATCTGAGCCTTAGAAACCATCTTTGTGCTTGTTAAAAGTGCAGATTCCGGCTGAACGTGGTGGCTCACACCTGTAATCCCAGCACTTTGGGAGGCCAAGGCAGGTGGATAACTTGAGGTCAGGAGTTCAAGACCAGCCTGGCCATCATGATGAAATCTCGTCTCTACTAAAAATACAAAAATTAGCCAGGTGTAGTGGCAGGTACCTGTAATCCCAGCTACTTGGGAGGCTGAGGCAGGATAATCACTTGAACCTGGGAGGTGGAGGTTACAGTGAGCCAAGATCATACCACTGCACTCCATCCAGCCTGGGTGACAGAACAAGACTCTGTCTCAAAAAGCAACAACAACAACAACAAAACAAACAAACAGATTCCCCAGCCCTTCTCCTGGAGGTTTTGCTGCAGCAGGGCTGGGCTGGGGCCCAGAAACCTGTATTTTTAGCAACAAGTGCCCTGGGTGGCTCTGATGATTCAGGGGCCTCAGAAACCCACAGCTAGAGTGTAGGTTTGTCTCAATGGATCCAGCAACCGTGTCCCTATGTCCAGCAATCTCCCACCCATGTCCCTGGACCTCTCCAGAGCATTGGACACCACTGACCTGGCCACCCTGAGGTCCCCTCACAGGATTTCAGGCCATTATGCTTTCCAAGGCCTTCATCCTCCCACGCTGGTGGGCGCCAGGGTGGCTGGGGAATGGGCCTGGGTGTCTGAATGTTGATCGCACCCCGAGTGGTTCTGCGCACATCAGGGGGAGGACCCTGGGGCTCTCTGGAGGCTCTGCCTCCTCCTCTTTCACCTGCCCCTGAGTGTGGGTGTGCCCCTGAGGTCTGCCCTCACCCTCTTCCCACCTTTTCTCCCGTGAGCTCACCTGACCCCACGGCCTCAGCTCCCGCCTCCAAGTGGCAACTGACAGATTTTCTAATATCCAGCTCAGTTGTTACTCCCAAGCTCTGGCAGCCTGTGGCAGCTTCACCTTGGACCTGCTCTTCCTCTGGATTCCCCACTTGCTGTCCTTGTCCTAACTTCTGAAGGTGACGTGTGAACGGTGCCCTGAGGCTGTGACCTGTGGCAGCCCTCACCTAACCTAAACTCTCTGGGCCTTTCTCTCCTCCCCACCAGTGAGATAATGCAGGGATTACAAACAGACGAGATAACACAGGGAAGGCAGCACATGGGAGGCATTTAAGAAAGATCAGTTACTTTCATAACTTTTATTACATTTACTTTATTAGTTTTATTATTACAGACATAGAGAATGTTCTGCTCCATGGGGAACTCAAGCTTTTTTCTCATATCCAGGGGAGCGTTTACAAAATAGGATCATGCACTTGACCACAAAGAGCGTTTTAATTATAAGTTCCCTAAAGTGAGACCCATTAAGCCTAAGCCTCCTTAACGAGAACATAGCCCCTGGAAATGGAACACTCCTGCAAATAACTGCCGGCCAAAGAAAAAGTAACGTCTGGACTTATGATTATGTAGAAGATAATGAAAACTGAATACTTCCTATCAAAATCGGGGAGATAGCTAAAGATGTTTTCGGAGTAAAAGTGACAAACTTTGAGCTTATTACTTAAAAGGAAAAATAAAAAATACCTAAGTGTTGGAACTGGAAAAAAAAAATAACAAAATCCACCCACAGGAAGGAGGCGGAAAGACTCAGGGCAGGAGCAGGCCGACTTTATGTCTCTGTCTGGGTCTCTGGGTCCCTCCTCTCCCCATATCTTGGAGCTGTCCTCCCAGCCCCCTACTGCAATCCCCCAAATCCAAGTCTTTACCAACACAGAACCTGTAAAGTTTGGGCCATCAGAGCTTGTTCCGCTGTCCCGTCCAAGTCCAAGCACCCTCTAGTTGCAGCCTACTGGGCACTGCCCTGGCACCTGGTTTGCAGAATGTGGGTGTGAGGTCATGACTGAGCCCCTTAACTGGGATGACTCGGCCTCTGCTGCCGAGGCTGGAGACCACGTCTGTTTTGCCTGCTCTGCCAGCCCCAAGTCACAGTGTGCACACCTGGGTCAAGGGAGTAAATGAAAGCCGACAGGGCGAACATGACTGTTGATCGGCCTTGGCGGTGAGTGCTGTCATGGCAGAAAATAGTGGCCAGGACGTAGTGGTTTTCTATTCTGTGCTATCTTCAGTCTACAAATAAGTTTATCAGTAAAGAGCCACTGACTGCGCCAGCTATGACAGTCTAGGAGGGTCTGGGGAGATGTACTGGCTGTGCTGGGAGCCCTCTGTCCGGTCGCTGTTCCCTCCGCCCAGTCGCTTTTCCCTCCGCCCAGTCGCTTTTCCTTCCATCCAGTCACTGTTCCCTTCACGTGGTTGCAGTTCTCTCCACCTGGTCATGGTTCTCTCTGCCTGGTTGCGGTTCCCTCTGCCTGTGGCTGTTCCCTCTGCCTGGTCGTGGTTCCCTCTGCCTGTTGCTGTTCCTTCTGCCTGTTGCTGTTCCTTCTGCCTGTTGTGGTTCCCTCTGCCCGGTTGTAGTTCCCTCTGCCCAGTTGTAGTTCCCTCTGGTTGCTGTTCCCTCCGCCTGTGGCTGTTCCTTCTGCCTGTTGTGGTTCCCTCTGCCCGGTTGTAGTTCCCTCTGCCTGGTTGTGGTTCCCTCTGCCTGTTGCAGTTCTCTCCACCTGGTCGTGGTTCCCTCTGCCTGTTGCTGTTCCTTCTGCCTGTTGTGGTTCCCTCTGCCCGGTTGTAGTTCTCTCTGGTCGCTGTTCCCCCTGCCTGTGGCTGTTCCTTCTGCCTGTTGTGGTTCCCTCTGCCCGGTTGTAGTTCCCTCTGGTCACTGTTCCCTCTGCCTGTGGCTGTTCCTTCTGCCTGTTGCGGTTCCCTCTGCCTGGTTGTAGTTCCCTCTGCCTGGTCGTGGTTCCCTCTGCCTGTTGCTGTTCCTTCTGCCTGTTGTGGTTCCCTCTGCCCGGTTGTAGTTCCCTCTGGTCGCTGTTCCCCCTGCCTGTGGCTGTTCCTTCTGCCTGTTGTGGTTCCCTCTGCCTGGTTGTAGTTCCCTTTGGTCACTGTTCCCTCTGCCTGTGGCTGTTCCTTCTGCCTGTTGCGGTTCCCTCTGCCTGGTTGTAGTTCCCTCTGCCTGGTTGTGGTTCCCTCTGCCTGGTTGCAGTTTCCTCCACCTGTTGCTGTTCCTTCTGCCTGTTGTGGTTCCCTCTGCCTGTTTGTGGTTCCCTCTGCCCAGTTGTAGTTCCCTCTGTCTGGTTGTGGTTCCCTCTGCCTGTTTGTGGTTCCCTCTGCCCAGTTGTAGTTCCCTCTGCCCGGTCACAGTTCCCTCCACCTGTGGCTGTTCCTTCTGCCTGCTGCGGTTCCCTCTGCCTGGTTGCAGTTCCCTCCGCCTGTTGCAGTTCCCCCGCCTGGTCGTGGTTCCCTCCGCCTGTTGTGGTTCCCTCTGTCTGTTGCTGTCCCCTCCTCCTGTTACTGTTCCCTCTGCCTGGTTGCTCTTCCCTCCGCCTGTTGCTGTTCCCTCTGCCAGGGTCTTGGTTCTTTCTCTCTACCTGGGTTACCCAGACAACTGTAAGGCTGCCTGTGTTTTTCTCCAGGTCTCTGAAGAAAAGGAAAGAGACCTCTCATGAGCACTCTGTATAAATTAGACTGCCTCAGCTTACTTTTTATTCCAAGGCACCATCACTCCTGACACACTTTCCTGTGACCTCTGTCTGTCTGTTCACTCCTGCATTCCCACTTAGCGCAGGGCCTGGCATGGAGTCAGCACTCAGTAGCTGAATGACTGGACTGGGAAAAATGAAGGTCCTGCGTGGGAAGGACTGCGGACTGTGCTGGTGCCGCGCAGTCAGCCCCACCCAGAGGATTGTGCCAGGCTGCACGTGCGCTGCACGTGAGAAACACGTAATGACCGCTCTCTAACTCGAGAACCAGTGACCAGGCACCTCCTGTGTGCCGAGCCCCGCCGTGCTCCACCAGGGACACTGTGAAGAAGACACAGCCCTGCTGGCTGGTTGGGAGTCAAACCTTCTGCGACAAACATCCATGCAGGTGTCTAGCTGCTGGGGAGCCAAACAACGCTGCTGGGGGTCTTGAGGCCAGGGGACAGCACAGCTTAGCCTGAGACTATAGGAGGAGGCAGAGGAAAGGGAAGGCAGAGAAAACATGGGAGGGGACGCAAGTGAGGCCTCCACCAAGACGCTCTTGTTCACTTGGTCTTCTTGGGGCAGTTGTGAAAAAACAATCTTTTGCACCTGCAGGAGGAGTTGACTTTCACTGAAAAATGCAAAAGAGGGCACAGTTACTCTTTTCCAATTCCGTGACCTTGTTTGGCCGGAGCCCCCACTGCTACGTGGGACACAACACACCAGACCCTCAGTGTTGGGGCAAGGAAGGAAAAAGGTGGACGAAGAGCTGTTCCCTACTCTTGAGGAACTTCTGGTCTAGGGGGATCAAGAGGTGAACAAACAAATGCTTTGGGACGCCGCTTTCTTCCTCGTGAAGCTGAGTGGCACAGGCTGCAGTTAAATTCCTTCTAGTACTCGCCTTCTAGGATCTTGGTGTTTGAAAACATCGTTCTCCAGGTTCTTCTGTTCTGAAGAACAGCTTCACGTCCATCCTGATGCTTCAGCGGGGGAGCGGGACGTGGGGACTGGTGAACTTGAACCTTGAACCCCGAGATGGTGTCAACCCTGAAAGCCTGGGCGTGGGGTTCATATCACTCCAGTCCAAGCATCCTATAGGCACCTGTCCCAGGAACTCACTTTGTCCTGCCCACACTGGGTCCTCCTCTCAGCCGGGTCCCTGGTGGCCAGCACGTCATCCCTCTCAAATCATGGGGCACTGACCCCTTTCCAGAAATATGGAGTATTTGGTTGAGGTCTTGCCATGAACCGTAAGAACGTCCTCTCCCTCTCCCCCTCCCCCTCCCCCTCTCCCCACGGTCTCCCTCTCCCTCTCTTGCCACGGTCTCCCTCTGATGCCGAGCCGAAGCTGGACTGTGCTGCTGCCATCTTGGCTCACTGCAACCTCCCTGCCTGATTCTCCTGCCTCAGCCTGCCGAGTGCCTGCGATTGCAGGCGCGCGCCGCCACGCCTGACTGGTTTTCGTATTTTTTTGGTGGAGACGGGGTTTCGCTGTGTTGGCCGGGCTGGTCTCCAGCTCCTAACCGCGAGTGATCCGCCAGCCTCGGCCTCCCGAGGTGCCGGGATTGCAGACGGAGTCTCGTTCACTCAGTGCTCAATGGTGCCCAGGCTGGAGTGCAGTGGCGTGATCTCGGCTCGCTACAACCTCCACCTCCCAGCTGCCTGCCTTGGCCCCCCAAAGTGCCGAGATTGCAGCCTCTGCCCGGCCACCACCCCGTCTGGGAAGTGAGGAGCGTCTCTGCCTGGCCGCCCGTCGTCTGGGATGTGAGGAGCCTCTCTGCCTGGCTGCCCAGTCTGGAAAGTGAGGAGCGTCTCTGCCCGGCCGCCATCCCATCTAGGAAGTGAGGAGCGTCTCTGCCCGGCCGCCCATCATCTGAGATGTGGGGAGCGCCTCTGCCCTGCCGCCCCGTCTGGGATGTGAGGAGCGTCTCTGCCCGGCCGCCCCGTCTGAGAAGTGAGGAGACCCTCTGCCTGGCAACCGCCCCGTCTGAGAAGTGAGAAGCCCCTCCGCCCGGCAGCCACCCCGTCTGGGAAGTGAGGAGCGTCTCCACCCGGCAGCCACCCCGTCCGGGAGGGAGGTGGGGGTCAGCCGCCCCGTCTGGGAGGGAGGTGGGGGGGTCAGCCCCCCGCCCGGCCAGCCGCCCCTTCCGGGAGGTGAGGGGCGCCTCTGCCCGGCCGCCCCTACTGGGAAGTGAGGAGCCCCTCTGCCCGGACAGCCGCCCCGTCCGGGAGGGAGGTGGGGGGGTCAGCCCCCCGCCCGGCCCGCCGCCCCGTCCGGGAAGGATGTGGGGGGGACAGCCCCCCGCCCGGCCAGCCGCCTCATCCGGGAGGTGAGGGGCGCCTCTGCCCGGCCGCCCCTACTGGGAAGAGAGGAGCCCCTCTGCCCGGCCAGCCGCCCCATCCGGGAGGGATGTGGGGGGGTCAGCCCCCCGCCCGGCCAGCCGCCCCATCTGGGAGGGAGGCGGGGGGGTCAGCGCCCCGCCCGGCCAGCCGCCCCGTCCGGGAGGTGAGGGGCGCCTCTGCCCGGCCGCCCCTACTGGGAAGTGAGGAGCCCCTCTGCCCGGCCACCACCCTGTCTGGGAGGTGTACCCAACAGCTCATTGAGAACGGGCCATGATGACAATGGCAGTTTTGTGGAATAGAAAGGGGGGAAAGGTGGGGAAAAGATTGAGAAATCGGATGGTTGCCGTGTCTGTGTAGAAAGAGGTAGACATGGGAGACTTTTCATTTTGTTCTGTACTAAGAAAAATTCTTCTGCCTTGGGATCCTGTTGATCTGTGACCTTACCCCCAACCCTGTGCTCTCTGAAACATGTGCTGTGTCCACTCAGGGTTAAATGGATTAAGGGCGGTGCAAGATGTGCTTTGTTAAACAGATGCTTGAAGGCAGCATGCTCGTTAAGAGTCATCACCACTCCCTAATCTCAAGTACCCAGGGACACAAACACTGCGGAAGGCCGCAGGGTCCTCTGCCTAGGAAAACCAGAGACCTTTGTTCACTTGTTTATCTGCTGACCTTCCCTCCACTATTGTCCTGTGACCCTGCCAAATCCCCCTCTGCGAGAAACACCCAAGAATTATCAATTAAAAAAAAAAAAAAAAAAAGAACGTACTTTTCTACCTGTGTACGGGTCGGATGGGGGTGTTTTTCTTTTCTTTTCTTTCTTTTTTTTTTTTTTTTGGTGCCACATTGTCCAGCCTGTGCTTCTCTCTTTAGCTGTGGTCGCCAGGGGCATGCGTGGCAGATACCCACTGACAACATTTCCCTGTTCCAAGTGATGAACACAAACCCTTCAAAAGGAGCGTCCCCTGGACTCTTGGAAGGAAACTGACACCCCACCAAAATTTCTGGGCCTTCCAGGAAGCGACCTTGCTTTGGTAGCCTCCAGGCTGAGGCCGCAGCCTCTCACTGGCCTGTCCTTCTTAGGGGTGGGCCTGGGGGCTCGTGTGTAGCTGCAGCCTCCTCTTGCTGGGGCCTCCATGGCAGTTGGGATGCAAAATCCATCTACCCTTTCTCTGCTTCCTTATTTTGAAAGTGAAGCATGGATACTCAAACATCAGGAAGCAGTCAAGACCTCCCCCCTTCCCTGCTTCAGACTCTATAGAATGTAAGGAATCAATGGGCGTGGGCAGCTCTTGGCCCTTCTCCCTGGGTCTATGATGCTCCCAGACGTCCGGGAACCACTTAGTGAATATTCCTCTGTCCATGGTCCCAGCCACAGAACCTGGGAGGGAGAGGCCAGGGCTGTCTCGCAGGTTCTCACTCAACTGGATCTTTTCAGAACTCTTGTAATTACTAACGGGTGGGGTATTTAAAACAAGATGAAGTTACTATCATTTTCTTAATATAGGAGGCCGGCGCCCACGCTCCGTCAGTTGGGATTAAATATAGAAATGGGGGCATCTCAGATTGCCGCCCACAGAACAGACAGCGGCACACGGGCTCCGAGCTGTGAACTGCCGCCTTGGGTTTGCAGGCAAGCCTGACCCAGTCACGAGCAAGGCCTTGGGAGAAGAAAATGAAGCCTTATTTTTAAGCCAGTTGACAGATCAATACTTAAAAACAAAAAAACACAAAACAAAAACCTATAAGCAGTTAAATGTTACAATTAAAAATACCTTTGGTACCTAACGTGTATACATTAGTGGCCAAGAAAGTCTTTTTTTTTTCCCCGTAATTCTTGAAATAAATGCAGCTCCAAGGACGGCGGGTCCTACAATTTTGTTGTCATCTTTTAAATTACAGATCTTGGGAGATGAGGACTGCCTGCGGTGGACTGTAATGTGCCAAAGTTATTTTCCAACGTTGGCAGCACCCGTTGTGCCTGCGGTGGGGGAAATTGATGAGGCTTTTCAGTAGGAACCTGGAAAGAAGCATCTTGGAAAAAACTTAGGCACTCGATATTTTAAATACAGCGGAAGAAAGTGAAAGGGAGACAGTGGCTTCCAGCGTCAGAAGCGGGGTGGCTCCCTCTGGCAAGGCAGGGGCCCAGGTGGACAGTGGTGGCAAGAAAGGCAGTTGTGAGGAAGGCACTATGTTTTTCTGGGTTGTTTTCTTAAAATTTAGTTTTCTCAGTTAACACATTGATTGTAGTGTCTTGTGTGTGCTGTCATAGACACAGGCATTGTGTGGTAGCAGTCTTTACACGCAGGACACGATGGGCACGTGGCTTTCTAATGATCTCACTTCTGCAGGGACCATCTGACCTCATTGCTCTCTCTCGGTGGCAGGTAACCAGCAGGCTTGGCACGAGGCCCTACAACAGGATGCCCAGGGTTGTGTCTCGCCGGTAGGAGAGGGCTTGTGATCAACAGTGGTTGATTAAAATCTCAGTTTTTATGAGATCACTTTCCTTCCCTCTAAGTAGCCAGCAGAGTTCAGCTGACACACAGACCATGGTTTTTCTATGTTTTTCTCAAGCCCACTGGATCGACACTAAAAAGTGCATTTGTGAAAACACAGACTGGGGTGGGTGGAGGCTGAGGCACTGGTTTTTCGCCAGGTCCGTCTTCTCGGGTGGGTTTCTGCTCCCGCCTCTGATCCTGCTGCCTCAACACCTGCAGGGACTGGGAGCCTTCGCTGTCGCAAGGCCAAACGCTTGGTTTTTGGACCGTTCTAAGTGTTTCCCCGAGAAAGGTTATCTCCTGAGTCGTAAAGTTGGCCTTGAGTTGGCCCAGGATCCTACTATGACTTCTCTGGGAGGTGCAGATGACCTGAAGTGGACAAAGATCCTTCCAGATGAGATCCTTTGGGAGCTCAGAGCCCTCCTGCCTGCTGCCCTGGCCAGTGTCCATGAGGCCAGCCCAGGTCTTGAAAGACCTCCTTGTCTGCCAGAGTCAGGATGCTACACCGTCCTGATTTCCCACCGCTCGTGAGTCACTGTTCCGGGTCCTTAGAATAAAACTCCAGGTGTGGGGTATAATCTGATAATAGACACACATGGTGGGATTACGACAGCCCCCCTGGCCTGGGCCCCAGAATAGCACTGACTCCATCCACCAGTCTTGGCCTTTTCCATCGTTAGTATAAAGTTGTTGTTTCATAGCAGGTCTGCCGCTGATCTAAACTCTGCGTGGTTTCCCAGGCCGGTGCGTGTGTGCTGGCTGCTGGGGCTGGAGGAGGCTGTCCCTGTAAATGTCACCGTCCAGCTCACACAGCAAGATCATTTTGAGTGTGGGCTTGGTTTTTTGGCCGGTCATCAAGCTCACCTGGCTTTGGGGTTTCTGGGACCGGATGAGCTTTTCCTGCCCTCATCTGTGACTAATTCTTGACGCAAATTGTTGCCTGAAGGAGCCACATACTTTGTGGCTGGGGCAGCTTGCTTGGGCTGGTTGTGACCTGTTAGTCAACCTGCATTCATTCATTGATTAATTCATTCATTCAGCAACCATTTCCTGAGCACCAGATGCCAGCTCTGTGTTGGGTCAGGGACACAGGGACAACGAGGCAGGTCCTCACCCAGTGCAGGCGTCCATGTCACATCATGCAGTGTGGTCTGGGGGTGCCGTGTGGAGCCTGCAGGAGCATGGGGGTGGTGAAGAGGGTATTCGCACACCAGGCACTCAATAGCCGCTCACATCTTCCCCTCGGGGTTGACTGTCACGTGCTTTGGATCCTGAGCGGTTTTCAGTAACATGAGGTCCCTTGTGGAGTCTCATACCAACAAGGTAGCCTTTTGGATAAATGGGGCAAACCCCGGTTTGAAGGAGCTGATTACAACTCCTTCCATTTATTCTCTCATTCTGCTTTTCAGGATGGAAGAACAAGGGGTTAATTGTAGGCACTTCCTAAGTTCTGAACATTAAATCCAACACGAACCCTTCCTTTCCCTCCTCCTTCCCCCACAGCTAAACCACCCTGAGTTGATGACACCAGCTGGTGGCCAGCACTGGACACTCTGGGTCTGTGACTTTGAACGCTCCTTCCTGCAATCATCTTGGGAAGAATTCCACTCTGGACTCGATGTCACAGGACAGGATGGGGAGGCAACATGGCATTGCCTCTGGTGGCCCAAGGTCAGGTCCGGTCCCATCCTACCCCTAGTGGTGTGACTTTGGAAGCGTGACTCTCCATGTGTCTGGTTCCTGACTTGTAGAATGGAGACAGGGAGGCTGCTGCCTCATCGGGTGTTGTCCAGTGAGACCCGGTGTTGGTCATTCTGTGTTTGTGGAGAGGGACCGGCCGCGCATCAGGATAGGGTGCTGTCCGGTGAGATTCCGTGTTTGTGGAGAGGGGAGGGGCCGGCCACACATCAGGATAGGGTGCTGTCTGGTGAGATTCCGTGTTTGTGGAGAGGGGAGGGGCTGGCTGCGCATCAGGATCGGGTGGGGTCCGGTGAGATTCTGTGTTTGTGGAGAGAGGCCGGCCACGCGTCAGGATCGGGTGGGGTCCGGTGAGATTCCGTGTTTGTGGAGAGGGCCGGCCGCGCATCAGGATCGGGTGGGGTCCGGTGAGATTCTGTGTTTGTGGAGAGGGCCGGCCTTGTGCATCACAGGATCGGGTGGGGTCCGGTGAGATTCCGTGTTTGTGGAGAGGGGAGGGGCCAGCTGTGAGTCATGGACTCAGGCTGCCTCAGTGAACAGACAAAGTTCACGGCTCATGGCACTGACTTTGCAGCCGAGTTCCTCTATGTGACATGCTGGGCCATGCCTGGCACCAGCTTCCCCGGCAATGCCAGCCGCTGCCCTCAGCATCCAGCTCACGGCCCCCAGCAGCATCAGGACCCTGTGTCCATGTGCTGTCCTGGCTCCTGATGCTAGGCTTTGGTGTCCCTTCCTTAAAACTCCTGCTTGTCCCTGGCTCATTTGTTCCTAGGAGGACCCTGACTAGCTGCTGGATGGCGACGTATCTCCCCCTGAGGAAGGCCACATATAGTGCACATTTGGTGATAAACTTCTCACATACTCCAGTTAACAATGTGTCTCCCCAGCACACACGGTCCTGCTGGAATCCTGCTGGCTCATCGTCATTCCTGTGCTCAGCTGTTGTCACTTCATCACCAGGTTGCCATTTTCTGAATATAAATGGTCAGCGTTTCATGGCAAATGCAGCTGGTCCTGGCCCCCATTGGAGGCTGACAGAGCTTCTGTTGGCTGCCCAGGGCAGTATTTAGAGTTGGTCTGTGGGAAATGCCGTGGAATTCCGTGGCACACCTGTGCTGGCTGTGTGTGTGAGTGGGACCACTAGTCCAGCTGTTGTGGTCACAAGTCAGTTTCTTTATGAGGCAGATCAACCTAGAAGAACTCAGTCTGTGGGCTGCAGCTCTGCCGCTACTAAGCCCCTTAAACACACGCACACACGTGCCCTACACACACACACACACACACACACACTTGCGCTCTCTCTCTCTCTCTCTCTGAAGCCATGACCTAGTACCTAGTCAGGAGGTGGCCGGGTGGGCCTCTCTGCCCTCTGTGTGTGGCGTCCGGTAAGGGGAGGCCGACTGTCCTCTGTGCCCTCTGTGTGTGGTGCCTGGTAAGGGGAGGCCGACTGTCCTCTATGCCCTCTGTGTGTGGTGCCTGGTAAGGGGAGGCCAACTGTCCTCTGGATCCCTCCTTTGCCCACCTGAGCCAAGTGTGTGGGGTTCTCAGCCAGCATGTTACCTGGTGTTCTGAGTTATTTCATTTTTCTTTCCTTTTCTGTTCAGCCTCCAAACCTCAGATCTGTCCCCAAAGCCCTAAATTAAATTAGTGTTCAGCTCAACAGATGTCCACCAAATCCCCACATCCCATGATAGCAGCTGCCATTGCTGGCAGCCACATGGTCATCCCATTTGCTCCTCAGTCACCTTGCCTGTGGGCGCCGTCACCTCCTCTGCCTGACAGACACTGAGCCCACGGCTCAGGGAGGGCAACCTGCCTGCCCAAGGTCACCCAGCCGGCAGTGGCGGAGGTGATGGGGACTCACTCCCAGCCAGGCTATGGCAGTGACTCTCACACTCTAGACGGGGACAGAGGGACTCAAGCCCCTCCAGGCATGGGCGATGGGGCAGGGGGATTCGCACCAGGCCTCATTCCAGACTCTGCTCCTGAACCACACTGTGGTAGGGGCCCACTCACAGGTGGGTGTGGTTAATTCAGAAGCTGAGGCTGCCCCCTCCAAGGAAGCCCTCGATATTGACACACGGATGATCCTATTCTGTTTTGTGTTTTCACTTCCTTGCCGTCCTGGGCTAGGGACCTGGCCCAACCGTCCTCTACCCTGTGAGGGCTGGGCTTGCTGGGCCTTTATGGAGGCCCCTTGCCATGGGAGAGAGACCAGGAGAGCCTGGTGGTGGCTTAGCCAACCTGCACCTTCTATTTCCAATAACAACATAAAACCACCTTGCAGAACTGTGAGAGCCAAGCCACCTGAAGCCCAGAGGTGCCCTGCCCTGCCTGGCACCCGGAGCGGCATCTTATTTGCCTGGGGGAGAAAATCCGCTGCCTAGGATTCTTTCCCTTGCCAAACAGCTATTTTCCCGGTATTTCACCTGCACTCTTTCTTCAGAATCGGACCTCCATGTGACTTAGGGCCTCCGTTGTTCATTTGAAAATGGGGATGCTGATTGAAAAATGGAGATGCACCTGGGCGCAGTAGCTCACACCTGTAATCCCAGCACTTTGGGAGACCAAGGCAGGTGGATCACTTGAAGTCAGGAGTTTGAGACCAGCCTGGTCAACATGGTGAAACCCCGACTCCACTAACAATACAAAAATTAGCTGGGCATGGTGACGGGCTCCTGTAATCCCAGCTACTTAGGAGGCTGACACAGGAGAATCGCTTGAACCCGGGAGGCAGAGGTTGCAGTGAGCCAAGGTTGCACCACTGCACTCCAGCCTGGGTGACAGAGAGAGACTCTTTCTCAAAAAGAAAAAGAAAGACGGGGATGCTGATGCCCCCAGCACAGGTTGAGCCGAACAGATGCCCCAGGTGTTTGAAAGGACAGGCGAAAGTGCAGCGAGCGTGAACCTGGCCCCTCCTCCCCTCACCTGTCCTACCTCATTTAGCAGCATCTTCTTATAGCTTCTGTGGGAAAAGTCATGGTAATAAAAACATAATGCTTTAATCAATAACACCCATGTCTCTGTTTTAGCTTTTTATTCTGGGAATGCTCAGATATACACAAAAGCAGAGTGTAGAGCATCCCAAGCCCCTGGGTATTCGTCTCCCAGCACCAGCAATGGGCAACACCTGCCCGTTCCTGCCTCACCTCTTTCCCACTGCGGTATTTCGAAGCAGATCCCAGATATTGTATCTAAAAGATAACTTCCTACCTTGAACACCCACAATAGCGCTATCACATCCTCCCAAACACACTTATAAGTCCTTAGTATCGTCGAATACCCAATCACTGTTCACATCTCGCCAGGTGCTCATCTTTTTCTCTAGTTGGTAGAGTCCAGATGCCCACAAGATGCGTGCCTCTCATTAGGTGGATGTGTTTCTTGAAGAATGGGGTCCCCATGGGGGGCGCTAGGTAGGAGCTGAGCAGCAGGGGGCCCTGGCTGGCCTCTGCTCGGGGCCCCCACTAATTCTGCTCTTTCCAGCTTCACCTGCTGGATGCTGTGGGCATTTGATTCCCACCCTAAACGTGACTGTACAAGTCTGGTTTTCGCTTGTGGGATGGAGTCTGGTTTTCTGCCTCTCTCTGGGTTTATTAGGAATCATTCTGTGTCCTTGGCTGGGTGCAGTGGCTCACACCTGTAATCCCAGCACTTTGGGAGGCCGAGGCAGGCAGATAACCTGAGGTCAGGAGTTTGGGACCAGCCTGGACAACATGGCAAAACCCTGTCTCTACTAAAAATACAAAAATTAGTTGGGTGTGGTGGTACACATCTGTAATCCCAGCTACTAGGAGGCGGAGGCAGGAGAATAGCTTGAACCTGGGAGGCAGAGGTTGCAGGGAGCTGAGATTGTGCCACTGCACTCCAATCTTGGTGACAGAGCGAGACTCCGCGTCAAAAAAAAAAATCATTCTGTGTCCTAGGGTGAATGTACATAACTTTCTAAAATTTCTAATAGGTATTAAGTTGGTTAATATCACTTTGCTGCTTTTGTAAGTCAAATATTGTTGACTATTGGCAATTTCATGTAGTTCAACCTAAGTAAAGGTACATTTTAAATTTTTAAGTGAAATAAGAGTCAGGAGCGGTGGCCTACTTTACTCCTGTAATCCCCACACTTTGGGAGGCTGAAGCAGGAGGATCACTTGAGCTCAGGAGTTTGATACCAGCCTGGGCAATATAGCAAGACCCCATCTCTGCAAGAAAATAAAAAATAAATTAAAAAGTTATGGCCAGGTGCGGTGGCTCATGCCTGTAATCCCAGCATTTTGGGAGGCTGAAGTGGGCGGATCATGAGGTCAGGAGTTCAAGACCAGTCTGGACAACATAGTGAAACCCCGTCTCTACTAAAAATACAAAAAATTAGCTGGGCATAGTGGCACGTGCCTGTAGTTCCAGCTACTCGGGAGGCTGAGGCAGGAGAATTGCTTGAACCTGGGAGGCAGAGGTTGCGGTGAGCGGAGATCGCGCCAGTGCACTCCAGCCTGGGCGACAGTGCGAGACTCCGTCTCAAAAAAAAAAAAAATTAAAAATTGAAATAATTGTAATATATGTGTTGTACCAGGGATGAGAACTGGGGGTGGGGGACCAGCATGTGCACAGTGGTGGTCCATCAAATAAGAGAGACTGAGTAAAAGCGGACATCTGCAGCCCGAGTATTCTCCAGTATTCTTTCAGTGAGTCTTTGTTTGTTTGTTTGATATAACAGCTGTACTGACGATGATCCACATACCACACATTTCACCTATTTAAAGTGTACTGGCCTGGCTCAGTAGCACGACTGTAATCCCAGCACTTTGGGAGGTGAGGTGGGCAGATCGTTTCAGTCCAGGAGTTCGAGGCCAGCCTGGGCAACATAGCAAGACCCCATCTACAACAATATTAGCCAGGTGTGGTAACATGTGCCTGTCATCCCAGCTACTTTGGAGGCTGAAGTAGGAGGATCACCTGAGCCTGGGGAGGTTGAGGCTGCGATGAGCTGAGATCACATCACTGTACTCCAGCCTGGGTGACAAAGTGAGACCCTGTCTCAAAAACAAAAATAAAGTGTACAAGTTGTTGATTTTTTTTTTTTGTATTTGCACAGAGTTGTGCAACTACTATTGCCGTCAATTTGAGACCATTGTCATTACTCCTACAAAGAGACCCTGTACCCATTAGTGGTCATTCCCATATCCCCCTAATCCCTTATCCCTAGGGAACCCCTAATCTACCCTCTGTCCCCATGGACTTGCCTCTTCTGGGTTTTTCCTGTCAATGGCAGCATACAGTGTGTGGTCTTTGGTGTCTGGCTCCTTTTGCTTGCATAGCGTTTTCAAGCTTCATTCCTAGTGCAGCGTCTATTGTTCCGTTGTATGGACAGGCCACATTTTTTTTCTCCATTCATCATGTATGGACCTTTGAGTTGTTTCCACTTTTTGGCTGCTATGCGTACATGCTGCTGTGAAAGCTCTGTACAAGTTTCTGTTGAACATGTATTTCTTCTGGGTATCTGCCTAGGAGTGGAATTGCTAGGTTATACGGTCCCTCTGTGTTTATCCTCTTGCGAAACTTCAAACTGTTTCCAAAGTACCTGCACCTTTGGCTCCCACTGGCAGTGGAGGAGGGTTCCAGTTTCCCCCACATCCTCGCCAGCACGTGCTGTTCTGTGACTTCAGGATTGCAGCCATCCCAGTTGATATTGTAACAAAACTTGCCCAGCAGGGTGAGATATCTGTAGAGGACAGGAAAAGGGCTGTTTTGTTAGTGGCTTGGCATATCAGCCATGGTCGTTTTTTTCAAAATCTCCTGAGGAAGCCCCATGTAGCGCGTGAGCCACAGCACGTGCGGCCGAGCACCCTGCACCCCTGCTGGCTGCGGCCCTTGCTGGTGGCTAGTGGGAGGGGAGGGCTCGAGTTGTAACTTGTTTCCAGGGTGTGAAATAATCTCCTCTGCCTCCGTGTCTCATCTGCCGCATGTCCCTTTCTCCGCAGGTGTGACCATGAAGCTCATGGATGAGGTCGCCGGGATCGTGGCTGCACGCCACTGCAAGACCAACATCGTCACAGCTTCCGTGGACGCCATTAATTTTCATGACAAGATCAGAAAAGGTAACCACTCTTCTGGCAAAGACGAGGGAGGCAGTGGCCCTCGGCTGCTTGGGTCCCTGCACCAGTTTGTTTTCTGTTCACACCCAGGGTCATGTGGGCCTTGGTGTGTGCCCATCTGCCACAGGGAACAGGAAGCTGAGGTTTCTTTCTTTGTCCTTGCTGTTTATTGACTTGATGTTTCAATCTGGTAAAATCCTTGACTCAGATATGACGGGGCCATTATCCTCCTAAAGACCTGCCTAAACTCACCCTCTGAAAACGCTCCACAGACAGAGCTCTGGGAAGGTCCTGTGCCTGCAGCTGCCACGACCCTGGACACCAAACCTCATGGCAGCACATTTCATTTTGGGAGCGGAATTAATGATTCATGATTTAGGCAGTGGCAGGGTCAGTACAGAAAAGCCCGCAGGAGCCCCTCCTCGGCCAGCCCTGCCCACGCCACCCAGGGCAGCACTGGCATTGGGTGGTTTTTCTCCACCACAAAAATCCAACCCCAGCCACCTGGCCCCTGCCTGGAAATGGTGTCAGCTGTCCCTGGGGTATGTGTGCCAGCTTGACAGGCCAGGCCTCTGCAGTTTGTATGAGCAGAGGTCACCATGCTTGTCTTATGTGACTGCTCTCTGCAGAAGTACAGTGAAGTGCACCTGACACGTGGTGATTTTTGTCAGTGTGACGTCTGCTGAGATGAGGCCGTGCACCCCCTGCAGCAGCACTGCCTCACAGACCGAGGGTGGTGTCAGCATCGTCAGGGCCTGGTGCTGATTCTGAGGACACCACCTCATTAAAGCGGCTTGTTGGAGGAGCTGTTGGCTGAGACCAGCCCCTTGTCGTGGGAAGCGAGAGTGGAAGAAGTGCAAGCTTGGCTCTCCTTGCCACAGCTCCTGCCCACCAGAGCCTGAGCAGGGGCAGACTCCCAGGCCCCGGGTAGCCCAGCCTTGGTGCTGTCTCCGGCAGCTGCTACTGCAGAACACACCTGGCAATGGGAGACCCTGGACTAGGGCAGAAGCACCTAAGATTGGAATGGTGGAGGGCTGCCTCCCTCCCTGGAATTACTGAGAGAAGGCTAGGCTCACACATGCTGGATTTTGGATGCTTTGTGGTAAGGAGAAGGAAGGTCTCTGGCGTTGCTTTCTTCCACTTTGCAGAATCCTTTTCTTTTTTCCACAACACGATCTTATTCTGTCACCCAGGCCGGAGTACAGTGGTGCAATCCCTGCTCACTGTAGCCTTGCACTTCCGTGCTCAAGTGATCCTCTCACCTCAGCCTCCCAGGTAGCCAGGACTACAGACATGCACCACCACAACCAGCTAATTTTTGTATTTTGTATTTTTTGTAGAGACAGCGGCTCACTCAGAATCTTTTCTTGACCAATAGATGTTTGCCACAAACATAGACCACAATGTCATTTTAGAATCTGCCCAAAACAAGTGGGTCCTCTGTGTTTTAGCTCGTCCCCCACAGGCCTGTGTGGTGCGTGACTCTGCAGGAGAATCTGTGGCATCATATTCCATGCTATTTTTTCTAGGACTCCTGCCTGGGTAAATCACGATTAGGGTGACCTTGTGAAAGACGGATGCACAGCCCATAGTGGGAAACGTGCATTCCATAGGACTTGCCGTGCTCAGTTGTCCCTGAGTGTCCTTGGAGAACCATCAGGAAAGAAATAGACTTTCTGGCTGAGCGCTGTGGCTCACGCCTGTAATGCCAGCACTTTGGGAGGCCGAGGCGGGCGGATCATGAGGTCAGGAGAGCGAGATCATCCTGGTTAACATGGTGAAAACCTGTCTCTACTAAAAATACAAAAAATTAGCCAGGCGTGGTGGCGGGTGCCTGTAGTCCCAGCTACTCGGGAGGCTGAGGTAGGAGAATGGCGTGAACCTGGGAGGTGGAGCTTGCAGTGAGCCGAGATCGCGCCACTGCACTCCAGGCTGGGCGACAGAGTGAGACTCCGTCTCAAAAAAAAAAAAAAAAAAGAAAAAGAAATAGACTTTCCAGCGAAGCACAAAACACAAAAATTAGCCAGGCTGGTGGCAGGCACCTGTAAACCCAGCTACTTGGGAGGATGAGGCATGAGAATCGCTTGAAGCCAGGAGGTGGAGGTTGCAGCGAGCCAAGATTATACCACCACACTCCAGCCTGGGCAACAGAGCAAGAATCTGTCGCAAAAAAAAAAAAACACAAAAAAACAAAAAAAAAACAAAGTCCCCACCCTTAACTCCTTGTACAACCAGAATTAACTTTTAAGGGAGAGTGCTAGGAGGTGTGTTGTGGTTCTTGGTCAATAGGAATCATTAATTTTGAGGGAAAACCAGGAACTGCAGTCTGGGTCGAATGCTTTTTCCAGGAATTAACTTAGCAACCTAGAAGACATCTGGGGCAACTCGGACGAGGAGCTGCTTTGCCAAAGGCTTTCCACAAGGCTAACGGGGGGACTTAATTTTCAGAAGCCACAATTTCTGGCAGGACATTCACTTGGATTGGCTTCCTTCACGCAGTGAGGGCAGGTTGGGTGGGCTCGCCTGATTCCCGCTGTCCCAAGCCACACCCAGGGCCTGACAGTGGGCCGCCCAGGCCCCCACCTCGTCTCGGCTGTGGCCGGGGCCTCCTGGGTAAAACACTGGGCCCCTTACCAGAAACAGAAAGACTGTTGTTTTCTTAGATGACATCTTGTTTTGTGTATAGAGGAATTTGGACCAAACTGAAATAGCAGCCATGGAGTCTGGCCTGTTTCTATGCCAGTATCCTCCAGGGCCCACTAGACTCTGTCACATCCAGGGGCCGTTGAATGCTGTCACACTCGTGTGTTGTTTTCCAGAGGATTGTCACACCTGCCAGGTCCTTTGCAGGGAGGCGAGGGCTGTGCTGGCCGAGTGGGGCCAGGGTTGTCAGAGCAGGGTCATCATGCTTGCTCCTAGGATACTGCACCTTAGATCAGCTCGCTGCCTCCCACGCTTGCCCCTTGGTAGGGAAACAGAGCGAGGCTGTGCGGGGAGGCACGGCCCCTGCTGGCTCTGGGTTCTGGGTGACACTGGGTGGGTGTGTGAGAAACCGCGGGGGGCTGGCCTCACAGTTCCAGCGTGACTTTCTCATGGACTCTGCTGGGGCCGCTGTACACCCTCGAGCCCCACACCTGCCTCTCACTTCGACCATACCATGAAGGAGGTCTCGAGGGCCAGACCCTGCTGCCCTGCCGGGTGGGGGCACACATTATTGTGGACTATCCCAGTCGGTGTCAAGAGCCCAGGGAGCTACTGGCAGGCACAGAAACCTCACCTCGGGTTGCACGTGGTGCCTGGCAGAGCTTTGTACTGTAGAGAATGGGCATTGCTTTCTGGTGGGCTCAGAACAACAGACATCTGTTCGCCCCCAGTTCTAGAGGCCAGAATTCTGAAATCAAGGCGTCAGCAGGGCCAAGGTCCCTCTGAAGTCAGGGGAGGATCCGTCCCTGCCCCTTCCAGCTTCTGGGAGCAGCAGCTGTTCCTTGACGTTTCTTGGCTTGTGGCTGCGTCACTCTGGTCTGTCTCTGTGGTCACAAGGCCTCTTCCTCTGTGTGTCTCTCCTCTTCTGTCTCTTATAAGGACACTTGTCATAGGATTTAGGACACACCTGGAGAATCCGGGGTGATCTCATCTCAAGACCTTTTGCTTAATTATACCTGCTAAGACCTTTATTCCAATAAGGCCCCACTCTGAAGTTGTGAGTAGATGTATCATTTGGGAACCCACTAGAAATGCTTTGTCTCCTTAAAGCTCAACTCATGTAGATACTAGCTCACTTCCACTTTTATAAAATCATGAACTTGATAAAATCCCCTCTGGGATTCACCAGCCCCAAGCTGCCTCTGTCTCTGTGGATGTGGGACCTGCCCTTGTGAGAGCCAGCAGTGAAATTGACGTCAGCCTGGAGAAGGGGCCACTCTAAGGAATGCAGGGAGAGTGACCCCAGCAGTCCCCCAGGGGCCCCCCACTTTTGAGAAGAGCAGTCATACAGCTGGCAAGGGGCTAGCTCCGGACCCTGACTTCAGAGAGCAGCCTCACTAGAGCCAAATGAGAGTCTCTACAGTTAGCAGGCCTAGGGGCTACTGATGAAGGACCAGGGCCTTTCCTCTAAATGGCAGGGAGTCAGGGTCAGTGTCAGAAGTGAGAACGGATGTGACGTCTCCTCCATAAGCCCCAGAAGGCAGCGGTTTTGTAATAACAAGAAATAGTCGCATAGACCGAGGGTTGCAGTTCTTTGTGTTGGGGTGTTGTATTAGTATTAACCTTAAGTCAAGTATAAATTTAATCCACATAAGGATTACTTTTAAAATCATACGTTTATGGAAAAGGTGCCTGCAGGTAGACTGGGCACATCCAGGCGGTTGGAGCCTGAGGGCACAGCAGGGCCATGGCAGCCGGTCACAGCCCGTGCCCCTCATGTGAGCAGCCCTGAGAGGCCACTGGTCCCCCTGGGAGGAAACCCCCTACCTCCCACAGGCTGATCTGCCACAGTGGGGAAAAGCCCAGGAGTTGAGACCCGTTGCCAGTCATGTGGCCTCCATGAGTTTCCTGGGGCTGCTGTAACATTTCCATACACAGTAGCTTAAAATAGCCTGCACTCACTCTCCTGTAATTTTGGAGGTCAGAAGTCTAAGGCAGGTCTGCAGGCTGCATCCTACCAGGAGCTGGAGGGAAGAATCCATGTCTCGCCTTTCCCAGCGTCTGAGGCCACCCACATTCCTCGGCTCATGGTCCCGGCCATCCTCCAGCCTCTCCTAACAGCATCCCATTCCCCCCCTCGTGCTGACACTCCTGCCTCCCTCTCACAGGACCCCTGTGATTCTATCAGGCCCACCCGGGTACCCCAGAACAATCTTCCCATCTCCAGGGCTGTCACTTAGTCAATGTCTGCAGAGTCCCCTTTGCCACGTGAGGTCACAGGTTCAGTGGATTTGGGTGTGGGCATCTTTTGGGAGCACATTATTCTGTCTTAGCAGGTGGAAGGGGGTTTTCTGATGTGCCCATTTCAGCATATTTTATTAGAAAAATAGCTGGGCCTGGGCACGATGGCTCAAGCCTGTAGTTTTGGCTACTTAGGATGCTAAAGTAGGAGGATTGCTTAAGCCAGGGGTTCGAGACCAGCCTGGGCAACACAGTGAGACCCCTGTTTCTTTAAAAACAAAACAAAACAAAACACACACAAAAAAAGCAGGCTGGTCACAGTGGCTCACGCTTGTAATTCCAACACTTTGTGAGGCTGAGGCAGGAAGATCACTTGAGCCCTGGAGTTTGAGACCAGCCTGGGCAACATGGTGAGGCCCCATCTCTACAAAAATTTAAAAATTATCTGGGCTACTCAGGAAGCTAAGGGAGGAGGATCACATGAGCCCAGGAGGCAGAGGCTGCAGTGTGAGCCGTGATTGTGCCGCCGCACTCAGCCTGGGTGACAGAGTGAGACCTTGTCTCAATTTAAAAAACAAAAACAGGCTGGGCGTGGTGGCTCACTCCTGTAATCCCAGCACTTTGGGAGGCCGAGGCAGTCTGATCACCTGAGGTCAGGAGTTCGAGACCAGCCTGGCCAACATGGTGAAACCCCGTCTCTACTAAAAATACAAAAATTAGCCGGGCGTGGGGGCAGGCGCCTGTAATCCCAGCTACTCGGGGGGCTGAGGTAGGAGAATCGCTTGAACCTGAGAGGCAGATGTTGCAGTGAGCCGAGATCGTGTCACTGCACTCCAGCCGGGGCGACAGAGCGAGACTCCGTCTCAAAAAAAAATAAAATAAAATAACCAGAAAACAGTGGGAATGCGGAATGGAGACGCCAGACCTGTGGGGTGGCTTCTCCAGATTTAAGGCAGGAAGTGCTTTGCTTTCTCTCCTTCAGCCTCCCGTAAAACTGCCTCCTTGGGAGAGTGACCTTTTATGCGATATTGACCAAGTGCCAGGCCCTGTGGCTGTGGCTTGCCCTCGCTTGGGTGGGGTGTCTGTCAGGAAGTTACACGGACAGCTTTGCTTCATCCAGACATTGGCCCAGGGGTTCAGAAGATAACTTTGAGTTTCAGCCACGAAGGGTGTGTGCCTAGGAGGAACTTACGAACTTGGGGCACTTGTCGTGGCTGGGAGAGGCCTCACCCGCGGCCATGGAGGCCACTGCCACCCTGCCGTGGGCCCAGCTCTGTTGGCTGCAAATTTGGCATTTATGAACCAGACTCTTCCAGGATGCCCCACACTTGCCTAGACCACAGAGGGCCACCTCTGTTACCCTCACCCCTCACCAGCCCAACCCAGTGCCACCTCCATTGTCACAGCCTTTTGACGCTAGGGACCTGCTATTCCTCTGCTCACAGCCTCCGTGGCTCCCCGTGACATGCCACATTCAGCTTGAGCCCCTCCAGCTGGCACTTCAGGTCTGCTAGGACAGGCTGCCACTTGTCATAGCTGTCCCCTTACACCTTTGCGCCAACTAGCCCGGCCAAGCACCTACGGGGTCCTTAGCAGGTGTGTGGCAAGTTAAACTCTCACCAGGCAGTTGGGGTGAAGGAAGGACCGCTTCATCTGTGCGACTGGATCTCATGGGAAATGGGAAGTGCCCACCCACCAAAGGCGCGTGGAGTTCCCAGGCCAGCAACGGAGTTGGTGCTGGGGACGCGAGGGCCACGACAGGCTGGAGCCCGCACCCAGGGGACCAGCACAGGGGAAGGCACGTGGAGCCCGGTAGCACCCACAGAGTGGGAGAGCCTCCGCCCCCCAGGCAAGCAGTGGAGCCCCTAATGGGAGCTGTGGGGTCACTTGCTGTGTGGATTTTTTTTTTTCAGTTGAGACATTAAAATGTCCAGAGGTAGCTGGTGTGAAAAAGTTATATCGTTGCCTTCAGTGTAATAGTTTTGGAAGCACTTGGTGAGAAAACCTAAAGTTGACGTTTTCTTGGGGAGAAACGATCTCCACTATTAGGGTGAAAAATAAGGAGTCTTCTAGAAAAGGCCTTGGGGTGTGTTATGTAAGAAATACTAAGTCAGTTCACTGTTTCCAGGCTTTTCTTACGAAAGTTAACAGCCACAGCTCTTTTTGGAGCATAAATGCTGAGCTTTTCCTAAACTCTGAAACACTTGGCAACCTCTCAGTCTTGCTAACAGCTATTTTTTTTTTATTTTGTTTTCTTTTCCAAATCCCTGGCATACTGCTGAAATCTGGCTGCTGCCGCCCCTGGAGAGACGCCCGTCTGCTGGGGGAGTCAGGCTGGGGTACCTGCCAGCGCTCACGGGCTGTGCCACTCCAGGCAGGCTCAACAACTACTTCAAAACAGAAAGCGGCTGTAATTCACAATTCAGCCCACTACAGGCACCGATACGTTTAACTGTACCTAATATGACACACTTGATGCCAGGCATTGTGCCACCTGCTTCATACCATTTACTTCTCACACAGCCCAGTGAGACAGGGACTGTCGCTATCTCTGTTTGTTTTTCCCATTTGGAAGCTGCAATTCCGAGGGGTTAAGGAAGCTGTTCACAGCCATGGAGCTGGTTCCAGGTGGGACTGGGAGGGCAGGCCCAGCAGCTGGTCTCTGGGACCAGAGCTCTGAGCCCATGCTTTGGTGTCCCCAGCGACCTGGCCTAAACCCCACCTGGCATCCGCCCCGTCAGGGCCTCGAGTGTGAGTGATGAAGCTTGACCCTCATTGATTACATGCGGCTACAGCCACCTTTGAGGCCTGCCCTGGACTGCGGAGTGACTGCACCTGGTCCCCGTGCACTTGTGCCGGAACTCCTGGCTCTCAGGCAGCTTGAAAATGCATCGTTAAGCTGGGCGCGGTGGCTCATGCCTGTTATCCCAGCACTTTGGGAGGCCGAGGCAGGCAGATCACGAGGTCAGGAGATCGAGACCATCCTGGCTAACATGCTGAAACCCCATCTCTACTAAAAATACAAAAAATTAGCTTCTTGTTACTTTGTGGTATGATTCCTTTTACCCCCTGCAAGCCTCTCCAGCGGTGCCCCTGGGGCACACTCAGGCCCCACCCCAAATTACTGTCCTGGGCCTGTCATGTGACATAATGAATGCGGGCAGTTGACATCAGTATAGCCTCAGAGCAAGGATAGAACCACATGGGTTGACTGTGTCTCCTTTAAAAATGTGGAGGAAGTTACCCCCAAAATGCCCAGGTGGCCTGTGGAGCCCCTGATGAAGGAGAGCCACTGTGAGTGGGTCGTGGCTGGGTCTGCTGCTCCCCTGCATTCTCTGAAGCTGGGTGCATGGGGAAAGCATTTGCAGATGAGGAAACTGAGGCACAGTGCAGTCTCCTGGCTTGTCCCTGCTCAGTGGCCAAGCCTGGATTTAAATCCAGGCCCATCTGACTCCAAAGCCATGGAACTCAGGGCTCCTCCCGCATGGCTTCGTAGCCTCCGGAGACTGGCCTTGACAGGTATTTGCTCCAGGGCCTCGAAGAGCCCTGCCTTTCCTGATGAGACACTTTGTCATGAATATCTGGCTTCATCAGGGCCCTGGCTGCTGTACCTGCTACAGAGGCTCAGAGAGGACCAGGCGCTCCCCTTCTGGCCGCCTTCCCCAGAACTAAACAAGCATCCACACCTCTCCTAGGTGGGCACTGATCCGCCCGCTCAGTGGGAGATGCTGTTCTTGGTTAATCCATTTTTCACCTCAAGCTGGTCCCACCCATCTTTTAAATAAACCCCAGCCACCTTGACTGCAGGTGCATTTGGACGGGTGATGTGGTGGAGCCATCCCAAGGCAGCACCTCCGCTCGTGGGCTGATTGTCAGGACCAAGAGGTCTTTTTGACCCCACAGAGCCCTCCGAGTCTTGGCTGCCTTGTTATGGCAGGTACTGGCACTGCTTGGGGTTGTGTTTGCTTTGGTTTCTGAGACAGGTGCGTGGAAGTGGATTTGAGGCTCTCTCCCCTTCCTCGGATGGGCCCCGCAATGTCCCAACTTTGCCTAGTGCCAGGTTCGCCACAGGATACAGACAGACACTACTGGTATACAAGGCAGGTGCGGACCCCCCTTCCTGCCCTTCTCATGCCTGGCGGGAGGGCTGAATCAAGGCAGACTTTGTGGGAAGGAGGCCTGAGCTCCCCTCATTGCTGGGAGACCCTGAAGCATCCTGACCTCCGTGTGACACGCCAGGTCTGCAGGCAGTGCTTGTCGGGCCCTGCCTCTGCCTTTCCTGTCAGGTTCAGGGCTCCCGAGAGCCACCTGGACACGCTGTCTTCAGCTCTCTGATGCATGACCAGCCTCACCCGCCTCCACATTTGGTGGAGGGACCTGTGGGCATGGTCATGATTTGGCCGGCAGCCTGGATGGTCCAGGCTCTGACCCAGTGGGAGGAATGACAGCACATGGCTGCGCCATGGAGGAATTAGCAGGAAGGGCGGAATCAGTCTGTGCTGCCCCGTGGGCAGGTGACGGCCAGCACGTGACTGCCCCCAGGCTCTCCACCCTTTTGCAGGGAGGAAGGGAGGTGGACAGGTGTGGGGCTCCAGGGCAGGCTGCTTCCAGGAGTGGCACTGAAGTTGAGACTGGAAGGAAGTACCGGCCAGCAGGGCTTGGAAGGGGCTGCTGGCCATGCTCCTGGGCACTCCTGATTCTGGGCTGCTCAGCATCCACTTCAGGAGGATGCAAACCTGGGGCTCTAATGGGGCTCTGGCCAGCTTGAGTCTGTGGTGACCTGGTGTCCACATGTGACCCACACCCCAGCCCTCGTGGGTCCCCAGAGGGGTCCAGCCTGTCAACTGGATACCTGCTTTGGGCCCCCTGGGCCCAGCCCTGCCCTCGTGGGACTTCCAGGCTAGATGGGGACAGACAGACAACAGTGAAATAGACAAGCCAACAAGTGTGCCAATGCAAATGGGGTCGTTGGCTCTGCAGGAGTGGAGGACAGTTCTAGAGGGGGTGTGGTGGAGGGGGCTGAGCCGCCCTGGGCAGCTCTCTGGAGAAGGGATGCTTGAGCCGAGGTTCAGAAGATGAACCAGATAGCTGTAAGAGGAGGGCTTTTCTAGGGAGAGACCACGGGGGCCAGGAGCTTCAGGGAGCTCACAGAAGGCCACTCTGGTGGGGTGTGGAAAGCAGGGGGCAGGCTAGGGGCCCTTGTAGAGGCTGAGGCCAGTCGCTCATCACCCCAACCCCACCTGGATGGACCTCCGTCCCCAGGGAGGCCTCGATGCTGCAGGGGGGCCTCTATGTGACCTGGAGGAGGCGGAGAGGATTTGGTGTGCGCCTCAGCCGCCATCCTGGGGTTGACAAAGTGCCTGTAGCTGGAATGCTGGAATTCTTTTTTTTTTTTTTTTTTTTTTTGAGATGGAGTTTCGCTCTTGTTGCCCAGGCTGGAGTGCAATGGCATGATCTCAGCTCACTGCAACCTGCGCCTCCCGGGTTCAGGCGATTCTGTTGCCTCAGCCTCCCAAGTAGCTGGGATTACAGGCATGTGCCACCATGCCCGGCTAATTTTGTATTTTTAATAGAGACAGGGTTTCACCATGTTGGTCAGGCTGGTCTCAAATTCCTGACCTCAAGTGATGAGCCCGCCTCGGCCTCCCAGAGTGCTGGGATTACAGGTATGAGCCACTGCGCCCGGTCTGTAGCTGGAATTCTTCAGGAAGGGCTAGAGCAGGAACAGAGCCCTGGGGGTGGGAGCTGGTCCCCCCGAGGTCCCCTGGGACAGTCCCTTCCCAGAGGCTGCCTGTGAGACCTTGGTGTCATGTGTGGGATGTGCCTTCTGAGCCCAGGGTCTAGGAGATGGGATACCCTAAACCAGGGCCCCTGGAAACTGGGCTCTCTCTTGGTGACTGGGACTTGTGATTCGTCTGTCAACCCTAGGTTTCAAATTAAGTCCCAGCCAGTGACCACATCAGATTTCCAGTTTTTTTCTTTTTTTCTGAGACAGGGTCTTGCTCTGTCACCCAGGCTAGAGTGCAGTGGTGCGATCTCAGCTGACTGCAACCTCGACCTCCTGGGCTCAAACGATGCTCCCGCCTGAGCCTCCCGAGTAGCTGGGACCACAGGCGTGTGCCACTATATCCAGTTAGGTTTCCAGTTTTAAAGTATTTCACTTTGTCCTGCTAGCCAACCTTATAGCCTGTGTCTTGTTTAGAATAATGATGTTGCTCTCTGAAGGGTGAAAATTCTCAGATTTTGGTTGTAATTGAAAATTTTCCTGACATTTATGAAGTGTTAATTGTATTATGGACCACAAGAGGCTCTCCCAGACAGCATTCTCTTCTTTTTGTTGTTACGTCTAATGCTTTTATAATCAACCTACTTAGTTGTTTAAAGTCATTGTTGATTGCTGTTAGGAGTTTCTTCAGATTTCTAACACAGCAATTAAGCCATGAGCAGCCAGGATCTGGCCGTGGCAGCAGTGGCCAAGGTGGGCCTTCATGGGCAACACCAAGAGCATGTTTTTGGAGCCTGGGCGGAGTGGCTCACACCTAATTATAATCCCAGCAATTTGGGAGGCCGAGGCAGTTGGATCACTTGAGGCCAGGAGTTCTAGACCAGCCTGGTCAACAAGACAAAACCTCATCTCTACAAAAGATACAAAAATCAGCCGTGCATGGTGGTGCACGCCTGTAATCCCAGCTATTTAAGTGACAGGTGTGACAGTCGCTTAAACCTGGGAGACAGAGGTTGCAGTGAGCCATGATGGCACCACTGCCCTCCAGCCTGGGCAATAGAGCGAGACTCCATCTCAAAAACAAAAACACGTTTTCTGTTGCTCCTCAAAACTAAGAGCCAGTGTTCAAAGACCCCTGGAACCTGCCCTCCTCCAGGCACCACGCTCATGGGTGGCCCCCGTGTGTGACACCGTGGCCACAGGGAAGTTCTTGTTGGTTTCTGCTCATGGAAAGGGCTTGTTCCTGCTTTTTGGCCTGTGACTCCCAAGTGTTATACACAATTGTTGGTGAGGGATGTGGGCTGGGCATTGTGAGGAAGGAGGCAGAGATGCTGGGAGACCCTCAGGTCTGACCTGTTGAAACTTCTAGCTCCTTAGCTGGGGCCTGACCCATGGCCTGCCCTCCTCCCGGGGTGCGTCTTGTGACTGCGGGCGCTTTGCATGGGACTCTGTACCTTACAGCTCACGTAATGCCTGCTGGCGCTGACCACACAGCTCCTTCCTCCTCTCCCAGCACTGGCACGAAGTGCTCCCTGTAAGTATGAAGTTGAATGTAGCATGGATCGTTCTGATACTTTTTAACATGGAATAACCGCTCTTGCCTCTGGCCTGCTAACCGCCCTCCAACAGCCACCACCTGGCCGCTTTCTCACTCTGGGTCTCTAAACCTGCCTTGTGAGGCTGGTCTCGGTGCAGCTAGGACACTGGGGGTTCCAGAGGCCACATTAAAAAGTCCCCGAAGCCAGATATATTTCCTGGGGAGCAAGTCCCAGCAGCCAGAGTCGGGCAGGGATATCCTTGAGCCTGGCCCAGAATAGAGGCCACGCTGGGCCGCCTGGGAGGGCATTCTGACCGCAGGGCAGCACTTGCCCCGGAAGTCCCCGGGGGTTTCTGCAGCCTGGTGGCCAGTGACATCGATGGTGACACCTTCCCGGGGCCCCAGGTCAGCTCTTGGCTTGAGTCCTTCCATCCCGTAGCTATCCCCCAGGCAGGGTGTCTCATGCCTGCCTATAGGGAAGAGCTGAGCTCCCTGAGATTAAGGGATTATGTTGAGGCCAGGTAGGAGGATGGAGCCCAGGCCGGGGAGGGTGGTGGGGGCAGAAGAGCAGCTCTGGGTCAGGAAGCTTCTGCCAGGATGGACTGTCGTGCCCTGGGGAGCGTGGGGCGTACAGAGAGGTTGGTTAGGGTTGAGGGGGAGAGAGGGACATGGGAACAATGTATGGGAACTGGTGACTTTGGACTTTGTCATGATTCACAGAGAAATGGGGCTGGTGCTTTGAGCATGGAGGACTCTGGCCAAGGGGTGTGGCATCCAGCAGCCCAGAGGAGGAAGCTTTGGTCCCGTGGGCGAGACCAGTGGGGCCAGAAGGGAGGCTTGGCATGCAGTCACATAAGATTCAATCCCACCAAGGGGCACGGGCAGCTGCCCTGTGTCACTGGAGCCCCTGAGGGTGGGAATGGCTGTGGAAGGTGATACAAGGTTCTGTCTTGGTGCTTGGAGCAGTGTAGTGGGGCAGCTGTGGCTCCGGTGGGCACCAGCAAGGCCAATGAATGGACAGTGCAGTTTGCAGATTTGGCCCTGACCTAAGGAAGGGCAGAGCCAGCCGACACCCACAGCTCCTGGAAGGCAGTCTGCGGCCTCCCCCGTGGGGGCACAGTGGCTCTGAAGCCTTTCAGCAGGTGCTGCCACTCCCGGCCAGGAGAGAGCCCGCCTGGGCGGGGGCTTGAACTCATGGCCACCAAAATCCTTCAGTGCTGAATTTTAGCGTAGATAAACCTGCTCACTAGAAAGATAAACATTCATGGGCAACTAACGACACATTCTAATATTCTGTTATTTGAACATCTGGTAGTCAGCCAAGCCACTGCTTCCCCTAACCAAGTGTCTGCCTGCTGACCACAGAAACGCCAGTGTCCCCCGCCCAGCCGTGGGGTGGAGGCCGCCCTGACCCCCGCCCTCCCTTCTCCACAGGCTGCGTCATCACCATCTCGGGACGCATGACCTTCACGAGCAATAAGTCCATGGAGATCGAGGTGTTGGTGGACGCCGACCCTGTTGTGGACAGCTCTCAGAAGCGCTACCGGGCCGCCAGTGCCTTCTTCACCTACGTGTCGCTGAGCCAGGAAGGCAGGTCGCTGCCTGTGCCCCAGCTGGTGGTGAGTGCGCATCCTTGGAACGGCGGCCCCTCCCTGCCAGGCAGCCCTAGGGTCCCTGTGTTTGGGCCTCCAGGGGGAATCTGTGCCTGCATGAGTCCTGTCCTGTCAGTAGGGGTCAGAGTAGGGCTGGGCCTGGCCACTGCCGTGACCGGTGACCTCGGGCTGCGGGGCTGATCCGGTGAGGCCTTGAGAAGGAACGCTTCATAACCAGCGGGTAGGCCTTTGGGCTGTACTCCCAGGGCCCGTGGGGTGGGGCTGGGCAGACAGGACAAGAGAGACAGACCCCTTTAAGAGCGCCTTAGCATGGCTGCTGCCTGGGCGTCCAGGTCGCCTCTGAGTGTGGCGCCTTGGTGTTCCCTGGCATTGTGTAAGAATGCTGGAGGGGGATGAGGACCGTGCCCTGGGTCCCCCATCCTCTGCTGAAGGGCCTGCTGGGAAGCTGGAGGGGTGGGCTCCCTCCAGGTGGTCCTGGCCTGCAGGTCCTGCCTGATGAGACCAAGCCAGGCTGGTGGGCTCTGGGCTGAGGGTCCCAGCCCCTTGGCCTTTCTCCTCCTCATGCAGGGCAGGTGGGGTGGGCGTGTGCAGGCCACACGCACTCGTTCACAGGGGCTGCTGCCCCCAGGTGTCCACATCCCCTGAGCTCTGCCACGTTTGAGAGCTGGTGGTTCTCCGCCTGGCATGGACTCTGTAGGGTCACAGACATCGACAGGGTTCGCGCGGCCCAAAGAGGCAGCTTCCCTGTCTCTGTCATAAGAACAGAGGTTCCCCATCCTGGCTGACCCCAGGGGCTCTGCAGCCTTTGGGGTGGTCCTGATTTCTCTTTGAACCAGCTCTTGTGTCTGTCACTGAGGGGAGCAAGAGGAAAGCAGAGCTGTAGGAGCTTCCTGCCCCTCCGGGGAGCGAGGATGCGGGAACAGAGCAGCTGGGAGCAGGCGGGTGCCCGCAGGCCTCTTGGGAGCTGGCGTTCTCATGGAAGTGGCCAGGCAGGCACCACGGCCCTGCGAGGCTGACCCCTGATTCCAGAGGTTCTCGAGGCCCCTGCCCCCGCGGCGTCTGCTCCCCACGCAGATCCGCAAGCATTTGCTGCTCAGCCTCCCGGAGAGGAGCGTGCACTGAAATCTCTGGGGCGAACATGCACTGAAAACCCATTCCTCTCAGAGCCTGGAGCACGGCCTGTCGCTTCCCCACATGGCTGAGGAGGGCCGCCGAGTCGCCCCAGCTGCTTTGTTTCCCAGTCGAGGCTGAGGCCCCTCCAAGCCCCTCTCCCAGCCCTGCCCCTTCCTGGAGTGGAGGAGCTCATGCCTCACCAGGGCCCGTGGTGGTAGCGCCAGGTGTGGTGTGTGAGCTGTCAGGCCCAGCGAGTACCCTCCGCTGCCAACTCCAGGCCAGCTCTTCGCTGGAGTTGGGTGCCGGCCTCTCCCAGGTCGGGTGGGCTGAGTAGAGGAGCTGATGGTGAACCTGGACTTGATGGATGAGGAGGACTCGGCCAGGCTGAAAGGAAGGAAAGTGAGTGGTGGGTGCCCCCAGCACGGCACTAACACAATGCCTGTGACCCACCCTTGCATGACTCTCGTGACCAGGCCCCTCTTTGACTTGGGGCTTACGAGGCATGCTCCCCTTCTGGTGCGAGGACTGCTCCATGCCTTCAGCCCCACAGCCTCTTCTGTGGCAAAGTACCCTAGGCTGCCACCCTCCTGCCCCATCAGGGCTGGCTCTGCTGCCTGCTCCTTCCTCCCTCATCTGCCCCCACCCCTCCCCATTTACTTGTAAGCCTACCCGCCTTGCCCTGGCCCACCGTGCCACCCATCGGCCCTTGGCAGGATGGTGTCCTCCCTCCACGTCGCCTGGGCTGGTCCGCAGTCGTTCCTCAGCCCCTGACCCTGCTATGAGGCTCCAGCCTCCTCTGTCCTTGACCTTCAGCCCTGTGTCTGGTTCTCCTTTCACCTTGGACACGCCTTCTCCAAACTTGCCTGCTTTTCTCGGCCATGAAGTATGGGCTCCACTCCCACCTGGGCCCGCTCTGGTCTCTCCCCATGGACCCGACGCCCCTCCCATGACGCTTTTCAGCGTGGCTGCTGTCTGTCCTGATGCTGAATCCCCCACCTGACCCAGGCACATTTCCGAAGCTCTCTCCTTCCCCGCCCCCTACCTCTTCCTGCCTCCTGGACAAACTTTCCCAGTTCTGTCTTCCCTCTGCGGGCAGCATGGACAGACGCAAGGACACGCCCTGTCTGCTGTCCGCTCCCTGTCTGTAGCACAGCTGACCAGGCCCTCAGTGAAGCCTGCGCTCCCTGGATGGGGGACCCTGTAGTGTCTGTAGGGATACTCCAGCCTCCCCGGCCACCACACGGTCCCCGAACCCTTGGCTTTGACATGTCCTAACCTGTGGCCCTTCTCTCCTGGGGTGGTCAGATCCATGGTCTGTGCCTCGAGCATCGCCTGTGTGTTGTATTGACTCCCAAATTGACTTGGCCAGTGCTGCCCCTCAACAGGGTTCCCAAAAGCATCACAAATACAGTTTGTCCTGAATGGAACTCATTATCACACCCGCAAAAAAATCCCTCTCCGCCTCTGTGCTGCTCTGGAAGTCTGGGAACCCAGCTGGCTCCTCCCTACTCCCCCCATGCCCACGCCCACCCAGTGCCGCTCCACTCCTCTCCCGAACAGCTCTTACTGCCCCGTCCCCATGGGGCCCCTGCTCAGTCCTCAGCTGCTCCTTCCTCTGTTCCTGGTGCTCTCAATGTGACCCTTCCCTGCAGCCCAGGAAACTGGTCATCAAAATCCGAGTTGCTCCCTCTCCCACCGAAATGCACGGTGGCTCCTCCATGCCCTGGGTGTGGGTGCAGCAAGCTCACTCCTGCCCGGCGCCTGTGCACCTGCTGCTCCCATCTGGACCACCCTCCCCAGAGCCTCCTGGAGCTACAGCACTTCTCAGACGTTTTTTCCTTAGAAGGGCACCCACAACCGCTCTAGAGAAGCGTCGCCTCCGCCACCCCAGACCCCCTCCCAACCACCCCCCGCCACTGCAGACGCTGCGTGGACTGTCAGGCTCACATATCCAGGAGCAGGCGCCTGGCTGCCCGGGTCAGCCAGAGCTCTAAACTTACTAGCTGTGTGGCCTTAGGCACGCACTTTCTATGTGCCTCGGTTTCCTCATCTGTACGGTGGTGATGGACACGGTGCCCACCATGTGGGGTGGGTGAAGATGGGGGGCCTTCATCATCTGCTGCTGTTCACCTGCTCTCCCTGGGGCCTCACACCCTCTCAGAGGGAGGAGTAAACAAACAGTGAAGATAGAGGAAGTTGAATGGTGTCCAGGGTCACGAAGAAGACAGCAGGGAATGAGGGGATCGGAGTGTGCCGGGGGACAGGTACAATTTTAAATATGTTCCTTCCCAAGGAAAGCCTCAGCGGAGGCCTGGAGTCAGGGAGGAAGGGCAGGAGCTGTCTTGTGGGGACCATTCAGGTGAAGGGAACGGCGAGGGCCAAAGGCGCAGAGCCACTGTCTGTAACGGGGGAGCTTGGGGACAGTGACACACCCGAGGCCACCCGGCTAGGACGGGGCAGGGCTGGGGAGAGAGGGCTGGTGGGAGTCTATGGGGCTCACGCATATGGGCGTAAAGTAGAGGAGGATCTGGGTGACCTGTGCTTTGAACAGGCTTCAGTGCAGGTTGATGGGGTGCCCTGGGGCATCTCCCAATAGCAGCCCTTCAAAGCTGATAGTGGGGGGCATCCTCCCAGGTTGGCAGCGGCTGCAGGCGTGGTTGGTGTTTGCCCACCAATGACGGTTCCCTCTCCCGGCTGCCCCCAGCTGGGCTGTGCACACTGGTTGTGGGGTCAGGACCACTGCACCTACCCCAGCACTCAGCTGGTTCAGGGAGACCAGTGCAGTGACCACGAGGGGCCAGCGATCCATGGGCTCTCAGGGAGGGGACCTCTGTGCCTCACGTTCCCCACTCCCTATAGAGTCCAACCTGAGGGGGTCCACCCTTGTGTGGATAGCAGCCTGCGGTCACGGAGGCTTTTGGGGCCGCGCCTGTGACCTTCCCAGAGCCAGCTGGGGAGCAGTCCTGGGGCCGCCCCTTCCAGAACTCCATACCCTGGGGGGGGGTGGTCAGAGTGCAGGAGGAGGGCCAGCCCTGGGGGAAGGGGCTGCAGAGGGGCAGGGAAGGGCGCCAGCTTGAATGGAGGGAATGGCAGCCCATCCCCTGGGTGTGGCCGCGTCATGTTGATCTACGCTGTTATTTCTCACTCATTAAAGATGGTCTTTGATTCTTCACTGAGGTGTCCTGGGGCCCATGGATGTCAATGTTGATGTTGATAGAAATAGCCACTGGCGGGGCAGGCTGCCCGGAGAGGGATTTTCAGCTCTCACTTGGGGACTGCCCACATGAGCACGAGTTCTGGGCTGGGAGCACGTGTGTGCTCCGTGCGGTGAACCTGCATGTGCGTTCCGTCCCTCCAGATGTGCCCTGGCGGCCCCTCCTCCTACTCCCAGTCGCCTCCCTCATCCCCACGTCAGCTTTCTTCAGCCTCCTGTCTATTTTTAGCTCCCTTCCCCAGGGCCTGGCTGACACGGATGCAGCCTCTCTGCTTGGAGTTGCGTCTCCATGAATATTTTATGCTGGGGGCTGCCGCACCCGCTCCGGGCAGCTGCCAGCACTTCCCGGTCTCGGTCTCGTATTAGAAGAGGCCAACTCAGCGCGTAGAGGCAGGCCTCCCCGTGGCAGTGCCCTCTGACCTTGGGCCGAAGGGGGCTGGAGAAGTGGCTTGTGGGGAGGGACAGCAGGACGCAGGCGGCAGCAGACAGATGTGGGAAGGCTTTTCAGCCTGCAGGAGGGTCAGAGCCGTGTGTCTGCTGAAGCGGAGGACGTCCCTGGCACCTCAGGTGGGGGCTGTACTTGCCTCTGATTCTTGCAGGCGTGGGCATTGTAGCCTCTACAGGCCCAGGGAGTTGGGGCTGAGAACTTGTGGGTCCCAGCCTGGGCCTGAGGAGGAGGTGTAGACAGGGCGGGGTGAGGGGCTCGCTGAGGCCCCTGACCAGGGAGAAGCCTGTAGCCTGTTCCATGGCTGTCAGGGCTGAGTGAGCGCCGTGACCCCACTGCTTCCTGGGCACACTGGGGAGGGGATGTGTCCCCAGATTAGCCGAGGCTCCAACTGTGCAACCACATTATGCAGGGCAGGGTCTTTGCAAAGCAGGCTTCCAAACTGGAGGGAGCCCATCCCAGAGGGTCTCTCTGGTGCTCATGAACACACATCTCCCGAGGTGGCCAGCCCAGGACTCCGAGCTTCAGTCTTTAGCCACCGAAATGTTTTCTGGATGGAAGTGGGAGGCAGTAATGAAGGCAGGTGCGGCCATCTTTTTTTTTTTTTTTTTTTTTTTTTGAGACGGAGCCTCACTCTGTCGCCCAACCTGGAGTGCAATGGCTGGATCTCGGCTCACTGCAACCGCTGCCTCCCGGGTTCAAACGATTCTCCTGCCTCAGCCTCCCGAGTAGCTGGGATTACAGGCGCATGCCACCATTCCTTATTAATTTTTGTATTTTTAGTAGAAATGGGGTTTCACCATGTTGGCCAGGCTGGTCTCGTGATCCACCTGCCTCGGCCTCCCAAAGTGCTAGGATTACAGGCGTGAGCTACCGCGCCTGGCCTAGCTGTGGCCATCTTTACCTTGCCTTTCAGAGCTGCCTCATGCATAGCCAGGGGAGTTCCAAGAACTCAGGGAAAACGCACCCTGTTGAGCTTTGTCCGCTCTGACGTGCCCCGACCTAGAAGAGGCCCTGAGACCCTTGGGCTCCTTCAGGTTGAGGGAGCCCTACCAGGCCGGGGGCCATTCTCAGCAGGTTTGTTTTCTGGTTAGGAAGCCAGGGCAGCTGGATGCAGAGGCTGCTGCCTGTCTCCTGGGTGGGCAAGGGACTGGAGGGGCAGGGGAGGCTTCCTCTTGGGTGGTGCCTGGGTACAGGTCATTGAAGCCGGAGGCTTCAGGGAACGCCAACCCCTCTGCGAGCTGGTGTGTCTGCTCACAGATGCTTCCCATCCCCAGACAGGAGGCGGGCACCAGGCAGGGAGTCACTCGCCAGGGGTCGCACGGCCAGCAGGCCCATCTGTGACTTCACTGACTGGGAAAGGGGGCCGCTCACTGCTGTCATCGATGCCACTGTGCTTTCTCCCAGCCAGGCCCTACTGTGGGGTCCTGGGAGGAGCCCTGCCTGAGAACCCTTCTGTGCAAGAACCTAAACCCTGGGAGTCCCAACGCGCTGCCCACCTGCACTGCGCCGCCCACCCACACCGCGCTCAGCCCAGGGCCTTTGCTTCAGCCCCAGATGATCTCAGGACCAGTGCTGGGCAGGTGACTGAACCTCCACAGGCCACTGTGGAGTGTGGGGGTTGGGGCACATTTTAGTGGAAAGTTTTCCACTCCAGTTTGATTCTTTTGCCTCTGCTGGGGCCTTATGTGAGGCGTGGCCTCAGCACAGACCCACACAACTTTCAGAAGGCTCTGGAACATGGTGCCCACCTCGCTTCTGCTGCTGCCCTATGACCTCCTTCTCCTGGCCTCAGCTGGTTCACCTGCATGAGTGCAGGGGCCGGGTAAGCCCCGCGCCAGCCGAGAGGACAGCGTGGCATGGGCTGGAGCGTCCGGAAGGAGGGCACTGTTTGACCTGCTGTTCAGCTGGAGGGGCGGGATGGGCCCCAGGGCTTAAGTCAGCTGAAAGGCCCTCTGCAGCCTTCTGGAAGTTGTCTGCCATGCAGTGCTGAGGGCCACAGCTTTGTGACGCACTGATGTGGGGGCTGCAGACAGAGCAGGCTGGAGATGCCTCTTGGCTGTGGCTGTCTTGAGCCGTCGCCAGGCTGTTACCCCAAGTTCCCTCTCCGTGCCTTCTCAGTGATGCTGTAATTGGAAGGTCCCTCGCCCCTTTGCACTTAGGAGGAAGCATGGGGCAAGCTTTCCATGATGGTGCCTGCTGCTCCCCACCCCCAGGACCTGCCTGACCCCCAGGCACGGTGTGCAGAGGGGCCTGGGGTCCTCGCATGGGCCCCGTTCCTCTCGAAGAAGCCTCAGGAGCAGAGGTGGCCATTCCTGACCGTGTCCAGGCCGGACCAGGACAAGAAGAGAGGTCCGGTCCCAGGATGTAGGACAGAGAAAGAGGTCCCCACGTGGGGCCTTTGTCACGGGGCAGGGCCCTAGGGTCTCTGCTGCCTCGACATCCTAGACACCCCGTTGCCACAGGCTCCTGCTGGCAGGGAGGGGCCGCACCTACTCCCAGAGAATTTCACTAGCAAAAGAGTGGGCGGAAGCACTGTGTGGTGGCCGCGCGCAGCCTCTGCACTCGCCCTGGGATGGGCACCGCTGCGCCCGTGTGCGGGCTCTTACACTGGCTTCCTTTGTTTGTTTGGCCAAGATTGGACTTTTGGAATAATTTTTTAATTGTTGACTAATTTAGGAAATTCAGCTGTTACTGGAGTGCAGAAGGTTGACGGTGTGTTCCTGGAAGGGCTTGGTGAACCGCCTGCCGCGTTTGGCCATTAGTGAGGGAAGCCCTGCCCCCCTCCTGCCCCCACCTTGCTGCCAGCCCACAGGCGTGAGTCATGGACTGGAATATTCATGAGGCTCAGAATCCAGTGTCGTGCTCTCTGTTCCTTTTGCCTGCATTTAGCGGGAGTCAGTCTTGTGATGGGAAAATACCTGCATCCTGAAGCTGCCCCTGTCGCCTCATTGGTTAGCGCTTAGGAACATCCGGTGGCCAGTGAGTCCCATGTGCCTAGAACCCGAGCATGGGTGCTGAGAAGGAGGTTGGCGCAGATGAGAGCATGTAGCCCTCCCCTCCAGCCTGGCTCTCGCCTTCCCTCTGCCTGAGCCCAGACTCTTTCTCCAGCCACCTTTCATGTTTCTGCTCTGCATATATCTCTGAAAGATCCACTGTGTCCAGACAGCCACACACTGGCCCTTCTGAGCGGCACTGGTAGGTAGCTCTTCTGATGCCACTGTGGCCTAACCGGCTGCGGGGGGTTAAAAACCCACCTGGGCACAGTGAGCTGCTCATGTTCTCCCCCTGGAGGTTTACAGAAGGCTCTGCTCAGAGCCAGGCCTGGGGGGCATACAACAGAGTGTGGGATGGAGCCTTGGGGCCTCTCTGTCCCCACTGCTGTCAGATTTGTGACACGGACAGAGTGAGCACTGCCAGGAGGGGGGCTGTACCAGGAGAGGCCCGTGGGTGGGATTTCCAGAGGATTCAGTGAACCGAGGGAGCATCCCGGCTAGACCCAGGGTGCTGCGGAAGGTGAGCGAGAGATCTGTCAGGGAGGCCTGGAAAGGTTGTTGGGCCCATGTGAGGTCCTGGCCATGGGACTTGGAGTTTTTCAGCAGGGCGAGTTCATGCCTGGAGTATCCTGGGGCTGGAGGCCGCCCACTTGGCTCGGCGCTCTCAGCAAGGGGTGTGGAGTGTCCTGGCAAAGGCTCTTTGCGGCCAGACACACATCTTGAGCCCTGCAAGCAAAGGTGCAGGAAGAAACAGGCCCTGTGCCCCACACGGTGGTAGAAAGGATGCAGAGCCCTCCCCACCTGTGTGTGCAGGATCAGAAGCAAGTCCCCAGCATGGCCACAGAGCTGGCCCATCTCCAGGGGGATGGCCAAGCCTAGGTGTGCTGGACACTCTCATCTCATCTTTGTCACTGTTGCAGGCTCCTGTTCAGACCCTCCATGGTCTGAGCCCCCTGGAATTGATTGGGGACAGATGATGCCAGTGTTCATTGAGCAGAAGTACTGGTTTTGAATTGTTAACATAAAGACCATCCCTATTTAGAATTAAGCCTTTTTGATCTTCATTTGTTTGATCATTCATTCATTCATTCATTCATCCATCCAGCAAACACCTCCTGTGCCCCTGCTATGTCCAGGCATGGTGCTGGCCTCCAGCAGGACAGGAAGGGCTCCACAGGGCATAGCACAGAGTGGGCACACGCACAGCAGAGGTGTGCCATGAGCACGCGGCTTCTGGCCCAGGCCTAGCCCACAGTGGGCACTCAGCAGGTGACAGCTATGATCATTATTGGTGTTGTAGGGTGGGGACCGCCATGTCCACACTCCGGCACAAGAGCTGTGAGCCGAGCGTCCCGGGACCACGGCACTCCGTGCCTGCAGGAGGGGCTCCTGAGAGGCCACCACCCAGGCCCAAGTCCCAATGCCTTTTCTCCCCTTTGTGGTGACGATCTCCCTGCCTCCGCCAGCAGCCTCCCGTTGGCCTTTACGCCTCCTTTCTTGGCCCCACTTGGGGGCAGTTCTTTCGGAGTCTGAGCCGGTGCTGCTGGGTGAGGGGAGCCCCTGGTGAGGGTGTTTATGACTCTCCACAATGATCTCATTATTTGAGACTTCCGGCTGCTTTCTGCTGGAGGCTGGTGCAGTCCTGGGTGGGTGTGGAGGAGGAGGTAATTAACCCAGGCCTGCAGCTGCTGGGAGAGGCCACAGCGGATGGCGGAGAGGCCACAGCGGATGGCGGACAGGCTCCGCTAAGGCAAGGTCCTCAGGTGGAGCAAGACCCTGGGGGCACAGGTGCTTGTGAGGCTGGTGGTCCTGGTGCTAAGCTCATCATTGCTGGCTTCTCCATGCACAAGGCCCCTCGCCCGGCCGTGCTGAGTGTCCTCAATAATGAGATGTTTTCATTGCTTTTGTGATTATCCCAAGACCCCTCTTGTCTCCTGTTATAACAGGGAGAGGGCATGCTACGTGGCTTCCTAATTAAGAAGGTCTGTGTCCCTCAGGCTTACAGGAAGTTGTTATATCACCACTGGAAACCCTTTTTACGCCATTCATTAATTACAAAAAGGACAAGCTATTGATTTTACCGAGGGTGGAACTTAGTCACTCGTCCTCCATACCATGTTCCAAATGTGTGTTCTCCAAGCACAGAAAATGCAAAGTGGAAAACATTTGGTTTGCAGCACTTGGCTCTGAAAGCCACAGGCTTCCCCTCCAGTGGAAGAGAGCCCAGAAGACAGCAGTGGCAGGAAGCACTAAGTGGAGGGAGGAAAAAGATGCAGACCCCAGGCCCAGGCAGCCACTAGGCTGCAGGGGAGCCAGGGGCTTGGTGCTGAGTGCCAGGCGGTGCTCCCTGAGCACCAGGGAGGGAGCGTACTGTCAACCTGCTACCTTGGGACCCTCCCCACCCCTGCGTCCCCATGTGTGGGTGTGACATCCTAAAGGGCCCGCTGCGTTAAGGTGACCCCGGGCCATCTGGCCCTCCTTTGGGGCAGCCACACACCAGCAGGACAGTCCTTGGAGCAGTTCCCAGGCTGCACTTGGCCTCAGGTATTTCTGAGGACAGCAGGACCACCACACAGACACACACACATGCACCAGGGACCGCAGACACATGTGCACACACACGTAGGAGCTCACGTGCACCGGCACCATAGGAAGCACTTTGCCATGTCACTTTGTTGAGTTCCTGTTTCCAGGTGAACAAACCTGGCCCTGGGCCACACAGCTGGGCCCGTGGGACTCAGAGTCCTGCTCCTGGCCATGCTGCCCCATCCCTTCCATCAGGCAGGTGCCCGGGATACATGGGGGTCATGTGCCCTGAGCTGCCCTTTGCCACCTCATCCTTTCTCTCTGGCATATTCTTGGGGAGCCCCAGAGGCTCGGAGGAGCCTGCCTGAGGCCACAGGTGGGTGCCCGGCAGCTGGCACCACTGGCCAGTGCCCCAGAGGCTCCAGTCCTTCCCCCACCAGCAGCCTCGGGGACTTGAGAGAGACATCTGTCTTCCCGCAGAGCGTTCTTTCGTCCTCCACCCACCCCCAACCCTCCATTAAAAACAGCAACAGCCAACAGCGTATGCATTTATTTACTTTGCTGGGTGGAGGGAGATGGCTGCGAGGAGGCAGCAGCCGGGCCGTGGGTGGGGCCTTGTGCTGGAGACATCTGTCTTGCTCTGTCAGCTTCTCACCCAGCGGGACAGGGTGGCCCCTTTGTCACTTGGGTAGGAGAACTATTTAGCAAAGCCATGACCTGGGGAGGCTGGCTGCCCACCAGCAGTGAGCCCGTAACCTACCATGGGACAGACACCGCCCCGCGGCCCTTTGTTCCACCTCCCCCTGGGTGGTGAGCCTGGGTCCTCAGGCACCTGGGACATCCCTGCCCTTGACTGCCATCTTCATAAACCTTCACCCTGGAAGGGCGCCCCTGGGCACTCAGGGAGGAAGGCCGCCCGCACCTTGGGAGGGCAGCGCTTATGGGCGGGCACTCCACGCAGTGACGTTGAGGCTCCTGGGCTGGTCTGGACTCTGTCTCAGAGCCTGGAACATCCAGCAGATACTACCATCCCGGGAGACGGGAAGAGCAGTGGGGCCCTCACAGGCTCTCAGGCTCCCACACATCCATCCATCATCAGACAGCATTTGCTTTGTCTGAGGGCAGAGCCTGGCTGATGAGTTTGCTGCAAATATTAAAGAGCAGGGCCACATCAGAGCCGCCTTGGGGCCCGTTGCTGGGCACCAGATTCTCCCTCAGCCTGGAGCCGACCCTGAGAATGACCTGCACCTGGGCTCGTGCCCGCCTCAGGCTGTGTATTAACTGACCTCGAGAGAAGCAGTCACAGCCCTCGGCCTGTGGCATTGGGAATGCTCGATGGCCTGGTGGCCGCTGGGGTGGGAGCAGCTGTAGTGGTTTGGGATAATATGGCTGAGGGCAGGGCAGGGCCCCCGCCTGGGGGAGGCCAAGCTCAGCAAGTGCTCCTAGGCTGTGCCGAGGGCCGGGGTGAGGTGAGGGGAGGCAGGGAAGCCCCTGACCCTGGTTCATCGTGGACACGCTGCAGGTCCATCGCCTTCCTCACTTCCCATGGACGAGTCCCACCCCTAAAAGTCCCTCGGCATAGGACGACCTGGAGGGCAGCCCCCATGCCCAGGTTTAAATGGAGGCTCTCCCCTTACCCGCTGTGTCACTTTGGGCAAGTTACTCAGCCTGTCTGTGCTTCACTTCCTCATTGGTAAAAGTGGACAATCATTTCTGTGCTGCTTGGTGGGGTTGTTGGGAAGACCCTGATGTGCACAGCCTGCCGCGCCCTAAGCATGGGTTGCGCAGGGAATATCCCCTTATCGCTGTAGTCCCTGCCCCACGTGCACAGCCCATGTGGGGGCAAAGGGGTGGGAGGGCTCTCGTCTGCAGTGCCTTCTGCAGACCCAGAGTTGGGTGGTCCTCCCACGCCCTCGGCGGCTGGAGGGCTGTGGTCACATCTCTGGTAAAGATGCCGAGAGCTGTAGGAAGTTACTCCTATTCCACTCCCAGGTGGTCATGGAGGCCAGATCGTTAGGGGACTCGAGGGCTCCGCTCCACTGCTGCGTGTGGCTGGCAGAGGTGAGGACCGGGCTGTATGAAGCCCTGGAGGTTTTCTCGCTCTTGGGCGGAGATCTCCCTGCCGTTCGGGCCGTGCCGCGTGCGTGGGGCCTGGGGCCCATCACACACCTATGAACTGGACCAGAAGGAGCATGGTCCTGAGTTAGCTCTTAGCGCCTCTTGGCGGGGAGTGGGGAAAATCGCGCCTGTGCACAGCCCAGACGGCTCCCTCAGCTCTGCCCGCAGCCCACCGCTTGTAAAGCCAAGTCCCCGTCTCTTTGGGGCCTGGAGATCATTGGTGCCTAGGGAAGAAAGGAGGGGCTGGTTTTCCTAGATCTAGGTCTAGTTAGTTTTTTGCTTTTCTAGCTTTTTAATTATAGAAAAGGTCAAATATACGCAAAAGTAAAGAGAAGAAAGAATTCCTGTGTAGTTATTAGCTCAGGGCCAGTCTTATGCGTTGACAGCCCTGACTACTCCCCCACCACAGAGAGCTCTCAACTGTGGAGGTTTTCTCTTTTAACAGCTTTACTGAGATGTAATTACATGCCGTTCTGTTCACCCACTTCCAGGATACGATTCAGCAGGTTTTCTTCTATTCACAGAGGTGGACATCCCCCGCCACAGTCTATTTCAAAACCTTTTATCTCACCAAAAAGAAGCACCACCCCTTAGCCACCACTGGTCCCCCAGCCCCAGGCAACCGCCAATCCACTTTCTGCCTCTGTGTATATGTCTCTCCTGGACATCTCGTGTAAATGGGTGATAGGCAGACCCTGTGACCGGCTTCTTTCACTGTGTTGTTTTTAATGCCTGGTTGAACATGGGCTGCAGGGAGAAATTTGGTCCCCGCAACTCTGCTGTGAGGTGGACATTGGCCCATTTTACAAAAGAGGAGTCGATGTGAGTCAGTGGTGAATCAGGATTCACACCCGGCTCCAGGGTTGAAGATGCTGGGCTGGTTTCCAGGCGGAATGAAGAGACCATCCCAGGAAGGGCACACAGCATGGTTGGGTCCCAAGGTGGGCAAGCCTCTGCCTGAAGCAGCCCATCCCAGAGGCGGGGCAGAGCTTGGTTCCTTATGAAAGGGATCCCTGGCCAGCTCAGTTTGAGAAAGGCGAAAGTTAAACAGATTTGAGACGTTTCAGAACCTTCATCCCAGTGTGCATTGTTTATTGTAAGAGGCCATTTAGTGCATAGATCCCCAAACCTGCCTGGTACAGACCATCAGAGAGGCATCATCTCCCAGTGGAGTTGGGGAGGGAGCCCAGAGGATCTGCAGACACAGACAGGCAGGCAGGCAGGCAGGCAGGCATCTCCTGACCTGGCAGCCCTTCCTCAGCCCCTCTCCAGGGCCCTGGCCTTGGACGGGCCATTCCCACCAGCCCCCCAGGACACCCATGGTAACAGCTCCTAAGCTGGTGGCGTTGGCTCCGCAGAGCCATTTGCCACCTCTCTTGGCCCCTCCTGGTCCTCTGGTACCTGAGAGCATGTGGCTGGGGACTCAGGCACTTGGGGACCAAGTTTCTCGCCAGTCTCCCACATCTGCACATTCCCAGGAAGTTGCCTCTCCTCAGGCCGGACCTGGCTCCTGTGGGCTGGGTGGGGGCTTCAGCTGTGTCCCTTCTCACTCCAGCTGCCTTTCCTGGGCCAGGCTCGCTCTCTCCTGCTTTCAAGGATTCTTTTTCTTTCCAAGCTCCTTGCCGTCTTTCCTCTCTGTGGAGGGCAGATACTCCACCAGCTAGAGGGAGGACCCGAGCCGAGGGGCCAGGCTTTCAGACTGGGAGGCGCCTGAGTGCGATCCAGCCTGCCCGTCCCCAGCTCTCCTGCTCCCAACCCGATGTCTCCCAGGGCTGCCACAGCCACTCCAAAGCCAGCAGAACCCAGTACCAACCCCACCAGGTCCTGTTGCCTTGTCGCCCAGCTCTGGGACCCCATGCCCACCCTACAGCTCTTGCTCTGCCTGCTACAGGGTCTTCAAGGTAGGCAGGAAGCCAGGCTGTGGGCGGCCGCTCCTCTGCTGAGCCTCGGCCTTGCCGCTGCAGGCAGACAAGAAGCTGCAGCTTCCCTCCACATCACCAAGCAATTCCACAGGGGAAGGGGAGGACAAGGCCCCTATATCCCATCCTGGTGGCTTTGACCTTGCATTCTTGGCCACTTCAGATGTGCCCCATTTGGGGCAGCGGCAGATGGAAAGGGGGCAGGGCCCTGCTACACAGATGTGGTCCGCGGGCCACAGCGTTGTGTCACCTGGGATCCTGTTAGAAGTGAGTCTCAGCTCCCAGACCCACTGGATCAGAATCTGCATTTACAAGACTGGCAGATGACTCAGATGCACTTAAAAGTTCAAGAAGCCCTGATCTAGCACATTCTGCCTCAGTGTGCACAGAGGTCTTCAGCTGTGCCCAGCAGGATGTAGCCATGTATGTCTTCAGGGGAGCTTGTCATCTGCAGGGGCTGCGCTCTGTGCCCTCCAAGCCCAGGAAGCTCAGGGGTCTTGCCCACTGAGAAGTGCTGCTGGAACTGAGAAAGAACATTTCATTTTCCCTGGACTGTTTCAGGTCAAATTGCATAGCCTCAAATTTTATTTTTAAAAGTCAGCCAGAGATCAAACCGTAGCAGCGGGAGGGACTTCTTCAATAAAGTGTCTTGGAAAAGCAGTTTTCCTGTGTACACCGAAGACTCTTCAAAGGGGGACCAGGACCGCTGCAAGGAGCGCCACCTATTTCTTTAAATACCCGAAGATTCCATTGGCTCCAGGCCGGCGAGGTTTTGACAGTTTACACCTGGTGACATTTAGAGACTGATTTTGGAGAGAGCTGAGGGGAGGAGGCATTTGGTATAACTTGACATTACATCCTCTGGCTGACTGCGCTCTCTCTTGCCAATATACCATTTGTCTATGAAACACTTAGGCCCAAAAATAGCTGTACAGTTTGGTGTCATTGTGGATGAAATGAAGGGCAACTGCCCCATCTCTTTGGCTTTCAGACACCCTCAAAATGTTGCGATGAAATGTCCCAGAGGAATTAGCACAGCTCATTAAACCTGAATTCCCAGCCAGGGTGGGGCCAGTCAGAACATGGCGTTGGGACAGATGGGACATCAGAAGTGACCACCTAATACTCCAGGGGTGGCACCTGCCCAGGGGCCACAAGACAGAGTGAAAGGGGGTGCCGTTCATAATCGCAGCCCGTCGACAGGCATGAACCAGGACCGTCCTGGGCAGAACCCCGTCTTGGGCCAAATCCCACCTGTTCAGTTGGCTCTGCCCCCAGACCAATGAGATGGGGTCCCTGGGGTCCAAGGTGCCGCCTCCTGAGTGTACGGTCCAGAGCGTGGTGACAGGGCTCCCTCCCAACAAAGCAGGCCTATTGCTCCCAGTACGGGGCGGGGCCTTCTCAAGGCCATAGGCAGCACAGCATCTGCCCACTTCTCGCTGGGGCAATGGCCGTGTGCAGCTGGCTTTCCCCACTTCTCTCCGGGGCGGTGACCGTGTGCAGCTGGCTTTCCCCACGTCTCTCTGGGGCAGTGACCGTGTGCAGCTGGCTTTCCCCACTTCTCTGCGGGGTGGTGACTGTGTGCAGCTTTCCTGGGAGTGCAGCGAATGCAGGGTCCCTCTTCCTTTCCACTTCCGTTCAGCTCCCATGTTTCATTATCAAGTGCATTTTCCACCGAAGTCCAGTAGCAAACAGGCCCTGGGCTTGGAGGTCACCTGCTGTGAAAGGTGGTGAGAGGATGTCACAGGGCTCGGCACTTCACTGACTGCTTCTGACCCGCCATGCCCTTAGTGTCTCCTCTATGGAGCTCTGCCACCTGTGGCTCCTGCGGCCCCTCAAAGCATCTTGGCTGAACATACCCAGCCCAGTCAATAGGCCCATCAGCGAGGTGGGACATGAGCCCCATGCCTGGGCTACCCGGCAGTCCCAGGAGGCCAGCGGGGCCGAGGCGTGGTACTCAGCATGCACCAGGGGTGGGGCAGATCCCACGGGTGGGGGGCAGGGCCCCAGGCCAGGTCACAAGGCCACGGCACTGGTTCTGCAGTGACCCTAACCTGCCTGTCTCTGTGTGTGGTCCACAGCCCGAGACCGAGGACGAGAAGAAGCGCTTTGAGGAAGGCAAAGGGCGGTACCTGCAGATGAAGGCGAAGCGACAGGGCCACGCGGAGCCTCAGCCCTAGACTCCCTCCTCCTGCCACTGGTGCCTCGAGTAGCCATGGCAACGGGCCCAGTGTCCAGTCACTTAGAAGTTCCCCCCTTGGCCAAAAACCCAATTCACATTGAGAGCTGGTGTTGTCTGAAGTTTTCGTATCACAGTGTTAACCTGTACTCTCTCCTGCAAACCTACACACCAAAGCTTTATTTATATCATTCCAGTATCAATGCTACACAGTGTTGTCCCGAGCGCCGGGAGGCGTTGGGCAGAAACCCTCGGGAATGCTTCCGAGCACGCTGTAGGGTATGGGAAGAACCCAGCACCACTAATAAAGCTGCTGCTTGGCTGGACCCACGTGTCCTGGGTGGTCATTTGTCTTGGGGGGGCTGCTTTCCCAGGGGGTGTGGGACATTGGGGCTCCCGTGGACAGTCTCAGCCCTCCCAGCACCAGCACCTGCATGTACCCTAGAACCTCAGGCACAGCCACACCGATTGGTGTCCGGCTGGTGACTTGCTGGCTATGAATGCCCATTTCCCGTGGGTCCCTGGTTTGGTGTCCTGGCCCCAGACACCCTGGCTCCCTGGACCTCATAGGCAGCCCAGATGCTGGGAGGATGTGGGCTCAGGGCCACGCTGCCTGGTGGGAGTGCCAGCACCCCACAACCCCCCTGTCTGGCTTGCAGAGGATGCCGGCTCTGAGCCTGTGTGGCTTTCCTATGAACAGGGTGGGGCTGCTGGGAAAGACTCAGCGAGGTGATGGTGTGGGAAGAGCCAAATGTGGCCTGGCTCAGCGTGTGGGAGCCCCACCCTGACCCAGCCTCTTGCTAGAAACTGCCTAGACACCCCAAAATCCTGTCTGAAGGAGCCCCCCAGCTGGCGCCAGGACTCTGTGCCTGACGTGGAAACTCCCCCAGCCACTCAGGCAGGAGTCTGCTGGGATGGCTTATAGGGCAGGGGTCTGAGGGACAGCACGAATGTGTGTCAGTGCCGTTGGTGTGAAGCTGTGGGCATACGTGTCACTGACATATCTGTGCATGTGCGTGTGCATCTGTCTGCATATCTGTGAGCACGTGTGTGGTGAGGGTATCGGTGTAGCAGGGTTGATCTGTGCATCTGGCCCAGCCAAGGCCACTACAGGGACCAGGACCCCACCTGCATCCATGGCTGAAAAGGAGGCCCTCCAATCAAGCACACCCAGAAGTGGCATCTGGGAGAATGTTCCCAATTCAGTCTGTCCCTGAAGCCCCAACATCTGTCCTGCCGCCTGGAGAAGACTGGCCCGTCAACAGCTGCGGCCTCGCACAAGGCTCCCTCTGGCCCCTGGAGAGCGAGGACTCGGCTCCAGATGTGCAGAAACACCAGCCAAGAGCTTGGGAATCTGTCCCGGGCCCCAGTCACGGCTGACGGGGTTATTTCCTGTCTGGGAGGGGGTTGGAGGTGGGAGGGACAAGCTCAGCCACATGAAGCTTCTGCCACGCCACCATGCCCCTTGGCCCCCCGGGGCTGGCCTCAGCCAGCCTCGGCCCCCAGCTCCACCCATGACCCATGCCAGAATGGTGCCCTGGGTTCAGAGCAATGAGGAGGCCACCCTTCCCAGCTAGCAGAAGGCCCAGGGCTGGCCACAGCAGTGCCTGAGCCCAGGGGCTCACTGAGGGGACCAGTTCCCCAAAGCACCCACACCCTTCACTTGAAGTTGGGCCCCGCATCAGACTCCCTAGTTCAGTCCTGGCTCAGCCACTCATCCGTGTGGCTTTGGGCAAACCAGGCACCTGAAAACCGCCTCCCAGGGGCACCGGGCACTTTGCAGCAGAACCCAGCACAGCACGAAATAAGCCAGGGCCCCGGGGCGGCCATCAGAGGCCATCTCCCACCTGCCCTAGAGCCAGCTGAGGCCGGGCAGAGGCACTGGTCCAGGCAGTGGGTCAGCTGGGCTGGCAGAGGGGAGCCAGGCCCAGACAGAGGCATGGCTCTCCATGGCTGTGTGTGCAATCTTAACCGTGGTGTTTCTAAGCGGCATGGCTCTCGGTGGCCATGTAATTAAGTGTGGCGTTTCTACCGTTTCACCCCGAGTCACAGGCGAGACACTTAGAAACACCACCCTTGATTACAGCTGCCCTGTGCCAGCCTCCCACTGCTGGTGGCCTATTTATAACCAGGACCACCTGGAGGGGGAGCCAACCTGTCCACAGAGGGCTCACTGGGGACACTGAGGGCCCTGGCTGCCCGAGAAACCACAGGGAGTATAGGTGTGCATGGCCCCAGATTCCCCCTTGCTCAGCCCCACACGTTATTGCGGGGCCTTTCTCTACAGACACTCCTCTTTTTGTCTCATGGGACGGACCCTAAGACCCATCCTGGGCCCCCTAAAAGCTGCTCAGGGACCTGGGGTGTGGGGACGGTTTAGGCAGGTGCAGGCTGTGGAGCAGCCCTGCCCGGACTGGGCAAGCTCCAAGCATCCGTTTTGGCTGCAATTGGTTTGGGTCTCCTCCTGGTCGGGTGCCTAGTTTCCTCCAGACACAGGGGTGCCTAGTCATGGATGTGTCCCAGAGGCACGGAAGGACACTATGCCAGGCAGCCCCAGAGGCCTTGTGCCCATTGTGTGTGTGGTCAGGTGCTTTCTAGAAAAGACAGGCACGATCCTCAGGAGGCGTCCTCTCCAGGGCCCCCATCAAGAAGCAGGAGGCTTTCCGCCTGCATGGGGCCAGCTGAGGCTGTCAGTCTGTGGGTGACAGCCTGTGCTCTATGAGGAGTGGTGATAGCATGAGGGCTTGGGAGGGAGGGGCGGAGGGGCGGGAAGAATGGGAGGAGGGGAGGAGGGGAGTAGGAGAAGGCTTCAGGCGCTGGGCTGCAGACCCTGGCCTCTCCCGGCTGGGCGGTGGTGCTCAGAGTTTCAGAGAGAACAATTTCTGAGCCTGTGGGGGTGGCGGGGACCACTCGGCAGCCCGGTGGCCCGTGCACTTTATTCCCTCAGTGGACCCCCCAGGCCCGGGGAGCAGCGTGAATCCGTAACTGGCCCAACCTTGCCCCTCGCTGCCCCTGCTTCAGACTGGATTCCCGGTTCCTAGAAGCCGCTGGCCATGCGTCCCTTGTCCTCTCCACGCCCCGCCCCGATTGTTCATCTTAGATGCGGCTTCCTCCAGGAAGGTCTCCCTGAGCCCCAGCCCTGGCCCCAGGTTCTCAGTGTCCATTCCTGCCCCAGCTCCCTCTGGCCCCCGGGCCCCCAGAGCTCCGGGCCTGGGTCTTGCCCCGGCGTCCGAAGGCGGCGTCCGGAGTGTGCACCGAGCCGAGCTGGGAGCCAGGGGCGCGGCGCTGTCAGGAGGCGCCACCAGCCCAGGGAGGCTCGGGCCGGCCGCGGGCGGACGCGGGGACACGGGTGGGCTGCGTACGGACGGACTGACGGAAGGACGGACGGGCTGACAGACCGACAGACGGCCGCGCCTCTGAGCGGGCGGGGGCGGGGCGGGCCGAGGGGCGGTGCGGAGGCCCCGGCGGAGACATGCGCCCTGCTCCGCCCCCCGCCCCCGGCCGCCCGGCGCAGCAGCGGAGCGGCGGGAGCTGAGCGAAGCGCGGCGGCGGCGGCGGCGCCTAGGGGAGGGAGGGGCGGCGGGGCCGAGCCCACCTAGCGGAGCGCGCCGGCCGCCGGTGGCCGCCGCCAGCATGCCCCGGCCCGCGGGCCGCTCCGCCGCCAGCCACCCCCGCGGCCCTCGGCGGCCTGCGCTCGGCCCGGGGGCGCGGGAACCGCAGCCGGAGCCGGAGGCGGGAGCAGCGAGCCGGAGCCCCGGGCGCTCGAATGCAGGGTGAGCGTCGCCGCCCTGGCCCGAGGGCGGACGGACGGGAGGACCCCGGCGGGAGGACTCGGCGGGAAGGGAGGGGGCTTTCCGCGCCCTATCGGTCGCGGGGTCCGTCCGAGGGCCCACGAGCGGCGCTTAGCGCTGGCACCCCCCCAACTTGGGGACCTTCGGGGTAACTTCCCTGGGGCCAGCCCCTCCCTCCGTCCCCCTGCATCGGGGCCTAGCAGCGCCGCCCCCTGGGCTTCTCAGGGGACGGGGGCGGGGCGCGGTCTGGGGATCCTGAGCCCGCCCCTGCTCGGCGCAACCCAGAGGGGTCCGGGGGCCGCAGTCCCGCCAGGTTTCCCAGCCTGTCGCTCGGACGCGCCCTCGGGGTGGGGCAGGACTCGGGGCACCCACTGGGGACCAGCAGGCGAGAGCACGCGAGTCGGAGCGGGGATTGCGGGGGGGGGGGGGGATCGGAGCCCCAGGGGGTTGGGACTGTAGGGGCGGGGGCTGGGGGGGGCGTGCCGGAGATGTCCAGGCCTCGCGCTGCGCGTCCCTCCCTGGGCGACGGCCAGGCCGGGCCCCGTGGAACACATCGGCTGCAGCGCGGGCGGAGACCGGCGTGGGGGCGGAAGCCGGGGCGCAGCCAGAGCCCGGGGAATCCTTTCAAGTTCTGGGTTCTCTTTGTTGCGCAATGGGGCCTCGGGGCCGCGCGGCCTCATTGGCCCGGAGCTGTGACGTCACGCCCCGGCCCCGCCCGCATGTCTTGCGGAGGGAGGCCTCATGGCCCGGGTGGGTCCCAGGCTAGTTGCACCTGCAGTTGGCCCTGCAGTGGGCGGGGAAGTGGGAAGCCGGGTCCTGAGATGCTGCGGAATGCTTTAAGTGCCCTGCAGGAGAAACTTCCCAGCAGAAGACAGGGCTTTAAGTGCCCTGCAGGAGACACTTCCCAGCAGGAGACTGGGTCCCGTCGGCACTGTGGGGAGCCCAGCCTGGGGTCTGGCCCTAGTGGCCGCTCCATTCTATGAAGAATGAACAGAAAGGGTGCAATCCGTGGATCTGTGGTCACTGACCCAGAGCCAGAGGGACACTTTGTTCCCACACAACCAGTCCTCTGTCACTCTGCACTTGGAACCCGGTGTCCACGCCCTGTCCCCCAGGACGTTCCTCTCCCATGCCAAGACTACAGTGCCCAGGAGTGCCTGGCCCCAAACCCAGCCCTGACACTATTCTCTCCGTGTTGCCCTGAGCTTCTGCCTGAAGTGTTCCCATCTGCAGTGTGGGGACGGTGAGACCTGCCCTGCAGACCTGAGGCTCAGAAAGACCTCAGCTCTAGGGACAAAAAAAAAAAAAATGCCCTTTTCCCCAACATTTTAGGGTTTGAGAGGCCAGGACTTTGGTGTCAGGCAAGTGGAGTTTGGATCCTGGCTCAGGCAAGTGCTGGCCGGGCAAACAGCTTTACCTCTCCCTGCTTCTGCTGGACAAACTTTACAATGGGGATGAATTGTGGGGGCACTCACTGGAGGAGCATGCCCGTGTGCAAGAGGATGCACGTGCCCCTGCCCACAGACCTAGAGCCTTTTTCTTTTTAAGACAGGGTCTCACTCTGTTGCTCAGGCTAGAGTGCAGTGGCACAATCATGGCTCACTGTATCCTTGACCTCCCCAGGCTCAGGTGATCCTCACACCTCAGCCTTCCAAGTAGCTGGGACTATAGGCTCACACCACTACGCCTGGCCAATTTTTTTATTTGTTGTACAGATGGGTTTTCCCCATGTTGCCCAAGCTGGTCTCGAACTCCCGGGCTCAAGCCATCCACTCACCTTGGCCTCCCCGAGTGCTAGGATTACAGGCATGAGCCACTGCACCCTGCCTTCAGACCTAAAGCCTTTCCCAGCAGTAATGCAGCATTAGGCTAGACGAGAGGAAGAACTGGCACCGCGAAGGGCTGGGCTGGTTGCAGCCTGTGGCTCTTTCCTTACCACCCTGCACCAGTAATCAACACATGGACAGGGTGGGCGGGGCCAAGGTCACGGGGCTAGACAGAGCTTGTTCACGGGGCTAGACAGAGCTTGTTGGGCATCTGAGGGAAGGCCTCCCAGTCTCACAGCCGAGGCTGCCTTGGGCAGGTAGAAATAGATGCTGACCTGCTAGGTGCATGCTGAGTCCACTTTCCTATTTGAGAGCGTAAAGACCACTGGTGTCTGCAGCCCTCTTGCTCACAGCGCTTACTCACACTCTGTCTGCTCTGAACCCCCAAAAGGCTGCCAGGCACCCCAAAGGCTGGAGGTGGCCCAGTGCTCCCCTCACTCCTGAGGCTACTCTGCCCCAGGTCCTGGTCCCAGTGAATATGTATCTGCCCACAGGTCTGAGGCTCCCCGGCACCTCCAAGCTCAGTGTCTTGGCCCATAAGAGACAGCACAAGGCTGGGCGCGGTGGCTCATGCCTGTAATCCCAGCACTTCGGGAGGCCGAAGCGGGTGGATCACCTGAGGTCAGGAGTTCGAGACCAGCCTGGCCAACATGATGAAACCTCGTCTCTACTAAAAATACAAAAAAATAGCTGGGCGTGGTGGCGGGCACCTGTAATCCCAGCTACTTGGGAGGCTGAGGCAGGAGAATTGTTTGAACCCAGGAGGCGGAGGTTGCAGTGAGCCGAGATCCACCCTGGGTAATAAGAGTAAAACTCCATCTCAAAAAAAAAGAAAGAACTCTGGACAAGACAAGCAGGAGGCTTGCCAGCTGCTGGCTGGGGCATCGCTGCCTTCCCTGCCCGAGAGCCAGGGGCCTTGGCTAAGGCGGCAGTGGCCCCCCACCTTGAGCTGGAGATACTTCCTCTCTGGGGGACATGGGGCGTATCTGGTACTATAGATGCCCATAAGGACCGGGGCATGAGAAAGAGAGCAAATGAGGCTAAATGGCCCCTGGGTAAGAAGGGCCAGTTAAGTGTGAGCAGAGCACAAGTAGGCCTTCACTTGGTACTGGGCTTCTCCCACACTGCCTGCCTGGGCTGCAGCCAGAGGGCTGCCAGGCTGGGAAGGGTGAGGGAAGGACTCGCTGCCCAGCCCTCTGGCAGGATGGGTGCTTCCCCGCTCCCCGCCACATGCCTGCTGCCCAGCATCCTATGTCCCTGACTCACATGGAAAGGCCATCGGCACTTCCTCTGACTTCAGAGTCAAGCTCTGGTCTGGTCTACTGGCCGTCTCCAGGCCCTTGCTGCCCAAGCCAACCAGAGCATGAGACTGGCCACTACCCCAGAGCACCCAGTGTGTGCCAGACCTGGGCCCAGGGCTATAGAGATGTGGCTCCTGTCCACCTCAGCCTCCCCGCGGAAGAAGCATGGCAGTCTCTTAGAGGAGAAGGTGCAGGGACCTTGCCCCAGCCACACCGCTGCTGTGTGGGGGCTTTAACCTCAGCGCGGGGTCCTGGCTCTGGAAGACCAGCTGGGGGCTGACATAGCAGACTGCCTGCCCCCTCTCAGGGTGGTCAGGAAGGTGGTGACCATCTCCGTTCCCCAACAGGTCACTTGGGGAACAGGAGAGGGAAATGGAGGTTCAGGGGGTGTGGTCTTCCGGGACATGTCCTTACGTGGCCTGATGAAGTAAAATAAATTAAGGCAAGTACGTCAGAGATGTCCACTGTGGGGGGCTCTGGCATGGGCTGTGTGAGGATTCTGGAACATTTGATGGCAAGAGGACTTGTTCTGGGATGGTGCCAGGTCATGCACGGGGCAAGAGTGCCCATCTGGGCCCACCTTGGATGGTTCCCTGAGGATGCAGGTAACCTGGAAGGGAGCCCAGATATTGAGCTTTGACCAGGAGTGGACGGAAGTGAGGGAATACGCACTTATTGGGCACCCCGTATACAGCCCCTGGGTGTCAGGGACATGGGCAGGAGGGTCCTCCCGGGGCGTGGAGAGGAGAGTGCAGCCTGATGTAAGCCAGGGCCAGATAGGTCATGGTGCGCCAGGGCCTTCCCCGCCTTAGGGCATTTGTGCTGTTGTAACACAGTACTTAAGACGCAGTAACTCATGAAGAACAGATTTATGTCTCGCCGGGTGTGGGAGCACTTGCCCTGTAATCCCAGCTACTCAGGAGGTTTAGATGGGAGGATCACTTGAGCTCAGGAGTTCGAGACCAGCCCAGGCAACATAGTGAGACTCTGTCTCTAAAATATAAAAATAAGGCCAGGCACGGCGGCTCATGCCTGTAATCCCAGCACTTTGGGAGGCTGAAGTGGGCAGGTCACTTGAGGTCAGGAGTTTAGGACCAGCCTGGCCAACATGGTTAAACCCTGTTACTACTAAAAATACAAAAAAATTAGCCGAGCATGGTGGTGTATGCATGTAGTCCCAGCCACTCGGGGCTGAGGCACAAGAATGGCTTGAACCCGGGAGGTGGAGGTTGCAGGAGCTGAGGTGGTGCCACTGCACTCCAGCCTGGGCGACAGAGCAAGACTCTGTCTAAAAAAAAAAAAAAGAAAAGAAAGATTTAAAAAATACACACATATATAAATTTTTTTTTTCAAAAAAGAAAAGCTGAGAAATCCAAAATCAAGGTGCTGGCAGGTTTGGTGTCTGGCAAGGCCTGGTCTGTGCTTCAAAGATGGTGCCTTGAATGCTGCGTCCTCTGGAGGGGAACAGCACTGTTGCTCACATGGCAGAAGAGGGAAAGCTCCTTGAGAGAGAACTCACTCCTGGAAGCCCTTTTGTAAAGACATTAAACCCACCCATGGCCTAATCACCTCTTAAATGTTTCATGGCCAGGCACTATGGCTCACGCCTGTAATCCCAACACTTTGGGAGACCAAGGCGGGAAGACTGCTTGAGGCCAGGAGTTTGAGACCAACCTGGGCAACACTGCAAGACCCCTTCTCTATAATAAAATTAAAATTAGCCAGGCAGGGCAGGGCATGGGGCTCACACCTATAATCCCAGCACTTTGGGAGGCCGAGGCGGGTGGATCACAAGGTCAGGAGTTCAAGACCAGCCTGACCAACATGGTGAAACCCCATCTCTACTAAAAACACAAAAAATTAGCCAGGCGTGGTGGTGCGTGCCTGTAATCCTAGCTACTCAGGAGGCTGAGGCCGGAGAATTGCTTGAACGCAGGAGGTGAAGGTTATAGTGAGCCAAGATCATGCCATTGCACTCCAGCCTGGGTGACAGAGCAAGATTCTATCTCAAAAAAAAAAAAAAAAAAAAAAAAAAAACGTAGCCAGGCATAGTGGTGCAGGCCTGTAGTCCCAGCTACTTGGAAGGCTGAGTGGGGAGGATCCCTTGAGCCCAGGAGTTCCATGCCACAGTGAGCTATGATCTCACCACTGCACTCCAGCCTGGGTGATAGATCAAGACCCCATTTCTAAAAAAATAGTGTTATCTTGTAATCCCAGCACTTTGGGAGGCCGAGGCGGGCAGATTACGAGGTCAGGAGATCGAGACCAGCCTGGCCAACATGGTGAAACCCCGTCTCTACTAAAAATACAAAAATTAGCCGGGTGTGGTGGCAGGCGCCTGTAGTCCCAGCTACTCAGGAGGCTGAGGTGGGAGAATGGCATGAACCCGGGAAGCGGAGCTTGCAGTGAGCTGAGATTGCGCCACTGCACTCCAGCCTGGGCTACGGAGCGAGACTCTGTCTCCAAAAAAAAAAAAAATAGTCTTACCTCTTAATAGTATTAGAATGGCAATTAAATCTCAACACGTTTTAATTAAATTTCAACATGAGTTTTGCAGGGGACATTCAAAGTGTAGCGCTCGCCATCTCCCATCCCAAGTACCTAAGGGCTACAACGCTGTCGCCAGAGAGGAAGTCACTGAGTGCCCACTGCCACCCCCCCACAGATGCTCGTGGTCCCCAGCATCCTTGAGCCACCAGGAGTGAGGGCTGCTGCTCCCTGAGACCTGGCTCCAAGGAGGATGCCACAGCCGCCTGCCAGCTCCGGTCTGCACCATGAGTGATGAGCGGCGGCTGCCTGGCAGTGCAGTGGGCTGGCTGGTATGTGGGGGCCTCTCCCTGCTGGCCAATGCCTGGGGCATCCTCAGCGTTGGCGCCAAGCAGAAGAAGTGGAAGCCCTTGGAGTTCCTGCTGTGTACACTCGCGGCCACCCACATGCTAAATGTGGCCGTGCCCATCGCCACCTACTCCGTGGTGCAGCTGCGGCGGCAGCGCCCCGACTTCGAGTGGAATGAGGGTCTCTGCAAGGTCTTCGTGTCCACCTTCTACACCCTCACCCTGGCCACCTGTTTCTCTGTCACCTCCCTCTCCTACCACCGCATGTGGATGGTCTGCTGGCCTGTCAACTACCGGTGAGCATGTGAAGTTCTGGGGTTCTTGGGGTTCTAAGCAGGCGTGAAAACAAAGACATATCTGGTGTGCCCATGCGCACACAGGAGTGGCCACACCTGTGGCATGCTGGGAGGGCAGGCAGGCTCAGGAGGGGCTGCTGTAAGCTGCTGGGGGCATACACGTAGCTTTGCATGGGTAGACACAAGCAGCCAATACAGAATGCTTGGAAGAGGGACGTGTGACAATGTTCACAGTATCTCCTATGCAAGGAACAAGGCCCTGCCACACTGGCTGTGCCATGACTATGATATACTGGGGGTGTGGGGTGCCTGGGTGGTGCGGATCCCCTACAGGTCCCCAGAGGCCTGGGGAGGCCCTGTGGGTGACGCCAGATCCCTCTGTTCCACCCTGCCTCATGCCAGGCTGAGCAATGCCAAGAAGCAGGCGGTGCACACAGTCATGGGTATCTGGATGGTGTCCTTCATCCTGTCGGCCCTGCCTGCCGTTGGCTGGCACGACACCAGCGAGCGCTTCTACACCCATGGCTGCCGCTTCATCGTGGCTGAGATCGGCCTGGGCTTTGGCGTCTGCTTCCTGCTGCTGGTGGGCGGCAGCGTGGCCATGGGCGTGATCTGCACAGCCATCGCCCTCTTCCAGACGCTGGCCGTGCAGGTGGGGCGCCAGGCCGACCGCCGCGCCTTCACCGTGCCCACCATCGTGGTGGAGGACGCGCAGGGCAAGCGGCGCTCCTCCATCGATGGCTCGGAGCCCGCCAAAACCTCTCTGCAGACCACGGGCCTCGTGACCACCATAGTCTTCATCTACGACTGCCTCATGGGCTTCCCTGTGCTGGTGGGTGACGGCGTCGGGTAGAGGGGCCTGTCTCTGGGACAGCCCTGGGGCTGCTCATACTCCAGGCATCAGGTGGTTGAGTCCTCAGACCCAATCCTTTGAGATGGGCTTGATCATCGTCCCCATTTTCCAGATTTGGAAACCGAGGTTCAGAGAGGTGTAAAGACCTGCCTAGAGTCAGGGCAGCCTGGTGGGACTTGAACCCACATCCGGCAACTGCAGGGCCCAGGGCCTAGCTGCTACAGTGCAGAAGAGTTTACTCCCCTTGCCCAAGGCCCATTTTTTTGTTTTTGTTTTACTTTATTTATTTATTTATTTTTGAGACAGAGTTTTGCTCTTGTTGCCCAGGCTGGATGTGCAATGGCACAATCTCAGCTCACTGCAACCTCTGCCTCCTGGGTTCAAGCGAGTCTCCTGCCTCAGCCTCCAAGTAGCTGGGATTACAGGTGCCCGCTGCCACGCCTGGCTAATTTTTTTTTTGTATTTTTAGTACAGACAGGTTTTCACCATGTTAGTCAGGCTGGTCTCGAACTCCTGACCTCAGGTGATCTGCCCATCTCAGCCTCCCAAACTGCTAGGATTACAAGCGTGAACCACTGCATCTGGCCTCAAGGGCCGTTTGATGCAGAGGTAGGATAGCATACCCATGGGTTTCCTGGTGGGTCCAGGTCCCAGGATGGACAGAGGGAGCTTTGGTGCCGTAGGTAGGTAGGTAGGGGCGCAGGATCAGGAGACAGAGCAAGGCCAGGGCGGGCCTCAAATGTCTGTTGGGGAGTTGCACTTGATACTAACGGCTGGGGAAGGCCAAGGTGAGGGCTGCTGTGAGAAAGGCCTTGCCGACAAAGGTCTGAGGTCCAGAGGGGCTGCCTGGGGTCCTCTTGGTGAAGCTGGGACCAGCTTGGCCCAAGAATGAAGTCTGGACTCAGTAGCCAACCCCTGCCCCCTGCAGGACTCTACGCCCATCCCCGAAAGGTCTGCAGTGAGACAGGGAGAGGACTGGGGCAAAGACCAGCCTGAGGGGTTTCATCCAAGCAGCAGGCAAGACTGCCTTCCCTGAGCCATTGCAGGACATGAGGACATGAGCTCCAGAATGGTGACTCGGGGGGTGGCAGCTTCAGAGTCAGGGCCTTGCTCAGGAGGCAGCCCCCACTGCCCCACCCCCAGCAGGCCTGGTTCTCCCCAGCTAAGGGTCCTCATGTGTACAGTGGGGGCTGGCAGCCCGGTCCCTGTGCAGATGGAGGGCAGGGGCTTCATGAAACAGCAGAGACCCACAAGGCACCTCGGGAGCAGAGTGGGGGCAGTGGTGGGGAGAGGCGGGGCTGGGAGGGAGTCAGAACCACCCCTGCGTCTCTTACGGACGGGGAAGAGGGTACAGCTTGTGGGGCCACTCCATGCTGCTGTTATAAAGCGTCCGGAGTCTTCACCCTCTAGAGCATGGCCTGTTCTTAGCCCATTTTCCAGATGAAGAAACTGAGCCCCAAAGGGGTTTAGCAGCTTTCTGAGGGTCACGTGGCCCACAAACGGCAGAATCAACATACCCACATCCTCCACACTTTCACTCTTTTGTGGCAGTCACTTAAGCATCACTCTTTGGGACAGAGCAACGAGGGCTATCCTGGGAGAGGAGGAATGCAGGGACCCAAAAGCAGGGGTAGGGCTGAGGAGGCCACTGGCCGGGAAGGGGGTGGTAGAATCTTGAACAGGCTTGAGACCTGGTTCTCTAAGCCTCAGTTTCCTCATCTCAAAAAGGGGATGGCAGCCGGGCACAGTGATTCATACCCGTAATCCCAGCACTTTGGGAGGCCGAGGCAGGAGGATCTCTTAAGCCCAGGAGATGGAGGCTGCAGTGAGCCATGATTGAGCCACTGCACTCCAGCCTGGGTGACAGAATGAGACTGTCTCAAAACAAAGCGGGGAGGAGGTGGTAATCCATGCCCCACTTCTCTCCATGGGCAGCCAGGAGGAAGACAGAGCAAGGCCACCCAGTGCTGCCCAGTAGCCAGGTAGCTCCCGGAAGGCGGGGCCTCCCACTGCCACGCTCCAGCTCTTTTCTCCCCAAGGGCCCCTTCTCCTTGGCAGATACCCACCTGTCAGACCTGCCGTACACATGGGGAGACCGAGACTCAGGGGGAGCTTGTGTGATGGTGGGGGGTCCTGCAGGTGCCAGGCCGAGCCCTGTGCCCACAGGTGGTGAGCTTCAGCAGCCTGCGGGCCGACGCCTCAGCGCCCTGGATGGCACTCTGCGTGCTGTGGTGCTCCGTGGCCCAGGCCCTGCTGCTGCCTGTGTTCCTCTGGGCCTGCGACCGCTACCGGGCTGACCTCAAAGCTGTCCGGGAGAAGTGCATGGCCCTCATGGCCAACGACGAGGAGTCAGACGATGGTGAGGATGGCCTGAGAGTGGCCCCAGGGAGAGTGGCGTCTAGGTTAGGTCATTGGGGTTGGCAGGAAAACGGCTGTCAGGCAACGCCACTAAGGAGGTGACTTCATTCTCAACCACCAGACACCCCGTGTCACCCCCAAATGTACTTGAATGTCCAAGGGACCTAAGCCAGGTTCCCACAGGGCACTCTCCTATCTGGCTTGGCTGCCCCAGGTTCCAAGTAATGGGATGTTCTGGTTAACAGAGAGCAGGGTAGACATGTCTGCAAGTGCTCCAGCGGAGCTCCTGGGCTCACCCCCCAACCTCAGGGATCCCCAGCAAGCTGCCCTGGGGGCTCCTGCAGACCGAGGTCCTGTCTGGATACCGTTACCAGCAATCCCATTACCCTCAGCCCAGCCCGTGCTCTGTCCAGGCACTGCCAGCCCCTTGCGTGTGTTATTTAGTCCTCCCGAGGTCACCTCTGGTCCCACCCCATGTCCTAGATAAGGAAATTGTCTCAGTGAGTGACCTCCCTGCCCAGTCTCACAGCTAAAGGGTGGCATATTTGGGATTTGAACCCAGAACCCCTCCCATTCCCTTTTCAGCTAACCAGCCCCCTACCTTGTATATGTCTGTTGGGGGATCTCAGGGGGATCCCTGGGATTCCCTCCCAGATGCCCCCAAGTTTCCATGACCCTAAGGCTCTGCCCCCCCACCCACCCCCCACCCTACAGAGACCAGCCTGGAAGGTGGCATCTCCCCGGACCTGGTGTTGGAGCGCTCCCTGGACTATGGCTATGGAGGTGATTTTGTGGCCCTAGATAGGATGGCCAAGTATGAGATCTCCGCCCTGGAGGGGGGCCTGCCCCAGCTCTACCCACTGCGGCCCTTGCAGGAGGACAAGATGCAATACCTGCAGGTGAGCGCAGGGCTGGGGGAGAGGCCGCACCTGCGGGTGACAGGGTGTCCTGAGCTCCCCGAGGCCTCTCCACTCGGAGCCCATCTCACGCCTTCTGCAGTCGCAGGGGTGGCTGTCACCATCCGAGGACGGGCTGTCCAAAGGTCACACAGCTTGTGTGGGTGGGCCCCAACCGCCACCCCCATGGTCCCTGTCACATGAGTTATCTCCTGCCGGCTCAGTATCCTCAACGAGCGCCCTCCCCAACCGACCCCAGCTGTCTGACACAGCCCTGCGGCTCGAAGAGACTGCACCAAACCTCACAGCTCCCAGCCAGACTGCCCCAGCGCGCAGCCTGGTCCCTGACCCACGGAAGGCCTTTCCCCAGGGTGGAGAAGGGTTTGTCCCCGTTTCCCAGGAGGGCAGCTCGGGGTAAAAGCCAGCCGCGTCCTGACAGGTCCCGCCCACGCGGCGCTTCTCCCACGACGATGCGGACGTGTGGGCCGCCGTCCCGCTGCCCGCCTTCCTGCCGCGCTGGGGCTCCGGCGAGGACCTGGCCGCCCTGGCGCACCTGGTGCTGCCTGCCGGGCCCGAGCGGCGCCGCGCCAGCCTCCTGGCCTTCGCGGAGGACGCACCACCGTCCCGCGCGCGCCGCCGCTCGGCCGAGAGCCTGCTGTCGCTGCGGCCCTCGGCCCTGGATAGCGGCCCGCGGGGAGCCCGCGACTCGCCCCCCGGCAGCCCGCGCCGCCGCCCCGGGCCCGGCCCCCGCTCCGCCTCGGCCTCGCTGCTGCCCGACGCCTTCGCCCTGACCGCCTTCGAGTGCGAGCCACAGGCCCTGCGCCGCCCGCCCGGGCCCTTCCCCGCTGCGCCCGCCGCCCCCGACGGCGCAGATCCCGGAGAGGCCCCGACGCCCCCAAGCAGCGCCCAGCGGAGCCCAGGGCCACGCCCCTCTGCGCACTCGCACGCCGGCTCTCTGCGCCCCGGCCTGAGCGCGTCGTGGGGCGAGCCCGGGGGGCTGCGCGCGGCGGGCGGCGGCGGCAGCACCAGCAGCTTCCTGAGTTCCCCCTCCGAGTCCTCGGGCTACGCCACGCTGCACTCGGACTCGCTGGGCTCCGCGTCCTAGGACCGCCGGCGCCTCCCCACGGACGCCAGGCAGGCCAGGCCGCTCTCCGGGGCCGCAGCACCAAAGACGCCCGCCTCCGCCCCGCGCGCAGACATGCGCCACCCCTCCCAGGGGTGAGGGGGCGTTGGCCTCAGCGTTTGTCTTCCGGCTCCTCCCAGCTGGCCTTGTCCCAGGGGCGACGGCTGCCCCGGACGACTGCGCTGGGCACCGCATGTCCCGGGCCGAGTGAGGTCGGGCCTGGGGAGCTGAGTGACATCCCAAGCTTGGGCTTGGGTAGTGAGTGACATGTGCACACGTCCAGCTGCGCCATCACCAGCCCTGCGCAACAGGACGTCGGGAGCAGGGAACCTGAGACAGGGCCACTGCGGGATCGGACAAAGCCCCGCTTTGGAGAGGCTGAGCTGGAGCCATTGGCCTCCCCAGGGGCTTTCCACCCACACTGCACCATAACCGCCACACCCTTCGGGGGGGGGGAGGGTACAGAGGGTCTCTAAGCACAGGGGTGTTCAGAGCCCGAACAAGCTTTGATCAGGTTTCCCTGCTTCCGACCTGTCCTGCCTCAGTTTCCCCATCTGTGATGAGCAGGTGACCACGTTAACTCTCAGGGCTGTTTGAAGTCTCTTGGTTGTAGGCCCTCGCCACTGAGTGGCCCAGGTGTGAGAGGTAGTCTAGAGCCCTCTGCGGCCTTTGTGGAGGTCCGTTTTCAGCATGTGGCCTGGTGTGGCTCCCTAGGCCTGAGGCCTCCCACTCTCAGTGCCCCCTGCCCCCTTGGGAACCCACACTCCACCCCAGCTAAGCACAACACTGTGGACCACCACCAATGGCACCTGAGCCACCTTGACCACCATTAGTGTCCCCACCCTCATTACTCTGCCGTCGTTGCCTGTCCCCACCACATCATCTCCCTCCATGGCTCCCACCATGACGCTGGCAGGTGCAAGCGGAGAGCACGAGGGCAGCAGGGCCTGGCCTTCCGTGTCCCTGCGTCATCCCCAGCCTCACTCCCCACCCGTGCAGGCCTGGCCAGGAAGGGATCCTGGCAGGGGCTTCCAGGTTCTCAGCTCAAGGCCTGGTCCCGGGCAGGCGTCCAACCCCTGGGAGCAATGTATTTCTTTGCCTTCCATCCTGGGCAGACCCCTTACAGGCCTGGGCATTGCCATGGGCCCTGGGTCTTCCCAGGCTAAGGAGAACCAGGAACAGCTATAACCTTGAGCTAGTGAAATAGGGTAGATGAGAAGGCTGTCTCCTCCAGACCCCTACCCCTACACAGTGGCCCCACAATATGAAGACCTGGGGTAATTCCAAGGTGAGCATAGAGCCTGCCTGTGCCCAGTTCCTTCTGGCCCTCAGGTGGCCAAGCCCATCTCTTCATCCTTCAGATAGGGTCCCACTCCCAGAAGAAGCTGCTGGGGTGGGGGTGGGAGGCTGCCTAAGCCTGTCTGTGCTTCAGAGGCCCCTCCAGTCCCTGGCTGTGGGGTAACTGGGGGTATGAGCTGTGGCCACAGGTGAGCAAGGCAGGGAACTGCAATCCAGCCCTGGCCGCGGGAGGGGCCATCTCTGGCCAATGCTGCTGTGCCTTCAAGGACTGACAAGTTACGTAGGGGCAGAGGTCGCCAGCTAGCCAGTGTCTCCTCCATCTGGGGGGCGTCTGTCCACTTGTCACCTTAGGTTTTCACTCATTTGTCACCTTGGGGTTTTGCTCTGTGTGTTTCATATCCAACGGCAATACTTGCAGGGGGACAGAGTCCTCTAAATACTCCAATCCTGCGGTTTTTACAAACATAAAGGGGGAGACCCCAAGTGGAGGACCCTGGGCCTGGAGCTCCCTCCCAAACTTTGTCCAGCATCCAGCCTGTTCCCTGGGCTCACTGGGGAGGGAGTTGTCTTCATAGCACACCCAGAGCCAGGGATCCCTTTGTAGTTTTTTGACAACGGAGCATTTCTCTTCTGTACAGGACCCAATAAAAACTTCCTTATGATTTGCACCTGGCATTCCAAGGCTGGTTTCGTAGAAAACCCTTCTACAACCCCACAGCAGGGCTGGCCAGCTGCCCTTAATGTCTTCCTCTGGAACCTGAGTTCTTCTGGTAGTGTGACATTTTTGGGGGGTTGGACTTGCTCTCTGTCTTCAGACAAATGCTCAGGTCCCACCAGCGAGTGAGGAGTGAGATGGTCCTGGAGTAGCAACAGGATGAAGCAGTGGGGTGGGCTCCACAGCCCACCAGTGGAGGAAAGGCCCTATTAGCCCAGGTGGCAACCCCTGCCCCAGGGTTGGCACCTGGGGCTGCTAGTCACCGTGAGCTTGACTGAAGAGACAGAACAGGGCAGGGCAATAGGAGCTGGGCCTAAGCTGCTTGGGACTTGTCGAGCCCCTGTCCCCCCGCGCGCCCGCCCTGGAGTTTGGAGGAAGGACCTTTGGGTCTGCAGTGCAACACCGCCACCTGGTGGACTGCAGAGGGATTTGTCCTGGCCTCTACCCCACCCCACACCGCGGGAAGCAGACCGGAGAGGCCACCCTGGACGGCGACAGCCGGGACTCCCACCCTCGCCCCAGCTCCAGCGAGCCCATTAGGTGCGACAGTGGAGCTGGGTTTTTGAAGGACCGTGGGTCCTTCTCCACGCGTTTGGACCAGGACGGGTTTAGTGCCCTGCAGGTCAGGGCCGCCCAAAAAGAGAAGAGCTTCTGTAGAAAGTTGGTATTTGTGGTTACAAAAGATGCACCTAACTAGGCATCGCAGGGGTGGGAGACATTAGACCTCTGGTGTCCTCTTGATACCGACTTCGCAGATTCGCGCTGGCTTTATTCTGAATTACAAGGTGTCGGGAGAGGGTGCCAGGATCTCTGACCCCACAACCCAAGCTGCCCCTCGCTGGCCCGGACTCCTGGGCCAGAAGCCCAGGGGAAGAAAATCTGACTTGAGAGCCTCCCACCACCGAAGTCCGTGCGCAGCAGTGACCTCATTATGGACCAATAAAGTGGCGCAGCGCGCTCCGAGAGCCGTCCAGGGATTGGATTCTCCGGCAGCCCTAGGGATCTGGAGCTGCGGGGTCTACGGGGTCCGGGCTTGGAATGTGGGCCAGGGTCTTTGTCGAGCGGAAGGCGTTCCCCTCTCCCACGAGAGGCACCGGGTTCACTTTTGCAGCCTTCAAGCTGGTGCCACCAAGCAATGGGTCCCTTCCAGGAACCGCGTGGGCGGGGCGTCCGGTTGGGGCGGTGCATCTTAGGGGCGGGGCTTCTGAGAAGGGTGGGCCTCGGGGAATGCGCCAGCCCGGTGGGCAGCACCGCTTGCGAAGGAGGTCCTTGGAAGTCAAGAGGATCCCGGGTTGGGGGAGGCTGGGGGCCCCTTGCCGGCGGGGCGGGGCCAGGCGCGCTTTGTGCCGGTGGGAACCGGGCGCCCGCGGTCCGCTGAATGGTCCGGGGCGGGGCAGCGATTCTCCTCGCTGCGAGGGGTCAGCTCTGCGCTGTTGCCAACTGCGACATTCCCACCGCTGCGCGGCAACCGGGCGGGGGTGGGGGCGGGCGGGTTGCCCGCCAGGGGTCCCTGGGAAAGGGGCGCAGCCCAGGACACCCCCTCCCAGCCCCTCCGGAGGATGGGCGGAGAGCGAGCGGTCCGGCGTGTGTAGGTGGAGCTAGAGTGGGGGTGGATTATGCCCAGACGCGCAGACCCAGTCCGGCAGGGCTGGGGGTATTTCCCTGCGCTTGCGGGGTGCGCGGCCCTCTCCAAGCCACCCCCGCCCCACGACCAGAACGGACGACTGGGGGGTCCTGGCAGTCACTGTGGGCGTGCTGAAAATAGTCCCTGTGTCGCGAGACCAAATAGGGAGCGCCTTCAGTTCAGGTCATCCCCGGGGCTTCCCCAGGGCCGCCACACGCGCAGGCCCAGCCCGGGACTCTCGGCGCAGCGACTCGACGCTGGCTGCGGCGGGGGGACGCTGGCGGACGAGCCAGGGAGACTTTCGGGGAGGAGGAGCAGGGGTGGTGGGGACCGCGGGCCGCCGGCGGCCGGAGCAGGAGCCCAGACGGCAGGGGTGCAAGGGCGGAACAGCGCGGGCGCCTCCTGGCCCAACCCGGCGCTGTCCATGGTGCTGCCGGCGGCGCTCTCGGGCACCAGGGGGCAGCGCAGGCCGCTGCCGACCTCATCTCCGCGCCGAAGGAGCTGGCTCACGCCGGGCAGGCAGCTGCGGAAGCCCGACGGTTGCTCGGCTCCCCTGGGCACAGGCCAGAGCCCTGTGGGGAAGAGCGGACGCGAGAAACAGGGAGGGGAAGAGAGGGAAGGGGAAGGGGAGGGGGAGGGAGAGGAGGGGAAGGGGGAGGGAGGGGAGGGGAGGAAGGGAGGGAGGAGAGGGGAGTGGAGGTGGAGGGGAAAGGAGGGAGGAAGCGTGTTGAGGAAGGGAAGAGGAGGGCGGAGGTCAGACGACCCGAACGTCTCCCCCGGGGTCCAGACCTACCACCCAGATTGCAATCGCACAGCCAGCCCGGGCTTTACTGCTCCTCCCTCGCCCCCTAGCGAGCTGGGGCCCCCTCCTCACCAACTGCACCTGCCTCCGAGTTGTCCTCTTTATATTTGCTGTCTTGCCATGTTGCCCAGGCTGGTCTCAAAAGCCCGGGGTCAAGCGGTCCTTGAGGTATCCCTCTTTATTTGGCCTTGTGCATCCCTGGCTCTGATCCCACAAGCCTCCCCCTCCTCCCTCCAGCCCTCCCCTATACCTTGCAAGGAGTTCTGAAGGCTTCTCATGTACTTCACGCTCAACTCCAGGATGTCGGCCTTCTCCAATTTGCGCTTCCGGATCTACCCGACCATGGAAAGGTCTATTAGACCGGCCTCCCGAGGTGGAGAGAGGGAGGTTGGGATCGTATCACCCACCCACCCCCACCCCGCCTGAGTCTCACCTGGTGCGAGTAGTGTTTCTCCAGCAGCGACTTGAGCTGCTCCAGTGACACATTGATGCGTGCCCGGCGCTTTTTCTCCATCAGCGGCTTGGAAATCTGCAGATGAACAGCCTTTAGAGTGCAGGACTGCCACCCTCCTGCCCTCGGCACCCCCCCACACCTCCCGGGGAAGGGTGCCTGCCCCTAGTCCCTCAAGACCCCAGACCTTTCGGAAGTTGCCGGGGAGGCTGCCCCGGGCAGCAGGCTCCGTGCCCATGTTGCAGTCCATGCACCAGTGCGAGGCAGCGCCGCCTTTATAGGGACCCTCGTTTACATGTCAATGAGGCCCTCTGGACTCTAGAAACCTTGAGGAGGAGGGGACCGAGGGAGGACGCACTGGGAAGCTCCCCACCTCCTTCCCTCAGCCCCCTCCCATAGCCTAGGCTTCCTCTCACCTTCAGGACCCCCCCTGTCTCCCGAGGGACCCCCCCCTCCCCTTTATCTGTCTTTTCCTTATCTCTCTGGCCTCCACCACTTCCCCAGTCTGAGGACCCCTGCCATGCCCACCCCCTCCATGCCCATCCTGTCCCAATCCCCGTAAGTTCTCCAGTCCCACTTGCCAAGTCCTTGATACCCTGGAGTGCAAGCATTCCAGGGGTCACCTACTGGGGAGGTACATGGGCCAGCTGGCCACAGGCTGCCTCACTGACTATGACAGGGCTCTGGGCTCCCTCGGGACTGATGAAGATGCCAAGGCGACGCCTCTTTATGCACTTCATGCTCTGGTTATACCCGCAACGCCGCATTAGTTGCCCTAATGTCGGGACAATGCAGCAATTTTCTGCCTGTGGCTGCTCAAAGCCAGGCACAAGCTGAGCCCGCGGGGGCCATGCAGCAGCCTGTGTCCCATTAAAGCATGCAGCCCACCCGCGGGGCCACAGCCAGCCTCATCCTTGCTGGGGCCTTGGGATTGGGAGGGGTCCTGGTGAGGGTGCAGCCTGGGTCCTGTGTTCTCTGACACTGCTAGGATCCAACGCGGACTTCCCACAGGAGGCAGGTGGGGTGAACACGGCTGCCTCTCCCTTCCTTACAGCCCTGGGCTTCCAGGCTGGGTGGCTTTGGTGGTAGACCCTGTCCCCATGGAGAAGCACTAGAAGTCTACTCCCATGAGCCTGCTCTCAGCTCCACGCACAGGTGGTGGTGGCAGGAGACCACTGACATTCTGGGAAGAGCTCCAGGCCACACTTCGAGAGATCCAGGGCCCGCACCCCAATCTATGATTCAGACTACGGCGGACCCAGTGGAGGAGGCGCCTGGAGCACTTGCCCCAGGATGGGCTAGGCCTACAGCAAGGCTCTGGGGCCATCCCCCTGGTTGGACTCCAGGAGGCTGAACTGTAGCTGCTGTGATGGACAGGAAGGCTGACCTCCAGGAAGTCCCTGGGTTCAAACCTAGACACCTCCCATGGGCCCTCATGGCTTTAGTTTTTGGGGCTTGTAAAATTATATTCTGAACAATGCAGCCCCCATTGCTTCTGAGGGTGACAGGGAAGTCGCAAAAATTCTGCAGCTGAGCCCTGTGGCAGAGGAATGAACAAACCGGCTTCTGTGTAGGGACTCAGGGTGGGGTGCGCCCCCCAGCTCTATCAAGCCAGGGCATCTCCCCCCAGCCCGCCCCCGCCTACCCTTCCCAGGATAGCGGCGTTCCCAGGCGCCAAGCAGCGTGGAGAATCGCGCCACGCCCTCCCCCTTTCAGGCCGAGGCAGCGGCAACAGCAGCTCTGGGGCTCTGTCCAGCCCGGACCGCAGGGCCCGCGGGCCAGATCCGGGCCGACCCGGGCCTGGGAGGGCGGCGGGGGCCGAGACCAGGCGGCGGGCGCTGGCACGCGCCGGGCAGCTTTGAAGCGCCAGGACCGGCCGGGCCGGGGCGTCCTCCATGCGACTCGCTCCGAGCTTGGGGCGGTGGCGGCGCGGTATAAAGGCACCGCGGGGCGGGCGGGCGGCGCGGCCGGGCACAAAAGGGGCAGCCGAGTGTTAAGGGCATTGTGCGGGCCCCACAAAGCGGCGCCCGCGCCCGCCCCCGCCCCCTCGGGGCCAAACTCCGGGCGCCCCGCCAGGCGCGGACTTCCAGCTGCTGCACATCTGCACAGAGGCCTGGCGCGCGTCGCGCCCCGGCGGGCCTCCCCCTCCCCGCGTTCTCGAGCTGCGGGGCAGCGGGGCAATTTGTCCTCTAATTACAATCCTTCCCTATAAACCGCCGCCCGCGCCTTTCAACTCGAGGGCATTAGCAAACCAATGGCCCTCCGCGCAGCTCTCGCGGCCCGCCGCTGGGTGCCGGGCCCGCCCCCTCTCCTGAGTCCGGGCCGCCATAAAGGGGCCACGAGGCTGCCCCCGCCCGAACCCCGACACCCGCCGTTCCCAGGGCCACCACCCCTCCCAAGCCCGTCCCCTGGGATTCCAGGCGCATCGGGCCGGGGGCGGGGGGACGCTCACGTGGATAGCTTAGTGTTTCTTAAGCAGTGGAAAATTGACCGCAAAATGCTCTAATTCGCAATGTTCTGCTTTGGCTGCGGGAGGCGAGGCCCGCCTCAAGGCCTGGGCGGAATTCTCAGGCGTCGCTCCGCCCTGGTCCACTGAATGGACTTCCGCCTCCGTTGCCCCCCGACCCCAACCCCGACACTGCCCGCCGCGCCCCCTGTCCTGTGGCCCGTTTTCGGTCAGTGGTCTCCCCACCTGGAATGATCCCCCTACTTTCTGACGCCCCCACCCGTGGCTCCTCCATCACAAACAGCCTCCTTGGCCCGCTACTCGCCTTACACTGGCCGAGGGTCGCGCAGGATCAAGGTGGGGAGAGATCTTGGTGCGATTTCCACCCTCCCCTTTCCCGAGCTCTGAGCCGAGTTTCTCCCCACCATCGCCACTTTACCCTCACTTCTTGCTCCTATCTCTGGGCAGCCACTTCCCCTACTAAGTTAAAGTCATTGTGCTTTGCATCTGACAAGGTCATTGGGAAAGACAGCAGACTAGTCTCTACAGGGACCCTTCCCGGAAACCCAGGCTGAAGACTCGGGGTCCACCCTCCACCCCAGCCTGTCACGCTGATTACAAGCCCTGAGTCTGGGCATCCTCGCACAGCCTCAGGCAGGCCTGGCTCCAAAGGGGCTCACAGAGACCAGGAGGTATTTTCAGAGCTGGAGGGGGAATGGCAGTGGGTTCACCCTATCCTCTGAGGGCAAGCAGGACAAAGTGCTCTCGGGCTGCCAGGAAGGGCATGGACCAACTTAGAAGCGGGGCTTACGCAAGCTGGGATGTAGGCCACCAATTCCCTTTCCATCTTTAGCATCTGGGGTCCCCAAGGCGGCCTGGAAAGGAGCACAGGTCCAGGAGGAGAAGTGGGGAGACCCAGGCCCCCCTATGCTCATTCAAGGAAAAAAACTTCCTTCTCTAACTTCTGAGGGCTCTTAGAGCCTCCAAGGCTGCTCAGGGCCCCCTCCTGTCTCATGTTGGGGAATTTAATGCAGAAAGTGACAAGTGTCTGTGCCACCCCTTCCCCCCTCATTTGGTTTTCTTGAGTTTGACAAAAAAAAAAAAAAAAAAAAAAAAAAAAGAACATTATGTCAGGTCTGGAACCAAGAGTAGGGAGAGGTTTTCGGGCCCCAGGACAAGAGCCCTACCTGCGGCCCATCCCAGAGGACAGCCGTGTGGCTCCGTGTGGCAGCCCCTTCCCTTCTGTACTTCCAGAGGTTTCAACCAGTGCTAACTGGTGAGTGCCGCACAGGCTACTGTGGATGCAGGTGACGAGGGAGAAATCTGTTGTCCCCCTCTGCAGATGCATTTCAAAGTGAAATGAAGTGATTGCTCCATGTAATTAACTATTGGGACACACAGCAAAAGCTCTGAAATGACTCAGCCAATTGTCTCCAGATGCGGTTGGAGAGGCTGCGATTGTTTAACTCTCTTTAGCTGTGTTGGGGCTCCCAATAGCCCAGCAGACAAGGGCCCTTCAGAGGACAAAGGCCGGGACTCCAGCGAGTGCATCAATGCTGACCTGGCCCAGCTCGGGGAGAGTGAATTCAGAAAGACCCCCATTGCCCTGGCCTTTTGTGTTTCTCCCCAGCTGGCTCTAATCTTTAAATATTTACCCGGCCCCTTTGTGCATATATGACTTGTGCACTTTGGGCTGATGGTGCTCATAAATTACATATCGTTTACCTGTTTTCCAGCCTAGAGAGAGGGAGCTTTCATTCCTTTAGCCTGGAATGGCCAGAGGAGGGGAAAGAAAACTTTTGGATGACAGGGATTCCCTCCTGGGAAGAGCTGCGGCCACACTGGACAGGCCCCTCCCTGCGGCCCTCTCAGCTTCCATATGGACAGGGGATGGGGCAGAGGCCTGTGAATGACTGGGAGCTGCAGGTGATTAAAAAAAATCACCAATCTGGCCAGGCATGGTGGCTCACTCCTGTAATCTCAGCACTTTGGGAGGCCGAGGCCAGCGGATCACGCGGTCAGGTGTTCGAGACCAGCCTGGCCAACATGGTGAAACCCCGTCTCTACTAAAAATACAAAAATTAGCTGGGTGTGGTGGCAGGTGCCTGTAATCCCAACTACTCGGGAGGGTGAGGCAGGAGAATCGCTTGAACCCAGGAGGCAGAGGTTGCAGTGAGCTGGGATCGTGCCACTGCATTCCAGCCTGGGCAACAGAGTGAGACTCCATCTCAAAAAAAAAAAAAAAAAAGAGAAAGAAAAAGAAGCCTAATTTCATCTCGGCCTGGAGTTTAACTTGGAAATAGCACAGTGGTTCTCAGGGTTCTCTAAAACAGGAGGTATCCACACTCGGGTCCCAGAAATAAAGCCACCTCAGCCTGTAGGCGGATGGCAGGAAGGGGAGGGAAGGGGGAGGTTGCAGAGGGACCTTCCTGCATGAGAAAGGGCTCCCTTTGTGCCTGCCTCGAAAGCTCCTAGAACAAAACACATTCAAATGCTTATTTACAAGAAAAGTCAAGCAAGGCATCCCAGGCAGAGCAGTTTTCCTTTTTTTTCTTATATTTTTGTAGGTGTGTTGTCCCCAAGCATGGAGGGCTGGGTGCACAGTGGGTCTGTTTGATCAGATTGCTTTCCTCTGTGGCGGGAAAGCAGGTCCCTGCATGGGGTCTGCGTGTTTCTGTGCATCTCCGTGTGTGTGTTTCCCTGTGTCTATGTGCAGCCCTCTGCATGTGACTTTGTTCCTCTGGTTTGATGCCCATGTGTGCTTAGATCTGCTTCCTCTCCTTTCTCCTCCATCACTGCTCTGTGAACCCTGGGCCCTGACAGATTCGGCAACTCCAGCAACTTCTGAAAATTCTCCTTCCCTGGAGTCCGGCCCCACCTGGGAGGAGACTGCTGCCTCTCCCTTCTTTCTCCCTTCTCCAAAATGGGGCTGATGAAGAGGGAGGGGCCAAGGGGAGGTGATGGGCAGAGGAGAGAGCATTGCTGTGGTTCTCCAGTCTGGTTACATATTACTCTACAACCCCGAGTGGCAACAGTCCCTGGGGGTAAATCAGGGCTGTCATACATTGAGGAGAGCAGAAGCCAGGAAGGGCTTCCCAGGCACAGTGGGTTTTGGCCCCAGGACCAGCTCCCTTCCAGGGGTGAAGGTGCGATGAGTGCCCTCTGGTGGTCCTGAGGTGTCCTGGAGCAGAGGGAGATGTCCTGAGTCTGTGGGAGACCACAGGAAACTGGCGACAGTCACAGGAGCTCTCAGCTCCCAGGAACATTCACATCCAGGCCTCCTTCCCATGTGGCACTGCAGCTGAGTGACTTTGATTTTTAAAACATTAAATCTCTTTTCAATTCCCATCCACCAAGTTTAGCACGTTTTCTGAGCACCGTTTAAACATGGTACTGGAGCTAGGCGCAGTGGTGCACGCCTGTCGTCCCAGCTACTCAGGAGGCCGAGGCAGGAGGATGGCCTGAGCCCAGGAGTTTGAGGCTGCAGTGAGCTATGATCTCGCCACTGCATTCCAGCCTTGGCAACAGAGTGAGGCCCTGTCTCAAAAAAATCAATAACTAAAATAAAATAAAGTGGTACTGGGCTTTACAGAACAAATACCAATCTGTGCCAGAGAAATAAGGATCCCCACTGTACAGGAAATGGAGGTGCATAGAATGGATTTGCCAAGGTCACAAAGCTAGGCCGCAGAGGTGAGGGGTCCGGGATTCTGGCCCAGGCTCTCCATCCAGCTTCCCAGGTACCAGAGCTCCTGCCAGGACCTGCAGGGACAAGAGTGGAGAGGGGCTCAGATGCAGGGCTCACAGACCGCCTGCCTCTCTCGCTGACCCACCACTTGATGCCAGCCTCCCCGAGGGCCTGTCCCCATCCCTTCTCAGCCTTTCTCCCTCCCGCCTCTGTGCCTTTCAAACGCCAAGCCCTCACTCCCTCCTTGATCTCATTTCCAATGGAGGGCAGGCTGTCCATCCCCAAGGGCCCCAAGGCCTAGCTCTGGCGTCTGTTCCTCGCAGCCTCCTCGCCCTGCCGCCCTCCAAGCTGAGGGCCTCCCCTGGGGTCCCTCTTTGCTCCCCATCCTTGCTCTCCTTCTGCCCCCACTGCCACCCCTGCAGAGTTTATTCCAGTTGTTCACTTACTGGCTTTTCTCCTCCAGCGCAGCTCTCTGAGCTACCTGAGGTGAGAGAATTTACTCTTTAAAAAGTAAAGAAAAACTTGATTATAAAAGTAATCTATGGGCCGGGCACGGTGGCTCATGCCTATAATCCCAGCAGTTTGGGAGGCCGAGGCGGGTGGATCACCTGAGGTCAGGAGTTTGAAACCAGCCTGGCCAACATGGTAAAGCCCCGTCTCTACTAAAAATACAAAAAAATTAGCTGGCCGTGGTAGTAGGCTCCTGTAATCCCAGCTACTCAGGAGGCTGAGGCAGGAGAATCACTTGAACCCGGAGGCGGAGGTTGCAGTGAGCCGAGATTGCGCCATTGTACTCCAGCCTGGGCAACAAGAGCAAAACTCCATCTGAAAAAAAAAAAGTATCCTGTGTTCATTGTAGGCAGTATGGAAACTGCAAAAACAGATAAAGACAATAAAAATCACCAAGAGTGCCACTACCTAAAGATAGGCCAGGGGTGGTGGCTCATACCTGTAATTCCAGTGCTTTGTGAGGCTGATTGGAGGATCACTTGGGCCCAGGAGTTCCAGACTGCCGCACTCCAGCCTGGCCAACACAGTGAGACCCTGTGTCTAAAAAAGAAAAAAAGAAAAAAAAAAGGTACATATATAGTCGGCGTTATACCATTTTGGCTGATAGCTTGATCATTTTCCCAGGCTCAGATACCTGCCCTTTTTCCCCAAGTGAAGTCAGGATCACACCGAAAAGCTTTGCCTCCTGCTATTTAAAAACCTAATATAGGCAGGGCGCGGTGGCTCACGTCTGTAATCTCAGCACTTTGGGAGGCCGAAGCGGGCGGATCACGAAGTCAGGAGATGGATCCCGGCTAACACGGTGAAACCCCGTCTCTACTAAAAATACAAAAAAATAAGACGGGCGCAGTGGCGGGCGCCTGTAGTCCCAGCTACTCGGGAGGCTGAGACAGGAGAATGGCGTGAACCCGGGAGGCGGAGCTTGCAGTGAGCCGAGATCGCACCACTGCACTCCAGCCTGGGCGACAGAGCGAGACTCCGTCTCAAAAAAAAAAGAAAACCTAACATATCCTGAGCATTCCCATCACCGTCCAGCCTTGTTCCACAACAGGAATTTAAGCGGGCGGTGGTCCCGTTGCATGGATGCCCAGGTGCCGTTGTCCAGGCCGGTTTCCAGGGAGCCGCAGAGGGAGGGCAGGAGGTCGCCGCACTTGGCCCCGCGCCCCAGGGCGTCTGGTTTTCGGGGACGACGCAGGGCCGGCGAGGGTGCGGCCGTTTCAAAATTTTTTTTTTTGAGATGGAGTGTCACTCTGTCACCCAGGCTGGAGTGCAGTGACACAATCTCGGCTCACTGCAACCTCCGTCTCCCCGGATCAAGCGATTCTCCTGCCTCAGCCTCACCAAGTAGCTGGGGTTAAAGGCGTGCGCCACCACGCCCAGCTAATTTTTGTATTTTTAGTATAGACGGCGTTTCCCCATGTTGCCCAGGTTGGTCTCGAACTCCTGACCTCAAATGATTCGCCAGCCTCGGCCTCCCAAAGTGCTGGGATTACAGGCGTGAGCCACCGCGCTCGGCTCGTTTCAAACTTTACATTGCTTCTTGGGACAGGAACCTCCTGAGTTTGGGACTAAGTTTGGACAGACGCGGGCGGCGACTTCTCCCACCACTTCCCGGCCCCCGCCCGGCACAGAGTCTGGCTCAGAGCCCGGATGTCCCCGAGGGGCGGGGAGGGGCGGGCGGGCGGGGCGCTCCCGCCAAATTCCGGACAGCAACAGGGCGGGCCGGAGTTCTCGCGAGAACTGGCAGGCGGCGCGCAGCTGCGGGCAGCTGCCCTTCCCGGGCCGGCATCGGCGGCACAGTGCGCAGGCGCAGCCGGCGCGTTTCTCCGGGCTACAGCCGGCGCCGCCGCCCGCTAGTCCGCCGCCCGGCGCCATGGCGGGCTGCGCGGCGCGGGCTCCGCCGGGCTCTGAGGCGCGTCTCAGCCTCGCCACCTTCCTGCTGGGCGCCTCGGTGCTCGCGCTGCCGCTGCTCACGCGCGCCGGCCTGCAGGGCCGCACCGGGCTGGCGCTCTACGTGGCCGGGCTCAACGCGCTGCTGCTGCTGCTCTATCGGCCGCCTCGCTACCAGGTGCAGGCCGGCGGGGGCCGGCGGGGGCCGGCGGGGCGGGCGGCGGTCCGCTTGGCGCGGCGCGTGGGCACCTTTCTCCCCGGGCCCGCAGTGGCCTCCCACGCGCGCGCTCTTCATCCGCGAGTTCAGGTCGCAGGAGGGGACCCTCTCTCTCCGGGCTCGGGCGCCCTGCACCCGAGGAGTGGGTTGTTAAATTGCAGCTTGTGCAGCTCAGCAGGTGCGCGTGGGGTGGAGTGAGCGAGCCCGCGAGTGCTTTTATGTAACTTAAGGTGCAGAGACCTACCTGCTGCCCTGTCTCAGGTCAAAGGCCCCGCAGTGACGTGGGTGGGGCTGGGCGCACAGGCCCGGGTGCCCTGACCTCATAAACTAGGCTTAAGCAGTTTTCCTACAGCCCTGAATAGTAATCACGAATAATAATAATAATGACAGCTAAAATGTAGGTAGCAGTTAGTCTTAAGTGTTTTACGTGGGTAATCCTTACTGCAGTCCTAAAAGGTAGGTACTGTTATCCCCTGGCTGTAGATGGGGAAGCAAGCTCAGAGAGGTTAAATAATTTGGGAGGCCACACAGCCAGAGAGCGGTGGGTGCAGAATTTGAACCCAGGTCGCCCACTTCTCCCTTTCAACCTCAGCAAATCGGCTCTATCTGCTTGCCTGTGGGTTGCCTATTCCGGGAAGGTCAGCAGCCCAGATCTGTACTCTGAGGACTGTGAATGACTGAGCTTCTCTTGGGTTCCTTTCAGATAGCCATCCGAGCTTGTTTCCTGGGGTTTGTGTTCGGCTGCGGCACGCTGCTAAGTTTTAGCCAGTCTTCTTGGAGTCACTTTGGCTGGTAAGAATTCCTTCGGAAATACTGGTTTTCAGGCGAGGGTGGACAGATCAGAGGGTCTGTAGCGGCATTTCCTCATCCCTGTCTCATCTGTGACCGGCAGAAGGCTGTTCAGGGTTCTCTGGAAACGAAGTCTCCTGGCTTCCCCCTAGTTGCTCACATTTCAGCCCTTGTGATTTCGTGCCTGTGGGTTGATTGTGAATCAGGCAGAAACAGATCTCCCTGGCACCCCCAAAGGTGCTGTCATCCGCAGCTGTGGTGACAGCATTCCGTAACTTGAGCAGCCCTTCCCGGAAGGGGTGCAGGTCCTCGGTGGCGGGCAGGGGCAGGGCTCTGGCTTGTCTTCATGGGCCTTTTTCATCTCTAATTTCTATTAGGTCACATCTAGTGCATCCCCACAGCCACTGTAGGATTTTTCCCTACACTATGATTTCAGTCCCTTGAGCCTTCTAGTCTGACCTGGATATGAACCAGTGGCTTCAAGGTAAAAAGTTTTATCTCCTCTTATCAATATTTTGAGCCATCTAATCCTTCTTTGCCGGAATTATTTCAGTTTTGTTAAATTTTGTATCCGACATACATCACTCCTTTATGTTGTTATCTCCCTCTTTCATGTTTTATTGTGTGTAGTGTCATTTTTAACGGACAGAAGGGCCCATAATGCCTCTGTGACCTATGGGTTTGTTTTGCCTGTGACATTCAAAAACAGTCCCTTGCCGGGCGCGGTGGCTCACGCCTGTAATCCCAGCACTTTAGGAGGCCGAGGTGGGCAGATCACGAGGTCAGGAGTTCAAGACCAGCCTGGCCAAGCCAGGAGTTCGAGACCAGCCTTGCCAACATAGCGAAACCCTGTCTCTACTAAAAATACAAAAATGAACTGGGCGTGGTGGTGGGCACCTGTAGTCTGAGCTACTTGAGAGGCTGAGGCAGGAGAATCGCTTGAACCTGGGAGGCGGAGGTTGCAGTGAGCTGAGATCACGCAGTTGCATTCCAGCCTGGGCGACACAGCGAGACTCTGTCTCAAACAAAACAAAACAAAACACCAGAAACAAAAACAGCCCCTTAAAAACTCCACTTTTTGCAAACCTGAGGTAGTAGATGCTGCAGATGGGTACCTGTGTCCACTCTCAGACAGGTGAGAACAGGGCCTCATAGACTTAGGGACAGCTCAGGAGACCCAGATGTGCACTTATGGTTAACTTGGTTCTCTTGTCCCAACTTAACTCTCTTTTTGTCTTTAAATAGGTACATGTGCTCCCTGTCATTGTTCCACTATTCTGAATACTTGGTGACAGCAGTCAATAATCCCAAAAGTCTGTCCTTGGATTCCTTTCTCCTGAATCACAGCCTGGAGTATACAGTAGCTGCTCTTTCTTCTTGGTTAGAGTTCACACTTGAAAATATCTTTTGGCCAGGTTCGTGTGCCTTATGTCCCCCTCTGGAGGGGAAAAGGGTGGCTCCCATTCAGGCTGAGGACAGTGACATTGATTCACCTTTCAGGTCTAATCTCCCCCAAGCGATTTTCCGCAGACCTCTATCCTCACTAAGCTATTTATAAAGGATGAGCTCCGCTCATGAATTCTGCCTCTGGATATTGACTCGAGGACGTGCTGACCTTTTGCTTTAAAGTTTGCATCACATAGTGCACCATCTAATTTGAAGCCCCAACCTTGAGTAGTTGTGATTCTAATTTTATAATCAGATGATATTTAGACGTTTCATGTAAGAGTTTACTGGCCGGGCACGGTGGCGAACGCCTGTAATCCCAGCACTTTGGGAGGTCGAGGCGGGTGGATCACAAGGTCAGGAGTTCGAGACCAGCCTGGCCAATATGGTGAAACCCCGTCTCTACTAAAAATACAAAAAAGCCAGGCGTAGTGGCACATGCCTGTAATCCCAGCTACTCGGGAGGCTGAGGCAGGAGAACTGCTTGAATCCGGGAGGCGGAGGTTGCAGTGAGCCGTGATCGCGCCACTGCACTCCAGCCTGGGTGACAGAGCGAGACTCCCATCTCAAAAAAAAAAAAAGAGTTTACTAACAAGGTCGGGTGCAGTGGCTCACGCCTTTAATCCCAGCACTTTGGGAGGCCGAGGTGGGTGGATCACATGAGGTCAGGAGTTTGAAACCAGCCTGACCAGCATGGTAAAACCCCGTCTCTACGAAAAATACAAAATTAGCCGGGCCTGGTAGTGCATGCCTGTAATTCTAGCTACTTGGGAGGCTGAGGCAGGAGAATTGCTTGAACCCAGGAGATGGAGGTTGCAGTGAGCTGAGATTGTGCCATTGCACTCCAGCCTGGGCAATGAGAGTGAAACTCCGTCTCAAAAAATAAAAGCCTCCGTATGTGGAATGCACTCTGAAATTGAATGTCTCACAGCCAATGAAATGAAATACATGTGGCTCCTGGGATTCAGGGTGGAAACCTTGGACCCTTTTTTGCTTCTCTTAGCTATACTTGTCCCCAGATGAAGGACTGAGCATGTGGCCGGGGGTCGTGAACCAGAGAGCCCATCAGCTGTAGCAGGAGAGCATCTCTTTACCATGATGCTTTCATTGTGCTTATTGGTGTTTTAAAGTAAATTGATGAACAGCATAACTTAGGGGAATGTGTTTTCTTATGAAATTTTAATGTGATGACAAATGCTGATTGCCCAGCAGCACATTTTCTGTTTCTGTCTTCGGGAAAATAGGTTAATTTTAAGCAGTGCGAAGGGGAGCTCAGGCCAGTGTTTTCACTCCCCGTGTGTCGTTGATGTCTCTCTCCCACAGAACTGAAGCAGATTACCTGGCTCAGTGTCACAGGGCTGCTGATGGTGGTCTTCGGAGAATGTCTGAGGAAGGCGGCCATGTTTACAGCTGGCTCCAATTTCAACCACGTGGTACAGAATGAAAAATCAGATACACATACTCTGGTGACCAGTGGAGTGTACGCTTGGTTTCGGCATCCTTCTTACGTCGGGTGGTTTTACTGGAGTATTGGAACTCAGGTATAATATTAAATATGACACTGCTTTTCTTTTTTTTTTTTTTAAGTAACATTTTAAACGTGATATTCACGTAGCATAAAAGTCACCATTTCAAAATATACAATTAGTGGTTTTCAGTGTATTCATGAGGTTGTTGGTCTCCTTTAAATAATAGGTACATGTTCTTCTTGGCGCGTTTCAAGTGATAATTTAATAAAAGTCAAGAGAACTAATGTAGTCCTTAATGCTTTTCACTATGTGCCCAGAACCTGGGTGCGTAAGTCCTTGGTGATTCTTGGTGCTGTTAGCTACCTGCTGTATCCCTTCATCCTGTTTCTGCCTCTGTTTGTTTGTTTTCTTTTTTCTTTTTTTTTTTTTGGTAGAGACAGGGTCTTACTGTGTTGCCTGGGCAGGTCTCAAACTCTTGGCCTTAAGTGATCCTCCCACCTCAGCCTCGCAAAGTGCTAGCATTATAGGCATGAGCCATTGTGCCTCTCCCTTTCTCTGCCCCTTCAACCTATTAATAGATCTGAAGCACCCCAGAGGGGGTGAGGACAGAGATGGGGCTTAGGGAAGGGAGTGCCCTCTGTCACTCATGTGGCAGCTTGGCTAGTTTTCATCAGAAATAGGTATTAATGGGGCCGAGGCCATGTGTTAGTGAGCTGTGTGAGCCATGGAGGTTTGTTCTGTCTCAGGCTGAAGAAAAGGCCTTGTTTCGTTTCTTTTCTTTTCTTTCTTTCTTTTTTTTTTTTGAGACCTAGTCTTGCTCTGTTGACCAGGCCAGAGTGCAGTGGTGCGATCTTGGTTCACTGCAACCTCTGCCTCCCAAGTAGCTGGAACTGTAGGCACGAACCACCATGCCTGACTACTTTTCGTATTTTTTTTGTAGAGACAGGGTTTCTCGAGTTGCCCAGAGCCATCTTGAACTACTGAGCTCAAGCAGTCTGCCTTCCTGGGCCTCTCAAAGTGCTGGGATTACAGGCTTGAGCTACAGTGCCTGGCCTTTTTTTTTTTTTTTTCCTTTTTGAGATGGAGTCTCACTCTGTTGCCCTGTTGCCCAGGCTGGAGTGCAGTGGCATGATCTCAGGTCACTGCAACCTCTGCCTCCCAGGTTCAAGCGATTCTCTTGCTTCAGCCTCCTGAGTAGCTGGGACTACAGGCGCCCGCCACCACACCCGGCTAATTGTTTGTATTTTTAGTAGAGATGAGGTTTGACTGTGTTAGCCAGGATGGTCTTGATCTCCTGACCTCATGATCTGCCCGCCTCGGCCTCCCAAAGTGCTGGGATTATAGGCATGAGCCACCGTGCCCAGCTTTTTTTTTTTTTTTTTTTTTTAAAGACAGGATCTTGCTGTGTTGCCCAGCCTGGAGTGCAGTGTTCTGATCATGGCTCACTGCAGCCTTGACCTCCTGAGCTCAAGTGATCCTCCTACCTCAGCCTCCCAAGTAGCTGGAATACATTACAGGTGTTGCCACCACGTCCGGCTAATTTTTAAATTTTTTGTAGAGGTGGTTCTCCTGGACGGTTGCCTGTAATCCCAGCACTTTGAGAGGCTGAAGTGGGTGGGTCACTTGACATCAGGAGTTTGAGACAAGCCTAGCCAACATGGCAAAACCCCATCTCTATTAAAAATACAAAAATTAGTTGGGCCTGGTGGCACATGCCTATAGTCTCAGCTACTCGGGAGGCTGAGACCTGAGAACCGCTTGAACCTGGGAGGTGGAGGTTGCAGTGAGCTGAGATTGTGCCACTGCACTCCAGCCTGGGTGATGGAGTGAGACTCTGTCTCAAAAAAAAAAGAGATGGTTCCTCCTTTGTTGCCCATGCTGGTCTTGAACTCCTGGGCTCAAGCCATCCTCCTACCTTGGCCTTCTAAAGTGCTGGGATTAGGCCAGGCATGGTGGTTCTTACTTATAATTCCAGCTAGTCGAGAGACTGAGGCACAATATTTGCTTGAACCTGGGAGGCAGAGGTTGCAGTGAGCTGAGATCACGCCACTGCACTCCAGCCAGGGTGACACAGCAAGAATCTGTCTCAAAAAGAAAAAAAGAAAAAGAAGTGTAAGGATTATAGGTGTGAGCCACTGCACCTGCTCTATGTGTGTGTGTGTGTGTGTGTGTGTGTGTGTGTGTGTGTGTATTTTTTTTATTTATGTATGGTTTTTTGTTTTGTTTTGAGGCAGGGTCTCTCACCCAGGCTATAGTGCATTGGCATGATCATGGTTTACTGCAGCCTCTACCTCTTGGGCTCAAGTGATCCTCCCACCTTAGTCTCCTAAGTATCTGCCCAGGCTGGAGTGCGGTGTCACAATCTCGGCTCATTGCAACCTCCGCCTCCCGGGTTTGAGTGATTCTCCTGCCTCAGCCTTCTAAGTAGCTGAAACTACAGATGTGTGTCATCACACCTGGCTAATTTTTGTATTTTTTAATTAATTTATTTTTTTGAGATGGAGTTTCACTCTTGTTGCCCAGGCTGGAGTGCAATCATGTGATCTCAGCTCACTGCAACCTCTGCCTCCCGGGTTCAAGCGATTCTCCTGCCTCAGCCTCCTGAGTAGCTGGGATTACAGGCATGCGCCACCATACCCGGCTAATTTTGTATTTTTAGTAGAGACGGGGTTTCTCCATGTTGGTCAGGCTGTTCTCGAACTCCCAACCTCAGGTGATCTGCCTGCCTTGGCCTCCCAAAGCGTTGGGATTACAGACATGAGCCACCATGCCCAGCCCCTGGCTAATTTTTGTATTTTTGTAGAGACGGGGTTTTTCCATGTTGCCTAGGCTGGCCTCGAACTCCTGCGGTTGAGTGATCTACCCGCCTCGGCCTCTCAAAGTGCTGGGATTACAGGCGTGAGCCACCACATGTATTTCTTTTTCTTTCTTTTTTTTTTTTGAGACAGAGTCTCACTTTGTCGCCCAGGCTGGAGTGCAGTGGTGCGATCTTGGCTCACTGCAACCTCCACCTCCCGGGTTCAAGTGAGTCTCCTGCCTCAGCCCCCGCGAGTAGCTGGGATTACAGTTGTGCACTACCTCGCCCAGCTAATTTTTTGTATTTTTAGTAGGTTTAGTAGGGGTTTCACTGTGTTGGCCAGGCGGTTCTCAAACTCCTGACCTCAGATGATCCACCCGCTTCAGCCTCCCAAAGTGCTGGGATTACAGGCGTGAGCCACTGCATCCAACCCGCATATTTCTTTTTTAAAATTACTATTTGGCTAGGCACAGTGGCTTTGGGAGACCAGAGCAGGAGGATTGCTTGAGGCCAGGAATTAGAAACCAGCTTGGCTGGCCGGGCATGGTGGCTCATGCCTGTAATCCCAGCACTTTGGGAGGCTGAGGCAGGCAGATCATGAGGTCAGGAGATCAAGACCATCCTGGCTAACACAGTGAAGCCTCATCTCTACTAAAAATACAAACAATTAGCCTGGTGTGGTGGCACGCATCTGTAGTCCCAGCTACTTGGGAGGCTGAGGCAGGAGAATGGCGTGAACCCGGGAGGCGGAGCTTGCAGTGAGCCGAGATCGCGCCACCGTACTCCAGCCTGGGCGACAGAGCGAGACTCCATCTCAAAAAAAAAAAAGAAAAAGAAACCAGCTTGGCCAACATAGTGAGAACCCTTCTCTCCAGAGGAAAAAACTAAAAATATATCTGGAAGTTGTAGTGTGCACCTGTAGTCCCAGCTACTCAGGAGGCTGAGGCAGGAGGATCGCTTTGATTGCTGCTGTACTCCAGTCTGGGCAACAGAGTGAGACCCTGTCTTAAAAACAGAAAACAAAATTATTTATTTGTGTATTAAAGATGAGATCTCGCTGTGTTGCCCAAGCTAGTCTCAAACTCCTGGGTTCCAGCAGACCTTCTGCTTTTGTCTCCTGAGTAGCTGGGACTATAAGTGTGCACCACCATGCCCAGCTAACTTTTTGTTTTTTGTAGAGATGGGGTCTTAGTGTTGCCCAGGCAGATTTTGAACTCCTGGGCTCAAGCAGTCCTCTCACTGCAGCCTCTCAAAATGCTGGGATTACAGGCATGATCCACCATGCCCAACCCAAAGCCTTATTTCTTTTTTTTTTCTTTTTGAGACAGAGTCTCGCTCTGTCGCCCAGGCTGGAGTGCAGTGGCGCAATCTCGGCTCACTGCAAGCTCCGCCTCCTGGGTTCACGCCATTCTCCTGCCTCAGCCTCCTGAGTAGCTGGGACTACAGGCGCCCGCCACCATGCCTGGCTAAATTTTTTGTATTTTTAGTAGAGACGGGGTTTCACTGTGTTAGCCAGGATGATCTCAATCTCCTGACCTCATGATCCACTTGCCTCAGTCTCCCAAAGTGCTGGGATTACAGGCGTGAGCCATCGCGCCTGGCCGCCTTATTTCTTGAAACTGTTTCTTGATTCTTTACTCTTGGTCCTAGAAAAACTTGGCCAAAGAATGTGAATAGATCTTGGAAAATTCACGAAGTGTTTGGGAAAAGTCTCCAAGTCTTTGGGCAAATCCAGAGATCTCTCAGGCATCCCATCAGCAATGCATGGTCCTTGGTGACTCTGGTGACCCCTAACGGTATAGGTGGGGCAAATGATCACATAGCATTTACAATTTTTGTTTCTGAAACATGTAAAACCGCCACATTAACAATCACCTTCCCTGGGAACAAATTAGTTATGACTGAATAATGTAATTTGCCATAAATGCTTGCTTCCTGTATATGTGTGTGCACTAGAACCAAAGGGTTTTCCATACCTTTTTGCCCATAGATTTTTTTTACATTGTGCTCCAGCACTTGTGTGTGTATGAAAGGAACATGTCTTTCCTGATATAATACTTACACTTACTGTTTACAAAATCCTGTTTTCTATCTTATTATTTCAATACTGTTCATAATGTACTAAATGATTTCATGGCTTAGTAACAGGCTGCAGCCTGCTATAGAGAACTCCCACTGTAGGGTATCCCCAGCAAGCTATGCCAGATGTGAGGGTACAGGCCCCGGAGTCACTGACTGGGCCAGTCCTGATTCTGACATTCACTGCTTGGCCTCCTTCTCCTCTCATGTTAAAGTGGGGGCAGCTAGACATAGTGGCACATGCCTGTAGTTCCCCCTACTCTGGAAGCTGAGGCAGGAGGATGGCTTGAGGCCAAGAGTTCAAGTCCAGCCTGGGCAATATAGTGAGACCCTGTCTTTAAAAAATAATAAAATTTTAAAAAAAACAAAGTGGGGATAGTAGCGTGCCCTCAAAGGTTTGCCATGAGAGTTGAACAGGGTAATGATTGTAAAGGGCTTAGCATGGCGCTGGGAACATAGTAAGTGCTCAATAAGAGAAGGTGTGAGAGGTCAGGACATGAGCCTGGCTCTCCGGGTGGCTGTATTGGAGCCTAAAATATATATTCAGAAAACATACAGAAAATGTATGTTGGGGAAGATGCACATCCACAGGGGACCAGTGGGCAGGTGTAGGTGAGTGGTTCCCTGAGGAGCTGGGGAATGCTTTTGGCCTTGAAGGACTGTTTGGCTGGAGATCAGTGGGAAGGATGTTCTTTGTTTTTTTTGAGAGGGAGTTTCGCTCTGTCGCCCAGGCTGGTATGCAGTGGCGATCTCAGCTCACTGCAACCTCTGCCTCCTGGGTTCAAGCAATTCTCCTGCCTCAGCCTCCCAAGTAGCTGGGATTACAGGCTCCCACCACTACGCCCAGCTAATTTTTCTATTTTTGGTAGAGACGGGGATTCGCCATGTTGGCCAAGCTTGTCTCAAGCTCCTGACCTCAGGTGATCTGCCCTCCTTGGCCTCCCAAAGTACTGCAATTAACAGACATGAGCCACCGTACCTGGCCAGGATGTTCTTAAAGGTGGAAGAAAGGGCCAGGAGTTCGAGACCAGCTTGGGCAACATTGTGAAACCCCATCTCTACAAAAAATACAAAAATTAGCTGGGTGTGGTGGCATGTGCCCTTAGTCCCAGCTACTTGGGAGGCTGAGGTGGGAGAATCACTTGAGCCCAAGCAGTTAAGGCTGCAGTGAGCCATGATCACGCCACTGCACTCCACGTGACAGAGTGACAATCTGTCTCGGGGGAAAAAAAAGAGGCAAAGTGGGCACAGCGTGGGGAGGGCAGGAGACTGGGGAAGTGGGCGAAGTGCTGCTCTTCTGGGGTTGGAAACCCAGACTCAGGGGGTGGGGTTCAGTCTCTGGAGCTCTCTGAGCGTGGAGGTAATCTGCTGGAAGGGGCATTTCGGAAGCTGAGTTTTGTGGCACTGTATCTCGTGCTGAAGCAGAGGCTGTGGGTTTAGGAGGCAGAGGCCCAGGCAGCTGTGGTGTAAGCGAATGCATTTGTGGTGGGAGGGTCCTGGGCAGGAAGGCAGCGTGCATGGGACCTCATGTTGGGGAGCTCACACCTGGAGGTGGGGGGCATTGCTGTCACCCCAAGCTGAGGGTTGAAATCCAAGAGGTTGATCTTGTGATTTACAGATCTCTCTCATGTAAGAGGAGCAACAGGAAAGCACGTGAGAAAGGCCTGCAGCACTGAGTGCTCAGGGCTAAGGTGACAGTACTGCTCCCAGAGACCCTGACGGTCTCAGCAGGGCATGGGCACAGAAATCCTCTGGGTATTAGAGACAGACGCCTACCAAAGCACAGGGCGTCATCCCACGGTCACCCTGATGAGCCTGGTGTCTCCCTCTGTTAGGTGATGCTGTGTAACCCCATCTGCGGCGTCAGCTATGCCCTGACAGTGTGGCGATTCTTCCGCGATCGAACAGAAGAAGAAGAAATCTCACTAATTCACTTTTTTGGAGAGGAGTACCTGGAGTATAAGAAGAGGGTGCCCACGGGCCTGCCTTTCATAAAGGGGGTCAAGGTGGACCTGTGACGGGCAGTGGCCCCGGTGACCTTGGGGCCTCCGACCCTGTGCAGCCTGGGACAAAACTGTTTCCGGTTGGCCGCTGCCACATGGATTTTCTTAATCGTTTTATGTCATTAGTCACTCTTCTGGAATGTCACTCAAGACCAAGCGGTCAGAAGGCCTGAGGACCCAAGGCCCCACTGGAGCAGTCTGTCCTTATGCCGAATCAAGGCGGAACATGGGTGAAAGACGAGTAAGGGGCAAATCACAGCAATATTCCACAGCGCCCTCCAGAGTTACCTGGGGAGGACCGAGGCCACACGCCACTGCCCCCGAGGCCAGAGTGTAAGTAAAGGATAACCAGGACTCGCTGGGAGAGATGGACTCTGTCCTCAGCAACACTCCACAGCAGAAAGGGGTAGCAGGTACCCCTTCTTATCAGCGGTAAAAATGCATTTACAACCTTTCATTTAACCGAAAAACACAGACCGCTTTAACCTCTTTATTTCTGTCCCCCACTGCATGAACATCTATACAATTTTAAAAATACTTCCTCATAGGATGCTTTGGCCCTTCATCTATTTAATCATAGCTACATACCTATTTTTTATAAGTAGCAGTACACATTCAAAGGGGTATTCCTAGCTCAATGCTTGGTGTTCTAGTTCAACTTTTATCCTGCAGCAAGTAAGCCTAGATAACTCTACACGATTTGGCTGAGTGGCTTTGTGTGACCGTGGCCCCAGGCCAAGGGGATCATGGCCCTGGCTGGCTTTCCCGGGGGTCTCAGCTCCTGTTGTCAGTGATAGGCGGCTCAAAGGAGCATCAGTTTCTTTTGATCCAAGAAGTGCTTACTGAATGCCTGCCCTGTGCGTGGCCTTAAACATTGAGAAGTGCTGCTCTCCGTTTATTTGGGATTTGATTCTCATTTTACCATAGCTTATATTCTCAATTTCAATGCCAGTCTCAGAACTCTTGTTTTCTGTGTTCTGTTCTCAAAATTACATTGTCCCTCATGTCATTTCAAACTGTTTTCCAAAGGGATTTGAGCATATACAACTACAAATCCAAGCAGATTGACTCTCAAAAATAATCTTAAATACTGCAAATAGTCCCAACTAAGATTCAGTCAGTATGTTTGTTTTGCAAGTTTGGGAGAGTAAGTTGGCTTTGAGTCACACATCGAAGCTTTAAGAGGTGAGACGCTGGCTTCATTCTGGACTAGACAGGAACTTGGCCTCAGCGTGAGATCCTGCCATGCAGTGTTGCGGTGGCACTGAAGAAGTGTGAATGTGAAGGCGGCGTCGGCGCGGGGCCAGAGCACCACTCTGCTGCCCCACCACGCGGCCTGTGAGGAGCCACTAAACCTTTCCGTGCCTAGACCTCCCCATCTGTGGAATGGGGTCAATACCACCTACCTCACAGGGGTGTTGTGAGGACTGAGAAGAACAATGTCAAATGTTTTTAATACTCAGATGTGGGAGCGACATCAATGAAATCTGTACTGTATGAAAGCTACACAAAAATGGGCAGACATTTGGTTAATTGTGCCAGATACCTAAAATGTATGTTCAGAAAAGCATTTTATCAACTCAGAAATATGACTTATTTCTAGATTTCATGGCTTAATGAATTTTTTCATTGTTATATATACCAAAGAGGCTTACGGGTTCATTGATTGGTTTGAAAACCAGACAGACGGCCGGGCGCGGTGGCTCACGCCTGTAATCCCAGCAATTTGGGAGGCCAAGGCGGGTGGATCATGAGGTCAGGCGTTCGAGACCAGCCTGGCCAACATGATAAAACCCCGTCTCTACTAAAAATACAAAAAAATAGCTGGGCGTGCTGGCGGGTGCCTGTAATCCCAGCTACTCAGGAGGCTGAGACAGGAGAATCCTTTGAACCCAGGAGGCGGAGGTTGCAGTGAGTTGAGATCGGGCCTTTGCACTTCAGTCTGGGCAACAGGGCGAGACTCCATCTCAAAAAACAACAACAACAACAAAAAAAACCGGACGGACTTGCCCATCGGCCCTCACGACACGCGTGCAGTGGGACTCTAGCCAAGGCGGTGGCCGAGCCATCATTACAATTTTTCTGGAGTAAAGGATCCACGGTGGGACATCAACTGGCACTTACTCTGTTTAGGAACTTGAGTTGAATCATTTCTAAACTTGTCCTTTAGACCACGCCTAGGGCAGCAAATTCCACTTCCTAGAACTGCAAACCGGGAGAGGATGTAGTTAGATTCTGGCATCCTGCCCCGGCTCTTTGAGGGAAAAGTTCTTTCCCCTGCTCTAAGTAGGGCGGGCCCAGCCTCCATTCCCATTGGGAGCCATGAAGTTGTCTTGTTGATAGGTCTAGGGCAGCTGTTGGCAGCTGCTGGCCTTGTGGATGGTAAGCTGACTGTGTTGGCATTTAATGCCATCCTCCATCTGCCAGAGGCCCAGGAAGCCCACCTTCACACCAGGCCCACCAGCTGGAAGGAGCCCAGGAGGCAGGTCTTAGGGTTTCATGGTGAAATGCTGTCTGACACCAGGGAAAACTTGACGTACTCTGCTTTGGAGAGGAATTCCAGGGGTAGGGATGGTGGGAGAACATTCCCACCCTGTTTATAATCCCAGAGCAGAAGTCAGCAATTACTTAGGGATAAAAGATGAACTCCATTTTTTTTATTTTCTTAAGACAGTCTTGCTCTGTGGCCCAGGCTGGAGGCTGGAGTGCAGTGGCACCATTTCGGCTCACCGCAACCTCTGCCTCCCGGGTTCAAGCGATTCTCCTGCCTCAGCCTCCTGAGTAGCTGGGATTACAGGCTTGGGCCACCATGCCCAGCTAATTTTTTTGTATTTTTAGTAGAGACGGGGTTTCACCATGATGGCCAGGCTGGTCTCGAACTCCTGACCTCAAGTGATCCACGCGCCTCGGCCTCCCAAAGTGCTGGGATTACAGGCGTGAGCCACCACGCCCAGCCAAGATGAACTCCTTAAGGACAGGATTTGGTAAGTGATTGACTTCTTTTTAGTTCCATGATCTTGAGATTATTTTTAGCTTTATAAATTTAGCAGTGGCAGGGCCCGTGGAGAATCAGGTTAATGAGGTAAAGGCTTTCTGGGTATTTGCTGCCAAGGCCACATCACCAATTTTCTCGATTTAAAAAACTGTCAAGAGATTTATTTTTCCATTGCAGGTTTTAAAGTGGAGATTCTGAAGTGGAAAATAGGTACTGTCAGAACAAAGCTACCTGGAAACAGCATAGAGTGAAGCCTTTCGTGAGGGCTTGCAGGCCGCTGCTGAGTGGCAGTTTACAGAAGAGGTCGCGGGGTGAGCCTCTTAGCAGGACAGAAAACAAGGCAGCAGCGCACCTGCCACCCCTTCACGAGCTGCTCCTTGAGCCTAAAAAGTAGGCTTTATTCATCCCTTCTGTTCATTTACCAACCTGGGGGATTGATACGACCGGGGAAAATGTTCCTAAACCAGGAAGCTGCGTTAGCCGATCAGGCTTTGTAAGATCTCGCCAACAGCTAGCTGCTTAGGAGTACCCCCACGATACGCACAGCACACCACTGTCCCTTCACTGCACTTTCTTCCTGCCTTAGGTAGTTGGGCTTGCCCACCCTAGTTTGCTTTTGTAGTGGTTTGGCAAGGTTAGAAGGCCTCGGCCTCTCTGTCATGCTGGGAAGTGCCTACTCTCTGGGCCACTGCTGCAGAGGCCGTGGCACTTGTCATGGGTTTGGAAGACCCAGCCATCTGCAGCAGAGGCAGCCTATCCCATTGCAAGGAGAGGAACTGAACGGAGTAATTATTCTACTCTTCTTTTTACATAAATGTTTATTTAAATATTCTAAATTGGATTTTCTTTCACAGATACTGATTATTCTTTCCAGTTCTTAAATAAAACTGCACTTGATTTCACTCAACCACAGTGTGATTGTCTGGGATGTGAAACTCTGAGGTCACTCTTGGGTAAGAAGCGTCTTAAGCCTTTAGCCTCAAACGACGTGTGTTTGGCCTCCTCAATTTCTTTCTGAATTCCTACCTCTAACCAGTTGTAATGATAATTCCTTTTGCCCTGCAGGCCACCACATAGGTTTGTAAGGCCTTGGAACAGGAGCCTCAGTGCCCCTGAAGTAGCAGGTGCAGGGACAGTGGACGTCAATGTGAGTGATGTGTTATGTGTTGAATGTGCTGCCATGTTAGCACGTAGACCCATTTGCTGTTAATCACTGAATCAAGCTGAATATTTGCTTAAATGTGACTATCTGGGCATCATTTTGCCACAAAAACTTGTAAAATTTTACGTCACGTGGGTTACTTTTTAAAAAGCATTTATTAAGCTCCTCTAAATGAAAAGGATACTGTGGAGAAATGGAAAACTGCTGGGAAAAAACTACTAGAAAAAAGGTTGCTGCCACCCAGTGCCTTGCTATCAACGGAAGTCGGACTCAGGAGGGCTGCAGGAGTTTGGGAAAGCAGCGAAGTTGTAACTGAGACCATCTGCCACATAAGCTGGCCAGGTGCTAACCCCTGGCTTTAGGAGCTCTGCCCTTGCTGGAAAGGGAGAGAAGCTGGAGCAAACGTTCCTCATCCTTCCATGAGTCACTGCTCAGATTACTGTGTGGAACTTCCCAGTAGCACCAGGTTAACAGTGGGACTGTTATTCCGGAGGAACTGGATTCCTTTGCAATAGGGCAGGTGCCACTCAGTGGTGGAGTCTTGTTACCTAAAACCGGCACACCCTGACATACCACACTCTGCCCAGCACAGGGCCTGGCACACCGACGCTCGGTGCGTAGGTGTGGAACTAGCGAGGGATTTCTTGCTGGATTGTCACTCCCTGATGTTTTCCATGTGGACTGGGAGTCATCCCAAGCTACTGTGACAAGGACGAAGACTTCATGCCATGCAAACACGGGGAAAATCAAAACTGCCCAAGCCAAAGGATCTGAAATTATGGCCTGTCAGAGCTTCTGGGTTTTACTCTTGACAAATGATTACCTTTTAAAGAAATAACCGGCCGGGCACAGTGGCTTACCCCTGTAATCCCAGCATTTTGGGAGGCCGAGGTGGGCGGATCACCTGAGGTTGGGAGTTCGAGGCCAGCCTGACCAACATGGAGAAACCCCCTCTCTACTTAAAATACAAAAAATTAGCCGGGTGTGATGGTACATGCCTGTAATCCCAGCTACTCTGGGGGCTGAGGTAGGAGAATCGCTTGAACCTGGGAGGCGGAGGTTGCGGTGAGCCAGAGATTGCGCCATTGCACTCCAGCCTGGGCAACAAAGAGTGAAATTCTGTCTTAAAAACAACAACAACATTGGCCAGGCGCGGTGACTCACCCCTGTAATCTCAGCACTTTGGGAGGCTGAGGCAGGTGGATCACCTGAGGTCTGGCGTTTGAGACCAGCCTGGCCAACATGGTGAAACCCCATCTCTACTAAAAATACAAAAAATTAGCGGGGCGTGGTGTCAGGCGCCTGTAATCCCAGCTACTCGGGAGGCTGAGGCAGGAGAATCGCTTGAACCCAGGAGGCAGAGGTTGCAGTGAGCCGAGATTGCACCATTACACTCCAGCCTGGGCAACAGAGCGAAACTCCATCTCAAAAATAAAAAATAAAAAAAACCATCATGGGAACAACCTTCTGTCCAGTGTCCCAGTCTTGTGCCTGCTCTAAGAGCCTGACCCTGGGGACCGGTCCCATTTGCTAAGTCGGGTGTTCCCTCCATGTGGGGACATCGCCCCCATTTTTCTGTTTGGATCTGTGATGATCCATATTTTTCAGTAGAGGCTCTTCTGAGAGGCCGTTCGGAGCCCAGCTGTTTCCTTTAGGCTCTGATGTCTTCTCTCTCTTTTCCGGGACACTTCCTGGATTATTCCTAAAGGGACAGCCTCATGTAAGCCCAGCCCGCTCCCCCATTTCACCATATCCCTGCACTAAAATCCACTTGGGCCAAAGCACTCAGAATGGAACGTCTTCCTGGAAGGCCTCAGTGAGTGAGAACCAGGAAGGCTCTGTCTCCAAAAGGACCTTGTCTACTTCTGAGTAGGAGCCCATCCCCAGGGGATGGCTGTGAGTTGCTGAACCATCAGCCTGTGTCAGCGGTTTCTGGTGACACTGCATTTTGAATTTGGAAGCATCTGAGCTAATAAATGGCGGCTGTGCAGGGGAGGCTGGGGCCAGACTCTGCTCTGTCACCAGCCGCGCTGTGACTCTGGCCACTTCAGCAACCCTCTGCACACCCCTAGGCTCTTCTGGTTCTCATTCTACAGTGCTGTCCTCTGCCCTGTGACTATGTTTTCCTGAAAGCAAAATACACAAAGATCAGCCTGTGACTGTGTCGTAGGTGTTAATGCACAGCCGTCTTCCTCTGGCAGGTACTGGGGCGCATGCGCTGGCTCTGGGGAACAGTCCTCGGTCACTTTCTCATTTCAGTGACCCGAGTCCCCTAGCATAAGCACGTGCAGCTCCCAGTGGTGAAAGTGGATGCAGGCAGCAGCCATGGCTGTTTATAATGGTAAAATGGGGTTCTGTCTATCAAAGGAACACCTGTTTTATCTATGAGGTCACTTATAAGTTACTCATCTGGGCTGAGAGCCTCTCTGACCCCTTGTTTTACAAAGAGGCCCAGCCAGGGCCCCAGAGCTGGCGCCAAAGGGGAAAAGCCTGGAGTTTCCTTTGTCGTCCTGTTGGCCTCAGAAGCCACATCGCGTGCACACTCTCCAGTGGAGAGACTTGCTTTACCTGGCTGAGGCCGCGTTGTTCCTGCTGTCGTCGTGCGTGTTCTGTAGACTCTCTGACTGCTCATCCACGGGTGCCTGAAACCTGGCAAGGGAGTGGGCACCAGAATCTCAAGGGAGCAGAGCCAGCTGCTGCACGGCCTTAAGCTCAGAAACCTCAGAACCAGACTCTGCCACCACTCATGCACCCACCTAGCGTTTCATTCTTTTGCTCCTCAAATATTTACTAAGGTCCAGTGGTTGGCAAGGGCCAGGCCTGCATGGCGTGCAGGAGAGGCCAGGCCCTGCCATCATGGAAGCTGCGTGCTGGTCGGGCCAGACACGCTGAGGGAGGGAAGGGTGTGTGGTGCAGGGCGCCAGGCAGACCTGCTTTAATCCAGGTGGAGTGGGGAGGGCCTCTGCTGACACTCATCCAAGCTGGGGCCCGACTGAGGGTCTGTGAATACTCCAGGCAGAGGCCCAGAAGTGGGACCAGTCTAGCTTTTTTGGGGAACTGAAAGGGCATTGTGACTAGGGTGTTATGAGGGGCAGACACGGTCACAGGTGCACAGGGAAGGTCCCCAAGAGAGCTGTCCAGCCCCGCGGTGATGGGAATCATAGACTTCTAAAGGACTCCTGGCTTCATGGCGGCTGGAGGGGTAGGAGGGTTGGCCATGATGATCTGGATTCAGGGGAGCAATAGAGACCAAAGCGGGTGGATTGAGGCAGGAACAGTAGAGCCAGCAGGACTTGGGGGTGGGTTGGAAATGAAGTGGGTGAAAGGAATCCAGGCTTTCTCCCAGGCTTTTCACCTGAGTGAATGTGGTGCTATTCACTGAGATGGGGAGATGGGAATAGCATGTCTGCGGGAGGACGTCAAGCATTCTGGCCACTGCTGAACTCGCGGTGCCTGTAGACATCCAGGTAGGGCTGCCCAGGAAGGGGGCAGTGGGAGATGAGTCTGGAGCTCTGGTAAGCACTGTGCTGGAGCGGGAGCTGGGGGTCTGCGTCATGATGGGGTCTTAAAGCCAGGGACTGAATGAGGTCGCCCAAGGAGTGAGCGTAGGCTGTGGAGAATGCCTAAGGCTGAGCCCTGGGGAAAAACATATCTGGGCACTGAGCTGAGGAGGCAGAGCCAGCCAGAGACCAGGAAGGAACGGCTGGAGAGGCTGGCAGGAGCATGGGAGCGCGGGGCTGTCAGCAAAGAGAAGGTGTACTGAAGACTAACATGGCTAGGCACGGTCACGTCTATAATCCCAGCATTTTGGAAGGCTGAGGTGGGAGGATCACTTAGCCCAGGAGTTGGAGACCATCTTTGGCAACATAGCACAACCCCATCTCTACCAAAACTATAAAAATTAGCCGGGCATGGTGGCACATGCCTGTAGTCACAGCTACCCAGGAGGCTGAGGTGGGAGGATTGATTGAGCCTGGGAGATCGCGGCTGCAGTGAGCTGTGATTGAGCCACTGCACTCCAGCCTGGACAACAGGGAAAGACCCTGTCTTTAAAACAAACGAACAAAAAAAGCCCGGCGCAGTGGCTCACGCCTGTAATCCCAGCACTTTGGGAGGCCGAGGCTGGCGGATCACGAGGTCAGGAGATCGAGACCATCCTGGCTAACATGGTGAAACCCCGTCTCTACTAAAAATTAAAAAAAAAAAAAAATCAGCCGGGTGTGGTGGCACACGCCTGTAGTCCCAGCTACTCGTGAGGGCGAGACAGGAGAATCGCTTGAACCCGGGAGGCGGAGGTTGCAGTGAGCCGAGATCACGCCACTGCACTCCAGTTTGGGCGACAGAGCGAGACTCGGTCTCAAAAAAAAAAAAAAAAGATGAATATGGCGATGCTCACGAGTGCTGCTGAGAGGCCAAGGGAGGAGGCCTGGACCTACGGGAGGGCTCGCTGCGACTGGAGCAAGAGCAGACTCAGTGGATGAGTGGACTCGCAGACCTGGAGTGAAGTGGGTTGAGGGAGCAACTGCAGACATCCACAAAGTGGCTGCTCTGAAGAGGAGCAGAGCCGGCCCCACCTTGCCCGAAACCTCCAGGAGCTAGGCTCCAGCCTCAATTTATTTCTGCAGAGGTAGAGTATGGCTTGATACATTCATGGTGTGAACAAGTCTGTGTGGGTAGCACCCAGGACGTTGTCCCCACCCAGAAGCCCCCTTCATGTCCCCTTCCAGTCTTCCAGGTGACTGCCAAGATCCCTGCCACTCAGCAACTGGTCCTCTCCCACTGCAGCCGAAGTCTGAGGGGTTCTGAGAGGTCACCACACACAGACAAGAAATGTACTGAAACCAGAAAACCCAGTGTGCATACAGATGCTCCACAGACAGGCTTCCCAGGAAGGACTGGAAAGGGATCTAAAACTGACCTCGGGGCATTCCATAAAAGCAAGAGCCCACCCACCCTGATCTCCTCCAAGGAAGTACCACCCTTGTGCTCAGAGCTTCCGATCTGCCTCATGGCTCCAGCCCTGCCCCACTCCTAATATGAGCAGATACTCAAGGGTGACCTGACATCTGAGAAAAACCTTCAGCCTGGAAGATAGAAACCTACACAAGCTTAGAGGGCGTGGTGGCACACACCTGTAATCCCAGCTACTCTGGAGGCTGAGGCAGGAGAATCGATTGAACCTGGGAGGTGGAGGCTGCAGTGAGAGCTGAGATGGCGCCATTGCACTCCAGCCTGGGCGGCAGAGCGAGACTGTCTCAAACAAACAAAGACCTTCACAAGCAAAAAGCAATTGGGAGGAAACACTTCAGGGAGAAAATTCCAAAAGGAAAAAATAAACTATTAGCCTCAGAGGTGTAAGATATTGTGTCCCTGAAACAACAGGATGCCATCAAAAGAAACGGGGTACAGAAAGAGCTGTTGGACATGCAAAACAAGATAGCAGAAATGAACTACTTAATGGAAGATAAAGAGGCTTGGCACGGTGGCTAACACCTGTAATCCCAGCATTTTGGGAGGATGAGGCGGGAGGATCACTTGAGCCCGGGAATTTCAAAACCAGCTTGGGCAACATGGCAAGACCCCATCTCAAAAAAAAAAAAAAAAAAGGGGGGCCGGGTGCAGTGGCTCACGCCTGTAATCCCAGCACTTTGGGAAGCTGAGGCAGGCAGATCACCTGAGGTCGGGAGTTCAAGACCAACCTGACCAACATGGAGAAACCCTGTCTCTACTAAAAATACAAAATTAGCCGGGCGTGGTGGCGCATGCCTGTAATCCCAGCTACTCGGGAGGCTGAGGCTGGAGAATGGCTTGAACCAAGTAGGCGGAGGTTGTGGTTAGCCAAGATCACATCATTGCACTCCAGCCTGGGCAACAAGAGTGAAACTCCATCCAAAAAAAAAAAAGGGAAATAGGACAGAAAAGGTACATTAGAGGGCCAGCCCAGGGGAGCCAATATCCAACAATAGGAATTCCAAAAAGAAAAAGTGAAGAAATCAACAAATTGAAAAAGAGGCTGGGCGTGGTGGCTCATGCCCAGCACTTTGGGAGGGCGAGGCGGGTAGATGACGAGGTCAGGTGATCAAGACGATCCTGGCCAACATGGTGAAACCCCCGTCTCTACTAAAAATACAAAAAATTAGCCAGGCGTGGTGGTGCACATCTGTAGTCCCAGCTACTTGGGAGGCTGAGGCAGGAGAATGGCTTGAACCCAGGGGGCGGAAGTTGCAGTGAGCTGAGATCATGCCACTGCACTCCAGCCTGGTAACAGAGTGAGACTCTGTCTCAAAAAAAAAAAAAAAAAAAAAAAGAAAGAAATATTCCAGCCTGGCCAACTTGGCAAAACTCCATCTCTACTAAAAATACAAAAATTAGCCAGGCGTGTTGGCACGCACCTGTAATCCCAGCTACTTGGGAGGCTGAGGCAGGAGAATCAGTTGAACCCAGGAGGCGGAGGCTGCAGTGAGCCAAGATCGCGCCACTGCACTCCAGCCTCGGCAACAGAGCAAGACTCCATCTCAAAAAGAAAAAAAAAAAAGAAATATGCCAAAACTGAAGACCATGAATTTTCAGATTGAAAGAGCCTGCCAGTATCCAACCTAATGGATGGAAATAGACTCTCACCAAAGTGAAATCTCAGAACACTGGGAGCAAAGAGAAGATTCTACAAGCTTCCACAGAGAATTAGTAGGTCGCATTACAAGGGTTAGGAGTCTGAGTGCCTTCAGACTTCATGAACAACAACCATGGAAGCTAGAAAATAAGAAAGCGAGAGAGCGATGCCTTTGAAGGAGAATCCTTCCCAATCTAGAATTTCCCATCTAGAATTTGATACCCAGTGAAACTGTCAAGTATGAAGCTAGAATGGAGACATTGTCAGACCCTGCCATCCCAAACATGCACCTCCTTCACACTCTTTCTCAAGAAGTTACCAGGAGGTGGGCCCCCCTAAAACCTGACAGGCACTTCACCACAAGGGTGGTGAAGGGAGAGCCCAGGCTCCAGCCATTCCCTAGACCTACAGGGCAACCAGTCTATCCTGGGGCCCAGTGACTCAGAGACAGGAACAGCGAAGACTTGCCACCAAGATCCCTCTGCCACTGGAACCTGAGCACAGTGCTGAGACAGCCTGGTCAGGACTCTGCACAGACTTGGCTTGTCTTACATTGATGAAGTTCCTGCCCTCTCCTCCATGTCCTGCTGCCTGGATCAGCCCAGCAGGACCCTCGTGACACCCTTAGAAAGTGCCTTCTGCTTTGACCTACTCCTGAGGGTTGGAGGGACCAACTCTGAGCCTAAAAGCAGAAACTCAGAGCAGCCCACTCACTGTGACCATGCTTTTGCAAATGTCCGGCACCTTGTCCGCCCAGATACCCCAAAGGAACCCTAATGACCTGGCCAGCTGACTTCCCTGAACAGGGTCCTGTGGGTGTGGCACCTTTCCCATGCAGTTTTTTTTTTTTTTTTTTTTTAAGACAAGGTCTCACTGTGTCACCCAGGCTGTAGATTGTCGTGCCTCAGCCTCCCCAGTAGCTGGGATTACAGGCATGAGCCACCATGCATGGCTGATTTTTGTATTTTTAGTAGAGATGGGGTTCCACCATGTTGGCCAGGCTGGTCTCGAACTGCTGACCTCAGGTTATCCGCCCACCTCAGCCTCCCGAAGTGTTAGGATTACAGGCGTGAGCCACCGCACCCAGCCCCCATGCACATTCTGAAGAGTCTCAGTGGCCCTGGGAACACCCCCTTGGCCTCACCTGGGCTCCAGCCGCTCCTTCACCTTGGCAATGGAGCGGACGTAGGGCGTGATCTGCTTGGTGATGGTGGTCAGGTAGGCATTCTCCTGCCTCAGCTGGAGAAGGTCATGGAGCTGGGCTGTGGGGCCAAGGCCAGAGCATGGGGTCTTAATCCTGAAGCATCTGGCTTCAGATTTTTACTCAAGCCAGGCACCACGTAAATATCCCGACCATTTCCATGATGACCTCTAATTAAAGAGGGAGGCACTTGGTGGGGGCATTCTACTCAATGAATCCTGACCTCACATGCATCATTTGAGGCCAGTTAGCAGCTGGGAGGCACGGTCAAGCGCTAAGGGGAAGAGTGTGGGGATTTGCATCTGGTTAGTGGCCGACTCTGACTTCCTCCTCTGCTAGTATGTGGGTTAGCTCAGGGACAGAGGGTTCACTCGGCAGCCAACTGTCTGGAACCTTCATAAATCTCCTGCTCATTAGCCACTCGCTGATAGGCTTCCTCCCAAATCTGAAAGAGAAAAGCTGGACATTGGATGTGGCAGTGAGCTGAATTTACGGTGGCGGCATTGCTATCTCTAGCTACTCAGATCTACAAAGCACCCCCCAGCCAGGTCCACGTGGTTCCAAGCAGCAAAGACTCCCAGTTTCCAGACCCTGCCACATGAGGGTCCCGTGGGGTACAGGCCAGGTCCTCTTTCCCCGCTTACTGTCTTAGGGTAGCCCAGGTATCCCCTGACAGGTGGGGCTGGAGTTAGAGTCCTTGGGAGGGCTACCTCCTGGAAGACGACCCTCATGCCCTCTAAGGAGGCGTGCTCCGAGGCGATCTGCACGTCCAGTTGCAGGGACTTGTGCAGGACGTCTCCCATGATCTCCGCCTTGATGAGCGAGTGGTGCTTGGTGAGGTCTCGGTGCAGCTCCTGTACCTGGTCCTTTAGGCTCTGCATCTCTGCCTGCAGGTGCTGCACAGAGAGGCTGTGTGAGAGCGTGGGTCACCCTAGGCTGTTTTTACTGCCATGGACTTGGTGGAGGAATGGCTCCCAGCTTCAGCAGCTGGGAGAACTCGATTTCCCTGAGCGTACCTTGGTGAGGAGTGGGTTAGGACATCTCCCCCCTCCGGCAGATCCCTGCCCCCTCACCCGGTAGGAGTCCTCATAGTGGCGGCAGTGCTCTGCGAAGGGCGTGTTCTCGCCCTCCGCCAGCAGCACCTTGGTGCTGATGGACCGGTGCAGCGTGGGCTTTTGGACGGGTGACCCCGACATCTTTCCTACTGGGGAGGGGCAGTGGGGCCCCGTCAGCGCCTTGGGGCCTAAGCCCCCTGCCAGCCTGGGGAGAGAGCCAGTGTGGATGCAGGGGGGTGGGGAAGTCTGCCCCTCCCCCAGCCTCCCAGGGCAGCCCCCTGGACTGCTCCGGGATCTCACAGCCCTCTCCACCACCTGGAGCACAGCAGAGCCACCAGGAGATTTGAAAAGGCTGAGGCAAGGCCTCACCCGGACATCCACATCTATTTTTTAAAGTCCCTGGAGTGGGTTCCAGGATGTGGGGCCAAGAGCAAGTCCGTCGGAATGCTGCCGGGGCCAGGACCGAGTGAGTGGTGTGTTCACTTCTATGCTGGACAGAGGAAGTGTGGGCCCAGTCTCTCTTGGTCTTGGGGCCCCTGGACACACACATGCCATTTCAGCATCTCTTCTAACTCCTCTCCAGATGAGTCCAGGAATCAGGCCCCCTATGACCTCAGGCCACCTAGGTGGCGGTCAGCCCAGCCCCAGGCGCCCCACCCCAGGGGAGGCTGCAGTGGTAGTTGGGGGCCTGAGTCCTCCCCTCCTCCTTTAGCCAAGCTCCGAGCCCGGTCTGCCATGGACTTCAGGTCCAGGGCTTCCTGTTCCCCTACTTAGTGGACTCGCCCTGGCCATCCCCTGTGCCCAGACACCCTGCTGGGAGGGTGGCGAGCTAAGGACGGAGGAAGGAATGGTGGCACCTGGCTTCTTGCTGGCGATCTGGCCCCTCAGCGCCCACCCTCCCCCACACCCCAGTGTTGGGGACCTTGTGCCTGGCCTCCCCGGTTGCTGCTCACGTGTTAGCACCACTTGCAGCAGCTGCCACCCGACGTGGCCCCAGCAGCAGCAGTGGCTCCAGACAGCGCGCGAATTCAGCTCGGTGGTCACTGGCAATCTGGGCAGCGGGATGGGGTCATGAGGTGGCCTCCACTGCCCTGCAGGGCCCCCGACCCTGGCCCACCCAGGCCACTGCACACCTTGCTGCTCTGAATAGGCCTTAGGTGGTGCGGCCGCGTGACGATGCCCTGCAGCCTCTCCATCAGCTCCTGTGGCAGTGAGGAGGGCCTCAGGCCGGTGGAGGTGTGGCAGCCAGGGGGCAGGAAGAGGGGAGATGGAGGCGGAGCACGTCTGTCTTTGGCACTTGACTTGGTGTCCCTTAGCAGCGCCAGCCCTCTTCTGGGACTCACCCGGACAAACCCCCATCCCATCCCCAAATCCACAGGAGAGGGGGCGGCTGGACTCCAGTGGTCACTCCGCCCCACGGGGGACTGTAGGCTCATGCCCCCTTCCTGGCTTCACTGTCCTTGTAACAGTGACCCTAACAGGTTTGCAGATGATGGAGTTGGGAGGGGGTCAGCCCCGAGATCCCTGGTCCAGGCTCCAGGTGACAGGCTGCCCACCCCTGAGTTGGTGGCTTTGGTCTGCAGGGTGGGCTCCTGGTGGGGAGGGGGCATCTGCAGGAGCAGAGGAGACTCACATAGCCCAGGTCCAGGAACTCAGCCTTGTTGGCCAAGCTGAGGAAGGAGGAGCAGATGACCAGGTGGACCTGGGGGAGGGGATGCTGCTCAGTGCCTGGCCGGGGAGGAGGAGGGACCCACCCGCACCCCGAGCTCCCTGTACCTGCAGGGTGGGCAGCAAGGTGGCCAAGTGAGAGAGCTGCTCCTTGAAGGCCTTGTCCTTCTCTTCGTATTGGCTGGGGGAGGGGGGCTGCCTGGTTTCCAGGGGGCCAGGAGCAGGGCCGGGCAGTTCCATCCCCCACCCGCCTCCAGCTTCGCATGTCCGTCCCTGAACCCCTTCTCTGCACCCTGAGCCATGCTGCCCTCCTTAGCTGGGAGGACATTCGGATGTCTTGCTCCTCAGGGTGGGGCAGGGCCTGCCCAGGCTCTGAGCTGAGGCCATGGAGGCCAAGGGGTAAGGGAAGCAAGCCCCGCTCCCCCCAACTCACCTCTGCACAGCCTGCAGCAGCAGCGCTTTCCTCTCTGCCAGCCTGTCCTGGGAGAGATGGCGAGCATGCTCTTGATTTGCGCCCCAGCCCTGCCACCTCCCACCATGCCTACCCCCCGGACCCCAGCCACCTGCTGGTTACACTAGGTATCTCTCCAACCTACCAGCCCTGCATCTGCTGCCTGGTGAGGGCTTGGGTCCCGTCACCTTAAATGTCACCTCCCCAGGGAAGTCTTTCCTGACCACCTCACACCCCCACCACCAGCCTGCGGCAGGCCCTGGTTTCCCCTCCCAGCTCTCCTAGCAACTCCAGGAAAGTGCTTGGTGCAAGGCCTGCTGCCCCACTACACTGGAAATCCACAAGGGCAAGGGACCAGCCCTGTGTCACCAGGTCCCGGCTGGGTCGTTTATCCCCCAACCCCCACCCCTCACCTGCATGCTGCCGAAGAGGGCGTGGATAGCGTCCTCCTCCTCGGCGGCGCTGTGCCGCACCTCCTCCACCATGGCCTGCAGCAGCGCGATGGCCTCCCGCGTGGCCGTCTGCAGGGCCTTCACGGCCTGGGGACAGGGCGTGGTCAGGCTCGCGATCGCCGCCGCGCGGCCCCGCGCGCCAGGCCCCTGCGCTCACCAGCACCGCCTGCTCCAGCCGCTCGCAGCCCTGCACGTAAGCCGATTCCAGGTCCACGCAGTGTGCCCGGCTCTCCCTGCAGAAGGCGGCGGGTGAGGCCCGCTCCAGCGGCCCCCAGCCCCCTCCCCTCGCGTCCCCTGTACGCACTTCTGCATGTCGCGGAAGCAGCGGATGCACAACAGCAACTTCTTGTCGGTGGAGAACAAGAGGTAGGGCTCTGCGTGCAGCGCTGCGGGGGCGGCGGGCGGTGGTGAGGGCTCCGGTCAGTGCCCGCCCCGCCCCCACCCCCAAGTCCCCGGCCCCGCAAGCCTCACTCACTGCACTTCTGGGGCACGTCGCGGCTTCGCTGACCCAGGGCCACGATGTCGTGGCGCGCGAACATGCGTGCTCGGTGCGTCTCGTCGCGGCAGCGCGCGCATAGGGGCTGTCCGCACGTGTTGCAGAAGTACGTGGTCTCCACGTCCTGCGGGCCGAGCGCGGGCTCAGGAGCGCCAGAGCCCGACCGCGGCCAGCGCGGGAACCGCAGCCGCCGCGTGTCACTGCGCGTGTTTGTCCCAGCCGTGGCCGGGTGCGCAGCTAAACGCAGCCCTTTCCTGTAATCCAGGCACTTGGCGCTCTGATATACCCACTTTACAGAGGAGGGCACTGCGGCTCAGAGGCTGGGTAAGTAGGTCCGTGGAGGGGGGTGGGGGACGCGGGGAGAGGGCAGAAACTGCCTTTATAAAACATTTTACCGAGGCCGGGCGCGGTGGCTCACGCCTGTAATCCCAACAATTTGGGAGGCCGAGGCGGGCGGATCACCTGAGGTCAGGAGCTGGCCAACATGGCGAAACCCTGTCTCTAATAAAAATACAAAAATTAGCTGGGCATGGTGGCGGGCGCCTGGAGTCCCAGCTCCTCGGGAGGCCGAGGCAGAAGAATCACTTGAACTCGGGAGGCAGAGGTTGCTGTGAGTCAAGTTGGCGCCACTGCACTCCAGCCTGGGCGATAAAGCAAGAATCCGTCTCAAAAAAAAAAATTTTTTTTTTTTTACCTGCAACAAAAGGGTGTGAGGGCCTCTCACGGCCCCCTTGGCACACTCAATAGTGGCCGAAAGGTGGTGTACACCCTGGCCATCTGGAGTCACACTTGGGGGCGGGGGGAGGGGAAGAGCAGTGAGGGCTTTAAGGTTCTCCTCCCCAAGCCAGACCCAGGGCTGGGATTCCAGGGCTTGGCCTGCAGCCCTGGTATGGACGCATGCAATGATGGACATAACAGGCCCTACCTGCAGTCCCTACCTCCTGCTAATCCTCTCTGTACGTCTGGGTCACACATTGCTCAGCACTTGTCCAGAACGCTGGAGCTTTTGCCCCAGTCGGGCCGTCCTCCTGGGATTCCCGATACATTTTCTGGCCTCCGCAGGCCAGAGTCCCCTGTGCCTTTTACAGCCCAGAGGGAACAGCATGCTGTCCCCACCTCCCCTGGGCTGTAGCTGCTTCTATGCCACTTGGGTAGCAGAGGCCCTTCAGGGTCGGCCCAGGCCTGCAAACTGGACTGCCCCTCCTGTGCAGGTCCACAACTCCACCCTGAATTGGGGACCAGTGAGCTCTCCCCAGATCGAATGGCCTTAGCCTCTGCCACTGTCTGGACACTGGCTCAAGTCCCTTGTTCTGGACCTCAGTCTCCCCACCGGTATAATGGGGTTCACATTTGGGGCCAAGGTGCCCTAGGGAGGTGCTGGAGAATCCACTGCCAGGTCGTCCTCTGAAGACATGCTGAGTGCATGTGCAAGCATTGGGGACTGTGCAACCGGGTACCCTCTGCTCCTCACCCACCCGCCCTGCCGCCCCTGCCTGCTCGCTGCACTCCAGGTCACAGTTGGCACAGCGCACCGCCTCCACGCCATCCCCTGAGCTGTCCACCAGGAACTGCAGCAGCCGGTCCACCGGCGGGAGCCCGCTGGGACCCTTCAGCACCGTCTGGTGTCTGCAGAGAAGCCCAGGCCCCGAGATTCTGATACCCCTTCCCCAGGGCTCCCCACCCCCACCCCTCACATTCCAGGCTGGAGCTAAAAATAGCTGTGTTGGGAGGTGGGGTGCACCACAGCTCTGGGGTCTGCTATAAATATCACAGCCAGCACTCACCCTGCCCTGGTCCCTACCCTTGCCCAGTCCTGGGCACTCCTGCAGACAGTGGGGTTGGTCCCCTAGTATCAAAAGCAGAAGCTGCTCCTCGACATCTTCTCACGGCATTGGGCAAATCAGAGCCACTCCTGGGTTCCTTGAGCCCACATAACTGAAACTGTGGTTTTGTGGACCTAAGACTTCTAGGACCCCCAAGCGAGTAACCGGGAGCGTCCTGACCAGTGCTGGAGCCCCGCCCTTACCCTCTGACTTTTGATGGGAGGTCTTGGGCCAGTAACTGCAATCTCCAGGCTTCAGTTAAGCTGATCTATAAAATGGACCGAAGCCTGCAACTTCTGGCGGGGAGAGCTAAGGACCGGGTGCAGTATCTCCCAGTCGTTCTGCCTGAAGTTGGAGCCTTACTCTCCTGGCACCTGGGTCCCAGCTCGGGCAGAGCCAACCTTGGGCCCGGGGGATGGGGTCTGGGGGGTTTTGGGGAACTTTGGGACACTTACTGGCACAGCGGGCAGGTGAGGCGGCCGTCGGTCGCGCGGCCACGCAGGCAGCCGGCACAGAAGTCGTGGAAACAGTCCAGAAGACACGGGCGCTCGTACTGCACGTGGCACAGCGGGCACACCAGCGGGTGGATGCTCGGGGCATCCAGGGAGCTCGGGCCCTCCAGGGGCCCGAAGATAGCTCCCGACATCTGCAGCGACAGCGCAAGCGGGCGGCTGGGGCACGCACGGAGCCCCGCTTGAGCTCCCGCGGCCCCTCTGCCCGGGCGCCCGCGCCCTCCCTATCGCGCCTGGACCCGACTGGGCGTCCAGAGGTCATGGAGTGGGGAGCCGCTAGGGCCCAGGTTAGGGCTGGGGCCTGGAGCTCCCCGGCGCAGGGAGAACAGGCAGTGAGGACTGGCGAGGGGCGGGGCCTTGTACCTACCCGCTGGGCCGCTTTGCTGGGAGCTACCGGTCCTCCGAGCCTCTCTCCCGCCGTCCAGCGCTCTTAGTGCGGCTCCGGGCCGCGCTCTGAGACACCGCGCGGTCGCTCTGCCGAGGAGTAGCCGGCCCTGGAAGTTCAGGCCCGCACCGGGCGATGGTTCCCACTCTGCGCGGGGCCTCCCTCTGCCGTGGCCTCTCCTACCTCTCCTCACTCCCACCCTCGGAATTCCCCGCCGGGTGTCCTCTGGGTGACCCGCAGGCGACGCCTCTTCCGGCATCCACCTTCCCCAGGGTGGCTGCTGCCTTGAGGCGCGGCGGGGCCGAACCGACCTCCGCGCTCGCCATCTGCTTTGCGCACTGGTTCCGGCCCGGCCACTCCACCTCCAGCCCGCGGGGAGGAGAGGCCAGGACGCCAAGGCTCCAGGGACGGTGCCAGGCAAGGGTGCAAGGATCGGACTGGCCCCTGCCCGGCATGACAGAGTCCGGAGCCCCAAGACCAGAGCGCCGCGCAGAGCGGGGCCGGAGGACCTTGGCTGCGGGGTCTTCAAGGGTAGGCCGGGCGCGGTGGCTCACGCCTGTAATCTCGGCACTCTGGGAGGCCGAGGCGGGCAGATAGCTTGAGGTCAGGAGTTCGAGACCAGCCTGGCCAACATGGCGAAACCCTGTCTCTACTAAAAATGCAAAAATTAGCCAGGCATGGTGGCGCCCTTCGGGAGGCTGAGGCAGAACTGCTTGAACCCGGGAGGCGGAGGTTGCAGTGAGCCGAGATCGCGCCACTGCACTCCAGCCTGGGCTACAGAGCCAGACTGTCTTAAAAAAAAAAAAGAGTCCAAACCCCACCCCCTACCCCCGCTAATCCCCACTCTTCCATCCCATTTGGGTCTGAACAGGTCATCGCCGCCTCATTTCCTCGGCGGCCAATTGGGGGCGCCAGAGAGCAGCGGACGCCCCTCCACCGACTTTCCAGCGCTTGGGAGGCGGAGTGAGACGCCCTGTAATCCCAGCCCTGCCTTTCGCTGGTTGTGAGCTCTTGGCCATGTTACTGACCTCTCAGAGCCTCAGCGCTGGGTTAAAATAGAACTGGTGTCCTGATAATGGGTGAGGCCCCAGTGGAATAACGCACGTGAAATACACATACTGGGCGTCCACTTAATTAAGGCCCTATCCTCATTGCCTGCCAAGTTCCCAAAAGAGGGATGGGTTTGGGTGGGAGGTTGAGAGGGGAGGTTCCCGGCCTTTCCAGCAGTGCCCCCTCTGCCGTCTGGGCCTGGCAGATGCGTGTTGATCCCAGCGTTTTCTCCAGCGTGCGCTCGCTTGCTAGGTCGACGTGATCAGTGAGCTTTCTCCGCCCGTGTTCTCCTGAGTGTCCTGAGAGCAGCCCGTTTCTGCCCCTCTTGCGATTACAAAGTCAAGCCCAGAGCCTGACCCACAGTAGTGCTCAATAAAGGCTTAGAAAAAGCTCGGAGATATTTGAGCTGTTTTCGTTTTGTTTTGTTTAAGACAGGATCTCACTCTGTCGCCGCGTGATCATATCTAACTGCAGCCTTGGCTTCCTTCCACCTCAGCCTCCCAAGTAGCTGGGACTACAACCACGCACCACCATGCCCGGCTAATTTTTTGTATTTTTAGTAGAGACGGGGTTTCACCATGTTGACCAGGCTGGTCTCGAACTCCTGACCTCAGGTGATCCACCCACCTTGGCCTCCCAAAGTGCTGGGATTACAGGTGTGAGCCACTGAACCCAGCCTTTTTTTTTTTTTTTTTTTTGTATTTTTAGTAGAAAAATAAAAAGTACAATGTGCTGCACACATCGGGGGTTTTGCTGTGTTACCCAGGCTGGTCTCCAACTCCTGGGCTCAAGCATTCTGCCTGCCTTGGCCTTCCAAAGTTGCTGGGATTACAGACGTGAGCCGCCTTGCCTGGCCTTGAGCTGGGTTTTGAAGGATGCGTAGGAGTAGGAGTTTGCTAGGAGAAGGAAGTGAATTCTAGAGAGAAACTAGCTGTTCTTTTGAGGACTGTCCCTAGCCCTGGTTCTTTTTTTTTTTTTTGAGACTGAGTCTCATTCTGTCACCCAGGCTGGAGTGCAGTGGCGCAATCTCGGCTCACTGCAAGCTCCGCCTCCTGGGTTCACGCCATTCTCCTGCCTCAGCCTCCCGAGTAGCTGGGACTACAGGTGCCCGCCACCACGGCCGGCTAATTTTTTGTATTTTTAGTAGAGACAGGGTTTCACCATTCACAGGATGGTCTCGATCTCCTGACCTCGTGATCCGCCCCACCTTGGCCTCCCAAAGTGCTGGGATTACAGGCGTGAGCCACCATGCCCGGTCCCTAGCCCTGGTTCTATTTGTGGACCAAATCATAATGACAGTAGTAGCAATGGCTAATGTTTATGTGTTTATAGGCCAACATTCTTTTATGGGCCAAGATTCTTTTTTTTTTTTTTTTTTTGAGATGGAGTTTTGCTCTTGTTGCCCAGGCTGGAGTGCAATGGCGCCATCTCAGCTCACCACAACCTCCGCCTCCCGGGTTCAAGCGATTCTCCTGCCTCAGCCTCCCGAGTAGCTGGGATTATAGGCATGTGCCACCGCGCCTGGCTGATTTTGTATTTTTAGTAGAGACGGGGTTTCTCCATGTTGGTCAGGCTGGTCTCGAACTCCCGACCTCAGGTGACCTGCCCGCCTCTGCCTCCCAAAGTGCTGGGATTACAGGCGTGAGCCACCACACCGGGCCTTTTTTTTTTTTTTTTGTACAAGGGGAGGGAGGGTGGGGAGATATGGGCCAATATTTTATTCTAAGCTGTTTAACTTATATTAACTCATTTAATCTGGAGAACACTCTTAAAAAGTAGAAAATATTACCCCAGAAAGTGGTGGAGCTGGTATACAAAACCGCGTAGGTGCTTTGTTAAGGAATGATGCATTAGTTTCCCGGTAGGAGGTGAGTGCTTCATTCATCCATTCATTCATGTCTGCATCTGTTCAACTAGTATTTACAGAGCATCTACCATGGGCACATAGAAGGGAACACACCAGCCAAGGTTAGTCAAGTACACAGATTAACAAATAATGACAGGCTGCATTAACTGCTTGGAAGAAAATCATAAGGATGATAGGCCGGGTGCCGTGGCTCACACCTGTAATCTCAGCACTTTGGGAGGCTGAGGTGGGCGGATCACCTGAAGTCAGGAGTTCGAGACCAACCTGGCCAACATAGTGAAAACCCGTCTCTACTAAAAATACAAAAATTAGCTGGGCACGATGGATCATGCCTGTTATCCCAGCACTTTGGGAGGCCGAGGCGGGTGGATCACGAGGTCAGGAGTTCGAGACCAGCCTGGCCAGCATGGTGAAACCCTGTCTCTACTAAAAGTACAAAAAATTAGCCAGGCATGGTGGCACGCACCTGGAGTCCCAGCTACTTCGGAGGCTGAGGCAGGAAAATTGCTTGAACCTGGCAGGTGGAGGTTGCAGTGAGCCGAGATTGCGCCATTGCACTCCAGCCTGAGTGACAGAGTGAGACCTCTGTCTCAAAAAAAAAAAAAAAAAAAAAAAAAAAGGAAAAAAAGGAAAAATTAGCTGGGTGTAGTGGTGCATGCCTGTAATCCCAGCTACTCTTGCGAGGCTGAGGCAGGAGAATCGAGATGGCGCCACTGCACTCCGGCTTGGGTGACAGAGTGAGATTCCGCCTAAAAAATTAAATAAATAAATAAGGATGATGAGATGGAGGGCAGTTGGGAGGGGCTCGAGCTGAGGACCACACTAGGTAACCATGAGCAGAGAGGGGGAACTGAGCTTGAGACCCCCAGAGGATAAGAAATTAAGAAAAGCCAGGAAGGCTGGGCGCAGTGGCCCACACCCGTAATCCCAGCACTTTGGGAGGCCAGCGTGGGTGAATCTCTTGAGCCCAGGAGTTCAAGACCAGCTTGGGCAACATAGCAAGACTCCCCCCTCTATAAAAAATACTAAAACTTAGCTGGGCATGGTGGCTCGTGCTTGTAGTCCCAGCTACTTGAGAGGCTGAGGTGGAAGGATTGCTTGAGCCAGGAGGTTGAGGCTGCAGTGAGCTGTGACTGCACCTCTGCAGTCCCACCTGGGTGATAGAGTAAGACCCTGTCTCGAAAGAAAAACAAAAATAGAAAAGCTGGGAAAAGTTCCAAGCAGAGGCAAGAGCAAGTGCAAAGCCCCAGAAATGGGAAGACATTTAGAGACTAGCAGATCAATGTGGCTGGAGATGAAGGAGCTCAGGGTGGGGAGTAGGGCTGAACATGGCATGGGAGTGAGGATGGAGGATGGGGGTGAGGCTGGAGAGGTGGGGGCGGGGCAGGGGGTGTGGGGTGAGGGATGAGGGTTTGAGTGTGGGGAGGTGGGGGTGAGGGTGAAGAGGTGAGAATGGGCTCATGAGGGTCAGGGTGATCTACGGGACACTAGTCTAGAGATGCCAAGGATGCCACTGGCTGTACCTGTGGGGAGTCCAGGGAGGGGTAGAGGCTGCACACATTGGCCTGGGGAGTCATATTTAAAGGGAAGAGCATGTGGGTCTTGTCTAAAGATCAAGTGTAGATAAGGACGGGAGGAGGCTGGGTGTGATGGCTCCCGCCTGTAATCCTAGCACTTTGGGAGGCTGAGGCAGGAAGATTGCTTTAGCCCAGGAGTTCTAGATCAGCCTGGGCAACATAGCCATAGTGAGACACCAACTCTCTACAACAGCAAAACAAAACAAAACAAAAAAACATGCAGCTGGGCATGGTGGTGCACACCTGTGGTCCTAGCTACTCAGGAGGCTGAGGTGGGAGGATTGCTGGAGCCTAGGATGTCAAGGCTTCAGTGAGCCGTATTCGCACCACTGCACTCCAGCCTGGGCAACAGAGCGAGAGCCTGTCTCAGAAAAAAAAAAAAAAAAAAGAAAGAAAAAGGAAAGAACAATAAAAGTCAACTGCTGAGAGGGAGGTTTAGGAAGAAGGGGCTGGCATTATGACTGAGGTGTGAAATAGTCTTTTGGGCCAGGTGCAGTGCCTTATGCCTGTAATCCCAGCAATTTGGGAGGCCAAGGTGGGAGGATCACTTGAGCCCAGGAGTTTGAGGCTGCAGTAAGCTATGATCACACCACTGCACTCCAGCCTTGGTGACAGAGCAAGACCCTGTCTCTATTAAAAACAACAAGAAAGGGAAATAGTCCCTTGGGGGAGAGATTTAGGATTGTCAGTAGCCCTGAGGGCTCGCTTAGGGTCCGTTATCAGCCAGGGTCCAGTCAAAAGACAACACATTATAGTTTTTAACTGAGAGAATTTAATATAAAGGATTGTTAACTAGGTATAAAGATGTGTTTAGGTAACTGTCGGGGTATAATACTAACAGTAGCAACTGCAGGAAGTAGCTACCACTGGTAGGTGGTATTATTAAAATGTAGATGCTTGAGGAGGGGCACAGGGAGGTGAAACTCAGACATCTGAGGAGAGGGTGCTGCTCTGCTAGGGCTGGTGTCTCTGAGGAGAAAACGAGGCTGGTTCTGCAAATGTTGGAATAAGTGCAGACTGGATTCCACTGCTGCTTCCAGAATGTTCCAACTGCCACCTCCAGGATAAAGAAGCAAGAGTGGATGACACCAGACAGGACAGGAGCAAGCAGGAAGCAAAGCCCCCTATTGATAGAGCCAAACCGGGATCAGCTGGAAAGCAGAAGTGTTTGCAGAGGCCCAGCCTGATCATTATAGAGCCAAGAACAGCAGCTGGCTTTGGAGCTTGGTCAACCGGCTTGAGGCCTGAGTTGAAAGCTAGACCCATCAGCACAGTCTCTTCTGGTGATTGGACTTTTGCTAGGTGAGTACACTGAAGCCAGGTAAAGGGAGTGGAGAGTGTGTGTGCCACTGAGTGATTTACAATTCAGGATCCTGGAATATAATTCCGTGAGGACGCAGCGGGTGACTGGGTGCAAAGTAGCCCAGTTCAAGGGACCTGTGGGCCTGGGGATGAGGACCTTTGCTTCTCCACATGCGGTCCATGGACTCGCAGCATCAGCATCGTCTGAGAGCTTGTGAGAAATGCAGAATTTCAGGCCACTGAGACCGCTGGAATTGGAATCTGCATTTTCCAGATCTCCTGGTGGTCCTCAACTACTTACTGGTTTGGGATGGGAAACTAGAAGGCTTGGGCTGGGAAACTAGGGAGTGGTGATCAGCGAGGGGGCGGCCTGGCTACAGCAAAAAGGACAGGCACTGGGAGACAGCCCCTGGGCATGAGCTTCCAAGCTGGGGCTTTTTGAGGAAGCCATAGTGGTCTGGCATTGGGACCTCTGAACGAAATTTCCCGGTGGCTACAAGGAATTTTCCCACTTCCCCAAATTAGTAGATTCGATTTCCATCCCACTAGCTGGTAATTTACAGTATAGTGAATTTCCTTATTTCTTTTTTCTTCCCAAGACTTTCAAAAAGTAAAGCCAACCCCTTTATTTATCTTTGGGCTCGTCCAGTCTGGCTTCCCCCCTCCGATCGTTCGCAGTGGGACAGCCCGCCGGGCCTCCTTCCTTCCCCAGAAACCCTCCAGGCCTGGGAGAGGACGCGTTTTGCATTCAGGAAAAACCAATCGCTCCCCTATCGTACATAACCAAGAGAAAAGGTGGCGGACGAGGGGCGTGGCAAAGTGATTAGTGCGGCCTGGACCCTGCGTGCCTTGCGCGCTGCGGGCTCTTTGCGTCTGCGTAGTTCGCTCACCTCCCTTTCTAACTCCGCTGCCGCCATGGCTCCTGTGGTTAGTATGGCTCCGCGTGAGGCCTCGGCTCCAGGGGAGGCACGTGGGCCTCGCCGAGCCCGGCATCTACCCAGGCTCGCTGGGGACGGCGCCCTGCAGCGTCCTGCTGGGGTGGGCTGGCAGGTCGGCCGGAGCGGGCCAGAGCCCCTGCCGATCCCAGCACGTTGTAGGCGGAGGAGGCCGCGGCCCGAGGCTCGTGAGGGAGATCCGGGAGGTCTCGGAGGCCCGGGGCCCCAGCTAGGGGCTAGCGGGGAGCTGGAGCCTGGAGACTGCGGTCTGGGCCGGCCACTGGTCCTCGGACCCCGGCCGGGGGCCTGATTACCTGGGTGGAGGGCGGGGAAGAAGAACGGGACCTGCTACCCTGGGGAGCCGCGCATTCGGAAGTCCACGGCCAAGACTCGGGGACGAATCCGCGGAAGGGCGGCTTGGTCGGCGTGCTTTCGGAGAGGAGGCCTGGGTTTGAGGAGCTTTTTAGCGTCCCCAGAGGAAATTAGTTTATCAGGGCGCACTGTACAGACCCAAACGGGTGTTGCAGTGGTGTAGGGAGAAGGCTCTCATTGCATTCTCCTTTAGCTATGCTGGGACTGGGCTGTGCGGCGCCCTCCTCCTAGGTTATTTGAGAAAGTTGTTTTTCCGTGTTCTTCGTCCCAAGATCCTACTTTTCCTCTTTTGTTGGGACTCCCTGGTTAACATTTCCGGTTCTTCTGCTCTTTCTGTCTGGTTGGGCTTTTGAATGCCTTTTGGTTTAAAACCTTGATGGAGAAGTATCAAGCCCGTTGTGGGTAGGTCTCTTGATTGATTGTGTGTGTTCGGAATAGATCTTAAAGTACCCCTCTTAGATTATTACTGCGAAGAGACGTTGTAAAAAATAAATCAGTGATTTTTGTAGTGGCCAAATGTTTGAAAAGTTGATCCAGTTAACACAAGTTTTAGATGAAGTTCTTTTAAACATGAAGGGAGGTAAGATGTGTTTTTGGAAAAGTCTATTTAGTTCTGCAGAGCTTTTAAACGTGAAAGTACAGGTTGGTACGATGCACAAGTGCATTAATGGTGTCAAGTTTGTAGAGAGATAAGATTAACACAAGCTTCTTCGTAAGAGTGAAGAAACTGGAACCTTGTAGGATGTGCTTTGCCGGGTGGTTTGGAAGTACTAATGCATAGATGAAGCGAATCAAAATGTCAGAAGTTCTTGACGGTAGTGTTGTAATAAGATTCTAGGTTTTAGCCTTAACCTTGTCCAAGCTGGAGTGGACAGGCACCTAGAATACTTTGCAACTCCCTTCATGAGAAGGTGGATGAGACAGGATTAAGGGAGATGAGCTAAGACGGATCAGGACCCTACTCTGAACATGTAGGACAAGGATTGATTTCATATGAAAATTGTGGGTATGCAAGGCATTTTGTATGCCTGCACTCTAATTTTGGAAAAATAGTATTTTTTTGAAATTGGGAATGTTAGGGCAAACAAAAGGAAGTGTTCATTTTATTGTGGTTCATAAACTAAGAGACCTTCATGCCTGTAGAGATTGGGGAGACTGGAAAGTTTGAGTGAGTCAAGAGTGCTAGAATGATTTCCCCATCAAAAGGGCATGACCCCAGGCCCCAAGCTTGTACAGCAGCATCTGCCCCATTATACCTCTGGCACTCAGGCAGTGATGCCTCTTGGCCCTCTGGCAAAGGGAGCACACTTCCGTTAGTTTTGTATTTGTATGGACTTTTATACCTATGACGTTTCTGGTTCTGTTAATCTTGTTTTTCCGACTGACTGAAACTTCATCTCTGTTATCATTTGTGTATTTTCTTAGAAAAAGCTTGTGGTGAAGGGGGGCAAAAAAAAGAAGCAAGTTCTGAAGTTCACTCTTGATTGCACCCACCCTGTAGAAGATGGAATCATGGATGCTGCCAATTTTGTAAGTTACATCCTTATTGCCACTCGGGTGGTCACGAACATTTTGAGATACTGTTGAGAAAACCTACTGGGGTACATTTCTGTTTTCAGGCTTATAGGCAGCTTCACAGGTCTGGCTGTATCATCTCACCCTGGGAATGTGGGCAGATTACTTGTTTGTTTCCAAGTCTTGTTTCTTCTTGTGTGTGCAACAGTTGTGAGGAGTAAAAGGAGATGGGCTTAGAATAAGCAAGAAGGGCTCTAGCACAGAGGTGTTAGAGGACTATCTTGTTTTTCTCCTTTAGTTTCCACAAATGATTTTACTTAAAAGTTACCCAGAAACAAGCCAGGCACGGTGGCTCACGCCCGTAATCCCAACACTTTAGGAGGCTGAGGCGGGCAGATCATGAGGTCAGGAGTTCGAGACCAGTCTGGCCAACATAGTGAAACCCCGTCTCCACTAAAAATACAAAAAAATTAGCTGGGTGTGGTGGTGTGCACCTGTAATCCCAGCTACTCGGGAGGCTGCAGTAGAAGAATCGCGTGAACACGGGAGGCGGAGGTGGCAGTGAGCAGAGATCGCACCATTGCACTCCATCCTGGGAGATAGTGCGAGACTCCGTCTCAAAAACAAAACAAAAAAAGTTACTGAGAAACAGACAAATTTCACTGGGTCCATGGCATCCCCCTTGCTGTTTGGTGTGTTTAAGCATAAGTGAGGGACCCTGATCCTGACTATGGGCTGCCTCTGTCCTGGGTCTCACTGCTTTGATGTGGAGCTTTGGACAGGTGGCAGCAGTTCCCGAAGCTTTTCTATATTATGAAGCATCTGAGCTTCAGTGTTTAAAGTACCCTGCTTGCTGAATTGTAATTGGAGCTTTTTTTTTTTTCTTCAGATCTTGCTCTGTGCTGATTTTTTGCCCCTGTATTTGGCCCATTCCCCAATATTCCTCTATCCTATTGCAATCTAGAAATATTAAATAATCCTTCCGCCACATTTTGACTCAGCAGTTTGGTTTTGACATTTTATTCTTTTTCCTCTAATAGCCATGTTTGGGGGATTCAGACTTCGTATTTGTGTGTAGAAGTCTCCTAAATTTGCATTTGCTCTAAATTCTCCAGAAGGTTGAACTATTGCCAGGATCAGTATCATTACAACAAAAATAATTTTTAAACACAAAATAATTATGGTCACGAATTATCCAGAATGGAATTTAGGTAACCTCTTATAGTTTATTGCCTTTATGTAGATGCTGTTTGCATCTGTGTCCTTCAAGAAATCCCCTATTTCCTTAGTTCTTTCTCTATCCAGTGACTTCTGGCTTTTCTGTGGCCTCCTCTTTTTCAACTTTGGTGTCTTCCAGTTTGGTATTCACATGGTGGCCCTGTTCTGGCATTATTCCTGCCTCCCTCCCTCTGAGCCATTCCCTCAGCCCACTCATCTGTTTGTGTGATTGTCTTTCCTTCTGGAAGCCTCCTTAGGATAGAAAACTTAAGTCATTTATGAATCTTGAGATGCAGAATTCAAGATTTCTGACCTAATCACTCTGTGCCCCATCTATGGTTAATGTATACTTTTTGTTTATTTTATTTTATTTACTTTGTTTTTTGAGACCAAGTTTTGCTCTTGTTGCCCAGGCTGGAGTGCAATGGTGCAGTCTCGGCTCACCACAATCTCCGTTTCCCTGGTTCAAGCCATTCTGGTGTCTCAGCCTCCCGAGTAGCTGGGATTATAGGCGCCTGCCACCACGCCTGGCTAATTTTTGTATTATTAGTAGAGATGGGGTTCCTCCATGTTGGTCAGGCTGGTCTCGAACCCCTGACTTTAGGTGATCCACCCACCTCGGCCTCCCAAAGTGCTGGGATTACAGGCATGAGCCACTGCGCCTGGCCATTTTATTTTATTTTTATTTATTTATTTTTGAGGTGGAATCTCACTCTGTCACCCAGGCTGGAGTGCAATGGTGTGATCTTGGCTCACTGCAACCTCCACCTTCCAGGTTTAAGTGATTCTCTTTCTCAGCCTCCCGAGTAGCTGAGATTACAGGCGTGTGCCACCATGCCCACCTAATTTGTGTATTTTTGTGGTAGAGACGGCGCTTCACCATGTTGGCCAGGTTGGTCTTGAACTCCTGACCTCAGGTGATTTGCCAGCCTCGGCCTCCCAAAGTATCGGGATTACAAGCATGAACCGCTGTGCCCAGCCAAATTTTTTTTTTTTTTTTTTGAGACGGAGTCTTGCTCTTTGTCACCCAGGCTGGAGTGCAGTGGTGTGATCTCGGCTCACTGCAAGCTCCGCCTCCCATGTTCATGCCATTCTCCTGCCTCAGCCTCCCGAATAGCTGGGACTACAGGTGTCTGTCACTATGCCCGGCTAATTTTTTGTATTTTTAGTAGAGACAGAGTTTCACCGTGTTAGCCAGGATGGTCTCAATCTCCTGCCTTTGTGATCCGCCTGCCTCGGGCTCCCAAAGTGTTGGGATTACAGGCGTGAGCCACCGCGCCTGGCCCCAAATTTTTATTTATTTATTTATTTTGAGACGGAGTCTTGCTCTGTTGCCCAGGCTGGAATGCAGTGGCACGATCTTGGCTCACTGTAAGCTCCGCCTACCGTGTTCATGCCATTCTCCTGCCTCAGCCTCCCAAGTAGCTGGGAAACAGGCGCCCGCCACCACGCCTGGCTAATTTTCTGTATTTTTAGTAGAAACAGGGTTTCACCATGTTAGCCAGGATGGTCTCGATCTCCTGACCTCGTGATCTGCCCACCTCAGTCTCCCAAATTTTTATTTTTTGAGAAAGGGTCTGTTGTCCAGGCTGGAGGGCAGTAGCATGATCCTGGCTCACTGCAGCCTCAACCTCATAGGCCCAAGTGATCCTCCCACCTCAGCCTCTGGAATAGCTGGCACCACAGGCATGCACCACCATACCTAGCTAATTTTTAAATTTTTTTGTAGAGGAAGGGTCTTCCTAAGTTGCCCAGGCTCGTCTTGAACTCCTGGGCTTGAGCAATCTTCCTGCCTTGGCTTCCCAAAGTGCCGGGATTACAGGTGTGAGCTACTGCACCCAGCCAGTTAACATATTTTGTATTGGAGTTTTTAAACAGAAAATTATAGGAATTTTGAGCTGAAAGGGACTTCATGTCATTGCCATAGCAAGAAAACAACTAAAAAGGTCCTTTTTGGGCAAAGCTTTCTGAAGCACAAGGAGGTGAATGTCTTGCTGAGGCCCACACAGTAGTTTGCAGAGAATATCTCAGGCTCCTGAGTGGCTGCTGCTTCTGCTGTACCACACATGGCCCTGGACCAGGTCTAGAATTGTTTCAGTCCCTATGTCTTTGCTCTTTCTACTAGGTTGAAGGCTTATTTTCTGATAGTGCTGTGAACAGTGTTTTATACTCCTTAGATTCAGAAGTTGCTTTTAGCTTTGGTTGCATGTACCTTGTAAAAGTTTGTTTTATTTATTTATTTTTTGAGACAGGGTCTCTCTGTCCCCCAGGCTGGAGTGCAGTGGTGTGATCTCGGCTCACTGCAACCTCCGCCTCCTGGGCTCAAGGGATTCTCCTGTCTCAGCCTCCTGAGTAGCTGGGACTACAGGCACATGCCACCACACCCGGCTAATATTTGTATTTTTTGTAGAGAGAGGGTTTCGCCATGTTGCCTAGCCTGGTCTCAAATTCCTGAGCTCAGGAGATCCACCCACCTCAGCCTCTCAAAGTGCTGGGATTACAGGCGTATCTTGTAAAAGTCTGGCCTTGGGTTTCCTGTCTAGTGTTGTCCTTCTAAGCCTTTCGTGGCGAGGCCCAGTCGGCCTTGTGTGGAAGTAGTCAAGTACGTTTACACTGGGATGTTGTCTCATAGTATGTATGTAAATGGGATTTGTTACCATTTTTAAAAAAGACTGAACATTTAAGAAACCGATATTAGGGCCAGGTATGCTGGCTCACACCTGTAATCCCCACGCTTTGGGAGGCTGAGGTGGGAGGATCACTTGAGCCCAGGAATTTGAGACCAATCTAGCCAACATAGAGAGACCCCTTCTCTTAAAAATGTTAAGCCAGGCGCAGTGGCTCACGCCTGTAATCCCAGCACTTTGGGAGGCAGAGGTGGACGAATCACCTGAAGTCGGGAGTTGGAGACCAGCATGACCAACGTGGAGAAACCCCGTCTCTACTAAAAATACAAAATTAGCTGGGCCTGGTGGCGAATGCCTGTAATCCCAGCTACTTGGGAGGCGGAGCAGGAGAATCACTTGAACCTGGGAGGCGGAGGTTGCAGTGAGCCGAGATCGCGCCATTGCACTCCAGCCTGGGCAACAAGAGCTAAACTCCATCTCAAAAAAAAAAAAAAAAAATTGTAAAGTCAGCTGGGGCCAGGTGGGATGGCTCATGCCCGTAATCCTAGCACTTTGAGAGGCTGAGGTGGGAGGATCACTTGAGTCTGGGAGGTCGAGACTTGAGCTTGGGAGGTTGAGACTGCAGTGAGCTGTGATTGCGCTGGTGAGACTCTGTCTCCAAAACCAAAACAAAAAATGATATTAGTTCAGTGTTGGGAGACAGATAAAATATTCTGTTGAGACAGATGAACTTGTCACTTCATTGGTCAATTTAATGATTTCTACAGGAGCAGTTTTTGCAAGAAAGGATCAAAGTGAACGGAAAAGCTGGGAACCTTGGTGGAGGGGTGGTGACCATCGAAAGGAGCAAGAGCAAGATCACCGTGACATCCGAGGTGCCTTTCTCCAAAAGGTACAGGAGGGAAGTGTGTGTGTGGCCTGCGTGCACCCAGTGCCCAGCCCGCCTTTTCCCTGCATGGGAGTGGGGGCACCCGCAGAGTGATTGGTTTGCATCTGTTAATTTCTGGAACTATGCTCAGTGCAGGAGGCAGTGGATGAATGCTATTATGGTTGTTAACAATAGTCAACTTTTGGTGGTTTTAAAATTTTGTCTTTCACAGGCTAAAGTGTTTTATTTTTTTTTGAGCTGGAGTCTCACTCCATCGCCCAGGCTGTTGTGCAATGGCGCGATCTCGGCTCACTGCAGCCTCCGCCTCCTGGGTTCAAGCAGTTGTCCTGCCTCAGCCTCCTGAGTAGCTGAGACTACAGGCACCTGCCACCATGCCCGGATAATTTTTGTATTTTTAGTAGAAACGGGGGTTTCACCATGTTGGCCAGGCTGCTCTCAAATTCCTCCCCTCAAGTGATCCACCCGCCTTGGCTTCCCAAAGTGCTGGGATTATAGGCCTGAGCCACCATGCCCGGCCAGGCTAAAGTATTTTAAACAGTAAGGTACTCAGACTTGCTTTCAAGACTGTTTTCTCAAAAATATTCTTGGCTGGGCACAGTGGCTTATGCTTGTAATCCCAGCACTTTGGGAGGGTGATACAGGAGTATTGCTTGAGCCCAGGAGTTTGAGACCAGCCTGGGCAACATAGTGAGACCCCCATCTCTACAAGAGTTAAAATTAGCTGGGCATGGTGACATGTGCCTGTAGTCCAGCCACTTGGGGAGCTGAAGTGGGAGGATGGCTTGAGCCCAGCAGGTTAGGGTTGTAATGAGCTGTGATTGTGCCACTGCAGGCCAGCCTGGGTGACACAGTGAGACCCTATCTCAATTAAAAAAAAAAAAATTGCCTCCTGTCTCTAGATCACAGTAAGAGCTTACTTTTTTTTTTTTTTTTTGAAACCGAGTCTTGCTCTGTTGCCCAGGCTGGAGTGCAGTGGCGCCATCTTGGCTCACTGCAACCTCTGCCTCCCAGGTTCAAGCGATTCTCCTGCCTCAGCTTCCCGAGTTTTTGGAATTGCAGGCATGTGCCACCACGCCTGGCTAATTTTTCGTATTTTTAGTAGAGACAGAGTTTTGCCATGTTGGCCAGGCTGGTCTCGAACTCTTAACTTCAGGTGATTCGTCTGCCTCAGCCTCCCAAAGTACAAGGATTATAGGCATGAGCCACTGCGCCTGGCCCACACCCAGCTAATTCTTGTATTTCTTTTTTTTTTTTTTTGGAGACAGAGTCTCGCTTTGTTGCCCAGGCTGGAGTGCAGTGGCGAGATCTCGGCTCACTGCAAGCTCTGCCTCCCGGGTTCACGCCATTCTCCTGCCTCAGCCTCCCGAGTAGCTGGGACTACAGGCGCCTGCCACTGCGCCTGGCTAATTTTTTTTTTTTTTGTATTTTTAGTAGAGACGGGGTTTCACCGTGTTAGCCAGGATGGTCTCGATCTCCTGACCTCGTGATCCGCCCGCCTCGGCCTCCCAGAGTGCTGGGATTACAGGCGTGAGCCACTGCGCCCGGCCTCTTTTTTTTTTTTTTTTTTTTTTTTGAGACGGAGTCTCACTCTGTCACCCAGGCTGGAGTGCAGTGGCGTGATCTTGGCTCACTGCAACCTCCGGCTTCTGGGTTCAAGCGATTCTCCTACCTCAGCCTCCTGAGTAGCTGGGATTACAGGTGTCTGCCACCACTCGTGGCTAATTTTTTTTGTTTTTTAGTAGAGACAGGGTTTCACCATGTTGGCCAGGCTGGTCTCGATCTCCTGACCTCGTAATCCACCCACTTTGGCCTCCCAAAGTGCTGGGATTACAGGCGTGAGCCACCGCGCCCGGCCTAATTATTGTATTTTTAGTAGATACGGGGTTTCGCCGTGTTGGCCAGACTGGTCTTGAACTCCTGACCTCAGGTGATCCACCTGCCTTGGCCTCCCAAAAGTGCTGGGATTACAGGCATGAACCACTGTGTCTGACCAAGAGCTTTCCTTTTGAATTCCAGTTGTTTCCCTTGTAAGTGCTACTTTGGCACTGAACAAGGAATCTGAAGACCTCAGTTTAGACAGAGTCCACTCTAGTTAATTCCTGGGGGCCCATTTTCTTTCATTTCAAAATGGAGACATTAATTTGCTAGTTCCCTCCTCTGTTATGTGTTGGTTTTTGAGGATGAGGTTAAAATACTTTACCAGTTGCTGAAGAATTGGATATGCATATACTCAGCTCCTAGCCTGGGGCTGTGGCCTGTTAGGAGCTTTTAATCATACTAAATCCCAGCACTTTGGGAGGCCGAGGTCAGAGGATCACCTGAGGTCAGGAGTTCTAGACCAGCTGACCAACATGGAGAAACTCCGTTTCTACTAAAAATACAAAATTAGCTGGGTGTGGTGGTGCATGCCTGTAATCCCAGCTACTGGGTAGGCTGAGGCAGGAGAATTGCTTGAACCAGGGAGGCGGAGGTTGCGGTGAGCCAAGATAGCACCATTGCACTCCAGCCTGGGCAACAAGAGCGAAACTCTGTCTCAAAAAAAACAAACAAAAGAAAACCAACATACTAAATCAAGTGGTGGGAAATTTTAAGGTATGTTAGTACAAATTGGTTGTAGTTAATGCTTTTATGTTTAGCTATGTCCGTGAAGAAGAGACTTTGAAGCTTAAGTGAAGTCCTCACAGTCTGCCTGGGAAGCAGTGAGAATGGGGCTTCTGGTGGGGGTACAAAGCGTCCGGCCTGCTGGGCTGTAGCAGAGCCCTTGGGGAAGATTCTGCTACCTTTCTGTGACCTGTTTACCAGGGTGAGGGTATCTCCTGACATGCGTCACTTGCGTTTTCACAAACTTTCTGTTCTTTATCCAGTGGAGTAGGGAAGGTGCCTTAATCATCTATTACAGCTTTCCTTTCTTGATGATAATAGTTAATTTTCCTGAAAGGTTCAAGGTGTCCCGAATCTAGAACTTTTTCTGTCTCTGAATTTGTACAGGGTTTTTATTTATTTATATTTTTGAAAACGAGTTTTGATCTTCTTGTCTAGGCTGGAGTGCAATGGCGCGATTTCAGCTCACTGAAACCTCCGCCTCCCAGGTTCAAGCAATTCTCCTGCCTCAGCCTCCTGAGTAGCTGGGATTACAGGCGCCTGCCACCACGCCCGGTTAATTTTTTGTATTTTTAGTAGAGAGGGGGTTTCATCATGTTGGCCAGGCTGGTCTGGAACTCCTGACCTCAGGTGATCCACCCGCCTCGGCCTCCCAAAGTGCTGGGATTACAGGCATGAGGCACCCTGCCTGGCCTGTACAGGGTTTTTTTTTTTTTTTTAACCTGATTTTTTTCCCCAGTGTACTATTAGGGATTTTTTTTTTTCCTTTTTTTTAGATAGGGTCTTACTCTGTCACCAAGGCTGGAGAGCAGTGGGGTGATCATAGCTCACTCTAGCCTCCATCTCCTGGCTCAAACAGTCCTACCTCAGCCTCCCAAATAGCTGGGACTACACGAGTGCCCCACCATGTCCGGCTATGTCAGGGAACATTTCAACCACCTGAAATTTTGAATTAACCTCATCTGAATACAATATGGTGGAAATAATTGACAAAAGTATACTTTTTAGATGGAATGACCAAATTGATTTATCTTTGCTTAGCAAAAAGTGGACAGTTGAATTGAGATCTTCACACTTTGTGGCGATTGCTTTGTTGGTGTGGAGATTGCTTTGTTGGTGTGGAGATTGCTTTGTTGGTGTGGAGATTGCTTTGTTGGTGTGGAGCACTGTCACAGTGCTCCTTTTTTGGAGATGGTGAGTCTGTTGGTTCATGACATTTGGGTCCTGTGAATATGCCAGGGATCCATGCTGAGCGCGGTGGCTCACGCCTGTAATCCCAGCACTTTGGGAGGCCCAGACGGGTGGATGACCTGAGGTCGGGAGTTCCAGACCAGCCTGACCAACATGGAGAAACCCCGTCTCTTACTAAAAATACAAAATTAGCTGGGCGTGGTGGCACATGCCTGTAATCCCAGCTACTCGGGAGGCTGAGGCAGGAGAATTGCTTGAACCCGGGAGACGGAGGTTGAGGTGAGCCGGAGATCGTGCCATTCCAGCCTGGGCAACAAGAGCGAAACTCCGTCTCAAAAAAAAAAAAAATGCCAGGGATCTCTCTGAGCATCTCATGTAATCCTTGCTATGGTCTGAAGAGATGGTTAGTAGCAGGGATCCCCTTTCACTGTGGGAGAAACAGCTTGGGTAGATGAATTGGCTCTGCTGTGGGTTTGTGTGTTGTGAAATTCCCTCTTTATGGCTTGGGAAGATTCGGAATAGCCTCAGGGCCACGGAAGCAAGCCGGTGAGAGAGCTGCCAAGACTGTGGTGCACTTCATCTTTTTTTTTTTTAATTAAAAAAAAAAATGTTGTGTAGAGACAGGGTCTTGCTATGTTGCCTAGGCTGGTCTCGAACTCCTAGATTCAAGGGATCCTCTCACCTTGGCCTCACAAAGTGTTGGGATTACAGGCGTGAGCCACTGTGCCCAGCCCTTAGGTCATCTTTATGTAGTTAGGGTGTTGGGCACAAAAGCCAGTTTTTGCCTTTCCATAAAGAATGAGTGTTTTGGCTGGTCGCAGTGGCTCACAGCTATAATCCCAGCACTTCGGGAGGCTGAGGTGGGCAGACACTTGAGGCCAGGAGTTCGAGACCAGACTGGCCAATATGGCAAAACCCCCATCTCTACTGAAATTACAAAAATTAGCTGGACATGGTGTTATACACCTGTAATCCCAGCTACATGGGAGACTGAGGCATGAGAATTGCTTGAATCCTGGAGGCAGAGGTTGCAGTGAGCCTGGGCCACAGAAGGAGATTCTGTCTAAAAAAATAAATAAAAGAGTTTTTAAATGATCCCTGTTGTGGTGAGTGTTTAGCTCTCACCTGGCTAAAGCAGCAATTGGGCAGGCTGACTGAAAGGCTTTGTGCTCTCTGGGCGTGAGCGCAGTGGCAGGGTGGCATTCTGTCCCTGTGTGTTGGGTGGTGAGCAGGAGCGAGTGTGTGCACACCCCTAAGAAGCAGTCCTCATCATCCAGACAACCTCAAAAGGGGGTTTGACTCCGTGAGGTGATGTGTGCGCAGCGCTTACAGCTCTTTGGAAACCCACTATTTTCTGCATAAAAGGTATTGAGGTTGCGTACTTAACTGTAAATTTCTATCATGTTATCTTTCTCCAGTGGTCACTAAAAACCATGTTATAGGTGTTTGCTGCATTTTCATGGACAACTGGTACATCTACTTATCTACTTATCTGCTCTTGTTTTTTTTTTTTGTTTTTTTTTTTTTGAGATGGAGTCTTGCTCTGTCGCCCAGGCTGGAGTGCAATGGCGCCATCTCGGCTCACTGCAGCCTCTGCCTCCCGGGTTCAAGCGATTCTCTTACCTCAGCCTCCTGACTAGCTGGGACTACAGGCGCCCAGCACGACGTCTGGCTAATTTTTTGTATTTTTAGTAGAGATAGGGTTGCATCGTGTTAGCCAGGATGGTCTCCGTTTCCTGACCTCATGATCCGCCTGCCTCAGCCCTCCAAAATGCTGGGATTACAGGTGTGAGCCAGTGCCCCTGGCCTAGTTTTTTTTCTTTTTTCTTTTTTTGGAGGCAGTCTTGCTCTGTCACCCAGGCTGGAATACAGTGGTACAATCTTAGCTCACTACACCCTCCGCCTCCTGGATTCAAGGGATCCTCATGCCTCAGCCTCCCGAGTAGCTGGGATTACAGGCGTGCACCACCACGCCCAGCTAATTTTTTTATTTTTAGTAGAGATGGGGTTTCACCATGTTGTTCAGGCTGGTCTCGAACTCCTGACCTCAAGTGATCTGCCTGCCTTGGCCTCCCAAAGCGCTGGGATTACAGGCCTGAGCCACCATGCTGAGGCTATTCTAATTGTTACTGCCGATGTCGATGGTACGTGGCTGATAACTCAGAGCCTTGGCTGGGTGTATTTGCCTTACCTTTGCCATTTTTGAGGCTTGGGAAAACACCTTGAATTGTAATGATTTTGAGTGCTGGGTTTTATAAATGTTAAAATGTTTTAGAATGCAAGCACCAACTGTCTAGTGGAGTTCTTGTGTCCTTTCTCTGCAGGTATTTGAAATATCTCACCAAAAAATATTTGAAGAAGAATAATCTACGTGACTGGTTGCGCGTAGTTGCTAACAGCAAAGAGAGTTACGAATTACGTTACTTCCAGATTAACCAGGACGAAGAAGAGGAGGAAGACGAGGATTAAATTTCATTTATCTGGAAAATTTTGTATGAGTTCTTGAATAAAACTTGGGAACCAAAATGGTGGTTTATCCTTGTATCTCTGCAGTGTGGATTGAACAGAAAATTGGAAATCATAGTCAAAGGGCTTCCCTTGGTTCGCCACTCATTTATTTGTAACTTGACTTCTTTTTTTTTCTGCTTAAAAATTTCAATTCTCGTGGTAATACCAGAGTAGAAGGAGAGGGTGACTTTACCGAACTGACAGCCATTGGGGAGGCAGATGCGGGTGTGGAGGTGTGGGCTGAAGGTAGTGACTGTTTGATTTTAAAAAGTGTGACTGTCAGTTGTATCTGTTGCTTTTCTCAATGATTCAGGGATACAAATGGGCTTCTCTCATTCATTAAAAGAAAACGCGACATCTTTCTAAGATTCTCTGTGGGAAAATGACTGTCAATAAAATGCGGGTTTCTGGGCCATTCGTCTTACTTTCATTTTTTGATTACAAATTTCTCTTGACGCACACAATTATGTCTGCTAATCCTCTTCTTCCTAGAGAGAGAAACTGTGCTCCTTCAGTGTTGCTGCCATAAAGGGGTTTGGGGAATCGATTGTAAAAGTCCCAGGTTCTAAATTAACTAAATGTGTACAGAAATGAACGTGTAAGTAATGTTTCTACAGGTCTTTGCAACAAACTGTCACTTTCGTCTCCAGCAGAGGGAGCTGTAGGAATAGTGCTTCCAGATGTGGTCTCCCGTGTGGGGCCCAGCAATGGGGGCCCCTGATGCCAAGAGCTCTGGAGGTTCTTGAAAGAGGGGACACGAAGGAGGAGTGACTGGGAAGCCTCCCATGCCAAGGAGGTGGGAGGTGCCCTGGAAATAGCTGCCTCATGCCACTTAGGCCATGACTGGATTTAATGTCAGTGGTGTGCCACAGTGCAGAGGCTAGACAACTGAAAGGGGCTACCAAGGCTGGGAAAAAAATGCAATTGTTGCTGTGAGTGACTTTGAAAGACTCTGGTGCCTTGTGGTGCCCTTCTGAAATTCAAACAGTAATGCAAAAGTGTCTGCATTAGAATTTACGGTGTCTAAAATTCATGTTTTTAAAAGAGCTTGCCTACAGATGGTTTCCACACTTGAAATTGTGCCCTGCGAGTTGCATAGCTGGAAGTTCAATGCTCAGTCCTACCTTGGCTCCCATTAAACATTTGGTGCTCTGTGGATTGAGTTGAACGTGTTGAGGCTTTGCAATTTCACTTGTGTTAAAGGCTCTGGCATTTTTCCATTTCTATGCAAATTTCTTTGAAGCAGAATTGCTTGCATATTTCTTCTCTGCCGTCACAGAAAGCAGAGTTTCTTTCAAACTTCACTGAGGCATCAGTTGCTCTTTGGCAATGTCCCTTAACCATGATTATTAACTAAGTTTGTGGCTTGAGTTTACAAATTCTACTTGTTGCATTGATGTTCCCATGTAGTAAGTCATTTTTAGTTTGGTTGTGAAAAAACCCTGGGCTGAAGTTGGCATTTCAGTTAAAAGAAAAAAAGAAACTAGTCCCAGATTTGAAAACTTGTAATAAAATTGAAACTCACTGGTTTTCTATGTCTTTTTGAACTCTTGTAATCGAGTTTTGATCATATTTTCTATTAAAGTGGCTAACACCTGGCTACTCTTACTGTACGAGGCTTTGTTTTTTTTAAGGACTGGCATGTGAAGAAAAGCTTTGTCCTCACGAATTAGTTGCTGTACCAACAGTTACGTTGGTCTTTATTAGGCTTAGAAGAAAAGATGTCCTTTATTTCCACTTTTCTTCCCTTAGTTGTGCTGTTTTGCCGCAGTGAGATTCAGGGGTTGGCTGTCACTGAACTCTGTGTAGAATTTCTCCAGATCCAGAGTCTGGGGATCAACTTTGCCAGCAAATGCCGTTTTCTGATGGGGAATAGGTAGTGTCAACTTGAATTCCATCACAACCATGACACCAGCTGCGCCCAAAGCACACTGTAGACCAGTTTCCTTTGTTTTGACTCACACCTCACTTGCCTGATCGAAAATAGTTGAGGCACAGGGGCTGACTGGGGTCGTGGAGAGTTTCAAGCCGTGATTTAAGTTCATAAGAGTCCGGAAACAGGAGGTTGGTCTCGTCTCAGCCAATGCCAGTTACACAACACCTTCACGCCCTTCCCTCGAGTGTGCTGGTACAGCTGAGGAAATGAGGTTTGTTGATGTCACTAAGTGCTACGAACTAGTCACTTCTAAAGGCTTCATGTTTTCCCTCCAAAAAGCCTCTGATCCCCCTTTTCCCATGGCACTTCCAGTGGTGAAGTGTTTGGGTTTTGAGGACTGTTGTCCTCATACATTTTCAGGAGCAGCCAGGTGTTGAAATACGTGGGTCCTAACTTTGCTCATGAATGGTGTGTAGCACAGAGGTGGTCAGAAACACGGGGAAAGTGAGGAAGTTGGATAATACCAAGTGTCTTAAGACAGTTGATATCTGGGGCTATCTAGAGCTCAGCCTTTTTAGGGGACACTTGATTTCCTGGAGGGTGATAAGGACCCTGGTGATGGGGAATAATGGTCCGGCTGTTGAAGTCATTGATGTCAGGGGAGCCTGGAATTTGGTGTTGACACCTGATTTCACTTTCCATTTGTACATGGGACTCAGACCCTTAAACTTGTCAAGTATTGTAAACCAAGACCTCCCACAGGAGAGGGGGACCTAGGATGTGGGACAGTTACAGATCTGGCAGTTCCAGGGGACAGACCATCTCCCCAGTAACCCTTGGACAGAATACTGGGGTGACGAGTCAGAAGCTGCAGGGTAGGGGCACCACGGCGGTGAGAGATGGGCCAGGTCCCTGAAGGAGAGCCTGGGTTGGCACCTGCCCAGGTTGTTCGCTGAGTCGTGGTGATGGGCCTGTATTTAGTGGAATAAACTGTGGGGTTGATTCTCTTTGAGGGAGAAGAGGGTAGAAGAGAGGCTTGGTGTGGGGATTTGCCATCCCTGCAAGGAGGTAGCCCTCCACCTACAGGAAGGAGGTGAGGACTGCCTGTTAAACGGTGCAATCATAGTGCTTATCTCTAGGAACAGGAAACTGAATTTCTCATCCAGCCATTTTCTTGTCTTTGGGATGGATTTGAGAATACACATTCTTTTTTTTCCCCCAGGCTATTTTGGGCCCAGCTAAAACAGTCTGTAAAGGCTGTGCTGACCAGCGGAGTGAGTTAGCTGCCACCATAGCTAGAACCCAGAGAACACCCATAAAACGTTCTCAGGCTTACACAAGGATTTTCTCAGGTTCAGGGCCATGGCCCAGGGCTGCCTTTTTGAGAAGCTCCTTCCTCCCCTGCAACCCCAACTGATTTGAATTCAGGTGGTGCAGGGTCCACACTTTCGGAAAAAGCCTTCAAGTGCAACGAAAGTCTTGGTGCAGCAGGTGGGCACTGAGCCTTCATTGCAGAGGACACTGCGGTCCTGAGTGACGCCGTTTCACCCCTGCCGAGGAGGAGGTGTGGGGCAGAGTTTTGATCTATGTGACTCGCTGTGAGGTGGTGTATGTACAAGCACTTCATTGCCCTTGAGAAGCTGGTGGTGCCAGGTGGCCACAGCGTGGATATGCATTGTTGAACGAAATGGCCTCAGGCAGGCCTTGGGGGTTCCTGGATGAGGAGTTCATTTAGTCCTGGAATGGAAATTGAGTATGGTATGTGCAGAAGACGATGAGCTTTTTCCACTCTGTTCTTGGAAAAAGTTTTTTTTTTTTCTATTTTTGAGACAGTCTCGCTCTGTCACCCAGGCTGGAGTGCAGTGGCGCAATCTTGGCTCACTGCAACCTCTGCCTCCTGGGTTGAAGCGAATCTCCTGCCTCACTCGCCCGAGCAGCTGGGATTACAGGCGCCCGCCACCATGCCCGGCTAATTTTTGTATTTTTAGTAGAGATGGGGTTTCTCCATGTTGGCCAGGCTGGTCTCGAACTCCTGACCTCAGGTGATCCATGACTGCCCGCCTCGGCATCCCAAAGTTCTGGGATTACAAGTGTGAGCCACTGCACCCAGCCGAAAAAAGTTTTTTCCTTGATGCTTTTGTAACCGGTATATTAAAAAATATTTTGATTTTGGAATTGTCACTGAGGTGTAATTATGAGCTCTATGATCAGCAAACATGAGAATCTTGTCTCCTAAAACAGTAACCTTAATGATAGGCTTGTTCTTGCAACGCAGAGTTGCAAGTTTCAGGGATTGCTTTTAACGTCATGCATTTTTGGTCCGTTGTCATTAAAATACCCATTTAATAGTTTAACAATAATAAGGGCTCACCTTTAAAAATGACTGGAGAGCCGGGCATGGTGGCTCACGCCTGTAATCCCAGCACTTTGGGAGGCCGAGGCAGGCGGATCACGAGGTCAGGAGATTGAGATCATCCTGGCCAACAGGGTGAAACTCTGTCTCTACCAAAATACAAAAAATTAGCCAGGTGTGGTGGTGCGCGCCTGTAGTCCCAGCTGCTACTGGGGAGGCTGAGGCAGGGGAATCGCTTGAACCCGGGAGGCGGAGATTTGCAGTGAGCTGAGATTGCGCCACTGCACCCCAGCCTGACGACAGACACCATCTCAACTCCCCCCCTTGAAAAAAAAAACCCAAAAAACCTGGAGATTTGTAGTAAAAAAATCCATTTGTTTCTAGCATTCCAGTTTTTGTTTCATTTTGCTTTTGGACATTAAATAATATTACCTAGTTGCAGTCATCGGGAAGAACAGGATGGGGAGAGGATTATGACTGATGAGCATCTCGGCTCTAATTTGTTGCCAGATTAAGCAGTTAGAACTGTTCTTTCTTGAACGATATCTTGACTTTCAGCCTCGCCTTGGGAATTGGAGCCAGGGTTAATGATGGGGGCGGCTTTCTGGTGATGAGAAGTATTGTAAATCAGAGTTTTTCTACCGAAGGGCAGGGGACCTTTGAAAGGGATTAGAGAGGTGTTGGGGGGCTGGTAACTGAGGGGTGGGCGTGTCAGCTTAGGGCTTTCTTCCCTTGTTGGTCACCATTCATGGAGGCAGTTGGTCTGGAAAGAACGAGGAAGAGGCAGGTTTGGTTCAAGCCTCGGTGATCTGGGGCTCCCCCTGGCTAGCTGCTCTGTGGGGAAACACGGCCTTGGGAGGGGAGGCCCTTTGGTTTCCTGGCCTGCTTCCCTGAAGAGTGTTCCTTTCCCCTTGCAGGCGGCCAGCACTGGGCTGACCCGGCTTCTCTATCTACAGCGTAGTTAAAGCGGATCTGGGAGATGGAGGGGTTCCCAACACCCCAGTCTTTGGTTCCAGAAGGCTGGACCGACCTCTCCTTGCCCAGGGATGAATGCAGAGGGTCTTTTGTTTGGGGTTTGCTGGCAATAAAATTGAACGGGAAGAAGGGAAACTGCTGCCGATCCTGCGTGTCTCAGGTGGGTTCCCCCAGTGCCCCTGCGAGGCAGTGAGAGGGGGCCCTCCCTTCACGGGCCTTCTGGGGTTAGAGAGCTGGCGGTCGGCCAGCCCCTGGAACTTTTGCGTTCTTAAGGTAGCTTTAAGACTTGCCGCCGCGGAGACTGGAGGCGCTCATTTAAAATTCCAGTCTTGCTCCCGAGGGCTTTGGCCTCCATCTTCACCTTTAACGACCGAGGGCTGGTGGCGGCGGCTCCTTCCTGCTCTGCGACAGGTGTCGCTTCTGAGCGGGAGTTTTGGGCACAGACATCGCAGATCCGCACCACCCCTAGGGGTCTGCATGGGTTTCAGCTGCACCCAGCCTGGAGGGGCTTTTTGGAAGGGGGCACGTGGGCGGTGGGAGCGGGGAAGCAGGTGAGGGGAGCCCGCCTGCGCGGATTTTTCTGCTGTAAATCAGACCCACAGTCTCCAGAGCGTCTTTTCCCCAAGTGTGGAACACATTTTTCTTCTAATCCTCTTTGGAGAGGGGGTTAGGAACGTGCCGAGGCCGGAGCCGGGAGCGGGGTGGGTCCCGGCGCCTGTGAACCGAGTGGGGGAGCGGGCCGCGCGCTGCCCTGAAGACCCTGCCTCCGCGCCCTTGGGGGCTCGGGGCCCAGCGCCTTCGCAGGCGAGCGGCGGCGGCTGGCTCTGCCCGGGGTGCGCGGGGGCGGTGTTTCCTCGCCTCCCCCTGCGCCCGGGCTCGCCAAGCCCCGACTGCCCGCTCGGCCGTCGGGTCCGCGGGCGCGCGGACGCCTCGACGGCTCCCCCTGCCGGGGCGCCCCCCGGTCCCCACCCTCACCCGGCGGCTCAGGACTAGTCCCCCAACTTGTTCTCTGCTGTTAACTAGTCGCGCTGCCGGAACGATGGGATGGGGTTGCCACAGCAACCAGACTGGACGTCACAATCCGGGCATGTGTGCCGCCCCCCCGCCGTGCCGCCGTGCCTCTGGCGCTGCCGCCGCCACCCTCGGCCGGCTGCGGGACTCGGGCTGCGGGGCGCGGTGGGAGGAGCGCCCGGGCTTTGCGGGGAGCAGGCTAAGGCGGCCGAGAGAAAGGGGGGTCGAGACGGGGGGGTGGAGGTTTGGGGGGGTGGGGGGGCAGGCGGCCGCCATCTTCTCGCCGAGGCCGCCTCGCCCGCCGCGCGCGCCGGTCCGGCAGCGCACGGGTTAAGGCTGGCACCGCGCCCGGCGGGAGGGGGGGCGCCCACCTCCCCTCCTCCCCGCGCCGGGCATGCGGGGCCCAGTGGGCACCGAGGAGGAGCTGCCGCGGCTGTTCGCCGAGGAGATGGAGAATGAGGACGAGATGTCAGGTGAGCGGGGCGCGGGTGCGCCTGGGGCCAGAGCGGCGGGGGCGCCGAGACGGGCCGGGCCCAGGGCGGAGCGCGGGCGGCGGGGGCGGCGCGGCCGGGCTGGCGCCTCGCAGGAGGGGCACCCGGGTTGCGGGGCTGCGCTCCCGCCCTGCTGGCGCCGCGCGGCCAAGGGCGAAGGCTGGGTGAGCGCCCGGGCCGGCGTGAGGGCGGCTAAGGGCGGGGTGCGATCCGGGCCCCCCGGGCGGCGACGCGGGCCAGGCGGGCCAGAGGACCGCGGGCCGGGGCCTGCGCTGGGGGGCGCGGCGCTGTCAGGGTCAGCCCGCGTGCCCTTGAAGGGGGCGGGAATCGCGCTAGCTCCCGGAGCGGCGCACCCCGCGCTCGCGTCCCGCCGCCGTGCGCCTCTGGCCTCGCTGCGGGCAGGCGGGACCCGGCCCCTGGCCCATGTCGGCCGCGGGGCGGGCTGGGTGGGGCCCAGAGAGGGGCGAGGACCGGCGGTGCTTGGGGACGCGTTGAGCGCCCAGGATGGGGCGGCTTCCCTCCCGGCCCAGGAGGACTCCGCTCTGGGACGCACGGGCTCGGACCCCTGCTCCTCTTTCCTGGCCTCTGTGCGCTGTGACCGCCGCTCCCAAGCACTTTACCCGGGCCGCCGGCGTCCTTCTGGCGCGACCTAGCGCCCGCCGCTGTCTCCAGCCTCACCATCGCCCAGGGTGGTGGCCGTTCCCAGCCCACCCTGCCTTGGCTACGGGCCTGACGCCCCAGGGCCACCGCCCCTGCCCCTACCATCTCTCTCCTTTTATCTCTCTCAGAATTTAGTATACACAGGGCTGTGCGCCAGGGGTTGCCTTGCGGGACAGTTCTTTAGTTAACTGCTCACCATTTGTTTGGGACGTTTTCCCTCCTGGCACAGCTGGGTAGGGCCCCACCCTGTCAGCCACCCTCCCTCCTTTCTGGGAGACTCTTACTTCTCGGCTTCCCTGCGCCAAGTCTGTGGCCTCTCTGGACTTCGGAGAGACTTGTGGGAGGCTGGAGGCCCTCCCGGGCCCAGGAACGTGCATCTGGCCCCTTCTGACTTCCAGGGGTGAGAAGACTCCACAAATGGACACCTCCAGCTCCTGTTGGAGGAAGCAGCCAGCGTCTTCTGGGGAGGGTATTCCCACCAGGTGGCCACACCCCCTGCCCCCTTCTGTTTGCTTGCTTGGTTAGTTGGTGGCTTTAATGCTGTCACTGAGCTCCTACAGGAGCCCGGCACTCACCTCGCCTGTTAGACAGGCCAAGTTGGCAGCGAGCGTGCTGGGGACGGGGAATAGGGGAGTCCTCTCTTGGGGTGGAGTTGCCTGGACAATAGTTGACTGTCATATCCTGGGTCCTTGGAATTAGACCCATTCTCCGGAGGGGAACTCTGAGGCCCCGCACAGGCACAAAAAAAAATCAGTGGCCATTTTCCACCTAGGAGGCTGGCTCCCCAGTAAGCCAGTTTACTGGTTTTCTCAGCAAGTTGTTTGTTATGGTGTTTGGGGTGTGGCCCTTTTGTGGGATCAGTGGCATTTCTGGGGTTGCACCGACCCGCTGGTGGAGTCCCCTGGCTGTCTTTCCCATCTTACACTCCGGCTCTCTCTGACTATGTGGGGACTTAGAGGTTGGGGAGGGGAAGAGGCCAGGGAAGGTGCCCCCAGTCTAGTAGGCACCCGACTCACTGCTTGGGCCAGAGAGGCGGGGCTCTGGTCATCCTGCCCACCACCCGTGCTCCCCCTCGGTGGGTTGGCCCCAGAGCCTCCAGGAGTGCCCCCAGAGCCCTGCAGAAGAGACGCCCTGCTCTGGCACCTCTGGCCTGGGGATTCTGTCCCCATCCATCAGCAAGGCCAGCTGCTCCACCTCCAGAGCCTTTCCAGGCTCCTGGCTTCTCTCCATGTTCTGGGTCCAAGCCTCTGTCCCCTCCTGCCGGTCCCCTCCAGGGCCTTCTACCCACTCCTTCTGACCACCCACTGCACAGCAGCTGGGGTCACCTCGTGAACCCAAGTCAGATCCCGACCCGCATGGCTCCAGTCGCCTCTGAAACCCTTGTCCCGGGTCCACTCCTGTACCCCTTTGTTCACAGCAGCCACGCTGGCCTCCTTGCTGCTTCTGGAACACTCCACGCTCCACGCTCCATCCTGCCATGGGGCCCTGGCTGTGACCTCTGCCTGACCTGCTCTTTCCTCTGCTCACCGCTGCCTCCTGGTCATTTAGGTCCCAGCTCGAATGTTATGATGGGGAGGGACACCCTTGCTAAGGGCCTTCCAGTCACTCTGAGACACATTGTCATGCTTTCTTTGGAAGAGATGGGGTCTTGCTGTGTTGCCCAAGCTGGATTTGAACTCCTGTGCTCAAGCGATCCTCCTGCCTCAACCTCCCTAGTAGCTGGGACTACATGCTTGTGTCACCACACCTCACATACTCGAAACGTTGTCATCAGTTTCCTCCTGGATCTGTGGGTTCCCCTTCGAATGTAACTCTCGATAACCTGCCATGCCCAGCACCTGAAACCATGCGTTCCTGAGAGATGGTTGTGGTTTCAGTGTCTGAGGGCTGGGACTCTCTAGGTCACCCCAGCTTCTGGCTGTGAAGACAGCCCTAGCCAGGCCTCCTGTCAAGTCGCACTGCTGGCCCCCCACTCACCCTGAGCTCTTCCTCATAGCCCCTATGCAGCCCTGAGTCCAAGCTCAGTGGCGGTGACCCCCAAAGACCAGAACCAGCTGGTTCCAAAAGATGGAAGTTTGTGGCTGGAGGAGCTAGTGTTTTGGAAGCTGTCATGATGATTTTTCAGTCTACGGCTATTAAACTCATGACTTGTCCGATCTTTTTTCTTTGACTCTGCTCATCTCCCACCTCCCCCTGGGAGTTGCTCACTCTCAGCAGTGAATTATTGTTTCCCGTGCAGTGATGGTGGGGAGGGGGAGGTTTGCCCTGGCCAGCTCTGGCATTGAGGCAGGTGTCTGAGCCAGCTTCTAGGAGGAAGGCAGGGCGGGTGCCTCTTCTGGTTGGGGGACCAGCAGTTGCCAGATTCTCCTGGGAGTTGGGGTGGCTGGTTGAAGCCAGGGGTCAAGAGCTGGTGGGATGAGGCCTTGGCTTCTAGCTCTGAGCATTAGCTGAGTGGTCTTGGACAAGCCAGGCAGCCCTCTCCTCGGTGTGCCCACTTGTAGTATGGGGACATAGCACTGGCTACCTCATAGAGGGTTATTATGAGGAACAGTGAGACAGTGCATGTGGAACATTAGGCCACAGTGCCCAGCACATGATAGGTGCTCAATAAACTGTGGCTGGTGTAGTTAGCACCAGCCAAGGAGGGCAGCTGTCCTGCCTTCTCCAAGGAAATGCTTCTGATACTTGCATCCTTAGCCAGTAAGCTCAGGGGAGTAGGAGCCTGGGTGGGAGGAGGGCTGTGAAGCCCAAGGTAGGGGTGGCAGGAAGCAGGAGAGGGCTTCAGAAAATGTGGCTCTCAGCCCTCTTAGGGCCACTGCTGGGCTGGCAAATTCCCTGCCTCATTGGCCCAGCTTTTCCTCAATCACAGACAAAGCTAGTGAGCCCAGAATGGGCAATGTCTGGACTAGGCACCGTTACCTCTCTGGCCCCAGTGACAATTGGCCCTAGATGTGTAAGTATCTTAGGCTTGCTTCCTCAGGTCCAGGGGCCAGGAGAGAGTGACAGTCATGATTCCCAAAAGGCCATGACATTTTAGCCTGCACCCCTACCCCTGTGGAAGCATGGTTTGGTAGGGGGGTCCCAGGGAGCCTGATTGTATTTAACATTCTTTTCTGGGAGGAGGGAGACAAAATGACCAGCACACTTTGCCCAGTGGCTTGGCCAGTGGGTTATTCATTGTCATTCCAAGTTGATCAGGTAATAGGATCCATCTATCATTTTATCAGTTCATTCAGTCGCTCACCCATCATCCATCCATCCATCTACCTACCCACCCACATCTACCCATCCACCTACAAAACCAACCAAGTAACCGTTCACCATCCGCCTATCAATCCATATCCATACCATATCCATCCATCCATCTGTTCTTCCTATCCACTATTCATCCATGCACTATTCGTCCATGCTTCCCACCATCCATCCATCCATCCATGCATCCATGTATCCATGTATCTACCTGCTCTCCCACATCTACCCGTCGACCCACAAAACCAACCAAGTAACCATTCACCATCCACCTATCTATCCATATGTATATCCATCCGTCCGTCCGTCCATCCATCCATCCATCCATCCATCCATTTGTTCTTGTTCTTCTTATCCACTATTCATCCATGCACTATCTGTCCATGCTTCCCACCATTCATTCATCCATCCTCCAATCCATCCATCCACCATTCATTCATCTGTCCATCCACCATCCACCCATCCACCATCCATCCATCTGCCCATCCACCATCCATCCATCTGCCCATCCACCATTCATGCTTCCATCCATTCATCCACCACCCACCATCCATCCATTCCTGTACCCACCATTCATCCATCTATCCACCCGTCATCCATCCATTCATCTATCCACCATCCATCCATGCATCCATCCACCATCCATCCATGCATCCATCCACCATCCACTCATCCATTCATCCACCATCCATTCATCCATCCACCATCCATTCATTCATCCATCCACCATCCATCCATGCATCCATCCATCCATCCACCCACCATCCATCCATCAATCCACAATCCAACCACGCATCCAACCACCATCCACTCATCCATTCATCCACCACTCATTCATCCACCCACCATCCGCCCACCATCCATCCATCTGCCATCCATCCATCCACCTATTGTCCATCTATTCATCAATCCACCATCCATCCATGCATCCATCCACCATCCACTCATCCATTCATCCACCATTCATCCACCCACCATCCATCCATCATCCATCCATTATCCATTCAGCCATCCATCTGCCATCCATCCATCCATCCATCCATCCTTCATCCACCATCCATCCATCCACCCACCCACCATCCATCCTTCATCCACCATCCATCCATCCACCCACCCACCATCTATCCATCCATCTATCCATTCATCTTTCATCCATCCATCCGTCATTCATCCATTCATCCATTTATCCATCCGTCCATCCTCCATCTTCCATCCACCATTCATCCATCCACCCACCATCTATCCATCAATTCATCATCCATCCATCAATTCACCATCTATCCACTTATTCACCATCCATCCACCATCCATTCATCCATCCACCCATCCACCATCCATCCTTCCACCCACCGTCTATCCATCAATTCATCATCCATCCATCTATTCACCATCTATCCACCATCCATTCGTCCATCCACCCATCCACCATCCATCCACTATCCACCCATCCACCATCCGTCCAGTGTCCATCCATCTGCCATCCATCCATCCATCCATCCATCCACCCACCATCCATCCATCTATCCATCCATCTACCCACCATCTATCCATCAATTCATCATCCATCAATCTATTCACCATCCATCCACCATGCATTCATCCATCCACCTATCCACCATCCATCCATTCACTATACAATTATCCGTCCACCCATCAGAGACTTCTGGAATATCTTCTCTGAGCTGGGTACTGAACACAATGTGTGTTGTCTAACTTTCTGGGCTTTTGCTTATCTCTGTGGCTCTGTCCTTATTTCACTCTCCTTCCCTGTCTCTCTCTCTCCCTCTGTCCCCATATCTGTCAGTTTTCGTCTCCCCTGAGGTCATGCCCCTGCCTCTCCCTTTCTGTCTGGCCGTTTTTCTCTCTTTTGTCCCTCCCTGTCCCCCCAGGTTGACTTCCCCTCTCACCATTCTGTCCTCCTCCTCCCCACCCATGCCCTGGGCCTCTCCCTGCTTTCCCTGCACCCCCAGGGTGACTCCCCCCAGGCCCCAGTCACTTGGGGTAAATGCCTCATCTATCCCCGTCTCTTCCCTCCACTCCCCACTCAGGACTGATGCTTTCTTTTGATGTGACACCAATGAGGTGATGTCTGGGTTTTGTTAAATGTCATAAATAAATTATGAATCCTCTCTTGGGCGGTGTACTGCCCCCCTTTGCCAGCATAAGCCCTGTCTCATGGGGGGAGGTTCGAGGACTAACGGCAGCCTGAGAACTCCTTGGCCAGCGTCTAGGGTGGCCCTGAGAACCTCTGGCCCAGCAGTGGCCAAACTAGAGACCGCTGCCCTCTGCCCTTCACCACTGCCGCCCTGACCCTCCTGGGTCTCGCTGGGCTCTGCCTGCCATTGCTGAGCCCCTGCAGGCATCGTGTGGGTCCTTTGCATTCACAGTTTTTACTTCTCCCCATAGCCCTGGGGGAAAGGCTGCCACATTAGGCCCATTTCACAGATGAAGAGAGAGGCTCAGTGGGGAGGGGACTTGCTGGTATCACCTCCAGGAGGGGTAGCTTGAAGCCTCTGCTGCCCCTGTTGCTCCCTCCTCCTGACCTCCTGGTGGCCTTGTTCTCTGCTTGTTGCTGGTTGGGGAGTCCAGGTGGGGAACAGAAATAGCCCCTCTCGGCCGGGCGCGGTGGCTCATGCCTGTAATCCCAGCACTTTGGGAGGCCGAGGCGGGTGGATCACGAGGTCAGGAGATCGAGACCATCCTGGCTAACATGGTGAAACCCTGGCTCTACTAAAAATACAAAAAATTAGCCGGGTGTGGTGGCGGACACCTGTAGTCCCAGCTACTTGGGAGGCTGAGGCAGGAGAATGGCGTGAACCTGGGAGGCGGAGCTTGCAGTGAGCCGAGATCGCGCCACTGCACTCCAGCCTGGGTGACAGAGCGAGAGTCCGTCTAAAAAAAAAAAAAAAGAAATAACGCCTCTCCCCAGGTCCTGGAGAGAGTGGTGGACATTGAGTGGGGTCCCTGTCCTTGGCAGGTTTGCCGGCCTTTGCAACCTGGTGATGGTGTTCTCGTCCCAGCTCCTGGCTTGGCCCCTGCAAATCCTTCAACCACCCAGAATCAGATGACCTAACTTTCGCTCCACAGTCACGCGCCTTCCCCTTGTTTTGATCACCTTGTGTTTGCCAAGTGCCCTGGCGGCTGCGTCCTTGCTCTGCTGCTGCCCCTCCCCAGAGGAGTGAGGGGCTGGAGCCTGGGTCTGGCAGAGCTGTGGGGCTGTGTGCAGGGGGACTAGTGTGGTGAACCAGCCTTGACCCCCTTGAGGGACCTGTGACCTGCCAGACCACAGACCAGCCTGAGTCACCTCAGTGTCCCCAGGGCATCCACCGAGCCGGTTTACACAGCGTGGGCTGTTTCAGTGGGAGGGTGCTGGGGGAGAGACTTCGCAAGGGGGTGGGCGCCCACTGCCTGTGTTCAAACAGTGGCAGCTTCACCACTGCCAGCTGTAGGACTGAGATGTAGGTAAATAATGAGGTCCTTTGAGCCTCAGTTTCCCAATCTGCAGATGGGGATAAGAATAGAACCCTGAGCCAGGTGTGGTGGTTGTGCGTGTTGTCCCAGCTGCTCAGGAGGCTGAGGTGGGAGGGTCGCTCGAGCCCAGGAGGTCGAGGCCTGCAGTGAGCCATGATCATAACACTGCACTCCAGCCAGCGACTCTGTCTCTAAAATAAATAAATAAATAAATAAAGCCCCAAACCAGAAAGAATAGTACCCCTCTCTGAGTTGCTGTGTTGAACTGATACAAATTAATCAGTCCTAGGTACTTTGGGCCTGGCACGAGCCTGGCAGGTGGTATGCAGTTATCACGACTGCTGCTATTGCAATGCGCTACCCTGAGAAGGGCCCACCTCATCGGCCTGGCCGCAGCCTGCAGTGGCTCAGCCTAGGCCAGCCTGGGGGTCCCACAGGGCTGAGCTGGCGCATACTGGGAGCTAGAGAGGGGCTGAGGGAGCTCTGGAGAAAGCAGCAGAAGGTGCCTCTCCTTCCTCTGGTCGACTTGAGCCCCACCCCGCCTCCACCCCCAGGAGGTGGGTGATCACAGGGTAATGGGTCTTAATTAGAGCAGGCTTGGATCCGTGGAGCCTCAGGCCCTGGAGGGTTAGGGCTGGTGCATGAGGGCACTGCCAGGTGGGCCAGGAGGGTGGTGGGGCAGCCACGAGGGGCCAGGAGCTGGCAGGACAAGGAGTTCTGAGGTGAGGTTGCTCCTCCCTGGAGCCCCTCACCCGGGACGGGCAGGATGCCACCTTAACACTGGCTGCATGCTCTGCGTCTTGGAACCCTCTGGGCCTCTGCTCTGTCCCCACCAGATGGAGCCATAGGGAGGAGGGACTGGTGGGCTCAAGGGCACAGGCTGGGCTTGGGGAAAGGCTGACCGTGCAGTTGCTTGTATGGTGACCCCCAGATCTGGTTTTAGAAAGCTCAGGACCTGCTGCGGGAGCAGAGAGTGTCCAAGGGCAGAAAGGGGCTGGGGCTTGGCTGAAGACGGGAGCGTGTGAGGTGTTGGGGGGGGCAGTGTCATAGAGAATCAGGCGTGTGGTGACCTCAGGGCCACCCACCAGAAGCCATCTGGGGAGAGGAAGGGCCCATCAGAGACAGGGTTAGGCAGGGCTGAGTCCCCGTCTCCGTGTGCCAGTTCCAGAGCCTTCTCAGAGGTGGGTTTCACCAGGCAGAGGCCCTGGGCTGTGAGGTCTTCTGGGAACGGAGCTGGGGTCTGTCCATGGGCAGAGGGTCTGGGGCCTTGTCCTCGAAGGCCTGTTCTGGGCGTGGGTTAGGGCCAGAGCAGGGGTCCCCCTTTGTCCTCCCCTTACCCACGGGCAGATCCCAGACTTCCTTCCAGAACTTCTGGCAGCCACCTGTGCATACCCTCATCCGTTCTGTTGGTCAGGCCACCAGTCAGTGACCATGTGCTGGGCTGGGTTTCCTAAGTCTGGGACCACCCTGCCGGAAGGGGACAGCTGGGAGGAAGCAGGAGGGAGAGGCCCCCCCTCGAGATTGCATCAGCCAGAGCCCGTTACATAAGCAGTGCTGGGCACCGCCAGGGTGTGGGGGTGGCTCTGCCCAGGCGGTCTCCTGCGGTGGCGGGGGAGGCGGAGGCCCGGTGGCAGAGCGGGCAGTTGTGGACTGGCATCCCATCGGCTGCCCCACCACAGACAGCTCCCCGCCAGCCCTGCCACTGCCCCACCGACACCTGCTCTGCAGGACGACTCCGAGGGGGTCCCCGTGCACGTTTTCAGCTGGTTTGAAAAATCCCCGCCTTTCCACACTAGTGATCAGAGGAATGGGGTGGGGTCAGCCGGAGCAGCCCAGCCCCTGCCCCTGGCTGCTTGGGGCCTCACCCACATAAACCCACCTGGGGCGGCCCTTGCTGCTGGCTCCCCTGTGTGCCCTAGCCCTCCACAGGGTGCCCTCCCTGTGTGGGAGCCCCAAGCACCTGGCCACCCTTGAGGGAGGCCCTGGTGCAGAGAGGCACCAAGACAGTGGTGCAGCCCCCACCTTCCACTGGTGCAAACACCTTCCACTGGTGCACATTGGCCCCGTGGGATGCAAGGGTGGGAGGGGCGTCCGCTCAGCCACCAGAGCCCCGGTGCCCCCGAGGAGTGGGGACAGTGGGGCTAAAGCTGCACCCATAGTGTGGGCCATGGGAGCCCCAGAGACCCAGGGTAGGAGCCCTCCTGTCCCCCTTTCCCCGCTTAGGACTCTCTGGGGGTCCCAGGCCGGGCGGTGGGGGCCTGTGTGGAGGGTGACAGGTGAGTGTTGGGTGCACATGCATGTCTGTGCGTCTGCATGTGGCGAGTGTGTCTGAGCGTGTGGGCCACACTGGGGGTCGCCTCGAAGCCCTTTTGGTGACCCAGGGGTCACCAGGGTCACCAGACTGCCTGGGTTCGAACCTGGCTCCAACACTGCCAGCTGTAGGTGGTTATGATCAAAAACTTCCTCGGGGGAAGGGGCTCTCTGTCTCTAAACTTGATCCAGCAGGGACACTCTGCCCCCTTCCTGGGTGAAAGCCTCCTGGTGGCCCCAGGACCTCTCGTCCTCCGCGGGGTCCCACTGGAGGCAACCCTCAGGCTCTGAGTGACACTCCCTGTTGTGTCTCCACTGTCACAGAAGGTCAGGCCTGGGGTGTCCATGGCAGAGGGTCTGAGGCTGAGGGGCCTCTCTTTGCCCCTCAGCTTCCCCTGAGTGCTCCTGAGTGCACAGGGGATGGTGGAGAGCGAGTAGGACAAGCTGGCTGGGGCGCTGGGGCCGCAGGCTGGCATGAAGGGCCGGCTCTCTCGTGGGCCCTTCTAGAGGACTCTTGGAGGTTCTTCCCTTCTGGAAGCCTCCTTTGCCCCCACGGGCAGAAGTGTCTCTACTTTGGATGGTTTGATTCTTGCTGCTGTGCCTGCCAAGAGGACCCTCCCCACAGCCCCTCCACAGCTCATATCTGGTGCGTGGGAACTCCTTTTCTCTATCCTGATTTCCCAGATGAGCGTCAGACCCCAGGCTACTGCCGTCCCAGCAGGGGTCTCACGTCACACCCCCCAGGACATGTGGCAGCCCTTCCTCTGGGTTGGAGGTTGAGGGAGGCAGACCTGGGACTGTGGCCAGTGTCGTCAAACATACTCCCTTCCCGAGCCTGCCCGGCCAGGGCCCCCTCGGCCTTTCGAGTCAGTGCAGGTGAGGTGAGTCCTGAACACCCACGTGTGCTGGGCACGGCGTCTCTCTGTGGACTGTCACAGCTTTCTAGTGCCCAGCTGGAATGCGCTTGGCTTCCCGTTGTGAGTGTGTTGGAGGTGGGGGAGTGCGGACCTGTGTGCCTGTGTGTGCACAGGTGCGGGATCCACGAGGAGATACGATATGGTCTTGGATTCTCCATTAAGGTGGCATCCTCTCAAACCCATGGGGTATCCTGGCATCTTCCTTGCTGAGTTTGTCCTGCAAACCCCTGGGGTCCTCAGGTTTGGGGCTTGAGTGTCCCTGTGCTCCACAATTCTCTCTCTCTCTTTTTTTTTTTTTTTTTTGATGGAGTCTCACTCTGTTGCCCAGGCTGGAGGGCAGTTGTGCGATCCCAGCTCACTGCAACCTCCACCTCCTGGGTTTGAGCGATTCTCCAGCCTCAGCCTCCCGAATAGTTGGAATTACAGGCGCCCACCACCACGCCCAGCTAATTTTTGTATTTTTAGTAGAGACGGGGTTTCATCGTGTTGGCCAGGCTGGTCTCAGACTCCTGGCCTCTGGTTATCTGCTCGCCTCAGCCTCCCAAAGTGTTGGGATTACAGGCGTGAGCCACTGTGCCTGGCAGGTCCAGCATTCTCGAGCCACCTCCTGGCCACACTGTGGTCCTCTCTCTGGAGGGAGAGATGGGCCTCACTGAGGTCTGTACTCTGCTCTATCAGCCCCAACTCCTTCCTGGTAGAGATGCTCCGTTTCTCCGGCAGTGATGGCAACAAGGCAATTCTGTTTGTTGTTCATGGAGGTTCAGTTTTCTGAACACTGTCTTATCAGGGGCAGGTGGTTATTGTCCCATTTACAGAGGAGGGAAGGAAAGGCCTGGAGGTGAGGTGATGTCACACAGTCCCTAGAGCTGGGGCTCCTGTCCTGTGTTCTCTCACTTCACTGGGTTTGGGGAGGGCAGGGCAGCTGTGACCTGGCACAGTTGGGTGTCTGGGGGTCCCAGCTTCCCCAGGGCTGGCTCTGTGTCTCCAGGGCTCTCCTGGAGGAAGCTCAGGAGTAACTGCTGCCACCTTCTGATTTTTCCAGAAGAAGAAGATGGTGGTCTTGAAGCCTTCGATGACTTTTTCCCTGTGGAGCCCGTGAGCCTTCCTAAGAAGAAGAAACCCAAGAAGCTCAAGGAAAACAAGTGTAAAGGGAAGCGGAAGAAGAAAGAGGTGAGGGGCAGCACCTGCGCCGGCGAGCTTGGGGCGGGTGGGGTTGTGGCTGCATCTGCCCGGCCGCAGAGGAGGGCTGGGGTCCCTGGACCTTGGAGTTTGAGGGTTTCTGAGAGCTGAGTTTGATGAAAAACACCATAACCAGTTTCTCGTATGAAGCGTTGTGCACGGAAGCCTTTTTAAGACGTTGCTGAGCTGTCCTGTTTCCGGAGCAGGATGTCGGAGCGTCATTTTTCCTTCCTCCCGTTGTCCTATCCTGTGCGAGGGACAGGGCTGGATTCCGTCGCCACGGTGCCTCCCTACCTCCCTGCCCCACTCCCTGCTCTGTAGCTGACTCCGTCCCTCTAAACTGAAACCTGATGAAGTGAGTTGGAGAAGAGAAGCAAGGCCCCATTTAGGGACAGTCACCTGCAGGTGACCTCTGGATTCCCGTCACTTTGTCCCTGGTTCTCGGCTGGTTCTGGATGGGCGAGGCTGCCGCATGCTCCGCTGCCTTGGGTTGGCAGGGTGTGATGGTGTGAACACGTCCCTTGTCTTCCCACGCTGCTGACACATTCCGAGTGTGCTTCTCTGTGCTTCACGCGGGCTCACTTGATCCTCATGATCAGCCCTGGAAATTGGTGGCATGGGAGGGATGATCGCTGGTTGGCAGATGGGGAAACTGAGGTGGGTTTGCAGCTTAAAGTCCTTCCTACTTGGTCTAGGACACTGAGGTCTGCCATTTCCTCACCATATGCTGTCTGCTTCCTTCTGGGCGTCTCCTCTGATCCTCCAAGCGACCCTATGTTGAGAGCAATGGCAAGCACCTCACTTCACAGATGAGAGCGGGGGCTCAGAGGTGCCCTGGCCCAAGGTCACACAGTGACACAGTGGTGGTGCTGAGATCTGAATCCAGGGCTGTCAGCTCCACCAGCCACCGCTGCCAGGAGTGTTTCTCCCCTCCCACCTGCCCCGGGGGGACCTGAGGCCAGCTCTCCACCTTTCTTTCCCCCGCCTAGAGGGGACTGGCCTGGCCCCACCTTGCAAGTGAGAGGCCCAGGGAGGTAGCTGGTGAGGCGCAGTGGTGGTGAGGTGAGGTGCTAATGCTAAGGGGGTGCCCTTGGCAGCGCTGGGCCCGGATCTAGGCCTCCCTGCAGAGTGAGGTGGGGAGGTGGCTGCCAGAAGAGCTTAGGGGTGGGTTTGGGGAGCTTGTCCCAGGCTGGAGACACTCCGTGCTGTGAGGGTTTCGGGAGGGCCTGTTGCGGGTGGTGCACCATGGGCCTCTTGTCCCGTGAACAAGGTGAGATCACTGGAAGGCTTCGAGCAGAGGAGGGACTGCTATGACATGACATCCTGGCAGGCTCCCCTGGCGGCCCTGGGGTGGGAGAGATGGTGGTGGTGGGGGGCGAGGGTCCCTGCCTTCGCCTCTGGGCCTCGGGTCTGTGCCCCATTTCCACTTCCCCGGCTTGTTCGGGTACTTGGAGGCATTTTGGGGGGCTCTGAACTCTACCTGCAGCCTGTGGTTCCTTTTCTGGTCTGGGTGTCAGCCTGGGGATGTTGGGAGGGCAGAGCCCGCCCTGGACTGTGTCCTTGGTCCCCACGGAGTTCAGGGACTGCTGGGGAAAGGATGGGGCTGGGAGGTGTTAGCCCCAACCCTCTGGCCAGAGTTGCCCCAGGTGTGTACCGCCCCGGTGCTCTTTGCTGGGGGCGGCAGTCAGCACCTCTCACCCACCTCCTACCGGCCCTTCTCTCCCAGCCCCTGCCTTGTGGGGCTTCTGCAGCCCTGGGCTCTCCTGGGAGAGCTTCCTGAGTGTGCTCTGACTGTGCCCCACGGCCCCCTGGTCCAGAGCCTGTGCAGCACCCCCACTGCTGCCACTCCAAGCCCCTGCCCCCGACCCCCACCTGCTTTGCAGCCAATCCAGGCCCTTCTGGTCCTCCGTGCACACACGTGTGTGCATGTGACTGTGTGTGTACCACCCTGTCTTCCCCTAGAGAGACCCTGGCCCCTCTGCCCAATTCTGCTTGCCTTCTCTGTTGTCCCTCAGCTCTGTGCCCCGTCTGACACAGTGTCCGGGATGGATGTGTGTCTGTCCCTTCCCGGGAACCCCCCCTTACCACTGGGCCAGCATGGGGGCTGCATGGGGAGGATTTGTGAGGTGAAGGGGGAACCCGGGTCTGTGGAGCTGGGTGTGGAGGCTCCTGCCTGGCCCATCATGCCCCAGAGACTCCCAGGCCTGCACTCTGCGGCTCTTGCATCTTCCCCGGGGTCTCAAAGAGGGTGAAGCTCCCTGTCCCTGTTATTTGATGGGGAAGTGGAGATAGGACAGGGGAAGCGGGGAGTGCGTGCCTGGAGGCTCCCCCAGGGAAGGAGAGGCTGTGAGCCAGCTCCTTTGGGAGGGGCTCCCTGAATTCCCTGCTGCAGCCCCGCCCTCCTCTTCTGCTGCTGTGGCCGCTGTCCCCTGGCCCCAGAGGTCGGTCTTTGTGCTGGGCATGGGGTAGATGGCTCTGGAGCTGCAAGGCCCTGGGATGAAGACACCGAGACTGTCTGGTGGAGGCTGTAAAATCTTGCTCTGCTGCCATCCCCGCCCTCACTCCTCAGACCTGGGCTCCATGGGCTCGGGGTGATGTGGATTTTAGGACCCCGAGGCCTCGTGGTCCATGGCAGGGACTCCTACCTGTGCACCCACTGCCCACCTCCTCTGACTTAGAAGCTGGGTGGGAGTCTAGGCCAAGAGGGGCAGTGTCACCTGGGCCTGGGTCTCAGGCCACTGGGCTGGGTGGGCCTGACTTCCAAATGCAGAAGAAGGACCCAGTGGGGTGCAGCAGAGACCTGTGGGAGCCCTGTGGGAGCCCCCATCCTCCCCAGATAGGGCTGGCTCCCCTCCCGTCTCCTGGGCTCAGGGTACAGCACCAGCCCTGGCTAGGGAGGCTTGGGAGGTGGGCAGCGCCTGGACAGGGGCGAGGCCTGGGGGCTGGGGGCCAGGGGGTCTTTGAGACCTGGGAGGGCTGGTTCTCCGACGCTCTCATTCCCAGGGCCATGATCACGCTGAGCCTTCCCTTTTCCAACTGGCCCAGGTCTTCCCTCCCGCTTCTTTCTCTGACAATATGTTTTTGTTTTTGTCCAGGTCCTTATCTCTCTCTGGCTCTTGTCTGTCTGTCTCTCTCTGGGTCTCAGACTTGGTCATTCCCTCTGGCCTGTGCTTGGTGTCCACCTTGGTAACCTCTCGGCATCTCCTCTCTCTCCTTTGCCGTCTTTTCTCTCTTCCCCCTGTACCCTCATTTCTCTCCCTCTCTTTGATTTGCTCCACCCCTTCCTCACCCTCTCTCCTTCTCTCTACTGAGATGCAGCTCTGGTTCTTGGAAGGGGAAGGGGGCTGGGATGGACAAGAGGCCTCCAGAGGTGCCCCCTCCCCTGCATTTGAGAGCCTGGCTCGGGCCAGCTGTCAGATCTTAAGGGGTCTGGAGCACACTGTGGCCCAGCTGCCGGGTGCCCCTTTGCCCACCTGCCTGGCAGACTAGGAGCCCCAGGATAAAGACAAGGGAATTTCACCCCTCTGCCCCTCTCTGCCTCCAACCAGGTGGCTCCAAGATGACGGGGTGAAGGGGCCAGGGCAGGTGGGCCGCAAGCAGCAGTTTGTTAGTGGGGGGAGGCCGGCAGCAAGTCGTGGATTCTGATTTACATAAAATAACCGGGCTGCAGCCGGAACCTGAGCATATGTAGATGAAGCTCCCTGTCAGACCCTAGCGAGCGCAGGAGGGAGAAATGATTTCAACCTGTACTGCAGCGGTTACCATAGCAACCAATTATTCAGTGCTAAATTATAACTGTTTATAACACTCGTGAATGGGAAGGCTCCTATTTCATTCTTCCCTTTTCCCTCTCAATCTTGAAGGACCCCAAATGGAGAATGACCCACTCTCCGCACCCTTCCTTATGAGTTTAAATGTCTCCGTTTTTAGGAGATGCGGTGCGTGTGCGGAGCATCGGGCCTAGAGGGAAGGGAGATGGAGGTGGGAGGCCTCTGCCAAGAAACATCTGCGGAGCTGGGAAGGAGGAAGGGTGGCGGGACTGTCCATTGGGATCCCCAGGGCTGCGACCACATGCTGTGCCCTCAGCAGGGTGGGGGCTCAGAGCAGAGACCCCTCCTGCCTGCCCCTGCCTCCTGGCACACATAGGCTGGGCATAACATTCAAGGCAGCTTTGCAGGTGGAGTTCATGTGGGGACTCCACATCCACTAAGATTCTTCTGCTAGCTGGTAGGGCGTCCCCTGTAGTCACGCCTAAGGCTGCTGCAGCCGAAAGGTCAGTGCCAAGGTCGAAGGCCAACTGTCATCTGTATCTTCATGCCTGCAGTGTGGTTTGATGGCCCTCAAACCTTAGGGTTGGGTTGGTTCGGGGGCTTAGTTAGGGACTTATTGGTCTGCGTCTCTGTCTCCTCCCCTGCACGTGGCTTGGTCTACGAGCCTCTCAGTATGTTTTGAGATACTGAACTGTGAATCTGCCTCTGGTTCTTGATCGTTTCTTTCCTTCTTGCCGCTGGATGATGCTCCGTCCCTCCAGGTCCTGCTCATGGGCCACTGCTCTGCTAGGTGTTTTCAGAACTATTTGCAGCTTTCTCTGCAAGGAGAGATTTTGGAAAAACACCACAAAAAGGAGGCCTAGTTCTAGAATGTCAAAACAGCTGGATGCAGGGTTCTGCCCTGCACCCCCACCCTCGGCCAGCCCCTGGTAGGGGAGGAGGGTTCAGGTGATATCTGGTGCAGGTGGGAGGCCCAGCTGTGCGGGCTCCATGTGGTGGAGGCAGGGCAGAGGCTCAGGGCAGGGGAGGCAGGTGGGGACTTGGGCGTCAGACCCTTCTCATCGACTGGGCTTTCCCCAGTGCAGGTGGATGGAGGAGGGAGAGAAGTGCACCTGCTTCCAAGAAATGAGGGCTTTGCTGGCTTGCCTGAGCCCCAGTGGGTGACAGCAGGGAAGGGGCCACAGATGGGCAACAGACATGCCTGACGTTGTCTGAGCCCATTCTGTGCTGAGGGTCTGTGCCCTCCTGCTCTGCCACTTAACCCTGAGCGGACGCTGGGCGAGCCCTGTCAGTGCTGGGCTCATGGCCTTCTGCCAGCCCTACTCTCCCAAGGTGGCATGCGCTGCTGCTCCTGCCAGACAGTGGAGGCTGCTGGAGGTGCCTTCCCCTCCCTATCCCTCCCTCCTTCCGGCTCTCCCTGGGCCGCCACTCCTGGTCTCCCCTGCAGGTCGCCGAGGGGACTGCTTGCCATCAGATGCTGGGTTGGCTCCCCGTAGATGTTGCCACAGCAGCCCCTTCTTGTCCAGGTCCTGCTCCCTCTGTACCGCGTCTCGCCCCAGCTGCTGGCAGCCTCTGTGCAGTTGGCTGGAGCCCAATCCCGACAGCAAAAATGTGGGGGTGAGCTTGGTGTGTCCCCTCCAGCTTGTCGTCCTGGCTGTATCTTTGGCTTCCATGCAGAGCTGGGGTCATCATGGGTTGTTTGGGCATTTTCTGGGCATTATCAGAATCCCAGCGGCCTCTGGTGTCTACATGTGGTCGTGGTGGTGTCAGGGGGAAAGGGTCATTCTGACTGCAGCCTGCTCTGGCTTGGCCGAGTCCCCTGCCCAGGACACAGCAAGGCGGCCCAGCCCTGGAGACCTGGGTGCACGTCCCATCCCTCCCCTCCACCCTGGCTCAGAGCCCTGCTTCTCTGTGCTTAGGTTTCTCCCGGGTCACAGATGTTCAAGGCATTTTCTTTTCTTTCTTTTCTTTTCTTTTTTTTTTTGAGATGGAGTTTGGCTCTTATTACCCAGGCTGGAGTACAATGGTGCGATCTCGGCTCACTGCAACCTCCGCCTCCCAGGTTCAAGCGATTCTCCTGCCTCAGCCTCCTGAGTAGCTGGGATTGCAGGCATGTACCACCATGCCCAGCTAATTTTGTATTTTTTTTTCAGTAGAGAAAGTGTTTCTCCAAGTTGGTCAGGCTAGTCTTGAGCTCCCAACCTTAGGTGATCTGCCCGCCTCGGCCTCCCAAAGTGCTGGGATTTCAAGCGTGAGTCACCGCGCCCAGCCTCAAGGCATTTTCTTACAGTCTCCCTGGTTCTATCCTTTCTGGCATTCCCAGTTCACAGACGATGAAGCTGAGGTTTAGCTCGCTACAGTGACTTGGCCAAGTCTCAGGCTTGCAAGGGGCAGAGCCTCCCTGGGGAGCCCGGGACTCACTGGCAGGCCACGTAGGATTAACCGTGGGTCCCTCAACTTCATCCTCGGTAGGTTTGTGGGGTTTGCTCTCTAGCAGCTGAAGGCCACCCAGGGCCCCTTCCTCCGGCCAGCCCCAGCCTCTGTCCGTGGTGCTGAAGTTCATGGCGGCCTCTCTTGTCCTTACCTTTGCTGGGGTGAGGGCTCAGGGAGAGCGTGTCTCTCAGATCTCCTGAAGGGCGGTCTCTTGAAGCTGGCCAAACTCTGACACCCTCAACGGGACGTGGACATCACTGTCTCATCTCCACCTCCCCAAAGGACCGAGGCCGAGCTTGGGAGCCGTGGCTCCAGGGCCCAGCATCTCCTCCAGCCTTGAGAGCAGGCTCCCAGCCAGTGGCTGTGTCAGTATTCCCGGAAACACCCGGGTTCCGGAAAAGCAAAGAGCACAGAGGCCCTGCTGCCTGGCAGCTGGCAGCGCCGCTGACTCTGGAGGCTTAATGGGCTAAGAGGTTTGGGAGCAGGGAGGCTGGTGGGCAGGGGAGAGGGAGCGGGGCTTCCAGGAGAGGAGGGAAGTGCAGGCAGCCTGTTGGAAGGGGTGCTTCCCAGCTGGATGTCAGAGGGGGCCCCCACCTCCCCTGTCAGTGACCGTCTCCCCCTCCACGAACTGTTGGATGTGACTGTTTGGAGCCACTCTCCTGGGAAAAGGCAGGTCATCCCCTCTTGACAGTGTGGCCTGAAAGGGCAGAGTTGGGCTGGGGGCCTCCCAAGACTATCCAGGGAGGCCCCCCGCCTTTGCTGCCTCCTCATTCTCTTTCCTTCTGCCACCCTTTCCTTTCCTTCTCCCTCCCTCCCTCTTTCCTTCATCCTCCCTCCTGGCCACTGCTGTTTCCTGAGCTCATTTTTTATCTCTCCGGTTCTGTCTTAATCTCATCCCATGCCTCTCCTTGCTCACCCCGAAAACAGTTAACAGCAGTCCTGCGCATGGCAAGCCCCGCATGCCCCGGGGATCATGGCAGTGCTGCCCGGCCCCTCCCTGGGAAGGGGCTGTGGAGGGCTTCGCCAGTTGACTTGTGTCTCTAAAGGCCACAAGTAAACCACTTTCTCCGAGGGGCAGCACCTCTCTGGTGGGGTGCTCTGGTTGTAAACGCCCTTATCTCCATATAAATGGGCCATTTTCTGCCTGTACAGACAGGAAACTAAATCAAGGAAGCCAAGCTTAAGAGCTGCCTAAATTACCTTGTCTCATATGGAGAGGAAGCGGCCAGGATGGGGTGGGAGAGGGGGAAGGTGGGCTTGTGCCATCCATAGCAGTGTCTGCAGAGTCCGCACATGGAGAAAACTGTGATGTGCCTGCTGCATTAATTACAGGTTTCACCTGACGAACGCAGTTCCATGGGATGTGAACTTAAGCAGAGAGCTGTGGCGCTGGGGCCTGAGATGCAGCGGCCCTTCCCTGGCTGGGGCTCTCCTTCTCTGGCTGGGGCCCTTCCCTGGCTGGGGCTCTCCTTCTCTGGCTGGGGCCCTTCCCTGGCTGGGGCTCTCCTTCTCTGGCTGGGGCCCTTCTCTGGCTGGGGCCCTTCCCTGGCTAGGGCTCTTCTTCTCTGGCTGGGGCCCTTCCCTGGCTGGGGCTCTTCCCTTGCTGGGGCCCTTCCCTGGCTGGGGCCCTTCCCTGGCTGGGGTTCTTCTTCTCTGGCTGGGGCCCTTCCCTGGCTGGGGCTCTCCTTCTCTGGCTGGGGCCCTTCTCTGGCTGGGGCCCTTCCCTGGCTAGGGCTCTTCTTCTCTGGCTGGGGCCCTTCCCTGGCTGGGGCTCTTCCCTTGCTGGGGCCCTTCCCTGGCTGGGGCCCTTCCCTGGCTGGGGCCCTTCCCTGGCTGGGGTTCTTCTTCTCTGGCTGGGGCCCTTCCCTGGCTGTGGCTCTTCTTCTCTGGCTGAGGCCCTTCCCTGGCTGGGGCTTTTCTTCTCTGGCTGGGGCCCTTCCCTGGCTGGGGCTCTTCCTGTGCACTTTGCTTTTTGACTCTGGGACCACATCCTCCACCGCCAGCTCCTGGGTCCATGCCTCATCATGTAAAACTAATTCAGCCCCCAAAGTCCATAGAAGCCCAATGATGACTGAAGCGGAGCCTGAGTTCACCCGCAGGGCTGCTGGAGTGGGCTGAGCCGAGCTTGCAGATGGAGAAGCCTGCTCTCACGAGAGCCTCACCTCGCCTCACCTGCAGGTTCTACTGCTTCCTGTGGCGTAGACCCTGGGGACAAGACTTGGCTCAGGCTGGCTTGGGGTTGCCCCTTTGGCTGGGCTTTGGGGCTGAGCTGTGAGCAGTGGCCTCTGATGATGAGTGGAGTGATGGGGATCGGTCGATCCCCAGCGTGGGCCAGGAGGTAGCTCTCAGGGCCGTCCTGCCACCCAGGACTCTGGATGTTCCTGGGGCCTCTGTTGCCCTCACTGTCCCCCTTCTTTTCCAGGGGAGCAATGATGAGCTATCAGAGAATGAAGAGGATCTGGAAGAGAAGTCGGAGAGTGAAGGCAGTGACTACTCCCCGAATAAAAAGAAGAAGAAGAAACTCAAGGACAAGAAGGAGAAAAAAGCCAAGCGAAAAAAGAAGGATGAGGATGAGGATGATAATGATGATGGATGCTTAAAGGTAACTGTGGAGGCCTGGCTGGGGGGACAGAGCGACATCCCCCTTTAAGGGGGCTGAGCCTCTTGCCTGTATGTTCTGTGTGTGTGTGTGTGTGTGTGTGTGTGTGTGATGGAGTCTCACTCTGTTGCCAGGCTGGAGTGCAGTGGCGTGACCTCGGCTCACTGCAACCGCCTCCCAGGTTCAAGCAATTCTCCTGCCTCAGCCTCCCGAGTAGCTGGGACTACAGGTGCGTGCCACCACGCCTGGCTAATTTTTGTATTTTTAGTAGAGACAGGATTTTACCATGTTGGCCAGGATGGTCCCCATCTCTTTTTTTTTTTTTTTTTTTTGAGACGGAGTCTCGCTCTGTCGCCCAGGCTGGAGTGCAGTGGCGGGATCTCGGCTCACTGCAAGCTTCGCCTCCCGGGTTCACGCCATTCTCCTGCCTCAGCCTCCCAAGTAGCTGGGACTACAGGCGCCCGCCACTACGCCCGGCTAATTTTTTGTATTTTTAGTAGAGATGGGGTTTCACCGTTTTAGCCGGGATGGTCTCGATCTCCTGACCTCGTGATCCGCCCGCCTCGGCCTCCCAAAGTGCTGGGATTACAGGTGTGAGCCACCGCGCCCGGCCTCCATCTCTTGACCTCGCGATCTGCCTGCCTTGGCCTCCCAAAGTGCTGGGATTACAGGCGTGAGCCACTGCGCCCAGCCTGTTCTTTTTTTCTTTTTTAGAAGGAGTTTTGCTCTGTTGTCCAGGCTGGAGTGCAGTGGCTCCTGCCTTAGCCTTCTGAGTAGCTGGTACTACAGGCACGCATCACCACGCACAGCTAATTTTTGAGTGAGCAGCTATTTCTAGGGGAGAGTGATAGATAGTGTGAGCTCAAGTTTAGTGTCAGGAACCTCTTGCTTGGAGCAATTCGGGAAAATAAAACAACAAATGGAGTCTTTGCCACAAGAAGTGCTGGACAGCTTTGTTTATGGTAGAAAGGGAACTTGTGTTCTGAAATCCTGCCCAAGCAGGCATTCCCGGAGTCTCCTACTGCACGTGGGGCAGAGCGGCTACAGAGATGGGCCAGCTCTCCCCTGGGCCCAGCGTCCCCAGGAACATGGGAAATGATGTGAAGGAAGCCAGGCCTTTATGGTCATGCTGAGGTGCTCCGGAGTCTCAGAGGCTGCACCCTGGGGCTCCTTGGGGAGATGGAGAGGCCAGGGGTGAGGTTGGTGGACAGGCAGTGGGTGAGTGACAGTGCCATTCAGGAACACTGTGCTCCCTTTGTTCTTTTAAGAGACACCAAGGCTCGGTTTGGGCTGGTCACAGATTTAAAGATAAACGCTCTGTAAATATTAGTACAGTTGCTGTTGGGTGAGGCAGAAATCATGAATGTGAATAACTGAAGTTGGGAGGTGTGGGAGGAGGAGCGATTCTTCCTGGCGGTGTCCTGACACCTGGGGTGATTTCATGAGTCAGTGGAGTGTTGTGAGTCACCGGAGACGGATCGTCGCTGCGGGGCTGACAGTTCTGAAAGCTTCACTTAAGAGAGTGATTCAGGATCACCCTGTAACAGTATCATCCCCTCGCTCACCTGCTGCTCTGCTGTCCTGGGTGGGGACCAAGGGGTCCGTGTGCCATCAGGAATGGCCATGTGTGTCCACGGGGGCAGGTCAGCCACAGAGGGGGCCCCATGTGAGGAATTCTCTGAGCTGTCACAGAACAGGAGGCAAGAATGGGCTCTGGAGGCCTCCCGCAGCCTGGATGGGCAGACTGGTTCTCAGTGCTGGGAGACGCTCAGGGCAGCCTCCTGTTGCAGGAGCAGAAGCCCAGCTCCGGGGCCTAGGCAGTAGAGGGATGTGTGGGATCAGGGCCCTGAGAACTAAGAGGCAAGGGGCTTCGGGGTTGTGGGACCCAGTGGTGTTATCAGAGGCTGTCTCTTTGCATCATTCACTCTGCCTCTGCTGTGGCAGTGTTGGGCTCAGGCCAGGCACCCTCATGGCTGAGCATTCTTGTGGCTGAGAATGAGGGCAGCAGCAGCTCGGGGCTTCTTGGCCCCTCCAGCAGGAGGGAGAGCAGGCCTCCCATGTCCAGGTATGCAGGCAGGAGACCAGCATTCCCTCTGATTGGACTGGCTTAAGACATGACTGGCCTGACCAGACTTTGGCCTAGGAGTGGTGTGTACTGATTGGCTTAATGTATCAGGTTGGGTGGGGGCAGCTCAGGGCTGCTTGGAAGAAGTGGGGTGTCAGGGAAGGAAGAAGAAGGGTGGGTTGGGTGCTAACAATTGCTAACGCATTTTGACACACCCTGTTCCAAGCACCTGCACTAAGTCATTCTGTTCTGCAAGGCAGTGTGCCATTATCTCCATTTTACAGATGGGGAAACCGAGGCAGGAAAGTTAAGTAACTTATCCACTTCTTACCACCGGTATGTGGCAGAGCCAGGATCAGAACCAGCCCATGCCCACATCCGGCACCTCCCTTTCTGAGCCCCGCCAGCCCGGGCCTGGTCATCTGGTCACCTGACCCCTGGGCTAGCTCTCTTGAGAACTCACTGTGCCCCTGGGATGTCCCCCCACCCCAGGCCTCAGCAGTAGTTGGATCCTCTCAGGGCTGTGCCCCCAGGATGTCCCTCCACCCCAGGCCTCAGCAGTAGTTGGATCCTCTCTGGGCTGTGCCCCCAGCTGGCCCATTGTCCCATGCCCCTGCCCCAGCAGAGTGCACTTTCCTTTCACTGGAAACTGGCAGTGGCCTGTCCTTCACAAGGGCTGACGTAGCTATACCTGGCATCCTGGGGAGGCCTCATGTCTTTTTTTTTTTTTTTTTTTTTGAGACAGAATCTTGCTCTGTCACCCAGGCTGGAGTGCAGTGGCGCCATCTCGGCTCACTGCAACCTCCGTCTCCCGAGTTCAAGTGATTCTCCTGCCTCAGGCTCACAAATAGCTGAGATTACAGGCACACACCAACACACCCAACTAATTTTTGTATTTTAGTAGAGACAGGGTTTCAGCATGTTGGCCCGGCTGGTCTCTAACTCCTGACCTCAAATGATCTGTCTGCCTTGGCCTCCCAAAGTGTTGGGATTACGGGCGTGAGCCACCACCCCTGGCCTGGAGGCCTCATGTCTTTCTAAAGTGGCTTAGGCAGCCCTGGAGCCCTGCGGCCTCATCAGGGACATCTTCCCGTCTTCAGGCCACTGTGCTGTCCTGCTGTCCAAATCCCCAGAATGCAGTCCCCACAGAGGGCAAGTTCTGTTGTCCTGCCCTGGTGTCCCGAGGCTGGTCGGGCAGCCCTATCTCAGGATGGGGGCCTGGTCTCAGGCATCCAGTCTCCTTGCCCACACCTGGCTGATTTCCCTTTCTGGAAGTTCAGGGCACACACATGGCCTCTCCCCAAACCCTGACGTCGAACACTTGGCCTGCACTTCGTGGGCTGGCATCTGAGACGTGGCACAGATTGGGGGCTGCGGGGCTGCGGGGCTGCAGGGCTTGAATGTTTCCTAGGGTGGGTGAGAATGGTCTGGTTACATTGCAGACACAACCCCTCCTCTTTCCCCTGTGCCAAAGCCTCCTAGGCAGAGACCCTGGGGATGGGGGTGCAGGTCAGAAGGCCCCTCAACAACTCTACCTCTGGCCTGGGTCTCTGTAGGAGCCCAAGTCCTCGGGGCAGCTCATGGCCGAGTGGGGCCTGGACGACGTGGACTACCTGTTCTCGGAGGAGGATTACCACACGCTGACCAACTACAAGGCCTTCAGCCAGTTCCTCAGGTGGGCGGGGCACTAGGGCTGTTCTCCAGGCCCGCACATCCTCTGGTGGTACCAAGTCGGGAGGGAGGCAGAGGAGTGAAGCCCCGGCACCTGGGGTAGGGGTGGGCTCTGTCAGACCGACTGAGCAACCTGGGGGAGCTGGAGGGAGGGGGCAGGACCCCTTCATGTTAACAGACCACCAGGCCTTCCCTTGTGGGCCCTGCCCCTCAGCCCTTGAGTCTCTTCCCCTTGGGGAAGGTGGTTCCAGTCTTTCCTGGGGGGTCTTTCACCACCATGGCCTCTCAGCTCTGGTAGAGGTGGGACGGAGACCCCAAGGCCCACTGTAGCCCACCTGTGGCCCCACAAGTCTTGCAGGGCCTGAAAACCCAATGAGAAAATCACCAACTGTGTGGACAGGAAGCTGGGGTGTTTTGGGGGTGGGCTGTGGGTGTGGACAGGAAGCTGGGTGTTTTGGGGGTGGGCTGTGGGTGTGGACAGGAAGCTGGGTGTTTTGGGGGTGGGCTGTGGGTGTGGACAGGAAGCTGGGGCGTTTTGGGGGTGGGCTGTGGTCAGTGGGTTTCCCGCCTAATCTCTCTAATCAGGAACCTGGGGCTGCTGCCATAGATCGCACATGTGGCAGAGGGGTGGGCCCTGCCGGGGGTCGGGTGGGCCTCTCATCTCACCTGGCCTTGCCCTCACCCTCCTGCCTCTCCCCCTACAGGCCACTCATTGCCAAGAAGAACCCGAAGATCCCCATGTCCAAAATGATGACCGTCCTGGGTGCCAAGTGGCGGGAGTTCAGCGCCAACAACCCCTTCAAGGGCAGCTCCGCGGCAGCAGCGGCGGCGGCGGTGGCTGCGGCTGTAGAGACGGTCACCATCTCCCCTCCGCTAGCCGTCAGCCCCCCGCAGGTGCCCCAGCCTGTGCCTATCCGCAAGGCCAAGACCAAGGAGGGCAAAGGTAAGGCTGGGGTTGGGTGGGCACCTAGTCCCGCTGGGAAGAGGTCCCTTTCAGACCCTATAGGAGAAGCCACGGGGCAGACGCGGGCAGGGAGGGGCAGCTGGGGTGCTCCTAATGGAGGGCTCTGTGCCTGTGTGACCTTGGATTGCCCGGTCCTTTCTCAGCAGTGAGGCAGCATCGTCGCCTCTTTTGTGCCTGACTCCCTTTTGGGGTTGGTGGAGAAGCAGAGGCGATGATGTGGGCAGAGGTCTGGGAGGTTTGAGCCTGGCCAGCCAGGAGGTGCCCCCGACGTGGGCCTGGAGGGAGGGCGGGACCAGAGGTACGCAGAGTGGAGCCGCTCCAGCCTGGGTTTCTGGGAGTTGGCAGGCTCTTGGGTTTGAGCCTGTGCCGTTTCTGGGGAGGAGGAGGAGGCCCCAGTCGAGCCCGTCTCTTCTTCTTGTCTGCATACCCACTGTGTGCAGGGTTGTTCTCCAGGCCCTCGGCCAATGTGGAGCATGGAGGCCCTGCCCCTCCAGCTTTAGGATCCGGGAAGCAGGCAGGAGTTGGAGGGACTGGGCACGGCCAGGTCTCGCTTCCCAGGGAGGCTGTTCTGGGACAGGCCTGGAAGGAGATCGAGATCCAAATTCTGCCTCAGTGGCAGGGCGTCTGGGTGGGGAGGATGCAGGCAGCAGAGGCCCCCTGTGACTTGAAGGCCCTGGGGAGGGAGCTTTCTGGGTGCAGGTTTCTGGCCTTTTGGAGGCTGGGGATGTTGATCTCCCCAGGGCTGTCAGTCACCTGCAGCTCAGCTTTCCTGGGTGCCCTGATTTGTTTTGTTTTGTTTTGTTTTGTTTTGACAGACTCTCACTCTGTCTCCCAGGCTGGAGTGCAGTGGCACGATCTCTGCACACTGCAACCTCCGCCTCCTGGGTTCAAGCAATTCTCCTGCCTCAGCCTCCTGAGTAGCTGGGATTACAGGAGTGCATCACCACACCTGGCTAATTTTTTGTATTTTTAGTAGAGACGGGGTTTCACCGTGTTGGCCAGGCTGGTCTCAGAACTCCTGACCTCAGGTGATCTGCCCACCTCGGCCTCCCAAAGTGCTGGGATTGCAGGTGTGAGCCACCGCGTCTGGCTGATTTGGGTTTTGATGGAAGGGGCTGAGGGGGCTCCGGGGATCCCTTCTTTCAGCCCCAAGGAGCTTTAGTTTCTGGGGTTCTGTGTCTGGCATCACCATGCCAAGTCTCTGAAGGGAGCCTGGTGGGTGAAGTGACAAGGGTCAGAGTCTGTTCCCTGTCCTGCTCCATCTGTCTGGGCCATCAGGATCTCGGGAGGGGCTCCTGGCCCGCCCCTGTCTGCCCAGCCTGCCTTGTTTTCTCATTTCCTCTCGCGCTCCAGCTGCTGAGCTATCGATTCCATGAGCTGCTTATTCAGAGCTTGGAAAATTGAAATAGATTTTCCGCGGCGCCATGGAGGGTGCAGCTGGGCTCCTAGCTCCATGTCCGTGTGTGTGGTGTGGCCAGAGGACGGCCTGGGGAGAGGCTGCCTCTGTGGGGTGTGCATCCCTGCCTCCAGGCCCCCCTTCCTTCTTGGGTCATTACTCCCCAGGTAGCTAATTGCCCTGTGGCCAGCTCCATAAAAACAGCCTCAGCCCTGCTGGCCCTTGCTGGGGTTGACTGGCAGAGGTGGGGCAGTCTTGGGTGGGACCAGCATTGCCTGGCTGGCAGGTGGGAAAAGGCCTTTTGGCTCCAAGACATCCTTTGGGGGCTCAGGCATGGACCACAGGTGGGCGGCTGTGCCTTCAGTGGCCCTGCTGGCTGTGGGGGATGGCTAGTGCCTCCTTTCAGTGGTTGGAGACGGTATAGGGGATCCTCCCAAAAGGGCCACATTTCTGTGGGTCATGGACAAGGGGCAGCAAGGCGGTCAGGGCAGCCTCCAGTCAGAGCCGTCATCTGGTTTTTGCCTCACTTGCTGTGTGATTTTAAGCAAGGGGTTTACCTCTCCAAGCCTCAGGCATCTCATCTGAAACGGGGTGATGGTAGAAATGACCCTTTCCTTATTGGGTAACCGAGAGCTCAGTGAGATGATGGCAGGAAGCAGGCCGTCAGTGGTGGCAGTGGTTGGCTATCATCACTGCTGTTTTTCAGGGCCTGGAGTGAGGAAGAAGATCAAAGGCTCCAAAGATGGGAAGAAAAAGGGCAAAGGGAAAAAGACGGCCGGGCTCAAGTTCCGCTTCGGGGGGATCAGCAACAAGAGGAAGAAAGGCTCCTCGGTGAGTGTGTGCGTGTGTGCGCGTGTGTGTGCATTTGCATGCATGTGTGTCTGCACATGAGCACGCAAGGGCCAGGCGAGGGCCTTCAGTTCATTACAAACTAGCTGGGGCAGGTCGCACCCCTCCACTATTCTCCTTCCATCCTACATGCAGGTGTGCTGGGCCTCAGTTTCTCCATTTGTGTGATGAGGAGTTTAGATTGAATCCTTCCAAGGGCCCTTCTAGCCTGGACTCTGGGCAGGGAGTGCTCCCCTGGCTCACCCTCCTGAGTGGGAGCTCAGTCCTGGCTCCTGCTGTCCACAGCTGCAACTCCATTTGGGCAGGAGGTGGAGGGATCTGTCCTGGTGGGGCCTGGCCGCCCAGCACCCAGGTCTGCTCTCGGGGGGAGTAGTTGGGTGGGGGCTGGACCCTAGAGAAGTGGTATGTGGGTAGGATCAGGCTGGCTGGAGCCCCAGTTACCTCCTCCTGTCCTCAGGGCCAGCTCTGGGCCCAGGCTCAGACACTAAGCCCAGGTCTTACTCAGCCTTGGGGCCCCCCTTTCTCTGTGAGTGTGAGGGGCATTCGCCCTCCTCACCCCCACAGGTAGCTGCCTCCCTCACCTCACCCCAGCCCTGCGGTGGGTGGAGTTGGAAGCTCTTTCCCTGCACCATGGCAGGAGCCAGTGTTAGGTCTGGAGGGGAGCATGGAGAGAAGGTGTGGCCCGCCCTGGAGCTGACGGTCCAGTTCAGCTTAGCAGATATTTGTTGAGCACATACTGTGTACCAGGCCCGCTGCTCAGCCACAGTGGGCCGTGGTCCTGTAGCACTCGTCACCTGGCAGGCATGTTTGCTGGTGGAGAGCCCGTGATGTACCAGTCAGACAGGACAGGCCAGACCTGGCACACACGCAGCCACAGTAGGTCCAGTAAAGGAGAGATCTGGGAAGACTTCTTGGAGGAGGTGTCCCTAGGGCTGCCCCTTGAAGGATGTTTAGGAGTTTGGCAGGATGGAGGGCAAGGCCTGGGAAGCTGTTCAGAGGTGGAAATTGTGGGAAGTGTCTGAGGCTGGAGAGCAGGGCTCTGGGTAGGCGGTGGGACATCAGGCTGGACAGGCAGGCTGTAATGTGAGGTTTTCAGCTGTGTTGGGGGCTGAGATGAATCACAGAGAGCACTGTGTCTCCAGAGCCTCTTCCGTGCTTTGTCCCACCCCACACTGCCTGGGCCAGCGAAGCCTTCTGGGTGAAGCCCTGGGATCACAGGACCCTGTCTTCCCCTGCAGAGTGAAGAAGATGAGAGGGAGGAGTCGGACTTCGACAGCGCCAGCATCCACAGTGCCTCCGTGCGCTCCGAATGCTCTGCAGCCCTGGGCAAGAAGAGCAAGAGGAGGCGCAAGAAGAAGAGGAGTATGACTCCCCTTCCAGAGAGTTCTTGGCCTGCTGGGTGGATGTAGTGGGGCACGAGTAGGACTCCCCATCTGGACGGTTCTCGGCCTGCCGGGTGGATGTGCGGGGCATGGAACCTCCCCGTGGGAAGCAGGGGGAGGGCATCCTCATGTCTCAGCCAGGTGGGGCCCCTGTGTTTCCCACACGGCCCTGGTTTCTACTGTCTGGGGAGGGGCATCCTGTCCCAGTAAGGAAAGAACAAGGAACCTATGGTGGGAGCTACCCCAGGGCATTTGCATTAGCAGTGTGGTGACTGGAGAGGGAAGTGCTTCATCTCATCGCCATCCTCCCTTCAGTCACCCCCCACCCACTTAACACCCATCTTTACCTCACCTTCCTTCCCATCCCTCCTTCTCCCTCCTTCCCTCAGTCCCTTCTTTTTATCCATCCATCCTTCATCCATCCAGCCATTCATCCATCATCCATCATCAATCCATTTGTCCATCCATCCGTCAGCTATCCATCCACCATCCATCCATCCATCCATTCATCCATCCTTTTGTCCATCCGTCCGTCCGTCCGTCCGTCCATCCATCCATCCATCCATCCATCCATCCATCCTATCATCCATCCATCCACTTGTCCATCCATCCATCCATCCATCCATCCATCCATCCATCCATCCTTTTGTCCATCCATCCATCTGTCCATCCATTCATCCATCCCATCCATCCATCCACTTGTCCATTCATCCATCATCCATTTGTCCATCCATCCATCATCCATCCATCCATTGTCCATCCGTTATCCATTCATTTGTCCATCCATTATCCATTCATTGGTTCATCCATCCATCTACCACTCTGTCCATCCATCATCCATTTGTCCATCCATCATCCATTTGTCCACCCATCCATCCATTTGTTCATTCATCTATCCATCCTTTTGTCCATCTATCCATCCATTTGTCCATCTATGCATCCATCCTTCCATTTGTCCATCCATTACTCATCCATTTGCCCATCCATCCATCCATCCATCCATCCATCCATTTGTCCATCCATCCATCATCCATTCATTTGCCCATCCATTCATCCATCCATTTGGTTTATCCATATATCCATCCATTCTTTTGTCCATTCATCCATCTATACATCCATCTATCCATCCACTTGTCCATCCATCCATCCATCCATCATCCGTCCATTTGTCCATTCATCATCCATCCATCCTTCCATCCACCTATCCATCCATCCATTTGTCCATCCATCCATCCATCCATCAGTCCACCCATTTCCATTTGTCCATCCATTTGTCCATTCATCATCCATCCATCCATCCATTTGTCCATCCATTCATCTATCCATCCATTTGTCTATCCATCCATCATCCATTTATCCATTCATCTTTCTACCCATCCACCCACTCTCCTACCCTTCCTTCCTTCCTTCTTTCCTTTTATCCATCTTCTATCTCCTCACCCTTTTACCACCTCAACCATCAGTCTATTCACCCACCCACCTTTCCATCCACCCTCTATTAGACATCTACTCTGTGCCTGTCTGGCCTGGGGCGATGCAGTTGGTTGTGTGCTGGGAGTGTGGATGAGGACTTCCATGACTGCCTCTCCCCTACCCTAGTTGATGATGGTGACGGCTATGAGACAGACCACCAGGATTACTGTGAGGTGTGCCAGCAGGGTGGGGAGATCATCCTGTGCGACACCTGCCCGAGGGCCTACCATCTCGTATGCCTGGACCCAGAGCTGGAGAAGGCTCCCGAGGGCAAGTGGAGCTGCCCCCACTGTGTAAGCCTTGGCAGAGCCCCGGGCTGGGGGCGGGGCCACGCCTGGCTCCCCCACCCCTGTGCCCTCATTTGGGGGCAGAATGCGGGGAGATGCTGTAGGGGAGGGAGGGAGTCGGGCCTGGTGGAGCGGGGACCCCGCCCAGGGTGCCTCCACCTGGCCTCCTCCCCCAGGAGAAGGAGGGGATCCAGTGGGAGCCGAAGGACGACGACGATGAAGAGGAGGAGGGCGGCTGCGAGGAGGAGGAGGACGACCACATGGAGTTCTGCCGCGTGTGCAAGGACGGGGGCGAGCTGCTCTGCTGCGACGCCTGCCCCTCCTCCTACCACCTGCATTGCCTCAACCCGCCGCTGCCCGAGATCCCAAACGGTGAATGGCTCTGCCCGCGCTGTACTGTGAGTGTTCCGCCCGCCCCGCGCCGGACGCCCCGCCCCACCCCAGGAACAGGCCCCGCCCCCAGGGGAAGGCCTGCCCTCCTCAAAAGGCCCCGCCCCTGCCGGCTCCTGCCCCGCCTCGGTAGCCGATCCCGCAAAGCTTCGCCCGCGCTGCTCGAGACCCCGTCCACAATAGCTTCCTCGCGCCCTTCTCCGCGTCTGACTCCCCTAGAGACGGGAGGCATGAGTGTTAGGGAAAGGCAGACAGGTGTGGTGATCATGCCAACACCGCGACCACTGTTCAGTGACCACGTGCTCTGCAAGGGCTCCACATCCATCATAGTGTCCTTTAACATTACTGAGTATTCTGGCACCAGGCATGTTACTCCCTTTTTAGATGAGAAAACTGATGCTCAGGGAAGCAGAGTGACCTGCCTAAGGCCACACAAGGGCAGAACTATCCACTCAAATTCAGGTTCCTGGAGCCACCCCAGACCTGGCTCCTGTTCCAAGGCTGGGGATAGGGAGAGGGCAGGAGGCTTCTAGGGCAGGAGGCTCCTAGGGCGGGAGCCTCAGTTTCTACAGGAAGAGGGGCACCCCCCATCCGTCACCCCCCAGTCACAGTAGACATCGGAAGGCCCCTTGCTCTGAGCTGTCTGTCCTGCCCCCTGTGGTGCCAGATCCTCCACCCCTCAGGTCCTGGGCTGTGCCTCCTTTAGCCCTGGGCCGTCCTGTGTGCATTGTGCGTGTGTATGTGTGTGCGTGCATCCGTGCGCATACTTGTCTGTGTCTGTGTAGGGGCCAGGGGAGGACCCTTTTGAGGGGTGCAGCCTTCTGTGCTTTCCTAGGATTGATGGAAGGCCCTGGGGATGGGAGGGGGGCAGGAGTGGGGTTCCTCTCAGCTTCTTCCCTGAGGGGCTGGGATGGGGGTAGGAGGGTCCATGGCCTGGGTAGGAAGGGTCCCCTCTTCCACTCCCCCAAGAGCCAGTGGAGGAGCCTTTCCTGCCTCCCATGTCCTCCTCCTCCTCCTCTGCCTCTCGGCCTTTGCTGTCACCAAGGCCAAAGGAAGGCTGGCTGTGTGGTGTACCTTGCACCTCCAGAATGCCTTCAGGTGTGATGTGGCACCACAGATCTGGTAGGTGGAGGAAGGGGTGGGCCATTTTACAGATGGGAAAGCAGGCTCTGGAGGCTTGGATGAGTTTCCGAGGACAGGTAGTAGCAAAGCTGGGACCTGCTATCCCCACCAGAGCTGTCTCCCTGAATCAGTCACCCCCGACCCTGTCCAGTCAGACAGCACCGCCTCCTTGGAGGGCCAAGGCTGCTCCCACCCATCTCAGGGCCCGAGTGGTGTGGTTTGTGGCTGTTGTATTTCTTGCCTTTGCCAGCCAGCAGCTCACTGTCACCCTAGCATCTGTCAGGGCCCCTGCAGTGTGTCTGTGGGCTGCCAGAGATGGGGCCTCATTGTCCCAGCCTAGACGCACGGTGCCTGGGTGCAGCCCTGCCCCGGGTGAGGGATGGTGGATGGGGCTGCCGTGTCCCTGGGCTCCAGCACAGGGCTCATGCTCCCTGAGTGCTTGGGGATCACACAGTGATGTGACCTCTTTTCAGGGGGCAATGGGAAGACCTAAGGTAGGGGAAGTCCAGAATCTCATGTTCTGCTCCCTGCTCTGCTGTCCCTTGCCGAGTGGGCCTCAGTTTCCCCCTCTGTCCTATGCACATGGCAGTCTCACCTACGCTGGCTCAGATATTCTGGGTGCCGATAAGTTCACCATTGAGTGAAAGGGCCACGTGGTCTCACAGACCCCCACTGCCCATCTCCTGTGTGCATGACCCATGCGGCTCCTGGGGACGGGGTGGATGTCATGGCGTCACCGTGGTACTGTTCTGACTTGGGGGCAGTGGCACTGATGGGAGGGAGCCTGCATGGCAGCCTGCTGTCATGGGAGCCTCAGGGTGGGGCCCTGCAGCTGAGCCCCACCTTGGGGACCCTTCTCTGTCCACAGTGCCCCCCACTGAAGGGCAAAGTCCAGCGGATTCTACACTGGAGGTGGACGGAGCCCCCTGCCCCCTTCATGGTGGGGCTGCCGGGGCCTGACGTGGAGCCCAGCCTCCCTCCACCTAAGCCCCTGGAGGGCATCCCTGAGAGAGAGTTCTTTGTCAAGTGGGCAGGGCTGTCCTACTGGCATTGCTCCTGGGTGAAGGAGCTACAGGTGAGTGCCCGGGAGGGTGGCTGTGCTAAGGCCCGGGACCTGGTGAGCCCTGGACCCTCCTGGGCTGGCGGGAAGGGGCTGAAGCGCCTCTGACTGAGGGGTGCTGTTGGGAGTTGGGGTGGTGCTGAGCGGGAGGATTGTCCTGCCTGGGACCTGGGCTGGGGCTAGAGGAGCTGGGTAGGGAGATGCAGGGGACCATGGCCCATCTCCCTTCTGTGACTTTGTGCCGCTCCATGAGCAGCTGGAGCTGTACCACACGGTGATGTATCGCAACTACCAAAGAAAGAACGACATGGATGAGCCGCCCCCCTTTGACTACGGCTCTGGGGATGAAGACGGCAAGAGCGAGAAGAGGAAGAACAAGGACCCCCTCTATGCCAAGATGGAGGAGCGCTTCTACCGCTATGGCATCAAGCCAGAGTGGATGATGATTCACCGAATCCTGAACCATAGGTGTGTGCCTGCAGGCGGCCACCCTGCCCATCGCTGGGGCCGGGCCACGTCAGCTTCTTTGCCCTGTAAAATGGGTGCAGCGCAGGGTGCCAGGGCCCTTGCTTTGGGGCTGCCGTGCAGAACCACATGTGGGCACAGCAGGGGCACAAGGAAGGGCCCAGGGTTCCCAGTGCTGGAGATCTGCCTGACCTGCTAGAGGGGCCGTCCCATGCATGCCGGCACACTCATGCATACGTGTTCACACCCCTGGGGCGTCGGGACCCTCATGCTGGGTTAGTGCTTGATACCAGCAAGAGGGTTCTGAGGACGAGGGACGCCCGAGGTGTGGGAGTATGTCCACATTTCCCCCGCGTTTGTAACAGCAGCTGGCTGTACTGAGCACTGCCTACCCTGGGAGGGAGGCGTCTTACTTTCACCTCTGTTTTACTGATGTGAGAATAGGCACAGCAAGGTTAAGTCGCCAGAATCACACAGCCACGGGGTGGAGCTGGGATTTGAACCCCATGCTTTCTGACTGCAGGACCTGCTTTCTTAGCTACTGTTGCACCCCCCAGTGCCCCAGCAGCAGCTCTTCCTGGAGCAGTCTGGCAGTTCCCTGGGATGCCTTAGCAATCAGAGGCTGCAGGAGGCTGGCACAAAGAGCCAGAGGCAGGAGGCCCGTGGGCTTTGGTTTTGATTTGGTGGGTGGTGGGAATGCCTGCTGATTCTTGAGTTGAGGTGCTTGAGAACTGGTGGTGGCTGACAGATGGGCCTTGGGGTGGGGCCCAGAGTACCTGCTGCCTGGTGGCAGCTTGGAGCTTGTGCTCCCCATCCCAGCTACCCTGTGGCCTCTGTTTTTGAGGGGCTTAGGATCGGTGGCCTCTGACACTCAGTGCTTCTGGCTTCAGGCAGCTGTTGGGTAGAGCAGAGGTTAAAAGCCTGAGCCAGATGTTCAGATTTCAATCCCGGTTCCCATCTGCTGAGCTTTGAGGCCCTTTTAGGGAACAGGCTGCTGCACGGGTGACAGGAGCTTGCCAGAGGCTGGCTGTGGGTGGTCTTCAGTACGAGGGTCGCGGAATTTGAAAAACTGCCCCCCTTCAACTATGGGACACCCCCCTTTTCCTCCCCAGGCCTCCCTGAGAATGACCTTCAAGGGTCAGTTCCTGTGGGAACCTGAGCCCGGCAATGAATTGGCCCATGGTTTTCTACCTTTACTAAATTACATGCTAAAAATATACATGGTAGTTTTTCTCTCTGCCCCAAAGTGGGGCAGGTGAATCTCCCCCAGATTTGTTCCCCCAATCTGCAAAACAATCAATTATGTATGGGAAAACAAACAAACATCGGTTGCCGTGGTAACGGGATCGGTTTTTCTCTTAATGTTCCCAGGCCCGCAGCAGCCGCTGCTCACCGGGTCTGTGTGCCTCCTCGGCACTGCTGTGTGGGGTAGTCAAGCCCCAGCCCGGCCCTCCAGCACTCCTCTGGCCTGGTTGCCTTAGCCTGGGTGGGTGGGAGGCCCTAAAGACCCTCCCAGTGGCCAGAATCAAGCTGTGTGCTGCTGGGCTTGGTCACTGGGTCTTTGTGTCCCCAGAAGAGACCACCTCACACGCAGGAATTGCATCCTTATCTACTTTGCAGAGATGACTCCTCACCCTACGTGGGCACTGCACAAGTCCTTTGCGTATTTTAAGTTAGAAAACTGAGTCCATTGGCAGGAAGGAGAACTTTCCAACTTAGAAATCCAGAACTCCTGTGAAAATCCAGACCCTGTGACAAATGGGATTCATCCCTGCCACAGAGGCTGCAAAGGATGTGGGAGGCTGGCTCATTGCTCCTCTGTTAGCTGGCCTCCGTGTCCCTCTCCAGCTCTGCCACATCCCCCTCTCATTCGCTGTGTGGCCCCAGGCAAGCCGCTGCACCTCCCTGGAGCTTCTGCCCTCGTCTCCTCCTCCTGGCTGGGCCCAGCATCCGAGGGGACCCTGGGTGTGAATGGCTCTGCATCCTGGGAGGTGCCCTTCATCAAACCTGTGCTGTGGCCACTGCTCTGAGCGACCCACATCTGTTCACCGTGTTGCAGCTTTGACAAGAAGGGGGATGTGCACTACCTGATCAAGTGGAAAGACCTGCCCTACGACCAGTGCACCTGGGAGATCGATGACATCGACATCCCCTACTACGACAACCTCAAGCAGGCCTACTGGGGCCACAGGTGGGTCGCAGGGATCCGGCTGCTAGGCACAGGCTGCCGGGACCTGCTCCTGGGCTGAGCCTTGCTCACCTGCCTCCAATGCCGTTTCCCAGGGAGCTGATGCTGGGAGAAGACACCAGGCTGCCCAAGAGGCTGCTCAAGAAGGGCAAGAAGCTGAGGGACGACAAGCAGGAGAAGCCGCCGGACACGCCCATTGTGGACGTGAGTGGGGAGGGTGGGGCAGCAGTGGGTGGGGTTGCCAGGGCCTGCCCACCTCAGACTTGAATGTGCAGGGGGTGTGTGTTCTCAAAAGGATGTTTCCTTGGGCCCTCATGGCTTATGCAGACAGTGTCATGCCCATGTAGGCTAGGACAGCTGGAAGGCCCCTCATAACACTGCAGCTGACATGCTACTTACACACCACTCTCACCTGGGAGGAGACCCAGGATGACTCACTCAGCAGAGCTCCCTGGGTGTCCACTAGCGCCTGGCCCTGGGTTGGCCCTGAGGAGACGAGGGCCAGTGAGCCCTGGGTAGCTGTTTCAGAAGACACACTGTCTTCTAGGGGCCCTTGGTGGGTATCCACAGAACACGGAGGGCCTGGCCTGGGACTATCAGGCGCCTGTCAGATGCTGGGGAAAGGCAGATGGGCCTGGTCCATTGGGAGGACTGCATGGGGCCAGTGACCTGGAGCAGGATCAAGAGACAAATGGGCCGGGCATGGTGGCTCATGCCTGTAATCCCAGCACTGTGGGAGGCCGGGGTGGGAGGACCGCTTGAACCCAGAAGTTTGAGGCAACGTAGTGAGATCCCACCTCTACAAAAAATTAGCCAGGCACGGTGGTGTGCCTGTGGTCCCAGCTACTAGGGAGGCTGAGGTAGGAGAATCCCTTGAGCCCAGGAAATTGAGGCTGCAGTGAGCCATGATTGTGCCACTGCACTCCAGCCTGGGCAACAAAGACTCTGTCTCAAAAAAAAAAAAAGTAAATGTCTGGATCCAGTGGAGGAGCCTGTTACTGGGGGCGTTGCGAATGCCCCAGATGGATGTTCGTTTTGTTGTTCATCCAAAAAATGGTGAGTAAGTGACCACATGTCCCAGGCACTGTGTGGTACTCAAGAGGAGGCAGTGAACAGGACCAAGGTGGTGATGACAACCTGGGCTCAGAGTCAGAGAATTCAACAGTCGGGAAATTTCCCTGATAGGAGAAGTACAGGGCTGCCATGGGAGGACACTGTGGGAGCACTTCAGCCAGGCTGGGAGTCAGGGAGGGCTTCCTAGAGGAAGAGGTGTTCCATCCAAGAACTGGAGAAGAGTTAGGAAGACAGACAGGAGTGGGAAGAGTGTTCCAGGCAGAAGGAATTGCATGTGCAAAGGCCTGTAGTGTGGACTCTGGTGGCCCAGGATCTGGGGCGTGTCTGAACCGCTGCCTCCCCTGCAGCCCACGGTCAAGTTCGACAAGCAGCCATGGTACATCGACTCCACAGGCGGCACACTGCACCCGTACCAGCTGGAGGGCCTCAACTGGCTGCGCTTCTCTTGGGCCCAGGGCACTGACACCATCCTGGCCGATGAGATGGGTCTGGGCAAGACGGTGCAGACCATCGTGTTCCTTTACTCCCTCTACAAGGAGGTGGGCAGGCGGGGCAGGCGGCCAGGAGGGGTGGCTGGTCCTGGCCAAGGGCAGGTGGTCTCACGGCATCGGCCTCTCTCTCCAGGGCCACTCCAAAGGGCCCTACCTGGTTAGCGCGCCCCTCTCCACCATCATCAACTGGGAACGCGAGTTTGAGATGTGGGCGCCCGACTTCTACGTGGTCACCTACACGGGGGACAAGGAGAGCCGCTCGGTGATTCGGGAGAACGAGTTTTCCTTTGAGGACAACGCCATTCGGAGTGGGAAGAAGGTATTCCGTATGAAGGTGAGGGCTCGCTATCCTTGGAAGGACGGTAGGAAGGCCCCCGGTCTAGTTCAGGGACCACGGGTGCCGTGCACTCCTTTGGGGTCCCTCAGCCTGGGAGGGCTACCGAGGCCGGCAGGCTCTGAGGGGCTTGTCCTAGAGGCTGAGTTACAGCCATGTCAGTTTTCTGGGGCTCCTGTAACAAAGTGTCACAAATGGAGTGGCTTCAAACAGCAGAAATGTATTCGGTCACAGTTCTGGAGGCTGGAGGTTGGAAATCAAGGTGAGGGCAGGGCCACGTGCCTCTGAAAGCCCTAGGGGAGAACCCTTCCTTCCTCCTTCCAGCCTCCTGGTGGCGGCAGGGGTTCACTGGCCTACAGCTGTCGCGTCAGTTTCTGCCTCTGTTAGCACATGGGGTTTTCCCGTTTGTGTCTGTTTCTCATCCTATAAACACATCATTCATACTGGATGTAGGGCCTACCCTAATCCAGTATGATCTCATCTTAGCTACTTATTTTATTTATTTATTTATTTATTTTTTTGAGACACTGTATCGCCCAGGCTGGAGTGCAGTGGGGCGATCTCGACTCACTGCAACCTCCCCGTCCTGGGCTCAAGTGGTTCTCCCACCTCAGCCTCGTGAGTAGCTGGGACTCCAGGAGTGCGCCATCATGGCCGGCTAATTTTGTATTTTTTGGTAGAGACAGGTTTCACCATGTTGGCCAGGCTGGTCTTGAGCTTGTGACCTCAAGTGATCTGCCCTTCTCAGCCTCCCAAAGTGCTGGGATTGCAGGAGTGAGCCACTGTGCCTGGCCCCAACTAATTATTATTATTATTATTATTAATTATTATTATTATTTTTTTGAGACGGAGTCTCACTCTGTCGCCCAGGCTGGAGTGCAGTATGGCACGATCTCAGCTCACTGCAACCTCTGCCTCCCGGTTCAAGCAATTCCCATGCCTCAGCCTCCAGAGTCGCCGGGATTACAGGCACATGCCGCAATGCCCAGCGAATTTTTTGTATTTTGGTAGAGACAGGGTTTTACCATGTTGCCCAGGCTGGTCTCGAACTCCTAAGTTCAGGCGATCTGCCTGCCTTGGCCTCCCAAAGTGTTGGGATTCCAGGTGTGAGCCACCACGCTCAGCCTATTATTATTATTATTATTATTATTATTATTATTTTGAGACAGGGTCTCGCTCTGTCACCCAGGCTAGAGTGCAGTGATTGATCATAGCTCACTGCAGCCTTGACCTCCCGGGAGCTGGGACTACAGGTACACACCACCACACTCAGCTAAGTTCTAAATTTTTTGTAGAGATGGATTCTCCGTATGTTGCTCAGGCTGGTCTTGTACTTCTGGGCTCAAGTGATCCTCCTGCCTCAGCCTCCCAAAGCATGGGGATTATAGGCATTGAGCCACCATGCCCAGACAACTAATTATGTCTGCAAAGACCCTATTTCCAAAAGAGCTTCTGGGTGGACATGAATGTTGGGGGGACACTATTCAATGCAGTGCACCAGCTGTGTGACTTCTGGCAAGTCACGTGGCCTCACTGGGTCTCAGTGTTTTCTCAGCAAAATGGAGTTAACAGACACACCCCACAGAGTCAAGTGAGTTAATAAGCATGAGGTCTCATGGTGCTGTGAACCCTGCAAGGTCTTGTTAAAGCACAGTCTCTGACCCAGCAGTGCTGGGGTGGGGCCCGAGCCTCTGCATTTCTTTTTCTTTTTCTTTTCTTTTTTTTTTTTGAGATGGAGTCTCACTCTGTCGCCAGGCTGGAGTGCAGTGGTGCGATCTGGGCTCACTGCAACCTCTGCCTCCCAGGTTCAAGCGATTCTCCTGCCTCAGCCTCCCAAGTAGCTGGGACTACAGGCGCGTGCTACCACACTCAGCCGCTTTTTGTATGTTTAGCAGAGACTGGGTTTCACATGTTGGCCAGGATGGTCTCGATCTCTTGACCTCATGATCCGCCCACCTCGGCCTCTTAAGGTGCTGGGATTACAGGCTTGAGCCACCGCACCTGGCCTGAGCCTCTGCATTTCTAAACCCTCTCCACATTGAGGAATGAGGACTTGTAGCCATTGGCCCCTAGAAGATGTCAGTGCTACAGCCTTGGGGGCTGGTGGATCCTCGCACAGGCCCTCCGAGTCCCTCAGGTCGGCCTCCTCCACTGCCTCCTAGCAGCTGTGGCTCTTAGAGATGCTCGGAAACTGTTGAATGAGTGAATGAATCGATGATCCCACAGGTGACTTTGTAGATGGATGAGCCCCTGGATCATCAGACGCAAAAGAACCTCCCCTGAGCCACACTGGGACCCTGCCGTGTGCCAAGCACTTTGCTGATTTGGCTCTTCTATTTTATTGTTAAGAGTTGTGGTAAAATACACATAATGTAAAACTTACCATCTTAACCGTTTTTAAAAGTACAGTTCAGCTGGGCACAGTGGTGTGCACCTGTAGTCCTAGCTACTTGGGAGGCTGAGGCAGGAGGATTGCCTGAGCCCAGGAGTTCGAGGCTGTAGTGCGCCATGATTGTGTCTGTGAATAGCTGTTGTACTCTTGCCTGGGCAACATAATGAGACTCTGTCTCTTTAAAAAAAAAAAAAAAATCAGCCGGGCACGGTGGCTCACCCCTGTGATCCCAGCACTTTGGGAGGCCGAGGCGGGTGGGTCACCTGAAGTCAGGAGTTTGAGACCAGCCTGGCCAACACGGTGAAACCCTATCTCTGCTAAAAATACAAAAATTAGCCAGGCGTGGTGGTGGGTGCCTGTAATCCCAGCTATTCAGGAGGCTGAGGCAGGAGAATCGCTTGAACCTGGGAGGCGGAGGCTGCAGTGAGCACCATTGCACTCCAGCCTGGGCAACAAGAGCTAAACTCTGTCTCAGAAAAACCAAAACAACAACAACAACAACAACAAAACAACAACAGAACAGTTTAGTAGTGTTAAGTACATTCACATTGGTATGCAACCAGTCTGCAGAACTCTTTTCATCTTGCAAAGTGGAAACTGTCCCCATTAAACATGAACATCCCCACCACCTCGAGCCCCTGGCAGCCACCCATCTACTGTCTGTCTCCACGAGGTTGACTACTCTGGGTACTTCATATGAGTAGAATCGGGAAACATCTATCTTTTTGTCACTGGCTCATTTCACTGAGCAGAATGTCCTTGAGGTTCATGCATGTTGTGGCACGGGTCAGAATTTCCTTCCAAGGCTGGAGAACCCCCATCACAGGGATAGACCACATTTTGTTTATCTGTTCATCTGTTGTTGAGCACTTGGGCTGCTTCTGGCTTTTAGTGGTCGTCAGTAACGCTGATGGGAAGGATTATGGGTGTGCACATATCCCTTTGTGTCCCTGCTTTCCTGTCTTTTGGGTATACACCCAGAAGTGGAACTGCCGGATCATATGGTAATTCTATTTCTGATTTTTTGAGAAACAGACTTAGCTCTTTGAGATCTCATAGCATTCTTCACCTAGATAGGCGAGGAGACCGATGCTCGGCTAAAAGATTGTGTGCAAACCCAGGTGCCACGTGCAGGCAAAGCCTATGCTGCACGGCATCCTCGGCCCTCTCTGCTCTCTCACAGGCATGTGGGCTGCTGGGAGAGGCAGGCTTGGTGCAGCACAGGACAGGCCTACATCACTGGGGGAGACCGGTGCAAAATGAAAATGCAGGGCTCGCAGGAAAACAGCTTTTTCCTTTCTTCTGTGGTCTCTGTCAACATGCCAAGGTGTTTTAAATTTGCTTGCTTTTTTTTTTTTGGAGACAGAGACTCACTCTGTCACCCAGGCTGGAGTGCAATGGTGTGATCTCGGCTCACTGCAACCTCTGCCTTTTGGGTTCAAGTGATTCTCCCGCCTCAGCCTCCTGAGTAGCTGGGACTACAGATGTCCACCAACACGCCTGGCTGATTTTTGTATTTTTTAGTAGAGATGGGGTTTGGCTATGTTGGCCAGGCTGGTCTCCAACTCCTAGCCTCAAGTGATCCTTCCACCTTAGCCTCCCAAAGTGCAGGGATTATAGGCGGGAGCCACTGTGCCTGGCCTAAATTTGCTTTTTAAAGTCGTGTTCCTTCAGGTGTGGGGATCCTCACCGGGAGAGTGCAGACCCTCACAGGCACCAGGCCCTGTCCTGGAACTTGGTGCATAGACCGGGTGCCTGGCTCCCCCTCCCCAACCAGCACCCAGGTCCAGGCCCCCACCAGGGGGAGTAGGGGGACAGTGGTCACCAGGCAGGGGCAGGGGAGCAGGGAATGAGAACCTGTCCCAGGGAGGCTCCACGCCCCCAGCACACACTCCATTGTCCCCTGGGATATTTGTTACAAAACACAAATTCAACAATAAACAACAAAATGATTAATAATTTCACATCAGCAACCTCAGGGCATTAAACCCCAAGTGCAGGGTCCCTTTCTCTGTTCATATCCTGGCTATGCCATTTGTTAGCTATGGGTACCTGGGAGAGTGCTCCAGCCTGAGGCCCCCTGAGCTTTAAATGGGGATAAAAGGCCAGGTGCGGTAGCTCACGCCTGTATTCCCAGTACATTGGGAGACTGAGGCAGGAGGATTGCTTGAGGCCGGGAGTTTGAAGCCAGCCTAGTTAACATAGAGAGATCTCTCTCCAAAAGACAAACATAACCCTGGGGGGAGTGGGGGATAAAGGACACAATTGAGCTTGTATGTTTTGTTAGGATGAGGTGAGAGTGGAAACAAAGTAATAAGCCCAGAGCCAGGGCTGGTCGTGGTGGCTCACGCCTGTAATCCCAACACTATGGGAGGTCGAGGTGGGCGGTTCACTTGAGTTCAGAAGTTTGAGACCAGCTTCAGCAACATGGTGAAACCCTGTCTCTACAAAAATACAAAAATTAGCTGGGTGTGGTAAGGCATGCCTGTAGTCCCAGCTACTCGGGAGGCTGAGATGGGAGGATTGCTTGAGCCTGGGAGGTGGAGGCTGCAAGTGAGTGGTGATCGTGCCACTGTACTCCACGCTGGGGGGTGGGAGTAAGACACTGTCTCACTGGAGCTGTTACAAGCCGAGGCCGTTTCTTCTCCTCCTCCACACCACCCTCTCTCAGGGCTGTGTTCTGAGCCTCAGTGGATGCCCCTCTGCTTGGTGGTCAGCATCTGCCCCTCTGGTCCTAGGCTGGCCGGCCCAGGGCTCCGTGGAGCCTTTGTGGGTTCCTGTGCACACCTCCTTCTTGGCTCTTTGTCTCCTGGGACTGTGATCCGCTCTGCTCCCAGCCGTCTCATCCCCAATGCCCCTCTTTTCTCCAGAAAGAAGTGCAGATCAAATTCCACGTGCTGCTCACCTCCTATGAGCTCATCACCATTGACCAGGCCATCCTGGGCTCCATCGAGTGGGCCTGCCTGGTGGTAGATGAGGCCCACCGCCTCAAGAACAACCAGTCCAAGGTAGGTGGCGCTGGCCGCCAGACCCCAGAGCTTCCCGGGGCGAGGGGCCGCCCAGAGCCCCCTGACAGGCCCCACTCTCCTCCCCTCAGTTTTTTAGGGTCTTAAACAGCTACAAGATTGATTACAAGCTGCTGCTGACAGGGACCCCCCTTCAGAACAACCTGGAGGAGCTGTTCCATCTCCTCAACTTCCTGACTCCAGAGAGGTTCAAGTGAGTCACCTGGATCTGGCTAGGGAGGTGGTGGTGGGGCTGGGTGGCCCCAGTGAAGACGGATCAATAGCCCATCCTGGCTGTGAGACCTGCTCGGCCGTTGCTTCCTCATCAGTAAAATGGGAGCATTAGCAATGTCCCCGCTTTGACCTCCTGCAGGAGCAGGGTGTTGGGGTGGGTGGCGTGGGCACATGGGAATGTTTGGTAAATATCAACTGCTGCTAATACCACGACTTTTCCTTAGCTCTGCCCTAGACCACCCGGGGTTCCTCCTGGACTGCCTCCCCTGGCAGGTTCCTTTCCCTCCACTGAGACCCAAGTGACTCACATAGGCAACCGTGGTGGAGGCAGAGGCAAGCTCCCCGGTGGCCGGAGCCCACCGCCCCATCCCCCTCATCTTCACCTACCTCCACTTGCCTGCTCAGAATGGGGGGTTCAGGGTGCACAGTGTCGATTTTGGAATCAGGAGATGCAGTGTTTTTTTTTTTTGTTGTTTTTTTTTATTAAAAGAAAGAGTCTCACTCTGTCACCCAGGCCAGAGTGCAGTGGCTTGATCTCAGTTCACTGCAACCTCCGCCTCCTGGGTTCAAGTGATTCTCCTGCCTCAGCCTCCTGAGTAGCTGGGATTACAGGCATGTGTCACCACGCCCGGCTAATTTTTGTATATCTTTAGTAGAGTTGGGGTTTCATCATATTGGCCAGGCTGGTCTTGAACTCCCGACGGGTGATCTGCCCGTCTCGGCCTCCCAAAGTGTTGGGATTACAGGCATGAGCCACCAGGAGATGTAGATTTGAGGGCCGGTTTTGGCACAGCTGGACTGTATCAACTCGGGCACTCATCAGAGTCAGTTTCCTCATCTGTTATCTGGGTAATAGAGAGCTCCTGTCCAGGACGGTTTTGAGGATGGAAAGGTGTCCAGTGTGGCTGAGGAAAAGAGGGCTGTGATGTGTGGAGGTGACACAGGCTTAGACAGAAATTGAGACGATATCCAGGGCAATGCCAGGGCTCCCTGGTTCACCAGCTAGCCGGCCTACATGGGCTAGGCGCTCTGCACCCTGCCTCCCCTGCCCCGGTCCTCTGCTCCTGGCTGTTATCCCAGCTTTTTGTTGCAGCAACCTGGAGGGCTTCCTGGAGGAGTTTGCTGACATCTCCAAGGAAGACCAGATCAAGAAGCTGCATGACCTGCTGGGGCCGCACATGCTCAGGCGGCTCAAGGCTGACGTGTTCAAGAACATGCCGGCCAAGACCGAGCTCATTGTCCGGGTGGAGCTGAGCCAGATGCAGAAGTGAGTGATGGGCTGACCCCGGAGCAGCCTGTGCTCGCCCTTTCCCCTGGGCTGGTCTCCTGGGTCGATTCCCAGGTGGGCGGAGGGCTCTTCAGCCTCACTGAGGTCTCGGCTAATGCTTTGCATACACTTTCTTCGTGGGGCCTCTTCTCAGGTTTTAGTGACCAGAGTTTGGGTCGCTTGAGTGCTGGCAGTGTCCCCCAGTCACTTGCAGGGGGACTCCAGGCCGGTGGCTTCACCTCTTGGGGGTCCCTTGGGTCTCTCTGTAAATGGGTGCTTGGCCACCAGCTTCCAGCCCCACTGCAGAGCAGAGAGAGCCCTCATGGAGGCGGGTCTGACCCAGCCTGCCTTTCCTCGTGCCCTGCTGCAGGAAGTACTACAAGTTCATCCTCACACGGAACTTTGAGGCACTGAACTCCAAGGGGGGCGGGAACCAAGTATCGCTGCTCAACATCATGATGGACCTGAAAAAGTGCTGCAACCACCCCTACCTCTTCCCTGTGGCTGCCGTGGTAGGTTTCCCCGGCCATCATGGCAGCTTCTCCATGACCGCCATGGTAGGTGCCTGTGGCCGCCATGGTAGGTCCCTGTGGCCGCTGTGATAGGTTCTCCTGGCCATTGTGGCGATTTCTGTGGCTGTCATGGTAGGTTTCCCTGGCCATCATGGAAGGTTGCCTGTGGCCACTCTGGTAGGTGCTGGGGAACTTACCGTGGAACCCGCTGCTGTGGTAGGGCTGGTGCGGCTGTGAGCCCTGCCTGGGAACGGGGGGCCTGGAGCCAGGGCCGTGGGACCCACGGTCTACCCCGCACTGTGGGGCCTGGCCTGGCTCGGGTGTGGGTCTCATGTTCAGTGGGCAGACAGGCCATCACCCCATTGCTCAGCACTTGTCTGTTCCCTGCGGCCCCTTTGGTGCAGAGTCAGAGAGGAGAGGGGAGCCCACCAATGCCCCACCTCCTGCTGTGTCTGCAGGAGGCCCCTGTCTTGCCCAATGGCTCCTACGATGGAAGCTCCCTGGTCAAGTCTTCAGGGAAGCTCATGCTGCTACAGAAGATGCTGAAGAAACTGCGGGATGAGGGGCACCGTGTGCTCATCTTCTCCCAGGTGCGCTGCCCCTGCCCACCCCCGCCCCGGCTCCACACCCCACAGAGAGCATCCTGCCCTGATGCTTGGGGGCGCAAACTTGCTGGCACCCCTCAGGGCCCAGTGCCGTTCCCATGTGGGTCATGTGACTGTGTGTCAGGGGTCACTCCCCCGTGCCCTGGCATAATGCGGCTGAGGAGCTCAGAACACATTTGCCATAAAGAGCAACATCTCCCCACACCTGCCCTTCTGGTCTGCATGTCCAGGCTGGTAGGACAGCCCCTCCTCCCCTGCCCTGGCCCTCTCCCCCGCAGCCTGGCTTCTCATTAAGGTAGGGCCCTGGGGTGTGGTTGGGAGGAGCCCCTCTCTCCAATAGGCCCTGAGGGGCCACTGGCACCTGGCTTTTTGGCTTGGAGGCAGGGCCGCCGGCTCAGGTGTGTTCATTTCTTCCTCCATCCCTTTGTTTGCGTCTGTCATAGTCAGGCTCTGTGCTGGCACATGGGTGCAGGGACCAGTGATCTAGTCCCTGTCCTCAAGCTGCTCAGTCTACTGTGGGAGACAGCTCAAGGGACAGGTACCCGACCCTGTGGTCAGCTCTGTGTTGGAGGCCACAGTGATGATCCTACAGGGTCATGGGGCTAAAAATGCTCCTCTCGTGGGCCCACTGAGCCAGGCCCCTTGCTCAAACCCAGAGTCTGGGCTATGGCTCCTTGTGCACAAACATCAACTGAAAGCAGCGTCCGCCGCCTGCAGCCCCAGGTCACCCTGCTGGGCTGCTTCAGCCCGAAGAATACTGGAAAGCAGGGCAAGTTTGAGACCAGGGGCTGAGCCAAGGAGTGGGCTGGAGTGGAGATGGACCCACATCCCCCCAGTACCTCGGTACCAACACGAGACGCAAGTCTGATCAGAGGCCTTGAGATACCAAGTAATGGGAACCACACAGCTTCCAGAAATGTGCACACAGGGCAAGCGACAGAGACGGGGCCCTCCTGCCCAAAATGAGCCTATGAACCCCAATTCCAAACCCATACAAAAGTGAATGCTGAGACATCCCCCAAAACAATAAATAGAATCCAAATAAGAAAATAGGGGCTGGGCGCAGTGGCTCACCCTGTAATCTCAGCGACTTGGGAGGTTGAGGCAGGAGGATTGCTTGAGCCCAGGAGTTCAGGGTTGCAGTGAGCTGTGATCTTGTCACTTCACTCCAGTCTGAGTGACAGAGCAAGACCCTGTCTCTTGAGAGAGAGAGAGAGAGAGAGAGAGAGAGAAAAGAATAGGATAGCCTGAAAAGACTTTACATAGATGTGTTTAGGATCCTCAAAAATGATGGAGTAATTGACACCCTAAAATAAAGAAGAAATTAAGCAAAAGCAGGAAGAACTGAAATAGGAACAATTGGATAGAAACATGCATGAAATTGAGATAAAACATTTCAACAGACTGGACAGACTCTGAACACTGTTGAAGAGAACATTGATAAATTGGAACCTGGTGCTGAGGCATTTTCCCAGAATGCAATGTACAGAGACAAAGATAAAACAGGGAGAACATGGAAGACACCTTGAGATGCTCCAACAATCATCCAATTGGAGTTGCAGAAGAAACAGAAAAAATGGTGAAGAAGTTGGATTTGTTGAGAGTTTGCAGACCTGGAGAGAAATGTGAGGTCTCAGATCTGGAGTGCATTCTGGAATAGCAAGCAAGATAAATATAAATAAATGAACCCGTAGACACGTTAGAACCTCTAGGTACTTTAGACCTAGTACCTACAAAATAAGGGCAGCCAGATCGTTCTCAGACTTCTTAACAACAACAGGTGGCAGAGACCATGGCAAAATCTCCGGTGCACTGAGGGAAAATGTGTGCTGATAGTTTTATATCCAGCTAAACTCTCTCTCGAGAATAAAGGGAATTATACGGGGTCATGGGAGCTCAGAAGGGACTGCCTTTCTTTTCTTATGGGGAGGAGTGAAATCAGGGAAGACATCACAGAGGTGATGTTTATGTTCCCTAGGCAGTAAGGGGGTGGGCATTCCAGGAAGAGAGTCAGGTAGTTTGGAATGGCTGGGGGCTGTGAAGGAGCACTCGTCCTGCAGCGCCTTGAATACAGGGCAGTGAGATGGAACTTAATTCTGTGTGGTGGGAGCAGGGGAGGCTCATGTCAGAGCCCTGATTTAGGTAAGTGGCTGTGGGGCTAGGCAGGAGGATGGATTGGCTCCAAGGGGTGAGGTTGGAAGCTTTGTTCTTCCCCAGAGTCCTGCATTGGGCCTGCCTGGGTCCCAGCTGTCTCCCCACCTAGCAGGCAGCTCTCTCCTCCCCTGCCTGTGGCGGGGTCCCCGCCCATGGCCCATGGGGCCCCTTGCTCCTTGGCAGTTCCTCACGTGCCCGTCTCCCCTGCAGATGACCAAGATGCTGGACCTCCTGGAGGACTTCCTGGAGTACGAAGGCTACAAGTATGAGCGGATTGATGGTGGCATCACCGGGGGCCTCCGGCAGGAGGCAATCGACAGATTCAATGGTACCCCCATCCTGCCCAAGGGTTCTGATTGAGACTCCTTTTTGGCCTCTTCTCCCAGGCCTGGTTCTTAGCCAGGTCACCCAGCTGGTGTTGTGTTGAGCAGCCTCACAAACAGCTAAAGACAGCAGGCCAGTCCGAGTTTCCAATGTTAAAAGGATTCCTCCCATGGAATCGGAGTTCTGAGGGGCCCAGTAGATAACACCTGTTGGGAATGGAGTTAGACAATGAGAAACGCAGACGGGGCCTCTAATATTGACGCCAGGTGAGCCCCAGTTACAAGTGGTGTTGGACAGAGCCTGCCGTATGGTGAATGGTGGCAGAAGGTACAGAGATGCACGTGCTACCTGGGGCCACTTCCAGAGGCAGGAGAGAGTGAAAGGGCTGGGCCACACATGATCAGGCTCTTTCCCCAGAGTCACCCATGCTTGGTCTTCCCTGCCTGGGAAGGAGAGGCGAGGGTGGAGGTCAGGAGGGTCTTGCCGGTGGAGTTCCTCCTGTAGCAAAAGAAACTTCTGGAGTGGGAAGCAGTCGGCTGTAAGCTTCAGTAGCAAGTTTGCAGCAAATAGTAACAAGCTTTGTTTCCCTGGGGCGTCAGCCCTTAGGGGCTGGGGCCACGCTCTCCAAACGCCCAAAGCAGTGATTCCTCTCAAACACTTGTGCCAGAGAGCCAGGAGGAATAGCAAGTTCAGAGTTTCAGGGTCTAGACGTGGCCCAGCCACATGTGGAAGCAGGAGTGGCTGAAGCCCTGGGTGTGCCAGGGGCCTGTTTGCAGCTCCAGTGGGGGCTGTGGTCAGTCCCAGGTCACTGAAGGGCCCTGAGAGGCTGAGAACCAGCCATCCTGTGACAGGGTTGCCCAGTGGGGTGGGACCCCAGGTCCCGGAGCTGCGCCCCTGAGTTTTCCCGGGCTGCCCTGGCAGCATCGGTGGGCTAAGGGAAGCCAGGGGTGGGAAGCTGCGGGGACATGAAGGACTCTGAGCTCTCTAGGGCTCTGCTTGTACTTGCTGGCGGCTTGCACTTTGTTTTTTGCTCATCTGGGGTTTGAAAATTGACCTCCTCGTTCCAGTGCCCTCCCACTGCACTAGGGCTCAGAGCTCGCTGGGGGCTAAGTGGGCTTGGGCAGGCCTCCTCTGGCTCCCCTGAGTGCAGCTGTGGCCACCCGTCTCTGATGGGGTCTCCGGCTTTGTCCTTCTCTGCCAGGGATCTGTTGCTGCAGTTCCTTCTCTCTGTTCTCTCCCCCATCCTTTCTGCCCACCCAAGGTGTACCCCCCCAAACACTCCCATCTGCTGGCCTCTCTTTTTCAGCCCCCGGGGCCCAGCAGTTCTGCTTCCTCCTCTCAACCCGGGCAGGTGGTCTGGGCATCAACCTGGCCACGGCGGACACTGTCATCATCTACGACTCGGACTGGAACCCGCACAATGACATCCAGGTCTGTGCTGCTGCCGCCCACCACCCTCCCAGGGGGCCTCTCATCCCGGGCCTCAGGCAGGTTCTGTCCTTCATGCCCTTCTTGCCATCACCCCCTCACCTATCCTGGTGCTGTGGGCCTCCCTCCCCCGTGGAGTCTCGGCCCCAAGAGGGGCTCTGGGAGTGAGTGGAAGCTTGGCCCCCATCCCTCCAGCTCTGTCCTTGTCCAGAGGAGGAAGCAGGCTTGGAGAGGGCAGGGGAAGTGTCCCAGGGCGCACAGCAGTTCCTAGTGGCCACTGATCTGGTCTTTCCCATCATCCTCAGGACCAAGGCCGTGGAGGGAGGCAGGAAGAGGGAGCCCTGGGACCCAGAGGGGCACCCATTTTGAAGGGGGTGGGGAGCAGAGAGTGGGGCCTGTTGGAGGTGGAGGGGAGGATAAGATAGTGCAAGGGGCAGATGGGGCTGTAAGGAAGGATGGAAGGGCTGTGGGGGGAGGGGTATGGGAATAGAGCCACCCTAGTGTACCTGGCCACCCCTCTCGGGCGCTGGGACACACACATTGAATGCTTACAAATGTAGGGGAACACATACAAATTGATGTCTCATTCACATGTGTGTGCGCCCATGCACATACACAGATATACACGGCCACACCCAGGTCACCTCATGTAGGGCTGCACAGAGTCTCAGGCACTTCCTTGTATTATACTGGGCAGATTCAGCTCCTTGCTGCCCTCAGAAGGTGGCTGCGTGTCTCCAGCACATGGTCTTGTGGTCCCATTAGTGGTTCGCTCACAGGGAAATGCAGCCTCCTACCTCCCCGTGGCCCCCACGAAGCTCTGTGTGGCTTCAGTTACACCCAGCACACTGGCCGTATCATCCCTCACACACTCTTGCACACCTGCAGTCCTGCCTGCTTCCAATGGCTAGAAGCTTTTCCACTCCAAACCCAGCCTGGCACCCAGGCTTGTGGGAGGCTCCGCAGTCAGGGAGGGAGCCCAGCTGCAGTGGTGGGCTCCACACACCTGGACGCACCACACGCCTTTCCCTACACAGTCATGCAGCCCATTCCATGCTCTTGAGCTCATGGGTGTGATCTCCTCCATTGCCTGGAGCCCTGGGTGAGCCACGGGTGCTGAGGTGCAGGTCTCCCCAGGCCTTCAGCCGCGCCCACCGCATCGGCCAGAACAAGAAGGTGATGATCTACCGCTTCGTGACTCGGGCCTCGGTGGAGGAGCGCATCACGCAGGTGGCCAAGCGCAAGATGATGCTCACCCACCTGGTGGTGCGGCCCGGCCTCGGCTCCAAGTCGGGGTCCATGACCAAGCAGGAGCTGGACGACATCCTCAAGTTCGGCACGGAGGAACTCTTCAAGGACGACGTGGAGGGTGGGCCTCTGTTCCGAGGGAGCGTGGCAGGGGACTGGGGTGGCCCGGCTGAGACACCCATCCAGGGCTTGCTTGGGTCCCTGCCCGCTCCAACACACAGCCTCTCTTCTGCACCCCCCACCTGTATCTCCTGGCTAGGACAGCCCAGGGTGGTGTCTCTGGGCACTGCCCGCCAACCCTGCAGCCCTCTGTGGTCCTGCACCAGTGCTTTCCTTCTCTGTCTGACAGGCATGATGTCTCAGGGCCAGAGGCCGGTCACACCCATCCCTGATGTCCAGTCCTCCAAAGGGGGGAACTTGGCCGCCAGTGCAAAGAAGAAGCACGGTAGCACCCCGCCAGGTAGGGGCCAACCCAGCCCAGCCTCAGCTCCTCCTCCGACCAGGTGGCTGCTCCTGCAGAGGAGGGGTTCCCTGACCTGCCCTCACTTGGGCGTCCTGGGACTGCCAGGTGGGCGGCGAGTGGGGCTGTTACAGCGCAGTTTCCTCTGTCTGGTCACCATGCCTCTCAGCTGCAGCCCCTGCTGGGGATGGGAAGGGCCATTGTTGGGAGTCTGTTCCTGGGACCCCGGGGCTGGACCAGGGCAGTCTTTGTCCTCACACTGCATTTGCCTGCTCCCCAGGTGACAACAAGGACGTGGAGGACAGCAGTGTGATCCACTATGACGATGCGGCCATCTCCAAGCTGCTGGACCGGAACCAGGACGCTACAGATGACACGGAGCTACAGAACATGAACGAGTACCTGAGCTCCTTCAAGGTGGCGCAGTACGTGGTGCGCGAGGAGGACGGCGTGGTAAGGTCCCCGGCCCGCCCTCCATCCGCAGCCCCGCCCTCCATCCGCAGCCCCGCCCCCCACTGTGTCCACGCCTTCCACTGTGACCCCGCCCTCCCGCCGCAGCCAGCCCTCCAAGCTGTGACCCCGCCCTCCAGCCGCAGCCCCGCCCTCCCTGCTGTGCCCCGCACTCCAGCGTGTGCTCCGCCCTCCAACCACGTGCTCCGGCCTCTGCAGGGCGGCCCTGTCGCTCCACCCGCGGGCTCAGGACTAGAGACACAACAGTGAGGGAAGGGACGGAGGCAGCGCTGAGGGCAGTACAGCCACATGGGCCGGCCACTGCCCTTGCACACATCAGCCGCCTGCTCCGTGGCGTCATCCCGGCTCCAGTCCAGCTTCCCCACTCTCTGAAGTGCAAGCTGATCTGCCACCCCGTTGCACAGAGCCCTGTCCCCGGGGTCTGGTTTCAGTCCCTACCCAGCTGCACCCTCCCGCCCCTTCCTCAGGGCCTGCATCTCGGCCCTGCACCTGGACCGCCAACGTTCCAGGACGGCCCACAATTTTCTTTTTTTTTTTTTCTTGAAATGGAGTCTCGCTCTGTCGCCCCGGCTGGAGTGCAGTGGCGCAGTATCAGCTCACTGCAACCAACGCCTCCCAGGTTTAAGTGATTCTCGTGCCTCAGCTCCCAAGTAGCTGGGATTACTGGCATGCACCACCACGCCTGTCTAATCTTTGTATTTTTAGTAGAGATGGGACTTTGCCATGTTGGCCAGGCTGGTTTTGAACTCCTGACCTCAGGTGATCTACCTGCTTCGGCCTCCCAAAGTTCTGGGGTTAAGGAATGAGCCACCACGCCTGGTCCACCCCACACTTTTCTCCCTTCTCTACCGGGCAAACCCCAGCTGTCCCCGAAGAGCTCCTTGTGGGTCTCTCCTGGAGGCCTTTCCGTTTCCTCCTCTGCTCCCCACCCTCCGTGCAGACCTGGTGAGCCCATGACCTTTTCCTTTGAAACCAGGAGCCTCCTGAGGGCAGGCAAGGGGGAGCTTATTCAACTCAGTACCTCAGTGCTTGACAGGAGGCGAGGAAATACTTGCTTTGTGAATGGATGGATGAATAAGTAAATGATTGACTGGATAGGGGCAGGGAGAGAAAAGCTAGCTAGGGCCGGGGTGATCAGAGAAGGCTTCCTGGAGTAGGCAGGCCATCCCATTAATCCTTGAGCCCTGAGGGGGCAAAGGGCAGGTCAGGTGGAGGCAGCCTGAGGCTTCCGGGAGGGCAGAGATGGCTCCACCCATGGAACCCGTGGTGCTGCGTCCCCAGGAGGAGGTGGAGCGGGAAATCATCAAGCAGGAGGAGAACGTGGACCCCGACTACTGGGAGAAGCTGCTGCGGCACCACTATGAGCAGCAGCAGGAGGACCTGGCCCGCAACCTGGGCAAGGGCAAGCGCATCCGCAAGCAGGTCAACTACAACGATGCCTCCCAGGAGGACCAGGGTGCGTGCCGGGAGGGAGGGACTGGTGCCCCTCACCCAGAGGCGGAGGGTGGGGCAGGATTCTGTCAGGGCATCCCTGTGCAGAACCCCCGGGAGGTGCGGGCCGGGAGAGCTGGGCGAGTGTGCCAGGAGGGATGGGTGTCCCATACCCAGAGGCGGAGGGTGGGGCAGGATTCTGTCAGGGCATCCCTGTGCAGAACCCCCGGGAGGTGCGGGCCGGGAGAGCTGGGCGAGTGTGCCAGGAGGGATGGGTGTCCCATACCCAGAGGTGGAGGGTGGGGCAGGATTCTGTTGGGGCATCCCTGTGCAGGACCCCCCCGGGAGGTGGGGGCCAGGAACGCTGGGCGGCGCTGGTTGGAGCTGGGAGGCAGCTTTTTGGAGGAAAGGGGACTGGGGGCAGGTGCAGAGGTGCTGGGTGTTTGGGGGAACAAGGTGTGGCTCAGTTCAGTGACTTCACCACTGCTCGTGACGTGGCCTTGGGCACGTCCCTTGCACACAGTATGTGTAATGTGTGGGTACACATGGTACCCTTAGTGTATAACGTGGTGGTGTTGGGATTACTAAATGAGCCCACAGGAAGTATGTGGGCCATTGTCACTGCTTTTTTATGGAGCTGGGGTGCAGGGGCTCGGCGTGGCCCTGGGCATGCTTGAACTTGAGGGTGGGCTTTGCTTGTACAGCTCACTCCGTGCCCCTCTGTCTGGCCCCCTGCAGAGTGGCAGGATGAGCTCTCTGATAACCAGTCAGAATATTCCATTGGCTCTGAGGATGAGGATGAGGACTTTGAAGAGAGGCCGGAAGGGCAGAGTGAGTCTCAGTGTTAGTGGTCTGGGCTACTGCTGAGGCCATGTCAGGGGAGCTGATGGCAGCAGGAGCGGGGCTGGTCTGGGGTCCCGCTGTCCTTGGGGATCAGGAATCTCTGGGCTCCCACCTGAGGAACTGTGGCGGGCTGCTCCCCAGGTGGACGACGACAATCCCGGAGGCAGCTGAAGAGTGACAGGGACAAGCCCCTGCCCCCGCTTCTCGCCCGAGTTGGTGGCAACATCGAGGTGGGGCCTGTCTGTTCCCGCATCTCTTTCTGCCCCTGCTTCCTGCTGCCCCTGGGGTATGGAGGAGGGCTGGGGGACTGCCCCGGGTCTCATGCCAGGTAGAGGCGGAGCTTGGACAGAACTTGGTCTGGTCTTCGCCGTCAGGGTCCTGCCCCAGGTGGAGGCCCCTGCCTTCTCTGTGCCCCCTTCCTACCTTCTCCTCCTCCCATGCTTTTCTTCCCCCATCCCAGAATCCTCCACCCCCACCCCTCTCTGTCCTGGGCTCATACTCCCACGCTCCACTCGCCCAGGTGCTGGGCTTCAATGCCCGACAGCGGAAGGCCTTTCTGAACGCCATCATGCGCTGGGGCATGCCCCCGCAGGACGCCTTCAACTCCCACTGGCTGGTGCGGGACCTTCGAGGGAAGAGCGAGAAGGAGTTTAGGTAAAGGGGCTAGGTGGTGGCCCAGGGTGTGACCACCTGCCCCTGAGTAGGGCAGGGTCCTGCGGGTGAGCCCCACAGAGGGCAGCATTTGCTTCCGCCAGGATGAGGCCGTCTGGAAAGTTCACTGCCACTTGGACTTTGGGTGGCTAGAGTCCTGGTGCCGGGCAGGGCTGATTTGCAAACACTGACCATCCGCCCCTGCCCAAACCAGCTGGTGTTATGGCAGCGAGGAAGATCCCGGTCACCCAGGGCTGTCCTAGGAGGTCCCCTCGCCAGGGAGGCCCTCTCTGTCCTTTCCCGGGCCTGGCCCAGGCCTGACTAGGAGGTGGGCGATGGTTGAAGATCAGCCAGGAGTTCCCCTGGGGTCCTGCCAGCCCTCTCAGAGGGTTCTTGCCGGCCCCCCACTCCCTGAGCCCCAGTCCCCCCCCCCCACCCCAGAGCCTATGTGTCCCTCTTCATGCGGCACCTGTGTGAGCCGGGGGCGGATGGTGCAGAGACCTTCGCAGACGGCGTGCCCCGGGAGGGCCTCTCCAGGCAGCACGTGCTGACCCGCATCGGGGTCATGTCACTAGTTAGGAAGAAGGTGGGTGAGTAACTCTCTGTAGGGCCCTTCCTGGTGGCTGCCTGGGCTCCTGGTGCTGTCCCTTGTGGGTCAGTGGTCAGAGAACAAGTGCCTGGTTCAGGCCACACAGCTGCCCAGGGTCCGAGTCACTCCAGAGGGACTGACCTGGAAAGCCTTTCTGGGTGAGGGGCCTGTGGGGTGGAGGCCAGGATGGTGGGTTACATACAGTTGGAGGACACACAGAGGGTGGGAGGGTGGGCAGGGGAGCTTGTGGTCAGGAGGGGCCTGGCTTGGCCAGCCTTGGGCGGAGGTAGCAGCTACCCCAAGCCTGTGACACTTTCAGCCCCCCTGGCTGCCCTGAGGCCCTTAGGGCTGAGTTGCCACCACTGCCCTCCCTCTTTCCCTTCCACCTTCCCTCCCACCACCCCAGGTTCAGGAGTTTGAGCATGTCAACGGGAAGTACAGCACCCCAGACTTGATCCCTGAGGGGCCCGAGGGGAAGAAGTCGGGCGAGGTGATCTCCTCGGACCCCAACACACCAGTGCCCGCCAGCCCTGCCCACCTCCTGCCAGCCCCGCTGGGCCTGCCAGGTCTGTGGGCTGGGCGGGCCGGGGAGGGCACTGGGGTCATGGAAAGTGGCAAGGTCACAGAAACCCCTAGTCTAACCCACAATCCCACAGAAGACGGCCTCTCCTTCCCCCAAAGCCTCTGTTTGCTGAAATGTCACTCTACAGAGAGTTTTCCATTTTAATGACAGTTACGAGATATAATTTATATACATACTGCAAAATTCACTCTTTTAAAAAACTGGCTGGGCGCGGTGGCTCACACCTGTTAATCACAGCACTTTAGGAGGCTGAGGCGGCAGGATCACCTGAGCTCAGGAGTTTGAGACCAACCTGGCCAACATGGTGAAACCCCGTCTCTACTAAAAATACAAAAGATTAGCCGGGCATGGTGGCACGTGCCTGTAATCCCGGCTGCTCGGGAGGCTGAGGCAGGAGAATCGCTTGAACCTGGGAAGCGGAGGTTGCAGTGAGCCAAGATCACACCACTGCACTCCAGCCTGGGGGGACAAAGCAAGACTCCATCTCAAAAAAAAAAAAGTACTATTCAGTGATTTCTAGTATATTCGTAGGGTGTACAACCATCGCCACTGCCTAAGGCCGGAATATTTTCATTCCCCCTGAAAAAGAAACCCTGTACCCATTAGCAGCCACTCCTTATCCCCCCACCCCAGGCCTGGGCAGCCACTAACCTGCTTCCTGTTTCTGGATTTCGCAATGCTGGATGGTTCGTGTATATGGCACTGCACAGTGCGTGGGCCTTTCTGTCTGGCTTCTGTCACTCAGCCTGGGGGTTCCAGGTTCATCCACATTGCAGCGTGCATCAGTGCTTCAGTCATTCTGTCATTCTGCCTTATGGCTGATAATGTTTTCTTTTTCTTTCTTTCTTCCTTTTTTTTTTTTTGAGATGGAGTTTCGCTCTTGTTGCCCAGGCTGGAGTGCGATGGAGTGATCTCGGCTCACTGCAACCTCCGCCTCCCAGGTTCAAGCGATCCTGCCTCAGCTTCCCGAGTAGCTGGGATTACAGGTGCCCGCCACCACACCTGGCTGATTTTTGTATTTTTAGTAGAGACGGGGTTTCGCCATGTTGGCCAGGCTGGTCTTGAATTCCTGACCTCAGGTGATCCACCCTCCTCGGCCTCCCAACGTGCTGGGATTATAGGCGTGAGCCACCGCGCCTGGCCGATAACGTTTTCTTGTATGAATTTACTGCATTTTGCTTATCCATTGCGCTGTCGATAGATTTTGGATTGTTTCTACTTTTTGGCTGCTGTGAATAATGCTGCTGTGTTTTATGTTTTTGCGTGGACATACGTTTTGAGTTCTTTTGGGCAGATATCTAGGAATGGAATTGCTGGGCCGTGTGATAACCCTGTTTTCCCTTTTGAGAAACTACTAGACTGTTTTCCAAAGCAGCTGTACCATTTTACATTCCTGCTAGTATTGTGCGGGAGTCCCAGGTTCTCCACGTCTTCAGCAGTAATTGTTCTCTGCCTTCATGGTTCTAGCTGTCCTGGGAGCATGAGGTGGTGTCTCACTGTGGTTCTGATTGGCATTTCCCTGATGCCAAGGACGCTGAATGTTGTTCGGTGTGCGTATTGGCTGTTTGTAGACTTGTAGAAATGTCTTTTCAGATTCTTTGCACACTTAATTGGGTCATTTGTGCCCGTGTCACTTTGGTGATCTAGGTATTTATTTGGGTGAAGCAAATACCTGTTAAGTACTTGGTCCGTCGGTTGGGCCTCACAGGCCTGGGGCGGACATAGCTATCCCATGGTGATGGGTGAGGCCAGGCCCTGAGAAGCTGCACCTCCAAGCACAAGGGAGCCCTTGGAGGTGGACACATCTTGGTTTGCTTCTTGGCTTTGGCCTGAACTCTGTCTAACCTTGGGCAAGTCACCTAACCTCTGTGGGCCTCCGCTTTCCCGGCTGTGCCCACCTCCCGGGGCTTCTCAGAGCTGTGTAAGTGACCAGCACTTTGCAGTGTGTTGGCGGCTGGCTTGGCAGGGAGGAAATTCACCCCCTGTCCAGAGGCACACACCAGCCAGCCCGCCCGAAAGCTGGGACCAGAGCGGGTGTCGTGGCTCCCAATCTGGGCCTCCATCTGCCTCACTTCCCTGCCTCCAGATGAGCAGCCACGGCTGTGTGCGGCCCCGTCCTGACAGCCCCTCACTTTGGTCTTACTGGGTTCAAGGTCCTCCAAGCACTCCTGAGTCAAAGGCCTGGCCTGGCCTCTCTGACTTAGCCGGGGATCCTGCTTGTCTCTCCTGGAGGTGCTTGGCTGCAGTGGAGCCTCCCGAAGGCCAAGCCCCCATCTCTCCTCTCTGCCACCCCACTCCCTGCCCTACTCCTTCCCGTCTGAGCCCACCTGTCTCAGCTCTTTCCCTTGATCTTTCAGACAAAATGGAAGCCCAGCTGGGCTACATGGATGAGAAAGACCCCGGGGCACAGAAGCCAAGGCAGCCCCTGGAAGTCCAGGTGTGGAACTTGCTGGCGTCTGGGCCTGTGGTGTGTGTGGGGTGGAGGTTGGGTCTGGGGACCTTCTCAGGCCCTGTACAGCGAGGTGGAACCCAGGCCTCCTGGCTCCCTTTTCGGGGCTCTGAATCGGCGGGGAGCAGGCTAGGAGCAAGCGACGGGAGCCAGGAGACTGGGTTCCCAGCCCAGCGCACGTTCCCCGCCCTCCGTTCCTGGTGAGGCCCCAGGCCTTGTAGTTCTCCTGGCTTTTCCTCTGCAGGCCCTTCCAGCCGCCTTGGATAGAGTGGAGAGTGAGGACAAGCACGAGAGCCCAGCCAGCAAGGAGAGAGCCCGAGAGGAGCGGCCAGAGGAGACGGAGAAGGCCCCGCCCTCCCCGGAGCAGCTGCCGAGAGGTTGGGGCTTCTTGCAGGCCACCCACCCCAGTGCCATGTCTGGCCTCAGCAGGCCTGGGTTCAGAGAAGGGCAGGTGGCTGTACTTCCGCTCATTTCTCCCTGGCAGAGAGGTAGACTCCAACCCTCTGCAGGCCCCCTGGTGAGGGGAGGCCAGGAGCTCAGGCCTCTATACATGGACTTAATGGACTTTTTTTTTTTTTGGAGAAAGGGTTTCGCTCTGTCACCCAGGCTGGAATGCAGTGGTACCATCTCGGATCACTGCAACATCCGCCTCCCGGGTTCAAGTGATTCTTGTGCCTCAGTCTCCCTAGTAGCTGGGACTACAGGCGTGTACCACCACACCCAGCTAATTTTTGTATTTTTAGTAGAGACGAGATTTCATCATGTTGGTCAGGATGGTCTCGATCTCTTGTAGCTGGGACTATAGGTGCATACCACCACACCCAACTAATTTTTGTATTTTTAATAGAGACTGGGTTTTGCCATGTTGGCCAGGCTGGTCTCGATCTCTTGACCTCGTGATCCGCCTGCCTCGGCCTCCCAAAGTGCTGGGATTACAGGTGTGAGCCACTGCGCCCGGCCATTTTTTTTTTTTTTTTTTTAATTTTTAGTAGAGACTGTTGGCTGGGCTGGTCTCGACCTCCTGACCTCAAGTGATCCACCCACCTCGGCCTCCCACAGTGTTGGGATTGCAGGCATGAGCCACCTTGCCCGTTGGTCTTTAACTTTTCTTACCATACAGAGATTGGGGGTGATTGGGCTACTTTTTTATTAGTGATTTCTGACTCAATTGCATTGTGGTCTGAAAACATGAGTCTATATGAGGTTGTTGAAACCTGCTCTCTGGCCTGATACGGTCAGATTTTGTAAATGATGTATGTGTGCTTGAAGAAAATGTCTGTTCCCTAATTGCTGGGTTTAAGGTTCTAACTATATGCATTAGGGCTGGGCATGGTGGCTCACACCTGTAATCCCAGCACTTTGGGAGGCTGAGGCAGGTGAATTACCTGAGGTCAGGAGTTCAAGGCCAGCCTGGCCAACATGGCGAAACCCAGTCTCTATTAAAAATACAAAAATTAGTTGGGTGTGGTGGCATGCACCTGTAGTCCCAGCTACTCAGGAGACTGAGGCAGGAGAATTGCTTGAACCTGGGAGGCAGAGGTTGCAGTGAGTGGAGATCGTGTCACTGCACTCCAGCCTGGGCAACAGAGAGGGACTCAATCTCAGAAAAAAAAAAAATATATATATATATAATACACACATATATACATATACACGTATATATATACGTATATATGTACGTACATACGTACGTATATACGCACATATGTACGTATGTACGCACGTATGTACGTACATATGTACCTATATATGTACGTATATATACACACACGTATATATATATGCGCATTAGGTCAGTAGATAATGCATGCTAATTATATTGTTCAAGTTTTTAATATCTTTACTAGTATTTGGTTTGCTTTGATCAGTCAGTTTCTGAGAGACTTGTGTTAAAATCTCTCATTATGATTATGGATTAATCTCTTTCTTATAATGCCAGATTTTGCTTCATATCATTTGAGACTGGGTTGTCAGGTGCATATTTGTTCAGGTTTTTAATATTTTTCTTGTGAAGTGTGCTTCTAATTATTGTGTAATAACCCTCTTATCCCTCTTTAAAGTTTTTGCTTAAAAGTTTATTTTTGGGCCAGGTGCGGTGGCTCATGCCAGTAATCCCAGCACTTTGGGAGGCCGAGGTGGGCAGATCACAAGGTCAGGAGTTCAAGACTATCCTGTCGAACATGGTGAAACCCGTCTCTACTAAAAATACAAAAAAGTTAGCCGGGCATGGTGGCGAGCGCCAGTAGTCCCAGCTACTTGGGAGGCTGAGGTCGCACCACTGCACTCCAGCCTGGGTGACAGAGCGAGATTCCGTCTCAAAAAAGAAAAAAAAAGTTTATTTTTGCTGATTTGGGTTGCTCTTTCTTTTGTTTAGTATATATTTGTTACGCCTTTTTCTATTCCTTTTTTTTTTTTTAAGATAACAGCTTTATGGTGATATAGTTAACATATCATACAGTTGAGCCATTTAAAGTATACCATTCAGGTCGGGCATGGTAGCTCACACCTGTAATCCCAGAACTCTGGGAGGCTGAGGTGGGTGGATCACCTGAGGTCAGGAGTTTGAGACCAGCCTGGCCGACATGGTGAAACCCTGTCTCTACTAAAAATACAAAAATCAGCTGGGCGTGGTGGTGGGCACCTGTAATCCCAGCTACTCAGGAGGCTGAGGCAGGAGAATCACTTGAACCTAGGAGGCAGAGGTCGCAGTGAGCCGAGATGGCACCACTGCACTCCAGCCTGGGCAACAAGATCGAAATTCTGTCTCAAAAAAAAAAAAGTAATGAAGTATACCATTTGTTATTTTTAGTACATCCAGAGTTGTGCAACCATCACCATTATCTAATTCCAGAACATTTAATCACTTCAAAAATAAATTCTTCTTACCCATTGGTAATCACTCCCCATTTCTTCCTCTTCCTCCCAGCCCCTGGCAATCACTTCTGTCCTATGGACTGGCCTATTCTGAACATTTCATACCAATGGAATAATGCAGTACTTTGGCCCTTTGTGTGTCTTCTTTCACTTAGCATAGTGTTTTTAAAGTTCATCTATGTTGTGGAATATATTAGTACTTCATTCCTTTTTTTTTTTTTTTTTTTTTGAGACAGGGTCTTGCTCTATCACCCAGGCTGGAGTGCAGTGGCATGATCTTGGCTTAACTACAGCCTTGACCCCCTGGGTGCAAGCGATCTTTCCACCTCAGCCTCCCAAGTAGCTGGGACTACAGGTGCACATGCTAACACGCCCGGCTAATTTTTGTATTCTTTGTAGAGACGGGGTTTTGCCATGTTGCCCAGGCTGGTCTTGAACCCCTGGACTCAAGCAATCCTCCCACCTTGACCTCCCAAAGTGCTGGGATTACAGGCAGTACTTCATTTCTTTTTATGCCCAAATAATATTCCATTGTATGGATCTACTATGTTTTGTTTTGTTTATCCATTCATAGTGATACACATTTGAGTTGTTTCCACTTTTTGGCTACTGTACACATTTGTGTACACATTTTTTTGTGTGAGTCTAGGTTTTCAGTTCTTTTGGGTATATATCTAGGAGTAGAACTGCTGGATCATATGGTAATTCTCTGTACCATTTTGAGAAACTGCTGAATTGTTTTCCATGTGTATTGCATCAGTTCACATTCTTACCAGCATGTGTGAGGGTTCCAGTTTCTTCACATACTTGCCAATACCTGTTATTATCTGTCTTTTTGATTATAGTCACCCTAGTGGGTGAGAAGTGGTATCTCATTGTCATTTTGATTTGAGTTTACTTTGTGCATAAAGATGTTGAATATTTTTTCATGTGATTATGGCTTATTTGTGTATAATTTGTTGAAGAAATGTCCTTTCAGATCCTTTGTCTACTTTAAAATTGGATTTTTTTAAATTATTGAATTGTAAGAGTTCTTTTTAAATTAATTAATCAATACTTTTAGAGACAGGGCCTTACTATGTTGTCCAGGAGGGCTTTGAAGTCCTGGGCCCAAGTAATTCTCTAGTATTAGACTTTTGAGTAGCTAGGATCACAGGCGTGTACCACTGTGCCTGGCTTGTATGAGTTCTTTATATAGATGCATGTTCCTCATCAGATATATGATTTACAAATATTTTCTTTCATTTCTTCACTTTTAATCTCTTTGTAATGTTTTAGGTCTATCTTTTGTAGACGGTGTATAGGGGATTCATCATTTAAAATCTAATTATAGGGTCCCTATCTTTTAGCTGGCAAGTTTAATCTCTTTACATTTGTTGTAATAACTAGATATGTGGATGGAATTCTGTTATCTTATTTTGTACTTTATATATTACCCTTCTCTTTTCTCCTTTTTTCTCTTTTCCTGCCATCTCTTGGATTGATCAAATTTTCTTTATATCTCCTCTTTTCCCCCTCAACTCATTTGGAAGGTTTATAGTCAATTTCATTCTGTACTCTTAACATTTTTAACATGTATACCCCTGAGTAATATGAGGACTTTAGATAGCTTTAGCTCTAACTCACTTCCCTTTCATCTGCCACGATGCTGTTGCCCAGTATTTTAGTTTCAGTTTGTTTTTACTTTCCCAAATTTGTTGTTATGCTTATTTCTAAATTTTTAATCCTTTTTTAGATCTTCTCACATTCTTACCAGTTTGTGTTTGCCTATTTGTTCATCATTGCTTCATTCAAAGTCCTTCCTAAAGTACACCTTTAATGGTGCTTTCAGCAATTTTTTTGGGAATGGTAAATTCTCTCATTGTTATTTTTCTTTTACTCTTGAATAGTTAGTACAATTGAAGATGGGATAGGGATCTTCCCTCAGCACTTTGCAGATATTCTTCCTTTTTTTATTTGGCATTCATTATGCTGAGAAGGCTGCTGAGAAGCTGAGAAGGCTGCTGTTGGTGTAATTGCTGCTCCTGTCTAGGAAGTTTGTCATTTCTATCTTTTCTCACATTGAAAGACTGCTTTGAAGACATTCTCTTTGTCTTTGGTGATATGTAGCTTCACTACAATGGAGGGTATTTTTTGTTTTGTTTTTAGAGTGAAGTTTTTGTTTATCTTGTGTGTGACTCACTGTGATTCTTAAAGCTGAATATTTATGTCCTGCATCAATTGTGGGAAAATTCTCAGTCATTCTCTCTTTGAATATTTTCTTTGCCCTCATTATGTTTATTTTGTCCTTCTGGAATTCCTATTACTCATTGATTGGTTCATTCATCCAACAAACATATATATACACACATGCATATATATATATATTTTGAGCCTGCTGAGTGTCAGATGCTGTCCCAGGCACTGAGGACACAAGCAATGAACCAAAACAGCTGAAAGCTTCATTCCGTGGAGTTTGTATTCCACTGGGGAACACAGGCAATCCACAATAAACAGAAATACGTGTTGTTCAACCACAGACTCCAAATGCTCTAAAGAAGAAAGCAGAGTACAAGGTTAGCAAAAGATGGGGGCTGATAAGTTTTCATATCTTTTGCTTCTTTTTTGTTATCTATTTCTCTGCCAGGCTTTTTGAGTAATCTTCAGATCCAGCTTCCATGTATATTTTCTTTGCACAGCTGTTTTTTAAAACCTTCCCAGTTGTATTATTTTGCATGGCTGTGTCACAAATTACTGCAAACTTAGTGGCTTAAAACAGCACTCACCATGAGCTCACAGTTGTGTGGGTCTGATGCCTGGCGTGGTGTAGCTGGGTGTTCTGCTCAGGATATCACAAGGTTCAGGACATCAAAGTATCGAGTGGGTTGAGTTCTCATCTGGAGGCCCTGGGGAAAAGTCCACATCCATGCTCACTCCTTGTTGTTGGCAGAATTCAGTTCCTTGAGGCTGGAGGACTGAGGTCCCATTTCCTTGCTGGCTGTCAGCTGGGTCCGTTTTCAGCACCTGGAAGCCACCACATTCCTGCCATGTAGCCTCGTGTGTCTTCAAGCCAGCAGTGGTGAACAGAAACCCTCCCGTGCTTCGCATCCTTGACTTCCTTTTCTGTGACCAGCCAGAGAAAAGGGCTCGTGTGGTCAGGTTAGGCCTACTCAGGTCATCTCCCTGTTTTAAGGTCACCCGTGCCGCAAAACGGAACCTGCTCTGGGGAGTCGAGTTTGTCCTCTTCACCTTCCAGGGGATCTTGCAGGGCGTGGACACCAAGGGCCGGAAGTCTTGGAGCCCATGTTGGAATTCTGCAATTAAATTCTGCAATTAAAATGTTAATGATTGTGTGTTTCCTTTCTTTTTTTTTTTTTTGAGACAGAGTCTCTCTCCCACCTCAGCCTCCCAAGTAGCTGGGACTACAGGCACCCGCCACCACGCCCGGCTAACGAAGTCTGGCTAATTTTTTGTATTTTTAGTAGAGACAGGGTTTCACTGTGTTAGCCAGGATGGTCTCGATCTCCTGATCTCGTGATCTGCCCGCCTCGGCCTCCCAAAGTGCTGGGATTACAGGCGTGAGCCACCGCGCCTGCCCCCCCCTTTTTTTTTTTTGAGATGGAGTCTCGCTCTGTCGCCCAGGCTGGAGTGCAGTGGTGCAATCTCGGCTCACTGTAGCCTCTGCTTCCCGGGTTCAAGTGATTCTCCTGCCTCAGCCTCCTGAGTAGCTGGGATTACAGGTGCCTGCCACCACACCTGCCTAATTTTTGTATTTTTAGTAGAGACAGGATTTCACCATGTTGGTCAGGCTGGTCTCAAACTCCTGACCTCAAGTGATCCACCCACATTTCTAGAAATTTTATGTTTTTTTTCTAGTTTTGAGGGAGTCTTATTCTTTCCCTGTGGATTCTCTTCCTTCTTTTTCTTTTTTCTCTGTCTTTGGTCACCCTAGACATATTTATTTTAGAGCAAGCTTTTTCAACCTGTGTGGTCCGTGGGACAAATGTGGCCCAGGATGGCTTTGAATGTGGCCCAACACGAATTCATAAACTTTCTTAAAACATTATGAGATTTTTTTTGTGATATATATATATATCACAAAAAAATGTGTGTGTGTGTGTTTATGTGTATATATATATAAGCTCATCAGCTGTCATCAGTGTTTAGTGTATTTTATGTGTGGCCCAAGACGGTTCTTCTTCCAGTGTGGCCCAGGGAAGCCGAAAGATTGGACACCTCTGTTTGAGAGTCTCTGACATTGTCCTGTTAGCCCCAGGCGCTTGTCTGCTTCCTGTGCGTCGGCTGGTGGGGGATCATTGTTTTCTGGGTTTAGATTGGGTGCATCCTCATCAGGAATTGTGATTTTTTTTTTTTTTGAGACGGAGTCTCACTCTGTCACCCAGGCTGGAGTGCAGTGGCGTGATCTCGGCTCACTGCAACCTCTGCCTCCCGGGTTCAAGCGATTCTCCTGCCTCAACCTCCCGAGTAGCTAGGATTACAGGCACGTGCCACCACACCTGGCTAATTTTTAAAAAATATTTTTGGTAGAGACGGGGTTTCACCATATTGGTCAGGCTGGTCTCGAACTCCTGACCTTGTGATCCTCCGGCCTCGGCCTCCCAAAGTGCTAGGATTACAGGCGTGAGCCACCGCGCCCGGCCTGGATTGTGGTTTTTATCTGCAGGAGCTCCGTGTCCTCTGGGGAGTGGGAGCATCCCTCCCCTTTTGTTTCTGGAGGCTCAGGCCGGGAGGTTTCATGGGCGGTGTCCCTCTGGGAGCAGCTTTATGATGCTGTCTCTGCCTTGGGTGGTCCAGTTCATATCCCACACCCACGAGGACAAGGCGTTGGGTGTGGGTTCCTCACTGGAGACCTTCTTTTCCTTGATCCTGTGGTGGAGACAGGCCATCTCACTCCCGTGGCCAGTGGTGAGAACTTTCCTTCAGAGACCACGGTGTTGGACCGTGTTGGCATCATTCCAGTTCTCTGCATCTTTTGGGCTTGAGGCCTCCCCTGTCCTGCCTGGGTGCTGAGACACAGCTCCAAGTTCCAAGCTCTCCAGGCTTCTTCCTGGTGTCTCATCACCCCAACCTGGGGCCCCTGGACACCAGCTCCTGCTTCCTCACCTTCAGTTTCCCCTTCCTTCCTGGCACCCGGTGATTTCCTTCTCTTCTTGGGAACTCATCTTCTGTGTGCTGTTTTTTTTTGAAACAGCGTCTTGCTCTGTCACTCAGGCTGGAGTGCAGTGGCGCCATCTCGGCTCATGGGAGCCTTTATCTCCTCGGCTCAAGCGACCCTCCCACCTCAGCTTCCTGAACAGGTGGGACCACAGGCGCATGGCGCCAAGCCCAGCTAAGTTGTTGTATTTTTTGTAGAGATGAGATTTCACTATGTTGCCAGGCTGGTCTTGAACTCCTGGTCTGAAGTGATCCTCCTGCCTCGGCCTCCCAAAATACTGGGATTACAGCATGGGCCACTGCACCTGGCCGAGGAGAGCTCTTTTTGGTGGCACCTGTTGGACTCTGCGGAACATATTGATGGATAGGGTTCCATGGGTGGAAAGCCACGAGCCCAGAGTCCTCTGTGTTTTCTGGGACCCCACCCCATGCCGCGAACCCTCTTTTTCTTGCAGAGGAGGTGCTTCCTGAGAAGGAGAAGATCCTGGACAAGCTGGAGCTGAGCTTGATCCACAGCAGAGGGGACAGTTCCGAACTCAGGCCAGGTCTGGGGCTCTTCTGTGTTCTCTACCTGTGCCCCATGGTCCCTTGAGGGTGCCCTCTGGACCCTGTTCAGCCTCCCACAGTCTCCCAGGCGCCGTCCCCTTGGCCCCAGGCCTGATTGGAGCTGGCAGGTGGGAGCCTGGATTCACCAGCCCCTCACAGCCAATGCCGGGGACAGCCTCTCCCCTACTCTCTCCTGAGCCCTGCTGTGCCCTTGCCGCTAAGAGAGAGGAGAGCTGGTCATAGAGCCTGGCCTGGGGGATTTGGGGCTCAGCTGGAAGCTTTGCATACCTCTAGGCCCTGGAATGTTCTGGAACAGTTGTCCTCAGATCAGCCCCCTCAGGCAGCTCTGTCTTTGAACTTGAACTGTACTTTTCACAGCGCTCTCCTGTCCTACTCCTGGGTGGTCCTGATGTGGTCGGGGAGGAGCACTAGGACCTGGAGCTAAGCCTCCCTGCCCAGGACAGAGAGAGAGGCCGTTGGCTTGTTTAAGACCCTTCTGGGCAGCGAGTCCCCTGAGGACAAGAGGATGTTTTCTACTTGCCTCCTGGGTCCCCCGTGCTTGGCAGAGAGAGGCCGCTGGGCACTGCTTTTTGGATGGATGGATGAATGAATGTGATCTGTCCCCGGCAGATGACACCAAGGCTGAGGAGAAGGAGCCCATTGAAACACAGCAAAATGGTGACAAAGAGGAAGATGACGAGGGGAAGAAGGAGGACAAGAAGGGGAAATTCAAGTTCATGTTCAACATCGCGGACGGGGGCTTCACGGGTATTGGGGTTGGGGGTTGGGCAGAGAGCTGAGGCTTCCTGACTGTGGGTCCCAGGAGTCTAGACCAGTGGTTAACTTTATACTAGAGTGTGACTGGTTGATGGAAGTCCATCGTATAACCTTTCTTAGCCACCCTGGAACACTGGACCTCTGGGGGTGGAGGCAGTGGCAAGTAGGGAGGGAGCGGCTCTCCAAGCCTGCCTGTGCGTGAGAGCTGGGGCACTTCTCACCCTGCTCACCTTGGCTTGTTTCCCAGAGTTGCACACGCTGTGGCAGAACGAGGAGCGGGCTGCTGTATCCTCTGGGAAAATCTACGACATCTGGCACCGGCGCCATGACTACTGGCTGCTGGCGGGCATCGTGACGTATCCTTGGCCAGGCCGGGCTGGGCAGGGACTTGCCCGTTCCTCCGTGGACCTCGGGGAGAGCCCTCTGAGAGCTCCGGGGGAAGCCTTCCTCGTTCTTCCTCAATCTTCCTCACTTCTGGCGGTGGCTAGAAATCCTCGGCATTGCTGTGTCGCCCGCTCCCCGCCGCTGTCATCCCGGCTTCTTCCTTATGTGTCTCTGTCTGGGTCCACATTGCTCTCTCTTTTTTTTTTTTTTTTTGAGATAGAGTTTCACTCTGTCACCCAGGCTGGAGTGTAGCAGCTTGATCTCGGCTCACTGCAACTGCTGCCTCCCGGGTTCAAGCGATTCTCCTGCCTCAGCCTCCTGAGTAGCTGGGATTACAGGTGTGCCCCACCACACCTGGCTAATTTTTGTATTTTTAGTAGAGACGGGGTTTCACCATGTTGGCTAGGCTGGTCTCGAACTCCTGACCTCAAGTGATCCACCCACCTTGGCCTCCCAAAGTGCTGAGATTACAGGCGTCAGCCACCACACCCGGCCTTTTTCTTTTTCTTTTTTTTTTGAGATGGAGTCTCGCTCTGTGGCCTAGGCTGAAGTGCAGTGGTGCGATCTCAGCTCACTGCAACCTCTGCCTCCTGGGTTCAAGTGATTCTTCTGCCTCAGCCTCCTGAGTAGCTGGGACTACAGGCATGCACCACCACTCCCAGCTAGTTTTTGTAATTTTAGTAGAGACGGGGTTTCGCCTTGTTGGCCAGGCTGGTCTCGAGCTCCTGGCCTCAAGTGATCTGCCCACCTTGGCCTCCCAAAATGCTGGGATTACAGGCGCGAGCCACCATGCCTGGCCCCAAATTTTCCTCTTCTTACAAGCATCCCAGTCATTGAGTTTAGGGCCCACCCTAGTCCAGCATGACCCTTTCTTAACTTCATTACATCTGCAAATACTCTATTTCCGAAAAAGGTTCCCATTCACAGGCACTGGGGGCAAGACTTAAACGTATGCACCCCAGGTTGTTGGGGTGAAGAGTTAACCCTCTGAAGCCCCGGGGCTGTGTCTGGTGCACCCAGGGCACCTGTCAGTGTCTGCTGATACTGTCACTGTTGTGTCATCAATATGTTCCTCGTGCAGCTGGGCTTAAGGACTTGCCTGAGAGCGTACAGCCAGAATGCCGACCCCCGGGCTGGCCCCTCCCCCTCCCTGAGCTGCCTCCCCCTACGGCCCCACCACTTCTAACGGCCAGGTTTGCCCTTAATGGTGCCCCACCCAGGCACGGCTACGCCCGCTGGCAGGACATCCAGAATGACCCACGGTACATGATCCTCAACGAGCCCTTCAAGTCTGAGGTCCACAAGGGCAACTACCTGGAGATGAAGAACAAGTTCCTGGCCCGCAGGTTTAAGGTCTGTCTTCTGAAGGGCCAGGGCTGCACGGGGCAGGGAGGGACGGTGTCAGGAGGACCCTCGCAAAGGCAAAGGAATTAGAGAGCAGCAACCCCTCCCCGTGTACCTGGGTCACGCTGCCACGAAGCAGCAGTATGTCCATCAACTAACAGTGGTGGATCCTTGCTCTGGCCCTGGCCCCACTGGGAAGTATCTGCCGCCTTGGGGTGTTGGGGTACAGAGAACCCAGCTTGGTGACAGCTCCAAGGGTTGGCCACCACCAGGCCAGGGTGGGCAGCAGATGGCAGTACGTCCTCTTTCCCTCCTTTCTGCCGGGAGCCTTGGCCTGGGGTGGGCGCTGGTGGAGCACGGAGGGTAGCCATTCAGCGGGAGGGGCCGGGCCGACGCTGCGCCCCGCCCCCAGCTGCTGGAGCAGGCGTTGGTCATTGAGGAGCAGCTCCGGAGGGCCGCGTACCTGAACATGACGCAGGACCCCAACCACCCCGCCATGGCCCTCAACGCCCGCCTGGCTGAAGTGGAGTGCCTCGCCGAGAGCCACCAGCACCTGTCCAAGGAGTCCCTTGCTGGGAACAAGCCTGCCAATGCCGTCCTGCACAAGGGTGAGCAAGTCCTGCCCCCCACGGTGCAGCCCCCCGCCCTTCCTCCTGCCCAGCGAGCGCTCTTGGCTGTAGATGAGGGCACTGATGGGGTAGGGGCTGGGGACAGATGTCAGCCCAGAGGGCGGTGGACTTCTGGGCCAAGATGGAACAGTCCTGTCATCAGACCCCTTATCTCCCCTGCAGGGAAACTGAGGCTGCTTGCTTCTCCAGCCTGTTTCTCAAGCCTGCTCTGTGCGGGCCCCGGCCCGGGCTAGTGACACAGAAAACCACGAAACTGTAAAGGCTTCTGAGTCCTGACAGCGTGACTTAAATGCACTGTGTCTTTAGCCCGGGCAATACCCATCAGCCTGGAGCCTTCTCCTTGGCCCCGTGTGGGAAGGGAAGTAGTTTGCCCAAGATCTCCCAGGATTCAGAGCTTTGGTGCTGGCTGCACATCTCTGCCTGTGGTCACAGGGCACACTTCTGCCCTCGGGGCTCCCGGCTGGTTGGGGGAGGGGTGGCCCTGTGGTGAGAGTTGCTGGACCCCTCCCTGTGCCCTGCAGCCCTCCCTGGTGTACTCTGATCCTGTGCCCAGTAGGGCCTGGGGCTGCAGGTCTCCCTGAGAACTCTTAGGAGGGAAGCCCAGCGTCAGGCAGCGCTTCTGGCTGGCTCGTCTGCAGCCCGTGGGCCCTTGCCCAGCCCAGAGGGGCTCCTGGGAGGAGTTCTTTGGAAGCTCCTGCTGTGTCCCCACTTGGCAGTGCTGCCTGCAGCTTGGGAGGGCCTGGTGCAGGGCACCCCCTGGTGCCCGGTTCTGGGCAAGTGCAGTCATACACCCTTGCAAATAAGCCCCAGCTCTCGGGCTACCTCCCCTGGCACAGCCCTTCATCCCTCCATCCCTCCATGCCTCCATCCTTCCACCCCTCCATCATCCCTCCATGCCTCCGTCCTTCCACCCCTCCATCCCTCTATTCTTTCACCCCTCAATCCCTCATCCCTTATCCCTCCATCCTTCCACACCTCCATCCTTCCATCCCTCCATAATTCTTCCATGCCTCCAACCCTCCATCCCTCTGTCTCTCCATCATCCCTCCTTCCCTTCATCATCCCTCCATTCCTCCATCCTTCCACCCCTCCATCCTTCCATCCTTCCATTATCCCTCCATGCCTCTGTCCTTCCACTCCATCCCTCATCCCTCTGTCATCCTTCATCCCTCCATCCTTCCACCCCTCCATCCCTCCATTATCCCTTCATCATACCTCCATCCCTTCATCCTTCCATCTCTCCGTCATCCCTTCATCATCTCCATCATTGCTTCATCCCTCCATCATCCTTCCATTCTCCCTCCATCCTTCCACCCCCATCCCCCATCTCTCCATCATCTCTCCATCCTTCCATCTCTCCATCTCTCTACCCGTCCATCCCTCCATCATCCCTTCGTCCTTCCATTCCTCCATCCCTCCATTATCCCTTCATCATACCTTCATCCCTTCATCCCTCCGTCTCTCCATCTTCCCTCTATCATCTCTCCATCATCACTCCATCCCTCTATCATCCTTCCGTCATCTCTCCATCCCTCCATCCTTCCACCCGTCCATCTCTCCATCATCCCTCCATCTCTCCACCCCTCCAACCCTCCATCATCCCTCCATCTTTCCACCCCTCCATCATTCCTCCATCCCTCCATCATCCCTCTATGCCTCCATGTCTCCACCATCCCTCCATCATCCCTCCATCTCTCCATCATCCCTCCATCCCTCCATCCCTCCATCCCTTCACCCCTCCATCACCCATCCCTCCACCGTCCCTTCATCCCTCCATCCCCCATCTCTCCATCATCCCTCCATCCTTCCATCCCTCCATCATCCCGTCCCTCCACCTTCCTTCCATCCTTCCATCTTCCATTATCCCTCCATCTCTCCATCCTTCCACCCCTCCATCCCTCCATCATCCCTCCATCCCTCCATCTCTCCATTATCCTTCATCATCCCTCCATCCCTCCATTATTCCTCCATCATCCCTTCATTCTTCCATCATCCCTCCATCCCTCCATCATCCCTCCATCTCTCCATCATCCATCATCCCTCATCCCTCCATCATCCCTCCATCTCTCCATCATCCCTCCATCCCTATATTATCCCTCCATCATCCCTTCATTTTTCCATCATCCCTTCATCCCTCCATCATCGCTTCATCCCTATATCCCTTTATCTATCCATCATCCCTTCATCATCCCTACATCCCTTTATCTCTCCATCATCCCTTCATTATCCCTCCATCCCTCCATCTCTCCACCGCTCCATCCCTCCATCGTCCCTCCATCTATCCATCATCCCTTCATCATCCCTCCATCCCTCCATTATCCCTCCCTCATCCCTTCATTCCTCCATCATCCCTCCATCCCTCCATTTCTCCACCCCTCCATTCCTCCATCATCCCTCCATCTCTCCATCATTCCTTCATTATCCCTCCATCCCTCCAACATCCAACCATCATCCTTTCATCATCCCTCCATCTCTCCACTCCGCCATCCCACCATCATCCCTCCATCTCTCCATCATCCCTTCATTATCCCTCCATCCCTCCATCATCCCTCCATCCCTCCATCATCCCTCCATCCCTCCATCTTCCCCCATCCCTCCACCTTCCCTCCATCCCTCCATCTTCGCTCCATTATCCCTACATTATCCCTCCATCCCTCCGTCCTTCCACCCCTCCATTCGTCCGTCCTTCCACCCCTCCATCATCCTTCCATCGCTCCATCATTCCTCCATCCCTCCATCTTCCCTCCATTATCCCTCCATCATCCCTCCATCATCCCTCCATCCTTCCACCCCTCCATCCTTCCACCCCTCCACCCCTCCTCTCCTCCATCCCTCCACCCCTCCACCCCTCCATCCCTCCATCCTTCCATCCCTCCATCCTTCCACTGCTCCACCCCTCCACCCCTCCACCCCTCCATCCCTCCATCCTTCCACTCCTCCATCCCTCCACCCCTCCATCCCTGCATCCTACCATCCCTCCGCCTCCCACCACAGTCCTGAACCAGCTGGAGGAGCTGCTGAGCGACATGAAGGCCGACGTGACCCGGCTGCCATCCATGCTGTCCCGCATCCCCCCGGTGGCCGCCCGGCTGCAGATGTCGGAGCGCAGCATCCTGAGCCGCCTGACCAACCGCGCCGGGGACCCCACCATCCAGCAGGTCAGGCTCGGCCTGTGTGCCCCGGCCCGAGCCCCCTGGCGTGCCCCTGGGTGGAGGCTGGGTGGGGGGCCTGAGACCACCTGTGAAGCTGAGTCCTTGCCTCCAGGGCGCTTTCGGCTCCTCCCAGATGTACAGCAACAACTTTGGGCCCAACTTCCGGGGCCCTGGACCGGGAGGGATTGTCAACTACAACCAGATGCCCCTGGGGCCCTATGTGACCGGTAGGTGCCCGTCCGCTCCGGGCAGCATGCACACGGGTGCCCGCCGGGCCCGGCCTGCCTGCTGCTGCCAACGTCAGGCAAGCCCGGCTCTCCTCTTTTTTTGACAGATATCTAGCCGTCCTCGAGACTTCCCTGTGTTGCAGCGCTCATTTCCAGCTGAGGTGAGGGCTGCTGGGTGCTGTGTTCCTCCCCGCCACCCCATTGCTGGCAAACCAGGCCTGGCCACAGTCAGCCCTGCCCCTGCACTTGACTCCCGTCCCTAAGTCCTGGAGCTTTTACTGCCTCCGGCGGCTTTGAGAGCCACCCACCTGCCTGGAGCCCCTCTACCTTGCCCCCTTGGCCCTGGGACCACCTTGTGGCCAGCGTGTCTGTCCACTGGGAGGCTGGGGTGGCAGGACATGAAGGGGTCGGTGGACTTGGGTGAGCTCCTGTGTGTGCACATGTGTTCTCATTTGCACACATGTTCCCAGCGGAAGTCAGAGACTGCTGCCCCCGCCTGGAGCCCTGTCCTGCCCCTGCTGTCCTGCTGGTGGCAGACATCACATCTTGTCTTACACCCTCACTTCCTGCCCAGGACCAGGAGGGTGGCTGAGGGTTTTGTGGGGGCTATTGGCCAGGAGAGGGGGCTTATTTCAGAGAAACTGCCAGTTCATTCTGGTCTTCTCTGGGGCCACCAGCCTCCACTACGCTGTGTCTGTCCCTGTGGGAACCGTGTCTTGCTGGAGGAGGCTCCAGAGGGGCTTCCTGGCTGGCTGCCCCTGCCCACTGCTGCTTCCTGGGTGCTCTCGGCACTCTGGGTGTAGCTCATGGCCTGGCCCGGCAGCCTGTGGCTGGGAGGTCATGGCTGGGGGGCACCCCGATCATAGTTGGTTGTGATAGGTGGAGAAGCAGCTACAGGCTGTTGGGTGCCACCCTGATGCCCCCTATAACTGCCCACCTGCTTAACCCACTGATTTGCGTTTTGCAGCCACGCCTGCCGGGCCACCTGCCCGACCCACATGGGAGAGAAAAGCTGCCACCTTTTTAGGAGCCAGCGCCACCTTGGGACAAAAAGGGAAACCTAGTAATGCCATCACATGGAGGACGAGGCCCAGCTCAGCTGGGCCAGAGCCCAGAAGTGCCACCTCATCATAATTCAAGTGTTCTTCCACACAGCGTTGCCCCCACAACCACGCCGGACGTGCCCCCTCGCCACCTTTTCCAGACGACTTCTTAGAAGAGATTTCATTTATTTGTACATCTTTTGCACTTTCCTATTGAAGACTTGAACACGTTTGTCTTGATAAAAGTTGGATGACGTATGGAAGATTCGAACCTGCAGCACTGATGTCTCTTTACCGATGGGTTCCAGACCCAAGGTAGTCCTGGCACTGCCCTGTGGACTCAGCCCAGCTGGGGAGGACATGGCGCCCGGTGCCCTAGGAGCCCTCAGTGTCCCCTACCTGACCTGTCTGCACCTGTGTGACAGCCCCTTCTGATTTGGCCCCCTGCCCGCTTGGAGCCTCCCAGCACCAGACAGGGCAGGTTTGGGGAGCCGCTGTCCAGCCCTATGGTGAGACCCTGGCTGACATTTCCCCTCCTTCCTGCCAAGGCTGGAGGCCGCCAGGTGTTTGCTCTCTCCTTGTGGGGAGGTGGATCCTCTGCCAGCAGGTGTCTGTCCCCGGCCCAGCGCATCTTGAAGGCCCTGGACTCTGTTACCAGTGGGGGGCCTGTGGCCCCGGCTCTTCACAGCAGGCAGAAGCGTATGATCCCAGGGAGGGTGGGCTGGGGGGGGGGCAGCACTTGCCTCGGAGCCACTGCTGCGTTGGGTTTGCCTTCTGCCAGAGGTGTGGTTAAGGGCAGTGATAGCTGCGCCCCAGCAAGGAGGGTCATGGGCCCTGAGCTGGCCCAGGAGACCCTGGCCCTGCCCTGTGCCCTGGGATGCCTACCCTGCCCACCTCCGGAGGTGGAACCGGGCTGCCCCTGGGGGCCTGGACTTGTCCCATTCCCCTGTCCCTGGAAAGGCCTTCCCGGGGGCTTTTTGCCTGAGGCTGCACTCTTGGAAGGCGTGGGGAGAGTTCTGCCTGGAGGGGGACTGGACCCAGTGCCCTCTGCAGACCCCTCCCAGCCGCAGCACCAAGGGCTTGCTGCCTTGTTTCCTGCCAGGAGCGCCCTGACATCCCAAAACCATCTTCCCACATGTGGGTTGTTGGAATCCCACCCACTCCCCCGGACCCTGCCCCTCCAAGTTGGGGACGGAGATGGGGAGCAGGTCAGGCCCTCCCTAGGCCTGTTTGTGTGTGATCCTTCTCCTGGCCCCAGGTCGACCTGGAAGGCGTTTCTGAGTCTTGTACTGGGACCTTCCCAGGGAAGGTGCCTTGGGGTGCAGAATCCTGGGAATGTTAGGAAAGGGCTGCGTGAAAAACCCAGCTGGGCCTGGGGTGGAGGTGCACACGGGCTGGGGCTCAGCTCCTTGGAGAGGGCCTGCCTGGGACTGAGGGGGCCAGGGCTGGGTCAGGATTCACCAGCTTGTGTTGCAGACACTGGAGCGATTGCCTGGCCCTCCCTAAGCCCTATATGCCTCACTCATAATGAGGCTGTCTCTGAACCCCGGAGGGCGGGACCTACAAGTCCTTCCTCTTGGCGCATTCCCACACTCCAGTCTGGATCCAGGTCTGCAAGGCCAGCCCGACCCTGACACTGCACGTGGGCGTAGTGGGGAGCACCCTGGAGTGGAGATGATTGTCAGCGGGCTCACATGTTATGGTTCATCCACATGCGTGTTGTGTGCTCTGCGGTGCCTCCTGGCAAAGGGTCCTGGCTCGGGTCAGAAGCTCACTCCCGTGCCCTCGTCCCCAAACAAGCAGTGGCAAGCACTGGGGTTGGCCCTCGTTGGGAGCAGTGCCCACCTTCCTTGGCCCACAGCAGATAGGTCCCGAGCAGCAGGACTGGAGGCCTGTGGCGGTCAGGGCAGGGGTCTGTGTCTCCACCCCAAGGGCTGATGGTCCCTCCCCTGTGCGCCTTCCTCTCAGGCAGGCTTGCTCTGTCCCTTCCTCTCTGCTTCCCTCCCAGGCCTCGCCAGGGCTCCCTTCTCCTCTGCCTGGTTAGACTCGGGCACCCAGGAAAGCCTGGCCAGGGCTCCTTTGGGCCTGGGCCCCCTGCACTGCCTGGTCCAGAAGGGGTGGTGCTGTCCGTGGCCAGCACCCCGGGGCCCGGGAGGGGTGGGCTACTAGAGTCAGAGCGGGTTTGGGGCTGACCAGTTTGGGAGAGGAGAAAAGATCTGAGAATGTCCTTCTTGGTTTGTCAGTCATCTCTGCCAAAAGTGGTGATGGTGGTGTCCGTATGTTTGGCGTCTTTGGGCTGGGTTTGGTTTTTGCTGCTGGTAGAATCAGGGTCCTCGGGCATGAACGCGAGCCCAAAGTGCCAGTCTGCGATTGGAAATTTCCAGCCACTTTAAGCCAGTGCTGAGTAGGGCTTCTGCAGAGCCATGTTTGAGCCAAGGTCTTGGAAGGCATTGCCCCATGGGCTCAGGTGACTCGGGGTGGAGTGAGCACGTCTGCAGGGCCCTCTCATACACGCCTGAGGCAGAAGCAGCGTCCCCCGTGAAAGCCACCTTCCGAAGCTCCTGCGTTTTTTGCAAACTTGGCTTCCCCCAGGGGCAGGCTGGACTTTCCCTGCCCCCTATGATTGAAGTCCTCCTGCTTTTGGGGGCTGCCTTCCCAGAGTCCCCCGGGTGCTCCCCTGCCGAGGTCAGGAGCTGACCAAGCCTTGGCCCGGTGACACCTGCAGCCCTCACTCCTGTCATCCCAGGACACTTGAGGCCCAAGGAGGTGGAGTGGAGAGTGGGCTCGGGTACATGGGAGCCAGAAGCCAGATGGACTTGGTCAAGTGTCGGTCACTTGGAGCCTCCAGTGTGCGTCAGGGTCTGTGGGCAGGGGACAGGGCGTGGGTGGGGGCCGAGGCTGGCACGCCCCTCTGCCCTCACCGTCTTGGTGACCTGGCCTCGGCCCCTCCCCCAAGTCTCTTCTGTGCAAGGCCCGCCTCGGCCTCGGCAGCTGGTTCCTGTCCTGTTTTCTGTGTCTGAAAGTTTACAGGTTGTGGTGCATCAGCCCAAACTCACTGGCGTTGTGTTTTTTTTTTCTTTAATTTTCAGATTTTTTTTTTAAACAAAGTATTTTTTTAGGTGCGATAACCCAGAAAGGGCCCGTTGGGTGTGTGTGTGTGTCCTGAACTCCTCAAGCAGCGATTGGAGCCCAAGCACCCCTGGAGAGGAAGGGAGGGTCCCCACTGGCCCGTGGGGTCTGAGTTCAGGGGTGTGGAGGGAGCAGACTCCACCGGCCCAGGCCCAGCTAAGAGGGGGCCGACCCCTTTCCCCAGGCACAGCCCCAGGCTGGCAAAGGGAGGGCCCTGGGCTGGGTGCAAGGCGCGCCAGGAGTCCCAGCCAGGGTGGCCCCGGCGGGGGCGGGTCCAGCTTTGGAAGCCAGGCTCCCCTGTGAGCCGTGGCTTGTCTGGTCTTCGCCCACGGGAGGCTGGACAGAGGCTGTAGCCAACACAATCACCTTTACTTTGTACTCTGTGTGTATGTTTTGGTTTTCTGTGTTTTAATAAATCCTTTGGGAAAGGATTTAATCAGAGGCTTTTTCTTTTTAAGATTCAAGATTTAGAATGGGGGTGGGGGCTGGGGCCAGGGAGGAGTGGTGGGGGGTGGGGGCGTGTCCGGAAGCCTTCTCTTGCCTGGGATGGTCATTTCACGGGTGCAGGGGCTCACTGGGAAGGAGGGGAGCCCGAAACAGGGGTGTGCTGGGGTGAGGCCCCTCTCACCTGTACCCCAAACACATACCATGAGAGCTTCCCCAGGCCTGGACCTCTGTCCTTATGAGAACAGCAGCCAGCCAGGTCCCCAGAGGGACAGCAGCCTCCCAGCAAGCAGCTTTGGGCCCTCAGAGTTGGTGAAAGAGAATGTGTGTGTTGGGGGCGGCAGGGGAGGCACGCACCCTCCCTTGGCTGAATCGCTTGGGAGAGATGGGGGACAGGTCTTCTGACCACCCTGTCCCCATTCTCTGTCCCCGCTCTCTCTCCACGGGCCCTTTCCAACCCACCTGCCCTTGGCTGCAGGCTCCGGTTTGGGGGATGCCCCAGGCCCTGCTGCTGGCAGCCTTTTCCTCCCCTCCCGTGTCACCCTGGCCCAGCCCTGACCCTGAGGAAATGAGAGGAGCAAAAAGTCACAGAGACCGATGGGTTTGGGCTTTATTTATTTTGTCATTCCATAAATACGGTGGCTGTGTCGCGGTCTGAGTCTCGTTTGGAAGCTCGAGGCATAGGACAGTCTCTGCCTGGGTAGGGAATGCAGTTAGCTGAGGAACCACGGTAGGTTTAAAAAAAAAGACTCGGGGAGAGAAAAAGCACATTATTTACATGACTGGACAAGGACAGAAGGTGGGAGGAAGCCCCTGTCACTCCTTGGGACCTGGGATCTGAGCACAAAGCTGAGTGGGAAACAGTGGGGGCTCCGAAGCGTCCAGCAGGGCCAGCGCCCTCCTTTCTAGACCCCGACTGCCCTTGGTCTTCTGCCCTTTCTTGGATGGTCCTACCCAATACCTCCTCCCGAGAGGGGGGACCTGGCCCTAGGAGGCAGAGCCCCCTCACATCCTCCCTGTAGATGGGTGTGGAGCAAGCAGGACATCCAGGAACCAGGTCGTGGAAAGAGCTGCGCCAGAGGCTGACTGCATCCTGACACTGGGGCCTGGCCTCTCTGTGTTTGGCAAACCCGCAGCCTTTGGGGGCTCAGCTGCCCCAGGTGTGCCTCGCATTAAGCAGCAGTGCCCACCCTGGGCACCACCTCGCGCTGGTCCCTCTTCCAACAGTGGGTGGGGCTGGGTGGCAGTGGGGATGGGGCCAGCCACCCTCCCTGATGGCGAGGGTGGGCCACCTGCCCTCTGGCACCATTGGCCACTGCAGGACCCTGTCCGGGAAGGAAGCAGGCGACCCCCACCTGGGCCCAGGGCCATAGGCTGGGACCTCCGTTGGGAAGGGACTTCCCCACCCCACACTCACAGGGCTGCTTCTGGTGAAGCAGGCAGCAGGACTGAGTGGAGACCCCCGGGACTTGGTCTATGAGGAGGGGCAAGGGTTCTAGGCGCCAGGGGCAGCATGAAGGGGGGTCGGTAATAGCAGAAGCTGATCCCCCTCCTCCCCTCGCCCCAGCCTCTCCCCGCTGGCCTTTCTGACTTTCACAGTTTCCCAGGCCTTGGCCCGGCCAGGACTGGACAGCAGGCTCCCGCAGGACGGCAGGGTGGAGCCTTCTGGAATAGTGGCTCCTCCAGGGGCAAAGCGGGAACAGAGGTGCCTGCACTGAGGGTGCGCCCTGGGGGCAGGAGACACAGGCTTCCCTATGGAGCTAGCTGGCGAGGGGTGGGGGTGGCTTCAGTGGAGCCCTGCCCCGCGTGGTCTGCAAAGCCTGGGTACTGCTTGGGACACAGGCCTGGGCCTGTAGGTGGCACCCCGCACCTGCAGACTTACTGGCATCCCTTGCCCTCCGGCCCAAGCTGCACGGGGGCGTCACTCTGGCCTGTCCTGCCCTCTCTCCCCTCTGCCCAGCCTGTCCCAGGTGTCAGGCAGTGGGAGGGGCTAACCAGCCCTGCCCGTCTTTCCAGGGAGAGGTTCCCTGAGGTCTTTTCCTACATTGTGGGGGTGCTGTGGGGGTGCAGCCCCCAAGTCATGGGCACAGAAAACCCCAAAGACCCTTCCTTACTGAAAGGGTCCAAGCATGCGCTCCACAAAACCCAAGCCCACCAGCTCGGTGCAGAGCAGCGGCCTGGGCTGGCGGGCGGCTTTAGAGAAAGTCTACAGGGGCCGAGAGGAGTGCATCCTTGTGCACAGGGCCGGCCCCTGCTGCCACTTGCCGTGGTGTGGCCAGCAGCCACCGTGCAGCTAGGAGCACATGACCACAGGGCCTTCCGGGGCCAGGACAGAGGGGTGGCCAGACAGAGGGGCCTGCCCCACTGGGACCCCTCCCAAGCGCTCCGGGCCTCACTGGCATGAGGCTCATCATTGGTGTGTAGGAGGAAGACGGTGGGAGGCTGAGCTAGAAATCACACCGCTACGCTTTTTGTGGCTCCCAAACTGCAGAGTCAATCCCCCTGGGGTCCCTGCCCCTGCCAGCAAGGGTGGGGGTGGGTGGGGGTCAAGGGCCAGCTCGAGCTTGGTAGGCATGGCCCCTGCCGGGACCCAGTGGGGCAGGTTGGAGCAGAAAAGGATGGGAGAGGAATCTGTGGTCAGGCCCCAGATTCCTGGAGCCCTTGGAAAGTGGGAGGTGGAGGAAGACCCCCAGTGGGGAGGCCCTGCCCCAGCAACCAAGGCCCTGGCAGAAGGGGCCCCTCGATGGGCCAGACCCCTTTCCCCTCTCCCCCTACACCAAGTGGGGATTCTCAGCAGAGGAGAGGCTGGCCCTGCCCGCCCCAAGGACCCAACCAGGCCTTGGCCTGGCCTTGACTTTGGGAACCTTGGAAATCTTTGGGCCTTGACTTTGGGAATCTTGGCTGTGGCTGGGAGAAAGCTGGGTGGTCTTGGAGGATGAGCAGAGGTGACAGGCTTGGGTGGGACCGTTTGAACATCCTTCCTAACCAGTGCCTTCCCCGGCACAGACTGGACTTCGACATTGTCCGGCGAAGCAGTGGGTGGTGTCTGGCAGCGACTTGGGAGATCATTTCCCGATGACATCACAGTGTGGTGTTTTCTCTTGGATGCAAACCACACTCTTCACTTGGCTTCAAAACAGCTTAAGCGAGCGAACAGAGACTAGGAGGGAACGGAAACTGTCCGAGCAGGCGGGCGGGGGCGGCTTAGGATCTGTAGTCCTTTTTGCTGTAGGGTTTATTGCCCAAAATACTATCAATCTCGTGGATAATGGAAGATGACAGTTTCGGAAGGACCTGCGTGCAAGAACAACAACAAATCAGAATCCCACCAACAAGACGGGCCTGGCCTGGGGAGGAGGTGGGGCCAGGCTCTTCCAGATGGTCGGCTGGCCAGGCCCGGGTTGCCCCATCACATCTGGGCTCCATCTGAGGCAGATGGAGGCCACGCTGCTTTTGTGTTTCAGAAGGTTTGGGGCAGAGAGGAAGCATGCCTGGGTCTGTGCACTCCCTCTCAAATGTCAAGGTGCCCTAGAACCTTCCTGAAGGGTGGTGGCAGCAGTGACATAAAATGGAAACTCCAGGCCAAATGCTGGACTTCCATGTCCGTGACTGCTTTTTCCAGCTGCGCCTGCCTCAGCATACAGCACCGCCACCCTTCCGGGTGACACACCCGGGGACCGACTTCCACCTCGCCTTCTCACCCCCACATCCAGTTTGTCAGCCAGTCCCGGGGGCCCCACCTTCCCAAACATCCAGGATCCAACCACCACTCCCGTCTCGGACCCGCAGCTGCCACTTCCCACCAGGGCTCTCTGCTTCGACTTTTGCTTCCCAAAGCCTCCCCGATGGAGCAGCCGGAGAGCAGCCTCCCTTTCCAGGCTGAGCTGCAGCTCGCCCTCCTCTGCCCACAATTTTGCCACGGCTCCCGTCTCACTCAGAAGTCCCTGGAGGTGTTTCGTGCCTCTCAGGATCTGCCCCTCTGCTCCAGGCCTTTTTGGGCCTTTGCATCAACTCTTCCTGCTGGTGGAAGGTTCTTCCCGCAGGCATTTGCGTGACTTACTCCGCATCTCTCAAGACTGCTCAAGCACCACCTTCTCAACAAGCCCACCTGACAGGCCCCCTTGAACCTGAGTCTGCAGCGCCACCGTCCCTGGCCCCAGCTCCCTCCCTTTATCTCTGGCTTCTCTCCTACAGCGCTCGTCCACCCTGACACACATTCTAACCTCCTTGTTTCGTGCAGTTAGTGTTCATGTCTGTTCCTGCTGGAAAGCAAGCTCTCCAGGAGCACAACTCTGATGGTTCACGGGCGCATCCTGAGTGCCTAGAACAGAGCCTGGCACGCAGGACGAGCCTGGGAGGATGCACTGGACGGGGCTCGGGCTGGGATGGGCCCTCTGCCCAGCAGGGCCTCTCACTCTTACCTGTATTGCCCCAATGTTCTCCATGAGCTGGTCCGCATTGGAGGCCCCCAGGAGCACGGAGCTGACTCCCTCATTCCTCAGGCACCAGGCTGTGGCGGCGAGACCCAAGGTGAGGGAGAAACACCCACCACAGGGGCCCCTGATGGGTCTGCCTTGCCTCTGACTGGGCCGAGAGACCCAGCATCTTGGTCTGGGGGTCTGAGGGGGTCTAGGAAGCCCTGCAGTGCTGGGCACGGGCTTTGTCTAAGAGGTGGCTGGAGGAGGCATGGGGGAGCCCGCTGCTCCCTGATGGAGAGGTGGCCCAAGTGCTTAGCGCTCCCCATCCTCTTCCCATGAAAGCGGGAGCCCCATTACCTATGGCTGGCAGATGGAGGGGGTGGCCCAGGTCCTCAGGGACTCCTGACATCCCCCTAGAGGCATGGGGTCCCAACCATGCCCCTTAGAGCCCGATTACCCGAGGCTGGCTGGGGGATGATGTCCAGGGATCCCTTCCCTCTCTCCCCGGAGACACTGGCCCCATGGCAACCCCACCCTGTTACCTACGGCCAGCTGGGGCAGGTTCTCCCCAGGGGCACTGGCCCCATGGCGACCCCACCGTTACCTATGGCCAGCTGGGGCAGGGTGCAGCCCAGGCGCTCGGCGATGGCCTGCAGCTCCTTCAGCTTGGCTTGCTGGCGCCGGCCCTCCTCACTGAGGATCTTGTCCTTCAGCCACTGGTAGCCCTGGTTGCGGGGGAGGGGAGCAGCACAGCTACAGATGAGAGCAGGTCACCTGGACCCCCACGTGCAGGGGGCCGATGGGCTCATTCCTTCTGGACCCTTCTCCCTCATAGGGGCTCTTCTCATCTTGAAGCCAGGGCAGTGCCCCTGCCCCAGGCCTCTCAAGTAGGGGAGAGTGGGCAGTGGGCCGGGCACGGGCTGGTGGATGAGCGGGGCCTGTCCAGGCTCTGAAGTGCAAAGACTGTGGTGCTGGCCCAACCCCAAGTCAGGACAAGGAGGCGAGGTGCTGGCCTTCCTTCTCTTAGGAAACTTGGCAGCCTGGGGTCTCGGCTGCCACCCGTGGCCCAGAAGAACCTCCTGGCCCTAGGGGAGTGCTCTCTCCCCTGGCCATCCCCCCCAGAGGATTGCAGGGCCTCCTGGAGGGGGGCCCTGACCTTGCCATGGGATGGGAGGAGTCGGGGGCCAGGCCACGTTGCCCTGGAACCCAGGGCTGTGGGCCCCAGTGCTGAGACTGCTGGCTGGGCAGACTTTCTTGGCCTGCTCCTTGTTCTCCAGATCCTGCAGTCTGGGGACCCTCCTGAGTCCCCACTCAGAGGTTGTGTGGTGGGGAGGGGCGCCTCTCCCAGGGTCACCTCCATGTGGCTTTGCAGCCCCCATCTCGGAGCCCAGGCCCAGGGGTCTCAGAGTTCTGAATGCTGGGCTGTGGTGGGGGGCAGAGGTGGGGGATGTGGTAGGGGGTAGAGATGGGGGGATGTGGTGGGGGCAGGGGGGGGGATGTGAAAGGGCCTCTCCACTTGGGCCTGTGCCACAGGCTGGGCAGCCCCTCTACACATGGGATCAGGCCAGGAGGGGCTCCATGTTCTCACGCCAAGGAGCCCGCCCCCAGCAGACCGAGGTGGGAACAGCTGCAGCTCCCGGAACCCCTGCCCAGCACCAAAGCAGTCGGCCCAAAGGTCCCACCCGTCCAAAATGCCTATCCCCTGCCCGTCCCTCCCCACCAGGCTGTTCCTTCACCTTCAAGGAGGCTCTTGAGTAGGGTGGGATGCCACTGTCGTACTTGCCAGAAACAATGCCACAGGCCAGAGGGGACCAGGTCATGGCGCCCACTCCTGAAGAGGAAAAGCAGGTGGAGTCAAGCCCTGGGCCCGAGAGCAGGGGTGGGGTGGGGCGGGGCGAGGGGCCCGAGGGTGCCCACCTATCTTGTGGAACAGCTCCGGCAGCTGCACCTCCACTTTCTCACGCTGGAACATGTGGTACTCAGCCTGCTCGCAGATGGGCGGGGTCAGGTTGAACTGCCGGGCCACGGAGTAGGCCTCCTGTGAAGGCAGAAAGGGACCCCGAGGGCCCTTGCCTGTGAGCAGGCGGGAGGCTGCCGGGGCAGCCATGGAGAGGGCACCAAGGTGTCCCCGGAGCAGGCTGGCCCAGCAGCTGCAGCCCGGGCTCCCCACTGCTCACACTCATAGCTTCCCTGGGAGCCAGGCAGGCCCTGGTGAGCTGGGAAAAGGAGGTGGGTGGTGGGACCCCCAGGCCGGAGGGTCCAGTTATGAGCAGCCCAGGCTCTGAACCACACAGCCTGGATGTTAATCTTGGCCCAAGCTGTGTGACCTTGGCATGTTACTGAACCTCTCTGTGCCACAGTGTCCACATCTGAAAAATGGGCTGCCTGCGGCACTCACCTGGTAAAGGCACCGGTGAGGATTGCATGTGAGAGGGTCCCTGTGGAACCCTTGACCCTAACAGCACCGGGCACGTCTCAGGAGCCCAGTGGAAACAGCTGACGGTGTTGTCACCCCAGAGTGCTTGCTGAGCTCCAGGGCATCTGCTAAGAGCTTCACACTGGCTCTCTCAGGGACTCCTTAGAATGGCCCCATGGGGGCTCACCTAGCAGATGTGTTCTACAGGTGGGGAAACAAGCTCAGAGACGTTAAGCCATTTGTCCAGGGCCACACAGCGCTGGGATCCATGCAGAATCCCCGTCTGCAAGGCCTACAGACATAACCACCACACTCCACCATCCTGTCCCTCCCTTAGCACCCAGGCATCGGTGCAGTTGGGACCAAAGGCACAGACCCCGCCAGAGCTTTGGGGTCTCCATACGCAGCCGGTGCCGGGAGTCTGTGCCTGGACACACACATGCTGCGCGGCCACCGTACCATGATCTCCATGGAGCTCCAGCGTGACGTGCCCCAGTACATGGCCATCCCCTGGTTGATGACGTGGGTCATGGCGCGGACGGTCTCTGTCGTGAGAGAAAGGGAAACCGCAGGTGGGGGGCAGCCAGGGCTCAGGGCCAGCCTCGGGACATTCTGCAAATACAGGCAGGACGCTGGGAGGAGGGACAGGGGCTGCGAAGATGTCTTGCAAGCAGTGTACTTCCTGGCTCTGAAGTTGGGTGTGGGAGGGGTTTTTTGGGATGAAAGAGAAAAGTGAACCACAATCCTAGAAGTTGGTCGTGAAAACAATTTCCCCGACTGGTTACAGGCCTATGGAAATGTTGAAAAATGGGTTATGGATGGACCGTGATGTTTCTATGGTAGATTAGAGGGGACAATCAAAGAATGTGGCTCTGGACTCTAGAACTGGAGGTTCTCTGGTCTGGGGAAGATTCGAGGGCCCCGATCACTCAGGAAGGACCAGGTGAATGCATGAACGTTACAGTCAGATTGGCGGCAGGAGGGACATGTGTTTTTGCGTTTCTGGTCTCCTACTTCGGGCTATTCCAAAGTCTAATTGGAACAGAGAGTGGGCTGGATAAGGAGATGTGGCAGGACCTGGGGCGCCATATGGTCCCGGAGAATAGGGCTTCGGGGCTGAGCTCATGTTTCCTGTCATGTCCAGGAGACTGAGAAGTGGGCGTGGAAAGCCTTGTAAGACCATGGCCCAGGTTCTCAAACCAGCCCAGCACCAGGCCAGAGTCCCAACCCGCCTGTCCCCTGGCAAGGGGTGGTCCCAGGGCCACAGGGGTCTGGGTGCTCCTCCTGTGAGGGGCCAGGGCCTGGAGTAGGACAGTTTTGAGGCTCCATGAGCCCTGGGAACAACCTGAATCGTGGACGGCGGAGACTCCTAAGGCCCTGAGGATGAAATCGCGGAGACTTCACGCTGGCCTTTTAAAGAAGAGAGGAGGGACCCTCGCCCCAGCGACACAGTGGATTCTTCCCAATATTCAAACATGGCTTTGAGACACAGCAATCTGCTGGTTATAGCTCCCTCTCAGCCTCATGGGGATATTGTGATTTTAAAAACAGAACTTGGCGTCGAAATTTCAAATTTCAGAAGCCTCTGAGCTTTGCAGGGCGAGGGACTATGGCGCTAGGCTTCTCACGGGTCGGATACAGTGCTTGCAAGTTCGACCGCCAAAGGCAGTGTGGGAGTGAGTGGGAGTGCAAGTGTTTCTAAAGACAGCAACAACGTTGACCCTGGAAAAGCCCTGGCTCTCCCTCAGTGCCTGCTTGTCCTTTGCCCATGCTGCGTGGAAGCTGAGGTCCTGAAAATGCTGGGAGTGGGGCTGATGGGAAGGAAGGAAGGATGGAAGATGCTGGGTTTGTTCTGCAGGCTCCCCCCTGGAATGGCAACGAGGCCACAAAGTGGCAGTGCTGGCTTCCCGTCCACTTCTGTTTTGGGGGTCGCTCCCTGAGTGCCCCTTTACTGAGGTCCACCCTGAGCAGAACCTGGGGCCTCCTAAAGGCTAGAGCTGAGGCCACTGGGGTTTCTGGAGTGGTGGTCTCGGCAGACTCACCCAGGACCCCTGGCAAACCACCCTTGGCTTCCACGCTTGCAGGCCCAGCCCTGCTCTCTGCTTACTTCCAAGGTCAGAGGTTGTAGCTCCTGGGAATCCTCTCTGTCCCCTCCTGGGGGTGGAGATCTGGGAGGGAGTCTGAACTCTCTGGGCCACCTCCCTGGGCCACCTGCTTTAACTGCCAACTCCGATAGACCCTCAGGAAGTGCCTGGTTGGGAAAGTTTGAGGAGAACCTAGAGGGTCCCAGGAGAATCTCTGACTACATCCTGCCCAGGTCCGGGCTCCTGGCCTGCCCGGCCTTGTGGTTTTTTAGAAACACTCTCGGGGCACCTGTGAGCATGCAGCATCAGTTCCCGATTCTTCTCAGCCAAGGCTTAGGTCCACATGCCAGACAGAGGGAAGCCAAGGCCCCCAAGGCCAGCCCCGTTCCCTCACTCTCCCTCCCCGGCAGCTGTCTCAGGTCTCCAAGGTCCCAGCCAGTGAAACCGCATGCTGCCCTGCGGCGCCCCTTCCATGCAGTGATGGAGAGACGGGGCTGACGGGGCAGGAGCCTCTGGCTGTCCTGAGGTGGGGAGTCCTAGGCAAAGGCCCCTGGGCTCCCTGGAGGATCTGGGCAGAAGCAGGCTGGACAGGGAGCCCACATGAGGGAGCACCCTGCACTTGTGCCCAAGTGTGATATCAGTGGCCCCAGACCCAGGGACAATTAGGGACAACTGTCCTTCACCTCAATATTTAATGGGGTTGAACGGAAGTAGGAAGACTGAATCCTTCTAGCTGCTGCCAAAACTCACAGCATCTCCTGCCGCATCACAAATAATACATGGGGGTTCAGGTGGCAGCACCAGTTGGCAGACAGGGGCCCAGGCCCAGGGAGATCGACACCTGCCCTTGGGGTGGGGTCCTGGGGCCGTTAGCTGTGGGGAGGGCAGAGAGACTGTGCGTGGCCAGAGGCCACCCCCTGGTTTCAGAAGGCTGCCGGCTCCTGTGGTTATTCTTTCAGGAGGAAAATGATTCCACGTTGATGGAGCGCTTTGGCAACCTGGTGAGAGGGGACACGCAGCCAGCATGCCGTCCGAGGAGCAGCGTGCTGTGGACGGGGCAGCGTGACAAGCCAGGTGATCTCTGCCTCCAGGAGAGACAGGAGCTTAGCAAACATAAACCATGGAGGAGCTAAGACTCGGTGGGGGGCCGCGTGTTTTGGGGTCCCTGATGGCTTTGCTCCTTGTGGAAACCTGGTCTTCCCCAACCCTTCCCATGGCACCATCCAGGGTCAAGGCTCCAGGTGGGGATCACAGCATCCTCAGATCAAGAGGACCCCCGGCCGCCGCGGAGCTCAGCAGTGCAAGCCCAGGGGTGGGGGCCATGCACGGGAGGAAGGAGGAACGAGGGGATGGGGGGCTGGGGGCGAGGGGCTCCAACACCACTTTGCTTTTCCTTCACTTGCAAGGTGTTCTCATAGGGTGCTCTTTCCCCTCTTTATGCATTTTATGGAGAAGTTTCTCATGGGGTAAAAGAATCATGTAAATAAAAATACTGTCTCATAAAATGCAGCTTGGACACAGAAGTCAATAGTCAGGCTGGGGGCACTGTGTACCTTCTATGATGAATGTCCTTGACTTGGAGGAACTAAATGGGTCCCCTGGTGATAGAAGAAAGATTTAAAGAGACCAGAGTTGATAGCTGGGAGCACTGAGAGGCGTGGCACGACGAAGGCACAGCGGGGAGGCACAAATCACCGTGCAGAACACGCGTTTAGTTAAAAAGGAAAAAAATATATCAACACACGCACGTGCGTGCTGTATATGAACAAATAAAAAACAATAACTGGAACACAATTTAACTTTCAAGTCCCTGCAGCAGCAAAGCACACATGGAAAGACGCCTGTAGCAGGAGGATGGGGGAGCGGAGGGGGCTGAGATCGCAGGAGTAGAAAGAATAAAAAACGCCAAAGTAACCAAAACCGATTTTCAAAGCGCTGAACGCTTCTTCTCCTCTATGTAGTAATTTATCCCCCAGAGCAAAAAAGTCCCCCCAAGCTTCCCAATGGATGGTGATTGGAGAGAACACCGCAGTTGGAGTCCCCACACTGCGACTTCACTTAGCTGCAAAATAGCAGCCGCAGAGGGGAGGGGACAGTTCCACTGCGGCTCTGACTCGGAGGGCGGATCGGCCTGGGTCCAAAGCCAGGACAGGGACTCAGCCTGGAGGTGCCAGGTGCACCTGGCGAGGGGTCTGCAGCCAGAGGCTGAGTTCACCCCCTACTGAGGGGAGGCCTGCCCCCTCGCCCCCCACCCTGGACCCGGCCTCCTCTCACGGCTCACCCGGGTGCCCAGCAGGGCCCATGCTGGCGGCCTCTACAACCCCAGGTTCAGACCCTTCAGACCCCGCCCAGGCCTAACCGGTGGCGCCGCCGCAGACCACCTACCTTCCATCGGGGTGTTGGGGTCCGGGCGGTTGGCAAACACCACATCCACGTACTCCAGCTGCAGTCGCTCCAGGGAAGCTTTCAGACCTGGGGGAGGACCAGGTGGGGGGGCGTCACTGCTGTGGCTCCATCTCCACAGGCACCTGGGCCCATCCATGCCCGGCTCAGGGAACAAGAGATGGAGAAGAGGCCTCTGGCATCTGGAAGCTTCCAGAAGCTGATGGAGGTCGTGAAATGCCACGGCAGAGGTGGGGGCACATCCCACAGGGAGTGGGGGGATCTTCCCTTCAGGAGGACATCGGGGGACCACAGGCCACGTGTCCTTGACTAAATGAAGGGGAAGCCCCTCCTCCCTCAGACAATATACCCTCCTCTGAGGCCACTGTGTATTACAACAGGGAGATGACTTTATCTATCACATGTGGAGGGAGGGCTACACCTGCTGCCCGTCCCATCAAAGGCAATAGTGTCTATGGTCGGGCGTGGTGGCCCATGCCTGTAATCCCAGCACTCTGGGGGGCCAAGGCGGGCGCATCACTTGAGGGCCAGGAGTTTGAGACCAGCCTGGCCAACATAGTGAAACCCTGTGTCTACTAAAAATACAAAAAAAATTAACCAGATGTGGTGGTGGGCACCTGTAATCCCAGCTACTCAGGAGGCTGAGGCAGGAGAATTGCTTGAACCCAGGAGGTGGGGGTTGCAGTGAGCCAAGATCGTGCCGCTGCACTCCAGCCTGGGCAACAAGAGCAAAACTCCATCTCAAAAACAAAAACAATGGCAATAGTGTCTAAAACGCCCAAGCCACCCGCTGGTGCTTAGAGCAGCTCAGGACACACAGCCGGCAGAGTGAAACGCTGGGTTGGGGTGGGGAGGATGGGAGTGGGTGGCTTGCCCCGCCAGGTGATTTTCAATGGAATGATCTATTACCTCGAAGAAAATGAACACGGACAGGAAAGGCATGAAGACAATAAAGATACAGCAAGAGCCAGACACCCCGGTGCCTTGCTCCGGTGCCTGCGAGTGCTGAGCCCCGGGCTGTGTGGCACCTTCTCCTGGGCGCTGCAGGCATCCCAGCCACCCTCGCCGGGTGCGCTCTTACTGTCCCTATTGCACAGATACTGTGGCAGAGGCATGGGGCAGGGTGCCCCTGCTGAAGACCCACTCAGCCAGTGTGGGGCCAAACCTGGATTGAAACCCAGGCTGGTCTGTGGTCTGTGCTCAGCCACCGGGCTGCCCTCGTTCTCTGCAGCGTCCCGCTGTGCTACCTGGGTGGAAGGAGAAGGTCAGGCCAGAGCACCGGGTGCCCCGGGATTGGGCCCTCAGTGGGTTAACTGGGGGGGTCGGGCCCTGTGCTGCCATCACTTTGGCCTCCGAGGATGATCCCACAGGTATGGGGGCCCTGAGGTGCCCGAGCGCGTCCTCACCTTCGATTATGTGCTTCCTGGACAGGCCCCGCTCCGTCTCCGCCCTGGAAAACAGGCCGACCGCGTGTGATGTCACCAGCGGTTTTGGCACCCTGGCCCCTCCCAAAAAACGTTTACGATGCAATGTTAGACGCAAAAACAGGGTCAGCAAATGCCGTGTGGAGTCGGATTCCACTTTGGGGGTAGGGACCCGAGGCTACAGGGCTGAACTCCCAGAGGCCCAGGGAGAGGCCTGGTCACAGGGCTCAGAGGGGAGGGGGGCAGCAGCAGGGGGTGGGGGGCTTTGATTTTCAACCTAACCCGTCTGTTTGATTTGGACTTATTATTATTATTATTATTATTATTATTTTTTAAATTAAGAACACATCAGGCTGGGCACAGTGGCTCACGCCTGTAATCCCAGCACTTTGGGAGGCTAAGGCAGGAGGATCACTTGAGCCCAGGAGTTCAAGACCAGCCTGGGCAACATAGTGAGACCCCATATCTTAAAAAAGGACAAATTAATGCCAGGCGTGGTGGCTCACGCCTGCAATCCTAGTGCTTTGGGAAGCTGAGGTGGGCAGATTACTTGAACTCAGGAGTTTGAGACCAGGCTGGACAACATGATGAAACCCCATCTCTACAAAATACAAAAATAAAAATATAAATAAAAATAAAAAAATTAGCTGGGCATGGTGGCATGTGCCTGTAGAACCAGCTACTTGAGGCAGGAAGGTCACTTGAACCCAGGAGGTTGAGGCTGCAGTGAGCTGGGACTACGCCACTGTACTCCAGCCTGGGTGACAAAGTGAGACCCTGTCTCAAAAAAAAAAAAAAAAAGAGAGAGAGAGAAAAAGGACAAATTAGTCAGGCATGGTGGCTCATCCCTGTAGGCTGAGGTGGGAGGCTCGCTCGAGCCCAGGAGTTTGAAGCTACAGTGAGCTGTGATTGTGGCACTGCGCTCCAACCTGGATTACAAAGCGAGACCCTGTCTCAAAAAAATAAAAAATAAAAACAAAATAAAAATAAAAAAAAGAATGAATGAATGAATCGTAGTTATAATTCCTATGAGCCCAAGTGTGTCCAGCCCAGAAACTATGGAGCTAGACACTTGGAGACCTGCAGGGGTGACAGGCGGCCCAGGGAATTTGGAGTGCTTTGGGGGTTTGGGCAGTTCACAAATTTTCTGTTTTCTCTATAATTTTTATGATGTTACCATAGTGACCAGGAAAAAATAATCCATGTGAGTAAAAAGGAAAGTTAAGCGAGGTTTTTGTAAAAGGCAAACTCGGCCACAGCTTCTTTTCTGGATTTGACGTCCCTTAACAGGGACAGGCACCAGGCATAGCTGATGGCTGCAGAAACACCAGCTCTGCCCCTGCTGGGGACAGGAAATGGCACTGGGCCGGGGCCTGTCCAGGACAGACCCCGACCACTCTCCCTTCTCAAGGAGGACTGTCCTCCCGCCACCCCAGGAGCCTTCTAGGTCAGGGGTCTCTGGGGAGCACGGGGCCGTGGCTGCTGGGCCGGGGCTGGAAGCATCGCCAGCTGTTGCACCTACTTTCCGCCCCAGAAGATCTTGGTGGTGATGACGAGGCTGGACCGCCTGTGGAACAGAAGAGAAAGAAGGGGTGTGATAAGCCCGGCCCCTGGGGGGTCCTCCTTCATCCCCGACGTCCTCATCTCTCACACAGAGGTCCTGAAAGCCCTCCCACCCAGGAGCCTGGGGCATGAAATGGGCACTTCTCCATCATATGATGTGTACCACGTGCCCAGCCGGGGTGCGTGGGCTCCTCATGGAGCCAGGAGGCAGCCACCGAGGCAGTAACTGTGAGTCAGGCAGTGGGAGTTGGACAGTGGGGGGCCTAGTGTGACCGGAGTCCGGAGGAGATGCCTTCCGCCCAGGATGTGGGAGGGGGGCCTGGCTCAGGGACTATGAGGGGTGCATGGATTTGATCCAGGTAGAGGAAGTGGCAAGAGCCAAGGCTGGAGGAGGCCGGGTGTGGGCCAGGGGGCAGGGGCGGGCTCTGGGGGGATCTGGCAGGAGTTGAGGATGGAAAGATGTAGGTGGGAGGCAGGCAGGGAAGCTCTCTGCAACGTTCCCTACAGAATGTGACACGTGTTGCAGAAAATCTGTGTGGGACGGCCTGGTCGGGGTAACTTGAGGGGCACCAAGGGAGGGAGGGGAGGCATAAGGACGGCCTGGTCGGGGTAACTTGGGGGGCACCAAAGGAGGGAGGGGAGGCATAGGGAGCCCAAGTGTGGCCAGGCCAGTGGGGTTCTGGGTTTGAGTAGCTGAGGCAGAGAATTCTGAGGATTTGGGCTTGAGCAGCGCAAAGGGAAGTAATTCGTTCTTCTGCTCTAAGTCCACACGAGACAAATGCCCATACCAGTGGCTTTGTCCTGGTGGGATGGGGGATAATGATGGCCCCTCCCAGCCACGTTTGACCTTGACCCCTCCCAGAGGAGGGAGTACTTCCCACCCAGGGGGTGACAATGACCTCCTGGTGCCCCATGGCTGAGCTTCTTTCCCACCCGGGTCCCGGGCTGCTCAGGGAAGCAGCTCACGAGGCTGGAGTAGGAGGCCTCCTCTGCCCCGAAGCATCGGCCACAGAGCTCTGGCAGAGGCAGCGTCACCTCCAGGAAGGGGGATCACCCCACACCACCTCCATGCACATTCGCCAAAGACGTGATCAGGGGATTTGCTAATACGTGCAATTTCGTTTAATTACAGGGTGAGGAGGAATTTGTTTTGGGATCAGAGTTGCCAAAAAACAAATTTGATGGGACAAGAGGAAGGGGTGTCAGGAATCCATGGGGGAGGGGGCGGGGGCTCCCCTTGGCACTGGGATTCTGAGTGGCATTTCGAGGGGAGGGAGGAGGGAGGCCCAACTTTATAACTGCTTCTGATGTTTCTGAAAATAAAGACGCATTTATTAAGGAACAGGGCCCCGGGGCTTGTCAGCACCTTGAGATAAAGCTGTGTCCAGGGGTCTGGGGAGCCTCAAAATGTAGGCAAGTGCTCAGCCCAGTTGGTCCCAAGGTGGGTGAGGACCTTGGCCTGGGAAGGGCCCATAGGCTCCTGGGAGAGAAGGGTGGATGGCCCCCGATCTGCGACCTTTGGGCTCCATCACACCCGGGGACCGCTCCCCGGTCTGTGCTGGAGGGGACCACTTCCCAGAGGAGTGTGACACGTCCCGCCCTGAGCTGGGTGGGTGATTTACAGACTTGGGGCCACTGACCCTCAGGATAGCCCTGCCGGAACGGTCCCACACACACCCTCTTACAGATGGGAACAGTGAGCTCCGGAGAGGCTGAGACGCCGCGAAGATCCTGTGGACAAGGTGCAGGGTGGGATCCAACCCCAGGCCCCCAAGCTCTCTGAGCCACTCCCTTCTCTGGCCCCCTGGCTCCCCTGACCCTAAGTGCTCCAGCCAAAGAAGTGGAAGTGCTTTGCACCCACATCTTCTGTAGCAGCACGCCTTTGCTGTACCCAGGCCCGTTCTCACGCCAAGCTCTTTTTGGCCTGACACTTTGCAAGCAGGGACCCTGGTGCTCTGGGTCTCTGTGGATGAGTTGGGACAGAGGCGGAGTGGGCAGGCTAGGGTGGGGGTGGACAGTGTATTCGGCCTCCCTTCAACTTCTTTCTCAAGCAGAGTCACCTCCTACTCTTGGAGAACTGAATTTTCCTCTCCACTTCCCAGCAAGAAAGATGTGGGGACTTGCGGGCCTTACGACACTGCACGACAGGCCGACGAGGCTGACCCTGGGATAGTTCGCCCGCACCCACCCCAGGGACAGGCCGCAGAGAGCAGGGCCGTTACCTCCATCCTTTCTTCTTAATGATGTTTCCCAGTACCACTTCAGCCCTGCAAAACAAGACACCGAGCTCTCATCACAGCCAAACAGAAAAATCAAACCCAGACCCACTGTGGCCACTGGCCACTTGGTTCCCTCTGTGAAAATGTCACTGGGGCCAGAGAGCCAGGCTGTTAACACCCGCCTTGGCTCAGTAGCTCATTCCACAGACAGGGTTGGCCCGAGGGAGTGGGAGCAGCTGTGTTATTGCCCCCCACTAGGATGGCTGTGGCATGTTCCCCTGCAGACACGTGTCTAAGCAGTGGCGGCCCCAGCTCTCACACAGAAGGAAGGAGCTGCTGTCGAGCATCCCATTTCCTAGTCAGCTGAAAATTCACCAGGGAAAATGCCTGGCAACATTAGGTGGGCAAAATTTCCAGAGAAGTATCTTGTTTTTTTTTTTTTGAAATGGAGTCTCGCTCTATCAATGGAATGTAGTGGCGAGATCTCGGCTCTCTGCAACCTCTGCCTCCTGGGTTCAAGCAGTTCTCCTGCCTCAGCCTCCCAAGTAGCTGGGACTACAGGCACCTGCCACCACGCCCGGCTAATTTTTGTATTTTTAGTAGAGACGGGGTTTCACTATGTTGGCCAGGCTGGTCTCGAACTCCTCATCTCGAGTGATCCGCCCACTGTGGCCTCCCAAAGTGCTGGGATTCCAGGCGTGAGCCACCGCGCCGGGACAAGTATCTTTTTTCAAAGGTAAATTATTCATCAAGTCACGCTCTGTTTTGAGAGACAATCAACATGTACTCAGGGTCAAGGGCTGGATTTCCAGCAGATCTGTGCATGCTTGTGTATATGTGTGTGTATACATGTGTGCATGTGTGTGGGTGCACGTGTCCCTCTCATTTCCTGCACTGAACGGCAGAGTCAGATGCTAGGCGGACCACTGTCTGTCCTGTTTGGCATCACTGGGTCCTGCACCAAACCCAGGCCAGCTGGGGGCATGGGCGGCCGTCCCAGCCTTGCCTGGCACTGCAGCACTGGATTAACTTTGAAGAACTTTCTGCTTGTAGCAAAATGTTTCTGAGCAAAACAACAGACGGAGAATGATCCATACTCTGTGCTACATTCCAATTATAAAAGCGCCTGAGTCATCCACTCAGAAATAATGGGCTCTGATTTGCAAGCTGTTTAGCATGCGCTCTGAATGCTCCTCATTTATGGTCAAGACACACAGAAAATTCACTCAGCCCTAGGCCTCTTCCTTTTATTCCTTGGTCCCTGATTTGGGGATCAGGAAAGGAGGAGGAAGAGAGAAAAGCTAGCAGCGATCTCTGGGGCAGAGGAGCAGCAGACAGTGAGTTATCTAAGCCTGTGGCTTGTGGCTCTGGCTGTGATTTGGTAGGACTCACATCTGTTCGCGGGACACAGAAATCCTGCAGCTCTCTGAGAAGCGTGCAAATTAGTGTCAGCAGGAGAAGCAAGGGGCCTCGGGAAGATACGGGTTTGGCCCCCTGCAAGCTGCCTCTCAGCCTCCCCCAAACTCCCCAAAGCAGTTTCTCCCTGCCTATCCCCGGCACGCAGCGCCCAGCTCCCCTGTGAGGGCACTGATGGGCGTCCACCGGGGGCTCAGCTCTGAGCTGGACAGAGGGACCGCAGTGGCCGGCCCAGGAGCAGAGGGCAGGGGATTCCACAGAAACGGCGACCTGAGGGGAAGCTGCTCCCTGACTCCCCGGTCTTCTGGCAAGCGGCTTCCGAGAGGCCCGAGGCTGCCGGAGACCCAGGGAACTTGCCCAGCTCACCAGCTCTGGGTGTCCAGTTAAACAGGGGAACATGGAAACTGCGAGTGACAGAGGACGGAGTGTGGCTGCTGTGACATGGGGTGTGCCCGGCCTCATCCACGGAGGCTGCACGGAGCTGCCTCCCACACATTCTTCAGGGCAGCATAACCCAGGCCAAAGCAGGCAGCGAAGAGGTGGGGGGCTCGGGACGGGAGGTGCCTCTCGGCTTGGCATCTGCACTGGGCTTTTTGACCTCAGACCCCTCCGCTGGGCTCATCTGTCTGGAAAGCAGTTCACTTTGATGGGAAGCTGCTGCCAGTATGGAGGGAGTGGGAGGGGGCTGTGCCATCCGGAGGGCCAAAAGGGCTGCAGATGGGGGCTGGAGGCGGTTTGAGGGTCCCAGCGGCAGCCCCCAGGGCTGTGCGCTCCCCAGGCTCTGGGTGGGAACTTGAGCAGGGCCCAGTTGGGTTCCCTGCCGCCGGGTGCTCTGGGCCCCGCTGCAGTTGCAGGTAACCACCCAGGGCCCACGAAGCAGCTGCGGGCCAAGCAGCTATGGTGCACAGCAGCCCAGGCCTGCAGCCTGCCCGGCTGACGGGAACTTGGCTGGCCCCAGGCAGGAGGGGGGCAGAAGGAGGATGAAGAGAGGGCCAACAAATGATTTCACAAACAAAAGCTGACTTCTGGAAACCCGATGCAGGAGAGTGGATGATTTGATTACAGCCAGTCTTTAAAATTGAAGCCAACAGCCTGGCTGAAGAAGGCTGAGCTTTTACATAATTGAGCAGGAAAGTTCACCGCCAAGATGGGAAGTGCTCCCCACAGCACTTGGCCGGAGCCTGCCCTCCCCAGCTCTGAGGCCCTGCAGCCCTAGTTGCACAAGTGAGACATGAAATGTCAAAATGTCAGGCACATCAGGAGAGCCCAGGACAGCAGCTCCATCGCGCCTCTCACCCAGCACAGCATCTTTGGCACCAGAGGGACTGTGGTCCCCCTGGTGGCTCCACGGGGAGTTCAGCAAGTGATCAGTGTCCAAGTGTTCTGCAATTCCAGCCCCATGAAAATAGCACCTCCTAAAGCCATTCAGAGTTTAAAAATGAAAGCAGGGTGCAAGGTGCATTTGTGAGCACTCTTGGGAACGCGAGCGGCAGGAATCCCTGTAGCTCCGGCTCTGCCCAGGCATTCTGAACCACTTTTTCCCGTGTGAAAAGACACGTACTTGCCGGCTGCGTAGACTTCTGCTGTATCGAAGAGGTTGATGCCATTATCATAGGCCAAGGTCATGAGCTGCTCTGCCATCTGAAACGAGAAAACCGACACTGTCCTGCCAGCCGGGGGTGGGGCCCAGAGGCTCTGGAGCACCACCCTCTCGGCCTGGGAGGCCTCCCCGTGTCCAGGCCCTGCCCTCCCGGGCCCGACAGGCTCCCCTGTGGGCTGTCTCCTTGCCCTCTCCTGCCACAGGACAGGGATGGAGGCAGCTCTCAGTAACAAACCCATTGAGAAGAATAAAGAAGGCAAAAGGAATGAAGAAACTGCCAAGGACTGTGAATTTCTTGAGAGCAGGGACCCCATCAGTTGGGGTCATCACAGGGCTTAGCACCTGTACTGGGTCGAACAGTATCCCCACAGAATTCATGTCTACTTAGAAGCTTAGAGGTGACCTCATTTGGGAATAGGGCCTTCTTCAATGTAATTAGCGAAGATGAGGTCGTACTGTGTTAGGGTGGGTCCTACACCCTATGTGACTGGTGATTTACAAGGAGAGAAAATGCAGACACAGAAGTCCATGAGACTACGAAGGCAGAGACCAGAGTGACACGTCTACAAGCCAAGGACTGTTGGCAACCCCCAGGAGCTGAAAGAGGCATGGGGCGGACCCTCCCCCGAGCCTTTACAGGGAACCTTGCCCTGCCAACACCTTGGTATCAGACCTCTGGCCTCCAGAAGGTGACAGAACGGTGTCTGTTGTTTCAGGCCCCCAGGTTATGTTACTTTGTTACAGCAGTCCTAGGAAACCAAGGCAGTCCCCAGCAGGGGCTCTGTGGATGTTGCTGGGATGAGTCTATGTCCTTAAAGCCAGGGCGGTGTATTCAGTTGTACCTCATTGAATCTTTCCCAGCACCTGCACATGAGGACTGAATTGTTATTTTTGTAGATGGAGCAACTGACATCCCACAGCTGGTGCATGGTGGGTGACATCCATTCTGGCCTCTTGTCCAGTGTTTCTCCAACGGCACATACTCCCGGCCCTGAGCGGCACTGCTGTGGTGGTGGCTGCCTCATGGGCAAGATGGATGAATGACTGCCCGAGCTAAATGCGCTGTGCATCAGACTTTGCTCCATGGCTGCTGTCAGGACGCGATTGTGCTCCATGAGCAAAGAACTGGTCGTGGGGTGGGACTCATGGAGCGAGGGGAGCCCCTCTGCAAGTGACAGCTCCCTCCAAGAGGCCGGAGAGAAAGGTGCCCCTGAGCTTCTGGCTCTCGGACAGGGCTGCTTCCCTCTGAGTGTCACGCTTCCCCAGGTGCGGCTCAGAGCACTGGGCCTCACCAGCAACAAGCCCAGCGTGGGGTGAATAATTCTTAATAACCCTCAAAAACCATAGGACAGAAAACCAGCCAGGGGTGGCTTCACAGGGCTGCGTCTCTCCTTTCTGAACTCAGAAGCCCTTGTGGCCAGGAGGTATGGAGAGTGAGGACGGAGTAGCCACCACTGGGGGGCACCCATGGGAGAAGGCCCATGCCCAAATGCTGCACGTGGGAAGGCGGACCTGGTGCTAGAGATCTGCCAACCTCTCAAGAGAAGCCAGAAAGGCAGCATGTTTGTGGGTGGGGGGTGTATGGAAATCTGGCCGGCAGCCTGGCGACACTGGCACTCATCCCCAAACATCTCAGACACTGAAATACAGCACAGCTGAAGCTGAGCCCCGGTTAGTGAGCGGCTGTGATTTGAGTCAGGAAGCCCGGGGGTGGAGGCCGTCGGTTTTCAGGATCCACCTGCCGGGGCTCTGTTGTTGTCTTCCTGCTGCAGCTCAACTGCCCTGAGGTATCAAATGCATCCATGCATCAAATGCATCCGCCGCCCGAGGGACCTGCTGCTGCCCCCCCAGCCTCCTCCTCCCGGATGTGCCCACCCAGGGAGAGCCCAGGAATCTCTCCCCACCTCTAGCACTTTCCTTCCCAGCACCAGGGCTCCAGCACGGACAGACGGGTGGCTTGTTCACCTGCTCACTGCTTCCTCCTCGTCTTCCTCCTGACTTTTCCCAGATGCCTCCCACATCCAGGCCCAGGAGGAGAGAGCCCAGGAGGGCACGGTGCGCTGGGCCCCGAAGGGGCTAAGTCTGTGGTTAGGGCACTCACGCTCCTGGCAGGGCTTCTCAGAGGAGGGGACCCAGGGCTCCGTTTTCTGTTTTTATATTTCAGACACATGTATTTTCTTATCCCCCATCTTTCTTCCAGGAGGGGTGGCACACTACCCATATGTTTCTGCACTTTGATTTTTTCACTCACAATACATCCTAAAAACCAATCCACACCTGCTCATGAAGATCCCTTTCATTCTTTTTGTTTAATTAAAACATTACTGCATTTATCAAAGAGACTTTAAGTTGTGGTAAAATATATATGATGAAATTTACTATTTTAACCTTTTTCAAGCATAGTTCAATGGCAGTAAGTACATTCGCATAGTTGTGTAACCATCACCACCATCCATCTCCCTGTCATATTCCTAAACTGAAACTGTACCCATTGAACAGTAACTCCCCTTCCCCGCTCCCTGCCTCCAGCCCCAGCACCCATCATTCTCTGGTATTTATGAATTTAACTACTCTAGGCACCTTAGACAAATGCAGTCACACCGTGTGTCCTTTTTGTGGCTTGTTTCAGTGAGTGTAATGTCCTCAAGGTTCAAGGTTCATCCAAGGGGTATCACATGTCCAGAATATCCAAGACTGGGGTTATTTTTTTTTTTTGGGAGATGGAGTCTCATTCTGTTGCCCAGGCGGGAGTGCAGTGGCACAATCTTGGCTCGCTGCAACCTTTGCCTCCTGGCTTCAGGAGATTCTCCTGCTTCAGTCTCCTGAGTAGCTGGACTACAGGTGCATGCCACCAAGCCCAGCTGATTTTTCTATTTTTAGTAGAGATGAGGTTTCACCATGTTGGCCAGGCTGGTCTCGAACTCCTGACCTCAAGTGATCTGCCCGCCTCAGCCTCCCAAAGTGCGGCCGACAAAGACTGGGTTTTGAAGGGTGTTTAGGAGTTTGTCAGGCAGGCAAGGAGAGAGTGGGTGGGGGAGGGGCACTCTAGGCCCTGGGGCTGGTGTGGGCCAGGGAGGGCAGCCTGCGGCAGCATCAGCTCCCGGGAGGTCTCGCTCACCTGTGCTCCGGTCAAACCCTGGGGAGCCCTCCTTGACTAATCCTCCCATCACTGGAGCCTGAAGTTCAGCCCCTGCCGCGGCTTCCCCTGCAAATTAGTCCAGAATCTGACCCGTCTCCCCACCTCCACGGTGCCCACCCTGCTCTGAGCCTCCAGCGGCTCTTGGGTGGTTTCTCACAATAGCCTCCTAGCTCTCTGCTTCCATCCTCTCTCCCTGCACCTTCCCCAGGCAAAGCGTGGTCCATGGGCCAGCATCAGCATGAGATCAGAAATGCGGCCTCCCAGGCTCCACGACAGCCCTGCCACATCAGGATGTGCCTTCCGAGTACATGGGATCGTGCACACGCTGAACTCTGGGACATCCTCATGACTCGCCATTCCCAGTGCAGCAGCCAGGGCGAGCCTTGGCAGACCTTTTAAATCAGGTCAAATTTCCTCCATGCAAAAGCCCTCCAGGGGCTTCCATCTCGCAGAGGGTCAAAGCCAAAGTCTCCACCAGATCTGCACCCTGACCCCCAGCTCTATCCCCTGCATCCCCTTCTCCCCAACACTCGGCCTTAGGGCTGTGCCTTGGTTGTCCCCTTGGCCCCCGAAGGCTCTTTCTCTGGACCACCACGTGGCGTCCTTGCTCGCTTCTGCTTCCTGACCACCCTGTCGTCAGGACCCCCGCCCCCCTGCCCTCCTTTTTCTACTTTCTTCTCTGCAGTCAACTAAATAATGGTTCTCCAAAGGTATCACGTCCCTGGAACCTGGGAATGTGACCTTAGGTAGAAAGAGGGACTTTGCAGATGGGATTAACGTGAGTACTCTGCAGTGGGGAGAATGTCCTGGCTTAGCTAAGTGGGCCCTCAGTGCCATCACAGGTGACCTTATGAGGACGAGACAGACGGAGACTTGACTGACAGAAGAGGAGGACGGAGAGTATCCACAGGGGCAGAGACTGGGGGATGCGGGCACAGGCCAAGGAAGGCCAGCAGCGCCAGACGCTGAAGAGGCTGGGAAGGGTCCTGGCCTGGAGAAGGGAGCCCGGCCCGGCTGACTCCTGGACTTAGGCCGGGAAAGGTCCTGGCCGGGAGAAGGAAGCCCGGCCCGGCTGACTCCTGGACTTAGGCTCAGGGGTACCGAGTTTGGATCTCTGGACCCCAGAGCTGTGAGAGAATACGTTGCTGCTGTTTTCAGCCGCGCATTGGTGGCTATTTGTTACAGCAGCCACAGGCAGCTCGCACCCTCTCCACAGCATGCTGTTCGACCACTGGAGACGGTGTCTTGCCTGCCTCTTTACCCTGTCGCCCTCTCTAGAAAGACAGTGACTGGGAAGAGGCTGGAAGCAGGCAGGGAGCTGGCGCTAGGCAGGGGCTCCGCAAGCCTGAGGCGGGGCCCCGGATGCTCCTGGCTCTGCTCTGCCCACCGGGAGGCCTCCCACTCCTGCTCATAGACTAAGAACAAAGGGCTCGGCGCTCTCCGCTCCGGAGCACGGTGGCCCTGAACACACCTGGCTCCCTCCTGGGAGGAAAGCCCGGCCAATCACAGAAACCTGTGGTCATCACAGACCCCCGAAGGCGTGCAGACAGCCGGATCAGCAGGGTCCGGCACTGCAGACACCAACCCTAACCTCACCTGTCCCTCAGCAAAAACGAAGCCACCATACAATTCCAGCTACATCCAGGGTGGCGCCTGGGATTGGCAGGACCAGAGGCAGGAAAGAGAGGGAGCGACTCACGGCACTGTGGGGCTCTGCTTTCTCACTATTTTATTTATTTATGTTTTGACGGCTCTGATTTTGCTGTACTTTCTCTTCCAGGTTTTTCTGCCCTTTCCCTAGAAAACTGCAGCTCTACTCCACAGACTGCTGTCTATGCTGGCTGCATTTTCCATTGGCTGTCACGGGCCTTTCCCATGCTGTTCTTCAAAACATGCTTTTCTTTTTTTTTTGAGATGGAGTGTCGCTCTGTCATCCAGGCTGGAGTGCAGTGGTGCGATCATGGCTCACTGCAACCTCCGCCTCCCAGATTCAAGCAATTCTCCTGCCTCAGCCTCCTGAGTAGCTGGGATTACAGGTGCCTGCCACCACGCCCCGCTAATTTTTTTGTATTTTTAGTAGAGATGGGGTTTCACCATATTGGCCAGGCTGGTCTCGAACTCCTATCCTTGTGATCCACCCGCCTCAATCTCCCAAAGTGCTGGGATTACGGGCATGAGCCACCGCCCCTAGACCTAAAACATGACTTCTAAAGCCCTCCGCTCTGTGGCTGCATCCTGGTTCAGTTTACGCAGCCTTTATGTTGTGACTTTTTGGTTCCTTCCAGTATCTGGGTCCCAGACACTGAAGTCAGAAGGAAGCTCAGGAGACATACAGGCCACCTCCCTGTCACCCTCATCTGGGGGGACAAGGAATCTGTCCCTACCCCAGTACGGTTACCCCACAGCTGAGCACTGGCCGCAAGCGTTGAGGCAAAGAGCACCAGGTGGAACCCCCTGTGGCCAGAGGCCAGGTGAGGCCCCTGCACCTGTTTATAGCCAGAGGCTCAGCTTCCCTGAACTGGGAATAGCACCTGCCTCCCTGGGTTGATAGAGGATTAGGTGAGATAATAAGTGTTAGGTTCTCAACCATTACATCTATTAAATTTTTATTGTCCAGCTTGTCTTGAACACATGCTTCTAATGGGGAGTGTGAGGCCACAGAAAGGGCACCTAACAATGGGAGGGCTGGAGACCTGAAACCACCGTGGTGGCTCCGACAGGCATTACGTCATTTTAGGGTTCCTAGCATAGTTTGATCCCTTCATGGGCTCCTGTGAGCACTGGCTGAGAGTGTGATGGTGTCCTACAAACTGTGGACTCTGCCCTGTGCCATGTGAGGGTGGCTGTCATTCCTGCCTCACCAGGTGGTTTGTTCCACCCCTGGGCAAGCTTTCATTTTGTCCCTGGCATGGCATAGAACTGGGCTGAGCAGTTCACACAGCAGCCCTGCAGATAGTGCAGGGTACAGCTGCTGCGGCCCAAAGAACAGGAGACGTCAAGTCTTTTCTGTAAAGGGCCACATAGTAAATGCTTCAGGCACTGTGGGCCAGAGAGTCTCTGTTGCAATTACTCAGCTCTGCCCTTGTGGAGTGAAAGCAGCCACTATGTGTAAATGATGGGCGTGGCTATGTCCTAATAAAACTTTATTTATACAAACAGTGTGCAGAGTTCATAGAGACAGGAAGTAGACTAGAGGTGACCAGGGGATGGGGAGTTGTTGTTTAAGGGTGCAGAGCTCCTGTTTGGGGTGATGAAATATTTTGGAAACAGATATTGGTAAGGGTGGCACAGTATGTGAATGTACTTAATGCCACTGAACTGTAGACTTAAAAATGGTTAAAATGGCAAATTTTATGTTTCATATATGTAATAAAAAACTGAAAAACAAAAAAAGCAGTCCAGGACGGTCCTTGCTTCCCTGCTGGCTCGGACTGAGCCGCAGCACCTGAAGTGCACAAACCCTTTTCATCTGAACCGCAGCCAGGCGGGCCCCCCCTTCTAGATGTATTGATTTCTTTTTTGACACTAACTATAGGATTAATACAAAAATTTGTCTTGCTCCTTTGCTAAGCCATTTTCACCTGCCACAACCATTCAGAACCCTGACACTGCCATCTATTTTATTCTCTGTCCTTCCAGCTTGGTGTCATCTAGAAATGACCTCCAATATCTTCACACATGTCCATCACTGTGTTCCTGATGGAGACACTGCAGAGGCCTGGGCCAGCGGGGCTGCCACTGGGCCATTCATTAATGCTCTAAGGGTATGCCTGGTTTGCTGGTGAAAACGTCATCTCATTGGATGGGTCTAGTCTGTCTGCTTGTTTTTATCTTTCCCACAAGGACATACAGGCCACCCAGCTAATATTGTTTGGAAATGAAGTTATGCCGTTCTACAGAATTCTCCCATCCTGGTTTAGAAACCACATCGAAAGGGAAACGAGGCCAAGTCAGGCAAGGCTGATTCAGATTGAACCATATGGGCCCCAGGGCTCCAACTGAACCAATCTGGTGGGCTGAGGTAAGGCAATTCCTTTTGCCTTAATAACTCCAGACTTCACCCTGAGATAGCGCCTATCCAGCAACTTCAAAGCAAGGGGCAAATCATTCTATAACCAGCTATTGTCTTTTTTTTTTTTTTTCGAGACAGAGTCTTACTCTACGGCCTAGGCTGGAGTGCAGTGATATGATCTCGGCTCACTGCAACCTCCCCCTTCTGGGTTCAAGCAATTCTCCTGCCTCAGCCTCCTGAGTAGCTGGGATTACAGGCGCCCCTACCACGCCCAGCTAATTTTTGTATTTTTAGTAGACATGGGGTTTCACCATGTTGGCCAGGCTGGAACTCCTGACCTCAGGTGATCCGCCCGCCCCAGCCTTCCAAAGTGCTGGGGTTACAGGTGTGAGTCACCGCGCCCGGCCAGCTAGTGTCTTAAAGATAAAAGTGACCTCAAACACAAACTGTACGCATTTAAATTTTGATAGAAGCAAAGCTTTCCCTTGGAAACTGAGCAATCGCAGCTAACAAGGTCTCACATCAATTCGCTGATCAATTTTTAAACGCAACCTTTCTAGTGCTAAGTAGGATAAATGTGAAAACTGCTTCTTGTGCAGATGCCCAGAGCTGTCTGAGCAAATGCCACTGCTCTCATTTCTGAGATGCTGCCTCACTGTCCAGAAGCACACATGTCTGGGCGTGTGCCGTCCCTGTCCTTCCGAGAGACCCAGAGGCGCTGGCGGCATACAAGCTGGCTTTTTGTTAGTGTTCACTTTCTTGTTCCAATTGTGGGGACATGAGCCCCAGCAAATACATCTGACTGCGATCCGCACGGTTCGCGGCAGCTGGGAAATGGACAGTGGATGTTGGGTGAAATGCAGATCTCAGGTTCTTCAGCTTGTGACACTGCAGGGGCTGCATTCCCAATGACCAAGACAGACAGTTACTGGAGCCTCCATGGGGGCAGCTAGGACCTGCATCCGGCTTCAGAATTTGGGAAGCGTGTGCACCCTGAATTCTCCTCGTTAACTGTGGAATGGGGGTCACGCGTGTGGGAAATCTGAGTCCTGGGGAGCTTAAGGGACATGCTGAGGCCCGAGGCATCCACTGCTGGGTGATGGCACCAGACTCGGCATCCCCTCTGGCCATGGCCACCTGGCTCACCTTTCTACTCTCCCCTGGGGCAGGGCGCCCTCACAAAACAGAAAGAGGGAGGGAGGCTGCTGCGCTGGCTCCCGGGAGCACGTGCTCACTGGTCCACGCGGCAGACTTAACCATGTGCTCTGGCGAGCCCGTGCTGGGTTCTGGGGTGCTGGGAGAGCCCCATCTTACCTCATCGGTGATCTGGCCTCCGAAGGTCACCCATGTTCCTGGAAGGAGACACAGGGGCTCAAGTTAGGAACCTGGCAGGAAGCCAGATTATCCCGTCGGTGCTCAGACCTCAGGCTGTAGGGCACAGGGGGCAGCCACAGGTGTCCCTCTGTGCTGCTCTGTGGCCAGGGTGTCCTTAGTGTGTGTGGACAGCTGGCCTTCAGAGAAAGTCCTGCTCTCCTGGGGTCAATAAACTGAGGGGACAAAAGTCTCTAGAGCGGGCTGCTGGCTATGGGTCCAGGAGGTCTGGGGCTTTTGAAATGCTGGTCAGAGCTGTACTGAGGCAGCTCTAGTTCCAAGGACATGCCGCAAGAAATGGCACAAGGGATGCCTCTCTGAAAACACACCAGGTCTGACAGCCGCGTCTGCGTGCTCCTGCTGGGACAGAGCGGGGAGGGCGGTGTCAGGGCAGTGGGTGCTGGTGGGGGGCGGGGTGTGTGTACTGCAGTGGGCGGTGTGTGTGTGGGGGTGTGTGTACTGCATGCAGAGGGGAGGTGGGGACTGCACATTCTGGAAACAGGCCTTGTATCTGACAGGAGAGGAAAAAGGGCCAAATCCAATGGCGCTCCAGGAGGGACTCACGAGCTGAGCCTGCCTTGGAAGGTAAGGTGTCTTCGTTGCACTCCCGGGGCCCTAAGGGCCTCTGATTTTGTGGTGTGGGGTGGGGACCATGTGTGGAGGGGCCCCTAGTATCCGCCTCACCTCCTCTGCTGAGACTGTGTCTCTCTCCCTCTATCCCAGCCCCCCTCCCACCTGCCTCTTTGTTGCCATGGCAACCGAGCCCCCCTGAATCCTGGGCTCTGGGTGCAGCTACTCCCTGGGGAGTGCCAAGGTTTGGGCCACCCTGCCTCCCAAGGGGTGTCCAGTTCAGTCCATGCCCGGCCTCCCCACAGCCTGTTTCCCTGGTGGGACGGAGGGGACCCCCACACTCACCAAGTCCCAGGCAGGAGACCCGCAGGCCAGACTTGCCCAGGTTCCTGAAAAACAAACGCCACGTGAGTTCTCAGCACCCAGGCAGGACCCTGCCAGCCAGGCTCAGTTCCCGCCAGGGCCAGCCCCCCACCCACTCCCCCAACAGTCAATGTGTGTTTGGAGGCTCCGAAAGGCACCGGGGACCTTCAGAGAGGTGCCTCTGCTCACCCACCCCGGGGGTAAAGTGCCAACTGCCCCCGGCCCACACCATGCTGCTGGCACGGGCCCTGCTGGTGCCCAGTGGGGGTCTGCAGAGTGGTCTCAAGGACAGATGGAAATGCACAGGGACGCTGTCTGTTTTATGGCGAAACTGGACTGGTCTCACCCCCATGGCACCATCCATGCGGCGCCCCTTGCAGAGAAGCCCCTTCTTCCTTCCTCTCTAAGGCTGCATTTGTGATTTTGTGTCTCTTCTTCCTGTCTCCAGCGACTGGGGCAGGAGATCGTCCCACTTCACTGGACCACATGGCCTGTGCATCTGTCCCTCGGGGTGCGGGGAGCTCCATGGTAGGGCTGCCAGTTCTCAAGCAAGGCCAGCCCTTCCTTTGTTACAGCCACAGCCAGGCCCAACAGCAGCGGCAGAGCCTGGCAGCGTAGGCCTCCTAACCAAGCACAGCTGCCCGGGCTCCTTCCCGGGGCCACTGAGGCACCTGCCCACTGTGGTGCATCCCAGGGTCCACAGGAACAGGCCTTGGGCCATCATGACTGTCCTTAGGAGGTGAAGGAGGGTGGCAGCCCTCTGCTGAGGACCGGCATGCCCGTATGTCCTGGCACAGGTTGCCTAGGAGCCTGCAGGGTTGCAGCAGGCCAGGCAGTCCCCAGGCATCCTGTCCCCGGATCCTCCCGGGAGCCCTACGCGGCAGGAGGAGCCCTACGCGGCAGGAGGAGCCCACGCGGCAGGAGGTGCCCTCGCGGCAGGAGGTGCCCTATGCGGCAGGAGGTGCCCTCGCGGCAGGAGGTGCCCTATGTGGCAGGAGGAGCCCACGCGGCAGGAGGAGCCCACGCGGCAGGAGGGAGCCCTCGCCGCAGGAGTCCTACGCAGCAGAGCCCTATGCGGCGGCAGGAGTCCTACGCAGCAGAGCCCTACGCGGTGGCAGGAGTCCTAAGCGGCAGGTGCCCTACGCAGCAGGCGCCTTGCTTGTCGTGACATCGATTCCCACGTTACGATACCTGCCCAGCACGCGGAGGAGCTGGATCCCACCCAGGCAGTTGGCTGCCAGCTCACGTTCCCCACCATGGTGGCATGCATCCCACACCCCAGCCTGTTAAGCAGGGCGTGATCTGCCCAGATGGTGAGGTTGACAAGTGGCCGGGTGGATCTCACAGCTGCAGCCAGGCCTTGACCCATCTGGGGTCAGATTCCACTTCCCTTGTGGAATCCAGCTGCCAGCATCTGGTCAAGGGGCAGCTGGTTCTAGGCGGTGGGGAGTGAGAGCCATGAGTTACCAGCGGGTGAGGCCCAGCCTCCTGGCCCAAGGGCCCTGCATTTCCCTGGGGCCATGACACTTCCAACTTCGGAGGATGCGATGTCCTCAGTTTATCCTCTTTCCTGTCCAAGCCTGGCCCCTGGGAAGGCGGCATGGGGCTCAAGCCTCATTCTGAACCCCCGACTTCTGACACGAGCCCACTCTGTCCCTCTCAGCCTCGGTTTCCCTGGTTATAAGGCTCCTGGACTCCTAACTCATGAGTGGATATAATATTTGTAAGCAGCTTGAAAACAGTTGAACGTGTCACCAAACTGAAGGTACTTTAAAATTGCCTAGGTTTATTTTTCAATTTCCTATTAAAACCACTCCAGCTGCCAGCAATATTGCTCCTGTAGGCAGAGCTGGGATTTTCCCTAAAGGAGAACATAAGAAAAGCTGAGTTTTCTTTCAGGAAAGGGGCGCACCGGGTGGCGGCTATGGGCTGAGGCTCTGAAGCCAGAGCCCAAATCCTGGTACAACTTTCCTGGCTGGAGGACACCGGGCATTTTATGGAGTGGCCCGATGCCTCAGTGTTCTCATCTGCAGAATGGGCTCACGAGGCTGCCTTTCTCACGGTGGCTGCCACGAGGACAGAAGAAGATCCATGAGGATAGAAGGCCACAGGACACTGACTCACATGTGTCTCATTTCCCAAAGAGAGCAGGAGGGTAACCTTTTCTTTATTCAAAAACAATGGACAAATCAAATAAGCTTTAACTATTACCATGTTAAAAAGGAACTGAAGTTTCCTTTTTCCTCCTTATACATCAGTGAAATACTCTTGATAGTACCCTCTGAATTGCTGGCATGTTCCAACCCAGAATAACTCGTGTCTGTGGCTGCTGGGGAGAACAGCCCAACTGTACCACTAATACATTCCACATAAGCCTGGTCAGTTTAGAAGTTTAGGTAATTTCCCCCATGCTGGCTAGAAAGTAACTGTGGTAAGAAATTATAAATGCTTAGTAGGAGTCCAATAATGAAGCAAAGGGCTGGAGGTTCTGATCAGTGCCTCTCAGCTGCTTTGGGGTCATAACCCCTTTGCAAAAACAGATAAAGCCTGGAAATATGCCTAGATACGAATGCCCTCAGAACGAACCTTGCTTGCAATGTCTGGGTGTTCACAGAGCCCTGGACCCCACTGGTCTAGATATGTCTGGGCATCGAGAAGGGAGGCCTGGCCCCCACCTCTGCAAAACCACCTCCACGAGTGACTGTGGGGAACAGTTGCTTGAAAAGGCTCTGCTGAAGGCCAGGTCAGGGCTGAAGAGAAGAGGCACCCCTTGGTCACCAGTTTGGGGAGGGCTGGCAAAAGGTGCCCCTGCCCCTGATTCCATATCTGTTCCTGGTCTGAGTGTTGGGAAATGGGCCCACTTCCCCGAGTGGGCTCTGGGTTCAGCCGCTCTTCCACCCACCACCCACAGGACTAATTTAACAAAACTAGGGCACCACGTGATGCCGCAATTACCCTGCTCAACTTGTTTCCCTGTGAAAATGATGGTATTGGTTCTGCCATCCGCTGCCAGGCCTCGGGAGAAGGGATGCGAAGGGACAGGGCGCCTCCAGGCTGAACGCTTTGTAAGCATGGCTGCTGCGTGTGGGGTGGGGAGCACACGTCTCAGCCGGGTCTGGATGGGGCTGCTCCCTGCTGTACTTGAAACTTCCCAGACACAGAGATCATTTTCTACCGATTTCTTCCCCATCGTTGAAACCTGACATCCTAATGAAGCAGGTGGTCAACATCTCGAAACCCAAATACTGTCGGTCTTCATTAATTTGCCTCATGTCTCTCCTGGGGTCTGGACTCCTGGAGTGAGGACTCACAGACATAACCTCTGCCGGAGGGGAGCACTGATGCCCATCGTGGAGCCCCCGGCTGCTGCACACCCCTAAAAACTGCACTTCAGACTTGGGAAGGGCCGGAGCTGGAAGGCTCCGGGAAATGACAGGTCATTTTACAAAGAGGAGTTTGGGGCCTTTCATTGGAGCCACCTGGGCAGAGGACAAAACTGTGATCAGGTGAAGGGCAAGCACCGTGGCCTTGGCTAGCTGGTTGCGGAGGAAGGCACATGGGGTGGCTCCTGTTAGTGCCCTGCTCGCCTGTCTGCTCCGTGCAGTGATGATGTTTGCACGCCTGCCCTGCTCCGAGATTCCAGGCTCCCTAAGGACAGGCTGGGCTTCCAGTCTTTGTCTTCTAATTGGAGCTGGCAGTGGCAGGGTCCCAGGGAGTGCTTGTTTGGGACGATGTTGGGTAGTAATTCAGGGGTGAGAAGCCCAGGCCCTGGGGTCAGACTCTCGGGACCAAGTGCTGGCCCCTCCCTTACTTATCAGGCTTGGCCTCCCGCCATCCTACACTGAGCACGCCTTAGGCCCTTGGGCAAGAATGTGGCGCCTGGTACTGGCCATGCACCTTTAGTTTCCTAGTACCTGTGGACTGTGCGTGTCACTGGACAGCTGTGCCTGGAGCACACCACTGGGAAGGGCCAGCTTCCCAGGGAGGAGGCCAGAGTCACAGGGAGGCTGGGATCAGGCTCCCCCTCAGTCCCTGCTGCCCCCCTCTTGCACCCTGGCTGTGGCCCTGGGACAGTCCCTGTGCAGCAACTCATGACGCAGGTACCGCATGAGTGGGATGGGAGAGGCCCGGGGCGGGGGTGCCCGATGGCACAGGCTTTGGATTCTAAGGCCCATCTCAGCCCCTGTGAAACTGCACCTCATCCTACAGGGCTATGAACCTACCCTCCCGCCGTGACAGCAGCAAGGAAAGCTCCCAGGCCTGGCCAGGTATAAGGCGGTGTTTGCAACTCCACTGGAGAGATGGGGGTCCCTCAGTCAGAGAGTGCTAGGGCTGGGATTTGAACTCTGGTCTGCAGACTGCAAACCCGCCCTCAGTCAGAGAGTGCCAGGGCTGGGATTTGAACTCTGGTCCACAGACTGCAAACCTGCCAGCCTGATGAACACCCCCCTTCACTGCCCTGTCTTGCCCTCCCTGCCTCCAGCACGCACGTGTGTGCATGCACACATAAGCACACACATGGGCGTGGTGAGCATTCACCCTCTGAGAGCCACTCCTCAATGAGTTTTAGGAGGGAAACAGTGTTAACAGCCACACTTTCCAATTACATAGTGCCTTATGTTTAGAAATAGTCCCGCTTTTAACTCCTTTGAGATCCTAGGACTGACATAAAAGTTGCAGAAGGCAATAGGTATCTGAACCAAAAAATATACATATACATGTTCGGTTTACTCCTAGCTTTATTTTTTTTGAGACAGGCTCTCATTCTGTCACCCAGGCTGGAGTGCTGTGGCGTGATCTTGGTTCACTGCAACCTCTGCCTCCTGAGTTCAAGTAATTCTCCCACCTCAGCCTCCCAAGTAGTTGGGACTACAGGTGCACACCACCATGCCCAGCTAATTTTTGTATTTTTTGGTAGAGACAGGGTTTCATTATGTTGGCCAGGCTGGTCTTGATCTCCTGAGCTCAAGTGATCCACCCTCCTCAGTCTCCCAAAGTGCTGGGATCACAGGCATGAGCCACCTCTCCTGGCTCTAATTTTAGCTTTTGATCCCTACTTAACAAAAGATGTAAACCCCAGAGCTTCTAGAACAGAGAATTCCATTCTGGACTGTCATTAAGCTTAGAGGATTGGACACTTTCAGCCCAGAGGTTCATTAAAGCATGTCTCACCCTCCCAGGACGCAGGGAAGGAAGAGACACGAATGTGGATGCAGGACCCCCAGAGTCATCCCAGAATTCACCTCCAGCAAGGGTTGGCTTAGATGACACGGTTTTCACACGAGGCCCAACTCTCAGGCATTGGTTTTGTAGAGGTTTAAGCCACACAGCTCAGGCATCAGGATGGACTCACAATGCTTTTCAGGTTGGCACCCATACCAGCTATAAACCCAGAAGATTCCCAAATGCAATGAGAACAGTTTGTGGCTGTTTCTGAGGCTGGTGGCCTGCACTCCAGTTTCAGGTCACTGAAAAGCAGAGTTGTCCCCAGTTCGGTTCCTGTTTTGGGAAAACTTTCCCAGGAAACCTGGGAACCAGAGACCTAATTTAGCTTTTCCAGCTTCTGTAGACCACGTGTTGTGGAGACTTCCTTTATGCCTGGAGGATGGTTCTGGACGCAATCAAGGCTCTGGACTCAGAGACTTACATGGGGAGTGAGGAAGGCCGGCCCCCAGAAGGGTGCCCCAGAACCCTGCTCCCGGGACCCTTTGTACAAAGCTGGGACCCTCCCTTTTCCATCCTGGGCACATTCACCCAGCCTTGGAGAAAGGCCCCGGCAGGGAAGAGGAGGGAGGCCCTGCTCCTGACATGAGTGGTCGGCATCCTCCCCACATACAAGTCACAGCACCGGGAGCCAGATGGGGGCTGAGCCCGGGTGGAGGGAAGCAAGGTGCCTGGGCTGACCATCGGGAAACTCCAGATGCGGCCTGGCTGCCTGTGCCTGCTGGAGCAAGAGTCCCGCCTGCTAGAGGAATTGGGCCCTGGGCCTGGCTCAGGTGGAGGAGGGAAGATTCATTCCATCACAGGGTTCACCCCACAGTCCCTCACTATCAAACGGATGTTTGTCATGGTGGCCTGGCTGGAAAGATATCAGACCACCCCCAGGGCATCTTGTGGAGCCTGTGTGCCCAGGGGAGGGCAGGAGGATGTTGGGGGGGCCCTGTGGCCCATGCCTCAGGGTTCCCCAGGAAAAGGGAGCATTGGTGGCTTGGCTATTGTAAACGACCCTCAGAAAGAAAACAGAGGCAGAAGGAAGGAAGACGGCGCCCTCACCATCTCCCCCTGAAACTGGGAAGAAAGAAACTTAGCACTGACCGGATTCTCCACGCTGTTTCTCATCATCTACCAAGCACTAAGCACAGCCCCTCCCGGCCCTCAGCACAAACTGCCCAAGTCTGACAAATGGGGATTTGCAGATTTTATGCGCTCTCGAAAGTGAGGAGGTGGGGAGTTGGGGAGGCCGGGAGGTCAGCCCCCACCCTGCAAAGCTGTGTGCCCCCGTACCTATATTTCATCCTTTGCTGCTTCACGCTGGTGTCACCGGCACACGGGAGGCTCTGCACCGACAGCTGTCCCAGGCTCCGGGCCACCATGGCCACGGCGCGGAAGCGGCCTCGGGAGCCCAGGCTGGGACTGCTGGCCGCCGGTCGGCCCAGCCGATCCTCAGGGCCCCGGCCCTTGAGGCTGTGCTCCGAGCAAACGAAGGACACCTGCATGCTGAGGCCGGGTGCTCAGATCCTGGCTGCGTCCCCTGTCCCCTTGGGCTCAGGAGCCATCTGTCCCCAAGAAACTCTTCTCCCCCGACCAGGACGAGACTTTATCCAGAAGCCAAGGAAGCTGCAGGCATTCCTTGAGGAGTGAGGATTTCCGAAGGCAACGGTGGGGAAGAAGGCTGCACAGCTCTGAGGGAGGGAGTCACATTTCCAGGCCCGAGGTACAGAAGACCTGCTGGAAGCGCGGCTGGAGGTTGGGGGGTGCGCATTTTCTCCTCCCCTCACATCTCTCGTCTCTGCAGGTCCTTCCTCTGTCCCCACCCTCAACCAGCCCTGGCTGCCCAAGTCCTCAGCCCAACAGTCTCCAAAAGTGTTGGGCAGGGCTGGGCTGTGAGTTACTCCTGATGATGAGTGACGGGTGATGAGCACACCCGCCTTCCTTGGACTGGAGAAGGGAGGGCTCTCTCTGGTGTCACTTGTGGAGCCGGAGGTGATGGCCTGGGGGGCTGCGCAGGGCCGCTGTGACTGCTCTTCTGGGGCAGCAGCTCAGGGGGTCTTGGGGAGCAGCTGCTTCTCGGGGCTTCTTGAGTCTTTCTGAGGGGGCCTGGGATCCAGCTCCTGGCTCTGCGCGCTGTGGGCGGCTGAGGCTCCCACCATGTCAATGAGGCGACCAGGGAGAGGCGCGGGCAGCGTCTGGCCATTCATTATTAATGAAGCAGGATGCACAAGCCGCCTGCCTTGGCTGGTCCCCTGAGGCCATCGCTGGCTGCTCCGGGCTGACAGCTGCTGAGCCAGGACTGGCCTGAGGCCTGGGCAGGCGCTGCAGCCAGGGTGGACTCTGCGGGCTGGATGTCTGAGCTTGTAGGCAGCCAGCTCCAAGCAAGGCAGTGCTTGCTCCGGTCACAGCCTCCCTGGCGCATGCCCAGCGGCACCTGCTTGGGGTTCTCCCTCCGGAGAGTGGGGTATCCGCTGGGGGATTGGCACATGGAGAAGCAACATCACCAGAAATGTGAAGAAGCCACTGCGTCTTGATGGTTATGACACAGATGGCCCAAGGAAGGAAACGCGGGGGTCAAAGGGACAGAGAGATTCCAACACTCCCAGTAAAACTTAGGTTACAGCAGACGCTCAATACATACTCTGCAATCAGTGAGTGAATGGCTGAATGAAGCCCCTGCCCTACTTTACTTCATCCTCTTCAGCATCCGGAGGGGCTGGCTCTGCCCTCTGATCCCAAGTGTCCCCCTCACACCCTGCAGGTGGACCCTGGTCAGAGCTGCCTTCTGGGCCCCCTCTTGTCCTGCCAGGAGGTACTAAGGGCACTGGAAGGTGGTGGGGTGACGGGGGATAGGCAACCCTATGCACAGCCCACCCCTCCTTGAGGCTGGACCCCAGGATTCAAAGGCCACAGCCCTGGCCTCCCGGGAGCTCATGGGCTGCTGAAGAGGCACAGATGGCAACCATTCCACCTTTGGCCCCTACCTAGGGCTCAGGTTAAGTCTTTTGCCCCCTACCCTTCTCCCTACTTGGAGGCTCTTTATAGGGTGTGACCAGCAGCAAATCTTAGCATCCCTACTTCCCCTAAATGTGCAAAGCCAGGGCCAAGATGGAATTTGCTCAGACTATCTAACAGAATTTTTCAACAGCCCCCTTCCCTATTTATAAAAAGGATCACATTGATTTGTTCAAAGAGCCTCTGGGTGCCTACTGTGTATCACAAGGCACCTGCTCTCATGGCGCTCACCGTCTAGGACAGGGCTGTTCAACATCTGATCATGTCAGGGGAACTTATTACAAAGGCAGGGTCCTGGGCATCCCCCTGACCTACGGAATCAGTGGCTCTGAGGCCCAGCCCAGAAGGCGGTGTTCAGCCCGGAAGGCGGCGTTTCTACCAAGAGCTTCAAGTGGTGCTACGCATGCTGGCCTAGTGAGACGCAGAAATCCTCTACCTCTTCCTTACGCATTCTCTGCACTCTGGTAAACCGTCGGATCCCACAAAGGCTGGCAACATCGGATCCCACAATGGCTGGCATCTTACTCTTCCCCAGGGGTGTTCTTACCCCAGTGGTGCACGTTAAGCAGCACAGAGTTCAGGGAGACTCACGAGACTTTCAGTCACCAAGTGTAAAATGTCATCGGCCTCACCACATGACCAGGCAATCCCCCCGCTAGCTATGTCCTCAAATAACTGAAAACATACGCCCACACAAAAACTTCAACACAAATGTCCACAGCAGCCTTATTCACAATAGCCCCAAACTGGAAACAACCCAAACACCCATCAACCGACAAATGGAGAAACAGGATGTAGCCCTCTCCAGAAAATGAAGTGTTATTCAGCCATAAAAAGAAGGAAGTGTCCAGTGTGGTGGCTCATGCCTGTAATCCCAGCACTGTGGGAGGCTGAGGTGGGTGGATCACCTGAGGTCAGGAATTTGAGACCAGCCTGGCTAACATGGTGAAACCCCATTTCTACTAAAAATACAAAAAATTAGCTGGCTGTGGTGGCACACACCTGTAATGCCAGCTACTCGGGAGGCTGAGGCAGGAGAATTGCTTGAACTCGGGAGGTGGAGGTTGCAGTGAGCTGAGATCATGCCACTGCACTCCAGCCTGGGTGACAGGGCAAGACTCTGTCTCAAAAAAAAAAAAAAAAAATTACTGGCACAGGCACAGATGAACCTTGAAAACATGATGCTAAGTTAAAGACGGTCATGAAAGAACACGTATGATTCCATTCATATGAAATATCCACGGTGGCTCACACTTGTAATCCCAGAACTTTGGGAGGCTGAGGCAGGTGGATCGTGAGGTCAGGAGTTTGAGACCAGCCTGGCCAACATGGCGAAACCCCGTCTCTATTAAAAATAAAAATAAAAAATTAGCCAGGTGTGGTGGTGGGCGCCTGTAATCCCAGCTACTCGGGAGGCTGAGGCAGGAGAATCGCTTGCACCTGGAGGCTGCAGTAAGCCGAGGTTGCGCTACTGCACTCTAGCCTGGGCGACAGTGAGATTCCGTCTCAAAAAAAAAAAAAAAATCCAAATAGGCGAATCCGTAGAGACAGAAAGCTTGGTGGTTGCAGGGGGTGGGAATGGGGAGTGAGAGTTGAAGGGTATGGGGCTTCTTTCTGGGGTTGATGAACATATCCTAAAATTGTGGCAATGTTTGCACAGCTCTGAATACATGAAAACTGCTGAATTGCACTTAATTCCATATAATTGCATTAAATGAATTGTATGGCACGTGAATTATATTTCAATAAAGCTGTTCCCATCTCCCCCAAAAAAGTCACCTGCCTGAAAACCCTCTGGGCTTCTATTCCTGCTGTTCCCTGTGGAAGTGCCTTTCCTGTTTCTCTGCCTTTGAACTCGGAGTCACTTGTGACATCAGCTCAGACAGTGTGTGTGCGCTATGAAGCTAGGCCCCCAGCACAAGTAACCCCTCCCTTCTCCGAGCGCCACTGACCATGTTCTTCCCAGGGACACCAGGGGGTGGGGAGCAGTTTGCATGTGGTCATCTTGGTGTCTCCACCGTCCAGCACCATGTCACGTGCCCAAAAGCCTTCAATAAATATTGGATCAATGGACCCAGGAAAGACTAATTTATGTTCCTTATGATATGATACTAAGGGACACAAACAGCTGCTAGACAAATGCCCACTTACTGGGGGAATGGCGTTTCCTAGCTCACATTGTGTTCTTTTTTGAGAACCCAAGGTAGAAATTTTAGAGACACTGGACTTTTTTTTTTTGGACTTCTTTTTTTTTTTCTTGTTGCCCAGGCTGGAGAGCAATGGTGCAATCTTGGCTCACTGCAACCTCCACCTCCCGGGTTCAAGTGATTCTCCTACCTCAGCCTCCCGAGTAGCTGGGATTACAGGCATGTGCCACCGCGCTCGGCTAATTTTTTGTATTTTTAGTAGAGACAGAGTTTCTCCATGTTGGTCAGGCTGGTCTTGAACTCCCGACCTCAGGCGATCCGCCTGCCTTGGGCTTCTAAAATGCTGGGATTACAGGCGTGAGCCACCGCGCTTGGCTGACACTGGACTTCTAAGCAATCAGTGGGTTTATTCTTTGCCGGAAAGTCTGTATAAAACACACAGCCCTCACCAGTCACTGCCTGGTCATCTAGTGGGTGAATTTGGTATTTTATTTTTACCACCGACTTATTTTACTGACCTACCCTTATTTTCCATTTTCCCCATATTTGCTATTATTTATTTTAAAAATTTCATGGTAGCAGATTAATTTAACAACGTCACCTACAATCCTTTTTGGAATAAGGTGGGGTGGAGGGTAATTTTAAAAAGAATTCAATATAATTTTTGCATTATGCACATTATATTCCGTTATAATCTGTGAAAATTGGTGGCAGAGATGATTACTCTGTATCAGTGCATGTTACCTGGGAGGGGTTTTGTTCCCCAGGGAACACTGGGCAGCATAGGGAGGCATTTTTGGTTGTCCCAACTGGGCAGGAGGTGCTACTGGCAGTAGGCAGAGGCCACGGATGCTGCCCCATGACAGAGAATTGTCCAGCCCAAGTGTCAATGGTGCCAGGGTTGAGGAGGCCTGCTCTGTTACCAGCCAGAATCTGGGATGGTGTCTCCCTGATCACATCGTCCAGACAAGGGAAGCCTGGAACATTCATGTGTGGGGACACGCCCGGCCCGGTGCTGGGATGACAGGCGTGAGCCCCCGCCCGGCCCGGTGCTGGGGTTACAGGCGTGAGCCACCGCCCGGCCCAGTGCTGGTAGGCTTTGGTCAGAGGCATGGAGCGTGGCTGGTTGACTTCAACCTACAACCCATTTCTGGTTCTTTTTCTGTCTCTCCGGTACCTGCTGTTGATAAGATGAAGCAGCTAGCTCTTGCTGTGATTCACTGGAGAGCAGCCACCCCCATTAAAAGCTCTGCTCTGTGTCCCTGGAGTGCACCACAGACAGCATCCCTGCTGTAGCGGAGGCTTCCGGCTCAGTGCCTGGGGTCCACTCCTCCCCCTTGGGCCTGGAGAGGCTGGAAAGCTGGGGCCGGCCAGCTCCTCCCCTACAATGGCAACAGGCTCGCAGTGGAAGGGGGCGGATGCCCTCTCATGCACAGAACGAGGCCTGTGGAGGGCTCAAGGTCTGGAGAAGGTTTTAGATATGGCTTTTTTTTTTTTTTTTTTTTTGAGACGGAGTCTTGCTCTGTTGCCAGGCTGGAGTGCAGTGGTGCGACCTTGGCTCACTGCAACCTCCACCTCCTGGGTTCAAGCAATTCTCCTGCCTCAGCCACCTGAGTAGCTGAGACTACAGGCACGTGCCACCATGCCCAGCTAATTTTTGTATTTTTAGTAGAGACGGGGTTTCAGCATGTTGGCTAGGATGGTCTCGATCTCTTGACCTTGTGATCCGCCACCTGCCTGGGCCTCCCAAAGTAATGGGATTGCAGGCGTGAGCCACCACGCTTGGCCTGACATGGCTTTTAAAAGCACAGCCTCCAGCAGCTCCTCCGAGAGTGAGACTGAGGGTCTGCATCCTGCAGAGACCGCCTTGTCCGTGCTGAACGGAGTGTGGTTTACACCCAAAGGTGGCTTCTTGCCCAAGGAAGGGCAGAGGATGTTGAACAGTTGAGGGGCTGCCCCAAAGGAGCAGTTTCTAAGAACAAAGGGAGGCAGGGCCGGTGGCCTTCCTGGAGGAGGAGTCCACCAGGAGAGTAAGAGCTGAAGACCCCATAGGGGCTAAGTGCTGTGAGTGTGGCTTCCTCCAGCTGGGGCATGAAGCAAGGGTCCCTGGGAAAGGCCTGAGCCACCCGTGTTCAAGGCCAAGTCAGCCAGCAGGAGAGCGCATCAGCGGTGCCCAGGAGTATGGCAGGGCTCCAGGGAGAAGGTGGGATCCATGTGGAATTCCAGGAGTGTCCTTCTCCTGAGAGCAGAGGCAGGAGGGCAGATGGCGGGAGCCTGTGAGGCAGCAGCAGGTTCTGTGTCTGGAGTAGGGTGACTCACTGGCCTTGCCAGAGGGCGCATCAGATGGTGGGAGACTTGACACGGAGGGACAGTGGGAGGCCGAGGGAAGGAGGAGGCCACAGGACCGATGACAGGACATGTGAGCCTTGCCCAGAGCGCACATCCCACTGGCGGGGCCCATTCTGTGGTTGGGCTGAGTGGACTGTGCTTGAAGCTGCAGGTGATGCTAGGACAAGGCCTCCTGCAGGCCATGTGTGTGCTTCCCGGGAACCGGCTTTGCACGGTCTGCAAAGCCAGTTCCTCCTCCTTCCTCTTGCTCACCAGGACCTCATGGCCCCACTCACTTCCAACTCTAGGAGCCCAGAAAGGGGAGAGAGGCCCGCGGCTGTGAGATGGCCGGCTCTGCTCTGAGTTGCTGCTGTTTCCCATGCAACTCTCCAGCCCCAAGCGAGCACCTCTCTTTCTCTTCCTCCTTCTGTCCTCAGAAGCACCCTTTGAGACGTAACAAGACCAACAACAATGACCACGGCGCCAGCACATGGGTGGTGCTCCCTCTCCTTGCTTGTCCGAAGAGCCTCCAGGGGAAGATGCCCCAAACCTCCAGGAAGGGGCCTGGGGATCGGTAGTGTAACAGGTGTGGCTGGGCACAGTGGCTCATGCCTATAATCTCAGCACTTTGGGAGGCCAAGGTGGGTGGATCGCTTGAGCCCAGGGGTTCCCAGCTAGCCTGGGGAACCTAGTGAGACTCATCTCTACAAAAAGCACAAAAATTAGCCAGGTGTGGTGGTGCGCACCTGTGGTCCCAGCTACTAGGGAGGCTGAGGCTGGAGGATTACTTGAGCCCAGGAGGCTGAGGCTGCAGTGAGCTATGATTGCACCACTGCACTCCAGCCTGGGCGACAGAGCAAGGCGCTGTCTCAACACAAAAAACAACAAAAAACAGGAAAAACAGGTATGGCCCGTGATTCCTGTGGCCAGGTCAGCTCCAGAAACACCTAGCACATCATCAGTCGGTTACAAGGCAACCACCCAGTGCAGGAGTCTGGGTCTCTCTGCCTTTCCTCCCACCTCTCCTGCAGCAGCCCTGTGGGGGAGGGAAGGGCTGTTCTGTCCCTTTAGGGAAGCTGGGGCTGGAGAGGCTGGGGCTGCAGACGGATGCTGTTTCCAGGCCTGGGATGACCATGACCACCGAGGCTCCAATGTGGTGCCCGCTGCCAGCAGAAGCCCTCCCAGCCCCGACCCAAGCCCCACACAGCTGCCAGCCGTGGTCCTGGGCAGGCCCTCAAGGAGAGCACTGGGCCTGCCAGCTGGCTTTCTCCCAGCCCCTGCGTCTGGCCCGGCAGCTCTTCCGGAATGACTGGCTGCTCGCCTCCCTCCCTCCTCCTGTTCCTTCCTGATGCCTCCGCCCCTTGTCTGCGCGGCACTGAACTACATCTCTAAGTGAGACTAGGTGCACGAGTGAGACCCCAAGATGGATAGACAGGGGACAGTCCAGGTGCCTGGACAGCGACTGCTGTGTGGGAAGGTCCCTTTTCCAGGGACGGGAAGGGCCTGCATTTCTCTCCCACAATGAGCCAAGCCTGGAGCTTTGAGTTATGTCACCTGGAGCTTATTTAGTCCTCAGGACAATTCTGCTGTAGTGACCCCGGTCTCCACTTTCCGGGTAAGGAAATCGAGTCATGGAGAGGCCAGGGGACTTGTCTGAGGTCACACAGGTAGCCGGTGGGAGCCCGGGTTCCTCCCAGGACACTCAGGGATGTCCCCGCAGGCTCAAGGTGTTGAGTCAATCCTTGGGGCCTGTGGCAGGTCGAAATGTGTCCCCAAAAGACAGTTGAGATCCTAATTCCTGATACCTGTGAGTGTGACTTTATTTGGAAACAAGGTCTTTGCAAATGTAATCAAGTTAAGATGCGATGGTCCTGGATTAGGGTCAGCCTTCAATCCAATGACTGGGTTTTTGTTTTTTGCTTTTTGTTTTTGAGGCAGGGTCTTGTTCTGTCACCCAGGCTGGAGTGCCAGTGGTTCGATCTCGGCTCACTGCAGACTCTGCCTCCTGGGCTCAGTGATCCTCACTTCAGCCTCAGGAATAGCTGGGATCATAGGCACTTGCCACCATGCCTGGCCATTTTTTGCATTTTTTGTAGAGACAGAGTTTTGCCACATTGCTCAGGCTGGTCTTGAACCCCTGGACTCAAGTGATCCACTTGCCTCAGCCTCCCAAGATGCTGGGATTATAAGCATGAGCCACTGTGCCTGGCCATGACTGGTGTTCTTATAAGGAGAGAGAGATTTGGAGACAGAGGCCCACAGAGAGAAAATGGCCATGGGACGGCAGAGGCAGAGGTTGGAGCGATGTGGCCACAAGCTGAGGAATGCCCAGGCCTGCCGGCACCACCAGAAACTGGGGGAGGCAAAAAGGACCCTCCCTGGGGCCTTCGGAGGAAGTATGGCCCGGCTGCACCTGGCCGTTGGACTTTCACCTCCCAGAACTGGGAAAGAAAAAGCTTCTGTTGTAAACCACCCAGCTTGTTACAGCAGCCTCAGGAAAGTAAAACAGGATCTTTCCCAAGATGGACCCCGTTCCTTGGGGACCCCTCTTTCCCAGGATGCACTTGGCCTTGTAGACAGGTTAACTTGCCATCCCCCCTGGTCTCTGCTGTTTTTCTCCTTCCCCTCCTCCTGCCCTCAGTGCCCTCCTTCCCGCCTGTCCTTTAAGACACACCTGGATTCCCAGCTCTTCCCAGCTGGAAGTGATGGCCTATGGTTAACTGAGCAACTACAGTCTGCTCAATGAACCTGGCAACCAACCAAGTACTTCCTGGTGAACCTGAGCTTGTGGTAAGAGCCTGGGATCTAGAGTCAGAAAGCACAGGAAATCAGGACTCCTGCCCTGCCAGGAGTTCATGACCAAGGGTCAGTGCCCAAGGACCGCAGAGGCTCCCTGCCATCCACATCTGGACTGCAGAGAGAGCCTCAGACCAGCTTCCAGTCAGTCCTGTCTTCCCACCATCTAGGATGCAGCCCGAACGAGACATGTGCTTTGGAAAGTAGATTAAGACCAAGACCACGCAGCGCCTTCCGACCTAAACTCACAGAGGCTGGGGGTGTTCCGGGTGCCAGGGACAGACAAAGCTCTGATCTCAAAGCAGTGCAGATGGGCAAAGAGCAAGGCAACCGAGATGGAGGAGGGGTGAGGAAGACACTCACTCAGGAGAGGGGCTTCTGATGACTTCATAGGTGCTTGTTTAGAGTGGGTGCTTGGGACAGTCTCTTTGGGGACCAAGCTTAGATGTGACAATGGGAAGGAACCAGGCCACGTCTGGGGAGGCAGCCTCCAGGAAGAGGGAACAGAAAGTGCGATGACCCTGTGGATGGAATGAGTTCCCCTTTGGGGATACAGAAGGAAGGGGCGGCGTCCAGAGCCTCCTGAGCGGGAGGGAGAGGGGTCCGAGTTGAAACCAAGGAGGCAGGCTAGGGCCACGTAGAGCCTTGCGGGGAGTTTGGGTTCACTCCCAGCACCATGGGGAGCAGAGGAAAACACAGCTGAACTGAGGGCTGGTGTCCAGTCAGCACAGTGTGGGCCCGGCCACAGCTTCTGGCCTGCCATTCTGAGGCCACATCTCTGAACCCTAACGTCCACAGGGGAGGGGAAGTGTGTGCTAGGCCAGCTGCCCTCACCCTGCTCCCTCATGCTTACACAGGGGCTGTGTGGATTTAAAAATTCATCTTAAAATTCTTTTTAACAGCAATAATTGAGGACAGTTTAAACAATGGGGAAGTGTAGGCCGGGCGCGGTGGCTCACGCCTGTAATCCCAGCACTTTGGGAGGCCGAGGCGAGTGGGTCACTTGAGGTCAGGAGTTTGAGATCAGCCTGGCCAACGTGGTGAAACCCCGTTTCTACTAAAAATACAAAAAATAGCCGGGCATGGTGGCTCGCGCCTGTAGTCCCAGCTACTCGGGAGGCTGAGGCAGGAGAATCGCTTGAACCCAGGAGGCAGAGGTTGCAGTGAGCTGAGATTGCACCACTGCACTCCAGCCTGGGTGACAGAGTGAGACTCTGTCTCAAAAAAAAACTGGGGAAGTGTAACAGGCATGCTGCCGTCCACCTCCATCAGCTACAGCTCAGTTCAGCTGATGAAATGCCCAGGCCAGGGGCACAGCTGGTTTCTTGCGGCACCGGGCAGTGCCTATCCCCAGGTATCATCTTTTCTATATTCATATTTAAGACCAAGTTTAATGGTGACCCAGCCCAGTCGCTGACGGAGAAGAGGTAAGCACAGAATAAATTTATCTGGGATCTTTAATAACTGGTGGTCTGAGTCACGGAGCATCCCACCCACCCCGTCAACCCTGGTGCAGCAAAATGAAATTCACCAGATAGAGTGAGGCCACCACCCTCCCCGCCCCACCTTCACCCTGACCTGGGTGTAACAACAACCTCTGGCCCATCAACTGCTAAAGGGACTTTGTTGGTGGGGTGAGATGGCTCATGCCTGTAATCCCAGCACTTTGGGATGCCAAGGTGGGCAGATCACCTGAGGTCAGGAGTTTGAGACCAGCGTGGTCAACATGACAAAACTCTGTCTCTACCAAAAATACAAAAATTAGTCAGGCATGGTGGTGCATCCCTGCAGTCCCAGCTACTTGGGAGGCTGAGGCAGGAGAATCGCTTGAACCTGGGAGGCAGAGGTTGTAGTGAGCCGAGACTGTGCCACTGCACTGTAGCCTGGGCGATACAGCGAAACTCCAACTCAAAAAAAAAAAAAAAAAAAAGCGTTTGTCTTCTGGTCTCCTCCACTCCCTGAGAAGCGAGATCCCCAAGGGCGTTTCAGCCCCACAGTGGGACCTGCAGTGTCTCCGAGGCTGCTCAGGCATTTTCCTCGGGGCTTCAGGCAAATAAAAGATATGTTCTCTCCACCTGTGTTAGTTCCCTGCGGCTGCCATTACAAAGATCCCCAAATTAGAGGACTTACAACAACAGGAATGTCTTCTCTCCCACTTCTGGAGTCTGAAGTCCAGGTGTGGGCAGTGTTCCCTCCAAACACCCTCATGAGGTGTCCTTTCCTGTCCCTTCCAGCATCTCGTGGCTCCTGTTGGGGCAGGAGACCAGGGTCTGGAGGCAGGGAACTGAAGGCCAATTCCCGCTGATTTCCTATAACTAAGTCAAAAGGAAAACCCCAACTTTCCACGCCCAAGTAACAAAAGAACCAGAGGCTACTCTCTTTGCATGGCGCCCCCTTTTCTGTGTGGCAGACGAAAAATGGAAAATACCTCTGATTTGTCCCCTCCCGCAACCAATCAGGCTGGCTGTGGGCCAAGTCTTCATTTGCATAGAAGTGTAACTTTGTAACTTCATTTCAGCCTCTAATTGGTCACTTTCTGCAACCAATCAGAATGATCACAGGCCACTACTTCATTTACATAAGATGTACACCAGGTAACCAATGGGAAACCTCTAGAAGGTATTTAAACCCCAGAAAATTCTGTATCCAGGTTCTTGAGCCGCTTGCCCACTCCCATCCTGTGGAGTGTACTTTTGTTCCATCTTGGCTCACTGCAACCTCCGCCTCCCAGGTTCAAGTGATTCTCCTGCCTCAGCCTCCCGAATAGCTGGGACTACAGGTGCCCGCCACCACGACTGGTTAATTTTTGTATTTTTAGTAGAGACAGGCTTTTGCCATGTTGCCCAGGCTGCTCTCGAACTCCTGGCCTCATGTAACCCACCCGTCTTGGCCTCCCAAACTGTTGGGATTACAGGCGTGAGCCACCTCACCCGGCTGCTTTTGTTGCTTCATTCTTTCCTTGCTTTGTATGTGCGTTTTGTCCAATTCTTTGTTCAAGATGCCAGGAACCTGGCTGCACACCCTCCACCGGTAACACCGAGACTCCTCAGAGTCCCTTGGGTTGTGGACCCGTCACTCCACTCTCTATCACCACATGGCCTTCTTATAAGGACACCAGTCGTAGGAATTAGGGTCCATTCTAGTCTTGTATGGCCCCATTGCCCCATCTTAATGATATCTGCAATGACCCTATTTCCAAATAATGTCACATTCTTCTTCTTCTTCTTTTTTTTTTTTTTTTAAGACAGGGTCTCACTCTGCCGCCCAGGCTGGAGTGCAGTGGCACAAATAGGGCTCACTGCAGCGTTGAAATCCTGGGTTCAAGTGATCCTCCTGCATCAGCCGCCTGTGTAGCTGGGACCACAGGCATGTGTCACCATGCCTGGCTAATTTTTTGATTGTATTTAGAGATGGGGTTTCGCCATGTTACCCAGGCTGCCTCCTAAAGTGCTGAGACTACGGGCGTGAGCCACCACACCCAGCCTAACGTCATATTCTGAGGTTTAGGATGAATGTGAATTTTGGGGGGTCTTGATTTAACCCACTAAACTATCCTCCATCACAAATCCTGTCCACATAGGAGAGAGCTGAGGTTTCCCTGAGTTTGGAGGATGGGGTCTGGCCCCTCCTGCATCATCGCCTTGTGTCCTCCACCTTCCTCCCTCCAGCCTAGCCGCCTGGGCCTTCTCTTCGCTCCTCCAGCTGAGAGAGGCATCCATTCCAGACCCCTCTCCTCTTGGGCTGGAATGTTCTCCACATCTTCAGATGATCCCTCTCTCAGAGGGTTCCCCCTCGGCCTCCCTGGTCTTTCTTCATTGCATTGTCCTGCTTTGCTGCCTCGGCCAGTGGTCGCTGTTGGAACTTGTCTCCGTGCAAGCTCGCTGCTTCTCTGCCCCCCACACCCCCAGGCCATGGCTGCCGTGAGGTTGGGGACCTGGTTGCTCTTGTTCATGCAGCAGCTCCAGGATCTGGCTCAGCGCCTGGTGCCAAGCAGACTCTCAATAAACATTTACTGAATAAACAAAAGGAATCAATGACCAGCCCCTCATGAATGCCCAGCGTCTCCTTCTTGAGAAATTTCCAGCAGAACAAGGAGGTCAGCTGTGGCCAAACTAGCGGACCCTTTGTCCTTCCTTTACAGCTGGATTTAGGATACAAAGCCTGAAAAACACTGCCATCTAATGGACTCACAGGAGAAGTGTTTTGTTTCTAAATTACAACCACATATTCAAACAATGGGCTGAAGGACCAAACACGCCGTCCACAGGAGAAAACGTTAAAGGAGCGGTCCTGGCCTGCACTCCACTCTGCACAGAGCACGCAGATGATCCCTAGGGTCTGTCTCAGACGGAAGCCAGATATTTAGTGTTGCCAGATAAAACACAGGACGCCCAGTTAAATTTGAAGTTCAGATAAACAATGAGGAACTTTTTAGTATAAGTATGACCCAAATATTGCATGGAACGTATTTATGCTAAAAAGTTACGCGTTTATCTGAACTTCAAATTTAACTGGCAACTCTACAAGGACTGGGTGGGGAGGGTCCTCTTTGGCTGAATGGCTCTCACAAGGGCATGTTCCTGAGAGGCACAGAAGATAAAGCTGTCAATTTGCAATTGAGAGGGATTTACACCAGCCAGAGAACGGTGGCTAGCAGAGCGCTGTCCGAGGTGCTGAATTCAAAGACAAGCGCACTAAAAAGAATGTCCTTTGGAGGTTCCAAGAAAATTCAGACCTACGTGCCTATCATTAAGAGCAGGGGTCTCCAACACCCAGAAACACATTTTTCCCCATGGAGAAACACACCCACACATTTTTACCCCATGGAGAATTTACTAAACTTTTTTTTTTTTTTTGCGCAATGGAGTCTCGCTCTGTCACCCAGCCTGGAGTGCAGTGGTGCGATCACGGCTCACTGCAGCATCAGATTCTTTGGGCTCAGGTAATCCTCCCACCTCAGCCTCCCAAGTAGCTGGGACTACAGGTGCATGGCACCATGCCTACCTAATTTCTTTGTATTTTGGGGTAGAGATGGGGTTTTGCCATGTTGCCTAGGCTGGTCTCAGACTTCTGGGCTCAAGCAATCCACCCACCTCGGCCTCCCAAAGTGCTGGTATTACAGGCATGAGCCACCGTGCCTGGCCTCATTTTCTTCCTTTATACATTTTTGTTGTTGTTGTTGAGACAGTGTCTCACTCTTGTCGCCCAGGCTGGAGTGCAGTGGTATGATCTTGGATCACTGCAATCTCTGCCTCCTGAGTTCAAGCAATTCTTCTGCCTCAGCCTCCTGAGTAGTTGGGACTACAGGTGCGCCCCACTATGCCTGGCTATTTTTTGTATTTTTAGTAGGTGGTGTTTCACCAGGTTGGCCAGGCTGGTCTCGAGCTCCTGATCTCAGGTGATCCACCCGCCTCTGCCTCCCCAAGTGCTGGGATTACAGGTGTGAACCACCGTGCCCAGCCCTTTTATACATATTTATATGGCTGAAATCAGACTTCCCACCCCACCGCCCCCCTGCCCGGCCCTTACCGATACTTCATGCCTGTGCGCTGGGCGGTGCAGCCGTCCAGGGAAAGGCCGTGCATGCGGAGGAAGCTCTCCATGTTCCTGGCCTGGGCAGCCGCCCGCACCTCCCGCAGCCGCTGCAGTTCCAGCGTGTCCGTCTGGCGGACGGGGTGCAGGGCCCATTCAGAGTGGCACCTGCTGCTCACGCTCCGCAGACTCTCGCTGTACGTCATGGACAGCATGGTGCCGCCTGGCTTGGGAGCTGCCACTGTCCAGACGGTGATGAGTTAGACAGTGTGCCAATGCCCCACGTGCCCCAGGCTGGATGGCTGGCCCTGGGGCAGGGGGCAGCTGCAGCGAAACATCCTTTAACTAGTGCCACCACCAGGTCTTGGTGTCTAGGAGTGGGACCCGGCCCCTGGATGTAAACACCTCTTGGCATGAGATTCTCAGTCCGCAAAGCAGTGCTTGCCAGGAACTCTGGCTAAGCTGCCCTTTTCTGTCCCCTGCATCTGTGAGACAAGCACAGGCAAAGCTGCATTCCAGGCAGGACAGCTGCACCCCAAGTGTCCAAATGAAAACGGGAGCACAGAGAGCATGCAGAGCCTGAGCCCCCCAAATGCTGAAGACCAGGGTTGCTGTTCCGTGGTGACTGCGGTACCATGTCATGGTGGTCTCTTGAGGTGGTTCCCAGGGTAAAACTGGGTCAAAAGCTGTCCCTGGGAAAGCAGCGCAGGGCACACCTGTTGCTGAAGTAAACTCTCCTGTAATTATGCCAGGGAGGCACCTCACCCCCGCATGCCAGGTGGCCCCAACATGGGAAGGTCCTATTTGCTCTTAGCCTTGTAAAGGGAAATGCTATCTATACAACACATTCCCTGCTTGTTGAACGCATCATTGCACCGCAGAGATCTTTGGGCTTCATGCTTTTTGCAAAAGAAAAACTGAGCAGAATGCATTTAAGCAGGTTGCGGAGGAGAGTGGCCTGGGGAAATAGGCTTAGTTGGGACAGGGGAGTTTCAAAGTTTCTATGTGAAGAACCACTGAAATATAGCTGAAATGATGAATGCACATTCTTGGAAACTAAAAGCAATGTAAATGTCCATCAGTAGGGAAACTGGTTACCTAAGTGACAGTCCATCCACATAGTGGGAATTTGTGCTGCTGTCAAGAATGAGGCATCTCAACATAGTGAGTGAGTGAGCCCTGAGAGATAGTGGACAATTAAAAGGCCAAGGGAGAAAGCGTGTGTCCAGAACGCAACCACTGGTGTTAATTCATGTGCACAACAGTGAGTGGACCAGTGAGGGCAGCCTCGGGGCTGAGTCCTCACCCTGCAGAGTCTGTGACAGCGCAATGAGGACATGGAGGCAGGCTCAACACAAAGGAGGTCCCCAGTCCAGTGACCCTCACCCCACCTGACTGCAGCCTCGGCCATGGCCCAGGTGGCCTGCACTGCAGCTCTGCATCATCACCAGAGAGAGAAGGTGCAGAGGGGAAGTCACCATTTCAGCTGGGTCAGCTGCACAGTGGGATCCTGGAACCTGGCCTGGGAGCTGGAAAGGAACCAGCACTGTCCCCACCTTCTGCCCCAAGAGAGGAAAAGTTCGATTATCCCTGGGAAGGAGCTGGGAGGGCTATCCTGGGAGCTGAGGCAGCTACAGAGGCTTTAGCACGGTCCTTGAAGGGGGTTGAGATGTCCTGGAGTTGCCCCAGGCTGGGCCTTTCCTGGGGTGAGCTCCAGGGGCCAAAGGAAAGACCCACAAGGGGCAGGAGTTTGTGATGAGCCCCATGTGCTGGGGTCCTTCCAGAATGGGTGACCAGCCTGCTGACCTTTCACTGCTCTGCCTATATGTGCACCCAGAGAGGGGGGCCACCTCCAGGAGCCCCACAGCTGCCTCTTTCATGGGGGTTTCCCTGCAAGTATTCGTCTGTATCTTATTTGCAGGGACCTTCATTCATGTCTGCCCTGTTGTGCCCAGCATGAGGCCTAGCTCAGAGCAGAGCCTACAAATGCCTGTTGCATGAACATGCAATTGAGGTAGGGAAGGTGGGCTCAGAGAAGAGCTAAAGAGAGACCAGCAGGCAAGGAGCCCCCGAGGAGCCCCTACAGGGAGCTGGGTAGCAGTGTCCACACAGGCCTTGGCCCCACCACCCTGGTCAGGGCTGGATGGCCCCCTCCCTAAAGGCGAGCAACCAGTCGTCCTTGGGGAGCCTGCTGTGCTGTCTGCACCTCTGCACCTCTGTCTGATGGGCATGGCTCCCGGGGGTGGGGGGGCTGCGTTTCCCATCCTACCCTCTGTCCCACACAAACCACACCATGTGCCTCTTTCCTGCTGTGATCTGTCTCCATGGCGCTCGCCATCATCCACCTTGCTGATTCCTTTCTAGCTGTCCTGTGTGCTGAATTCACTCCCCTGAAGGTTGAGTCCAGGAGGGCAGGGACCCTTCTGCCTCCTGCCACTGCCACTGCCCCCTGCTCAGTGCCCATGGGAGTGCCCCTCGTGTACAGAGGAGGGACTCAGATACTTGTAGAACAGCAACCAAGGCCCAGGCTCCAAAAGGCCAACCAGGGCTATACCTGGGCATTTCCTGGCAGTGCCAGGCAGCTGTTGGTGGGGGCGGGGCTGGCTTCCTGCCTCAGGCCCAGTGGCTCTTTGCAGGTCGTCCTCTCTTGCTGGGGGGTTCCCATGCCAGGAGTTGCATTCACCACTGCTCATTTCTATGCTGGGAGGGGTGGTGGCTGCTGGACCTCTGGACGCTAAAGCAGGCGGGTACCCTGGCATGGAAAGCCGTCTGCCTTCCAGGAGAATCGCTCTGGAGGGCAGAGAGGCCCGGACTCCAGGAGAGGTTCACCTTAGGAAATGAGGCCCTTGGCACCCACAGACAGCAGCACCAGCTTCCCTTCCCTGCCTACTGGCCGGCCACTCCCTTCCCTCCATGCGCGTGGCAGGCAGCTGCTTCTGAGGTGGCCATGTGGCTAGCTGCCAGTCCGGTGTGGGGCAAATGGGGGCCAACCCTCACTTCCCTGAGGTCTGTGTTTAGAAAGAAGGCCAGCTGGGCAGGCTGTAGCCCCAGGGCTCTTTCTGAAAGGCAGGACCAGCCTCAGACACGCAAGTTCCCTGCCTGGCCCGACCAGGCTGAGATCAATAGCCATTAGCTTTCAAGACATTACTCACAAAAAGCAATCCGGGTCTGGTTTGGCTCTAGAAATATAGCCAAGGCCCCGGGGCTGGAGGACGGGGTGGCTGAGTGCCCAGCTTCTGGACAGGGGCAGCTCTGCTTGTCACCTGCTCATGGTGTGGCCCAGGCAGGCACCTTGACCGCTCCCGGCCTCAGCCTCCACATCTGTGAGGTAGGCTGGGCAGAGGCCTGTTGTACCAGGCTGCTGTGGGCTGCATGAGATGAGGCTTTGGACAACTGGGTGGGAGTTGGTGACGCAGCCAGAAGACAGTCTGTTGGGGGGCGTGGGATAAGACACCAATTATGATAAATGCTGTGGAAAGAAAAATCCACCACCAGGGGCCAGCAGGCAGGGCGGGAAGGAACTTGTGACCACAGGTTTGAGTGAGAGGAGTGAGCCACACAGACACCAAATCTCCCTAGAAAATGCTTAAGGGAAGAGAACACAGATGTGAATAATCGCCCCCTTCACAACAAGATGGTGGAAGGCTGAGTTTGGGGATGTGAGTGGGAGAGGGGAGAGAGGGCAGGACAGAATGGGTTTTGTGGCCAGGATTTAGAGGGCGTCCCTCCCTGTGGGGGCCCGCTTGCAATCTTTCCTTAGAGCTCATGTTGCAGCCCTGGGAGCAGACCTGCAGGTGGGAGCCCTGCGGCACGGAGGGAGCCCAGAGCCTCTTGCTACGAGCTTGTCCCCATGGTGCCAGGGCAGGGCTTGGGCCAGGGAACTTGCGGGCACAGAAATGGCAGCCTTTGGCATGGGGTGGTGGGGTGAGGAGCAGGGCTGGTGCCATGAGGAGCCCATGGCCGCTGGACTCCCCTGAAGGTTGGGTCCAGGAGGGCAAGGACTCTTCTGCCTGCTGCCACTGCCCCCTGACCAGTGCCCACGGGAGTGTCCCGTGCACAGAGGAGGGGCTCAGATATTTGTAGAACAGTAACCAAGGCCCAGGCTCCAAAAGGCCAACCAGGGCTATACCTGGGCATTTCCTGGCAGTGCCAGGCAGCTGTTGGTGGGGGCGGGGCTGGCTTCCTACCTCAGACCCAGCAGCTCTTTGCAGGTCACCCTCTCTTGTGTGGGGGGGACTCCCATGCCAGGACTCTGTACAGCGGGGGCTCCCTGTGGTCCTGAAGGCTCATGACTCTGGGAGGGCTGCCCCAGGGGAAGAAGGATAGGTACAGGCAGAAGGCAAAGAGGCTCTGCCCGTTACCAGCGGTGCCTGGGGACAGAGGACACCTCTGGACTCCCTCACACTGGGGCTCTATTCTGGGCTTTTGCCGAGACTCTAGCAGCGTCAGGTCCTTGGACGAAGGGCCCCCCGGTAAGACACTGCAGGGAGGAGAGAGTGGCCCCACTGCCGGGCTCCTGCCTCAGGGTCCCCACTTCTCCTGTGCTCAAGAGCACAGTGACCCCTGACTTCCAATTCAAAATATCCCAAATCCCGGCCGCTTTCCAGAGTGAGGGTCTCTGAGCCCTGACACTCCCTCACCACCCTGGTACCAAGAAAAACGAGCCCCTCCTCAATAGCCATTGCTAATTACGTGGAACCCACAAGTTCTTTCCTGGGCTGGGCCTGCCTGGTGCAAATCTATTCCTGTAGATCAGGGGCCCAGGGGAATTCACGTGAATTAACACCGTGACATGGAAAAATGCAAGGAAGATGTTAACCTCATTAAGTCAGTAGGAATCACTACCTCACCCCAGACTCCTCTACCTGGAATTTCTGAATTGTTCTGTTTACTGAAAGCCAACAAAGCATACAACCTGAGATTGAGAAGGAACCCTGAGCATCTCTTCTGAATGGTGACACCTGTCCAGAGAGCAGAGAGCCCAGCCAGAGTTCTCCAAAGCGGAAATGGAAGGGGAGCTGCTACCATTCCGGGGTGCGGCTCTACAAGACACGGCATTGCTTCAGTGCAAACACAGAATGATTTTCGCTCAAGGACAATCAGCAAACTGAGGCCCAAACAAGCAGCCCCTGGCTCCCTCAGCACGTGCTTCCTGCACAGACATTTCAGACAAGACCAAACCTCCCTGACAGCGCTCTGGGCAAAACTGGAAAATGCTGAATCTTAATCAATGGTGAACACAGCGAGGTACGAGCTAGACGCCCGTGTCTCCGGCAGATGGGAAAACAGTCAGCCTTGGGCAGGTCTGGGCTGTGAGCAGACTCAAGCGAGAGGTGCTGCCCGGCTGAAACCTGCCGCCCACCACCCCATCCATCACGGTCATTCCAAGTTTACCTCAGGCTGGCTCTTTTTTAAGGTCTTCTGCTTTGCAAAAACACGGAGGGTCTAATTCCGGATCAGACAAAACCACCCCAAAATATGGTCTCCTCTGTTATTTTTCATTCCCGCGGATGCGTGCCCCCAAGCGGCATCTCCACTAGGAAGGTAGCGGCTGAAGGGAGGACTCACCTGCCTTCGTGGGGGCGTCTGCTCGTTAAAAAGGCCACAGTCTGGTTTATTAGGGATCACCAGACACTCTAAGGATCTGGCACAGCGGCTTTTTCATTAGGGAGTGTCACTGCAGGACGTCAGAAGCAATTGGTGAATGAGATGAGTCCCACCAGAGTCGAGTTTTGAGGCAGCGAGTCCATTAGTTCTATTAGGGCGTTTTCATCTCAGTGAAAGAGGCTGAATTATTCACGAGTGCCTCTTCCCCTAAAAGCTCGGGAAGTGCAGTTCCGTGCTGCAACCTGGCAAGGCTGACTCCCGGTGCGTGGGGTTGGGGTGCAGCCCAAGGTGAGGGGGAGGTCCTGCCCGTCCCTCAGGCCTACCCTTGCTGCCTCCACCATCCCCGCGTGCCAGAAACACAAACCTTTGGACCCACAGGTCGAAAGGGGCAGGCCTTGCTCTTTGGTATCTGAGTGCGGGACACAGAGCCTGTGGCTTCCGCATACCACTCAACTCTGAACTGTGTCTGCAGCAGGGGAGCTGGGGGCCCCGTCGTATGGGGCCACCACCCACAGCCAAGGGGGTCTGGAGAGGCCTCTGCTCAGCACACGCGCATGCTCCTCCTGTCCTCTGGGGATACACCCGAGATGGGTATATCTGATACTACCGGTAGCTATAAATGGCAGGAAGGCCCCAGAACCTGCTATTTGGACTCCACACTGCCACTCACTCCAGGCAGGGACACAGGAGCCCTTCTCCACGGCACATGTCCTGACCTGGGGTTTGGGAAATGCTTTGAGACTAGGCCAAACAAGGCTGAGCTCTGGGATGAGGCTAAGTGCTGAGCCCCAACCCCAGGGTCATGACCCCCAGGGTCACTGCGTGTCACAGGATGCCAGCAAAGTCCCAGCGTGACATCATCTTCCGGCTGAGAAAGCGCGCCAGTGAATGTGGGATTTTGAATGGAGGCAGAACCGTCCCCCCATGATGAATGAGCAAACAGTGGTAGCTGCCATGGGGGAAGGTGGGGGACAGGAAATCAGTGCCCCAGTCGCAGTGTGGAAGGTAAATGAAGTGGGAGGCTGGGAGAGCACGTAGAGTCTGGAGGTGCCTGGCTGCGGGTGACTAGCTGCGAAGGCCTTGGCAATTGAAATGGTTTGTCCCCAAAGGCCCAAGCCCACTCTGTCAGATCCCCACATGTCGCCCTGGTCGGGGGGCCTGCGCCTCACTACTGGGTGGTAGCTGCAGCCTAACATGCTCCGAATGAGGCCCTCTCCTTCCCTGGGTCCACTGCTCCTCTCTGTCCCTTTCTGTCTCAGCACCTGCCCATCAGTGGCCAAGCCCTGTGGACGTGGCTTCTGACGTCCTTTTTTCAGGCCCTGCACCCCTTCATTCTCTCTCTGTGCAGTTCCTGGAGCTCAGCCGTCCTGCACCTTTCCTGGGCACTGTCTGGTCTCCTTGCATTAGCCTCTCTCTTCCCTGTCTTACTCCCTGCTACCAGGCTTCCTTCCTAGAGCAGATCTCTGACCCCTGCCCTGCTCAAACACCATAGATGGCTCCCCAGTGCCCTCTGAGTGCATCTGTGCCCCATCGCTAGGCATTCGAGGCCCCCCACCAACATCCACCTCTACAGCCAGCCTCTCTTTATTCTCCATCATGTCCCTGATGGCCCAGGCTGGGTAACTGTCACTTCCTGTTCTCTGTGCACACCTCTGAGCTGTGGCTCAGGCTGTTGTATCTACTGGAATATGCTTCCCAGCCTCTGCGTTGAATCCTGCCCAGCCTTCAAGGACCAGATCCAAGCCCCTGCTGCCTTCTCCGTGAAGTCTTCTTGGCTCTCAGCTGGCTGTGGCCCCTCCTTCCTTGGACCCCAAATGCTCTTTGGGCTTCTCCTGTGACGTGCTCTGCCTTCTGGAGATCATCAGGGCTATTTGAGACCTGGGGTACATGGAAGTATTGCTCCCAATCCTTCACCCCTCTCTGTACCCATGCCCTTTGCCATGTGACTTTATAGCTCCTCCCACTGGTGGGGGCAATATATTTCCAGCCCCTTGACTGTGGGCTGGTTCCTGAGACTTACTTTGGCCAAAAGCACGTGAGCAGAGGTGACAGCGCTCTGACCCCAACCATAGGCCGTAAGAGACCCTGCATGTTTCTGCTTTTCCTCTGGTACTTTTGCCATGGGAAGGACATGCCTGGGGTAGGCCCCAGTTAAGCATGGGAAGATGGAGGACATGGGGATCCAACTTGCAGCTTGGAGACAAACCCAGCCAAGCCAGCTTAGACGAGCTGCCTGGTCAACCCGCAGACACGGGAGCAAGGAAGAGATGCTGATTGCTGCGTGGCACTGAGTTTTGGAGTTGTTTGTTATGCAGCACTTGGTGGACAGCTGATTGGCACAGTGTCCTATGCCAATTCCTTGCCTGGGAGCTGCATGGGGGCAGGGCACATGCCTTGAACGCCTCTGCCCTGTGAGAGGGCCAGGCCTAAGTAACTGAAAGAACCATCCAATAGCCATGTTTAGTGGTATGCTTGGTGTGATGAGGGTGCCCTACTAGGAGTGGCCCCCAGCCTGTTAACAAACAAAGACCCTAGCCCTTAGAGGTCATCTCCAGAGCCCCCACAAGAGACACCCAAGTGACCCCCTGGAGATCCAACGGGTAGGATGGCCAGAGCCTGTGGGCACCAGAATTGGGGCTGAGAGCCTAGAGGGTAAGCTTCAGAGCTTCCCTTGGGGCCAGGAAGGCCACCTGGAAATGAAGGTTCTTAAGCACAGGGATCCCGGCGGGGGGGACAACATGTTGAGCCTGTGGGGTTTTGAGGGCCTTGAGTGGGCTGGAAGGCTCTCACTTGGTCACTGGATAATTTACTTGGCCCCTCCTAGGGGCAGGCCCTTGGAGCTGGATGGTCTGTACCTGTGGGCAGCCCTTTTGAGCTGGCAGGTCTGCACCTGGGATTTTCCTGCCTGCTCATCAGACCTCACCCCTTCCCTTCTGAGGACTGAGGCTGCTCCCGGCTCTCTGAGGATGCAGTTCAGGTACATGTTTTGTTTCACTGATGAAATCCCCTGGGATGAGCGGCATATGTTTGTTAGGATCTGTTATACCATGTGTACATACATCACAATACAAACATTTCATCCAGGGAAAGCATTTGCAAGCCGGAGTTCAGATTTAACTATCTTAAGCAAAATCTTATCTACCAAAATTTCAGTAGGATCTAAGAGTTGGCCATGTCTTCAGAGCTCCCTGTAAGGAGCAGGACCTCCGAGGAGGCACTGAAGGCGTGGCACAGATCACTCTGAGCATCTAGGTCCACGGTCCCCATCAGAGGTGCTATGGCTGGCAAACGGGGGGGGGGGTGGGGAGTGGGGGCGCGGGGAGAGAAAAGCTACATGGAAATACATTGCCACCTCCATGACCACTGCCTGGCACATTGGCAACGATCCCCAAAGCACTGTTACCAGATGTCCGGGTCCGAATAGAGAGACCTCCCGGCCTGACCGCCAAGATGCAGCAATGCATACCAGGGACCTGCTGCCAGAAGCCGTGCCAATTCCCCAAACAGTCCCAAGGCATGGGGAGGCTGCTGCCCATGGGCTCCAGGCAGCCCTGACATTTTACTTCCTAGGGTTGGAGGCTGCACCAAGAACATGCATCCCCTGCCTTACAGGTGAGGGAGAGGCAGCCCAGAGAGAGGAACGGGTCTCCCCAAGAGCACCCTGCAGGGCCCTAAGCCTGGCATCTTGATGTCACATCCTGCTGGGGCACAGTCTCTCGCCAGGTGCCCGGTTTGTTAATTCACCAACAGAAAAACATATCAGAAAGATGTCACTGATCCACGTCGTATCAGTACTGCACACCCCCAAGCAGGCATTAACCTTCAATGAGCCTGAGGAGCTCTGTGAGTTCCAGATCAGGTCAAACCCACAGGCAAAGGGGGAACGGATGGGCTCGCCACGTCCTGTACTCTGATAATGGAAGCAGGGCAAGCTGGTGACCACAGGAAGACATCTCCCTCACTGCCTGATGAGTGAAGCTTTAACGGTAGATTTGGCTGAGAGCTTGGCAGTCATCAAAAGCCCATTTGCTCAAATCAAAGCAAACTTCTGGCAGACCAACACATACAATTAACCTGACTTCACATTTTCCATCAGGACATTGCACAGCATCCTGTGGGTAGGCACAGAGGGTGATGAGCAGAGCCTGGGGGTCTCGGGGGCTTTGGCTTCAGAGAATACACCAGCACACCCTGCTCGGCAAGGGTGCAGTCCTCCCACCCGCTCCCTGGCCTTCGGCTCGCTGGGTTTTAGGGAGAATGAAGACTCATTACCTGTAAAACTGGAGCTGTCTTTTGGGACTCCCATACCGAGTACTTCGGACAGCAATGGAGAAAAGAGAAAAAGGAGAAAGGGAGAGAAGAGAGAGAGTCCACAGTTGGCATCAACCCCAGCAGGTGCAGGTCAGAAAGAACCACCAATGTCCCATGCCCCCGGGCCCCCACCAGTCGCCTGCTCAGGGCAGTCTCTGAGGAAGCGCAGCCGGTGCCAAGTGCTCTGCAGCAGCGCCACCCGGTGGCCACGGGGCAGAGACCCGGAGCCAGTTTCCTGGACACCAAGGGCTCCTTCCATGCCAGGCCCTGTTTTCCGTGGTGAACCTCCGAGTGAGGGTTGGTTTGGATTGAATGTGCTTCAGGACTTGCTTTGCAATATGCTTGTGGGCAATGGCTGAAAACCCTCCAACCCAGACGTGCAGAGCACCCGCGTGCTGGCAAACCCGCACCTGCCCGCCTGGCTCTTCTTAGGACAGACACTGCCTTTCCCTGTGGCTGTCACAGACACGGGCTCTGGCTCAGGCCCCAGTGATTATCCGGAAAGGTCTGGCTTCCCAAGACTGATGGGCTGCTGGGGTACTGCCTGTGCCTGCGTCTTTCGTGGGTTCTATGCTCTGTCCCCAGAGGCTCAGCTCTCACTGAACGCCCTCCGCAGCTGTCGCTGATGTTCAGCGCTGTTTATGGTGCAGACAGAAACACCCAGGGCTGCAAGCGGAAGTGAGTTCCACAAGGAGGGGGTCAGGATGCCCCAGGAGCATTTGGCCGCCCCCACTCCCTCCAGTGTTGGGAAACCGGCAGACGTGGTTCCCCAAAGGCCTGCAAGGTCGTCATCCTCGCTCAGGAGAAACTGGCAGGGCCACAGGGGCTGCGATGTATAAAGTGGGAGGAACAGGATGCCGGGGTTGGCCGTGCACTCACTGTCCGGCCGCTCTGTTAACCTCAAACGAGATATTTCGGAAGGGTCAGGGACAAGAAAGGAGTCTACTCTGGCTCAAACGCCCTGGAAAAGTTTTGGTTTTTCTTTCCCACTTGGGTTTTTAAAGCCCCTGCTCCTTTCTTGGAGAAAACGCTCACCAGCGTGCACCTCAAAACCCCGTGGAAGGCAGAAGCCTGTGGGCCCTGCTTGGGCCCTTCCACCTCCAGAGGGGAGGACAGTGGCCTTGGGAACCCGTCCTCGAAGCAGGACTGACCCTGGGAGGGGGCCTGGGTGAGGGGGCAGGGGGTCACCTGTAGATCATCCCGGGGGAGCCCGTCTGCCGCAGCGAGAGCCGAGCCGGGGAGCCCGTCGTTGATTCTGGATACATGGAGCCAGCCTCACTTATCCAGACTTGCTCGGTTTTTTACAGTGGGAAAATTCTGGAAGAAAAGCAAAATAAGGGAGGGGAAGAGGGTGGTGGTTAAAAAAGATCAACCAGGTTTGGCCGGGAGACTCTGGGATCACAAAGGCTGAGGAGGCTGTCTGGGTTCAGGGCATCGGGGAGCCCCTCAGCAGAGAGACAGACAGACAGACGACAGACAGACACACGGCAGGCAGGCAGGTCCACGGGCTCAGGAGGGGCTGGAGAGCAGGTGACAACTGTGAGAAGGGTTTCCACACTCCATCACTCCACACTCCCACCTTATATGTCGTGGAGGTCCTTCCACACCACCCCAACTGTTGTTCTGAAACCGTAGGTGTAGTTTCTGCTGCCCACATGGTGCAGAAGAGACCGCCCAGGGGGCATCTGTGTACTTTCTGAGCTCCTGACTGCACTGCTGTCCCCCAGGGTCATCGCTGACACTGTCCCTTGCCCTGACTCCAGCCCAGTGCAGCTTCCTGGTGCTGCCATTGAGCTCCTAAGTCAGGCAGCTTCTCAGATGCCACTGATGTCCGCAGCTCCTGGGATTCCTGCCCTTGGGCAGCCCCTGTCCTGGAGTGTGGGCTGCACCTAGCAAGTCGCTTCTAACCAGCAGAACACGGCAAAGGTAATGGCAAGACTGTCACTTCTGTCTTGCTAGAGACTGTCCCTCCTGGCTCTGATGAAGCAAGCTGTGGTGTTGGAGAGGCCCTTGGGGCAGGAACTGAGGGCAGCCTCGGGCCGACAGCTGGCGAGAAGCTGAGCCCTCAGCCCAACAGCCCAAAGAAAGGAGTCCTTCAAACGAACGAGGGAGCCTGGAAGTGGATCCTTTCCTACCAGAGGTTTCCAAGGTGAGCCCAGTCCCGGCAAGAACCTCGACTGCAGCTCAGGGGTCCCAAAACAGCAGACCCAGCCCTGCTCTGCCCCAATGCCTGACCCACAAGAACCAGGAGATCTCACTCTGGGCAGTTGGAAGCTGCAGGGTTTGTGATGAGCTGTTACAGCAGCATTGATAATGAGTATGGCTGCCAATATCCAGCCGTCCACCCACATCTCTGGCTGCCACCCTTGGGCTGAGCCACTGCTGTCTTTCACCTGAACCCCTGGGTCCCCTCCCAGTGGCTCCCCCCACCGCCTCCTGAACCCTCTCAGCTCTGCACGCCTTCCTCCACCTGGCTGGCTGCTGGTTGGGGGCTTCTATTTCCAAAGTGAATCTGGTCCCATGCTCTTTCCTCCCACTCCTAGGCACTGCCCCCTCAGGCCCCTATGCTCTGCCGCCTGGCCCTTGACCCAGGCCCCCGCCTTCCCAGCACGCTGAGCTCACACTGTCTGCGGATGCTTGCGCTTGCGGCTCCTCTCCTACTGGCTGCGCCCTTGCTGCAGTGCTTCTCAGCGCCATGAGCCCCGACTGTGGGGCTCAGGGGTCCCTGCTGCTCCCCGGCCGACACCACGCCCTTGCTGCCTGCACACGGGTCTGTGGTGCCCCAGTTCCCTCTCTGGGGGGGGTGTGTTCCAGGAGGGCAGTGGTTCTGTGGGTCTCACTCACTGCTGCACCCCCATGCCTGGAACAGGGCTTGGCTTCTGGAAGGACAAATGACCCCTGATCCAAAATCACGTGGTCCCACACCCACAGGCAAAGGGATGGTCTGGGCTCAAAACAGCCCCGCCCATCCACAGCAACCCATGAAGTTGTTGGGAAACCTGACACTTAGCCAAGTGGCTGATTGGCTTTGTTTTTCCCACTCTTTTTCCCCAGAACAGTGACCTCCCGTCACCAGGAAGCCGGCTTCCTCGGAAGAAATCAAAGTAAGGGAGGGGATTCCCAAACAACCTCTGTCCCTGGGGTCAAGGCAGCACAGGTCTAGGTCCCCCTAATAACGGAGGTCTCCTCTGAGTGAGCGATGTGAGCACATGTGTAGACCTGCTGGTAAAATGGGACCAGCCTGGAATACCAGCACTTCGGGAGGCCGAGGCAGGAGGATTGCTTGAGCACAGGAGTTTGAGACCAGCCTGGGCAACACAGAGACATTTGTTTTGTAGAGACCCAGTCTCTACAAAAAAATTAAAAAATAAAAAAATTAGCTGGGCGTGGTGATGCATGTCTGTAATCCCAGCTACTCGGGAGGCTGAGGTGGGAGGATTGCTTGAGCCTGGGAGATTGAGGCTGCAGAGTGCTATGATCGTGTCACTGCACTCCAGCCTGGGTGATGGAGCAAGATCCTGTTTCAAGTAAACCAAAATGAAAACCAAAAACAAGGACAGAAGATGCAGAGAAGATCCAGCACTATGCTAACCTCAGAGGAAGTGGTGGGGCTTGGTGACGATCCCCTGGAGTTTTATTCTTAAAGACCCTCATTTGGGCCAGGCATGGTGGATCACACCTGTAATCCCAGAACTTTGGGAGGCTGAGGTGGGTGGATCACGAGGTCAGGAGATCGAGACCATCCTGGCTAACACAGTGAAACCCCGTCTCTACTAAAAAATACAAAAAAAATTAGCTGGGTGTGATGGCGGGCGCCTGTAGTCCCAGCTACTTGGGAGGGTGAGGCAGGAGAATGGCGTGAACCCGGGAGACGGAGCTTGCAGTGAGCCGAGTTCGCGCCACTGCACTCCAGCCTGGGTGACAGAGCGAGACCCCGCCTCAAAAAAAAAAAAAAAAAAAAGACCCTCATTCAGGCCAGGCACGATGGATCATGCCTGTAATCCCAGAACTTTGGGAGGCCAAGGCTGGTTACCTGGCTTTGGGGTGATTGAATCCCTGCAGCACTGGGGGGCTGGAGGGGCCTCAAAGGCAGCCTCTCTTTGAGCCCATTAGCAGCTCACGCATTTTGCTCTTAGATGACTCAGAGGCAGGAAATCAAATCATCTCACTAAAGTCGTTAAAAAACTGTCGTTAAACTCCTAAAGATGCTGTGCTTTCGATCGGAGGACAGTGCATTTCTTCTTGCATGGAACACTGGCTGAGCCCTGCTGCTGTGGGAGGCTCCCCTACAAGCAATGGAGTTCCTGCCCCCAGGCTCCCCTGAGTAGCTGAGGGACGTGGACAGGAAACCAGGGCTTCAGAGTGGAGGGTTCTGCTGAGAGCAGAGTCATCACCACAGCCCGTCCCCAGGGAGCCCTCCCATGGATGCTGCATAAGCAAACACGGCCCACGGGAGGCAGGATGTCCTCACACAGCCTTGCAGAAGGGGATGGGGGCTGGGATGCCTGTGCCTTTAACAGGGCATGTAGCCCACCCCACACTTCACTCTCTCTTGGGTCTAGGTGCTGAGCTAACTTCCAGAATTCCGGAATCACAAACTCAACTTGGGTTGGAAAACAGTGCAGGGACTGAGTCACTGGCTCCATGAACATAGGGTGGGGGTCCAAGAATCTGCATTTCCCACAAGTTCCAGGTAACGCTGATGCTGCAGGCCCAGGGACCATGCTTTGAAGACCCCTGGCCTAGAGGCGAGGTTGAGGGCCAGGAGTCTAAGCAGGCCAGAGCCAGCCTGCTGCCTATTTTTGTAAATAAAGTTTCATTAGAACACCTCCATGCCTGTTTACGAATCCTCTCAGGCTGCTTCTGGGCTCCAAGGGCAGGGCTGAGGAGCTGCAACAGAGACTGGCTGGCTGGCAAAGCCTAAATTATTTACTATCTGGTCCTTTACAGAAAGAGTCTATGGGCACCTGCTCTACGGCATCCTCTCTCCCAGGTTCAGGGGACACCTCGCTGCTCCTCCCTTCCCACCCCACCCTCAGCTGCCACTGCTGCTTCCCAGACCCCTGAGAAAACACAAGCAATCAGAAGCCACCTTCCACACACAGCGACACGATCTGTGCTCAAAGCCACCTGCCTTCCCTCCTGTGGCTACCCAGTGAACCGGCCCCACAGTGTCCATGGTCACATGGCTGTCCCCAGCCCCACACCCACTCAAGGGCATCCCAAGCCCATTCCTCCTTCTTCAGGACGCACTGCCAGCTGCACCCAATAAGTTATTATTTCTCTCATCTCCAAAGAAAACAAAAAACACAGTTTCTTTTTTCTTTTTTTGAGACAGAGTCTCACTCTGTCACCCAGGCTGGAGTACAGTGGCACAATCTCAGCTCACTGCAACCTCCGCCTCCTGGGTTCAAGCGATTCTCATGCCCCAGCCTCCCAAATAGCTGGGATTACAGACGTGCACCACCATGCCTGGCTAAGTTTTGTATTTTTAGTAGAGACGGAGTTTCACCATGTTGGCCAGGCTGGTCTCCAACTCCCGGCCTCAAGTGATCCGCCCGCCTCGGCCTCCCTAAATGCTGGGATTACAGATGTGAGCCACCTCACTCGGCCTAAAAAAGCAGTTTCTTAGACCCACTTTCTTCTCCACTGTTTCTTGCCTTCCATTTGAGAAAATTCCTCAAAAAGTTTTCCTTCACTTATCTGCGATTCCTCTTCTTCTTCCGGCTTATAAACCAACTCCAATCAGCCTCTGCCCTCACCACTCCGTGGAAACTGCACTTGCCAAGGTTGCGGTGACCTCTTCGTTGCTAGGTCCAGCGGTGCCCATCGTATCGGGGTGACAGAGGTGCTGCCTGCGGCTTCCCCAGCTCCCAGGACTCCACGCTCCCCTCTCATCCCTCCAGCCACTCCTTCTCAGTCTCCTGGGCTTCTTCCTGCTCATCGCTGTCCTCCAGTGGCTGCCCTTGCTCAGCTCTTGAATATATTCTTTTCCATCCCCACAAAGCCCCTCAGATTTCCACCCATCTCGTGGCTCTGAACCCCGTCCCCATGCTGCAGACCCCACCCCCTCTACCACTCCCCTGAACCCCAGAGCTGTTTATTTCCTGCCTGTGTGGCTCAGCTATGAGGGTGGGGAACGTGTGCCTCGGATTCCTGGGTCAGACACTGAGCTCCCGACTGCCCTCACCCCCAGCCCAGTTCTTCCCAGGGTGGCCCCAGATGAGTAACGAGCTCCCCACCCTCCCAGGTGTCAGTCCCACTCCCGGGAGTCACCCCGACTCCTCCCTTCCTCCCACGTCCCGCCTCCCACATCCAATCCATCCCTGGGCCAGGGGCCCCGTGCCTCTCCCTGTCTCCTCTCCTGCCCAGCTGCCACCGGCTCTCATGCTGCTCCTCACAGCATTCCCTGCGCCCACCTCCACCCCCGCCGGCAGACTCTACGCGGCCAGGGTGATCCTCCCAGAACATAAGTCAGATTATGTCACTGCTTCACTCCAAACCTTCCAATGGCTTCCATTCCATTCAGAGCCAAAGTCCAATCTCAACAGTGGGTCCACAACCTTTCTAGCCACATCCCCCGCTGAGCCCCTCACACACTGGCCCCTGCCACACTGGCTCCCTGGGGGTCTGTGAACCCAGCAGACAGACTCACTCCCACCTCAGGGCTTCATGCACTCCTCCTCCTCCGGCCCGAATTCAACTTCTGACCACCGTGGTCTGCCTGAGCATGCTCCCACGTTTGCCTCTTTATGCCAAGGTCACCTTCTCATGGAGGTCTTCCCTGGACGCCTCCCTTTCATCGCAGTCCCCGTCTCCCCCACACTCCCTGGTCCCTCCCCTGGGCTGTTTCTCCCCAGCGCCTGTCACCTGCTCACACGCCTTCTCCTCCACCTACTCGTCTCGCTTATGCTGTCTGCCCACCAAGATGCCGGCTCCGGGAAAGCAGGGAGTTTTGTCTGCTGGTTCCCAGCTGTGCCTGGCACCTAGTAGACATGGAACAGATATTTGTTGAGTGAATGAATGAGTGGATGGATACCTCTGTGACCCAGCCTGCTGAAGGCCAGAGGAGAGAGAGCACTGGAGAGGCAGCCGGGGCTCGCAGTCTGCGTTACTGCAGGTAGCACAGCCCATGGCGCTGGGGACAGGGCTCGCACGTGGAACAAGGGCAGCTTTCTCCGGAGGGTGCAATGCCCACTGTGTCCAGTGGGGGTGCTCAGGGCAGCTACAGGTGCAGGGACAAGCGGCACCACTGGCCACTCAGGGAGGCGTCCCTGGGAGGCCACCTGTCCCACTCCCAACCCCTCTGGACTCCGAGAAGTGTTGACCCGAGGTCAGGCTGTATCTGTGCCAGCAGTCAGCTCTCCAGCCTGCAGCCACAGACGGGAACTGTACACCGTTTGATGACCACATTACAAGGAACTGCAGGCCATCAACACAGCCTCTGTTTCATTCCTCCCCAGGGTCCCAGCAGCCCAGTCCACCACCTTTGCCACCTCCCAGGGGAGGAGGGGTTGGTGAGATTTCCCCACAGCCCCTGCTTTGCATTTCAGGACGCAAGACACACAGGCAGAGCCGACTGGCCCAGAGTCCACCTTGTCGAGCTGCAGACACCACTGTCCAATCAGGAGCGACTGCATCTGCCAAGGAGCCAATCCCTGTGGAGCCAACATCCTAAAGGGGATGCCGTGAGTTCCAGGCTGGCACAGTGGCTCCTTTAGCGCAGAGGGAGGCAGGCACAGCTAAGCTGGGTGGCCCTGGGATCCCTGACACCTCCGGGACTTGGGAGAACAGGCTTCAGAAACCAACACACCAGACCCAAGAGGGGAGCCTAGCAGCTGACGGGGTGCAGGGCCCAGGGTCCAAGCAGGGAGCCCACAGGCTAGGTCCCTCCCATCAGCTCCACTTCCACTTGGTCTGCGTGTGACCTGGAGCAAATCTTCCGGATTTAGATTTGGAGAAACTGAAGCATGGAGCATTTAGAAAGGCCTGCCCAACTTCTCACGGAGCAATGAGAAGCAAGATGTGAAAATGCTTGGAGCCCAGGAAGGAATCCGGTCATTAAATCCTAGCTCTTTCCCTTTACGTGGTTGGCTGACAAGGACAGGGGACCCAGGAAGGTCGGTAGGCTCCCTCTTTGGGCATTTTCTTTCTTCCTACCAACTCACTACTTTGAAAACTTTCAAACCTCATAAAAGTGGAAATAATTAGAATAGCAATAAATACCCATATACTCTTGATCGCAATCATACACCAATTGTTTACCTCTTGTCTCACTTGTATGCATTCCCGCTCCTCTCTTCCCCTTTTCCTCTCTCCACACACATATGTACACACATACACATGCATACATGCACAGGCACACACCTACATATGCACAGGCACACACACGCACACCACATCCACATGCACAGACATGCACACATACAGGCACACATGCAATGCACACATACACGCACACATATGCACACACACCCACACGCACACACACACATGCACAATACAGGCACACATGCAATGCACACACACATATGCACACCCACATGCCCACACACGCACATGCACACAGGCACACACACACATACACGCACACCCACATGCACACATGCGCACACACCCACATGCACACACACGCACATGCACACACACACTTTTCTCTGAACTGTTTGAAAGTGCGTAGCAATCCCCTGAGCTCCACCCCTCAATACCTCAGCACTCATCTGAGAATTTTGTCTTAACCACAGCACCAGCATTGTACCTAAGATACTTAGTTCAATATCGCCTGATCCTCTATTAGGTGTTCCCAATTATTCCAAAAATAACTCCTACAGCTTTACAAAAATCTGGGATCCATTCAAGGCTCACAAATGGCATTGGTTATTTCTCTCTCATCTCTCTCAATCTAGAAGCAACCCCCCATATTTTTCATTTTTGTTTTTTATGACATTGACCTTTTTTGAAACGTTTAGGTCATCTGTCCTGCTGACAGTCCCTTGCTTTGGATTTGTCTGATTGTAGCTTCAGGATTCAATTTAGCTGAACCTTTTTGGGGAGGTCTTTTCCTTTTCATGCGTCCAGGCAGGGGCGAACAAGCAAGTTTGCCCATCGAGGGCAAGACCAGGTCTGGCCATTTGGTTAAGGTGGTGTCTGCCAGGGCATAGCTCTTTCTTTTCTTTTCTTTTTCCTTCCTTCTTTCCTTCCTTTTCTTTCTTTCTCTTTCTTTCTTGCTTGCTTTCTCTCTCTCTCTCTTTTTTTTTTTTAACAGAGTCTCAGTCTGTTGCCAGGCTGGACTGCAGTGGCATGATCTTGGCTCACTGCAACCTCTGCCTCCTGGGTTCAAGTGATTCTCCTGCCTCAGCCTCCCAAGTAGCTGGGACTACAGGCGCGTGCCACCATGCCCAGCTAATTCTTGTATTTTTAGTAGACATGGTTTCACCATGTTGGCCAGGATGGTCTCAATCTCTTGACCTTGTGATCTGCCTGCCTTGGCCTCCCAAAGTGCTGGGATTACAGGTGTGAGCCACCGCAACCGGCCACTGCTCTTTCTTTTTTTCATGATTAACCAGGAATCACAGGGGAGGTTCTTGAAGGCTGTGTGAATATTCGGTTCCCCTATGACCCCTCAGTGGAGGTGTTTTCTCAACTGCAGTTTTTCTAGAAAGGCCAAGTATGTTGCCAGTTTGAGCTCTGAATGCAAGAGTTGGTGAGAGGACAGGAAGCCAAGTTTGTTTAAACACAGAAAGGGATCCTGGGGGTCTTGAACTGTCATCAAAGCCATAGCCCCAGGAAGGCATTGCTGGTGAGACTCTTTCAGGGACTGATGGAAGGCCCATAGTGCCCCTTTATGGGACTCTGGCTCCTGGGGCAAGCCTAAGTCATGAGATTTAGGGCTGGCAGTTTCCTCTCCACGCTGCCCCATGCCCCTCTCTCTTTCTTTCTTTTTTTGAGACAGGGTCTTGCTTTGTTCCCCAGGCTGGAGTGCAGTGGCATGATCACGGCTCACTGCAGCCCTGACCTATGGGGCTCAAGGGATCCTTCCACCTCAGCCTCCCAATTAGCTGGGATCAGAGATGTGTGCCACCCAGCCTGGCTATTTTTTTTTTTTTTTTAATAGAGATGAGGCCTTACTCTGCAGCCCAGGCTGGTCTCAAACTCCTGGGCTCAAGCCATCCTCCTGCCTCAGTCTCCCAAAGGGTTGGGATTACAGGCGTGAGCCACTGCACCCGGCCAGGGCTGGCAGATTTTTGGAAAAGGTGGACCCATACATAATTCTAGGCAAGGACACACAAGGAAGAGCAGCCCCAGACTAAATGGATAAATGGAGCAAAACTCCCGGGGGCACAGCCAACCAAGGCGAGGGCCTCTCTTGGAGCCTCAGTTTTCTCATCTGCAGAATGGGGGGCCTGGGACCACAATTTCTCTGTTGGAGTTAATGGTAAATGACTATTATATTGGGCGCAAATGTGCCCTGGGAGGTCTGAGTAGGAGCTTTGGGGGCACTGTCTCTGATTCCTTCAACCTCAGCATCAAAGGGAATCTGTACCCTGTCGGAGCCACCTGAGCTGCTTGCATGAGATGGGAAGAAGTCAGTGCACCCAGGTGAGAGAAGGAAATAAATGAATGGCTTAAGCCAAGAAACCACAAGGAAAGGTCAGGACTGAGCCCAGGAGTCAAGGACAGAGACACAAAATAATAGAAGACACTTTCTGATTTGACCTGGTGTGGGGACAACCTGTTATGGTTACCCACATGTTCTGGTTGATGGAGCTGGCACCTGATTTGCATAGGGAGGGCATAAGGGTATGGGAGGTGGAGTTACTGACACCCAATGCCTCACTTCTCCCAGCATCCATGTCCTTTGCTGTGTGACTTTGCTGCCTCTCCCAACACACACACACACACACACCCCTACACATACAAACATACCTATTCACATACACACACCTACACATACATACACACACCTACACATACATACACACACATACCTACACACATATACTTACACATACACACATATACACACACACCTACACACCTACACACATACACACACATATCTACACACACGTACACATACACACATATACACACATAAACACACATAAACATACACATACCTACACACATACACACACACATACACACAAACACACATACACACACCCCATACACGTACATACATATACACATACCTACACACACATACACACATACCTACACACATACAGATACATACACATACAAACATACCTACACACATACACACATAGACATACACACATACACACATATGTACACACACATACACACATACATACATAACACATATACACAATGCACAGACACACGTACATATGCACATACACACACACACACACACACGTTGGAGGGGTGAATTCCTAGCCTTGCGCTCCTGTGCAACCATGTGACTTGCTTTGGCCACCGGAAGGTGATCAGATGTCTCAGTCACAGGAGACTTGCCCCTGAACCTCTGCCATGATCATGGGACAGGCACGCCCCAGTCCACCCTGCTACATATGCAAGAGCCACCCCACCTGGACCAGGCAACCCCAGCTTCTCTGTGACATGGAACCAGCTGCTCCATGAGTGCATGATAAATAAATGCTCGCTGTAGCTACCAGCAGCATCATTATACAGAATTCATCTTAGCGCTTAACCCCAGGGCTCCAGGGAGCAAGTTCTGCTTTGATTTAATCTCCAGGGTCATACTTATAAACATTGAATTATAAGTCCAGTGGGTACCTGGAAACCTACTTCCAGTTTCTGCAAAAGACATTATCTGTCTCTTTATTGCAGATTCTGGAGTACAAAAAATTTGAGCTGGCCGGAACCTTCCTTTAGTGAGAAGTCTTGATCCAAAGTCGGTACTTTGAGGCTGGAGAGGATCTCTCTCTAAGCTGAAATCTTGCCAGTGCTGACTGCACATGCTCTGATCTTCTTTGGGAGCTGGTTGATGACACTATTCCATCCCCTTTGGGTGACCTGAGGCGATCAGTCTGGGTTCCTGGGAAGGAGGTTAGGCCCACTCAGTGGTTCGGATCTGGGCTTTGGAGTTGGCACTGGCTCTGCCATGTGCTGGTCTATGACCTTGGGCAATTCTCTCAGCCTTCCCTGTGTCAGTTTCTCCATCTGTAAAATGGGATGATAATGAGGGAGGACTCAGTGTGCTAACAGGTAGGGGTGTGCAGCGGGGGCTGCAGGAGCTGGGACTAGCCTGTGCCCCGCCCTGGTGTCACATCAGGCAGAGGTGCAGGGATGGCTCTGGCCCCAGGTCTGGGTGTGACTCCTGGGGAGTCACTGACCACAGCTGCTTCCTGGACATCTGTGCCATCTGCATGAAGGCAGGTGAAGCTGCTCTTGTACGGTGCATCCTGGGCAGCGGTCTTACCAGCAAAATTGGTGTCTGAGGGTCCTCGGCCTTGTTACAACACCTGCTCTACTGGCTGCTGGTCTCCTTGGCTGTCAGGAGGCTTCTCTGTCTTTTCCACTTTCCCAGAAAAGGCTCATCTTTTTTTTTTTTTTTTTTTTGAGATGGAGTCTCTTCAGTCGCCCGGGCTGGAGTGCAATGGCGCGATCTCGGCTCACTGCAGCCTCTGCCTCCTGGGTTCAAGCAAGTCTCCTGCCTCAGCCTTCTGAGTAGCTGGGACTACAGGCACACGCTGCCATGCCTGGCTAATTTTTTTGTATTTTTTAGTAGAGACAGGGTTTCACCATGTTGGCCAGGATGGTCTTGATCTCCTGACCTTGTGATCCACTCGCCTGGGCCTCCCAAAGTGAAGGCTCATTTTTATAGACGTGACCAGCCACACCCAAGTGTGAACCCACGCCTCAGGGCGTCATGGCGGGACTTGTGGCGCTTAGGCTTTCTGTGGCTGCATCCAAATTCCGAATCATCCTGGAAGCTCAAAGGTTCCAGAAGGCTGGTTTGCAGATCCCCGAGGTCTTAAGAATGATCACCTTGTATTCCTTATCTATTTGCCAGGCAACTTGGACTCACAGCTTTCAAAAGGCCAACTCTAATACGATGGGGACAGTGGCCACCAGGAGGCGGGGTCCCTGGAGGCCATCCTGGAGGTCAGTGGAGCAACACCAACGATGGACTCTCCCCCAGATTCACCTCTGTAACCATATCCTGTAAGACTGCTGGGAGGTCAGCTCCTCTGGGCAGGGAGCTTCATCTCTTTCCTTCACGGATGTACCCCCGCACCCAGAGCGGCCACCAGCATGTGGTAATGCCTAGTGAACATCGCAGAAGGGATGGAGAGAGGGGGGCTGTTCTGGGCTAGGTGTGACGTCCTGGGTGTCTTCCGGAAGGCCTCGGGGCGAGGACTCCAGCACCTGCTTGTTGAACTGATGTTATTTTGCATGTTGCTTCTGGAACCCCGGAGGTCCCCCCTGCCAAGCCCCCGAAGTATCTGCCGTGACTACTGTATAACACAAAACCATGGTCTGCTTGTTCTGCGTGCCAGAGCCTAGAGGAGCCATGGCAGTGACTGTGCTTCCAGCGGAGACAGGAAGAGGTATAACTGCTCAAAACCGCATGACACAGAAGGGCACTTACACAACACACACTTCCCCTCTCACCCAGAAGCCAGGAGCCCACACAGGAGCCCATTCCTTCCCTGGGTGGGATCTGATGGCAGAGGGTCAATGCTGCAACGAAGGCAGGTGCTGACTCTGAGTGCACTGGGGTCAAGACCCTAGGGGGCCGTTGGCCTGGTGGGTCATGATGGGGATCTGGAAGAAAGGCCCATTTGTCAGAAGGACACCCCAGAGGGTGGGCAGGGGTTGGGAGGTCAACATAACCCAGTTCCCCGACAGCTCCATCCAGACTTTGGCTCAGATGCAGCCAAAGAAATGCGAGGAGAAGAACTGTGCAAACCTTACTAGAGATTGGAGATCCCAGTCAGGATTCCCTGTGTTTGTCACAGAGAAACCTCAGTCTCTCCTCCAATCTCCTGAGGCCTGAGCCGAGGGGACCAGTGGCACGGCGACAGATGTCACATGGTTCAGTCAACAGCAGAAGCATTGGGACCTAACCACGGTGCCCAAGGTCATGACTGCCGAACGGAGCATTTGATGGTACATCACATCAACGCCTCATTAACAATTTTCAAGAAGATCACAAGCTAGAAATTTCAATCTCTTCAAAGCAACGTTCAATGCCTGTTCCCTGATTACAAATACGACAGGTCTAGACTTTTGCAAGAACAGTCCACATTCACATGTAATCAATGCTGCAATGAACAAAAAATAGACCACAGCCAAAAAATTCCCATGCCTGCCCTAGCTCCATCCTGCCTCTCAGTGACCACAGGTGGAAACTACGGTGCCGTGCAGGGCCGCTCACCTGGCACTGGGTGGTGGGTACCCCAGTGCTGCACAGACGGCACGACCCGCAGTGAGTCAGGGCTGCCGCAGGCTGCTCACTCAGTAGCTGGCAGGGCCTGTCCCCTGCAGAGGCAGCAGGAGCCCTCGACAGTTCAGTCCCCATAGCCGCACACCCAGGCCCCCGGCCTCCTCCCTTCAGCCGTCCACACACACACACACACACACACACACACACACACACACACACACACACACACACTGTGTCCCCCAGGAGGCTTACAGCCTCCTCCCTCCAAGACCACACCCTGCACCCATATCCTGCCCAGGGGAAATGGAGGAGGCAAGTGAGAGGGGACGCAGGAAGCCATCACCAGGGAGCCCCTTGCCCTCCCCTCTGGGACAGTGACTCAGGGCTGTGCAAGGGGTTGCAGGGTGGGGAAGTGTTCTGAGGGGTCTTTATCCCCCACCACTGCCCTGTGCTCAGCCCCAAGGGGGAGGGGAGAGAGGAGGGACTGGGGACCCACGCCATCCATGTTCAAGGCAGGGGCCTTCGCGCCTTCCACTCAGAGATGGGAATCCCCAGGCCAGGGCCTCCCGAGAGACAGCAGACAAGATGGGCAGGGCTCTCCCCAGGAGCTGCCAGCCCTGCCCCCTGCAGAGGGACAGAGGTGGCCCCACATGGCTCTCCATCTTCCGGCGTCTCCCTCAACATCATCCCAGGGATGAAGGCAGAAGCCAGGGGAGAATGTGCGGCCGTCAGACATCTCTGCTGGGTGCCAGGCCCACTCTGTCCAGCAGCAGCAACAGGAAGCAGTGAAGGGCCGGGCTGCGTTGGGCAGGGTGTCTTTGGGGTCAGCTCACCCCAGGCTGAGGCCAATCCCTAGGCGGGCATGCGGGGCTCAGGGGTTCAGGCTGGCACAATTAACCCTGGACATTACGGGGGACCTAAGCCCTGCTCAGGGAGCTGAGGCTGCCCACCCGTCAGACAGAAAACCCATCCTAGACAACGGGATCCCCGGAGCACCCCAGGTACCTGCTCCTGAACGGGAACGACCGGAGACAAGGCCATTTTCCGAGCACTCAGGGGAACGCCAGGTCACACATCTGCTGCAAAGCACGCGCCTTGGGACCACAGCACCCAACAGGAAGTTGGTGCAGCGCGTGCCAGAGCTATGCACTGCCGCCGCAGGGCTGAGAAGCCTGGCGCGCCAGGGCCCCGTGGGGTGTCGGGGCGTGGCCTTTGCTCTCAGGCATGCCTAGCGCGTGACCCAGGTGGGAGGGCCCGACATCTCCGACCTTCCTGGATGAGCAGCGGCCAGATGGGGCAGGAGACAGGCAGAGGACAGGAAGCAGGTGGCTGTGAGGAGACAGCCCGGGCCTGTCCCCAAGCGGCCCCTCCAGAGTAGGAGGCAGACCTTCCCTGTCGGCCCAGGAGCCCCTTTCTCAGGGCAGAGGGTTCTGGTGATGTTGAAGAGCTCCCCTCACTGCTGCCAGCAGTGTGCCGGGATCGGCTGTGTGCCGGGATCGGCTGTGTGCCGGGATCGGCTGTGTGCCGGGATCGGCTGTGTGCCGGGATCGGCTGTGTGCCGGGATCGGCTGTGTGCCGGGATCGGCTGTGTGCCGGGATCGGCTGTGTGCTGGGGTGGGCTGCCCACCTTTTACCTGCGCTCCCTCATCTTATCTTCCCTGCTGCCCTGGGAAGGGGTACTGCTGCCCCCCCATGCTACAGGTGACAACACGAAGGGTCAGAGAGCCCTGGACTCAGGGCTGGCTGACTCTAAAGTGTGCTCTGAGCTGTGCACTGCTGAGAAGCCCAGGGCAGGCTCTGCCACTCCATCTCCCAACTTTGTGCCAGGACACAGAGGGGGCAGCCGCCTTGAGGGGACAGGTGGCCCTGGGGAGGACGGGCCAGAGGTAAGAGCACCCTCTGCGGGGTTTTTCTCCCTCCCCGCGGCCTCTCCCTGCTCTGCCATTCCTTCTTGGGGAGGCCCCTCATTCCTTCTTGGGGAGGCCCCTCCTCCCTCCTACGCCAGCTGCTGAGCCTGGGGCCAGGCTCTCTGGTGACTCACTCTGGGCACAGCCCAAGCTCTTTGGGGTACCAGGCAAAGGGAGGACTCGGGTGGAACATTCCATCTCCCATGGTGCCAGCCACCTGCACCGTGTTGAGTCCCTGGTCCCAGGCCACACCCGTGTGTGTGATTCCAGGAGGGAGGCTGGCACCCCCTCTCCTGGCATAGGTACACAGCTCTGAAGCCTACACCAGGGGTGCTGCTGTGTGTTCCCGGCAGGATAAAGATAAAGACAGTGGTTAGGGGAGGTAGAAAGAGGAAAAGGAAGGGAAAATAAAATAGTCTGGGTGCTCACTAGGAAAGTAGAGGTGTCGAGAGACAAACAGGAGGGAGAAGGGAGAAGGAGGAAGGCGAACGAATGGGAAAATGAAAAAGAAAGAGCGAGGCGCCATGACGGAGAGCTGGGGGACAGCAACCCATGTTGAGCCAGCTCTGGGCCTTGCTCCCAACCCTGACTATGACATGCTTTTTACAGATGGGGAAATTGAGGCCCAAGAATATTAAATAACATCCAAGGTCGCTTGGTGAAATTAGTGGCAAAGCTGGAACCAGAGCCTAGGTGTGTCCAGCTCGAAATTGGGGTTCTTTCCTCACACATACCTTGACCTCCTGCCCTGGAGCCCCCCATGGAACTCTGGCTCTGGACAGGTGACCTCTGCTGCCTCCCAGAGCCAGAGAACAGCCGTTATCCTCTTGGCCCCCAGCACGGAGATGTTGCCCTGACTCTGTGGGTCTCCAAACACAGACTGTATTCACGGCTATCACAGACCACAGCTGCAGATGCTGAATCTCACGAGCAGAGGTAAAAGCTAGGGGATGCGAAAGTAACCTCACTGGCTGCTTCGCAGTTTCAGACACACTGAACCAGCCCTCAAACCTCAGCTTCATTCCTGGCTCTTAAAAATAAATTGTATTTTCAGATATTTGCCAACTCTTTTTTTAAAAAGTTTCTTTGGACCAGGAAGGCAGGTGACTGGTAAATGCTGAGTGGCAAAATTAGAGATACTTCATTTAAAAGACACTACTGGCTGGGTGCGGTGGCTCACACCTGTAACCCAGCACTTTGGAGGCCAGGGTGGGAGGATTGCTTGAGGCCAGGAGTTCGAGACCAGTCTGGGCAACATAGTGAGACCCAATCTCTAACAAAAAATTTAAAAATTAGCCTGGCAGCTGGGCATGGTGTCTCACGCCTGTAATCCCAGAACTTTGGGAGGCCGAGATGGGTGGATCACCTGAGGTCAGGAGTTCGAGACCAGCCTGACCAACATGGTGAAACCCCGTCTCTACTAAAAATACAAAAATTAGCTGGACATGGTGGTGGGCGCCTGTAATCCCAGCTACTCGGAAGGCTGAGGCAGGAGAATTGCTTGAACCCAGGAGGCGGAGGTCGCAGTGAGCCTAGATTGTGCCATTGCACTCCAGCCTGGGAGACAAGAGTGAAACTTTCCATCTCGAAAAAAAAAAAAAAAATTAGTCATTCATGGTGGTGCATGCCAGTGGTCCCAGCTATTTAGGAGGCTGAGGTGGGAGGATCCCTTGAACCCAGGAGTTTGAGGCTACAGTGAGTTATGATCATGCCACTGGACTCCAGCCTGGGCAACATAAGAAGACCCACCTCTATAAATAAATAGGTAAAGAAAAATAGAAGGCACTATCAACAGTAATAAGGCAACCCAGAGTGAGTGAAAATACTTGCAAATCCCATATCTGATAAGGAATTAATATCCAGAATACATAGAGAACTAAAATTCAACAGAAAACCAAACAGCCCAATTACAAAAACGGCAAAGGACTTGAATAGATACTTCTCCAAAGACAAGACACAAATGGCTAATAAACACATTAAAAGGTGCTCAACGTCAGTAACCATTAGGGAAATGCAAATCAAAACCACAGTGAGATACTACCTCGCAGCCATTAGGATGGCCGCTATAAAAAAGCCCAGAATAATAAGGGTTGGCAAGATGTGGAGAAATGGGGACCCTGTGCACTGTTGGTGGGAATGTAAAATGGTACAGCCACTATGGAAAACAGTATGGTGGTTCTTTGAAAACTAAAAGTCGAATTACTATATGATCTAGCAATTCCACTTCTGGGGATATACCCTAAATAATTGCAAACAGGGTCTCAAAGGGATATTTGTACCCGTGTGTTCACAGTAGCATGATTTGCAATAGCTAAAACATGGAAACAACCCAGGTTCACTGATGGATAAAAAGATACGCAAAGGCTGAACATGGTGGCTCATGTCTGTAATCCCAGCACTTTGGGAGGCCAAGGCAGGCAGATCACTTGAGGTCAGGAGTTCAAGACCAGCCTGGCCAACATGGCGAAACCCCGTCTCTACTAAAAATACAAAATTAGCTGGGTGTCATGGCAGGCACCTGTAATCCCAGCTGCTCAGGAGGCTGAGGCATGAGAATCACTTGAACCCAGGAGGCAGGGGTTGCAGTGAGCCAAGATCGCGCCACTGCCCTCCAGCCTGGGTGACAGCGAGACCCTGTCTCAAAAAAAAAAAAAAAAAAAAAAAGATAAGCAAAATGTGGCACACACATGCAAGGGAACATCCCTCAGTCATACAAAGGAAGGAAATGCTGACATATGGTACAACACGGATGAGTCTCGAGAACATTCTGCTAGGTGAAATAAGCCAGTCACAAAATGACAAATACTGTACAATTCCAATGATCTGAGGTCCCTAGAGTAGTCACGTGCCTAGAGACAGAAAGCAGAATGGTGGCCCTCAGGGGCAGGGGAGGGGGAATGGGAAGTTCCAGTTTAATGGGGACAGAATTTCAGTTTGGGAGAATAAAAAGGTTCTGGAGATGGATGGTGGTGATGGTAGTGCATATATTATGAATGTACTTAATACCGCTGAACTGTACACTCAATACCACTGAACTGTACACTCAATACCACTGAACTACACACTCAATACCACTGAACTGTACACTCAATGCCACTGAATTACACACTCGATACCACTGAATTATACACTCAATACCACTGAGCTGTACCCTCAATACCAACTAGCTGTATCCTTAATACCACCGAACTGTACACTCAATACCAATGAACTGTACACTCAATACCACTGAGCCATACACTCAGTACCACTGAACTGTACACTCAATACCACTGAACTATACACTCAATACCACTGAACTACCCACTGGATACCACTGAACTGTACACTCAATACCACTGAATTTACGCACTCAATACCACTGAACTAGACACTCAATACCACTGAACTGTACACTCAATACCACTGAACTACACACTCGATACCACTGAACTATACACCTAATACCACTGAACTGTACACTCAATGCCACTGAATGACACACTCAATACCACTGAACTGTGCCCTCAATACCACTGAACTGTACACTCAATACCACCGAACTATACACTCGTACCACTGAACTACACACTCAGTACCACTGAACCATACCCTCAATGCTACTGCACTTTACCCTCAATACCACTGCACTTTACCCTCAATACCACTGAACTGTACACTCAATACCACTGAACCATACCCTCAATACCACTGCACTTTACCCTCAATACCACTGCACTTTACCCTCAATACCACTGAACTGTACACTCAATACCACTGAACTGTACACTCAATACCATTGAACTGTACACTCAATACCACCGAACTACACACTCATACCACTGAACTACACACTCAGTACCACTGAACCATACCCTCAATACCACTGCACTTTACCCTCAATACCACTGAACTGTATACTCAATACCACTGAACTGTATACTCAATACCACTGAACCATACCCTCAATACCACTGCACTTTACCCTCAATACCACTGAACTGTATACTCAATACCACTGAACTGTACACTTAATACCACTGAACTATACACTTAATACTATTGAATTTTATACTTAATACCACTAAACTGTACACTTAAAAGTGGTTAAGATGGCACATTTTATATGTACCTTTACCACAATAGAAAAAACTGGGAAAAAAGAAAAAGAAAAAGAAACTTCTGCATCATGGAGTCAACAGCAGCTCCACATTTGGGTGTATGTGTTTAAGCCAAATATTTAAGCTGGCTCAATAAACATGGCACATGGTGGCTCGTGCCTGAAATCTCTGTAATCTCAGCACTTTGGGAGCCCGTGGTGGGTGGATCGCTTGAGCCCAGGAACTTAAGACCAGCCTGGGCAACATGGAGAAACCCTGTCTCTACAAAAAATAAAATAAAAAAATTAGCTGGGCATGGTGATGTGCACCTGCAGTCCAGGCTACTTGGGAGGCTGAGGCAGGAGGATGGCTTGAGCCTGGAAGGTCGAGGCTGCAGTGAGCTGTGATTGTGCCACTGTACTTCAGCTGGGTGACAGAACAAAACTTTGTCTCAAAAAATATATATGAAAATAAAAATTTTAGGCTGGGTGTGGTGGCCTTACAGGTTTACAGGTGGGATTACATGCCTGTAATCCCAACACTTTGGGAGGCCGAGGCGGGCAGATCACCTGAGGTCAGGAGTTCGAGACCAGCCTGGCCAACATGGTGAAACCCCATCTCTACACAAAAATTAGCCAGGCATGGTGGTGGGCACTTGTAATCCCAGCTACTCAGGAGGCTGAAGCAAGAGAATCACTTGAATCCAGGAGGCAGAGGTTGCAGCGAGCCGAGATCGCACTATTGCACTCCAGCCTGGGTGACAGAGCGAGACTCCGTCTCAAAAATAAATAAATAATAAAAATAGAAATTTTAAAAATGTGGTAGATACGGTTGCTGGCTGGCCCACCTGTCACCCATGACCCCTATATTTCCTGAATTTTCTTCCAGCTGGGGTGGCCTGTGGCGGTCCATAACCCGAGTCCAGGAGGGTGGGGCTTCGGGAAAATTCTGCTTGGAAAGGGACGCGATCCTGGTGTGTTCTTGTCATGGAAGAGGCTGAGTATCAGGTTCTGCTTCTGTTTTCAGCAGGGGTGGTGCTGGGGGCATCTCAGGCTGGATTGGGGGCAGAAGGTGGCAGTCTGAGAGGCTGAGGTGGGAGGCTGTACTGCAGCAGGTGGTCCTGACCACAGAACGAGATCCCGAGCCAGCCCTGTCTGGGGACCACCAAAATTCTTCTCCTTTAATGGGGACCTCACAGTGGTTCTCCTTATAGCTTCTAGCTATTTCTACAACATAAGGATCAACGACCGAATCAATTTGCTTTGATGTAACTTCATTCCTCTGGGCCAGGACTGTGGGGAGGGGGCACATCCCCCAAGTGTTACCAAGATAACTAGGTTTACATGTCGTGAAGCCTCCGAGCATGCAGAGACGGGACCCCAGGTACAGGGCTCCGGGGGATGCATGACCCCCCTCCGCAAGACCTCCACCTGTGGGAAACTCTAGGCAGATCATCCCACTGGGGACAACTGAAATGACAACATGGTCCTTTGCATGCTGATTGGAAACCAGCTTCCTCATAACTTTCACCTGCTGGGCCTGCTCCGCCCTCCGGAGATTGACAACGAAGTGAGTCCCTCTGTCTAGGACAATCCCTGGAGCATCTGAGGACACCTGCCATAGCTCACCCCATCTACAACCGGGCCCTTTGTTCTTGAGAGCAAACCTTGCTTCTTTCCCTCCTTCCACACAAGGTTTCTGACTTAAGCCATGAATATAATTTTGGCCGACACTGTGCAGCACGTGCTGCACGTGGGCTGTGACACTGGACCCTCGCCAAACCTTACAGGCCAGCCTCGGGTTGGTGCTGTATCAGTGAAGACGCTCAGGTCGAGGCTGGCAAGCTGGGCTTTGGAGAGCAGGGAGTCCGGTGCTCCAGTGCCCAACTCCAGAGCCTTAATTAGCCATCATTCGGCACAGTTTCTCTCTGGAACATCAGCACCCTGCCACTCTCTTTTAATGGTGCTGATTCCTTCCTAAATGACAGAGGCACCCAGAACCTGAGCAACACTGCACACCGGCTGGCCAGCAGAGAGTGCAGTGTGACGGCTTCCCTCCTTGCTGTAGGACAGGGGTTGGAAAACTGCTGCGCCAGCCTGTCACCTGTGTTTGTGCAGCCCTCGAGCTAAGAACAGTTTTTACAGTTTTATTTATTTCATTTAATTTTTTTTAGGAGAAGGGAACTTACTCTGTTGCCCAGGCTGGAGTACAGTGGCATGATCACAGCTCACTGCAGCCTTGAACTCCTGGGCTCAAGTGATCCGTCTGCCTCAGCCTCCCAAGTAGCTGGAACTACATGTGTGTGCCACCACCCCCGGCTAATTTTATAATTTTTTATAGAGACAGAATCTTGTTATGTTGCCCAGGCTGGTCTCAGACTCTTGGCCTTACACTGTCCTCTTGCCTCAGCCTCCCATAGTGCTGGGCTTACAGGTGTGAACCACTGTGCCCAGTCCAATTTTTACAGTTTTAAACGAAAGAAAACCAAAAGAAGAATAACATTTCATAACACACAAAATTTATATAAAGTTCCCAATCTCAGCATCCATAAATAAAGTTTTATTGCCAGGTAGCCAAGCTATCTTGTTATCTTAGTGAGCTTGGGAATGCCATAATGAAATACCACAACCTGGGTGGCTGAAACAGCAGACGTTTCTGTCTCACGGTGCTGGAGGCTGGTAAATCCAACATCAGGGTCCTGGCTGATTTGGTTCCAGGTGAGGGCTCTCTCTTGCAGACAGAATTCCTTCCTGCTGGGTCCACACAGGGTAGGGAGGGAGCTCTGGCCTTTTCCTCTTCTTACCAAGGCACTAGTCCTGTCGTGAGGCCTCTATCCCAAAATAAAAAAAATTAGCTGGGCGTCGTGGTGCATACCTGTGGTCCCAGCTACTTGGGATGCTGAGGTTGGAGGATCGCTTGAGCGATCCCAGGAGGCCCAGGCTGCAGTGAGCCATGATCACTCCACTGCACTCCAGCCTGGGCAACAGAGCAAGACCTGAGCTTATCTAAACCTTATCACCCCCAGAGCCCCACCTCTTAATACCATCACATTGAGGATTAGGGCTATCAATCTTGGGGGACAGAAACATTCAGTACACAGCACCTATTTACATATTGCCCGGGGCTGCTTTCACGCTACTATGGCAGACCTGAGTAGTTGCAATAGAGACTGAATTTCCTGCAAGCTGAAAACATCGACTATCTGGTCCTCTATGAAAACATTTGCCTGGCTGGGCGCAGTGGCTCATGCTTGTAATCCCAGCACTTTGGGATTGGGAGGCTGTGGTGGGAGGATTGCTTGAGCTGAGTTCAAAACCAGCCTGGGCAACACAGTGAGACACCTTTTCTACAAAATTACAAAAAAAATTAGTTGGGTGTGGTTTACAGCTATGGGATTACAGGTGTGTGCCTGTAGTACCAACTACTTGCAAGGCTCAGGTGGGAAGACTGCTTGAGCCTGGCAGGTCAAGGCTGCAGTCGCCTATGATCACACTATTGCATTCCCGCCTAGGCAACTGAGTGAGATCTTGTCTAAAAAAAAATTTTTTTTTGCTGAACCCTGTTCCAGGACAACATCTCCTCCAGGAACACAGCCTTTTAGGCCACGCCTGGCTGGGTGTGGTGGCTTATGCCTGTAATCCCAGCACTTTGGGAGGCCAAGTTTTTTTTTTTTTTTGAGACAGTCTTGCTCTGACGCCCAGGCTGCAGTGCAGAGGCGCTATCTTGGCTCACTGCAACCTCCGCCTCCCAGGTTCAAGCAATTCTCCTGCCTCAGCCTCTCGAGTAGCTGGGATTGCAGGCACCTGCCACCATGCCCGGCTAATTTTTGTATTTTTTACAATGGGGTTTCACTATGTTGGCCAAGATGGTCTCGAACTCCTGACCTCAAGTGATCTGCCTGCCTCGGCCTCCCAAAGTGCTGGGATTACAGATGTGAGCCACCCATGCCTGGTGGGTAAATCTCTTGAGCCCTGGAATTCTAGACCAGCCCAGCAACATACTGAAAACCCATCTCTACTAAAAATACACACACACACACACACACACACACACACACAGCCAGGTATGGTGATGTGCACCTGTGGTCCCAGCAACCTGGGAGGCCGAGATGGGAGGATGGCCTGAGCCTCAGGTTGCAGTGAGCTAAGATCGTGCCACTGCACTCCATCCTGGGTGACAGTGTGAGACCTCATCTCAAAAAAAGCTCAATAAGAAGGCCATGCTTCCCCTGCAGACACCTGTGCTCCCCTATCTGCTTTGCACACACCCTTGCAGAATCTACACCTCTGCTCTACGCACCCTGCGTCCCCAGCCCTATTTGCCCATCCTTGTGGGCCTGAGTCTAGGACTTTTCCTCTGTCTTGGTGGGGAGGGGGTCTCACTGAAGTCAGACGGCCTGTACGGAGCTCGGCACTGTCTCCATGCATACTCCTGGTCACGGTATTTTGTGGGTGAGTTTTAGGTGGTTTGTTGACTTTCCAGCCAACTCTGGGATTCTGCTGGGTTTTCCTCTTGTGAGACCATAACCTCCTCTCCTGGGGATGTGACACACAAATCCGCTTTCATAACCGGTACCCAGAAGGCAGACCTATTTCAGCAGCGGTGTGATTAGTGGTGTTCTGCCCATCTCTGTTCAAAACCTCACTCTGGGAGAGGATCAGATGCAGCAGGTCCAGTTGACGCTGGTCAAGCTCCTGTCTGGGGCCCACGCAGAAGTCCAGTGGGACGTATTAGTGTCCATGCTCCATAGCGTCACTGCAGTGTCACCGCTGCCGTCTACTGCCTGCCCCGCCCGAGTCACACCGCGTGTGAGCAGCACCCCAAAGCCTTCCTACAGATGCAAACCTCATGGCTTAAAAGCTCCTTGCACTGTTTTCTGGTAGACGCCTGTCCAGTCACATGTTATGCACAATTTTTAAGTGTTTCACACAGGCCTCGTGAAAACGCCTCATCAAATTCAGTACTTGGCTCCACGGTCTATTGAAAGGATGCTCTGTCTTGAAAGCCCTGTGGTCTCAAGGGGGTGGACACATTGACATGTTCTCACAGCCCCAGGTTTAAATAGCTCCATTGTGACTCATGGAAGCTGGGGAAGAGCCAAGGGACGTCAGTGCATCCCAGGAAAGGACCCGCCAGGAGCGAGGTCCTCCCTGAGCCCTGGCCTGTGGAGTCCCACCCACCCCTCACTCGGAGATGTTGGAGGGTGGCCCAGCAGGGTGGTCTGGGGGACCCTGCTTGGCCCCTGGGAGTCCGTGGGAAGCCTCCTTCGCTCTGAAAGCTGAAGCTGTCAGCAGGCAGCAGGCAGCAGGTGGGTGCTGGTGGCTGGAATGTAGTGCTTCCTTTACGGTGGGGTTTGAGGCCCATCGAGTGACTAAATGTCTCTGGACAAAAGATGTTCCTTGCATCAGAGAAACCTCATTATTGCAGAATCTCCTTTCTTTTTTAAATAAAAACATCTCTAGGGGCTGGGTGTGATGGCTCACACCTGTAATCCTAACACTTTGGGAGGCCGAGGTGGGCAGATTGAGCCCAGGAGTTCCAGACCAGTCTGGGCAACATGGTAAAACCCCGTCTCTACAAAAAAATACAAAAATTAGCCAGGCGTGGTGGCGCATGCCTGTGGTCCCAGCTACTTGGGAGGCTGAGTGGGAGGATCACTTGAGCCCGGGGAGGTGGAGGCTGCACTGGGCCATGACTGCGACACTGCACTCCAACCTGGGTGACAGATCGAGATCCTGTCTCAAAAAACCCCCAAAAACCAACCAACCAACCAATCAACCAAAAATCTCTAAAGCTCCAAATCAATATTAGCATAGCAAACCCAACACTGACCCAAGCCCCATCGACACTGGAGCTGTCTTCAGCGGACAGGACGCTTCCCCAGGGTGCTTACGCAGCTATGGCAGGGAAGGGCAAACTTTTGCAGCAATGGGACAGACAGTAAATATTTTAGGCATTTCGGGCCAGTCCATCTCGATTACGATTACTCAACTCTGGGTGCAAAAGCAGCAAATATGTAAATGAAGGGCGTGGCTGTGTTCCAATAAAACCTTATTTACAAAAACAAACGGTGGGCCTGATCTGGCCCCTGGGCCATAATTTGCAGACCTCTGACACATTAAAAAAGGAAGGTGAGGCCAGGCACAGGGGCTCACGCCTGTAATCTGAGCACTTTGGGAGGCCGAGGTGGGTGGATCACCGGAGGTCAAGAGTTCGAAATCAGCCTGGCCAACATGATGAAACCGTCTCTACTAAAAATACAAAAAGTAGCTGGGCATGGTGGCGGGCACCTGTAGTCCTGGCTACTTGGTAGGCTGAGGCAGGAGAATCACTTGAACCTGGGAGGTGGAAGTTGTGGTGAGCTGAGATCCCGCCACTGCACTCCAGCCTGGGTGACAGAGTGAGACTCCATCTCAAAAAACAAAAAAAAAAAAAAAAAAAAAAAAAAGGAAGGTGACCCCGTCTGTAATAAAATTAAGGCAAAAGTGCAAATCCTCTTGCTGTGTACAGCACATGCTGTCCTGCTCCTCTGGGGGCTGGAGCCCCACATGGGTCCAAGCCACAGCCCTGCCCTTCTGTGGGGACACTCTGAGTCTGGAAGGGGGAACTCCTTCAGGTCAAAGAGGAAACTTCTGGCCAAGTGGTTCCCATGCTGCCTGCGAGCCTAGCCTCTGACCTCACTGCCTGGCGAGGGTGACGGGAGGAGGAGAGGATGCCAGAGACCTTTGGGTGCCCTGTGTGTCCCCTCAGTGCTACCTTCCCTGCTGGTAACTGTGACTTCTCATCAGATCGCAGGCATCAGGTTCATCTTCTCTGGAGTAAACACCATCAAGGCATCCTCGCAGCCCTCTCTGTGGTGCTGCTTGCCGGCAGAGAGCCGAGGACAGCTGGCCGAGCCACGCAGGCTGCTGTCTCTAATGCCACACTATTTTTGGTGACTCTTTTGCCTCATTTATTTTTGATTTGAGTTGCTCATACAGACTGTGTGTTCTTTCTCCCTCCTGCACTGAAATGAAATAAGCGTAGTATTTTTAAACCTCACTTGTGTTACTTCATGATTAGCACAGATAAACACTGTCCGACGTGGTGCTGCGTGGCCTCTGGCTTCAGCCCTGGGCTTCACGTGAAACTGGCCTGCTCCTGGATGTGGGCCTCATTCTTGCGGACACCAAGTCCTACGCTGAAGCTGGACATTGGATGGCGGGGGTCCAGGGACATCCAGGAAGTGCCCTCCCAGTACAGTGGGTGCAGGAGAAGGACACCCATCTGAGCAGCAGCCCTGGGCTGTATTAATGTGTGGGCAGCGATGTCAGAGCTGCTGGCGACCCAGTGCAGTCTGAATGAGGCCTCGGGATAAGGGCTTTCCCGTGCGTTCATTCAGCGTAATTTTTGCCCCATAATCCTATGAGGTTAGTACTATGTTTTAGGCACAAATGACAGCTGAGAAAACTGAGGCTTGGAGAGGTAAAGCTGGCCTGCCTTGGTCACCTGGTGAGTGGCAGTTCTGGGAGTCCACCCTCTAAAGCACAGTCTTGTTCTATGGCCAGCAGAGAAGTCCAGAGACAAATACGGGAACAGCCAAAGGCCTCCTCGTAGGGTGAGCTGAGTGGTGCTTCTCAAGATCACTGAGAACCGACTGCTGGGGGGGCCCGGGCAGCAGCAGGGGGTGGGTGTCGTCAGGAGTCTCCGAGGCAATGCAGGTGTGAGCTGGGGCCACCTGGGCAAGGGCGGGGAGACAGAGGTGACCAGTGGCTGGCAATCCAAGAGGCTGAGACCGCAGGGTCTTCGGACAGATGCGGGGTGTAGGGGGAAGACAGGGGTGCAGGTGGCTCCTGGGTTTCCAGAGGTGAGTGGTCAGTTTCTGAAACAGGGGAGTTGTGGGTGCAGTGGTGTGGGGGAGCCCTGGAGCCAGTGGCGGCTGTGTCTGACCTCAGATGCTGGTCGGGCATCCACGTGGGGAGGCTGGTGCTGTCCTCTGACAGGGCTCCTCCCCAGCCCTGGATTGCGTGGTTGTTTCTTTTGTGCCCAGGGCCTTTGCAGACTCAGATCCCTCTACCTGGGATGCTGTTCCTTGGGGTTCCTGCTCAAATTTCATCTCTTCGGAGAGGCTGCTCCAGAGAGCTCTGAGCGTCACAAGTGTGTCTTCTGCCAAGCGCCTACCCCAGCCTGTGTGACTGTTCACCTGACTGGCCCCAGCGGGACACTGAGGGCAGGGGGTGGGTCTGTCTCGTTTCCTGCTGAATCCCTCATGCCCGGAACAGGAACTGACACCTCATTGGTGCCCAGCACGCTTTTGATGAACGCACGAAGGTGTCTCAGCCCGCTCTGAACAAGCAGCTTTCTGCTTATAGATAACACAGATGCCAGCATGAGGCTGAAGCCAAGCAGAGCAGTGGGAAGTGGAGCGATGGGAGGTCATGTTCTGCTGCTCCTCTTAGGGCGACAGAGGGTGCCCTGCAGCTGCAGCAGTCTCCTCCAAGGGGATCCACAGTGGGAGAGGGCAGCCTGCACAGGCCCAGGCTTATATCCCTGACCGAGAGGATGCCTGGCTCACAGGGCGTGTGTGGAGAGCCAGGCATCTCATGGGCATGCGTGCATGGGTGAGCACCTGCACAGAAACACACACACAGCTCACGACCACCACTGCTGTCACCTCCACCTCTACCATGATCTCTGCCCCTCCATCTCAATCATCTCTATCTCTGTCACCATCACCTCCTCCTCCCCCATCACCTCCACCATGACCTCTACCCTCTCCACCTTCATCACCTCCACCACTACCTCCATCTCCACCTCCACCTTCATCACCTCCACCACAACCTCCATCTCCACCTCCACCCACCACCTCCGCCTTCATCACCTCCACCTCCGCCTTCATCACCTCCACCACTGCCTCCATCTCCACCTCCACCCACCACCTCCGCCTTCATCACCTCCACCACTACCTCCATCTCCACCTCCACCCACCTCCGCCTTCATCACCTCCACCTCCGCCTTCATCACCTCCACCACTACCTCCATCTCCACCTCCACCCACCACCTCCGCCTTCATCACCTCCACCTCCGCCTTCATCACCTCCACCACTACCTCCATCTCCACCTCCACCCACCTCCGCCTTCATCACCTCCACCACTACCTCCATCTCCACCTCCACCCACCACCTCTGCCTTCATCACCTCCACCACTGCCTCCATCTCCACCTCCACCCACCACCTCCGCCTTCATCACCTCCACCTCCACCCATCACCTCCGCCTTCATCACCTCCACCATTACCTCCATCTCCACCTCCACCCACCACCTCCACCTTCATCACCTCCACTTCCACCCGTCACCTCCACCTTCATCACCTCCACCCATCATCTCTACTTTCATCACCTCCACCTTCATCACCTCCACCTTCATCACCTCCACCCACCACCTCCACTTTCACCTCCATCACCTCCACCTCTACCACCACCATGGCCTCTGCCCCCTCTGCCTTCATCACCTCCACCTCCACCATCCTAGGCCAGCTCATTGTCCTCTGAGCACTACTGCTTTCAGCTTCTCTGGGAATCTTCCCCTAGCAACCTTCCGGGGGGCAATTCTGCTGCTCTCCAAGCTGCAGTTCTCACCTCCACAGGCAAGGGCCCCACAGGTGCCCCTTCAGCCCACCCCCCTGCCCTGGGCTCCAGGTGTTGGCTCCATCCACGCGGATATCCCTGGAACTCTCCCTCTCGCCCACCTCCACCACTTGCCTTGGAAGCTCCTGCCTGGACCATGGTTGTCAACCTGCCACCAGAGCCCCGTTTCTATTTCTCAACAGCAGATCTTTTCATGCCATGCTTTTCTCAAAAGCCCTTCGTGGAGGTCCAGGGCTGTCAGCATGACGTCCAAGTGCCTCAGCTCGGCATCCAGAGCCATTCACAGCCTCTCCTGTCTACCTTTCCATCCTTCAACCCCCTCTGCCCCTGCACATCTGCCTGCCTCTCCTCCTGCACACCTGGCCCTGGGCACACGTGCCTGCCTCTCTCCCACACACCTGGCCCTGGGCACAGCTGCCTGCCTCGCCTCCCGCACACCTGGCCCTGGGCACAGCTGCCTGCCTCGCCTCCCGCACACCTGGCCCTGGGCACAGCCGCCTGCCTGTCTCCCGCACACTTGGCCCTGGGCACAGCCGCCTGCCTGTCTCCCGCACACCTGGCCCTGGGCACAGCTGCCTGCCTCGCCTCCTGCACACTTGGCCCTGGGCACAGCTGCCTGCCTGTTTCCCTCCTGCTCCTGTGCACGTGGCAGCTCCTGTCCTCACTCCTGCTGCTCCCTCAGAGCAATGCTGCATCTCCCCATCTGCTGGGGACTTCATCTGCCTCAGGGGCCAATGTGTGGCTGAGTCCCAGGTCTGAACGGGTCACCCACACTATTTGCAGTGGTCGTCCTGGTGGTGGGCAACAGCAGGTAGAGAGTTGCACTTTCCATTTCTACCACCTCTATCATCTGTGTCTTCTAAATGATGTGGCTAAAGTCACACAATTCTAAGGAGGAAAGAGCTGGGGCAGGCTGCTCGCCTGCAGAGCCAGGACTGTCCATGCACCTCCTGCCACTCATTCGCCGCTTCCACGATGATTTCTGGGGAAGAGCGCCCTCATGGCTTTCAAGTTAAATCTTCAACACTCGAGGGCCAGCCCAGCTCCCGGGCCACTACCTTCCCAGGAAAGACCCTCCCTGCCCATCCAGCCTGCCCATCAGCTAAGGGGAAGATGGGGCGGCCCACCCCACCCTGGGCTTCCCCATTTCCTGTGTTCACCTGAGCAGGGACGAGGAGGGACTCCTCAGCCCTTGACAACATGGAGGGCTGTGAACTAAAGGAACTGGGGGTGACCGGAGCAGGGAGGGGCCAGGGGCACTCTCTTCAATCCCCAGACACAGCTGTGGCTCATCCAGGGCTGTTCAGAGCAAGGCCTGTGCTGCCTTGAGACAGCCTTGGCCACACTTGAGACAGGCCTTGAAGTTAATATTGATCCACTTATTTTTCCAGTTACTTTTTATTTTTTTAAGGGCCGGAGGTCTTGCTATGTTGCCCAGGTTGAACTTGAACTCTCGGGTTCAAGAGATCCTCCTGCCTCAGCCTCGAAAGCAGATGGGACTACAGGTGTGAGCCACCATGCCTGCCTCCAGTTACCTTTTATTGATGACAAGTAATGCTGGTTCTTTATTGCAGGGACATCAAGTTTCAGTTTAAAATAAGCTTATTTAAGAAATAAGTTTAACTAACTAAAAAGGAAATGCAAGCTAAGAAATGGCACATATGACTGGACACGGTGGCTCACACCTGTAATGCCAGCACTTTGGGAGGCTGAGGCGGGTGGATCACTTGGGGCCAGGAGTTTGAGACCAGCCTGGCCAACGTGGTGAAACCGAAACCCCTTCTCTACTAAAAATACAAAAATTAGCTGGGTGTGGTGATGTGTGCCTGTAATCCCAGCTACACCAGAGGCCGAGGCAGGAGAATCGCCTGAGCCTGGGAGTTGGAGGTTGCAGTGAGATAAGATTGCGCCACTGCATTCCAGCCTGGGCGGCAGAGTGAGACCCTGTCGGAAAAAAAAAAAAAAAGAAAAAAAGAAAAGAAATAGCACAGATGACCCAAATCATGAGATGAAAGGCCAATGACTAAAGTGTGGGAAACACCTGCTAAAGACATAGAGAGACAGAGAGGGAACACCGGGGGTCAGAGAGCACTCCGATAGAAACCGCAGGGCCTCACAGGGCCCCACTGCCTCATCCCCCAACTCCTCGAAGGCGTGTTGCCTTCACAGTGGAACCGCAGGGCAGAAAGCGAATTCCAGATCATGCTGCAGTTCTTTTTCCCTTTAAAACTAATTTGACACCCTTTTGTGAAGTGTGTCAGAGTTCCTCCCATTACAGGAAGTTGATCAAGAGAAGCCAGGGAGAGAACAGAATCAGGCTGGACAGTGTGTTCCAGGCCAGTCCTGGCAAGAGGCTTTGATGGGGTCTAGACAGGGGACGTGCATCTGAAGGTGTGTGTGCAGGTGTGTGCATACACATATGCACACGTGTGCACACATACACGCACACGGACACCACCGGGCCCCCTCCACCCGTTAGCCAGCCTGCTTATGGTCTGCTGCCTGCTCATGTACCCAGCGATCTGCTGGGGAGAGGCCACACTCTGCACAGGTGGATGCCCCCATGGGCATACCAGGCGGGCCTCCTGCCGCTCTGGAAAGCAGATACTCCAAGGGATAGGTGCAGAGCAAGGCCCAGCACCCCTACAGAGGGCGGGGTGGCCAGGGGGACTTGGAGAGCTGCATAGTGGTGCTGGGTGACCCTAGCTCATGTCCCGAGATGAGAATGTCCAGTCAGGGACCACTTCAAACAGAGGCTCAGAGCGTGGCCTGCAGCTCCTGGGGGAGAAGGGTTGGACTGTGGGGTGCAGTGCACCCAGGGGCACTTTTGCTTTGCTCTTTCTGGCCTGGACGTGTCCAATTTCCCTGCTTTACAGCTTTCACTGAGGCTGCTCCCAGAGGAATGGGCAGGGCTGCTCTGGGGTCTCACTCTCCGCCCAGGCCAGAGGCTTCAGACATCTCCTCACTCAGGCCCAAGGCCTGAGGTTCCCACGGAAACAAGTCCCCCAGGTGACCTCTCCCCATGTGGCGCAGGAGGTCACAGCATGAGACCCCAGGGGCCTGGGACAGAGCTCTGGGGTGGTGGTTCGGGGGCCTCACTCCCTCAGCCACTTCCCTGATCACAGCCTTGTTTTCATCATCTGCTGCAGTTCTGTTGATACCAGGAGCATTTCTCAGCCCATGTTGGTGTCCTGAGTGATCCTTTTTTTTTTTTTTTGAGACAGTCTCGCTCCGTCTCCAGGCTGGAGTGCAGCGGTGCAATCTTGGTTCATTGCAACTTCCACCACGCCACCCGGGTTCAAGCAATTCTCTTGCTTCAGCCTCCCGAGTAGCTGGGATTACAGGTGCACGCCATCATGCCTGGGTAATTTTTGTATTTTTAGTAGAGACGGGGTTTCACCGTGTTGGCCAGGCTGGTCTCGAACTCCTGACCTCAGGTGATCCGCCCACCTTGGCCTACCAAAGTGCTGGGATTACAGGCGTGAACCACCGTGCCTGGCTCTGAGTGATTCTTAAAGAGGATGAACAGAGGAACGAGGGAAGCCTGTCCTGGATGCTGGCTGCTCTTGGGCATGCAAGCCACTGTCAGGGTGATGGGGGGGCGGGTCCTTTCTGCCATGGGGGACCCAGCGCAGCGGAACCGGACTTGGCTCACCATCTGCCTCGTGAAATCCAAGCCCTGCCCTTCGCAACATGGAGAAAACAATCTGTGGGTCTTAATGGCCCAGCTCCAGGTTCGCCTCCCCATTGGTGCAGGTGAGGGGATGCCTGATGAAGTAGTGCTCCTGGCCCTCACTCATCAGCTCCCTCAGAGGGAGCCATGTCAAACCAGACAGCTCCAGGCAGCATCTGCAGGCCACTTTGAACTGAGGGGAGCCAGACCCCACCACTGCCCCTGCCTCAGCGTCTCCAGCCCCTCTCAGGGCTGCGGCTGCAGCTGCCTCTACCTGGCTGCAGTGCCAGGGAGAGAAGGAGCCTCTGCATCTGTTGGGCTCATCAGTGAGGGCCAAGGGAAGCGGCGGGCACAGGGACGGGAGGGGAGGTTCCAGGTTCTCTTGGCCATCCCCTCCTTCGGGGGTAAGGGCAACAGTGACGCGCACACACTGCGGCGCCCAGCTTCTCCCACTCCTTTCCAAGCATCCACAGTAAAAGGAGATAAAGGAAATGCTGAGTCTCCTCTCAGAGCCAGATTGAAATTTTAAGTGAGCCAAGGTAGGAAAATCACACAGGGGGATGGGGCCACAGCAAGAACCACTTCCGGATGATGACTGCGTTTCAGAGCCTGACTCAGCACGGCGCGGGGCGCAGAGGAGGCGCGGAGGAGGCGCAGAGGTGGCGCGGCTCCCCACGGATGGAGCCGCTCTGCCTCCGGCTCTGGCTCCAAGCTGCTGCCTCGGCTTCCTGGGCAGAGGGGGTGGGTTTTAACTTCTTAAATCCCAGGATGGGAGAAGGAAGAAGAGGCCAGTGTCCTGGTGTATACCAGATGAGCAATTTCAGAGAGATCATTGCTTTACATGGGGTGGCCACGCTGGCATTTAAGTGGTCTCTTGGCCACTTGGCCCTGTCCCTGGGTGTGGCTGGGGTCCCCACCTCTCTGGAGCCTGGCACAAACTCACACCCAGGAGCTGAGCCCCCCCCATGCAGTGACTGGGCAGGGAGGCCCGGGCAGTAACTATCTGGGGAGTGGTGGCGCTCCCAGCTCGCCTGGCTGATATGAGTCTCTATGGCAGCCTCGGAGAGGTCGGACTGTCCGCCACAGGGACAGAAAGCGCTGACTCTCGGCCAGCCCTGAGCAGAGACACTCTGGACACTGAGTCCAGCCAGGGCCCGCTGCTGGGCTTAAGCACAGTGCCCAGCACAGAATAAGGCGAACTGTTTACCGTCCTTCCCCAGAACCCAGTGCTCATCTTACACAGGCTGCTGTCTGATCCCTCGACAACAGCTCTTATCATTGTATTTTAGGTGGGTTTCAATCACGGCCCTTGGAAGAAGTTGAGGGGAAAGATTGGTTCCACTTGCACAGGGGAACTCAGAGCCCAGAGGAGGGATGTGGTCAGGTAGCGCTTCTGACAGAGCACTGAGGGGTGAGGGTGGAGTAGGGGAATGTGGGAGCTGAGCTGAGGAGTGAGGGTGAAGTGGGGGATGTGGGAGCTGAGCTGAGGGGTGGAGGGTGAAGTGGGGGATGTGGGACCTGAGCTGAGGGGTGAGGGTGGAGTGGGGGGATGTGGGAGCTGAGCTGAGGGGTGAGGGTGAAGTGGGGGGATGTGGGAGCTGAGCTGAGGGGTAGGGGAGGAGTGGGTGATGTGGGAGCTGAGCTGAGGGGTGGGAGTGGAGTGGGGCTGAGGGGTGAGGGTGCAGTGGGGGGACGTGGGAGCTGAGCTGAGGGGTGAGGGTGGAGTGGGAAATGTAGGAGCTGAATTGAGGGGTGAGGGTGGAGTGGGGGGATGTGGGAGCTGAGCTGAGGGGTGGGGGTGGAGTGGGGGGACGTGGGAGCTGAGCTGAGGGGTGAGGGTGGAGTGGGAAATGTAGGAGCTGAGCTGAGGGGTGAGGGTGGAGTGGGGGGATGTGGGAGCTGAGCTGAGGGGTGAGGGTGGAGTGGGAAATGTAGGAGCTGAGCTGAGGGGTGAGGGTGGAGTGGGAAATGTAGGAGCTGAGCTGAGGGGTGAGGGTGGAGTGGGGGGATGTGGGAGCTGAGCTGAGGGGTGAGGGTGGAGTGGGGGGACGTGGGAGCTGAGCTGAGGGGTGAGGGTGGAGTGGGAAATGTAGGAGCTGAGCTGAGGGGTGAGGGTGGAGTGGGGGGATGTGGGAGCTGAGCTGAGGGGTGAGGGTGGAGTGGGAAATGTAGGAGCTGAGCTGAGGGGTGAGGGTGGAGTGGGAAATGTAGGAGCTGAGCTGAGGGGTGAGGGTGGAGTGGGGGGATGTGGGAGCTGAGCTGAGGGGTGAGGGTGGAATGGATCAGAACATCAGAACAGAGCCCCAGGGTGCCAGCCCTGGGACCTCCCTCCAGTCACAGCACCCGTGGTCCCTGCCAGGGGAAACTCCGGCCGGCATCCTGGGCAGGGAGACCCCCATCTGCCCCAATGGGAGGCTGTGCCCTGTCTCCCCACGTGGGGGCCCTGCATCCTCACAGTGACCGCTGGGAAAAGACAGACCTGGGCTTCCGTGCCTCCCCGGGCCACTAAACCCATCTCTCTGAGCCAGGAGGGTGTGCTGCCTTCCAACTACAAATACACCAGCAGGAGGGGAGAGAGGGGACCCAGGTTGGATCCCACTCCTACTCATGGGGGGTAGGGGGGACCCTCAGTCGGCTCCAGGTCCACAGGCTGGCTTCCTACCAGGTGTGCTCCAAGGCCCTCAGCTGGGCTGCCACGTCCCCGCCTCCACCCTCACCCCTCAGCTCAGCTCACACAACCCACAACTCCACCCCCACCCCTCAGCTCAGCTCCCACATCCCCCAGTTCACCCTCACTCCTCAGCTCAGCTCCCACATCCCCCCACTCTACCCTCACCCCTCAGCTCAGCTTCCATGTCCCCCACTCTACCCTCACCCCTCAGCTCAGATCCCACATCCCCCAACTCCACCCCCACCCCTCAGCTCAGCTCACACGTCCCCCTACTCCACCCTCACCCCTCAGCTCAGCTCCCACATCCCCCCACTCTACCCTCACCCCTCAGCTCAGCTCCCACGTCCCCCCACTGCACCCTCACCCCTCAGCTCAGCTCCCACATCCCCCCACTCTACCCTCACCCCTCAGCTCAGCTTCCATGTCCCCCACTCTACCCTCACCCCTCAGCTCAGCCCCCGCGTCCCCCTACTCCACCCTCACCCCTTAGCTCAGCTCCCAGATCTCTGCCTGCACCCTCATCCCTCAGCTCAGCTCCCACATCCCCCCACTCCACCCTCACCCCTCAGCCAGCAACACTTGTATGCAATCCCTACAGAGGGAAGGAACTGTCTGATGAGGAAGAAGCAGCCAGACTCTGGAGGGAGACGGGGCTGGAGGTGGGACTCGGGGGTAGAAACCTATTGTGTGGGGTGGACTGTGTTCCCTGAAAGATCCACCCAAGTCATAATCCCAGTTACCTGTCGATGTGGAATTATTTGGCAAAAGGGTTTTTGCAGATGTAATTAAGGTGGAAATCCTGCGATGAGGCCATCCTGGATTAGGATGGGCCCTAAATCCAATGACAAGTGTCCATATAAAAAGAGGAGACAGACACAGAAAAGGCCATGTGGCGATGGGGGCAGAATCTCGGGGGGGTGTTTCTACAAGCCAAGGAACACTACGGGCAGCCACCAGGAACCAGGAGCGAGGCCTGGAACACATGCTACCTCGGTCTCCAGAGGGAACCAACCCTGCCCACACCTTGCCTTCTGGCTTCCTGATCCATGAGAGAATAAATAATGCTGTTTCAAGCCACCCTGCTTGTGGTACTAGGAAACAAATGCACCCCCTAGGCTTAAAAACCCTCTAACCAAGCTGGGTGCAGCAATGCCCATCTGCAGTCCCAGCTACTTGGGAGGCCAAGGCGGGAGGATCACTTGAGCCCAGGAGTTTCAGACCAGACTCGGTAACACAGCAAGATCGTGTCTCTTAAAAAAAAAAAAAAACCCTCTAACCAGAGCAGGTTCTATGAGAAGCAGACAAACAACCTTCTTTTGTGGGAAGTGACCTCTTTACTAGGGGTCTGGACCCTGGTGGGCCCCAGCCCTGCTTCTGCTCCAACCTCGAGGCTGAAATGTCTGCAGCCCTCTCTGTATTTGCGTTTGTGATCCAGGCACTGGGGGCTCCTCCCTGCTCTCCGGGGGACTGTAAGAATAAATAACAAATGGCTTCAAAGAGGATTACCGTCCCATGACCACGTGACAGGGCATGAACGATTAACATCTTGCCAGGCAGCGCTGCGGCAGCAATTTGAAAGGCAGCTTTACTCCACCACATCCATTAAAGGCCCCGCTGAATAAAAAGAGATGCAGAAGCGACCGCTGCAAGCTGGGGCCAGCCATGCCTCTGCAATCACATAGCCAGCAGACAAAAACATTTTTAAATGAAAATACTCATTGCTGGCGAGGTTGCGGTGAAACGACGACGAGGAGACGTGGCTGGTTCTGGGACATGAGCTATATACTACGACCTTTTTGAAATTGGGTAGTAGAGGTCCAGAGCTTGGGGTCCAGGAATCCTACCTCTGTGACTTTATCCTAATAGTTCAAGAGAGGAAATAAAGCGAGATGCACACAAACGTTTCCCACAGCCTGATTCGGAAGAGTGAAGAGCTGCCGGATCTCCCAGGAAATAATGTTTAAGTGAACTATAGACAAACGGGAGGGTATAATGTGGCCACTCAGTGAGTGCTCCTGGCTGGGGCAGGGCTCGCGCTAAGAGTGGAGAAGGTGGACGGTGCCTGCGTGTCTGCAGGGGCTGAAGGCAGCCGAGCGAGCGAGTGGGGAGGAACCCCTGCTCCACACCACACGGACCCTGCCTCTGACCCCATGACCCTGCTCTGGTGGGGAGGATCTGTGTGTGGGAAGCAGGGAAAGCAAGTTCCAGGGGTGGGATGGGGAATCCCGCAGGAGGCTCCGGCCACCCGGGCTTGTAGCACAGGCTCTGGAGCCCCTGCAGCCAGCAGGGGCCAGGCTGCTGGGGCTGTGCGCTGGCCTCGCCCCCATGTGGTTTCCCTTTACCTGGCACCCTGGTGACTGTGGCTCAGGAGCGAGGCCAAGGGCGAGCGCCCGCCCCGTGAACGGGTCGCCTGGGGCGCAGGATCAGGCGTCTGCTGCGGTCATGTTCTAGCTCTGTCCTCTGGTAGCTGTGTGACCTGAGACAAGGTCTAGGACCTGTTCTCACCCGGGACACAGAGACGGGAGGAGCTGAGGACTAAGAACAAATGTGTGGAGGGGACGAAGCAGGGGGCCAGAGCCAGAGCAAATCTGCAACACAGGGCAGCTGCCAACTCAAAGGACAACAGTGACGGCAGAGTCCTTGACACTGCTGTCAGCGTCGTCCAGAGTCGGGTGAAGCGCCTGCCTCCTCTTCCTGCAGGGGGGCAGCCGCTCTCAGCTGTCCAGCCCCTCCCAGTACCTCCCAGTCCTGGCAGGGCCGTAGCCCTTCAGCTCCCCTGGAAATCCACTCAAGGGACCTTGGCCTTCTCTGCCTGCCACCTGGGAACACCTGATGGGGACGTGCTGGGATGGTTTCTGCAGTTCAAAGGATTTACCTCCACATAATTAAGTGCCTCGTTTGTAAAAACACAAGCTGTGTCCTCATCGGTGGTGTGGGCATCACGTACGGTTCAGGGGCTGGGACAGAGCCCTCAGTACAGATGACAGGCATCAGGGAGTCTGTGGCCATCAGCCACCGATGCCAGCTCAGGCCACAGCTGCCGTGGCAGGCACCTGGCTTTGTCTCAACCTCAGCTGCAGGAGGTGCATCCCCGCCTCCTGCCAGCTCTGGCTGAGTGCCAGGCCCCAGAGGCCACGGCTGTCTCTGGCCTCCCTTGGGCACTGCCTGTTGTTCAGGGTGCTCAGAGCAGGATTGTATCTGGCGGGGAAGACCCCTTGGGGAGGATCCCTTGGTGTCACAGTTGGCCTCCGTTGGGCCAGGAGCCCTCTGGTCCTCCCTGGTTCTGAAGGCTTCTCTCTGCCTGCCACGGCCAGGGGAGATGAAATCAGGGAGCCAGTGCTGGGGACGATGTTTGCTGGCCTGTAGGAAGCTTAGGCTTGGTTCCAAGGCCTCATGACATGGCCGGGGCATTACCAGTCAGGCTGAGCTGGGGGACAGAGGTGATGGGGACAGCAGGCATGTTCTGTCCTCACGAGGCCCACAGTCTAGGCAGGGACAGATGTCAGCAGTCATGACCACTGCAGGGCATGCTTGGAGAGACTACAGGACATCGAGGGGGCTCAGTCAGAGAGCTGCACCATGATCCCGGCTCTGTCAAGGATGAGTCATCTGGCCTCAGTTTCCCTGTCTATAAAATGAGGAGTCTGGGCTGCACAGTGTCAAAGACTCAGAGAACCTAGAGGGGCTTTCTGAGGCCGCTGGCTCCAGGAGCCTAGGACCCAGTCCTACCACCATGTGAGCAACACTGCCCCACACTGGATCATTTCTCTGTGTGTTCCGGGCTGCGTTAGAGACCAGGAATTCCGCCAAGCCTGGGGACAGGTGTTATCCTGTCCCCTCCAGAGCCTGGGGGGAAGCGTCCCCTGACCTGAGGTGCCACCTCTCCTGCTGCTCACACAGACTGCTCTTCAGAGACCCACCCCCATGGGTGTATCACGGGGCTCAGCCAGGCCCTCAGCACCCATACAGCCCAGCAGGTGGCCAGGCCACTCCAACAACCGGTGATCATGATTATCAGGTTGCTAGAGGGTTGGGGAGACCCTCTCCTAGGCATCCCTCCCAGTGGCACCCCCGGAGGCTTAGCCAGAACCTTCCGGCCCTGGGTGAGGCAGAGAATGAGGGCTGGTGGCACAGGCTCTGTGTGTCTGTGTGTGTGTTGGGAGAGTGTGTGTGTGTGTGTGTGTGTGTGTGTGTGTGTGGTGATCACATGCAGCTGGAGCAGCTCAGGGCTCCAAGAGCACCAAGGGCTCAGGGTAGGGCCTGGGGCCTCCAGGTCGCAGAGGGACCCTGTTCAGCTTCCCTCCACCCAGGCCAGATGAATGGCCCAGCTCAGCAGCACAGAGGAAGCAGGAGGCCTCCGTGAAAGATGTTCCGGCCTCCAAGGTCCCTCCTTACCTGCCCTTGTCCCTCTCCCTGCAGTGCCCTGACACCCCATGCTGTCTCTGCGCCTTTGGACCCCACTCTCCCTGCCTGTGAGGCCACAGCCATCCAGTGCTTCCCCCTTTCCTGACGATGTGAGATGGACGCTGTCAATGCTTTGGTGTGATGCTTTGGTGGTGGCCTGAGTGACGCCTTGGTGCCCTGGACCATACACCTCCTCCCGCTCTGATGTTGGCCCTGAGGGCAGCGACCTTATCCTGGCTCCCGATTCATGAGTTAATGAGGAGCAAGTGACATTCCCCAGACCCTGGTCTCACTGTAGCACTGCCCTGGAGAGGGCTGTCTGTGCTGGCGTCACCAGGACCCCCAGGTGCTACTTCAGATTCCAACGGCCTATAGGCTTCATGTAAACAGGCCCCTTTCTCCCAGGGATATCACTGTTTTCTTTTTTTTTTTTTTCTTTTCTGGGAAGCCCCCATTCAGGGTCTGTTGATAACTGTCACTCACACCAGCAGAGCGGCGGGGGGTGGGGTTCACTCCTCACAGGAGCGGGCTCGCCTGCCCCAGTGGCCTCCCCAGACCCATCTTTTGGGATGGAGAGAGAGCATGGCAGCTCCCCGGAGCCTCTGAAGTGCCCCAGCACAGGGTGGCTGATGTCCCCTGGACACCCCCACTGCCTTGTAAGCACGAAGGATGTAAATAAGGAGGCATCCACTACTCCTTCAAGGAGCAAAGCACCCTGTGTCCCTGCGGAACGGGGAGGTTTTGAGTTGGGATTTACAAGTCCTGTTTTGGGCATCCTGTTTCCTTTGTAGGAGCAAAGGGACAACATGGCTCCGGGCCTTGTGTCTGTGACACCTGAATACCTCCTGGTCTGGGTGACTAAAAATACCTGCTACTCATTTCCATGGAAAGGCAATACCCTCTAGGGGGTGCGGGGGGCTGGCTGAGCAGAGGCGGGAGGCGCTGCAGGATCTATCTAGACAGACAGGGCACAGGTAGGGCGTGCAGAGGGCCCAGATGGGGCACAGACAGAGTGCAGGCAGGGTGTGGACGGGGCACAGACAAGGTGCAGACGGGGCACGGACGGCGCAGACAGGGTGCAGAGAGGGTGCAGACAGCAGAGCAGGATATGGATGGGGTGCAGGCAGGGTGCGGACGGGGCACAGACAGGGCGCAGGCGGGATGCGGACGGGGCACAGACAGGGCACAGACGACACAGACAGGGTGCGGAGAGGGCGCAGATGGCGCAGGCAGGGTACGGATGGGGCGCACATGGGGTACAGACAGGGCGCAGGCAGGGTGCAGACACGGTGCAGATGGGGTACAATCAGGGCACAGGCAGGTGACAGACTCTGTATGGTCAGGAACAGGGTGGCGAGGACTGGCTCCTGTACTGACCCCTGGCCTCCTCTGCCGTGGGCAAGCACTCGGGCCATCAGTACCCCTGAACCAAACCACATTCCAAGAGGCCTGGACACTAACAAGGCGCCCTGCCACACACGGGAGGATGAAAGCACATCTCAGATTTGAAGCTCACAAAAGTGCAGCAGGTCATTCCAGTAGAATGTGGGCTTCACATGTTCCCAAGAATTACAGAAACCCCCGCAAAGCCCTTCTCGCCGGAGCTTTCAACCATCACAAACAGCTTCCTCGTGTGCTTCCTTAAGAAGTAGAGGTGGGCAGGTTCACTGACAGACTGAAACGGCTAGGGCTAGGGAGTGTTTCTCAAAGCATGTTCTTGGAACCCCTGATCTGAGTCACCAGGGACTGGTGGCCAAGGAGCTTGCTAAGCTGCACCAGGACCCCTGAGGGCTGGGCAGGTGCCACACCCTACAAGCCTGCTGGGCACACCGATATCTCAGGACCCTCGGCCCACCCAGGCCCCAAGACTCCACAATTCTTACACAGAACGTAAAGCACTACGCAGCCAACCTATGCAGGGCAACCAACAAGGCTAAGCCCCAGCCCGCAGTTCACGGGTGTCCCCAGAAATGCCCCCCATTAAGGCAGGAAATGGAAGAATGCGCCGTTGAAATCGTCTCTAAAGGGGCGGACGAAAGAGGGTGCTGCTGGCAGTTGCGGTTAAGCAGCAAAGCGGCTTCGTCTACGCCCGCCAGCCCCGGAGCCACCCTGTGCCCTCACCTTCCTTTTCCTCCTTTCACGGTCAAATCTCTCCAGAGCCATTGGCGGCAAAGTCCAAAGGTCACCAGGGTGGGACTCTGGCTTGGGGTCCTGGCTCCTGCGCCTAGTAGCTTGGAGGCCTTAGGGAAGCCACTTTGACTTTCAGTGTTTCTGCCTCAGTCAGATGGGTATAAGTTGGTTGGCGAGTGCTTGGAAGCTGGTGGTGCTGAATCTGGGGTCCTGCGCCCCCTCGCTGCTCCTGGGAGCCCAGCTCTGCTTCCCCTCTCAACAGAGGCTGCCTCCTTGGCAGCAGCTGGCCCACCGGATGCAGCAGATACCTGCCTCATCCTCTATTTTCCTCTCCTCCCCGGGCTCTGGAAGAATCCAGGGTTCCCTACTGTCTGTCTTGACCTTCATCTTCCCTCTCAAACCCGTACCCTTGGCGACCCTTGGCACTACCCCCAGGTGACACTGTCAGGGCTGTGACCAGTAGGTAGGTGGCAGTCACCTCCAGGTCCCACCTCTCCTGTGAACCCCAGCCCTACCTTCTCAATGTCAGTGGGCACTGCTGTCCAAGACACAGACCTCGAAACCCAAGGTCAACCGAGCCCAGTCCTCCCCATCCAGAGGCCCCGATTCTGGCTCTGCCTCTTTCAGTCTGTGCAGCCCAGGTGGACCCAGCCAGAAAAGCTTGGGGGGCTCCAGGGCTCTCCTCTTCCCTCCCTCCCCATCACTGTCCAGCCCATGGTGGCCTTGGCCCTGATGCCCTCCCCTAGTTATCCTATTCACCCATATTCATGCCCTAGCCTGTGACCGCACTGGGCCTCTGGCCATCATCCAGCCTGCCTGGTCCTCCCTCTGTGACCTTGCCCATGCAGAGCCCTTTTCCAGACCATCCTTTCCTAGCTCTGCCTATCACAACCTGCCTGTCTTTCAAGGTCCAGGTCAAATGTCCCCACTGCCCCCGTCTCTCCTTCCCTATCAGCAGGGTTTTCTCTGACCATTCCAGGCATGTGGTCACTGCATCCCTTTCCTGGGTCTCAGCCCTAGAGGAGGGAGGTGGGTCTTGCTCATTCTTGGTCCTTCAAATGTCTGCTGCTAAGACCTTCGCCCTTCACTGGCATGTATAGGTTTTAAGCAATGTTTTAAATTTAAATTTGTTTTATAATGAATAGATCGAGCTGAATCTCCTTGCCCATGCATTCTAGTTATTCCTTACCCTCCTGCATCTGGGAGGGGTGGCAAGAATATCACTTTCAGAGAGCCCCTGCCACGGCTGAGTGTTTGGGATCACAGGGCTCCGAGGCAGAATTCTAGAGTCTTCTGTCCTAGGCTGCATTGAGAGCCTGTGGATACCAGGGCCTGAGATTGCAATGAAAGATCATGAAGCTGCCCGGGGGTGGAAAATGAAAACACATTCATGGTGAAGGAGGGGGAGCATGCTCAGAGCATGGCTCTGCAACCCACTCGGTGCCCAGGGGCTGCTGGAATCAGACAGACAGGTGGGCAGGTGTGCAGTGGGGGTCTGGCAGGCTTGCAGGCCCTCCACGAGGCCCAAGGTCAGGGAGAATAGGGCAAGGAGTGTCCCTCCCTCAGAGGGAGGCTATTCCCTGCAGACCAGGGCAACGGGCTCTCCCCTCCTGCCCTCTCTTCCCCTTCCTTCCCTCCATCCTTCTCCACTGTGAAATCACTCAGCAGGGCTCTCCAGCTGAGAGACTGCCAAGAGGTCCCAGGAAACCACGCAGAAGGAAAGCCAGGTTCCTCTGCTCCGGTTTTCCTGGGGGCTCCGTTGGGCTGCCCAGGAACCACCTGAGCTCCAGGCAGGATGGTGGCTGGGGCGCCTCGTCCGACTGGAAGAGGGGGAACTGACAGTTATCCAGCACCCACTGTGTGCCAGGGAAGCCCCAGGCTCCTACCATTGAGGCACCAGTTCACCCATTCAGATAGAGGGAGACACGAATGATCCGTGTGGCTTAGCAGGCCAGAGAGCCAGAGACTCAGAGAGCTAAGTCTCTGGCAGGGAAACAGCCCAGGCTGGTGACTCAGGACCCCTGCGGACCAGACCTCAGGGGTCTACAGGACCCAGGAAGTTGCTCCAGAAAACTGGCCCACGTGGAATGGGTTGAATCTGGTGCGGGGTCTGAGAAGAAACCTGTGCCCAGCTCCCAGCCATGGAGTTGGATGATAGATCTCGGCTGCTCGGCAGTCAGGGCTCAAGATCACAGCCAGGAAAGCCTTCTCACTGGGTCCAGGTAAAGGCGGACGGCCAGGAAGGTGGTCCCCACCATTTCTCCACTTTTCCCCTTTTCCCAATCCTGTTTTGTCTACAACCAGCATGGCGTCAAAGCAGTTAGCTCTGTGGGTACCTGTGTGCTGGAGAAGTGGAGGAGGCTGCCTGCAAGGAGACAGGTGCCGGGGAAGCCGGCAGGGTGGGCATGGGGTTGCTCTGTCACTGAAGACACGCAGAACCTGGGTCTCTGGGGCTAACCATGTGGTCACTGCGCAGAGCAGGGAGTAGCCTCCTGAGACGCTGGCCAGCAGGGGTCTGAGTGGAAACCTGGGTGTGGCAGTGGCAGGGCACCCTCAGGCAGGGAGGGGCCTGAGCCCAGGGCTCATCCCATGGTGGGTGTGCAGGAAGAGGGAGGCTGGCCTTCATCTGAGTTCCCCAGGATGTGGCAGAGGACAAGAGGGCCCAGCATCTGCTCAGGCCCATGAGACAGGGAGTCTCACGCATCTGCCAAGCCCAGGCAGGCAGGAAAGCCTCGAGCCAGTGGGCAGTGACAGGACGAAGCCCAGGTGTGCCACCCCATCTCCCCCAGTGTGCTCTCTCCTGGGGAAGAGGGTCCTGTTCCCTTTGCCTCCTCGGGACTGGCTGAGCGGAGATGGTGTATCCCTTAATAGACTCACCCGAAGATAGACCAGGAGGGGCCTGAACATGGCGGGTCACCCGTCACCAAGGAAAGAGCAGTGTGGGGCTTCCCACGCCACGACAAAGGAGTGCTTCCATATCCCCCAGGGTCTGGGCCTGGGCCTCCAGGGCCTCTTGGGAGACTCACTCCTGCAGAGGTGAGGATTTCAGGCATTCGATGGAGCTCAGGTGATGGCGGAGGGGGCACCTCTCACAGAGTTCTGGCAGGGCAGGAACAGAATCAAGGTTTCCTCACTAGCTGGGAGGCCAGGATCAGTTTCACTGCTGCTCTGTGCCTCAGTTTCCCTATCCAGCCTCCCTCACAGGGTTGTTTACAAGTGCCGGAGGCGAACTGAGGTCATGAGTGTAGTTCCAGTGTGGGGAGGGTCCCTCCTTTCCTTCATCCCACCACGGACCTGGTGCCCTCACTCTTCTCTAACTATGGGGCCATCTCTTTGAAGGCCACGAACAACAGTACCCTTGCACCAGGGCCTGCATGCCAGGCAGGACTGAGTCGCTGAGAAATCTCCATGGTAGTGGCACCTCCCAGTCCCAAAAGCCCCTCCAGTGACCTGGACACACCCAAGGGCACTGGCTGCGCCCATGAATGTCAGCAATGCCTCCAAGTGGCCTTCTGAAGGGACAGCCGGTCATGTCCTCGGGGTGCTGGCTTCCCCCAGCTCGGACAGCCAAGGCATGAACTGGGCTCAAATAAGTAGGAAGTAGGGGGTCCAACCCAGCTCCGTCACTGCCTCTGTTGACCCTGGAGAAGCCTGTCCTTCCGTTTAGTCCTCTGAGAGCAAGGATGACCGGCTGCTGGGTGCCAAGACCCAAGTCCTCCTGGTGGTGGGAGGGGGACTGGCGGGAACATGGGGTCTATGGCCCTAGACACCTCTGGCATCAATCCTTCTCGAATTGCCGCCCCGAGCTGCCCACTGTCCTGCCTCCTTATTCAGGGACGCCAGGAAAACATTCACTCTGGGACCTCTGGCGGCGTGAATATCACTGAGAACTTAGCCGAGGACCAGACACATACCGCACCTGGCCAGAGTCCCTGGAAACAGAAGCACGGTCCCCTGGTTCTCGCGAGGGAGCAGGCTCTCCTTCCACACAGATGATGTGTTCCCAGTTACCACGGCAGAGCACCAACACACAGGAAGGTCTAGGGGAGGCCCCTCCCTCCAAGCCCAGGCCGGAAACTGCCAAATCAAAACTGTGTGGCACTCGCTTCCTCCTGAACCATTTGGGTCTTAGAAGATGACTGAAAAATGAAAGCGAGGAAGCCTTCTCTAGCTGGCCAGCCCATGGCACCCTCGGCCTTTCCAGCTCTCTAGCGCCATGGCCCACGTCCCACCTCCCGGGTGCAATGGCTTCTGTGCACACTGCTTCCCATCCAGGCTCCAAATCCAGACCCAAGACGGTTCTCAACCAAGAAACACACGAAAAGGGTTTCACACTTTTTCACGACACCCCCCAACTCCAGTGCCTGGCTCAGCCCCCAGGTGTTGACTAGCACCTACAAAGCATTTGCTGACTGGCGCAGGGAAAAAAAAAATGGCCCTGGGTGTCAACAGGGAAGCCCCTACCATGCTGCTCTCGAGGGATGTGCTGCGGCCCGAACACTGTCAGTGCCACTGAGGCCGAGTGTGGCCGTGGAGACAATGACAGGACCTGGAGGACCAAGTGCACTCTTAGGGCCCCACACTGCGAGAGCACAGGGCCAGGAGCTGCACAGGGCTCTGCAGCAGACACGGCCGCCAGGCGAGAATCAGGTGGGCAGATGTGACTCTCCACACGTAGGTCCCCAAACCCTGCAACCTGCAACGCGGGGCCTGAATGCGGCTTCCTTAGCAGAGCAGGAGCTTACTCTTGGCACTGGGGGAAAGGGGAGGGGTGAGGCTGGGGTTTTTGTCGGGGAGGAGAAGTTGCAGAGAAAGAAAAAATCCTGAAACGACAGACAGTGGGACAGCTGTGGCCTGAACTTGGTGTTCTTGCTCCTCGGATGTGGATGTATTAATTTCCATAAATGCTAATAGCCCACTTCCCCAAGAGCTATTACTTATGTCATCTCCCCTTGGACACAGTTCAACACAGGGCAGACAAATGAAAGGGAGGAAAAGACAACCCCCAGTGGCGGTCCCCAGCTCCTCAGCCCCCTCCCAACCAGGCAGCTCAGGTCTGGTTCCTAAGGTGGCCCTGCTAACCGCAGGGTCAAGACCCCTGCCTTCAGCTCCGTAGCCAGGTCCCTATCACGACAGGAAGCAAGAAAGTTACCAACCCCAAAAATGCTGAATCACAAAGTGAGGCTGAGCAGGAAAGTGGGGGTGGGGAGGGAAGGAGACGGTGGCCAGGGAGGAAAGGTGCTAAGGGGCTTTCCACCTGGAGCACCCCGGGATGCTGCGGGCAAAGCACAGTCCCTGTAAGAGCCCCCAGGACAAATGCCAGGAGGAGGGACACCAGGATGCGGCTGGTTGGCGGGGTGGGAAGGTGGGCAGGTACCCCGGCTGCTGCTAATGCCGCAGGACGCGGTGCAGCAGTGGGGTCTTTGCATCCTGGGAGCAGCAGCAGGTAGGGAGGTGCGGAAGTGCTTTGTGCCAAGGCCTGGCAGGAGGGAGAAGCTTAAGATAGGAGTAGGGGCTCAGGGTCAGAAGTGGCGGTGTGTGTGCTGTAAACAGCCCGAGGAACTGGTGCAGGAAGCAGGGTCACAGTCTTGGGGAGCAGGGTAAGGTGGTGAGAGCGTGCCCGCGGGGAGAGGTCGGAGGGGCTGGGGGCAGAATGGGAGGGTGGGGAAAGGGACCGGAGCGACACAGGGACAGGCAGCGAGAACGACGGATGAGCCTTGAGAAGCGATCAGGAGGAGAGATGGGGAGGACCGGGAACAGCAGCGCCCCGGTGGGGCTGCGCAGAGGCCGGGAGAGGGGATGAGAGGAGGATGGAGGAAAGGGGAGGGCGAGGCTGCTAGGACCGGAGCGGGCAGAGATGGGGAAGAGGTGCACCGGGAAGAGGGACGGCGGCAGGGGCAGGGGTCAGGGATGCGAGCTGAAGGGTCGGGCGGGCGGGAGGACAGGGAAGGAAAGACAGAAAGGGATGGGGGAAGGGAGACGATGGAGAAGGAGGTGAGGAGGCTGGAGAGGAGGTGAGACAGCGGCGGAGGCAGGGACGCAGGGCCGGGGAAGAAGAGATGGAGACGGGACCGCGGCGCCTGCCGCAGCGCGGGCCTCGCGGATACCCGCCGCCGCCGTCCCGGAGCAGCTTGGTGGAAAGCGCGCCCCGCCGGGGTCTCCCCGGTACTCACCTGGGGGCTCCAGCTCCGGATCCTGTGCCCCGCGCCGGATCTTCCTTCCCGCCCTGCCCCTGCGACTTTAGCGCCCCCGAATCCCGCTAGCTCCTGCAGGTTCCGCCAGCAGCATCTTCACCTCGTGGGACGCCCGGGGCCACGCCTCTTCCAGCTTCTGATTGGCTATTGTTCACGCCAGTCACATTACCATTGGTTGAGGGGTCGTCGGACATGCAAATCAGGATGGGCCCGCCGCCGCACCGATTGGCTGGCGCTCGCAAAGCGCAGCCCTCGACTTGGGCTCTGATTGGCTCCGCGGCCCTGACGGCGACAGTGACGCGAGGCGGGTTCTTGGACTGAGTGTGCGGCGCGGTGCGCCGCCTTCCGAGGCTCCTCCCGCGGGTGGCAGCGGACGGGGCGCGCCCCTCGGCCAGTCCTCGGTCCTCAGGCTTGTGGCTCCGTTGAGCACCGGCCGCCGGGCCTCTGGGTCCGTCGAGTGGAGACTCTCTGAAAAGCGTGGGCTCCGTGGCCTCCGGCGCGGCCGCGGCGGGTCGGTCTCCTAGGTAACGCGGCCCGCGGCGGGCGGAACCATGTGGGCCGGCGCCGCGGGGGAGGTTGGACGCGGCCTCGAGGCACAGGGGGCCTCAGTGTTGGCCAGAGCCTCGGGGTTCGGGGGTAGGGTGGTCCACGCCGTCCCTGCGTGGGGGCCCGGTGCCTGGGGTGCGGCGGTGGCGCGCGGCGGGGGCTGTCCCCGCGTTAGTCGCAGGCGTCCCCCCTCGTCGGGACACTTGGGGTCGGGGCCGCTGGGTGCCGTTTGGCTACGTGGGTTCCTTTCTGCCCTTGCCCTTTGCCCCCTGCCCCCTGCCCCCTGCCCCCTGCCCCCTGGCCTCTCTGCAGCCCCTCGGCTGAAGGGAGCGCGGTACCGATGTTCTGGGCCTTGGCTCCCCGCGCCCTAGTCCGCGCGCATCCTTCCCAGGCCGGAGTCCGCGGACCCCGCCTGGCCGCGCCCCTCCGCCCCTCCTCCCCGCCCCCCGGCTCCAGCTCCGGCTCCGGCTGTCAGTTCCCCGCGGTGGCTCTGCGGCCTTCGGGCGTCCCTGCGAGGCTTTGTACCCGGCGCCGTCCCGGCCTTCTGCGCCCCTTTCCTGCCTTGGAACCTCCCGGCCGACCCGGCCCGGAAGGCGCCACCCGCTCCCGCGTGCCCTTCCCCACGCGTGCAGGCTGCTCCCGCCCGCCCCCGGGCTTGCAGGCACCTCGCTGCCCGAGATTCCTCGTGTCTAACTTCTTAGGAGACCGCTGCTTTCTGCCTCCGTGTGTCGCGATGTGTGGCTTTGGTGGACGTCTGTGAAGGAAATCCAGCCTCTCGCGTGTGTAGTTGGCAAAAGGAGGAGTATTTCTGTTGATGGTGGGCAGCGCCTCCCGGTCCTAACCCAGGGCTCCGTTCGTTGCACCTCCTCTGTGCAGTTTCCGTAGGTCACACTTGTGTCTTTTTGTATGCTAATTTGTGCCCCGTTTCTTTACATTCTATGGGGGTAGCGAGCTTGTCTGCTGTGTTCAAGACCGTTTCTCCCGGGCGCAGGGTAGGTGCTGAAAGAATGCTCATGAATGAGGGAATTCCAGGCAGTGCTTAATCAGACCTCTGCTTCCCCAAAAGCTCCCCAAGGCATCTGGGTCTCAGGCATTACACATTTTCCATTCCGGGAAGGAGGCTTCCCGGACCCTGACAGCGCCTCCCACCCCCTGCATCTTCCTTCAGCCCTGCTCACCTCTGCACCCTCCCGGGGGCCTGTTGCTGCTCACAGTCACTTTCTTGTCTTTCTCCCCCACTGGCTTTCTAGATGCTTGAAGACAGCACATTTGACAGCCTTCTTATGCACTGGAACACAAGTGCTCGGGAAATAGTTGCTGAATAGATCAGCAGAAGCAGAGATCTCAAGGAGATTTCACAGCTCTCATTTTGGAGGTTGGAAACAGGTGGGGAGGCTGCGAATCTGTCCTGAAGTTAAAGAGGAGACAGCATTAGCCCTGGGTTCCTTTGGTGCTCTTACTTTTTCCCTCTGGGCCTCTCTTCTCCCTTGGCCTCTCCTGGCCTCCTTGATTGAGGTAGTGGGAGGTAGTTATAATAGCTTACAGTATTATATCTATAATACTATTATAATAGCTAGTTATAATAGCTAGCTGTGTGACCTTGGATTGGCTGTTTATCCTTTCTGAGTCTCAGTGTTCTCATCTGTAAGATGGCGATAATGATGATTCTCATTTGGCAGAGTTGTTGGAATAGTAACCATAGAATGTGAGTTCCTGTCTTGCATCAGGGGCTCATTAAAAGTGGGTGTATTTTCTTCTTCTTCTTTTTTTTTTTCCCCTGGAGAGCCCACTGTACCCTTTTCTTGGGTTCAAGACCTGGAGCCTTCTCGATTTTCTCTTTTATTGTTGATTTGGCCCCAAAGGCCCCTCTGCACTTCCTCCAGGGCATTTGTATTTCATCCTTAAAAGACTTTTGCTGAAGACCCAGCCTGGTGTCATGGAGCTCACAGTCTCGCAGGACTACAGCACAGCCCTGGTGAAGCGTGGTGGCTCTTCTGTCACCTGCCCTGTGTGGGAGCAGCCGGAGGTGGGGGATGGGGCTCTCGCTCTGAGGAGGGAGCATTTGGTTTGACTCCTAGAGGCCAGAGCAGAGGTGGAAAGGAGCAAGGAGCAGGTGGAAGGGCACCCGGAGAGGTTTGTGAGGTGCTGGGATGGCAGTGAGAGCTGCTGCGGGCGCTTGGGCTCCCACCTGCAGAGTCTCAGGTGTCACCTCGGCCTCCGTGGCCCCTCAGACTAGGACTGCCCTGCCTCCACATCCCGAGCCTCAGGACTTCCGTGTGGGTGGCAGGTGCTTTCGGAATGGATGCCCTTCCGCCTAGTGTCTGCCCTCCTAGTACAGCAGGGGGCCGGCATGCTTCATGCTCCCTGTGAGGGTCGACTGGCGTATGCACGTCCTTCAGCAGTGTCCTTGGGCCAAGTGTGGCACTGAGTCCTGCAGACACCCAGGGAGAGGGCAGGAGGCACCGGGTCAGAAATCTGGGGCAGGTGAGGAGCATGGGCATCTGCGTCAGGAGAGACTTCCTCTCTGAAATCCCCACCTGGGGCCATCACGGCCTGCATTGTGTGTGAATACATTTCTGAATGTTATAAAACATCAGTGGGAAAGAAAAGCTTGAGGGTAGCTTTGCTAAAGCTTCTGTTTGGTTCCGTGACCATTTACTGAGTTGTGACGGTACCAAGAACACAGGAGGAATGAGGCTTCTTTCTTCAAGAACTTGGCCAGCGAGCAATTCAACACAAGATAGGTGACGAATGATGTGACCAAGGGAAGCACAGGGGCCATGTGAGCCTGGGGCCTGGACCCTGGGAGCACCTGGGAAGCCCTCCTGGGGGAGATGGCCCTTGAGCTGGTATTGGTCAGGTGTCTTCTGCTTATAAGTCGTGGACAGCTGTATGATTTCCTGTGGCTCCTGTAAGAAAGTCCCACAGACTTGGTTGCTTAAAAGTAGCACAAATTTGTTCTTTTCCAGTTAGGCCGGTCAGAAGTCCAAAGTCGGCTCTCCCTGTGGTGGCTCCTGGGGCTCTGGGCTGGCATGGTGTGGGCAGTTGTGGGCATTGGAGGAGAGACATCCTGGGCTCAAGTCTCCCGGGGAAGACTGATGGCTCAGTGTGGGCCATGTGTTCCTCCTTGAAGCAATCACTGCAGTCTCTGGCTGGAATCGGGGAGCAGCTCTCCCCATACATGGAATTGGGTCAGGGTCCTCCACAAAACAAGGGAAGTTGAGCGACAAAAATAGCCCACAGAGAACAAAAAGGAACAAACCAGCATGTGTGCCTGCTGGATTCACACAGGACCAGACTGAGTCTGGTCCTCAGGAATACCTGGCCCACATGCAGCATCTGCGTGCACTGTGGGTGGAGGCGGGACGCTGGGCCAAGGATGCAGCGTCTGGGTGCACTGTGGGTGGAGGCGGGACCCTGGGCCAAGGATGCAGCGTCTGGGTGCACTGTGGGTGGAGGCGGGACCCTGGGCCAAGGCCCCTCTCAGGCTGCCTGGTCATGTCCTCTCGGTTCCCACACATGCCGGGAGCATGCAGGGGGTGAACCATTAGCACAACCCTTCTCAAACTTTTTGGTCTCAGATCCCTTTACCCTTTAAAAGATTATTGAGGACCCCAAAGAACTTTTGTTTATGTGAGTTATATCTACCAATGTTTACTGCCATAGAAGTTAAAACTGAGAAATGTTAAAAATATTAATTTATTTAAAAATAAGGCTGTGACATGTTAACATAAAAACATTTTTTACAAAAACCAACTATATTATCCAAAACAAAAAAAAATTTAGAAGAGTGGGATTCTTTTGCATTCTTGCAAATATCTTTACAGTCTCCTTAAGAGAGGACAGCTGAAGGCTCCTGTTTGCTTCTGTACTCAGTCTGTTGCCTTGTGTTGCCTTGGTTGAAGTATGTGAAGGAAATCCATCCCGATCTAGTTAGGGAGGAGTCTCTTGGGTCATTGTGGATATTCTTTGCTGCTGCATTGAAACCCTACGAGCAGAAGTTTCTTAAGGATTTGTTCTAAAGCAGAGTCTCCACCATGTGAATGAACTCTTCGTGCTCTGACATTAAACTCCTTTGGTCTGTCTTGCACTTTGGGTGGATGTTTTCTTCTTGCAGGATTTTGTACCATTACGCATTGTTCAGAAAATATTGGTTCACGGAGTCATGCAGACCTTCCAACTATTGACACATTTAATGGTGTAACCTTAGAAGATCACGTTATATCACTGCCCCTCTCATCAGGAAAGTCTTGAAGAAGTGTGAAGCTAGTAGGCTCATGGTAGAGGATACAAATGTTCTTAATTCTCATTTTTGCTTGGAAACTCCATTTTTGTTGCAGTTGTTTTCCCGGAAGTGACATGCTAACTTTGTTCACGTTTGAGAAGATGTCTGCCAAGTACCCATGTTTGTCTCTCAGTCATTCTTCTTAGTGAAAATGGTGTTGAATAATAAAAGCGGTGTGTTCAGCATGCAGCCCAGTCACAGCCAGGCTTCCCCGGGGATGACTGTTGCCTTTCAGTTTGCAGCAGAAATGCTTGTTGTGTATTTTCCATTTCGTCTCACAAAATTAAGAACGTGTGTACTCAAAGGTCAAGAAGTAATAAGATTAATAGTTTTTCCGGCTTCACCAAGGATGTTCTTACTTGAAGCTGCCTTGTTCTTTTCTGTGAGAGGTTGGGAGGACCTCACTCAACCCAACCAGCCTTGGGTTGAGTGAGGCCCCAGTGGCTTTCCCTGCTGCTGCCTCTGCCCCACCATGCCACCATGGTGAAAGAGATAACACCTGGGTGTCATGAAAATAGTTTTGACCTTGTAGAGCCCCTGACAGGATCCTGTTGAACCTTGGGTTTGGGGAATGTACTTAGAGAGCTGCTGTCTTAGAAGGCCAAACCCACTTCTTTTTCTCCTTACTCGCCATTTTAGTTTACGGAATTCAACCTCTTCTTGAGGTTCAGATCTTTGGATTCTGTGTTGGCTAGAGAAGATTTAGATCCCGGTCTGGCTGGACAGGATCAGATAACACTCAAAACGGGCCAAGACCCACCAAGAAGCTGGTAACACCTGAAACCTGTCCCCAAATGGCTTTAGCAACAAGAGACTTTGTTCATGTAGCTGAAGTGTCGTGGGGTGACCAACTGAGGTCTCTAATAATGACATGGGGACCCAGTGGCCCTCACTCCTACCTTTTCCTCTCTGCTTGTTTTTATGTGTGTCCTAAGGTGGCCCCGGGCAGTTTCAGGCTGACCACCTCTTGGCCCAAGGGCTGTATTCCCTCTCTCATGCTCCCTGGGTCCCCTACAAGACAGTCTTAACGCTAGGACTGTATTTCAGCAGCCACCCACCCCTGGTGTCCTTGTGTGGTATCCAACTTACACAGCTGAATAAAACATCCCTTCATGTCCCCATCCGGAACCAGCCACAGAGGTCAGGAGAGTCGTGCCCTGAGTCTGGCCCACGGGGGTAGGGGTGGGGCGGAGGGTTCTCTGGAGGTAGATTTTATTTCTCCATTTTATTTTTATTTCTGAAAAGGTAATTCGCATAGTTCAAAGTTGACAAGGATACACAGGAAAAGTGAATCATCCCATGTTGACCCCAGGTACCTGGTGTATCACCCTAGATACAGTGTGTTATTGTACAGCTTTCATAAATTCTAAGCAAATACAAATAAATATATCTACGTTTATTTTTCCTTTTTGAAATGCAAATGGTACTTCCTAGAGGAGGCAGCATGGGTGCCAGCCAGCAACAAAGTCCACTCTTCTGGGGTTTGCAGAGTGTGGGTTTGGGGGATGGAGGTTCCTCTGGGATTTAGTGGGAGGCAGAAGCCTTCAGGATTGCTGTGACCACTGTAGCCCTCACAGCTCTTCTCTTTATTTGAATACGACTGGCACAGATCATCCGGGAAGCCCACGGGACCCTCAGGCGGGCAGGATGAACGACTGGCACAGGATCTTCACCCAAAACGTGCTTGTCCCTCCCCACCCACAGAGAGCGCGCCAGCCTTGGAAGGAATCCACGGCATTCCAGTGTGTCCTCAAGTGGCTGGACGGACCGGTAATTAGGCAGGTAACAAAATGTGCTGTTAGCAAATGCGTGTTATTGCTCTTAGCTGACATGAGGCTTCCAGTTAACAGATGGATGGTCCCTGGCTTACGATGCTTTGATTTTTGATTTTGCTACTTTATGGTGGTACCCATATAGCCATTCTGTTTTTCACTTTCAGTGCTGTTTTCAATATATTACAGGAGATACCCAACATTTTATTTAAAAATAGGATTTGTGTTAGATGACTTTGCCCAGTTGTAGGAACATGCAAGTGTTCTGACCATGTTGAAGCTGGGCCACGCTAAGCTCTGATGTACAGTAGGTTAAGGGTATTAAATGCATTTGAACTTATGACATTTTCAACTTAAACAGGATAGAGTCCCATCATAGGTCAAAGAGCATCTGTATTGATTTTCACTTACTCGTTTGAGTCTTATACCACCATACCCATTACCTTGGGCCTTGGCAGTATTCGGATGCAAAGTGGCCCATCAGCAAAGAGAATCTATGATTCAATGACATGGTCAGCACTTTTGACTCTGGGTAGGGTTTCTTTCTGCCCACAGTGGAGCAATTTAAAAACCCAAGTACTCTGATTTCCTGGGTTATTTGTGAGCCAGGTGGCCTTGTGCATGGCTCAGCATGGCCCGCTTTCAGCCTGGCAGTGAGGACTGCAGGGGCTGAGCTACGGGCATTCTGGCAGCTCTGTGCGTGGCTGGATGTACCACGGCCTTGGGCACACTCAGGCCCAGGCCCTGATGGCGGCACATCCATCTGTGCCCTTCAGCTGGCGGGGAACCTGCTGGACAAGCTGGTGCTTCTGTGCTGCTGCCCACGGGACACCCACACGATTGGATTGTCCTCGTGAGGCCCAGTGGCCGGTGGGAATGCGTGAGAAGGATCAGTCTTGCCATTGTCAACCCTTTTTACAGGATTTGGCTTGGCAAGGCCGTTTTCCTCTGCAGCTGGGAGAGTGATATTCACATATATTCAGTTGTTGGAGCCCCGGGTCTGTGACTAATTTACTATTATTAAATCACTGATGTTCTATATCGTTCAATTCCAAGCCCTTGGATTGAGCACCTGCTGTGTCTTTGCCACTGTGGTAGGTACTGTGGTGGCTGCTGCTTTTGTAGCTTTACTTCTAGCACTTCACTGTGTTCATTCACTTAATCCTCAGAGCAGCTCTATGAGGCTGCCACCACCTTACTCCCGTTTTATAGACGAGCAGCAGCACCTGCTAATTAAGAGTGAAGCCAGCTGCCCAGGGCGACGGCTTTAGCTGGGATGCCACCCTCCTGGTCTGGCTCAGCCGCCTTCCAGAAGCTCACAGGATAGTTGATAGCCCTTCCCTCTTTCCTAGGAGTTTTGCAAAGGAAATTTTATTTCCCCATTTCATTTTATTTTTATTTGTGAAAAGGTAATGCACGTAGTTCAAAGTTGACAAGGATGCAGAGGAAAAGTGAATCATCCCATGGCATCCCCAGGCACCTGGTGTATCACCCTAGATACAGTGTGTTTTCGTACAACTTTCTTAAATTCTAAGCAAATACAAGTAAATATACCTACATTTATTTTTCCTTTTTAAAATGCAAATGGTACTTCCTGTATTCCGTTCTGTACCATTCTTTCTTTTTTTTTGAGATGAAGTCTCACTCTGTCACCCAGGCTGTAGTGCAGTGGTGTGATCTCAGCTCACTGTAAACCTCCTCCCCCTGAGCTCAAGTGATCCTCCTTCCTCAGCCTCCCAAGTAGCTGGGACCACAGATGTGCGCCACCATGCCCGGCTAAGTTTTTGTATTTTTGGTAGAGTCGGGGTTTCACCATGTTGGCCAGGCTGGTTTCAAACTCCTGAGCTCAGGTGATCTGCCCGCCTCTACCTCCCAAAGTGCTGGGATTACAGGTGTAGCCACATGCCCGGCACTGTACCTTGCTTTTCAAAAAAATTCAGGCAGTATGTCTTATCGATCATTCATGTTATTACATGAAGAAAATTTTATTGTTCTTAAGACCGCAAGGTGTTTCTTTATATGAATGAGCCATCATTTATTGAGTGAGGCCGTGATTGATGAACATTTAGACTTTTCCCAGTCATTTGCTATTATAGGCACTGCTACAGTGAATAACCTCATTTTTTTCATGTACAGATATGTCTGTAGAATAATTCCTAGAAGTGGAATTCCTGATCCAAAGTCGTATGTTAAAAGTTATTTAAAACCCAATTACATGTTGTTTACAAAAAAGTGCACTCTAAGCATAAAGACGTAAACAGGTTGCAGGTAGAAGGGTGGAAAAATATAAACCATGTACATACTAAGCAAAGAAAGCTTTGCATCTATACTAGTATCAGAAAAAGTAGATTTCAAGGTGAAGAGTATTCCCAGAAATAAAGGGGCACCTCATAAAGACAGTGATCATCAAGGAAACGTAACAATCTCTAAATGTGTATGCACTTGTGTTAGGGGCCTCCAAGACCACCTCCCAGGTTTGAAGAGTCTCTAAGAGGACTCACATGACTCAGCATGTAGTCATACTCTCAGCTAAGGTTGATCCAGCAGAAGGATACAGAGCAAGATCAGCAAAGGGAGGAGGCATATGGGGGATGTCTGAGGGAAGAGGGTACAAGCTTCCAAGAGTCCTCTCTCAGTTGAGTCACACAGGATGCGTTTGATTCCTCCAGCAATGAATTGTAACAACACACGTGAAATGTTGTGTAGCATGTCCAAAATTCCAGACTCTCAGAAGGGAAACACGTGTTTAGCATAAGCCACAGTACATAAACAGTTTAGGCACAGTGAGCTCCTCTTACCAGTTAGGTGGTAGGAACTCTCTTGAAATCTAAGTTCCCAGACTCCAGCAAAAGGGCAGACTTCTAAGCTGGTCTTTCAAAGCATAACAGTAAGGTCTGTTCTGATAACTCTTTTGTACAAAAGAGCAAAATTGGACAGAACTAAAGGGAACTATATTCAGATTCATAATCATGGTTGGAGACTTTTAACTCTTCTTCTCTCAATTATTGAAAAAACAGATAGATCAGAACACTCATAGGGATTTGGAAGCTCTGAAGAATACCGTCAATCACCTTGTCATCTCTTAACGCTACTCCCAAGAAAGCTAGAGTACACATTCTTCCCAAGTGTACCATCAATCACCCTGTCATCTCTTAAACACCACTCCCAACAAAGCTAGAGAACACGTTCTTCCCAAGTTCATATGGAACAGTCACCAAGATAGACCGTATGCTGGGCCATTAAAATGTCCCAATAAGCTTCAAAGGACCCAAATTATAGAGTATGTTTATCGACTACTGTGCTTTTAAGTTAGAAATAAATAATATGAGATCTAGAAAATCCTCAAATAGGAAATTAACATACTGGATCAAAGAAGAATTAATAGGGAAATTAGAAAATAATTTGAACTGAGTAATGGAAGAAAATATACAGATTTATAGGATATAACTAATACAGTTCTTTGAGGGAAATGTATAGCTTTACATGACTATATTAGAAAAGAAGAAGGTATAAAATCAGTGACGTCTGTTTCCTCCTTAACAACCTAAATAAAGGAACAAATTAGATACAAACCTAAATAAAGGAACAAATTAGATACAAAGTAACTAGAAGGAAGGAAATGGTAAATACAGTTATGCATGGTTCCTTGACAGTGCCGACACATTCTGAGAAATGGTGTTAGGTGATTTTGTCATTGTGCAAACATCATAGGATGTACTTACGTAAACCTAGAGGGTAGAGCCTGCCTCACACCTAGGCTCCATGGTATAGCCTGTTGCTTCTAGGCTACAAACCTGTATGGCACATTACTGTACTGAATACCATTGGCAATTGTAACACAACGGTATATCAAACATAGAAAAAACAGTAAAAATATAATATTACAATCTTAAGGGGCCAGTCATATATACAGTCTGTTGCTGATCGAAATGTCATTATGTTACACATGACTGTATATGAGCAGAAATCAATAAAGGACAAATAATAGAGAAAATCAGCAAAGCCAGAAGTTGATTCTCTGAAAAGATTGATAAAATTGATCAAGACAAAAAAAAAAGAAAACACAGACTACCAGTATTAAAATGAAAGAAGCATCATGATAACGTACGCTACAGAGGTTAAAAATACAATGTTGAATTTTATCAGATACTAAAGGAAGAAATAAGACGAATTCTAGACAAACTCAGAAAATAGAGGAGGAGGGAACACTTCCCAGCTCATTTTTTGAGGCCACCATAATTCTGATACCCAGTCAAGGGCACTACAAAAAAAAGTACAGACTTGTATCCCTCATGAATATTAACACAGCAGCCCTGAAAATATTAAGACAGCAAAGCCAGCAATATGTATAAAAGATGGGGTATTAGGATCAAGTGGGGCTTACTGCAGGAATGCAACGTTGTTTTATTTACAAAGATCAATCAAAATACAGTATTTAAAAGAAGATAAATAGAATTCATATAAATTCTATAAATAGAGTTTGGAAATAGATGATGGTTTGGTATAGATAGTCTTATAAGTTTGTATAATTTTAGTTGTTTTGAGAATTGATAGCTTTAGATAATGGCCAAAGCTTGCTTCCCTGTGAAAGGTGTTGGCTGAAGAATATTACATGCTTGTTTTGAATTCAGGGCACTTTATTAATGATTTTAGTATATTTCTTTTACTGTCCCATTTACTTTTTTTGTTTAATTTTACCATGATCATTGCTTATATTTCTTTATTTTGGGATGAGTATTTCAGTTCAGCTTGATATGTATTGGGCACCACGATATGTTAGGAACCGTGCAGATGACACAGAGTTGACTCTGCCCTATACTGTGTCTTCAGGAAGCTCTCAGTGGATTCTTATTTGAATAGACTGGATGTGAAGTAGCATAGAGGTGGTGGGAGGGTGGTTAGGATCTGGCATTCTGGAAAGAAGCCCAAGCCAGCGACGGTTCTGGGAGCCACGGGATCCTGCCTGAGAATGGCCTCCTGAGAGTGCAGGAGAGGAGGAGGAGGAGGTGGCGGTGCTGGGGGAACCCAGGCAGTCCCGGGTGAGGAGGGGCACGTGCAGAAGCTTTGCCTAGGCCCCAGGGACAGAGCAGGGAACAGACTATTTCAGGCTTGTGTCCTCAGAGAGCTCACGTTGTAGATGGGGGCAGCAGACAGTCAACATGGAAAAGCCAGGGGGTTGCTCTGGGGAGAGATGAGGCAGGCTCAGAGGGCAGGTCTGGATGCGGGAGGAGCTGAGGAGGAAGAGAGACTGAGGGGAAGAGGGAGGAGGACAGGGAGGTAGCGTGGTAATGGGAGCTGGGGGCCAGGCCCCGGTGCGTGGTGATGGGAGCTGGGCTTGGAGTCTTCAGACCTGCTCTGCCCACCTTCCCTGTCCTCATGGATAACACCACCTCCCTCCACGTTGCTTCACTTGAGATGCGAGATTCAGTACTGGGCCTGGGAGGGCTGGGCCGACCTAGGCAGCTGGCCCTTCCCACTTTTCTCCCTTCATGACCACGCAGCCACTCCTGCAAAGCAGCAGAGCCCAGCGGTGCCTGCTTCCTGTCACCCTCCCTGCCCCTCCCTGTCTCGCCTCCTCCTAATTGGCCCCTGCTTCCACTCCCGCCCCCACATGGCAGCTGCGGGAATTTTCTTAAATCCCGAACCAGATTGTGTCATTTCTGCTTAGAATCTCTCCCTGGCCTCCCTGCATGATTGGAGTGAGAACCCAGCTTCTCCTCGCGCCGTGAGGCCTGCCTGAACGCTCTTGCGCCTGGCGCTCATTCCTTCTCTCCTCCCTGGCCCAGCCTGCTGCAGTCCGGTGGGCTTTCTGCTTAGAATGTACCTGGGACTGGTTTCCATTTAGGGGTGGTGAGGCCAGCGGATCAGGAGACAACTCAGCTGAGACCCTGTCTGTTACTCAGGGCTCCCAAGACGAGGGGTAGGCCATGTCCCACAGGCCACCTGGGGAAGCGCAGGGTTGGTCAGGAGGCAGGAGGGTGGAAGGGAGGCATGGGCAGAGACTTGATTATGGTTTTGTGGGAGGACTGGGCCAGGGAGGGTGGGCAGCTGGACGGGCTTGCGTTGGCCAAGGAGAGTCATGTCGTGGTCTCTGAGGTGCAGGGATGGCCCGAGGTGTCTGGTCACTGACCCTGAGAGACCATGGCAGAGGGTGGGACTCCTGGGGTGTGTGAGCCAGACAGAGGTAGTGGGGCATGTGGTCTCTGGACGGGTTGGTTTTCATGTCAGACACATTCTGATAGGCCTGCCATTTGCCACCCTAGGAATTAACCGGCTCTGGGGGACAGTCTTATCTCGTCACTGAGGCCCCAGATGCCAGAGCATCAGTAATACAGAAAATTAGAAAATACAGGCCGGGCATGGTGGCTTACCCCTGTAACCCCAGCACTTTGGGAGGCCGAGACGGGCGGGTCACTTGAGGACAGGAGATCAAGACCAGCCTGGCAAAACCCACTCTCTACAAAAAGTACAAAAATTAGCCGGGTGTGGTGGAGTGCACCTGTGGTCCCAGCTACTTGACAGGATGAGGCAGGAGGATTGCTTGAGCCTGGGAGGTGGAGGCTGCAGTGGCCAGACCTCCAGCCTGGGTGACAGACGAGACCCTTTTCTTAAAAACAAAAACAAAACACAGGTACTATAGCTAAATATAGTTCCTGCACTTCTCGCTGGCTCCTGGAGCACGTGTGCTCTCTTCCTCTCAGGACCTTTGAGTTTGCTGCTCCTCCTGCCTGGCTCCCTCTCCCCAAACTCCCTGTGGTTCTTCTCATGCCCCCCTTGTTCTCAGCTCAAGGATCATCTCAGAGAGCCTGCCCTGCCCTGCCCTGCCCCGCCCCACCCACCTCTCTCCCCGTTCTTCACCATGTAAGCCCTGTAAGGGCAGAGATTTTGTCTGTTCCTTGTTGTTTCCCTAGTGCCTGGAAATGTGCCTGGCAGAGAGTCAATGCGCAGAATAGATGTGTAAGTAACGTTTACTAAGTGAATAGGTGAAAGAAAGGTGGAGGACTCTTGTCTCAGGTAAGAACCTGTCACAGAAGAGAAAAGGCTAAAGCAATACTTGCTGTAAGTGGTAAAGCTCCGGGGCAGGGTCCTGCCTGTCTACACTCTGGCTGCCGCTCTGGGCAGGGTCCTGCCTGTCTACACTCTGGCTGCTTTGTTCTGTATTTGTAGCCATGATTTCTCAATTCTCAAAGATCTGCTTTTTGCTTTGCCAATGTCACCCCAAAATCTGGGAAGTTGAGGATTTAGTTTCTGGTTATATCAGGAAGGGCTCATTTGGTTGGAAATGATTAACAAACCCATCCAAAATGATTTACGTGAGAGGCGATTTGTTGACTCACAGCAAATCCACAGCCAGCATAAGCTTCAGGTGTGGCTTGAGCGAGGTCTCAGGTGATGTCCCCTGGACTTGTTCTCTCTCACCTGTTGGCTGCTGGGAGCCCTGGGCCTCATCCTGGCAGGCGCATGTGTCTCCTGTGGTCATGTCCTCTTGTGCGTCCTGGGCTCTGGCTGAGTCAGAAGCCTGTGTCTGTTCCAAGGGACTGCAGTCTTTCGTTGGCCAGGGGAGGGCCAAATGCTTTGGTTTATAACCCCACCAAGACCAGTAGCTGTGGGAGAGAGGTAGCCTCCCAATAAGGAAACCAGCGTGCTGATATCTGAGCGAGGTGGCCCCATATGCACCCACATGGCCTGCCAGTGACCTCCTGGCTCATGGTGCTCAGACTCTTGAGGGTCAATTCCCCGTTGTCTCCTAGGGCGTGCTGGAGGTACTGTCAGAGGTTGAATGCCATCTGCGAGTGTCTTTCTTTGATGTCACCTACCGGCACTTCTTTGGGAGGACGTGGAAAACCACAGTGAAGCCGACGAAGAGACCGCCGTCCAGGATCGTCTTTAATGAGGTGGGCCCTGGTGATGGTGGCAGGGGCTGCTCCAAGGCGGAGGGTGTGTGTGCGGGTGGTCCTGGGTGGCAGCCCAGAGACTGGGGCCTTGCCGAGACCTCACAGCGCGTCTCAGACTTGTGGGTCCAGGCAGCACAGAGCTTAGTCTAGCGGCAAGCGCTTTGTTACCAAACAAAATCTTATGTGGAAGCCAGTTGTCTTAAACAGATGAGAGAGCTCTGCTCTGCTCTGGTTGAAGGGTCAGGGGAATGGGGGTCTTGTCACCTTCAAGGAATCTTGGAGTTCTTGGGAATAAGTTGGGAAATGATTGACCTCATCTATGGCTGCTGCCACTACTGCTCCCTCTCCTCCTCTCCCCTCCCCTCTCCTTCCCCCTCCCCTCCCCCTCCCTTTCCCTTTCACCGTCCCCTTCCTTCCTTTCTTCCCTCCCTCCTGTATAGACAAACTAAGATTTAGTAAAGTGACTTGCCCAGGTAGCAGGTATCAGAGCCTGGACTCACACCTGTGCCTTCTGTCTTGAGACCGGCAGGTGGATGGGCACTGGTTGAGCAGCGTGTTTTCACTCAGGTGGTCTTGCGGCTGGCCACCCTGCGGGCCGGCATGCTCTGTCTCTGTGGTTCACTGCACAGCATACATTCCATTCAGCACCTGCTCTCTGCAGGGCATCATGCTAGGCTCAGGGTGATGATGGCGCTCACCTAACAGAACTGCAGACTGTTTCGGAGACGCACTGAGCAGGTAACAGAGTAATTGCAAGTTGTGTTAAATTCTCAGGAGGAGACCGATAGGAGAACGTGGAGACCAATAGGAGAACGTGGAGACCTGCTTTAGGTGGGTGACGAGGGAGGCCTCTCTGCGAAGCTGCTGATTAAGCTGGGACTTACAGGATGAGAAAGAAACTGACTCCGTGACAAGCAGGGACGAGGCTGCTTCAAGCAGAGCAGGGAGACCCAGGGGTGTTAGGACGAGAGGAGAGCCCAGGTTTGCTGACGGGTGGGGTTGGCAGGGTGGCCCCGTCGTGCCTTCTGGCTGGGTCCTACAGGGTCTTCTTAGGGACGCTGACGTTTGACTCTTAACAGCCGGCGATGTCATGGAGGCCTTTCCCATGCCTGGCTGCTGCTTCACAGCTGAACTCGAGTGGGGGGAGTTTGAGAGGGATGGTGTCTGAGCACGACGGGTGTGCAGCAGGGACAGTGTGGAGGCAACAGAGGTGATGAGAGGGTCTCAGCTGTCTTGGTTTGATCTTAGGTATATAGAAGGAGGCCCCAAGAGGCCTGGTATTGGGACAGTTTGTATGATGAGTAACAGTGGCGGTGACAGTGGCCGTCCTTTGAGACGTTACTCTAGGTAACCACTGCCCAGGTGTGCCTTTCCCATGGGGGCCTGCTCTGGCCAGTCAGCACCCCCACCTAGGGCCACGAGCTCGTTGCTCTCCGTACCCCACCATCACCCAGCGCTTGGATTATGTGTGTCTTGACATGGATGGGTCCTGACTCTTGCCCTTCCTCCCATGGGTAGTAGAGGGAGAGAATGACCCCAGAGGTCACGAAGCTTCAATAAAAAGCCTTGCTAGAGTGTATGTCTGGACAGCTAAGGATGTGTCTGACATTAAGGTTGTCAAACAGCTAATGCAAATACCTCTCAGAGGTCTCTCTGGCCAGCCGTGTCAGGAAAGGTTTCATGAGTGTGACTGCGGATGAACCCTTAGAGTGCTGTTTCAGCGCGGGCAGGGGGTCCCCTCGGGCCTGCGCTGTGGCAGGAGGCTCGCCATGAGTTCCCGGTGCTGGCAATGCCAGACCAACTGCTGGGGATAGAGCTGTTTAGCTTTAGCTTTCTCAGATGTGCACAGTGAGCCCCCCGAAACCTGGTGTTGTGACAGCCATGCGGCGGGTGGTGAAGTTAGCCATCCTTCACCGGGAGGCGCTTCCCGTGGCCAGGCATCGGCTCAGAAGCATGCCGTCATTTCATGCCTGTCATCCTCCTGTGGAGGTCAGTATCCTGTGTACCCATTTTAAAGAGGAGGACACTGAGGTGCATGGAGATGGAATAACTCCACCAGCTTATTCCCATGTGGCGGGTGGGGGTGGGAGCGACGGCCCTGTGCATCTGACGGCTCCACCTGCTGTGGCCTCCGTGACCTCCTGCTTCTGAGGAGCCCTGCATTTTGTTCTGAAGTGTTCTGTAGAATGCTGAGGGATGGAGTATGCTCTGAAACCAGGGATGCCTTGCAGTCACCGAGGTGCTGGGGCCAGTTCCCTCCTCCTCCCTCAACCCCTCTGACTTCAGCTCTCCCTTTAGAGAGGCTTCGGACCTTCCTAAGGATCCGTGCTGCGCAGGCCAGAAGCGGGGGCTTCCATCTCCCTACTCTCTGGGCTGTAGAATCCTGATCCCTGTAGAATTCCAGTCACATGGTAGGACGATCTTTGGAATGGATGCCTCTCTCTGCCCTTCTCGGGATTATGTTCATGCACTCCGAGGGCTTCCGTTGCGGCGGAAGTTGGGCAGCACTTGCATTTCACCACATCCTGGCAGCTGCGTGTCATGCTGCCTGTGCAGTTCACAATTCAGATGTGTTAGGGAGACTAGGAGCTGGTGGCTTTTCGGAGTCTGGAATACCTGTGCTGGTGGCTCCAAGGGCAGCCGACTGTGGGAGCCACGTGGCTCAGCCTTGGCCTGTCATCTGGGTGCGTCTCCTGTTGAGGCTGGGGATGGGCCCGGGGGACTAGTGGAACATAGTCCTTAAAACCTCTGGAAAAATCTGCACCCTTGGACTTGGAATCGCTGAAGAAGGGAATGCAGCAAGGACAGTGTGGTGTGGCCAGGGCACTTTCAGCTGTGAGGGTGATGCTGAAGCCCCCGTGCTATTCATGGAGCCTGCTGTCTGCAGCTGCTATGCCCCGTGTGGGCAGCAGAGGCCAGTGGTGCCCCAGGAATGAATCCCTCCTGCCAAGCTGTTGAGCAGCGTGTTCTGTACCAGGCAGTTTCCTCCATGTGCTTGGCATTCTCATACAGAGCAAAGGTTTTGTTCCAGCTTAGTTAACTAGTTATTTAACTGTGTGTGCAAACATGTGTGCACATCCATGTACACATGTATGTGCTCCCAAGTGTGGATGAAGCACCGAGTGCTCCCAGGAGTGGGCATTCTTAGGCATGAGGGTGTGGCAGCATGTTCGCACCCTGTCTGCTAATTGCTCTGTCTACACCCCTGTGGAAATAGAGGTTCGTAAAACACCCTTTGCCCTTTTTAGGGGTGATTCTGAGACTTGGCAGAGATCTTTCTCTGGCTTTACTAATTGCCTGTGTTTTTCTGGTCTTTGCCTATCAGCATTGGTTTGGGGGGATCTGCTTTGGGGTTGGTGAGCTGCCGGTAGCAGGGGACCGCATTTGGAGCGCCCGTGGCTGTCCAGCCCCCACGTGGTAGCGCATGGACCCTGCATGCTCAGGTTTTGTGGAGTGCCCATGTCACACATGACCCCGAGAGAGGGGGCTGTGGCATGATTTTGCAAACAACGATGTCCTGAAAGAGACTTGGAACACAGAAGGCTTGTCTTGATCCAGAGCTGGGTGGTTTTTTTTTTTTTTTTCTGCAAATGATGAATTATTTGCACTGGGCCCATATGCAGGAGAGCAGTCCCCAGACACGTCTCAGCTCTGAGCTCAGAATTCTGTGTTCTCTGAGACCTTTCCTGGTGGGGAGGAATTGCCTCCACTTCCTCTGAGCCAGCGAATCATTCATTCAACTTCTAAAAAAGTGTCTTTTAAAAAATAATGCTGGAGGCCACGGTCCTGTGCAGTTTCTCAGTTTTCTTTTTGAGGTGGACATACTTTTCCCTTGGATTCTTTCCTTAATGACTGTGTGTGGCCGGTGTAGTGTGACTGGCTTCTTTTCCCTCCTTTATTTATTTGGGGGGAGTTACTGGGCAGGAATCCTCGTGATTCTCCAGCAACAGCTTAAACCCCCATCAAGGGAATCTTTCCTCCCAGAGCGCACCAGCCCCAGTGTCGCCAAAGCAGCGGGGCAGTCACCTGCCCTGGTAGAGGGATGCAGGTGATTGGGTTGTGTCTCTTCCCGTCATCACAGCCATGAGAAAGCCCCTCTTGAGCGGCTCTTACTCGTCAGAGCAATGAGCGTGCTATAATTTCCCATTGAAAAGTGGATGCTGTCAAGGAGTATCAGCATAACCCACGTGAAACTCCTGCGAGCCCTTCCAGGGCCTGGATTCTTGGGCCTGGCTCTGGAGCTTGCAGGAAGCCCTGGCTGCAGAGCCCGATGGCTGCTCCTGTGCTCTTGCTGTTGCTCGGCAGAGGGCAGGCATGTCCTGAACATCATCACAACAAAAGCAAGAAGCTGGCTTCGTGTCCCAGCGAGCTGCTTCCACAGAGGGAGGCTCTATGGCTCTAGGAGGCCAACTCGGGCCCTGTGTGCCTGTCTGTTTGCAGCTGGGGAGGGCTGATTTCCTCTCTGGCACAATGGAAACCACTGCCGTAGTCTTGGAACCTGAAATGAGAGGATGAAAGAAAATGGTTTTCAGAAGGAGAAATGATTGGTCTCTGTGACGTTTCCAGTGTTTAATTGTACAGTGATTGAACTGTCAGTCATCTGGGGACAATGGAAAGCTGTAAGTTTGTCAATTTTGTTGTTGTGTGTTCACAGCAGCATAGTGTGGGATCTTTCTTTTCTAAGAGATGGGGTCTCACTATGTTGCCCAGGCTGGAGTGCAATGGTGCGATCATAGCTCATTGCAGCCTTGGACTCCTGGGCTCAAGTGATCCTCCCTCCTCAGCCTCCCAAGTAGCTGGGACTACAGGCATGCATCACCAGACCCAGCTAAATGTTTTTATTTTGGTAGAGCTGGGGTTAGATATTTCTTGCTTTGGGTTATAATCATGTCTGCTCACTTACTTTTCTAAGTAAGCCAAGGAGTTGCTCTTTAGGCCAGAGGGAGAACTGGCTTTCGCCATGGGCGTCGGAGTTGAGGTAGGATGGGCTAGTGTCCTACTCCATCACTGATCCCAGTGGGACTTCAGACAAGTGCTTTAAACTCCTTGATCCTAGAGGGTGAGGGATAAAAGACTACAAATTGAGGCCGGGTGCAGTGGCTCATGCCTGTAATCCCAGCACTTTGGGAGGCCCAGGTGGATGGATCACTTGAGATCAGGAATTTGAGACCAGCCTGGCCAACATGGTGAAACCCTGTCTCTACTAAAAATTTAAAGATTAGCTGGGCGTGGTGGCACACACGCGTAATCCCAGCTACTTGGGAGGCTGAGGCTAGAGAATCACCTGAGCTCGGCGGGTGGAGGTTGCAGTGAGCTGAGATTCACGCCACTGCACTCCAGCCTGGGTGATAGAGCAAGACTCTGTCAAAAAAAAGAAAAACCAAACAAAAAAAAACCCTACAAATTAGGTTCAGTGGATACTGCTCGGGTGATGGGTGCACCGTAATCTCACAGATCACCACTAAAGAGCTTCCTCATGTAACCAAATACCACCTGTTCCCCAAAAACCTATGAAAAAAAAGAAAGAAAGAAATTAAATTAATTTGCAAGAAAAAAATAAGCTCCTCCTGACTTGATTCATTTGCTCATGAGAGATAAAGAGTGTGCATCCCCTAAGTGCTGCTGGAGTATTTAGTCATGTGCTTTTCCATAAGCAGGGACCCAGTGGGCAGTAGTTTTTATTCAAGAAATGTTGGTTAAGGGTCTTCTGTGTGCCAGGCTGTGTTTAGGAGCTGGAAGTGCAGAGATGGATAAGATGTTGTATTATCCTTTCAGCCAGGATTAAAGTTTACATTTTTACTCCAAATGAGAGTTTCTCAACCTTGGCACTGCTGACATTGTGGGCTGGATAATTCGTGGGGCAGGGGGCTGTCCCTGTCCCTGTCATGATGCTTTGCTGTGGAAATCTGGGCTCCCCCGATCCCTGCTGTCTTTGAGGGGTAGTGTCTGGGAAGCCCTCCGAACCCGCAGTGTGAGTCTGAGCCAGAGGGTAGGAACTGCATGAAGTCTCTGCATTGTTTGCCTGGCTGAAGATATCCTGTTAAAGGCTTATTAAAACAGTTCTTTGGAAGGGACTCATTCTGTTCCTGCTCAGCTCCTCTCTGGCCTTGCTGCCCAGCGTTGTCTGAGGAGCCCATGTCATGCAGGTGCCAGGTCATGTGGCCGTGCCATGGGGGGTGCCCGGCTGCGGCCTCTTCATCCAGGCACATCGGCAGAGGCCCAATTCCACTTCCATCACTGCGGGTGAAAAATGGAAACTGGGCCCCGAGGCAAAATGGTGTCCGTGTTTTTGAAGATGAAGGCATTAAGACAGGAGCATTTAAATGATTTATTAATCTGTTTATGCTGTCAAGGAGGAAACTTGACCAGTGCAGATAAGTGAGCTGCGAGGCAGGGGTGACAGAGAGCCCGTCTCCCTCTGTCTCCAGTGACCTTGCCCTGCAGGCGATTTGATGGGCTTGACTTAACCTTTTAATAGTGCAGTTTCAGTTGATGTAGAGAATGTTCCTTTCCAAATGTATGGCAGTGGCGCTCGTTAAGTTTCCCTAGACTGAAGGATGTGTGTACAGGTATTCCTCAGCTGGGTGCTGCCTGGCTGAGTGAGGCGGGAATTGGGTGGTCAGGCACCGGTGACCTGGTCGAATATGACTTTGCTGGGGTGACCCGAGGGGTGCAGCCATGTGGCTCTGTTGCTCGCAGTTTTGTGCCTGCCTCATCTGTCGTTTATGAAGCCTTCGAGGCTCGAGCTTCTTGAAAGCTGACTTGTGTTTTCCAGGTTCGTTATAAATTCTTTAGCTTGGGGCTGTTCCCACACTGGAGGGTCAATAAATGATTTTTGGAAAAGAACATATGTCCTTATCAATCAGTAATTGTACTGGTACAACCATCTGAACTTTTCAAACATGCTGCACTTGGAGCGGCTGACTCTTCTGATTAAAGATGGATTCTTTAGATTCTAAGGTTGGATCAGCTGAGACAAGCAGCTCTGGGGCTCTGTTGCTGTTGTTGTTGTTTTTGGCCTCAGAGTGATTATTTTTAGTGGTAAACAGAAGGGAGAGGCATAGCCATAAACTTGTATTTGGGACATGCCCGTAGCGGCAGGTTCCACCCGGTTCAGGTAGAGTAATTTCAGGGTGACCTCTAGGCTGGCAGATTGTTGTTGCTGGGTATCAGAGTTGAAAATGTTTATTGCCAATAGAAAAAGTGAGTAGTGTTCGTAAGACTGATAAGCACAGGTATAAATAGAAAAGGTGAGTTAATGACCAACTCGACTTTGCAGTGGGGCTTTTTAAAAGCGGTTCTGGAGTCTTGGAAACAAACATAATTCTCTCTTAGTCCAACCACCTGTCAGCTGTAAGTGGTCATTATTTCATCATATTGCAATAAAAGATAATAGAATAACGATTTATATCTCATGGCTGATGTTTTAATGCATCTCTCTGTTATCCTGGGCTGACAGTCTGTGATTACAGTAAACGTTTTCTCGGTGACACCATGGTAATGACTCGTTAATAGGAGGATTATTCCAAGTTTAAGTCATAGAGCGGAAGACCAGCCTCGGCTCTCCTTACCTCTTTGTGCCTTATGGGGGCGGTCTCTGTGCTCAGCTGGTGACCTGTGCTTTGCCCCCCAGCTGGGGTGTTGGGGTATGGGCTCAGCACCACTCCTGATGCCTGGGGATGCGCATTCCCTGTTGATTAGCAAACTCAGTCAGTGTCTTCATCTCTGTCTACTGTGCTACGGCATTCCTTCTTTCTTTCTTTTTATTAGACAAAGTTGCACTCTGCTGCCCAGGCTGGAGTGCGGTGGCGTGATCTCGGCTTACTGCAACCTCTGCTTCCCAGGCTCAAGTGATCCTCCTGTCTCAGCCTCCTAAGTAGCTGGGACCACAGGTGTGCACCACCATGCCTGGCTAATTTTTGTATTTTTCATAGGGATGGTGTTTGGCTATGTTGCCAGGTGATCTTGAACTCCTGAGCTCAAGTGATCCTCCTGCCTTGACCTCCCAAAAGTGCTGGGATTACAGGTGCGAGCCACCACCCCAGGCCCCTTAATTATTTTAAATAAAAACAACTGCATTGAATTTAACGCAATAGAAAAGCAGCAGCAGAGTGAAGGTGCTTTCATTCCCAAGTGGGAGCGCCCGTATGAGATGCAGAGAGGGGTTTGAGTCTCCTGTGCTGTCTTCCCAGGCCTCCTCTCCCTGGGCCTGGCAGGAAGGCGGAGGCAGAGGCTGGCCATTTGCATGTTGGGAATGGGAAGGTGTGAGTGGAAAACCTTTTAAGATCAATTTGAATATCATCTACTTGGCTTACATCTTGAGAAATCTTTTAATAAAATGATCTCAAGGTGATTTTCGGCATAAAAAGACTTTAGTCTTTTGGGCTCTGAACCGGGGATAATTACTTAGCACCTAAAGAAATTCAAGGATTCTTCTTGTTAATAGTTTAAATACAGTTCAGATGGAACTCAAAATGGTTACGCACGAAGCAGCACTGGGAAGGTGTGATCGAAGTTGTCTGTGTTGAGTGTCAGGCGATACTAGGAGCATGAATTGATCAGCACGTGCGTGTCTTTTTAGTGGTGGATGTGTTACGTCTTGGGCTGATCTAACCATGGTCCTACCTGGTGTGTCCCCCTGCAGGGTTGGGTGCATAGCTGCTCTAGCCCCATTCTGCTCTAGTGGGCCTGGGATCTGTTGGTGTTTCTTGTGGTGGAATTCCTAGGGAATGGAAAGTTCCTGGAGCGGAAGCAGACATCTGATGCCCTGGTTGTTGGGTGCTCTGGAATAAAGAGCTCCGACACCAACATTTCAGTCTGAGGGAGTTACCTCAGTGTGCCTGCTTCCCTGGCATCCTGCAGAGATGTGGTACACCACATGAGGGCATGGTAGAGGGTTCCGGATGCTGTGGCACGTGTAGGAAGGCGGTCTCGGGGGTGGGGACAGCGCCCATGTCCTCTTTGTGTGTGTCCTGAACACTCAGACCATCCTCTGGCTTCTGTTCTGCAGCCCTTGTATTTTCACACATCCCTAAACCACCCTCATATCGTGGCTGTGGTGGAAGTGGTCGCTGAGGGCAAGAAACGGGATGGGAGCCTCCAGACATTGTCCTGTGGGTTTGGAATTCTTCGGATCTTCAGCAACCAGCCGGACTCTCCTATCTCTGCTTCCCAGGACAAAAGGTACCTGCCTTGTTTCTACAACCCTGGGGTTTTCCAGCGTCTGTCTTTTTTTTTTTTTTTGAGACAGATTCTCACTCTGTCAACCAGGCTAGAGTGCAGTGGTGTAATGTCGGCTCACTGCAACCTCCGCTTCCTGGGTTCGAGCGATTCTCGTGCCTCAGCCTCCCAAGTAGGTGGGATTACAGGTGCCACGCCCAGCTGATTTTTGTATTTTTAGTAGAGACGGGGTTTTGCCATGTTGGCCAGGCTAGTCTCGAACTCCTGACCTCAAGTGATGCACCTGCTACCATGTCTGGCTAATTTTTGTATTTTTAGTAGAGATGGGGTTTTGCGCCTGGCCAGATTCCAGCATCTTTCTATGGTGGTTTAACTGCTCGTCTTATGGTGGCAGTAGAAGGCTGTACATTTGTCATCTAAAGTTGTGTGTCCATAATAGCATAGTGTGGGATGTGTCTTGCTTGGGGGTTTGCCTTTTTTTTTTTCTTCGAGACAGGGTCTTGCTCTGTCACCCAGGCTGTAGTGCAGTGGTGCAACATTGGCTCACTGCCACCTCCGCCTCCAGCCTCAAGCGATTCCTGTGTGTCATCCTCCCACGTAGCTGGGATTACAGGTCTGTGCCACCATGCCTGGCTAATTTTTGTGTTTTTAGTAGAGACGGGATCTCCCTATGTTGCCCAGGCTGGTCTTGAACTCCTGGGCTCAAGAGATCTGCTCGCCTCAGCCACCCAAAGTGTTGGGATTACAGACGTGAGCCGCTGTGTCCGGCTGGGTTTGCCATTTCTAAGTGACTTAAGGAATTGTTCTTTAGGCCGGAGTAAGGGCTGGCTTTGACCACCAGTGATGGATTTGAGGTAGTATGGATATGGGCCAAAGTTGTACTCTAGCACTGATTCTCTGTGGGACTTCAGGTAAGTGATTTGAGCTCTTGGACCCTGAATTTATTCATCTGTATATGAGGAGTAATGATAATGCATATCTCGTAAGTTCTGCTTGAATATTGAGCGATGTGTTTTTCACAGGTGCCTGGCAGGCAGTAGGTGTTCATTCAGCACACGCTGGCTGAGTGTCTGTCGCGTGCCAGGCTCTGTGTAGGAGCCGGGCATACGGGTGGATAGGCTGGCGCATCATCCTTTCAGCTAGGGTTAAAGCCTACATGTTTACTCCAAGTCAGGGTTTCTCAAGCTTGACACCACTGACTTGCGAATGGATAATTGTTTGCTGTCGCGGGGCTGTCGTCTGTGCTGTAGGATGTTTATCAGCATCCCTGGCAACGCACTAGATGCCAGGGCACTGCCTCCCTGCTCCCTGGCCCTGTTGTGACAAACGAAAAAAAATGTCTCCAGACATTGCCAAATGTGCCTTAGGGAGCAGAATCATCGCTGGTTGAGAACCACTGCTCCAGATATACAGCTGTGGAAATTCCTCAGATGTTGTCTTGAGACATTTCAGAGTTTTGTAAATTTCCATGGTGTTTTCCAGGAAAGCTCCTCAATTCTCAGGCTGCCTTGGTTGGGGCTGCGTGTGTGCCAGACATGCTTGGCCACAAGCACCAACGGCTTGGGGAGCTGCTGCTGGCCTCAGCTGCCTCTGCCTTCCGCAGAGGATGGGACTGGTGGAGTTTAGAAAGCTCTAGTGGGCGTGGTGGTGGCTGAGGCCTCCATGTGCTTTCCTTCTGAGAAGTGCGCACGTGGCTGACGACTGTTCTCTGGGTCCTGTCTTCCAGGTTGCGGCTGTACCATGGCACCCCCAGAGCCCTCCTGCACCCGCTTCTCCAGGACCCCGCAGAGCGTAAGAGCCAGACCTGGCCTTGGCAGCACTCACTGCTCTCGTGCCTTCCCTGAGTGTTCCCCACCTTTAGCTCTGAATGGGATCTTTCTCAGTGTAAACTGCTATCTGCTTAGCTAATTTATCTAAGAGGTTTTGGCAGATGTTTCGTGGCCTTGGACTTTTGGCAGAAAGTAAAGAACTGAAACACACCAGCCCTGAGGGAGGGCATTGGTTTGTGGGGATGAGCACGGGAGCGCCTGTGAGAGCCACCTGGAGGGAGGGGAACAGCTCTGCTCACCAGATGAAGTAGTAGCTCTCTGTCACCAGCCACCGGCTGTCTCAAACCTCTGACCGCACAGCCGTCGGTTATCTCCAGCATGGCAAGGCCCCATGGCTGAGAGGCCGCCTTAGAGCAGAGCAGGGGTCGGCGGGGAGCTTCCTGCTGTTCCTCAGTGACCAGCCGTTCCCAGGCAGCCAGAGGGAGCCATTTGGGAAGGATGGGGATGACGGTCTGCTCTGCTGCTGCCTGCCTGGAGGATGACAGGAAGGGCGTGTGGTGGGAGGGGTGGGAGTGGGCTAGAAGGACATCAGGGAGGCTCAGAGCACAGAGGCTGTGCTTGCCTAGCAGTTGGGGGAGTGTGGGTGGGGAAGAGTGGCCGGAGGTGGATCTGTTGGGGAGGGTGACTTTTCTGTCTCTTCGAGGTGAGATGCTGCCCAGATTCCTCGAAGGGGATGTCATGTGTGCCTCGTGGCTTGTGTTAAAAGTCAAACCTGGCCAGACACGGTGGCTCAGGCTTGTAATCTCAGCACTTTGGTGGCTGAGGCAGGTGGATCACTTGAGCTCTCAGGAGTTCGAAACCAGCCTGGGCAACATAGTAAGACCTGTCTCTATAAAAAATACAAAAATTTAGCCAGGTGTAGTGGTGTGTGCCTGTAGTTCCAGCTACTCAGGAGGCTGAGGTGGGAGAATCACTTCACCCCAGGAGGCAGAGATTACAGTGTGGTGAGATTGCACCACTGCACTCCAGCCTGGGTGACACAGTGAGACCCTGTCTCAAACAAAACAAAACAAAACGTCAAACCCACTCCCTTTGCCCCTCACTGGTCTTGGTGACAATCTCGTGATAGGAGATGTCAGCTGAAGAGTGATGAGGTTCCTGAGACTGGAAAGGAGAGATTCATTTCTCATAAAGGGCTGCAGCCTGCAGGTGGCCTTTCTGACAGGCTGGGAAGTGTAGCCTCCAGCCAGAAGCCAGAAACAGACCCTTCGAGAGAGGGGCAGAGGGAAGAGGAATTTCTGCTGAGTGGGGGCTGAGCCTGCTTATTTTAATAAGCCCAGGAGGAGTCCTGCGTGTTTATGAGAGAAGCGTGCACGTGCGCAGCTGAGTCCCATGCCGCTTCATGGGACACAGTGTTCAAAACGTGGTGGCACTGGCAGGACCCGAGGGGAAGTTCTCGGCCTCTGATGTCAAAAGGTGAAGCAGGGGACACGAAAGCCCTCCCTGCATGCCCTCCGTAGACTATCCAGAAGAGGGAGAGCGGTGGGTGATCGCTGGGCAGCAGCAGCGATGGAGTCTCTAGAAGGGCTGGTTCCAGTCCTGAGGGAAGAAAGGCTAACGGTGGTTAGCATGGGCCGGGGCATGTGGAGGCCTGTCTGGTCCCCTCCTGTCACTCCTGGAACTCAGTTTTCAAGGCTGCTCTGGAGTCCTCTAGGCCAAGAGGAGGTCCCTTCAGTCCACTGGGGGCTCAGGATTTTATTTTTAGTTTACTGAGAACAACCAGTCAGGAACTTCATTTCGTTGCTGAAGATTGGCTTTTAGGTTATTTTTCAACTGAATCTAATTAGTCATATGCTGGGATTTTCTGTCCAGAAGTATCCTGAGAACAAAGTAGACAGCCACCACATTCGCTCCACGTCCACAGTCCACATGTCCATGCGTCTGTGTGGAAGCTGTTGGCCCTGAGTGGAGGCTGTGAGGAGGAACCTGCTGCGGGGCCCTTCACTCATCCTTGCAGTGGGCTTTTCCCAAAATTTGCTGGTAATGGCAATACACTCACATGATTCAGAATCCAAAAGTATAAAAAAGTGCCGGGTGCAGTGGCTCACACCTGTAATCCCAACACTTTGAGAGGCTGAGGTGGGCAGATTGCTTAAGGCCAGGAGTTTGAGACCATCGTGGGCAACATAGTGAGACCCCATCTCTACAAAAAATACAAACATTAACTGGGTATGGCGGTGCGCCCCTGTGGTCATAGCTACTTGGGAGGCTGAGGTGGGAGGATTGCTGAGCCCAGGAGTTTTAGGCTGCAGTGAGCCATGATTGCACCACTGCACTCCAGCCTGGGCGACGGTGAGACCCTGCCTCAAAAAAAAAAAATATATATATATATATATATATATAATATATATGTATTATATATTTTATATATAGTATATTTATATGTGTGTTATATATATATAAAATATATACATATAAAAAGTTGAGAGTGAGGTCTCCTTTCCCCATCCCCTCACCTGCTACCAGGTAACCTCTCTCTTTGGGTTCTTGTGGATCTGTCACTGGAGAACCGAGTTCTTTTCCCACTTTGTGTCGGCTGCAAAGAAAGAATATCCAATTGGAAAAGGTAGTCAGGTTTTACTCACTGGCCAGGGAGTGGAGAAGGGAGCCCTCACTTTAAAGGCACCTTCTCCCTGGACAGTGGGAGGCATGGAGATGAAGGACTGGGTACAGGCCGGGAGGGTGGGACTCCAGGCACATTGACGCAGATCATAACATGCTTCTCCAGGCATGGCTTGTACAGAACACGCGGTGGTCTTCTCTTGGAGAATGGTCTTTAGCATTATAATGATATGCTAATGGTCTAAAGGCAACTGGGGCTCACCTGTTCTAGTTTGCAGCAGTTTCGTGGGGCTCCATCTCTCTCTGGTATTTGGTCAGGGGTCAAGAAGCTCTGGTGGCATCCCTGCCATCTGGTTCCTTTAAAGCAGCTGTACCCATAGATAAAGGGACTGAAGGAAAACAGTGAGAAAAAGGAACTTTTGCTGTTATTTCATCAGGGCTGCCCTGGTAACAGACCCTTCCGGGGTCGTTTTACGGACACAGAAGCTAATGCGCTTGTCCAGTATTGCATCTGATTCTTGACCTCTTCTTACTCACTGTTCCACACCTTGCTTTCTTCCCTTACAATTTGTCTAGAAGAATGTTTCCTATCAGTACACAGAAAGCACTCACTCTTTTTACAGCTCTGTGGTGTTTCGTGGAATTGATGTTTCATGATTGATTGAATAGACCTGCATACCGACCCTTAGGGGTTTCTGTAAGAAGAGGTTGGGCCAGGAGCGGTGGTTCACGCCTGTAATCCCAGCACTTTGGGAGGCCAAGGCAGGCAGATCACCTGAGATCAGGAGTTCGAGACCAGCCTGGTCAACATGGTGAAACCCTGTCTCTACTAAAAACACAAAAATTAGCCAGGTGTGAGGGCAGGTGCCTGTAATCCTAGCAACTGGGGAGGCTGAGGCAGGAGAATTGCTTGAACTCGGGAGGCGGAGGTTGCAGTGAGCCGAGATCATGCCACTGCACTGCAGCCTGGGTGACAGCAAGATTCTGTCTCAAAAAAAAAAAAAAAAAAGAAAAGAAAAGGTTGGAAACCCCGTTGCAGTGGGCGTCCGCCCTTCCCCTGAGCATGTGCGTGAATTCTTAGGGCAAAATCCTGAAGCTGGTGGCTGGGTCTGAGGTCTGAGCATTTGGAGTCTTTTCCTATTTCTCCTGTGTGCCCCGCCCCCAGAGAGGTTGTGACTCCTGACTAGCCACTCAGGTCAAATACCTTTAGCAGTATTTTAAATTTTAAAGTAAGCAGATTCCATGTTTGAAGTGGTTAGGTACTAAAAAAAATACAGTGTTTCACCAATTTCTTTTTTTTTTTATTTTGAGATGGAATCTCCGTCACCCAGGCTGGATTGCAGTGGTGCAATCTCGGCTCACTGCAACCTCTGCCTCCCGGGTTCAAGCGATTCTCCTGCCTCAGCGTCCCAAGTCACTGGGATTACAGGCATGCACCACCACGCCTGGGTAATTTTTGTATTTTTAGTAGAGATGGGGTCTCACCATGTTGATCAGGCTGGTCTCAAACTCCTGGCCTCAGGTGATCCACCTGTGCTGGAATTATGGGCGTGAGCCCCCATGGCGGACCTAGTTTTTCACAAATTTCTTTTTCTGATAATACAGTAGTTCATATTTAGCTCTTTCTTTATGAAATCAGAACATGAATGAGCTGAACTTGTGACTCTCAGCAGCTGTCCCTGGCCCGGCCACAGCTGGGACTTGAGCCGCCTGAGACCACGTGCATGCCCTGTGCCTCGGGATGTGGTGGACTTCCTGTCACTGGAGAAAATCAGGCCCGAGCAAGATTGGCCGTTTGGTGGGAATGTGAAGAGGGCAGCCCAGGCCCTGTGTTTCGGGGGTGTGCCTCTCCCCGCACTCCCGTTTCTGGGAATGCTGTTCCTTCTACCTTCAGGGCCTGCCCGCCCTGCGGTGTAGCCGCACTCCTCCCGGGTGTCATTTCTCCAGAGTCTTTCCTTCATGCCCTTTTTCCTCCTCACGTTCCCCCTCGTGCTTTACCCACATCTGTCCCGTGGTTCGGATCCAGTTCTCCCGTGCGTTATGGGTATCCACGTGTTTGGTCTTAGCCATCACTCCAGGAAAGTGGCTCCTCCCTGAGGACAGGGCTCTGTCTCTGATGCTGCTGGCCTCCCTCCAGTGCTGCCCTCCTCCGTTTGGGGCTTGGTGGATACAAGTGCTGACACACAAAGGCAGGCAGGCAGGCCTCGGGCCAGGGTGTCCTCCAGGCCCCTCTGATGGCAGGGACCAGCGAGACCTGGGGAAACTGCACAGTCTGTGCCTGTCTGTGCTCTCAGGAGACTGAGGGAATTAGTGGGTGGGAGAGATTTTATGTTGGATTAAAAACTGCACCTCCAGGCCGGGCATGGTGTCTCATGCCTGTAATCCCAGCACTTTGGGAGGCCAAGGTGGGAGGATCACTTGAGCCCTGGAGTTTGAGGCTTCAGGAAGCTATGATTACACCACTGCTCTCCAGCCTGGGCAAACAGAGTGGCACCCTGTCTCTAAAAACAAACAAACAAACAAACAAAAAAGAAAAATTAAAACATTTTTTAAATTGTAACTTTACCAGAGAAGGTTATTAAAGATCAATGCCTTTCACTTGAGGCGGAACAGAGCACCACTTCACTCTCCCTAGAAAAGTCCTTTTCCTGTTTGTGGTGTTTCTAACATTCTCTGTTAATTGGCTGGTTTGACTGGAAGCACCTTTGCTTTCAGCTATCAGTTGATCACATTGTGTTTTCTTCACCAGAAAACAGACACATGACCCTCATTGAGAACTGCAGCCTGCAGTACACGCTGAAGCCACACCCGGCCCTGGAGCCTGCGTTCCACCTTCTTCCTGAGAACCTTCTGGTGTCTGGTCTGCAGCAGATACCTGGCCTGCTTCCAGCTCATGGAGAATCCGGTAAGGGCGTCTTTGATTCTCTCCACTTGGTGAGGTGAGTCTGTCCTAGTTCACAGTGAAACCTTGAAGGCACTGGGCTCTTCTGGGGGCAGCGTGGGCCGAGCGCCCCTCTGCAGCTCAGCAGCACGGCCTGGCGGGGGTTGTGGGGGACAGTGGAGGAGGATGGAATGGCAGTCTAGTTTCCGTTTCCCTCCTAAATAGTGTCTCACATCCTTCGAGTCATTTCTGGCTGCTTTGGTTGGGAAAATGCTTTCGTGAGAGACAGAGTTCAAGTCTCTGTGACCATAGCTAGGAAGACCACTGGCTGGATCTCAGCCATGTGGCATCATATCAGTGACCTGATGATCATGATGATGATTTTTAAATTAAGGTAAAATAAGGATAACATAAAATTGACCGTCTTAGCCCTTTTAAAATGTACAGTTCAGTGGCAATAAGTACATTCACATTGTAGTGCAGCCAGCAGCACCATCCATCCCTGAGCTCTTTCCTCTTCCCCGGCTGAAGCTCCGTCCCCTTCCACACTGACTCCCTATTCCCTACTCCCCCAGCCCCTGGCAGCCACCCTTCCGCTTTCTGTCTTCATGGTTTCAGTGACTCTAGGGACCTCATAGGACTGGGATCATGCAGTCCTTGTCCTTCAGTGGCCGGCATTCTTTAGGAAGAGAGGGGAATTGCTCTGTTAGTTCATCCTAAGAGTGAAATGTCTTCAAAGTTCTGAGTGGAGTGTTTTCGAGGTTCATCCATGTTATAGTGTGTGTCCCAGTTTCCTTCCTTTTCATCTTAAGGCTGGATGATATTCCAGTCTATGGATGGACCATGTTCTGCTGATTGTTTCATCAGTTAACACTTGAGCCTTCCGCCTTCTGGCTGCTGTGAACATGGGTGTGCAGTGACCTGAGGATTTTTGGAAACTGAAATTCGTGTTAAAGGACAAGGGCTCTGTCTTGGTGTGGTTTTCAGAAGTTGATTCTCTGGTGGTGGAATTGGGTCGACCCCAGCAGCCATGGGAGTGTTGGGGGTGTGCTCTGCTGTAGGAATCTTCTGGGTGGTCCTCATGGCCTGGGCTGCATGCTTCTTCCAGGCACTTCTGGAGACTTTTGTGTGGCTTTCTTGAGGACTCCAGGAGAAGGGACACACCAGCCTCCTTCTACCTGTCATGTGATGGAGATGTCCTGGCACCACCAGAACCTCGGGTGTCTTGGGTGACTGACTCCCTGCTGGGTTCCAGGAAGAGCAGGATTTGACCTTGTGTGTGAGGGGCGGGGACCGAGAGCAGTGCTGTGCTGAGAGTTTGGCTCATTCTGGACCCTGAAGAAAAGGATGCAGCTCGGCTCCGGCGCAGGTCCCTGGTTGTTGGCAATGACAGCCCTGTGCATCGTACAGGCATTCTGGTTGGTGCTGGGGTGTAGATGTTATTATCTGAGTTAATTAATTTCTTGGATAGGTCTATGGTGGACATCATCATTGTGAAGTCACTGTTTTTCCAGCATTCCAGGGAGGAGAGGGTGAGAAATGAGAAGGGAGGAATGAACTCTGAACAAGAGCAAGCGTGGGGTCGCAGTCTGGGTCTGTCCTGCTCACTGAGCTATAAGTGCTCTCCACGCCCACTTCGGGGTGTCTTACCCTGTAATCTGCCTGCAATCCTCTGAAAGGAAGAAGGAGACAGAGGGAAGGCCTCATTGTCACTGCTGTTGAGTTGAGCAAAGAGAACATGAAAACCTGTGTCTGGCTCTGAGACCTGGTCCGTGGCTTGTCCTTCTGGCCCCTGTTCTGCTGGCCAGGGAGGGCCCTGTAGGCGCCGCTGTGAGATGTCGCCTGCTTGATACTGATCATCAGGACTAACTGTGAGTTGCCGCCTGGTTGATATTGATCTTGGAACTAGCTGTGTGCTGCTGCCTAGTTGATACTGATCTTCAGAACTAGCTTTCAGATGTCACCCGGTTGATACTAATCTTGGGACTAGCTGTGAGATGTTGCCTGTTAGATACTGATCTTCAGGACTAGCTGTGAGATGTCACCTGGTGGATACTGATCTTGGGACTAGCTGTGAGATGTCACCTGGTGGATACTGATCTTGGGACTAGCTGTGAGATGTCGCCTGGTGGATACTGATCTTGGGACTAGCTGTGTGCTGCTTTCAAGTCAGCTGTGTCAGTCTTACTACCTGGGAGTCTTGGAGCCGGAGGGGTAGTCATCACTTTGTGACTTGCCCGTGGGTGTCAGTAGAACTGCAGACCAACAGAATTACCTGCAGGTCACTGGACTGGCTCAGCCTCATGACTAGGACTGCAAATGAGAAGCCGTGGTGCCCCAAGAGGACAGGCCTGGTTTTGTTCCTAGTGTCTTGTGTCAAGCTGGGGCCAAGGGGACCACAAGATGGGAGACAGAGTTTTGGATTAAAGAGCTTGAGCCTGGGGTGCATGATTCCTGCTCCTCATTCTTAAAAGCCATGCTTCGGAAGAGGTCTGGCCCGTTGGCCTCAAGTCGGCCTTCCAGGTGTGGAGCAGCCGGCCCGTCACCAAGGTGCCAAACGAATGCTGGCAGTGCCTAGAACATTGCAAAATTAATGACGTTTTATGCTGCTGGTGTTGAAAATCGAGTGAGCAGGGGATCTGAGGGCAGGGTGAGCACACGCCATGGTGTCCGGAGGGAGGGAGGGGGACTGACTGACTCCACCAGGTAAGGGTCGTATGCGCCTTTCGGAGAGAAAGGATAGGTATCTCAGCAACACCTGCCGCCCCCCCGCCCCCCGCCCCCACTCTCAGAGTTGTTTTGGGAGAGAAACACAATTTGCCCAGCCTTTCTGTTGTGTTTGGGGTGCCAGTGCCGTGTGGGCCCTGAGGTTACTTTCTTTTTATTTTACTTTTTAAACTTTTTAAATTATGTATGTAATGACAGCCAGATTCTTCTCTAATTCTTTTTTTTTTTTTTTTTGAGACAGGGTCTGGCTCTTCTTCAGGCTGGAGTGTAGTGGCACAATCTTGGCTCACTGCAAACTCTGCCTCCCATGCTCAAGTCAATCTCCCACCTCAGCCTCCTGAGTAGTAAGGACTATAGGCATGTGCCACCATGCCTGGCTAATTTTTTTTTTTTTTTTTGAGACAGTCTTGCTCTGTCGCCCAGGCAAGAGTGAAGTGGCACAATCTCGGCTCACTACAACCTCCGCCTTCCGGGTTCAAGTGATCCTCCTCCCTCAGCCTCCCGAGTAGCTGGGATTACAAGTGTTCACGACCATGCCCAGCTAATTTTTGTATTTTCAGTTGAGACGGGGTTTCACCACGTTGGCCAGGCAGGTCTCGAACTCCTGACCTCAGGTGATCCACCTACCTCGGCCTCCCAAAATGCTGGGATTACAGGTGTGAGCCATGGCGCCTGGCCTCCAGCTAATTTTTGTATGTTTTGTAGAGACAGGGTTTCTCCGTGTTGCCCAGGCTGGTCTCAAACTCCTGAGCTCCAGCATCAAGGAATGCACCTGCCTTGGCCTCCCAAAGTGCTGGGATTACAGACATGCGCCACTGTGCCTGGCCTTGAGGCTGCTTTCTGACGGCTGTTCCTGGCCAGTGCCAATGCAGCTTGTCAGTTGTTTGCCCCTTTTATACAATATGCTAAAGAGCGTTTTAAAACCACGAAGTTCATGTGTGTTCAGTACATTTAGTGAAAACTGAAAGTCTTCCCTTCTAGTCTAACTCCGTGGAGAAAACCACTGATCATAGTTTGGTGTATACTTTTTACGTATTCACTAATTCATTCATTTATTCACTGATTTATTCAACAAATATTTATTGAGTAGACACTGTGAAGCAGGCCCTGGGCTGGGTGCTGAGGATGTCACATTGCACTCTTAGGAGGGAGGTCATAGGTCTCTCTTGAATGGATTTTGGTAAGGGCAGACCTCAAATCTAACCACAGTCACCAAAGGCAATAGGTGTTTTAGAATAAACCTGGACTAGCTCAAAGTCATTTTCATTCCTGCTTAAATCATTCCTAAATGTAGTTTTCATTCTGCTGTCGCTGTTGCAGCGTTCTTGTTTTTGAGGTGCATTCTGGTGAATTAAATATCCCACTGTTGCAGCGGTCTTGTTTTTGAGGTGCATTCTGCTGAATTAAATATCCCACTGTTGCAGCAGTCTTGTTTTTGAGGTGCATTCTGCTGAATTAAATATCCCACTGTTGCAGCGGTCTTGTTTTTGAGGTGCATTCTGCTGAATTAAATATCCCACTGTTGCAGCGGTCTTGTTTTTGAGGTGCATTCTGCTGAATTAAATATCCCACTGTTGCAGCGGTCTTGTTTTTGAGGTGCATTTTGCTGAATTAAATATCCCACTGTTGCAGTGGTCTTGTTTCTGAGGTGCATTCTGCTGAATTAAATATCCCTAGCAGAAGAGCTGTGTCCCCAAGAGGCTGTGGGCTGTGGGAGCCCGTTAGGGCCTAGGGGAATCTCAGGGGCTCTCCACTGTATGTCAGTGGGAAGGGGGTTCTTGCTTGTGAAGGGTTTGCTGGCAATCCCTGTTTTCTCTGTAGTGTGCTTATGGGGGTCCCAGAATAAAATGGATTGTTGTAGAGTGGGGTGTGTTTTTCCATAGGAGCAATGCTGTTATTGGGAATTCCTTTCCTAGCCAGAGACTTGGCAACAGATAAATTAAAGGTAGGCCAAGCTACAGAGCATGAAGGGCAGAACGCCTCTGCTGCAGTGGGGGTCACTTCTGCCACGGTGGGGTTCATGTCTGCCGTGGTTGCTGCTGTTGGTTGGTTAGTTGAATGAGTGAGTGAAAGAGTGAATGATTTCAGGTAGTAAAAGGATGCTTGTTGGGTTATGCTGGAGGCTGACAGACCTGTGGCGGTTGTCTGCTCCACGTCTAGCCACGATGTGAGCTGGGGGCAGGTTTCCCAGCCTCTCCAAGTCTTTGCTTTTGTTTTTCCTTTATAAATTGGGGACAATAATAGGGCCTGCTCATAAAGATGTATTTGGGGAGAAAATGAGATGGATTGGTAAAGCACTAGCGTCTTCATCATGAAAGTTGTGTCTTAAATTCAGCCCAGATCCAAGCCTCCTACAGTAGAGCGTCCTGGGAGGTCTGATCTGTTTGCCCTTTGCTAGCTAGCCCTTCAGATGTGCGAAGGCAACACTCAGCACCGGGCCCAGCTGTGTTTTTGTCCAGGCCTGGCCTCTCGAAGGTCACAGAGTAACTTGGTGGCTGAGCCAGGCTTGGGCTCAGGTGCTTTACTCCAGAGCCCATGATGCTTGCAAGATGTGGCCTGCCAAGCCGGCTGAATGAGGATACCCAGGCTTCTCTGGCTTCCCTGGGCCCTCCAGGATCTGGAAGTTTCTACTCACTGCAGATGTAGCTCCTCAGTCTGGCTGTCCTGGTGGGAACCCATCTTTCCTCCCTTGATGACTTCCTGTGCGTGGGACTTGCATCTTCAGCTCTCTGTGCAGACCAGGGTCACAACTATTGGAATGGCTTTTGCTCCTGGGGGTGCGTGTGCACCCTGGTCATGAGGTGGCCACACAGAACCTCTTTCCTTCCCAGCCTGGGCCACTTCCAGGAGCACTGACTTCTGCCCCCTCCCAGATGCCTGGTGACCCTGATCCCTCCACTGAGTTGCTGCCTCTTGAGATGGGGCACCCATGGCACACAAGTGATCTTTCCTAAAGGAAGTCGGTCTGGGAAATGGCCTTTGTCCTCCGTTATTTTAGTTTATGTCATCCCTCCCTGCACCCCCCCCCCCCAGCTTTTTGAAACATTCTGTTAAAATGTTTCTTGGCTTACTGTAATTGTATATATTTATGGGGAACAGTGTGATGTTTCAGTACACGTATGTGTTGTAGAGTAGATCAAATGAGAGTACTAGCGTGACTGTAATCTCCCACACTCATCATTTCTGTGTGGTCAGGACATTCAGAAGCCGCTCTTCTAGCTGCTCTTCTAGCTCTTTTGTATTTTACGGGAACTTACTGGTAACCGTCATTACCCTGCTGTGCAGGAACAGCAGAATTTAGACTGTAACTTGTACCATGACCCCTTGACAACCTCTCCCTCCCCTCCTCAGTCTCTGATAACCACTGTTCTGTGCTCCGCTTCTATGGTACCAACTCTTCTTTTTGAGATCCCACATATGAGTAAGATCATGTGGTATTTGTCTTTCTGTGCTTGGCTTATTCCACTTAACCTTGATGTCTGCTAGGTCCATTCATGTTGTGTTGTCGCAAGCGACAGGACTTCATTCTTTGATCGTGGTTGCGTAAGTACTCCATTGTGTAGATACACTACTTTTCTTTATGCATTCATCCATTGATGAACACCTAGGTTGATTCTGTGTCTCCACTGTTGTGAATAGTGCTGCAATAAACATGGGAGTGGCGATATCTCTTTGACATACTGATTTCATTTCCTTTGGATATTATATACTCAGTAGTAGGATTGCTGAATTATATGGGAATTCTATTTTCAACTTTTTGAGGAACCTCTGTCTAGTTTTCCATAGTGGCTGTTGTAATTTGCAGTCCCACCCGTATTGTATAGGTGTTCCCTTTTCTCCACGTCCTCACCAATGCTTATTTTCTTTTATCTTTTTGATGGTGGCCATTCTCACTGAAGTGAGGTGGTATCTCATTGTGGTTTTAATTTTCACTTCCCTGATGACTAGTGAGGCTGAGCATCGTTTCCTGTGCCTACAGGTATTCGAACGTCTTCTTTTGAGAAATGTCTGTTAAGGCCTTTTGCCCATTTTAAAATCAAGCTACTAGTTTTTTTTTTTTTCTGTTGAGTTGCTTAAATTCCTTATGTATTCTGGATATTAACCCCTTGTTAGATATATAGTTTACAAATATTTTCTCCCATTGTGCAGGTTATCTCTTCACTCGGTTAATTGTTTACTTTATTGTGTAAGACCTTTTTATTTTGATATAATCCATTTGTTTCTTTTTGCTTTTGTTGCCTGTGCTTTTACGGTTTTATTTAAAAAAATCCTTTCACAGCCCAATGTTACTTAAAAAAATCCTTACTCAGCCCAGTGTTACGAAGCACTTCTTCCGTTTTCTTCTAGTAGTTTCATAGTTTCAGGTTTTACATTTAAGTCTTCAATCTATTTTGAGTTGACTTTTATATATGGAGAGAGGTAGGGCGTCTCATCTCATTCTTCTGCATGTGGGTGTCCAGTTTGTCCAGCACCATTTATTGAAGAGACTGCCTTTTCCCCAGTGCGTGTTCTTGGCACCTCTTTAAAAATCAGTCAGCTGTAGGTGGCATGAATTTATTTCTGGAATCTCTATTCTGTTCCATTGGGCAAACCTAATGTGAGTTTGTGATGGGGACAATATAGAAAACTATAAAGAAGAAAATAATCTACAGTTCCTGCCTGCAGATCCACATGTATACATGTAAGTGCACATGCTTTTAAATACCATCGCTATCAGATGGAATCGTAATAGTTTCATATGTTACTATTCTTTTCACTTACAATATTACGATTATTTCTCAATTTATTAAATCTTTGACAGTATGATTTTTTTTGTTCTTATTCAGCAGGATGAATAATAGTTTAGTGAACATTCCCCTATTGAACATTTGGTTGCTTCGATTTTTCTCTATTATAATAAAGTTTCAATGAATATTCTTGCACATAAATCTTTGCTTCTGTCTTTGATTATTTTCACTGAATAGGTTCAAAAAGTGGAATTACTGGGGCAGAAAGTGATATTTTAAAGCTTTTGACATACTCAAAGGCAAAGGCGATACTGACTCATAATCTTCAGCAGGATAGTAGAGTGCTCTTTTGACGGCAGTTTCATCAGCATGGAGTGTTACCTCAGTGTTTTCTTTTTTTTCAACTTTGAAATTAGCTTTTAAAAATCTACATATCTACATAAGTAAAAGATCATTAAAATATAGGAAGAGATGGAGCTAGGACCAGAAGAAGATGACGATGGTGGAGAAAGAAGGGGCAGAGTCCACAGGTGTGTGTAGGTTGGGAAACGGTTGGCTCATCCTTCCTCCTCCTGGATGAGCCTTTGCTCTAGAGCAAGTGGAGAAGGCTCCCCAGGCAGCCCAGGGTCCTTCCCTCTCTCAGCCAAGGTTTTTCATGGGCCTGCTTTGCACGAGACCGTGAGCTGGGTCCCTGGGGCCACTGTCCTCTGGATGGGACCCTTTTCTCGTGGTGCCGTTCAGGCTGTATTTTGCTGGTTGCCTTGACAGGCTCATGCCTGCTCAGTGTGTTTGCAGATGGTTCAAGGTAACACAGTAAAGTAAGGAGCGGCGTGGCTGGCCGTGTTCCTGCTGGAGAGAGGAAGGAAGCCATGCCGGGCAGCAGGCTGCAGGGCCGCACGTGTCACTTTGCCTTCTCCAATCTGTGTTCTTTGAGTTGTCGAATTATAAAAACTGTTCCTGGGCCAGGTGTGGTGGCTCACGCCTGTAATCTCAGCACTTTGGGAGGCCGAGGTAGGCGGATCACAAGGTTAGGAGTTCGAGACCAGCCCGGCCAATATGGTGAAACCCCGCCTCTACTAAAAATACAAAAATTAGCTGGGCGTCATGGTAGTCACCTGTAATCGCAGCTACTTGGGAGGCTGAGGCAGAAGAATGGCTTGAACCTGGAGGCGGAGGTTGCAGTGAGCTGAGATCACACCACTGCACTCCAGCCTGGGCGACAGAACGAGACTCCGTCTCAAAGCAAACAAACAAACAAACAAGCAGAAAAACAAAAAAATGAAAAACAAAACAACAGAAAAACTGTTCCTGGAGGAGGTTTGGGGTAGATTTTGGACTGCCAATGAAATCTGTATTTGCTTAATTGTTGTGGAGGCTTGGCTTGGGCCTTGTGCTCTGTCTGGGAGTCCCGAGCACCCTTCGTTGCTGCAGGCCCCGGCTGAGGCTGGGGTGGGTAGGGACCCTCGGTGGCTGCCAGTGGGTGTTTTATTCCCAAGGATGACCCTTTTCGCACCCTCACTGTTTCAGGCGACGCTCTCCGAAAGCCTCGCCTCCAGAAGCCCATCACGGGGCACTTGGATGACTTATTCTTCACCCTGTACCCCTCCCTGGAGAAGTTTGAGGAAGAGCTGCTGGAGCTCCACGTCCAGGACCACTTCCAGGAGGTGTGGAGTCAGAAGCGTGATGGGGGGCAGGGTGGGGCCAGGCAGGGGTGGGACCCGGGTAGGGCAGGGAGGAGGTGGGGCAGGGTAGGGGTGGGTGGGGCAGGGTAGGGGTGGGTGGGGCAGGGTAGGGGTGGGTGGGGCAGGGGAGACCCCGCATCTGATGCTGCTGAGGAGGGCCCTGTGGCCCTAAGGATGTAGTTCTGTCTTTTCCCCTCTTTCTGGAGGTGAATTGGATCTTTAGGGACCCCTTTCCTCCACAGCCAAGGCCCCCACAGAGCCTCCAGTTGTTTTAACTTCAACAGTGATGAAGGTGCTGTTGGCCTGAGATGTTAACTAAAGTTAATTCTGGTAGATCATGAAATAGTCCTCATTTAAAGTAAACTAAATCACCAGATGAGCATAGGGAAACCCATAGAACCCTTCCCATGTTCAGAGGACGTCGGCGGGGACATGGGGCTCGTTTCCGGAGGTGGCTGGAAGCCTCGGTCATCTCACCCACCTTGGGCCCCTGGGAAGGCGCCCCCAGACTCACTGTCCCCTCGGCCTGCCCGTGTCACAGGTCATTGTGTTCTGGTCACTGAGAGCCTGTTCACACTCCCTGCTGTTCCTGTCTGTTGCTTTTCAGTGTATGGGTTTGTCCAGGTGCCCAGGCAGGGCGTCTGGAGGGCTTGTCCATCTGTTAGGCAGAGGCTTTTGAGCCTGTTTGCCTGTGGCCCCTGGGAGGGATGTCTGCGTCGTGCAGGTGCGTGGAGCTCAGCCTGCCTAGTACGCAGCATGCGCTGGGGTTTCCTCTCCGGCTCCGTCCCAGCGATGCTCTGGCTTGCGAGCTGTAAAACACCAGGGCCAGGGAGGTTGTTTCTAGAGCTCCTGTCACCTCTGACAGCAAAAGTTGTCTTGGATTTTCTGTGTAGAAGCTTGTTTGTATGCCAGACAAGACTTGGAAAAGCCTTTGCAGGTTTGGGGACTGCTTATGTTTTCTAGGCGATAATCTGTCCTTGGTCTAGAAAAATTGGGCCTGATGAACTGTCACAAATAGTGTTGGAATGAGGTCTGTCCGCCCTGGCTCTTCTGTCGCCAGCAGCAGGGGGAACAGGCATGTGGGACGGAGATTGCCTGGTTCTGCTGGAGCCCTGGGCTCAGCCCCCTTGCCTGCGCCTTTGCTGATGATCACCAGATGGAGTAGGGAGAAGAGGGGTCAGCCCTGGCTGCTCTCAACTCTGGAAGGAGGGGCCCTCAGACCTGGGTTGTGGGCAAACCACTCCTTGTTCCCCCTCCTAGAATGAGAGAGTCTTCACTTTCAACTTCAGAAACAAAGAGAAAGAAACTTTAATTGCAGAGAGCCAAGAGACTGGTGTGGGTAACATCTTGCTGTTGCGTCGAGTCCTCTTCACGTCACACCCTTTTCGTGATGAGTCCCGCAGAAGCGCACAGAATGCAATTGTGTGACTGCGCGACACGAGGAAGGACGGCAGAGGGAGGCCTTGGGCCCGGCACCCACAGAGGCACCCTCAGAGCCTCGCGGGTCTCCTCCGGCTGCACCTTCCTCCCCGCCCATTCCCTCGGGCCTTTGTGCTAATCACATCTTGGCTTTCTGTTCTGGTTCTACCGCCTATCGATGCATCTCTAAACAGTATAGGCTTGCCTGCTTTTGACCTATCTTTAAATGAAGTCGTACTTTTTTCTTCTGTTTTGTTTTGCTGCTTTTGCTCAAGACCATGCTCCCGTGGGAGGCTGTCTGCAGTGGCTGTGGCTCCATTTGCTCACTTTTTTTGCTGGATGGTCGTCCGTGTGAGGGCACCAGGATTTATAAATCCATTCTACTGTTGATGGACTTTTGGGCTATTTTCAGGTTGGGGCTGAGCATTCTTCCATGTGTATCCTGACTTTTAGTAGAATCTCGAGCAGGAAGTAAAAGGGACTTTTTTGGAAAATCTTCATGGGCCTGCAATGAGTTGGCTGGTCCGCTGGGGGCTGCTGGTCTAGGATGACTTTGGTTGGGGTGGCGTGGCTCCTGTGGCCTCTCCTGTGGCAGCCAGTCTGGGCTTGCTCTCGTGGAGGCAGATGTTTAAGAGAGGAGTTGGAAATGTGCAGACATTTTCAAACCTCTTTTTGGATTAAATTTGTTACTCTCCCACTGGCCAAAGCAGGTCACTGGCCAAGTCCAGAGTCAGAGAGGTAGGGGACTCCAGGTTACAGGACAAAGGGTATGGCTTTAAAGATCCCTTACCTGGAGCTGCAGATGAATCCTTTACCATGAGGGTTTGGTGGAATTCCCAGGATTTTGCCAACTCGGCCATAGCTCCTGGGGGTGGAGGCGGAGTTGGGCATGGTGCCTGCCCTCCTCCCTTTGAGCTTCAAGGCTTGGGTCCTGCCTTGGTGCCAGGTCCTGAAGGCTGGTGCGGTCTGTTATGCTGCCATCCTTGATTGGTGGCATATTTTGCTCCTTAGGTATTGGGGGAAGGAAATTCTCTGAGGAAGTGTCCCTCATGTTCACTTGAAAGTCCCAGAGAACATTTTTTTCACTCAGTAGTCAAAGAGGTCTTTTAAAAACATAAATTCATTGCTTCTCGGCCTTTTGGGTAAGATGAAGTGTAATTGGACTTTTAGGGACCCTCTCTTAAACTCCTCTCTTAAACATCTGCCTCCATGAGAGCAAGCCCAGACTGGCTGCCACAGGAGAGGCCACATAAATTCAGCCATTTTTCTTCTGTGTTTAAAACCTGCTGCTGGCTTCTCATTGCCCTTGGACTGACACCTAGGCTCCTGGTCCTCCAAGATGCACGTGGTTTGGTCTTTGCCGGTTTCCCCTGCCTCACTATGTGCTGCCTCCTGGTCATGGTTTGGTCTTTGCTGGTTTCCCTACTTCACTGTGTGCTGCTTCCTGGGCCTGTTTTGTGGTCCCGGATTCAGGCATGCCTCTGCCTAGGTGGCCTCGGACTCATGCTTGTCCCTGCATGGGTCCTGGAGCATGTAGCTGACTTTCCTGAATGTTCTTCCTGCACATCTCTGCTTGTTTCCCCTCAGGCTTCAGGTCTGGACGGGGTCCTCTGACTGTCCTGCGGGGGTGCTGTTCCCCGCCCTTGCCACCGTGTCTCCAGCTGTCACCCCGCGTTCCTCCCGGGTGCTCAGCCCTTCCTGGGAGCAGCTGGCCTTCTTATCTGTTATTGTCGGTCTCCTGTGGTGAGTGTCACCAGGACAGGGACTTTGTTTTGTTTACAATGACACGTGATGTGCATGAACGGTGTTTGGCACATAGGAGGGCTGTACTATTTAGTTGTGAGAATGAATGATTCAGGTGCTCATCCTAGTAGTCTATGAAGTTAGCAAGTTGTGTGTGTGTGTGTGTGTGTGTGTGTATGTATGTGAATGAGCTGGACTTGTTTGCTCCCTACCCGTTCTTGAAAATGCAGTTCTACATAATATGGTCTTATGTAAACACAAAGCAGAGAATAGGATTGAAACACCAACATCCGTTTCCTTGGTGTAGTTCCTGCTGTTTTCTTGTTTGTCAGGGCGGATTGTGTGAGGGTAGAGTTGTTTTAGGAATATCATTGTTGAATTTTATACAGTCCCATAAAAATCACTTTATTGTGTATTTTTACTATCTTTGTATTTTTGTTCCAATCCAACTGGCAGATACTCAGTTATCTGCATAGTTTTATTTTCGTTATCCAAAGACTAATAGGCTGAATTTAGGTCTGTTCAGCTTGATTAATGGACAGTAAAGAAAACTTGAAAATTTGAGGATCATTTTGCAAAGATCACATAATTTAATAAACACTAATAGCCAGGGGAATATCCTTGTTCATTTGTTATAGCGCCTGTACATTTTTGTTAAGATGAAACACTTTAATATCGAGTGACCACTTTGGGGCTGGTTCTGTTTTTATTGGTTTATGACTTAGTGCCTAAACATGTTTCCCTTTGTACACCCAGTCTCAGGTCTCTGGGTAGACAGAGTTGAAATGTGATGAGCTCTGCCTCTGAGCACCTCTCCATCGTCGTCCAGGGAATTGGGCCCCAGGGAAGGGGGCTCTGGGGAAGCAGCCTCTGGGAAAGGGGGGCTCTGGGGGAGTGGGCTGTGGGACCTTGGAGGAGTCTTGAAGGAGCCAAGTACGAGTTTGCTGCATCTTGAGAATGGTCAGCCCAGCCTTGGAAAGCTAGTGTCGGGTTTTGGGGATCGAGGCATCTGAGGGTGTGCGTTGCTGAGAGGATCATGCTGTGTTGGAAATGCCAAAACTGCCCGGGCAGTGCCCCAAGGCCAGTGGCTGGGATTGGGTGCTGTATCTGTCATTTGCTTGCACTCATCTTGACTAAGCATCATCTGATCTGCAGTTATCTGCAACTTCTGCTCCAGTTTCTTCTCTCTGCTCGCCTCCCCCAGGGACTTCTGGCGAGCTCCCTCTTTCCGTCTGTGCCGGGGCTCATTCCTTCTGTGCCTCTTCCAGGGATGTGGCCCACTGGACGGTGGTGCCCTGGAGATCCTGGAGCGGCGCCTGCGTGTGGGCGTGCACAATGGTCTGGGCTTCGTGCAGAGGCCGCAGGTCGTTGTACTGGTGCCTGAGATGGATGTGGCCTTGACGCGCTCAGCTAGCTTCAGCAGGAAAGTGGTCTCCTCTTCCAAGACCAGGTATTGTCTCTTGGGTCCCCAGGGATGGGTGGGGATGTGCAAGGGATCACGATGAAATGAGGTCATTTGTGCATGTCAGGTGTTGACTCACCCACGTGGGAGTTCTTCCTTGTGTTTCTTTCCTCTTGGAAGTTGTGCCCATTAGGAACAAACTTTGGAGTTGGAAGTTTGGAAAAAGCCCCCCCCTTTTTTTTTCCTTTTGTGCTCTGACAATTTGGGGGTTAGCATTATGGATGCTTCCAGCTGCGGCTGCTGAGGGTCTACGGAGGCCTTGCATGCTGCCTTCTAGGCGTGCCCTGTGATTAGTTTCTCATAGGACGGAGAGTCAGGGGGCAGCAAGACCTGCTGCTCTGTTTAATCCAGTGCTTCCCAAATCAGGTGTCACAGACATCACTGCAGGGCGTCATGCCTTTCCTCTCTCATGGTGCCAGGCAGAGGCCAGGTGTCCTCTGCCGTAGGCCAGCCTTGAGGAAGGAGCCTCCATCCTCTGTGGCATTTCCTGGTAACTTGGCCGTATCAGGCCTGCAGGCAAGCTTTGGTAATTTGGAAATGCGTTGAAAGAGCAATGAGAGGCTGAGGCGGGAGGATTGCTTGAGCTCAGGAGTTTGAGACCAGTCATGGCAGCCTAGTGAGACCCCCATCTCTTAAAAAGCAGCGTTTTGGGGAATTTCTGAATCATTTGGGAGAGCGTGCAGTGTTACATGGTGGACTTGCTGTTGCAGCAGCACCCCTGTGTCCCCCAGGGTGTCCCCTTGACTGTTCTGACAGTGGTCGACGTGGATGCGGGAAGGATGGGAGCTCGAGCTCTAATGTGTCCCTGGTTTGTGTTTCTGACCCAGCTCCGGGAGCCAAGCTCTGGTTTTGAGAAGCCGCCTCCGCCTCCCAGAGATGGTCGGCCACCCTGCATTTGCGGTCATCTTCCAGCTGGAGTACGTGTTCAGCAGCCCTGCAGGAGTGGACGGCAATGTAAGAACAGCCCTTTTGCACTCGGTTTCCTCTGGTGGTGAACTCTGTGTGTGAGGATAAATGTAGTGGGCATGAATGCTTTTTCCATTAAAAACAGGCATGATTATTATAAATAATAAGTAAAAATCACTTTACTGACATTTATCAGCTGATTGTAAGGAATGTTACAAAGGATACAGATGAGATGGAGAGGGCAAAGAATGTGGGAAGGACTTGGAGCTCCCATGCCCTCCTGGGCACCGCCCTCTGGGCACTTCCATGGGTTCAGCTGTCCAGAGCTCTCTGAAGTCAGTCCTTTTGGGTTTTGATGAAAACTTTATTACGTAGGCATAATTGATTAAACATTGGCCATTGATGATCAATGTAACCTTCAGTCACTCTCCTCCCCCTGCCTTGGTCTTTCTGTGAGCAGCCCCATCCTGAAGCCACCTAGGGGCTACCAGCCACAGTCATCTCATTAGCACACAAAAGATAGCACTTCGGAGATTCCGGGGGTTTCAGGAGTTGTATACCAGGAAACTGGACGAAGATCAAATACATATTTCACAAATCACAGGTGCATTCTGCTGGCTGGGAGTAATGCATAGGTCAGTAAGTTTCATGTATCATAATAGCGTTAATTCATGATTATTGAATCGCTAATTATTTTGAAAAATGAGGCCATTTTAATGTATTTTTATATGACAGTAGTGTGGTAAAGCTTGAGTTTGCACAAATGAGAGATGGTTTCTCATAGGGAACTTTATATATACCTATAGAACACTAAGAGTAAGAATTTATAGGTTCAGTTGAAAGAAATAAAATATGTGGACATCATTTATATTAATGTAGATTCTTTGAGAAACCCAAATCCTGCTGTTCTTAAGATTTAGTTTTCTGTTTGAAAAAGTCAATAATGCAGTTCCGCCTTTTCCATGGGGCGTTTGTTCCAAGACCCCAGTGGGGGCCTGAAACCTCTGTAGTACTGACCCCTACACGGTACATACTAGGTTTTGTCCTGCATATACATACCTATGACACAGTTTATAAATTAGGTACGGTAAGATATTTAACAACAATAACAATAAAATAGAACAATTATAATATACAGTAATAAAAGTGAACGTAGTCTCTCTCTCTCTACCTCTCAACTGCAATGGGTGGGTGGTGTCTACAGTGTGGATATGCGGGACGGAGGGATGATTCACGCCCTGGGGGGGGACAATGCCAGATCTAATCACACTGCTCAGAGTGGCACGCAATTTAGGACTTAGGGATTGTTTTCTTCTGGAGTTTTCTGTTTAATATTTTCAGACCAAGGTTGACTGAGGGTCACTGAAACTGCAGATCGGGGTACTTCTGTATCATTTTAACAAGTAAATCAGAAACCAAAAAACGGTTGACAAGACATCTTCCATGGCGATCTGGCCTGCCATCGCGACTGGGCCGCTCTCTCAGGAACAGCCTGTGAAGGAGCATGAGGTGCTGAGGACGGTCTTAGGGTGTGCCTCAGGCCGGAGAGCAGGGTGTCGGGGTGTAGCTGCCATTTGGTGTTTCTAATCTCTTCTGGTAGCGGCGAGTTGACCTTGCCAGTGTCCATGCCTCCGGTCCCTATGATTCCGAGTCCTAATTAGGTGCAGAAATCCAGAAGTGCCAAGCGTTCTGTGGACTGACACAGTCACAGTCATTTAATGAAACTGTTCCAGTTCTGCTTTTCTTTACTTATGACCAGAAATTTCAGCTAAAATACAGCTGTTTGTGAATACCCTTGGGTGGGAGGGGTCTTCTGGGGTGGGTGTGGCTCATGGGGAGGGATGGGGCTGCCCAGGCTGGGGAGTGAGCGGAGGAGAAATGGCCTCAGGGTGTCCTGGCAGCGCCTGATGGCTGATGTGTGGTTCCCAGGGGCTGTGGGGGGAGGTGGGGAGGAGCAGGAGGGCTGGCGCCTCACTCTCAGTGTCTTCTAGAGAATATTAATTGTAATTTACTTGTGATTATGACATCTGTATGCTGAAACCAAGATGTCTTAGCGATACTTTATTCTTTTTTAACCCTCATCTGAAATTCCTGACAACAGGTGGTTTCGATGGTGGCCGCTTCATGGGCGTCTGGGGTGCGGGTGCGGGTGAGGCTATGGAGTCACTGATTTCTCTTCTCTTCTCTTTTCGAGACAGAGTCTCACTCTGTCGCCCCTCAGTGGCGCGATCTCGGCTCACTGCAACCTCCGCCTCCTGGGTTCAAGTGACTCTCCTGCCTCAGTCTCCTGAGTAGCTGGGACTATAGGCACGGGCCACCATGCCCAGCTAATTTTTGTATTTTTAATAGAGACGGGGTTTTCCCACGTTGGCCAGGCAGGTCTCAGACTTCTGACCTCAAGTGATCTGCCCTCCTTGGCCTCCCAAAGTGCTCAGGTTCCAGACGTGAACCACCGCGCCCGGCCAGTCATTGGTACTTTCCGATGTGCTGGTCGATTGTAACTGGGAATACTGGATTCCACTTTACTGTCATCAAGTGCGCTTTCCTGGGTGAAATCTGGAATGGAAATGTTGCAGTGTGTGAAATGACCTTCCACACAAAAATTGCTTCCTGTGCGGAACCATTGGAAGTGGGTTAAGCATCCACCGGGTGAAACTGGAATTGAGCGGGACGTGAGAGGAGAAAGGCACAATGGCGGGGCCGTCTGTGACGGTGGCTGTGGTAGAGGAGCCCAGCGCGCTCCTTGGAAGGCCCAGGGCGGGCTGTGGCAGGGCCCTCCCACCTCAGCCACCCCGTCTGCAGCAGTGTCTCCCAGAGCAGCCTTCTTCAGCTGGGTGGGGATTTTTTCAGCTGGGTGTGGTTGTGCCTTCCGGCTGCAGCGTCCTCCTCCTTGTCTTTGGTGAGGACCCTGCGTGGTGGAAGCTGTAAGCACAGCTGAAAACAGGCTGGCTGGTGCGATGGGCCCCACGGAGCTTCCCCGGCTGCCAGCTTCCTGGACAATCTGCTTCTTCTATGTCCTCTCCCACAACCCGTTTTGAATTATTCTGAAACAAATTCCAGGCATCATTTTATTTCATCTGTAAACCTTTTGGCATGAACATTTCTTTTTTTTTTAAAAACTTTTTTATTTTGGGAAATTTCAAAGCTAACAGTGGAGAAGCATGTGGTGCGCTCCCTGCACCCACCTCCAACCCCCAATTTATCGCTCATGTCTCATCTCTTTCTCCCGTCCCGTTCCACCTGGGCTATTGGAGACCGCATCCTAGACATTGCATCCTTTCATCTACAGATGGCTCACCATGTCTCTCCAAAAGACAGGGCTCTGGAGTGTCACTGTGAACACCATCATCACACCTAACCTTGACTGCATTTCTTAGTATCATCAAACATCCAGTCAGCCTGGGTGTACATTTTTTAAGTATTTTACTTAATAAGAAACGGACAAACCCCAGCAATGTGCTTTTCCCTGGAAAGTGACTTGTGACAGCCGTCTTCCTGCATGAGCTGGGCGGCCTGTCTGTTGTTCCCTGGCAGTGGCTTCCTCATGTTGCCTTTGACTGGAGGATCTGCTCTCCCTGTGGCCCTGCTGCCTTCATCACACATTCGTAATGCTGGGAGAGCCAAAATGCACCAGGCTTTTGGCAGCTGCTTCACTTGGCCTCATGCATCAGATCAGGAGGCAAAAGCTATGGTGTCTAGGGGCCCTTTGTGGAAGGATTCATCTGTAAATGGTATGCACAGACGAGGAGGCTACCTGGGCTGATGAGAACATGGAACAAATACTGTGTTCAGGGCACACCCAGGCACTGGAGTCTGCATGTATTCTTTGGGTCCTGAGTATTTTGTAGTCATTGGAAACAAACTAGGAACAAAAGTTTTGCCAAGACACACTCACTGACTTTAATCTGCTGTTAATTTTTTTGCATTTTTTAGTTAACCAAAGCATCTAAAACCTTTTTCCTGTAATTTATGTTTGGGTTAGCTGTGAAGAAGCTAAAGAAACTACCAAAGAAGTAGTCCCTCCTGTCCAGACCACTTTCTTCCCAGGATCCTGGGGACAGTGCAACCTCATTTGACTGCCACAGCACTGCCTCTTTTGAAATGTCTTATGCATGCAAGTGTGGGCTCCAGAAATGTTTGCTGACTGAATGAGTGATGGAGCAAACTCCCTGTAACATGAGCATGAAATGCAACAGGGGCAAACCTGCAAAAATCACCAGATCCGGTGTCTTGGCTGCGTTTCATGTCTGAATAAGCGGGCATCCTCCTGAGCCTCTGGGGGTGAATACAGTCCTTTTCTGTGGGTCACATGACAAAATAACCCTCTCCCCAAATCTCTAAGGGGTGAAGATTTGCCTGATTTATTGTTTATGTATTAACTCATATTCTTGGAACAAAATCAATGGCCCATGTTCCAGGGTCTGTTGAACTGATCCATGTGTGTCCCTGATGGCCTTTCCTCCAGTACCGTGTCCAGTTCAGGATCATGTCTTGTGTCTGGTTTCTGTGTCTCTTTGACCTCCTTAATTCTGGAACAGTTCCTCAGCTTTTTTTTTTTTTTTTTGTCATTTATGATTTTATTTTTAATATTTTAGTCTCCTTTTTTTTTTTTTTTTTTTTTGAGATGGAGTCTCGCTCTGTTGCCCAGGCTGGAGTGCAGTGGCGCGACCTCGGCTCACTGCAACCTCCGCCTCCTGAGTTCAAGCGATTCTCCTGCCTCAGCCTCCTGAGTAGCTGGGACTACAGGTGCCTGCCACCACGCCCGGCTAATTTTTTGTATTTTTAGTAGAGATGGGGTTTTACCATGTTAGCCAGGATGGTCTCGATATCCTGACCTTGTGATCCACCCGCCTTGGCCTTCCAAAGTGCTGGGATTACAGGCATGAGCCACTGTGCATGGCCTAGTCTCCCTTCTTTAAAAAATTTTTAATGCGTATGTTGCTTGGGTTCATCTGATGCTTCCTCATAGTTGGAGTCAGGTTGTGCCTTCCTGGTAGTGGTCCGTGTGAGCAAGGGGCAGTCCTTGGGTCCCACATCCAGACGTGCATGTGTTCATCCTGGGCGAGGTTGGTTGTGGTGATCTTTGCTGATATCTCCACTGTAGAGTTACCTTTTTTCCTCCATGCAGCTAATAAGTGATCTGTGGGGAGACTCTGAGACCACGTGGGTATCTGCTCCTCATCCGATTGTCCCCCTTGGGTTGGCGTCGTTTATGCTTCCTGCAGGAGGAGGAGCCCCAGCCCAGCTTTCCCACAGACCTGCAGCTGGCATGGCACCTCCTGTCCCCAGGGCCCCCTGTCTCCTCACTGGTGGGTAGATGGTTGACTTGTCCATCAAGCGCACATGGGTCTGGACTCAGGGATCCCTGTTTTCAAAGTCACTGCTTCTGATTATTTTGGTACAAATTGTCCCAGATTTGGCCGGATGGAGTCCTTGAGGCTGGCCCCTGTGTCCTATGGCATCCTTCGTCCTGTTTTGTGTTTGAGTACTTTCTGGCTTCAGAAGATGCTTCAGGCTCATCTTCATCTCTACTTATTTTGCCCATTTTTCTGTAGTTTTTGCATTTTTCATCAAATATTAAAAGTTCTTTGTATGTTAAGGATATTTGCTCTTTATCTGTGATAAATAGTGCAGATATTTTCTCCTCATTTTGTCATTTATCTTTTTATTTTTTTTCCTGGCTGTGTAAACATTAAAACATCTTTTAATGTAGTCAGATATATAAGTTCTTTCTTTTATTGTATCTGGATTTTGAGTCAGGGAAAAAGCCTTTCTTCGTTCCCCAGTCATAGAGGAATTCACCCATATTTTCTCCTCGTGCAATGTTTCTCCTGCCCTTTTTTTTTTTTTTTTTTTTTTTTTGTCTAGATCTCTTGTTTGTGGTGTGAGGGATGGATCTGATTTTATCTTTTCCCAGTGGCCATCTGGTCCCACTACCACTTACTCAGAAGTCCCCCTTTGCCATGGTGACTTAATGTGCTGTCTTTATCACATACTCTGTCTTTATGGATAGTGCATCTGTTTTTGGACTTTTACTCTCATGGGCTGCCCTGTCTGTTAATGTACCATGGCCATACTGTTTTAATTTTGGAGGCTCTGTTGTGTGTTTTAGCATTTGGTAAGGCAAGTTCAGCTTTATGGTTCTTCTTTTCCTTGCTTTTCTAGCTTTTCTTGCATGTTTATTTTCTGGATTAACTTTTGTATCAAGAGGTCTAGCTCCAAAAAATGCTGATTGGCATTTTAAAAATTGGGATTGCAGTAAATTTATGATTGAATTTAGAGAGAATTTTACATCTCAAGGATGTTTAGTTGCCCTAACCAAGAACAGGATGTCTTTCCATTTGTTCAAGTCTATTTTTGTGTCTTTCAGGAATGATTTTAAAAATGGTTTTAAAATGTAGATTTTTAACAATTCTTATTAAATTTTTTCATGGGTATTTAATTTTTTGTGCTGCTGTTGTAAATGGGATGTTTTCTTTCATTATATTGTCTGAATTAGCACTGTGTTTTTATTTTGTTTTTGTAGACAGTCATTATTATTTAAGCAATTTTACTAGCATTTTATGTAGCTCTTATTATATACCGCATGCTGTCTTTAAAATTAAGCTTTGTATTTTGAGGTAATTGTAGATTCATATTGCAGTTATGAAGAGTAAAGCGGGGAGATTTGTGTCCCCTTTCCCTGGTTGCTCCTGTCTGAGTCTGTTTTCTGCTGCTGTAACTGAATACCACAGACTGGGTCATTTATAGTGAATAGAATTTATTGGCTCATGCATGGTTCTGGAGGATGGGGAGTCCAAGATCAAGGTGCCAGCATCTTGTGAGGGCCTTCTTGTTACGTCACTCCCTAGCGAAAGGGCAAAGAGAGGGTGAGCAAGAGAAAGGGGGGCTGAACTCGTCCTTGTAGAAGAGGCCCATTCCCGAGACAATGGCATTCATCCATTCACTCCACCCTCATGGCCTCACCACCTCTCATGAGGCTCCACCTCCCAGCCCTGGTTTGTTGGGGATTAAATTTCCAACACATGCCTTTTGGGGGACATGTTAAAATTATAGCACCCCAAATGTTACACTATCTTTTGATGAGCGGTAGTTCTGATTTTAAGTCTAGCTGGCCTACTTTTTCTTGCACGTGGGATGCTTTCTGCCTGTTCCAGGGCAGGCAGCTCTTCTCTGTCCCTCTGCTGGCCCCACCTCATCCTCTGTTGTCCTCTTCCCTCCTTCTGTGCCCTGGGGTCCTGGTGGGGGTGTGACTGTCAACTGCGTTGGGCTAACTTTTTTCCCTGCTGGTGGCCCGTAATGAAAGAAAGCTTCTTGCTCCCAAGTTCCTTAAATCCAAGCTCATAGACAACGCGGTCTCACAGCAGGCCTGGGGCCAGCCTCACGTGAGCCCCTTCCCTGGTGTAGTCACTGGCATGGGGGAATGGGATTTCCTGTTGCCCTACTGTGTGGCTGAGGTGGGGGTTGCTTCCTGGAGCCAGGCCTTGTGGAAGGGCAGTGCCCACTGCAGTGGATGCTGGGCCCTGAATCTGACCCCAGTGTTCATTGGCTCTGTGAGACCCAGTGAGGGCAGGGAGGGAAGTGGAGCTGGGGTGAGAAGTAGAGGCCCTGCAGGGCCCACGTGCCAGCCACCAGGCCTCAGACTAGGCTCAGATGACGGAGAGCTGCACACCTGCCCAACCCAGGCCCTGCAGTGCCCACATGCCAGCCGCTGGGGCCCAGACTTGCTCCAGAGGGCGGAGAGCTTTACACCGGCCCAACCCAGGCCATGGCTCCAAATGCGTGACAGTTTTGCTGTTGCTTCTTTTAGTCATTGTCAAGTTGATGCTTGTTTTGCAGAGGACCAAGGCTTTATGAACCTATTACCCTGTGTGAAGAGTTTCACCAGGTTATGGAAATTTCTTTAAAACCATACCACAGTTTTTTCATTATTCATGTATATTTTTAAAAATAATTACTGCACTCAGTAGAATAACATGAAAATGTTGCCTGTTAGCCCTTTTCCAGTTTGCCCCGAGAATACTGGGGGCACTTGTGGCTGCAATGTTTATCCTGCGGCAGCTTTGCCATGAAGTATCTCACTTTTATTATTATTTTTGCATTGCTCGAGTATATTGACTTTGGAAACAAAAGACATCATTCTATTTATAGCATTATGTTTTTAGTAGTGGTATTTCCATATACAAGATACAGTAATTTTCCGTCAATGAAAATGTCAAATTCTAGAAAATGTAACATTCCTATGCGTGGTGTTAACATCGTTCTCTAACAGTTGTTGGCCGAAGATTCGTTTGATGAATCCGATTTTTCCAAAATAGCCGATTCTGATGATTCAGACGATTCTGATGTTCTGTTTAGAAATAATTCCAAGAACAGTTTTTACATTTTATTTTCACATTGAAAATCAGTCAGATTTGCTTCAGCCTCAAAGAGCACGTTTATGTAAAATTAAATGAGTGCTGGCAGCCAGCTGCGCTTTGTTTTTCTAAATGGGAAAAGGGTTAAATTTCACTCAGCTTTTAAATGACAGCGCACAGCCTGTGTCATAGAGGGTTGGAGGAGATGACTTTAACTGCCTGTGGTTAGGATTCCTTTCCCCCAGGAATGTCTGGGAGCCACTGCCGGGTTTGCTGTCCGTCTCGTTTGGACTCAGTTCTGCATGTACTGGATCCGATTTGAGGACTGAGTAGCTTCTGGTTGATGGCATCTGGCTTGTGAACCTCCGCTGTTGCTGGCAGTGGCTGTGCTGCTGTTGTGACCTCTGGGCTCCTGGTTCTTCCTGCTGCTCAGCCAGGAGGTAGAGGCACCAACGCCAGCCTGGCTGCCTGCCACCCCCAGCTCTTCACCTGGTGGGGCTCAGTCTCTCTGGCCTTGTGAAGTTCGCCTCAAGGGCCAAGAGCTCCGTGTCCTTCAGGGAGAATGCCGGCCAGCGAGCGAGCCATCGGGAAGGACTTGCCCTCAGCCCGTGCCCTGAGCTCTGAGTTCCGGAGCCACCCGCCGCTTGTGTGCCCCACCTGTCATGCTGCTGGGGGACACCAGGCTCCACCTCCAAGGATGCTCCTGGGTCTGTGCCACCCGCCGTGTGCGGCTGGTTGCTCTGTTTCCTGCGCCTGTATGGTGGTCATTTCACAGGGTGGGAGCTGGTGCACAGGGTGGATGGTGCCTGCGAGGGGTCAGCCCTGTCCCTGCTGTGGCTCTCACACCACGTGAGTGTGACTGCGCGTGTTCCCAGCCCAGGGCCTGAGCTGCTTTCCTCACACTTATCTTAGGCCTCCCTGTCTCCTTCGTCTGCATAATTATAGACCTACATTTCTCTCTCTTTTTTCTTTATGTCCTCTGTGATTTGTGTGATACTAGGAACATTCAGAGATGTTTTGACGCAGTAGTTTGTCTTTTTAAAATTTGTCCTCAGCCAAGTGCCACATGTCACCTCCATCGAGGTGGCAGTTCCCCTGGGCCCAGCTCTCTATCTGGATAAGGCCTTGAGACAGTGGAGCGTGAGTGCGCTGCTTGGCGGGGACCCCACCCTGTCATTACCCAGAGAACGGCCGCCATCCCCTTCACTGTGCATTCCCAGTTCCTGGGGCTGGAGGTCCCAGCAGAACTGGGCCCAGGGCCAGAGGCTGGGTGCCTAGGCAAGAGTGAAAAGGTCTCACTGAAAATCTAAACAAAATGAAGCTCGTGAAGTAATGTGATGTTTTCACCTTCGTCTAAGTAAGTTCAGGTTGATCTGAGGACAGAAGCCATCAAGGGCCTGTATGACTTTCCAGTGGCTTCTGTAACAAAGTGTCACACCCTCCACAGCTCAAAGCAGCGGAAATGTGTGCTCTCACAGCTCTGAGGCCACAGGTCCACAATCTGCTCTGCTGGCAAACCCCAGGTGTGGTAGGGCTAAGTTTCTCCCCAGGAAACCCCAGGTGTGGTGGGGCCCAGCTCCTCCCCAGGAAACCCCTGGTGTGACAGAGCCGAGATCCTCCTCAGGCAAAGCTCAGGTGTGGCGGGCCGAGCTCCTTCCGAGGAAACCCCAGGTGTGGCAGGACTGAGTTCCTCCGGAGGTTCTGTGGGATGGGGCCTCCCTGCCTCTTGTGGGTTTTGGGGCTCCTAGCTGTCCTTGGCCTGTGGCCATATCACTCCGTTCTCCGCCCCCTCGTCATGTGGCCTCTTCTCTGTGTCTCCCTCTGTGTCTGTCTCTCTCTCCCCTGCTCCTACAGGGATGCTTGCCATTGGAGTTAGGGCCAGTCTAGATAATGAAGGATTATCTCATCCCACAACACTGTAACTAATCACATCCACAGAGACCCTTGTTTCCAACAAAGCCACAGCCACAGGTTCCGGGGATTAGGCTGAGAGCATCTTTTTGGAGGACACATTGAGCCCGCCACAGGGACTCTGGTTTGTAGCATTTCCAGAGGCCAAGGGCCTGTTTTCTGTGAGCGGCTTTGCGTGGTAAATGCAAGTGTGGCACTTCTGTTCCACAACAAAACCTGACTCATAATCCAAGTGTATTCCTCATTTGTCTTTTGTGTATTGTGTATTTTGTCTTTTGTGTATTTGTACTTGTGTATTTGGTGCTGTTATACTTAAAAAGTCTAAATGGGAGCAATTCGGTGTATTTGGGGCTTTTTTTTTCTTTTCAGTTTGTGTGAATTCAAACCCAAGTTGGGCAGGAAAAGGAATGATGAAGTAGTGGATGTCATCTCAAGCACTAGGATCCACTGGCTGTAGGAGCGTGTTAGACTCACTGTGACTCTGCTTGTGCTTGGCCTTCTCTGCAGAGCCAGGTGGTTTTCGGGCAGTTCCTGTCTGCCGGTCCCTCTGTGGGCTGGCAGTGAGCAAGTGTGGGCAAATACATGGCGACTGGCTTCCCACCAGGCCCCCATTCGCCTGTTGAGGTCTCAGAAAGAATGATCAATAATTGGCTACACAGATTTTTTGTTGTTGTTATTAAAGCTGTTAAACAGAAAAGTGAGGAAAAATGCATGTTTATGTAACTGACAGATACTTTGCACAGAGGAGATCATCTACTGATGGAGAACCAAAAAGAACTGTGAAATTGGAAAATTAGATATTGGAATCCCCTAAGTGGAAAATTAGAAGTTGTATAGATAGCATGAAAACGTAGATACATATTTTACTTTATTTTGTTTTTGATCCTGTAATAATACACTTCTGTATTTTATAATGATAACTGTTTACAAAAGTAGTCTAGACATTGTTGAATCCTTATAGTGACAAGTTTTCCTAATACATTTATAGTAATTTGATTTTTTTGTTGTTGAGATGGAGTCTCACTCTGTCGCCCAGGCTGGAGTGCAGTGGTGTGATCTTGGCTCCCTGCAACCTCCACCTTCTAGGTTCAAGCGATTCTCCTGCCTCAGCCTCCCGAGTAGCTGGGATTACAGGTGCCTACAACCATGCCCAGCTGATTTTTGTATTTTTACTAAAGATGGGGTTTCACCATGTCAGCCAGGGTGGTCTTGAACTCCTGACCTCAGGTGATCCACCCGCCTCGACCTCCCAAAGTGCTGGGATTACAGGCGTGAGCCACCGTGCCTGGCTGTAATTTGATTTTTAAAAAGCAGTGGAGTTATAATCACCATGTCGTTGGTATGCTATAGTTGCTCAGCACTGTTTTATAATCTGTTGTCAGCTAACTGGATGGGGAACAGGAAGACATTGTTTTTGTATTTGGCAAATGTTGAAAGTGTGGCTTAGAGTCATATGCTTCCATTTCTTACTTTTCTGATTCTATGTCCTTCCATGGTGTGGGTGTTTTCTCATTGAATTGCCAGGGACCACCCAAATCCCCGCTCACCCTGTGACGGGGGCGTGAATGTGGCAGTAACCTGGCCCATGATCTGGAATTTAGCTGCAGCAAAGGGCTCTGCAGAAGTGGATGGTTTGAAGTCCGATTGTGATGGGAAAAGAGATTAATGTGAAACAAGATGCCGATTCTAAATTTTTATTAGGATATAACAGGATGGGATATCATCTGGCAGGAACAGTCTGGAAGAGGCTAACTTGGAAGAAACAAGAACTGTTTTCTTTTCTGTATTCACATCTGCTTGTATATGAAGTTGGCTGTGGTTTAGCCCAGTAGAGACCATGGGGCCATCTGTGTCCGGATTTTAGAGGCCTTGAGAGCACGCATGCATGCGGGGATCTGTGTGGGACCTGAGTGCAGTCTGGGCAGTGACACTGGTGTGGCTGTTCCCCACTGGCATGTCCAGCCAAATAAGCAAAGTCCCTTAGGACCCCTGGCCACCACCACTGGAGTCTTGCCTCCTCCTTCGCTCCCAGGGCAGCGCAAATTCCTGGATCCTCTGGGTGTCTCTGTTCCTGGTGGATGCTGTGCTCCACCCATCCTAGGCAGGGCATGGGCGTCCATTCGTCACCAAGAGTGGGACGCGTCCTCCTTCCGGGCCACCTCCTCGCTGTGACCATGGCTGCGCTTGCGATGCTGCCTGGGTTCATGCCCTCAGGCAGCAGTGTTAAGAGGGATGCCCTTGGCTGCCTTAGCCAAGCCCGGGACTGGGAGCAGTGGGGAGCCACCCCATTTTACTTTTGTCACCCCTGAAGGGTGCAGCTGTCTCTGTTAGCCAGGGCTGGGGGGAAGCCGTAGCAAGTGGAGCACTGTAGGAAGTGGAGCACTGTGCTCATGGTCCAGTCACCACCTCCTGCTTGGGGGTTGTTTCTCCTGCGCATGGGACACAGAGGCTGGAAGTCCCAGGTGGAAGTGGACAGCTGCTCCTCCTTCCTCTGGGCTGTTCCGGTGGCTCTGGTCTAGGCAGCGCTCCGCAGCACTTACTGATCAGTGCAGCTGTGATCTTAGGAGTGGAAAGAGCTCTAACTGGGGCTCCTGGTCGGACCCGCTGTTGCCTGTACCCCATGGGCCTCTGGCTAATCGGCTTCCTGGTGACTTAAGTGTGCTCCACCCACCAGGGGAGCCTGCAGGATCTGCAGGCAGGGCCTTGGTTCAGAGCTGATCACCTCTGGAGTCCTCTTCAACAAGGTGGCTCTGCTGGACTTTGGGGTCCAAAAAAGACCGGGGTTTAGCTTTAGTCCTACTTCTTTTTAAGTAAATGGATGAAAGTTGGTAATTTTAAAACTCTTTACTCAGTCAAGCCGTGAAACCGTGTTTGTGACAATGACTTTAATGTGGTTGTAACCCAAGGGATTGGTTTTCACAGTGTCCTCATTCCTTCCATTTGGCCAGCCAGAGAGAAGCAGAAAGAAGGAACAATGCCTGGAATTTGACCCGATCGATTTCCCAATTTCCTGAAAGCTACAGATACGAAATGTGCTATTGTAAGCTGGAGCTTTGTGGAGAAAATGTGTGCTAATAATGCTGAGTTGAATATACATGTGCATTCTTCGTTATTTTACCAAATTTCTGATTAGGAATTCAAAGTGCTGTTCCTAGTATTTTCCTGACGGATTTGAGTTGGTGTTGGCAAGGTGCAGAGTGTTTACAAACCTATGGAAAGATCCTTATGGGAACAGGGGTTCATAAAACAGTGCTGGTCTCTAAGGGGGAAGCCATCACTACCTTGGGCCAGAAAAGGAGACTCATGGGTGGGCAGGGGTCCTGACTGGGTCGGTGGGGTCATGTAACTGAAGACTATCTGTGCCCTACTGTCTGCACTGTGGATGCCATGTCCTCCTCCTGCCCTAGTTCCTTTTATAAAATGCAACTGATGATCCCTGCCCCTTGCTACACTGAGCTCTCGTTGAATTTTACACATGAAAGCACTGTTGATTTCCCCTCTCCAGGTGACTTCTGTGATAACTCATACACCGATGTGCTTTGTTTTAATTCTAGGCAGCTTCGGTCACCTCTCTGTCCAACCTGGCATGCATGCACATGGTCCGCTGGGCTGTTTGGAACCCCTTGCTGGAAGCTGATTCTGGAAGGGTGACCCTGCCTCTGCAGGGTGGGATCCAGCCCAACCCCTCGCACTGTCTGGTCTACAAGGTACCCTCAGCCAGCATGAGCTCTGAAGAGGTAAATTATTAGGTATTTCTTATGCATCTCCGGTGAGCTTCTAGCAAGTTCATTCATTTTCAAAAGCAAAAGTTCACAAATATGTTTGCAGATGTTTCATTTACAGAATTTTTTTCATGTCATGGGTATGCCTTTAGAAAGATTAGTATGATGTTTTTATGTAAACCTGATAAGACCAGTTTTATCATGGGTTTTATTGCTGTTCACATACTGATTTCCTGGGATGACTTGGTGAACCTCCAGCTGATGTGTACACACTTTGCAGCAAGATTCACCTGTGTGGCGTGCACGTTTGGAGCATTGGAGCTTGGGCCTCATGTGGCCTTTACCAGTAGGTTTTTTGGTGGATGAGTGCTGAGGTGGGAGCCGGTTCTGGTTTCTAGCCCTGGCTTATCTTTGTGACTTATCACTAATGCTTGTTGGACCTTGGGTGTGTACCAAGGGGTAGGACCACAGCAGAGATTCTCAGGTTTTTTTTTTTTTTTTAATTCTGAAATGAAATGTTCTCTGCACCCCAATTAAGACGGCAAAAACAAGTAGAGCGAAGTGGGTTGAAGTGTGTATGAGGGTCTCATCCCCAGCCTCCTTGGCCCCATTGGCGGTGTTGGAGGATGGTTAGCGGTGACCCAGGGCACCACAGACAGTGCGAAACCCTGCTCTGGCAGATGGCTAGAGTCCGTTGGGCTCTCCGAGGTGTGGCAGAGTTTCTGCTCGGCTGCAGTGTTTGGTGAGATTTTAAAGGTATATAGATGTAATATTTAGAATATTACCTAAACTTAGTTGATAAAGCAATGGCAAGGTTTGAGAAGATTGACTATGATTTTGAAAGTTCTGCCTATGGTAAAATACTGTCAAATAGCATTGCATGGTACTCTTTTATGACATGAAAAGTCAATTGATGGAGCAAACTTGCATTGTGGTCTTGTTTTATGAAAGCTCTGCAGGCATCCCAACCTTCAGCAACCACTACTCTGATTAGGCAGCAGCCATCAATATCAAGGCACAACCCTCCACTAGCAAAAAGATTACAATGTTCTGGAAGGCTTAGATGATCCTTAGCATTTTTTTTTTTTTGAGACAGGGTCTTACTCTGTTGCCCTGGCTGGAGTGCGTGGCACGATCATAGTTCACTGCAGCCTTGAACTCCTATGCTCCAGCAATCCTCACACCTCAGTGTCCTGAGTAGCTAGGACTACAGGCATGTGCCACCATGCCTGGGTAATTTTTTAATTTTTGTAGAGTTGAGGTCTTGCTGTGTTTCCTGGGATCATCTTGAGCTCCTGGGTTCAAGGGATCCTCCTACCTTGGCCTCCCAGAGTGTTGGGATTATAGGCGTGAGTCACCATACCTATAATGGCACAATGGTTAGCATTTTTTTAGCAAGAAAGTTTTTTTTTTTTTTTTTTTTTTTTTGAGATGAAGTCCTGCTCTGTAACCCAGGCTGGAGTGCAGTGGCGCAGTCTCAGCTCACTGCAACCTCCATCTCCCAGGTTCACGCGATTCTTCTGGCTCAGCCTCCCAAGTAGCTGGGATTATAGGTGCCCACCACCATGCCTGGCTAATTTTTATATTTTTAGTAGAGATGGGGTTTCATCATGTTGGCCAGGCTGGTCTTGAACTCCTGACCTTAGGTGATCTGTGTGCCTCTCAAAGTGCTGGGATTGCAGATGTGAGTCACTGCACCCGGCCAGCAATAAAGTATTTTTAAATTAAGGTAGGTACAGTACTTTTTTTTTTTTTTTTTTAGACATATGCTATTACACACCTATTGACTACAGTATAGTATAAATACAACTTTTAAATGCACTGGGAAACCAAAAAATTCAGTGACTTGCTTTATTGTAGTGGTTTGGAACTGAACCTGTAGTATCTTTGAGGTATGCCTATAATTACATTACGTGTAAATAGTGTAAACACACCAGTTTAAAAGATATTGTCAGGCTTAATGAAAGACAAAGCCCAACTATATACTGTCTATAAGAAGTATACTTTAAATAAATATAACGTAAATTAAAAGAATGGAAAATATTCTTTTCAAACACTAAAAGAAAACTGGAGTGGGTATATTACTATTGACACTATCAGACAAACTAGACTTCAGAATACAGGAAATTTCCAGGAATTAAGAGAGATAGTACACATGATAAAAGGGTCAGTTGCCAAGACATAACAATCCTAAAATTGCTTGCATCTAACATAGAGCTTCAAAATACATGAAGCAAAAACTGATTGAACTGAAAGGAGAAATGGACAAATCCACAATTAGAGTTGGAGACTTCAGCATCCTCTCTAAGTAAACAAAGAACAACTAGCTATTCCATCAGCAATGATACAGAAGGACTGAACATCGCCATCGACCAACTGGATCGGAATGATATTTATAGAGCACTCTCCCCAACAACAGCAGGATACACGTTGTTTACAAGTGCACATGGAACATTCATCAAGATAGACAATATCCTTGGTCATAAAACAAACTTCAGTTTTAAGAGAGTTGAGATTATACAGGATGTATTCTCAGATTATAATGGAATTGAACTAGAAATCAATAACAAAGATAATAAAAATTTTCAACCACTTGGAAATTAAACAATATGTAAAAATCCATAAAGTAAAGAGTAAATCTCAAGGGAAAATAGAAGATATTGTGAACTTAACAGATATGGAAATACAACATGTCAAAGTTCGTAGGATGCAGCTCAAATATGCTTAGCGTTAGGTGCTTATATTAGAACAGAAAAAAGATCTTAATTCAGTGATCTGATCTTTGTCTTCAGAAACTAGAAAAAGAAGAGTAAAATAAACCCAAAGCTATTCAGAAGTCAATAACAGCAGAAACCAATGAAATTGAAAACAAAAACAATAGATTAAAAATTAAAAAATAGCAAAAACCCAGTGAAACAAGAACCTGTTTGAAAATATCAGTAAAACTGATGAACTTCTAGCAAGACTGAAAAAGAAGGGAGGACACAAATGACTAATATTAGGAATGAAAGAAGGAATATCAGTACAGACCTCACGGGTATTAAAAGGATAATAAGGGAATACTACAAACAATTCTCTGCACATAAATTTGACAATTTAGGTGAAATGGATGAATGAATATGAAACTCCACATTGCCAAAACTCAGCCAAGATGAAGTAGATGACCTGAGTAGTCCTATAACTAATATGTAAGTTGAATTCATAGTTTAAAAACTTTTGAAAAAGAAATATTCAGGCCTATTCACTATGAATTCTATTAGACATGTGAAGAAGAAATAATGCCACTTTTATATAATCTATTTCAGAAAACAGAAAAGATGGGAGCAATTCCCAACTCATGAAATGAAGCCAGCATTACCCTGATATCAAAACCAGAAAAATAATATTAATAATAACAAGAAAACAGAACTGTGGACCCGTATCCTTCATAAACATAGGTGCAAAATACTCAACAAAATATTAGCAGATTGAGTCCAGCAATACGCAAAAAGAATAATACACTATAGCCAAGTGGAGCTTTATCCAGAGAATGCAAGTCTGTTTTCTATTTGGAAATCAATAAATGTAATTCATTATAGTAACAGCCTAAAGAAGGAAAACCATATGATCCTGGCAATTGATACTGAAAAAACATTTGACGATATTCAGCATCAGTTTATGATTAAAAACTGAGCAAACTAGCAATAAAAGAAAACTTCCTTAGCATAATCAGTGATGTTTACAAAAACTCTTTAGTTAACATCATACTTAATGGTGAAAGACTGATTGCTTTCCCCCTAAGATTAGGAACAAGTAAAGGATGTCCACTGTTAGCATTCAACGTCATGTTCAGTATTGCACTGGAAGTTGTAGTCAGTGCTGTAAGTCAAGAAAACAAAAGACCTACACATTAGAAGGAAGAAACAAAACTGTCCTTATTTGCAGAAAACGTGATTGTCTATGCCAAAGATTCTGAGGAGTCTACAAAAAAGTCCTTTTAGAATGAGTAAGTGGGTTTAGTGAGGTTGCAGGATAACACAGGAAGTCAACATGAAAAATCAATCCTATTTCTGTATACTAGCACTGAAAAATTGAAAGCAAAATACAGAAACAGTATTGTTTACAAAGCCTGCCCTCCATGAACTAAATCTAACAAAATAGTTAGGGGATCTGTATGCTGAAAACAATAAAACTGTCCTTTTGCTAGTTGTCATTGTGGTTATTCTTAGGTGAAATCAAAGAAGACCTAAATAATTGGAGAGACGTAACATGTTTATGTCTTGGGAAACTCAACATAGTAAAGCTGTCAGTTCTGCCCAAGATTGATCTAGAGATTTTATGCAGTTTCAGTCAAAATCTCAGCAGGATTTTTTTGGCGATATAGACAAGCTGATTCTGAAATTTATATGGAAAGCTAAAGGAATTAGAAGAGTCAAAATAGTTTTGAAAAAAGAACAGTAAAGTTGGAGGAATCATACTACACAGTTTAAACACTTACTGTACAGCTACACTGATTAATATAATTAGTATCAAGGAATTCAGTTAATGGAACAGACTAGAGAGTCCAGAAATAAAGTTTGGAAGTGCCTTATGAAATTAAATATGCCATATGACCCAGCAGTCCTACTCTTGGAGAAATGAAACCTGTATTCACACAAACATATGTGTTTGTAGCAGGTCTGTTTATAATCACCCAAACCAGAAACTACCCAAATGTTTGTGAGTGAATGGATAAATAAACTGGTACATCCGTACAATAGAATATCACTCAGTAATAAAAAAAGAAACAGTTTGATGTGTATGTAACAACTTGGATGAATCTCCTCAGTCTTATGCTAAATGAAAGAAGCTGGTCTCAAAAGTTATACATTATGTGATTCCATGTGTTGGACATTTTTTTGACATTCTCAAAAAGACGAAATGACAGTGCTGGGGAAGCAGTCATAGATTGCCCGGGTTAGGCATGGGCTGGGTGTGGCTGCAGAGGGGCAGGGCAGGGCAAGGGAGCACCCTGGGGGGATGGGGCTGGCCTGCACCCTGGGTGTGGTGCTGGTTATGTGAATCTGTGCATGTGCCAAAACCCACAGAGCCATACCCAGAATAAAGATGTCAGTTTCACATAGGTCAATGACAACATTCACAACTCGAGAGAGATTGCGATTTCTGCTTGGGTAAGGGTCATTCCATGATCATATGGTCTGCAGGGCTTTTAATGCCACACCAATTGCTTTTTGCTCAAACTACTTGATTATAATCTGAGAACATGTGGCATCAAGAAGCCTCTGATTTCACGTAGACTTTGTTTTAGGGCAGAGCCTGCTGTTCCTGGTTGGATCGTTCTGATAGGCGTGCTGATGAAGGGAGTGGCCATCACTGCTCTTCTGGTCCATTGCAGGTGAAGCAGGTGGAGTCGGGTACACTCCGGTTCCAGTTCTCGCTGGGCTCAGAAGAACACCTGGATGCACCCACGGAGCCTGTCAGTGGCCCCAAAGTGGAGCGGCGGCCTTCCAGGAAACCACCCACGTCCCCTTCGAGTAAGTGTTTCCAGAGAGCTGACTGGCCAGGCACATGGCAGGCAGCACTTCCATCTCTTCCCGGGGAAAGGTACTTAGTCTAGTACGGTAATCACCACATTTGTAAGATAATCGTCGTAGATTGCATTAATGGAATCTGTTAGTTGGGTTTTTGCTTAATACCAAGGTGTAGAATTGGACAGTGATGAAGTGTGGCCCAGAAGCTTGTGCTTCAGCCCAGAGTCAGCTCAGTTACTTGACAGCTCCCCAACTAAGCATTTAAAAGGACACGTCACATGGATGCCCTGCAAATGTGGGACCCGAGAGTTAGAGGGTGGTCGAGAGCCGAGGACCGCCACCTTGCGTTTGCACTGTTGAAGTAGCCGTCTGTCTACTCACCTTGAAGCCCTGCCCGAAAGTTAGGAGTGTGTGATCTGAGTCTGTGGCTTTAAGAAAAGGAGTCACAATTGGCTACAAGCAGCAAGGGCTGCCAGCAGAGGTAGAGTCCTGGCCCTGTGGGTGGCAGCAAGTCCACATGGTTAGGAGGTTAAAGAGTTCTTATTGGCCGTCAGCCTAGCTGCTTCTGCTGAGGCAGTACCCTGTGCTCAGAGCCTCTTGGTTTAGACCCATGTCCTGGTTGAGAATTCCACCTATACTGAAGTGAGGGGCGGAAGGTACGAGGGAGTGTTGGAGTAGTCCACCTGAATGAGTATGGGGCCTTGGCTCTAGGCGTCTGGAGCTCTCACCACTGAAGGTTCTAGGATCCCTAGTCGCAGGTGATGACTTCCTTCTTTCTGCCTGTTCCAGATGGCAAGATAGGGAATGAGCAAACGTGCAAGCCCGGGAGGGAGCTTTGTGTTCCTCTGGGCTCCAGCTGGTGATGCCCGGGTGTCGAGGGAGGAGTTGCTTTCTGTGCTCGGCTATGGCCCCAAGTCCTGCTACAAAGCTGCTGGTGCTTCCATCACTCAGGAGGGGTTTTCTTCATGGATTGAGATTCTAATTTATGGGAACTGGTCTTGTTGAATTTGATTTTACAGTTGGTGGAAGCAGCACATGCATTTCTAAGTTGATGAATTTGATGAAGTTGATGATTTTCTGAGATACCTAATACAGTGCAAATGCTATGTAAATTGTACTGTTTAGGGAGTAATGACAAGAAAAAAAGAGTCTGTACGTGTTCAGTGCAGACACATTTAAAAAAAAATATTTTCAGCCCAAGTCTGGTTGAATTCATGGATGCAGAAACCATGGACCTACTCTGTACTCTGATTTTTGATTAAGTTACTTAAAAGTACAATAGTAATACATAATAAACATGGTCTTTCAGGATTCTCTGAGCTATCTAAGAATATTCCGGTACCAAAACTTAATAGTTGATTTCTTTGGGACAAACTACATCATTAAGTATTTTCCTTCTTTTCATAGAGGTGATGCATTTGATGGTTTTAATTGTTTTGTTTTTTCAGTGTTTGAATTTTGTGCCTAACAGCTTGTTCTCAAGATTTCTGTTTACCACCAGTGTGTACATTAATAATCCCATCTTTATAAACGGCACTGAAATGTACAGTCCCCCTTGTACTAGAATCCCTTGTGGTGGTGGGTGGTAGGCATGCATGCATTTCCTGTCAGAGTCGGTTTAGAATGAATTTCCAATTTCATTTGATAAAATTGAATGCATTCAAGGCATAGGACACATAATTTCAAAAAACTAAACAAAGGGTCATAATAAAGGATCATTTAAAACAACCCATTCCTGGCCAGGCACGGTGGCTCACGCCTGTAATCCCAGCACTTTGGGAGGCCGAGGCAGGTGGATCACAAGGTCAGGAGATCGAGACCGTTCTGGCTAACACGGTGAAACCCCGTCTCTACTAAAAATACAAAAAATTAGCTGGATGTGGTGGCGGGCGCCTGTAGTCCCAGTTACTTGGGAGGCTGAGGCAGGAGAACGGCGTGAACCCAGGAGGCAGAGCTTGCAGTGAGCCGAGATTGTGCCACTGCACTCCAGCCTGGGCGACAGAGCAAGACTCTGTCTCAAAAAACAAAACAAAACAAACAAAAAAAAACCCATTCCCTGCTTACATCTGATATCTTTCCTTCTTTGACATACACTCTTTGACATATAGTTATATTTTAAAAATAAAATACCTATCAACCTTTGAGAAACATAATTATGAAAAACGGAGGACCTTAGATTATAAATTGGGTATATTTTGTAATTAAATACAAACATGATTAGAGTTATCCCTCGGTATCCGTGGGGGACTGGTTCCACATGCTCAAGTCCCTTATATAAAATGGTGTGGTATTTGCCTGTAATCTACGCACATCCTCCTCTGTACTTTAAATCATCTTTAGGCTACTTACAATACCTAATACAGTGCAAATGCTATGTAAATCATTGTACTGTTTAGGGAATAATGACAAGAAAAAAAGAGTCTGTACGTGTTCAGTGCAGATACAACCATCCATTTTTTAAAAAATATTTTCAATCCAAGGCTGGTTGAATTCATGGATGCAGAACCCATGGATCCACTCTGTACTCTGATTTTTGATTAAGTTACTTAGAAGTACAGTAGTAATACATAATAAACATAGTTTGCCCATGTCTGTAGAAATGCCTGAACAGAGAATGAACCTGTATAGCTAGCTTTCAGGAAAAATATGACTACCTTCTCTGGAAAGAAATTTTCATGTGTTTAAATTATGATACAGGCCAGGCATGGTGGCTCATGCATGTAATCCTAGCACTTTAGAAGGCTGAGGCAGGAGGATCACTTGAGCTCAGGAGTTCAAGACCAGCCTGGGCAACATAGCAAGACCCCATTTCTACTAAAAATAAAACAAATTAGCTATGCGCGGTGGTGTGCACCTTTAGTCCCCGCTACTCAGGAGGCCAAGGCAAGAGGATTGGTTGAGCCCGGGAGATGGAGGCTGCAGTGAGCCGTGATTACGCCAGTGCACTCCAGCCTGGGCAAAAGAGTGAGACCTTGTCTCAAAAATAAATAAGTAAATAAAGATATAGTTATGGCACTGGAAAAGAGCAGCTAGTTATGTTTTGAAGACCTTCTAATCAAATTAACTATAAACTCTGATGGGCTGATCCTGCTGTCGGGCTTTTGGGCTGGATCAATTTGTGGATGCCATCTGTGGGCTTTGGTTTTACTTCCCTGGCTGCCCTGTTTTCATGAGGCGTTTGGAGGAGATTTTAAAACCAGTCTGCCACTGCCTCTGCTTGCCCAGAATGATTCTTTAACTGATTTTTTTGCCAGGGTTCCTTGAGCTTCTTAGATCTCTAGATTTATAGTTTTCATCACATTTGGAAAAATTGTGGTCATTATTTCTTCACATATTTCTTCTGTCTTTCTCTCTCATCCTCTCATTCAGAGGCCCCAGTTACGTGTTTATCAGGCTGCCAGAAATTGCCTCACAGCTCGCTGATACTCTGTTCACTTTTATTCATAACCTCCTTTTGCTGTGTGTTTCATTTTAGATAGTTTCTGTCTTCAAGTTCACTTCAAGTTCTTTTCTTCTGGAGTGTCTGATCTGCCATTTATCCTTTTCAGTATACTTTTCATCTCAGATATTATAGTTTTCATCTCTAGAAGTTCGTCTGGGCTTGTTTTATTCTTCCGTGTCTTGACTTAACATGTTCAGTGTTTCCTCTGGCTTTTTGAACTTAAGAAATACAGTTATAACTACTTTAATATCCTGGCTTGCTAATTCTAATATCTTTGTCAGTTCAGGATCAGTTTTGATTGATAGATTTTTGTCCTGATTGGGTTCTGTTTTCCTGCCTCTTTGGATGTCTGATAACTTTTGATGGGCTCCAGATACTGAGAATTTTCTCTTACTGGATACTGAATGTTTTTGTATCTGATAAATATTCTTAAGCTTTGAAAATTGTTAGATCCTTTTGGGTCTTGCTCTTAAGATTGGTTAGGTGAGATCAGATCAGCATTTCATCTAGGGCTGATTATTCCTCACTGAGATGACAGGTGCCCCCAGAGGGCTCTGCCCGGTGTCCCATGAAGAATGAGGATTACCAGGTGGCTGGAGGGAACAGCGCTATGTCTGCCTGCCCTGTGAAGACCAGGCCCTATTCCCTGTAATCCTCTCTGGTGGTTCTTTCTCTTTTGGCCTTAGGAAGTTTCCTGATCCGCGCTCTACTGAATGCTAGGGTGGGACCCTCTGTAAATGGCTGGCATTCTCTCTCTGTGCTGCTCATCCTGTCTGGTGCAAACTCACTGAACACAGTAAGCTGGGGTCAGGGTAGGCCTTCCCTCTTCTGTTTCCCAGCCCTTGGGATCACTCTCCTTTGTTGCCTGAAGTCCACTGTCTTGAAAACCACTGTTCTACATATTTTGTGTTTAAAAGAAAATGTATTTTAGATGGGAGGGTCAATCTGATCACTGTTACTCTTCTTGGCCAGAAGTAGAAGTCCTGTTAATAGTCTCTTGGCTGCTGAAATCATCCCCACCGGGGCCGATCATCCCGGGGTTTGAAAGCGTCTTCTAGCTGTGTGTGCTACTTGTGATTCACTCACCATGCTGCGTGTTTTCCGGACTTTTGAGTCTTGGCTCATGCTCTCCGCCTGGTGTGTCTTTCTCCCATACGCTGCATTTATTTTCTTTTAGGATATATTCCAGGGTTTTTGTTTTGTTTTGCTTTTAGAGATAAATTCTCACTTCGTTGCTCTGGCTGGAGTGCGTGCCATAATCACAGCTCACTGTAGCCTTGAACTCCTGAGCTCAAGCAATCCACCCGCCTCAGCCTCCTGAGTAGCCAGGACTACAGGGAGTGCCACCGTGCCCGGCTAAGCCAGGACTGCAGGCAGTGCCACCGTGCCCGGCTAAGCCAGGACTGCAGGCAGTGCCACCGTGCCCGGCTAAGCCAGGACTGCAGGCAGTGCCACCGTGCCCGGCTAAGCCAGGACTGCAGGCAGTGCCACCGTGCCCGGCTAAGCCAGGACTGCAGACAGTGCCACCGTGCCTGGCTAAGTTTTTTGTTTTGTAGAGATATGGTCTTGCTGTGTTGTACAGGCTGCTCTTGAACTCCTGGCCTCAAGTGGTCCTCCCACCTTGGCCTCCCAAAATGCTGGGGTTATTTTTTAATTAAAAAAAAAAACCATAGTCAAGAATAGCCAAGGCAATTTTGAAGAAGGAGGGAGGCTTCACCTTTCTTAGTTTTCAGACTTACTGTAATGTTCTAATTTCTAGAACAAGTATAGCATTGATACAGAGAGAGATAAATAGATAATGGGACAAAATATAAAGTGTGATATGTGACAACTTGAAGAGAAGGAATATATTAGTTTCTGGTTGCTGTTACAACAAATTAGTGACGTTGCAACAGGAGCTTATTATCCTAAAATTCTGGAGGTCAGAAGTCCAAAGTGGGTCCTATAGTCTTAAATCGAGGGCTCAGCGGGGCTGTGCTCCTTCTGGAGGCTCCAGGGGAAAATCCATTTCCTCTCCTTTTCCAGCTGCTAGAGGCCACCTGCGTCCCTTGGCTCCTTCTTCCATCTTCAAAGGCAGCCATGTAGCACTTTCCAGTTGTCACTGAACTCTGACCCTCCTGCCTCCCTGCCTTTCACTTACAAAGACTATTGTGAGTACATTGGGCCCACCTGGATAATCCAGGGTCATCCCCCCATCTCAGGGTCAGCTGATGAGCACCTTAGTCCCTTGGCATTGAACATATGTATAGGTTCTGGGGTTAGGACGTGGGTATCTCTGGGGTGGCAGCAGTTACTCCGCTTACCGCAAGGAGTAGCAGTCAGTAAATGGTGTGGCGTGATCCCTTGCCCACATGGAAAATATAAAATTCAGTCCTAGCTTCATGTCATGTACAATAATAAATTCCAGATGGCCTAAAAACCAAAACTTCAGAAATGTTAGAATTAGAAGATCAGAAAGAGGAAAGATTATAGAAAGAAGTCCTCCAAATCAATAAGAAATAGACAGCAGGAAAGAAAAATGGACAGTGCTCAGCAGTTGCTGGGCGATCGCTAACGCTGTCGTCATATGAAGAGGGAATTTATAGAGAAGAAACCAGAATAACCAATAACCATAAACAAATGAAAACATGCTCAGTATTACTGGTAATCAGAGAAATGAAAATAAAATGACAAACCGTTTTATTCCCCTCATATTGGAGGAATCCAGATGTCTAATAGTGCAAAAGTTCCTGAGGATGTGGATAAAGCAGAACTCTTACCACCGTGGGAAGAATGGGATGTGTGCAGCCGCTTTGAAGAGTGATTTTGTAATATTTAGTTAATATCCTACAACTCAGAAGTGCCATTTCCAGACGACTGTTAGAGAGAACAACCGGTTCATGTGTATAAGGAGACATGGGCGGGCTCAGCATCACAGCAGCTGCTGGTTTCCCAGTCAGGGAATGGATAAACTGACTTACTTGGACAGTGAAATGCTGTGTGTCGGTTAAATGAATGAAATAGATCTATGCGTATCAGGTGGATAAACCTTCACAAAGGCATGTTGAATGAACACAAGTTCTGAAAGGAAATGAACAATGTGGTAGCATTTAAGTAACTTTCAAAACAATTGCATGTATTGCTTATGAATGCATACTTATTGAATATTAGAGCAGTTACTTAATGTCTGTGTCCCTGTTTCCTCAGCTGTAAAATGGGATGGATTAAATACTTAAAGTATGAAAAACAAACTTGAGAAATCTTAGAAAAAGACATTGGAGAATATTTTTATGGCCTTTGGGTTAGGAAGGCCTTCTTAAGCAAGATAGACAAAGCATAAACCAAAGAGACGATTGAGAAATAAGATTATATTAAAATATAAAACTTCTGTGTGAGAAAAGACTCTGTAAACAAAGTTAGAAGACAGACCTCAGGCTGAAAGATATTTGCAATACATATGACCATTAAAAATTAATGAAGGAAGTAAGATGAGAAGATTAGAAAGAAGGATTACAGAAAGACCTCCTCCAAATCAATAAGAAGCAGATAAACAACAGAAAAGAAAAATGGGCAAAGGATAGCCAAGGATTGGGGGGAGGATGAAATGAGTAAAGATATGTCCAGGTGCTCGGGGCTGCCTGGCGTGGAGCAGATGCCCAGCGATTGTCGGGCGATCATTAACGTTGTCCCCATGCCACTGCCATTGTGGTTCTTCTGGTTGGCAGCGTTGAGGGAAGCGACCACATGTACGTACCCCTTCAACTACTGGTTCAATTAACACGGGGCCGCCAGGGCAGGAGCAGCTGGAGCACATCTCTACGGAGCTCCTCTGGACCCCAGAGTCTTTGATGGGTGAAAACAGCTAACCCCGGCTGGGCGCAGTGGCTCATGCCTATAATCCCAGCATGTTGGGAGGCTGAGGTGGGAGGATGGCTTGAAGCCAAGAGTTCGAGATCAGCCTGGGTAACATAGCAAGGCCCTGACTCTACAAAAAACTTAAGGCCGGGCGCGGTGGCTCATGCCTGTAATCCCAGCACTTTGGGAGGTTCAGGCGGGCATATCATGAGGTTCAGGAGATTGAGACCATCCTGGCTAACATGGTGAAACCCTATCTCTACTAAAAATACAAAAAATCAGCTGGCGTGGTGGCACGCGCCTGTAGTCCCAGCTACTCGGGAGGCTGGGGCAAGAGATCTCTTGAACCTGGGAGTCAGAGGTTGCAGTGAGCCGAGATTGCACCACTGCACTCCAGCCTGGACGATAGAGTGAGACTCTGTCTCTAGATAGATAGGTAGATAGATAGATAAGTAAATAAATGCATGCAGTAGCTGGGTGTGGTAGCATGTGCCTGTAGTCTCAGCTACTTGGGAGGCTGAGGCAGGAGAATTGCTTGAACCCAGGAATTCGAGGCTGCAGTGAACTATGATCACGTCACTGTACTCTAGCCTGGGCATCAGAGCCAGACTTTGCCTCTAAAAAAAAAAACAAAAAAAACCCACAAACAAACAAACACAGCTGGCCCTGACTGCATCCACGAAAGTAGGTTCCGGGTGGGCCCAGAAAGCTCAGTGTTGGCTATGCCTCTACCATTTTATCTTAGCCATTCTGCAAACACTTTAGGGCATGCTGACTCAGATGGGGCTTGTTCAGGTGGTCCTCCTTTTCTCCTACCCACTCTCCATTCAGCAAAGACTTGCGGAGAGTCTGTGATGTGCCAGGCACTTGGTTAGGCTCCTGTCCCAGTGGAGCTTTAAAAACAGACAATAAACAAACTACCAAATACGTGAGGTAGCAAGAAGAATCACGTGCCATCTGCTCTGGGATGTTAGTGAGGGTAGCTGCATGTGGGGACAGGGCACTGTGGGAACACCCTGTACCTTCTGCTCAGTACTGCTGAGAACCTAAAAAACTGTTCAAAAAAAGTATTAAAAAAGAGAGAATGACTTGTGGGGAGTTTTACAGTTATGTCCATCTTGATGTGATTAACTTGTATTTGGGATTTCTGTTTCTACAATTGAGGCCCAATTATAGAAGAGGTCAGCAAACTTTTTCTGTAAAGGCCAAATAGTAAGTATTTTAGGATTTGTGGGCAAGATGGTCTCTGTCACAGCTACTCATCTCCGCTGGTATATATAGGCGATACGTTAATGAATGGACGTGGCTGTGTTCTAATGAGACTTTGTTGATACGCACAGATTGTTAGCTGAATCGACCTGTGGACCATAGTTTGCAGACCCCTGATCTGCAGCTTTCTCTTATGTCATAATCCAGAGGAAGCTGCCCATTTTTTTCTGGGCTTTAAAATAGTTTAAACAAAAGGCAAGACCTGTTTCTTGAAGGTCTGATAAAACTTCTCTGTGAAACCACTGAAGGGATTTTTGACAACCAATTACATTTCTTTTCATGGTTATTGGTCTATTTATGTTTTCCACTTCATCTTGTGTTAACTTTTGGGATACACATCCTCTAAAAAAAATGGCCAATTTCCTCTAGTTTACAAGGATGCTGTGATAAAGTTTGTAACTAATTTAAACATTCAGTATGCGCCTGTGATTAGATTCCTTCCTTCGCTTTCTATCTTGGGAGGACTCTTCCTTTTTCGGTCAGGCTTATGAGAGGTTTGTATATTTCATTAGTCTCTTCAAAGAATCAGCTGTTACTTTTACTTACTGGTTCTCTTGTTTTTAAGTTATTAATTTTTTCTTTAATCTTAATTTAATTCTATATTTTATCTTTATTCATCCTCTTTGAAAAGCAGAATTCTTAGCTTATTTGCTCATCGTGTTTAATAATAAAATCATTTAAGATTCTGCAATTTTCTTCCAAGTACATCTTTTACCCCATTTCATAGGTTTTGATTTGGAATGTTATTTCCTACATTGTTGAGTTCCATTTTTATTTCCTTTTTACCTACAACTTGAAAATGTCTTTAAATATTCCCACATTTAAAAAGGCATATATTAAACTTTCCTTGCCCTCTCTTATGGAAACCTGTACTTATCTGTAAAGCCCTGCCTAAGGGTCTTGTCCATGGCAGAGCTTTGTTTTCAGCATCCCACAGCCCTTTGCAGACACCACCTTTTATTTTATATCCTTGTGTGTTGTCTGATTCCTTCCTTCCCTGCTACTGTTCTTAGAGGGTATTAGTCGAATTTGCTATGGTAACAAATAATCTCCAGATCTCGGTAGCTTAAAATAAAAAGGTTTATTTCTCACTCTCGCTGCGTGCGCATTGCAGTTGGTGGTGGCTCTGCTCGTCCTGGTCCCAGAGGGTGTTCGCCATCTTGAATATTGCTGGGTTGCGCCAGTAGGAAGGGGAGGCCTTGGGGAGGATCTTGTACCATCAGTTACGGCTCTGGCCCAGAAATGGCACACGTCACTTCTCCCCCTCCCGGGTTAGAAGTAGCCACGTGGCCTCCCAAGTCACAAGGGGACTGGGGACTGACTCATCGTATGCCTGGAAGGTAAAGAGGTGCAGATAGTTGGTGCATTTATTTGCTCCACACTGAAGAGTCTTATCATTGAAGCAGCTCACGGTGGGGACTGTTTCATTCATCTGTACATTGCCTGATGAGTCCTGGCCCACAGTAAAACATTCAGTACATATTTGTAGAGTGAATGAATTAATCAAAACCCTTTTGTATACAAGGGATAGAAACCTGACTCAAAATAGCTTCAACAAGAGAGAATGTATTGGCTCATGTGTCAGAAAAGCCTAGAGGTAGAGCTGATGTTAGGCATGGCTGGATCCCGGCACTCAAAGGATGCCATTAAGACTCCATCTGTTCGTCTCTCTCCCTCATGCCCCTACCCCCTCCCCTCCCCTTTAAGCTCTCCTTTCTTCAGTGTTGGCTTCTTTCCGGGTAGAGTTTCTCCACATGGTGAGCCCAGGAGCTCCCAGGTAATCCTGGGCTTAGGAATCCCAACAGAAAGGCCCTGATTGACTCAGTTGTTCCAGTGGGAGTCCTCCTGTCTTTACTGTGTAACACCTGATGGGGATGGGGGTGGGGACAGTTGGCCTTGGTCACACACCCTTCTTGGTGTGGGGGTTGGGGCCACCCCTGACTGTATGGTTAAGGGCTGGGAGGGTGATTCCCTAAAGGAAAACCACCAGAAGAGAGTACGGATTCAGGGTCGGTGAAGTTGACAGATAGTGGCTGCCTCTGGGTTGGGGCTCCTGGTCTCCCGATCCCAGTCCAGGGTCTTTCCCTGCCACTGCCGCTTTGGCTGCACTCTTGCATTCCAGCTTTGCCCAGCTATTCTTGCATTTTGCCGTCAGTGAATGCATAGACTTGAGTAGTTCCTGTGACTCTTTCTTTTGTTTGAGAAGGACGAAGACAGGTAAGAAGCAGCCTGTCCTCCTTCTAGAAGCCTGCTGTGCTTTTAGTAGAGATGGGGTTTCGCCATGTTGGCCAGGCTGCTCTTGAACTCCTGACCTCAGGTGATCCGCCCACCTTGGCCCCAGAATGCTGGGATTACAGGCATGAGCCACTGCACCCGGCCTAGCTTGACTTCTTAAGATGCAGAGCTGTGGGGAACCATGCTTTGAGTTCCTCACCAGAAGATTTACTGTCATATCCTTGGCAGAGAGGAGTGTGCCTTGGTTACTGGAAGGACCAGGAGTTGAACGGTGGTGCAAATGAGCTGTAGCAGCATAATCTACTTCTCAGTCACTGTTTGGGGACCAGCAAATCTACATGGATGGACCCTGATTTCACTGAGTTTATTTAATTTGGATTTATGGCTGCATTCATGTCACATTAAATGATTACCTTCAGCCCAGGTTCCAAGCATTGGAAGACATTGCCTCTCAAAACCCAATGTAAGAGACTTTTAAATACCCACTAGTGTTTAACTTATGATGGAAACTTTTCATACTTCAGTATTTCACCAACTTATATGGTTCCTTTGGAGATCTTAATGATATGCGGCTGTCACTTTAAGTGAGGTACTTTGGCTCTCGGTTATGAATAATCCTTTTTATTTTCTCTGTAACATTGCAAGGGAGCAAAGTTTCATTCATCACTTACCACAGAAGAGTGTGCATTGAGCCGCTAGAGGGCACTCAGTCTTTATTTTTTTGTAACTTGGAATTTCCCTGACCTATATTTTGCTTTTGAATGTTCCTCTGGTGGTGTCAGAATTTTGGTTTGTTTGCTTAATAGATTTGAAAACAGCCATGTAGAAGGGGTCATTGCAAACATGTAATTGTGGTGTTTCCCAGGACACGTGGAGTTAGATTCCTGCCCCGTGGTGCCTGCTGTGCTGCTAGCTGGTCTGGAACATCCTCTCCGACAGACAGCAGCTCCCTTGTCCTGGGTGAGGGTGGTTCAGTCAATCACATGGTGGTGGGGGAGAGTCTAAGGCCATGGAGCAGCTTTTTGGCCACCCTCCAACCACGGAATGGAAGTTCGTGTGCAGGTGGTAAGGGTGCATTTTGCTGGAGAATTAGTGGGACAGTGGGTCAGAGCAAGGCTTTGACAAGGGAGGTGACACTTCTGAAACTGACCCTGGAGGTGACCCCAGCTCAGGGCTCTGGCAAGTCACGGAACTCCCCACTCGGCTTGGGCCTGCTGAACCAGCTCCTGTTCTGGGCTGCCTGCGATCTGGACTCCTGCAGTCCTGGGCTGCCTGGGATCTGGACTCCTGCAGCACAGAGTCCTGTGCTCACTCATCATCCAGTTGCCCCTTGATCTCTGCTTAGGTTTTGTTCATTTTCCCATTCCTGTTTTCAAACTCTTAGGAACAATGACTTTTTACCTACAAATAGTTAGGAATAAAGGCCTTTCAAGTGGGTTTGCCATGTGAATTCTTAGTGTCTAGAGTACCACTAGATACTGACTCATCCTTTATTTTCACGGCCTGATGAAAGGAAGCTACTTTTTGCAACCCTTCTTCAAACCCCAGAGACTGCATCTTTACTAGCGATGGTCCTTCCTTTCCCCTGCCTTTTGGGGCCATCTGTTTACCCCTGTTTGTAACAGGGCCACAGTCTACCCCCAAGGCCCAAGGCCCAAGGCCCAAGGCCTGGCCCGTCCCTGCCTTCCACCAGCTGCCATGAGTTGCTAAGCAACAGCCTCTGCGTGCTGCCCCCTCTCCCTCCTCCCTCAGGACTTCTCTCTCCCACGGAATTGCTGACCCCATAGGTAAATGCAGGCAGCTTTGCTCAGCTGGGCAGTTGCTCAGCGAAATGAGCATTTTCCTCTGTTAGGACCCCTCATCCAGCCCTCTGCTGACCCCTGTTTGCTCAGTGGCAGGCTGGCAGCACAGCTAGGCCCAGGAGGACAGGTGCGTTTCAGGGTGCGGGGGGGAGGTCTACCTGGCACCTGCTGGGGCAGTCGGGCCACAGGGGACTGGTGCTGTGGGGACCGCATTCACGACCCCGTTCACATTTCCAGAAAGGACACGTTGGCCTCCATGCATGTGTCCTGATGTTGAGAGGCCCCTGCTCCCTTCAGCCTAGGAAGACATCTCAATGAAGACCACAGCCCCGTCCTCCACTGAGCTGTTTCCTTATCTTCATTTCTTTCTGTGGTCCTGTCATAGCGCAGGCATCTGATAAAATGTTTGTTGGAAAATGAATCTATGGACGTGGGAAAGTAAAGGTGGTGAAAACATGTCCTTCCTTTCCCCTTGCTTCTATTTTCACTTTTTAATTGGCAATGCGCATGCATATTGAAAAGTTATGTGGCTTGAGGCGACAGATAGCTGCTCAGTGAAACCCTAGGTCAGGACATGGACACCGCAGCCTGGCAGTGCCGGGACTCCCTTGTGTAGTCAGTACTTTTTATTTTTTTGAGAGAAGATCTCACTCTGTTGTCCAGGCTGGAGTGCAATGGCGTAGTCACGGCTCACTGTGGCTTCCACCTTCCAGGCCCAAGTGATCTTCCCACTTCTGCCTCCCATGTAGCTGGGACCACAGGTGCATGCCACCACACCAGGCCTTTTTTTTTTTTTTTTTTTTTTTTTTTTTGTATAGATAAGATTTTGCCATGTTGCCCAGGCTAATCTCGAACTTCTGGACTCAAAACAGTCCTCCTGCCTTGGCCTCCCAAAGTGCTGGGATTATAGGCATGAGCTACCATGTCCAGCTGGTAGTCAGTACTTTTAATCTGTCTGGTGAGGTGACGCTGGAAGTGAGAGAGGGTTGTTGGTGGGGAGGCCGCCTCCTGCCCCAGCCCTATCCCTGTTCATGTCCTGGCCCGCGTGCGTGATGAAGAAGCGAAGCCCAGTGTACTTACTTTGCGGGGAGCTGCGTGCCTGGCGGCCATGGGGTTGGCTGGAGAGCTCCTTCCTCTGTTCTGGGCTGTGATGTTAGTGGTATTATTACTCTGGGTAACAATGTTCTTTTCTGTTCTCTGCGTTATGTATAGAATGATCTCCTTCGGGGTGGAGGAAGGAGGAATTCTGGGGAATATTGTCCCTGTGAGTATATTTGAGCATTATTTGTTCACTGTACAACTTCTGCAGTTCAACTCACCCACAGTGCTGAGAGCCATGGGCTTGAGGGCATGCCTGTCTCTCTTGCGTGTGGAATGTGTGTGGGTTGCATCCTCTTGCAGGGCCCCCTCCAGGCGAGTGCAGAGGCAGTGTGAAGACGTTGGCAGTGACCAGGTGGGATGCGTGGCCTCCCGGGGTTGGGATCAGAGTGCAGGCCCTGCCTTGCCTCCTGAGGCCTGTGCTGTAGTTGAGTGCAGGGCTTTTGAGTTTCTTGAAGCTAAATTGACAGAAAAGTAGACATTTGAGATTTTGTTGACTGTGGTTTTCAGCAAGTGGAGACTGATTGGAGAGTGATAGAGCGTCAGGGAAAAGGAATCTTCAGAGAGGTGGAGAAACCTGCCGTGGTGGGAAGTCTAAGTTTTTCTTTGTCTCTAGCAATCCATGTGGACCATTTCTGGATCACAGTTGGTTCTGGTGTCCTGGGAAACCAGTGACTTAGTCTCTTCCTGCTCTTCTCAGATCTGGCTCTGGGCCAGAGGTGTGTGCTGGCAACCCCATCTCAGGGCCCCGCTGGCCACGAGCTTCTTGGAGCAGCCGTGGAAGAGCTGAGTCTCTGTGCTTTTTTTTTTTTTTTTTTTTGAGATGGAGTCTCACTCTTTTTGCCCAGGTTGGAGTGCAGTGGCGCGATCTCTGCTCATTGCAACCTCCGCCTCCTGGGTTCAAGCAATTCTTCTGCCTCAGCCTCCCGAGTAGCTAGGATTACAGGCGCGTGCCACCATGTCTGGCTAATTTTTGTATTTTTAGTAGAGACGGGGCTTCACCACGTTGGCCAGGCTCTGTGCTCTTCTTCTTAACGCCAGGTTATTTCCCTGAAACCAGGGTCCTGTGGTGGCTCAGCCAGACGCTGATTCCCCTCCCAGTGAGGGAGCCCAGGCCTCTGCCGCAGGGGTGAGAACGGAGGGGCTCCGTGTTGGGAGAGGCACCTGGTCATGCTGCTTGCCGTGGAGGTCTCAGCTTTCCATTCTGTGCTGACTGTGTTACTACTTCAGGCTCCATCAGGGACCTACAGGTGTGTCTTATAATGACTGTTAAACTAACATTTAATTTACTTTAAGTTTTATGGGCAATGTAGGAATACGCGTTTCCTAGCATGTCTCATGGGTGTGGTTACCACGAGTTTGCCAGCACACCCGTATACACTGTGGGTTTCTTTCATTTTTCTTTTTTCTTTTTTCTTTTTTTTTTTTTTTTTTGAGACGGAGTCTCACTGTGTTGCCCAGGCTGGAGTGCAGTGGCGCGATCTCGGCTCACCGAAAGCTCCGCCTCCCGGGTTCACGCCATTCTCCTGCCTCAGCCTCCTGAGTAGCTGGGACTACAGGTGCCCACCACCATACCCGGCTAATTTTTTGTATTTTTAGTAGAGATGGGGTTTCACCGTGTTAGCCAGGATGGTCTCGATCTCCTGACCTTGTGATCCACCCGCCTCGGCCTCCCAAAGTGCTGGGATTACAGGCGTGAGCCACCGTGCCCGGCCTATCGTCACTTTTTAACTTGCCGCGGCTGCCTTCCCAGTTCTGCACACACCGGCTGGTCTCCTCCCATCCCATTGCTCCCCTGCCCCACGCAGGATCTGCCGGGTTCTGCTGAGGTAGCTTCCATTTGCAGGAGCACCAGGATTGTGTCTAATGTTTTGCTGTTGTCGCAGCGCTGCCCCAGACAGCCTTGTGCTCGTCTGTCTGCTCACCGCAGCTGCTCCTACCTGTGTCCTGTGCACACGCATGCTGCTCCCGGTTCAGTTGCTGGCCCAGGTGCTTGTCAGCCAAGTCCTGTTATGTGGCGGAAGTCAGGCTTCCCAGACTCCACCGTGGTTTTTGGAAGACTCCTGGGGCCTGGAGTACAGCGGGTGCTCCCTGGCGGCCGCGCTGTCCTCTGGGCAGGACTATGAGTATAGTTTGGGAAGCACCTTAACCCATAACCACATCGAACATTAAAACAAAGAGATTCGAAACTGAGTTATTTCGTGGCCTTGGTGTGTCTCTTCCTGCTCTGCTTCACCGGTTGGATCTGAGTTTTGGGCCCTGGGGGTCTGGGCTTCCCACCAGGTATCTTTTTAAATGGCCACCTTTAATGGCCTTTTTAAATGGCCTTGTAGGTAGGTTTACTCTCTTGGAAGAAAAAATTGCATAAGTCATGATATAAAGAGTTACTTGAAAAAACTTTCCACACTGTATGCAAATTTGAGACGATGGGGAAATAAAATGCATGCGAGAAGTTCAGATGTGCTTGGAAGGTTTAACTTTTCATCCAGCTTTTCCTCCCCAAGAGGACGCACACAGGCACGGAGGGCTGGCCCCCGAGTGCCCGCTGTCTCTGCTGAAGATAATGGAGCCATTTCTGGCAATTTGTCCTCATTATCAAAATCAGCCTGCGGAGTTTTCCGAGTTCCCATTTACGGAGGAACGGCGTGGAGCTTCACTTACCACTCTGCTGTGTCATCTTTCAGGCTTTTTCTGGGAGGAGGTGGGCAGGGGTTTGCCGTACGGAGCTCTGAAATGGACTGTAAGAGGCACTCAGGGAATCTGGGGAGAGGCATCGGCTTTGAGGACAGCTGGGCCCCTGCAGAATCCTCATCTGCATTTTGCTTTTAGTGAGATGATATTTTCCTGGGGAAGCAGAGCTTGCTAGATCATTTGCTAACTCCCTCCGAGCACGTGAGCTCATTTATAGAAGGGCAGGTTCCTCTGACCAGAGTCTTTGTGCTCCTTGGAGCCACGTTACTGTGGCTGGTTACAGAGGAGCTGCGCGGGCCAAATGGGCGCTGCCCAGGAGGTAGTTGGACTGGGAGCTGTGCCCGCCAGGCTGGGCAGTTGGATCCTCTGAGGGTTGGGGGCTCCCTCTGGCCTTGCCCCAATGCCTTCCACCCATCCACAGGCCCTTAGCAGGGTTTCCACCAGATCCTGCAGCTGGGGAAGCACCTCCTTGGATGGGTTCTGGAAGCTGCTGGGAGAGGCACGGCGGGGATTGGCTCCGATGGTCGTGCAGCTCTGGTGTTAGGGCGGCACTTTCTGGATTTGGTTTCTCCTTGGTCGACAGCATTTTCCTTGTTGTTTTTGTTTTTTTGGGATTCAGAGCGGAACACGAAGTGGCTGAGCAGTCTCTATCCAGAGTGCCCAGCGTTTGACGTCACAGGCCTCTGTGCTGTGTGCTTGGTCCGTAGGTCCCGTAAGTGCCGGCCTGTGCTCTGTGCCATAGGAATTCAGGATACCAGGACATATAGGAGATTCGTTTGCCCAACCTTCATGGCAGCAGAGGCCACAGGAGAGGGAGGGAAGGCGAGCTGCTGGGCCCAAGATGTGGGCCACATGGGGGTGACGGGAGGTGGGACAGGGCCATGGGGGAAGCCTGATTTCTCCGGAGGTCTGGGTTATCCTGGAAGTCCGATGGGGAGTGGTAGTGTCTGCTGCAGTGGAGAGTCCTGTCACCGTGAAGGAGGCTGTCATGAGCCAGGTGGGGACAGGACATGGGCTGGAGACTGGGCTGTGGGCCTCAGGGAAGCCAGGCAGATGACTCAGTGTGCAGGGCTCCCACCCTGGCCTCTGAGTGGGCAGAGGTGGCCCCGTCAGGATGGGCTTGGGGTCTGGCTTGGTGGTTTCATGGTGGGCAAAGGCAAATGGCAGTGTATGTGAAATGACCGTAAGAGACGAGTGGCTATGGACGCTCCAGCACCGCTGTGGCAGGAGCCTGGTGGGTTTCAGAGACTCCAGCGATGCTGGGGCTTCCTCCTGCTGAGGTGCAGGGGCTGAGAGCCCTGGGTCTGCTGGGCCATGAGGTGTCCATGTGGCCTGGGGAGGGGTTGCAGAAGCAGCACAAATGCCAGCTGGGCTGAGGCGGGGCTGGGCAGGTACAGGTGGCCCTGGGAGGAGGCTGCTGGCTCTTTAGGCAGCCCCTGGATGCTTGGGAGGCAGCTGTGGCCTTATAAAGGGCCAAGGCAGTTCTCAGTCCCTGGCTCCAGGGGGACCCCATGAAGGGCTGGCCTTGCCTCCCCCAGGTGCGCCTCCCAGTGTTACCGGGCCTGCATGGAGAATCCTCAGCAGGACCTGGCGGACAGCTTGTGCTTAGTGGGTGTTCGTGAGGCCGCAAGCCAGGTTGGCAGTGTCTGCTCAGGAGCTTCTCGGTTAACAAAACAGCCGGAGTCAGGGAGCTGCAAGACTGGGGCAACCTCAGACCCCAGCTCTTCCGGGCAGGGAAGATGCAAAGATGACTAGTGAGGAGAAGCGTGTTAGGGAGCTCCAAGCACCCCAAGCTGTGAGACCTGCTGGCCCAGGAAGAACAGTGAGGACGAGGCCAGCTGTACCCCCTCTCCTGGCTGCTGGTGCATGCCAGGGCTCTAGATAGACAGCGACACTTTTGGGTGGCACCCTTGCTGCTGTTGCCCCTGAACGGTAACCAGCGGCTGCCCCTGTTACAGACAAGGTGGTGAGGCCTGTGGAGACCTGACTGCGTGGGGGTTCAGGGGCCCACTGCCCCCAACACAGGCTGACACATTCCCTCTCCTACCCCACTGTGCTTCCTCCCAGGCCCGCCAGCGCCAGTACCTCGAGTTCTCGCTGCCCCGCAGAACTCACCTGTGGGACCAGGGGTAAGTCCAGGCCCCCCACGGCCTCCTTCAGAATTCCAGAGTCAATTACTTGCAAGAAAACCCTCTGTCCCCCCTTAAGCACAGTGGATCCCTGCGTGCTTCTGCGTGGCTGGGGAGGGCCTGCTGGCGGCGGCGGGGCTGTCCCCTCCTACCCTGTCTGTGCAGCCTGTCCCTGATGTTCTGACTCCCAGTGCGGGCTTTTAGTGGGGCTGCTGCTTGCAACCCCTATGCTGCTGTATGGGGCGTCTCCACATCTCCCTGGCAGCTGCATCTCATGGTGGCAACTCTCAGGACTGGACGGCCTTTGCTTTTTCTGAGAGACATCGAGGTGTGGTCCTCACCCTCTTTGCTCTCCCAGACTAACTCCACCAGTAGCGGTGCCTGGCAGCTATTGGTGTCCCCTGGCCCTGTCGGCCAAGCAGCCGATGCTGGTGGAGACAGTGGCACTGCTGAGAACCACAAGCTGCTGGCAGTTGCACGTCCGACCGCACAGATCCCCGTGGCGCTGGAACTTCCTGAGTGGGAGGAGAGGCGCCTTCCCGCTGGGCCGTTGCCCGCCAGCGGTCTGAGCTGAGCTCCTGCTTGGCTGCCGTTCTGGAGTCCCGAGACACCCGTGGCGCTCACCTGTGGCTCCAAGGCTGGCCTTAGCTATGTGATTTGCAGTGAGGTCAGATGTGGCTTGTTCCTGCTGATGACTTTGTCTGCCAGCATCATCCTGGAAATTGACTTTCTAGAAAAGTTGACTAATTCAGTATCCATGGCTGTCTCCAAGGAAGCAGCTTTAGTGTGTCATCTGCAGTGGGAAACTGGATCAGGAGTGAAGAATACTGGATTCACCTAAAGGCGCAAGTCTGTGGACGGCCTCCCAGGCTTCCCTGCTGGCCCAACCTGGCATTTTCCCTGGAGCAGTTTCCACGTGACCCCGAGTGGTCACGATACCGTATAGGGTCTGAGGGAAGCTGGGTAGGCCCCAAAGATCTCCTCTGCTCCCTGAAGATGCTGCCAGGGTCCCCTGGGGATGCTTCATGCACCCCGCCCCCCATTCATTCCTCAGTGCCTCTTCATACATTGGGGCCTCTCTGCCAGCACCTGGTGTGGGCCAGCCATCATTGCTGACAGTGAATGTCTCAGGTGCTGGCTGTGTGTACTGGAGTTAGAGTCCGGGTTTGAGATCTGTGTCTTCAGTAGTGCGTGGGCCCCCAGCCCTCCGCATCAGTGTTTTAAGCCGCACTCATTTCCAAATATCTGCAGTATTTATAGAAGGCTCACCGTGTGCCAGGTACTATGCCAAACCCTAGCCAGGATTGTCATTTAATTCTCCTAACAGTCCTGCAGTTTAGGTACTATTATTACCCCCATTTTACAGGTGAGGAGACTGAGGCAAAAAGAGGTTAGCTGACTTGCCTGAGGCTACACAGTAATGCCACATTGGTGCGGGCACTCCACGGTAATGCCACGTTGGCACGGGCACTCTATCCACAGCTGTCTCCAGAGCCCGCGCTGGCCATCAAGATGGTCATTGCCTTAACAGGGAGGTTTGTTCGATAGGAACGCAGGCGGCTAGAACTGGCAGGGCCTTGGAGGTGCTCAGTCCAGTGCTGGCAAGGGACAGAGAGGCAGAGGCCAGGCCGCCCCTGTAGCTTGAGATGCTTTCTCCTTTCTTGCTTGTTTTCCTTGTTAATAATATTCTTATTCAGATATTATGATCTGGGGGAGATCATGGAATCACCTCTCTGTCATTAAATAAAGGAACTTGAGAAGCGGTCCCAGGTTCCAGAGCTGCCCTGGCCAGGAGGCTGCAGGCATCACTCCCTTCCGTGGCTGGATCCAGGGCTACCCCGTTCCCCGGTGTGGCCAGTGCATGTTGGGAGCTTTGTGGACGGACTGGCAAGCTTCTGAGCCCCTCACCTGTGCTCTCTTTCCTTCCAGTTGTCAATTTCCCAGCTGGCGGCCTCCCCGCGGTCCCCGACTCAGCACTGCTTGGCCAGGCCTACTTCACAGCTACCCCATGGCTCTCAGGCCTCCCCGGCCCAGGCAGTAAGTGCCGCCCACCTGCCGCCTTGCCTTCCACCAAGGAATGGCTCCACAGCTCCTCATTTTGGGTTTTTGCACTGTGCCTGTCCTTAGTTAGGTGGCAGAGACCTTGGCGGGTTACCTGGGATGTGGGTGGGAGTGGGGCATTGCTTACTCTGAGGCCTCAGACAGTTGTCACCATTCTGTCTTGGAGACCAAAGAAGAATGTGGCCCATGAGTTCTTCATACCACAGCGCTTGACTCAGATTGTGCTCTACCCATGAAAACAAAGTTAAGCTACCCCTAGGTCTCTACGTGAAAGTAAAAGGAAGGTGTGGCTATATCTATAGACAGGCTGAGACAGGCACCCAGCACCCCAGGACCCTCCTTGCTATCAGCAGCTAAAGGAGGTGAGTGGAGCCCGCCATCCTGGCTTCAGGGTGTGCTCCTGGCTAAGACTGGCATTGCCACTGGCCTTGGGGAATTCCTATGGAGTTTGGTTTCCAAAGTCGGCTGGTTCACCTGCAAACTGCATCTTTGGTCTTAACTGGAATTATGTTGAGGAAAAATAGTTTCTTTTAATTCCTTGTTTGAAAACACTCCTAGCACCATGAGTCTCTGCTGCTTTATCTAAAGCATCTCTGGGGCTCATGTGTTTGTGAAGAGCTTGCCTAGCTTTTTATTATTGGCGCATGAGACATGGTGTGAGGGTGACCTGGTTTCCTCTGGGCTGAAACAGAAAGCTTGGGAATGAAGCTTGAGAGAGCACATTCCCAACTCCCAAGCCAGCTCCTCTCTGAGAGGCCTGCCTCGGCCTTGGAGGGGAGTGGAGGTGGAATACGAGTGAATGACAAGAAGTTTCAGGGGCTGTGGGGACAAGAGACTGTCCAAACACGCCAGCCAGGGGCTCGGTGCCACAGTTTATCTTGGAGTATTGAGGAAGCTTCATCTTTCTGTTCTATAAACATGCTTTGATATGAATTTACCATCTCAGGTGTCAGGTATCTCCCACGGTCCTGACCTGCTCATAAAATTAGGATTCCCTCCTCACCGCTTCTCAACTCACACATTGGATTGCCACGTGAAATATAGGATGCCCAGTTAAATTTGAACCTCAGGTACACAACAAATAATTTTTTAGTGTAAGTATATCCCAAATATCGTAGGGACCATACTTATACTAAAATCATTTGTTGTTTACCTGAAATTCAAGTGTAATTGAACCTTTTGTATTTGCTAGAGCTGGCAACCCTCCAGAGGCAATTAATCGATGAATCCCCTTAGATCTGAGCACCGTTGGTTGTTACGGGTTGGGGTCCTTGGTGGCCTCACTTGGAAGCCCTCGTTTTGTTCAGCAGGAGTTCCCGTTGGAGGCCGGTATCTCCCACCTGGAAGCCGACCTGAGCCAGACCTCCCTGGTCCTGGAAACATCCATTGCCGAACAGTTACAGGAGCTGCCGTTCACGCCTTTGCATGCCCCTATTGTTGTGGGAACCCAGACCAGGAGGTGAGGTGTGGGTCTGGGTGGGATGGAACCAGTCACGTGCTGTGCCGTCAGACTGTTGGACCTTGTGAACCCCAGGGTTTCCACAGGGAGGTGCATCAATGGGTCCCCCCTTTCCCGGGAGGCTACCTGAGGAGTCTCTGTGTCTCAGCTCTGCAGGGCAGCCCTCGAGAGCCTCCATGGTGCTCCTGCAGTCCTCCGGCTTTCCCGAGATTCTGGATGCCAATAAACAGCCAGCCGAGGCTGTCAGCGCTACAGAACCTGTGACGTTTAACCCTCAGAAGGAAGAATCAGATTGTCTACAAAGCAACGAGATGGTGCTACAGTTTCTTGCCTTTAGCAGGTAAATCCTTGAATATTCTGTTACTCATCTGGCTTTCACATTTCCTGTGTTGAAGAGAAACTTCGCTGAGGTTCTGACCTGGCAGAACTGTCTGTGCTGAGGTCTTAGTAGATTCGGGAGTGCCATCTGTTTTTATCTTCTCTTGGCTAGGACCCACCCACAGCATGCTAAATGCTGTGAAAGCTGCTTTACCCCATCTTTTGTGGTCCTTCATTAAAATGTGGACGGTGGGTTGTCCAGGTCTTAGATCTTAGTGTAGCTCCAAAGGCAGCTTCTCTAGCCGGGAGTGTCCTTACACTCGAGAATGCTGCTGTCTGGCCGGCTTGCTGAGAGCACAGCAAAGCGGTTGCATTGGTGACCACGGCAGCCTCTTTACTGTTCCCCAGCGACTAAGGTGCCTGGACCATCCCCTATGCAAACACACATTAGACCCCTCAGGTTCTGTGCCATGGATACTCAGTTAACCCAGAGCTGTTGTTGGATTCAGAGTGGCCCAGGACTGCCGAGGAACATCATGGCCAAAGACTGTGTATTTCACCTTCCAGTTCTACCGCTTCCCACCCGCAACGACGCCACGACTGCAGCTGGTCCAGCTGGATGAGGCCGGCCAGCCCAGCTCTGGCGCCCTGACCCACATCCTCGTGCCTGTGAGCAGAGATGGCACCTTTGATGCTGGTGAGTACTCATGTGCATGGCAAAGGCAAGACATTCTGTACTGAGTTGTGTGTGTAAATTGTCAGTGTTATTAAATAAGTGGTACTATGAAAAGTTTAAAACATATGCAACATTAGAATCATACGGTGACCAGTGCAGCAAACACTTAGCCCCAGCAGCTCTCAGCTGCCTCCCAACCCAGCGTCCTCCCCCAAGCCAGGGTTATTTTGAAGCAAATCCCAGACATTATATAATTTCATGTATGAATATTTCCTTATGTATATCTAAAAAATTAGGAATTCTCATTTGAAAAACATAAACTTAAGGGGTATAGCCCATCTAAAATAATAACTCCTAATATCATCAAATATCTAGCCAATGTTAAAATTTTGCTAGTAACCTCATAACATTTTTTTAAGTTTGTCCAGAAATAAGGTCCATACTGGTCATGGAGCAGTGTGACTCTTCAGTCTCTGTCTGCAGTTGCTGCCACCGTACCTGTCTCTGTTGTTTCTTTTTTATGTATTTATTGAAGAAGCCACATTGTACTGTAGAGCGTCCACCCCACAGTCTGGATTCTGTTTTTGTATCCTGGTGGTAACATAAAGGTGTTGTTCTGTCCCCTCTTTAGCTGTAAATTGGGAGTTAGATCTAGATGCATGATTAGATGCTTTTTTTTGTTTTTGGCAAGAGTTCTTTGTAGCAGGTGACGTTTGCGCCACCTCCTGCACCTCCGCTGCGCCCTTGGCGTCTGCTTGCTTCTCTTTGTGTTGCGTCAGCAGCCATTGTGCCCACCGCTGTGTCATTTGTGCAGAGGTGACGTTCTGCTTCTAGAACACCTCCCTTGTTTGTTAGCTGGGATGCTTCCAAAACCAGAAACTTCCTGGCATCAACTTTTTGCTTACCTTGAGGTGCAGTTTGTATAGGAAAGGCTGGATAATACTTGATTCTTCCCTTTATTTGCCAATTTCTGAAGTAATTACATGATTCCCTGGCATCCTTCAAGGATGGGGACTAATGACTTTTTTTTTCTTCGGGTATCATTGTAAACGAATAGATTGAAGCTACATTGAATAGAAACACACCTGACATGTTGATATTTTTATTGATGGTCAGTTTCCCCATCTTGGTCAGTGACTCAGCTCATAAGGGACCCAGCTGGGGTCTGAAACACTGCCGCCTCTCGAGGTAGAAAGTGGCAGATGGGAAAAGTGATGTTAAAATGCTGACCTCAAATGAAGTAGCCTAACAGTGGCACCTGACAGCAGAGACACAAAGCAAATGCAGCGCTAGGGATCAAGGAGGCTGGTAAACAATAACCAAGAAAGTAATTCACTAGGAAAAGAAACAGTTCTGAATCCGCGATCTTCTAACATACGTAGCCTCAAGATAGAGAGGAGAACTTGATGGACTTATAAGGAGAAATTGGCAAACCTCCACAATCATGGGAGTTCTAGACATACTTCTCAGTAGATTGATCAAACAGAAACAAGTTAATAAGGATATTATAAAATACAGTTTAAAAAGGTGATCTGAGAAAACCTGTACATCCCGTTTAGAGAATATGCATTATTTTAAAGCATACTTTGAAACTTAGAAAAACTGATCATCATTCATATATATTTTTTAGCTCACCAAGCAGGCATCACCCTATACTGAGAGAATCGGTATCAAATCTAATTTTATAACTTTCTCTGGCCATAATGCCACAAGATCAGAAGTCAGTCACTCCCTCCCCTACAACCACTCTGAACTGCTTTTATTTTTTTAATTTTAAAATGTGCTTCTAATTATTCCATGAGTCAATGAAGACCTCAAAATAGAAATGCGTAATTATTTAAAACTGAATGACAAAATAATATTGCATATCAAAACTTAGGAGATGCAAGTAAAATTGTAATTACAGGGGAATTTACAGTTTTAAATGCCTATGTTGGTGAAGAAGAAAGGTACTCTTTAAGATATTGTTTTAATTGTTCAACTTAAGAAGTTTTGGGGAGAAAGACAGAACAAACCCAGTAAAAGTAGAAGGAAAAAAATTTGATAAGTGTAAATGCTTAGAAGACAAAACAATAGAACGGGTCAACCAAACAGTTGGGCACCAGGGTCACCAGGTACAACAGGGCATGCTTCTTGTTTCTTGTCCATGGGCACAGTCGGTCAAGAGAGGCAGATGGCGGAGATGAAAATATCACTTTCTTTATCATGCATTTATTCATGATAAAGAGGGTGTAGGACTTGGTTGGTCTGAGAGCCAGCTGTGCCCACTGGCGCCAGCCCCTGATGTGGATGGCCTTTGATGCAGGTGGAGGTTGGCCAGACAGCAGCAGGCTTTGCACCTGGGGTGAGCCCTCGCCTCTCTGCATGCCTGGAAGCACATCTCGGACTGTTGCATTCTCTCCTGTGGGCAGATCTGAAAAGAAGAGAGTGGGGAGGAGGAGTGAGCAGCCTAGTTAGTTAGTTAGCTCAGTTAGGCTATTCCCCATCCCCAGTCAGTTGAGCTGCTCTTGCCCTGAGAGGCATGGGGGCTGGGCAGAGAGAGGCCACAGGAAGTTCCTTTGCATAGAGGTGTGAAGCCAGGGAAGGCTGTGCTCCTACAGCATTTCCAGGGTTTGGTTTTCTCAACTCACTGGCCTTCATCATTACGTTTATGGCCAACCAGGGGTGTGGCCTTTGTCTTTGGGGGAGGGGGCTGGTCACCACCAGGGCGGTTCCAACCTTCCTGAATCACTTCAACTAAGCCAACCACCTTTCCTTTTTCAGTCCTCCTGAGGCCTTTGGTAGACAGTCCAACTGATGTCCCCAGAAGGCTGTAAAATGGATCAGACTAATGCATTTGTCTCAAGGCTCCTCTGTACCCACTGCTGAAGACTCATTCCCCACTCTGTTTCCCATTCCAAATTCCATCCAGTCATTTTATCCAGCACAGCTCATCAGAGGCTCTGCAACGAAGTTAAATGATAGCGTTGAGACCATTCAATAAAAAAGGCCAACCACTTAGAGATGCTCCTGACTTGAATATAAACCCCTTTCCATGATGAATTTCCCAGAGAGGAATTAAAGTCCCCAAATTAAATTTCCTTGCAAGTTGAAGTCCAAAGAAATGAAACTCCAAAATCAAATTTTTCTTGTCATTATGAATTAAAATTCACAGTCCAAAATTCTTAAGTTGAAGTCCAAAAAAACCCCACCCGACTGATTTCAATTTCTTACATATCTGAGTCTCTGCCTGGGCAGGTCTGGGCTTCCTTCAGCAGCCGCAGCTTGTGGGAGGGTTCTCCCTGGACGGGCATGGTTCCCTAGGGCCTTGGTAGTTGCATCAGTTCAGGACTGAGCCTCTCATAAGCCTCACTTAAAAGATATTTGTTGTTGTTGTTGAACTGTAACATGCGTACGGTAAAGACAGATTGCCAGTGCATGGTTCCATTATTTTTAAAAATTAGTAATTTTATTTTTTTAGATCAGTTTTAGGTTTACAGAAAAATTGAGTAGCTGGTACAGAGAGTTCCCGTAGGACCTCCCCCCACCCCAACAGTTTCCCCTATTACTAACATTTTGCGTTGGTGTGACATATTCTTTTTTGTTTTTTTTTGGGTTTTATTTGAGACAGGATCTTACTCTGTCACCCAGGCTGGAGTGCAGTGGCACAATTATGGCTCATGGCAGCCTCGACCTCCTGGGCCCAAACAATCCTCCCACCTTAGCCCCCACATAGCTGGGACCACAGGCATGCACCACCATGCCCAACTAATATTTTTTTTGTAGTTTTTGTAGAGATGGGGTTTTGCCTTGTTGCCCAGGCTGGTGTTGAACTCCTTGGCTCAAGTGATCCTCCTGCCTCAGCCTCCCAAAGTGCTGAGATGACAGGCGTGAGCCACCATGTAACAAATGTAACATTTGTTACAATTGATGAACCAGTATTAAAAAATTATTATGAACTAAACTCATAGTTTACACTAAAGTTCATTCTGCATTATACAGTCTGTGATTTTTGACAAATACATGACATCATGGATCCACCATGATGGATCATACAGAATAGCTTCATGGCCCTACACCTCCCCTGCGCTCCACCTATTTAGCCCTCCCCTCCTCCCCTGGCACTACTGTTCTTTTGACTGTTTCCATGTTGCCTCTTCCAGAATGTCATACAGCTGGAATTATGTAGTATGTAGCTTTTCAAAACTGGTTTCTTCCCCCCAGCACTGTGCATTTAGTTCCTCCATGGCTTTTTGTGTCTCGCTCACTCACGTATTGGATTGCTGAATGATACTTCATTGCACGTATGTGCCACAGCCTGTTTTTCCATTCACCTCTTGAAGGGCATCTTGGTTGTTTACAGTTTTTGGCAATTTTGAATGAAGCTGTCAGAAACATTTGTGTACAGGGTGTTGTGTGTACATAATCTTTCAACTCACAGGTAAATACCAAGGAGTGTGATTGCTGGATCACGTGGTAAGAGTATGTTTAGTTTTGTTAGGAGTCACCATACTGTCTTCCAAAGTGGCTGGGCATTTTGCATTCCCACCAGCAGTGAATGAGGATTCTGGTTGCTCCATATCCTCACCAGCATTTGGTGTTGTCAGTGGTTTGGATTTTAGCCGCTCTAGCAGGCAGTGCAGTGGTGTCTTGTTGTTGTAATTTGCAGTTCTCTAGTGACCTATGATGTGGAGCATCTTCTCATGTGCTTATTTGCTGTCTGTGTATCTTCTTCCCTGAGATTTCTGCTCAGATACCTGAACAGATGTCTTTTTATATTTTGGATGCAAGTCCTTTATCAGATACGTATTTTGCAAATGTTTTTTCCCTATCTATGGCTTGTCTTTTTATTCTCTTACCAGTATGTTTGGCAGAGTGAAGTTTTTCATTTTAGTGAAGTCCAGGTCATTAGTTATTTCTCTCATGGATTGTGCATGGGTTGTATCTGAAAAGCCATCTCTGAGGTCACCTAGATTTTGTTCTGTGTCGTCTCCTAGGAGTTGTATAGTTTTGTGGTTTACATTTAGGTCTGTGATCCATTTTGAGCTAATTTTTATAAAAGGTATAAATTTTACCAAGTGAACACACCTGCGTAACCACCTCCCAGCCCGGAAGGGGCTCTGGAACAGGATGCAGAGGCCTCCCTCACCGCAGTCCTTCACCTCCCCCAAGGGAACCACCCTTCTGAATTCTGCCACTGTACATCAGTTTTGCCCCTTTTTGGACTTCGGTGGGATCATGTTTTATGTTCTGTTTTGAATCCCACTTCTTTTGCTGGCCTCTTGTCTGTGGGGTCCCTGTTCTGTCTATAGCAGTAGCGTTTCTGTTTTCCTGGCTGTAGAGAAGCCCAGTGTCGGGTGATTCTGTGATGCTTCTCCATTCAAACAGGCGTTGGAATGGGTTCTAGTTTTTGGCTCTTCTGCATAGTGCTGCTGCGAGTGTGCTTTTGGTGCGCACGGCCGTTGTGTTAGAGATATGCCTGGTAGTGAACGGCTGGGTTGTGGAGCAGCACCTGTTGTTAGGTTTAGTGGATCTGCCAAGCAGGTTTCCCTCGTGCTGCGCCAGCTTCCACATCCATCAGCAGGAGACAGGCAGCCCAGACAGCGCCATGTCCTCGCCAGTCACGTGGTGATCGCTGGTTTTCTTTGTTTCTTTGAACCATCCTGATGTAGAGGCATCTCGTGGTTGGAGCTTCCTTGATGATACCGAGTGCCTTTCACAGGCCTGCTGGCCTTAGGGGTATCGTCGTTCATGAGGCATGTGTTCAGGTCCCCTGCCCATTTTCTAGTGTGTTGTCTGTGTGTGTGTGTGTGTGCATGTGTGGGTTTGAATTGATAGGCATTCTTTCCGTATCCCGTCACCAGAGTTAATAGGACATGTAAGATTTTAAAGCACTGGCCCCATACCCACCAAATTTAGACAAGCCAATTCCCAGCCCTGAATAGTTGTCCTAAGGAAAATTATGTTCTCAGAATCCAAAATTTGACATTGCCAGAGACTCAGGTGTCTGAGTGAATGCGCGTAGATGGGAGAATGCCTTGGTTCCAGCTTCCCAGGCCTTTGCCATGTCCCGATCAGGAGGAAGATCCACTCAGAGAGCGGCATCTGAGGCGTGGCTGTCTGCCCGGCAGAGCCGCTGGGGGGCTCGTGCCAAGGCCCTGCACGCTGGTCCTACTGAACTGAAGCTTCCGGCAGCCACGCCCGTGAGCCTGGAGGAGCCAAGGAGCCCAGGGCTCCCGAGAGTGGTTTTCTCCGTGTTTGGGTGTTTGGAGCTGTGAGTGGCCTTTCTTCTCATCACCTCTTCTTCCTACACTTTTTGGGGGGCTCTGCCGAGGGCGTGGTCTCCCCTGCGTGTGTTGGTTCCCTCCTTGGCCCTGGGCTTGGTGCCTTCAACCCTTTTTGTTTTCTTCGCTCCTGTCCTGGCCTTTTGCTTCCTAACATGTTCCTCCTGGTGTTTTTGTCTTGTGGGGGCCCTCCTCAGTGTGAGAGCTGAAGTAATTGAATTTTGGATCAGCCAAGAGCATCTGTTCTTCCAAAGAACGCGGTCCATTTCCTCTCCCTGGGCTGTCCCAGCCGAGAGGCATCTCCATCAGACCAGCCTCCAGTCCTGCTCCGGGCCACCTAGCACAGCCTTGCCGTCTCTTCCTTAGTGGATCTCCTCTTTCCCGGGCCTTCTGCGAGAGCCCTAATCCCATATGTCCCCACCTGCAGAAACCGTGCCATGTTTTGGAACATTGCTTAACTGTTTATCTTGAATTATTTGAAAGTAAGTTGTTGACATGCATGGTAACACTCTACCTCTAAATAAGCAACGTGCATCTCTTAAAAATAAGGTACCCTTTTATATATGTGCAATTCTAGTATCACATTTAAGATAACACAAATTTCATAGTACCATTTCCCCATTTGTCCCCCATGTGTATTTTTTTGATCTGGGATCCAGCCCGGTTTCCTGTATTGTATTTGTAATTATCACTTTAATCTCGTAGTCGCCTGCATTCTTTTCCAGTGACACTGGCTTTCAGGAGAGACCAAGTGAGCTGTCTTGCAGAACGTCCCGTGTTCCGGGCTTACCTGGTTGCTTCTTCATGTTGTTGAACTTGTTGCTTTATCCCCCGTAGTTCTTGAATGCCGGGAGCGACGGCTGAAAGCTGTTTGATTCTGGATCTCAGCATGAACACTTCATTGTCAGTGCTGTGTGCTTCACAGCCCACCACCTCAGGAGGCGCGAATGTCAGACTATCTCATTGTTACGACGCTGATTCGGTTGCTTGGTTAAGGTGCCCACCCCCAGGTTTCTCCTGTAGAAAGAGAGTTTTTTCCCTTTGAACTGACTGAAGAATTCTTGGCGACATTTTTTGGCTTCATGCAAATATCTGGTCCCCAGCAACCTTCCACCTCTTGTTTTAACACCCTGGGCTGAGCTTTGCTTGCGTCAGTTATTTAATTGGTGTTTTTGAAATGGTAATTTGTCTAATTCTATCATTTGGTCTGCTCTGCCTTTATTAGCTCACATTCTTTGTTAAAAAAGAACTTTCCCTACCGATAAGCGATGAACTACATATACATGCTCCACAAAGACAGGACAAAGGTTTAATTCTTTCCCTTTAATTGCCAGTTTTCAGAGTGAGAAGTCGGTGGAATAGTTAGCCCAGCAGTGGGATCCCAGTGTTAGGTGTCCGGCTGTTTTGCTTTGTCTTTGGAGCGTGGCTGCGGTCTCCTGCATCTTCATCGATGCATGGGGTTGCACTCATTATTATTCCGGGAGCCCTTCCGGCCTTTCACCGGCTCTGATTGGACTTTGAGCGCGTCCTGCTTTCTGGAGCAGTGCCGGTTCCAGGCTCATCTTGTGCTCTCCCTGCCGCCAGCCAGGGCCCGTTTCTCTGAGGAGCCTGGTCTGCCTGAATGGGGATGACATTTCAGAGATCAGGATATGGGGTGCTTTGATTCTGGGTCTTCTTGCTTCAAAACCTTTCACCAGGAAGAGCTGGGAAAATGTAAAATGTGAGTTCATGTTGATCTTCCTAAGTCAGATTTAGAATTTTTCTCATAAATTTCCTTCTATTATTTGTATGTGTCTTACACAGAAAATCATGGTTTCTCATCATGTATTTACTTATTTATCTTGCCTAACAACGTATAGAATGCATTTTCACAATGACACTGCTGATGTTAATTGTTGACTTAATGTCAACAGTGCGTGTCCTGCTGAAGTCAGATTCTTCGCAGCTCCTTTTGGCCTCTGTCCCACCGAGGGTTCAGAATTGGTTTAGTGTGACCAAAAGCCCTCAAAATAATTCTTAGCTCCAGTTTGATATTCAGTATGATTCATTTATTTTAATTTGTTTTCACTTTTATGTTTGCTTTCCTTTTTAATTTTTTTGGACTATTTACATGGTTGAAAGTTGAACACCGTAGCCCAGTGTGTGCTCGGGCCTCCCTGCTCCCCTCATCCCTGTGGGCTCCTCCCCCTGCCCAGCCTCCTAACAACAGTAACCAGACTTTTCGTTTCTGGCTGACCCTTCCAGTGTTTTTACTGATTTGTTTTTTCAAAAATAAGCAAACATTTACATTTTATTTTCCCTGTTTTCTAATTCAGTGGTAACATACCAAATACACTCTTCTGCTCCCTGCTTTTTTCAGTTAATGTCATAGCCCAAGTTTGGCTGCGCAGACGTCGCCTGTGCCCGTCTCTACGGTAGCTGCGTCATGCTCTGTGGGCTGCACAGACGTCACCTGTGCCCGTCTCTACGGTAGCTGCGTCATGCTCTGTGGGCTGCATAGATGTCGCCTGTGCCCGTTTCTACGGTAGCCGCATCATGCTCTGTGGGGTGGTTATGCTGCTCTTTATTCAGCCGGTCTCCTAATAGACGTTTGTGTCATTTCTAGTATTTCGCTATCTCAGCAATTAGTAACCTTGGTTCTTTCTGGTTCTGGAAAGGGGATAATGGAATCACAGGCTTCAGTGGTGTTGACAGACACTGCCCCACACCCTCTCTCGGGTGCCGCTGCCCGGGGCCACTGGCAATCCGTGGGGCTGCTGGTTTCCTCCTGCTCACCGTCAAAATGGGGCGTTAACGGGTGGTATTTTTACAGTCCCATAGATGTGAAGTCCATCTTAATGCAGTTTTTTTGTTGTGTTTTGTTTTGTTTCTGTTTGAAACGAAGTCTTACTCTGTTGCCCAAGCTGGAGTGCAGTGGCGCGATCTTGGCAAACTGCAGCCTCCACCTCCCGGGTTCAAGTGATTCTCCTGCCTCAGCCTCCTGAGTAGCTGGGACTACAGGCACCTGCCACCATGCCCAGCTAATTTTTGTATTTTTTTTTAATTATACTTTAAATTCTAGGGTACACGTGCCCAACGTGCAGGTTTGTTACATTTGTATACATGTGCCATGTTGGTGTGCTGCACCCATTAACTCATCATTTAACATTAGGTATATCTCCTAATGCTATCCCTCCCCCCTTCCCCCACCCCACGACAGGCCCCGGTGTGTGATGTTCCCCTTCCTGTGTCCATGTGTTCTCTTTGTTCAGTTCCCACCTATGAGTGAGAACATGCGGTGTTTGGTTTCTGTCCTTGCGGTAGTTTGCTGAGAATGATGGTTTCCAGCTTCATCCATGTCCCTACAAAGGACATGAACTCATCCTTTTTTATGGCTGCATAGTAATCCATGGGGTGTATGTGCCACATCTTCTTAATCCAGTCTATCATTGATGGACATTTGGGTTGGTTCCACGTCTTTTCTATTGTGAACAGTGCCACAAGAGCGAGGAGATGACGGTCCAAGACAAGGCTGCCTTTCCATCTGTTCATTTCTACTGTGTGTCTTTCTGAAGAATTTTAAAGTTTATGTCATATGGGTTTTGCTATTGTTTTGTTTTCTAATTGATTAAATTTTGTGTTTATCTTTACCGTCCCCTCATTTCTCCTTGATTTTTGGTATTCTTTACTATCTTCCTATTTTTTTTTTGAGCTGCTTAATTCATTTATCTTAATTCTTTTGTTTGTGTGGATATACCAGGATTCAAGGCTATGAATTTTCCTGTGATTACTGCCTTAAGATTGTTGATACTGATAAGTAGTATTTTCATTATTATTATTGTTTCCAGAAAATCTTTTTTGATTGTGTTTTCCCTTTGACAGAAAGTTATTTATGAGTAAGTTGCAAATTTGTTTCTTAAAAAATTTTACCTTTTTTTTTTTTTTTGAGACTGGGTCTTGCTCTGTAGCCCAGGCTGGAATGCAGTGGCGTGATCTCAGCTTACTTCAACCTGCACCTCCTGGGTTCAAGTGATGGGCCTCAGTCTCATGAGTAGCTGGGGCTACAGGCATGCACCACTATGCCTGGGCAGTTTTTGTGTTTTTTGTAGAGATAGGGTTTCACCATGTTGCTCAGGCTGGCATATTAATTTCTAGTTTATTGCATTATGTTAAGAGAATATTATTTGTAGTATTTCTACTTTATGGAGTGCAGTTTTTTGTGGCCTGTGGGTGGCAAGCCAACCAGGTGCTGAGGCAAGAGAACGAGGACATGAGCTGTTCCAGTATAATAAAATATAAAACAAGAATAGTTATACCAGATATAGATCTTAGATGTGTTTATATATGAGTATCATTAATCATTAGTTTGTAGCAATTACTCTGTATTCCAATATTATAATAATCCTCGCTCTACGGTCATAACCTAGGAAAAACCAGGCCATACAGAGATAGGAGCTGAGGGGACACAGTGAGAAGTGACCAGAAGACAAGAGTGTGAGCCTTCTGTTATGCCCAGACAGGGCCACCAGAGGGCTCCTTGATCTAGAGGTAATGCCAGCGTCTGGGAAGACGCCCGTTGCCAGGCGGACCATGGTCTAGCGGTAGCGAAAAGTGTCAAGGAACAACACCCGCTACTTAGCAGACCGGGAAAGGGAGTCTCTCTTTCCCCGGGGGAGTTTAGAGAAGACTCTGCTCCTCCATCTCTTGTGGAGGGCCTGACATCAGTCATGCTCGCCTGCAGTTATCCGGAGGCCTAACCGTCTCCCTGTGATGCTGTGCTTCAGTGGTCACGCTCCTAGTCCGCCTTCATGTTCCATCCTGTCCACCTGGCTCTGCCTTCTAGATAGCAGGAGCAAAATTAGTGAAAGTACTAAAAGTCTCTGATATGCAGAAATAATGGTGTAAGCTGTCTTTCTCTTTGTCTCCTCTCTCTCTCTGCCTGGGCTGCCAGGCAGGAAAGGTCCCCCTGTCCAGTGGACACGTGACCCGCGTGACCTTACCTATCATTGGAGATGACTCACACACTTTACCCTGCCCCTTTTGCTTTGTATCCAATAAATAACAGCGCAACCAGACATTCGGGGCCACTACCGGTCTCTGCGCATTGGTGGTAGTGGTCCCCTGGGCCCAGCTGTCTTTTCTTTTATCTCTTTGTCTTGTGTCTTTATTTCTACACTCTCTCGTTGCCGCACACGGGGAGAGACCCACCGACCCTGTGAGGCTGGTCCCCACAGTGGCCTAATACATGGTTCGTTTTTATTAATGTTCCAAATACACTTGAAAAGTTGTTTTTTCTGTCACTGGGGTGCTGCGTTAAGGTCGATCCCTGCACCCCACACCCCTGCCACCGTGGGAGTTGGCCACTCTGCTCTTCTAGATTGTCACTCATTCATCGTTGCCTGGATCTGCCTTTGAATGGAGAGTGGTTAGTTTCTACCATTACTGTGTTTTCTGTTTCCTCAACCCCAGAAGCAGTGAGGATTCCAGCCGGGCTGGGGCGTGGTGTTTGTGAAGGGGGTGCAGGAGGTGGGCTTGGGGAGGACAGGGCCACTGCCCCTGGGAGTCTTCTTAGTTCAGTTGGAGGCCAGCTTCCTGGACTTCTGAGTGGGATGGAAATGACACAGGGTGGACTGTGGGGAGCTTGGACCTCAGGGGTGGCCACGGAGGAGCCACTTGTCTCAGCTGGACAGGGAGGGGAGAGGTCTGAGGCTGCAGTGGGGAGAGTACGCGCGTCCCAAACACAGCTCGACCCAGTGGGACCCTCTGTCTTGTCTCCTGGGGAGCTCCTTCCAGTGCCCCGCTGGACCGGCCCCCATTCTGTCACCACTATACCCCAGCACTGCCAGGGCCTTTCAATGCTACCATTAATTCACTTACTCAGCAAACAAATAACTGCGCCCCCACCATGTGGGAGGCCCTGCACAGGGTAGTGCTGGGAGAACTGGACAAGCAGGGCCCCACCCTTAAGGAGCTCTGGGTTTCAAAACAGGGAGACACTGATCCCAGAGCTGACAGCATGCTGAGAGCTCCTGGAGTGGGGGGCAGGAGCATGCTAGGCACGGGGCCATCCTGGTCTAGGCTCCTCTGACCAGCCTCCCAACTCTCACCCACTGTCCGACAAGCCCCAGTGGGATGATCCCGGTACCTCAGTTGGAAATGCAGAAATCACCCATCTTCTGCGTCGCTCATGCTGGGAGCTCTCACTAGATGCCACAGTCCAGGCAGGGGTGGGGGCTGTGTGGCTGGTCACCTCTGAGGTGCCACACTGGGGACATGCCTGCCCTTGCGTGATGTTAATCACCAGCTCCTCCTTGGTCTTCCTCCAGATTCCTTATTTGCCTTTCTGCCCCAAGATGCCCCCGTGAGCTCCTGCTGTGGCCAGCGCCGGGCCTGAGCAGTGGGTCCTTGCTCCACCCCCTTGGGGCCCACCCTGGGCCCTGCACTCTTCGCTCCCCCTAGGTCCCCTGTCCGGACACATTGTGCTTACTCCTTGTCCTCTGGTCTTGAGAAACGCAGATGGAATGTGGTCTGTGGTCATCCTGTGGGGCTGGAGCCTGGGTGGAGAGGACCTGTGGCCAAATTTCAGCCTGGCTTGGGGCCTGGCACTGGAGGTGCTGAGTAAACCTTCGCTCCTTCCTCTGCTCGTTGGGGGCTGTGGGAATGTTGTCACCATTATTGATAGAAAGAGAAATAATGTTGTTTTGAAATGCTTCTCACCATTGCTGTTCCTCGAATTTTAACTAAGGATGGTTTGAATGGCATTTTTGTCAATTTAGAATTAATGATAATGTCACTTCAAGAAGATGAAGGCAGGGGCCGCAGTCCAGTTCCCATCTCTTAGCCTGATGACCAGGGCAGACCGCACGGGAGGAGCCCGGGATACCCACGGGGCAGGTGCCGTCCTGCTTTAGGGCCAGGAGAGGGGCTGCTGGGTGTCCCACACATCATTCTAAGCCTGATCTCGGTTTGAGCTCTGCCTGTGTGTGTGAACATGCCAGTTTTGACAGCAGATGTAGACTACATTTTTTCTTAAATTCTACACGCCCAGAATAATAAACTCCCTAGCCAGCCTCATAAGGACATTTGTTCCCATCCATCTTAGGCTGTTACAAGGACTTGGTGAAACCATAAATCTTATTTTGGGAGGAGTTTATTGTTTCTATGCGAAAGAAATGTAGTCTTCTGAACATGACTCTTCATTCTGTTAATTTGAATATTTTATGATGTTTTTGATTAATGTGTTTATTAACTGTAGCTATGACAGAAGCAGAAATTAGTAATCATGACCAGAGCTGAAATCTCTTCCAAGTGTAAAGATGATGAATGACTCCAATTACTTTTGGCCTCCTTTGGTGCCTCTTTGACAGGGTCTCCTGGCTTCCAGCTGAGGTACATGGTGGGCCCTGGGTTCCTGAAGCCAGGTGAGCGGCGCTGCTTTGCCCGCTACCTGGCCGTGCAGACCCTGCAGATTGACGTCTGGGACGGAGACTCCCTGCTGCTCATCGGATCTGCTGCCGTCCAGATGAAGGTAGCGGCTCTCTGGAAGGACAGGCACAGTGGGTGCTGCGTCCCTCATGGGACGAGTCACGCTTCCAGCGTCTGTCTGCTTGGAAGGAGCGGGCGCTATCCCGCACAGGACTTGTTTGACCTTCTTTGTTCACTCGTTAAAAATAGTGCTGCATTCTCTGTTTCTTGAAAGGAAAAGATTTTTCACTGTCTGAATTCTATAATGCTAGTTGTTTGCTCAAGAAACTCTTAAGATCAAACTCAGTTATCTATTTCTCCTGCAAACTGACCTACCAGGCAGTGTCACTTCATCTCCTCCCATGTGGTGAATGTGGTGAGGGCAGGTGCATCCGAGGTGGGTTGAGGATGAATGAATGGATACGCGAATGACTGGGGTGTGCAGTGTGACCTGATTCCTAAGGTCAGTGACGTGTTGTTCTTTTCTCATTCTGGTGAAAATTAGAATCTCTTTTACTAATTGTCCTTTTCCATTCTCCTTGTATACTAAAACCTAAATCCATGGATTCTTTCACTCGTCTTCCCTGGAATTCTTCCCAAGCCTTCTCCATTGTATGAAGGGGACCCCATGACAACTCTTGGGCCAAGGACTGGGGCCAGTTTCACACGCTACCATGGTGTCCTGAGACTTCTCTCAGGCCACGGGACGGAGCTGGGAGAGGATGTGGCGTCATTATTGCAGCCCCTGAGTCTCTGAGATTTCCCCACTTTTCTTGAGTGCCGCATAGCTGCTTTCCTCCTGGATTCCTGACACGGCTGAACCCCCGGGGCTTCCTGTCCTCTCCAGCAGCTGCTGACCCCTGAGAAGCACGGCTCCTCTGCTCCTTCAGCTGCGCTGTGCTCTCGGGGTGGGGGGATGGGGTATGGGAGTTTTTCCAGCTGCTCTTCCTCTGAGGCATGGTCTGCTCTTGGCTCCCCGTGTGACCGACTGATCCAGGCTCCATCCCTGCTCCCTGTGACTTCTAGAGGAGGGGGATGCCCCCCAGGGTGGTGGGCTGTGCACAGAACGTTCAGGGTGGGGTCTGCAGGTGGCAGGGACTCCGCAGGGCTTGGCTGCTCTTCTCATGCCTCACCCTGGGCCTCTGTTCCTGTTGGGGTCATGGCAAGGGCCCCACAGGGTCATCGTGGCCCTTGCTTGTCCGTCTCCCATGCTGGCTTTGATGTCCCCAGGGCAGGACTGTGTGTCGACACCACAGCATCTCTAGCACAGGCCTCAGCCCCAGCAGGCTCTGCATGGTGGGGAGGCGTAAAGGAGGCAGGCGGTGTGGGAGGCAGAGCCGGGTCCCGCTGGGCATGTGTGGGGTGGCAGTGGCTCCCCTGTCGTGCCCAGCCGAGCCTTGTGCCCCCTCTTTGCTGTGCCACCTGGAGACGGAAGCCATTTGATCTCCCCCTACACGAAGAGCCCCTTAAACAAGTGCCGTTACGCTTGTTGACATAGACTTGAATAAATTAAATTTAAAGCTTCACTTTTCTAAAATAAAATCTTGTAACTTTAAAACTTAGGTAGAAAACGTGAAAAACTGAGATGATCAGAGAGAATCCTCTGGACTCCAGATCCTGGGAGAGTTAGGTTGCTCCGGTTAGCCTTTGGTGGACTTACTTTCTGCAGGCGGGGCCAGCTTTCATCTTGTTTGAGCTCTTGCTGTTGCGGGTCACTACAGTGGCTTTTCCTTCTGCTAATCACTGCTGTGGACTTCTTGAAGTTCAATTTTACCCCCATCTTCTAGTTGATTTCCTGGGGGTGCTGGCCGTAACACGTTGCTACGACGATGAGAAGAGTTTCCTCTAGGGACGGACGGCTCCTGTGCTGCCTTCAGTGTGACCCCTAGCCCAGCCCTGGGGCAGTTCTGTTTTTATCCTTGTTTCTGGTGGAGAAAACAGAGGCCCAGGGTCACACTGATGATCATCAGGGCAGAGTCTTAGCCTAATTCTGTCTCCGGGGCTTGTGCTATTTACCATCCTCTTCTCCCTAATGACATGTTCCCGGAAGTAGAATTCTGATGGTGCCACCGTGAGGGCCGCAGGCATGCAGAGCCAGATGGGGGTTTGGCCCGAAGGCTCAGCCAGGCCTGCACTTCCTGAAGACAGAGGGCACTGTGTCCCATGTCCTTGGCTTCACAGTGTGTCAGCCTTTAAACCAGTCGCCAGTGGCCATTTTGATAATGATTTGGGAGGAAAATGGTGCCTTGTTTTCATTCGCATTTCCTTGCCTCTTGGAGAAGCTGACATGGTTTCTTGTATTTGTTGGCTGTTCCCTAAAGGAGACTTCTCATATCTTCTCAGTCTCCCAGTGACTGAGGTTCCGGAATCATCGATGTCTATGCAGTGATCGTATGCAGTGTAGACGAGTGTGGCAAAGCGACCAGGGTCTGCGGCGACCGGAAGCCCCCAGACCCACAAGGGAAGGGTCAGGTCTGGCGTCTCACTCCCAGAGACAGGCACTTTTGTTGCTGTAGAAACTGGAGAATTACAAAATCCGGAACCTCATCTGCTCCCACACTGCTTCTTATGTGAGAGGAAGCACCAGAGCAGAGAGGGCACGGGGGAAGAGTGTCCCAGCCACGCCTGGGGCACAGCCGTGAGGCCGTTGTCATCCCCCACATGCCTCACAGTGTTGGCGTTCGGGCAGAGTGCTGAGCCGTGGAATCTGATCAGCAGAAGAGCCCGTGGTCAGGAAAGTCCTGCTGAGGCCCTGCTGGGTCTGAGGCTTCCTGCTCCCACCCTGCCCCGAGCAGCCTCGGCCTGGCATGCAGAACTGGGCCAAACCCCAGCCCAGGGCTCCCGGCGGGCCTCTCGTGCCCCATGGCCCCTCCCTGGGCCCCACGGGCCTCTACCCCAGCCATGCTTCCTGGCCCAGGGAAACGGGGGAGGCATTGTACCCTGTACCCTGTGCCCTGTGCCCTTGGCCTGGCCTGCCTCCCCGGCCTTCTCTGCCTCCCCTGCCCTCTCTGTGCATGGCCTGTCTTCCTCCTGGAGTCCCATTGGGGTTTCCGTCCTGGATTCCTCGCTGTCCCAGACACGCTTGGCTAAGAGTCCTTTGCGTTGCTTGGCTGCCCTCTTTCCTGCTCTTGCTTCCTGTGGAGGGGAGGATCCTCCAGGGCAGCTGCCAGACCCACTTATGCCTTCCCAGGGCCCAGTGGTATTTATTCAGTGGGTAAATCCAGTCATACTTTACTTAAGACTTTGTGAAAAAGACCCCAGTAATAAGGAGTCCTGCTTTAAGACGTTGGCGCCTGGCTCGCCGCCCCCTCACCCCCCAGCGTGGTGCAGGGTCTTATCCTGCGCACACCCCCTCCCGCCCACAGTGGCTTTCCTGCTGGGCTGGGGAGCAGCCTCCACCTGCAGGGCTGGTGGAAGCAGCCCAGGGCCGGCTCCAGCCTCTGAACGCGCTTTTCTCTTCTGCAGCATCTCCTCCGCCAAGGCCGGCCGGCTGTGCAGGCCTCCCACGAGCTTGAGGTCGTGGCAACTGAATACGAGCAGGACAACATGGTGGTGAGTGGAGACATGCTGGGGTTTGGCCGCGTCAAGCCCATCGGCGTCCACTCGGTGGTGAAGGGCCGGCTGCACCTGACTTTGGCCAACGTGGGTAAGAGTCCCCAGCCTTGTGCCATTTCTCCAGCGGCCGCCCAACCCCTCTGGTAGAGTGTGGGCTCCCTCGGGCAGGGGCCACATCATGGGCTTCACGGGCCCAGGAGGAAACCGGGAGAATTCTCACCAGCTTGGCCATGGAGCCTGTGTCCTTGGCCGCTGAGTCTGTCCTGGACCCAGTTGTTTGCATTCTGAATTTCTGATTGGGGTTAGAGGTCATCAGTCATCTCGGGCTCTCCTGCATGTTGTTGTTTGTTGCTATCCCTGGAGGATCTCCGGGACAGTCCTCAAATACAGTGACTGGGTTCCAGGAGAGACTTCCCTGTGCCTCATGATGGAGGACAGACAAGGGAAGTGTTCCTAACTTCCCTGCAGCCCGGGAGGAGGAGAGTGAAGAGGCGCATTTCTTCTCGGCCCAGCACCATGACTTTGTAGAAAATGGTGCCCCGGGATTGCTCGTTAGAGGGCCTGAGCAAAGCCCTGGACTTCACTCCACGTCCAGGACTGTGGTGGGTGGGACAGGTGGGTTGGGTGGCTCAGGAGGGTCCCACCTGGGACGTTCCAGGGGCTTCGACTGAGGCCTATGCTGGGATAGGGGCTGCTGATGGGGTGTCAAGGGACACAAGGCTGGGTGCCTGCCTGTGCGCACCTCAGGGCAGAGGACCGACATGGGACCCTGTAGGGCCAGTGACAAGCTCACTGAACCTCCCGAGGGTCCTCTGGAACGTTTGGGATTTTTCAGGGCAGAATTGAAAACACAATAAAACTAAGCCGTGTGATGTTTCTGAAGCTGTGTCTGTCTGCATGAGATTCAGACTTGTCTGCTATTTTATTAGGGAATTTTCCACTCCTTAGAACCCAGCCTGATTGTAAACCCCAGAGCCCCATGGGCCACATCCACCCGACGCTGGCAGCGCAGAGGTTGGTGGGGGGCCTGGCGGAGGGGCTCAAGTGCACAGCTCGTTAAGTCGACTTGGAGGCTCTGCCTGCCTGTTTACGAATGTACATCCGAGGCGGCCTGGTAAATAGACAATATGGACACAGCAAAACTCAATTAGGTTCTGGAGAAATAAATGAGCCACATGTGAGGAGCAGGCATTATTCAAAGGCTCATGCAACTAAGGGAGTTGCAAGAAGCGTTCTGCTCTGAGACCGAGTTGGTTGTTTTTATATTTAATTCTCCAGCCACCAAATGTGCAGTGACTCCAGGTTTTAAAATCTTATCTTCAGAAGAAAGATTGCCTCCATTATATGTTATCTCCAATTGTCATTTTCATACTTTGCCTGCAAGAGAGAGATAAGCTCATAGGAAGGGGAGGCTGAGATAGCCAGCCTGGGAGACTCCGGCGCTGACGGGAGAGGGAGAGGTTTTCACAAAGGTCGAATCCACCCGCAGCACTCTGCGCATCAGTGCAGCGAGCCTGGCTCTCCTCCGTCAGTTCTGCGTTTTTTGGAAAAAAAGGTGTTATGGCTTTTCTTTCTTCATAAAACTGGCTATTCTGTGGTACAGTAGGCGTCTCTCTGCTAGCAGCGTGGGTGCTGGCCATGGAAGCCTGCAGGGTTACCGCACGGGACAGAACCTGAGCCTCGGCCTCGGCCTGGATTCTGCTCTGGGCCAGCTGCATTCACAGTGCATGTTCCTGTCTGAGGCCACGCAAGGAAACCTGTGCCATGGCTGGGGACATGGGTGTCTGCCAGCTGGGCCCAGGGCCCTGGGACTCTGATGATGGGGAGAGGACTGCCCTCATGCTTGGTGGCTGCTTCACACAGCTGATTTCCTTGGCAGCCTCTTTTGCACTGTCTTTCGGTCAGCTTTTGTCGTCCAGGGACAGCAAGCACCAGATTGCTTTCTTTGATCCCAGTGATCTTGGTTGTGGAGTAGGATGGGTTCGGCTGGGAGCTTGGGCAGTGATCTTGGTTGCGGCGTAGGATGGGCTCGGCTGGGAGCTTGGGCAGTGATCTTGGTTGTAGAGTAGGACGGGGGTTTTTCTGGGAGCTTGGGCACTTATCTTGGTTGCGGAGTAGGACGGGTTTGGCTGGGAGCTTGGGCAGTGATCTTGGTTGTCGAGTAGGACGGGGGTTCAGCTGGGAGCTTGGACAGTGATCTTGGTTGTCGAGTAGGATGGGGGTTCGGCTGGGAGCTTGGGCAGTGATCTTGGTTGTGGAGTAGGACAGGGGCTCGGCTGGGAGCTTGGGCACTGATCTTGGTTGTGGAGTAGGACGGGGGCTCGGCTGGGAGCTTGGGCAGTGATCTTGGTTGCGGCGTAGGATGGGCTCGGCTGGGAGCTTGGGCAGTGATCTTGGTTGTGGAGTAGGACGGGTTCGGCTGGGAGCTTGGGCAGTGATCTTGGTTGTCGAGTAGGACGGGTTTGGCTGGGAGCTTGGGCAGTTATCTTGGTCGTGGAGTAGGACAGGGGCTCGGCTGGGAGCTTGGGCAGTGATCTTGGTTGTGGAGTAGGATGGGGGTTTGGCTGGGAGCTTGGGCAGTGATCTTGGTTGTGGAGTAGGATGGGGGTTTGGCAGGGAGCTTGGGCAGTGATCTTGGTTGTGGAGTAGGACGGCTGGGAGCTTGGGCAGTGATCTTGGTTGTGGAGTAGGACGGGGGCTCGGCTGGGAGCTTGGGCAGTGATCTTGGTTGTGGAGTAGGACGGGGGCTCGGCTGGGAGCTTGGGCAGTGATCTTGGTTGTGGAGTAGGACGGGGGCTCGGCTGGGAGCTTGGGCAGTGATCTTGGTTGTGGAGTAGGACGGGGGCTCGGCTGGGAGCTTGGGCAGTGATCTTGGTTGTGGAGTAGGACGGGGGCTCGGCTGGGAGCTTGGGCAGTGATCTTGGTTGTCGAGTAGGACGGGGGTTCGGCTGGGAGCTTGTGTGTTACTTGTGTTCTGTGACCTTTCCTGGGGGAGGCAGGCGTCAGGACAGATGGCCCCACAGGCTAAGCGTCTGTGTTCTCACAGGACATCCTAGGAGAACTGGGTGGTGATGGGTTCTGACAGATGGCCAGGCTGTGGGGTCACACGGTTGGCGGTGGCGGGCTTTGGTCCAGCTGCAGGGCTGCATCGGGAGCCCTGTGTGTTTGGAGGGAATTCCTGCCCCTGCAGCAAACGTGTTGGTGCGGGTGTAACCTGTTTCATGGAAGGTGAAGAAAGCCTGCACTAATTTAACATCCAAGTTGTGCCCTGATGAAATGCAGTGCCTTTGCCGCTTGTTCCCTTCTTGAGTGAGCATGCAAGTGTAAATTCAGCTTACCTGGTTTATTTTCCCATGTGCCCTAAGTAGAAATATAGTAAGAGGAAACGGTCATGAAGCCCAGCAGGGTTCCGTGTCCTGCTGGTCACACCCGCTGCAGCCATTGTCATCATTAGGTGTCCTTCGAGTCTGAGCTCCAAGAATGCTGGTCGCCTGCCCCAGGCCCAGTTGGCCTTGCCACACTCTCCTTGGTCTCTTAGTACTTCTCAGGGTGGTGCATAGTACAGGCTTAAAATAGACCAGTGCCCACTTCAGTCAGATGTGGGTGGACCAGAGGCCTCGTCTGCGATTCAGGGAACCATTCGCTATCAGATGAAGGTGGTCGAGAAAGCTATGGAGCATTCTGGGCTGCCCCGGGTATAGGATGAACCCACTGCAGCCCACAGTGAAGGGAGGTGCCGGGTGGAGGATGAACCCACTGCAGCCCACAGTGAATGGAGGTGCTGGGTGCCTGGGAGGCCCCTCCTTCTTGGAGCAGGTCCTCGGGACGTGACAGAGAGCTTGCCAGGACTGCCAGCCCGTGAGCTGCTGCCCCTGCTGTGAATTCCCGTGGGAAGAAACACACAGCAAGAAGCTGGGACAACTCTGAGCTTGTGAGTGGGAAACTGAGGCTTTGGGGCTGGTGGCACTTTCTCCCCATCATGTGGAGGGCAGCGTGGCCCGGAGCGTGAACATCGGTGGCACTTTCTCCTCGTCATGTGGAGGGCAGCGTGGCCCGGAGCGTGAACATCGGTGGCATTTTCTCCTCGTCATGTGGAGGGCAGCGTGGCCCGGAGTGTGAACATCAGTGCTGGTGCCCGCAGCTCTGGCCCTGGCACAGGCAGGCTGGGCTGGTTCAGGCTGCCGTCCCTTCCTCGCCCCAGCCTGCTTGTTTGTCTGCCATTTTCCCACATGAATCTGGGAAGTCTTTGAGGACCCTGATCGTGGCTTCTTTGTAGTGGTGTTTGCCCTTGAACCTGGCGCCGTGGTGGAGAGAGTGATGAAAGCGTTGATAAGAAGCCTGAGTGCCCTTCTCACCGGGAGCCCTGTTCTTCCTGGGCTTCAGAAGATACAGCCCATCATGGGGCATGAACATCTGTTCGTGTGAAGGAGCGCTGATCTGGGTTCCTTTCTTAGGGACGAGGATCTTGATCCTGTGACCACGAGTTGTCAGGGCCAAAAACGGATTCCTGGCAGGCGAGAGGAGGGTGTTTGGGCAGAGGCTCTGCAGCCTCCACTGGGAGGGTGCAGGCTTTAACTTGAGGGGAAGCTGGAGACCCCTGCGAAGCATGTGGGAGCAGAGGTGGCCATGGCGGGCAGGACAGGAGGGAGGGTCTGAGAGCAACAGGGAGAGGACCGAAATAGCCCTTGTTCTAGGTGCTCGTTCCCAGGAAGCTGGCTTGGAGTGAGGACTGAGTGGACGCTGCAGGTGCCAGGAGGCGGTTGGTAGCCCGAAGGCAGAAGCACAGTGTAGGGCATGTGGGCGACATGGAGGCTGCGTCTTTATGGGGATGTAGCAGGGACCTGGGCCGAGGGGGAAGTCAGCACGGCTGTCCTGCTGCACAGCATGGTGCTGACGTCGAGGTCAAGGAGAAAGAACAAGAGGCGGGGGGTGTCAGCTACTGGGACATTGGCAAGAACGAAATTAATTCCCCTGGAAAGAGATGGCTGGGTAAGCGCACCACTGAGAGATGGCTGGGTAAGCGCGTCACTGAGAGATGGCTGGGTAAGCGCGCCACTGAGAGATGGCTGGGTAAGCGCGCCACTGAGAGATGGCTGGGTAAGCGCGCCACTGAGAGATGGCTGGGTAAGCGCGCCACTGAGAGATGGCTGGGTAAGCGCGCCACTGAGAGATGGCTGGGTAAGCGCGCCACTGAGAGATGGCTGGGTAAGTGCACCACTGGCCTTTCTGGTTGCCACCTAGGGCGTGGGAGGAGGCAGCCAGCCTTCCCATCCTTCGCAGTGACGGCTGTGAGCGTGGCCGTCAGAACCTGGCCTTGAGGGCCGAATTCTCAGCACAGGTGAGCAGGCGGCTTGACCCTACAGCTGCCCAGAGTGAGCTTTCAAGCTGCCTCCAGGGATGGCGCTGAGCCAGGGAATTCTGCATTTGTGCTCGTGCGCAGACAGTAGGAGGCGGCCAACGTGCCAGTGCCTTTGCCATAGTTGCTTTTGGAGCTTCAGTTTTGAAAGAGCTTACAAAGACTGAAGCAGGGACAGATGACCAAGAACAGCTCGTCTGCAGGAGGTGGCAGGAAGGCCAGCCTGGCTTGGACTGAGATCCGGAGAGAGCACTCAAGATGACCAAAGGAACTTAAGAATTAGGAGAATGTGAGTTCTTTGAGGGCAGCAGGGATTGTTCGCTGCTGCGTCACCAGCTTTCCATCTGTCTGTGAAGTGAAGCTCTTCTAGAAGTTTTCTAGAGATTGATTCCAGGCAGTCTGTGATTTCTAAATCTAGCCTCTCTCTACCACCACATCGGGGCCTTTGCCCTCAACAGCCCTTTTTGGGGGCTGGTCTGCTGTCCCGCCAATGTCTTTGGTGTCGCCAGCTGCGATTCAGTATCTGGCTTTCAGGTCCTTTCCAAAATCCAGGCGCTGTTCCCTGGGATGTAGAGGGGCTGAACTCAGGTAGAGCAGCTCGGAGACCTGCCTGGCTCCCTTGGTAGGACGGGCACTCCCTTTCCAGCCTCAGCTCAGACCCATTCTAGAGAGACACCTCCGTCAGCCAGCTCTGGTTTTGTCACCAGGAGAACCTGGGTTGGACGGAGGATATGGCTCACCTCCACAGGTGCCTGCACGTGGGCGTGCTCCCAGCACTGGGCTCGTCCTTGAAAACAGCAGCTTCTGACGGGCAAGAGGGGAAGGAACCTGGCGCAGCAGGTGGATCTGCTGCAGCCAAGGAGGGACCTGGCCAGTGTGGAAGTCCCTCCCTCCCCTAGGGCTGAGGGTAGGCAGGAGTGAAGGGATGCAGAGAGGCAGGAAGCCCAGGGGAAGGGGTTCCCGTTTTTAACAGCTCCCGGGAAAATGGTGAGGACATCCCAGGCCCGAGGGCACTCAACACTGCCTCGTCGGAATTAAGGAAATTGATGGCACAAGCATTTTGTGCGTACCCTGGGTGGTTCATTTTGGGACACAGCTTCGTTGGCGGTGCTCTGCCTCGCCCCTTGGGGAAGTAAAGGCCACACCGAGGTTGTGGGTCCCATCCTTGCAGGAGAGTGTGCCGTGGGCAAGCACGGCTTCCCCCAGGACACTCAGGTTTGCAAGTTGCAAGTTTGTAGGGTGCCACACCCACCGGCCGTGAGACACGCTTGTCCCGAGGCCACACCACTTGCTTGCCAAAGCCTTCTGTTATGAACACAACTCTGGTGAAGGCTCCAGTTTATGGGGGCTCTTTCACCCTGGGTGTGTGTGGAGCCAGACATTTGCACGTGTAAATGCACACAGGCCTATCCTTGATCAATGTGGCCATCGAGAGGCCGAGGTTAGAGTTTGTGAGGCAGCCCGCCTTGCGACCCAGAGATCCAGAAGTAAGAATCCATGTGCAGCGAACTGTGAGTGCCACACGCTTTCATTCGTCACCAGGAAACGGAGGCTGCCACTGACACGGCAGGAGAATGAAGACCTAGCTGAAAGTTCGCAGCAGAACGAGCTCCCACCTGTCTCTCAATTGCAAAACATTCAAAACAGAGGCGGTGGGGCCTTAGCGTGTCAGGGTGTAGATAGGCCATTTGAAAGCCACAGCCGCTTATGTGGTGGGTTGATCTGTTTCATCAGATTCTCATTTGGGGTTCATGTCTTATGTTGGGATGTTTTTCATGTAGGTCACCCGTGTGAACAGAAAGTGAGAGGTTGTAGCACATTGCCACCGTCCAGATCTCGGGTCATCTCAAACGATGGAGCCAGCCGCTTCTCTGGAGGCAGCCTCCTCACGACTGGAAGCTCAAGGCGTGAGTTTACACTGTTGGGCCCATGTGTGGGTGGGTCGTGAGTGGTGGGTGAGAGGTGGAAGACTGCGTGTGTGTGTGTGTGCATGCGTGTGTGCATGTGTGTGTGTGTGCACCATTCGTGGTGCTGTCAGTGCCCCTCTGCGTCTAGGACGGGACTGTGCTGTCCATGTGCAGGTGGGTCATGAATGGCGTGTGAGAGGTGGAAGGCTGCATGTGTGCACGTGTGCGTGTCTGTGTGTGCATGTGTGTGTGCGTGTCTGTGTGCGTGTCTGTGTGTGTTTGCGTGTGTGTGTGTGTTTGCGTGTGTGTGTGTGTTTGCGTGTGTGTGTGTGTGTGCGCACCATTCGTGGTGCTGTTAATGCCCATCTGCATCTAGGGCAGGACTGTGCTGTCCATATGCAGCTCGGTGCCCTGGCTAGATGCCCCTGTGGACCCACAGGCCCCACCGAGCCACCACATTGATCACACCCTGGTGCTCTAGGCTGGGCTCTGCAGGCGACTGTGCTGTTTGGAGAAGTGGGAACCCTGCCAGTGGCATTTGTGTCTGGTTGGCTGCTCATCTGCAAGGGAAGGAGAAATGGAGAGAAGGTCAGGAGGAACATAGACTGATTTTCAAAACAAGTTGAAGTACCCTATGTTGTGAACAGAAGAAAGAAGCCAATTATGGAGCTTGGGAAAGAAAGACCTGGTTTGGAGAGGAAGACCTGGGTTTGGTGAAAATGTGTTTCACAGCAGGGAGGCTCTGAAGTTTTTCTATCCCCTTAAAATGTAAGGCCTCACAGACCTGAGTATAAAGTACTTGTCATTTGAATTACAAGTGGGAAGTGCTCTTTAAGGAGCATTTTCCCCAGAGGTTGCAGATCATCTGTGTGAATTCACAGCTGCCGTGCGCTTTTGTGTGTTGCTGGGCCTTGGAGCTGTGGCTTGTTAGAGGTGGGAGGGGCAGTTAGAGGTGGGAGGGGCCGTTGGGTTCCCTCCTGCAAGGCTTCCAGGATCCCACAAGGCCCCTGAAACTCTGGGTAAACTTGTATGTTCTCCCTGGGAGCAGACATGAGGGGCTCAAAGGGATTCATGATCCAGGCAGATAGAGTCTGTTGTTCTGGGCCAGCTTCCTCATTGTAATTTTGAAGAAACTGAGACGAAGAGAGGTCAGGTGACTTGGCCAGTGCCGTGGCTAAGGGGTGAACTTGGCTTAGAATCTGGATTCCCTGCCCTGGGGTCAGTGCCCTTCATCCTCAGCTGGTCCCACAGACCACCTAGAGTACGGTGGAGAGCCAGCTCCTTAGAGAGAAGTCCCTGAGCTCCAGGAGCCAGGCTGAGGTTATTGATAAAACCCTGCCTCCAGGCGCAGCAGGTCAGGAGCTCAGCTGTCAGGGAGCAGGAACCCAGAAGGCCTTGCTGAGACAATCAGAGGCCCTGAGGTCAGTGATCCTCCAGACCCTGTTTTGCTCAGGACCAGGACAGGAGGTGTCCCTTAAAAGCACATGTCTCACCCATGAGGCAAGGCTCTGCAATTAGCAAGTTGCACGAAATTTTAAGAAGGTTCTCAGTGCTTCGTGCCTTACCCCAAGTGCAGTTTCACGGTCACTCTGTAACTTTCTTTCTGGTTTCATTGGGACCACGAGAGGTATTTGTTGGGGTGATGCAATCTGAAAACTTGAGCTCATGATAAACCCCAACTTGCGCAGGCCCCAGGTCCCTCCACTCACAGCCGTGGCTGCAGGTAGCTCAGACCAGGCCTGTGCCGGAGACTTGTAAGAGCCACGCGGGGCATCTGCAGAGCAGTTTGCCGGCGTTAAAATTGGATGGTGGTGAGGGACCTGACAGTGGCACTGTTTCCTTGTGAGAAGGAGGCGGGGGTCACGTTGCTGTCCACTGTGTGGAGGCTTCTGCAGGGGGTGCCCATGCCCCATACAAGTGGAACCAGGCTGGGAGAGCTCGGGCTGGCATTGGTTTCCTGTGGGAAGTTTCTGCTGGTGCCAGAGAGTGAGGAAGGACCCAGGCCCTAAGCTGGTAAGCTGGGGCGCCTCTCAGCTGCCCTGCCTGTGCCGGGCTGAGCGATTTTCTGGGAGCCTCATGTGTCAGCCTTTGGCGTGGCCTGGTCACCCAGCACAGCCCCGCCCGACACCCCAAGCCCCTGCTCTGTGTCGGAAGGAAGGGCCTGGCCCATCCAGTAGTGGCTGAGCCTTTGCCTGCCAGTGCTTGACCCTGTTCAGCTTCTGTTGGTTTGCTAAATGAGTCATTGTGTGTCCCTGGTTTGAGTAGGGCCACCCCAGAGGAGGCGGGCTGTCCTGGGGGCCAGGCAGTCCAGGGTCAGCTGGGATGGAGTTGAGAGCAGGAGCTTGGGGGCCAGGCCTGCTCTGAGCTTCATCGCCTGCCCCCCACTCACTGAAGGCCTCCTGCCAAGGGGACAACCCCTTACCCCCATTCCTGATCCGAGGGGCTGAGGCCAGCAGCCCTGGGTGAAGGCATTAGTGGGCCCTTTAAGATCCCGAGAGCATGGGCTTCTAGAACGTGGCCTTCTTCCCTAGAAAACCCCCTGGTGGTGTGTTGACAGCGTTGGATCTAAGGGCCAGAGTCAGAATTGCTTTTAATTTGAAGGCTGAGGAAAGGAGGGGATGCTGTGGAAACCAGGGTATAAAGTTATCATCTTTATCTGGATCTCAGAACTCTGCAGATTGGAGCTGCAAAAAGCATGAGCCGCACTCTTGAGCTCCCTCCCTATATAGGTGGTCCTGGGAGGCCTGCCCTGGTGTCTGCTCCTGGAAGGCAGACACTGCACGTCTACCTGACTCGCGCTCTGACCCTTTCGCAGGAAAACACGTGGTGCAAGCACAGAAGCTGGCGGACGTGGACAGTGAGCTGGCTGCCATGCTACTGACCCATGCCCGGCAGGGCAAGGGGCCCCAGGACGTCAGCCGCGAGTCGGATGCCACCCGCAGGCGTAAGCTGGAGCGGATGAGGTCTGTGCGCCTGCAGGAGGCCGGGGGAGACTTGGGCCGGCGCGGGACGAGCGTGTTGGTAAGGGTTTGTTCAGCTGTCACTGTCCTGGGATCTCCATGCAGACTGAGTCACTGTGCACATCCTTTCCCTGCCTCCCACATGATTCTCTCTTACCTTCCTCCCAAATCCTGGGGACAGAATATAAGAAAATCGGACTTTTTCAGCCACCGGGGGAAATCTTTAAGTGAGAATTATCTGGAGAGCTTTTAATAAAAGCCAGTTCTTGGGCGTCACCCCTGGAGATTCTGATACTGATTGGTGTGGGCAGGACCCCTGGAGCCTGGGTTTGAAGAAAGCTTTGCAGGTGATTCTGAGGCTCTCCCAGGTCTGGGGACCAGAGCTGTGAACAACTGACATATCCTGGGTTGTCAATGTAATCATTCTGGCTAGAAAAATTCCCCTTTTTGGCTGAAAATCTAAATAGAACTTTTAATATTTTGCTACTAAGAAATGGGAGGTGAGAATGGTTGTACCTCCTGGGTTCATAGAAGTCGGGAACCACAGGGGCCTTGAGAAAGATCTCCTGAGATTCCCCCTTGCATGTAGGTAGGCCGGGGTCTGAACAGAGGTGGCCCTTTTCCTGACAGTAAACTCAGCAGGGCTGCCACTCAGCCTCCCTGCCAGCAAGGCGTTGGTGCTCAAAGGTGGATGCAGACGCCTCGGTCCCTCCCTAGGCTCAGTTCAGTCTGATGGGGCGAGGAAGAGGCATGGTGAGAAGACACGGGGTGAGGAGGCCTGGCCTGATCCCACAGGACTGGTGGGCTCAGTGGTCAGGGAGGAGGGAGGGACTAGAGGGAGGCCAGGGCAGGGCCAGGGCATGACTGGGGCCTCCTCCCAGGCCTCAGGACACCCACCCCACCTCCCTCCCTCCCTTCCTCCCTCCCTCCCAGCTGGCAGGGCTTGAAGCTGTGGCCTCTGGAGGCCCCTAGCCTGGATAACCTTAGCTCTGTCAGCATAAGCTTGGAATTGAGGAGCCACTCTCAGCCCTATCCCTGTTTCTCATCCTAACTCATGTCTGGCCCCATCGTCCAGCACAGCCTGTCAGAGGTTCCACTCCTGAAAAGCTCTGAGGATGAAATTCTGATGGAGGCCCCAAGTGTGAAAGGCCAGCTCCAATCCCCCTGCAAAGGAACAGCCAGAGCCTTGGATGTTGGAAAGTGAATGTCCAAAGTCATTTAAGCCAGAAATCAAATTTTGTCCTCACCTTTTGAGTTAAATCCTGAAAGCACTGAAGTCAGCCCATCTCTCTGACGCCTCAGCCTCCTCTGTGTTAGACAGAAGGTTCCCAGCGCCCGGCCGCAGCGGCTTCTTGGAGTAGCTGCAGGCTGGCTGACTCCCCGGCATGGGGGTGGCCCCTTCCAGGCCTGAGATCTTGCAAGGCAGCCTCTAGTGGGCCTTACTTTTTCTTGTAAGTCCCACAGGAAAAACAGGCCAGTCTCCAACCTGTAGAACCCATGTGTGCTGGCCAAGCCCCTTGAGTCCCTGCGGCATCAGAGCAAGGGGGTGGCTGAGCCTTGCTGAGGCAGCGTGCTGCTTGCCTGGACTCTGACCCGGTGTGACCGAGACTCAGCAGGCCGGGGGCATGTCCTCTCCTGTGGACGCTGGGCCCAGGCAGGGCTCCCAAAGTTGTGTTGGGGACCTGGCTGGTGAGGCCTGTCACCATAGTTTTGAGGCCATTCTTTTCTCTTGTTTGAAACTTCTGATTCTCCACCGTGCGGGGGGCCAGACTCGTGTCTGTGAAGAGTCTCTCAGGAATAGGCAGGGATGCTGTGTGGACCTCCGTGTCAGGGACACAGCCAGCAGATCTCTGTCCAGCACTGCCTGAGATCCATGCCTGGGCGGGGCCGGCCAGTTCCACCCAGACCACATGGTCAAGGAAGGGGGTGGTGGTGGCGATGCTTGTGGAGAAATGTCCTCTTCTGAGATCGCGGGTGGTGGGCAGCCAGCAATAGCCCCTTGTGGAGGAGAGTGTGCCTGGGACCCTGTCCACCCATGTCCTCTTGTCTGCAGGCGCAGCAGAGCGTCCGCACACAGCACTTGCGGGACCTACAGGTCATCGCCGCCTACCGGGAACGCACGAAGGCCGAGAGCATCGCCAGCCTGCTGAGCCTGGCCATCACCACGGAGCACACGCTCCACGCCACGCTGGGGGTCGCCGAGTTCTTTGAGTTTGTGCTTAAGAACCCCCACAACACACAGCACACGGTGACTGTGGAGATCGACAACCCCGAGCTCAGGTGAGGTCTCAGTGGTGCCCGTCCTGCCCCAGCCCAGATCTGTGTCGGGTGCAGCCGGCACCCCTGCTGAGCTGGCTCGAATTCTGCCCGAGAGCCGGGGCGATTTGACTTCTCTCTCCCACTCCTCTGAGCACCGCTCTCGGTGGGTGGGACCGCAGCCTCCTGTGGGTCCTCCTGGGAAGAACTGCCCTGACGCCTGGACACTGCCTCCCCCAGCGTCATCGTGGACAGTCAGGAGTGGAGGGACTTCAAGGGTGCTGCTGGCCTGCACACACCGGTGGAGGAGGACATGTTCCACCTGCGTGGCAGCCTGGCCCCCCAGCTCTACCTGCGCCCCCACGAGACCGCCCACGTCCCCTTCAAGTTCCAGAGCTTCTCTGCAGGGCAGCTGGCCATGGTGCAGGTGCGGGTGTCAGGCACACAGGGAAGTTGCATTTGGCTGATGACGGTGGGAAATTGAGAATGCTTCCAGTCTCCACCAGTGTCCCTCCCTTACCTGTGCAGACAGACTAGCCTTGGGGCTGCCGCCCACTCCCCTTGGTGCTCAACAAGAGCCCTGGCATGTACACTGCAAGTGGCAACCAGCCCCTTCTCTTTTCCAGCCTGATGGGTGTCGAGCTGGACCATCTCCTCCTAATTTTCTTTACTAAGTTGGTTGGAAGGGCTTCTTAAAGCCCAGTGAATCTAATGGATTGACGTTTTCTAGCATCTTCTTTCCAGTTAATGTTGTTTGGTCCCTTCCGACTGCAGCACTGTCTGCTCTATGCAAGATGCAGCTTTGCAGGCATGTGTGCGGGGAGCATGCGTGCAGGGAGCATGTGTGCAGGGAGCGTGCGTGCAGCAGGTATATGTGCAAGAGGTATGTGTGCAGGATGTATGTGAGGTGTGTGTGCAGGGGCGATATGTGAGGTGTGTGTGCAGGAGGCATGTATGCAGGGTGTGTGTGAGGCACGCGTGCAGGAGTTGTGCGTGTAGGGGTCTGTGAGATGTGCAGGGAGTGTGTGAGGTGTGTGCAGACATGCAGTTGTGTGTGTGCAGGGAGTATGTGAGGTGTGTGTGCAGGTGTGCACTTGTGTGCAGGGGGTGGTGTGTGAGGTGTGCCTGCAGGGGGTGTGTCATGCCCGGGTGCGTGAGGCCGGCATGGGGTGTGGAGTGTGTGTTTCAGCTTTTGACCTTTTGGGGTCAGCTCTCTAGGGTGGTGGTCATCGCTTAAGGTGGACTTGAGATGTCCCTAGAGGCTCACTCACAGGATGCCATGCTGGCTCTTGGGATGGGCTGTGAGGACTGCAGGTGGGACCTCAGGCCTTTGGCTTCAGGCAGAGCCGGGTTTCCACCTGGGATCTGCTGTTCCCTTTGTTCCTGGCAGCCTCAGCCTTCTCTGGCACAGTGAGGCCGGTTGGTGATGGTTGCTGCCTGGAGAGTCAGTGTGAGAGGAGGCTGGTGGCTCCCAGCTGGGTGGCAGTGGTGTCTCTAAGCACAGGTGCTGGTCGCCTAATGGTGTTGCTTCCTGACCTGCTTGTGCTGTTCGGTTCCTGCAGGCCTCTCCTGGGTTGAGCAACGAGAAGGGCATGGACGCCGTGTCACCTTGGAAGTCCAGCGCAGTGCCCACTAAACACGCCAAGGTAAAGGGGCAACGGAGGACAAACTGATCTCGGGGCTTCCTGGGTATTCCCAGGGCCTGACCCTTGTGTCCTTCTCTCCCCTCCTGGAGGGGAGGGCTGGGGCCAGGTCAGGGCAGGGGTGGCGTGGGCCTGGGAATGGCCTTTTCCGTGTCCTCGCTGGGCAGGGCAGCTCCGTCTGGGCGCTGGCACAGCCTGCATGGTATCTGGTCGGAAATGCCTCCTTGGTGGCCGCCTTCTCACAGCCCAGGGCTCTCCGGGTGTGAAGCCGCAGTTCCCGTGGTGGCTGCCACAGCCTGCGGCCACTCCTTGAGCCTCACGCAGAGCATTCCCTGGTGTGTGAGTGTGTGGTGTGGTTCTTCCTGGAAATAAGACGTAGTCCTTGGTTACGTCCCTTGCTAAGCGAAGGCCGTATAGTAAGGCACCTGCTTCTCAACAGCTGGCTGAGACATTCTCAGGAGGAGCTTGAGACACTGCTGCTTTATGGCAGTTTCTGAAGGTTGTTTTTTATTCGGTAGAAACATGCCTTTTGTAGTAGTTGGGAAGTGAAAAACAAAATTAAAAAGCTTTGGTCTTTCTTACACATTGCCTGGAGGACAGAATTCAGAGTTCAGCGCAGTCCTGTGAGGCTGTGGCGTTCCCGTGGCCCGGGTCTCACTGTGGTTGCAGCCTGGCCCTCTGTGTCCACCGGGCCCCATCACCAGTGAAAACTTGCTTTATTTTATTTAAGTGTGCAGCCACAGCTTTGCCTTGATCTAAGGAATGTATCTGATCTTTATTGAGTGCTCTAGGTTAACGCTTTTTCCTTACATGAGTGGGAAGTCCCAGCCATCGCGTCCTGTTGCCAAAACCGTTGGGAGGAAGGTTTTCCTCTGCTAGCTCAGGTCTGAATGGTAAGGGCTGCAGGTGGATGACCGTAGACAGAGGGACAGCAGCAAAGACGGGCCTTACCGTTGTGAGCCCGTGGCAGCATTGGGAAGTGAGTAGCTTGCCAAATGCCCAGAGGTCGAGGTTTCTGTGCCAATGTAGCACAAAGGGGGCGAGGGCCAGGGCCTCCGTGGGAAGACGGGGACATTCTGTTGTCTCTTTATGCTGTGAGCATGGCCAGTCTGTGACCTTCCTGGAATTTGCAGGATGCTTTCACTTACACTTTCACATAGGGGTTTAATGGCAGCTGCACTTTCAGGTGGCTGTGCACTAGTCAGATAAGGAAAGTTCAGGTAAGATTTCTTTTCACCTTAAAATAATCTTTACGTCAGAAATATGATCTCTTCACATGAATTTGGAGTTTGAAGGGAAATCCTAGACACTGTGTTAGTTTACCCATAATTACTGCAGTGTGTATCTCTGACTGATAAGGACTTTTCTTTTTATCATGACTGCATGCTGTTGTTGCTGCCCCCAGTCAACGCAGACCTCGGCATCGTCTGCTGGGGCTGTAACCACGGGCCTTTCTACCACTGGTGCGTTTGGATCAGGACCCGCTGTCCTGGGGTGCTCCGCCTCTGGAGTTGCTCAGTGGGCAGACCACGTTGTCCATGAAGGCCACCCACAGAGGCCATGCTGGCTGTCACCGTGCTCAGGTGCTGATGGCCTGATGCCATCACCCGTGTCTCCCTCACTCGCATCCAGCTGAGGCTCCTGGCCCACTGCGTGTTCCATCCAGGGTGGAAAATGGTGAAATTGCAGTCCTGTCATTCTTCCTGTGATCTTTCTACAAACAAGGACTTTCCCGATCAGCAGTTTGGTTACCCTAAAATATACTTTGTACTTGAAAGTGAGGATGAATGTTAGAATCATTCCCTTTATCAATTTTCAAATAAATGAGCTGCGTCCTAGCAGCCTCCAGAGACAGTCCATGTTTGCGGCGTCTCATGATGGACACCGAGGCGTTATATTTGTATTTCTCATCCCATGGAGGCACCGCTCTTAGACGCTGGAACTGCCCTCTCTCAGGCCACCGCCATCCTTTTCAAGTTAACTCCTGTGCCTTTTTTAAATAACAAGTAGTTATTTTGAAATAATTTAGAACTTAGGGAAGAGTTACAGGAAGAGTGCAGAGTCCCCACATAGGGTTTTCCCAGACTTCCCGGTCACTAACCTTTGCCATGTTTGCCTCGCCACTCTCTGTTTGTGCATTTTTCTTGAACAATTTGAGAATAAATTATCAGGTAATGCCCTTTACTCCATGACACTTCGAGCTGGGTTATCTTGAAAATAAGGCCACTGTCCTCTGTGGTCAAAGGAGAGCCATGAAAATTAGGGAACTGACGCTCCTCTTCTGTCATCACAGGCCCCATTCACATTCACAAATGTCCCAGCACTTGATAGATGGCCCGTCCAGTGGCCCCCACCAGCCTGCTGCCCATGGAGTCCTTCTGGCGTGGCTGCAGCTGTTGTGAAGTGCACAGGCGGTTATCCTGCAGGGCGTGCCCAGTGGGGCTGGTCTGGTGTTCGTTTCAGTTAGACCCAGGTTATGCACTTGGGGCAGGACCTCCACAGACATTTGCCGTGTCCTCTACGAACATCATACTGTGAGGGACACCGTGTTGCTTTGTCCTGTTACTGGCGATGTTACTGTTTTCATTCAGTTAAGATGACATCTGCCATGCTTTTTTCCTGTAATATCAGGAAATGTCTAGTAATTAGAAAGTCATGAGTAAGTATCTTGTTGGGAGATACTGAGGCCGTTCAAATACCCTATTCTTCATCAGACTTTGACGCACTAGGTGTCAGTGTGCACTGATGACCTGGCCCGAGTTGGTTGGTAGTGGGATGCTTGCCTGCCATGGATTTTCCAATTCCATCATTCCTTCTCTGTTGATTACTGGTATTTTAAGTAAGGTAGAGCTGTGCCTTCACCCCATTCACCTATTTACTTTTTATATCCTTATGAACAATGAATTTCTATTTTATTCATTTTGTTACTATCATTATTTATTTTGTTGCTCATATTCGTGCCCTGACTAACCAGGGCAGCCTCTTCAGGCCAGCTCCTGCGTCCTGTTGATTCACCCCTGTCCTCCTTTGAGTCTTTCCTTACTGCCCAGCACAGCAAGACGCCCCAGGCTCAGCTTGCATTTCAGGAGTGTCAGCTATTTAGCTCGGGTTCCTTTGGTTGGAGAATGATATTTAGAAACCAAGATTTGAGCGTTAGATGTACTCAGTACTACTGGGATGTCACTGCTGCTAAGTCCCTCTCAGCAGAGACCTAAGAGGTGTATGCCTGTGGGTGCAGATACATACATACACAATATGTGCATATCATGCATATATGATGTATAGATATGTGCGTGTATGTGCACAGACTACTGTTTCTAGTGTGCTGAAGACCATGAATTTGCAGCAGTTCTTCCAACACCAATTTAACATCACGGGTTTCTTCCTGTTTTTTTCCATGTTTGTAATTCTCATTTCTGCTCATGAGAAACCTAGCTCGCATTTGGCTTACTTATTTGCCTAATTTCCTCTGTATATAACCAATCTGCTGACCACACTGGCCAAATCCCTTTGGCTACAATACCACTGGCCATCTTTATGTACGTGTATATTTCAAAACATCAGTACCAACCAGGGCTAGACACTATCTGTCAGTGCAAGATTTCTGAAGGTGCATTTGTCTTTAGGTCCTTTGTGTCCTGTGATTTACATTTACTTAAAGAATTCTTCTCTGGATAATTACAGCACCAACTTGATAGAAGCTTAGATTTGTTTATTTTTAATACATTAACACTTCTATTTATTTTAGTTTTCAAAATTAAAAACAAGTAAGTCAAAAATCAAACTATAAAGCAAGATATATTTGGAAGGATCTTGTTTCCATTCTTGCCCTGCCCCACTCTCTCCTTCTCAGTGTGTGCAGGTGTGAAGTGTGTGCATGTGTGTGTGCATGCATGTGTGTGTGTGCGTGCATGTGTGGGTGGTGTGTGTGTATGTGCATCCATGTTTGTATTTGTGCATCTGTGTACATGTATGGATGCATGCATGCATGTGGGTGTGCATGTGTGTGTGTGTGTGTGTGCATGTGGGTGGATGTGTATGCATGTGGGTGGATATGTGTGCATGTATGTGTGCATTGTGTGCATGTGGGTGCGTGTGTGTGCATGTGTGGGCGGATATGTGTGCATTGTGCGTGTGTGCATGTGGGTGCATGCATGTGTGCATGTGTGGGTGCATGCATGTGGGCATGCATGTGTGTGCGTGTGGGGGCATGTGTGCATGTATGTGTGTGCATGTGTGTGTGTATGGGTGCGTGTGTGTGCATGTGTGGGTGGATGTGTGTGCATGTGTGTGTGCATTGTGTGTGTGTGCATGTGGGTGCATGCATGTGTGTACATGTGTGGGTGCATGCATGTGGGCGTGCATATGTGTGCGTGTGGGGGCATGTGTGCATGTATGTGTGTGCATGCGTGTGTGGGTGCGTGTGTGCATGTGTGGGTGGATGTGTGTGCATGTATGTGTGCATTGTGTGCGTGTGTGCATGTGGGTGCATGCATATGTGTACATGTGTGGGTGCATGCATGTGGGCGTGCATGTGTGTGTGTGGGGCATGCGTGCATGTATATGTGTACATGCATGTGTGTGCATTTGTGGCTGGATGCGTGTGTGCATGCATGGGTGCATGTTTGCATGTGTGTGCACGTGTGCCTGCATGCATGTGGGTGTGCATGTATGTGTATGTGTATGGGTGCATGTGTGGGTGCATGAGTGCATGCGTGTGTGTGGGTGCGTGTGTGTGAGTATGCATGTCTCTGTGGTTGTGTGTATCTTGAAACAAATATAGCCTTTTTATCAGTTGTCCCAATTAATACCTCTTCAGACAATATGGTTTTTAATGAGTAGCTCTTTTGAAACCAGGAAAGTTTCTATTTCTAACCCCTTTGGTTTAGGCACAGCCTCTTTTTGCCATCTGGAATCAAAGAGCTTGTGCTGACGTGCTTGACCGCGAACTTGGCCCTGCCACCACCCACTCCAGGACCTCCTGGCCTGACTTGCGCACATGCACACAGGGTGTCGGGAGGTGGGATCATGGCAGGAGTAGTTTTGACTTGGGACTGCAGACCTTCTCCACTGGCATTTAAGAAGTGTGCTGTACTCGCGAGGAATAATGGCAGTGTGGCTGCTTGGGTGCCCTGTGTGGGTGCCGGCCCAGACCTTGCTTAGCGGTCCCCTCCTGGTGGAGACCTGCTGCTGCAGACTCAGTCCCTGCCTTTGACGATGCCCGACCTTCCCCGCTCATGGCAGTGGAGGGTGAGGGGGTCTTGGCAACAGTGGAGATACGTGTGCTGTCTAAGGAGGGACAAGAAGCTGCTCACAAGCCTCGTGCCCATCCCAACACTCAGCGTGGCCTCCTCACAGGTCTTGTTCCGAGCGAGTGGTGGCAAGCCCATCGCCGTGCTCTGCCTGACTGTGGAGCTGCAGCCCCACGTGGTGGACCAGGTCTTCCGCTTCTATCACCCGGAGCTCTCCTTCCTGAAGAAGGCCATCCGCCTGCCGCCCTGGCACACATTTCCAGGCAGGTCCTGCACTGACCCTGCAGCCCACATGTTGCAGGCTCACCTGTTGGAAGTAGATACCTCTTGAGGGTGACAGATGGCCTCATGGCTTCATGCCCTGGTGCTGTCAGAGCAGCACGTGGGGCCTGGGGAATTCTCTCTCCTGCCTTTATGGTTTGAAACGGTGTCCCTCTTGCCACCTCTGAGATGACTAGGTGCGCATTTGCCGGCTGAGTCTGCCCTTCTAAAAAATCCCAGCTCCCGCGGCCCAGGTCCAGGTGTGCCTGGAGGAACACCTACCTCCTCACCTGACGGCCCGCGTGTTTCTGGTAGGTGCCCCTTACAGCAGAGTGCAGGCTTCCCTGCTCCAGGGAGCTGTGTTTTCTTTTTTGTGGCCCCCTCGATTATTCCCTGTGGAGATGGCTGCAGCCGAGCCGCAGTGGGCTGGATGGGCGGTGTCCATGCAGGGAACACAGTGCTTGGATGCTGTCCTGGGAAAGGTGGCGGCGTCCGTTTCCCCAGCAGGTGTCTTGCTGAGCACCTGTGACGAGCCTGTCCTGTCCTATAGTGTGTAATGTGTGGGGCCTTCTCCACACAGGCTGGGGCTGTGGAGAAGACTCTTTTTGACATTTCCCCTGCTCCAGGTGCTCCGGTGGGAATGCTTGGTGAGGACCCCCCAGTCCATGTTCGCTGCAGCGACCCGAACGTCATCTGTGAGACCCAGAATGTGGTAGGTTGTGTTGTGGCCCCAGCTCAGGCAGATCCTTCCCAGTGAGTCTGCGCCCCTGTCGGCTTCCCCACGGGTATCCTGGGATCCTCTTCATTTTAGGTTTTCTGCTAAGTGGTTTCTTTCCCAAGGTACTAAAGGGCTATTTTGACATCCTTATGAGAGCTTTATGAGTGTGTTTTTATTTTTTCTACTAGCAGATCAGCTCCTTGATCATCTGAATTTAAATTTTAAAAAGGCACGAAGCAAAGTTAATAAAGTGGATGGTAATTAAGGCACTTATTAATTACCATTATGTAAAGGATAAGGCAATAATTGTGTTATGACCAGTTAGGAAACCGGATAAAATCTCCTGTAGAATCTAATTGTTGAGATCCATGTAAAATCAGGAAGCTAATGATCTTCTCTTTGGCAGTGAACAGAATAGTGAATTCCGATTGGTATAGAACATGAACAGATGCGTTCTGGGAGGGACTGGCCGTCACTCGCTGCGTGTATTAGTCACAGATTTAGGGGCCAGGCTGGGGTCGGCAGAGCACTGTGTGCCCTGATGTGCTGCACATCTGGTTGGCAGGGCCCCGGGGAACCACGGGACATATTTCTGAAGGTGGCCAGTGGTCCAAGCCCGGAGATCAAAGACTTCTTTGTCATCATTTACTCGTAAGTGCACAGGCTTTGGGGACCTGGAGGCGGTGGCGGAGGAGAGGAGGAGGCAGGCCTGGGGCTGCTGGTGGATTGAAAGTGGGCTTGGCCCCTTCCTAAAATTGGGGGAGCTTTCGGGCCTTCGCTTTGTGAGGCGGGATTCTGCTGCGAGTTCAGGGCCCGCAGGGGTCTAGGGAAGGCACCTTGGAGGGGCACGTGCAGCCTGAGGGACTTGGGATGCAGCTCCTGCCACCAAGGAGAGACACCAGTCAGCCTCTGTCCCCAGATAGTGGCAAGGGCCACCCAGAAGCCCCTCATTACCTTTTTCTTGCTGAGTCCCTAGGCTGAACAGCATGAATGAAGCTGTGGTCCCTCCTGCGGAGAGGCAGGACTGTGGTGGAAATGCCCATCCCTCTCTCCTCCAGGCTAAATGACCCGGCCCCTTTCCCCTCCCCTCCTAAGTCGGATCCCCAAGCCCTGTGAGAATCCTTTCAAACTGGTGTGAGCTCGGAGATTTCCTGCAGTGCTTCTGAGGATGGGGCAGGGGCTAACCTGCACTCAGTGCCCACCACAGAGGGGCCACGTGACCACGTCTCAGAGTGGCTTCCTCGTGAGCCCATGAAGATGCCTCACCCAGCCCCATTTGACTGTGAAGCAGCAGGCTCTTGGCCCTAAAATGCTAACAGGGGCTTCCGTGCTCAGGCCGGCATGACCTCCAGCCCCACCCTGTCTCCTGCGTGGCGCTGCCCTTGGCTTAGCCTCAGAACCCCTATTGGGGGTGGACACTTGTCCAGGATGTGTGTTTGGCCAAAGCGTGCCTTGTCATTTGTTTGACATGTGGTTCCTAAGCAGCCCTGCTGCGCCCTGAGAGCCTCTGCTGTGGGTGGGAGATGGGCAGCCAGGGGTGGAGCCACCAGGCCCTAGCTCTGCCTCCTGGGGCCTGGTCCTCCGGGGCTTTCCCTGCGTGGCCCCAGCTCTGCCTCCTGTGGCCTGGTCCTCTGGGGCTTTCCCTGCACAGCCTCCTGTCTGCCCACGCTCCTGGCAGCCCTTGTTGGCCTCTCGTGGGCCGGTGCTGAGTCCTCCGGGACAAGTGCAGATGGCTCCCATCCCACTGCAGGGATCGCTGGCTGGCGACACCCACACAGACGTGGCAGGTCTACCTCCACTCCCTGCAGCGCGTGGATGTCTCCTGCGTCGCAGGCCAGCTGACCCGCCTGTCCCTTGTCCTTCGGGGGACACAGACAGTGAGGAAAGTGAGAGCTTTCACCTCTCATCCCCAGGAGCTGAAGGTACGGCCTCTCTGGGGGCTGTTCTGAGCCTCTCCCCAACCCCAGCCTGGAGACGGGCAGTGGGCATTCAGCTGGAGCACAGTGGGTGGCCCTGACAGCAGCTTTTCCAGCGCCTCCAGCGCGCAGACGCTGTTACCAGAGGCCTCTCGGCAGTTGCCTTTCGTTAGATGTGCCATTGTGGGGTGAGTGACGTACACACCAACCCCAAAGGCCGGTGTTCAGAATTCCTGGCAAGGTGAACAGTGACAGGAGCTCTGGTGTTAGTGAAGCCACAGTTAGACGGGGTGGGAGGGCGGCCCCTGGTGCCACCAGCTGGCCGGGGTTTTAAGCCCAAGATGGCTTCAGTTCTGTCTGCGGAGGCAGCGCTTAGGGAATAGTCGCCGTGTGAGAGGAGGGACTTGCCTGGTGTGGACCCAAGTCGCGGCCACAGTCATGTCAGGGTTGGTTGTGGCCTCAGATTTGGCCGCCCCGGAACCACCCATGACCTTGGGCTCCCCTGGCTGATTGGGCTGCAGGCGCCCAGGAGCCCCTTGCTTGCACATCCTGAGAGGCTGTGCTCTGACCCGCCTCTCTCGCTCTTGAAGACAGACCCCAAAGGTGTCTTCGTGCTGCCGCCTCGTGGGGTGCAGGACCTGCATGTTGGCGTGAGGCCCCTTAGGGCCGGCAGCCGCTTTGTCCATCTCAACCTGGTGGACGTGGATTGCCACCAGCTGGTGGCCTCCTGGCTCGTGTGCCTCTGCTGCCGCCAGCCGCTCATCTCCAAGGTCTGTATGTGTGGCAGGCACAGGCTGAGGGGATGGGGGCTCAATACCAGGGCACTGCAGGACCCCCACCTCGGCCCTGTGACTCGGACCACTGGATACAGTGTTCTGACCCAGCAGGGCCGGGTGCATGAGTGTTTGCTCCTGTGCTGTGTCTCTCCCGGATGGAAGCTCCAGAGAGCGTCTGTCTTATCTCTGTGGGGGTCCCCGTGCACGGTGCACAGGAGACTCAGGGAATACTTGGAGGAAGGGCCAGTGGCTGTTCCCGTGAGTGGCCGCAGCGTCTCCCTGTCCCCTCCCTCCACAGGCCTTTGAGATCATGTTGGCTGCGGGCGAAGGGAAGGGTGTCAACAAGAGGATCACCTACACCAACCCCTACCCCTCCCGGAGGACATTCCACCTGCACAGCGACCACCCGGAGCTGCTGCGGTTCAGAGAGGACTCCTTCCAGGTGTGGTGGGGCTGTGCCTGGGACTCCTAGGGGAAGACCCGGGGACCTGAATGGAGGGCAGTTAGCCTGCATTTAGGAGCGAGTTCCTCAAATCACCAGCAGTCTTCCAAAAGCCCCAGGGCGGTGACAGGTACCATCCCATAGTTGGGTGGGCCCGTTGTATCTTTAGTAGCTGGAGATTTAGCAAAGTTTCTCCTGAGTGTGGGAAAGGGTGTTGTGCCCAGGGCTTTTCATGGTAATGTTAGACAGCTCAGTCTCGGAAATAAGTGTGCCTTCGAGTCCAAGTAACGCGTCACACTGGCTGAGCACTGGTTCCCATCCTTGTACCGGGCGCTGAAGTCAAAGGCAGGCCTTGGATGCACCCGCAGGGCTCCCCTGCCTTGTCAGCTCCCCTTGGAAATAAACACGACCATGCAGAGAGGTTGCTGGTGAGAGCGTGGGACAGCCCGGGGGTGGATGCTGGGATTTGGATGCTTATTTCCAGGTCGGGGGTGGAGAGACCTACACCATCGGCTTGCAGTTTGCGCCTAGTCAGAGAGTGGGTGAGGAGGAGATCCTGATCTACATCAATGACCATGAGGACAAAAACGAAGAGGCATTTTGCGTGAAGGTCATCTACCAGTGAGGGCTTGAGGGTGACGTCCTTCCTGCGGCACCCAGCTGGGGCCTGTCTGTGCCCCTCCTGCCCTGCAGGCTGTCCTCCCCGCCTCTCTGCAGCCTTTCACTTCAGTGCCCACCTGGCTGACCTGTGCACTTGGCTGAGGAAGCAGAGACCGAGCGCTGGTCATTTTGTAGTACCTGCATCCAGCTTAGCTGCTGCTGACACCCAGCAGGCCTGGGTTCCGTGAGCGCGAACTCCGTGGTGGTGGGTCTGGCTCTGGTGCTGCCATCTACGCATGTGGGACCCTCGTTATCGCTGTTGCTCAAAATGTATTTTATGAATCATCCTAAATGAGAAAATTATGTTTTTCTTACTGGATTTTGTACAAACATAATCTATTATTTGCTATGCAATATTTTATGCTGGTATTATATCTGTTTTTTAAATTGTTGAACAAAATACTAAACTTTTACACGTCTTCCCTTGGCAGTTTTCTTGAGTGTCTGCTGGCGCAGTGTCAGAGGCTTCCTGTCTACAGCACAAGCCCGGTTTCTCCTTGAGGAGACATGGTGGGGGCCGGTCAGGCAGCCCATGCCATGTGTCCTCATGGAGAGGCCGCTCAAGCCTGCCCTGGGTGGGGGCTGAGACCCCGGCTCTGAGACGGCAGCAGTCGGGTAGAAGTGCGAGGGGCGGAGGGTCCTGTGCCCCTGAGCGGAGGGTGGGCTGCACCCAGCGGTGGTTGCAGAGAGCACGTGGCCCCATTGGTCCTTGCAGTGAGGTGCGGTCCTCGTTTGCAGAGATCAGTCTCGGTGGGTGGTCTCTGCTGCGTCTGCATGCTCTGATCCTGACGCAGTCCCCATCCTTCAGAGAGAAATTTCACTGGCACTGTAGTTGGACCCTGAAGGTCAGAGCTGTGGCTTTTTCCTGCGTCTGTGCCAGGGGCAGAGAGAGAGTGGAGATGCCTCCTCGGGCAGTGTGTTTGTATCCTGGTGCTGCTTCTCACGAGACAGTCTGCCCTCCCTTCCCACGGACTCTCCAGCTGGACAGGACTGGCTGACACAGTTTTCTTTTGAGGGAGCTGGATTTTCTCACAGGCCCCAAGGCTGAGTCCTAGGCAAGGGAACAATTGTAAGATGTCCAGTCCTTCAGTCCTCATGGAAGAGGCTCCGGGGAGTCCAGGAAGCCACATGTGGGTTCCATCCAGCCCTGCCCTGTGGGGTGGAGAGTCCTCGTGGGCCCTGCAGGCTGGGTGGGCCTACAGACTGCAAGAAAGTGCCTGGCCTGTGCTTGCAGGATGTCCATGCAGAAGCGGAAACCACAGCAGCAAAGGAGATCCATCCATGGGCTAGAAAACCTCCTGTGGACGTGTCCCTTCAGCGTTTGTAAAGCTGCACTCTCCCTGCTTTAGAGTGTCTGCCTTCTAGGGGCTGCTGGAGACATCCATTGGAGGCCATGGCGGTCGTTGGTTTACTCCCTCACTCCTTCATCTGGTACCACATGCCTGCTGTGGTCTCCACCCTCTCAGAGGCTCAGGAACATAGGGAAGGCCCATGGTACCTGGGACACTCAGCTGTTGCCAGCCCGGAGTGGGAAGGAAGAGGTGCAGCCTCCCACAGGAGGATGGAGGTTGGCGGGGGCTTCCCACGAGTCGATCTGAGTGGGTGAATAGGGGAGGGGAGACCTGGGCAGAGGGCCATGGGAGCTGAGGCCCGGGGCCAGCGGCATGGTGTGCCCAGAGTCCTAAGGAAGGCCACCAGGCTGAGAAGCCATCCCTGATGCAAAACAAGGTCCTTTCAGGCCATGAGGAGGACTTTTATCTGTATCAAAAAGCGTCAGGAAGCCTTTGAAAGGTTTTATGCAAGGATGGGTGTATTTGGGTAAGATGGGGGCAGTAATGTGGAGAATTAATTGGAGTGGGCCCAGATGTAGGCAAATGAGAGGCTGCTGCAGTAGTTGGGAGGGAGATGATGGGAGAATGGACAGAAGAGGCTATATTTTGTTCAGCTGTGAGTGATTGAAAATCCAAAATAACACTGTCTTAAACAAGATGGCCATTAATTTCTCTCACATTTAAAAATCCAGGTAGCTGGTGTAGGGCTGGCGTGGAGCTCCACCATCACTGTGCTCCCGTCTTTTTCTGTCTTACCATTGTGCTGTTCTTACCACGTTGCTTCCACCTTGTATCCTGAGATGGCTGCTGCAGCCGCTGCCATCACCGCTCCATTCCAGTCAGCTGGAAGCTGGGGTGAGGCACATAGCTCCTTCTGAAAAGTTACTGTCCGGAAGCTGGACCCGTTTCTCTGCTTGCATCCTTGTGTTCGTTTCCTATGGTTGCCTAGGTTGGCCTCTGTCCACGCCAGAGCTGGCTTGGAAAGACTGAAGGAGTGAGGTGGAGGCTGGACTCCAGGGGGGAAGGAGTCACTTAAGGTGTTTCTGTGTCTTTTCAACATGTACCTGTGCGGAGTAATGATATCTCTCTGGCTTGTCCCTGTTGTCATCTGGGTTGGGATTCTCCATGTTGCTTTTTCTTGAAGGCGGCCTCTGAATTTGCACGCCTGCCTCAGGGCAAACGCTGAACAGCCAGGGATCCCAGCTTGTCCACACCCTATGCTGGCTCAAACGTGTGCAGTCATGATACGGAGCCGTCTCTTCGAGTCGGATGTCCAGGCCTCTGGTCACAGCGTCACCTGGCCAGAGCCTCCGAGTAACCCAGGTGCCTGGTCACTTCCCTGGCAGCTCTGTGTGGAGAAGGTGCAGCTGTGATTTACTGGGTCTTGTCACTGCAGGCACCACCTGGGCAGCCCACCCATCCCTGTCCACTCCGTCTGGCTCTCGCCCTGCTCCTGCTGTTCCCCGTCGTACCACGCGAGGGCAAGGCCTGCCCCGTTAGCCTGCTGCTTCCGCAGCGCCGCTGCACTCTCATTAAGGGTCTGGGGAATGAGCCACTGTGATGGGTGCTGAGTCGTGCGGGCAGGAGGCTCAGACTTTCTCCTAATAGGTGCCTTTAAAGTAATGTTGATGGATGTGATTATGAAGCTATTATGTCCCATTTGTTCCTACAGTCTTGCTGGGGAGGGTGACCGGGACCATTTTATCCTTCCCTTGCAGAAAGTCTCGGTCAGATGCATTGTACTGCAGGGGAGGCAGGGTCTCAACTGCTCAGACATGAGGCCCAAGCCTGAGATGAGCCAGGGAGGACTCCGGTGCTGGAGAATTAGGTGGGCGAGGCAGGAGGGTCTGGGGCTGGGTCCCTTTCCCAGGCCTCTGGGCTATTGGGCTGCAGGTCAGTGCGAGGGCCTGGGCCGGGCACCCCGTCATGCTACAGAAGCCGCCCCAGCGCTCTGATTGCGGGACCCCACGTGCCTCAGGCAGGGATATGCTTAGAGCCATTGGTCCCACGGCCACATCTGTGGGCAGACAGTAGGGTGGGAGTGAAGGGAGACCTCCGTGGGGACAGTCGATGCCGTAGGTGTCCATGGTGACTTCTCGAGATCGTGGATAAGGAAACGGGTCCTTCTGTGTTCCTAAAAGGTCTCCACACCCCACAGATGTGGGCATGCGTGGGATAAAGGAGGCCCCTCCCTAAAGGTAGCAACACCTTGTTGTCTGCCATTTTCGGCGCGGGCCACATCCCTCAGCTCCTGCGTCTCTGCTGCGAAGCTGCAGGAGGAGTTTGGGATTTTCAGTCTGTCAGGGAGGGCACTGTCGCCTCTGCTTTCCCAGGCTGCCTTCATCTCCTCCACTGTGGCCAAGCTGAGGATGCCTCCTGGACTTTGCCCCAGCTCCCGCACCTGAGGTGCTGGCGAACCCTAGACAGGAACATCCTGCTGGACGGGCAGAGCTCTGAGAAGGCACTCACGCAGCCCTGGGTGCCTCCTAATGGTGCGGGGGCTCTGGAGGCCTCATCAGATGCCTTGGGGAGGGGTGTGGGACACTTTCATCTCCGCCCCCTCCATTTCCAGATGCGCCCAAGAGCTGGCTGCCTCCCCGGCCCCTGCAGAGAGATGCTGCCTGCTCTGAGGGGCCTGCTCTTCGTCACGTGGGTTTTCCCCCTGGAAGACCAGGAAGCAGCTGCTTTTCCTGGAGAGGTGGATCCCCCGAGTCCATTCGGTCCTTGCACAGCAGAGGGGCCCGCGGCGCTCCCTGCCCGTGTCTGGTCTGTAAAGCAAGGACTCAGGCCCTTCAGCTGCTCCGATGCCCCACAAGGCGACAGCAGAGAGCTGGCCAAGCCTCCAGGGCTCCCGCCTGTTCGAGGTGCTTTGGTAACGTGGCCACCACCCCAGCCTACCGGGCTCTCACGTCTGCGTTGTCACCCCCACGGCACAGGAGGGAACCACAGCATCAGATGCAGGAGGTGCCGCCCAGGCTCGAGGAGCAGGCAGCGTGTGCCCTTCTGGACGGGACCAGGCTAGCCTGTGGGCTGGAGGACACAGGGGCATCCCTCAAGCCCACGAGGAGAAAGCGGCCTGGCCTTTGGCAAGAGAGACGCCATCAGCCAGCGAAGCTCTATTTGCCACGTGCTCCTCACGCCCTCAATTCAACCCGAGTGTAGACAGAGGTCCCCCTGGCCGGGGGAGATGGATGCTGCCCGCCCAGTACCTGGCTTTCTTGGGGGCCCAGATGATCACATGGGGACCCGTCACGGTCTGTCGGGCGGCGCTGAGGGTCTGAGGGGAGCAGGGGGATGGTGTGAAGAGGGACTTTAGTTTGGAGATCGGGCCTCTCTGCGTAGGAGGCAGCTGAGAGAGAATGGAGTGGCAGGGGCCCTGCAAAGGGGCAGCGGGGCAGGGGAGGCTGGCGAGGGGCCTGCAGGGCTGTGCCAGGGCAGGGGGTCGAGTGGGCCAGGGGAGGAGCTGGTGGGCTGGAGTGGACAGGTGCCATGTCCCGTGAGTTCTCCGGCCCTGATCCCGGCCCTCCGTCAGCATGGAGCCCAGTCCTCGTGGGGGGCGGCGATGCCGTGGCTGCCTCACCCCCATCCCGCAGACCCCACTCTCAGTGCTTGTGGCGCGTGTGCCTCTTGCTGGCTCTGTGGGGCTGGGTTGAGGCTTGGGACCCCTCCACAGCTGCCCACCCCAAAGGGCTCCTTCCGCCCAGGGTGGGGTGGCCTGAGGGCTTCGGCCAGCCGGTCAGGACCCCATGCCTTCTGCTGCTGGCCTCCAGCTGGGTGTGTTCCTGGGTGTACCCTGGCCTTCCACGAGAAGAGGCATCTCGGGGAGGGGTCTCTTCTGCTGGGCACAAACCCCAGGTCAAGCCTGCTGTGTGCTCTGGGTTGCAAAACACCAGCCTTGTCTCTTCCTTTATGAGCCCACAATGTCCTGTGCCGAAACCTGAGGCGTGGGCTGGCGTGTTCACTCACTCCCCACTCCCCTCTTGCCAGTCGCAGGTCCAGCTGGGCAGAGCCGGGATGCCCACGTGGAAGCTGGGCCCTGCAGCGCTTGCCTATGGGGACGGGGTACCTGGGACTCCCCCGATGAGGGCACCACGCTGAGCTGCTGCTCTCTCCGTGCAAAGCCGCATGCCTTTCAAAGGGGCCGTTATCATTCCCATCACGGGCATTTCTCAGCTGTGATTTCATTTCTCCCGCCTGCTCCTCCCTCCTCCTGCCCCTGTTGAAAGCTACTTTTCACTAAATGGAGTCAAATGCAAGCCAGATGAGCTGCTTTGTATTTCTCATGTTTGATAATGATTTAATGCTATGTTTGTCTGTATTTAGAAATAAGACACTTTTTAAAATTGTTGCCTCAGGTTCTAAGAGGGTGGGGAAACAGCCATTATTGCTTCCCTGATGACCGCTTTTTCTCCTGTGGACGGAGGCGCTGCCGCTCTCACCCCAGCAACCTCGGGTAGCACTTACCGGGAGGTGCGCTGAGGCCTTGACAGAGAAAGAGACAGAGGGCTCAGGAGCAGCTGGTGGCGTGCCCACGGGAGGTATTCAGGTGGGTCGCTGTCTCGCACGGCCCAAGCACAGTGGGTCTCTCTGGCCCTGTGCAGGATGCCACCCTACAGACGGGAAATGAAGAATGTAGACCCTTCCTGCCTGGAGGACGCTGGCGCTCCACCTGCCGCACTCCGCTGGTGATGCCACGTGGGCCCCACTGGCTCTCCTGACCCCAAGCCAAAACCACGCCTGAGCGGGTCCACAGGAGGCTGTGCAGCGCCCGGGAGCTTCTCTGCAGGTTGGGCAGATCCACCTCGGGCCAGGCCCCTGGGTTTCAACACTACCCCTCACCTCTCCGAGGGGGTCCTGGGAAACCCCTTGCTGGTGGGAGAATGGATGACTGAGGAACAGTCACCCCAACTTCAGGGGTTGAATACTGTCCCTGCAAAACTCACATACACTCAGAACCTCAGAATCCGGCTGTTTGGGAAGAGGGTCTTTGCAGATGAAACGAGGGCTTGAGATGAAGTCATGTTGATTGGGGTGACCCTAAGCCCAGGGAGAGTGTCCGTATGGGACAGAAAGGGACACGTAGAGATGGTTCCGTGGCGACAGAGGCAGAGGCTAGAGAGAGCCACAAACCAGGGATTACCAGAGCCACCGAAGCTGGAGACACCTGGGACAGATTCTCCCTCCGACCCTCCAGAGGGAACCTGCCCTGCCCTCACCTTGATCTCAGCCTTCTGGCTCCCAGGGCTGTGGGAGAATAACTTCCTGCTGCTGTGAGTCACCAACTTTGCAGCAGTTGTTTACGGCAGCCTCAGGAAGCGAACATAGGAGTCGTGGGACCTGCAGCTCCCTGGAGGTCCTAAATAGTCACATAATTAGCAAATGAAGGTCCCTAGTGCTGGGGAGAGAAGGTCTGGTGTAAGTCTAAGGAGTGACCCCATCGACAGGGTGGCCCTTGGTGCGTGTAGAGAAGCCCCTTGGGTGGCCGTCCTTGGCCACGAAGAAGCCGCGTCATCCTGGCTGGTCAGCCGTCCTGAATTGAGTAGGGACTCCAGGTTCTCAAGGTAAACTTTATCACAAGAATTCAACCTTGAAATAGCCACGCGCCAGTGTGAGTTTCTCCTGGAGGCAGAACCTCTAGGTGGGGGCTGTACCCACATTTAAGGGAAAGAAGCAACAGCCCCTGTGTGTGTGACTCAACACGGACCCAGGTTCTGAGACAGCTAGTAGGGGCTTGAGGGAAGGAGTGTGGTCTCCAAGGCATGTGGGGCCCTGGTACCAGGGTCAGTGCTGTCCACACTACCCTCCTGGGCCACCCCGGGCTTCACTTGCCCTCACGCCGCCCTCTCATCCAGTGCTCATGGCAGCTGCTGCGACTGTCAGGAAACACAGACCTGATCCTGTCGCCTCTTTTGCGTAAACCTTTCAGAGGGTAGGACGCAGGCAAGGATCCTCTCTGGGGCCTGCAGGCCCATCCTCTCCTGGCTCCATCCCACCCTCTCTAACCACTCGCCCTGCTCAGGGCGCAGGGCTGGGCTGTTTCCTGCTTCTGAAGCCTCTCTGTGCCTTGGTCTCCTCCATGAAGGTGCATTGAGCTGACCAGGTAAGAGCTGGGTGCAGCAGGTCCCCTGTGGTGCGCTGCAGGACTGTCCCTGATCATCTGCTGCCCCTCCTGCCCAACGCCATCTGACTGGCAGTGTCGCTATGGGAGGGGTGTCCACCTGCGGCTTGCGGGTGTGGCCGATGGGATGTGGACAGAAGTGACCCGGCCTTGCCTCAGCAGGCCTTTTCCCTCTGCCCATAGGGTCCTGTCTCTGCAGGGAGCTGAGAATGGGGGATCTTTAATTAGCATTCTCTTCTCCAGCCAAGCCAGCCTTCCTTCCTGGGGGGACCCTGTCCTCCCTCTGTTGGGCCATCAGCCTGCGGGAGGCTCCATGTGGCTGGGCCCTGCATGGAGGTGCCCCGATTCTCTGGGCTCCGGGGTGGGTGGCGTCCTCTCTCAGTGCTCTCCCTCTGCCTCTGGAACAAGAGCAAGTGCCAGGGTCAGGGTGCCGCGTGGGCAGCTCCCCGTGCAGCGAGTCCTGGCCCGTGTCTGTGGGGAGTTCGGGACAGGGGAGGGGTCAGCCTTGTGCAGTGGGCTATGAAATTTGGGATTTTCGAGGGTAGCTGTCAGGCTTCTGTTCACATTGCTGACCCCCCACAGTGGTCCCCTAAATGATTCATCATTTAAAATGTCCACCTTAATTCTGCTTGCTGGGAGCTCACATGAACTGGTCCTCTGTTTGCACACTGGATTTGTTGGACTTTCACTGGACCAATGCTATTGGGCGCCTTTTGTTTGCAAGGGACAGACACCCAGCTCAAACCAGCATAAGCCAGAAGGCAGCTGTGATGGTTTCTCATACCTTCTGGGGAAACTCCGTCTTCAGGCATGGCTGGATCCAGTTGCTCAGATTCTGTTGCCAGGAGCCCATGCCCCTCCATGGTTTTACTCTGCCTTTTCGGTGTCAGCTCTGCTCTCAGACAGGCTCTCCCCTCAGTGCAAGGACAGTGCTAGCTTCAAACTCCTAGTTATGTTTTTCTGGAGTGAAGGGCCCAGGCTTTACTCTGTGCCTCTCTCTGGCTAAGTTATATGTCCAGCCCTGAACCTGTGGCTCTGGCTTTCCAGCCCCGGAGCAGGAGGGTTGGTTGGAGTGGTTAGAGAGCCTGGGGGAGGCTGCTCCCTGGGGGCTGTTAGGGAAGAAGGGGGTTGGGGGAATGGGGGAATGCTGGGCAGACCACACCCACCAAGGTCTGAAGTGAGCTTGGAAGGGGTGGCGTGTGCTACAGGGTGGCTGAGGTCTCCTCGTGGACTCACCTCTCTGCCTCCACCCCCAGAAGAAGAGCAGATGCCATGTCTGTCATTGGTTCCTTTACTATCCCTGCCCCTGAGGGGCCACTGCTGTCATGGAGTGAGATGCAGGCAGAACAAAGACAGCCTGTGGACACTTACAGGCTCGGAGATCCCAGCCTCGCCACACAGCCATCGCCTGCACACTGGCCGGATGCTGCTGGCCATGTCAGGAGCTGGGTGATGTGGGGCCCTGTGCACACGGGCCCTGAGGAAGCACCAGACTCCCCTGTGCTCTCCTCTGTGGGGAAAGGGGGTGATATGGTCTGGCTGTGTCCCTACCCAAATCTCATCTTGAATTGTAACTCCCACAATTCCTGCATGTCATGGGAGGAACCTGGTGGGAGGTGATTGAATTATGGGGGTGGGTCTTCCCTGCACTGTTCTCGTGATAAGGAATGAGTCTCACGAGATCTTATGGTTTAAAAATGGGAGTTTCCCTGCACAAGCTTTCTCTCTTTGCCTGCTGCCATCCATGTAAGACGTGACTTGCTCCTCCTTGCCTTCCATCCTACTTGTGAGGCCTCCCCAGCCACGTGGAACTGTAAATCCATTAAATCTCTTCTTCCTTTTGTAAATTGCCCAGTCTTGGGTATGTCTTTATCAGTAGCGTGAAAATGGACTAATACAGGGGGATCTCCCATCCTTTCCCCTTTCAGTCAGGAGTCTCTGAAACCCGTGAAATCACGTGCAGAATTCTGTGTGCAGAGGAATTTTCATGGAGGGAGGATCCGTAGCTTTCCCCAGACTCTCAAGGTGTAGGGCCTGCAAAAGGGTGAGATTTCGAGAGGAGACATCTCTGCTCAGAGCTGGGCCCTCGTGCAGCCTAAGCAAGTGCAGTTTCAGGAAGATGCTCCTGGTTGCTGGACAGGCTGGAGAGCTGGCCATGTGGGCTCATCTGGGTCATTCTTGATCCTGCTGGAGATTTGCACACCATGCTCAGCAAAAATACACCTTGGTGATCAGCCTCCTGGTGGTCTGCACCTGCTGCTGTCTTTGGAGGTTTTGCCATGGCTCCTGACTGTCTCCTGCCATCCCCCCACCCCATGGCAGACACAGCACCCTGTGAACACACCAGTCCAGGCAGGACCTCCAGTGGCTCCCACATCATTCAGCTGGAGTCCATGGGATGGCCCCAAGCCCGAGCCACTGCTCCCACCTCCCCTCTGCTGACTCCTCCCCTGGTCTGTGGCTCTGGCCACACATTTCCTTGCTTGTCAAATGTGTCCAGCAGGCTGCACCTCGGGGCATTCACATGCCTTTCCCTCTGCCTGGAATGCTCTTCTCCTAGGTAGCCACGTGGCTCACTCCCCGGCCTCAGTGGGGAAGGAGCTTTGATTGCCCATTCATCTGAGAGGCCTCCCCTGCATCCCACTCCCCAAATCACCCTCCCTGGGACTCCCGTTCTCCACAGCACCTCTCAGCTCCTTCATGTCTGTCCGCCTGCCACACATGGAGTTTGTCTTTGTTCCCTGCCAGAGGCTCTCCAAGAATATTCCTGGAAGAATTGAATGTTGCCAATTCAGCTGCCCCCCTGCCTGGAGTCCTCTGCTGCCTGACAGTCCACGAATCCCCTCCCGTCGGCCTTGGCTGCCACCAGCCTCCCCCACCAGCCCATGCAGGCCACTCCTAGCCAGAGCGAGGGCCTTCTCTGCACTCTGCCTGGAATCGCCCACGTGGCTGGCTCTTCCTTCTGTGGTGGTGCCTCCTAGAGAGGGCTGCCGGGCACCTGGCTAGGGGAGACATTTCCTGGGATAAGTCCTGAATGTAGGTGTGGTGTTCTATGGAGTCTCCCATCATGGTGGGGTCTGTGTTACCCCTGGGGCTAGGATGACTAGGATGCGGCGGGGGTGGCATGGTGCCCTGCCTGGGCTCGGCCCACTCTGCCTGCTGCTCTGCTCTTGAGCTCTCAGGACCCTGAGGGCACCATGGGGATAAGCCCACAAGAACCTACCAGGGGATGAGAGACCATGTGATTGGAGTCCCAGGTGACCCGGCCATCCCCTCAGCCTGTATCAGCCCCTGCAGATTACACATGTGTGAGGGGTCCAGCCATCATTGCCACATCCTGTCTTGGGCCAAAAGAACTGCCCTGCTGAGCCCAGCCCAGATGCCAACCCACAGAGCCATGAGCTAAATGAATGTCTCAGTGTTGTGAGCCGCTGGGGTTTGGGGTAGTTAATGACACAGCAAGAGCTACTGCTGCCCCAGCCTCAGGTGGCTCACGCTGCCTTCCATTGCTCTAAACTCAATTTACATTGATTCACTTACCTGCTTACTATCTGTCTTCCCCGTTAGAATATCAGATTCAAGAGGACTTGATCTTTGTCACCACTGCATCTCAACAATACTAGCGTCTAAACAAATAATAAGAGTTCACATTTATTAAAGATTTACAATACACCAGGCTTTGCTCTGTTTGTGATTTAATATTTTAATCTCTAGTGGCAATAAATGGGTCAACCTGTTTATTAAGTAGGTACTTGTATTCATTTGTTCTCACATTGCTATTAAGAACTACCGGAGACTGGTAACTTATAAAGAAAAGGTTTAATTGCCTCACGGTTCCACAGGCTGTACAGGAAGCATGGCTGGAAGGCCTCAGGAAACTTACAATCATGCTGGAAGATGGGGGGAAGCCGCTGGCACGTCTTACATGGCTGCAGCAGGAGGAAGAGGGTGAAGGGAGAGGTGCTACACACTTTGAAACAGCCGGATCTCCTGAGAACTCACTATCACAAAGACAGCAAGGGGGAAAATCCGCCCCATGATGCCATCACCTCCCACCAGGTCCCTCCTCCAACACTGGGGATTACAATTTCACACGAGAGTTAGGCGGGGACACAGATCCAAACCATATCAGCACTTACTAGGTGTGAAGTTGAATGGATGCATGCATGCATGAATGAATGAATGTGCCTCTCCCTGGCCAGACTGATGCCTTCCTGAAGGTTCCGCTGCCCTTTGGGAGTGGCAGGGGCTCTGTCCCCAGGCTCCCATCTTCAGGCCATCTGGAGCAGAAGGGCCTGAGGCTTACACTTGGTCTTTTCTCTAGGGTGCTCTTCCCACAGCAAAACTGGACTTTCAGCAACTTCAACTAGCGAACAGCTCGAGCCATTTGACATTGGCCAGGAGAACTGAAATCGGGGACTCCCGCAGAGGCGTCTGGCCTGAACCTCTAAGCCGAGCAGAAATGTTCACTGTCTCCCTAGCAAGGAAGCCCACAGAAGTTCCCTGTAGGGCGGAAGGGGGCCAGGAGCAGGGGTCATTCAAAATTACTCTCAGTTCTATCCCAGAATCTTCCAGTAACCTTGGTTGGGGGGCACTCCTGCAGTTCTCCTAATTAGATGTGGAATACAAAGTGTTTTCACAATTAGAATGTTTCTGTTCTGAGGTCATCAGATTTTTTTTTATGGAGATAAAAACGTAATTAGCAGTGACCGTGGGGATGGCCTGGGGTTGCTGAGCCCCGGGAAGCTGCTGCCGTCATCCTGAGGTGCTGAGGCCAGGTAGAGTCCAACCCTGCAGGGCCTCGCTCCAGGCCGGGCCAGCTCTGCTCCTGCGACAAGGGCGTCCCTCAGGGAGATTCATTCAAGCCAGCCATAGAGCGTCATCTCCTGCTGGACACGTTGTGCTCACGTGTAATTTTAGAAATATGGATTCTTACATGTTCGTTCCTTGCTAAACTAAGTGTTTGTTTTGATCTTTTCATCATCCCCCAGTCAGTACATGGCTCTGACTCTGAAGTGGAATGCTGGTGCTTTTTTTGCGGCTTCTGGAGGGGCGTGTGGCATCGGTGCAGGTCAACACAGGGCCAGACACCCACGGCTGGATTCCAGAGCCCATGACTGGCTCCAGGCCCTAGGCTTCCTGCCTCTGGTGGCCCAGAGACCTGGGGGCCTTGGGAAGAGGGAGGCCCAGAAGTAAATGCACGGGAAGGGGTGGGACCTGTGCAGCCCAGGCTTCTGTGGCAGGGCTGGGGACAGAGCTCACTTCTTTCCTGGGTGCTCATCTCCTGAGGCGAGGCCATCCACAGACATGGAAAAAGGAACTTGGCAAATTTTTACCCCGCCTGTTTACCGAAAACATCACCTCTAGCACTGTCAGTATTAGAGGCCCTGCCTGCCCAGTGACATGTGTTTAACGTCCACGGTACCCTGACTGTGCAAAGGTAGCATAATCACTTGTTCCTTAAATAGGGACTTGTATGAATGGCCCCATGAGGGTTCAGCTGTCTTTTACTTTTAACCAGTGGATGATCTGAGAGAGCCACGGAGTCGACAGCGCTGCGCCCCCACCCCGGCCTCGTTATCCACTGTTGGCGACGGCAGCGTGACCCACTGGGGACGCCACTGCACACCCTCCTCTCTGAGCATGTTGCTGCTTTATTCAGACACGCCAAGCAGGGATTAGTTCAGGTCAACAATTTAAACAAATATTTAGGCTTGCCTCTACCCTGGCTGATGAATTCAGTTAGTTAGTCACCTGTCAGTGATCATCACACCAGTTAGCCTGAGGATCAGTTATTTTAGATCAACTTTGTTTTTAAAAGGAAGAAATGAGATTATTTTTAAAGAATGATTGTTTTTAAATAGTGAAGAAAGTGAGCATGCACGATTGTCCTCAGGGTCATTCAGCCCTTGCCATGTGATGCCTGTGTGTGTGTGTGAATGTGTGTCAGTGTGTGAGCTTGTGACAGTGTTAGTGTGTCAATGTGTACGTGTGTGTATGTGTTAGTGTGTCAGTGTCAGAGTGTGTGAGTGTATTGTGTGTGTCAGTGTGTGTGCGAGAATGCATGAGTGTGCATTTATGTGTGTGAGTGTGTGTGTTGACATCACACTTTTCTCGGTGGGTTTCAGTTCCCCTAGTTCTCCTTGGATCCATTCCTGTGTGTCTGCAGCTCAGCCTCTTCTAGAAGTTTCCTGTAAGCAAGATTGCCCTGTTAGGAAACCATCTGTTTCAGGTTGGGTTTCCCAGAAGCAGATTATTTGGAAGATGGGTTGGAAGCATAAGTAGAGACCAGGGGTGGAGGGAAGGGAGTGCATGGAGGGCACGTCTTCAGGCTGCTTCTGCTCTGGGCAGTGGGTCTGTCTCATCCATGGGAGCTCTGGGCAATGTGGACACTGCAGTGGGCCCCTGAGTACGGGGAGGCTGGGTCTTATCCTCCAGCTCGCTCCATAACTGGCTGCTCCTGGAGGTGTCCTCTGCCTTCCTGCTCCCTGGATGCTGCTGGCCTTCGTGCAGGCTGGAGAACCCTGGATGGTGAGGGGAGGCTTCCCTGGCGGGATGCTGGCCTGGACCGAAACAGTGGGTGCCACGGGGGTTTGGAAAGGGGACTGATGGAGTGTGCTGTGATCTTTCTGTTTCCTTTTAACTTACAACTACAGCAGGAGAGCCAGGGGCCTGGATAGCCATGCCAGGGAGGAAGCTTCCAGTGCGTCTCATGGCCTGCAAGCCACCGTGCTAGTGGGCTCCATCTCTGGGGCTGCAGAGGCAGCACTCAGACCACCCTCAGCTACGGCTCTCTCACACAAGTGACAGTGACAAAAGCTCCTCCAAGCCACTGACATGCAGTGTGCGACTGGAAGCAGTGCCAGGCAGGCTTGATGGGCAAGTCCGGGGCCCCCGTCATTGAGCTTGGCTGTTTCCCAGACACGCCAATTCCTTCCCAAACACATTGAGTAATTAAAGCAGAGACTGAGCCTTTGGACGAGGTTGGTGAATCAGAACTCCACGCAGCTCTGCAATTCTCAGCAATCTCAAAAGTGCTACTGGCCGAGCACCCAGGGCCTGGATCATGGTAGATGCTCAATTGATATTTGTCAAAGGACTCTTGCCGGAACAAATCCTTCCATCTTCTATGGCTGTTGTTTCATTCAATGTCTTAGTCTGTTGGGCTGCTGTGACAGAATATCTTAGACTGGGTAATTTATAAACAACATCCATTTATTGCTCGCAGTTTGGAAGCTGGGAAGTCAAAAACCAAGGTGCCAGCAGACTCGGTGTCAGTGGAGGGCTCACAGCTGGTGGCTTCTCGCCATGTTCTCATGTGGCAGAATAGGCAAGGCACTCTCTGGGGCCTCTTTATTTTTTAATTGTTGTTTTTCTTTAGAGACAGAGTCTTGCTCTGTTGCCCAGGCTGGAGTGCAGTGGGTGCAATCATAAGTCACTGCAGCTTCTGCCTCCTGGACTCAAGCAATCCTTCTGTCTCAGCCTCCTGAGTAGCTGGGACCACAGGCATGTACCACCATGCCTGGCTAATTTTTGTATTTTTTAGAGATACAAGATTTACAGGCTGGGTGTGGTGGCTCACGCCTGTAATCCCAGCACTTTGGGAGGCCCAGGCAGGCGGATCATGAGGTCAGGAGATCGAGACCATCCTGGCTAACACGGTGAAACCCTGTCTCTACTAAAAATACAAAAAATTAGCCGGGCGTGGTGGCAGGTGTCTGTAGTCCCAGCTACTCAGGAGGCTGAGGCAGGAGAATGGCGTGAACCTGGGAGGTGGAGCTTTCAGTGAGCGGAGATCACGCCACTGCACTCCAGCCTGGGTGACAGAGCGAGCCTCCATCTAAAAAAAAAAAAAATTTGCAAAACGGGGTTTCACCATGTTGCCCAGGCTGATCTCGAACTCCTGAGCTCAAGCGAGCTGTCTGCCTCGGCCTCCCCAGGTGCTGGGATTATAGGCCTGAGCCACCGCGCCTGGCCTGGGGCCTCTTTTATGAGGGCACTCATCCCATTCGCGAGAGCAGAGCCCTTGTGACCTGTTCACCTCTGAAGGCTCCCCCTTCTACCATCACCCCGGAGATGAGGTCTCAGCATAGGAATCTTGGGGGGACCCAAACAGGAGGACCCGTTTCCTCCCCAGTGCCTCCTCAGGCCCCTTCTGCCCTGCAATCCCCACCTGGCTGAGAGGCCTTGGAGTTCATTTCCCAATGACCCCCAAGAAGCAGCATCAGGCGACACAAACACCCACCCTCCTGTGCGCGCTGAGGCTGCCGGGCTGCAGGCGACGACGCTCTCCATGGTGCTGATCAGGAGCTCTGCGGTTCACCGAAGCTCCGCTCCTTGCCCAGCACTGTTTCTCAAGGACTTTCTCCGCAAACCAGCTCGGGGGTGAGAGGCGAGAGTCGCCTTTGTCCTGATGTCTGTCCCTAGTCTGGGTTCTCGGAGAGTTGGAGAGATGGTTTCTGGATTAAACAAGGCTGATTCTGGGTCACGAGGAAAGGGGGCGATGCAGGCAGTGGCGGCTGTGCTGTGGGCAGCGCTGGGCGTGGAGCGGCTCGACCAGACTCTGGGGCTTAGCAGTGGAGGGTGAGGCTGGCAGAGAAGCCCAGCGTGCTGCAGGGCTCTGGCAGGGGCTGAGGCAGCTCTGTGTGTAAATGAGGCCTGGAGATTCCGGGACCACAGCGATGAGATCTGTTGTTTGCTAAGCTCCTGCTCTGTGCTAGGCGTGGTCCCAGGCACTTTTCAGATATTAGTGGATCTACTTTCTTCAGCGGCTGTGCAGGGGAGGTGCCTCGGTGCTCATTTTTCAGGCGAAGGACAGAAGCTTGTTAAGGTTAAGTAGCATTGGGGTGGCACAGCTAAGAGGTGCTGAGCTGGGAGCCCAGGAGCTCTCCATGATGTCAGGCCACCTCGGGATTAGTTTGGTCTTAGCACCTTCCCCACCCACACTACTCCAGGGGCGCTGTTTACAGCAGGTGCGCAACCTGGACAACTGTACCTGGCAGTCCTGACTTCCTAGCCTCTAGTCCCAGGAATCTATGCAGATGCAGGAAGTGTCTTTTCTTTGCCCAAGTTAAGGGAAAGTCTCAGGAATTCAGCATTTGAAGGGGTAAGCCAAGGTCTGCCTGGCCTTGGACCCCTTTAGGCCAGCCATGATGACATGGTCATGATGGGCTGTTCTGCAGGTGGGCCTCCTGTTGACACTGCAAGGCCTGCATGCGAATTCCACCCGCATCTGGCTTGGCTAGAAATCCCCTTTCCACTCGTGGCCACCTTCTGAGTAGGCAAAAGCACACTTCTTCAAGCTCCAGGCCTCCTCTACTCAGAACAGCTGGTGGGGTTCCAGTGCCCTGCTTCCGGCCGCACCCTCTCTTTGGGACTCCCACCCAGCCTGGGACTAGGCAAGCCCCGCTAATACCCTGCTCAATGAGTTGGGAAACTGAGGCCAAAGAGCCTCAGTGACTGGCTCCTAGCCACACAGCTGGAAGCCTAGACAGGTCATCTGCATATCCTAGGCCCTTCCCTGTCAGCGGGGTGTGCTGGAGAGTGTGGTGCCAGGGACCTGGGAAGAGTGGGGCGCTGAATGAGGAGGGCAGGTGTGTCCCCCTCTTTCACCAGCAGATGAGCACAGCCCCCCAGCCGCCAGCTCAGGCCTGTTCAAACCTGTCACCCCATGTCTCTGGCTTTATCTCCTACCATCACGTTTGGTCACTTCCCGAGCATGAGGCAGGTGCCGTGCGGTCCAGGACCTTATTTGACACTCACTGGGGGCCCGGATGCAGGTGGTCAGGCTCTAGCTGGGGGCAGCTTGAAGCCCCCTTCTGCCCTGCTCGATGGCTCCGAGCAATGTAACTGCCACTTCCTGGGACCTGTGGCCCAGGAGCCCCTTGATGGCCAGGGGAGGGCTCTGACCTCTCTAGTCAACATGGATCTGTGAATCAGATCTCAGGAGAGGGGCTCCCCTGGGCTCTTCCCAGAGGCACATCTCCCGTTCTTCTTTGGCCTGGTGACATAAGCTCATGGTTTGGGTGGCAGCAAGTGACAGCTCAGCGGGCACCTGGCCCCACTGCCCCTGCTGGCCACAGAGCTGCTGTATGCAGCAGGTTCTGTGGAGACAGGCATCTCCAGCATGGTGCAGGGAGGGAGGCCCTGGGTGCTGTTGTCAAATGGACTGACGTCCCACCCAAGTGACTCACCAACCTCTCCAAGCCTTAGTTTTCTCATCAGTAACCACGGGTGAGCTCAGCAACATCACAGGCCATGGGAGGAAGCTCACATGATGCTGGTGCCTCCCCAGACAGCATCATCATCACACCAAGTGGCCTCAACTGCCTCAAGGTCCGCTGCCCAGCCGCTGGGTGACCTCTGCATGTTCTGCTCCTCTTGAAGCCTTGACTTTTTCATCTGCATGATGGGTATAAGAGCACTGCACATCATGGGGCGCTGGGAGGATTCATGAGGTTGCCTGCCAAGTGTTTGCTGCCGAGTGGACACGGGGAAGTGCCCGGTGAAAGGTGGCCACCAGTTACCTCCCCGCTCCTGCAGGCACACAGCTCAACCATTGGCGGCCTGGCCACCAGGTTCATCTTGAGATCCGGCTGCCCGCTGGGAACACGGGGGTGGAGATGGGAATTTTCCACAGTTCCTGAGACCGTGGGGTCTCTCCTTCCTGGGGTCCTGAGCTCAGCTTCCCCTTAACACATCCCTCTAGTGGCCCCTGGGATCTGGGCCCCTGGGTTGGAACCAGGCACAGAAAGCCACATCTGACCCAGGTCCCCTTTCTCGAGTTTGGTGACCTTGCCGCAGGTCCCAACTCCATATCTTGCCAGCTCTCTGCTTGTGGAGGCCTAGCCTCTGAGCAGTGCCCATGGCAAGGGGCAGGGTGCCCTCACTCTGTGACCCGTGGGATAGTGGCTTTTAAAGAGACCCAAGAGGAGGGCACGCTTAACCCAAGGCGAGACCCGGGGGAGGCGGAACTCCAGCCCCACCACTTCGGCGGCTGATCTCAGGTATCACCTTAGCTGGGCCGTGATGCTCAGGTATTTGGTCAAGCATGTCTGGATGTTGCTGTGAAGGTGTGTTCTTTAACATGGTTAACGGGTGAATCAGAGACTTGGAATGAAGCGGGTGGTCTCTGCGGTGTGGGTGGGCCTCACCCAATCAGTTGATGGGCTGAAGCAGAACGGCTGAGGTCCCAGAGGAGGAGAGGATTCTGCCTCCAGGCTTGAGACTGCAGCATCAGTCCTGTGGGTCCCAGCCTGCTCGCCTGGGCTGCAGAATTCAGACGCACCAGCTCCGCCTCTCTCTCTCTCTGCCCCCCACCCCTCTCTCCCTCGCCTCATCCTCGGGTTCTGTTTCTCCAGAGACCCCTGACTACCACAGCACTGCAGTGTCATGGGATGGAGGGGAGGCAGCCCTTGATGAGTTGGAGGCTGGAGGCGTTTGGAAGAGAAGGGCCCCCTCCCTCTGCCTCCTACGGAGAACTGCACTGCACACAGGGGAACCTCTAGGAAGGCTGAGAGCTGAGAGGTTGGCATTTCGTTAGCATCACACTGGGGCCGTTGGGATGGGCTGAGGCACCCTGGCAGGTGCTGGTGTGGGGCTCAGGCCAGCAGATGGCAGGTGCTTGGGCTGCCAGGCAGGAGGTGAGGGGCGCATGTCCCTGCTACAGGTTGCTGGGGGAACGGGGGCAGGAGAGAGGGGTCTGCCAGTCACTAGTCACCCAGAATATAAGCTCCGTTTCCCAGATGCTCCATTTCCTCCTCTGGAAGCCTGGAATGAATGCAGAGGATATCTGGGAGCCCGAGGTTGAGGGCCACCCTGGGGAGGGTGGCGCAGGGAAGCTGTCCTGACACCAGGGGCTGCCCGGCCACCCTAGACTACACTTCGAGCCTGATTAGTCCTCCAGTGCCCTGGAGCTGGGCAGGGGAGGTGACTGAGGCCAGAGGTTTGGGTGACTTACTCATAGTCACAGAGCAAGTGGGAGGAGGTGGTGGGACCTGAGCCAGGCAGACCCACTTCTCAACCCATGGAGCTCCACGCACGGCACCTTCACTTTGCCTCGAGGAACAAAGGGAGAGGCCCCCTGCACCCCCTGGCCCTCCCAACGCCCTCAGTGGCCCACCGAGCCACAGTTCTGCCGTGGACAGCTTTCAAGAAGTGGGTTAGTACAGGGCGAGTGCAATCCGTCACCCACAATAATCCCTTGTCACAGGAAGCTGGGAAAACAGAGACAAAAATCAATGAACATTTGGAAACAGGCTGCTGGAAACAATTTATTTCTAAAAGCAGCGTGGCCTGAACAAGATCTGGAGCCGAGGCCCTGAGCAAGAGCCAGGCCAGACTGAAGGGAGGTGCCCTGAGGCTATAGGGGGAGTTGCCTCCCCAGGACCTCTCCCTGACCCCTCCTGCTCCATAGGACCAGGTCCTCGGCTGGGTGGCCATGGCAGTAGGTGCTACAGTGAGGGCCGCCCAAGGTTGGGAGCCCCTGGGGATGGTGAAAGGGACTTTTGGGAGGGGGCAACTCTCCCAGCACTCAACAAGTCACCCCTGGCATTTGGCCCTGCAGACCAGCACATGGGGATCTGTGGCCCTACTAGGAGGCTGTGTCGGTTGGTTCATTTATTTCTTTGTTCAATCGTCCACTCATCAGCAGCATCTCTGATGTGCGGGGCAATGTCTGTCTGTCCCAGACACACGCTACCATCTCTGTGGCCCTTGAGCACAGCTGTGCCACCCCTCAGTTGCAGTCCCTGGGGTGAGTGTGCTGACGGAGGAGAGCCCCAGCTTCCCTGCGAATCAGGTGGAGGGGCCTGATGAGGCCATGATCATGGACAGGGTGGCACGTGTCTCTTCCTACCCTGGGAGTGGGTAGAAGCTGCGCACGGCTCCTCCCGCACCCCCAAAGCCTGCGCTGGGAGTGGAGAGATTTACGCCCCAAGGGGGGCAGTGCCACTGCTCCTTACGGCACATTAAGCTGACGAATGAGCATCCATCAGGGCACATGCTAGGTGCTGCTGCCACCGATGGAAGTCACAGCTCATATTTCTGAAATTGATGCTGTGAAGGCCACAGTCTATTAACGGTCCTGCGCAGGGTTATTAAAGTAGATTAACTGAATAATTTCCATAGAATAATAATGTTTCTTAAGGATTATGGATGGGCCCTGGTCTTTCCTTAGCTACTGTTAGCCAAAAATGTCCAAAGGTGGGTCCGCTTTCTCGTTTAGGCTGCAGAGCAAATGACGTTTCCAGTGAGAACACAGACCTTAAATCCGGGTCGGGGTGGGACTGATGGCTCCAAGGGTGTGTGGAGATGGGATGGGATTAGAATCACTTTGTCTCAATTGGTTCAGAGCTTGCTGGGTAAAAGAGGGGCAGATTAGGCAGCTCCGTGCTGCAGTCATGTTCCAAAATATGCATTCCCCCAAACTCAGTGGCTTACAACAGGCATTTGGGTTTTGCCCACGATCCTGAGTGTGGCTATGGAGGCTCGGCTTCCAGCTGCAGGTCAGGGTCCATCTGGCTCTGCGAGAGTCTCACCCTGGACCCACAGCCTCCCAGGGCCTCTTCCTAAGGATGGCCGGAGCGCCAAGAGGCAAGTCAAACTGCCAGGCACAGGAACCCTTCAGCTCACACCACACCCACTCACACTCCTCGGGCCAAGCCGGAAGTTGCTGGGGTAGATGGACCCTCATGCAGGCTCTACAAGGCCCCAGGGCACAGGGCATGCAGGCAGAGCCCTGTCACAAAGACGGAGGAAGGAGTGGGAGTGACAGGGCAGCTGTCACAGGGGGTCTTTGGTGTGGACCCCTTCAAGCCCGACACGAGAGTCAAGCTTGGGTTTCTGGAATGTTTTAGAAAGGTCTCGGCACCTGAGGTCAGGGAGTGAGTGAACGCACTCTGGGCTGTGTGGTGCTGCCGCTGCCGGCTGCTGAGGACTCCACCACCGGGTCTTTGGTTTGGTCAACATTGGTTTTGGCCAGGGCCATTCCCGGAAATCTTCTGATGTCCTTGAGGGATGCTCTGTGCTTGGGGCATAGGGGACAGACTGAGACAGGCCCCTGCTCCAACTTGCTTTTTTTTTTTTTTTTTTTTTTTCAGACAGATTCTCGCTCTGTTGCCCAGGCTGGAGTGCAGTGGTGCGATCTCAGCTCACTGCAACCTCCACCTCCCGGGCTCAAGCGATTCTCCTGCCTCAGCCTCCTGAGTAGCTGGGATTACAGGCACCTGCCACCATGCCTGGTTAATTTTTGTATTTTTAATAGAGATGGGGTTTCACCATGTTGGCCAGGCTGGTCTCGACCTCCTGACCTCAGGTGAACTGCCTACCTTGGCCTCCCAAAGTGCTGGGATCACAGTCGTGAGCCACCGTGCCCAGCCTCCAACTTGCTTTTGACTAGCAGGTGGGAGATATGCACACACAGACACGCACCCTTGGCATCAGACCAAGGTGCCCAGGATGAACATGAGGGCTGTGGGGACCGTGGGGGCAGGGGCTGCTGGCCTGGCCTCTTGGGGTCTCCCTGGAGGAGAAGCTGGTGCTGAGCTTTACGGAGTGAGAATGGGTTGGGGGTGGGAAAGTGCATTCCAGGCAAGGAGCCAGCCCAGGCCAGCAAATTCATTCAGCCAAGCTTCCTGGGGACACCGTGTGGGGCTCCAGGGGTCCCATGGGAAGGAAACGGCAGGCCCTGTCACCCACAGGGTGCCCACTGCCCAGCACAGCCAAGCCAGCCATGTCCAGGCCCAGAGAAGGGGTTGGAGACCCAGGGCCCATGGGCAGGGGGCTGTCCTTGAGCAGGGAGGGCAGTTGCCCCGGGGACTGGGTCCCCTGAATCCTGGTGGTGCAGGGGTTGTTACCCAAGGGGGCTGGGTGCGGCTGGGTGCTCTGGCTTTCCGGGAAAGTCTAGGCCGGCGTAACAGGCAGTTAAGGCCCTTGCTGTTGTGCAGAGCTTGGGCGAGATCCTAAGGCAACGATGTGACAGCTTTAATTAGAGAGATCTGTTCTCATCAACACACATGGCAGCTATGAACAGAAAGGATGGAGGCTGGATTCACAGCCGCCGCCGGCCGTGAGTCCCTGTGTACAGGAGAGGCGGCGGCTCTCCCCTCGGCTGTCCCTCATGCAGGAGGGGATGGAGGGGCTGGAACCACTGCGGAAATTCTGTCAATGATGCATGGCGCCCTGGCCTTGGGGTCAGTTCCCCCAAGGTTGATTCTGCATGCTCACCATCAGTGTCTGCTGTCAGTCCTGGGTTCCTCCAGGACAGGGACCCGTGCCTGAGACCCAACAGGCCCTGACTGAATATACAAAGTGTATTAACGTGTGCGTATCGGGAAGCACCAGCTTCACCTCATCTGCCCTGTGCAGTCCCCTTCCCAGGTAGGCATCGGGGGCTGCCTACACCACAGCAGCCGGGGGGAGCCGGGGAGTGGGGGCAGCCTTGCCTCTGAGGTCCTCACAGTCCTGCCCCAGCTGGTGGGCTGTCAAATCTGGTCTGGTGGAATTCACTGATGCTGGGGCCAGGAGAACACTGTCCAGCCAGCAAGTCTCCCTCCCTCCTGGGCAGCTCTGCCCCCTGCCAGGCCCAGCACAGCTCTGTGTCTGACCAGACCAAAAGACTGCATATTGTGTGATTTCAGCCATATGAAATGTCCAGAATAGGCAAATCCACAGGGACAGAAAATAGAGTGGTGGTTAACTAGTGCGTTAGTCAGTGTTCTCCAGAGAAACAGAACCAACCAGCAGGGTCTCTCTCTCTCTCTCATTCTCTATGTATATAATTGCATGGACTGTGAGGCAGCCGGGAGGTGTCTGGCCGGCATGTGCCTGTATGCATGTATGTGCATGTGTGTGCGTGTGTGCCTGTGTGAATGTGTGTGTGCATGCATGCTTTATATCAAATACTTTAATCTTAGAATGCTGGAAGCTGAGGAAGTTGGTTTTGCAATATTGTAACAATCATTAAAGCTTCGCATCAGGCAGGGCAGGAGTGCTGTGCTGGGAAGATGGATGCACTGAGACGGCTCAGGCTCAGCTGGGCCCTCTCCTGGATTTCCACTGTGACCTTGAATGGCAGAATTCAAGTCAGGTGGGTGTGGAATGAGGGCATGTATCAGGAAGGAGGGAATCCAGTGCTAAGTCAGTCCTTCGCTTCAGGGGGCTCCTAGGATATCTGGGAGACCCTCTGTTACCACGTGGAAGGTCTTGATGGCAAGTTGTCCATGTTCTTGGTGCGCTGAACAAAGAATTGAACAAAATGCACAAACAAAGCAACAAAAGGATGAAGCAATAAAAAAGCAACAAAAGAACAGAGCAGTGAAAGCTTAGATTTATTGATGCAAAAGTATACTTCACAGAGGGGGAGCAGGCTCAAGCAAGTGGCTCAGGAGCCCCATTGTTCTTTAGGGTTTTTATTAAGCCAAAAGAATTTGGTGGCACCCTAGGTGCCCTTTAGAGGCCTCCAGTTGGTTACTCCCTATGAAGGATTGGCCCAAGGTCAATCAGAGGCTGGAGTGGAGACTTGACCCATGGCCAATCAGAGGCTGGAGTGTGGAGACTCGGCCTGAGGTCAATCAGAGGCTGGAGTGGAGACTTGTGTCTTGTGATTGCAGGGGTGAGGATGTGGCCTGTGTGCTGCCCAATCCTGCCTGGAACTGGCTGCACCTGCTGTTCTTCTGCTTCTGCCTTAACCCTGGGTTACCCTCATTCCCTGTTCTCCTGCCTCACCTCCACTCTGCAGGCTGTGTCTTCTGATCTGTTACTGGAGGCTTGGAGTGAGGCCATCTCTGGCTCTCAGTCGAGGGGCAGCTGTGTGGGTAGATGCCCTGTAACATCTACCCTCGGAGCTTCGGGGTCTAAGATGCCAAACAGGGTCCTGACTGGGCCCCCTCTGGCTGTGGCCTCAGAGTAAACTGCAAGGGAGACTCCAGGGCAGTGGCTCTGGGGTCTTGGAGCATTCCACGTCCCTGGTGTTAATGCTGGATAATGGAGATGCACCAGCTATGGAATCCAGGGGTCAGCAGCTCCCTGGGAAAGACCCAGTCTCCCCCTAGTCCTGGAAGGAGGCTGCAAGATCTCTATTCTGCTCAGGTGGGCTGGTGAGCTTGTCCCCAGTAAGACACCACCCTCATATTGCCCCCAGCCTCCCGCTTGCCTGTCTCTTTATTCTCCTAACATTTTCTCCATATCACTAGGAAAAGGATGTTTTGGTAATGATCAAATGAATTCACAGATGGGATATCCAGCCCCCTCCTCCCAGGACAGGTGGGAGGGGAGCGTCTGCGGGGCTCACGCAAGCATGGAGCCGAGCGCTTGGGCCGGGGGCTGAATTTCCTCCGGTGCCTCGCCAGGGAGTAGCGCTCGGAGCCCCTGATAAATGTCCCCTGGCAGGACCTGGCCTCCCTTGGAGAGCTGGAGCATGGACGGGGCACTTTAGCTGCCCAGACCTAATAAAGTACAATATAACCGTGTGTTTGACTCTTGTTTGCATCTGAAGATAATTCTTCTAAGTTTAGTTTTATTGATCTGAGAGGGGCTCGGCTCCTGGAAATCAGTGTCCCCCTCGGCTTCCCAGCCACCTTCTTGTGTCACCACTTGGGACTTGCATGATCCTGGTTGCTGTTTGCCTAATTTGCATTTTGTTAGCCAATGATTAAGCATGTTAGCAAGGCAAACCCGGGCTCAGCGACTCAGGGGCTCCTTGGTGGATGATTCTCGGGGTGATGCATTTCACCGTCATTGGTAACTTTTGGATTTCATGGGTCAATTTTTAAAAAAAAAAGAAAGAAAAAAAATCAGATAATGTGGAATTGCCAGCGGTTTTTTTTTTTTTGAGACAGAGTCTCGCTCTGTCGCCCAGGCTGGAGTGCAGTGGCGTGATCTCGGCTCACTACAAGCTCCACCTCCTGGGTTCACGCCATTCTCCTGCCTCAGCCTCCCGAATAGCTGGGACTACAGGTGCCCGCCACCATGCCCGGCTAATTTTTTTGTATTTTTTTTAGTAGAGACGGGGTTTCACTGTGTTAGCCAGGATGGTCTTGATCTCCTGACCTCGTGATCCCCCCGCCTCGGCCTCCCAAAGTGTTGGGATTACAGGCGTGAGCCACCGCTCCCGGCCTGAATTGCCAGCTTTTTATTGGCCAAGTAAGGGCATTAAAAGAATTCCTTCCAAACCCAAACTACTCCATCTGCATCATCATTTCATAATAGAAGGAACATTTGAGCCCTCCAGCCTAGGAAGGATGCGAGACAGTGCTTTCACCGAATACATTTGCTTGAATGAAAAACGGCTCTCTATAGCGTTCCTACCCTGTTTCTAGGGGTCTGGTGGAGACCTCGCTCATGATGGCCCCCCGTGCTCCCCCCAGGTAGGGGGACCCCTGGGCTAAGCCTCAGCCTGGTGGTTTGGGCACGCTGTTCCTGGAAGGCTCTGGAAAGAACTAGGAGCCATGGAGGCCGAGGTGAGGCTGGATCAGGGTTCCTCTTCCTGCTCCTGGTGTGGCAAAGCCTCAGGCGCACTGGCCTCTGAGACTGCCACTGCCCTGGCACTGCCCTCAGCCCTTCACACCCTTGCCCGGTTGGCACCTATGTAGACAAAACCTGGATGAGCCCCGGTTCCGCTGCCGGTGGGCAGGAGGAGGGGGAGGGGCTGCGAGGCCCTGTTTCTTCCAGGACTTCTGCAGGAGGGAGTAAGATCAGAGAGCCGCCCACCTCTAGTTCAGAAAGCAAATTGATTTCCCGTGTGGTTTGAGCTGGCTTTCTGCCCTGGAGCTGGGAAGGTGTGGGGCTAGACTTAGCTTTCCGGGCCCCGGGCAGGCTGCAACCCCTGGAAAAAAGCCAGTCAGATCAAGCCCAGCTCAAAGAGGAGTCTCGCCACCCCTGGGCCACGCTCTCAGCCAGGGTGTGTGGGGCGCTGAAAGCTCTGTTTTCACTAAGAACAGCACCCCAAATGTGCCGGCTGGGGGTCTCAGTCTGAACTTCACAGCACAATGGGCTTTATCAATATTGCATCGTCTCAGGAACTCTCCTGGGCTCTCGCTGCCTAGGAGGAAGGAGAAGAGGGTGCTTAGAGATTCTCTCTTAAGCAGGTGGAGGCAGGGAATTGAACCCGTCCTTCAGGACAGGGGCTTCCTGGGAGGAGACTTCAAAACACGCCTTGCAGCTGCCATGGGGGCTTCAACACCTTAGACGCTTTGTACAAACCCAGAAAAGGGATTTGGGGCTACATGTGGGAAGATTCCTTGGTCTCAAAAAGTCTGCAGAGACTTTGCTTAAAAACACTCGGGAAGAGTCAGAGGTGTGGGAGCTGGAACAAGCAGGCACTTGGGGATACTGAAGCCAACTGGAGCCGGTGTTTACAGTGATTGAGACACAGGGACCCCGAGCTCAGTGCAGTGTCAGCCACATGACTCCATTCCCTCGTTCCATGTCTCATTCCTCCAGTCTCAGCCAAAGCCTTGATCAAACTCTTGGGAGTAGAGGAGATGAACTGTGTTGTGAAAAAACAGGAGTGGGCTGGGTGTTTACAGTGATTGAGACACAGGGACCCCGAGCTCAGTGCAGTGTCAGCCACATGACTCCATTCCCTTGTTCCATGTCTCATTTCTCCAGTCTCAGCCAAAGCCTTGATCAAACTCTTGGGAGTAGAGGAGATGAACTGTGTTGTGAAAAAACAGGAGTGGGCCGGGTGCGGTGGCTCATGTCTATAATCCCAGCCTTTTGGGAGGCCGAAGTGGGAGGATTGCTTGAGCCCAGAATTTCAAGACTAGCCTGGGCAACATGGTGAGACCCCCGTCTCTACCGAAAATGAAAAAAAATATCTGGGCATGGTGGTGTGCACCTGTGGTCCCAGCTGAGGTGGGAGGATAGCTTGGACTCAGGAGTTTGAAGTTACAGTGAGCTATGACTGCAATACTGCACTCTAGTATTACAATGTTGCAATCATAGCTCACTGTGTATCTCCAGAGTGAGACCCTGAAAGAAAAAACAGAATGGGAGTGGGCAACATAATGAGACCCTGTCTCTCCATAAGACAAGAAAACAATTTAACTGGACGTGGTGGCACTCGCCTGTGGTCCCAGCTATTCCAGTGGTTGAGGCAGGAGGATGGCTTGAGCCTAGGAAGTCAAGGCTGCAGTGAGCTGTGATTGCGCCACTGCACTCCAGCCTGGGGACAGAGTGAGACTCTAAAACAAAAATGAAAACAAAAAAGCCCCACAAAAAAACAGGAGTGAGTGACTATGCCTAGGGTAGAATTTGACCCCAGGCTGGGCACAGGCCTGGGTCAGGTCCCAGAGGTTCCTGAGGCTCTGGCGCCTAAGTCTGACGGTGACTATCCAGAGAGCCTGACAGACGTCGTGCTCAGGATGCCGATGGAAGAGAGGCTGACATCCTTAGCGTCTCCCTCCCCGGCAGCCTGGAGTCAGGGTCAGGGCATCAGGCTGGGATCTGCCTGTCAGGCACGGCATGGGAGCAGTCCTAGGGCAGAGCAAGTGCCAGCAGCCCTCTAATGCCTAAGATCCTGCCTCCCTCTCTGGGGAATCCTGTCACCTGCAGAAACCCCTGGGTTTCTCTTTAGGAAGGTTCCTGCATCTGTCTCTTGGAGTGGCGTTTTCTAGAAGTTCTGGTGGTTCCTGGCTGGATGAGACTCCCCTGGGCCTCTCCCTCTACCTTCTCCTTCCCTCACACGGCCACCCGTCCCATCGCGGCCCTGCATGGAGCGGCTTTTTGGCCTCTGGGAAGATGTGAAGCCGAGCTGCCCTGTCCTAGCGGTGAGTCACCCTGGGCGGCTCCAGACCCTCGCTGCTCCCGCAGCAGCATCGCACCCACGTGCACTCATCATCTGGGCCCGGGTCCTGTTTTTTCTTGGACCACTTCACTCCTCAATGTTTTGGAAGCCGCATTCCCCAGAGTGATTGCCTGTGCCCTGCGTTCATTGACCAAGTGAACGGCCGAAGGCTTCCTTGGCGCTGCTAATGAGGAACACACCAGGCAGGTTGCTGTCCCCAGGGAGTTTGAGAATGGGTGGTCACTGGGGGGTTCCATGCCACCCCACCAGGTGGGCGCCTGCGACCCCCTCCTCAGCACCCACCCCTCGAGGTGGATCACGGCCGGCCGTGCAGCTTTGATGGTGCCCACAGAGGGCTCGGGGGCTGAGACGGTGGCCCGGCTGGTCGGCAGGGGCGGGGGCAGGAGCAGGCCGGGCTCTGCACTCCGGCTTTGCAGGCAGGAGTTGAGGCTGTGGGCCTTCTGAGAGTCCTCCTCCCTGCAGGCTGCACCCAGGGGTGTTCAAACCTTGCTGTCCTTTGTACCTGGAGGTGGCTGGAGCTGCTCCCCTGTTGCTGACTGGATGTGGACTTGGGGGACCCCTCCTCTCTCCACCCCTCCCATTTGTTTCTAAGGGGTCTGCTGGGATTCTGGGTAGAATGTGAGACTTGGGACAAAGGGCAGGTTTGTGGGCTCACTCTGACGTGACCCCAGAACTTATGATACCCAGGGTAGAACTGGGGAGGGGCAGGGGGCCCAGGCTGGGGTGTGTGGCCTGCCTCTCCTGACTGCCCTGTGCGGGAGGCGCTTCTCCCCCCGTGCCTCTATTCCAGAGCCACAAAGCTGGAGGGCGGCGCCCACGGGCTCTGCCTTCACTCCCTCGGCATGGACGGGCCGGATGTTGGGGGCACTAGGTGGGGGCACTGGGCCGTAAGGCTGGACGAGGCCCTGTGTTGAGCTGCACGGAGTGGACCCAGAGTGTGATGCCAGCCTCCTCTTGCTCAGGAATGTGGTCCTCCTTCTGCCCAGTGTCCCCTCTGCTGTGGTCAGTGGCGGAGCAGGGACATGTTGGGAAGGCCCAGGAGGAAAATTCTCAAACCTCGAGTCCCACTCCCATGGGAACGCTCCTGAGTGACGTTGGCAGAAGGCATTTGAAACTAAATTTTGAGCGCTGTCATCCCGACTCTGAATCTGCAGTGACAGGAGTGCCTGCCCGGGACGCCATTACCTGAAATTTAGGGGACTGAGCGATGTTCTCCGCGGGTGGCAGTAGGCTCTGCCACCTCCCGAGTGTGGTGTCCAGGCTAGCCAGGTTGGGGCCTTTACCCAGCTGGGCTGCAGGCACCGTGGTTCCTCCTCGTCATGGGAAAGCGTGTGCTGGCAGCTGGGATGAAGGTCAGTGGAGGCCGCCTAGGGAGAAGTCAGGTGGCCACCGAGGCCCCTGCTTGTCTTTGAAGTCCTGCTGATCTCCCAGGGCATTTGGGGCTCTGCGGGCGTCGTGCACTGATTCCTTCTGGACTCAGCAGATGTCCTGCAGGAGCAGCCGGTCCGGGGTCTGTGTTCAGACTGTGCCCCTGGGGTTCCAACTGAAAACTCAGAGTCACGGGGATGGTCAACGTGAGAAGCAAGGGTGTAGGGGAAGGGAGCCCAGACATCCCCCATCCCCAATTCGAGTCGCGCCTCCTGTGTGCCTCGCTGATTTGCTGTGTGCAGTTGAGCCTGGGGGGCCCTGAAGCCTGTTTTGGGCTCCTGGGTGGAGAGGTGGGGATTGGACCCGGGTGGAGAGGTAGGGATTGAACCCGGGTGGAAAGGTGGGGATTGGACCCGGGTGGACCTTGCTCCACTTCGGCAGGCTCCTGGAGCAGCCCACGGGCCGTGGCGAGAGTGTCACCCAAAACGAGGCTGCAGGTGGGCGGCTGGCTGCTCCCCAGCCCCTCTTCTTTCATGGAGATGCACCCCAATTCAGGAGCTCTCGGCCGGCCACCCAGAGGGAGCCATCTGCAGGTCAGGAATGAAGGTCGGGGCATGCACAGCTTTCTCTACCCTGGCATCAAGCACTCGTTATTACCTGTGGGATTTGCTGACACCGCTGGGTGTCCAGCAATGCAATTCAATTCTGAACTGATCTACCTGGGGGTAGTGTCAGATCCGATGAGGCCTGGGGCTCAGTCCCATAGGAGAGTCCCCACTTTGGATGTCAGTTGCAAGTCCTGGGCCATTCCCTCTTCTGTCCAACCAGATATAAATCTGGGGTTCCCATAACGCCCTGTCTGGGCTTGATAATTCGCTAGAACAACTCACAGAACCGGGCAAGTGCTTTACTCACAGCAAGCAGTCTCTTATAAAGGCAGCAACTCGGCTGATTGGAAGAGACGCACAGGGTGAGGCACGGGGCTGTCTGGGAGTGCCCATGCCTCCTCCAGACGCGCCCCCTCCCACACCTCCATGAGTTCACCAGAGAGAAACTCTTTGAGCCCTGTCATTTAGGGGTTTTTATGGAGGTCCCATTACGTTGGCCTGATTGATTATGTCATTGACTATTGTGATTGACTCAATCTCCAGTCCTTCTCCCTTCCCTGGAGAAGGGGGTTGGGGGCAGAGGGGTTTGGAGAGGACTGAAAGTTCCCACCCTGTAACCACATGGTTGGGCTTCTGGCAGCCAGCCCCCAGCTCCCAGCCCCCAGTTTCCAGCCCCCAGCTCCCAGCCCATAGCCCTCAGTTCCCAGCCCCCAGCCCCCAGCCCCCAGCCTCCAGCCCCCAGCCCACAGCTATCTAGGGAGCTACTGAATTGCCTCATTAGCATAAGCTCAGGTAAGGGGGAAAGGGGCTGCTTGTGAATGACAAAAGCCACTCCTGAGCTTGGACGTGCCCACGGTTTTAGGAGCTCTGTGCCTGGAACCAGACACAAGACCAGGTGCAGTTTTCATTATAGCACGTGTTAGGGTGGCCCCTCTGTTCTTCAGTGGCCAGGTCCCCCAGGCCCAAGGTCTGGACCCGGGCTGTGAAATCCTTGTGGTGCTTACTTTGGGGCATTCGTCCCTGCGTGGCCTTGTGAGCTTCCATTCACATCCCCGTCTGGGCTTCCAGTGGGCAGACCTGGATGTGGCTCCCAGGGTCTCCCAGGCAGCCCTCCTTGGGGTGGAGAGGCCCCGTGTTCTCTGTGTTGTGTTGGGTGTCTCTATGTGTTAGGCTCTGTGCCAGGTGCCATTCTCCTGGTACCAGCACCTCTGCAAGGGCCTGGGGCTCTTGCCAGCATGGGTAGAGCTGAGAGCTGTGCCATCTGGAAGCTGACTCATTCGCTGTTATCACCCAAAAGGGCCGGCAGATCAGTTCAGTCATGACAGGTGTGCAGAGCCCTGATCAGCTTTGAGGATGGCAAGGGGGCAATCCAAAGGCCAAGGCTAGGGAAGATGTCAGAATCTTCCCTCTCTCCGAGGGATGGTGTCAACCCAGGCGCCCTCGGTGACCACCCAGATGTGGCAGTGATGGTGGGGAGTGACACTCTCGGTGGCCACCAGATGTGGCAGTGACGGTGGCAGTGACGGTGGGGAGTGACGCCCTCAGTGGCTGCCCACAGGCTCCCCCTCTGCCCGGGTCTGGCCTCACCAGCTCCAGGAGCCAGGTATGCTGAACACCTCTGAGCCTTGGCTTCCTCCTCTGTGACCCAAGGACAGAGAGAGTGGCCACCTCAGACGCTGGCAGAGAGGACTGCATACGAGCCTGCTTTGAGCCCATTGAGTCCTGGCGACACTGCTTCTTATTTTCACCATCAGCGCATCCGCAGGGCTTGGACGCGTCCTGGCACGTTGAAGGTTCCTGGTGATTTTAGATGAATGAATTATTGCTCTGGGCACCATCAGCCTCAGACCCCCTTTTCAGCCTGAGCGCTCCTGTGGAGGAAGAAGACTGATGGAAGCTTCTAGGCTCCTGCCGAGCCCTGTGGCATGCTCCAGAAGGTGCCCTTTGTTAGGCCTGTGGTTCCCAGAGGCAGGGGCCACCTGTCCCGTCTCAGTCTCTGTTCAGCGCATGGCTCTTGGTGGAGTGGGAGGACTTCCCGGCTGGCAGCTGATGGTGGCGCTGTTGGCTCACGCCAGGGCCCAGGCAAGCACAGGCTCTGCCGCCTCCTGGGCCAGCGAGGGAGGGGTGGAGGGAGGGGAGGGGGAGCAGACCTCTCTTGTCCAGATGCTCCACTGGCCAGGCAAGTCTGCCGCAGAGTCTCCTAGAGGTCCCTGGTCTTGGCCTTCCTCAATGACAAGAGGACTAGAGAGGCCTGGAGACCCTCAGGGGAGAGGTCTGGGGGACAGGGAGGGAGTGGGCAGGCCTGGCTGGGGACCCAGCAGCTTTGGCTTTTCTTCCAGCCTCCGGCTTCTCTTCTCACTTGGAGCCCTGCTTTTGCGGACACTGTGGGAGAGCCCAGGACCTTTCTGTGGCTGGGGTGGGAGTCATGATGGGTGGGCAGGCCGGCGCATGGGGTTCATAGCTGTGGTCCAGCTGTTGGCCTGGCCCAGACCTGGGTAGTCTGAGTCCGACCCTCTCCGTTGCTCTACCCTGAAATGGTACCTGCAGTTGGCTGGGAAGGCTCAATCCTCCAGTTGCCTTGCCTCCTGCAGGGTAACTTTCCCGGGGCCTTGGGGACCCTTCAGCCTTCCCTGGAGGAAGAGCTGAGCCAGGTGCTCTGCTGGCTGCACGCTTGCTGTCCTCCCAGACTTCTGATCTCTGCTAGGATGCCCACAGAAGGTTTTCTGTGAGTCGACAGGCATTGGCACACAGGAATGGAAGCCCTCCTCTGGCCTGGCATGGGACTGGTACCAGGCTCCTCATGGAGAGTTCTCTCCCAGCCCTGGATTCTGAGACTGGTGATTTACTCCTCACTAGGATCTGGGAGGCTTTGGGCCTGTGCTCTGCTGCAGGCTGGTGACCTTGGAACAGTGGCCTTTTCTTTTCAGACCTGGTCTTGTCATCTGGGAAATGGGGTAGTTGAGCAAGCTTTGATTCCTTTCCATCCTGGTATTGGGAGATGTTCCTTTCAGCCTTGGGTTTGGCTTTATGTTTTCCATGTTGAATTCCCTGATTTTGTCTCACGGGCTACATGGCTTACATCCCTCTAACTCCTCCTGGCCTAAGAGCCCATCCCTGTCACCATCATCACCATCATCACCGCTATCACCATCATTACCACCATCACCATCACCATCATCACTACCACCATCACCATCACCATCACCACCATCACCATCACCACCATCACCACCACCAACATAATCATCACCATCATGACCACCATCATCACTATCACCATCACCACCACCATCACTATCATCATCACCACCACCATCACTATCATCATCACCACTACCATCACCACCACCACCGTCATCACTATCACCATCATCACCACTATCACCGTCACCACCATCACCATAATTACCACCATCACCACACTTCTGACATCAGCCACCACCATCATCATCACCCATCACTACCAGCACCATCATCACCTCCCACTGCCATGACTATCCACCACTGACACCATGTTGCCACCACCATAATTCCCATTCCTCATCACTACCTCCCCAGTCATTACCACCACCACACCCTCGGCACAGTCACTACCTGGTCTCCCAACCCTACCTATTACACATCAGTCACCACGACTACCACTGCCACCTTCTATCTGATAGGATTTCTGAGCTTCAAATGGCATAAAAGTCTTTTGTAGTAGACAAAAGGCAATGTTTTTTGGTAATGGCGGTTTTTATAATAAACTGAGGTTCCACTTGGGAAAATAAATGCTAACCACAAAGACAAATAAGGTGTGGCTGGGCACGGTCGCTCATGCCTGTAATCCCAATACTTTGGGGGAGCCGAAGTGGGCAGATCACCTGAGGTCAGGAGTTCGTGACCAGCCTGGCCAACATGGTGAAACCCCGTCTCTACCAAAAATACAAAATTAGCTGGGCGTGGTAGCGCGTGCTTGTAATCCCAGCTCCTCAGGAGGCTGAAGTAGGAGAATTGCTTGAACCTGGGAGGTGGAGGTTGCAGTGAGCCAGGATCATGCCACTGCACTCTAGCCTGGGTGACAGAGTGAGACTCCATCTCAAAACAAAACAAAACAAAAAGATGATTTCTCACAGGACAAGATAACTTGCTAAAGGATTTCTGCAAGCAGCCTGACCTAGGCATTTCCGTTGCAATTTCTCTTACCCCAGGGACTGACTTGTGGGAACTTCTGAGATACCCCTCAAGGGACTCCTGAGAAGCGGGTGACACCACCTTCCAACACCAAGCATGGAGAAGACCCCCAGAGGTGTGGGCTGCCCTGTGCTGGGTGCTTCTTCTGGGCTCTCACACTTAAGCTGCATGACCAGGATGGAATAGATGGGTGTATGTGGATGACTGAGCACTCAGCCATCCCCACTCCTGGCAAAAGAAGCCGAAAAGGCGGCCCTCCTCCCCGCAGGTCAGGAAGATCATCTCTGCCTGAGAAGGATGACGCAATTTCTTCTTCTCCCTGCTGGGGGACCATGGTGCCCATCTGTAGATTTTTAACAGCTGAGTGGGCTCTGTGGTGCTGATTTTGAGCAGCTGAACGCTGTAGAGTTCTTTGGTCTTGTAAATGGTGGAGTGATTTCTCTACAGCTGCTTAAAGAGCTGGGACTACGAACCAAGGAGTGCTTGGCTGTGAACGGCGCAGCCCCGCTCCCAGCAGCCTCCCAGCCCTGTTTGTTTTTTAGGGTTCCTGCCGTCCCCTTGTCGCTCTGCCTGGACTTCGCGGAGCTCTGGTTTCTGGCAGCCCCTTCGGAAGCAGGGCTTGCTCGCCACAGCCAGTGAGGGCTCCTCTGTTTTTTTATCAGGTGTCTGATACCCCTTCTGGTAATAACGACTCTGTTTTCTCATCTCCTTTAGGTGGGGAGAACCCCCCCTCCACTCTCAGTTCACGTGGGTCTTATGGCCTGGACAGCCCCTCCCTGCCTCGTGACCGCTCCAGCACCTGGGCCTGGCCAATCAGAGGTAAATGTGTGACCCAGGTTGATCTAAGGAGTGTCTTGTCCTGGGAGTTTTGCTTAGAACTGTGTGGAAGAGAAAATCTCTTTGTTCTGGCCCTAAAGCTGTGAGAACACAACCTCCAGCATCAGGGGCGGTCTAGAGCGGTGAGCCTGACTGGGAAGAAAGCCAGCAGTGGGGGGAGGGCAGAGTGGAACAATGGAGAAACTGAGTCCCAGTGACATCGTTTGAGTGCCAGGGACCAGCTGTCTTAGGCCTGTCCTGGAATTGTCAGTTACACGAGCCAAAAATGTCCCCTGGCACGCTCGAGCAAGTTTGGGTTGTGTTTCCAGCCAACTAAGAAGAGTCCTTAAGCCAGCCTGTATAAAATCACTGTCATTTGGAGGAAAGAGCCTTGGGATGTTGAGAGAATTACCCTTCGTGTTCCAAAGCGGCCTCCACAGCTTCTGTTCTTGCTCTGGGGCTGGTGTTCCTGCCCAGCCTGGTGACCGTCTAGGCAGGGTTAGAGGGGGAGCCTAGAGATCAGGGTGTCGGTGAGGCCTGGTTCAGGGCAGGTAGGTTCCATGGCACCTGCAGTTGGTGCTGGGGAGTTTGGGTGGTTGGGAGGAGGGCAGGGAAAGCCTGTTGTTCCCAATTTCAAGTTGGTTTGGCTTGTGAATCCCATATCCAGGAACCTTGTAGCTCAAGAGCTCAAGCTTAAATTTGTTTTTAAGTTTTTTTAGTCTGAAGATTACTTTTTTCGTTTAAACTCATGAATTACGATTGAAATATACGTAGAGAACCCAAAGAAAGGAATCCTAAGTAGGGAAATGGGAGTTAAATTATCTAAATCTGTTTTTATTGCTTCCTCTTTCACGATCCCTAAATCTATGATCACTGAATGGAACTCAACCCTTAGATTTTCAAGCTGTAAGTTCCTGCAGAAAGTTCTCGGTAGATTGGTCGGGGTCGCTTGCAGAGAACAGATTTCATTCTAGACATTTTGCAGAAAGGAGTTTATGATAGGACATTAAATGGCTTGTAAACTATTGGGAGGGTGAAACAAACTCCAGTCTGAGCTTCTAGGAATGGTCAGAAAGTCGTTTCTGTTAAACAGGGGAAGGCCCCGCTACAGCCGCAGGCTCTGGAACCACAGATGCCTCTGCTCTGAGCAAAGTGGATTTCCCTCTTCTCCTCCCGCTTTCCTCGGGCCTCGCAGGGGTGCATTCTGTTGACGGTGAAGCCTCAAGCACAGCTGGAGCCTGAGCTGCAGGGGCGCCTGGGAGATGCGGTTTTACCACCAGCCTCGACAGAGTAAGATGGTGTCCCAGGAGGCTGGAGTCGTTACCAGGCCCACCGAGGCAGGGTGCCCTTCACAGGCCACCCTTTGCCGGTCAATTTCCCCCACACCCCCTCCTCCCCAGACTTCAACTTGTAAACAATCACATTAGCAACAAGCTCTCCTGCCTAATATAGTACAACCATCCCTCAGAGAGGCACAATTGTCCTCATCCTTCCCTGAAAGGAAGGGCCCGAAATATCATCAATCACTATGACCCAGATTCTAAAACCAACCACCTACTGCACACCCGATTTAAAGTAGTAGGGAAAGGTGGGGGCGGGAAGGAAATCCAATATAGATTCCTTATGTATTTACCTGGCAGCGGGCCATCCACTGGTGTTTGGAACTTTCTCTCTTCCACTGATTATTCCGTCATCTTTGTCCTCAAGTTAACACTTCAGCTGGTCCGAGTTTGTAACCTGGCAGATGATTGACTCACACTTTTACCCCTGCTGGGTATGAGCTCTTCATGATCCTGCTTGTGGGGGGTTACTGTAGACTTTCATCAAAACTGACACAAAATACTACAATGAAAAGAAGCAGCCTCCAAAATTGCGTGGGCCCCAGAACACCCCCTCCATGTCCATTGAGTGGCAGCAGCCCCATTTCCCCTTGATATTCACCATCTATTACCCAGCCAGCATGGTACTGTGAACCCAGAAGTATCTGAGACAGGTCTCGATCAATTTAGAAAGTTTATTTTGCCAAGGCTAAGGACACGCCCATGACACATCCTCAGGAAGGCCTGACATGTGCCCAAGGTGTTCGGGGCATGGATTGCTTGCTTTTATTTATTTTTATTTTATTTTATTTTATTATTATTATACTTTAAGTTTTAGGGTACATGTGCACAATGTGCAGGTTAGTTACATATGTATACATGTGCCATGCTGGTGTGCTGCACCCATTAACTCGTCATTTAGCATTAGGTATATCTCCTAATGCTGTCCCTTCCCCCTCCGCCCACCCCACAACAGTCCCCAGAGTGTGATGTTCCCCTTCCTGTGTCCATGTGTTCTCATTGTTCAATTCCCACCTATGAGTGAGAACATGCGGTGTTTGGTTTTTTGCTCTTGCGATAGTTTACTGAGAATGATGATTTCCAATTTCATCCATGTCCCTACAAAGGACATGAACTCATCATTTTTTATGGCTGCATAGTATTCCATGGTGTATATATGCCACATTTTCTTAATCCAGTCTATCATTGTTGGACATTTGGGTTGGTTCCAAGTCTTTGCTATTGTGAATAGTGCCACAATAAACATACGTGTGTATGTGTCTTTATAGCAGCATGATTTATAGTCCTTTGGGTATATACCCAGTAATGGGATGGCTGGATCAAATGGTATTTCTAGTTCTAGATCCCTGAGGAATCGCCACACTGACTTCCACAATGGTTGAACTAGTTTACAGTCCCACCAACAGTGTAAAAGTGTTCCTATTTCTCCACATCCTCTCCAGCACCTGTTGTTTCCTGACTTTTTAATGATTGCCATTCTCACTGGTGTGAGATGGTATCTCATTGTGGTTTTGATTTGCATGTTTCTGATGGCCAGTGATGGTGAGCATTTTTTCGTGTGTTTTTTGGCTGCATAAATGCTTTCTTTTGAGAAGTGTCTGTTCATGTCCTTCACCCACTTTTTGATGGGGTTGTTTTTTTCTTGTAAATTTGTTTGAGTTCATTGTAGATTCTGGATATTAGCCCTTTGTCAGATGAGTAGGTTGTGAAAATTTTCTCACATTTTGTAGGTTGCCTGTTCACTCTGATGGTAGTTTCTTTTGCTGTGCAGAAGCTCTTTAGTTTAATTAGATCCCATTTGTCAATTTTGGCTTTTGTTGCCATTGCTTTTCATGTTTTAGACATGAAGTCCTTGCCCATGCCTATGTCCTGAATGGTAATGCCTAGGTTTTCTTCTAGGGTTTTTATGGTTTTGGGTCTAAAGTTTAAGTCTTTAATCCATCTTGAATTAATTTTTTATAAAGTGTAAGGAAGGGATCCAGTTTCAGCTTTCTACATATGGCTAGCCAGTTTTCCCAGTACCATTTATTAAACAGGGAATCCTTTCCCCATTGCTTGTTTTTGTCAGGTTTGTCAAAGATCAGATAGTTGTAGATAAGCGGCATTATTTCTGAGGGCTCTGTTCTGTTCCATTGATCTATATCTCTGTTTTGGTACCAGTACCATGCTGTTTTGGTTACTGTAGCCTTGTAGTATAGTTTGAAGTCAGGTAGCGTGATGCCTCCAGCTTTGTTCTTTTGGCTTAGGATTGACTTGGCGATGTGGGCTCTTTTTTGGTTCCATATGAACTTTAAAGTAGTTTTTTTCCAATTCTGTGAAGAAAGTCATTGCTTGCTTTTATACATTTTCGGGAGACATGAGACATCAATCAATACATGTAAGATGTACATCGGTTCAGTCCAGAAAGACGGGGCAACTGGAATGGGGTGGGACCTTCCAAGTAGGCAGATTCAAAGATTTTCTGATTGGCAATTGGTTGACAGAGTTATTATATTATCAATAGAAATGAATGTCCTGGGTTACAATAAGGGGTTTTGGACACCAACGATTTTTTTTTTTTTTTTTTTTTTGAGACAGAGTCTTGCTCAGCTGCCCAGGCTGGAGTGCAGTGGCGTGATCTTGGCTCACTGCAGCCACTGTCTCCTGGGTTCAAGTGGTTCTCACATCTCAGCCTCCCGAGTAGCTGGGATTATAGGCACCCACCATCATGCCCGGCTAATTTTTGTATTTTAGTGAGACGGTTTTACCATGTTGGCCAGGCTGGTCTTGAACTCCTGATCTTAGGTGATCCACCCACCTCGGCCTCCCAAAGTGCTAGGATTACAGATGTGAGCCACTGCGTCCGGCCAATGCCAAGGTTTTATCATGCAGATGAAAGCTCCGGGTAGCAGGCTTCACAGAGAATAGACTGTAAGTGTTTCTTATCAGACTTAAAGAGTCTGTTCTCTCAGTAATTCCAAGAGTGAGAAGGTGATAATGAGGCGTGTCCAGCTCCCCTTCCCATCGTGGCCTGAAACTGGTTTTTCAGTTGACTTTGGAGTGCCCTTGGCCGAGAGGAGGGGTCCATTCAGATGGTTGGGGGCCTTAGAATTATTTTATTTTATGTTAATTTTTGAGATGGAGTTTTGCTCTTGTTGCCAAGATTGGAGTGTAATGACACAATCTTGGCTCACTGCAACCTCTGCCTCCTGGGTTCAAGTGATTCTGCTGTCTCAGCCTCCCAAGTAGCTGGGACCACAGGCGCCCGCCACAACACCTGGCTAATTTTTGTATTTTTAGTAGAGACGGGGTTTCACCATGTTGGCCAGGCTGGTCTCGAACTCCTGACCTCAGGTGACTCACCCACCTCGGCCTCCCAAAGTGCTGGGATTACAGGTGTGAGCCACCACGCCCAGCCTAGAATTTTATTTTTGATTTACAGTACCATGGTTGTGTCTTCTCTCTAAAGTTGTGGGGATGGGAAGCAAGAATTAGAAATTTTGCAATCAGTCCTTAGGGACAGCATCACTTGTTCCCCTGACCCGCGTTTCTGCCTGTGGGAGAAAGAGCATGGCGTGGCGTGTGTGGCTCAGAGGGTCTACCATGTGAATAACACAGTTCTCCACTCCATGTGCGACTGGCTCCCATCCAGTACCACAGTGGAGTCTTCATGGTCCTTCTGCCATTCCGGGTGATGAGTGCATGGCAAGACCAGTGAATTCCATGCCTCACCCCGCGGCCACCCTTCTTTGTCTGGAAAGTGAATTTCTTTGCCGGGAGCAATGTTGTTTGAGGTGCCATGGAAGAAAACAGTCTGCAGTTCCGCAGACGGGCAGAAGCATGGTGAGGACGGAGGGCAGAGCCGCACTCAAAGTCAACGTGCGTTCCAATGAGGCCAGTCGGCTCACTCCCCTGGATCGAAAGAGGCCGGCTCTCAGGGCAGGCAGGCACCCTTGTGGGGGATCTGCTTCTGTTTCTCCTGTGTGTGGCCAGGGTGGTGGCCAGACCTGCTCTGGGGAGGGGAGAGTGGTTGCTGAGCTCACACCATGATCTCTGTCTCAGCCTCATGCCACTGTGTCCATGAACTCACTGAGCACTCAGTGGAGTGGCTAAGGAAAGAGGCTCCTCAGCCTCCTCAGAGTGGGTCAGCTTGTCCACCAGCTACCAAGAGCCTCCTCTGTTGGGGGGGCCAGATGTCCTCACATGCTTGGCCCGTCCTGGGAGGCCCATCCCCAGCCTCCAGTCCTGTTCTTCCCGAGCGGTACCGCTGGGCCAGACCTTTAGACAAGCCTCCCGTTTGCATATGTGTCCCCATCTCTCCTTCCAGACCCCAGTGGAAAATCAGCTGTGCCATTTGAAGTTCTGCCTACTGGGAGAATTTGCCTTTTCCAGTCTAAATCAAGGCCTCCCCAGGGTGGGGGCTGTGATACAGCAGCAGCTGCTTATGGCTGGGGCCAGCATATTGTACACAGCCCACAAACCAGGCTCAACTTCCTTCTTCCCCAGTGAGTGGGTCAGAGGGAACCCCAAGAGATGGATGATCGGGGGGTGGACAGAGGGGTGGCTGGGCCACTGCAGTAGGTGCCTGGGGTGCAAGTCCCCTGCTGGTGCGATTACCTATGTTTTCAGGGCCTGCTTGGACCCGGTTTCTTGCGTGCATCTTAGATGGGAGTTGGGGGAGGGAAGCGCTGCTGCTTGGCGTAGCTCCGGGCTTGGCCTGGCAGAGCATCTCCTGTCCACTTATGCCTGGCCCCTTGGTATCCCTTAGGGATCTATGACTAGTAGCACATTCTCCATCAGGTCCAGAAGCAACTCCTGAACTGTGTCTTTAAAGGAAATAGTTGTTTGCTGAAGAGACTGTGGCTTTGCTTCAAAACCCAAGGGAACTGCACGGTGATTCTTCCATTGCAACTTGTCACAGGCTGTCTGCAGTTTCCCCATCTGTCCAGATGCTGTGAGCCCTGCGGGGTGTCAGGGATAAGTGCCCAGAAGCCAAGCGGCATCTGCTGCAGCCCAGGTTGGCCAGTGAGCCTCCTGCTCGGGTGCCCACAGAGTAGGCAGGCTTAGGGGTTCCTTGATGAAGGGGTGGGAGCCTGTGCCTCTCTTTTAGTGACGAGTTGCAAGATGTAGCAACTTTTATTTTTGTTTTCTGGAGAGTAAATCCTACATCCTACCATACCCCAGATCAGGCTGCTGAATTTTCTTTCCTGCTTTCCTTCCTTCCTTCCTTCCCTCTCCCTTTCTTTCTTTCTTTTCTTTCTCTCTCTCCTTCCTTCCTTCCTTCCTTCCTTCCTTCCTTCCTTCCTTCCCTCCTTCCCTCCCTCCCTCCCTCCCTCCCTCCCTCCCTCTCTCTCTCTCTCTCTTTCTTTCCTTTCTTTCCTTTCTTTCTTTCTCACGGTTTCACTCCGTCACCCAGGCTAGAGTGCAGTGGCACCATCTCGGCTCACTGCAGCCTCTGCTTCCCAGGTCCTAGCGATTCTCCTGCCTCAGCCTCCGGAGGAGCTGGGACTACAGGCGCATGCCACCATGCTCAGCTAATTTTTGTATTTTTAGTAGAGATGGGGTTTCACCATGTTGGCCAGGCTGGCCTCAAGTGATCCGCCCGCCTTGGCCTCCTAAAGTGCTGGGATTACAGGCGTGTCCTGGCAGGCCCCTGAATTTTCAAGTTTGCTTCCCACCCTCTGGCGCACTTGGGTCTTGCCAAGGTTTCCGTATGTCTGCCCGAGACTTCGTGCTCTGAGATCCTCTCACTTTGGGGTCTTCCATGTGGTGGAGCAGCACACTGCCACATGGTTTGCTGGGGTGATGAAGGTCCCTATAGGTGGAATTAGGACTCCTAGATAGAGCTGACACAGCTATAGAGTGCGAGTATGGGATTGCCTGGCTGCCTTTGTCAGGGTTAAGCAAAGTGTCTCTAAATGTGACAGGGGAAAAGCACCTGCCAGCTCCATCGCCGAGTGCCGGGTGCTCCAGCAAGAGACCCGCACATGCAGCAGGGGCTCCCATTGGAGCCACCACCTGAGTCCATTTGTAATGATCCCAGACACTCCCCAAGACCCATCTGCCTCTTGCATTCGTGTGGCAGAAAAGTTCTAGTCTCCCAAATCTGAAGTGACACTGAGACCTTGATCTCCCCGGGGGAGGCTGGGTTGCTTTTATTTACCAATGTGGTAGGAATGGGTAGTTCCAGAGACTTCTACTTGCTCCTTTCCATCATAATGACGCTTGCATGGGTTAGGCTGGTGTAGGATTCTGTCAGTCTTGGAGCCTGTGTCTTACAACCAGGCGCTTAGGAACTGCAGCGATGACCCCATGTGAGTTCGGGAGCCCACTGGCTTTGCTGTGAGAAACTCAGGCTCACGTTCCAACATCATCTGGCCTCTACAGTCTCCATCTGACAAGCCCATGGTGGATCCGGAGTCTCAGGGATCAGCGTCAGCGCACAGCCAGGGTCTAACAATCTCCAAAGGTCTGGGCATTCCCTCCCCTGGGGGCAGCTCACTAGCAGGGGGCAGCTCACTAGCAGGGGCCATGGGTCCCTCGGAGGACAGCGAGGAGCAAGGCTGACTGCCACACCTGCGGTGCTGCAGGAGGCTGTTTGCAAAAAGGGCCACTGCTTCTCCCTGTCTCCACACACCTTGTGTAAGGTGACCTTGTAGCTTCTGCCCTCAAGAGGTGGAGTCTGTTTTCCCTTGAATCTGGGGCTGCCTGGGGACTCATCTGATCCAAGGAATGCAGTGTAAGTGACATCATGCCAGTTCTGAGCCTGAGCCTCAAGAGCCTTGCCTGCACCTGTTCTTTCTCCTGGATCCCCACTTGCTCCATAAGAACAAGCCAGGCCAGCCCTGCTGGAGGACGGGACCATGTGGGGCAGACACAGCCTGGCGGTGGCTCCAGAGCATGTGAGAGAGGCCAGCCAGGATTGGCTGAGCTGGCCCGGTGAGCAGAACTACCTGCTGACCTACAGATGTGTGAGCAATAATAAATGACTGTTGTTTCCAGCTGCTAAATGTGGGCGTGCATGCAGTAGCAAGCAGATACAGGTGGCATCCTAGGGTGGATCCCAAGGGAACCCAGGGAACCCGGCACCTGTTTATTCTGAGGGCCCAGGCTTCACACACTGACTCGCATCTCGGAATTGGGTGAGGAGTTGGGACTTCACTGTGGTGTCTCACGCCAGGCGTCTGCTCTCCAGGCCTGGAGGATTTTTTTTTTTTTAAGTTGTACACATTGAGCAGGACCATAAAGGGCTGCCCACCTATTTCAGGCCCAGGGGCTCCATGACTGATTGATGGCTGCTAAAGTTCCCTGAGCTTGGTCATTCTGATGAGCGTTTGGACTGGGCTGCTCACCAGGCCACCGTCCCCCTGGCCTCTGGCAGGTGCTGCTGCTCTGAAATTGTTCCTGGTGGTGAATCCGTATAGGTCTGCAGCAACCACAATTCTGGCCTCCTCAGCAGAAAGAATTCAACTGAAGGGGGATAAGGCAGAAGGAGAGAATGAGGAAGTTTTAGAGCAGGAGTGAGAGTTCATTAAAAAGCTTTAGAGCAGGAATGAAAGGAAGGAACGTACACTTGGAAGAAGGCCAAGCGGGTGACTTGAAAGATCAAGTGCGTGGTCTGACGTTTTGACTTGGGGTTTTTTATGTCAGCAGGTGTTCAGGGTCTTGTGTCCCTTCTCCCCTGACTATTTCCTTGGAGTGGGCCGTGCACATGCGCAGTGGCTGCCAGTGCTCGGGAGGGGAGCACGCACAGTGTGTTTACTGGAGTTGTGCGCATGCTCGCTTGAGGCGTTCTTTCCTTACAGTCGAGTGTTCCTAGAGGAAGGTCATATACCAGTTAAACGCCACCATTTTGCCCCTTAGTGCATGTATTAGTCTGTTTTCACGCTGTTGAAAAAGACATACCTGAGACTGGGCAATGTACAAAAGAAAGAGTTTTGGACTTACAGTTCCACATGGCTGGGGAGGCCTCACGATCATGGCGGAAGGCAAGGAGGAGCAAGTCACCTCTTACATGGCTGGCAGCAGGCAGAGAGAGAGTTTGTGAGTTTGTGCAGGGGAACTCCTTTTTTTTTAAACCATCAGATATCATGAGACTTATTCACTATTCAGAGAACAGCATGAGAAAGACCTGTCCCCATGATTCAATTAACTCCCACTGGGTCCCTCCCACCACACATGGGACTTGTGGGAGTTATAATTCAAGATGAGATTTGAGTGAGGACACAACCAAACCATATCAGTGCTTATGCTTGAGCCCCCACTTGCCCAACTCCTGAGATCTTATCAGGAAGCTACCTGTTTCAGGTTTTTCCTGTCTACTGGGAGATTGTGTTTCCCTGATGTTGGCTGAGACCAGTGATTATTTTCGAAGGGACAGTTAACAACTGCCTGACCATCACCTGATGGTCACCTGATATTCCTGGGGTGTTGGGGGGTGAGGGGAGCCATCTCCTGCCCTGCTCATGTCTGGCTAGCTACCTACTGTAACAAAAGCCCAGGTGACTGCTTCACCTCTCTATATGAGTAAACCCCCAGTTCCATCCTTGGATGCCTGTAGTCCCTTCAGGTCTGGTCAAGCAGATAACCAGTCCCAGCCTCCACCGCCTCAGTGTGTTGCCCATGAGCAGCCCTGGTGCCAGTTTCTGTGAAACTGCACATTTCAGTGGACTAGAAATGAATTTATTCTCAGTGAAGTCCACAGGGACTCATTGTAGGGTATTGCATGGCCTAAGGAGTCATTGGGAGGCCCAAAGAAACAAACTTGAGGCTGGGTTTCCAGGAAAGATTTTCAAAGCAGTTCTGTGGAGCTGGACAGATGAGGGAGCTGCTACCTGTGAAGGTCAGGAAGCTGCCCGGAGCCAGAAGTGCCGCCACCTGCCACCCAGCCTAGTTCCCACACAGGTTCACTTGGCTGGAGGACAGACACCCCATCCCATGTGGAACTGCAGTGCAAGACATTCTGGGAAATGAAGCTTTTAGGATTTCCAGCTTACCTGGTCCAGGAAGACACTCGAATGAAGACGGTGGAGCAGATGGAGAGGGCCAGTAATCCCCTGTATCCACACACCAGTAATCCCCTGTGTCCACATACCCAGGAATCCCCTGTGTCCACACACCAGTAATCCCCTGTGTCCACACACCAGGAATCCCCTGTATCCACACACCAGTAATCCCCCGTGTCCACACACCAGGAATCCTCTGTATTCAGATACCCAGTAATCCCCTGTATTCACATACCCAGTAATCACCTGTATCCACACACCCACTAATCCCCTTTGTCCACACACCAGTAATCCCCTCTGTCCACACACCAGTAATCCCCTGTATCCACATACCAGTAATCCCCTGTATCCACACACCAGTGATCCCCTCTGTCCACACACCAGTAATCCCCTCTGTCCACACACCAGCAATCCCCTGTATCCACACACCAGTAATCCCCTGTATCCACACACCAGGAATCTCCCGTATCCACACACCAGTAATCCCCCGTATCCACACACCAGGAATCTCCCGTATCCACACACCAGGAATCCCCCGTATCCACACACCAGGAATCTCCCGTATCCACACACCAGGAATCCCCCGTATCCACACACCAGGAATCCCCCGTATCCACACACCAGGAATCCCCCGTATCCACACACCAGTAATCCCCTGTGTCCACACACCAGTAATCCCCTGTATCCACACACCAGTAATCCCCTGTATCCACACACCAGGAATCTCCCGTATCCACACACCAGTAATCCCCCGTATTCACACACCAGGAATCCCCCGTATCCACACACTGGTAATCCCCCATGTCCACACACCGGTAATCCCCCATGTCCACACACCAGTAATCCCCCGTATCCACACACCAGTAATCCCCTGTGTCCACGCACCAGTAATCCCGTGTCCACACACCAGTAATCCCCCGTATCCACACACCAGGAATCCCATGTCCATGCACCAGTAATTCCCTGTATCCACACACCAGTAATCCCCTCTGTCCACACACCAGTAATCCCCTCTGTCCACGCGCCAGTAAACCCCTGTGTCCACACACCAGTAATCCCCTCTGTCCACACACCAGTAATCCCCCGTATCCACACACCAGGAATCCCATGTCCACGTACCAGTAATCCCCTCTGTCCACGCACCAGTAATGCCCTGTGTCCACACACCAGGAATCCCCCATGTCCACACACCCAGTAATTCTCTGGACACTGCCACTGTCCTAAGGGCAGCATGAACTCCCCACATGTTCCCCTAGTCTCCCCCTTGTTGGAGAAGGGGAGTGCTGGCCTCTATATCTTGCAGCTGATCCTGAGAGAGTTGGTTAAGTGGTGGCTGGCGTCAACCTCTGTGGCTACTGCTTGGAGCTCGATTTGTCCTCTGCTTCTTGGAGTTTCTCTGATCTGTTGCATCCTTCTGTGGTTTGACAACGGGATATGAGATTCTGCTACTTGCATTGGGTTGAGTACATCTGAGTCTCTTCAGGGGCAGAGGATAGCATGTTGCCTGATTTTCAGTCCTAGTCTGTCACTCCTGAACGTATGGCATTGGGCAAGATACTTCCTTTCTATGCCTAATTTTTCTTCTGTAAAATGGTTGTAATTATATTACACACTTTACAGGACTATTATGAGGATTAAAGTAGGTAATGCTTATAAAGCCTCTAGCACATTATCTGGTGCAGAATAAGCATTTAATAAATGTTGATTTTTGTTTATTAATTATCATTTGTATTAGATTGGTGCAAAAGTAATTGCGGTTTTTGCCATTACTTTCAATGGCAAAAACCGCAATTACTTTTGCACCAACCTATAGCTAATGTTAAGGGAACTGTCCTGGGAGTAATGGTTTACATCAATATGTTGCTTAAAACAAAAGTCTCCTGCAAATAAATAGCGAGAGCACGTTAAAGTTTAATTCACTAACCAGTGAATTAATGAACCAGCAGGAAGTTAAAAATAGCTGGTTTGATGAGCAAGTCCATGGGTTTATAAGTCAGTTGGGAAAGGCATGCTGGAATCGAACTTGCTAAGTTAGATTCAAAACTGGTTAATGGCTCAGAGGGCAATATGACTGTAACCTTTGGGGACATCTTTTCCACTGGGCTATGAAAACATTAGCCATTACCAGTTTCTGTGGGTTAAAACCCTCAACCTTCCAGGCAGCAGCACAGCCAGGCTCTCAGCCACTGGGCATTTCCCTGGCAAGGGAAACAAACTACACTCCCCACGATGGTCAGCTGCTGAGGCAGGCTTATTAGGAAATGCTCCAGCAGCAAGGGCATCAGGGAAGCAAGAGATCAGCTTGTTCCCCTTTCCCAGGCTTGGGATACATTTGTTATTACTGATGTGTATATAGGAAGTTCCTACTCCTCTTAAAGATATAGGGGAAACACCCTATGAGATGACGGCTGATTTTGCTGCCTTCACATGGAACCCATGCCCTGGGGCTTCTGGATTTGCTCTTACCCAGGAGAGAAGGGAGAAGGTACTATTAGGTTAGTGCAGAAGTAATTGTGTGGCCGGGCGCGGTGGCTCACGTCTATAATCCCTGTACTTTGGGAGGCCAAGGCAGGCGGATCACGAGGTCAGGAGATTGAGACCATCCTGGCTAACACAGTGAAACCCTGTCTCTACTAAAAATACAAAAAATTAGCTGGGCGTGGTGGCCGGCGCCTGTAGTCCCATCTACTTAGGAGGCTGAGGCAGGAGAATGGCGGGAACCCAGGAGGTGGAGTTTGCAGTGAGCTGAGATCGCACCACTGCACTCCAGCCTGGGCGACAGAGCGAGACTCCGTCTCAAAAAAAAAAAAAAAAAAAGTAATTGTGTTTTTTTCCCATTAGAAGTAATGGCAACAACTGCAATGACTTTTGCATCAACTGAATATAAAGGGTGGCTTCTGTGTAGGTGGGCACCCTGCATCGGTCACCCCTGGGCAGAGTTAACAACTCCCCTGGTTCTGATAGGTTAGAGTGGCTGGTGCTGGCTACCTCTCGGGGGAGAGAAGGTCTTGGCAGAGGAAGGAGGTATGTGGTTCAACTTTCTTCTTTCCTGGTCAACTTGCCAACCAAACCGGCCCCTTTCCCAGCACGCCTAGGCCGCCTGAACGCATTCTGGAGAATCTGGCCATGTTTAATGGAGATGTGCACGAAGGCGTCTAACACCTGGCGGGTCACGCAGTGTGAAAGTTCAGGGGATGGGGAGCTCTTAGGACTCCGTGTTGCTCAGGGAGCCCGGAGGCCCTGCCTTCTGCCTTGGCCCAGCCTGCCACCCGCCCCCTGCAAAGCCATCGGGGAGAGGCTTGGAGGAGGCAGAGACAAGCGGAACCAGGCTTCATTGAAAGCCACTGCTGTGGTCAGCAGGCTGACAGCTCCCTCTTCGCCCCAAACCCCAACCCTGAGTCTCAGATCCTAGCACTTGAGTGTGACAAAAGCCACGCCGGCCAGTGTCGCTGGGAGTGGGAGTGAGCGCGGGGGCTTCCTCGGAGGGATGTTTGTGGCCAGAGGCATAAAGTGTGTGAATGAACGAGGCTCCCCGGGGTCCCGCCCCCCACCTGAGGGTGAAGGGGAGGGGAGAGGGAGCCCCCGCCTCAGGGCAGCTGTGCCCAAACCCTAGTCCTTCCTCATCCTCCCGTGGTTTCAGCCTCACCCTCTTACTGCTTGTATCATGTGATTCTTATCATTATTTAAAGGGACCCAGCTTTTTAGCTAAGTACATTTATTTCAAAAGGAACATGTATTATTGTCCTAAATGAGATACCAGAAATATTTCTTTTCCAAATATAGAAGGTAACTTGTAAAAAAAAAAACAACAAAACTTAATGACGATAAAACAGACTTTTTTTAACTGTAGCAAATGCTGGCTCTTACCTGAGAGCAGTCTTTGTTTTGGTTTGTTTTTCCTTTTCTCTTCCTCCTCCTTCCTTCTCTGTTCTCCTTCCTCCTTCCTCCCTCCTCCTCGTCCTCCTCCTCGTCCTTGTCCTCCTCCTCCTCCTCCTCATCCTCCTCCTCCTCCTCCTCGTCCTCGTCCTCATCCTCCTCGTCCTCCTCCTCCTCCTCTTCCTCCTCCTCCTCCTCCTCCGTCTCTTTCTGTGCCTGGTGTATTTCACTTAACACAATAACCTCCAGTTCCATCCATGTTGTTGCAAATGACAGGATTTCATACTTTCTTATGGCTGAATAGTACTAGCCTGGAGTTCTGAGTCACCGACTGGAGGAGAACCACAAGGTCCCCTGGCCCACATTGACTATAGCATGAGAGGAGTGTAAACTGTGATCATGCTCAGCCACTGAGATCCTGGCATTGTTTCTTGTGGCAGCCAGTGTTCATTACCCACGTATGTCCACTTAGCCAGAGGGTCCCATTAGCCAGAAAACACCCCTCTCCAATAATCATTGTTAATGAAGATGGAGGAACTGTGGGGGGTGCTGTCTTCATTCAAGTAATTAATATTTATTTGGCACTTAGGTGGTCAGGCACTGTGATACATGCTTTCTCACATTGCTTTGTTCAATTTCCATCACAACCGGACTAGGTGTGGGCATTAGTATCTGTTTTACAGATGAGGAAACTAGGGCTCAATAAGATTTACACAGGTAGGGAGAGCTGGGCTGGACTTTGAACCCAGCTCCGTCTGACCACACGGCGTATCTTCTCTTCACCACGCTAGATATATTGATCCTTTTAATATGGGCATGTCAGGGAGGAATTTTGATGGAAAGAGTAAATGTGTACTATTGGTCGATCCTCTAGGTGCCTACGCCAGGGCGTGAGAAAAGCATCAGAGCAGAGGGCTCTGCAGAATTCAGGGTAAACTGTTCCTCAATTTGGCATCTGCTCTGGTGATCTGAAGTATTACCAGATTATCCCAACTGACGAAGAACGTACAATCCCCTGTGGGCAACACCATTCTGAAGTCTGAGTTTGCTCTCGGCCAATCTCACATGTAATTTTTCCCAGGGAAGATTTTAGCTCATTTTTAGAGCTGGTTTCTTTCCTTGCTTCCTTTTCATCTTATTTCACATTCAGAGTTGATGAAGCAGAGTTTCAGGTCTTTAGTGGATCTGATTGATGCCCCATACCACCTCAATCTGAAAATGGCTCCGGAGGGCATGTCCAGCTGAATGAGCTCATTTTATGGCATGGGGGTTGTGTATTGGGGAGGCAGGCTAGACTCACAGTTGTGTGATGTGTCTGCTTAGAGTTGTGCAATGATTGACCTCTTTTTGGGCTGCTTTCACTTAAAGACTATAACTTCCCCAACTCAAACCTACGAAAAGGTGTCCCCACCCTCTTTGACCCAGTGGAGGCTAGTGGAATTGGAATTCCCTCATGGGGGCTGGTTCTGGTCCTGGTGATCCTGCCAGGACTCCTGGGGCTCCTTCTTTTTTCTTTCTTTTTTTTTTTTTTGAGATGGAGTCTCGCTCTGTCGCCCAGGCTGGAGAAAAGTGGTGCAATCTCGGCTCACTGCAAGCTCTGCCTCCCGGGTTCAGGTGATTCTCCCACCTCAGCCTCCCTAGTAGCTGGGACTACAGGTGTGTGTCATGACACCCCACTAATTTTTTTGTATTTTTAGTAGAGATGGGGTTTCACTGTGTTAGCCAGGATGGTCTCCATTTCCTGACCTCATGATCTGCCTACTTCAGCCTCCCAAAGTGCTGGGATTACAGGCGTGAGCCACCATGCCTAGCCCTGGGGATCCTTCTTTATTGAGGTGGGTGTTGAGTAGTTCTGCACGGCTGGGCGAAGGCAAATACATGTGGAAAATGTCTAGGAGCATCACTGCTGTAGCAGATGCCTCCCGTCTGCTGCTTATGAGAGATTTCCAACTCAGGGAGGATTCCAGAGTGTACTTGCCTCCCACGGAAGGAGGGCTTGCATTTTGGGAAGTGCAATAGTTCTGAAGTGGCCAATGGCACAGGTCCGGAGCCTCCGGGCCAGCTGTGCCGCTGTCCACCGATCCTGCTGGAGGCTGTGACGCGGGCTGGCCACCTGCTCCCCAACACCTGTTAGGAGTACTTCTGGAGTCAGTGGCCGAGAGGGAGTTGGGTTCCTCCTTCCTTCCTGTGCCTGGCCATGAAGCAGCTGCGATTCTCTGGATTGCTAGCCAGCCCCTGTCCCTGCTGGGCAAGAATCCAGCTGATTAGTCTTAGGGTCAGTCTACCCTCCAGAGGGAGGAAAGCCTTTGCAAATGTGGTACAATCAGAAAGCAGATGTCGTGGTTTTAAGACCTGTTAGGCAGAAACGTCTGGTAGGCGTGCTGGTGCTGATGGGCGGGGGGTGGGGGGTATGCAGCAAACCTTCACAGCTGGCTGTGCCGGCAGATGCTACAAATTCTGGAGGGGTAGTCTGCAGCAACTCCTGAACCTTAGAGCACACAAGATACTGTCAGAGAGATTGTGCATACGGTGTGTGTAAACGTGTGAGCCTGTGTGAGCGTGTATAGTTTTGGATGTGGGCATAGGTGTGCATGGGAGTGTGAGTGTGTGCATGCGTGTGTGTGCACAGCAGGGGAAACCACAGCAAGTAGCCATCCCAGAAAAGCAGCCTAAGGTCTGGACCAGGGCTCTCCACGGAGAGGCCAAGGGCACAGGCGTCGGTTGCCTGTCGGGAAAGTTGAGCAATGACTGAGGAGGGCCCCCTGGACCTGTTCCCATTTGATTGTTTCAGAAGCCCAGGACAAAGCTGGGGAAATACACTGGGGCTCAGAGAAGTTAGGTGACCTGCCCAGAGCCACAGGGCTTTTAAATGGAGGTGACAGTGGAAAGGGATGTTATGATGGGGGATGGGTAGCTTCTCTGTGGGCCAAAAGCAATGCAGGTAACATCAGGTTACATTAAAGTAGGAGAGACTCCAGTAAAAGACTCCTGGGCATAGAGCGGATTTCCTCCAGAGCTTTAAGAAGAGGGGAAGCTCAGCCCATCTTGGTGGAGGGAGGAGCCACCAGCCCACCTCCTAGCGCCCACCTTGTGCTGCAGGGAGGGGGTTCCCACGCTCCCAGGCTCCCAGTGGCCCCTTGGAGGCTAGGACTCTCTCCATACTTAGACTAAAACACAAGTGTCTTCTGTTTCCTAGATTTAGGATTTTATTCTTCTCTGCGCTCATAATAAATTTTTAAACAATGTACCTTGCTCTGGTGAATATGAAAAATAGAGGAGAATGAGCAGGTGAATAATTCATCTAAATGTTTCTACTTAGGCTTTTAAACTCATTTTGGCTCCTCGCCTTTGATTTTGCTTCCGTCCGAAACAGCTCCTGCTTGTCAGGCCCACCGTGCGGAGATGGAGAATCACAAGTGTTCAGTACTGCAGCAATGTGTGTGCGGCGCCCGGGCGTTTCCAGGGCGGGATCGCCTCTCCTCGATATTTCTAAAGTGGCTTAAAGTGTGAAGCCCCCCGCCCCGAAGTCAGAGTCCTGGCTATGACTCCTCGTTCGGCCAGTTACTGAGCTGAGTAGTCTTGGGCCAGCCAGTAGAATGGGTGAATCAAGTATCTGAGTCTCTTATCACACAAGGTTGTTGTGGAAACAGAGAAAGAGGGGTTGAAGGGAGGTGGTGGGCACCTGACCCTGCCGTTCTGGCTCTTTTGATCTCCCAGGCCTGGGACAGCACTCAGCACACAGTGGGCATCCGATCCACCTGCTCTTCATTCATCTGTTCAAGTGCTCCTCATTGCTTCCCATCTGTCAGGCATTGTTCTCAGGCCTTGGAATCCATTCGTGAACATTAAAGACAAAGATTTTTACAATACATTAGTGAATTACATAATAGATCAGAAGGTGTTATTACTATGGGAAAAAAGCTGAGTCTGGGATATTAGTGGCAAGTGGTTATAAAAAATAGGATGGTGATGCTAGACTCTGTGAGATCTTTGAGCCAGTGCATGAAAGGGATGTGGGCCTGGAAGCAAATATGTATTTGTCTTCAGCCGAGTGATGTGTATGTTGACTGGCATGTGCGTGTTGAGTGACATGTTAGTGGCATGTGTGCGAGTGGCATGTGTGTGTTAAGTGGCATGTGAGTGGCATATGTGTGTTGAGTGGCATGTGTGTGTTGACTGGAATGTGTGTGTTGAGTGGCATGTGTGTGTTGAATAACGTGAGTGGCATGTGTGTGTTGAGTGGCATGTGAATGACGTGTGTTGCGTGGCATGTGTGTTGACTGGAATGTGTGTATTGAGTGGCGTGTGTGTTGATTGCCATGTAAGTGGCATGTGTGTGTTGAGTGGCATGTCTGTGTTGAGTATGTGTGTGAGTGGCACGTGTGTGTTGAGTGGCATGTGTATGTTGAGTGTGTGTATGTGTTGAGTGGCATGTGTGTGAGTGGCATGTGTGTGTTGATTGCCATGTGAGTGGCATGTGTGTGTTGAGTGCCATGTGAGTGGCATGTGTGTGTTGAGTGGCATGTGTGTGTTGAGTGGCGTGTGTGTTGATTGCCATGTGAGTGGCATATGTGTGTTGAGTGGCATGTGAATGGCATGTGTGTGTTGAGTGGCGTATGTGTGTTGAGTGGCAAGTGAGTGGCATGTGTGTGTTGATGGCATGTGAGTGGCATGTGGTGTGAGTGGCACATGTGTGTTGAGTGGCAAGTGAGTGGCATGTGTGTGTTTGCATGGCGTGTGTGTGTTTGAGTGGCGTGTGTGTTTGCATGGCGTGTGTGTGTTTGAGTGGCGTGTATGTGTGAGTGGCACATGTGGAGTGGCAAGTGAGTGGCATATGTGTATGTAAGTGGCATGTGTGTTTGAGTGGCGTGTGTGTGAGTGGCATAGGTGTGTTGAGTGGCAAGTGAGTGGCATGTGTGTTGATAGCATGTAAGTGGCGTGTGTGTTTAGTGGCATGTGAGTGGCATGTGTGTGTTGAGTGGTATGAGTGTGAGTGGCAAGTGAGTGGTGTGTGTGTTGATGGCATGTGAGTGGCATGTATGTGTTATGTTGGCATGAAAGGGTGTGTACACGTGTGTATTTTGAATGCATGTATTTCTGCCTGTTCCATGTCTGTGTGTGCTTCTGTGTGTACATGTGGTTTTTGAGGTGTGTCTATTTGTGTCTGTGTCTCTGCCTGTGCGTCTGTGTGTGTGTTTGTATGTCTTGTGCCTGTCTTTTCTTGCCTGTGTGTTTGTGCCTCTGTGTGTGTACATATGTATGTAGTTGTATGTTTGTGTGGGGTGTGTGTCCGTATTTGTGTCTCTGTGTATGCGTGTCTGTGTATCTGCATGTGTGCTGTGTGTGTGCATGCTCATTTGCATTCATAAGAAAGCCTTCATATATGTGGGGATTCCCAAGGAGGGACCCTCACCCCAAACTGCCTCCCCCCAGTGCCTTCAGCTTCTTCAGTTTACAGATCTTCTCTCACACTCTTTATTTCTCTTCTAGAAACTTCCGCCCCAGCCTCACACTTGATTCCATAAACGCTGGTCATTCTTGCTGTCTCTCAGTCCTGGCAGGGGCCGTCGCTCTGAGCCTCCCTGTTTTCGATATCTGTGCTCTCTGCTCGGGCCCTGTACATTTTCTCCCTAGCAGGAGGCTCTGCACAGGGGCTGAAGGTCTCTCTGGACACTTGACCCTCCTCGTTTTTGAAGGGAGCATTGGCTGTGGATTCATCTAGCAAGAGCCCTGACAGCTAGAACAGGTCTCTTTATCTGTCCTTTATGATAACTAAAGGAGCCGCTAAATTAATTATGCCAACTTCCATTTTATTAAGTATGGCATTCCCTTTGATTTAGGAATATTTTTACTACTCCAAGTGCTTTTAAGGAAGGTGATGGCAAGAGGAAATCTATTCACTGCTGCAGTATATTCGGTTTCTTTTCATAAATTGTCTAGATTGCATTTTAAGGGAGTGGAAATTGAATCCAGGCTTTTCTTAAAAATTGCTGAAGTCAATTAGCTGCTGAGGTGTTTAATTATGGGAGAAAAACTCAGATCTACCAGCAAGGAGAGACTTCCTGGGGAAGCGTCTCAGCCCAGGTGTCTGCTCTTCCCTTAGTTATCCCAGTTGTCTTCTCCAAAGAGCCTGCCTCCCTCACGCCTGGGTTTAGATCTGTGCCATTTCAGAGAATGGCCACCTATCCTTCCATCCATTCATTAGTCCATTCATCTACCCATCCAACCATCCATCCATGCATCCTTTTCCTCCTACCCATCTATTTCTTTGCTTCACTCAGAAGTGATTCCTTCCCCACTGGGAAGAAGGTGAGTTGATACTCAGCCCCCTGATTCCTTTACTAGTGTCCCTGGTGATGGTGCAGCACCAACCTGCCCCACTCACCTTGGAAACGGCGATGAGTTAATATTTATAAATATTTATAAAATATCTCCGGCCCCAAGAAGGCCTCCTGGAATGACCTTTCGTGGAATCTTCCTTGTTTCAGTGCTTGATTCTAACTGTCGAGATTGTGAAGCAAAATGTTAGGAGGTCAAATTGCAGGAGAAACTAAAAAATGTTTGTTGATATGTCCTGATTGTGTATCAGGAGATGCAAGGCCGATCTCTCTCTCTTTTTTAAATTTTAATTTTACTTTAAGTTCTGGGATACATGTGCTGAACATGCGGGTTTGTCACATAGGTATACATGTGCCATGGCGGTTTGCTGCACCTGTCAACCTGTCATCTAGGTTTTAGGAGCCACGTGCATTAGGTATTTGTCCTAATGCTCTCCCTCCGCTTTTCCCCCACCCACTGACAGGCCCCGGTGTGTGATGTTCCCCTCCCTGTGTCCATGTATTCTCATCGTTCAACTCCCACTGATGAGTGAGAACAAGCGGGGTTTGGTTTTCTGTTCCGGTGTTAGTTTGCTGAGGATGATGGTTTCCAGCTTCATCCATGTCCCTGAAAAGGACATGAACTTATCCCTTTTTAAGCAAGAAGAGAAGTTCTCTGTCGAGTCACGGCCTGGATGTCCAATCGCTGTCTTTCTAAAATCAGGGATATTCTAGAACTCGAGTCTCTTTGACAATGCCCATTTCTCAGCACTTTTGCTACTACCTGAACACAGGGGTTAGCAAACTACAGCCCACAGACCAAATCTGCCTGCTTTTCAAAATTAAGTTTTATTGTGACGCAGCCACACCCACTTCCTTACGTACTGTCTGTGGCTGCTTTTGTGTTACCATGGTGGAGCTGAATGGTTTCACATTGAATGTGAACAAAGTGTCTTATTCAGACTTAACTTACTCCTTATAATTTTCTTTTTCTGGAAGAAAATGGATGGATACACAGTTAAAACTTTTCTCCCTGTAGGAAACTTGATGGATGGTGAGGCCAGGGCTCTTCATGGGCCTGGACAACCTTGACTGGCTCTCGTTGAAAGCATGTTTGTTACCAGAGAGAAATATCCCAGATTCCAAGGTGTAGGAAGACCAACCTGCAGGGCCTTAGTGTGGGAGGGGACACTACTGTGTTCTCTGTCCCTCCACTGTCCTCAGAGTGAAGTGGCACAGGTGGCTCCTGTTGAAGGAGGATCCCATATGTCTTTGCTTAAAAAAAGTATGTGTGTGTGTGTGTGTGTGTGTGTGTGTGTGTATGGGTACACATATACACGTATGTGTATAATAGCATTATACACACATAAATACACACACATATATATACTTTTTTAGTGTATACACACATATGTGTATATATATGTTCATTTATTTAAGAGATGGAGTCTCACTCTGTCTCCCAGGCTGGAGTGCAGTGTTGCGATCATAGTTCACTGCAGCCTTGAACTTCTGGGCCCAAGCAATCCCCTTGCTTCAGCCTCCCAAAGTGCTGGGATTACAGGCTAGCACCACCATGCCTGGTGTGGCATCTTTGGTTTTTAATACAGAGAGGTTGTTTGCCGGTGTTTGCCTGGCCGGAGGACATGGTATTAGTAATGAAAGGAGGGCCCAGTCCTCACCTAACTGTGAATTTCATTTACTGTAAGTGACTGGAGGTCAATTCAAACTGTGTTTATGCTTCATTGTCTCACCATGACAGTGAGGCACAATATTTAGACAGCTTGGTAGCATTTATGTTCTAAATGTGGACATAAACTTCTTGTTTTACACTGGAACTGAAATCGATGATGAAATAGCAGCATTATATCAAATCAATTCTGAAAGACTCTTGAAGTCAATCCAAGTTGCAGAAAGAGAGATGAAGATAGTCAAAATATTTGGGCCCGTCGATTTTGCTACATTTGGGAGAGAGTGTACTCATGAAAAATGAGGTTTGTTGTGGGTTTGTTTGACTAATTATCGTCTCTCAAAATGGACTACTCTTTTCTCTGGGGTGATGTCAGGAACGGGGTGTCACAGAGGCCACCTTATTTTAATATTCTCTTGCAAAGTCTAGCCTGGCCAAACTAAAGAGGCAACCTGACAGATACTTATGCTGATGTTTTGTTAAAAGATGTGCAAAGTTTGGTTACCTGACCTCAGAATAATAAAAAAAAAGTCTATACACAGCAACATCTGATGCCTGCCTCCCTAATTTGCTTGAATTATTGTTGTATTCCTGGGGGAAAATTGTGACTAACATCTTCACTCCCTAGAATTATTCAGTCTGCTGCTATGCTGGGAGTGGTGAGGAGGCCACGTGGATGCTGGTGAGGTGGCTCCATTTGAAGGAATGGAATGTTACCCTCTGAAGTTCAGGCATTGGTGGGATCCCAGTGAAGATGAGGTCAAAGAAGATGAGGTTTGTGAGCAGATCTTAGCATTTTCCTAATAATCTGCCCCCAGGAAGACCTGGCTTTTCCAGATACTGTGATAACCTTCTAAGAGCTGGGCTGAATAGAAACAAAATTCATAGACTCCAAACAACCATTTTATTGCTGAGATATGTAAAAACACTCCGTGATTTTCTGAAATAAAGAAAAAAAAAAAAAGACTAGGCCACAGGGCCTAGTCTTACATTTTTATCATTGTTTAAAAATGCCCTCTGGAATCATTTGTAGCTTGACCTCCCAAGTACGTAGAGCAGGTTGATATGTCTACATTTGGGGTGATTCTCTTACAAGGACTGGGGTGCTGTGGGAGCTTCCAGTCTGCTGTCAAAACCGTTTGGGAAGGAATCACTTCTGAGTGAACCAAAGAACTGAATGGATAGACGGATAGAAGGGAAGGGATGCATGAGTGAATGGTTGGATTGATAGGTGAATAGATGAATGAATGGATGGAAGGATAGGTGGATAGAAGGGAAAGAATACATGGATGGATGGATGGGTGAATGAATGCGTGGATGGATGGTTGGATGGATGGGTGGATGGGTAGGTGGATGGAATATTGAGTGGATAGAAGGGAAAGAATGCATCGATAGATGAATGAATGCATGGATGGTTGGATGGATGAATGGATGAATGGATGGAAGGATGGGTGAATAGAAGAGAAATGATGTATGGGTCGATGGATACATGGATGAATAGGTGGGTGAATGACTGGATAGATGGATGTAGATGGGTGGATTGATGGATGGATGAATGAATGAAAGGATAGGTGGATAGAAGGGAAAGAATGCATGAATGGATGAGTGAATGGTTGGGTGGGTGGTTGGATGAATGAAAGATAATGATGGATGGTTGGATGGATAAATGAATGGAAGGAAGGAAAGGTGGATAGAAGAGAAAGGATGCATGGATAGATGGATGGAAGGATGAACAAATGGGTAGATGGTTGGATGAATGGTTGGTTGAATGAAAGGATGGGTGGATAGAAGGGAAATGATGCATGGATAGATGGGTGGATGGATGGATGAATGGATGAGTGTATGAATGGAAGGATGGTGGAGAGAAGGGAGAGGATGCATGGGTAGATGAATGGTTGGATGGATTAATGAATGGATGGAAGGAAGGGTGGATAGAAGAGAAAGGATGCATGGATGGATGGGTGGATGGGTGAGTAGGTGGGTAGGTTGGTAGGTTGGTGGATGGAAAGAAGAAATGAATTTTTTGGTAGACTATAGTAACAATATTACATCCCCAGGCTCTGGCAAAGAACTGTAGGCCCCTGCATTTTGCCCCATTCTTCGTTTCTCTTTTGCTCATGGCAAGAGCTTGCTGGAGTGGGGGAGGTACAACTGGTACCTTGATAAGCGCTGGCCTTTGTCCCAGGAGGGACATCTTTTTCTCTCTGCTTATTGGAGGCTCCAGCAGAGAATGGAGACTTCTGAATGAGACTCACTGGGCTTCTCTTAAATTGTTCATGTCTGACCCAGTGGGCTTGGCATTTTTAGGAGTATTATGTGAAGTCAGTTGATGTCTAAATGCATGTCACCCATGAGAGGTTTGCCAGGGAGAGGCCAGAGACCTGAGTGGCATTTGGTTGAGGCAGGCAAGAGAAAGGGTAAGATATTAAGATGTTTTGGGAAAGAGCAGGTTTTAGGTCATTTCCCTAATTATTCATGGGATCATTCCTGGGTTCCTTGGCAAAGAAATGGTGTGTGTGTGTGTGTGTGTGTGTGTTTGTGTGTTTGTGTATTCACAGTGGTTGGTTGGAGGCTAAGGAAGTCTAAGGACTGCATGGCTCCTGGGGAAAAGATAGGCCCCAAGCCTTAAGAGATTAGTAACCGTTGGATTGAGGAAGTATGATATTTCCGGATTTAAAGTGATATCTGAAGAGCAAATACCCTAATAACTATGATTCAGAAACTTGGAATCTGTTTTTAGTAGAATGTGTTTGGGTTGAAAGAAGCCTAACTCAGTTTTCTTTGGGATTAGAAACAATAATAATAATGCATTTTTGAGGCATCTTTAATTTCAGTTGCCTTCCTCCAGTCCAGTGAAGGAAAGACATCCTGTCCCCATTGCATATAAATAATGAGATGACTATGATGGTGATGATGCTGATGATGATAATGGTGATGATGGTGATGGTGATGATTATGGTGATGATGACAGTGATGATGATGGTGATGATGACAGTGTTGATGATGGTGATGATGATGGATTGTAGCTACTCTTTACTGAGGGTTGTGTTCTAGGGATTGTGCTTAATAGCTGACATACCTCATTTCATGTGCTCCTCAGGATAATTCTCTGATTTTGTAGATGGAGAAGCTGAGCTCACAGCGAGCTTATTTATTTATTTCTAACTTCACAAACATTTATGTGGCTTACTAGGTGCTTGGCACTGACTCATGTACTTTATAAATATTAACTCACTGCCACAACAACCCTGTGAGATACGTATTATTATCACTTTCATTCTCAACTTATAGATGAGGAAACTGGGGCACAAAGAGGGCAGGTAACTTACCCAAGGTCACACAGCTGGTAAGTGGCTGAGCCAGGATTCAGACCTGGTGTGTGAGCTGCTCACAACTACGTCACGCTGTTCTGCTGCAGTGATGGGGGCAGGCTGCATTTTGGGGCTGTGTGGGGGCTCAGAGTCATATGAGTAGCAACTGCTGACTGCTGCCTCCCATGTTCTCCCCTCTGCCCACTTCTTGGGCAAGACAAGAGAGTTCCCCAGGGCAGCACACAAGGGGCAGCCCATGGCCATGGCCTCACCTAGCTGAGGCCCAAATCTTCTGGCCACTGGTACTTGGAGGCTAGCTGTGGGCAGAGAGGGTCTCAGGAGGGGCTGCCCCTCATATGCATCAGCACTGTGGCTGGGCCTCTGCCATTCTGCAGAAAAGCGTCATGGGCTGAGCTCGTGGGGAGCTGGGCTCATCAGGAAGCTGCTGTGGGCAGGAAGCTGCTGGCTAGACCCAACTCTCACAGGCTCAGTAGTGCAGCCCATGGGGTCAGCCAAGGGTAGGTAGTGTCGCTGTAGCCCTGGTGGCTTTATTCCAGGGGGATGACTCTGTGATCCACTGAGACTGGCCACAGAGCTGTTGTCAGCTACCACCTCCCTCCCCTAACCCCAGATTATTCAGACATGGGGCCAGACCAGGCCTTGAGGGTGGGGGGCCAAAACCACAGCTCATCCAGTACAGAGTCACCTGCAAACTCAGCATCCACCTTTTGCACGAGAGACCTGCCTCACAGTCTCAAGATCCAGGAGCCTCCCTGAAGGGGCCCAGACTCTGCCCCCTCTACGGGCACCCCGGCTTGTGGAGAGTGGTGAGGGCAGTGAGGCTGGGGAGAGCTAACTTCACTGCAGCCACACAGGGGCCAGGCCACAGAAGCCCTGGAGACCTCCTGAGGAATCTGGTCTGTAGGTGCCCGAGCAGGTGAGGGCCGGGGTCGGATCTGGAAAAGTCAGGCTCCCTGGGCACTAGTTCCCCAGGGCTGTCATCACAAATGACTACAATCTGCATGACTTAAAGCAACAGAAGCTTATTCTCTCACGCTTCTGGAGAGTAGAAGTAGGAAATTAAGAAACCACCAGGGCTGTGCTCCCTCCAGAGGCTCTGGGGAGGACTCCTCCTTGTCTCTTTTGGCTTCTGATGGCCCCAGGTGTTCTTGGCTTGTGGCCACATCATCCGATCTCTGCCTCCATCTTCATGTGGCATTTCCTCTTCTCCCCATGTCTCTATGTGTGTGTCTCTTACACAGACACTTGTCATTGGATTTAGGGTTCATTCGGAGAGTCCAGGATGATCTTACCTCAAGATCCTTCATTTCGAACTTCATCTGCAAAGACCTTTTCCCAAATAAGGTTTCCCCAAACAACGTGTGAATGTTTCCTAAACATTCACAGGTTCTGGGGTTACGACATGAACATATCTTTTTGTGTCATTGTTCAGCCTCCCATTGACTCCCATGGGGCGAATACAAGGAATACAATTTTTTTTCCCCTAGGGTTTTCTTGAATGTACAAGGAAAGCAGATACAGAACAGAAGAGAGAAGTGTTGGATTTTTTTTCCTCTTCCCTTGTGGTGGGGGGTGGGGGGGACATTTGCTTTTTAAGTAATGGGTGTTGCTGGCACATGGACCTTGCCCATCTAGTCCATGCCACTCCTGTGGCCTCTCGGGATCATTCCTTTGAAGTCTCTCCCTGGCCCGTCTCTGTGCTGACTTGTACATTGATGCATTGAACGTCTCCTATTTAAAAATGTTCCCATGTTGTCTCTGTCCAGCACATGCTGTAATTACTTCTAGGAACTTGATTTCAGCATCAATTAGCATGCCTCAGATGGCCTAAGAGGGAGAGAGTGTCCCTCCTGCCCTGGCGTCTCTTGGAAATGTTTTTGAGTTGCAGCCCTGGGAGGGGGAGTGAATGGAGATTCCAAGTACCCTCAGATACATTGCTGCTTTCTTTTTTTTTTTTTTTTTTTTTTGTGGAGAGAAGGGTCTTTCCAAAGATAGGATTCCTGGTAGGAGAGGGGCAGGAAGGAGAGTTGGGCTTTGTTCTCACAGGCAAGACCTCCTTTCACCTAACCTGGGGATGCTGGGGATAGTGGGGCTTCTCACACAGGTGCATTTAAAAAGCCTCATTTGCTAAGTCAGAGTTGACCACTGTCAGCCCAGCTGGCTTTGGCTGAACGTGGAAGGCTGAGGGCTGGCGGCTGGGTGTTCTCACCAGCTCCAAGAAGAGGCACCTTGGCCAGCAGCCTTCCATTCTTCTCCTACTTGTTATTTCATAGGCGTGAAAAAAAGTTTCCATCCAGCTGTGCTTCCTCCCAAAGGCTCTTGTGCCTCAGGCCTGCTAGTGATCCCACTGGGCCCACCCCCTTCTTCCTGGGGGCTGTGTGGATCCACCTGGAAATGGCTGCTCCCAGCATCTTGGGGGTCTGGGTCCGTTGCTCTCTGTCTGGTGGAGCCTCTGGGCAGCCCCGGGTGCATTCCCCACCTCACCTGCTGGGCTGGGGCCTGGGGCTGTGACAAGGATGCATGCAGCTTCTAGACAAACTTGGGTCCCTGGGCCACCCCTCCTCATAGTCAGGTCACCACGCACCGTGTCTGCTGGGACGGTCTGGGTTACACCTGCTGTCCTGCTGTTCTCTCCTAGTCAGCATCTGCCATACTTTGGCATATCCACTTTGATTCCTTTTTTTTCTTTAATTGAAGTGAATCCACATAACATAAAATTAACCATTTTAATGTACAATTAACCATTTTAGTGTACAATTCAGTGGTATTGAGTACATTCACTATGCCATGCAGCCATTGATTCTCTTTAGTTCCAGAACATTTTCATCCTCTCCAAAGGAAACCCTGGACCTATGAGGCAGTCTCTCCTTGTCATGCCCTCCCACCCCCAGCTCCTGGGAACCACTCGTCTGCTTTCTGACCCTATGGATTTACCTATTCTTTTTTATTTTTTATTTTTTTGAGACAGAGCCTTGCTCTGTCGCCCAGGCTGGAGTGCAGTGGCACGATCTCGGCTCACTGCCAGCTCTGCCTCTGGGGTTCATGCCCTTCTCCTGCCTCAGCCTCCCGAGTAGCTGGGACTACAGGCGCCCGCCACCACGCCTGGCTAATTTTTTGTATTTTTAGTAGAGACGGGGTTTCACTGTGTTGGCCAAGATGGTCTCGATCTCCTGACCTCATAATCCACCCACCTTGGCCTCCCAAAGTGTTGGGATTACAGGTGTCAGCCACTGCGCCCAGCTGGATTTACCTATTCTGAATATATAATATAAATATGCGGTCTTTTGCATCTGGCTGCTTTCACTTACATAAGGTTTTCGAGGTTGACCATGTGGTAGCACATGTCAGAACTCCCTTCCCTTTTCATGGCTGAGTAATATTCCCTTGCACAGCTCTGCCACATGTCCTTATCCACTTATCCGCTGACGGATAGTCGGGTCGTTTCCTTCTTTTGGCTACTGTGACTTATGCTACTATAAGCATCCATGTACAAGGTTTTATTTGAATACCTGTTTTCCTTCCCTTTGATTTTTAATGGTCCCTGTTTGGGTGATACATTGTGTGGTCACCCTACCCTTAGGGGGCCTCCCTAAGCCCTGGACTCCCATTTTCCCATGCTTGCCGAGTTGTGTCTTTTTGTTGAGAAGCTGTGTGGGGCAAACCCAGACCCTGGGATGTTGCCATCAGCGGTGGTAGCAAGTGCAGAGAGACTGCCCACCCTGTGGCAGGCGCCCGCATCCGCTGCCTGGCTCTTCTCCCTGAATTCTGAGGCTCCGGGGGAGCCGGCCTGAGGATTGTTGGGACCTGCTGGAGGTTGGGGATCTGTGGTTCTGGGCTCTGGAGACACAGGATTTGAATATACTATGAGGTGACACGGCCCGAAGGTGCTTGTTTCCATGGACTTCCAACTGCTGCCTGGTCCGTGGACAACTGGCCACGGCCACCCAGGGCCACGGTTGGCTGCAGGGAGAGAAGAGGCCTCCCTACCATGTTGCCTGGCAGGGCCCTGCCTGACACTCAGTGTCTGCAGAGGGCTGCATTCCTCAAGCCCCAGAGAACAAAGGGCTTACGCATAGTTCCCTGGGAAGGGAGCCTGGCGTGGCCTCTATATGTGAAGGTCAGTCCTGGCTCTGGGCAGCTGGGAAAGGAGTGTAGAGCTGGACTTGGCGGAGCCCCTCGGGATGCCCGTGCCCTTGGTTCACTGGCAGCCACCCAACACAGGCACTGTTTTTTCTGCAGCTGCAAAGGGATCAGGCCCCTTCTGACCTCATCGGGCTCTCCTAGGCCACTGCTGGCCCTGCAGGGGAAAGTGAGCCCTGGGAGGCCTGTCCAAGACTCAGCAGGATCTCCAGCCCTCCACCTCCTCTCTCCCCATCAGCTGTGCTCCCAGTGGACCTCCTAAACCTTTCGTTTGAGTTTTACCATTTTCTGACAGAGAGAGGAACCTTTCTGCATTCACTGGATTATTTCCTGCTAATTGTGGCTTGAAAATCCACCGCTGGTGGAAACTGAGCTTTTCAATAAAAGTGAAGCCCCTGCCTGATGCTGGCAGCTCAGGTGGGCTAGGAGGACGTGTGTTCAGCAGGAAAGCCTGGAGGAAACTCTCTCTCCAAGTCAGATACCCATTAGAGGCAGCTGTTAGGAAAGGGAAGCACATCAAGCCGACTCTTGAAGCCAGCTGTAGTTGCACCTTCCTGGGCTTGAAATGTGGTTCAAGCAGGCCATATTCCTGGTTCTCATGGCTGCTCTCCTTTGCTGTCCTGGTCCTGGCGCCGTGTTGCAGATCTCACCTGGGTTAGTCCCCAGGTCCCCTCCCTGCATTTCCAGGCGGCAGTTTCTATTTTATGGAAATAATAGATGCTGTCCCCAGCACCTCACTTTCTAGACTTCGCTGGATGGAGCCCACCTTGCCTGGTGCCGGGTGTGAAGTCTGAGGGTCGGCCCTGCACACCTGCACAGTGTTCTGCGTGCAAGGCAAGCGTCCTCCCTGTCCACGCCTCGGTCAGCAGGGGCAAGTTCACCAAACGAGCTGACCCCATGAACCACAGGCAAGTTCTGGCAATTTCCTCCTCACCCCTGGCTGAACTTCAAGCTTATGACTTTTCTTGTTTAATTTAATTTCTCTATTGAAAACAATCCCAGTCTTTATGGATTTCACTTTTGTGACTCTTAATGAACCTTTTCTCTTGAAGGAAGAAACGGGACTCTAGATTCTTTTTCTGTGGTCTCTGAGTAGGGAGCAAGGGGCTGGGGCTGAGCTTTCAGAATTTCGAGTTCAAGATCCCCTGGGAGAGACGGCTTCCTGGGCCACTCCAGTAAATTTAGAATCTGCAGGGCCTGGGAATCTGCATATTTAGCAAATTGACCCAGCAGTTTCTAATGCAAGTGATTTTTTTGGTTCACGGGGCCCTAGTGGAGGAAAGGCTTCAGTTTAGCTGAAACCTCAGCACAAGGCAAACCTCCGAGGCTCAGCCAGGAACAGGGCTGCCATTGTGCTATGTCTCCCGCTCCCTGCCTTGTGTCTCCTAGAAAACCTGTGATCATTTACACTCCAATAATCTTCCTTCCTCCACCTGTCATTCCTCTGCTCGCTTCCTCTCACTTATTTTCCTGAGCGTCTACAAAGTGCTGGTCTCCAGGAATAGTCAGATGCTTGAAGACAGACTCTGTCGGGGAGGGGCAGCCAGGATAGGGGCCAGGTGGCCTAAGTGAGACTTGCAGAGGGGCCACAGAGGAGGGGCATCAGAAAAGGTCCCATAGTGGTGACATGTGGCTGAGTGTACCTTGTTGTCTCTGCATGGAGTCGGGAGCTTCCAGCGTGGCAATGGCTCCCTGAGAGCATGGACCACCTTCCTGAGTGCCTGAGTGTGGATTGGGAGCCCTGGTGGCAACTGAGCCCTGGTGGCGACTGAGCTCTGGTGGTAACTGAGCCCTGTTGGTGACTAAGTCCTCGTTGTGACTGAGTTCTGATAGTGACTAAGCCCTGGTAATAACTGAGCCCTGGTGGTGACTGAGCCCTAGTGGTGACTGAGCCCTGGTGGTGACTGAGCCCTCGTGGTGACTGAGCCCTGGTAGCAACTGAGGCCTGGTGGTGACTGAACTCTTGTGGTAACTGAGCTGTCATAGTGATTCAGCCCTGGTGATGATTGGGTCCTGGTAGTGATTAACCCCTGGTGGTGACTGAGCCCTGGTGGTGACTGAGCCCTCGTGGTGACTGAGCCCTGGTAGCAACTGAGGCCTGGTGGTGACTGAACTCTGGTGGTAACTGAGCTGTCATAGTGATTCAGCCCTGCTGATGACTGGGTCCTGGTAGTGATTAAGCCCTGGTGGTGACTGAGCCCTGATGGTGACTGAGCCCTAATAATGACTGAGCCCTGGTGGTGGCTGAGTCCTGGTTGTGACTAAGCCCTGGTGGCAGCTGAGCTCTTGTGGTGACTGAGCCTTTGTGGAACTGAGCCCTGGTGGTTACTGGGCCCTGGTGCTGACTGATCCCTAGTGGTGACTGAGCCCTCATGGTGACTGAGCCCTGGTGCTGACTGAACCCTAGCGGTGACTGAGTACTGGTGGTGACTGAGCCCTGGTGGTGACTGAGCCATTGTGGTGACTGAGCCTTCATGTTGACTGAGCCCTGGTGCTGACTGAACCCTAGTGGTGACTGAGCCCTGGTGCTGACTGAAACCTGATGCTGACTGAATCCTAGTGGTAACTGAGGCCTCATGGTGACTGAGCCCTTGTGGCAACTGAGCTTTCATGGTGACTGAGCCCTGGTGGCATCTGAGCCCTCGTGGTGACTGAGCCCTCATGGTGACTGAGCCCTGGTAGTGACTGAGCCTTGGTGCTGACTGAGCCCTGGTAGTGACTGAGCCCTGGTGCTGGCTGAACCCTGGTAGTGACTGAGCCCTGGTGGTGACTGAGCCCTGATGGTGATTAAACCCTGGTAGTGACTGAGCCCTGGTGATATGCTGTGCAGAGAGGGCTCATACATGTTTTGGGTTGACTATTTGTATTGCACACAAATCTTGGATTCCCTCAGTGATATTTACCAGCTCTGGATGGTGCTGCCATCTTTGGGGACAGCTGGTCACTGGCCTTGGAAGTGGGGCTCCCCTTTGGCTGCTGTCACCAACCAGGCTGACCAGATATTTGCGGGAGAGTTCTGGATCCTTCCACCGCTCTGACCTGAGACAAAACCCACCACCTCAGGGCGTGGGATGTGACATTCTTTACAAGATGTTGGGGTTCAGAGCCCTGAGGGCTGACAAGTTCCTCCTCCTCGCTCCTTAGCACTGAATCCCTGGGAGCTGAGTTTCTCCTTGTAGCTTGGTCAGAGCAGTGCTATGTGCTGGGCACCTGCAGGGCTGGCGGCAGGTTGTGGTGCAGCACCCTGTGGGGCAGCACACACCTTTGCCCCTCCTCTCCCTCCCTCACCCTGGCTAGCCTGGGTTTGTGGTTTGTACCTTATGAATAAAATCTCAGCCCTTGAATCCTTGCCTCAGGCTTGGTTTGCTAGAAAATGCAGGTGAAGGCCTATTATTTTTGTCTGGCTTGGGGTGAAGGGGGTTTTGCTTTGTTCTGGTTTCTTCTGGGATCTGCTGATACAAAACCCTAGTCTAGCTCACAGCAGAGGGCTCAAGGCACCACGGAACAGAGGCAACCATCTGTTCATTTCTGTGTTTCTGCTGGTGGTGAGCAGGACCCCAAGAGTTCTGGTTGCTGCCTCAGAAAGACAGAGAGCTGTGTTCCCTGTAACCACTTGAAAAAGAGAGGAGCTATTTGTGTGTGTGCATGCCCTTGCAGGTGAGCATGCATGCGTGTATGGCATGTATATTGTGTATACACATGTATAGGTACATGTGCATGTGTATGCATGCATACACGTGCATGCATGTATGGGCGCAGGTGCATATATGCATATGTATTTGCATGCATATTTGCACCCATGTATGTACATGTGTGCATGCACACACATGCATATGCATATATGTAGGCATGTGTGTTTGTGACCCACATGTGCAGGTGTGTGTGTGTGTGCACGTGTGCAGGTGCATATGACCTGCCCTCAGAGGACACGCTGCAAAGGGGAGAGTACTCATAAGCCCTGCATCTTTTGGGAGCCTTGGCCTCACGTGGGGCTCCAGAACAGCACTGTCCCCTCGTCTTGCCCTGCTCAGAGCCCCTCTTGTGTGGGATGTGTTGGGCATCTGGATGGCCACCTCTTGTCCCCTTCTGCTCTGCCCACTTGGTTCTTGGTGATGTATCCTTCTCCACAGTTGTGATGACTTGCTCCTTCCATTTAGCTCTAATTAGGTTCCATAAAACATCTCCTGCTGTGAGTTCTGGTTCAGTAATTACTATATCTTTCAGGTTCAAAGAAACCTGAATCTTTCCTTTTAGTAATTTAATAGATATTTTACACTGTAAGGGCTAAATGCCCTCCAGATTCCTTAGTCTTCCCCAAAGCAACTCTGAGAGGTGTTGCCATACTTACTGAGAAAGACCAGTTTTCCTTTTATTTCTCTCTCCAGTGTCAGTTCGGATTTGCATGGGGCTCTGGCCTCTGTGTGTGAGACAGAAATCTTGTGGTCTGTTCCCAAGGTGGCCAGCGGCATAAAGCCCTGTGAGATGAGCTGCTGGAATCTTCCACTGTGCACCTGCCAGCCTGGGGTGTGGGGTGCTCATGCTCTCCACATCATTAAGAAGATTTCCTTTCTTGCCTTTAATCCCCACTCTAAATACTGTGTTGGGCTGCTGCTGATAGCAGTGGGAAGATGCACAGCTGCCCTCCTTGGAATGAAGTGGCCAGGCTGGTCCACGCCCAGCCTGCTTCCCTCCTGCCATCTGGCCACCACCACCACTGTCCTGGGCCACAGAACGGTCTCCAAATGCTCTCTCTGCTTCTGTTTGCACCCCCCTCCCCCAACCCATTCCCTACACATCAGCGAGATGTACCTGGGACCCTGACAGCTCTGCCTTAAAGGGGGCAGGGGGCTCCCATTGCTCTGGAGATGACAGTCCAGCTCCTTCCCAGGGCTGCCTGGTCCCGCTGGGTCTGGCCTCTGTTCCTTGCCAGCCTACCCTCACCCCTTCCATGCGCTACCTGGAGGGAGGTGGTGTTCCTTCCTTCTGCCCTGGATGCTATGCTCACCCTTCTGCCCTGGATGCCAGCCTCAGGCTGTTGGAGATGGAAGTTGGGGCATACGGCTTTTGCTTGGATGTGGCCTTTCCAGGGGAGGGAGGCAGTTCACACAGGGCCCCTGCCCAAGAGTGGGGTGACACTTACCCTGGGGTTTGGAAGCAGAGAGGGAGCAGCCTTCCTTCTCCCTGCCTCCTGTGGGAAGACCCTGCTCATGTTCTCCCAGGGACCACCTTCGCCTTTGATGGGGAGGTCACCAGTGTCTGCTTTGGGAACCCTCCACTCTGAGGCCATTTCCTTTGGCCCAGGCTTTCTAGGAATGCCAATGAGAGTTCTGCCTTCCTGCCTGCTCCTTCGTCTTGTTTTCAGTTGGTCCAGACTTGGCCAAGGAGAGGAAATACCATGTCTTGGTCCCCTCTTGAGCCCCAACAGAGTCCTCAGTGTGTGTGGCTTCCCTGCTCAGATACTTCTCCAGGCACAACCCTCCCTGGCCACAGTCTGAATTCTAGAGCCTGCCTTATTTCCTTCTCAACACCAAGGCTGCTTGAACTGCAATTGCAACTTGAAATGATAAACATATTCGCGTGTTTTGTTGGACAACCATCTCCCTGACTGGACCATAATGCCCTCTGAAAACAAGGACAGGACAGGACAGGACAGTGCCTCTCTTTTACCCCTCAGTGCCTGTAGCACCTTGCAGGTGCAGCACTTGGTGGGTGTCCAAGCCGCCAGGAAGCTCATAGTCCAGGGGAGGGGACAGGCCTGCAAACAGCGCTCACAGGAGTTGCACACCTGCTCCAAAAGAGCTGCATGAAGGCGGCTGTGAGGGGAAGAGGTGACATGGTCATTGACCCCACCCTGTTCACCATCATTGGGCTTCAGTTGGCTTCCACTAAAATGGGGATCCTAATAATTGGGTAATTAATCCATGGGGATTTTCAGTAGGTGACAGAGACTGCTGTGATTCTTTGAAACCATTCCATGGTATTTGCAGTAGCTGATACCACAAATATGTGGTTTCCAAGTATTAGGTACAAAGATTAGAGATGCCCTGGCTAAATAGGTATCTTCTTTCTACCCCATGGAGGTTAGGATGAGCAGGAAGACCCTATGGTGGCATCTGTTTATTAAAGCTGCTCAGGAGGGGTAGCGGCTGTAGTGGGCGTCCTACAGATGGAACATTCTGGAACAGTTTGACAGTCCCCTGAACCCCCAGCTTGGTGCTTTCTAATCCCACCACAGGAAGGGAATTCTACTGGTGTTCATAGGGTCCTGCGGGGGAAACAAAGACCACAGATGGGATGAACTAGTGAACCCCAGAGGATGGCAAAGTCAGGTGGACCAATGGGGGCACAGAGCTCTCCTCCTCCAGCCCCTCCCAACCCTGCAGTTAGCTCATGTCTGGCTATCAAAGCTTGGTTTTGAATCGACAAGTGGACTCAATTCTTGTGGTATTGTCTGGAAGACACAGTGATGGTGTGAAGCAGGGAGGGCATGGAGCCCTCCTGAATCTTCCTCCGTCTGAGAACTGGTTGGGGGAGGCTGCAAGATGTGGAGAGTGGCTCCTTCCACATGGAAAAGCCAGAATACAGCCAGGTGCAGTTATTTTGTCTGGTTTGATTCCACATGGATTGCCTGCCTCTCCCTTAGACCATAAGCTCCACTGTGCCTAGACTCAGTGCATCCCAAGGCTCAGTAACTATTGACTGGAAGGTTGGATGGGAGGACATGCTTAGATTTTGAGGAAAAGTCAGAGACCCCCCTCTTTTGAGGTTTGCTGATCTCACCACTCCTGGGCATTCTCAGTGATCCCATTGCCCCTTGCCAGGCCGGGCCAAAGTGCCCTGTGCATACCCCTTCCGGCTCCCTGCCTGTATTAGTCCATTCTCATGCTGCTATAAAGAAGTGCTTGAGACTCAGTAATTTATGAAGGAAAGAGACTTAACTGACTCACAGTTCTGCAGGACTGGGGAGGCCTCAGGAAACTTATAATCATGGAGGAAGGGGAAGCGAACACGTCTTGCCCATTTATCTTCACATGGTGGCAGGAAGGAGAAGTGCCGAGCGAAGTAGGGGAAAAGCCCCATATAAAACCGTTAGATCTCATGAGAACTCACTCACTATCATGAGAACAACATGAGGGTAACTGCTCCGTGATTAAATTATTTCCCACCAGGTCCCTCCCATGACATGTGGAGATTATGGGAGCTACAATTCAAGATGAGATTTGTGAGGGGATACAGCCAAACCATATCATTCCACTCCTGACCCCTCCCAAATCTCATGTCCTCACATTTCAAAACACAATCATGCCCTTCCAATGGTTCCCCAGAGTCTTAACTCATTCTAGCATTAACCCAAAAGTCCAAGTTCAAAGTCTCAACGAGACAAGGCAAGTCCCTTCCACCTATGAGCCTGTAAAAATCAAAAGCAAGTTAGTTACTTCCTTGATACAATGCGGGTGCAGGCATTGGGCAAATACACCTGTTCCAAACGGGAGAAATTGACTAAAACAAAGGGACTACAGGCCTCATGTAAGTCTGAAATCCAATAAGACAATCATTAAAACTTAAAGTTCCAAAATGATCTCCTTTGACTTCATGTCTCACATCCAGGTCATGCTGATGCAAGAGGTGGGCTCCCACAGCCTTGGGCAGCTCCACTCCTGTGGCTTTGCTGGGTACAGCCCCCTTTCCATCCGTTTTCATGGCTGGTGATGGGTGTCTGTGGCTTTTCCAGGCACATGGTGCAAGCTGTCAGTGGATCTACCATTCTGGGGTCTGGAGGATGGTGGCCCTCTTCTCACAGCTCCACTAGGCAGTGCCCCAGTGGGGACTCTGTGCAGGGGCTCCCCTTCTGCACTGCCCTAGCAGAGGTTTTCTGTGAGGGCTCTACCCCTGCAGCAAACTTGTGCCTGGACATCTGGTTTCCTGATTCTGGCATTCTTTCTGCATTAGTTAGCAGGCATTCCATCCCAAGGAAGGACTTTCCTTTATTAAACTTATCATATTAGTATTTATTACTTTTGCTTATTCCACCAATTAAATCATATTTATTAAATTTATTTATAAATAATAATAATATTACTAACATTTTATTGGGGGACCTGCCCCGATAATCACGTAGGTTCTTTTCTATTTTCCTAAGCGTTGGCTGGCTTGAGAAATAAAGGGACAGAGTACAAAAGAGAGAAATTTTAAAGCTGGGCATCTGGGGGAGACATCACACATTGGTAGGATCCGTGATACCCCACAAGCCGCAAAAACCAGCAAGTTTTTATTAGGGATTTTCAAAAGGGGAGGGAGTGTGCGAATAGGTGTGGGTGACAGACATCAAGTACTTTACAGGGTAATAGAATATCACAAGGCAAGTGGAGGCAGGGCGAGATCACAGGACCACAGGACCGAGGTGAAATTAAAATTGCTAATGAAGTTTCAGGCACCATTGTCATTGATAACATCTTATCAGGAGACATGGTTTTGAGATCAACTGGTCTGACCAAAATTTATTAGGCAGGAATTTCCTCTTCCTAATAAGCCTGGGAGTGCTGTGGGAGACTGGAGTTTATTTCACCTGTGCAATCTCGACCATAAGAGAGAGGTATGCCCCAGGGAGGGGTGGGGGGCAGTTCAGAGACCTTCCCATAGGTGCACATTCTCTTTCTCAGGGACGTTCCATGCTGAGAAAAAGAATTCAGCGATATTTCTCCCATTTGCTTTTGAAAGAAGAGAAATATGGCTCTGTTCTGCCCGGCTCACTGGCAGTCAGAGTTTAAGGTTATCTCTCTTATTCCCTGAACAATTCCTGTTATCCTGTTCTTTTTTCAGGGTGCCCACATTTCATATTGCACAAACATACATGCTGTACAATTTGTGCAGTTAATGCAATTATTACAGGGTCCTGAGACGATATACCTCCTCCTCAACTGACAGGATTAAGAGATTAAATTAAAGACAGGCATAGGAAATCACAAGGGTATTGATTGGGGAAGTGATAAGTGTCCATGAAATCTTTACAATTTATGTTTAGAGATTGCAGTAAAGACAGGCATAAGAAATTACGAAAGTATTAATTTGGGGAACTAATAAATGTCCATAAAATCTTCACAATCCACGTTCTTCTGCCATGGCTTCAGCCGGTCCTTCTGTTTGGGGTCCCTGACTTCCTGCAACAACATTGCTAATATGTTCATTTATTAAATTTATTTATCATTCATATTATATATGTATGGACTTACAGTTTTCTTTTTTTGATGGACTATAATCCATGTTATTTATTTTTCTGCTCCAATTGTTATAGATTTGGCTCTGGAGAGCCCCTTCCAGCTGGCCCTGACCCCTTCTGACAGCTTAGCACCCCCTGTGAGTGCTGCCTTCTTCCAGCCTTGTCCCACACCCTGCTTTCCCCTGGAAGTGCTGATGAGACTTTTCTGGGTCCTCAGATACTGATCACAGTTCAGGGACCTGGGACCTCAGTGCAGGATCTTCATGGGCTGAGATGGATGTCTCTCTAATAGCCCATGTTGGTGGAGATTGGCAATTTTGTCTTTTGGAGGTGTGTGTTTGTGTGTGTATATAGGATATATAGGATCTATATTTTCTGTCTTCAGGTTTGGAGCATGGTGGGGTTAAACACCAACTCTACTCTGATGAAGCTGCCTTGAAACCGTTAAGTTGGGTAAACACTTGGCCACAGTGCATCCATGTTTGACTTAATCCTTCTTCACAGAAGAAGCAGCTTTTCTTTTTTTCTTTTTTTGAGATGGAGTCTCACTCTTGTTGCCCAGGCTGCAGTGCAGTGGTGCGATCTCGGCTCACTACAACCTCCGCCTCCCAGATTCAAGAGATTCTCCTGCCTTAGCCTTCCAAGTAGCTGGGATCACAGGCATGCACCACCATGCCTGGCTAATTTTTGTACTTTTAGTAGAGATAGGGTTTCGCCATTTTGTCCAGGCTGGTCTTGAACTCTTGACCTCAGGTGATCCACCCGCCTTGGCCTACCAAATTGCTGGGATTACACGCGTAAGCCACCGCGCTTTTCAAATCGATGCCTGCACAGTGTAGCCAGCATGGCAGGGGCTGAACAATGGTTCCCTCCCTGTCTTCTCTCTTGCTCCAAGGGCAGAGATTCTTGTTAGGTTTTCTGTAGGCTCTGGATATCCCTGCAGAGTCTCCTGCCCACAGATGCTAAGCAGACATTGGCTAATCCTTTGGGTTCCTTTTCAGTCAGCATTTATGTGTCTGTGTGTGTACATATGTGTATGGCATATATGTGTGGCTGCATGCATATTATATATGCACATGTATGTGCATGTACACACATGCATATGTGCATGGGTGCATGTGTGTACATATATGCACATGAGTGCATAGGCATGTGTGCCTGTGTGTATGCATGAGTGTGCATGCATGCACACATGAATGTCCATGTAAGAGGCTATGTGAAGGACTAGCTGATCATTGGCAAGAGGAGTCGCATCCAGGCTGCTGTGGAGAGCTCTTCAGTGCTGGGGTGCTTTTCACCCATCTGCAAGAGCAGTCATTTATTAGGGTTAAAAAAGAAACAAATTCTTTCTGTGTAGCGTGTGCCAAAAATAGGCACAGACATTTTTAATGTAATGTCTCTGGGAGTAAAGAACAGATTGTCAGTAACGTGAACCTGCCATTCCTTTCATCTGAGAGTGTGTCCCCAATCCCTGGGGGCATTCCAGTCCAGAGGAGACCCCTAGGTAGTTCGGACAGGCTGACCTCTAAGATTCCTTCCTGCTCTGAGGAGGCATGGCTTCCTCAGATACTGTCAAAATCCTGGGAGGAGGGTACCTGGCAGAGTTAGCCATGGCACCCCCAGCCCCCTCAGCACTCCAGTCCCCACCTGAGGTCCCAGGGAAAGACTGGGATGCTGCTTTTCACTAAAGTGGAAATGAATGATTAGGCTGTGTGTCTCCTCCAAGGCTCCATTTTTCTTGCTTTTTAATGTCTGCCGAGTCCTTCCATGAGCCAGCCTCAATGTCAGATTCCTTTTGTGACTTGTCTGATTAAATTTTTACAGCCTCCTTGGGGGATGTGTGTGTGTCCCTATCACTCTCACAGGCCAGGCAGGCGAAGATCAGGGAGGTCAGTGATTTCTTCTGAATTTGTCCCACCAGGGAGAAACTGCCCGCCTGAATTCCGCACCAGCCCTGCCTGGGACTGTAGAGCGAGGTGTGGCTGCTTCTCGCCCTCAGTTTCTAGGCCAAGGACTTTTGGCCAGGGTGAACTGGCGGCACTCAACCCTCCCTCCCTCCTTCCCTCTTTCCTTCTCTACCTGCCTGCTCCCTCTCACCCTCCTTCCTTCCATTTGCCGAACACTCCATGTGTTGGGGATTTAGCAGTAACCCCCGTCCCCACCTTTTCCCTGTCCTCCAGGGGCTGCTGGTGTGCAGAGGAAGGCAGGAGACAGATCCTACCCACACTGTCATGCGTGTGTGCTTTGGTGTCCTAGAAGCACAGAGCAGGAGCCCTGAGCTCAGCCCCAGGTGAGAGCATCCAGGAGGCTTCCTGGACGAGGGTTCCCGGAACGCTCCATTCGCCCTCCCACCTCAGGGCCTTTGCACCTGCTGCTCTTGCTGCCTGGGACATTTTTCACCTGGGGATTTGTGTGGCTCCCTCCTGCCACCCTAACCACCACAGGGAAAACTGTCTTCCCTCTAGCCCATCCCTGCTCACATATACCAGCTCACATCCACATATATTTAATACTAATGATTTTCTGCCCCCTACCAACTAGATCATAAGCTTTCTGAAGGCAGGTGTTTTGACTGCTTTCATCGTGGGCCGCCTGGGTTCTGACCCCGGACAGGTGGAAGGAACTGGGCCATTACTGGGGTCGTGGGAAGTGGGGTGCTGCTCATAGCCTGCCTGTAGCCGGGGACCTCTGATTCACCTGCTCACAGGTGCAAACACCACCTCACCCCTCCGAAATTCCCACGGGCACACGGTGCTTCTCTGGTGCAGCTGTGCCAAGGGTGGTTCCTGAATGGTTACGCGTTTGAGACAAGATAAGCACAGAAACTGAGAAGAAGCATTTAGAAACCTTTGTAGCAATTTTCTGGGTAATTTTATGTCTGTTGAATCTAATAGAAAAATTTGGGCTTGTGTTTTGTGTCTCTTTTCTTTTTCTTTTTCCAGTCATTCATTTTTGTTGTATTTTACAAAAGTACTGGTTTGTGACAAATTGAAAATAAAAAAAAGTGTCCTTCATCACAGATAACTTGATAAGCGGTGCTTTCAAGAACTATATCGTTTACACTGGACAACATTTAGGGCATGTTTGTGGCCCTAGATGGTGGCTAAAACAGGATGCCAAGGGAATGGGGGTGAAAGGGATGATTTGGGGACAGGCCATGAGCAGCTGCTGTAGGAGCTGGTCCGTTAACACCTGGGGTGACTTCAAATCTTCCAATGTCTGAAAGGCTGTCTTGGGAAGGGCTGACCAATTCTGTGTGTAGTTAGAATTTTGTCCCCAGAAGACACTTAGAAATATTCATAGGATGAAAATGTGAATTAATGAATACTGTGTACTGAATGTGAGTGTGAATTAATAAATAATGAATGTTTCGTCCCTCCGTCCATCCATCCACCCATCCATCATCTATCTGTTCATTTATCCATTTGTTCCTCCATCATTTATTTAAGCATCTATTATTTAAGCATTTATTAAGCACCTGTTATATCTATTATGGTCCAGGCGCCGTTCTAAGGGCTGAAGACGTAACAGTGGACAAAGCATACCAGTTCCTGCCCTCTTGGTCCTGACATCCTGGTTGGGGAGGAGGGCAGCCAGGCAAGTCATCGAGAGCCATAGTTGCGCTTTGTGCTAAGAGCTATGAAGGAGAGAGAATGGTGGGTGGTGGGTTGACTTTGGACTGGATGGCTGGAGAATCTTATCCAAGCAGATGGCTTTCAGCCTGAGACCGGAGTGTGAGAAGGATCCACCCCCATGAGCATCTGGGGAAGGACATATTGGTGGAAGAGACAGAGAAGTGTGTTCAGGAAGCTGAGAGAGGGCACGAGGCACTTGGGTGGGATGCAGTGTGGCTGTGGGATTAGGTGAGGCCAGACTGGGCCAGGCCTTGAACATCACAGTAAGTGCCATGGGATTTTTTTTTTTTTTTTTTTTTTTGCAGGTGCAAAGGGAAGCCTCTGGGGGTTAAGCCAAAGGAGTGGCCTGGTCTGACCTAGACAGACATATGTTTATTTTAGATGGGACAATTGGCCTGGTAAGGACAGTTGTCTAATAATACAGTGAGCTCCTGGCCCTGCAGGCATTTCAGTGGGATGTGGTGAACACTGGCCAGGCATGTTCTGCCCCTGAAAGTGGCTGGGGCTCTCCTGAGGACCACGCTGCCGCCCACCCCCCCCCCCACACACACACTTCTGGGTTCCCGGGACTGGAAAGCCGGCCAGGGGTCACAAAGCCAGTGCCTGTGCCAGTGAAGTGGGTGATGATGTGGCCAGGTGAGAGTGCCCGTGTGGCACTGTGGGGCCAGGGGGACCAGGGCAACTGTTGGGTCTCTCTTGCTGATGGCCCTGTGGGAGGGTGGGCTGGTGGCACCACATCTCTAGCTTGTACAAGAGAACTCAGAGGTTGGGATTTTATTTTATTTTTATGTTTATTTATTTATTTTTGAGATGGAGTCTTGCTCTGTCACCCAGGCTGGAGTTCAGTGGCACAATCTTAGCTCTCTGCAACCTCTGCCTCCCAGGTTCAAGTGATTCTCCTGCTTCAGCCTCCTGGGTAGCTGGGATTACAGGCACCTGATACCACACCCAGCTAGTTTTTGTTTTGTTTTGTTTTGAGAGGGAGTTTTGTTCTTGTTGCCCAGGCTGGAGTGCAATGGCGAGATCTCGGCTCACTTCAACCTCCACCTCCCGGGTTCAAGTGATTCTCCTGCCTCAGCCTCCTGAGTAGCTGGGACTACAGGCATGCACCACCATGCCTGGCTAATTTTTGTATTTTTAGTAGAGAGGGGGTTTCACCGTATTGGCCAGGCTGGGATTCTTTTTGGGGAACAAACAAGCAAACTTGTCTGACATGTAGGCTTGTCTGGGATTTGGGTTTTTAAGGCCTCATGACTCAGTTTACTGGCCTGTCTCCTTGTGGTACTTCCCAGGTCCTCTCAATTAAAAGTCATGAATAAAAATAAAAACAGCTAGTCATGTGGCAGGCACTGCCCCAAGCGTCCTAGGTACATGTTAGTTCACTTAATCCTCCATTCCACCTACCAGGCACATACTATTATTTATTTTTTTATTTATATTTATTTATTTTTTATTATTATTATTATACGTTAAGTTCTAGGGTACATGTGCACAAAGTGCAGCTTTGTTATATATGTATACATGTGCCATGTTGGTGTGCTGCACCCATTAACTCATCATTTACATTAGGTATATCTCCTAATGCTATCCCTTCCCCCTCCTCCCACCTCACGAGAGGCCCCGGTGTGTGATGCTCCCCTTCCTGTGTCCATGTGTTCTCATTGTTCAATTCCCACCTATGAGTGAGAACATGCGGTGTTTGGTTTTCTGTCCTTGTGATAGTTTGCTCAGAATGATGGTTTCCAGCTTCATCCATGTCCCTACAAAGGACATGAACTCATCCTTTTTTATGGCTGCATAGTATTCCATGGTGTATATGTGCCATATTTTCTTAATCCAGTCTATCATTGATGGACATTTGGGTTGGTTCCAAGTCTTTGCTATTGTGAATAGTGCCGCAATAAACATATGTGTGCATGTGTCTTTATAGCAGCATGATTTATAATCCTTTGGGTATATACCCAGTAAAGGGATGGCTGGGTCAAATGGTATTTCTAGTTCTAGATCCTTGAGGAATCGCCACACTGACTTCCACAATGGTTGAACTAGTTTACAGTCTCACCGACAGTGTAAAAGTGTTCCTATTTCTCCACATCCTCTTCAGCGGGCAGGTACTATTATTTACACCACTTTGTAGATGAAGAGACAGAGGGGTAAGGTTTCTGTAAGCTTCCCTGAGTCCACAGACACCAGGGGAAGGACAGTGCCGGAGCCTGGTACCATATTGCCTGGAGACGGCACTCAAGTATGAGGCTCCACCATCCCAAGCAAACTCTCCTCATTTGTCTTCCAGTTTTGGGATGAAGAGGTAACAGAGACCTTACAAAGAAACCTTATAACCATTAAGCAGTCCTTCTCTATTTCTCCCCTCCCCTAGCCCCTAGCAACCACTAATCCGATTTCTGTTTCTATGGATTTGCCTATTCTAGATGTTTCACATGAATGGAATCACAAAATATGCGACCTTTCGTGACTGGCTTCTTCCATTCAGCATAATGTCTTCAAGGCTCATCCAAGCTCATCCAAGACACATCAGAATTTCCTTCCGTGATGGCTGAGTAATATTCCATTATATGGATGGGCCATACTTTGTCTATCCATTCATAAGTCTTAGGTTGTTTCAAGGAATGAATTTCTACTGTGAAATGTCTGGCATCAGGCTGGGTCCCTCAAAATGCCCCTTCCCTGATGATGTTCCCTCCTTCCTCCCCCCGGACCCTGCCTTCAGCTGTGGGTTATAGCTGGGGTGTGGATTCTGGCTGTAGGGGCTGCTCCGGCTTCCTGACTTCCAGCATCATCTGGTACAAAAACCAAACAAACAGTCTGATGTGGTGGCTCATGCCTGTAATCCTAGCATTTTGGGAGGCCAAGGCCAGAGGATCACCTGAGGTCAGGAGTTCGAGACAAGCCTGGCCAACATGGCAAAACTCCTTTGCCACTAACAATACAAAAAGTAGCTGAGTGTGGTGGTACACACCTGTAATCCCAGTTACTTGGGAGGCTGAGGCTTGAGAGGCGGAGTGTGAGAAACAAACTCACCCATCCAAACCCAAAGAATGGACTCAGAGACCCGGCGAACAGTGAAAGTGAGACTTTCGATGACAGTTTTGCAAGATCGGGTGTCTGATGGGCAGGCACACCCAACTGCCACAATAAGCAATTTATCCCCTAGTGCACAGGCCCCTCCCTCAGTTCCTCATAGGGTGAGTACTATGGGGTCACAATCTTCCTGGACGTCACCTATTGATTGTTGGGTTGGGGCTTTAGGTATTTTTTTTTTTAGGGTTGTCCCGCTCCATTTTGTTGCAGCCCACAATGCATTGCAATCCTGGTCAGCTCAGGGGCTCTTCAAGTATTTGACTTATGACCTAAGTAGCTGGGCAGGGTGATAAGAACAGACAAAACGAGCTATTTTGCAGGCTAGTAAATTTAATCTTAGACTAAACTTCTTTGGTTTGGATGGGGGCAACTAAGGGGGGTGTGGACGGGAGAGCCCAACAAGTAGGCATTGGCTATCCAAGCAGGGGCCTAGTATACTTTAATTCTGTAGTTTGCTGACCTAAACCAATTCAAGGCACTTTGTCTTGGAAATGGACTACTGTATACATTATTTCCTTTGTGGAGGTTGCAGTGAGCCAAGATCATGCCACTGCACTCCAGCCTGGGTGACAGAGTGAAACTCTGCCTCAAAAACAAACAAACAAACAACAAAAGACCATACACCTAGGCATATTTTAACTACATAAAAGCAGAGATCGAGATAAATAACTTTCTTGAGAGATGCTGCTGATTGCTTTGGAAGTTGCAAACCAGAGGTGCTGATCAGGATTTGAAGTTTTTTAAGCTTGGTCTCAATCTCATCTTCATGAAACCAAAACATGTATTAAAAAAACAAGGCGAGCCTTGGGGGGTGAGATGGGGGATGGCTGCTAGAGTGATCACTCAGCTGCTTCCTCCTGGCTGGAGGCCAAGCCACCAGGTCCACTCTTAAGCTGCAGCGGGTCCCGATCACAGCCCCCCACCTCAAAGGCGAGGATGCAAGGAGCAGATAATTCCAAGTAGTTCAATTCATTTCTGCTGGTGCCTGAAGTTGTGATTGATGAGAAATCTCTGTAAAGTTCACCCAATTCTGCTCTTAAGATTCAAGGACTTGAGCGTGGGTGGGACGGAGGGGACATGGACAGGAAACTTGTTAATGGAGAGTGGAGGTCACTGTTTCTCCGCACTTGGGGATGCCAGGGGCCCAGAGAGCCCAGGCCACACGGTCCATGCCTTGAGGTCTGCACTGCCTGGGAGCAGTGCCCTGGACCCTCCTGACCCCAGGCCCTGCTCATGCCTCCTCCTCCAGGAAGCCATTCTCACTTCCTCCATTCACAGGAATGACTGAATTGAGACCTGCAGCAGGGAACCTGCGCAGAATGGGATTGACCATGTTACAAACCACGCCTCCTGTGGGTTGCTGCAAAAGGCCCAGGTTACAGTTGTCACACACAGAGGTCTGGACTGGTGACACATAGGACTCAGGTGCCCAGAGAGGACATCAAAGGCAGAGCTCTGCTTGCAGTGGGGATGGAACAGGGCCCCTTCCTGAGCTGTGCTGCTCCCCACCCTGCCCTCACCAAGGGGGCAGCCCCCTCTGCAGAACTGAGGGTGCCTTTTACGAGGGGATGTGGCTTCACTTGCCCACTGGGCCCTCTCACCTGAGTCCTCTAAGATGCCTGGGTGGCCAAGGACAGGAACTTCTATTTTCATTTTCCTTGGAAGGAGTTGAGGGAAGAGTTCCACCCAAAGTCATGGGAACTTCATGCCTCCCCTGAGGCTCCAGTCCTTGCTGTTGCCCCGAGGAGGGAGTTGCCACTGGTTAAGAGCCTGGGCTTTGGAGTCCAGGGTATTCTCATGCTGAGCAAGCTACTGCCCCACTATGGTGTTGAGCAAGCTACTGCCCCACTATGGTGTTGCGCAAGCTACTGCTCCACTATGACCCTCAGTGTCGTTTTCTGTATGATGGGGATAGTAATATACCATAGGGCTCTGGGGAGCAAAGGCATATCTAAGTAAATTTGCTATCATAGTTCCTGGGAGTGGTAAGTGCTAGATAAACAGGCCAGTATAATTGCTCGAGAAACTCAGTTATCATGTGGGGTCACTCTGCCTCTTGGGTTTTGGAGAAAATTTACCCTTCCTGCTTCCTGCCCTCTCCAAAGGGTGCCTCAAAGTCACGGGGGCTCTCGTTTCTGCGGCTGGCCCCCAACTCTGGCTCTGCTTTCCTGCTTTGCGGGGTCTTCCTGCTCAGAGTCTTGCAGCCCCTCCTCCACCTCCACAATGGCGTCAAGCCAAGCACGGAGAGCTCCCACCGCTGGCCCTGATGCGCCGCCATTTTCCGAGCGCGGTTTACTGCAGATACCACCCTGAACATGCCCGGATCGTGTCAGAGCACAGTTTAATCCTCCCCACTGCCCGGGAGGTGTGTACACATTTCTTATCACCCCCATTTACAGATGAGGAAACTGAGGCACAGAGATGCCAACATTCAGCGAGGAGGGGGTCGATCTGGGATGCCAGCATTAGCTGGGTGCTTTCTAAGTTACTCTCAGCTGCTGCGCTTCGTTGCTGCAGAGAACTTACATCTGCCCCAGTCCTTTGTGTGTGAGGCAGGCGTTCCAGACGCACAGCTCCAAATGAGTAATACTCCCCCAGGCAAAAGGCACATGGCCTGCCCCACGCGGCTTGCTCCTCCCCTCCAGACCAGCTCTCTCCATTTCCCGGGCCTTCCCCTGCACTTTCCTGGTACCCTCAGGTCTCCCTGCAGGATTCTCACTGGACAGGTTAGCTTGGTCCCATTAGTGCCCCCTGCTGAGTGGCAGGACCATCCCCTCCAGGCCCCAGCTTCAACAATCCAGAAGGTGGAAGAGGCCACGGGACACTGGCCACTTCCTTTCTCTCTTTCCTACCAATATCCATGTAGGATTTTTTTTTTTCTTACTAACTGTGGCAGGAAGAATTATGAGAAGTCCTTGTAAGAGGCTGAATGGTGGCCTCTCCAAAGATATATCCACGTGCTGTGAGTGTGATCTTAACCGGGAAAAGAGTCTTTGCAGATGTAATTAGGTGAAGGGTCTTGAGCTAGCACGAGCCTGGATTATCCAGGTGGGCTGTAAACCCGGTGCCAAGTGTCCTCATAAGAGGCACACAGAGGAGAGACAGGTGGAGAAGAGGGGGAGGCCACGTGAAGATGGGGGCAGAGACTGGAGTGATGCGGTCACAAGCCAAGGAGTGCCTGGGGCCACAAGAAGCTGGGAGAGGCCAAGAACTCCGGAGCAAGTGGGACCCTGCTGATACCTTCATCTCAGTCTTCTGGCTTTTGGAACTGTGAGACAATAAATTTCTGCTGTTTTAAGCTTTCAAACACGTTTCCAAGTTAGTGGTATTATAATTTTCTGAGCAATTCATATAGCCCCATATTAATTTGCTACAGCTTCTGTAACAAATCACCACAACCTTACTGGCTTAAAACCACACAGATTTGTTATCTTACAGTTCTGGAGGTCAGAAGTCTCAGAAGGGCCTCACTGGGTTAAAATCAAGGTGTTGCAGGCTGGTTCCTTCTGGAGGCTCCAGGAGAGAATCTGTTCCCTGACTTTTTTTTGCAGCTTCAAGAGGCCACGTTCATCCCTTGGCTCCTGGCCCCTTCCTCCATCTTCAAAGCCAGCCATGCAGCATCTCTTTGACCCTGTTTCCATAGCCACATGTGCCTCAGACCGCGGCCAGGAAAGAGTCTCTGCTTTTAAGAACTCATAGGATTACTTTGGGCCCTCGTGGATAATCTGAGATCATCTTCCACCTGGAGTTTCTTGACTCTAATTATGTCTGCAAAGTCCCTTTTGCTCTGTAAGGTCACATGAGATTAGAATGTGGATTTCTTTGGGAGCCATTGTTCTACCTTCCAGAGCCCACAGTATTCCCACCCCTGGTGTATCATCCCTCAGCCTGAGCATGTGCAGAACTAGGAATGAGTTAAATTTCACTCCTGTGATAGATTTTATGTCACTTATAGGACAAAGGTGAAGGGATCTTAAAGATGCAATGAAAGTCCCAAATCAGTTGACCTCTAGTCAACCACAAGGGAGATCATCCTGGGTGGGGCTGACCTAATCAGCTGAACTCTTGTATTAGTCCATTCTCATGCTTCTAATACAGACATACCCAAGACTGGGTAATTTATAAAGGAAAGAGGTTTAATTGACTCACAGTTCAGCATGGCTGAGGAAGCCTCAGGAAACTTACAATCATGGCAGAAGGGGAAGCAGACATGTCCTTCTTCACATGGCAGCAGCAAGGAAAAGGGCTGAGCAAAAGGAGGAAAAGCTCCTTATAAAACCATCAGATTTCATGAGAACTCACTATCACAAGAACAGCACCAGGGTAACCACCCCCATGATTCAATTGCCTCCCACTGGGTCCTCTCTCGACCCATGGGGATTATGGAAGCTACAATTCAAGATGAGATTTGGGTAGGGACACAGTCAAACCATGTCAACCCTAAAAAAGGGACAAGGGCCTCCTTGAAGTCAGAGGTTCAAAGCACGAGAGAGATTCTCCTGCTGAGAAGAAGCCAACTTCCATATTGTGAGGAAGCCAGGTGCCCAGGAGCTGAGGGGGGGCCTGTGGGAGCTACAGACCTCAGTCCTACAGGTACATCCTGTCAACAAGGTTAACGGGGTCAGAAGAGGGCTCTGAGTTTTGCATGAGAAGGCAGTGGCTGCTGTCTTGGTTTCAGCCTGTGGGATCCCAAGCAGAGGACCCAACTTTGCCGTGCCCAGACTCCCAACCCGTGGATGCTCTGAGAGGATGAAACTCTGTTGTTTGAAGCCGCTAAATTTGTATTAATTTGTTATGCAGCAAGAGCAAAGGAATATAGTGATATAAATTATGCTGTCTCATTTAGAAGTTAGATGTATGTAGCTATAGTCAGTTTAGGTTTTAAATAATTTATTCTCTCTGCTTTTTAAACTTTAAAGTCTTATTCTGAAAGGGTTGAACCTGTGTTCCTGAGTCCTAGCTCTGGGCCCTCTGGGCTCCTCAGGGCCTCCTCTTCCCATGTGCGGATCTTGTGGCTTCAAAGACCTTTGGCAGGTTCTGGGGCAGCCCACGATTGACTTCCGCTCATGCCCCTTCCAGAAGGCTCTTCAGCAGATTCGGATTTAGGTTCTGTTTGACTTTCAGAAGGCTGCAAAGTTAACCACTTCTTATATAAAAAAAATTTAAATTGAGAAATTGTGCAGGCTTTTTTTTTTTTTTTTTTTTTTTTTTTTTTTTTTTTTTGATACAGGCTTGCTCTGTCGCCCAGGCTGGATGGAGTGCGTTGGTGTGATCTTGGCTCACTGCAACCTCCACCTCCTGGGTTCAAGCAATTCTCCTGCCTCAGTCTTCCTAGTAGTTGGGATCACAGGCATGTCCCACTATGCCTGGCTAATTTTTGTATTTTTAGTAGAGAAGAAGTTTTGCCATGTTAGCCAGGCTGGTCTCGAACTCCTGAGCTCAGGTGATCTGCCTGCCTTGGCCTCCCAAAGTGGTGGGATGACAGGTGTGAGCCATCACGCCTGGCCCTGACAAATAATAATTGTGCAGTTTTTAAAGGTAAAGTTAAGACTTTCCTCACCGAAGCCTGGCTGTTAGCCAGGGGGCTAGTCATCCCCTAGTCTGGTCCCTTTTCCCCAGCTGGTCGGTGAGAGAGGACTCACCTCACCTAGCGGGTAAATCCTTGTCTGCCTGGAAAAGGATCAGAGGTGTGGCCCAGTCTATTACATGGCAACGGCCCAGCGAGGTGCAACCGGCCTCAAGAATGGATTCTTTTAAGATCAGAGCTGTCCATGATCAGACACAAAATCTTTCCCCAACATGAGCAAACTCTCTGAACTGCCCCATCACAGCCAGACCAAGGGGCTGAAGGAAACAACTCCACGAAAACCACATTTGACAAGTTGCTGAAAATAAAAAATAAGCCTCGGTCTGGGAAATGACAAAGGCCTCAAACAGTCATTGTCAGGACATAATAAAGCTGAGATGGATGACGTCGCAGCGAAATTTGGGTGCGTGTCCCCGGTGCAGCATGCGAGGCGGCCTTGGGCCCATCCATCTCTCTTTCCCGGTTCCTGAAGACAGAGCATGAGAAATGGCCAGGGAGGGAATGAGTAAACATCACATCCTTCACTTCCCAAGAGTGCAGGGCTCTGGCTTGCTCTGACACAGACCCAGATGAAGACAGGTGACCTGGTGAGGGAGAGGCAGAGGAGCTGCCCACACCCTTAGCTCCTCTATGGGGCCCCAGAGGTTTCTGGGAGAAATGGCAAGAACAGGTTCTGGGCCTGTGTGATGGACTTTAATTTCATAGCAGTGGTGCATTGGAGCTGTCTTCGCCCACTGCGGTGCCTCCTGACAGCTGCTCCTCTCCCCTCTGGAGCATCCCCGGCCCTGTGCACCCTGAGTAGCTGCCTGTTTTCTGGCCCATTTAGCCCCACTGGGCTTCAAGTCTCCACGGCAGTAAACTTATTTCATCTCCAGCCCTAGTGCCCAGCAGAGACCCTGGCACATAGTAAGTTCTTAATAAATGATTGTTTGACAAAGGAGGTGACTGCAGGAGGGACAGTGGGGGTTGTCCATTCAGGCCCTGAAATGCACGTGTGTGTGGGGTGCAGCATACATAGCGAAATTGACCATTTCAGCCACATTACAGTGTACAGTTCAGGACACTCGCATGGGTGTGCAGCCATCACCACCACCTGCTAAATTTTGGATATGTGTCCCTGCCCAAATCTCACGTGTAAATGTAATCTCCGGTGGAGGTGGGGCCTGGTGGGAGGTGTGTTGGTCATGGGGCACCACACCAATCCCTCATGACTTGGTGCTGTCCTTGCAATAGGGAGTGAGCGCTCGGGAGATCTGGGGCATCCCAATTACGCGTGGGGCACCCCCTCATTCCCCGTCTCGCTCCTGCTCTGGCCACGTGACGTGCAAGCTCCTGCTTCGCCTTCCGCCATGAGTCAAAGCTTCCTGAGGCTTCCCCAGAAGCAGATGCCACTACACTTCCTGTTCAGCCTGCAGAACCATGACCCAGTTAAGCCTCTTTTCTTATAAATTACCCAGTCTCAGGTATTTCTTGACAGCAATGCAAGCATGGCCTAATCCACCATCCAACTCCAGAACTTTTCTTAACTTCCGAAATGGAAACTCTGTCCCCCTTAAATACTCACTCCCCATTTTTCCCCTCCCCCAATCCCAGCAACTTTGAATCTACTTTCTGTCTCTGTGAACTTGGTGATGCTAGGGACCTCGTAGAAGTGGAATCATACAGTCTTTTGTCCTTTTGTGTCTGGCTTGTTTCATTTAGCAGGATGTCTTCAATGTTCATCCACGCTAAAGCATGTATTGGAATTCCCTTCCTCTCTGAGGCCGAGGAGTATTCGGTCATGGGTTGAAATGCACTGTTTGAGCTGTCTGAATGGGATGAGAAGGTGGGGGCGTCGCTGAGCTCAGGGGTGTTCTGAGCAGGTGGGGCTTTGCACCGAGCTCGCCAGGTTCAAATTCTGCTCTTCCTTTTGTTTCGGCAAATCATGGTGCTCTCTGAGACCTGAGAAATGGGAGCGGAGGCTGGTACACCGCCTGGGGCCACTGTGAAGATCCAACAATGGCTGCATAGCAGACTAAAGGGAGCTATTTTTGCCACGAAAGGAGGGAAAGCTGGGATTGGCCATTTTGGACTTTGTTGATTGGAAGTGGTGGCAGCAGAGAATGGAAGGTCCCTGAAGTGGGACCTGCTGTTGCATTTCCAGCTGCAGGTGGACTTCCAGCTCCAACTAGAGCCCCTGGTGTCTGTCCTTCTCCAGCTCTGTGCTCCCCACAGCGCTGTCGGGATCAGCTCCTGTGGACCCCCCTCCGTCTCCCATGAATGTCCCGGGCCTGCCTGTTTCTCATCGGTGGCCAGACAGTGGCAAGTCTTAGTGACAGGGCATTTGGGCTAAATTAAAACCAGCGACCTGCAAATGAAGGGCCCCAAATCCCATTATCTGCTCCATAGCCATCTCAACCTCTCTGTCTTCTCTCCCTTTAAGGTTGGGGCCTGTCAACAGCCATTAGAGCTGCTTGGTTATGAATCTGTCACTTGGCTGGAAACGCGGCTTCATTTTCAGCAGACTGAATTTGTCTCCGCATTTGTGCAAGTTATTTTTTTTAAAAGTAATTGCCCGTTTTACCCCCATTCTTCTTGTCTGTGTTGTGAATGTTCTTATTTAAAGTGAAACCGGGGAGCTATTGTTAGCCGAGGGATAGATCAAGGGACCATACAAATGTGTCAAAATGTGCCATGACAAATCTAGGTTATTTTTCTGCAAAGATATTTTGCAGGCCTGGATTGAAAGTCAAATGGAGCTTCAAAGTGTACCAAGTTCAAAGTGTTTTCATGGTCTTTGATGAGAGGCGGTGCATTCATCCGATCCGACGGGCGGCTTGGCATCGGGCAACGGGGGCTGGCATGCAGACGGGCCTCCGTGGAGTCCAGGCTGCTTCCCTGGGGAGGGTGAGAGCCATAACGGGTACAGACCAGGGGGTAGGGAAAAAGCAGGCCTTCTTTGACAAGTCAGAGCCAATTGTGATGAGGGGGTGGCCCAGGACAGAGAGCGGCCGGGCTGCAGACCTGCTCTGTGGCTGTGCCTCTGCCTGACTTTGGGCAAATGCCCTTCCTTCCTAGGCCTCAGTCCACATCTGTGAAATGGGAGGCCTGGGTTTCATGAGTGCTGGAATCCGGCAGACTCTAGACTTCTCTGTTTCCTGGTGAGGCTCCCAGGTCTGGTGAGGTACAGGTGGCTCTGTGACCCCTGCTCTCCAGTCTGGATCTTTATTCCAAGACTGCTTCTTTCTGCAGGAAAAACTGGGCTTCCTATTGGAGACTTGGTCCTTGAGGAGGCCTTTAGGGAGGTGCATGGGCCCGTGGAGGGACTGGGGTTCTCTGAGTGCCTCTCCCACTGCAAGGGTCCTGGGCCTGGGGCTGTGTGCTGGGTCTGGCTCCTAGAGGGTTTTCAAACAAACATGTTTTGAGTCATTGTGTGTTTAAATTTATTTATTTATTTATTTATTTATTTATTTATTTATTTATTTATTTGAGATGCGAGTCTCACCCTGTTGCCCAGGGTAGACTGCAGTGGTGCGATCTCGGCTCTCTGCAACTTCTGCCTCCCAGGTTCAAGTGATTCTCCTGCCTCAGCCTCCTGTGTAGGGATTATAGGTGCCTGCCACCATGCCCAGCTAATTTTTGTATTTTTAGTAGAGACGAGGTTTCACCATATTGGCTAGGCTGGTCTTGAACTCCTGACATCAGGTGATCCACCTGCCTTGGCCTCCCAAAGTGCTGGGATTAAAGGTGTGAGCCACCGCGCCCAGCCTGTGTTCAAATTTAAAAGTAACTTTCTAACTTTAAAAAATTAAGTCAAAGTCTATCTTTCTTTTGAAAAACAGGCTGGTGTGGCTACACTAGACCTGTATTCCTCCGTGTTTCCAGTCACCTGGATCTGAGAAGTGGCTGGCCTCTTGCTTTTTTTTTTTTTTTAAAGGACAGGATCTTGCTCTGTCACTCAGGTTGGACTGCAGTGGCATGATCATAGCTCACTGTAGCTTCAAACTCCTGGGCTTAAGCCACCCTCCCACCTCAGCCTCTTGAGTAGCTAGGACTATAGGCATGCACACCACGCCTGGCTAATGTTTTAATTAAATTTTTGTTTTTTTTGTAGAGACAGGGTCTCACTATGTTGCCCTGGCTGGTCAAGAACTTCTGGTCTCAAGCCATTCTCCTGCCTTAGCCTCCCAGAGTGCTGAAGTTACAGGCATGAGCCACCCAGCCTAGCTGATCCCTTTAAACAGGACATTCGCTCAGGTTTGCCACAATCACCAGTGCTCCCTATAGCACCCCCAACAGTGAGCCCACGTCTGTTGCTGTTTTTCACTAGCCCTGGGCTGTTTGTCTGGCTCCTTGGGCATTTGAGTTTTCAACCCCGTGTGGTGGAGTGTGGCTAAGGTTGGTCACCCTGGAGTCCAATGACCTGAGTCTAGACTCTAGTTCTACTGACAGCCAGCCAGGGCACTGTGGGCCGGCCACTAGGTCTTCAAGTGTGCAGTGCCTACAATGCTTTCAACCCTAGAGAGTTATGGGGAGCATTAGCAAGATAATAATTCATGTGAAGAAGCAGGGTTAGTCTATTGCCTGTCACATGGTAATAGTAATATTGCTATATGTTAGAAAGATAACAACATTATATACACAATAACAATATAACATATCATATAATAATTATAATACAGCAACAACAGCCAGCATGGGTAGTGTATTTCCTATGCAGGCACTGTTCTAAGTGTTGGCACATGGCAATGCATTGAATCCTTATAACATACCCTTGATGCAGAGCCTATTATTGGCATCATCTCCCCATTTTACAGATGATGAAACTGAGGCCCAGAGAAGTTGAGATGCCTGACCGTCATCCACTAGAAAGTGGCAGAGCTGGGATTGGAATGCAGGCTGTCTGGCACTCAGCTGTGTGCCTTCAATACGCCACCAGGCCAACCTTTGCTGCAGATCTAAAGCTTGATGCTATCCCCAGGGAGAAGCCAAGCCCAGTCTTCTTGCAGCTTTAGTGAGTCTTGGATGTTGGTCTTTCTGGACCATCTTGAATGAGCTGGGACTGGGTGGAGTGCGGGGGCTGGTAAAGCAGCAGAAGCTTGGGGATGCTTGGAGAAGCCTGCTGAGACCCTGAGTAGCTGTGATCTTCTGCAGAAGCCCCACCTCTGGTTCCCACTGGCCCCCATGCCGGGCCATCTGGCCTCTGTTCCAGCCAGGCCCCCGAGCCCCTGACAGCATCCTCAGTGATAACACAATTAGGTGATTTCTCTTGCCTATGGGAATTTCCAGCAGGATGCACTGAGCATGATCCTTGGATTTCCAACCTGCTGTTGCAACTTCCTATCAGAGCTCCTCTTGCCAGGAACAAAGCGACAGCCGTCTGCTGGTGAGCTGGGCTAATCCTGTTAAACAATTCACAGATCTGACGCCGGACACGCTTTTTGAAACCTGAGGGTACGTACTGCAAGTCGAGTGCGAGTCTCGCGTTACTTTCAGAGGCTCGCTGCCCCCCCAGGGCTGAGGGGCTGGTGAGAGAGCCGGGCAGATGGCAGAGCTTGCGTGCAACTTCACTGGCCGGATTCCTGCTCACTGCGAGCAAGCACTTCTGCTTTCCCCACTGAAGTGCAGCAAAGAGACAGCACATGAAAGGGAGAAGTTGCCCCTCGCCTCTCAGCCGAGGCCCCTTCCTCCCAAGCCAGCACAGAGATAGCCCTGCACATTCTTGTTACTCCGCCCAAGGCCAGCTGGAAAGAAGTGGAGTCTGGGCCAGGTCCCTGAGTGCCTGGGGAGGTGTGGCCCGGTGGTTAGACAGGCAGTAGGGGCCGAACTGAGCTGGACCAGAGCCTTCTCTGTGGCTTTGGGCCAGGGCCTTGCCTTGCTGGCCTCGGTTTCTTCATCTGTTGAATTGGATGGTAGTTGTGCCGATCTCCTGGGGAGGTGAGGAGGTCTGGAGTGTCAGGTGTCCCCCAGCAAAAGCATGAAGGCTCGGGGTGTGCAGGTAGAAAAGTGGGGGAGTAGAAGAGGTGTCTAGTTCATCATCCCAGATAAGACTGGCTCTGAACTTGGAGGAGTCGGGGGTCCATGGGGGCTGTTAGAAAGGGACACTCAACAGAGACATGAAATTCTAACTAAATGTCCAGGGGGTGTGAGCCTTTTGCAGCCTAAGAGTCCCCAGAATACGCTGGAGATCCTTCCTTTTTTTTTTTTTTTTTTTTTTTTTTTTTGAGATGGAGTCTCATTCTGTCACCCAGGTGCTGTGTGCAGTGGGGCGATCTTGGCTCACTGCAACCTCCACCTCCCGGGTTCAAGTGATCCACCTGCCTCAGCCTCTCAAAGTGCTGGGACTACAAGCGCATGCCACCATGCCTGGCTAATTTTCGTATTTTTAGTAAAGATGGGGTTTCACCATGTTGGCCAGGCTGTTCTCGAACTTTCAGCCTCAAGTGATCCACCCACCTCAGCCTCCCAAAGTGCTGGGATTACCGGTGTAAGCCACTGCGCCCACCCTGGAGATCTTTTGGGTGCCCAGGGAGACATCCCAACACCCTCAGTCCCACCTGTCGAGTGTCCCAGTCACGGGATCCAGAGCCTCCCCTTTTCGGCCCTTCCTTTTCAGGCAAGGTTTTGATTCTTGTTCAAACACATCCTATGCTCCATGAATTCTGATTCTCATAACAGCCTTAAGGGGAAAATATTCTTATTATTCCTGCTTTCAGATGAGAAGATGGAGACTGAGAGGGTACAGAATCTGCTCAGGGTGATTCCTGTGGCTGGGAAGGCTCAGAGCTGGGAGGTGGCCCTAGCAATACCCCTCAGAGCCCACAGCTGCGAACACCACGGAACCCTGCCTGCCAGGCCCAGCCAGCCTGGCCGCGTGTCCCAGGCATTAAATCAGTGTCTGTTGAGTTAAACTTCTCCTGGCTGTTGGGAGCTCACTCCACTCCTCTCCCTTTGGAGCTTTTGTCTCTCACTGGCTGTGCCTGAAGCCTTTGCCTCTGGTTCCTGGGAGGTGTGGGGTTCTCCTGTGGCTGTGGGCACTGGGCACCGGGCACCTCAGCGTGGCATGACGTAGTGGGACTGGACATTTCACAGCCAAGCCCTGATGCTTCCGTGATGTTGCCTCTCTGGGCATTTAAACTCATTCCCAGAACAATTTCTATGAAGCTTTTGAAAGTTGGAAATGGGCTGGACCACCATAAAATTAGTTCAGATAGAAAATATTTTGTAGAGAGCCTCAGACTTCTCCTTCCCCTTTAGAAGTGATTTTCTTGTTTGAGGGGAACAGAGAGAGGCTTGGAACATCCAGGTCAGCCTGTTCTTTGGGAAGTTTTACAAAAGGCCAGAGGCATGTTCTGAAGAAAGCAACCAAGTTGCAAATCTCGTCTCCGTGTGGTGAACTCTGAGCCACTTGGAAAAGATCAGAGGCCGCTGCATTTGTTCCTTGGCCTGGAAAGGCTCAAAGCCAAGGTCGGCAAAAGTGATCTCATCTCCAAAAATGTCCTTCAGAATCAGGATGGAGCTGCGTCAGGCAGCGGGAGGCAGATGAGGGACTGGTGACCACTTTGTTGGGGGGCCCACTCACCTCTGCTTCCATCTAGCCTGGGGTCCCCTCCTCCTCTTAACCAGGCTGTGGGGAGGGCCGGGGAGGTGGAGCTGGTTTGGACAGTGGCCCAGGGCGGTGGGCTGGGGGGTAAATGGCTCTCTTGTAGCTGATGCCAAACGCTTGTTCCTTTGCCTGGTCTCTTCTACACCAAGCCCCGTGTGTCTGTCCCTGAAGGCAGTCTCAGTGCTGGGGCTTGAAGGGAGCTTCCCCCAGATGAAACCCTGTCTCTCGACCTTCTCTTCCATCCATTGAGCCTGCTTGGACGCAGTAAATCAATGAACGACCCTAGTGTTTGCTGTCCCGGGTGAGCCGGCAACCATGGGTCATTGTTTCTGGAGAGGACCAGGTGCTCTGAACAGGCAGCTCTGGGCCTACACCCCATCTCAGGTTGGGTTTCCCAAGAGCTGACACTGAGACAACACTGTGAACAGGAACACTGATGCAGAAGCTGATTCCAGGATTCATCTATGGGAACAGGGGCATGAGACAGGGCCTGGAAGGAGACGATGAGGGGTGTGATGAGTTGAGGCCATCAGGGCTCAGTCCCTCTGGGGACGACAGCGGCATGGTGTAGAGCAGTGTCCTGAAGCCCCCGGGACCAGTGCAGATTCTGGCTCTGCAGGTCTGGGGTGGCCTGAGACCCCTGGAGCAATGCAGGTGCTGTTGGTCCAAGGTCCACTCCAACTGGAACGCACCTCAGAGGTACTGCGTTATTGGGGTTGAAATGTGTCCCCCTGAAACATATGCTGAAGTCCTCACACTCGGTGCCTGGGAATGGGACCTCATTTGGAAACAGAGTCTTTGCCGACGTGATCGAGTTAAGACAAGGGCATACTGGGTTAGGGTGGGCCGTGGTCCAATGACTGGTGTCTTTTCAAGAACAGGAAAGGAGATACAGTCATGGAGGGAAGATGGCCATGTGAAGAAGGCAGAGATTGGAGTGTTGTTGCCACAAGCTGAGGAATGTCTGGAGCTGCAGGAGCCCGGAGGAAGCCGGGAAGCATCCTTCCCTAGTGCCTGCAGAGGGAGCCTGGCCAGCCGACACATTGATTTCTGACTTCTGGCCTCCAGAGCTGCGAGCTACTCAGTTTCTGTTGTTTTCAGCCACCCAGTTGTGGTGACTTGCTGCGGTAGCCCCCAGAGACCAGGACGCCAGCCCAGGGATGAGGGTGCTGGTCCTGGGGGTGTCAATGCACTGGCACATCCCGCTTGACCCTGGAGTGGCCAGAGAAAGCCCTGGGCAGAGGTGTGGGCAGAGGTGGCAGGTGTGGGCAGAGGTGGCAGGTGCTGGCAGAGGTGGCAGGTGTTGCGGGAAGTCAGGGACCCCGAACGGAGGGATGGGCTGAAGCCGTGGCAGAAGAACATAAATTGTGAAGATTTCATGGACATTTATTAGTTCCCCAAATTAATACTTTTATAATTTCTTACGCCTGTCTTTACTGCAATCTCTGAATATAAATTGTGAAGATTTCATGGACACTTATCACTTCCCCAGTCAATACTCTTGTGATTTCCTATGCCTGTCTTTGCTTTAACCTCTTAATTCCGTCATTTTCATAAGCTGAGGACGTATGTCACCTTAGGACCCTGTGATGATTGCATTAACTGCACAAATTGTTTAAACAATTTGAAATCTGGGCATCTTGAAAAAAGAACAGGGTAAGAGCGATGTTCAGGGAACAAGGGAGGTAACCTTAAAGTCTGGCTGCCTGTGGGCTGGGTGGGACAGAGCCATATTTCTCTTATTACTGAAAACGGGTAAGAGAAATATCGCTGAATTCTTTCCCCAGTGAGGAATATTAATAATTAACAGCCCTGGGAAAAGAATGCATTCCCAGGGTGGGGCCTCTGAAATGGCCGCTCTGGGGGTGTCTGCCTTATGCAGATGTAGATAGGGATGAAACATGCCCTAGTCTCCGGCAGCGCCCCCAGGCTTGCTAGGATTAGGAAATTCCAGCCTGGCAAATTCTAGTCAGACCTGTTTTCTGCTCTTGAACCCTGACAATGCGTGCACAGCGGGACATGGAAGTTCATTAGTGGATTCTAGTTTCGCCCTGACCTTCTGCCTTGTGATCTTTTGTCGCCCTTGAAGCATGTGATCCCTGTGACCCACACCGTATCCGTGCACTCCCTCCCCTTTTGAAAATCACTAATAAAAACTTGCTGGTTTTGCGGCTTGTGGGGCATCACGGAACCTGCCGACATGTGATGTCTCCCCCGGATGCCCAGCTTTAAAATTTCTCTCTTTTGTACTCTGTCCCTTTATTTCTCAGACTGGCCGACACTTAGGGAAAATAGAAAAGGAACTATGTGAAATATCGGGGGTGAATTTCCCCCGATAGGCAGGTGCTGGCAGGGGGCAGGTACGGGCAGAGATAGCAAGTTTGGGCAGAGGTGGCAGGTGCGGGAAGAGGCGGCAGGTGCGGGAAGAAGCGGCAGGTATGGGCAGAGGGGGCAGGTGTTGGCAGGGGGGCACAAGTGGGTAGAGGGGCCAGGTGTGGGCAGATGAGAACCTTTGGGTGGTTGCCCAGAAGCAGTCAGCACTGAGGCGAGGTGAGTGGGCCCTGTGACCCCTGCTCCCATCCTGCTCAAGGTGGGCCAGGCCCTCTCCTAGGGGGTAATGGGCTTGGTGTCCTGGTCAGGGCAGTGGACAGGGCAAGGAGGGGGGTGCTGACAGCTGGGGCCAGGACAGGGCTGACTGGTTGGGAGGAGGTGCCCCACCCACTGCCCTGTGCATACATGCTGCCCACACCTCCCTGGCTTGTGGGAGGGCTGCCCTGGGGAGGGTTGGGGCAGCCGGGGACCCGGGAGGAGGGGAGGTTTGAACCCAAGGGCCCTGGCTGAACTCCCGCCTCCCCTGCTAACTTGCATCTCTGAGCCTCAGTTTCCTGGCAGCACACGAGTGCAGTGACACAGGCTGTGGGACTGAGGGCCAGGGATGGTGCCCATCTTTGCCTAGGACTGGGCCCGGCCTGGGGGAGAGGGCTCATCCGCAGAATGAAAGATGAAGTGGAAGAACCTCCTGGGAGCTGGCAGTAGGGCAGAGCCTCCTCCTGAGTTCCCAGCCCAGCACGCTGGGGAAGATAAGCTCCCAGGGATAGCCTGGCAGTCCACATGGACGCCTCTGTCACCTCCTGGCCCAGGTAGACTCTGCTTCCTCCAGCTTCCTGTTCCCCTGACATTTCAGCCCCAGATTTCTGGAAGCGCTTTTGAGAGGCAGATGTTTGCCAGTCTGCCTGTGCTATTGATTTATGTCTTAGTGAGGCTCGCCTTTACAATGATTAATATTTGATTTACACCCTGAGTTTGTCCTGTTTCTGATCTCTTTCAAACTCATTAAATCTTCTTTAATGGAACCTCTAACTTTATCCTTTGGAACTTACCTCCAGAGGCAGCTCCTGGCTCCCTTCATTGGCTTCTGACCCATTTATTTGCCATTTGAAAAAATAAGCACACATTTGGCTGGAAGTCGTCCTGGAGGGCTGCTGCCAGGGGGTGGTGTGGCTTGTTAAATGGCACAGCTGCTCCACCACGCCACCGTGGGAGCTTCTTCCTCTAATTGAATGTACTTGTGCTGAAAGGGTCAGGTCCCGTTGCCAGAGGTGGGGCAGAGTTTAGTCTGCAGACGGCTGTTTCCAGGGTGGGGGATGGTCAGGGGTCTTGGGCTCTCAGGGCTGGCAGAGGTCTCAATGAGCATCTGAGCCAGTAGTGAGCCCACTTTGCTCTGGTCCTAGGCAGGAGCATGGTTAGAAATGTGAGCCCCTCAGGCAAGACTGAGAATGATAACAGAGCTGACTTCTGGGGAGGAGCGAGCGCATGCTGGATCCTTCGCCAAACATATAAATTGGCAAGTGCTTCCTATTCATTTTCACATCCGACCCACACGACACTCCTGGGAAGCAGAAGCCCCATTTTAGAGATGGGAAAACTGAGTCTGTGCACCATGCACAGGGGACTCAGCAGCTCAGAGGCAGAGCCCAGATTCGCACCCAGGCGGTCTGAGCCCATAGGGTGCTCTGCTTCCTCTCTACAGAGCACTCTCGCTTCTGCCTCCGAGGGTGGAGCCCAGGGTGCGGGGAACCATCCCACAGCACATGAGATGGCCCCACCACGAAGGGCTCTCACCCCCAGGGTGCACAGTGGAGGAACCCTGTCCTAGTGGGACCAGCCCTGACCTCAGATGGCCTGTCTGCGCGCCAACAGTCCCACTTGTGGTCTCTAGGAGTCTCTGGATTTATTAATTTCAGAAGTCTGGGTACGGCCTAGTATTGGGTTTATCTGTGGAAGGATGGTAGATTTTATATGCAAGAGGGACCTAAAGAGGCAGCTTTTGTTGCGAGCAGAATGTGCCATCTGCCTGCACCGAGGCACAGAAATGATGCCGTGCAGTCACAGGGCACCTCGTATGGGCTGAGTCCATCTATAGGAAATGTCCAGCAGAGACAAATCTGCAGAGACAGGGAGGAGATTAGTAGCCGCCCAGGGGTGAGGGTGGGTGTGAGGGCATGAGGGGGTTAGGGGTCAACAGCAAAGGCATCAGGAAATGGGCTGAACTCCAGCCCCTGCCTTGCAGCGGCTGCTCGGGCGAGGAAATGCCTCAAGCTGGAATGCAGGAAGCGTCTGCTTCAGCCCAGGTCAGCTTCTGAGTTTTCTCCCTTCTTCTGTGTTCTGCACTTTCTATTACTCAGTTTACTTTATATTTTTATCAGGGCTTTAGAATGATCAGTGCTTTTTTCCCTTTTTCTGCGTTTTCTGATTTTTATAATATGCACGTTTATAACGCAAAGTGGGGATCTAATAAAAAGTAAATCCCAACCCTCTCTCCCCTGCAAACAGACAAAGCACAGCAAAACACCGGAGAATAATACTTGACTCCCCACTCCCCAAGCACCGGGCTTAAGCAGCTGGAGGGTGGGCTGCAGGGGCTGGTGGGGACAGAGCAAAGGACATTGACCCTCCTGCCCTCCTCTTCTTGGGGGAAGCACCTTTTCTATCCCTCCTCCAAGCCTCTTCTACAGAAGTGGCCCAGCAGCCACCATAACCTGGAGTGTGGCTGCCCCATCTGGGCCGTCCTCCTGCTCAGTGGGCCTCCAGTTTCCCTCCTTGGGCTGGGCATTGGCTACCCATTGGCCCAGTCCTCCTGTGAGGGGGCTGAGGCCACGATTCAGAGCAGGGGGAAGGAGGAAGAAGTGTAGATTGGTCTGAGTCTGAGCTGTGTCTTCTGGCTCGGCCTTCCCTGTGTTTTGTATGTTAGTCTTTGCCTGGGATGGAGGGTGTGCGTGTGCAGCTGGCCTCATTTCCCCTTGGCTGGGTGAGGTCCATTTCTGCCCCAGCTGCAAGTGTGGAATGCCTGTGCTGCTTTCTGTTGTCCCTGGACAGAGTGAGAAACATCAGGCAGAGTCAGGGAGCGTATTAGTCCATTCTCACGCTATGAAGAAATATCTGAGACTGGATAATTTACAAAGAAAAGAGGTATAATTGACTTACAGTTCTGCATGGTTGGGGAGGCCTCAGGAAACTCACAATCATGGTGGAAGGGGGAAGCAAACACGTCCTTCTTTACATGCCAGCAGGAAGGAGAAGTGCCAGGCAAAAGGGGGAAAAGCCCCTTGCAAAACCATCAGATCTCATGAGAGCTCACTCACTATCACAAGAACAGCATGGAGATAACTGCCCCCATGATTAAATTGCCTCCCACCATATCCCTCCCACAACACGTGGGAATTATGGGAACTACAATTCAAGATGAGATTTGGGTGGGGACACAGCTGAACCGTATCAGGGAGGGACGGTGTGGGCTAACTTAGAGAGGGTAGGCGGGAGAAGCTCCTCTGATGAGGTGACATTGAGCAGGAAATTTTGCACCCATTAATGAGAAAAACTCTGAAAAATAAGAATGGTGTGGAATTTTCCCAATTTGACAAAGGTCATCTGCAAAAAACCCGTAGCTAACCTCACATCTAATGGTGAAAGACAATGCTGTCCCTGTGAGATCAGGAAGAAGGCAAGGATGTCCACTCACCGCTTACTCAACTGAGCACTGGAAATTCTAGCCAGGGCTATAAGGTAAGAAAAGTAATTAAAAGACATAATTAAAAGATATACAGACATAATTAAAAGTAATTAAAAGACATAGAGATTGCAAAGGAAGAAATGAAGCTATCACTGCAAATGATATCATCTCTGTAGACTATTGCAAGGAATCTACAAAAAATATCCTAGAACTAGTAAATGGGTTCATCAAGTTTGCAGGATACAAAAGAAACATCAAAAAACCAATTGTACTTCAATATACTAGCAATGAATACATGGACACCAAAATTAAAAACACTATGCTATTTACAACTGCTTAAAAATGAAATATTTTGTTATAAGTGTAACAAAATGTGTATAGGATTGTATGTTTATTTATTTATTTTATTTATTTTTTTGAGGCAGGGTCTCTCTCTGTCACCTAGGCTGGAGTGCAGTGCTCTGATCATGGCTCACTGCAACTTTGACCACTTGGGCTCAAGGGATCCTCATACCTCATCTTCCCTAGTAGCTGGGACTACAGCTCCGTTACACTATACCTGGCTAATTTTTAATTTTTTTATAGAGGCAGGGTCTTGCTATGTTGCCTAGGCTAGTCTTGAACTTTTGGCCCCAAGTGATCCTTCTGCCTCAGCCTCCCAAAGTGCTGGGATTACAGGCATGAGCCACCAAGCCCTGCCAGGATCGCATGTTTACTAGTACATAATTCTGATCAAAGAAATAAAAGAAGATCTAAATACATGGAGAAATATATTTTGTTCATTTACTGGAAGGCTCAACATAGTAAAGATGTCATTTTCCCCTAAATTGATGCACTAGTTTAACCCAATTCCTATCAAAATCTCAGCAAGATTTTTTTTTTGTAAATATGAACAAGACTATTCTAAAATTTATTTGGAAAGACAAGAGGACTTGAATAGCTAAAACAAATTTGAAAAAGAAGAATAAAGTGGAAGGAGTCAATCTATATGATTTCAAGACTTATTATATCGCTGTCATGATCAACATTGTGTTGCAGTGGTGAAGGAAAGACATACAGATCGATAACCCAGACACAGACTTGCACAAATATGCCCAACGGATTTGGCAAATGTACAAAAGCAATTCAATGGGTAAAAGATAGCCTTTCAGCAAATGGTGCCAGAGCAATTAGCCATTCATAAGGCAAACAAGTTGAACCTTGAACAAAATCTCACACCTTATGCAAAAATTAGCTAAAAATGGATCATGAACCTAGATGTAAACTATGAAACTTAGGAAAAAACCTAGGACAAAAGCTTTGAGATATAGGGCCAGGCAAAGAGCTCTTAGACTTTGTTTCAAGAAGCATAATCCATAAAAGGAAAAATGGACTAGTTGGGCTTCATCAAAATAAAAACTTTTTCTCAGCAAAAGACCCAGTTAAGAAGCTGAAAATATAAATTACAGAGTGGGAAAGAATATTTGCAAACCACGTATTTGACAAAGGAGTAGTATCTAGAATATATAAAGAATGCTCAAAATTCAATAGTAAAAAAGCAAGTCATTCAACTAGAACATGGCATGAATGAGTGAAAAGGCATGAACAGACATTTCCCCAAGGAAGATATACAGATGGCAAATAAACACATGAAAAGATGTTCAATTTGGCTATCCATCAGGGGAATGCAAATTAAAATCATAATAAGATATTCTTAAATATCTGTCAGGATGGCTAAAATAGGGAAAAATTGACTATAACAAAAGCTGGTGAGAAGGTGTCCAAACAGAATTCCTCATACACTGCTGGAGGGAATATAAAATATTATAGCCATTGTAGAAAATATGTTAGTAGTTTCTTAAAAAAAAAAAACTTTCAATTACCATAGGACCTGGCAATTGCACTCCTGAGCATTTATCCCAGAGAAATGAATACTTGTGTTCACACAGAAACCTGCATACGAAAGTTTATAGCAGCTTTATTTGTAATAGAAACTGAAAACACCTAGACATCCTTGAACAGTCTATGGTTTAGCAAACTGTAGCACACCCAAACCATGGAATACTACTCAGCAATAAAACTATTGATGTGCGTGGCAACCCGCATGAATTTCCAGAGAATATCATGGAATGAAGAAAGCCAGCCCCGAAAGAAACAAAGCAAGGATGCTCACTCTCACCCCTTTTATTCAGCTTAGTGCTGGAAATTCTAGCCAGGGCTATAAGGTAAGAAAAGGAATGAAAAGACATACAGATTGGAAAGAAATAAATGTAGCTATTCCTGTTTCCAAATGATATCATCTATGTAGAATATTCCAAGGAATCTAAAAAAAGTCTCCTAGAACTAGTAAATGAGTTCAGCAAGGTTGAAGGACACAAAAGAAACATCTGTACAAAACATCTGTACAAAAGAAACATGCTGTATGATTCCATTTATGTAATTGTATTAGTCTGTTTTCACACTGTTGTAAAGAAATACTGGAGACTGGGTAATTTGTAAAGGAAAGAGGTTTAATTGACTTGCAGTTCCATCTGGCTGGGGAAGCCTCAGGAAACTTACAATCATGATGGAAAGTGAACGGGAAGCAAGCACCTTCTTCACAAGTCGGCAGGAGAGAGAAGAGAGCATGTGAAGGAGGAACTGTCAAACACTTACAAAACCATCAGATCTCATGAGCACTCACTCAGTATCACTAGAGCAGCATGGGGGAAACCACCTCCATGATCCAATTACCTCCTACCAGGTCCCTCCCTCGACACGTGGGGATTATCAGGATTACAATTTGAGATGAGATTTGGGTGGGGACACAGAGCCAAACCGTATCAGTAACAAAATTCTAGAAATGGAGAACAAATCAGTGACTGCCAGGTGTTAAAGAGGGGTGGGCAGGGGCGAGAAGTGGGTGTGGCTATGAAAGGGTTGCGGGAGGGACTCTGTGGAGGCAGAATGTTCTGTATCCTGGCTGTACCCATGTCAATATCCTGTTTGTTATATCGCACTACAGTTCTGCAAGATGCTACCACTGGGGGAAACTGAGTAAAGGGTCCATGGATCTCTCTATATTATTTCTTACAACTGCACTTGAATCTATAATTATCTTAAAATAAAAAGTTTAATGAAAGTTACGTTTCGAAGGCAATTTACGTAATTACATAATAACTTCGTGTGCAGCATTAGTGCTTATAGATAGTAAGTGCTAAATAAGGATGTGTTGACTCTTCAAAAAGCTCTTGGGAGGCATCTCCCATGACCAATGTCCCATGCTGGCCAGAGGGAAGAGTCAGCAGGGCAGGGCCCAGCCATGGGGTCCCCGGATGACCCCACTGCAGCAAGTCTCAGGGCTTCTTGGAGCATCAAGTTGGTCCTGAGCTCCAGGTGGAAGATCAAGGGAGAGAATGCCCAAAAGGAGAGAAATGGGGACTGGGACCCTGGTCTGTTCTCGGGGTACCCTGCCTAGTCCTGGGCACTGATAGGGGACTTTGACAATTTCGAGGAAGGAGACTCCAAAGCATGGGCTCCCTGCCAGGTGGGCATGCAGGGCAGAGTCCAGCTTGCCTAGGTCAGTGGGTGGTTGCTATGGTCACCTGCAGAAGCACGAGGGATCCTCACCTGATGTGATTCTGATGTCAGGGTTGGTGATGCCCTCGCCCTCTGCCTGACACAGACCCCACGAGGGGTGAGAGTTCCCACGTGGGCAGGGGCTGCTGTGGTTCGAGTCTCCCACCAGTGCCAGGTTTCTGCTACAGCTTGCCCAGGTGCGGGGAGCAATCAAAGCTGTCCGCAAACATCACCAAGTGGAGTCAGACCCTCAGCACAGTGGTCCTGCTGGGGACCCATCTGGTCTCCCCGTTTTGCCTTCTGCCCCTCAGCAGGTTGTGTCATGCTCTGTGTCCTCTAGGGGAGGGCCATCCCTGCACCATCCCTTCAGGTTCTGGGGTGAGGCCCGGCTGTGGCGCCCCTTCCTGTCCCCGTGTTCTTGGTGATGATGCCGCTCAGCTGCCAGACTCCAGCACTGGCGCCTCATCCCCCTTCTTCTCACAGCATTTCCTCTGTTGGGCTTCCGGCTGTTCTGTGTCTCCTCCTCCTTTTAGAGCCTGGGAAGCCCCCCCAAGAGCGGCTGGCGGGAGGAAGGGGGAAGGCTTGGGCCTGGGTACACAGATGTAGCCAAGGACCCCCTGACCTGCTCGGTGCTACGAGGGTTGCACCCTGCCCTGTGCTGGGCATGGGTGGACACAGGAGATCTGGCCCTGCCCACGGGGAGCCTGCACGCTTCTCTGAGGCAGGAACTCCCAGGGAAGAATGGAAGGGTAGTTTGTGGTTCTGACCCAGCAAGGCTGGCATTGCACAGCTGCCTGTCTCAGGAGGAGACTGGGAGTAACTGGAGGGATGAGTGAGGCCGGGAAGTCCTCCTAAAATCTCTCCCCACATGGCCATACTCATCATTTTAGAAACTTTCAGAGGCTCTTCCTGCACGTGAAGAAGATTCCAGAAGTGTGCTAGTCTTCCCCAGGCCATGGGGACTGCATCGCCCGGCCTCTCTGCACCAGTCTCCTCAACTCTCCTCATCCCGGGCTCTGGCTGCCCTGGCCCTGCTAGTCTACACTGGCTCTGAGGCCTCAGCCTGGCCCTTCTTCTGCTGGAATGGGCTTTGTCTTCTGGAAACAACCATGGATATGCAGGTGTTGCTCACAGTATTGTTTGTACTAAATGGGGACAGCTGGGAGCTGTCCCTTGTCTATGAGTGAGGGTGGCTGCATCGTCACAGGGTGCCGTGCAGTTTCCCACAGGGACATTGTGTGAGGGGAACCCTGTGAGACACGGTGGTTGAGGTTTCTCAGGTGGCTTGGGCCGGGCACTCAGGGCCCCAGGAGGGTGCGTGCCAGTGACCAGGAAGACCCAGGCAGTGTGCACGGAGTCTTCTTGGCTGGGTCTGGGCTGAGCCAGCCACGGCAGGTGCTCTGAAGAGCAACCAGAAGGCAGGGCTGGGACTCCAGGCTGCAGCAGGGCTCGTTCCTGCTCTCAGGGTCAGGTCCACCCACAGCCAGACTGCAGAGGCCACGGATGAGAGCACCAGGTGTGAGAGACACATCCCGTGTGAGGGCGAGGGCAGGCAGAACAAGACCGGTCCGAGGGGCAGCCCTGGGCAGGAGAGGACAGAGCCACACTGTGCTGTGTGTGTGTATGTGTGTGTGTGTGCATGAGTGCTTCTGTGTGTGTGTGACTGTGCACATGTGTGTGTCTATGTATCTATATGTGTGCATGTACATGCATGTGTGTATATGTGTGCATGTGTGTTTATGTGTGTGTGTGTGTGTGTGTGTGTGAGAGAGATCCTCTAACACACAGCTACCTTGCCCATTAGGAAATGTGGCCCTATTGGGATCTGGATTCTGGCTCCCGTCAGCTTCCCTTTCTTGTGGAGGAACTGAGGTGGAGGAGGGATGAGGAGGAGAGCGCTTTCTTCCCCACATATTCAAGATATATTCAGGAGAAAAGGCATTTTGCCAAACAGGAAGAAAAGTATGAGCCCATTTTTAGAGAGCTCATTTTAGAAAAACATAGCAATGAATGCTTAGGAAAATTACTGGAAGGATATACAAAAACATGTCAAGTGGTGCATTTGCAGTTATGGGATTTTGGGTAATTTTTATTCCCTTCTTTTGGCTTGTCTGCATTTTCTAACATTTCTACAATAAACATCTATTACTTTGTAATAACAACCAAAAAGTTATTTTAACAGTTGGCCTGGAGCTGTGACAAGCGTTCAGATGAGCCGCCTTCTGAGCGGCCGCCCGGGCGTGCTATGTTCTCACTTCTGTGGGTGCCCAGAGATGGTGGGGGACGCTCGGCGGAGATAATAAGCAGCTTCCCTGAAGGCTTCTTGCTCCCACCTTCGCACTGCCATGGCATCGGAGTGTCTGTCTTTTTGGGGTGCGTGGGTTTTGCTGGCCCTTCACGGTAGCACTCGTCACGGAACCCATTTACTCTCCCCAAGGCCCTACAGCATGAACTCGGGCTGGTTTCCACCCGGGGCTCATGTGGTCTTGGGGTCCCGGCTCCGGCTCTGCAGCCTCTGGGCGCTCAGGTGCATCCCTTGTTTCTCAGGGCCTGGGTTTAGGAGCAGTTATGACACGGGGCTCCTGGGCCATGTGTGTGAGTGCCAGAGACCTTGGACAGATCCCTTAGCCTTTCAGAGCTTCAGCTCCCTCGTATATACATGAAGGGGATAATAATATCGTCTACCACACAGGGCTGGTGAGAGATCGAGCGACGCAAGACACATCTAAAGCACGTGGAATAGTTCCCGGCAAGAAGCAGGCGCTAAATGAATGTTTACTGTTGTCATGATCTGTGCCACAGGCATGTCGGCAGGCAAGATGACGGTCTCCAAAGATACCCATGTCTTAACCCCCAGGACCTGTGACTGTGTCAGGTTACATGTGCTGTGGTTTGAATGTGTCCCTTCTCAAATTCAGGTGCTGCCAATGTGATGTATGAGTAGGTGGGGCCTTAGCAGGTGATCAGGCTGTGGGGGCTCCTCCCTTGTGAGTGGGGTCAGGCGCCCGGATAAAGGGCGTGACCCTTGTGTCCTTCTGCCTCCTGCCATGTGAAAGCACCACGTTCCTTCCCTCCCCAGGATGCAACCCTCACCAGACACCAAATGCCTTGAACTTGGACTTCCAGCCTCTAGGGCTGTGAGGAATACATGTCTGTGCTTTACACATTACCTGGTCTGCGGCATTCTGTTAGAGAGGCACAAGCGGACGAAGGCATGAGTGGGGGGATTAAGGGCGCAGAAGGAATTCAGGTTGCTGATCAGCCGGCCTTAACACAGGGATGTGAGCACGGACTCTCTGGGTGTCCCCAGTGTGATCACCAGAGGCCTGAAGAGTGGGAGAAGGAGGCAGAGAATCAGAGGAAGGCATGGAGCCATCTGGGTGCTGTGCTGTGGGTTCTGCAGGCGGAGGAAGGGCCCCTAAGCTAAGGGATGCAGGCGGCCCCAGAAGCTGGAATGGGCCCCGGGATGGCTTCTCCCCTGGAGCCTCTGGAAGAAGCGTGGCTCTGCTCACCTCCTGATTTTAGCCCAGTGAGACTGCTGCGGCCTTCTGAACCACAGGACTGTGGGATAATAACATGTGTGTCGTTTTTACCAGGTTTTTGATAATTTGTATGGCAGCGATGGGAAGCCAATCCAGGGGTGCTCTCAGCTCCTCTCGTGGAAGAAGGGCTGAGGGTCGGGGGGCTGGCAGCTTCCGGTGCCCCTCCGGCAGCTGTGTCTGGAATCTGTCGGAGCTGTGGGTCTCCCTTACCCACCTGAGATGCAGGTTCCTCTCCTGCCAGCTGGGATGGGGTTCTGGGGGGGGGGATCTGACACTTTGAGGAGGGGGCCCTGGAGCTCCTGCTGTCAGGGCAGGACCCACCTGGTTTCCCTAATGGATCTGATTTCTGGGGCCCGACCCTGTTGCCCCTGCCTTCTCCCAGCTGCCACCTGTGCCCAGGGGTTCCTGAACGTGTAAAGGGCGGAAGCCCGTCTCCCACTTTCTCCAAGTGCAGAGCAGGCTACACCCTTGATGGGAGGCTGAGTCTCCGTCTCCAGAATGCTGGGAAATCTTAAGCCCCGGCGGTGGAGAGCCTTCGGCAGGGACAGCTTGCTCAGATGCACATCTCTGATGAGTGTGGGCTGTCTTGCCATGAACGGGAAGATGTTTGCAGCCATTGTCATTAAAAGCTCCTGTTTTGGTGTGAAATCCCAGCTTCAGAAGTGCTGCCGGGAAGCGGCAGGGACAGAAAGCTCCCTCTGGGAGCCAGGACAGTGAAGGAGCCAGTGTGGGAATCATAGCCTCTCCCCTGCCTGCCACCCCATCTGCTCCAGCTCCATGTGGTGGGTCAGCCGGGCCAAGGGGCATCCTCATGGTGGCCTGCTAGGACCCTGATGGCTTTGTGAGCTGTGTGGAGAAGCCACCTGAGGCCCCCTTCCCAGCCATCCCCACTTCCCTGGGTGTCCCAAGCTGACCCTTCCTATACTGACCGTTGAGTTCTTAGCAGGCCCAGCACTATTCTGAGCACCTTTCCTGCTTTAAACAAGGCAACGATCCCAGCTTTCAGTGAAGTAGGCACTGCTATTGTTCCCATTTTATAGATGAGCAAACTGAGGCACAGAGAGTCAACTTAATTTCTAACAGTCACTCAGGCAAGAAGGCAGCAGAGCCAAGGTTTGAGCTCCGGCAGACGGACTCTGGCACCTGTACGCCCACCGCCTCTGTACACACTGGCCAGGGCCACGTGCCGGGGCTGGAAGGGTGAGTTTTGCTCTATGGTGACATCAGGCTGAATAAGAGGCATCTTCGTGCAGCTTTCATGTTTCTCCAGGATTTAGGGGCATGGAATTGTTTTTACGTTAAAAAGTGTACACATATAAGGAACGAAATGTAAAATCAGCCTGACGTTTTTAAAGGTCAAACAGGAGCATTAAAGACAAGGTGGGCCGGGCACGGTGGCTCATGCCTGTAATCCCAGCACTTTGGGGAGGCTGAGGCGGGTGGATCACCTGAGGTCAGGCATTTGAGACCAGCCTGGCCAACATGGCAAAACCTTGTCTCTATTAAAAATACAAAAATTAGCCAGGCATGGTGGCTCGCGCTTGTAATCCCAGCTACTCGGGAGGCTGAGGCAGGAGAATTGCTTGAACCCAGGAGGCAGAGGTTGCAGTGAGCCACGATTGTGCCACTGCACTCCAGCCTGGGTGGCAGAGCGATACTCCATCTCAAAAAAAAAAAAAAAAAAGACAAGCTGAATTTTTGGAGACCGCCTGGGGGAGGGCACCTTGAGTGTCTAAGGTCCTGCCATTTACCTCTGATTGGAGTTTCTCTGGAGGCCACACCAAACCCTGAATTGGCACAGAAGCCCCTGGGAAAGTGGAGTTCTCGGTGGGGGCAGGCGGCCTTCCCGGTATTCCTGTCCCTTCTCCCTGCCTGCCTGCTCCTCTGTGTCTGTTAGGCCTGGCCCCATGGTCTTTCGGGGGCGGTTTCCACATGGGGATTCAGTGTCCGAGAGAAGAGAGATTTCCTCCGTGAGCACAGGAAGATTCTTTTCGAGTCTGAAACTCAGTGAACAGAATCCCTGCTGGGAGGACGGTTATGTTCCGTAAATCAACTCTCCAGTAGCCCCAGATCTTTCTTTGAGGAGTGGGCTGTGTGGTCACAGGTAGACGGTCACTGCATGGCCACCCAGCCCCAGTTCCAGTGGCCTGTTCAAGAAACCAAGAAATCAGGCTGCCGGGGTCCTGGCTCACCCTCCAGCGGCAAGGGTGCTCGGGGCTGTGGTTGAGCTCTGGGACAGGGCTCAGTCCCCTTACCGGGGTTGTGCCTAAGGGCCTGTGACCCACCAGCATTTCCTCCAGATCCCAGGACCCCAGGCAATCTGGGCTTGCCAGTTCTATTGGCTCACCCATCCCCTAAAATTTGGGGCAGCAGCGGGATTTCCTTTTGGATTATCTGCTTGGTCCTGCGTAGACACGCAAGGGTGGAGAATCTTCCAGGAGTCCACATTTGCGGATTTGAGCGATGCTTTCTCCTCGCCGGCCTCAGTTTCCTCCTCTGTGAAATGGGGATTGAGCCAGAGGCTGTCTCTGTCTACAAGAGTTCTAAGTGCCCTTGGTTCTCTGGCTACACCAAACCACTTCCCAGCCATAGCTGGGGTTGCGGGGCAGGGGCTCCAGCGGGGGACCTGGGGGTGTGATCAGAGCAGGCTCAGGACTCAGGAGAATGTGGGCAGCCTCTGAGCCGGGGGTGCTGGGTTTGTCTCCTGGCCAGACCGCTACACACTTGGGAGAAATGACACAATTCCTTTCCCTTTGGTTTTCTTGACTATAAAATAGGGCTAGTGATCATTCCTAGCTCTAGGGTGTGGTGTGGTCCCACAGCATATTTAATCTAAATGGAAACTTTTCAGGAAGTGTTAGTTTTTCTTTTCCATGTGTCCGATGTTTAGTTCTAATCAAACCCTCCCTGGCATCTCTTCATCCTGTCTGCCTATCTTTCAGGGCCCCAAGCCTAGGGTGTCCTGGCAGCAGATGGGAAATGTCAACTCCAGGCACTAAGGACACAGCAATTTGTAATCAGCCAGTGACTGCTTTCAAGTTAGAAGGCGGATGTCATTTTGCAGGGGCCCTATTCAGACCCAGAGGCTCCAAGACACGAATGGCTCAGGATTTAGCTAATGTTTGATGCTGGGTGAGGGACTCAGGGATCCATCAGCAACCGCCTCTGAGTTAACTGTCCGGTGGGCGAGCTTTGCTGTGCAGGATTTTCCTCCCTTACTTAACCTCTTGGGCTCAGCGGGTCCCTTTAATTCAGCCCACAGCTTTGGGTATCTCTGCCTGTGTTCGTGGGCCCCCCGGGTGTGTTGACCCTGGTTTCTGGGGTCCCGGGGACGTTTGCTCTGTCTCCAGTACTTTGGCACTCCTGAGCCATGTGGTCTCCTGTCATGCTGTGAGCAGGGGTTGTGCCTTCTTGTCTCTGTACCCAGTCCCACCTACACTGTCTCAGGGAGGGTGCTTGGAGGGCCTAGGGGGATCCAAGGGCCCCCACCCCATTCATGGCCTCCTACCAGGGCCAGTGGTGAGTCTGGGCTCAGGGTGCTCCCGCAGGTCAGGCCTGCAAGGTGACAGCAGGCACTTCTGTGCACGTGGCCTGCCATTGACAAAGGAGGGAGCTCTTGTCCCTAGAATGGAGATAAGTGAATAAGCATTTCTAATTGGAATGTTCCTTCTACCCAAGTGGCTCTTTAAGTAGCTGGCTTGTGGGGAGAAAGAGGTGGAATCTGCATGGAATTTGCAAATATTCATGCTCCTTCAGCTCTGAGAGCTTTCTCTCTTAATAACGGAAATTTGTTCTCACTCTAGGAGTGGCACAAACGGAATCCGCGTGGCCGACGTGAGCCTTTATTTAGAATAATTCCAGATAAACAGCTCTGTGACCCGGTAAGTGCCTGTGCTTGAAACATCTCAACCTCACTCTGTTTTGGAAAAATTGTTTCCCAGCTTGGGTTGAGGTGGATGTCTGTGGGGATGTCTGCCTCCCACTGTCCCTGCCCTCAGCCCCTGCTGCCCTGGGACGGTCCCCCGGGGGCAGGAGATGAGATGACATTCCTGCCTGAAGGTCTCAGGGTTACGGGTCCAGGGCCAAGCTGATTTTCAGGATTCTCCCCTTCAGCCCTTTCATGCTTTCTGGGCTCCTCCCCCGCAGGATGCAGGCTGGGGACAGCGACTCTTTTAGTTGAGGTCAGGGGTCAGAGTTGGCATCTCTGGACTGGGTTTGCATTGCCAGGAGCTGGCAGGGTTTTCAGAGAACATCTGGGTTGGCTGCTGGTTATTCTACTGGACTCTGTTGGTTCTAGAAACTCTGGTCTGGTCGGCTATTGGTTTGCTAGGACTGCTATCACCGAGTGCCCCAGTCTGGGAGACTTGAACAGCAGAAATTGATTTTCTCATCATTCTGGAGAAATCCAAGATGAAGGTGTGGTGAAGACTGTCCGAGGCCTCTCCCTGTGCATGTCTCTGTCCAAATTCCCCCTTTTATAAGGACACAGTCTTACTGGATTAAGGCCTGTGCTAATGAACTCATCTTAACTTGTTCATCTACAAAGACTCTATTTCCAAATAAGGTCACATTTGGGTGCTGGGGGTGAGGACTTCAACATCTTTTGGGGGACACAATTCACCCATAACATCTTTCTAGAAGGAGCGCTTGTCCCCAGCAGGAAAATGACGGCAAGCATTTCCGGGCTGAACTGTTTCCCAGTGGTGCTTGTGCGGGGCGTTCTGCCAGCCGCGCTTTCTCATGGACTGCTGTTGCTTTCCTACAGACAGAGGAGGGGTCCTTCTCAGAGGGAAGAGGGCTGGGAGGCAGAACGCAGAGTGCAGAAGCAGGTGTCGGAACACTGCCGTGAGCTCAGGTTGCAAAGCCAGAGGGCCTGGGTTCAAACCCCAGCTCTGCCGCCTACTTGCTGTGTAACTCTGGAAAAGTGACTTAACCTCTGAGCCCCTCCCTCCCTCAATCTGTGAAAGAAGGGCTTTCTGAGGTTACAGGGGAAGATGCAGGCAATTCCCAGCATGTGCCTGACCCTCCCCAGGCTCCAGACACTGGGTCCCTGGGGCTGTTGTGTTCAGCGTTATCCTCAGTGTCCCTGCGGCCCATGCTGTCCCAGCTAATTGCACCCCATGGCACCCTGGGCTCCGCCGGGAGCAAGACTCCTTTAGCGAGGGGTTTGGGATCTCAGTCTGGGCTGCCCTTTTTCTGAGGGGGCCTCAGCTGTCACAGGCCCAGCATTGGGAGACAGAGCCCAGAGTGGGGGCAGAGCCACGAGGGTCACGTCAGAAACCAGGGGCAGGGACTGCCACAACCACTGTTGGGCCCTGGTGGGGTGGGGGTCTCTCTTGTTTGCTTCAAGACATAAAGGAGAAGAGTCCCAGTCTCCAGGGGCAGGTGGGGGCATGGGATTCCGCCACAGCCCCCTCCCTCCACAGGAAGGAAGGAAGTGCCGCCTTAGCCACAGGACAGGGCTCCATGGGGACGAGGGGAGACTCTGGGGAGGGGGAGGCAAGGAAGTCTGCAATGCAGAGAGACAGACAGGCAGAGAGACAGACAGACAGACAGACAGACAGACAAACAGAAGATGGAGTTCCAGGCAGGCCAGGCCCAGGTCTCAACACATGAGCCTCTCTGGGGCCAGCTGGTGAACAAGAGCTGGGGCCCTCTAGGCACAGAGCGGGGACTGGAGGGAGATCCTGGAATGCAGAGGCCACGATAGCTGGGATGCACTGCTGGAGGAAAATTTTAACCTGGACCTGGGGGTAGCCACACCCCAGACAGTGAAGGGCTGTCTCCAGAGGCCAGGACTGAGCAGCGGTCAGCCGCAGGCTGCGGGTGGGTGCAGAGATGCCGCCAGTGCTGGCCCCATCTGACCCCTACTGCCCATCCCAAACTGGGCCCTCTCCTGTGTGTCTCTGTCTCTATCTATGTCTCTTTCTCTCTTTCTCGTTGTTTCTATCTCTAGCTGTGTCTCCCTCTGTTTCTGTATCTGTATCTCTCTATCTGTTTCTCTCTGTCTATGTCTCTGTCTCTACCTTACAGTCTCTATGTCTGTTTGTCTCTATCTCTTTTTCCATCTCTCTCTCTTTCTCTGTGTCTCTGTCTCTGTGTCTCTCCATCTCTGTCTGTCTCTGTCTCTTCCTCTGTCTGTCTCTGCATCTCTCTGTCTCTCCCTCTGTGTTTGTCTCATATCTCTCTGTCTCTGTTTCTCTGTGTCTGTTTTTCTCTGTATCTATCTCTCCAGAGACATACACACAGAGGGAGAGATAGAGTCTCTCATCTCTGTGTTTCTCTGTGTCTCTCTGTATCTCTCTGTCTCTCTGTGTATCTCTCTCTGTCTCTCTGTATCTCCCTGTGTCTCTCTCTGTTTCTGTCTCTGTCTGTCTCTCTGTCTGCCTCTTTGTCTCTCTGTCTCTGTCTCTCTGTGTCTCCCCATCTCTTTCTGTTTCTGTGTCTGTCTCTCTGTGTCTCCTTGTTTCTCTGTCTGTCTCTGTCTCTTTGTGTCTCTCCATCTCTCTCTGTCTGTCTGTCTCTCTGTCTCCCATCTCTTTGTCTCTCCACGTACTGAGAGCGGCACTGCCCTCTCTCTGGGGTTGTTGCCCTACCCTTTCTGTGGGTCGTTGCTCTCCTCATCTCTTCCTCTTCTCTTCACTGTGCATCTCCTCCAGGGCCAGGAGCCCCTGGAAGGCAGGGATCTAGTCTGTGCTATTCATGGCTCCCTCTGACGCATGCACCTGGCATACCACAGGTGCTCAATAAATGCCCATGGAGTGTTGTTAGGTGCCCAGCTGCCGTACCTTGGGCTGAGTGACTGAGCCATGAGGCTGTGCCCTGAGGGGCCGGCACATTGATGGGCTGTGTGGGGTCCACTCCTTCCTCCCGTGGATTCGGGAGCTTTTGGGCCTGTGACGTCCCCACCCACGTGGTGTTTGTGCTCGGCTTGATGGACATTGGTTGCTGTGGCAGGGGCCCAGGACACCATGGGAGGGAGGGACTGGCCCCTGGCACCCTGTCCCAATCCTGGTGCATTGGCAGCTCCGTGTTCCTGCTGGCGGCCCCCGCCTTCCCTCCTGGCAGTGCCCATCCCAGGTCCAGAGACGTCTCCCAGTAATTGGTTTTGCTGGAGGACAGCCCCAGCCTGCAGGACTGGGAGTACCCGAGGCCCTTCTCCCAGGCAAAGGCCAGAGACGCTGGGCTGAGGAGGGTCTGAGTTTGCACCATGGGGCAGTTGCTCCTGAAGGTGCAGGGCTGGGCAGTTGTTTGAATTCCCAGTGGCGATCATGTTCTCATCTGTAAGAAAGGGCCAATATGAACCCCAGTGCTGCCGGCTCACGTGGGCTTCATGGAGGATGAAGTGAGGTGGCTGCAGCCCTCCGTGAACCGCAGCTATTATCTCTGTCCACACTGCAGTTGTGAGTCTTGCTGGGGCTGGGCGAGGGCACTGCTGGAGCCAGAGAGGACAATGTCCATTGCTCAAGAACATGGATCTTGCCCAGGCCCCTCTCTGCAGGCATCAGACAGAATCGACGGCCCTGCGGATCAGCCCAGGACTCCACGGACAGACTCCCAGAGGCTCCCACTTGGTCTTCTGCCCATGGGAGTCATTCATCCACCTCGAGGGGCGAACGGTCCTCGGGTTCAGGTTCTGAGCTCCTTAGTGCTGTGCTGTTGGGGACTTTCTGGCCACATAGGGGACTTTGCTGCATTTGGAAGACTTGCCACTTGGGGACTAGCATGTGAGCCCAGGGCCAACTGCACGCTCCCTTGTCTTCAGCGTGCACAGGGAGCTCTCCCCAGCACGAGTGATTCTGGCCCTGGCCCTTGGCTCTCCAGGACACTGTAGCCTCTCGCTCAGTATTCCGGGGTCCTGTGAACACTGTCTGGCCTCTCTAGGTCCCCAGGGGTTCACAGGCCTCACCCGCTGAGCACGCATCACCTGGAGGGGAAAGGGGGGCCCTGAATGGACACCGAGCAGGAAGGGAGTAACTGTTGAGCGCTGTGCTAGGCGCTGTGCTGAGCACTTGATGTCACACAGCCCCGCTTCGTTCCCCAACAGCCCTGCCAGGGAAGAGCTGCTACCGAGCCCATTTTACATGTGGGGAAAGGGAGGCCAGAGGTAAGGAACCTGCCCAAAGTGGTACGACTTGTAGACAGCAGGGCTAGGTTTACTCCAGGCTCTTCTGACTCCAACGCCCATTTGCTTCCCTCCTCCCTCTCCCTTTCTCCCTCCCTTCCTTTCTCCCTCCTGCCTCCCTCCCCTTTCCCTTCTCCCTCCTCCCTCCCTCCTCCCTCCCTCCATTCCTCCCTCCCTTCCTCCCTCTTTCTCCTTTCTCTCTCCCTCCCTCCTTCCTTCCCTCCCTCCCTCCTCCCTTTCTCCCTCCCTTCCTTTCTCCCTCCTCCATCTCCTTCTTCCTCCTCTCTTTCTCCCTCTCTCTCCCTCTCCTTCCTCCCTCTCCTCCTCCCTCCCTCTCCTCCCTCCCTCTCTTCCTCCCTCCCTCTGCTCCTCCCTTCCTCTCCTCCTCCCTCCCTCCCTTTTGTCCTCTTTCCCTCCTACCGTTCTTCCTCCCTCCCTTTCTGCCCTCCTCCCTCCTCCCCCCTCCTTCCTCCCTTCCTGCTGTCAGTCTATTGCACAGCCTTCTCTGCACTTGCTTGGAGAAGAGGCTCTGCCTTGGCACTTCCAGGCCTGCATAGGGGCTTGAAGCTTTCTGAGCCCCAGAGCCTTTGGTTCTTCTTTCTCTGTGCCCCCTGGATTGCACACAGGCCAGTGAGAGGGGACAGGCTGTGTCAGGTTACCTGACTTCTCTGTTAGGGATGTGAGAAGGGGCAGAGGGAGCCCTTGGTCCCCATCCAATTCACTGGGTCACTGAGTGCTGCTTCCTAAAGGCAGGCCCGTGGCAGAGGTGGCCCTGGCTCCTCACATCTGGGTAAGGGAGTGGCCTCCTCAGATGTCTCTGGTCTCCTCAGAGTTCCCTGCTGATGTTACCCCATGTGGTCTTAGAACCCTGTGGAAGATCATGGCCCATGGCTTCCTCCAGCAGGGGCCTTGGCCCCACACTGGAACTACTCAGCCCCAGCACCAGGTGGGCAGCGTGGTCCTGCTGAGCCCTGCACAGATCCACCCCGAGCTCCTCTGCTGGCTCAGGTCTGGGCTGCCGCTCAGGGAGGCAGAGGAGCAAGCCGGCTGCTGCACCTGGTGTGCTCCTGACCGGCAGCTTGGCAGGTGCGGTCCTCACCCCGCTTCTGTGCTCTGACTTTCCCGGGAAGGCGGGTCACAGTGCACACCGCTGCCTCACCATTTCAACTGTTAGTCCCCTTATTTGGAATGACAGTGACTTGCATATTTGAGGAGCTCAAGAGGGGGAAGTTTAATAAGATGCCAACAGAGTAAATGCCAGTTGCTTAAAAAAAAAGGCAATTTAAATTGTTTAGTGGATACACGTTTGGGAAGCCTGGGAAGCCTGGGAAGCCCACTTGCTGCTGCCGTCGTGGTGGGGTCTGCTCCGTGCCTGTCCAATGGCTGCTGATCAGCGGCTGCAGGCTGTTTGCTCCCAGAAATCATGCAACAGACAAAGCCGGAGGTCCTGGCACTTGGTGCGATGTTGGCTCCCCGGGGAGCCACGCTCAGACAGCACCGGCACAGACGTCATGATTGAGACCAGGGCTCAGGGTCCAGGGTCCAAGGTCCAGGTGCTGCCATCAGTGGCCTGGGGGCTGTGAATGGGATGGCAGAGCCCTTCCAGGTCTAGGACCTGGCCAGGGACCCAGTCCAGGTCAGCGTCCCTTGTCTGCAGTGCCGATTGGCTGGGCTCTGGGCAGGACAGTCCTCATTCACTTGCTTGTCGTTGGTGGCAGGACTGTCATGGCCAGAGGATCCCTGGTGCTAACTGGCCTCCCCTGTCAGCTGCTGCCTGAGCAGAAAAGGGAGCAACTACAGGGCAGCCTTTCCCGGAGCCCCCTCTTCCCTTCTGAGCGCCTGCAAAAGGTGCTGGGTGCTGGCCACGCTGCCCTGCCTGCCTGGCTCTGGCCCCCCCCAGAACCCTTCGCAGGGGCTCTCCCAAGCATGGGGAGCTCCTGGACCAGCGCCCTCCTCCTTAGGGTCTGGGAGTTAAGTCCACGTCTTGGTGCCATGCCCCATGGCTGCCACCAGGGGTCAGCAGGCCCATGGCGGGTTGCAGGGTGGATGCTGTGGCCGGAGGAGCGGCAGGGACGGGAGTTCTGAGGGGTAAAGCTGGCAGCAACCTGGACGCAGGCATTGGCTGGTGTCTTGGAGGTCAACCCTGGCCAGGCCCTCTGGCTGGCTGAGCTGTGGTCTTTAGCCACTGGGGGCATAGGGGGTGTCAGCTGCCTTGGAAGAGCTACAGGGGTCCCAGTTGCTGACGCTGGTGCCTTCTGGGGGACCCCAGGCAAAGCTCAGTGCTCATGACCGTCATGACCAAGGTGGCGTTCGGAGTCATTCCAAGCAGTCTTTAAATCCTGTGTGGCCTTGGGCCACTTCCTTTACCTCTCTGAGCCTCAGAGAACTTTCCATCTGCAAAATGGGAGAAATGATCAAAGGGCTGTTGGAAGGATCCAACGAAATAACACATGCAAAGAACTTAGCACAGGCTGGCGTGACACGGTCACGCAATAAACCGTACAATTGTCATTACTGTCATCAATAGAGTTTTCAGGGGGATCGTCCTGTCTGTCATCGTCTTCTCCAGGATGCTCCTGCTGGTTTTTAATGTTTCTAATCTCCTGTTGATTATTCTTGGGGTTTCAGCCAAATAAGTACTGCCAATTAAAGCTCTTGCTGTAGCTCCGGGTGGGGTTGCCATGGCAACGGGAGCAGAGCTTTCACTTCTTCCTTGGAATACACACACACGTGTGTGAGTCTTTTTGTGGGTTTCTGCCCGTGTGTCTAGCTGTTACCAGAACTCCCTGCCGCGGAGCCGGAGGTGGCAGGTGGGAAGAGAGAGGGAGGAAAGTGGGGCATGGGGTGGCATGTGGGGGCCCCTCCTCCTGCACGGAGCCCCCTTCAGCCTGGGAAGCCTTTGCCTGGGATGCTGCAGCCAGCGTTATGAGGGAACGAACGTGGGTTTCCCCGTGCAAACTTGCTCTGCCCCCGCAATGGCCTCAGGGGCCCTGTCCAGCCTGGTTGGCAGGATGAGGCTGTGCTGGGTGACGGACAGCCCTGCCTGAGTCTTCAGAGCGTCACAGATGTGTGTGTGCCTGTGTGTTGTCTCTGTGTGTATCTGTGTGTGTGTCTCTCTGTGTTCCTGTGTGTCTGTCTGTGTGTCTGTATGTCTTTTTCTGTGTATCTGTGTATGTGTCGTGCTTGTGTGTGTCTGTGTGTATTTCTGTGTGTGTCTGTGTGTTTGTGTGTATCTGTGTCGCTTTCTCAGTTTGTGTGTCTTTTCCTGTGTGTGTCTGTGTGTCTCTTTGTGTGTACGTGTGTGTGTCTCTGTGCCAGTGACTCTGTATCTGTGAGCGTGCGTGTGTGTTGGGGGCTTGAGTTGGTCATCAAAGCTGAATCTCAGACAGGCTACAGGATTCTAAACTCAGCTCAGGCCTGGGGTTAATTGAGGTCCAGGGAGGGGCTGAGCTGGAAGCAGAGCTGGGGGCTCACTCTGACCTCTGGCTTCTCTGAATTCCAGATGCAGTCAGCATCAGGCCTACCCCCGTGTCAGCACTGGGAGCTCCTGGAAGGAGGGCCGGCTCTTGGATGTGGGGATTGGCTGGGACTTTTTTCAGTTGAAAGGGTCAAAGTAGCGTGAGTAAAATTAAATAAATACATGGAAGAAAGAAAGAGAGAAAGGAAGGAAGGGAGGGAGGAAGGAAGGAAGGGAGGGAGGGAAGAAGGAAGGGAGGGAGGGAGGAAGGGAGGGAGGGAGGGAGGAAGGGAGGGAGGGAGGGAAGAAGGAAGGGAGGGAGGGAGGGAAGAAGGAAGGGAGGGAGGGAGGAAGGGAGGGAGGGAGGAAGGGAGGGAGGGAGGGAAGAAGGAAGGGAGGGAGGGAAGAAGGAAGGGAGGGAGGGAGGAAGGGAGGGAGGGAGGGAAGAATAAAGAAAGAAAAAGAAAGAAAAAAAGAACACCCCCCCAGGTGCACATGGAGACTCTGCGCTGGGGCCCAGTTACCCAGGGTCGAGGCCCAGCCAGCTTCACTCAGAGCTGGATCTGGGCTCTGTGAGCGTGGCAGGCCCGACTTTCTCCAGAAAAGTGTTTGGAGCCCTGTGGCTGGGCTGGAGCTGGATGTCTTCTGTAAAGGGGCAGAGCTTCTTGCTGGTAGTGTGGACACAGCAGATCTCATGGAAGGGTGGGACCAGCCTTGCTGGGGTCCAGCACCCAGGCCTGGGCCACCTCAGGGCTTGGGGACGGTGGTCGTTGGCTGGGTCCAGGTCTCCTTTCCCCAGGGCTAGGGTGGGTAGCAAAAATGGATGCACAGTGCCTAGGACCACATGGGCAGGGAGACGGGGAGGCTGCCCCAGGACCCTGCATCCACACCTGGGGGACGGGCTTGCCTTTGCTGCTAGGCGAGGAATGCCTCCCTGAACAGAGCTTCATGTTCTGCACCCGTGATGTGATCCGCAATGTGCAGGGGCTGACGAAGGGGCTGTCGGCTGGGCTCTCTGTGAGCCTGTGATCTCCTCACCACCCCTGCACCTCTGCACTGAGGGGAGGCAGCAAGAGAGGGGAGCTCATCTGGAGGAGTCAGTGCCAGCTTTGAGAAGCCTCAGCCCCTTCTAGACACCTGGCTCCTCAAGCCCCCTCCATGGGGAGGGGATGAGCAGGTCCTGTCCTTCCCAGGAAGCAGTGTCCTTGGATTTGGAGGGCAGGAGCCTTGGAGGGAGGTGCCAGCCTGCCTTGAGTTGGCTGAGGAGGGGGCAGCCCCTCCAGGGGTCATGCGATGGGCTAGGCAGAGCATAGCTTCCAACTGCTATAGCCAGACTTGCTTGGAAATGCCGCGGGTGCTGAGGGCTCTGAGGGGCCACAGGCAGCCCACGTGGCCAGTGGTCCCTCCCTCTCAGTTGTGATTCCACGTTCAGGGACTGTGTCTTCTTCGCTGCTGACGTCACAGAGCCAGCCCGGCTGGGTGGTTGGTGAAGGCCAGGAGCCTGGCTGATGGGGCCGTGGTGGGCATCCTGCTGTGAGCGGGGACGTCAGGGCTGCACAGCCAGGGGCGCTGGGAAAGGGACCCTGACATCTCTCAAGAGGGGAGAGGGGTCCTCAGCGGCTGGTGGTTGTGGCCAGTTTACACCTTGCTGAAGATAAGCCACCTAGATGTGACTGAGGGACTGAGGTGGCGCTGTGGGGAGAAGGGGACTGGGTCACTGCTCCTGCACTCGGGGAAGTCACACTACCCAGCACACATGTTGTTTCCTGAAGACACATGCCTGTCTTGCCCGGCAAGAGACTATGACTGTAATAATTAAAGAAAGAGGAGAGAAACACGAAGGGTGGCTGTACAGTCAACAGGGACAGGTTTATTTTAAACAAACCTGAGAGGGGCGGCTGGCTGAGTTAGGTCAGAGCGCACTCTTTTATGGACTGAGAGTTTTTAAGGATTTAGGGTGGGAGAGTTTATTAGAAGCTTGGACTGCTTTTGTGTTTTTTTGCTGTGCTTATTTGAGAGGGAGAGTTGTGTGTGTGTTTCCATTATTTAATTCTTACAATGACCTCACCCATTATGAGGCTCCCCCTGTGCCAGGCAGCGCATGGAGCTCCTCACATTATCCTCATGGAGGCCCTGTGGGCAGGTGTGAGGCGCCCAGCAGACAGGTGAGGCGCCAGGCATACATAACTTGTCCAAAGTCCCACGTCGTGGGTGACGGGAGCCGTAACCACTGTTTTCAAGGAGCTCCTCCTCCTCCCTGGGGCCCAAACAGCACCGGGCACATCAGGAAGTGGGTGGTAGGGTGGGGCGGGGGCCTGGGTTGGCCCCATGGGCTCATCCCTCTTCCCTGGACTAGGGACCTGCAGCAGGGGTGAGGTCTCTTGAGGGACTCCAAAGCCTGAGGTGCAGCTTCCAGCTCAGCTTGTTCCTCCGTCAGGGCCAGGTGGGAAGGTGAGGAGTGGGCTCAGGGCAGACAGGTATGTGCAGGGGCATGCTGTCTGCCTCATCCAGGAAACCAAAGGGACAGAGATGGGGTGACTCTTGAGGTTCTCCAAGGTGTCCATGAGCCAGAAGCACCCCCCTGCCCAGGCAAGAGGTGGGCACATCAGTGGGGCCCACACTGCTGTGGACGGAGCCAGAGATATTCTGAGGGGCATTGACCCCACTGCCCCTGCTGCCCACTTCCCCCAGTCCCCAGTCAATCCTCCTATGACCTCATCAGGCCCTGCACAGCTCAGAGCAGCAGTTGAAGTTGATCCTGGGCACCTGTGCAAGCCCACCTGAGCTCCCAGGCTTATGTGAGGCATGGGCTCATCTGGGGAAGGGGCTGGTTGCTCATCACCAAAGGAGCGCAGAACCAGAGAGCCCTTCCCCTGGCCTGGCAGGAAGCCGGTGAGGAGGCGGATGGTTTTGCCAGAACTCCCCAACTTCCTCCTCACCTCAGGAATGGAGGATTGTGCCTGGGCATGCATGGTGTGTGCTGGCATGTGTGCGTGTGCATTTGTATGTGTGCATATGTGTGCTGACATGCACGTGTGTGTGGAAGTACATTTGTACATGCATGTGTGCACACGTGTGTACGTATGTGTATGTGTGCACATGTGTGCATACACATGAATACACATGTATGCATATGTACATTAATGTGTGTGTGTGCACATGTGTATGTAGTACATTTGTGAGACAAGGGCTGGGCGCTGTGCCTCTGGACCCTCACCTGGCTCCAGGTGGAGCTGGGCAGCGTCCTTGGGAAGAGCTCCTGCCTTCTGAAGCCCCAGGAAGGGAGTCAGGACTGAATTTGTGCTGGGTGGCAGTGGCGGTTCCCAAATCTGCCTCTTTATAAGGATCAGCTGGGGAACTTGTTACAATTATGCCATCCTTGGCTGCATCTCCAACCTCTCTTCGGTGGGGCCTAAGATGCTGTAGTCAACGAGCTTCCCCCAGGCAGTGCTGACGTTCAGTGCTCAGCCCGAGGAACCCACTGCGGAGCCCCCAGGGCGCCACAGCCCCTGCTTGTTGACCGCGGTTGTTTCTCTGCCTTCCTCTTATCTTGGGTTTCCTTGATAAACCACGTATTTCTCAATACCTGATAAGTTTTCAAGCTGTTTATTGCGTCGTTGTTTAGATAAAACAGGTAGAACATTTTGGGTTTCTTTTATTTGTGGGAGGAGGCCTTGGCTTTTAACCCTCCGCGGTCTGTTTCGAAGACCAGTGCTCTTGGAATATTTTCTTTTACATTTTGGAAATTTACATGAAGCTTCCTCATGATGATTCTTTGGCTTTGAAAGTGATGAGTTTTGTTTTCTGAATGAACCAGGGATTCACTGAATCAAGAGGTTTGACAAGCAGGATGAGATGTGGGTCCCGGGAATTCAGCCCGAAGGGCCGACAGCATCTGTTGTTGCGATGAATCAACTTCTCTCCTTTGCATCCAGAATGGTTCTAGCTATTTGGGACAATTGAGAAAATAGTCACTTACATCATTTTTGTGTCAGCAGTCCAGATGAGAAACCTGGTTGAGAAGCCTGTGGAAATTGTCTTCCAAGATGTTGACCCTGGAAAATTAGGGATTTACCCAAATGTCTGTATCACGGACTTCCCTTCCCCCCATCCAGAAATCTTAGCATCTCTGGAATCTTTTTGGGTTCCCATTGGTATTCCCTTTCTCATGGGCGGAACATCAAGTATTCTGTGGTTTGTTTTAAAACCATCTCCTCTGAGCCTCAAGGAAGTCTTGTGGTCACTGGTGTGCCTTTGAAGGGTAACTGCTTTCTGTCTAGTTAAATTTCCATTCTTTGGCCACACACCTTTTGTCTCTGGACACAAAGATTTAGGGAGACTTAACTGCTTTAGCTTGGCTTCTGTAATCATTTTGGTTTTTTGTCTCAGGTCTTTTCCTCACCAGGATACCACACCCATTCCTATGCTTGGACAGAATTATTCTCTTGCCCTCCTATTTAACTGGTAGGGCAAGAAACGCTAGTCATTCCACTGTGCAAGACTCATGATGCTTCTCCCCCTCCTTCAGAGACACTGGAAGCTCAGCCTCCTGCCCCTCAAAGCTGCTCCTACCTATGGGGCCTCCTAGTCCTCAGGGGCTCCTGGTCCCAAGCCATCTCTCTCCCTCCTCTCTGTCCTTATCCCCCTGCTTTGCTGCATGGAGGCCACTCTCAGGCCTGGCTTCTGTCTGCCCTGGGGTCTGTCTCAGGCTGTAGGCTCTGGCAGGGATGCTCTCCCTCTCCTATTAGCTGGCGAATGGCCCTGGCCTTTCCCATCCCAGACCCCATCCCACTCGAGGCAGCAGCCTCCCTGGACTCCCCACCCTCAGCTCCACCACTGTTGCCCATCACACTGGGTTTTCACTGCTGTTTCCCCAACAGGACTGAATCCTCCCATCTTCACGAAACATCCCCAGCTGCTGGCAGAGCTGGGCACAGAGGACGCGCACACTGTCTGTGTGTTGAATGGACAAATGGATGAACTTCCAGGAAAGCTGAGGATGGAAATCTCATCTTCCTGTTTCATCTTCTGTCCCTTTCACTCTGCCTCATGTCTTTTACTTCTGTGATGTGGGCTAGCGAGTTGATATGAAAACACCCAGAATGAAGTCTTCTGGATTGTTCATTTGCATTATTGTTGCTTAGAAGCCAGGAGCAGGGAGTAAAGTCCTTTCCAGAATCTGTGCCTTGGCTCTCAGGAGGGAGCCACGGTACCCCTGTGAGGACAGTGCAGTGGGCACCGGTGGCTGCAGATCTGTGCGGATGGCCACGGGAATCGCCCAGAATGCACAGGCCTGGGTGGGGGTGATGGGGAGGGAGTCAGTACGATTATTTCCAAACTGGATAGACATTTCCTTTATCCTCCTGGTACTCAGCCAGATGACATTTCCTGGACCTCCTTGCAGTTAGGGGCAGCCAGGTGACTACTTTCTGGCCACGGATAGTGGGAGGAACAGGCAAAGTGCACCCCTTCTGGTTCTGGCCCATGACACCCTCACAGTGTGACTCTGGATGGAGGGAGAGTGACTCCAAGGACCTAGAGGATGGAAGGACCTTGGTCTGCTTGGGAGGGAGCCAGCCAGGAGCACCATCTGTCCAGGAACACAAGTTTTGGATGGCTGCCTGGTGGTGAGATGTAACTTGGATTTTATGAAGTCACTAAGGTGTTGGGATTGTTTGTTATGGCAGTTGGTCTGAGCTGATGAATACACTTTCTAAGTCTCATTTGTGTCTGCACTGTTCCTGTCCTGTAAGCTGCTGCCCAGCGTTGACCTGACCAACTCTTCCTCATCTTTCAGGAGATAGTTCAGGTGCCACATTTTCTGGGTTACTTTCCCTGATCCTCCTGAATCATCAGATGCCAGTTATCTTGGTTCCCCATTCCCTGGATTTACCTCTGTCATTGTGCTGTGTCTCTTGTGTCCTGAAGACCTGTTTACTTGTTTCTCTTCCAGTGGAAGATGCTTGTGACCTTGGTGCCTGGCTTGGGACATGACAGAGGTGGTGTTCAATGTGCTCTTGTGAAGCGGGAGGGGAGGAAGGAAGGCTATGGAGAAGGGTGGGGGAGGGAGGAAGGGAGGGAGAGAGAGCTAGAGGGAGAAAGAGACAGAGAGAGAAGAGAGAAAACTCCTCAGAGTCTTTGAGCATTTCTCTGAAATTACAGTAACAAAACAAAGATCATAACACCCCAAATGCCCCAAATGTATACTTTTGGGACACAACTGAATTTATATTAAAAATAAGACTTCTCTTCCAACACCATTCAGCCATGGAGAGATTAGATCCTTTCCTTATGGGCCATGTAGGTTGATTTTTTCCATGTATGGGCTTGCTCTTAGTTCCGCCTTCACTCTTGCTCTTGCTAGTGCCCTTTCACTTCTCATCCATCCATCCATTATCCATCTGTCTCCATCATCCATTCGTCATCCACTCATGATCCATCCATCATCCATCTATCAGCCACCCATCCACCGTCCATCCATCCATCCATCCATCCATCATCTGTCATCCATCCAGCTAACAAAAAGGTGCTATGCGTGAAGTGCTGTTCAAAACAGATAAAAATCATTGCCATTAAAAACAACAAAAGTGTATGCCCTCATGGAGCATATGTTTATCCATTCTTCCCCCGACTCTATCTATCTAATTCATTCATCAATCCACCCATCATCCATCCATCCAACTATCATCCAATCTCATCCATCCATCTGTCCATCCATTCATCATCCATTATCCATTCATCCATCATCCATTCATCCATTATCCATCCATCACCCATGTAACCATTATCCATTATCCATCCATCTATCCATCACCCATCCACCATCCATTCATATATCATCCAACAATCAGCCACCCATCATCCATCCATCCATCCATCCATCCATCCATCCATCCATCCATCCTCCATCCAGCTAACAAAGAGGTGCTATGTGTGAAGAGCTGTTCAAAACAGATAAAAATCATTGCCATTAAAAACAACAAAAGTCTATCCCCTTATGGAGCACATGTTTATTTATCCATTCTTTTCCCCGACTCTATCTATTTAATTCATTCATCCATCCACCCATCATCCATTCATCATCCATCCATCCAACTATCATCCATTCATCATCCATCCATCTGTCCATCTGTTCATCATCCATCATCCATTCATCCATTATCTACCCATCATCCATTCATCCATCCATCATTCATCCATCCATCATCCATCTGTCAACCATTCATCCATCCATCCGTCCTTCATCCATCATCCATTATCCATTATCCGTTCATTATCCATCCACCATCCATCCATCATTCATCCCTCTATCATCCATCCATCCATCATTCATCCCTCATCCATCTATCTATTATCCGTCCACCATCCATCCATCATTCATCCATCATCCAACCATCCATTATCCTTCCAACTATCATCCACCCATCATTCTATCCACCATCCATCCATCATCCGTTCATCATCCACCCATCACCCATCCATCCATCCATCCATCCATCTATCCATCATCCATCCAGCTAACAAAAAGGTAGTATGTGCGAAGTGCTGTTCAAAACAGATAAAAATCATTGCCATTAAAAACAACAAAAGTCGGCCGGGTGCAGTGGCTCACGCCTGTAATCCCAGCACTTTCGGAGGCCAAGGCAGGCGGATCATGAGGTCAGGAGTTTGAGACCCATCTGACCAACATAGCGAAACCCTGTCTCTATTAAAAATACATAGAAATAGCTGGGTGTGTTAGTGTGAGCCTGTAATCCCAGCTGAGGAGGTTGCAGTGAGCTGAAATTGTGCCATTGCACCTCAGCACCCCAGCCCGGGCCACAGTGCGAGACTCTGTCTCAAAAAAAAAAAAAAAAATTTATGCTCTCATGGAGCATACATTTGTTTATCCATTCTTTCCCCCCTACTCTATCTATCTAATTCATCCATCCATCCACCTATCCATCCATTCATCTACCTATCTATTTATCTCTCTATGCATCTACCTATCATCTGTTTATTTACCTATCCATTGATCCATCCACCTGTCCATCTATCTATGCACCTAGCTATGCCTTTGTCTATCTATCTATCCATTCATCTATCCACCTATTCATCTATGTATGTATGTATGTATGTATGTATGTATGTATGTATGTATGTATGTATCTATCTATCTATCTATCTATCTATCTATCTATCTATCTATCTATCATCTGTCCATCCATCATCCATCCATCCATCCCATCCATCCACCCACCCATCTCTCTCTCTCTTTTTCTTTCTCTTTCTCTCTTTTCTTTTTCTTCCTTCCTTCCTTCCTTCTTTCCTTCCTTCCTTCCCTCTTTCCTTCCTTCCTTCCTTCATCACATAGTTGTGCTTGAAGTCAAAGCACATGACCATGTGACTGTTTTGGCCAATGAAATATGAGCAGAAGTGATGTGCCATCAGTGGGCAAAAGTTTAAGAGCCACTTCTTGTTATGCCACATTTCTTTTCCTCCTCCATATTCTGCAACAACATTCTAGATGTTTTCTGCTTCATCAGCTTGGGTCCAAGAGTGAGGAACACTATGACGCCCAGAGCACTCCCCGCAGCCTAACACCCACTGCTCCCAACATGTGGTGTGAGGAAGGGTCAGAACTTTGCTGTGCCCTGGTAGATTTTCCATTGTTGTTTCTATAGCATAACTTGGCCTAGTCTAGCTGATAGACATAAAGTGACAGGTTGTTTTCTAGATGCCTATGCCCATTTATATCCCCTGTCCTCAGTGTTTGGGAAGGTCTGTCTTCCTCTAACCTTACCTGCCTGGAATTGTATCTTTTCATTTATGAATTTAAAAAAAAATCAGTTTGAAGGTGAAAGGGAATCTCATTTTAATTTCCATTTCTTTGATTAGTAGGGAGGTTGAACGTATGTGTGATAGACATTTGCTCTTCATTTTTATCATTTTGCTGTGTGCCTACTATGTGCTGGAAACACCGAACAGTGAGTAAGATGCAGTCTCTTCAGTTTAGCTCTACCCGGAAGAAATCAGTGTTCTGCTCAAGTTTCAGGTGTGCAAAGTGCTGGGAAGGAAATTCCCATATGGGATGGAAAGGTGCTGGGGTGGAGGTTCACTGCTGGGTGAAAAGCAGATTTACAAATGGTGGAGGGGATTGGGCCAGTGAAGGCAGGGAAGGGCAGCTCAGAGTAAAGGGAGCTCAGGATGCCCAGTGCCTGGTCAGCAGCTTCTGCCGGGCTGGCAGGCATAGGGCCAAGTCTGATTTATCAATGTGTGCATCCTATCCTGCATCTCAGTTCACTGACACCTCTATTGCTGGTCTCCCACGTTGCAGGTGGGTGGCGGGGGCCAGGTGGGGTCCCTGTGTGCCCCACTCCGGCTTTGCCTGTGCTGTGAGTTGGAGGCTCTGCCTCCTGATGTTTCTACTCAAAGCCCCTGCAGCGGGCACAGGCCTGTCCCCTGCAGCAGCTCCTTACCCCGAGCCGATGCAACTGTGTCTTGCCACCTCTGGCCCCGTCTTTAAAGGTCAGCTGCTTATGTGATGATTTCAACCATTCTGAGGCATGTTGAATTAGTTTCCAGGAGTAAATGTGCTTTAGAATAAAATCCAGTGGAGAGCCATGGGAAGTGGGATTTGGCTGCAGGGAGATGGTTCCCCCCGCCCCCTGAGCCTGGGTAAGGGCTGGGGGCTCCCTGGGAATGCTGCAGAGTGGCAGTGGTTCCCAAGGGGCCACTCGGGATTCCAAACGTTCCCCCACCTTTATGCCACCATAAATGATTCAGGTAAATTGCTCTGGCCTGTGAGAGGAAGCAGCTCCGGCAGAGGGCTTCAGTGGCAGGTTCACAGAGACAGGGGAGGGTGCGTGGGGACCGTTAAGGTTCCAGGTCCCTTAAGGTGCAAGAGATAGGGGGCCATGGACTCATTAGAGAAGGCAGGGTGGGTGCCTGGGGTCCCCCTCCAGTTCGCAGAGGGCTGAACCCTGGACATTTCACATCCAAAGGTGGAGTGACGTCTCAGGGGTCCTGTGTGTACAGAACCCGGCCCAGAGCCTCTCACAGCCGGTTACAGGATTTGATGCTGATACTATGATGGTGTTTTGCTGACACAGGAATGCAGGCTCAGGAGCTGGTGTGAAGATCCTTCCACAATGCCTGCTACTCGAGCATCCAGAACTAAAGCACTGAGTCCTTCTTTGTTCCAGGAACTTCCTTGATTTAATTTTTCCGATTGGTGGGTGCTTCTAATTGGAGAACCTTCCAGAAAGCACAGCCTTTGAGAAGTGGCTGGATGGCCAAAGGGCTGCCAATATTCCCACCTGCCTTCCTCTACTCTGCCATTCTGACTATAAAATCCCCCTGAAGAAACCTTTGTCAGGTCTGATGCAGGCAGAGTATGTGGGGAGGTGTTGGGAGTCAGGGCTGAGAATGCTAGAAGCTTCATCGCAGAGACAAGAGAAGAGACAGCTGAGTGAGAGACAGTGAGTCAAGAGAGCTCAGCGGATGCCAAACCTGGAGCAGATGGAAGTAGGATGGCAGAGGCCCCAGGGCTTGCAGAAATCGTGGGGAAGCCACAGGGCACCCCACAGGCACAAGCGAGGGTGCTGGAATTCATTTTTACCAAACCTTGCACCTGGCTTACCTGTGAATCCCAGGGGCTACAGAGCAGCAGGCACACAGCTGGTGGTGGAGGCACATCTGTGCGGAGGTTCACTGTGGTCTCCAGCCTGGAGCACAGACATCCCAACCCGGGCTGCAGGGTGAGCACTCGAGTTTGGGGCTCAGATGGTGGGCTGGCCTTATGGAACAGACAAGAACTGAGGAGATTTTCACCGCTGCTGGAGTACCGGACTGACGGGAGACAGAAGCTGTGCGTGGACTGATGGGAGACGGAAGCTGTGCGTGGACTGATGGGAGACAGAAGCTGTGCGTGGACTGATGGGGGACGGAAGCTGTGCGTGGACTGATGGGGGACGGAAGCTGTGCGTGGACTGATGGGGGACGGAAGCTGTGCGTGGACTGATGGGGGACGGAAGCTGTGCGTGGACTGATGGGGGACGGAAGCTGTGTGTGGACTGATGGGAGACGGAAGCTGTGCATGGGCCACCACCCCTTCAGGGGCACAGTTGCCACTGGCATGCCTGAGAGTTTGTTTTTAAAAGAATGTGGCAATAAACATACGTGTGCATGTGTCTTTATAGCAGCATGATTTATAGTCATTTGGGTATATACCCAGTAATGGGATGGCTGGGTCAAATGGTATTTCTAGTTCTAGATCCCTGAGGAATCGCCACACTGACTTCCACAATGGTTGAACTAGTTTACAGTCCCACCAACAGTGTAAAAGTGTTCCTGTTTCTCCACATCCTCTCCAGCACCTGTTGTTTCCTGACTTTTTAATGATTGCCATTCTTACTGGTGTGAGATGATATCTCATAGTGGTTTTGATTTGCATTTCTCTGATGGCCAGTGATGACGAGCACTTTTTCATGTGTTTTTTGGCTGCATAAATGTCTTCTTTTGAGAAGTGTCTGTTCATGGCATTATTCACAATAGCAAAGACTTGGAACCAACCCAAATGTCCAACAATGATAGACTGGATTAAGAAAATGTGGCACATATACACCATGGAATACTATGCAGCCATAAAAAATGATGAGTTCGTGTCCTTTGTAGGGACATGGATGAAATTGGAAACCATCATTCTCAGTAAACTATCGCAAGAACAAAAAACCAAACACCGCATATTCTCACTCATAGGTGGGAATTGAACAATGAGATCACATGGACACAGGAAGGGGAATATCACACTCTGGGGACTGTGGTGGGGAGGGGGGAGGGGGGAGGGATAGCATTGGGAGATATACCTAATGCTAGATGACGAGTTAGTGGGTGCAGCGCACCAGCATGGCACATGTATACATATGTAACTAACCTGCACAATGTGCACATGTACCTAAAACTTAAAGTATAATTTAAAAAAAATAATAATAATAGTAATAATAATAAAAATATGTATCCCACTGCAAAAAAAAAAATAATAAAAGAATGTCTTTCAGAATTCGTGATGAAGAACCCAAAAGCAAATGCAACAAAATAAAAAATAGACAAATGGGACCTCCGCACAGCAAAAGAAACTATTAAAATATCAACAGAGTAAACAGACAGCCTACAGAAGGGGAGAAAATATTTGCAAACTGTGCATCTGACAAAGGTCTGATTTCCAGAATCTATAAGGAACTTAAACAAATCAGCAAGCAAAAAAACCAAATAATCCCATTGAAAAGTGGGCAAAGGACATGAACAGACACTTCTCAAAAGAAGACATAAAGTTTGCCAACAAACACATGAGAAAATTCTCAACATCACTAATCATTAGAGACGTGCAAATCAAAACCACAGTGAGACAGCATCTCACGCCAGTCAGAATGGCAATTATTAAAAAGTAAAAAAATAACAGATGTTGGTGAGGCTTTGGAGAAAAGAGAATGCTTATCCATTGTTAGTGGGAATGCAAATGAGATCAGCCCCTGTGGAAAGCAGTTTGGAGATTTCTCAAAGAACAAAAAACAGAATTATCATTCGACCCAGCAATCTCATCACTGGGTATATACCCAAAAGAAAATAAATGGTCCTACCAAAAAGACACCTGCACTGAAATGTTTATTGAAGCACTATTCACAATAGCAAAGACACGGAATCAATCCAGGTGCCCATCAGGGTGTATTGGATAAAGAAAATGGGGTACATGTACACCATGGAATACTACACTGCCATAAAAAATGAAATTATGGCCTTTGCAGCAACATGAATGCAGCTGGAATCCATTATCCTAAGCTAATTAATGCAGAAACAGAAAACCAAACAGCACATGTTCCCAACCGTAAGGGAGAGCTAAACACTGGGTATGCGCAGACACAAAAATGGGAAGTACAGACACTGGGCGTTTCTAGACAGGGGAGGGAAGGGGGCAAGGGCTGAAAACCTACCTATCAGGTTCTATGTTCGCCACCTAGGGGGGCGGAATCATTAGAAGGCCAAACCTCAGCATCACGCAATATACTCACGTAACAAACCTGCATGTGTGCCCCCTGAATCCAAACAAAAACCCAGTCTTTCTCTTTCCAAAACCCCAAAGCAAACCCGTCAAAAAACTTTCCAAGGAAAACACAATCCCTAGACAAACAGCTATGTTTTCAGCAGAGCAGATGCCAGCCTGGGAGACACAGAGCTGGTTGCCTTCCACACCCACGGCCAGCCCCAGGCTGCTCAGAAAAGGCCACTGGGCAAGGAGAGGTGGGGACCTGGACCCTTGGGTCCCATTGGCCTCTCTGTCAGAGGCTTTGCCCCCAGCCCCGGCTTCTGAGAGGCTGTTTTCCTGGAGAAGGCTACAGCAGTTCTTCTCAGAAACCTTGTTCTCCCTTTAATGATTCAGCACGCGTGCTGAGTGGGGTGCAGGTGGCATGAGTGAGATTGGATGTGGCTAACCTTTAATGCCAGCAGAAAAGCTTAATAAAGTGACATTCAGCCTGAGCTGCAGCCTCTGTAGCTTAATGGTGCACCTCGAGGTGGCTGCTGGAGACCCCATTTGTTTGGCAGCAGGCAGGCCAACCGTCCGGAGCCTCTTCTGGTCGGGGTGGGCCACTGGGATGCCGTAGATTGCAGGCATCTGGGGGCCCTGGCTCTTTGAGGGGCACTGTGGGGTGGGTTGTGCCCTTGCCGTCAGCCTCAGGGAAAAAGAGCACTGGATTTGGAGTCTGGAGAGCTCCTGGCAGCTTCCTGCCTCCCCTACTTTCCAGCAGTTTGCTCTGGGGTGAGATTCCTTGGGGTCCTGAGCCTGTTTCCTCGCTCATCGGGTGTAGTTAAGAGCTACGCACTTTTTATATGGGTGTCCTTTCTGCACAGTGACACCCACAGTCCTGGGGACAGCAGCCGTCTCCAGCCTCCGCACTGTCTGGCGCCTGCACCTGCAAGTCCAGGTACAGGATGTCACTGTGAGGTGTTCACTGACTGACTGACTGACTGACTGACTGACTCACTCACTCACTCACTCACTCACTCACTCATTCCTTCAACATGTTTTTGCTGGGTAGGTGTGTGGTACAGGCCCGATCTGGCATTGGGGCTTCTGAGTGAGTCTCTGGCCGGCAGGCTGCAGGCGGCACACTTGTTGCTGAGCTTTCCGGACTCTGGGACTTGGAAGCAGTATCCCAGTTTCAGCCCTCAAGGGCACCTTGCCTTGATCCCCTTTCTTCTCCTTGCTCCCTCTCTCCCTGCTCCCATATCTGCCTTCTCCTCCTGTCCCTTTCTTCAGTAACTTTTGAATCCCTCCTATGTGCCAGGTGCTATTCTAGGCACGGGGGCGAGGGGTGGCTTAGCAGCAAACAAAGCAGTCAAGTCCCCACTGTCCCTGCTACCAGGAGGGGACCCGGGATTGGGCGGCCCAGGACCCCATGTAGCAGTTCCTAGAGTCTGGGCCCAGGAAACTCCACACTTTAAGCAGTGTGGGCCTGCCTTGATCTGCCATCTTTTCTTGGCTCTCTTGTCTGTCCTGCATGCTTCACCAACCCCCAGGCTGGCCAGGAGCTCTTCAAGCCCAGATGTCTGTGACTTGTGCACACTAGAGAATGGGGCATTGCCGTGGAGGGTGAGCCTTTCAGACTTGGGGATGCTTCTGGACTGAGATGGGGACTTGATGGGAGCGTAGACCCCATGTCTCTCTCTGAAGATGTGACTCTGTAGGTCAGTGGAGGAGCCCAGCAGTTCCTTCTGATGCAGATGGTCCCCTGATCACAGCCTGGGAAACATGTGGTGCTGGAGTCCATTGAGATTGAATCCTAGCCTGCCATTGTGACTGTGTGGGCTTGGGCAAGCACCAATAATTGTGGACTGTCTGTGATTTCACCCTATTTTCAAGCTAACAGGTGAGCCTGCCACCCTTCCCTTGATGCTGGCAGAAGACATGAAATTCCTGGGGCAGAGACAGCTGTTGTTGTTACTTGCCACCCAGCAGGCAGCCCAAGTTTCATGGTCCTCATGGATCCCCTCTGCCTCTAAACCCCATGGCTGTGATACTGAGAGGCCCAGGTGGATGCTGCATATGTAGGGGGTCTGTGTCCCAGCCAAGGACCCCATCTGAGGGAACCCTGTCTTGCTGAGTGGACTACAAGCACACCTGCCTGGCCTTTGCCCTTGAGGGGGACATTATCTTTATTACACTGGAGTCCAAACAAGCCTGCCTCTGCCCTGGAGGGAGAGAGCCTCTATCTTCCAAGGTTGTTCACTATTCAAACATTCCTGGAAAGATAGTCCGGAGCAAACACTATAGATGGCTATATCCAAGATGAGCAGAACCACCAGAGACCCAGAAGACTGTGTCTCAGGAGCAAGTGACTCAGCCCTGCTGAGCTTCTTCCTTTGTCTGTAGGAGGGGACACAATAGTGGTGTCCACCCCAGAAGGCCACTCCATTACCTCCTCCATTACCCCCTCTAGTCCCTGCCCCACCCCCTTGCCCATCCAGGGGTGGGGATGGGGAGGCGGGGGGAGGAGCAGGGCTTTGCAGACTTGGGCGATTCCATCAATTTATTGTCCTTTTGTAAACCCTGCTGCTTGTTTGGGGCTGGCTGCTCCTTCTAGCCCTGGTGAGCCAGGGCCCCTGCTTCTGGTGCTGCACCCTGGCCTCCTGAGGTGCCCCTGGCTCACAAGGCCTTCTCCAGGGAGGTGTGACAGATGACTACGGAGTGACCCTCCCAGCTGCTCACAATGCTGACAGCCGAGAGACTCTCAGAAATCCCTTTTCTGTTTCATTGTCTATCACTTATGTACAGCAATCTAAATTTCTAGCTGTTAATGAAAGATTATAGATGTGTTAAAAATATCCCCAAAAACCTCTCTTCTTTGCACTTGGATTGTTAATGAAATTCCCAAGCTTCATTTTCAGGTTTTAATGAACAGCACAGGGTACTTCATTGACATATTGGCCTTGCGTGTAGTACCCTCCCTCGGCCCCTCTCGGGGGAAGCTCTTAGAACAGGTGTCTGAGTGGAGGGTCCCAAGGTCCCGACACGGCTGATGGGCTCCCACGAGCCTCCTCTGGAGGGTGACAGGGGTTGCTTTGCAGGCGCTGCTGCCAGGTAGGGACTCGGAGAGACACTTGTCCTCATCAGAGTTTGTGCGTTCTTGGTGATCGGGTCCGTGTCCTTAGGGGCTGGGGTTGCAGGCCGGCAATGCCAGGAGCATTTTGTCAGCCTTCTGGTGCCACACTTGCAGTCTGGGGAACTGCTGCCACCTGAGCTGTGCTTCCTGGCTGAGGACATTGTGCAAACAATAGCTTCCCTTAGGCAGGGAGCCATTCAGTGCAGATCATGGTGCCTGCGCTTTCTCTATGAAATTAGAATGAACATAGAAGTAACAAAGCAATAGTATCAGCTTCAGCTCATTTCAGCTCCATGAACCTTTGCAGAGCACCTATGATGTGCTGGGCACCTTGCCGAGTGCCTGGGATCTGAAGAGCCTCGTGGCAAGACGTGGGTGGGTTTAGCTTCTAAGGTCTACATAGGTTAAAAAAAAATTGCATACTAAAAATCACTCTGAACTTGCTGCCAGATCTCGATGTGGGCCCTTGGAAGTGCAGGGCCTGAGGATCTCCTCTTTCATTCCTCTGTGTATTCCAGCTGTGGCTTCCCTGCTGAAGTGTCCTTCACACTGGACAACGTCTAGTTTGGACAGGAGTCACGGCTGTGAGGGAAGCTAATACAGAGATTGCTATTATTTTCCCCACTCTGCAGCCCCGATCCTATGCAGTTGAGTTCTTAGAAGTTACATTTCCATATAAGGCTAATGGCTTATCCAGGCAGCAAAGTTAAGGAGAGAGCGGGGAGAGTTAGCATAGGTTTAAGTGCCCTGCAGGAGGAGACAGTTTGGGAGGGGGAGTTAGAATGAAGATTCAGGGTCTTGCAGAGAGAGGGCAGCTAGAAACAGCTTCTGGGGTACACAGAGAGGCATTTGGCCCCCCACCTTGGGGCTTGGGAAGACTTCCAGGAGGAGATGGCATGCTGCTTCCTAAGGGCCATACTTCCTATTTAGGAAGATAATGAATATATTTGGAGCAAGAATGAAAGGAAGTAAACATCTAGGTACATGTGAGTACCTTGTCTGCTGTACATGAACACCAGACTGTGAACACTGTGTCCTCAGTGCCTAGCAAAACACAATTGCCTAATAAATATTTGTGGAATGAGTGAAAGACCATTAATTATTTTCTACTTTGAAAAGAAGACTTTAACTCTCCTCTCCTGAATCCAGTGGTTCTTTTTTTTAATTTTATTATTATTATACTTTAAGTTTTAGGGTATATGTGCACAATGTGCAGATTAGTTACATATGTATACATGTGCCATGCTGGTGTGCTGCACCCATTAACTCGTCATTTAGCATTAGGTATATCTCCTAAAGCTATCCCTCCCCCCTCCCCCCACCCCACAACAGTCCCCAGAGTGTGATGTTCCCCTTCCTGTGTCCATGTGTTCGCATTGTTCAATTCCACCTATGAGTGAGAATATGCGGTGTCAGCATCTGGGGTGTCGTAGCTACCAGGAAAAAACTCAGCAGAGGCAGCTGCAGGAGCAAGGGGCAGGGGAACACAGAGACTGTCTGCTGGGGGCTCCTGAGCCTGGCCATGGCTGCGTGCCGGCCTCCTGGCCTGCAGCAAGGCTGCAGGTGAGCAGAAAAGTGAGATTGACTGCCACTGCGCAGCTGCCCACCACAGGTCCAGCCCAAAGCCTCTCACACCCTAAGCACCATATTTTGCCCCATCACCCCGGGGGACATCTGGCAATACTTGGAGACATTTTGGTTGTTACAAGGGGTAGGCTTCGGGGTTAGGGGTGAGAGATGTTGTTAAACATTCTACCATGCACAGGTGGCCCACCCCGGCCACCTGACACGAAAGAGATTTGTCCCGCCCGAGATATCAATAGTGACGAGGCTGAGGATGCTGCACCAATGCTGCTTGGGGTGTCAAAGGCTTTGGGCTGGACCCGTGGTGGGCAGCTGCGCAGTGGCAGCCAATCTCAATTTTCTGCTCACCTGGAGCCTTGCTGCAGGCCAGGAGGCCGGCACGCAGCCACGGCCAGGCTCAGGAGCCCCCAGCAGACAGTCTCTGTGTTCCCCTGCCCCTTGCTCCTGCAGCTGCCTCTGCTGGGTTTTTTCCTGATAGCCCTGACACCCCAGATGCTGACAGACTGCAGGGAGGCCCCGCCATGCCTGGCTGGCTAGGGACCCCATCCTGGGCGCTGAGAATTCAGCGCTTGGCCTCAGAAAGCAGCCTGCTCCTTTTTCTCTCACATTTCCAGGATGCAGCCTGGCCTGAGGCCCTAGGAGTAGGGGAGGGCAGGGTAATCTGCAGGGCAAAGCGTTCAAGTCCCACTCTGCTTACGCTCTTTTGGTTGTTGCCCAGCACAGATGATCAAGTCCAGGGTGGCCACACTCAGGGCAGGGTTTGTGCACTCCCTAAGTCTCCCCAACTCTCAGGCCTTGCTCTCCCTCAGCTCTGAGGACCACACGGCCTTGTGGAGCAGGAACCAGGGAAGGGAGGGAGGGTGGAACACCCCCCATCCTGCCGCTGGATGCTCCAGCCACTGCCTGGATGCACCACACATACTGTCTCCACCGCTGGACTTCTCTGCCCCCCTCTCCCAGATAACGCCACCCCAAGTCCTATCTGTGCTTCAAGCTCCCTCCAGAGCCCTCCCACCCCCAGCCCATGCTCAATCTCCCTTGCCATCCTGTGGCACTAATGGGGCGCATTGCAAGGTTCGGTCTTCAGATGACCTCTCTCTGGAAGCACTGCCTCCTTAACCAGCTGCAAGCTGCAGGATGGCAGAGCCACGTGCCCCTCCCAGAGACTCACACGTGCAGTGAGTATAATGTGTTGAGGACGCTCTGCACGCCAGGTCCCCTGCCAAGTGCTCTGCCTGTGTGGTCACAACAGTCTCATGAGTGACGATGCTGTCATCTTGACTGATTTCCATATGAGAAGCAGAGGCTTGGTGAGGAGAAGACACTGCTACCGATCGTGCAGTACAAAGGGGTACCTCGTCTGGCGTGCATCCCGGGAACAGCTGTGGGCATGCGGTGGGCACTCAAAGAAGACTTGGCCATGTGCGATGATGCTGATATGACCAGAGCTAAGGGGGTACCCCGTGACCCAGGCAGGTGGCAATCGTGCGAGGTCCAGGAAAATGTTGCTCGAATTTCTCAAGGGTCTCTGTTCTTTCTCCTCTTCATGTTGGGACACTTTCTACGTTGCAAAGTTGGCAGCAGGGTGGAGGGGACAGAGAGTGCACATGTTTCTCTGTCTCCCAGAGGTGGACACCTCCCTTGCCTGCCGGGGGCTGAGCCACTGTGCCACCATCTGTGCTGCTCATGGCTGAGCAACTCAAAATGTACTGACCGTGGCTCATATTCTGGGCTTTGAGTCGTCTCTGTTTTACAGCGTGTGTCGGACGCACTGCTCAGGGATTAATTGGCTGCTGCTCAGTGAGCACTTAGGCTGGGAGATGGGCTCGATTCCATGCTAATGTGGCCTGGGAACTGTGGCGCCCAGCCCCAGGGGCAAAGGAGGACAGCTACGTGACCCAGAGGTTGGGATGGGAAGAAATGTCCCTATCTGAACAGGCTGGACAAGAACAGTGCTCTCTCTCAGACTGGGAGCCACAGACCTAAGGGGCTGCTGTGTCCCCAGGTGCCTCAGTAGAGGATGTTCCTTTTATTCAGTGCCAGAAATGATTTTCCCCTCTGTTTGGGATGTTCTTCCCAGCACAGCCAACACGAGGAGCCACAGAGTAACAGCATGTTCCATCTTGCTGGGGTCACAGGTGAGCCAGCATCAGCTTCTGGCCCACTCTCCTTCTACAGCTCACAGCTTTACTTAGCCAGGAAGGTTTGGGCTAATGTGGGCTGACCAGGCACAGGCGTGCGAGGGCCTTTGGGTCTTCTTTGTGCAAAAGCGCTAGAAGAATTCTACAATTTAGGGCTGATCAGGCCCAAGGAAAGTGATCCAACTCTCCCATTGCACAGATGAGAAAAGCAAGGTCCTAAGAAGGCAGAAGGGCTGCCCAGGGCCAACAGTAGGTGGGAAACTTGAGATTAGAGATCAGGATTCACAGGACCCAGCAACCCCACTTCTGGATGTAAATCCAAGGGAAATGAAGCCAGTATGTCCAAGAGATAGGTGCACTCTCATGTTCGTTGCCACACTGTTCACAATAGACAAGATATGGAAGCAACCTAAGTGTCATCAACAGATGAGTGGATAAAGAAAATGGGGTAGAGATACACAATGGAGTATTATTCAGCCATAAAAAAGAGGGAGGCCAAGGCAGGTGGATCACTTGAGCCCAGAAGTTCAAGACCAGCCTAAGCAACACAGTGAAACCCCCTCTCTACTAAAAATACAAAAATTAGCCAGGTGTGGTGGTGCATTCCTGTAGTCCCAGCTACTTGGGAGGCTGAGGTGGGAAGGATTACCTGAGCCTGGGAAGTTGTATTAGTTGGTTCTCATGCTGCTAATAAAGACATACCTGAGACTGGGTCATTTATAAAGGAAAGAGTTTTAATGGACTCACAGTTCCACAGAGCTGAGGAGGCCTTGCAACGACGGCAGAAGGCAAGGGAGAAGCAAAGGCACATCTTACATGGCAACAGGCAAGAGAGTGTGTGCGGGGGAACTGCCCTTTATAAAACATCAGATCTCATGAGACTTATTCACTACCACAAGAACAGTATGGGGGAACTGCACCCATGATTCAATTATCTCCACCTGGCTCTGCCCTTGACATGGGATTATTACAATTCAAGGTGAGATTTGGGTGGGGACACAGCCAAACCAGGAACAATGCTTTGCAACCTTCAATCCAATCAAGTTGACACTCAGTATTAACCATCACAGAAGTTGAGCCAAGTTTATGCCACTGCACTCCATCCTGGGCTATGGGAGTGAGAGACCCTGTCTCAAAACAAACAAACAAACAACAAGAAAGAGGGAAATCCTGTCATTTTCAACAACATGGATGGACCTGGAGGACATTATGTGAAGTGAAGCAGGAGACAAATACCACAGAGAGACAAATACCTTATGACCTTACTTATATGTGGAATCTAAAACAGTTGAACTCACAGAAGCAGAGTAGAATGGTGGTTACCAGGGCCTGGGAGGAGGAGAGATGTTTGGGGAGAATTTGGTCAAAGGACATAGAATTTCAGTTAGAAGAGAGGAATGAGTTCAAGAGATCTATGACATAACATGGTGATTATAGTTAATAACAACGTATTGCAGTCTTGAAGATGTGCTGACAGCAGATGTTAAGTGTTTTCACCAGAAAATAATGATAAGTATGTGAGGTGATACACGTGTTAATTAGCTCGATTTAGCCATTTCACAGTGTCTGCATATTTTAAAACAACATGTTGTACAGGATAAATATATACAATCTTTTTGGTCAAAACAACAACAACTCAGGAGTCACAGTTTCCAGTGTGTGCTTATGGCTGGCTGCCCAGCTCTGAGCTGGCGGGCTACAGTCCACACCAGGGCTGGCACCACAGTGAGGTAGATGGGGCACCGAAGGGGGTAACATTTAAAGAGGAATTACTCTCAGGGCCCTGCAAGGGCCTGCCTCGCCCCACTCTATTCCCGACTCTGGTCTGTGCAAGTGAAGGAAGATGCAAGCTGGGGGTTGCTCAGTCAGCCCCCAGGCACTCCAAATTCCCCCTTGGTGAAACAGGACTTGGCCTGGGGTGCTGGCACTGCCTAGAGTCTACGCATATCATGAAATACATCAAAACAAATCTCAACGCAACTCACTGTAAATCTCCTTTAAAAATACGCGAGAACGGCCAGGAGCGGTGGCTCACACCTGTAATCTCAGCACTTTGGGAGGCTGAGGCGGGTGGATCACCTAAGGTCAGGAGTTCAAAACCAGCCTGGCCAACATGGTGAAACTCCATCTCTATTGAAAAATTACAAAAATTAGCCTCAGACCACTGCACTCCAGCCTGGGCAACAGAACGAGACTCTGTCTTTTAAAAAAAAAAGAAATATATATATATATATATATATATATATATATATATATATATATATATATGTATATGATACAGGCTAGGCACAGTGGCTCACATCAGTAAATCACAGCACTCTGGGAGGCTGGGGCGGGAGGATCACTTCAGCTCAGGAGTGTGTGACCAGCCTGGGCAACATAGTGAGACCTCATCTCTATTTAAAAAACATGTATACATGAGACACATCTTTGCCGCTAGTCCCTTCATCCGGGGGTTCAGACAGTGTCCTCCAGGCCCACTTTCTCTTTTTCATGCTTCATCTCTGCTCCTTTGTATTGGCCTGGTTTTCTTATGGGCTGTGCCTTCATGGTGGCAATATGCTGCCTCAGTTCTGGCAACACTTTCCTCCAAGCCTCTCTCCCAGCAGCCCCTGCAAAAGTCCCATGGCATTTATTTGCTCAGCTTGGATCACATGCCCATTGCTGGACCAATCACTATGGCCAGAGAAATGCAGTGCTCTGATTGGTCAGTTTTGAATCACATGTCCCTTCTTGGGATCAAGGTGGGAGAGGACACCACCCAAACTAAATGTCTAGTGGTGGCGAGGGGCATTCCCAGGAGAAATCAGAGAACACTTATCAAAAGGCAGGGGCGAGAACAAAGCAGCCGGAAGATGCAGTGAGCACCCAAGGCAGTACCACCAACCAAGAAAGACCCAAGTCCCCCAGACAGACACACCCCACTGTGCTTCTGAACCTGTGGGTCATTCTCCACACCCCACCCACCTGAGTTTTCAGACCCCATCCCTGGGTACAATTCAGATTTAAATACCAGTTCAGTCCAATCTGGTAGAATTGACTATAGCTAGTTTAGTCCTGGAAGTGAAATTTCAAAGCGGCATTTAATTTAGACTTAATTATCATGATTTCCTGTGGTCTTGCAGGTATTAATTGTTTAAAAACACCTAATGAGACTTAATCAGTTCATCTACACAAGCCACAGGCCAGGAGCAATTTGTTGACACCGCAGTCAGACAACTCTGGGTGCCTGCCAGGGCAAGGCACAGATGCAGATTGGGAGGGGACGGGTGGGGAAAGGCTGATGGGCTTGTTCTCACCTTCAGAGAACCCCTGTGTGTGATTTTTCATGACCCTCTACCTCCTCCCACCTTTGGGGTTCCTAGATTTGAAAGGAACATTGCCACATTTTCACTGTGTCCTCTGGCCACTGAGCTGAGCCCTTGGCCCCTACCTCCTCCTTCCCAAGCTTGGGAGAGTTTCCGGGGCTTCCAAAGAGAATCTTGTGATTCTCATCATGTCTGCTCATGTTCTACCCTTTGATGGATGGTGAGCTCAGATCCTGGGGCGGAGTGAGGATGTGACTTCTCTCTAGTCAGGCCGGTTTTCAGGCCTCCTGACCCCAGGCTCTGTCCACCATCTTTCAATGTTGTACCACTGAAATCCCCTTTTCTTCCAGTGCTCCTATCCTGGGCTGCGCTGTCACTGAAGTGTTGTGGTGTTGGGTGTTGGGATCCAACAGCCTCTGACCCTGAGTAGCTAGGTGACTTTGGACAAGAGTTTTCACCCCTCTAAATGGTGCATCATCACATACAGTGTGGGTATAGAACTGGCAGTCACAGGGGCCCTTTGGGAGGACTGGGCTAGGGCAGGAGAGGTGTTGTCTGCACAGAGCTGGCCCAGTGCCCACATCTATGTTAGATATTATTATTGTTATTATTAGATCTGCAACATTTATTATTTCAGTACTAACGACGGGCAGGCACCTCGCCAAGTTCTGTGCATGCAAAGACAAACACGCTGTCTCTGCCTGTGGGGAGACAAGTGAATAGACAATTACGATTCAGGGTGATGTTAGCTTTTGCAGCTGTCTTGCTTCAAATGGGATTAAGGCGGTCCATTTTATCTTGACATACCTTCCGCTGTGTCAAGGGCTTGGACTGTGATGAGCCCAGGTGCTGTGAGAGCACTGAGACGGGCTGAATCTCTTGGTGGAGGGAAGTCAGGGGAGGCTTCCTGGAGGAGGTGCTGATGAATGTCTCTTCTGCCATGAGAAGCCACCTCTCCCCTGTTCCCATTGGGATCGGGGGCTGGAGCTCTTTAGGCTGCAGACTGAGCCTGTTTCATCTCCGGGTTGTGTGAAATCATCATGGGTTCAGGAGCGTGGGACACCCTCCAGCTGTGGCCCCATCTCCCGGAGCAGCCATGCCTCCTACTGACTTTGTGGTCCCCCTGCAGTGGGAACTCAGTCACGTAGGGTCCCTGGGGAGCAGGGGTTTGGCCCGTGAACTGACAGAGATGTGGGGCCTGCACCTCCATGGCATCAGGGGAAGGAGGGCTCCTACCTCAGGGAACGGAGAGAGAGGATGTGCTAGGGGAGTCTGGGAACAAACAAGTCGGGGGGCTGGGCTCTGACCCCAGGCCAAGTGTAGAGAAGGTTGTGAGACCACTTGAGGTCATTGCCAGAAGCAACACCACTGCTGCCTCTTTTTGGGTTTCTGAGGGAGACAGATCTGGGATTGCATCTTGGCCAACCCTGGGCACTGCTCCTAGCCTTTGTGGACCTCCGTTTGATCTCTTTAAAGTGGGAAGAGTTGCACCTATTTCTTAGGATCCTTGTGAGATAATCCAAGAAAGATGCCTTTCCGGGGACCAGCACCTGGTGGATTTTTAGGGAGGCTTCCTCCTGCCCACTGCCTAGCCGACACTTCCCCTGAAGCTCGTTGAGTGTCTCCTATTTACCTCTCATCCTCCTGAAACCCCTGACCAAGAAGTCGGCCTTCCACCTACCAACCAAAGGCGTTTTTAATGCCCCAAATGAAACAGCTGCCTTTCCAGGCATATTTCTGCCTCTCTTAGTTCGGAGCATCCCCGGAGCATTGAGCTGTCTTTGGGGTCTAGGTCTCGCTCCTCCTCCAGCCCTGAGCATAGCCCAGGCTTTGGGGACCATGAAGCCACAGGTGGGGTCCGATTGTGCCTGTCTCCTTCTAGAGCTGGGGCTCCGAGGCTGATGTGCTTATGTGTTGTTCTTTTTTGAACCTGTATTGGCTTTGGTTTGTGCCCTGGTGGTGACAGTAGCCACCGTGGCAGGAGCGGCAGCGGCGCCCAGTGGAAGATTCCATGGATGCGGAGGCGGTGTCTTGTGGCAGCAGCGGGGGCTCCAATGGCCCCTTTGTCTTCCCAATGGCCTGGCTTCTCCACACGCTCACTCCCACCCATGCACCCGGCTCCTCAGGGACCGCTGCGGCACAGAGGCGACCTCTGACTCTGCCCTTAGTTTTCCTTCCACTTGAGGGGCCGGTCAGCCTCCTGGGAGCGATTGGTCAGTCTCTGGGCGAGGCGGGCGGCAGAAGCAGAGTCAGTATTAACGATCGCAGAATTATTTCTTGGCCAAGGAGGCTGGGGACAGTGTGTGTCACCAGGGCAATTCTGGTTGGCTAATTGGGCAATTTAAAACACAGGGTTTGAAAGGCCGGCCGCTCTGCCGGCTCTGGGAACCCAGCAGTTTCGGAGATGGATGTGTGTTCACGCAGTGGTGGCGGGTCCTTCTGGGAGTCACACGTCAGGACTAGGGGCAGGACAGGGCGGCGGTCCCAGCCCTGCGTCCCCCTGTCACCATGGTGACCATGGAGAGAACTGTTTCTTGTCTGTGCCTCTCCCCATCACAGAAATGGGTTGTGGGACTAGGGGACTTCTCTGGTTCTGTTCAAAGCTGAGTTTCCTAATCAGCTCCTGCCGCTACCTCTTTACTTCTTCTGAATGTGTATTTGAAACCATAGTTTATTACAGACACTGCTGGGCTTTGGTGTGGGGACTGTTTTTTTTTTTTTTTTGAGTCGGAGTCTCACTTTGTCACCCAGGCTGGAGTTCAGTGGCAGGATCTTGGCTCACTGCAACCTCCACCTTCTGGGTTCAAGTGATTCTCCTGCTTCAGCCTCCCGAGTAGCTGATAGCACAGGAGAGCGCCACCACACCCGGCTAATTTTTGTATTTTTATTAGAGACAGGGTTTCACCATATTGGCCAGGCTGGTCGCGAACTCCTGACCTTGTGATCCACCTGCCTCGGCCTCCCAAAGTGCTGGGACTACAGGTGTGGGGGACTGTTTTTAAGACATTCACACTGGACCTGGGCTGGGACTCTGGCCAGGGGGTGCTCGCCCCTTCTGGAAGGAGAGCTGCCGGCAGTGTCTCCTACATTGAAAGGTGAGGTCCCAGGTCCTCCCGGGGCTGGGCCTGTCCTCTTTGCCAGCTGTGATCCTGTCTCCAGATGTGGCACCCGGGGCCAGCATTGGGAATCATCGTGGCTGCAGGAAGTGAGAAGCTTTGGAGTCAGGGCCATTGCGCCTGGGTCTTCCGAAGGCTGGCGTTGGGTGGGTAGAGAGAGGCCCCCTTGACTGGACCCTAAGAGGTTGGCACTGATGAATATGACTTCCAGAACTAAAATACGGCTGGAGGCACATTTCCACATCCCCATCGAAGATGACCTGCTCCTGCTCCTGGCCTCCTTGGAATTCAGGGAATGCTGCCCGAGCCGCCTCCTGGCGTTGCTTTTCTGTGATTCTCCTTTTAGCTGACCTTTCCGCTTTGAAATTGCCCACCACAGAGCACGTCACACCCCGAGGTTAGGACATTGCTTCACTTCATTCTTTGCTGGGGAAATAAACCAAACCCAAACTTCCTCAATAGCAGGGTCTGCACCCTGACGACTCGGCCACAACCCAGCGGCCATGCTCACAGAATATTCATCCTGATCTTTCCAGAGGAAAATCCAAGGGAAAAAGGTTTATTCTCCTCTTTCCAGAAGGGAGGAAGGTTTATTCTCTACTGTCCAAGGAGGGCTGCTGTTTCTCCAAGGAAGTCTCCCCCTTGACTAGGGAAAGAAGGCTCAAAGCGGGGTCCCCCATGGGAGCCCTGGCCCTGCAGTGCTGGGGAGGGGCAGACCCGGGCTTTGAGCAGAGCCAGGAACGCACTTCTCTTGAGAGACCGTTTGCTCCTCTCTGGAGGTTTCCATCCTGCTGCTATTTTGTGAGCAGGATGTTTACCCCCATGGGGTTTTAGAGCAGAACTTAGCCTCGCTTAGGGGCTTCAGATTTGTGTACAGAGTACGAGCCAATAAGACACCGGCCAGTCCGGGATGTTCTGGTCCAGTGGGCACCCTCAGAGCTGTGGAGCCGTTTGTCCCCAAGGGACATGGTTGGGCTGGCCCTGGCTTGGATCAGGCCCCTGGCATAGAGGGAAGGCAGGGCCCCCTAGGGTCTCAGAAAGGTTGTGTGGGTTGTGCACTGCTCAAGGGCACCTGGCCTAACAGCTGAGCAGGTGCTGAAATCCAGCCTGCATCTGCTCTCCCAGACTCATGCCTGGCTCAGGCCTGTGCCTGCCTTGAGGAAGGGGCACTTTCTTCTTTGCACAAAAGCGTCTGTATAGTTCAGCGGTGGTCCTGGGATCTGCCTGGGCTGATTTCAAAGGAAATGTGTATTAACTGTGTCTTTTGTTTCTGTATTCTGATGCTTTCATATCTCAGACACTATGCTGACCCTGGAAAAGCTGCCCTTCCCAGGGTGAGCCAACTTCTAGAGATCGCAAACAGCTCTGGAGAGAGCCTTTCAAGTGCAAACCAACCAATCCAGAGCCCCCAAGCATCTCCTTTACTAGGCTCTGACACTCTGAGCTACCGGCTATCTGCCTTAATCATCCCAGGGCCGGGCATGGGACAGGCACGCCAGAGTCTGCTGTAATGATTCAAGCTAGCCAATCCGTTCCTTCTTGCAGAAACCACAATCAATGTGGTTTGCCCACCTTTCCTCCCCACTTGCCTCCTGACCAGCCCTGGTGCTTCCCCGTGTGGCCCTGTGTAGGGTGCCCTGCCTTCTGTATCTAGGGAACTGGTAACATAATAGCTCATTTACACATGTGTCTTACCATACCTGGGGAAAACACATCCTGGGGACCTTTAAAACATGTGGCCAGAGAGGCTGTCTGGGGAAGAGCACCCGAGATATTACCTTCTGCAAATCCACCCTCCAGTTCAGGGCCAGCCCAAGGCAGGCTCTGCCAGGGCGTTCTGAGGATGAGTCAATTCTGGGCCGAAGTGTATCCCACAGGAGGCAGGGGGCCGTGTGCTTCCGGAGAAGAGTGGGGTGGGGATAAGTGAGGGGGGATGAACAGGGGCTCCTGGGATCCCCAGGACTCAGCCAGACCTGGACTTTAATCCTGGCTGCACTCAGCAGGTGGGAGATGTTGGGCCAGCCGAGGAAGCTTGCTGACCCTTGGTTTTCCAGCTGGAAAACTGGGGACAAACTCTCCTCCATAGACCCATGGGGAGTAATCCATGAATGCACAAGGCATGCTTCTATTGGGATGACCCCCAAAACTGTCCATATCCTAATCCCTAGTACCTATGAGAGCTATGTTATCAGGCAAAAGGGAATTTGCAGATGTGATCCCATGATGGGGGATTATCCTGGACTATCCAGGTGGGACTGATGTCATCACAATGATCCATGTGACAGAGATGAAGAAAGGACAGATAGAGGAGACACCTCCTTTGCCTAAGTGATCATGGAAGCAGAGATTGGAGTGATGTGGCCACAAGCCAAGGAATGCAGGCGGTCTCCAGAAGCTGGAAGAAACAGGAACAGATTCTCCCCACTCCTAGAGCCCCCAGAATCTCTAACTCTGCTGATGTCTTGATTTTAGCTCCATACCACTGATTTCAGACTTCTGATCTCTAGAAATGTAAGAGAATAAATATGTGTTGTCTCAAGCCACTAGGTTTATGATAACTCGTTGCAGCAGAAACAGAAAACTAATTCAGGCTATTGGTTGTTGTTCTGAGTGCAGAATAGCTGGTACAAGCTCTAATTCTGAGGACCAATAGCCTTGGATGAGAGTCTTAGTCTGTGTGACCTTGGGGATATTACCTAACCTATCCGTGCCTTGGTTTTCCCATCTGTAAGGTGGGGATGAGAATACATCCCAGCTCATGTCATTGTTAATGTTATGTCTGACACGTGTGGAGAACTTGTTGAATGCCTTAGTTTAGAATGCTTTTCTTTCAGCTTTTAAGTTCAGGGGTACATGTGCATGATGTGCTGGTTTGTTACATAGGTAAATGTGTGCCATGGTGGTTTATTGCACAAATCATCCCATCACACAGGTATTAAGCCCAACATCTATTAGCTATTCTTCCTGATGCCTTCCCTCCCCACAACCCAACAGGCAACAGTGTGTGTTGTTCCCCTCCATGTGTCCATGTGTTCTCATCCATCAGCTCCCACTTATAAGTGAGAATATGTGGTGTTTGGTTTTCTGTTCCTGCATTAGTTTGCTGAGGATAACGGCTTCCAACTCCATTCATGTCCCTGCAAAGGACATGATCTTGTTCCTTTTTATGGCTGCATAGTATTCCATGGTGTATATGTGCCACATTTTCTTTATCCAGTCTATCATTGATGAGCATTTAAGTTGATTCCATGACTTTGCTATTGTCAATAGTGCTGCAGTGAACATATGTGTGCATGTATCTTTACAACAGAATGATTTATATTCCTTTGGGTATATATCCAGTAATGGGATTGCTGTGTCAAATGGTATTTCTGGTTCTAGATCTTTGAGGAATCACCACACTGTCGTTCACAATTGTTGAACGAATATACACTCTCACTAACAGTGTAAAAGTGTTCCTTTTTTTCCACAACCTTGCCAGCATCTGTTGCTTTCTAACTTTTTTAATAATGGCCATTCTGATTGGTATCTCATTGAGTGAGATGGTATCTCATTGTGTTTTGATTTGCATTTCTCTAATGATTAGTGATGTTGAGCTTTTTTTCCCATATAATTATTGGCTGCATGTGTGTCTTCTCTGGAAATGTGTCTGTATATAAATATTACTATTATCTACATTTAGATAGAGACCTAGAACCAAAGGCCTGGTCTTTTCCCTGCTCAGGACACAGGGTCTCCATGAAAATGTTGTGGATAAATTCTTATTGGAGGATGGAGGGAGGTGGCAGATCTAGTCCATAGTCCTCAGGTGACAGATAGGGAGCCAAGGCCAGAGCTGGAGCTTCCAGGATAGCCCAGCAGGTTAAAGTCAGTCAGCTCCACCGCCAAGTCCCAGGGTGGTGGTGTCTGGAGACACTAGGCTGCCTCTAGATGCTACTGTGCATGTGACTGAAGGGGGACAGCCATCTTCAGACAGCTGTGGGGTTAGTGACATGGCTCTCGGAGGCCTGAGATGCTTGTCTGTTAGAGCCCAGCTCCTACTTCTCACCTCCGCTGTGTCACCTCCTGCCCCTGGCTGGCCAGCACCCTCCCACCTAAGACAGATGAGCAAGTCTGTTCCTCAAATTAACATGGCTTTCCCGTGACATTGAGCCATGATATTGCTACCATGAGTTGGATTGGTGTGAACCGTGGCCTACCCAGAGTCAGGGAAGTGAGTTAAAAATGCTTTTTCAGAAACATTCCCTACCCAAGAAGTCTACAGTTCATCTTAGAAATTCTTTGTTGCATTGATCTGGGCCCACACTCTTGAGGCCTCAAGTATCACTTTCAGTTGTTTAACTCTAAAAGGGAGCTGTAAAACATCGCCGGAGAGGAGTCTTGCATGTTAAGCGTGGGGAGATAAATCAAGGGAGGAAGCGTTATGAGAGGCCAAGTGCAAAAAGCACATTTTCAGAAATCTAAACCAGACAGACGCTTGCAGCTTCGGATTGGCATCCCCGGGAGTCTGGATGGGGTGTCAGACCATCCGGGAGGAGCTCCAGCCCTCAGTGATAATGGAGCGCTAAGCCCCCCGCGGGCGATTTCCGGGTCCCCGCAGAATCCAACCCTCAGCGGTAACGGAGCGCTAAGCCCCCCGCGGGCGATTTCCGGGTCCCCGCAGAATCCAACCCTCAGCGGTAACGGAGCGCTAAGCCCCCCGCGGGCGATTTCCGGGTCCCCGCAGAAGCACATTTCCTTCCTCCTCCCACACTTGACTCCTTCAAGGTCGGGCTGTTACCTCCACTGTGCAGCTGCAGCCAGGACTCAAGGAGCAAAGCGACTTGCCCAGTCACACCCCATGTGACTCTGGGGACATGCATGGAGTCACCCCAGCCCTCTTGAGCCTTAGCCCTTCTCTGGTTCCATTCTGATTTTCAAAGAAGGAAATACACAGATAGGAGGGGTTCCCAGGCGGCCCATGTCCTCTGGGAGTGCGGTAGGACGAGAGTGTGAAGGATGGCAGTGTCTGGGACAGAACCAGGCCCCCAGGTGCTGGCCTGGTGATCACATGGAGGGCCGGTTGCCTGATCTTAGGTCTTCCTTGTGGGGGGCAACAAGGATGTCCCTGGGGAAGGTACAGCCAGCACAAAGATAAAGATTTGGGAAGCAGCCTTTATTCTTGTCTGAGTCTGGTCTATTCTTGGATCCCTGGCCCAGTCTGCACCCGCTACATCACAGGTGCTGTTGTAGGGGCTGGGGAAGGAGCTGTGGGTGAGACCATGTCCTGCCTTTGCTGAGCTCACCCTGTGGTCTTCCCAGCAGCCTGGTTCAGAGACAAGGAGCAGGGTGAGGGCCTGGACAGTTCTCAGTTGCCAGGAAGGGCAAGGGCACACTGTGGGGAGGACAGCAGGTAGACCAGAAGGACAGACCACTGCCTTCAGAGTCAAAGCCCGTTACTGGAGGCTTCTGGACATCAGCCACAGCAGGAAGTAAGAAGCAGGCTGGGGATACGAGGGACTGCTCTGGTTTTAACCTGCCCTTTATGACTCCTTGAGGGCATAGACAGTGTCCTACACAGGCTGCCTGGCAGCTTGGAGGGTTCTCACCGCTGAGTGCCGCCACTCAGAGTGAACCTAGGGGGCCGTCTTGTGCCTGACTTGCCTGGGATGCTGCTGCCTGCTTGCCCATTTGAACACCTTCTGGTCCATCACCTTGATCTACAGCATGGCCTTGGCCTTGGTTTCCCCATCTGTGAAGGAGAAGGCTGCCCTACATGCCCCCCGAGGGCTCTCCTTGCTGGACAATGATTCCCCACTCGTGCCAGACACCCGCTTTATGACCGGCTGTGCGGAAGCTGTGACGGTGCCTTCCCCGGCGGAGGACAGTGCGGTGACCGGCTGTGCGGGAGCTGTGACACGGTGCCTTCCCCGGTGGAGGACAGTGCGGGGACCGGCTGTGCGGGAGCTGTGACACGGTGCCTTCCCCGGCGGAGGACAGTGCGGTGACCAGCTGTGCAGGAGCTGTGATGGTGCCTTTCCTGGCGGAGGACAGTGCGGTGACCGGCTGTGCGGGAGCTGTGACGGTGCCTTCCCCGGCGGGGGACAGTGCGGTGACCGGCTGTGCAGGAGCTGTGACAGTCCCTTCCCCGGCGGGGGATGGTGCGGTGACCGGCTGTGCGGGAGCTGTGACACGGTGCCTTCCCCGGCGGGGGACGGTGCGGTGACCGGCTGTGCGGGAGCTGTGACGGTGCCTTCCCCGGTGGGGGACAGTGCGGTATTTATCTGATGATGGGTTCCTTTTCTCCCCACTGTGTCCGGCAATAATGATGGAGCGCCCAGGAGTGCCGGAGCCATTTTACTTTTATTTTATTTCTTCCTGAAGTTCAATACTTTCCAAAGCACCTCCGTGTGGTAATGCTATTTTCCTGGCAGGAATGCATTTATTGAAGCTGTCAGTCACCCCTGGCTTCTCCATCTTGGCTCTGCGGCAGGCCTGACGAGTGATGTGGCCATCTATAATTTAAAGGCTGATAGACCCAAATTGCCCATGCAGACCTTGCCGGTGGCACAAGTTAAGGACAAGTTCTTTGCAAATTGGTTGCCTAGTAGTTTCGTGGCCCTAAGTGACTGAGTTTTCTCTCCTGGCCAGTTTCCCTCAAAGGGTTGGCTGAGACCCTCCAAGATTGTTCTTGTCAGTCTGAATGAACTGCCATGGTGTGAGGGCCCTGGGAGAGGGACCTACAGCCTACTCTGTTTTGATTGAAAATAAGGGGATGGGACTCTGATGAGGGAGGTCAGGGCTGGGGGTTGTGACCCAGAGCAGGTCACAGAAAGATCACAGGTTTGAGAGCCAGGTGGGCTTGGGTTCGAATCCAGGTCCACCACTCCCCAGCAGTGATTTCAGACTCCATCTGTGGTAGGGTTGGTGATTCCCACGCTTACAGGCAGTTGTGGAAACTACAAGGGGAAGGGCGGGCCACAGGGCTTGGACACCGTGGGTCCCTTGTCTGACGACTCATCATGCCCAGGGTCTCTGGACTCTAGGCCTGGGGTGGAGGCAGTGTCAGCCCTCAAAGTGGAGGAGCTCTCCCTTCTCCCTAAGTCCTGGGGCCGACGTTTGTGTTATTGGAGGTTCTGCACTGAGCACCTTCTCTCTCCTCCACTGAAGTCTCCATCTTTTCTGGAGACCTGTCTATATCCTCTGCTTTACACACTCCAACCAAGCCACAGGGTTTCTGCTTAAAATACTTATGGGCTCTATGCTAAGGAGGGGAGCCATAGGCGTTTAAAAAGTACTTATAATGGCTTGTTTTGAGAAATAGACTAAACTTTCCCTACTAATTTGTTGGTCATATGAACTTTCAGGCTTTTTCAGGTCTGCTTCCTTTTCTTTCTTTCCTTTCTCTATCTTTCTATCTTTTTCCTTCCCTCCCTCCCTCCCTTCTTCCTTCCTCCCTTCCTTCCTCCCTTCCACTTCCTTCTCCTTCCCTCCTTCCTTCCCTCTTCCCTCCTTCCCTTCCTTCCCTTCCTTCCCTTTTCTTCCCTTCCTTTCCTTCCAACCTTCCCCTTCCTTCTCCTTCCTTCCTGCCTGCCTGCCTTCTTCTTTTCTTTTTTCTTTTCTTTTCTTTTCATCTCTCCAGCTGAGTGACTGCCCTTCCCCAGAAACAACCAAGTATATTTGCATTAGTCAATACTGTGGTTCAAAATAGTAGGAACACAGCTCAAAATGCCTTACATAAAAACCAAAAAATCCATTGGCTTCCTAAATTGAACCTGGAGAAGGATCCACGTGGAGCTTGGCCCAGGGAACAGGGGCCTGACTTCTGTCTGCCAGCTCCTGCAGCCCCGTCCACCACTCCCAGTCCCACCTCCCTGCCCATTGGCTTTGTCCTTTATGCAGGCTGCCTTTCCAGGGCTGCAAATGGCCACTGGCCTCCTTCTTTCCAGTCTCTCAGCCAGAGACGAGAAAGACCTCCTCCCTTGGCTCGAGGAAGAAAAATCCCAGGGCAGGCCTCTCATTGGCTCTGCTCACATCATTTTCCCACCCTTAGAACCAATCATTGTGGCCCGAGGGTTCAGATGCCATGACTGACAGCACCACTGCCTTGTGTAATTGGACCCTGTGCAGAGCAGGTGCCCCAAAGGAAAGAGGAAGGAAGTGGGAGGAGTGGGGGGAACCCAGAAAGGCCAGGAACCTCTCTATTTGCATCTTCTGAAGTATTTCTCCTTCTGGCTGAAAAGGGGACACAGAGGGGGCCTTGGTCCTGGATTTCTCCAAAAGCATCCCCCAGGAAATGGCTGCACAAGTGGCCACCTCAGAATTTTCACTCTTCCCAGCTTCCCTGGAGAGAATGGCCGCAGCCTTAACTGGCTTTCCCACACTCCCAGGAGCACCGGGTTTTCTATTTCAGTGTCCTCCTGTCTGAGGGAGGATGATTAGCTGGTAGAGCCACATCCTAATGTTTTGGCTGGAAACCAAGGCACTTGGGGAGCGCGTCCAGCTCCTGCAGAACACATGCTCCCACCCATCCTGTGCCCACTGATGACAGGGAAGATGGGAGGTGGGAGGGGAAACAGCAGAGAGACAGAAGCCCAGGGCTGACCACACAGCCTGGGCACTGCTACATCCAGGCACAACTTCAGCTCTGGAGCTGACAGCGGCTGCAGGGATCTTGCTCTTGTTTATGGTCCTTCCCTCTCTGTGAGTGTGGGATGGGTGAGGTGCTGGGAGTCACGGGCCCTTCCAGGTTGAGCTGCAGTGAATCTCAGCTGGGGGACATATCCAGTGCCCCTTCCCTCTCTGAGCTCCAGGTTTCTCACCTGGGAAGGGCAAGAAGCAGCAAGAGAAGGGGGTGGGGGTGAGGACCCAGCTGCCACCACATCCATATCCTTGGCTGTTCTATTTCTTCCAGGAGAAATTGGCCGGTGCGAGAGGGCTGGGCCCTTTGCTTTCCTCTCCTCTTTGGAGATGGTGGGGCAGGCAGGAAGCACGGAGAGGTGTGGTGGGGCGGCTGCCCAGGGTGGACAGAATCCACATTTGAGTGGGGGCTGACTTTGAACCAAGCCCACCTGCCCCAACCTGAGCCTGTTCTCTATCTCACTACACAATTGATGAATGAGGTTTTTAGGTTTTAATAAGTCAGTAGGTCCAGATGTTTCCCAATGTATGTTACGAATGCTAATTATCTTCTAATTACTTATTAGCCGAGGCTGCGCTGGCAACCAGCGCCCCAGAAGCACAGCCAGATGAGTCCAGAGCTTCGGAGAGAAGATTAACTGACGGCTTCTTCTGGCAGCCGCTTCCAGAGATTTCTCATCGCCCATAGGGTTCTCTCCAGTAGTTATTATTTTTGGAGGGGAGAAACCCAGTGGTCTCTGCACTAGGGACGGGTACAGTTAAGTTTTTGGTGCCTCGGAGGTACCTGACACCGGCCGGGCTGACGTGTTTCATCTGGCAGCTCTCGCACTCAATCCCGCCACACCCAGGGCTTAGGAGGGCTGGCAAGACGCAGGGGCCTCGCTCTGAAATGGGAGGGCAGGCTGCTCTCCTCCTAGGCCTTGCCTCTGTATGCCCCTTCTTGAGCCACTGGGCATCCATTCTCTCAGACTCAGGGCCAAGGCCAATAGGAAGGGAGCTTCCCCAAGCCGAGCCTTTGGAAAACGTTTGCCTGCCAGGGGCTCACGTCAGTGAGGGTGTATCTGCCACTCTCTCTCTCACGTCCAGCTTTGAACCTTGTCAGAAGGCCGTGTCCTCTGTGCCACAGTTCCACCTAATGCCAGTTAGTAGGCGAACCCTCTCTTGTCAGGAGACCAGCACTGGCATGGAGGTGGAGGTGCCTCCTTCGGAGGTCCATATTGAAACTCTGGAGGCGGCCGATACCTAGGCGCAGGCCTCTCTTCTTGTTACTGCCACCTCTTTGTTCATCTGGCCCAGCTGGCAAAGAGATTCTGCGGGAGGTCATCCTTGATGGAAGGGCCCATCCGTCATCTCCCTGGTAGATAGGCACCCCTGCCCACTGCGGCAAACCCCTACTTCTGGTTTCCTTTGGAACCCCTTTGTTATTCATGAGGATTACAAATAGACAGTGTGAAAAGTAAAACAGATGGCTGTATTCATCAATCGGGGCAGTGTGTACTAGTTTTATAGAAAATTATGACCTGTTTTTTTCCTGGTATTGAGGTTGCATTGATCTCTGTGGACTCCATGGGGCGTGACACATTCATTCTTCTGGTTGCAGATGCTGGATTGATGTGTGTCCTTGTGGCGAGTGATGCATTTTGCAGAACCCTTCTGGCATCTGGTGGTTCCTGTGTGTGTCACCAGATTCATTCATTCCCGCATTCATGTATTCATCTGCCTACCCACACACCCGTCTATGCACTCATATTAACATTGGTCCATCCATCCACCCACCCACCTGTCCTTCTTCCTCAGGACCATTTGCTGAGTACCAGGCAGCTGGTTCCCTGTGGTGCTTAGAATGTACGCTCCTGGAGGGTGGGGCGGTGTGGGTGGAGCTTGTATCAGCCTGCTCGGGCTGCCGTGACAAAGGACTGCAAACTGAGTGAGTCACACAACCAAAATTGATCACCTCACAGTTCTGGAGGCCAGGAGTCTGAGATTGAGGTGCAGGCAGGGCTGTGTTCCCTCCAAAGGTGATAGGGAAGTGTCTGTGCCAGGCCCCTCTCCTGCTGCTGGTAGTTCTTGGTTTGTGGCGGCATCACTCCAATCATTACATGGCCACAGTGTCCCCTCTGTGTGTGTGTCTCTGATTCACATTTCCCCTTTTGATAAGGATGCTAGTCATTTTGGATTAGGGGCTCACTCTTCTTAACTAATTACATCTACAATGCCACCATTTCCAAGTAAGATCACATTCTGAGGTCCTGGGGGTTAGACTGCAGCATGTGGAGATCGGGGGATACGTTTCGACCTGTAATACCAGCTGTGTTTCATCTCCCCCAGAGAGCACGTTGGACCATTCCCAGGCCTGTGCTGAAGAGCAACTTGCAACCGGGAGAGTCAGGTCCAGTCAGAGCTCCAGCTTCATGCCTGGCCTGGAACCTGATCACTTCAGCCAGCAAATGCCAGCTGTCACCTGCCTCCAAGACCCATTAGGAGGAGGTTCCAGTCAACCCAATGGATCACCTTGGCTTGGTATAGACAGTTAAGGTCAAAACTCCCAAGCATGCTTTTCCCACCAGAAGCATACAGCAAGGAGAGCTAACCTTTGCTGCAGTGCCCACCGTACCCTGAGCTGGCAGCACATTTAGTGGGATGAAGAATGTGAGAGGATCATTGCATACATCCACCAGCCAAGTGTAGGTTCAGCAGCATTTAACAGAACTCTTCCCAGTGACAGTGTCAAAACAGGATGGGTCCTTCATGTCTCTTTTTGTGTAACAGTAGTTTGGAGGTGGGTGGCTGTAGGAAGCTGTTAGGGATCAATACTTAGTCTGTCCTCATCCTCATGGTCCAAGATGGGTGCTAGAACTCCAGCCATCTCATCCATGTCCCAAGCAGGTGTCCCCTCTTAGGGAGACTTCCTGGAAGTACCATCCAACACTTTGCTGATATCTCATTGGTTAGAACGGAATCACATGATCACATCTAGTGTAAAGGAGGCTGGGATACATAGTTTTGTATTAGGTTGGTGCAAAAGTAATTGTGGTAATAATTGAGCACATTGTTGTCCAGCTAGAAATTGGGTTCTAAGGAAGATAGCAAGAATGGATGTTGATCAGGCAATTGGGAGTCTCCACATTTGCCAACAGTCTTGTCTGACCACCTCTCCGGGTGGCAGGCCGAGTGGATTCAGGGAGCACAGTGTTGGGGACAGGCAGGAAAAGGCACGGAACCACAGCACCATGTTCCACATTGCTGTCCTTGGAGTGGGCTGTCTTAAAGGATTTATTTTAGTTATGTGAGGGGCTTGAGTTCCCCAAATGGTCAACTCAGCTTTCAAGAGGTTTCCAGGGGTCAGGAGAGCGGTTTCTGACCCCCGCACTCCAACAGTCCATGGTTCTTCACCTCAAGGCTGCTTAGCACTTCGGGTGAATGAAGAAGGCACACGGGACAGTCTGTCTTCTGTGCAGTCACTGGATCACCCTGGGATAAAGTCTCCCCCAGGCCCTGTCATAGCTCTGGTCCTTCTTAGGAAAGGAAAAGTCCTATTATTGTTTTTAGTTACACGTCATCTTCCTTTTCTTTAACGTGTCTGGTTGAGCAAAATCATCAAAACCCAGATCTTTGTTCAACGCCTGTGTGTCTGGCCCTCCAGCCCGGCCCGGTCAAGGCTGGCAGCCTGCAGTGGGGAGTGGGGTGAGGGCCTTCTGCTGTCTTTAGTCCCACGGGTCTGGACCTCTACTTCCTGCTGGGTCCCAAGGCGCATGGTCCTTTCCAGGTTGGAGGGGGAGGGTATGAGGAAGGGGACAGGGAGGGGAATTCGGCACCAAGAATTTGGGGGGCTTCTTGGAGAATGATTCCTATCCAGTCCCTGGAATGCTGCTGTCTCGACGGAGGCCAGCCCTCTCCTTGCACTGCTGGGGCTTCCTGGCTGGCCCCAGGGCACCTGGCCATGCACTTCCCACAGGTGCTGAGGGCTCTGATCCATCTACTCCTCCCAGGAGGGTCCTCTTTAAAGGGACCCCAGGCCATTATCCTTACCAGGAGACCCACAGATTGGCCCCTGTGGTTGGTGGGGAGGCATCTCCCTTCAGCCCTCTCCTCCTTCTTCCGCTGGGAGCCAGGGCTAGCCACAGCCTGGGTGCAGACTGGCCTTTGGGAGCGAGTCCCTGCAGGCTGTGTCCTGTGCACTCCTGGGGACAGACAACAGTCCCTCTGCCCACCCCCACAGGGAGCTCCTTCAAGCTCCTCTCCCTTCCATGAGGTGAGAGTAAGGGCCTCCACCCATTCCCTGGAGGGGAGGAATACAGGGGCCTCACAGCCTCTTTCTAAAGAAGAAACCAGCTTGACAATCTCCAGCTGCCCTCTTGGCTTCTTCAGCCCTCGAGGTGGGTGAGGCTGAGGGCTGGCACACGGGGGCCATGCACGTGCAGGTGCACCTGCTGCAGACTGTAGAGTCGCTGCTGGCATCATTCGACTTTGGCCTCCAGCAGAGACTGAGTCAGGAGCCCCATTGTGATGTTCTAAGAATCACCGGAGCAATTTGTTAAAATGCAGGTTCCTGGGGACAACCTCCAGAGACTGGGTTCAGCTGGTTTGTTATGGGGCCAGGGGACCTGCATTGACCCCATACCCCAGCTGATGCTGATGCTGGGGGTCCTGCAGGGACTTTTGGTTGTCCTTAGGGGTGGAATGCAATACACAGTCACCATGGCAACCCCCATCCTGTTTTTCTTGGAGCCCACAGGCCCAAGACCTTTCTCAGCCCGTCTCGGCTGCCTTTCCAGACACTCCACTTAAATGGCTGTTTTATTTTGTCATAGCCTGCGGATCTAGTTAAATGCCTATAATACAGCAGTGTTATCTGAGAGAGACACGCACACTTTCTTGACTAGATTTCCAAGAAATTTTATGAAAGGCTGATTTTCTTTGAAAGGCCTGGCTCCTTTATGTGGTGGAATAGAATCGTTTTGGAATTGATATTCTCAAGGACGGCGAGAGCCTCCTCCCGTCTTCCACTATTCTAAGATGTTTGTAGTCCCTCTCTCCCTTCTTCTTGCTGATAACCGAAGCCCGCCGCCTCTTCATCTTCAAAAGCACAACATAAATTAGATGAAAAGAGTTTTTGTATAAAATATTTAACCCCTCCTTAGTTCTTGGACAATCCCAGCGGTGTTTGCATGGCTGTACCGCCTTAAACCTGGCGGTGAGAGGAACGCAAGCCTGGGCGTCCGGTCCTCTCTTCCCCACCCACCTCCCTCTGCAGCCTCCTTTCCGCCCTCTGGATCCAGCCACCTGTGCTCCAGCAGGTCCCCGGAGGGCCTTAGACCTAGCTCTGCCTGGCCTGCACATGGCATCCCATAACCGTGTGCATTTTCTTTTTTCCTTTCTCTCTTTTTTTTTTTTTTTGAGACAGAGTCTTGCTCTGTTGCCTAGGCTGCAGTGCAGCGGCGCGATCTCAGCTCACTGCAAGCTCCGCCTCCCGGGTTCACGCCATTCTCCTGCCTCAGCCTCCTGAGTAGCTGGGACTACAGGTGCCCGCCACCACGCCCGGCTAATTTTTTGTATTTTTAGCAGAGACGGGGTTTCACCATATTAGCCAGGATGGTCTCGATCTCCTGACCTCGTGATCCACCCACCTCGGCCTCCCAGAGTGTTAGGATTACAGGCGTGAGCCACTGCATCCAGCCTCCACGTGCATTTTCTAAAACCGACTTCAATTTATTTTATTTTAATTTTTTTATTTTTTATTTGAGAACAAAGCCTTGCCTTTGTCGCCCAGGCTGGAGTGCGATGGTGCAATCTCAGCTCACGGCAACCTCTGTCTCCTGGGTTCAAGCGATTCTCCTGCCTCAGCCTCCCTAGTAGCTGGGACTACAGGCACATGCCACCACGCCTGGCTAACTTTTTGTATTTTTAGTAGAGACGGGGTTTCACTATATTGGCCAGGCTGGTCTGGAACTCCTGACCTCAGGTGATCCACCTGCCTTGGCCTCCCAAAGTGCTGGAGCTACAGTCATGAGCCACCGCTCTTGGCCAACTGACTTCAATTTTATCCTCCTTATCAATCTTGGGTACCTCCTCCAGGCCCCATATGTACAGCTTTGGAACAAAGTTTTTGCCCCTTCTTGCCCCTGGAGGGAGGCAGGACTGACGGGTGCCTGAAGGCTCAGGACAAAGGATGCAGGGGAATGCCCAGGGACAGGACAGCTTCTTAGAGGTTAGTGCCACTGCCCAGCCCAGACTGCCTTTTGGGGTGACAGTTCAAACCCAGGTCCACCACTGGAATATGACTCAGCCTTAAATAGGAAGGAAACTCACATACCTGCGTGGCTGAACCTTGAGGATGCCGTGCTAAGTGAAATAAGCCAGTCGCAAAAAGACGGATACTGGATGATTCCATTTGTAGGAGGTCCCGGGGGTTGTCAAATTCACAGAGACAGAAAGTAGGATGGTGGTTGCCAGGGGCTGGGGAGAGGGAGGAATGGGAATTATTTTTTATAAGTACAGTTGCTGTTTTGCAAGATGAAAAGAGCTCTGAAGACGGATGGTGGTGATGACAGTGACATAAAATGTGAATGTACTTAATGCCACTGAATTGTGCACTTAAAAATGGTTAAAATGGGCTGGGCGCGGTGGCTCATGCCTGTAATCCCAGCACTTTGGGAGGCCAAGATGGGTGGATCACCTCTGGTAGGGAGTTCGAGACCAGCCTGACCAACATGGAGAAACCCTGTCTCTACTAAAAATACAAAATTAGCCAGGCGTGGTGGCGGGCGCCTGTAGTCCTGGCTACTCAGGAGGCTGAGGCAGGAGAATCACTTGAACCCAGGAGGCAGAGGTTGCAGTGAGCCAAGGTCGCACCACTGCACTCCAGCCTGGGCAACAAGAGCAAAACTCCGTCTCAAAAAAAAAAAAAAAAAAAAAAAAAAAAGCATGTTAGGTATATTGTACACAATTAAACAAATGAATTAAAAAAAGAAAAAATCCAGGTCTATCTCCTAGGAACTGTAAGCTTAGGGAAGGCTTGAAGCCTCCATTTCCTCATCCAGAAAGCAAGGACGTTATACAAATCAAGGCTGACAGGAGGGTTTTCTGAGAGAAAGGAGAGAATCACGATGTGAAAACTGTAGCCCACCCCAAAAATACAGAACATGATTGAGAAATCGTTTGCTTGTTTACTAAGTTTTCAGAGTTCATTCTCAGATATATAGTTTGCAAATATTTTCTCTCATTTGGTAGCTTGTCTTTTAATCCTCTTGAAGGATCTTTCGCAGAGCACACATATTAAATTTTGAGGAAAGCCAGTTAATTTCTTACTTTTACAGATTGTGCTTTTGGTATCAAGTGTTAGAACCCTTTGCCTAGCTGTAGATGCTGAAGTTTTTCTCCAATTGTTTCTAAAAGTTTTAGAGTTCTATGTTTTATTTTATGTATTTGATCCATTTTGAGTTGATGTTTTAATTAAAAAGACGAGTTTCTTTTCTTCTTTTTTTTTTAGCCTATGGACATCCAATTGCTCCGTTAGAGCATTTGTTGAAAATGCTTTCCTTGCTCCATGTGATGACTCTGGTGCCCTTGTCAAAAGCCAGCTGGGCCTATTCGTGTGGGTCTGTTTCTGGGTTCTCTATTTTGTTCCATTGGCCTATAGGTCTGTCTCCCCGCAATCCCACACTCTTAGCGACTGTGACTATACAAGTCTTGAAATTGGGTAGATGAATTCTTCCTACTTTCCTTCCTTCCTTCCTTCCTTCCTTCCTTCCTTCCTTCCTCCCTCCCTTCTTTCCTTCCTTCCTTCCTTCCTCCCTTCCTTCCTCTCTTTCTCTCTTTATCTCTTTCTCTCTCTCTTTCTCTTTCTTTCTCTCCTTTCTTTCTTTCTTTCTTTCTTTCTCTCTCTCTCTTTCTTTCTTTCTTTTTTTCCCTCTCTCTCTTTCTTTTATTTTTTATTTTTTTGAGACAGAGTTTTGCCCTTGATGCCCAGGCTGGAATAGTGCGATCTTGGCTCACTGCAACCTCCACCTCCCAGGTTCAAGCAATTCTCCTGCCTCAGCCTCCCGAGTAGCTGGGATTACAGGCATACGCCACCATGCCTGGTGAATTTTTGTGTTTTTAGTAGAGACAGGATTTCACTAGATTGGCTAAGCTGGTCTTGAACTCCTGACCTCAGGTGATCCACCCGCCTTGACCTCTGAAAGTGCTGGGATTACAGGTGTGAGCCACCACACCGGGCCTTATTTTCCTTTTTCGCAATTGTTTTGGCTACTCTAGTACCTTTGTCTTTTCACATCAATTTTATTTTATTTATTTATTTTTGAGACTGGGTCTTACCTTGTCACCCGGGCTGAAGTGCAATGGCGTGATCTTGGCTCACTGCAACTTCTGCCTCCCGGATTCAAGCGATTCTCCTGCCTAAGCCTCCTGAGTAGATGGGATTACAGGCACACACAGCCATGCCCGGCTAAATTTGGAATAATCTTATCTATATCTATAAAAAGTCTCACTGGGCTTTTGATGGGAATTGTGTTAAGCCTGTATGTAAATCCACTTAGGGAGAAATGGCATCTTTACTATTTTGAGTCTTCCAATCCATGAACATGATATGTCTCTCAATTTATTTAGATCTTTATTGATTTCTTTCATCAGTGTGGTGTACTGTTTAGCATAGAAACCCTATACGTTTTTTAGATTTATAATGATTTAATTTGTTTTAGTGATTGTAAACGGTATTTTTAAAAACCAGCCTTACTGAGGTATAATTGACAAGTAAAAATTGTGTATATGTAAGGTATACAGCCTGATGATTTGATATACATATACATTGTAAAGTGGTAACTATAGTTAGCAACAATGTATTGTATACTCAAAACTTGCTAAGAGAGTAGATCTTAAGTGTTTTTACCACCAAAAAGGTAACTTTATGAAGTGACGAATATGTGAATTAGCTTGGTTGTGGCAATTGTATTTTTTTTTTTTTTTTTTGAGACAGTCTGTCACTCCGATGCCCAGGCTGGAGTGCAGTGGCACAATCTTGGCTCACTGCAACCTCCTCCTCCTGGGTTCAAGCAATTCTCCTGCCTCAGCCTCCGGAGTAGCTGGGATTACAGGTGCCCACCACCACGCCTGGGTAATTCTGTATATTTTTAGTAGAGATGGGGTTTTGCTATGTTGGACAGGCTGGTCTTGAACTCCTGACCTCAAGTGATCTGCCCGCCTCTGGGTCCTGAAGTGCTGGGATTACAGGTGTGAACCACTGCACCTGGCCCAGTGATTGTGTTTTTAATTTCATTATCCACATGGTCATTACTAGAATGTAGAAGTAAGATTGATTTTTGAATCTTGTATCCTCTGACGTTGCTGAACTTACTGGTTAATTCTACAGGCGTTTTTGCTGGTTCTTTGTGATTTTCTGCATAGACAATCATGTCATTTGCAAATAGGGATGAGTTCTTCCCTTCCTTTTGATCGGGATGCTTTTAAAAAACTTTTCTTGCCTGATTGCACTGGCTAGAGCTGCTAGCACTACCAGAGCAGAAGTGGTGAGAGTGGGTTTTCTTGCCCTGTTACCAGTCTCTTGGGAAAGCATTCGGTCTTAGACCATTTAGTTAAATGTTGGATGTGGGCTTTTTGTAGGTGCCCTTTATCAAATTGAGGGAATCCTTCCCCCACTGTTATTTTTCTGAGAGTTTTATCATGAATGAGTATAGTTGACCCTTGAAGAACACAGGATTGAACTGTGTGGGTGCACGTATACGTGGCTTTTTTCAGCCAAAGCTGATGGAAAACACAGGATTCCTGGGATTTGACATCCAGGTATACAGCAGTCTGACTTTTTAAATGTATACATCCCATGGAGCCCACTACAGGACCTGAGTATGTGTGGATTTGGGTATATGCAGGTGGGTGGGAGGTCCTGGAACCAATACCCCATGTGTACCAAGGGACGACTGTATAGATTTTGAGATGTGCTTTTTCTGATTTGATGAATATGATTGTGTCATATTTTTCCTTTAGCCTGTTAATATGGTGGATTACTTTTCCCAGGGAGAGAGGGAGAGGAGGCTTGGACCAGACAGTTGCCATGGCAATAAGAGGCCACTGTGGAATGTGTTTTGGAGATGGAGGAACCGACTTGGCAAGCTCTGTGGGTGGCCTCTAGGACTTTTCACATATTAAAAAGTGAAATAAAATAAAACCCAAAGTGAGATTAGGCAAACCACTTGTGTTTCCAAAGAGCACCATGTTCCTGTCTCCTGATGGGTGGAACTGAATCTCTACCATTTTTCCTTCCCACTCACTCTCATCTCCTTACCCCTTGGAGGGCCTCTCGGTTTAATTGTTGTGCTTCCATCTGCTATGCCGTACCTGGTGGGGGTGCCAGGCTGGAGGCAGCTCTGCCTGCCTGGGGGCCACCCCTCTATTATGTAGTGGTGTGGGGGGGTACAGCAGCTGACTCTACAGGCTTCTCTGTGCTCAAGGCTGTGGGTGCCAGGTGTGGTGTCTGGAGCTGTGGGTGGGAACCTGCAGCTTTGGTCTCAGTCACTTAGAGCTGGACTGGAGGCTCCTGGGCCTCAGATCCCTTCTGCTGAGAGCAGCCTCCAGTGCTTTGTGTAGGAATGGAAGGGAGAGGGACCATGCTGTGCAAGGCTCACAGCAGGGCAAGCTGGCTGTTCCAGTGCTACAGGAAAGCAAACCCTGCTTTATCCACCATTGCCAGCATAGTGAAAGGTGGAAGAAGAACCGGATTCCTGAGTTTTTCTGTTGATCAGCACTGGAAACTGGGCATGTCTCTAATCTATTCAAGTCTGGTTTTTCACCTACAGCATGGGAACCATGAGAATACTTACGGCCTTGGTGTGGGGTCAGTTGAAACAGTACATGCAAAGTATCTCACAGTAGGTACAACCAAATGTAATTCCTTTTCTTGCAGAAGTAAATTTTGTTTTAACATAATTACAACATTCAGAAAATAAAAGTTTATCTCTTTAAGAACAAAGCATTAAGAAAATTTCTAGCTGTTGATGGAAAATTTCTGAAATACATCAGATGGCTCCAGCCTTAGGGAGCAAAGAGTGATGAATACAGTGGCCTTGTCTGCTGCCTCGACCCTCAAAGCCCACTGTGCTGTGGGTGGAGATGTCCCAAGAGTGGGATTGCTGGCTGTGGTAGTGAGGGCAGAGTCTGCAGGGCTTCCCCCCATCTGCTGATCTTCCTTCCTGCCCTGGACTTGGCCTTCCTCAGGATGTGTGGAGTTCTCTGCTCAGAAACAGCTGAGCCAGAGGCCTGGGAGATTAAAGTGCTTTGCTGCTCAGGTTTTTGAGGGCTCTCTTTTTGAGCCTCCAGGCTTGGTCTGTTCCGCTTGGTGGAAGTTGTCAGAATTCTGCCCTGTAGACTGCCTTCGTTTGCCTGTGCTGCTATAATAAAACATCTTAGGTGGCCGGGCGCGGTGGCTCATGCCTGTGATCTCAGCACTTTAGGAGGCTGAGGCAGGCAGATCACCTGAGGTCGGGAGTTCGAGAACAGCCTGATCAACATGGAGAAACCCCGTCTCTACTAGGAGACTGCAGGGCTTCCCCCCATCTGCTGATCTTCCTTCCTTCCCCAGACTTGGCCTTCCTCAGGATGTGTGGAGTTCTCTGCTCAGAAACAGCTGAGCCAGAGGCCTGGGAGATTAAAGTGCTTCGCTGATCTTTAGGAATGGAATGGAATTGGCCAGGTGTGGTGGCGCATACCTGTAATCTCAGCTACTCGGGAGGCTGAGGCAGGAGAATCAGTTGAACCCGGGAGGTGGAGGTTGCGGTGAGCCAAGATCGTGTGATTGCACTCCAGCCTGGGCAAAAAGAGCAAAACTCCGTCTCAAAAAAAAAAAAAAAAAAAAATAGTGTATCTTAGGTAATCTGTAAACAACAGAAATTTATTTCTCACAGTTCTGGAGGCTGGGAAGTCCAACATCAAGGAAGCATCAGGGTGAGTGTCTGGTGAGGGTCCCATTCCTGCTTTCAAGGTGGCACCTTGTTGCTCATCCTCTGGAGGGAACCAAGGCTGTATCTTCACAGAGTGAAGGCGGAAGGGCAGAGAGGCCCGGCGAGTTCCCTCCAGCCCTTTCATAAGGTTGCCCATCCCATTCTAAATAACCATTCTAAAAAACATAATCATTTCGAAAAGGCTCCACTTCTTAATACTGTTGTATTGGAGTCTAAGTTCCAACATGAGAATTTCGGAGGGCCACTTACACTCAAACCATGGCAGGGACAGAAGAGGGCTTTGTCTTGGTGCCCAGGTTTGTTTGTGAAAATGTAGACACACACACCACAGATATTTAAATAAACTCTTTATTTCAGAATCATCTTAGATTTACAGAAAATTTGCAATGATAGTACAGAGAGTTCCCATAAGCCTCTTACTCAGTTTCCCCTATTTTAACATCTTACGTTAGTATGGTACATTTGTTAGAATTAATGAGCCAATATTGATGCGTTATTATTGACTAGACGCTGCACTTTCTTTAGATTTCACTGGCTTTTTCCTAATATTGTTTTCCCTTCCAGGATCCCACCCAGGAAACCATATCATGTTAACTTGTTATCTCTCCTTAGGATCTTTTTGGCTGTGAAAGATTCTTATACTTTGTTTTTGATGACTTTGTTTTGGGGGGTACTTGTCAGGTAGTTAAAAATGTTTGTCAGAGGGAACTTTGATGTTTTTCTCATAGTTAGACTGGGGTATGTGTTCTTGGGAAGAAGACCACAGACGTGAAGTGCCATTTTGATCCCATCAGCTCAAGGGCACATACTATCGACATGACTTACCAGTGTTAATGTTGACCTTGATCAACTGGCTGAGTCTGTCAGATTTCTCCATGAGAAAGTTAGTGATTTTTCCCCTCTTTCCACACTGTACTCTTTGGAACGAAGTCACCAAACACAGTCCATGTGGAAGGAGTGGGGAGTTGTACCTCACCTCCTTGAGAGGGTAGTTATTTACATAAATTATTTGGAATTTTTCTGTATTGGAGACTAGTCTATTCTCATATACTAGTCTGTGGTATGTTGGGGGACTGTCTTTGTTTGCCTGTGCTGCTATAATAAAATATCTTTTCTGTTTTTAAAAATTGAGACAGGGTCTCACTCTGTTGCCCAGGCTGAAGTGCAGTGCATTTATTTACTTATGCATTGATTTATTCAATCATCATTGATTTATATCAGTATAGAATCATGGATTTAAAAAAAGACTTTGGGTTATACTTACTGTTTTGCTTAAATTGTTCCATCTCTGCCCATGGGAGCTGGGGTGCTCTCCAGTTCACTGCAGTCAACTGGAAGAGCTCCCACGGCCAACGCTGGAACAATTTTGAGATTTTCCCCATTATTTTGTTTTTTGAGCACTTCCTTACTTTCTGTCACTGCAGGATGCTCTGGGCTCATCTCATACATGTCATGTCTCAGCACTAGAAACAGCAATTTCTCTATAGAGCCTTGGTTCCTTTTTAATTGGAGAATGGTATTTGGAAACCAAGGTCCGGTGCTGTGTGTGCTCATTGCTACAGGGCTGTCTCAGTGGGTAGAGCTAGGAAGTATATGTATGTAGAGTGAACCATGTATATGCATTATCTATCTATCATCTATCTATCTATCTATCTATCTATCTATCTATCTATCTATCATCTATCTCTCCATCTGTATCTAAATTAAGCAAACTATGCGTTCATATTGATGTCTCCAATTCTAACCCTATTCCACAAGGTTCACTCTAGCTTCCTCCTTTGCTTATCCGTAACCTGCTTCTCACTACTCTCCATCCATTTACTTATTTATGTGATCTCTGTGTATAAGTATAGAATCGTTAACCTGAATGCCCATAGGAAGCAACTTTACCAACTAGAGCCCAGTGCTATGTGAAGATCCATTTCTAGTCTAACAGTCTCTATTCACTTCCACAGTTACTGAGGTCAGTACCTTTACCTCTTACCTCCTTCAGTAAGGCAATGTCATGCATTTGTAGTACAGATCCTTTTATCATCATCTCCATCCCATCCTGGGATCCCCTGACCTCCTAACTGATTTTTTGAAAACATTTCACATATAAAGTTCTCTCTTTGTGTTGTAGAATTCTATGGGTTTTGACAAATGCATAATGTCATGTATCTACCAGTATCATGCAGAATTAGTTCACTGCCCTAAAAAATCTCACGTCACCAGTTCAGTCTCTCCCATCTTCAAATCCCTGACAACCACTGATCTGTTTACCATCTCTATTCTTTTGCGTTTTCCATTGGAATCGTACAGTAAGTAGCCTTTTAAGGTTGACTGCTTTCATTTAGCAATACACATTTAAGACATTTTTCATCCATGTCTCCATAGCTTTTTTTTTGACAGGGTCTTGCTCTGTCTTCCAGGCTGGAGTGCAGTGGTATGAGCATAGCTCACTACAGCCTCAACCTCCTGGGCTAGAGTGATCCTTCTGCCTCAGCCTCCCAAATAGCTGAGACCACAGGCACGTGTCACCACAGCTGGCTAATTCTTACATTTTTTTTTTGTAGAGATGGGGTGTCATTATGTTGCCCAGGGTGGTCTTGAACTCCTGGGCTCGAAGCTCATTTCATTTTTCTTTTTTTTTTTTTTTGAGTCAGAGTCTTACTCTGTTGCCCAGGCTGGAGTGCAGTGGCATGATCTCGGCTCACCACAACCTCTGCCTCCTGGGTTCAAGCGATTCTCCTGCCTTATCTTCCCAAATAGCTGGGACTACAGGCGTGTGCCACCATGCCCGGCTAATTTTTGTATTTTTAATAGAGACGGGGTTTCACTATGTTGGCCAGGCTGGTCTCGAACTACTGACCTAATGATCTGCTCGCCTCAGCCCCCCAAAGTGTTGGGATTACAGGCGTGAACCTTTGCGCCTGGCCCATTTTTCTTTTTTTAAAATTTGAGACAGTCTCGCTCTGTTGCCCAGGCTGAAGTGCGGTGATGTGATTTTAGTTCACTTCAGCCCCAACCTCCCTGTCTCAAGTGATCCTCCTGCCTCAGCCTCCCAAGTAGCTGGGAGCACAGGCACATGCAATCACATCTGGCTAATTTTTGTGTTTTTAGTAGAGAAGGGGTTTCGCCATGTTGCCCAGGCTGGTCTCAAACTCCTGGGCTCAAGCAATCTGTCTGCCTTGGCCTCCCAAACTGTTGGGACTACAGGTGTGAGCCATGACACCAGCCTCATTTCTTTTTAAATTATTGAATAGTATTCCATTAGATGGATGTGCCACCCTTTGCTTATTCATTTACCTTTTGAAGGATATTTTGGTTGCTTTTCGTTTTCAGAAATTATGAATAAAGCTGCTGGGAATATTCCTGTGCAGGTTTCTGTGTGGACATAAGTTTTCAACTCATTTGGGTAAGTGCAGAGGAGTGCAATTGCGGTTTGTATGGTAAGACTATGTTTAGCTTTGTAAGAAACTGCAAAGCTGCCTTCCATAGTGGCAGTTCCATTCTGCATTCCCACCAGCAATGAAGGAGGGTGGCTGTTGCTCTGTGTCCTTGTCAGCATTCTTCTAAGACTTTAGCCGTTCTAAAAGTGTGTAGTGGTATCTCATGGAAGTTACTTTCAAGTCTATTTTTATAGGTGGAGAATACGCGTGTATCTGATGTGCACAGGAATCCCTCATTGCTGAGGGACGCCTTCGTGAAATAGGTAGGAAGTTCTGAAATCTTGTTGATGGTCTTTGTTTCTTCCCGTTTGGAGTGGGTCCCCAGGCCAGGCCTTGCCTTTTCCAATTCACTGTGAGCATGTACACAACTGTCCCCATGAAAAATACTCCAGAAAGCCCTAGAAGCACAATTAATCAACGTGTAATTTATTGCTTATGCAGCAATTACCCAATCTGGTAACGTCACTTTGCTCCAGGGAATATAGATCTTTTCCCTCCCGGTAAATCTGCTGGCCTTCACTGCCACGGGCATTTGTTTTCGGGAATAGGTGACAAATAACCACCACTAAATTACATGAGGACTTTCTTCCTTTAGTTTAAAAATACGGACTATGATTTCTAACCAGCAAGCGAAGGCAGCAGAATGCGCAGCAGCTCTGACATAAAGAAAGTTGAGCGGAAATGCAGCGAACTCTGGGTGAGGCATCTGAAAGAAGCCTTTTTTTTCTTTCTTCCTTTTTTCTATATGTGTCTGTTTTTCAAAAGTGCCCATTGATTTGATTTTTGAGATACGAGGCTTTTGACTTTTCTTAAAGCATTTCCCAGAAGAGCAGAAAAGCTGAATGCTATTAACATGATCCCAGGCCCCTGGGTGTGTACGTGCACGTATGCGTGAGTGTGTGTGTGTATGGGCGTGCGCGTGTGTGCAGTTTTTGATAACTTCAGAAAATATTTTGGAAAGTCTTGGGCCCAGTCCTGGATGTTTACAGAAAAGTAATCATGGATCCCTTCAAAGCCTGTTGTAGAAGAGAAAGATAAAGGAAACAGCAAGGCACCAAAAACCCATTTATGCTCAGGAGGCAGGCGCTCTGGATAGGGAAGACAGCCGAGCTCCATGCAAGGTAAGGCAGGGGAGCTTTCTCAGCTCCTGGGAAACGCTGCCAGGGCCAGCCAGTGGCTCAGCCCTACCCCCTCAGAAGCTGGAGCTGAGTTTATGGCAAATCCCCCATCTGGGAGCTCAAGTGAGCAGAGGAACAAGGCTGAATCACACACTGTTTCATTTTCTAAGGTGCTCACAGACCCGCTCTCTCACCTGGTTTCAAGGTCAACATCATGAGGGAGCACCGTGAACTCCTCTGTAGGAGTGAGGCTCAGTGAGATTACAGGGCGGGCCACGGGGCTACTGCTAGGGAGTGGCAGCTGGGTTCTCAGGCTCTAAGCCTCCTCCTGCAGCCACCACTGGTCTTTTCCAGCCACAGACGTAGTAGCTCTCCCCAACCCCTCCCACCCGTGTTGCCTCCATTGAACAAACATTTATTGAGCACTAACTGCATGCCAAGTTCTGTGCTGGCAGGGTCTTAAAGAGGGGAAGCAACTGTGCGTGGTCCAGCCCTCAGGGGCCCTGGGCTCTGTGCCCCTGGTCAAAGTCAATGTCAGCTGTTCTTGGTGGGGGAACCCCTGAACTGCAGGAATAGGCACAGTGCCCAGCTCCTCTCCCAAAGCTGCAACGACCGCAAGGCTCACTCTGCCCAGGGAACTGGAGGAAACCAAGGCTCAGTCAGACCTCCAGACCTCCACCCTGACCCGTTCAGGGACACCTGGGAGTCCGGGGCCTGGCCCTCACTCCCAGCGTGGGAGCAGACATCTGCTATGCTGCCGGCTGCTGGGAGACCTGCCTGGCCCTGGGCACTCGGGCTCTATTAAATTGTTAATACAACCATTAGAGTATCAGCGTATTATCTCTCTGCCCAGGAGGGATCTGATGCTATTCACACTTCTGTCGGTTCATTTTTATTTATCTGGCTTTCACCTTGATGGATAACAGGTTTATACAAAGCCCTGGTGCATTTGAAATATGCCAAAGGAGGGGAACAGGAGATGGGAGACGGCCACTATGGGGGCTGCGTTTCACGAGGCCATCCCCACCCCCGGCCCCCAGGCCATCTGTGAGTCATGCAGGGCTTATTCCAACACCAGGGGCAAGAGCGAGGGTCTGGCTGCAGCCGAGCCACCGGCAACTGAAATGTGTCTGTGGGTTCTCCTATTCACCCATCCATCCTTTTGACCATCACATGACGTGGTGGGGAGTGAGGTGGGGAGATGCGGTGGGGATTGAAGTGGAGGAGGTGCAGTGGGGAGTGAGGTGGGCACTGTCCACCCCTTCAAGGCCTTTACCGCTAGAGCAGCAGCTCTCAACCAAGGGCGGTTTTGCAATTTTGTCCCCAGGGGATGCTTGGCAATGCATCACTTTGGTTGGGGAGGGGCTCTGCCAGGGATCCTGCTAAGCACCCTAAGATTCCCAGGGGAGCCCCCCATAAGAAAGGCTGATCTGGCCCCAAATGTCAACAGCGTTGAACTGGATCAACCCCGGACTGAAGGAAGGAGTCACTCTGAGCAGGAGGAAGAGGAGGGAGGCACTGGGAAAAAACAGGGGCTGTCCCCATTGTCTCCTGTCCCAGCCACTCTCAGCTGGGTGCTGAGATGTGCCCCGTTTGCTGAGATACATTATAGATATATTGTTTATTTCGACAGTTTTTGGGAACAGGTGGTGTTTGGTGACATGGATAAGTTCTGTAGTGGTGATTTCTGAGATTTTGGTGCACCCATCACCTGATCAGTGTACACTGTACCCAATGTGTAGTTTTTCATCCCTCACCCCTCTCCCACCCCAAGTCCCCGAAGTCTATTGTATCATTCTGATGCCTTTGTGTCCTCATAGCTTAGCTTCCAACTACAAGTGAGAACATGCGATGTTTGTTTTTCCATTCCTGAGTTACTTCACTTAGAATAAGTGGTCTTATTTAAACCGACACCCTACAAGGGAGCTGGAGAAATTGGGAGGGAGGCGGTGTGGCTTCGTGAGTGCCTGTGCGGAGGAGAGAGGAGGGAGACAGACAGGAGTGTCTCGGGTCGTGTGTGAGAGTGGCGGAGCTTCGAGGTGGGTGCAGCATCGGGAGGAGCCCAGGGCGCTGAACTGCTTTGCAGTTAGAGGGAGGAAGAAGCCAGGTGGGGACCGGCCTGCCTGCCAGCTATGCTGACATTTCAAAGTCTACGCCCATTTGGAAGTGGCTAGCTGGGTTTAAGCCCTGCTATGATGTGCTCAGATTTTTTTTTTTTTTAAATCACCTTGTCTGCCTTGTGGAGGAAGGGTTTACACAAGCTTCCTGAGGCTGGCATCACAAGGTGCCACACACTGGGGACTTTAAAAACAAAAATTAATTCTGGTGGCTCCTTCTGAGGCTGTGAGGACCTGCCCAGACCCCTCTCTCAGCCTCCGGGAGCCTCAGGTGTTCCCTGGCTCGCAGATGCATCTTCCCTCTCCCTGTGGCCAAAGTTCCCCTTTGGTGAGGACACCAGCGTTTGCACTAGGGCCCACCCTAGGGACCTCATTTAGCTTCATTATCTCTGTAAAGACCCTGCCTCCAAATAAGGCCACATTCACAGGTCCTGGGGGGTTCAGACTCTAACATGCCTTTTTCTGGGAGAGGCAATTCCTCCTGTAACAAGGCCAGCAGGGGAGGCAGGAGAGGCGGGAGACAGGATCTGTCTAATGACCCAGGTATGTGCTGAGAGTGGCTGGGACAGGGGACAATGGGGATAGCAGGAGGAAGAGCAGGGATCTGGTTCAATGTCAGGAGTGGAGGTCAAAGAACTTGGTGATGGAATTGGCTGGGGTGGGGCCTGGGTCCCCTGGGCCCAATGGGGTCCACTTAAGAGTCCCGGGAAAATGATCTCCCCTGCAGCCTCAGAAGAGTTTCAACCTCCGTTTCTCTTTGTTGTTAAAATGATAGCCTAAGTATTAGAGGAAATTCTCCAAAGGCCCAAATGCACCCATTATGTCCTTAATAACTTTATACAACTGTTTTCCAAACATGTTGTACCTCTTCACCCTAGGCATATGTTAAAAAATTAATTTGTTTACTCTCAGTAAAGTGATGCATACTCATTGTATGAGACAGATGATTCAGAAAACACCAAAAAGTAGAACTAATAAGACAAAAATCACTCATAGTCATGTAGGGATGTGACAACAATCACTCATTGCTACCTGGAATTCCCTCGAATAGTTATTTATTTAACCACTGACCCAGGATTGGACGTTTGAATGATTGTAAAAATATTCACGGTCTTCTAAAATGTTGGCCTCCTTCAACCTAATTATTATACAAATGTTTGTCTGCTGAGTGAAAGCGACCCTTCATCAGTCCTAGACTTTGCAGCTCTTTATTGGGGAGGGCTCACATCTCTAGTGCTCCACCGCATCATCCCTTCCGCCAGGGGTCTCGGGGATGTTCCCAAGGACCCAGGGAGTTTGCTGTGAAGGGGGACCATCCTTCCAAGATTGGAGAGGGAGAGTATAGGCAAATTAAAAGCAGCACTGGATGGGTGCCTGCCCTGCCTGGTGGAGGTGCCCATGCCTTTGGAAGGGCTCCTCTTCATGGGATGACAACACAGCTTACTGAGTACCAGAGCGTGGTGTGCAGGCACCATCTCACTGGCACCTCATACTGGAGCCAGGAGTAACTTGGCCAACAGGATGCGTTAGGGCCTATCAGTGCTGGGGTCTGGGCCTTGGCTGTTGGACCCTGGAGCCCTCCTGCCTCCCTATGTGTGTGGGAGGTGTCTACAAAGGAGGCGGTGGAGGGACGCTCTTTTGGCACTGAGAGCATCTGTCTTTGGAGGGTCCCATCCCTCACCAAGACACTGCCTGTCCTGGCCTGGACCTTCCCTGGTGCCATTCCCTGGTGCACCACAGGTTGGGGTCTGCAGATCTCTAGAGCATTTGCATCTGCAGAGAGAAAACCCTGATAGCCTGGGCACTCCAAGGGCCCGTCTGGCCACCTCTACCCAGAAGGTGAATTCTCCAACAGAGTGAGTTTCCATGTGGAAGGATGACAGTGAAAGTGCACTGAGCCCCGAGGTGTGCTGGGCACCACACGCATTCCCTCCTTTAACTGTGCAGCAACAGTGGGATTCTTCCCATTCTAGACGAGGAAACAAAGCTGGAGATGCCACGTCACTGTGCAGAAGGCCCCACGGTGAGCCAGTGTGGGGCGGGGTCAGAGCTCAGCAGTCTCTGCCTCCTCCCATGCTGCCTCTCCACACTGGGTCACCTTTGGGGACAGTGTTGGTCTCAGGTCATTGCTTCGGTACTGTCAGTTGACTTTGGGTGCACGTGCACACACATGTTCACACACTCACACTCACATGTGCACACACACATTCTCACACTCATGGGAACACACATGCCTTCACATACACTCACACACACACTCGTGCCTGTACATGGACGCCCACGCTCGCGTAGGCAGGTGCTCTGCTGGGCCCTCTCCACGGTTTATGACTGTCTGGGAGACGACAAGGCGAGGCCGAGATCTTTATCGCATCCGGATATTGACTCTTTGTCATGTTCCATGCTGTTATTTCCCCGAGTCTGTTGTTTCTTTTTTTATTCTAGTTTCATGTGCTTTCACTGTACAATTCTCTCTTTTTCCCTTTATTTTTCACTGCCTTATTCTGGATGTGTTTCTATTACTGGTGACTGCGAATCGTTTCTGAGGAACGTGCTGGCTCTCTCTCTCTCTCTCTCTCTTTCACACACACACACACACACACACACACACACAGAGCAGGCCTCCATGGGTGTCTTGGCTGCTGGAGCCTGCAGGAGCCCCCCCGCCCCTCACCATGGGGGCTGGCCGTGGCCTGTACAGGTTAGGGCATCTGTGGCGACACCCCCTCTCACAACAGGCTAGGGGAAACGGGGTGGTAAGGCCGGCAAGGGGAGGGAAGGGCAGTGGGGATCTGGAGCTCCCTGTTGGATCTGGATTCTAAAAGGACACTCTTCCCACTGCAGGGTGACAAAAAGACATTTTTCAGGAACGATTGTTCTGGTGACTTCATGTGGCTTCAGACACAGGGAGATGCTTTTAAAGGCTTGGGAATAGTTTTCCTTCTATTGAAAAGGGTAAATCTCATGCCCTCTGTGTGGGTCCTGGGAGAAGCTATTCTTAGAGATATTCTAAAAAATTCTATAATACTTGAAAATGCCATAGATTGCAGAAAATTTGAAAGGGAGGGAAACTATAATTTCTCTAACCCGTTGTCTTCTTATGTTGAACAAAGATATCATTAGTTCTATTTTTAATCAGCAAATGCTATATTTCCAAATATAAATATAAAGAGGCTGTGCCAGCTACTAGCCCACTTGGGGAAGAACCCAGGAGCCTCCTGCTTGCTGGCTGGGTCTGCTCCGGGATCTCTAGTGAGGCACAGTGGCCTCTGCATTGGGTCTGGACATGGCACCTCCTTCTCAGGTATCCAGGAGCTGAAAAGACAAATTACCTGCACTCCCGGCCCCCAGAAGTACAGAAAAGGGACAGGGTGGCCACCCCATTCAGAAAGGGGGAGAGCAGGGGCCCACAGCACTCACCAGTCGGCTAGGTAAACATTTCCAGGCCTGACTCTCCTGCTGGGTGGGGAATGTTCTTTAATCTAGTGCTGATTCTACGCCCCGGCAGCAGCTCCCTTGGTCCTCTGCAGCCCTTGGCTCCATTCTCTGGGGGGTTTGCTTTCTCCGTTCTCTTCTTAGCCACATGTGAAGTAGGCATGGGGACAGCTCTTCCTGGGGATAGAGCAGTCTTCCCAGCCCACTCCTGGCTGTAGACAATTGGGCCAGGCCCAGGCTCATTTTGCCTAATGTGTTTCTGTGCTCTGCTGTGCATGCTGGGCGGGGGGCCTTGTGGCCTTGAAATGCTCTGAAAATGTGGTGAGGGCTTCATCTCTTCAGCTCCATGTTCCAATTGCCACGCCACCCTTCCTTGGGAGGTGTAATCCTCATTTCTAAATTTCTTTGTTGTCTCATCCTTATGTTTCCCTCTGTTTTCCTAGTCATGTGACTGCCTTGTCATGTGATTTGCTTTGGCTGGTGAAACAGAAGAAGAAGTTGGGTGTGGTCATGTGACCTGTCAGACGTACTCTCAAGGCCCTCGAGATGTCCAGCTTCAGCGAGAGCGTCACACAGGAAGGCTCTTTTCCCTGGGCTGCTCTGTCCGGCCTCTATCTGGGCTACTCTGGATACCACACCTTTGTCTGAGCTGCTATCCTGAGACGCCCCCAATCCATTTGGTTTTTCTCTGGGTGTAGCACCCACTCCCTTGATTCGTTTCTTCACCACATGGCTGATCGACTTCTCAAGGCACCTCAGGCAACAGTTCTACAAAAATCTGGCCACTGCATGGCATGACCACCATCTTTCCAGCCTTTGGTATCAGTTTTCTAAACTCCTGTTGCCTGATCTCAAAGCCAAAGCCACATATTTGGGTTTCTGCTACAGCAACTCACTCCTGGGATAAGCCTCTGTATTAGTTAAACCAGGCTTGATTTTGAGGAGGTGACAATTAGCACCCTGATTTCAGTGGCTTAAAAAACACAGCTCTGAAGTACACTGTCCTTGCCTGAGATTTAGGCTTCCCCATCTGCAGCCTTCACCATCTAGAGTGACCCTTGGGCACCATGGCAGAGTCAAGGGAGTATGGGAGCTTACACACGTCTGCCATTGACCAAAGCAAGTCACATGACCCTGCCCAACCTCTACTCCTGTTCCATTGGCCAAAGCAAGTCACATGACCACACTCAACTTCTACATCTGTTTCAATGGCCAAAGCAAGTCACATGACCACACTCAATTTCTACACCTGTTCCACTGGCCAAAGCAAGTCACATGACCATACCTAACTCCAGGAAAGGTGGGAGAAGTTGATCTTCTACTCAGAAGGAGAGACTCTAGATGTTAGGAACAACTCTAATGACAGTCTCTTGTAGGGTTTAAGTAATAATGGTTTCCCCTCTGTCTTTCCTCCTGCCATCTAAACACAGTTCCTCAACTGTATCTCGTTCCCAAGCCTGCTCTGGATCCATTCCAGTTGCCTACCCTGCTGCTTACAAGCTATTATCAACATTTACTGTAGCCTCAGAAACTGGGACCTGGTGCTGTTGAAAGTCAAGAACAAGGCTGGGCATGTCTTGTGCCCACCCTCCTAATGGTGAAGGGGGAAAAGGGAAAGTGTGAGGATCAGCGAGGGCTGTGTCTCCAGGGGACAGGACACTTCCTTCCAGGTTCCTTCTCTTGCCTTTCCCTTTCAACACTCCCCATCCCCACCTAGGAAGGGTTCTGTGATTAATCACTGCGGCCTTCCTGCTTCTCTGGGAGAGTCACAGCTAACAGGAGCTTGGCCCCGGCTCTGAGGCACCAACTGAATTTTGATTTTGTGATTTCATTCAGTTTGGTGTTCCCTCAACCTATGTGACAAGAGAGCCCTCTCTTGCCCGCCATCCAGGTCGATGGAATGAGTGCCCAGTGCCTGGCCCGGCCCGGAGGAGAAAGCTTTCCTGAGTCCACAGGCTCCTGCCGGAATGGCTGCTGGGCACGGATTCAGTGATGTTCTGGCTATTAATCAAAGCGGGCAGCTGTTTATTGTTCTGTGTACTCCAAACTTGGAGAGATTCTTCCTTAATTATACTTTAGCAGCTTCATCCAAATGAATTAGTAACTGCAGCCTTGCAGCCCATCCCTGTGGCACGTCTTCCTCCTGTACATCCCTCCTCTGCTGGTGTCCACTCCCCAAACCCCCGGGCTTCTCCCTACAGCCTGAGAGCCCTCAGGTCAGCTGCTGGAACTGGAAGGATGTAGGGGCACAGAACTCACGCTCAAACCCCAAACCAGCTGGGAAGGTGTCTGGGTCTCTGAGACTCTCTATGAAAACGAAGGAGGATGCTTCCTTTTGGGTTGGGGCTGTCTTCCTAGGAAGGTGGTGGGGGTCGGGGTGGGTTGCTTCCTGCCAAGTGCTCCCTGCTCCCTACCCAGCCCCACAAGGTTCCCAGAGCAGCCAGCTCTGAGCAACTTTTAATCTCCTGGACAAAGGAAAAAAATGACAAATTGAATCCCTCGTCCCGACCTTGGTACCCAGGGAGGCTTTTGCCAGCCTCCCTCCTGGCTTCAGTGCGTGCAGCCAGCCCCAGGCCTCTGACATTAATCGGCTCTTTACGAAAGGCCATGGCCTTCGCTTCTCTGGACGTTTTCAAAGGCGGTGAATGAATCAGATCGCTTTTAAATAGTTATACCCTGCATCCTCGCATTTCCTCTTGTTCATATACTAAGTGTGTGATGTCTAAAACAGTTGAAGTACGGTTTATTAATTCATTCAGCAAATCTTTACTGCACCTGAACATGGAACATGGCGTGTGCCTGGCAGGGGTTAACTCTGGGGACCTCAGTCCTTGCTTTTGAGGGGCACACAGTCTGGCCATGGGGAGAGGTGGCTCAGTGCCTATCTGCACCAGGGTGAGCAGGCTCCATGAAGTGGGCCTGGGGGATGGAGGGTGTCATAGACCAGCTGAAGTTCTCTGGAATCTCAGGAGGGGCTGCACAGGACTCATGGGGCATGGAGAAGAGTCACGTGGGTGTGCCCCCTCAACACTGTGCTTCTCAAATATGTGCGCGTCCATTCTGGTGTCTGGGTCAAGGGCGGTTCCGCCTCAGCAGGTCTGGGTGGGTCCTGAGCTTCTGCCTTCCCAACAACCTCCAAGTGAGGCTGATGCTGCTGGCTGGAGGAGCACAAGGTTGGAGACAGGTAGCAAGCTTGGGGGCAAAAAGAGACACCAAAGGCTTTGAAGGTGTAGGGTGCACACAGCTCATTATGGTTGTGGCAGAGTGCAGGTGGGGACAGGCAGGGTCCCATCTGCAGGGTTCTCTGGGCTTCCAGAATGTTCTTTTCATGCATCTGCCTGAGCCTTTACCACATTGTCTGCGGTTCATCAGGCATGCTTTCTTTCCTCCTTTTGTACATGCAGACCCGGGATGGGACTGTATCTCCATCATCCTGGTACCCCAGGACTTGGCCTGAGAATATGGTGAGTTCTTGCTTAGTGATTGAATCACCTGCCTTCTCCGTGTTGCAGTAGCAAAGCCAGGTCTTATTCATTTAACCTCTGTGCCTGAGATGGAGCGATTGATGAATTCATGCTTTTGGAATTGAGTTTCCTTCTTTGCCTGTGGCTTTGCCTTCTAGCTTATTTGCTTGTACTGCAGTCCCATGATGGCAGGTGAGGTTGCTGTCAGGTTGCTCAGGTTGGGCACTGCATGAGCAGAGTGGAAACTGCCTTAGTGAGAAAGTGTGAGGACTTACGGTGGGCTTGTATTCTTTGGGCCAGAGGTTGCATCTTGCCACCAGCTGCAGCTTCCTGTTTCATCTGTCTGTGCCACCAGGGTCTCTGGCAGGTCTGGCCTGGTGCCTTATCAAAGTGAGAAGCTAGTGTTCCCTCCCCAGCACCACGGGAATTGTATCCATCTAATGGCATTGTGAAGGTGTGAGGTCTGGGCTCTGATTCACAGGCCACAGAATGTAATGCACCTACTACTCTTTCATGGGTCAGGAAGCCTGTGTTTCCTGTGGGTTACTCAGCATTGATATGGGCTGCAGCTCCCACCAAGGAGATGGGGTAGTTCTCCCAAACTTCCTACTGAGGTTCTGAGCTTAAAAGCTTCATGCTCAGCCAACAGCTTTAGGGTTTATTGGCCTCTTATACCTGAGTGAGAATAAGTTTTGGGTTCCTTTCTTGAGAGTGAGATTCAATGGAACGATTCAGAAAAGGTGCTTGAGATGGGCAGAACAAGGGCCCTGGGGGTGAGTGGTGGGGACGTGCAGAAATGGGAGGCTGGTCCTCAGGGAATGCTTGGCCACGATGATTTGGGGACGGCTGATCAAGTGTGGCTGTTGGTAGTTGTTCAGCCACTTCGGTATAGCTGTCGGGGCAGAGAAGGGGGTTTGTGGAGAAACTTGAAAGTTCCTCCAAGGGGAGGAAGGGGCAAGAAGGGCGGGCTTAAGACCAGAAGCGTCACTGCTGCTGCTGATGGAGGCCTGCCTCATTCCCTTCTCTTCTCTGGGCGGAACTAAGCCAAGCGGCTGCTTTCACTTAGCCGGCAGCATAGGGGCTGAGCAGTAAATTACAGGCCATTAGTTTCACTCCAGTTGGAGAAGGACCCTTTTGGAGGATGGAACAGTGGCTACTGCCAGGGATTTTTTGTGTGTATGCGCGCGATGATCGTGGTGAAGGGTGGTGGCCAGCCACCAGCGAGATGCCTAGGTCATCATGGCAGGAAAGGCAGGCCTGGGTGGAAGGGACAAGAGAAGTCTCCAGAGCAGGACAAGGCCAGCACCATTGCTTCTCTGGCCACCCTCCATGCATGACGAGGATTTCGTTGCTGCTGAAACCGGGCCCACAAAGACTGTGATTAATTGAGACAGGACAAGAGGCTTTAAAAATTTTACAATCGATTTGCATAATGGATCTTTGTTTTAAAAAAAGAAAAGAACAAAACAGAGCTCTCAGGCACTCTGGTAATGCTGTACTTGCAGACGCAACCTGGCAGAAGTTGGTGTTTCTAACTGCAAAGATTTTCTGTGAAAAATCAAGTCTATTACCTTTTTTTTATCTGATATAAAAATAATGCAGGTTCACTGTAGAAGGTTTGGAAAATGCGGAAGGGGAGAGCAACGCTTTAATATCTTGCCACAGGGAGGATCTGGCAGTGACAGATGGGATATTTTTTGTTCTTACCTGGGAAGTGGTCCCCTGACAAACTATCTTGTAGCAGTACAAGCTTCTGCTGAGTTCATAAATTCCTTTGGCAGGCCAGCTGACAGCCCTGTGTACTTTTATTACTGAGGGCTAATCACTCCGTCTCTGTTTGCTCCTGGGATGGAGGGGGATGTTGGAGGTGGGGAGAGGGAGGGGTGGTGCTCTGGGGGAAAGAGCCTCCTGGTGCTGGCACTGCACTGAGGAAGGATGGCAGAATTAGGCAGAATCATAACATCACCGAGCAATCCCTGCATGCAGGGCTCTGCTAAGCGCGCTATGGGCCTTTGTCATTGACGCTTCTAAACAACTTACCAGGTGGGTACTATTATGGAACTCATTTCCAGGATGAGGAAATGGAGGCACGTGGCTTGCCTAAGTTCCCACAAGCTGGTGAGACTCAGAGCCGAGATTCAACCCAGGTTGCCTGAGCTGTAGCCCCTGGGAAGCCCACACTGCCTGTTCTCTGCTCCCCCGAATGAACTCATGTATGTGCCAAGTGGAAGCTGACTCACGCCAGGCACTGTGTGTGCCATGGAAAACATGAGCTGCGGTGGCCTGGTTTCTAAGATGGGCCCTGAGGCACAGGGCTGGTATAATCCCTTCCCCTTGAGGGTGGGTGGGGCTGGGACTATGATGGGGTGACATTCAAATGAGTAAGTCACATGATAAGAAAAGGTGAAGAATTTTTGTAGATGTGTTTAAGGTCTCTAATCCGTTGATTTTAAGCTCATGATCAGGGAGATTGTTCTTGGTGGGCCTGACCTAATCATCATCAGGGAGATTGTCCTTGGTGGGCCTGACCCTTTTAAAAATAGCCTAGAAATTAGAGAAGAAGGAAGCCAGAGAGATTTGAGGTAGCAAATGCTCTCCCGTTGGCCTTGAAGAAGCAAGCTGTCATGCTGTGGAGAGGGCCATATGGAAGGCAATCTTGGGTGCTCTAGGGAGTAAGGGCCTCAGTCCTACAACTGCAAGGAACTGAGTTCTTCCAACAACCAGTGAGCTTGGAAGAGGACCCTGAGTCTTTCAGATGAGATTGTAGCCTTGGCTGACACCTTGATTTCACCTTGGTTAGCACATGTGCAGCTAACCCACACCTAGTCCCACGGAGACTGTGTAATTACACATTTGTGCTGTTGTAAACTGCTAAGTGTGTGAAAATTTGTTACACAGCACAAAAAGCTAGTACACATGCCAGTTTGTGCAACCTGAAAGATGTGTGTAAATGGAGGGCTCAGCACTTCTGCATAGCAGGTGCTGAATCAGCTCTGGCCCCATCCTCACCTCACCCCAGACGCTGCCTGTCTCCAGCAAGGCCTCCAAGCAGGCACTTGGACGCAGAGGCAGAAGCTCCAGGAGCACCTCACTTCCCTCTTTACATGTCAGTGGCCCAGTCACTTGTTACTTAAAAAAAGCCCAGCTGAGACTGGATCCTTTCCCCAGCTGAGACCGGATCCCTTCTCCAGCTACCAAAGACTTTTAAGAAGCCACAGTTGTCACACGGTTGCATAACTTTTTTCCCCTCCAGGCTTAGAGGCTTAGAAATGAAAATATTTTGTCTCTTTTGCATGGCAGGAGAGTGTGGGGGTGTTGGAGTCTTGCAGATCCTTCAGCTGTAATACATAGCACCGTAGGCAGCCCTATTACCAGCCCCTAAAATATGCAATTGGGGGTGAAAATGGATAATGAGATGAGGTTTGAAGAGTGAGCTCTGTGCGGCTCAGGATCTAGCCAGAAGACAGAAAGAGAGTCATAAACATCAAAAATGGAAAAGAAAATGTAGCAATCACATCCTTTGAAAAAACACCCTAATCATCTTTCCAAGGCCTCACGCCAGGCTGCCACAGGGCATGTGTGTTAAGAATGACACCCTCTGCTGCTTCTCTTTCAACAAGTCACAGCTTAGAATCTCCTCTGTGTGCTCAGCAAGATGCAACCTCGAAGAACAGAGGAAAGGACTTTTAAGGACTCCAAGATGGTGTACGCTAATCTGGAGGCAGTGCTGCTACTGCAGATGACCAAGGTCCCTGGGACCTGATGAGGGGTTCGCAGTGTTGGGGCCTGGCCCACCTCCCCAGATCTTTGAGTGAGACTCTGGGGGCACTGTCATTTCTTCCTCTTTATTTGCTTGATCTCTTCCTACTCATCTGTGGGAGCCATTTCCTCCAGGAAGCCTCTCTGACTGCAGGCTGGGTTAGGCTCACTGTCCAGGTTTCTATTGCCCCCTGGATTGTGTCAGAGCAGCTGTTACAACTGTGATTGACCTCCTTCTTGATTTACTCTTTGACTTCCTCAGTGGACTCTAAGCTCCAAGACACTGTCCAGGGACAGTGTCTGTGTGGATCATTGTGCTAAGCATCAGTCCCAAAGCTGGGTATGTAGGAAGAATATTTGAAAGGTCAATAAGTGAAGAAAATATTGGGGGAGTGGGAAGTGGTCAGTGCAAAACCTTCTAAGAAGGGGTTGCCTTGAAGATTTCTGGGAGCCTCTCACCTTTCTTTCCACTCTTTCTTTGAACCAAATCATTCCAGAGTTGAGTCCAACCTCTCTTGTTCTACAAAGAAAATAACTGAAGCTCTGAGAGGGTAAGAGGCTTCTTCAAGTTTACATAGCAAGATGATGGGATAGATCTGGGACAAGAACTATGCAAATGGTTGCTCTGTCACATCACTTTGTCTCAGCAAAGGGCCAAAGATCAGAAGGTGGAACAGCCCTTAGGAACACCCTGGGCCCTGAAGTCGTTTGCAGCATGGCATCTGACAAGGCTGTCTGTCTCTGGTTGGAGGGTCTGTTTCCTTATCAGGAGAGGTGCATGTATAAAACCCAACAGGGACAGCCTGGGGGAAGCAAGAGTGAGGTGCCTAGGGTGTGCGATTCATGGAGGCATCTACTTGTAGACTTGTAGGGCACTCTTGACTCTTGAGATTCAACACCTCCTTATGGTTTGTGCCTAAGGTGCCTCTCTCACCTCACCTTTGTCCCAGCCATGACATTCAAGCCAATGTGTTAGAAAAGTGATACTGAAGAATTACAGACTTGAGGATAAGGCCAAAATCTTACCAGCTCAGGAAGATATATCCATTCATTCATCTACCCATCTCTCCATCCATCCTTGCATCCATCCATCCATCCATCCATCCATCCATCCATCCATCCATCCTCTTATTCATCTGTCATTCCATCCATCCATCCACCTATCCGCTCATCCATTCATTATTCCATCCATCCATCCATCCATCCATCCATCCATCCATCCATCCAGCTATCCACTCATCCACCCATCTAATCATATTCATCCATACATTCCTTATCTAACCATCCATTAATCTCTCATCCATCCATTCACCTATCTATCCACCTATCCATCCATTCACCCATCTATCCATTCATCTATCTATCCATCCACTGATCCACTCATCCATCCACCCATCCATCTCTCATCCATCCATTCATCCATCCATCCATCCACTCATCCATTCATCATTTCACCCATCCATTCATCCACCCGTCCATCCCTCATCCATTCATCCATCCATTAACTTATCCACCCATCCATCCATTCATCCCTCATCCATCCATCCATCCATGAATCCATCCACCCATTCACCCATCCACTCATCCATCCATCCATTCATCCACCCATCCATCCATGCCTCCACCTACCAACTTCAGGAAGCTTATATTTTTAGTTATTTTATTACCTACCTACCTACTTACCTACCTTCCCAACATCTATCAATTCACACACATATATTTGCACTGTGTATCTTTATACACAGATTAGTTCCCTTTCCTGTAGATAATGAAGTTCATCTCTTCTTACCTGACATAAATTCTCACCTCAGGGCCTTGGCACATGCTATCCCTACTCCCTAGACTGTTACCCTCCACACTAGAATGTTTGCTTCTCTTTATCCTTAAATCTCAATTCTAGTCCGTTTCTCTTCTTGTGATTAACTTTTCTGGCTATGCAGCATCTATTCTCCATTCCTAACAGTACCCTTGTTTTTTGGTTGTTGTTTTAGAATCTCCTCTCCCCTATTATGAACAGCCTCAGTGGGGTAGCAAAAATTAAGGTGCTCTATTCCCAGCCAAGAAATGGGCATGTGGTTTAAGCCAGGCCAAATGAACTTTCCCCTTCCTCACCCCACTTCTCAAGATTTCAGTTTTGAGTATAGGGAGAGAAGGAAGTGAGAACAAATAGTGAGAAGGTGTTTATTTTAGCAGCTTCACCAGGAGTGGTTTCCGCTGCCAGATGCCTAGAGGTCCCCATCCTGACTTCCTCTGGGCTCCAGCACCTCACCCATTTCCAGATTACTCACTGCCCCTCTAGCAATTCCTTTTACAATGAGGGTCATAGAGATGGTTTCCCTGGCAAAGGATTCCAAGATAGACATCATCAGAGAGGACTTTGATGATTCCCTCATTGAAGGTGGTCCCCCACCAGCTCAGTTTCCCTTCGGTTTTCTTAGTAGCAATCAACACTTGGAGCTGCAGGAAGTAAGAGAAGGAAGGGAGCAGGATGTCTGGGCCATCCAGATAGTTCACAGTGTCTGTTCATTTGCTGAGGAGCCTTGTACCATGAGTACCCTGTGGGCTTTTAGGACAACATATGTGCCATCCCTTGTGTTTACTTCATTTATGTCTATGTACTTCTTTGGTTTTTATTCATTACATATTTCTGTGTCTCTCTGTCTCCTAGTAGAATATAAAATATAAGCTTCTTGAAGGTAGGGGCTGTGTCTATCTTGATCAGTTTTTTTCACTGTGTAGCACAGTGCCTGGACATAGTAGGTGCTTAACACACATTTGCTTAATTATTATGAAAATCTGAAGTTACCGTCAAGGAAGAAAATTCTCCCAAAATCTTTCCCTGGGTTGTGGAGTCAGGGCCTGAGCACCTTCTGGACTGCGGCCCTTTCACCTCCTGTTCCACCTTCCCACCTATTTCTTTCAGTTTTTATGCAATTATAAACTTAAAGATGGTTGAGAAGAATAAAGACCTAAAAGGTTAGGATTAGAAGTGCTGGCTCTGAAGTCAAACTGACCTGGATTCCGGTATTGTCTCTGCTGCCTTCCTAATTGTAGGACCTTGAGCCTCGATGTTCTCATTCTTAAAATGGAAATCTAATAGTGCTCTCATTCAAGGGCCGCTGTGAGGGTTAGATAAGGTAAGTGGTAAGAAGCTTAGCACAGTGCCTGTCATGTGGAAAGCATTCAATAAATATTTGTTGAATATGAATGAACCCATGAATGAAGTTGAAAAAGTATCTGTACTTGGAAGAAAATCTTCTCCCTTAGAATTCTGATGAGCTGTAACGCATTGAAAATGTACGTTGTTGTCACCATCTCATTATTGCTCCTCAGTTTCTCCCTCCTCCCTCCCCAACGTCCGCCTGTCTGTGCCCACCTGGCTGATCATGGGGAGCTATTTTTACATCTGACGTAGTGGAAAGGTAGCAGATTAACAACCCTAGAGACGTACATTGCTTCTATTAATATTAAACAGGAGATTAATTTTACCAGTAACTGAAACATTAAACATGTATATCCATTAGTGGTCATTATTTTAATCTCCAGAAGCTGTCTAGCGTATTCCAGGAATAGGCCTGATCCAGTCTTCTCCACCTCCTCTTCCTAAACTCGTCAGTGAATCAAGAATCATGGTTTTTATTTCCCTGAGGGAAAGTGGATAATTATAAACTCATGGCTGTTAAGGGAGAAGGTCTGAAAAACTACCACATTCAATTCCCTTATTCAATACTACAAGCCCCTCAAGACCAGACTTGTAACGTGTGAAGCACTTGCTCAAGGTGGTCTTCCTAAGACCTCCTCTTTAATGGGGGATGTCTTGCTGATGTGCTGGCTCAGAGCATCACACCTTGACTGTAATTGCTAGACATAGAGATCTTGGTTGCTAATAATACTTTGAGCGGATCTAGCTCAGCTCCTTTGGAGGACTCGAATGAAGGACTGGGATTAGTTAATAATGATGGGATGCATGCTATGGAGTGAATGATAGGCAACTTAGTAACATAAGGACCCTGCAACTAATAATGATATATAGGATAGGATAGTGCTGATAACAGTCACCAATTACTCCTCACTAGAAAGTTGATGAAACCCTCAAGGTAGGATGAGGGACAAGTATGGCCCAATGGTGAATAGCTTGGGTCACATGTTTCTAGGCCACAGCTCAGGGAGGGAGAAACCAGGCTGAGCATGGTGATGGTCCTGAGTTGAGGAGATGAAGCTGAGAGTCCAGGGAGACCAAAGAAGCTCAGATAAACTCTGCAGGGCAGAGTATTCAGGGCATGAAAAGGACAAAGTCACAAAACAAAAATCTCCAGAGTCTTCAGCTAAATACTGATCAGCACATGTATGCGTGTAAACTACCCAAGTCTGGGGAAAAAACACCTGAAAAAACAGAAAGAAACAGAAAGAACAATGCTTGAACCTCCCACAGAACCAGGCATATTTGGTGTTCCCACCAGCAACAGTGGACAAATCTCATACTTCCCAGACCATTGGATGGAACACTCAGAAAAGAATTGCCTCAGTAGTGTGGAAGATTAGATCTAGGCCAAGGCTGCTAAGGTCCTACTTAACAAGACCTCAAAGAAAACCCTCAAAGAACCAAAATCTTTCCAGATAATTTAACTGCATCCTAGAACATAGCTCAGTAATATTTATAGGAACCCAACAATATCCAACACACAATAAGATACATTTCATGTTGTCTGCCATCCAGCTGAAAATTACCAGGCATGTGAAGAAAAAGGAAATTTTTCAATAATGAGAAGAAAACTTGAACAATAGATACAGAAATGACACATATGATGGAATTAGTAGGCAACGATATTAAAACAGTTATTATAATGATAACATTCCACAACAAGAAGGTAAAGGGAAGCTTGAACATGGAAGCAGAGACATGGAAGACCCAGCCTGAACTTCTAGAGATGAAAAATACAATGTCTGAGATGAAAAATATACTAAATGGCATTTAAAATAGAATAGATGTTATACAAAAAAGGATTAGTCAACTGGAAGATGTAGCAGTAGAAACTCAAAAATGGAACATAGAGAAAAAAATGGAAAAAAATTGAACAGAAAATCAGCACCAACAGGACTAATATCTGTGTAATTGGAGTTCCTGAAGAAGGTGGGGAGGAGTAGAAGAAAAAATATTTGAAAAAACTGTGGTTGAAAAATTTTAAATTTGATAAAAACTGTAAACCTAGAGATCTAAGAATTCCAATGAACCCCTAGCACAAGAGACATGAGGATGACACACTGAAGCACATCATAATCAAATTGCCCCAAACCAGTGACAAAGAGAAAATCTGAAAGGTTACCAAAGGGAAAAGGACATTATACAGAGAGGAACAAAGATAAAAATGGGCTGAGCGTGATGGCTCACACCTGTAATCCCAGCACTTTGGGAGGCTAAGGCCAGATGATCACTTGAGCCCAGGAGTTCAAGACCAGCCTGGGCAACATGGCAAAACCCATTCTCTACTAAAAATACAAAAATTAGCAGGGCGTGGTGGCATGCATCTGTAACCCCAGCTACTCAGGAGGCTGAGGCAGGGAGAATCGCTTGAACCTGGGAGGCGGAGGTTGCAGTGAGCCGAGATGGTGCCATTGCACTCCAGCCTGGGCGACACAGTGAGACTCTGTTCCAAAAAAAAAAAAAAAAAAAAAAAAAAAAAGATGGCAGGCAACTGGTTAGAAACAATGCAAGGCCAAGGCCAGGCATGAAGGCACACACCTGTCATCCCAGCACTTTGGGAGGCCAAGGCAGGATGACCACTTGAGCCCAGGAGTTCAAGACCAGCCTGGGCAACATGGCAAAACCTGGCCTCTACATAAAATGCAAAAATTAGCTGGGTGTGGTGTCACATGCTTGTAGTCCCAGTTACTTGGGAGGCTGAGGCGGGAGGATTGCTTGAGCCCAGGAGGTAAAGGTTTCAGTGAGCTGAAATCATGCCACTGCACTCCAGCCTGGGTGACAGAGCGAGACTGCCTCAAAAAAAAAAAAAAAAAAAAGAAAGAAACAATGCAAACCAGAGGATAGTGCCGTAACTTCTATAAAATACTTAAGGATAAAACAATTGTCAGTCTAGAATTCTACACCCAGCAAAAATATCTTTCAAAGATGATAGTGAAATAAAGACTTTCAGACATTGAAAAGCTTGAAGAATTCATTACCAGCAAGTCCTCACTACAAGGAATATTAAAAGAAATCCTTCAGGCAGAAGGAAAGTGAAACCAGATGGAAGTCCAGATCTACATAAAAGAAAGTAGAGCACCGGAGATGGCAAATGTGTGAGCAACAATGCAACATTAAAAAACATTTTAAAAAGATAATCGACCGTTTAAGGGAAAAATGATAACAAATTAATGTGGGTTTACAGCACATCTAGAAGCAAAATGCATGAAAACAATAACACAAACCCAAAAGGAGAGAAATGAATGGGTACTGTCTTAAAGTTCTTATCCTCTGTGCGAAGTGGTATAATGTTGATGGCAGCCAATGCTAAGTTAAATACATATACTGTATTAGTCTGTTCTTGCACTGCTTTAAAGAAATGTCTGAGACTGGGGCCGGGCACAGTGGCTCACGCTTGTAATCCCAGCACTTTGGGAGGCTGAGGCAGGTGGATCACGAGGTCAAGAGATTGAGATCATCCTGGCCAACAAGGTGAAACCCTGGCTCTACTAAAAATACAAAAAAATTAGCCAGGTGTGGTGGCATGTGCCTGTAGTCCCAGCTACTCAGGAGGCTGAGGCAGCAGAATCGCTTGAACCAGGAGGGGGGAGGTTGCAGTGAGCTGAGATCGAACCACTGCACTCCAGCCTGGGTGACAGAGTGAGACTCCATCTCAAAAAAAAAAAAGTCTGAGACTGGGTAATTTATGAAGAAAAGAGGTTTAATTGGCTCACAGTTCTGCAGGCTATACAGGAAGCGTGATTCTGTCATCCGCTCAGCTTCTGGGAAGGCCTCAGGGAGCTTTCAATCATGACAGAAGGCAAAGGGGAAGCAGGCGCATCTTATGTGACTGGAGCAGGAGGAAGAGAGAGAGGGGGAGGTTCCAAACACTATTAAACAACCAGATCTCATGGGAACTCACTTCCTATATAGTACCAAGCAGGGATGGTGTTAAATAAACCATGAGAAACGGGCTCCATGATCCAATCACCTCCCTCTAGGTCCCATGTTTGGTATTGGAGGTTACATGTCAACATGAGATTTGGGTGGGGACACAGTTCCAAACCATATGATATACCATAAACCATAGAGCAATGACTAAAACTCAAAACCAAACCAAGCAAAAATAGTTATATGTAAAAGGCCAACAAAGAAGATTAAGTGAAATAAAAATACTCAACATATTCAAAAGAAGTCAGAGAAAGAGGAAAAGGAGAACAAACTACAGATGGGACAGATAGAAAGCAAGCAGCAAGATGATCAATTAAAACCAAACTCTCCGGCATTCCACCCATTGCATGTGATTATTTAGCAACTCTCTGCCTCAGACAACAATACCTGTCACACAGGCTTGTCATCAGAGCTTGCCACATGTGATGTAGAAAACCTGCTGTTTGCAGACCTGCAACCATTATATATTAGCTCTTATTGTTGGTAGCAGAGACCCAGGTCTCTGTGTTGGTCATGCTGAGAGCTCCCTTCTCATTGCTCTGTTTTCCTCCTCCTTTGATCCCTTTCTGTACTTCCACGCCCCACACCATCTGGTTGGAGAAGATTCTCAGCCTCTTGGTCTGCAAATGTTCGAAGTCCATGAACCAAACAGCCAACAAATGTATTTCTGTACGTTTATCTGCTACCCAGGGATCCAGGAGAATTGCTTTCCTTCCTGCAAGAAGTCCGTGGCTGCTGATGCCAAGAATGTGCTCTCTCTGTCCTCTCCTCTTTTCTGATCTGCATATTCTCAGCCGCCCTGCACTTCTGGGAAGACTTTACACAGGGACAACTATGAGTTTTTGTAGGAAGATGAGAAGTCACCACTTTGGGAACCATCCATTAGACATTCCAATATTGCTGCAGACATGGACTCTAGCACGTTCTCTTCTTCTCTGACACCCACCCTTTCCCCCATTGGCCACAGCAGCTTGGCTTTGCAGTTCAGCTATGGCAGTGCCTACCTCTGGGGAACTGTGATTTGTTTTATACTCTATCCAATAACACAGTGTGTCCTTATACAAAGCAGGTGTTCAATATACATCTGTTGAAGGGATTTCATCACAGTTAAATCTGTGGAGAGTTCAGCAGATAAGTGAGTTGCTCAAGATTGTCAGAGGCTGTCTTAGTCCATTTGGGCTGCTGTAACAAAATACCTTAGCGCAGGGGGCTTATAAGCAGCAGAAATCTATGTCTCATAGGTCTGGATGCTGGCAAGTGGAAGGTCAAGGTGGTGGCAGATTGGGTGTCTGTTGAGTGCCTGTTCCTTATAGAGGGCACCTCCTAGCTGTGTCCCCACATCGTGGAAGGAGAGAACAAGCTCCCTTGGCTTCCTTTTACAAGGCCACTAATCCCATTCACGGGGTCTCCGCTTTCAGGACGAAATCACTTCCTAAAGCCTTTCCCTCCTAATTCAAACCTAACCTCTCAGGGGTTAGGTTTCAACACATGGATTTTAGGGGCACACAAACATTGACTATAGCAGAGACGTAGCTGGACCTGGGTCTGGGACCTTCAGGGTCCAGCTCCAGTATGACACTCACACTGCACATGGCCTCCCACATAATGTGATTCTGCTCTGTGACGTTGTGGCCATGAGGCCAGGGATGCAGTAGGCCTCTGCAGACGTGGGTTGTTCTTGGGATGACCGCCTGGCTTTGTGCTGCAGGCCTCGAAGAATCCACCAGCTGCCCACTCTCATGCCTGACTCAGGTTCGTGTGTCCCTCCAGGCACATGTCAGACAGCCCACCCCATTTTTTATCTGCCCCACTTTCCTGGGTTCCCTTCTGAACACAGGGACCATGGAGGGAGCTAGGGGTCTCTGTTTTTAGTTCATGCTCTTGTCTTCTATTTGGGAACAATGCCCAGGCAGGGGAATCTCTTCCCTACTGTTTTCTAAGAACATCAGGGGCTTCCTCCAAACTCTTCACCCACTCCCTCCAGTAATCCCTTCTCCCTCAGGGACACAGGGCAGCCGGGACACAGGGCACAAGCCCCCCTTCTGTGTGAAGATCCTGCCACAGTGTGGCTCTGGGGTTTTCTGTGGGTATCCAGACAAGAGGCTAAAGGTGAATGCACTCCGGAATCCAGGAGCACTGGCGATTTTCTCCCCTTAGCTCAGAGAGCATCCCCACAGATACCCCCATCCCACCCCGGGCCCCCTGAATCCATACCATAAAATGTATAATGTCAGTTTGTTCAACTAAGGACCCCGCTGAGTATTTAATCCTTATTTAAAGCTGATGTTTATTTTATTTTTGAGTTTAAATTAATCAGCCTCAGGATACAGAATTAGATAAGGCCAGGATTTAGCTTCCCTGGAATGATTCATTTCACATCGAGCCTTCTTAACTCTTTGGCTGCAGAGGGGAAGTGCCCGTATCTTTCTCTGCAGAGCTGCCTAGGGCTGGCCAGGTGAACAGACATGCTCCCTCCTCCCCGTCCTGCCAGCCAGGGCATGGTGTGTGCTTGTGATGCAGGGAGTTAGAATACAAGCCTTTTCATCACAGCAGTCATAAACCCTCACACAGCGAAACAGAGATAATATACAAGTAGGAAAAAAAGAAAAAAGAAGCAGTCTTGAATTCTGCTACCTAAAGATAACCATTGTTACCATGTAGGCAAGTTTCCTTTCATGCCGTATCAAGTGTTTAAAAAATATGGCTCAATATTACAAACACACAGGACTGTGTAGAGGATAATGATATCAAACTTTCATGTACCTCCCAGTTAAAATTCACACGTGGTAGCTTTTGGATGCATTTGCTCCAGAGTTTAAGGGAAGAGAACATTACGGATTCAGCCATAATGTTCAAGCTGACGCTCGAGTTATATGCCCCTTTTCTAGTCCAGTTACCGCCTCCCTCCCCACTATTCTGAAGTCAATGTGTGTCTTCCCATCCATGTTTAATACCTAGTGTGCATGTCCATGAAGAATGGATAGTGTTTTTTGATCTGTTTTTGCAATTTTATACAAATAGCAGTCCATACATACTCTCCTGAAAGTTGCTTTTTCCCTTCAACAATATCTTCCAGATGAATCTAGAATTGTGTATTTCTGGTCAGCAGAGGATGCGCCCCCCTCACCCCCCACCCAACCCCCTGCTCCAAGGTGATGCTGATGTTCTGGTCCAAGGCCTGCACGTACCATGGTGAGGCTTGGGGTCTTGGGACAGGTCCCTTGTCAGCCCTTCCTAGGAAGCACAGCCAGATGACCTTGGGGCTGGAGTCCTCACAATGCCCCTCACCAGCAGTGTGCACGCCCGTCTTCACTCGTCTTCATCAATATTTGTTACCGTACTTTCTAATATTGTTCCTGGATGTTGCGGTGCAGCTGAACGTGTGCCTTGTGTTTCCCAGCCCTTCGGGTCTCCTCCTCTGTGAATTGCTCCTGGCTCATTTGTCTGTTGGGTCTTTGGTTTCTCCTTGCTGACTTGTAAGTGCTATTTTTTTTTTAGGCGGAGTTTTGTGCTTGCTGCTCAGGCTGGAGTGCAGTGGCGTGATCTCGGCTCACCGCTACTTCCGCCTCCCAGGTTCAAGCGATTCTCCTGCCTCAGCCTCCTGAGTAGCTGGAATTACAGGTGAGTGCCACCATGCCTAGCTAATTTTGTATTTTTAGTAGAGACAGGGTTTCTCCATGTTGGTCAGGCTGGTCTTGAACTCCTGACCTCAGGTGATCCGCCTGCCTGGGCTTCCCAAAGTGCTGGCATTACAGGCATGAGCCACTGCGTCTGGCCTATTTTTTTTTTTTAAATGATCTGGGTATCAATGCTTTTTTGGCCAAATACCTTACAAATATATTTTCCCTCTTTGTGCACTGTATTAGTCCGTTTTCACACTGCTGATAAAGACATACCTCAGACTGGGAAGAAAAAGAGGTTTAATTGGACTTACAGTTCCACATGGCTGGGGAGGCCTCAGAATCACGGTGGGAGGCGAAAGGCACTTCTTACATGGCGGTGGCCAGAGAAAAATGAGGATGATGCAAAAGTGGAAACCCCTGATAAAACTGTCAGATCTTGTGAGACTTATTCACTACCAGGAGAACAGTATGGGGGAACCGCCCCCATGATTCCAATTATCTCCCACCAGGTCCCTCCCACAACACAAGATAATTATGGGAGGACAATTCGAGATGAGATTTGGGTGGGGACACACAGCCAAACCATATCGTGCACTGTCTTTGTCTTTTAACTTTATTCATAGCCTCTTTTGTCAGATCAAAGCTGGTGTCTCCCTCCAGGACACGTTCTGAAGGCATAGGAGCTGGACTGACATTTGGGAGACCTGAACCTTTGTTCCACTTCTGCCATGACAGTTTCATGGGCCCAGGCAAATCACGGCACCTCTCTAGGCCTCATTTTTTTATTCCTGACACAGTGGAATGACATTAACCTCGGTGCTTACCTAAGGGAGGAGAAATGATTCCCCTGCCTTCTCCCCATTTCTGCATTTGCCACAGCATCAGATTTTTGTGTTTGGCCAAGAATATAGGGAAGGAAGAGCAGGTAAGCTTTGGGCACAAAGATCGCATTTAGGGGACTCACTTAAGGAAAGAAGGTCAGGGGGCAGGGAGAGGTGGTGGAGCATGATCTTGGGCCAATGGTGGGGAACTAATGAAGTGCAATGTGCACGGGTTAGGGTGTGTAGCAGCTTGGGTCCCATCAAGAGATAGAAACCACACAGTGGGTCTAACGGGGAAGTGTAGTATAAAGGATTGCAACTATGATAAAAGAGTCACTGTAAGACATAAAGCAACTCTGCCTGGTGCCCTAGTGCAGAGGGAGGTACCCAAGGAAGCACAGATTTGAAAGGGGTTCAGATGTCATAAAATGTGGTTCAGCCATCACATAAGAGACGTTTGCGGATTTGGCCAGGCTGGAGCTAGTCAGCAGCTTTTGCGTAAGCACTAGGCAGCACTGGAGTGCAGCTGAGGGAGTCGGCCATGAGCCGCTGGAGTGCAGGGGAGGGAGCTGGCCGTGAGCCGCTGGTGCAGGGGAGGGAGACGGCTGTGAGACGCTGGAGTGCAGGTGAGGGAGCCGGCGGTGAGCCGCTGGAGTGTAGGGGAGGGAGCTGGCCATGAGCCGCTGGTGCAGGGGAGGGAGACGGCTGTGAGATGCTGGAGTGCAGGGGAGGGAGGCGGCCCTGAGCCGCTGGTGCAGGGGAGGGAGCTGGCCATGAGCCACTGGAGTGCTGGTGAGGGAGCTGGCCGTGAGCCGCTGGTGCAGGGGAGGGAGACGGCTGTGAGACGCTGGAGTGCAGGGGAGGGAGCTGGCCGTGAGCCGCTGGTGCAGGGGAGGGAGCTGGCCGTGAGCCACTGGAGTGCTGGTGAGGGAGCTGGCTGTGAGCCGCTGGTGCAGGGGAGGGAGACGGCTGTGAGCCGCTGGAGTGCAGGTGGGGAGCTGGCTGTGAGCCGCTGGTGCAGGGAGGGAGACGGCTGTGAGACGCTGGGGTGCAGGGGAGGGAGGCGGCCCTGAACCACTGGTGCAGGGGAGGGAGCTGGCCATGAGCCACTGGAGTGCTGGTGAGGGAGCCGAAGGTGAGCCGCTGGAGTGCAGGTGAGGGAGCTGGCCGTGAGCCACTGGTGCAGGGATGCATGGTGGGAGTCTGGCTGCCTTTGTAGGGCAGGAAGCCTCCAGTATGCGTGAGTCCTGCAGGGTCTGGCAGAAGGAATGGCAGCTCTGTGCGGACCCTCTGGAATACAGGTCACTGTGTGCAGGTTGCACAAGGGGTAAAAGAGGGGGTCTGAGAAACTTTTCAGGAAACTTCAGATCACATTGGCCCTGCTGCATTTTGGTTTCCGTGTCGAGATGCTGCAGGCCAAGGCTGCAAGGTGACTGAGGGACCACGCCTAGGTCTGTGGTTGTGGCTTGAACACGATCAAGGCTCAGCCAGAGAGCTCCTGCCCTCTGCAATGTCTCTCCATGCTCTACCTAGATGCCTGCAGAATGTTCACTTCCAGGAGGTATATTGAAAAGTGCTTCCCAGTTTATCACAGTGCACATATTGAAAGGTGCACTAGGAGCTGGGAGGCAACAGACTGAAACCTGACACAGAAGACACTGGCTCATAGCAATGAAGAGAAGCTGAAAAGGAGTGGGAAGGAACTAACTGTAATTTTACATCAGTGATCTGCAACTTTGTTTTGATGGTTTGTGGTAAAAAAAAAAATGACTATTCTTTCTACCCTTCTAATTCAGACATAGCCTGAGACTTTTTTTTTTTTCTTTTTTTGAGACGAAGTCTCGCTCTGTCACCCAGGCTGGAGTGCAGTGGTGTGGTCTTGGCTCATTGCAATCTCTACCTCCCGGGTTCAAGTGATTCTCCTGCCTCAGCCTCCCAAGTAGCTGGGGCTACAGGCGTGCACCACCACACCTGGCTAATTTTCATATTATTAGTAGAGATGGGGTTTCACCATGTTGGTCAGACTGGTCTTGAACTCCTGACCTCAGGTGATCTGCCTGCCTTTGCCTCCCAAAGTGCTGGGATTACAGATGTGAGCCACTGTGCCCGGCCGCCTGAGACATTTTGGACGACAGCTGTGACAGAAAAGATGTGTATCCCTTCTGGGCAGGGGATTTAAGAAGGGGCTCATGGCTTATTGTGTTTTCTTTGCTCTGTTTCTGGAACTGTGGGATCATCTTCTGGGATAAGGGTCCATCTGTTTGAGTCTCTGGATGACTATGACCACCAGAGCCCCCTTGTTGACCCGTGGTGGACATGAAATCAATTGAGAAGTCAAGGCTGGACGCAGTGGCTCACACCTGTAATCCCAGCACTTTGGGAGGCTGAGGCAGGCAGATCGTGGGGTCAGGAGATCAAGACCATCCTGACTAACACGGTGAAACCCTGTCTCTACTAAAAATACAAAAAGGTAGCTGAGCGTGGTGGCACACACCTGTAGTCCCAGCTACTCAGGAGGCTGAGGCAGGAGAATCGCTTGAACCCAGGAGGTGAAGGTTGCAGTGAGCTGAGATTGTGCCACTGCACTACAGCCTGGGTGACAGAGCGAGACTCCATCCCCGCCACCACCCCACAAAAAAAAAGAAAAGAAGTCAACTTTGCTGTTGAAGCCACTGAGGTTTGTGGGCTTGTTTGTTACACAGCATCACCTGTCCTGACTAATGCATGACTCATTTCATCCTTGGCACAGCCCCTGAGAGAAGGGGCTTTATCCTCATTTCACAAATGAAGAGACTCTTCAAGTCTCAGAAAGGTTAGTAGCACGAACAAGCTCACACAGCAAGGGGTGGAGCTTGGATTTGAATCCAGGTCTGTCTAACCTCAAAGACTGAAGTGGGGATGAAAATAAGTTGTCATTGTTGTTTGCCTGTCGGGAACTGATGTGTGGCTCATCGAATGGCTGTGGAAGTGTTTCTGGCTCAGGGGTAGGAAAAGGATGGTGACTCCACATTCCTTTGGTCAAAACAGCCAGGAGTTCCCAGCGGGAGGATGCAAGAGAAGGTATTTGAAAAGGAAAAAGGGCCAAACAGGTTAACCTGAGATTGTCATCAGTGATTGGGTGATTGGCCTGCCCTCTGGCTCCTCTGAGCAGCCAGCTGAGGTGCTGGCTGCCTTGTGATGGGGGCTCGTGGGGCACAGAAATGCTTGGATCTGTTGCTGTGCAGACATTCATTCAACAAATACCCACCAAGTGCCCACATGCACAGGCTGTGGCGCTGAGCCTCAGAGCTGAACAGGGTTCCCTCTTTGCCTCTGGTTCAGTAGGCAGGATGAGGTTTCCCTTCCTCCAGGCAGCCTTCCCTCTCCAGCCCCAGAGGAAAGATTTCACAGACCTCTGGGCAGGCTCATACTGCATTGCAACTGGCTGCTTATGGTTCTCCCCTGCAGAGGGGAGGTTTCAGCTCCAGATCCCCAGGCTGTCCTGCGCCTGCACTGAACAGGTGCTCAGCAGATACTTGGGAAAGAAAAGAAGGAAGCACATGATACACAGGCCCACCCCCAACATGTGAGCCCAGGTGCATGCACCCAAGGTGTGTTTACACATACATAGGCATGCATACATGTGTGCAGGAAGTGTACACACGCTGCACACAGTGTAAACACATGGCCACGAACACACATGCACACGTGAGCATGTGCTTCCATGGCACACATGCATGCACCAATGCACAGCCCTGCTCATGGCTGGTGGAGGGAGGGCTGGCTCTTGAGAGTCATTTTTCCTCTGGGCCACTTCCTATCTCTATCCACACCACCACCAGGTGGGCAAGAGCACTTTGCGTGGTCCCAGGCTTTATGGAACCTTTTGTTTCTGTTTTACAGGCAGATATTCCTTTTCCTGGGCTGTTTTTAAGTTAGCTGTCACACGTAGTTTCTGAGGTCTGAGGAGAGGACTGCTGCGTCTGGCTGACCCCTTTATGAGGTTTCTGCATTCGAACTGAGTCCTGCATTAGAGCTGAGACCCTGAGGGGTGGAAGGTGTTGTCTGCTGAGCCACCAGCTGCTTGCCACAGGAGGGTACCATGATACTCCTTTTCTGTGAGTGACAGGACCCTGCCTAGGAGCGAGGCCCCTCAGCTTTGCCCCAGGCACACTGAGTCTTTGCTCAGGACAGCAGGGCTCTAAGAAGGAGTATCTATAGGAAGAAGCAGGAGTGAGCTCTGGATTGTTCTCTGGGAGGGGAGAGAAGGCCTTTTGGAAACCACATAACCAGCCCCTGAGGATGCCTCCAGCACCCTGGACTGGACACTTGGTCTCTTGGCGAGGCCCTGACGCTGGGATCTGCTGCTGTGCTCTGTTGTGCCCTGGCTGGGAGACCCCGGGTGTGATACTTAACCTTCTTGGGCAGTTTGCTCATCTGTGAAATTGGGACAATAGCATTGTCTTGGATACATTGATCTGATACATGGAGCGTTTGGATCAGTGCCTGGCTCATGGAAAGGGCCAACAGGGCATTCAGTTGCTGTGTGGGGAGCAGCCCTGACATGCTGGGCCCTTAGTGAAGGGTCCTGCTCTTCCAGGCAGGACTTTCCCAGACAGGCCTCATGGGTGCCTGTCGCCAAGGATCTCCCTCCCCCACCGCGCATTGCACTGGCTTCCAAAGATGTCTGCGGTTCATACCCCTTGACATTGGCAGAGGCTCTGGTTTCCCAAGAAGCAGTCACAGGGCAAGGCCACCTTGGAACCTGCAAGGTTTTTTTCCTCGTGGGGTGACATCACAAGGTTTTATGGATGGTGTTTATTTCTTTAAACCCTCTTCAGTCTCCATCTCCATGTCTGAAATTTCATTGTGGTACAAGTCTGCTCCCTGGGTGGGCTTAATCTTGTCCATGCGTCTTCTGCCAGTCGGCACCCAAGAGAACAGTCGACACCCCAACGTGGTTTCCCCACAGCACTGGGGACTCTCAGCATCAACTTTGGAAACAGGCAGTGCACGTGGAGTCCGCCATGCTCCACAGAGGCAGCTGTAGGTCATAGCTCTCCCAGGGGAGCCCAGTCCCTGTCCCTCCATCTAATGTTATTAGAATTGGTTTCCCATCAGCCTTCAGTGTGGACTTCCAGCCTCTTTTCTAGTCACTGCTTCCTGATGGACAGGAGGTGCTGGAGGTGCACACACCTGTTTCTCCTTGCACAGGCCCAGCTTTTGAGCACGTCTTTGTTTGCTTAGTGGTAAGATGCTCCTGTCACCCTGCACTGCTCAGAAGCTATCTGCTTACCCGGCCAGGGCAGGGCAGCAGAGGGTCTGCCAATGGTACCTTTGGGGTGTAATGATTGCCTTTGGGGGAGGGTTTTCTCGATGGGGTTGGTCTCCTGAGAAAGGGCTGCAAACCACACCACGTGTGCACTCTCTGCTGTCATGGAGAGACCTGCATGTGGAGCCCACAGACCTCATAGTCTATTTGCTGTGGGGACAGAAACCTGAATGTACTGGATCCTGAAGTTCTTAAACAAGGGGCTTCCTACCAAGCTCTGCCTCGGAAGGCTGGTTAGGGTTGACCCCTTGCCAGGGTGTGAGCTCCCCAAATACCATCATACCTGGGGCTGTCTCTGGTTTGTAAGCGCCACTCCCTCTGGAGAAGCCTGAAGGATGAGCAGCTAGAGGGGTGAACACTCATGGGGGTGACATGGTGGGCGGGACTGGCCTGGGTGTGGGTGGAGGGAGGACACTCTTGGGTGACGTGCTGGGTGGGACATGTCTGGATGTGGGTGGGTGCCACATATGTGGACACTGGGGCCTCCCTCAGGAGAGTACCAGGCTGGAGCCCCCTGAGTCTCGGAATTTGCTGTTGAAGGAGTGGAGAGGCTGATCTCAGCAGAAGCTGGCTTTGCAGTCAGTGTGAACCTCTGCCCCACAGCTGTGAGGTGGAGCTGACGAGACAGGTCCTTCCCCTCCTTGCGGGTCCCCTCCCCTGCCTCCTGCCCCTGCTGGGAAGGCTGCCCTGTGCAGTGGTGCTGAGTCTGGGTGGGGTGAAATGATGGAAGCCCCCACCCTCTGCTGCTGCTGGAGGCCCAGGGTGGGATCTTCATCTGTCTGAAATTCAGGTCCATGCTGGACAAACACCTTAGAGGGTCCCTTAGTTCAGAGCTGCCTCCCTGTTTATTCTCCTGCAGTGACTGAGGAGCTTGGGGCCGTGACAGGGCATTTGCCTGGTGGTCCTGGCTAAGCCGCGTTCCTTTCCCCAGGAGAGGGTGGCGGGGACTGTGTTGGGGTGGGAGAGGGAGCACTGTGACCCCCGTGTGGCCAGCCCTGCCCACTCCCTGTGCAGTCTTCAGCTCATCTGATCACAGGGCTTCAAGGGATGAGGGCCACAGCTCTGCAAATTGTCAGAGAGGTGGGTAATAAGGAGAAGGTTACATTCCTTCGACACTGCTTGCTTGAATGGGAGATGGGAACCTAAGATTCTGAAAATAAACAGGTTAAAGAAACCAAACAAGATGCCCTGCCGGGCCCAGGAAGGGTCCCATGCCCACCGAGCTCCTGGTGGGGTGAGGGGGTCCCATGCCCACCGAGGTCTTGGTGGGGTGAGGGGGTCCCATGCCCAGTAAGCTCCTGGTGGGGTGAAGGGGTCTAATCCCCACTGAGCTTCTGGTGGGGTGAGGGGAGGATGGAGGTCTGTTGGCCTGGGGCCCTCAGCCTCCACCTCCCACCAGCCCCACTCCTGGTCGGCCAAAGCCCTGTGCACCCGTGGGCTCTTCTCCCACCAAGGTCAAGGCCCTACTGTTAGGTTGTCCCGGGTAGAGCCTGAGAGGGGCAGCCACCAGCTCTGGCCAGACGCCCGGTCATTGGCCACCCAGGCATAAGGAGAACTGCAAGTGAGTGATTAAAATCCCACACCCGGGCTTCTCCATCCCAGCGTGTGAATGGCTGTGCTCCAGCTGAGACGAGCACTTGGGTGGCAGGAATTGTGCCTTGTCAAAGGCCACTGGAAATGAGCTTTGAAGTCCCCTCGGGGTTCTAGGGCTGGACAGGGATGAAAGAGCCCTCATATGTGGTTCTAAGCACCCAGAAGATGGGCATAACTGAATGATTCCGGGCCTCCGGAGGCTGAGGTCGGTGAGTACAAAGGGAAAGGGATTGGCAAAGCAGCCTTGGCCCGGGGCCAGGGAGGACTCCGTGAAGGGCTGGCCAGGCGTGGAGGTCATCGGCCAGGGTGGTGGCATCTTATGGTCCCAGGAGCACGAGCGTGGAAAGGTCCAGACAGTGGAGAGAGGCAGCCCCCGTTCCAGTCTTGGATCCCCCAGTGATCTGCTCTGGGTGGTCAGTCACCTGCCCGGCCTCACCCTTGCTTTGGAAGGTGGGGGTTGAACACCTGCTGCTCGGGGCTGTCTTGACAGTGCCTGGCATGTGGCAGGTGCTGGTGCGTGGAAGCGTCTCCACTACGTGGCTGGCCTCAGAGCCCAGGAACCTGCTCAAGGAGGTCCCCCAGGAATGGTGCCAGGCTGCAGGTGGGGATGCAATAAACAAAGCTGAAGGCTTTTGGAAAACACAAAGCAAAAAAAACAAAAAACAAAACAAAACCAAAAACCAATGAATGGCCCATTCGCTTCTAATATGTTGTTGGAGGCAGGGCTAGGTTGTGTCACTGTATTCATGGGCTCAGGTTAAGGGGCCTGGGACCAGACTGGGGCCACACCAGTGGGTTTGAAGCACATCCCTGGAAAATAGTCTCTGATGATCCTTTCCTTGGCACCAGGGTCCGACCTCTGCCTCCTCTGCCCCTGCCTCTGGGGTAAGATGAGAGTGTTATGTCTTCGGTGAATACAGAGCTTTGGGTCCTGCCCCTAGCAGCTATTTGACCTCCCAGGGCCAGTAGCCCCTTCCGTAAGATGGGAGTGATGATGGTCCTTCCTCCCTCCCAGGCTGGTGTTAAGTACTCATCACATGGAAGCCAGGATGAGTTTTGTTCCAAGTCAGGGCAAAATGCCCAATGTCCCAAATGTCTAGGGACTAGAGGGGTGAGGGGTGAAGGGGGCTGGAGCTGAGGGCCTGGCTCTTGCCTCCGTGTGGGGAGAAGGGCCTGGCAGAGCCGAGGCCAGACCTCACATGGGTTCCAGCATGGGGCTCCGGGCAGCTCATGATCGCTAATTTCCCTAATAATGATGGTAATAACAATAATCATGGAAGTTCATTTGCTTTAATGTGTGTGTATATACGAGCCGTCATTTTGTGGGAGTCACACTCTTGATTGAGGGTGATTAAATAGTGCTCAGTCATCCTGGGCAGGAGGTGGCTTCTGGCAGGGACAAGGCTGCCCTACAAAGAATGTGGCTTGGAGAGGAGGAAGTGTTGACTGATTTTCCCCAGAGGTTGGGGAAACAGGCTATGACAAAGCACGTGTGCACGTGTGTGTATGTGTTTGTGCACGTGTATGCACTGCCACTGAATACTACAATACATACGAGATTCTCAGGCAAAGGCTCCTCCTTTCTTTCCAACACCACAGGGCCCTGACGGCTGGTTCAGACATGGTCAGAAGTGGGAGAGAGAGAGCCTGCTCTGGGCTTTGCCATGCACACAGCAGGAGCTCAGGAATATTCCCGTGTGTCTAGGGAAGGGTCAGAGGCTCTTAAGCCTAGATGGAGCAAGGCTGTCGCTCCTGGGAGGTTAGCAAACTGTCAGGAAGAGGAGGAGGTGAGTGCTAGGCCTTGGGGCTTTTTACTACCCTGCCAAAGCCTCAGCTGCCCTGTGCCAGCAGGACTTCCTTCAGGGAAGTAGAATTCTTGCCCAGTGTCGCACAGTTTCTAAGTGGAGGAGCTGAGATTTGAACTCATGTCTGTAAACTTCTCACACTATGTCACTCACTTCCTGCAGGGACACATCTGACCACAGCAGGTACTAGGAAGCAGCTGGTGACTGGAGGATCCGATGGCAGATGGCAGGGACTGGGATTCTGAGCCAAAGGCCAGCTGCTGGGAGACTCCTGAGGGGAAGGGGGCAGGGTGGGTGGAGCAGGGCTGAGGGGTCACAGCCATAGGAAGAGCAAGCCCTGGGCCACCAGGGCTGACCCCCAGGTGAGTCTGAAGCCAAATCCCAAGTTACGGACTTCTATGGGGTAAACTGTGTCCTCCTGAAATTCATATGTAGAAGTCTTAACCTGCAGGACCTCAGAATGTGGCCTTACTTGGAATAAGGTGCTTGCGGTTATAATGAATTAAGATGGGGTTGTATTGGTGTAGTAGGGTCCCCTAATGCAATTTGACCAGTATACTTACAAAAAGGGGAAGGAAGGTCCAGACCCCCACACAGGGAGGACACCACGGGAAGGTGAAGGCAGAGGGGCTGATGCTTCTTCAAGCCAGCGGAGGGCAAGGGTTGCCAACAAAACACTGGAGGCTGGGAGAGACGTGGAAGAGATTCTCTCTCACAGCCCCTGAAGGAACCAGCCCTGCTCCCACCTTGATCTTGGACATCTGGCCTCCGGAGCGGAGAGAGAATAAAGTTTGGCTGCTTTAAGTCACTTAGTTTGTGGTGCTTTGTTACTGCAGCCCCAGGACACAAATACACTGATCTGGAGCAGCTGTGAGAAGGTTTACCTGGAGATGGGCCCAAGTGAAGGGTTGTGGGGAAGCCAGGAGATACGCTCCACGTCTGAGCAGGTGCTCTGAGGACTGTGTCAGGGCTCCATGCTGTTCTTTTCTCCTTCTCCTATGAGGCAGCATGTTCCAGGTGGGGGCATGTTCCAGGTGGAGGGTGTGTCCAAGCAGGGGGCGTGATGCAGGAGGAGGCATGTCCCAGGAGTGGGGGGTGTCCTGGGGGCTATCCCAGGTGGGCGTATGTTTCAGAGCGTGAGTCCCAGGAGGCTATATTGCAGGAGAGGGCGTGTCCTGGAGGCTGTCCCAGGTGGGGGCATGTCCTAGGAGGGGTGTGTTTCAGGTGAGGGCGTGTCCAAGGGAGGACATGTTCCAGGGGGTGTGTCCTAGGTTGGGGAAGTGTTCCAGGTGGGGAGACACCTGCAGCCTGGATGGCAGAGAGAAGAGCACCGTGGGCCAGGGCCCCAGCTGCACCTTGGCAAGGACGCAGCAAGAGCAAGATGTCACCTTGATGTCATAAGCCACCAGGTTTGGTGGTTGTCACTGCAACGTGACCCAGCCAGAGCTGACCAATGAAATGCCTGAAGCTCCTCTTGCAGGGTTTGGCGTCAGGATGCCAGGTTATCCCCTGGGAGTCAGCCGCCCCTTGGTCCTGAGGTTCTCATTACAGGCCTGGCTCAGGGCTCCTGCCTCCCAGGCTCAGGCCAGCACTGGGCCAAAGAGCACCTTCAGTGAAGATTTACTGGGAGAAGGAGGTGGGGAAGGCAGCTCATAGAAGAGGCTGAGGCCATTCCTGTCCAAGGCAATTATCTCCCGCCTCTGCGACTGACTTTAATAGTCATGTTATTTATTAATGTGTTAATCAATGCTATCTCCTTGGGTAATTGCATGCACCTCTTACCAAGCAGGCCTCTTTAGGGCCCTCTGGGTCTTCTGAGTTGGCAGTTGCTCTGTGCATCAGCCCATTGAAGGCTCCTACACCCCCTTGAAGATCCTGAGGGGGTGGAGACAGAAGAAAAAGAATTTCCCCTGAAGGGCAGAGGGCGGACTCTGTTGCAATAAAAAAAGATAATGATTGCCATCCATTTTGGGGGTCTCCGTGTGTGCCAGGCCTGGTCCTAAATGCTTATTTTGTTTAATCCTTGTGCCAAGGGGAAGCAGCTTGGTGGAGGAACAGAGACCCTGGCACCAGATTGCATGAGCCAACATGCTGCCTCTTCTGGGCTCTGTGACTTTGTAAAACTCACTTCCTCTCTTTCTTCAGTTTCCTCATCTGGAAGCTGGTGCCGATGATGGCTCCCGTCTCACAGGTGTGCTGTGAGGATTCCACAAGTTTATGCCTGTGGAGCGCTGGCTTGGTGTGCTATTGTCCCATTTCCAGATGAGCAGAGTGAGGCATGGAGAAGTCCTATGATTTGCTCAAGTTTCTCTGGCTAGGCAGGGGCCCAGACAGCATTGAACCCAGGTCACTTGGTCCTACAGTCATTTACTCAACCATAACATTTTGAGGTTTCAAAAAACCCAGCACTGCCTTTACTGGGGATGAAAAAGCAGCTCTGCCATGTGGACTTTGATTCACCTTCATGGCCACTCTTGTCTGTACTGTCTGTCTCTGCCTTCTCTTTCCTAGGTCTCCACGTGGGTTTGTCCCACATTTAGGTTCTCCACAGGTCCCCTTAGGAACGGTTCTGTTGTGACTTCTGCTGAACCCACTGCCTGGTCCGCATCTCCCTTAACACCCTTTGGGACGCGTTGGAAAGGAGGACGGTTTTTGTAAACTGAAAAGACATTTGTGTGTGCCAATCAGCCTTGGCACTTCTCTTACAAGCTTAACAAAATTGAAGACCAAAGGTGCCCCCTCCATAGCCCAAGACTGAAGATAAATCCTGAAATGAAAGATTACCAAAGATTCATCCAACTTCCTATTCCAAGTCAATCTTCTATCCTTGGATTGTAACCTTGCAGGATCTTTAACTCATATCCTTTCAGGGATCATAAAAGTGAGCACATCAAACCTGCCATGATAAAGTTGTGGAAAAGTGGGCAATATTGCCAAAGGCAAAATATCTGGGCTATATTTTGGTCTGAGGTCATCATTTGAGATTCCTGGAAATTAGGGAATATGGAGGCCAACTCCCATAGGGATGTTGTATAAGACTCCAAACCCTAAGTCAATGATCTCAACCCTGTGGGTCAGCAGTCTCCATGTAATGGGGCATCTTAACCCATTTTGTGCTGCTATAACAGAATACCATAGACTAGGGAATCTATAAAGAAAAGACATTTATTTCTTAGCGTTCTGGAGGCTAGGAAGTCCAAGTATGAGGGGTCTGCATCTGGTGAGGGCCTTCTTGCTGTGTCATCTCATGGCTGAAGACAGAAGAGAAAGAGTTTGAGAAAGAAAGAGAGAAAAAGGGGCTGAACTTGCTTTTAATACACGCCCACTCCCAAGATAACTAACCCACCCCCAAGATAACGAACCCACTCCTGAGATAATGACATTAATCCATGCATGGGGGCAGAATCTCATAACCTAATCACTCTTATTAGGCCTGCCTCTCAACACTGTCACATAGAGGATTAAGTTTCCAACACGTGAGATCTGGGGGACACATGCAGATCATAGCATGGGAGATTGATGAGTATATGGGAAGGACCAGTCATGAATATTTTGGCTGAGAGTTGTATTTGAGAGCTGAAGCCATGGTCTATCATGGCAGGGCACACATAGACCTTTGAATGCTCTGAGAAATGAATATTGAACAGTGTAACTCATGGCAGAAGGTGGAATATTTAAAACGCAGAACTGCCTGGGTCAAGTAAAAGAGTGAACAAACAGCCTGCAGCCTATGGCTGGCTTCTCTTCCCTTCCTGTTCCCACCTTTCACCTTTCTCTCATTCTCTCTTTCCCTCCCTCCCTCCCTCTCTCCCTTCCTTCCTTCCCTCCCTCCCCTCCCTCCCTCTCTCCCTCCTTCTCTCCTCCCTTCCCTCCCACTCTCCTTCCTTCCTTCCTCTCCCTTCCTCTTTCTCTCCATCCCTCCTTCCTTGTTTCTTTCCTTCTTACTTTCTCTTTCTCTCCCTCCCTCCTTCCTTGTTTCTTTCCTTCTTACTTTCTCTTTCTTTTTCTCTCTCTCCTTCCTTCCTTCTCCTTTCTCTCTCTCTTTCCATCTTTCTCTACCTCCATCCTTCCTTCTCTCATTCTTTCCTTCCTTCTCTCTCTTTCCTTCTTTGTTCCTTCCCTTCCTTCCTTCTTTCCTTCCTTCCTTCTTTCTTTCCTTCCTTCCTTCCTTCCTTCCTTCCTTCCTTCCTTCCTTCCTTCCTTCCTTCCTTCCTTCCTTTCTCACTGCCCTCCTGCCTTCCTTTCTTCTCTCTTTCTTTGACTGATGTGTTCTGAGCCCAAGCACCCTGTGGGGTACTAAATGGTACCAAAATTGACTCAAGAATCAAGAAGAAATAGAAAACCTAAGAAGTACTATAACATGAAGAAAATAAAATCTCTAGTAAAATAAAATCTTTCACAAAGGAAAGACTAGGCCTAGATGGTTTTATGAGCAAATTTTACAAACTTTCAAAGAATGATCATTCTAATTATGTCCCAAACAACTGTAGCTAGGAATATTAATGCTTGATTTTTCATGAGCCTCATTTCCTAAAATCTGTAGGCTCGAAGGTAGATTGGCATGTGTTGGAAATCCTCAAACGTTGTGCAGTTCCTTGGAGTTTTAGCATTAAAAAAGAGAGGTCTTGCCTGCATTAACTTTGAATTTTGTAACAGTTACCAGTTAATAGAGATACTCTATGCATTTATACACACCCTGATTTTATAGGAATGGAGGCATATCAGACACATGGCTCAGACACATGGCTCTGCACCCAGGGTTTTTACTTTATAACATATCTTGGACATCATTTTTGAGCATCCTTTTAAAATTTATTTTTTTTAAGTAGCTGCATGTATTCTATCATATGAATAACCATAATTTCAATAAGCAGTAAAGTGATAATCATTAATGTGATTGATAAACATTAAAGTGATTTCCATACTTTTGTTAATTAAAAAGGTGGTATAATACTTTCTCCCATTCATACATAATTCCTGGAAATTTCTGGAAATGAAATACATACATAATTCCTGGTAAATTTCTGGAAATGAAATCGCTGAATCAGAGAGTATTTCCACTTATAATTTTGGTAGATGTTGTTTAATCACAATTGATAAAGTTTGTACCAATTTATAATCCCAGTAACAAGATGTGAGTACCACTTCAAACTCCACAACTTCACTGGCATTGCTTTACCAAACTTGGTCTTTGCACATCTGGTGGGTGGAAATGTTATGTTGTTGTAGTTTTGTTTTGTTTATTTTTTATTTATTTATTTTTTATTATACTTTAAGTTTTAGGGTACATGTGCGCAACGTGCTGGTTAGCTACATATGTATACATGTGCCGTGTTGGTGTGCTGCACCCATTAACTTGTCATTTAACATTAGGTATATCTCCTAATGCTATCCCTCCCCCACTCCCCCACCCCACAACAGGCCCCGGTGTGTGATGTTCCCCTTCCTGTGTCCCTGTGTTCTCATTGTTCAATTCCCACCTATGAGTGAGAACATGAGGTGTTTGGTTTTTTGTCCTTGTGATAGTTTGCTGAGAATGATGGTTTCCAGCTTCATCCATGTCCCTACAAAGGACATGAACTCATCATTTTTTATGGCTGCATAGTATTCCATGGTGTATATGTGCCACATTTTCTTAATCCTCACTGATGGACATTTGGGTTTGTTCCAAGTCTTTGCTATTGTGAATAGTGCCACAATAAACATACATGTGCATGTGTCTTTATAGCAGCATGATTTATAATCCTTTGGGTATATACCCAGTAATGGGATTGCTGGGTCAAATGGTATTTCTAGTTCTAGATCCCTGAGGAAGTGCCACACTGACTTCCACAATGGTTGAACTAGTTTACAGTCCCACCAACAGTGTAAAAGTGTTCCTATTTCTCCACATCCTCTCCAGCACCTGTTGTTTCCTGACTTTTTAATGATCGCCATTCTAACTGGTGTGAGATGGTATCTCATTTTGGTTTTGATTTGCATTTCTCTGATGGCCAGATTTCTTCTCTTCTTATGACAAGTTTGGTCATGTTTTCATCTACTGAGCCATTCAGTTCCTTTTCTGTGAACTCTCTTGTTCTTTAAGGCTATTGTGCTTTTTTCTTACTGATTTTTGTAGGAGCTCTTTATTTAATAGAGAAATTAAGTCTATGTATATGATAGAAATTGAAGATGTTTTTGTGGTGTATGCTTAGGGAAACGAAACAAAATAAAACAAAACAAAACAGAAAGTTCTGTTTATGGTTGCTTTTACCCGGAAGAAAATTTTGTCTTCTTAACATTTATCTTTAACATTTTAAATGTTAAACACAAATGTGGTTTAACATTTTGAATGTTAAACATAAATATGGTTTAACATTTATCTTTTCGTGGCTCCTAGATTTTGTATCTTTGTTAGAAGGGCCTTTCCCCACCCTGAGATTATTCCCTCTTTTTTTTTGTCAGGATTTCATCAAATATTTGAATGGTTTTGCTTTCTTTGCCTTCCTCTCTCCCTTGGTTTTCCTCTTTATTTCTTTCCATTTAAATCTTTGGCCCATCGGGTATTTCTTTTGGTATAAGGTGGAGGTAAGGTTCCACCCTTCTTTTTTTTTCAGGAACATTTATATTTAGAGCTACTTCCTACTACACATCTTGACACATTGACTCTCCCGCCACCTAGCCCCCATGTTACCAGGGCATAAAGCTGACCCCATCACTGCTGCTTTCGCTCCGTCTCCACCCTCATACTCTTGGCTGCCCACGAAGTGACACATTCACCCTCAGCAGGGTCTCCCCTGTCCTTCTGTCTGGGCGGGTGGGCTCTAGGATGCAGAGTTGGGGTCAGCAGAGAGCGGGGCTGATGCAGAGATCACCAGGAAAGCCAGGCTCTTGGAATATTCCTTTCCCATATGGGACATAGAAGGCAGCTACTGCAGACAAGGCACCCTGGAGGGGCTTGGCCCAGTGACTTCCTTCCCCTCCTGCACCTGCCCCTCCCTGCTTCCAGGGAGTGCAGTCTCTCTTCTCTCTCTCTCTCTCTCTCTCTCTCTCGCTCTCTGTCTCACTCTCTCTCTCTTTCTCCTCTGGCTTTTGCAAGTTCTTCATTCATGGCCAGGGCAGCATCAATAAACTTTGCCCAGAGGATCAGGGAAGGCTTCCAGCTCCTTGATATTTACCAAGTGGAATGTCCCTAATGCCAAATGAAAACACTCAGCAATTAGATTTCAAATTACCCCTTGAGCCCTCTGTCAACGTTAGGTAGGATACAGGGCATCCAGAGACTGGCGTCTGTCTCCTTTATCCTCTGGCCCCTTGGAAGCCGCCTCGCTGCCTGCCGATGCACTGGGAGCCCCGTGGTCCCAATGCCCTTGCCCCCTCCTGTCTCCTAGCAACACTTTCCAGCAGCCTCCCTCCGCAGGGCACTCTCGCCTCTCCGGAGCAAGTCCCCACTGTGGTGATTATCTTGGCAGAAGCGGGGCTGGCACTGTCCAGAACCCAGACAAGCTGTGAGGAGCTGCGGGGACCTGAGGAGTGGGGCGCATCCCTGGTGTCCTGTGGCCTGGATGTGCCCCTGCAGCCAGCAGGGTACAGGGTGTTCAGACAGTGCATTATTCACCTTATCTCCATGGCCTTGGATGCATTAATCATTTTCCCACAACGTGTCAGCTCTTGCCGGTTCCTGCCTCTGTGAGTACAGGACCCGGAGGCTTGGGCGCTCCAGGAGGAAGGAGCTCAGTTTTCCTGCCTTCTTGTGGACTCATCCCCTGGGGACATGGGCAGGCACCCTACTGCTGACTAGCTGGGTGCCCTCACACGTAGACTCAGTTTCCTCATCTGCTAGCTGTGGATGCTTAGAGTTTTAGGGCTGTTATGAGAAGGAAATGATACAATACTGGGAGGTGACGACACTGATCTTTGGCTCTCAGTCAGCCCTCTTCACAGGAGCCAGAAGTGACTGCTCTCATGGGTCTCAGGTATGGGGCGAGGCCTCTGCCTAGTTGTTGTCAGTGTCCTAGAGAAGAGCAGAGGGCCAGGATGCCCTGGGAAGAGAAGGACCTGCCTGGCTGCAAACCCTCTGTGATATTTGGGATCAGATGCCATGGGTTCAAACTCTGCCTAGCCACTTAACAGTTGAGTGACCTGGGACAAGTGACTAAACTTCTCTGAACTTGTTTTATTACATGCAAAACAAGGATAACTGTGCCTGCCTGCAAGGTTGCTGTCACGGCCAGAAAACACTCATCCTGGGGCCCGACACACAGTCAACACGCAAGAAAAGGTGGCTACCTTCATGAAGGTGTCCCATCACTGTGCCCACGTGGAAGGCGCCCCTCTGCAGCGATCACCCACACCACCTCTGTGGGTGTTCCGGGGTCACACCCGACTTTGACATCTGAATCCCAGTCCTGATTCCCACGGACATTTCCCCAGCTCCTAGAGCCAGCCTCCTTGCATGAACCTGATGCCTGAGTCCTTTTCTCTGGAGACCATTGGGGAAACTGAGTCTTTGAGTCCTTTTCTCTGGAGACCATTGGGGAAACTGAGTCTTACACCTGTAAGGAACTTTCTGACTCTGAAGTCGTTCCGGCTTTTATGGCTCTTTGTGACTGGCAGCTCCTTCCTCCAGCTCTGGTTCCTCAGTGGCCCAGCCCATCAGGTGGAGCCCCTGGGGTTATCCTGGCTGGTTTCTCCACCAAGTGGGTGTACGCCAGCCTGTGCACACCTCCGCACCCTTGCAGGCACAGGTGTCCGGCTGAGCACGCCCTCTCTAAGCCCCTCTGTCAACTCGAATTCTGCATTTTCCTGTAAGACCCAGCCTACGCCCGCTCTGTCTAGAAAGCTCCCTTGCTGGGTCATGTGGGTAACTACCCTCCCGCTTCTCCTTCCTCCTTCCCTGTGTGCCCAGAACAGGGCAACGTGCAGAGGGGCTGCACTGGGGGAAGGGTAGGGGCCGCTGAAGCACCAGACCACTGCACCGTGCTACTCCGTTCCCATAGCCCTGCCCTGTGACAGGGTCACTGTTACTCTCTCCTTGCCCGACTTTATCAAAGAGGAACCTGGGGATGGGAGTCCAGTGTTCTGTCCAGCTAGCGAGCTCAGGGTCTGGATTGGAACTCAGGTCTGTTTGACTCCAAGGTCATCGCCACTCGTAAGGTTAGCTGGGGGCTTTCCTGGCCCACCCTGCAGCCTGAACTCACTCACCCTGTCGTGCCTCCCTTCTGCCGGTGGGGGCCGAGGGGGCGTCCCTACCCTTGGTGTTCTCCACCCTCCCATTCTGTCCTCAGGCCTAGGGTGGGCTTGGGGCGAGGAAGGCCGGATCTCCAGCTGAAACGACTCCTGCCCTTTCTCCTTCTTAGACCCAGCGGAGATCCCGTTTTGCACCCTCAGGGCCCATCCTGCTCTCATACGTGTTGTGTTCTCTTTGACCTTCAACCAGAGGTGGCCCGGTGTGTGTGGCAGCCGCCCAGGCTGGCTGAGCACTCTGTGATGGGAAAGGTGACCTGAGCTGTCCTGAGCCTCCCCATCTTCCCCCAGGCCCCGCTAGCTGCTAGATTAATGGTGTGTGTGCAGAGCGCTAGGCGGATCACTCATCCAGCACAGCCGGTGCCTGCCGCAGCAGGGACAAAGTCTGTCTCCCAGGCTCCGGGCACCTCAGACCTGCAGAAGATGGGGGCTCTGATTGTTTGGGCCTCACAAAGACCTCTCTCCCCAGCCAGGCTGGCAGAGCTGGGGACATCCATCAGTACTTCCACCTCTCCTTCCAAAAGCCAATTATGCCCGGACAAACAAACCCCGGCCTTCAGGCTTGGGTTAATTACTGAGTTCTCTAGACATAAAGACGTTTTGTGGTTTTTTACTGCCTGGATGCTCTAGAGAGTGTATTGATTATCTGATTCATTTGGACTGGAGATGCTGCTTCAGCCTGGATCAAAGTGAGGAGGTGGCCACGGAGTTTGGGTCCCAGGACCAGCTCCTTGTTCCAGCACTGCAGCCCACCAGAAATGTGGTGACCTCAGCATCAGGGAAGGGGGTCTTCAGAGGGACCCTCTTGCTCATGAGAGGCAGGAGGGTGCAGTGGTGAAATGCGGGGTCAGGGCTGAGCTTCTTGGTCAAATCCCTGCTCCGCCCCCACCAGTGGGGAAATCTTGGAAGTCCCCCTCGTCTCTCCGAGGTGCCAAGGCCTCTGCAGTTGCAATGTGGGGTAACAGGTGGTATTTGTGCTGTGAGATGCCATCCTCTGGGTACTTGATTTGTGTTTACTCAGTTTACCCTCATGAGACCCTTGGGAGGAAGGAATTGCATCGTCCCCACTCTACAGATGGGGGAACTGAGGTTCTGAATGTGGAGGCATGAGTGGGACCTAGCTCCTGGAGAGCAGTGAGTTAAGTGAATTCACGTTAGCCAAGCGCTTGACCTGTGCCTGGCATGTAAAGTCAGCGGTGAGCGTGCGCTCGCGTTAGCTGAGTGAAGCTCCTGGAGGCTCACCATGTGTTTGCCTTCTAAAGAGGCCAGAAGGAGAGGCCAGGCCTAACCCGTGGAATCCAAGGATTCGGGGCATCATCAGTGTCACAGTTGTAGGTGGGGTCCTTCCCCAGTAATCTTGCTCAAAGTTTGTCCTCTGTTTTTCTCCTGCCCTCCTTTCCTTGCCTTCTTTGTGAGGGCCCTACTCAGATGGAGTCCTTGCTGGCCGGAAATAGGGTCATGGCTGGTGGTGTCCAGGGAGTGTGAGCAGGTTGCTTGGAATCCTGGGCAGGGGGGTCTCTAGTGAGGTCCCCCGGGGCTCTACCTTCAGCCTTGTTTTGAGAGTTGTTTTTCTTCAGTGTCTTGGTTGCAGGCATAGACTCAGGCTTTTTGGATGCCAGTATCAGTGTTAGTCCTTAGAGGACACTTTCTAAGAGCCAAGCCCTGGTGTAAGTCCTCTAGATGTAGTTCCTTATTGAATGCTCTCACAATCAATCATGTGAGGGAGGTTCTGTTAACATCCACCTGCGTGCTGAGGAAACCGAGGCCCAGAGGGGCCCTGTGACTCATGTAAGGTCATGACACTCGTCATATACCGCAACTGAGTTAGGCGGTCTTGCCTGAGTCCACACTCCACACCCCTCTGTCACACAGCCTCCTGTGATAGCTCGAGATGGGGAGATAATTTCAGGTGACAGAGTCAGGATTGAGAACAGCCCTGGCACTCTCAAGTGATAAGATCAATTCTAGCAGGATGGAATTTAACAGGGAAAAATGTAAGGTCCGGAGCTTGGGTCCCTGAATCAACACTTATGAGATGGAGGCTATGCGGCTTTTTGGGGCTGGTACAGGCCTCAGTATAAGCTAACCATTGGCCTCTGTCCAATGCAGTTTCACTCCAGCCAGTAGAGAGGAACCAGCAGGTGTCAGCCTAAAGAATGGAAGGCAAGGTAGTGCCAGCTGTGGTTTCAAAACTCCCTGGGGAGGAAATAGGGTCAGGACCCCTGGGTAAAACTCACAGGGACGGTTCCAGGAAAGCTACTCATCAGCTTTGAACTTAGACCAGGGGTTTGCAAACAATGGCTCTCAGGCCAGACCTGGCCCTGTGACTGCTTTTGTAAATAAAGTTTTATTGGCACACAGTCATGTCCATTGTTTATATGTTGTCTTGGCCGTTTTCATGCTACAGCTGCAGAGCTGACTCATGGCATCAGAAACCGCATGCTTGAAAAGCCTAAAATACTGACTCTCTGGCCTTTTCTGGAAACACTTGTTTATGAGGCCCAAGAATACTGATCTTCCACACTGTGAAGACATGAGCACCCCTTGCCCCAGGACCTTCATGGCCACCCTTTCATCAGAGGCCTGGAGGTCTCTGAGCCTGCTCCTCCCCTGGCTAGCTCTGCTCTCAGTTCAAATGCCCGTTTCTCTAAGACGCCATCGGTATCTGCCACCCCAGCGGGTACTAGCCCTGCTTATTGTTCTCTGTTATCAAGCCCCATCCTGTTCCTTCGTCCCCTCTCTTTCCAAGTGCACCTTTGAGCCTGCCTGTTCATATGCTTACAGAGAACTCGCCATGTTCATTTTATTCCCACGTCAGTCCTGTGTGTGGCATGGATCTCGAAGATACATCTTGTTTTTCCCACAGATTTTGGATGGACCGACAGAGAGTGAATGAATGGCTCATCGTCCCCTCCTAGCTATCTTTTCTAGAATGTTCCACAGGTGTTTCAAACCCATCATCATGTCCCAAATGGAAGTCGCTGCCACTGTATTTGCTATTCTTTGCCGGTGAGCATCCTCCGGCTTCCCAAGTTTGGAACTCACTTCGTTTTCCATGCTGTAAGGTTGGAGAACCGTCCCCAAGGCCACCCTCGGGGTTGATAATTCGCAAGAAGGACTCACAGAACTCCCCCAAATCTGTGATGCTCACTGTTAGGGTTTATTACCACGAAAAGACACACATTAAAATCAGCTGAGCGAAGAGAAGTGTGGGGCAGAGTCCAGGGGAGTTCTACAGGCAGGAATTCCAACCATGCTCCCTGTGTGAGCTGCAGGAGTGCTAACTTCTCCCCGCAGCATGTGTGTGTGACGGCACTGCCAACCAGGGAGCTCACCGGGCCTGGGTGTCCAGGCTTCACTGGGCCCTTTGACACAGATGTGGCTGACTGCTCATGTGGCTGACCTCAGTCTCCAGCCCCTCCGAGGTCGCGTTGATGCTATGTGACCCAAAGCCCCCACCCTAAATCACACTGTGACCTGATCGAGTGTGGCCCAAGGCCCCCACATAAACAAAGACCCTCTTATCAGGCAGGACATTCCAAAGCTTAAAGATCACCTCTGAGGAGCCAAGGGCAGAGGCCAGACCTCTCCTTAGGCAAGACTACACTCTGAGGACACACACTTCCTACCTTCCAAACCCAGTACAGCGTCTGTCTCAGGGCCTTTGCATTTATCCTTCTCCTGGTCCAGCCTTTCCCTGGGGGTTCTCCCAGATTTGGTTAACCAGTGCCGTCACCTCCTCCTGCCTGATAGCTGCTTCAACCTGTGAATGCATAATCCTCCTCCTGCTCCCCACGTCCATCTTATAAACCCTGGTGTTCCACTGGGCCATCCCATCTCATTGCCTGAAATACTGTACCAACCCCTCCCTGGGCCAAGGGCCCCAGTCCAGCCTTCCTGGCCACATTCACCACACTTTCCCAGCTGCCTGACCAGCCTTCCTGCCAGGCTCCCTGTCTTGGCTGAGCTGCCCTTCCTTTCCCACACATTCTCTCCTGCCAGGTCTGTGGCCCATTTAGCCTTTGCAAGTCATCTCAGCTGCACTGGAGACCAAGGGCACCTGCATTGAGTCCTCCAGGGAAGGTGGGCAGCCCTGAGCGAGACTAGGTGTTCCTGGAGGGCAGGGCAATCACTCTTTTGCTCACTTCAGTTTCTCAGGGGCCTGGAAGGGCTCCCAGCACAGAGTAGGGGCCAGCAAGGGCTGGATGAGTCATCAAGAGCGTAAACATGTGACATTACCTCGGTGGGGAAGTGATGACCTAAGCCGTCAAAAACAGGGGCTTTAGCTTGACTACGGGAGGGCTTTGGACTAGGGGAATCCTTCAGATGCAGTTCATTGTGCAGAGGATTTGAGCACTGTTGGGGTGCAGGCGGCTAGAACCGGGTCCTGGTTCCGAGGGGTCCCAGTAAGGTGGGGTAAGGTGAAGAGCTCTGTAGAGATTAAGCCAGATGCTTCGGGAACCAAAGGCAAGGCATGGCCAGTGGTGCCCAGGTGAGCTGGGGGCAGCAGCTGGATGTCTTAGCAGGTGCCCAGCTGTGCTGTTTCTGCTGGAAGCCCCTGAAACTCCTCTCTGGAAGTGGACGCTGCTCTCTCCCTACCTAAAAGAAGCCTCTGGTCCCTGGCAGGGGAGGGAGACCTGGAGTGTCCGCGTGTGGTTGAGCCTGAGTGAACAAGTTCCAGGAGGCAGCAGAAGGCAGTGTCAGTGTGGCTGACAGACAGGGGACTGGGTGGGCTCCCATGGCTGTGACAGGTGCTGGCTCTATCCACCTGGGACATTCCATTTGCAGTCACGTCTCCCCTTCCCCATCGAAACCTTTACTCCCTTCCTCCTCCCCAGTCTCTGGCTCCCAGTGGGCGCTACTGGAGGTTGAGGCTGCCCATGAGACTCTTCTGGGCAGCTGTCATTCTTGGCTACAGATTTTGCTGTCTGTTCCCAAATAAAGCTTGGGGACAGGTAGAATTTGGGGCATGTGGGGGTGGGAAGGGGGCATTTCCTGTGGCAGCTGTGTATTAGCCTGTTCTCACCTGCCAATAAAGACATACTTCAGACTGGATAATTTATAAAGAAAGAAGGTTTCATTGGCTCACAGTTCTGCAGTGTTGGGGAGGCCTCAGAAAACTTACAATCATGGCAGAAGGGGAAGCAAACTTGTCCTTCTTCACACGGCGGCAGGAAGGAGAAGAATAAGAGCAAAGTAGGGTAGGGGGAAGCCCCTTATAAAACCATCAGATCTTGTGAGAACTCATATCACAAGAACAGCATGAGGGTAACCACCCTCATGATTCAATTACCTCCCATTGAGTCCCTCGCACGACACATGGAGATTAAGGGAACTACAATTCGAGATGAGATTTGGGTGGGGACAAAGCCAAACCATTTCAAAATGGAAAGCTGAATTGGGATGACCTTGAATAGTGAAGCGCCCTCCCCACTCCCTGCCCTTTGGGATGAAGACTCTCTGATCCCACAGGATGAGAGTGAGTGCCACCTGGATGCTAAGGTGTCTCCACTTTGGGCCCTCCCCTCCATCCCTGGGTGGACATCCTCAAGACAAGGTCGTGAGGCCTCTTGCCTGTCCTCTGGCTCAGGTTCCAAGGTCTCCTCTGTTTCCCGCCTACTTCTCAGGCTCCCGGAAGGCAGGGTGCTCAGGCCTCACGAGGGCAGGACCCAACACAGTGTCTGTCGTCACCTGCCCAGCGGGAATCCCAGTGGGAATCCTCAGGAGGCTGCTGACACCTTTGGCTGAGGCCTTTTCTTACCCACCTTTGCCATCAGACGGGGTCATTTTGACAGATCCCTTGCTCAAAGCCACGGATTCTGAATGCCACTAAGCAGGGACACAGCACTGGGTCCCCTGGTGCATCCTGGGCACCTGACAGTCATTGCAGAATGGATGAGGGAAAGGGGTAACCAGACCCCCAGAGAAGCAGCTGAGCCCTGCTCCAAAGCCCCTTCCTTCCGAATGCCTGTGAGGTCCTGGAGCCAGGCTTGCCGGATGGGTGATGGGATGGGAGAGATGGAGGTGGTGGCTGGCAGAGGAGCTGGCCTTTGTCCTTTCTGAGTGACTGAGCAGACATGGGAACGGGGGCTCTGGGTGCCAGGTGTCAACCCCATAGCCCTCCTGGGCCCTTTTTAGTGTTGCTTCTCCGCCAGGTGGCTGGCTTAGGTCTGAGCTCCTGAGCTCCATCTGGACTCCTATGTCTCCTTGCTTCTACCCCACTCTGAGCTAATTCTGCTCAGTCTGCTCCTGCTTGGCACATGGTCCTGAGAGTTCTTGTCTTCAGAATCCCAGCTTCTGCTCCATCCCCAAATAAATTTCTCCAGTGCCCCAAAGGAGGGCCTAAGTGCCCCGGCACAGCCTCCACGATGCCACAAATGCCAGATAGGAGCCAAAAACCTGTCTTAGGTCTTGGGTCAGCACCTTTTAGACTTTATTGTTTTAGCGCAGTTTTAGGTTTACAGAAAAGTTGCCCTTTCCCGGCTTCCTCTGCTGTCACCATCCTGCATTAGGGCGTGAATTTATCACAGCTGAGGAACCAATTTTGATACATTGTAACTAACAAAAGCCTAAAAGGAGGGTGTACGCTAGGGTTCCTGCTTTGTGTTGTAGTTTCCTGGGTCTTTTCATCTTCACCCCAGGAGCAGGACAGGACTGGTGCTGAAACACAAACTCAGGGCTGTGTGCAGTGGGGAGAGAAGCCATTTTCCACCCCCAAAGCCTTCTTGGTGGGGCATTCGGAAACACTTCTCTGCATCCACCCAGTAGCGTGGGGTGCTGTCTGTCACTGGGCCAGGGTGCAGAAGACTTGCCACCTTTGGGGCTTCCATCCAGCCTGAGTCTGGGATCTCTGTGGCAGGCCCAGCAGCACACAGAAGTTCTCATTCTGGTTCTGCGGCTCAGGGCTCCTACCTGCACGGCAGATGGCTCAGCACTCTGCTAGCAATGCACAGCTGTGGGCCCAGGGACACGCAGCTCATGAGCCAACCGTGAGCTCGCGGGGCAGGCTGGGGGAGCAGGCATCAGAGCGTGGCAGGCAGGGGCTGCTCCTCGGTCAGTGCCCTGTGCCTCCGCCCTTCCTCTTCCAGCTCTGTGAGGTTTCCAGACCTTTTGGTTCAAACCCTGGTCTTGAAAGATGCCAATGGGCTATCAGCTGTCTTGAGGAGGGCACAAAATCATCACAGCAGAATCTCTTCCAATTTACTTTTTAAATGTGCCCCTTGGTTTCTGGACACAGGAGGGCAGTCAGTAGCTACTGGGCCGGCCCACAAACCTGAATCGAGAACTGTGGTGGCGGCCGGAGGAGGGAGATCAGACTGGTATTCTCAGCTTCCTTACACCTTGTCCAAGGTCACAAACCCACAAGTCAAGGAAAAGGAAATAGCAGGGCCCTTAAACCTATGGGAGGGAGGTCTCACCCTTCATATGAAATCCTGCCTGAAATGAGCACTTTTTCTTTTTTAAAAATTTTATTTTTATTTTACTTTAAGTTCTGGGATACACGTGCAGAACGTGCAGATTTGTTACACAGGTACACACGTGTGCAATGCTGGTTTGCTGCACCTATTAACCTGCATTTAGGTTTTAAGCCCCACAGGCATTAGCTATTTGTCCTAATGATGAGCACTTTTTCTTTCTTTTTTTTTTAAAATTTTAATGATGTTATTTTTTTTAGGATATTTTTTAAAGGATAAAGAAACAGATGAAATTAATTTTAACGATGTTATTTAACTTGACGTATCCAAAACTTAATCATTTCAGCATGTAATGAGATTTTTACATTCTTTTTATCATACTATGCCTTTGCAATCAGTGTTTTTCTTTTTTTCATATTGAAATTCAAATGATTATTCCCTCTTTTGGATTAACTTACTCTGCACATAGTATGCGTCCAGTAAATGTTTGTGGTTTATGTTTAGCATATAAAAGTGCTTTGAGGGCAGATATCTAATTCATTGTTGTAGCCCAGTGTTTTTCAAAGGCTTATCTTGGCATACACAATATGCTTTTTTTTTTTCCTTTTTTTTTCTTTTTAATACTTTAAGTTCTGGGATACATGTGCAGAACATGTAGGTTTGTTACATAAGTATACACGTGTCATAGTGGTTTGCTGCGCCCATCAACCCCTCATCTACATTAAGTATTTCTCCTAATGCTATCCCTCCCCTAGCCCCCCACACTCGATGGGCCCCGGTGTGTGATGTTCCCCTCCCTGTGTCCATGTGTTCTCATTGTTCAACTCCCACTTATGAGTGAGAACATGCAGTGTTTGTTTTTCTGTTCTTGTGTTAGTTTGCTGAGGATGACGGTTTCTAGCATCATCCATGTCCTTGCAGAGGACATGAACTCATCCTTTTTTTTCAATGGCTGCATGGTATTCCATGGTGTATATGTGCCACATTTTCTTAATTGAGTCTATCATTGATGGGCATTTGGGTTGGTTCCAAGTCTTTGCTATTGTGAACAGTGCCTCAATAAACATAGATGTGCATTTGTCTTTATAGTAGAATGATTTATAATCCTTTGGGTATATACCCAGTAACGGGATGGCTGGGTCAAATGGTATTTCTAGTTCTAGATCCTTGAGGAATCGCCACACTGTTTCCCACAATGGTTGAACTAATTTACGCTCCCACCAGCAGTGTAAAAGTGTTCCTATTTCTCCACATCCTCTCCAGCATCTGTTGTTTCCTGGCTTTTTAATGATCGCCATTCTAACTGGTGTGAGATGGTATCTCATTGTGGTTTTGATTTGCATTTCTCTGATGACCAGTGATGATGAGCTTTTTTTCATGTTTGTTGGCTGCATAAATGTCTTCCTTTGGCTTCCTTATATCCTTCGCCCAGTTTTTGATGGGGTTTTTTGTTTTTTTTCCTGTAAATCTGTTTAAGTTCTTTGTAGATTCTGGATATTAGCTCTTTGTCAGATGGCTAGATTGCAAAATTTTTCTCCCATTCTGTAGATTGCCTGTTCACTCTAATGATAGTTTCTTTTGCTGTACAGAAGCTCTTTAGTTTAATCAGATCCCAATTGTCTATTTTGGCTTTCGTTGCCATTGCTTTTGATATTTTAGTCATGAAGTCTTTGCTCATGCCAACGGCCTGAATGGTAATGCCTAGGTTTTCTTCTAGGGTTTTTATGGTTTTACGTCTTACGTTTAAGTCTTTAATCCATCCTGAGTTAATTTTTGTATAAGGTATAAGGAAGGGATCCAGTTTCAGCTTTCTGCATATGGCTAGCCAGTTTTCCCATCACCACTTATTAAATAGGGAATCCTCTCCCCATTGCTTGTTTTTGTCAGGTTTGTCAAAGATCAGATGGTTGTAGATGTGTGGCGTTATTTCTGAGGCCTCTGTGATGAGCACTTTTTCGATCCATCAGATTGACAAAGACAGTAAGAAAATAATTCTTCTTCTGGTGGGAATGTAAATTGGAATAACTTTTTTGGGGGGGAGGACAATTTTCTGAGATCTGTCCAAATGTAAGAATGCACACACCCTTTGTTTAAGCAAGTCTGCATCTAGCAGCTGATCATACAGATGATTTGTGCGTGCTCACAGAGACAGGCACACCTGCTGGAGCACCTGCGGGAGCATCGCTCAGGGTAGCAGAACATAGAAAGATCCAAATGTCCACCAGTGGCAGTGATATGGTTTGCATCTGAGTCCCCACCCAATCTCATGTGGAATTGTAATCCCCAATGTTGGATAAGTGGCATGGTGGGAGGTGATCGGATCATGGGGGCAGTTTCTGATGGTTTAATCTCCCCCTAGTGACGTGTTGTGGTAGAGTTCTCATGAGAGATGGTGGTTTACAAGTGTGCAGCACCTCCTTGCCCCGTCTTCCTCCTGCTTCAGCCATGTGAGACCTGTCTGCTTCCCCTTTGCCTTCCGCCATGATTGACAGTTTCTTGAGGCCTCCCCAGCCATGCTTCCTGTACAGCCTGTGGAACTGTGAGCCAATTAAACCTCTTTTCTTTATAAATGACCCAGTCTCAGGAGGCATTTCTTTTATTATTTATTTATTTATTTTGAGATGGAGTCTTGCTCTGTCCTCAAGGCTGGAGTGCAGTGGAGTGATCTCGGCTCACTGCAACCTCCGCCTCCTGGGTTCTAGTGATTCTCTTGCCTCGGCCTCCTGAGTAGCTGGGCCACCACGCCCAGCTAATTTTTGTATTTTCAGTAGAGACGGGGTTTCCCCATGTTTACCAGGCTGGTCTCGAACTCCTGACCTCAGGAGATCTGCCCTCCTTGGCCTCCCAAATTGCTGGGATTACAGGCATGAGCCACCGCGCCTGGTCACAGGAAGCATTTCTTTATAGCAGTGTGAGAACGGATGAATACAAGAGGGCTGGATCCATCCATTACCTGACATTCTTGTGGTGGTTCACTCTGCCGCCTGCAAAGACAGGCAGCTCCAGACACATGGATCCAGTACAGTCTTCACAGATGCTGTGTCCTGTGGCAGGCCCCTTTTGTGTTAAAGAGGGACACACACATAGGCATACAGGCTTACAGAGGCACAGTCTGTCTCTAGAATAACACACAAGGAGCTCCCTCTTCATATTTCCCTTCAGTTCCATTGCCACGTGTCCCTTATGCATGCATGGCCCATTCAAAGTAGACAATAAGAGCAACACACCCATCCATGCTTCTTTGTGAGAAACAGAAAGATAATTCCCTCCCTCATTCCAAATATTTTGAAATGCTTTTGAGGTTGAAGCTCACCCCTCATTAGTCTTAGCAGCAGAAATCATGTGGTATGCCTTCTGCTCTGTGGTGGGTAATATAGATTGATTTCCTTTACATTAATTTAAAATGGCTCCCATGTCAAGGATACTGATCCTCCAGGGTAAGCTTCATGAGGACAGGGACTTTTCTTTTCGTTTTTGAACCAGAGTCTCTTGTTCTGTCTCCCAGGCTGGAATGCAGTGGCACAATCTTAGCTCACTGCAACCTCTGCCTCCCAGGTTCAAGTGATTCTTGTGCCTCAGCCTCCCAAGTAGCTGGGATTACAGGTGCATGCCACCATGCCGGCTAATTTTTAGTAGAGACGAGGTTTCTCCATGTTGACCAGGCTGGTCTCAAACTCCTGGCCTCAAGTGATCCGCCAGCCTCGGCCTCCCAAAGTATTGGGATTACAGGCATGAGCCACTGTGCCTGGCTGGCTTTGCTTTGTTCACTGTTCCATCTGCAGCACCCAAAGGCATGCCCAGCACATAGTAGGTGCTCAAACACTCTGTAGAGTCAATCATGTACGCCCCTGAGCAATGCCATCTTGTCCCTACCTCCCCTCCCCGTCCTGATTGAGGGTCACACAACTTCCCCATGACCTGAGACCCCTGCCTGGGCTGGTCTTGGGAGCAGAGTCTACTGCCCTGAAGCCATGAGACACTGGTTCCTGGCTAAGAATAAGAGAAATCTGCTTGGAAACAGAGCCACTGTAGCCAAAGACAGCATGGTCACGAGCCTGGCCATGTGTTTCACTAAGCTTTGGGAGGTGAAATGTAACAGCCAACTCCTTCTGATTTGAAATATTTAAATGAGCCTGGAGAAATTGTGTTACACATTGGAAACCTTTGAGCTGTGTGCTTTATGAATCCTGTGACAACAGTGATGAGAAGCTCACCCAGAAAGCAGATGGGGCCCGTGGAGCAGGACTTCCCAGCTCACCAAGGACAGTGCAGCCAAGGCTCCCAGGCTTGTGTTCCAGAAGAGCTGCTGCAGGAGAGGGTGGCCCGAAGTCAGTGCTCCTATAGTCCCCGCTCTGGTAGCCTCCTTCTTCTGCTTTCCACAAGAGTAGTGGTGACTTTCTGGCATTTCTCTGATCAGGTCCCGAAGTTAGATAATATTTGGAGAGCCTTGCATGGCCAGCAAAACATGTTTTTAATATTGACCTTCACCCTACAAATTAAAAACTGTTGCCCCTTTCACATTGACCCACCCACCTGGTAGAAGGTAGAAAGGTTCATCTCTGAAATCGCCCTGAGACCCAGGAGGTGCTGGGGGTGGGGAAGCCATCTTCTGATTGGAGAGACCAGCTGTCAGTCATTTTGTGCTGGACACAGGTTCTCAGGGCTCCTGGTTTCTCTAAGAATGGACAAGGACAGCACTCACCCTGTTGCCAGCCTCCTTCCATGCAGCTCCAACTGCAGCCGTAAGTGAACAGTATTTCTCAAAGTTGTTTACAGCTTTGGAAAACATAAACGCCTCATTACCTGTGTGGAGCATCCTCCTGAGAGACCCTCTCCTGGTGCCAGGCCCCTGGGGAAAATCCCGCTATCTTTTGTTTCTGTACAAGCTAACGGGACTTTGTTGAGCCTTACTTTCCCTAATTTACTATAAGGAATAAAAAAATGGACTTTCCCATAACACAAGATCTTCCTATTGACCAAGCTGAATAAACTCCATGTGCCCCACCCATCTTCCATCAGCTGAGAGTCAGGTCTGTTTCCTTAATGGAATCCCCCTCTAAGTCACGGCCTCTGACACAATCACAGCTCAGCTGTGCTTCTTACTGGCAGGACTTTTCCCAAATCACGTGGGTATTTGTGCTGGTTTCCTGCCCTCTGCTGTGGGGTCTGTGATGTCTGAGGCCTTGTCTCTTGTGTCCATCGGGAGACCCTGTATGCCTGGCACATGGCAACACATGAGCACAAGGGCAGGGACTGTATGCGTCCTGCTTACCGGAGCACCTGAACATAGGAAACACCAATACCTGTGGGCCAAATGCACCTGTTGTATTCATTTCTTAGGGCTGTCCTAACAAATAACCATAAACTGGGGGGCTTAAAACAGCAGAAATTATTGTCTCACAGTTCTGGAGGCCAGAAGTCAAAAATCAGAGTATCTGCACAGCTGTGCTGCTTCTGCAGGCTCTAGGGCAGCGGTCCCCAACCCCTAGGCCATGGACAGGTATCATCAGTCCATGGGCTGTTAGGAACTGGGCTGCGCAGCAGGAGGGGAGTAGTGGGTGAGCAAGCAAAGTTTCATCTTATTTACAGCTGCTCCCCATGGCTCACATTACCAGCCTGAGCTCTACCTCCTGTCAGATCAGCAGTGGCATTAGATTCTTATAGGAGCAAGAACCCTACTGTGAAGTGTGCATATGAGGGATCTAGGTTACACCTCTCTTTATGAGAATGTAATGCCTGATGATCTGTCACTGTCTCCCATCAGCCCCAGATGGGACTGTCTAGTTGCAGGAAAGCAAACTCAAGGCTCCCACTGATTGTACACTATGCTGAGTTATAGAATTACTTCATTATGTATTAGAAAGTAAGAATAATAGAAATAAAGTGCACAATAAATGTAATGTGCTTGAATCATCTCAAAATCAACCCCTCCTCACCTCTCTGTGGAAAAACTGTCTTTCTCAAAACCAGTCCCTAGTGCCCAAAAGATTGAGGACTGCTGCTCCAGGAGAAGATCCTTTCTTGCCTCTGCCACTTCTGCCATCTGCTGGCAGCCCCTGGCATACCTTGGCTTGTGGCCACATCTCTCCAATCTCTGCTGCTTTCTCTGCATGGCTTTCTCCCCTCCGTGTCTCTACGCCTATGTCCAAATTTTTCTTTTCTTATAAGGACCACAGTCATTGGATTATGGCCCACCCCACTGTAATGTGACCTCATCTTCATTTGATTACATTTGTCAGGGCCCTATTTCTTAATAAGATTAGATTCACAGCTACCAGGAGTCAGGACTTGAACGCATCATTTGGGGGACCCAACGTAACCCACAACACTGATGGATGCAAAATTAGGAATAAGAGAGGGGCCCAGCTTCGCATCAGGGATCTGCAGTTTTGAACCAAAAGGATGAATGTGAAGCAGCACCACACATATGGTTTACATACAGTATTCCTGTTCTCATGCACTATTTCATGAGATGATGAGACTCACGAGATGGTGTGATAAAAATAATAATAGCCAATATTTGCTGAATGCTGGATCCATGTCGGGTCTGAACTCAATGTTTTATGGGGATCATCTCATTTATTCTCCATTGTTGCCCTACAATGGGGTCATTCCCCTCTCCCCTTCCTTATTCACAAACATCCAGTGAGCTCTTCTTTACTGCGCCGGGCAGTGGATGGGGCACAAACACTGACATCTTCATTTCTAAAGCTGAGAGTCCAAGGAAACAATTTTGGTTAAATCTTCCCTTTCTCCACATCCCTTGCTAGCACTCAAATCATAGTCACTTTCCTCCCCAATGTGCTGCCTCCTCATAAATTTTGTAATCCTCAAATTACATTTCTGTCATCTGCCCATTCGTTTTATTACCTGCCGATAAAGAAAAGGTCAAAGTCAGTAATTCCAGATTTCAGAAGTGTTTAATCATCGCTGATAAATAGAAACCCTTTCTCCAAAAAGGCAAAATGATAACATTAAAATTTTAAAAAATTTGTTGTCAGAATATTTTTAAGAGGACAGTAACCTTTCCATCTGACCTGCTCTTTGGTGAACAAATCAAACGACACAATTATGTCTTCCCTGAACTTCAGTGGCTTTGAGTCTGAATGCGTTAGATTGGGCTTAGCATAAAGAATAGCTTTATAATGCTTAGTGTCCCCGGGATGGAGTGAGTGTCACAGGAAGGCAGCAAATCCCTCCTGCAGAGATTGGAGATTCCCACATAGCGAAGATCAAGTTCTTGGGAATTCTTGTGAAGGGTCCGGGGGAGGGGAGATGTGGAGGGTAGGGGGACAGCCTCAATGTCCACTTAATATCCACAGGGGTCATTTTAGTCCCAATGTTCTGTGAATTCATTCACTAATTGGTTGACTCATTAATGCTTTCATCCATTCAACAACTAGTTTTCTGAATGTTGTGAATATCCGACGAGGGGCTGGGTGACAAGAGTGCAAACACAAACAGAACGTGGTCTCAGCACTCACGAAGCTTCAGGTGTCAGGTGCCATTGTCGGGGCTGGGCAGAGAGCTGTGGGCTGCAGATCAGAGATCGCCCCTGACCTCCTCTAGGGGTGGAACTTAGGGGAACCCTCACTGATGTTTTTGGCACTTTGGGTCTAGCTCTTTCTCAGCTCTGGCATCTGCAGCTAGAGTCAAAGAGGCCACCCTAGAAATGACCATCAGGACCAGATCTGTTCCCTCCCACCAGGAGTGAGGAAATCCCAATAGCCAGCCCCTGCCCACTGATGGAGCCCCCACTGCACTGCCTCACCCTGGAGACTGGCGTTTTTTTCTGGCAAGCTTTGGTGCATTTTAGGGTCCCGGGCTGGATGGTGTCTCTAAGGGTAGCCTCTGCTTGCCTGGCCCAGCTGGGATCTCAGGGGGCATTTGAGGCCCAGAAAAGGCCAGTGGTCTTTGTACCTTTTGGAAACCATTATCAGAAAGAACCACTGAGGTGGGAGAGCTGAAAGCTGCTGTTGCCATGGACACGATGGCCACGGAGATCTGAAAACCATCAACTGGTTTGAGAGCCACAGGGAAAAGCCATGTACCCCAGTCTCTGGGTGCTGGAGAAAGCCCAGGCCATAGTGGGACAGGAATCAGGGTAGTAGGCAGGCTGGAGAAGGAGGAAAAGGGGGGGAACGGAACTGAGAGGGTCAGGCCATGTCTAGGGATTCTGGTCCAGGACCCTGATAAGAGGGCTATGTCCCCTTACAGATGACCTGGGTAAAGGCCCGGAGGGGTGATGTTTGTCTGGGGGTTCCAACACTATGGTCCAAGTGGTGCTGCTTTGATGGGACCCCCACCTAGAGCAGCTCTGAAGACATTCCCCAGGGGCTGCTTGATTGGGAATGTGGAGATGGGCAGTTATTAGGAACAGAGCACAGGCTGTCTGCAGGGCTCTGCACTTCTTCCTCCTCATCACTCTTCGGAAGCCCAGAGGCCCCCAGAGGGATGGGTTACTTGGAAGTCATCGTAATGTTCTGTACCTGAGAGTTAGTTGGCCCTAGGAAATTGTCCCCCAATCATGAAATGTCCCTCTTGTCGTATCCTGTATGGGGGTGGGATGAGGTGGAGTGGATGGGCCTTGGGGGGCTGCTCTGAGGTCAGGGAGTCCAGTATCCACCCTCACCTTGCCTCACACTACGCACCAGCCTTGGGAGGAACCTGGCTTGTCATTCACAGTGTTACCTTCAGATTGTCCATGTCTAAGTAGAGGATCATTCATTCAACAAACATGGTGGGCCCTGCCCTGCGGAAGCGCCACATGAGTGCTGGCCATGTGGTATGAGTAGGCAGGTGAGCGGGTCCTCAAGGGCATCTGAGTGAACAAACACACAAAGTACAGCCAGATGTCTCAGGAGGAGTCTTAGAGTGATGAAACCATCTGTAGCTGCACTGGGACAGTTCTAGCAGTCTACACATATGATGAAATTGTATAGAAATACAAACATGAACACACAGACACATGTGAACATGCATGGAGACACATGCAGGTACATGCATGTACACACAGAGACACACGTAGACACAAAGAGACACATATGTAAAGACGGACACATACACATTCAGACATACACACATAGATAAAAACATGCACACACACACATATACACACACAGAGATACACATAGAGGCACACATGTACAAACACAGAGATATGCATGTGTGTGCATACACACAAATACACATAGACACATAAGCACATATACACAGACATGCTGACACAGATATACACATGTGTACACAGACACAGAGACGTACACACACATAGACACACATGTCCACACACATGAATAAATATACACATAGACATGTGCACGCAAGCACATACAGGCACACACATGCACACACATGCACACACATGCACACACAGAGACACATACAGACACACTGGTACACAAATGAATACAGATATACACATAGCTGCACACAAGCACACACAGACACACACATGCAAACACAGAAACAAATAAAGACTCACATGTACACACATGAATACAGATATACACATAGACATCTGCACACAAGCACACACAGACACACACATGCAAACACAGAAACAAATACAGACCCACATGTACACACATGAATACAGATATACACATAGACATCTGCACACAAGCACACACAGACACACACATGCAAACACAGAAACAAATACAGACCCACATGTACACACATGAATACAGATATACACATAGACATCTGCACACAAGTACACACAGACATACACATGCAAACACAGAGACACAGACACACATGTACACACATGACTACAGATACATAGACATGTGTGCACAAGCACATACAGACACACACATGCACACAGACACAGACACACACCTGCACACACATATGCATGTGTGCACATGTGCACATAGACACACATGCACACACAAGAGTGTATGGAGAAAATGGTGAGATCTTCGTAAGGGTCTGCAGATGGCACCTGTGTTAGTTTCCTGTGCTGAGCTTTGGATTATAATGATCAACAGTGAAACCGCTGGAAAAGCTGGGGGAAGGGGACTTGGAACCTCTCTGCTATTTTGGCAACTTCCCATGAGCCGACCCTTTTTTCAAATGTAAAAGTAATTTAATAGTTTACCATTTAATATATCTGGGGACACAAGACATTAGTATTAATTGAATTTAATTGCTATTAAAATAAGTTAAATTTAATATAGTAATAAATGAATATAAACATAAAAATAATGACAAATCCTTGCCAGTGGCCTAAATATTTAAATTACTTACTAGTAAAATTTTTCAATGATTTCCATCCCTATTTATATATATAAAAAATAACTACGCAAGCACCAAATCAGCAAAACGATGGTGCCTTCGTGTAGGTGCTAAGAGGCACATCACGGAGCGTCAGGAAGGAGGAGGAAGCCAAGGTGACACAGGATGGAGTGTGTGCCGCCTCCACCACCATCTCTTTATCCGCCTTGCTGTATTTATAGATGTGCATCTTCACACGTGTACAGCCTTTCAGGTCTAAATTCACCTTTGAGGGTGCTTCATTTGTCTTTCCTTTGGGGGTTTGTGGGATGGGAACGGATTGAACCCTAGGACCGTATATTAGAAGCTGCAGGCAGCATGCAGGGTGAGCAGAACTGCAGGCAGCATGCAGGGTGAGCAGAACTGCAGGCAGCATGCAGGGTGAGCAGAACTGCATGCCCTGAGGACGGGGCCCACCCTGCAGCCCCTCACCGCCGCCTGGCCACAGGGCAGCAGGGAGTGGGAACCTCCTTATTTCCTGGGCTCTCTGGGCTCTTCCTGGAGCTTTCATTACCAGTCATAAGGGGACTGTAAAGAGCACCTTGGGTAGCCATTTAAAAAGTGACGAAACCACCTATAAACCAGCAAATTATACAGGGGAGGCATTTTATGTCTTGTTTTCTTTACAGCCATTCTGAAAGGGGACATAAAAGTCACTGGAAAGTCCTGGTTCCTGTCACCTTCGGGCCCCATTGCAGCCTGCATGGTATGACTCATTTGTTTTCAGAGGCTGCTGCCCCAGTGCTGGCACAGGGAGGGACCAACTAGGGGCTGTCTTTTAGAACTGTATTATCCAGAGACAATATTCTCCCTGTGTCCCGAGGAGTGATATTTCCTGACCCCTGGGGCAGAGCCGGGAGGCCTGGGAGAGTTCAGAGAGCAGAAGCCCCCTTTTCACCCCAGGCTCAGTCCTTACCTGCAATCTCCAAATGTTCCCTTATTGGGGCCACATCATTCACCCTCCCCACCAAGGATAGTGATCATGATTGACAGCTGCCTTCTGTGTCTGCAGCAGCCCCCATGGGAGGGGTATTTCTGAATGGTGAAGGATCATTCTTCCTAGTGATGAGGCTCAGTGCTGGGAGCTTGAAGGTTTGGGTTATGATAAAGAGTCCATTACCAACTGGCCTCGGGCCTTTGGGAATTGCTATGATGCTGTGACCTGCTTTTATCATCAGTGAAATGGGTGAGTAGAAAGTTTGTCCTGATGAATTTCATTTGAAAGTAAAAGGAACCTGTGTATGATGCTTTGACTTAAGCAGGAGAAAGAACACCTGAGTGCTTTGCTTGGGTCAATTTATGCCTCTGAGTTCTCAGCCAGTCACATTAGAGCACAGAGGCTGCAGTTTAATTATAGACAGCACTCGAGATCTGAGGAATCATGGAATAATAGAGGTTCCAGAAAAATAGAGATAAGAAAATGTTTCATAGTGGTTGAACTAACTTACATTCCCACCAACAATGTAGAAGCATTCCTGTTTCTTCACAAACTCACCAGCATCTGTTGTTTCTTGACTTTTTAAATAACCGCCATTCTGACTGGCATGAGATGGTATCTCATTGTGGTTTTGATTTGCATTTGCATTTCTCTAATGATCAGTGATATTGAGCTTTTTTCCATATGTTTGTTGGCTGCATGAATGTCTTATTTTGAGAAGTGTCTGCTCATGTCCTTTGCCCACTTTTTAATGGGGTTGTTTGTTTTTTTCTTGTAAATTTGTGTATGTTTCTTGTAGACTCTGGATATTAGACCTTTTTCAGATGGATAGATTGCAAAAGTTTTCTCCCACTCTGTAGGTTGCCTATTCACTCTGATTTTTTTTTTTTTTTTTTTTGCTGTGCAGAAGCTCTCTAGTTTAATTAGATCCTGTTTGTCAATTTTTGCTTTTGTTGCAATTGCTTTTGGCAATTTCGTCATGAAATCTTTACCTGTGCCTATGTCCTGAATGGTATTGCCTAGATTTTCTTCCAGAGTTTTTATAGTTTTGGGTTTCAAACATTGTGGAATACAGTGTGGCAATTCCTCAAAGATCTAGAACCAGAAATACCACTTGACCTACCAGTCCTATTACTGGGTATATACCCAAAGGAATATAAATCATTCTATTATAAAAATACATTCACTCATATGTTCATTGCAGCACTATTCACAATAGCAAAGACATGGAATCAACACAAATGCCCATCAATGACAGACTGGATAAAGAAAATGTGGTACATATACCCCATGGGATTCTATGCAGCCATAAAAAGGAATGACATCATGTCTTTTGCAGGGATATGAATGAAGCTGGAAGCCATTATCCTCAGCAAACTAATGCAGGAACAGAAAACCAAACGGTGCCTGTTCTCACTTATAAGTGGGAGCTGAACAATGAGAACACATGGACGCAGGGAGGGGAACAACTCACACTGGACCCTGTTGAGGGACTGGAGAAGGGAGAGAATTTGGAAAAATAGCTAACGCATGCTGAGCTTTATACCTAAGTGACGGGTTGATAGGTGCAGCAAACCACCATGGCACACATTTACCTATGTAACAAACCTGCACATGTACCCCAGAACTTAGAAAAAAACAGAGAGAGAGAGAGAATATTTCAATTTCAAATCAGAGAAAAAAACAGATTCTGGAAATGACAGGCCAGAAAGCACTTGAATTGGAGCATCCAGAACCTGGGAGTGTGTGGTCTCACTGTATTTCATATGGGTCAGACATACTTGTGACCTGTTGAGTGTTTAATACCACATTTAACTACGTCATTTATAAAGCTGATTAGGTTCTAAAAAGGGATGAAGCAGCAAGACATGTTTATCTTGCAACAGAAGAGTAGGATTGTTTGAATGTTGGGTGTATATTTTTACAGACAGGAAATAAACCATTTCTATGTGTGACCTTAGAGGTTTCAGAGAAGTAGACCTCCATCTGTCAAAAGGAAGGGATTTCTCAAAGTCTGAACAGTTCAAAGTAGGAATAGGCCACCCAACAAGGCCTGTCCCAGTAGAGGCTGGGTCAGCCTAGGCAGGACTCATGCAGATGGGTCTGGGATGCGGTGGAGGGGATGAGATCAAATAGTACTCAAGTTGTGTTGAAAGATCTGAGGTCTTAGGAGGGTTGGCACCAGAATAGCTCTTCAGGGAGGGTTTTCAAGGGCAGCCTTTCAGCATTTTCCCAACAGGAATCTTGCATGTGCCACTCTGCCTGCTGGTAATTACTGGCCTCTCTCATTTTACTGGGACTACAAAGAATAATGCTCGTGGGGGATAAAACTCAGCAGTCAGCCAGTCATTCTCTACTGGAAGACTAGATCTTATATTTGCAGAGATTAAGCTCCCATCTGGACACAACAACCCTTGCCTTTATGGTGGGGACTTGGCCCATCTCAGAGGGCTGCTCATGCCCAATTTTCAGCACCAAATATTCTACTTTTCAAATGTTTAGAGGGTCCAGGAGCCAATGCTAGAATCTTGTCCTGTGTATTGTGTTGGGGGCATCTTGTCCCACAAACATGTACCGCCCTGCAGCAGGACTGAGTGGGAGAGAGAGAAGCGTAGCCCAGCTCCACTCCATCATCACAGAGATATTGGATGAGTAGTGTGTCCCATGAAAGATGCCACATCGTGCAGTAGCCTTGGATTTTATTAACCAGAAAGGAGACATGATCTGAGCTGTTACGAGATGAAACGGGCTCTTGGGAAAATTTCAAATTGCTCATTACAGAGGAGAAGCATGGGAAAACAAGGAGCCACTTGCTTTTGGAACATGAAGCCAGCTGTCTCTCCCTGTTCTCTGTATTCATGGATTCCTGGCTCTCTAGCACCATGCACCTACCTTGTCATCACTGCCAACTTCCACCCATCCCATTCTCTGCAGGCAGCCACGTTTCCTTTCAGCTGCCTCTGCCACCTCTTTTGTTCTCATTTGCTTTATATCTGGGCAGCATTATAATTGTCTCACACAGCCTTTGATGAAAGCAGAGGAGGTGACTGAGGTTCCCATGAAATAAGAAAAACAAACAAACAAATTTAAGAACTTGGAGACTGTCTTGTCCAACCTCCTACCTCAGACTCTAGAGTCAAGAAATCCATTGATTTGTAAAACTTCCTTAACGTGGAGTAATACTGAGAATGTTTTTAGACTGCATTTGTGAGTATCTTGAAGAGAATACCATCTTGAAGGTTGCCGTCACTTTAGCTTTGCAAGTAAATACAATCTAAAAGGGTATGATTTCTTTCTCAAGTTCAGATTGGTGGGTTGTAGATATTTCAAAAATAGTGATATACCTTCTTTGAGACAAAAAATTTCATGGAACCGCCATCTATGAAACAGGGAGAAATGAGTTATGGGTCAAGGGCCCATGTATCCACCCCTGGACATCCCAGGCATCTTCTAAAGCAAATTTTAAGCCTCCTGCTATAAGTAAAGGGGAAACAACAAATGGACTCTGTCCAGGCTGCAGCATACCAGTGGTTCAGGGCTTCCCATAAGAGTTTACAGCCCAATTTACTCATTTAACAAACATTTATGGAGTGTCTGCCATATGTCAGGTTTTGCTAGGTATTTGGGATACACCAACAGATGAGAAAAACAAGGTCCCTGTTTTTATAGGGCTTAGATTCCAGCACGTGACACTGGCATATTTTGCTACATGTCACGCAGGAAATGAACAACATAATGAGATGGAGCCACAGGGTAGGGGCTGCTGCAGAAAGGGCTGTCCTTGTTGACTTACCCATCTGAATTTGATGGTGCCCTTCTTCCCCAGGCCCACTCATTTTTCTGAGACCTAGCACCACCTGAAAGGAGGTCCTTAAATGCCCTGTGTTTCCTGAGGCAAACTAGAAAGCAGAGACTTCTTCAGGGAAGGACTGATAGAAGAGGCAAACTCTGCAAAACACCTTTTCCAGTCTTCTTGAAAATGATTGTGATGTCAGGCACCTCTGGACATTTGTAGACAGATTGAAGGTGGGCATTTTTAGAAAACAATTAAGGATGATGGTGAGCTTAGCTCTCCTTTCTAGGAATCATAAATCACTAGCAGGGGAGTTATACATCCTTGATTTGGGCCAGTGAAGACTCTCAGGGAGATTGTTTAGCTACCATGGCATCTGAGAAGCAAAGCTGAGGCCTTAGCAAGAGACAGCCCTGCTAGCCCAAGTTGAGTGCAGAAACAGCTTCCTTCCTCCTCCATCTCTTCTTTTTCAGGACCACAGAGAGTTCTGACCATCCTCGTCTTCTATATGCAACAGAACGCCGTTCAGTCTCCAAGGGTTAAGATAGTACAACAAAGCATGAGAAGTTACAAAGAAATGGGGAAAAGATACAGACAGGCTTTTATATGAAGCAATTTCATTCCTTAACAACTATGTTCAAACCATACTTTGATGAACCAAATCCCATGCAATGAAAGAGTTCCTTATTAAACAAACACAATAAAACAATTAGAAAGTAATCTTTTTTTAATTTAAAAAAAGCTTTATTGAGGTGTAATTAGCATAGAATAAACTACACATATTCAAGGTGTACAACGGCTGAACTGTGTCCTCCCACCTGGACATCTGTTGAGACAAAAAGAGAGTCTCAGGTACTCTCTTAGTACCTGAGAGTGTGACTGTATTTGGAGATACGGTCTTTAAAGAGGCAAGTAAGTTAAAATGAGGTTATTGGGTAGACCTCTTTTCCCATATGACTGATGTTCTCATAGAAGAGGAGATTAGGGCACAGACACACACAGAGGGAAGATGAGAAGGCATGGGAGAAGACAACCACCTATACACCAGAAAGAGAGGCCTCGGAAGGAACCAACCCTGCTGACACTTTGATTCTGAGCTTCTAGCCTTCAAGACAGAGAAAATAAATCTGTGTTGTCGAAGCCATTCAGTCTGAGGTACTTTGTTGTGGCAGCCCTTGTGAACAAATACACTACTGCAATGATAATAATAATGAACATGTTTGTCATCCCTGCAAACTTCCTCCTGGTCATTTGTAGCCCCTCCCACATTCCCTTCCCTCACTCTTCCTGGGCACCACCACTGATCTGCTTTCAGTCACTATGGATTAGTTAGTATTTTGTAGAATTTTATAGAACTGGAATCATACAGGACGCACTCTTTTATTGGGGGTAGGTCTTGCTTCTTTCATTAAACTTAATTATTCTGACATTCATTCATGTTGCGGCATGTATCGGTAGTTCAATTTTTATTACTGAGTAGTATTCCAGATATGCCAGGATTTATTATCACTTCACCTGACGATGGGCATTCTGATCGTTTCCAATTTGTGACCAATATAAATAAAGCTGTTAGGAATATTTGTACACAAGTCTTCATGTGCACCTAAGACTTATTTCCTCTTGGGTAAATGTAAGTATGTGGGTGTGGAATGGCTAAATCGTATGGTAGGTGTAGAGTTAACTTTTTAAGAATCTCTAAACCTTTTTCCCAAGCAGTGGTGCCATTTTATATTTCTACCAGTGCCGTATGAGAGTTCTAGTACCTCTACATATGCACAAATGCTTGCTATGATCAATCTTTTCAATTTCAGACATTCCAATCAATGTGTAGTAGGATCTCCTTGTGGTTTTAATTTGCATTTCTCTAGTGACTAATGATGCTCCAGCATCTTTTCATGTGCTTATTTGCCATTGGGACATCTTTTTTGGTGAAGTATCACTTCAAATATTGTTCCAGTTTTAAAAAGTCGGGTCATTTATTTTTGAAAGTATATTCTTCTTATATATTCTGGAGACAAGGCCTGTGTCTAATATCTGACCTATCTAACGAGGTCTTTGACACATTGCAACTGTAATTTCTTAGACTGCAGCTCGTCTTTTCATTTTATTCACAGCATCTTTCAAAGAACAGAAGCTTTACATTTTGGTGAAATCCAATTTATCAATTTGTTTCTTTATGAATTGTGATTTTGGTGTCAAATCAAAAAATATTTGCCCACCTTAAGGTCACAAAGCCTTCTTGCTAGGAATTTTATGGTTTTATGCTTTTAGGTTTTATATTTAGAACTGAGACCTATTTTGAGTTAATTTTTATAGGCTGTGCAAGGTATGGATTGAAGGTTATTTTGTCTTGCATGTGGGTAAGCAATCATTTCAGTATCATTTGTTGAAAAGATTATCCTTTATCTATTAAATTGTCTTTGCACCTTTGTAAAAAAAAAGCCCACAAGTTATCCATATATGTGTGGGTCTATTTCTGAACTCTCTTTTATTCCATTGATCATTTATTGATGCTGATATCAGTGCTATACTGTCAAGATTGCCATAGCTTTACAATAAGTCTTGACATCAGCTAGTTCTTTCTCAACACGGTTTTGGCTATTTTGGTCCTTAGCATGCATTTCCATATGAATTTTAGAATCAGTTTGTCAATTTCTACATAAAAAGCTTGCTGTCATTTTGAATGGGATTGCCTTGAATCTATAGAACCCCTGGGGAAAGCTGTCACCTTTTTTTTTTTTTTTTTTGAGACAGAGTCTCACTCTGTTGCCCAGGCTGGAGTGCAGTGGTGCAATCTTGGCTCACTGGAACCTCCACCTCCTGGGTTCAAGTGATTCCTGTGCCTCGGCCTCCCGAGTAGCTAGGATTACAGGCATGTGCCACCATGCCTGACTAATTTTTGCATTGTTTTAGTAGAGACGGGGTTTCACCATGTTGGCCAGGCTGGTCTTGAACTCCTGACCTAAAGTGATCCACCCACCTTGGCCTCCCAAAGTTCTGGGATTACAGGTGTGAGCCACCACACCTGACCTGTCATCTTAACTATAATGCATCTTGTCATCCGTGGACACAGTATATATTTCCATTTATTGAAGTCTTCTTTAATTTCTCTTAGCAATGTTTTGTAGTTTTCAGTGTACAGATATTTCACATCTTTTATTAGATTTATCCCTAAATATTCATTTTTATAATATTTATCTTTAAATATTTTATTTTTGATGCTATTATATATGGTTTTATTTTTTAAATTTCAGTTTCCAATTGTTTGTTGTTACAATTGTGTTGGGACACACAATTGTGTATTGTTTGTTCATTTTTTTTGTTTGTACAATTAAATTTTGTCTATTGATCTTGTGTTATGCAGCCTTGCTAAACTCACTCATCTGTAGAATCTGTCTCATTCCTGATTTTGGTAACTTGTGTATTTTCTGTTTTCTATTCTGATAAGTCTGGCTATTCAGATTGGGTTGATCAATTTAATTGGTTTTCTCAAAGACCAACTTTGGATTTCATTGATTTTTTCCCCACTTTTCTCCTGTGTTACTGATTTCTGCTCTGATCCTTATAATTTCCTCTCTTCTATTTACCTTGGGTTTCGATTTCTCTTCTTTTTCTAGTTTCTTAAGGTGGAAGCTGAAGTTGTTGATGGCACTCAGTCCAGGACTGATTATTCCCCATGATTGAAGCAAGACTCTTCTGGGTAGTCGACTCAAAGTCCCACAAATCATGAGGTTTTCCAGTCTAGTTGGTGTTAACAGGCAGCATACCCACCAGTGGGCTCTGTTCTCTCTAATCCTTGGGTGAGTCTTTCTATAGACTTGAGTCATCTTCTCCCAAGCATGTGCCAGTCACTTCTCAGCTGAATACTCAAGGGGGCCACCTGCAAATCTCCAGAGCCCTCTCTGTCTCTATGTAGCTCTCTTCCGTGGTCCCCAGTCTTGCAAACTCTTGCTGCCTTGGTCTCCCAAGACTCAGCTAAGCCTCCTTAGCTGAGGCCATCCTCTGTGCTCCGTCTGTGCCACAGTAGGCAATGGGAGGTGGTCAGATGGGGCGATCTTGGGGCTTGCTTCTTTTGTTTCCCATCTCTCAGGGGGGTCACTGATCTTCATTGCCTGATGTCCAAACATGTCTTGGCCACTTTTATTTGGTCCCTTTAAAAAATTTGAACCAACACATTGGCTCCCCTGGGTCCTTGTTGACACATTCTGCTGATCTTAGGACTTGGCCTCCATAATCCCGTGAGCCAATTCCTTATAATAAATCTCTTTCTACATAAGTATATATTGATATATGCATCATATTGGTTCTGTGTCTCTGGAAATCTCTGAAGAATAGAGATACTTGTTTGCTTCCGGCTGGAGGATCAATCTGGTCCCTGTCCTTCCATTTTGCTCAGAAGAGGGAGTGCCAAATATATCAATCTGTATGGATACAAAGAATCATTTTGTGCAACATAGATCATTTCTCCATCATTCATTGATTCAGGAAGTTTGGGTTTTCACAGGTTGGGTTTTCTTGTGGGGGGACTCATGGCCACCATGAGGGGAAATCACTGGCCTTCAGGAGCAGAGCATTGGTTGGCCGTTGAGTGGATTTCCACGATTAAGGTCTGCTGTGCCATGCGGACATTCCCTGGTTCCAGCTCTCTGAAATGCAAGCCAGATGCTACACAATTTGCTCATAATTTCCCAATCCTCCCTTCATTTGGCCAAATGGTTGCACAGCAGCCAGGGTGCTGGCCATGGAGAAATCGGGGTGTGGCTGGCGTGCTTTCCTCTCCCCTCTGCCTTGTTAGAGTGATGACTTCTGTCCCCTGCCCACATATTTCAGGCCCCATAAAGCAGGCTTGATTACACAGTTGTGTTAGCTTGCTGACATGTAAAGACAGCGGCCCTGTGATTAATCAGCCCTGAGCTGAGCTCTCTGGGAGCGATGGCTGTCCTGAGGAACATCTGACAGCACATCTGCCCTGCGTCTTGCATGGGCTAAAACCATTTCTGCTCCTGAGAGAGTTTTCCAGGCTGCACTTAAGAATTTTTATGGGTTTATGGTGACATTTCCATTTTAATTTGCTAATTTTTATTGGTGAAATTGAGAGGCAACTCCAGATTTATTGGCATTTCACAGCCTGTTGTGTTCCATCTACAGCTGTGGAACTTAACAGCCAGGAGGGCAACCTGTCCCGCATCGTGTGCATTAACCCGCTCGGCATCTGGGAACAGGAGCACTGCTTGCAGATATGGACCAGCTCCTGCACTGTGGGGACCCCATGAGGGGAGCGAGTCTGTATCTGCTGATAAACACCTCCACCATCTTCACCGGGTCAGACAACTTCTTAGGGGATCAGACACAGGTGCAGAGAGAGCCTTGGTTTCTCTGGCTCTTCTCTCTCCATGGGACCACACCTGATCTTCCTCTGTCTCTTCCAGGCCTTCCTGGCTGCCAGAAGCTTAACACAAACAGCGCATCTTGGATCCAGTTCCTCGCAACGCCACAAAGTGTGGTCAGGAATGTCTTTTCAGTGGCTCTATTGTTACTAACGTTTACGACAAGTCAATGTCTCTCGATTTTTCTCTGGAAAACACACACACATACACACACACATTTTTTCTCTGGAACACACACACACACGCGCGCTTTGACTTACGGTTGGCACTACCATTTAAAATATTTTTATTTGTATGTTTAAAGTCTTTTCTAGCACCACCACCTTTCCCTGTATTTATATGTGCTGTTGCATTGCCCCATCATTGTTTAATATGTATCACCCTCTCTCTCCACCCCATAAATAGCAAATTCCTCAAGGACAGCGATGATGCCAGCTCCTCATTCTGCAACCCCTGTTGCACAAGGCTGTATAAACAGGAAATGTGAGTGCTTTGACGATTAATAATTTGGTCCATATGTTCCCTGAAACATTTACAACCCAGGAACACTGGAAATAAGTGACCAACTACAGGAAAAAACTTTGGTAAATTACCGTCCTTGAAAAAACATAACAGTTATTAAAAATGAGACTTGGGAATCTACAATAATGTGGGGAAACACTTATGCTACAATGTTACGTGAAAGGAGGATTAAAATATAAGTAGCCTATGATTCTAACTATATGCATATATTATTATTTTGCTATTTATTTAAACCCAGTCTTGTTCCAAAAGGAATTTAAGACAAATGGTACAAATATGTATATAGTCACAGACATCTGAAAAAATACTAAACAAAAAACCATGATTGTTCCCTTCCTTCCCAAGTAGCATGTGGGAAAAGTCAGTATCATTCTTTTAGGTGAGGTCTTGACTGTCCACAGCAATGAGAGGATTCTGGGCGTCCTTTGCCTCCCCTAGAGACCTGGACGTGAAGACAGGGTTTGAAATTCATTGTCTGCTGAGATGAGAAACCACAAACATCTCTACTCTGGGTTCTTGTGGTGAACAGGGCCTGTGCCCACATGTACATCACCAAGAACCTGTAGAGGAACCTGGCCCCTGCCCAACGATGCCCATGGATGCTGTACCAGAGAGAAGAGGCTCATAATGCCCCACACCCAGCGGGTTCGGCCAGGGCATCTAATTCTTGGCCAGGCCGCCTGGCAGCAAGTGTGGCCCCACTCCCGTTAGAGTGGAAGATAGCAGGAGACCTGCTGCAGGATCCTCTCCCAAGGCTACTTCTTCTTCCAGTCATATAGCTGGAGTGCAGTGACGTGCAGTGACGTGATCTTGGCTCACTGCAACCTTCACCTTCTGGGTTCAAGTGATTTTCCTGCCTCAGCCTCCTGAGTAGCTGGGATTACAGGTGGGTGCCACCATGCCCGGTTAATTTTTGTATTTTTAGTAGAGACGAGGTTTCACCATGTTGGTCAGGCTGGTCTTGAACTCCTGACCTCAGGTGATCTGCCCACCTCGGCCGCCCAAAGTGCTGGGATTACAGGCGTGAGCCACCTTGCCTGGCTTGGGGCTACTTCTTGAGTCTCTGGAGCTGCTCCCTCGTCAGCCTGTGAGTGATGAGGTTCAGATGCCCATTTTCCAGACACCCTCACTCAGCCCTCACATCTGGGCTAGAAGTAGGAAATTCAGTTCTAATTGAGAGTCTTGAAAATCGCAAGAGAATTTTCATTGTTGGAGGTTGGTTGGAGGTGGGAGGGCCTTTCCTGAATTTCCCTAGGTGGCCCAGCAGAGGGAGTGCAGCTCCCAAAGGCTGCCCCCTCTCCCCTTGCTTTGACATTGGGCTCAGATCAAATGAATTCAGCCTCAGCACTGACTGCATGCTGGTCAGCTCCCAGCATTGAGGATCTGGCTCAGTCTACCCTGGAGAGACATGCAAAATAGAAGGAATGAAACAGGCTCTCCCTAGTCCTCACCTGAACCCCGGGATTGAATATTTAGGAAGCTGCCTTACTCGGGGGGGGTCCTGCCTGTTATGTCTCCCCCTAATCACTCTATGCCTACCTCTGGAACACAGATGGTCTCCATGGTGTCAGTGATTGCTTTAAAGCTGATTTTCCTTAAAATAAATCCAGTGTTTTTCTCAAGAGGACGTTCTGTTCCTTACCAGGTGCAGCTCCTGATCAAAACCCTCTGCAGTGGGGCAGGAACTATGCTTATTCAGGGCTCCTTAGTGGCCTCTAATGAACACATCTTCCACAGTTTGCGACATTTGAAGGGGCCCAGAGGAAGGCGTTTTTATGCAATATTTTCTGCCCTATGCCCCATGACTCTTTAGGGGACATGAAGTATCAGGAATGAAGCTACCATGGGGGCTTAGAAGATGCAGAGGGACCACTGTCCCCACCAGGGGGCTACCATGTGCACCTATGACTGACTGTTCTCTGCACCATGCCAGAAAAGGCAACAGTGGCCTGGGCTCAGGGACCAGCACTTCAATCTAGTCTTAAGAGTCACATCCGCTTTTTTTTTTTTTTTTTGCCTTGGCCTGACCAATAGAAGCTGTCCCCCACCCCACCACCACCACACACACCCCAAAGAGAGTGAGGGGTTGGGGCCATGTGGGCCACAGGCCGTTGTGGCTGGAAATAGCTCTCCCAGACCACAGCAGCCTGAAGATGGGTCAGGGCTAAGGGCATTACAATATACATGGAGGAGGGCCAGGCTGCAGCGGGGGATAATTTGAAACTAAAGCACAGAAATGGGTCTGGGGGAGGGTCTGGGGGAGCCTGGCTAGCAGGTGAAGGAGTCCCGCACATTAGCAAGCCTTCTTGTTTCTGCCTTCAAGTTTGTGCTAGAATCCAACTGTTTCTCCCACTTCCATGGCGAGCGCCCCGCCCAGGCTGCACCCTCCCTTGTCTGGGTCACTGCAGCAGTGTCTGAACTTCTGCCTCTCTGCTTCCATGCTTGTTCTGCAGCAGCCAGAGGGATCCTTCTAAAACCCAAGTCAGCTCATGTCCTGCCTGTCCCCAAAGCCCTCCTGTGGCTCCCTGTAGTGGATTAATGTAATGTCCCTCTCAAATTCATGTCCACCGACATAGATTCTTTGCTTGACCAAACTTTAGCCAGGTCCCCGAACCATCTCCTAGGCCCCTCTGTACACTTTCTTGTAAAATCCAGTTTTAGCAAAGAACCATGCTGTGTCAGTTTAACAAAAGCCCCCTACACCTTGATATCTGACCACCTCAACTATGTCTGATGGAGTTCCTCACTCTCCATCATGCCCCAGCAATATCTGGTCACCCTGGCCTGCCTTGAGCAAGAATCCTATTAGGTGGGTTTAGCCAGAATCCCCCTTACCTCTAATGTTTCCTCTTAGCAGTTTTCCATCCATGGACCCCGCCCTGCTCTTTGGCTATAAATCCTCCCCTGCCTGGGCTGTGTTCAGAGTGGAGCCCAATCTCTTTCTCCCACTGCAAATCCTATTGCTGTGATCCCTGTGCCTATCTCAATGGTCCTCAGTGAACTCTTCCTTACTGTACTTTAACAAGTATCATGGAAGAGTTTTTTAACCCTACATAGAACCTCAGCATATGACTTTATTTGGACATAAGGGCATTATAGATGCAATTAGTTCATGATTGAGATACAAACACACTGGATTAGGGTGGGCCCAGAATCTAATAACTGGCATCTTTAGAAGACACAGATGCAGAGAGAAGGCCACGTGAAGAGGAAGGCTGAGCCTGGAGTGAGATGTCTACAAGCCCAGGAAGGCCAAGAGTTGCTGGAGCCACCAGAGCTGGCAGAGGCAGAGAAAGATTCTTCCCCAGGTCCACCTGGGGGGCATGGCCTTCCGGTACTTTAGTTTGGACCTCTGGCCTCCACAACAATGACAGTACATTGCTGTTATTTTAAGCCATCTGGTTTGTGGCAATTTGTTACAGTATTCGCAGGAAACTTATAAATCTCCAATTGACTTAGAGAAAAGCCCAAACCTTCCAAGGGCCTCAAGACCCCACACAGCACCCCGCTTCTCCTGCGGCTCTTGGAGTCACCTCTCATAACCCTCCCTGCTCAGCCCAACTTCTGTCCTACTGACCCCTCCCTTGCCTCTCAAGCCATCTGGACCCCCTCCCCATCAGGGCCTTTGGAGGGACAGCTCCTCAGCCTGCACCCTCATGACCTGGATGTCTGAGATGCTCACTTCTTCATCCTGCTTCAGTCTCTGCACAGAAGGTGCCTTCTCAGGCACGCTACCCTGACTGCCCCATTCAAAATTTCTCTCTCTCTTGGTCTCCTTACTATAATTCATTTATTTCCCAAAGCATCTGACATGAGACCTCTTCTGTTGTTGGCTGTGTCTGCTGGGGCAGGCCATCTGCGCTGCTCCCCTGGTGTATGTGAAGCACAGGAGGAGGTTCACTGAATGAAGGAAAGGACGGCTTTCTCCTGCTCTGGACAGGCTCACCCCCACACGCTCCCGAGCCCACACCAGGCCCCGAGAGGTAGATCAACCCTAATGGCAATCAGGGTGCAGCTTCCGTCTCAAGGAAGGCAGCCTCTGGTCTTTGAGGCTCACACGATAACCATGCAAACATTTTAGGAGCAGTATTTATGCATGTTAATTGCATGCATTTTTAATATATCTATATATAGAAGGAGTTTGTGTACACAGATTATTAATGCATTATACACCTATTATGTCTATACGCATATAAAAATAGACTAAAAGACTAGAAGTCTCCAGTCAGAGAGCACATGTACAGTTGAGGGTTTCCTGGGGCCTGATGTTAGTTCTGTGCCCGGTGGCTCAGGATTTACCCACTTTAATACCTCACCGAGGCTGCTAATTCTGCCTTCTGTCAGTCTCTCTCTTCCTACTTAGATGGCACCAGGGTAGCTGCCACCACAGAAGTTTATGATTGTATTTGTCGCTGTTTTCGCAAATGAACAGCTTTACAGGGTGTTCGCTCCTATGCGGAACGTCTCCCAGCACACCGCGTCACATCAAGGCCAGCACCAATTCGGGCTGGCGCCTGGCGGGGTTAAGGAGGCCGCTGAGGAAAAGAAAAAAGAGGAAAAAAGCCTACGCGTAGAAACAGCTGTTAGATCCTTCTCTTGCTTGTGACAGAAAGGCGGTGGAGTAGAAAGAGAGCGTGTCGCAGCAATTTCCCACGACAGTCAGGATGGTTGGCTGGTTTGTGGACTGCTCGGGCTTGCTTCCCCCCTGCTGGGGTCTTTATTGACCGTATCACTGCTCATTAGTGTGCCCCCGGGGGGGCAGGGGGTGGGAGAGGTGGGATGGGCAGAGAAGACCAAGTGGACGCTTGCTAGAGACTCTGGGGAAGGCGCTGCTGGTGGGCAGGGGTGTGGGACAGAGACTCTGTCCCAGCGTCTGGCCGTTTTCTACCCCGTGGGACCCCTCTCTTCCATTAGCTGATCTGTAACTATGCTGTGTCTGCCCGCTGTGGTTTCCCAGGGAGGATGTCTTGGGGGTCGGTTTCCTGCAGCTGTGCTGAGTGGCTGCAAGCCATGCAGATGGCCTCAGCCCCATTCCTGGTATCTTGTCCTTGTCTTGCAGTGGGTCAAGCCACACGTGGACAGCCTCCCAAGGTCCCTGGCGGACGTGGACTGTAACCCATTTCTAACTCTCTCTGGGACTCCAATCACACTCCTTCTAGGGGCGCCTCCCTGAGGCGATGGCTGGGGGGCCTGACCCACCCTCCACTGTGCACCTCTCCTTCAGGGCCTCTTCAATCTTCCACAATCTTGGTTCTTCCTCTTCAGCATAGACACAGGGCTGTGTCTCCTCTTGGTCTCCTGGCCCTGCCTTCTGCTCAGGCTGCCCCACGATTCCCTGTGGGCTCCTCTCCCATCCCGGAGACTCTTCAGCTGGAGACACAAATAACTGTTACGTTGTTGCCAAAATCAATGGAAAAATTCTGTCTTCTTGTTTGCGGTTGATGTTCTGGGATCACGTGACACAGCTTACTCTGTTGGCTGTGACTCGATTCCTTTCTCGGTGGCCACTCATTCCCAGCTCCCTGCAAGGGCCGCCTGGCTCAGACGTTCTCACCTTACCGTGCATCAGCCTCTGTGTTCCTCCTCTGAAACCATCCTGGGGCCCAGCCCTGAGAGCCGAGTCCACAGAATCCACTTCCAAGTCGGCCTGTTCCCTGGGATTCCCCACAAGCCGCTCAATCTCAGGATGCCTCGGCTTGACTCAGCCTCCCTGCTGCTATTTCCCCCTGATCTTGGTGAATGGACCCCCCACAGTACCCAGGCTGGAAGTTAGAATCTTTCTGGAATCTTCCCTTTTGCTTACTGCTACATCTAATGGTTTCCAACATCTTGGTTCTTCTGGCTGGCCTTCACCTTTGAATTGGTTTCCTCTTTTCCAGCACCACCTCCTTATCGTTGACTCTTCAGGGTGGCCGCTGACCCCAGCAGTCCTTGGTAAGGAGCCTCTGAGTACGTCTCCCCCAGACTCCCACCCACTTGTGCAGCTCCACCCTCCAGCGGCTGTTGTGCGACGTCAGGATGGAATATCCAGGAAGCAGTTTGTTGAAGTTGGACGAAAACATAGGAGCATTTTTAGGCTGGATATTGTTACCTAAGATGAGGTTCGCATGGAGGTTAAAGGAAATGGTTTTTATCCGGAAAACAAATAATTGCAATTCGGGTACACTGGATCAGGGCAGCTCCGAAGAGGGTCCTAACAGCCAGTGCCGGAGAGTTTTTCTCATTGGAGATATCTGCAAAAAGTTGTTTTCGGAGGCCGTCATTGGTCAGGCAGAAATCCTAAATGACAAACCCGTTCTGATTGGTCAGCTCGTGAGGGTACTCCCGGATGGGAGATGCTGAAGGCTGGTGGACACTGACTTCAGCTGTTGTTCAAGTCTATGGGAACATTCTGTGGCTCGACCTTTAGCAGGTGTGGGAGCAATCCTCCCGCAATCTCCCTGCTCCACTTTGGAAACTTAGTTCCTTCATTTTCTCTCACTGTATATACATACTGATTGCTCATTTTTCTTTCACTGTATCTACATTGAGATAAATTATATCTCAATAAAGCTGTTCAAGAATGACTCTTGAACATCCAAGCACAGAAATGTTTTCTTTGTGGATTTCTGCTCGGCAGCCCCAGGGCTGGCTCAAGCCTGTCCTGGCCGCCGCTTTGGCCAGGGTCTATCGCCCCTTTCAGCTCTCTTGGTGCCTTAATCACACGATGTTTCCAGGCTAGCAGGTCTGGAAAGCACTGTGTCCTGCAAATGTCAGGATCCCAGGATTAGGAACATGAGAGCTGAGGACAGAGCATAAGATGCCCTCTCTCACACAAGGCATCTTCAACTCCCGGAGCTGTCAGAGCTACGGTGGCACCTGTTGTCCCGGCCTTCAGTGGAAGCACCAGCTTTTCGTGGCAATCTCTCAACTGCTGCAGATATGATTGACACTCAGCTTTCGTTTCTTTTGTCTTGAAAGCCACCTGTGGACCCCTGCTAACACTGCTCCTTAGCCCTTTTTAGATGTCCATGCAGTCATCATGTGCAAGCTCTGTGCATTGATTTTCTCACTGAGTTGATATTGAAACTGAGAAGGAGCGAGGTTAGGAACCTGCTTGGAGTGGTGGAGCTGTGACTTGGACCCGGGTGGTCTGGGTCCCTGGCCTGCAGCCATTGTATCTTTCATGTGTGGTCTGTCACTGGGCTACCCTCTCCTGTTCTTCTGATCCTTTCTTCCTTCCCCACCTTTTGCAGAGAGAGGTAATAGCTAGTCAGGTCCTGCCCCCAGCTCCCTGTCTCTACCCTCTGGGGCTGCGGTGTTTTGGTTGCCGAAGGGAACTACTGACCATTTGCTCAGCACCTTCTGGGTGGCAGAAGCTTGAAGCCTGTCACGTCACTCAGTCCCCACAGTGACCCTCTGATGTGGCAGCTGATTGTAAGCTCCCTAAAACGGGGGTCTTTTCTCTCACCTTCATCCTGCTATATTCCCTGGCAGAGAGAGAGGCTCACTAATATTTAGTGCATGCTACCTTTTACCTTCTAGTATTGGTCTCAACTCACTGGTAAGTAAGTTGGGGCCAGTGTTTCACAGCTATTTTGTGACCTTGCTCAGATTTAAAGTTCAGTCTGTGAGGCTTCCATGCCCCTGGATGATTCCCTGTTTACAAAGAAGCTGCTAGACCTTTCTCTTTTCAATGATTTTTTTGTTTGTTTTTGTTTTTGTTTTTGAGATGGAGTCTCACTTTGTCACCCAGGCTGGAGTGTAGTGGTGCGATCTCAGCTCACTGCAACCTCTGCCTCCTGGGTTTAAGCGATTCTCCTGCCTCAGCCTCCTGAGTAGCTGGGACCATAGGTGCGTGCCACCACACCCTGCTAATTTTTGCATTTTTAGGGCAGATGGGGTTTCTCCATATTGGCCAAGCTGGTCTTGTACTCCTGACCTCAGGTGATCTGCCCACCTCGGCCTCCCAAAGTGCTGAGATTACAGGCATGAGCTACTGTGCCCAGCCCTCAATGACATTTGACCGAGAAACAGGTCTGTCTCCCCCTTTGCAGCCCAGCCCAGCCCAGCTGATTTTTAGGCATTCTCCATCCTCACATCTTTTGCCACAATTTATTTGGTGGTTTGATGGGCAAAAAAGATTCCTGGTCTGTACCTTTAATGTAACGAGGACATTAGTGATGTGTAATGGAGGTGGAAATCGCTTTCTAATGCATAAAACATAAATACAGCAAAAGTGCACAAATGAGCCATAACTCTTCTTCCTTTCATAGGCAATAAAAAAATCCCCATACTCTTTCCTCATTAATTTGGACCGCATGAAACTGTGGAGCTGCTGATTTTCCGAAGTGATTTCTGCGAAATAATGAGGCTGTTTATTAACATTGAGAAGGCAAAAGGGAGCCTGTGGCCACGACAGTCTCCATAGTAACTGTACAGGAGAAAGGATGTGAGGCTCAGCTGGTGAGGTCTGTGCTGTCCCACCACACCCCTAATTAATTGCTGGGGGGCAGGCCTGGGAACTCCCAGGCAAGGTGACAAAGATGCTGTGTCACCTTGGTTGGTCTTCAGATAGGATGGAGAGGATCTTAGAGTTTGAAAAAAGTAGCATTGATAAGAAGGGACATTCCTTTTATGCTTGCAAATAGCATGGTTTATCTCAAAAATCATGGCTGTTTATGTGTCGCCTGGCTACAAAAAGACTAAAAACAGATTCTTGAATACTATTTCCTACCCATAAAGATGGCTACAATAAAAAAAGACAATAACAAGTGTTGGTGAGGATATGGAGCAATTGCAATCCTCATAGGCTGCTGGTGGGAATGGAAGATGGTGCATCTGCTGCAGAAAACAGCCTGGCAGTTCCTCAACATGTTAAACATAGCATCATCTTGTGACCCAGAGATTCCACCTCTGGATATGTACCTGTAAGAAATAAAAACACATGTCCATACAAAAACTTGCACACAAATGTTCATATCAGCATTAGTCATAATAACCTTGAAGTGGAAACAGCCCAAATGCCCAACAGCTGGTAAATGAATGAGCAAAATATGGTCTGTCCCTGCAATGGAATATTATTCAGCCATCAAAAGGAAAGAAGTACCAACATACACTGCATCAGGCATGGCCCTCTGTGAAGGGGGAGTCACAAAAGACCACCAAGTGTATGATTCTGTGTTAATTTGCTAGGACTTCTGTAACTAAGTGCCACAAGCCAGGTGGCTTCAACATCAGAACTTTGTCCTCTCATAGCCCAGGAGGCCAGAAGTCCAAAATCAAGGTGTTGTCCAGTGTTGCTTCCTTCTGAGGGCTGTGAGAAAGAATCTGCTCCCAGCTTCTTCCCTGGGCTAGGATGGTTTGCTAGCAACCATTGGTATTCCTTGGCTCATAGGTGTCTGCCTTCTCCCTGTGCCTTCACATCATTTTCCCTCTGCATGCATCTGTCTGTATGTTCAAATGTCCTCTTTTTATAAAGACATCAGTCATATAGGATTAGGGGATGATCTTACTCCAGGCTGACCTCATTTTAACTAATTACATCTGCAATGATCCTAGTTCCAAATAGTGCCACATTCTAAGATACTGGGGATTAGGACCTTTACATATGTATTTGATGAGGGGGGGAATGCATTCCACCCATAACAGATGTCATTTTTATGAAATGCCCAGGATATGCAAATCTATAGAGACAGAAAGTAGATAAGTGGTTGCCTAGAGCTAGGGATATTGGTGGGAAAAGGAGAGGGATTGCTAATGCATATGAAGTTTCTTTTTGGGGGGATGAAAGTGTAAAATTAATGGTGGTACTGGTCATATATACTAATACATATTAGTATATTCACTAAAAACATTGAATTGTACAATTTAAATGGGTGAATTACATGGTGTATAAATTATATCTCAATAAAGCTGTTTAAGAATGATACTTGAACATCCAAGCATAGGAATGTTTTCTTTGTGGATTTCTGCCTGGCATCCCCAGGGCTGGCTTAAGCCTGCCCTGGCTGCTGCTTTGACTAGGGCCCACAGCCTCTTTCATCTCCCTTGGTGCCCTAATCACACTGTTCCTGCTGCTGAATGGTCCCTTCTTATACTTCCTGTGTCCTGACCACTGCCCTGGGGTCTAGTCAAGCCCCACTGCTTTCTTAAAGTCTTTCTGGGTGATTTTAGTACTCCCTGAGCCCTTACTTCCCTGAACTTCTATAGCAACCAGGAGTTTGGTTCTTGAGTCTCCATGGGTCACCAAGAGTTTGATTCTTGAGTCTCCATGAGTCACCTTGCTGTGTTCTCAGGTGGTTTTCAGTCACATTTTCACTTGGCCTGCAAGTTCTTCCAGGGCAGGGGCCATGGAGCCCTTTTCCTGCAGCTCCTGTGGTGCGGACATGTGGTTTGTGCCCAGGACACCTTTGAGAATCTGACTCACAGTCACACTGAAGAGGAGACATCCTTGGCCATCACCCTGCCCCTTGGGGACAGCTATATACAAAAGCATGTAACTTGTTTCCTCATGTGAGTCACTGAGCCATGGTGTCACTTACCCATAATGACCGTGAGTCAGGGCTGCTTTTACACAGAGAAGTCCATCTCTTTAAGAGGGAGTGTCTATCTGCATGAAGACCCAAAGACCACATACAGGAGTCTGGGCGAACCCTAGGGAGAGCATTGCAAGTACAGGAGAACCACTGATCCTCCACCCTGCATGTCCCCGTTCTTCCAAAGCTCATGGGAAATGTAACGCTGTCATGCTCCTTTGCCTTTGGCAGCTTTTTCTTCCCTGCTCTGGTCCTTGGAACTCCATGTGTCTTTCCAGACTGCTTAGGTTTCTATCTTGATTTCAACTAACAGAAAGTCAGCTTAGTGTGTGACTCATTTGTATCTTAATTCCCAGTTCAGCAGCTTGGGAAAGGCTTCTAGCTCAAAGTCTTGGGTGTGTCAATGGAATGTTTCTCAAGGGCTGGCATGTTAGAGGGGAGAGCTAGTTAAAGGCATGGAGGGCTTTACACTATTCTTCCTGATTATTAGGCTGCAGAGTGTCCATCAGGGTGTACCCAACAGTGTTTCCTCTCTTGAATTCCTCTCTGCCAATTTTCACACATTTTTTCCTTATCAGAAGTGGGATTTCCCCCGCAAATTCAATATTTCATCAGCTACTCCAATGTCTAAAGCAGATCAAAAAGTAGACTCCTGGTCAGGATGACACTATAAGTTTATACTTAAAATACAGAACAAAAGTTCAGAAAATATAAAGATAGGAAAGTTGCAAAGACATAACCATCTTGCTAGGAGATGTCAAGACATGTTTCTCAATAGTTTATAGAACAAGCAGACAGGATAATCATACAGGATATAGAAGATCTGAACAATACAATAGATCAAATTGACCTAATGGGCATATAAAACACTGCACCCAACAAAGACAGAATGCACCTTTTTTCCACCTGAGTAATTGAACATGGGACATTTGCCAAAATTGACCATATAGTATCCTGTAGAGCAGCCTTAACAATTTTCAAAGGATTGAAATAATTCAGAGTATGTTCTCTGACCACAGTGCAATTAAGCTAGAAATCAATAACGAAAAGATAATTGAAAATCTCCAGCTGATTATTAATTAAGCCACACACCACACACTTCTAAGTAACCTGTGGTTCAAAAAGGAAATCACACGGGAAACTTGGAAATTAGAAAATATTTTAAACGATAATGAAGGTACACCATATCATACTAGTATGTTAAAGTAGTGCTTAGAGAGAAATTTATAGCCTTATATATAAAAAAGAAGAAAGGCTAAAAATAAATATCTTAAGCTTTCATTTCAAGAAGCAAGAAAAAGAAAACCAAGCCAACTTCAAAAATATAAAAGGAAAGAAATGATGACCAATGCAAAAATAAATGCCATAGAAAGCAAGCATGCAATAGAGAAAAACAAGAACCCCAAAAGTAGATTATTTGAGAAGATCAATACAATTGACAGACTCCTAATAAAACTCATCAAGAACAAAAAAGAGAACTCATTATCAACAACAGAAATGAAAAAGGGAATAGGAACAACTCTACAGATGTTTCAAACATTAGATAGATAATAAGATATTATGAGAGTATGTCTGCTAAAGATTGTACACCGAGAATATATAATGATTTTTTTTTTTTTGAGATGGAGTCTTGCTCTGTTGCTCAGGTTGGAGTGCAGTGATGCAATCTTGACTCAATGCAACCTCCACCTCCTGGGTTCCAGCAATTCTCCTGCCTCAGCCTCCTGAGTAGCTGGGATTACAGGCAAGTACCACCATGCCTGGCTAATTTTTGTATTTTTGGTAGAGACAGGGTTTCACCATGTTGGCCAGTTTGGTCTCAAATTGCTGACCTCAGGTGATCTGCCTGCCTCAGCCTCCTAAAGTGCTGGGATTACATGCATGTGCCACTGCACTAGGCTGAGTTATTACAACTCAGTAGTAATGAACAACTCAATACAAATGGGCAAAAGATTTGAACAGCACTTTCTGAAAGATGTTATTCCAATAACAAATGCATGAGAAGATGTTCAACATCATTAGACACAAAAAGGAAAACTAAAATTGCTATGAAATACCACTATACATCTACCAGACTGGTTAAAATGTAAAGGACTGATCATACCAAATGTTGGTGAGGAGGAGGAGTAGCTCTTACATGTATATCTATTTAAAAAAAATTTTAAATTATTATTATACTTTAAGTTCTAGGATACATGTGCACAATGTGCAGGTTTGTTACATATGTATACATGTGCCATGTTGGCTTACATGCATATATTAACTCTAGGTATGTGATGATAGGTTAGGTATGAATACTGTAGTCCTTTGAGCAAATTCTAAAGAATAATACAAAGAGATACAGCCAAAAATCCAAAAGAAAAATTAAAATGGAGTCCTAAAAGCATTTAACTAGGACAAAAGAAGGCAAGGATGGGGAAGAAATGAACAAGAAATAAAGGGGACAAATAGAAAATAAATGAAAATGTAGTTCACCTATATTCAACCATATGGGTAATCACTTTAAATGTAAATGGTCTAAATATACCAAATCAGCACAGATTGTCAGATTGGATAAAAATATATGTATATACTATGTATGAAAAATCTGCTTAAATATGTGTGTGTGTGTGTGTGTGTGTGTAAAAAGTAAAGGATAGAAAAACATATTTCATGCAAAAACCAAGAAAAAGAAAGCTGAAGTGGCTATACTAATCTGACAAAGTAAACTTCAAAGCAAGTAACACTTCCAGAAAAAAAAGAGAGACAGTGAGTAATTTTAAGTGGTCACTTAGCCAAGAAGACCTAACAATCCCATGTCACTGTTCACATGACAGTAGAGCCTCAAAATATGTGAAGCAAAAACGGGAATTGAAGGAGAAACAGACAAACTCACAATTCTACTTGGAGACTTCAACACTCCTCTGTCAGTAATCAATAGAACAAATAGAAAATCAGTAAGAATACAGAATACCTGAGCAACACTTTAAATGAATATGACCTAATTGACATTTATAGAACATTCTACTAAAAACCAGAATTCACATGGAACATTCAGAAGGAGGATTCATGAAAATAATCCAAATTCTGGGACACATGGAAAACATTAAAATATTTCAAAAATTTTAAAGAATTGAAATCATGAAAAGTATGTTCTCTGATTATATAAGATTTAAACTAGAAATTGATAACAGAGAGATAGCTAGAAAATCTTGAAAATTAAACGTTGCACTTCTAAATAACCCTTGGGGCAAAGAGGAAGCCAAAAGGAAACTTAAAAAATATTTTGAATTGAGTGAAAATACGAAAACAACATATCAAAATTTGTGTGATGTGGCCAAGTAGAACTTAGAGGGAAGTTTCAAGCATTTTAATGTCTATATTAGAAAAAAAGTTGATGTGCAGCCTTTCTTTTTTCTAATGTAAACACTTAATGCTTGAAATTTCCCTCTAAGTTCTACTTGGCTGCATCACACAGATTCTAATATGTTGTATCCTTATTTTCTATTTTCCATAAGAAAATAGAAAAAGAGAGCAAATTAAAAGGAAAACACGCAGGTGGAAGGAAAGAATAAAGAGCTCAAAACAATGAAATTGAAAATAGAAAAATAATGGCGAGAAGCAGTAAAACCAAAAGCTTTTTATTAAAAAGATCAATAAAATTGATAAAATTCAAGTCAGACTGAGCAAGAACAAAAGAGACCCAAACAGCTATTATCTTGAATGTAAAAGAGGACATTGATACAGATACTACAATCATCAAAAGATAATAAGGGCATATTACAAACCACTTTGTGTTTATACATTTGACAATTTAGAGGAAAATGGATCAATTCCTTGAGAGACACAAACTGCCCAAGTTCACTCAGGAGGAAATAGATAGCCTGAATAGTCTTATGCCTTTTAAAGATGTTGAATTTGTAGTTAAAAACCTTTCTATAAAACTCCGGCCATCGTGGGCTTGACTGGTAAATTCTACAATATATTTTAACACGCAAGTAACAGTAGTTCTGTACAAACTTTTCCAGAAAATAAAAGCAGAGAAAACATTTCCCAACTTAGATTCACATGACTTGATTTCAAGATTTGCTATAAATCTACCATGGTTAGTATAGCACGGTGTTGGTAAAAGAATACAGTAGAATACAGAGTCTAGAAATAAGCCCAAGAAATATATGGTCAATTGGTCTTAACAAAGGTACAAAAGCAACTGAACGGAAAAAGCAGATTCTTTTTAAAAATGATGCTGGAACAATTGAACATTGATATACTTAAGCAAACAAACCAATAAATAAATAAATATATAACCTCAACCCATACTTACTCCTTATGATTTCTAAATGTAAAGCCTAAAATTGTAAAACTTCTACAAAAATGCTCTTCCACAGAACATACCCATCTGTAACGACAGGCATGTTCGATCTGTGCTTTCCAGTATGGGAGACACTGGGCACATCTGGCTGCTGAGCACTTGAAATGTGGCTAGTGTGATTGAAGAAATGAGTTTTATATTTCATTTAAGTTTCATTAATCTAAATTTAAATAGTCACATGTAGTTAGTGGCTAACATCTTAGACAATGCAGTTTGAGAAGAAAATACAGGAAAAAATTTTGTAACCTTGGTTAAGAAAATATTACTCAAATATGACACTAAAAGCATGATCTGCATGAGAAAAGATATGGATAATTTGGGCTTTATCAAAATTAAAAATTTCTGCTCTGTGAAAGGCTCTTTCACAAGAATGGAAAGACAGGCCACAGACTGGGAGATAACATTTGTGAATCACATATCTGACAAATGGCTTGCGTTCACAATACCTAAAGAGTTCTCAAACTCAGTAAAAAGTAAACAACTCAGTTAAAAATGGGCAATATATTTGGGCAGACATTTTATTAAAAAATACATGTGGAGAAACATCACTAATAACTATGGAGCTGCAATTTAAAGCTATAGTGAGATACCACTATATATCTTTTAGAATGAGTAAAAAGAAAAAAATATTGACAATACCAAGTGTTAGCAGGGAGGTAGAGCCACTGGAATTCTCATCCATTACTGGTAGGAATGCAAAATGTTACAGACACTTTGGAAAACGTTTTGGTAGCTTATCATAAAGTTAAATATAAACTTACTATATGACCCAGCAATTCCACTCCTTGGCATTTACCAAAGAGGAAAGAAAACATATGTCCACAAAAGATATGCACAAGAATGTCAATTTCAGTTCCATTAATAACAGCCCCAAATTGGAAGTAGGTTAAGTATTCATTAATAGATAAATGAGTAAATTGTGGTATATCCATATATTGGAAATCCTTTCAGCAATAAAAAAGAATAAATTAGTGATACATGAAACAACATGTTTTGAACCTCAAAAACATTATGCTGATCAAGAGCTCACCCTGATTTTTAATTTTATATAAAGTCCCAAAGTTGACAAAAATAATTTGTAGTGATAGAATTCATACCTGTGGTTGCCTGCAGAGACTGACTTAGAGGCAGAAGAGAATACTCTGAGATGATCTAAATGTTCATCTTGATTGATATCTTGTAATAAATGTATGTCTTGATTGAAGTGTTAGTTTCATTGGGATATATATATATATATTCCCATATTCACTGGGAGATATATATATATATCCCAATAAAATATATATACATGGTTGACCCTCAAACAACATGGGTTTGAGGGGTTTGAACTACATGAGTCCACTTATACATGGATTTTCCTTCACCTCTGCTACCCCTGAGACAGCAGGATCAACCCCTCCTCTCCCTCCTCCTCAGCATAATCAATGTGAAGATGATCATGAGGAACACCTTTATGATGATCCACTTCCACTTAATGAATGGTCAATATATGTTCTCTTTCCCATGAGTTCTTGATAACATTTTCTTTTCTCTAGCTTACTTTATTGTAAGAATACAGTATATAATACATAGAACATACTACATGTGTGTCAAACCACTGTGCTTTTGGTTGACAATAGGGTATTAGTAGTTAAGTTTTTGGGGAGTCAAAATTTATGTGCAGATTTTTGACTGTGCAGGGGCTGTGTGCCTTTAACCCCTACATAATTCAAGAGTCAACTCTGTACGTATATTTGTCAGAAGTTATTGAATTTTACACTTAAGATCTGTGCAAACTACTGAATTCAAAGTTTTCCTCAATTAAAAAGCATGAGAGGGATATCTGTTCACAAACAGAAAGTAGGCTGGGCGCAGTGCCTCAGGCCTGTAATCTCAGCACTTTGGGAGGCTGAGGTGGTGAATCGCTTGAAGTCAGGAGTTCGAGACCAGCCTGGGCAACATGGGGAAACCCCATCTCTACTAAAAATACAAAAATTAGCCAGGCGTGGTTGTGGGTGCCTGTAATCCCAGCTACTTGGGAGGCTGAGGTAGGAGAATCGCTTGAACCCAGGAGGTGGAGGTTGCAGTGAGCTGATATGGCCCCATTGCACTCCAGCCTGGGCGACAGAGCAAGACTTTGTCTCAAAAACAAACGAACAAAAACAAAAAACAAACAAACAAAAAACCCAGTGGTTTCCAGAATATATTGTTAAATGGACCCAATGAAGGAGTGTTTGTGTATTTAGTTTGTTACTTTTTGATGAGAATAAAAAACCCTAAAGGACTAGAAGGAAGACAGAGCAAGAAACAGGATGAAAGCAACACTTTTCTGAATTTATCTCGTTTTACAGTTTTTACTTTGGCATCATGTAAATTATAAAATTAAGTTTATAAATAAAAAAGTAAAATTTAAAAATCCCAAGATAAATGATAATTGAAAACAAAGTGAGGTCATTACATAGCAAATAGAATTATTTCACTGACTATCCTTTATCAACACATTCAAAGCACAAGTAGTGATGCAAAGCAATCTTAAATTTTGTTTGAAAGTCTTATTACATTTTAAAAGTCTTCTATAAAAAATAAGCAAGTTCATTAATTATGTGTATATTGCTAAGGTGTCAGATTTTTAGTGTAAAAAGAGAGATACCATTATAAAACCAAAGAAATAAAATCCATATAAAGGTAAGTTTGAACGGGGAATGTCAGTACGATCTCATGATATCTTTGTGTTTTGAATAAATGCAGGTGCTGGTGGTGCTCACTAAAAATGCCCAGAAGCAAAAAGTGTTCTTGGCACCCAGACTGGCGTCTCCAAATTTCATTCATCATGAAAACGAACCAGGGAACTCTGGGGATAAAAATATTCTGATTCCAGGCCTGAGTAGGAAATATACAAGGTGTGCTTGCCTAAAACATCTTGTTCCCCAAAAGCTAGGAAGCTACCAAAGGCCATTGGAGTTTTATCAAAAGAGCACAGGAACCAATGTGACAAGATACCCATTATTCAAATGGGAGAGTTTAAGCATAAAAAATAATGACTACAACACATGGGATTTGGAAAACCTCATAAATTCATAATGATATTCCAAAAAAGGAAAACAGAGTAGGACAAAGTGGGGTAAGTGTGAGAGAAAGAGACAGAGATAAGAGAGAGAGAAAGCAAGAGATAGAGATGAGAGAGAGAGAGAGAGAGAGAGAGAGATGGGAGAGAGATGAGAGAGAGAGAGAAAGACAGAGATGAGAGAGAAAGAGAGAGATGAGAGAGAGATGAGACAAAGATAATAGAGAAAGAGATAGAGATGAGAGAGAGAAAGAGATAGAGATCAGAGAGAAAGAAAGATAGAGATGAGAGAGAAAGAAACAGATGGGAGAGAGGAGAGAGAGAGAAAGAGAGACGACAGACAGAAAGATGGGAGAGAGATGAGAGAGACAGAAAGAGAGATGAGAGAAAGAGATAGAGATGGGAGAGAGATGAAAGAGAGATGAGAGATAGAAAGAGATAGAGATGAGAAAAAGAGATAGAGATGGAAGAGAGATGGGAGAGAGAAAGATGGGAGAGAGATAGAGATGAGAGAGAAAGAGATAGAGATGTAAGAGAGATGGGAGAGAAAGATGGGAGAGAGATGAGAGAGAGACAGAGATGAGAGAGAGAGATAGAGATGAGAGAGAGGGAGAGAGAGAGGGAGAGAGAGAAGGAGATAGAGATGAGAGAGAGAGAAAGAGATAGAGATGTAAGAGAGATGAGAGAGAGAAAGATGGGAGAGAGATGAGAGAGAGAAAGAAATAGAGATGGGAGAGAGATGAGAGAGAAGAAAGAGACAGAGATGAGAGAGAGAAAGAGATCAGCGAGAGATGGGAGAGAGATAAGAGACAGAAAGAGACAGAGATGAGAGAAAGAGATAGAGATAGGAGAGAGATGAGGGAGAGAAAGAGAGATGAGAGAGAGAAAGAGAGAGATGGGAGAGAGATGAGAGAGAGAAAGAGATAGAGATGAGAGAGAGATAGAGATGGGAGAGAGATGAGAGAGAAAAAGAGATAGAGACGAGTGAGATGAGAGAGAGATGAGAGAGAAGGAGATAGAGATGAGAGAGACAGAGATGGGAGAGAGATGAGAGAGAGAAAGAGATAGAGATAAGAGAGAGAGAAAGATGGGAGAGAGATGAGAGAAAGAGATAGAGCGAGAAAGAGATAGAGATGGGAGAGAGATGAGAGAAAGAGATAGAGATGAGAGAGAGAAAGATATAGAGATGGAAGAGAGATGAGAGAGAAAGAGATAGAGATGAGAGAGAGAAAGATGGGAGAGAGATAAGAGAAAGAGATAGATATGAGAGAGAGAGGGAGAGAGAGAGGAAAAGAATAATCCATTGACAGCCCTTGGAAACACAAAATTCTTACTGTTAAAAACAATTAAAGGGAAAGAATTAGCCAATTATTCTTTACTGATCAGAAATATATAGCCCTGGTTGATGTGGGATAGTGCTTAAGAGAAGAATCTTAGCTAATAAATGGGAAAGTATTGTTAGAAAATACATTTTTTTAAGCCCTGACTGGAATAATGGATTCAGGCAAAGATTATCAATGGACGGAGCCATTAGAGAAGTTAGGGAGCTTGCCCTGGGTCACACAGCCAAGAAGCAGCAGAGGCAGGATCTGAACCCTGCCAGCCTGATTTGTGGCCATGACAGCACTGATATGGTTTGCCTGTGTCCCCACGCAAATCTCATCTTGAATTGTAATCCCATTATCTCCACATGTTGTGGGAGGGACCCGGTGGGAGGTAATTGAATCATGGAGGTGGTTTCTCCCATGCTGTTCTCGTGACAGTGAGTGAGTTCTCATGGAATCTGATAGTTTTATAAGCATCTGGCATTTCCCCTGCTGGCACTCATTCTTTCTCCTGCCGCCCTGTGAAGAGGTGACTTCCATCATGGTTGTAAGTTTCCTGAGGCCTCCCTAGCCGTGCAGAACTGTGAGTCAGTTAAACCTCTTTTCTTTATAAATTACCCAGTCTTGGGTATTTCTTCATTGCAGTGTGAGAACAGACCAATACAGGAACTTTCCCTCATACATTGGTAATAAGTGCATTCACTCATTAAGCAAGTACTCATTGTGAACTTAAACTGCTGGGGATATGTCGGTGAACATAATCCATGCAGTCTGGTCTCACTGCGAGCACACACACAGGGGGTTAAACCCAGGACTGTGGGCATGTGGGAGATCATTATACTCTTCCCTGTACTCTGCTGTATGTTTGAAGGTTTTTCACAGCAAACATAAGAAAAAGTAATTAAGGGAGATTAAATCAGTATTGTATTGGCATCCAATTTAGTCTTAATAGTTCAGATGCATAGCATCTACTTATCACAGCAAAACGATGAAGCTATTTTGATGCACGTGACATTTTAAAATTCGGGATTATGAAAGACATTTCAGCATCCCCCTTATTTCCAAAGCTTTTTTCAGTTGAAACATGCCAGGAAAGTCTCGATTCTCCTAGAATGTGGCTACAAAGAAAAACAATCTTTAAAAAGTCCACCTTGCAATCCCAAGATTCTTTCCAATTAAATTGGTACCAAGGCTTGGAAGACAGATTTATGCTCCTTATGATTAAGATGAAAGTTCGATAGGAATCCTTCAGGTTTTAAGTAACCATTTAAACTGATTCCAGAGTGACAGAATCTCCTGCTTCTCCTGCTGCGTCTCCCACACCCCATGCCGCGTCTCCACACCCCATGCCGCGTCTCCACACCCCATGCCGCGTCTCCCACACCCCATGCTGCGTCCCCACACCCCATGCCGCGTCCCCACACCCCATGCCGCGTCTCCCACACCCCATGCTGCGTCTCCACATCCCGTGCCGCGTCTCCACACCCCATACTGCATCCCCGCACCCCATGCTGCGTCTCTACACCGCATACTGCATCCCTGCACCCCATGCTGCGTTCCTGCACCCCATACTGCGTCTCCACACCACATCTGCATCTTCCACACCCCATGCTGCGTCTCCGCACCCCATGCTTGCTGGTTTCTCCCTTGTAATGAGAATGAGCTTTATGCACTTGAGCCTGACCCTTGCCCAGCATTAACGGAGCCCAGGGTGTGAGTGCTGCCAGAGTGTACCTTCAGCCCTCCTTATCCACGACACACTTAATCAATCCCGAATCCTCAGGAAGAGTGCCAGAGCCTTGGTTCCAGGTTCGCCCTAGGAAGGAGGTGGCCTGTCAGTCAGGAAACAGCCTGCTGGTCTGTGACGTGTGAAACTTTTCCTTTAACACCTTTGGGAATGTGTTGATTTTTCATTACCTCTAAAAATAGTTTAAATTTAATTACAGTGAAATTTTGTAGAATCATTTTTGGAATCCTTGAACAAATTCTGAGGGGTTCTGGGCTACATGGTCTGAAATCTCATCATGTGTGTCTCTGAAGACCCTAATCTCATTCTGCTTTGGATTATGGCTAGGAGTCAGGAGTTATTCTGGATGTAGAGACTGAGTTGTGTTCTTAAGTAGGGCTTAAAAAGTTTGGGGCCATTGTTCAGGCTTAACACATGGGGAATGAACTGAATGAATGTATGGTCCCCCTCAAGGACAAGGAACTTTCATTCTGTGGTATCCAGAGGACTCAGCATGAAACCTGGGCGATGGTAGTGAATAAGTGAATGAATGAATAAATGAATGAATAGAAAAGACTCTTTGACTCCTGGTGCCATTGTAACATGCAGCCCTGTCAGGGAAGGGAGTTGGTCCTGTCACCCACATTGCCCGGAGCTTGGCTTTGGAAAGCCAGCCAGCATAATCTGTCATCTGCAAACCTCATGCATCCTTTCCTGCTTAAGTGCTTAGAGGAACCCACATACGTGAGAGGTTCGTTTGTCATCCCCTCTTCTGTTGGGGGCACCAGGGGCTCCCCCACCCACAGCCCATGCTTTTGAGCAGACGGGTGAGTTTAGATAAAGCAATTCCCACGCTCCACTGCTTTCCAGAGATGGGGGCTCACGGTTGGTGGATCCTGGAAGATGAATGACATGGAGCAGGTGACTCCTCTCCCCCTCCCTGAAAAGCCTGGACCAGAATGGAATCTGCCCGCCCTGGGAGGCCTCTCTCTTTGACAGACTCTGCTAAAACAATTGCACTTGTCAGGATCCATCAGGAGAGACTGGTTTCAGGCAGTGAATTGAATTTGCAAGCAAGATAATCAGTTATTGATTGAAAGGGCGAGTCGCAGCTCCTGCCTGCTTCTGAGGAAATGAACTTCTTCTCTTTCTAGAATATTTAATGGCTGGAGCGAGGAGCGATTGCCAGAAGTCACCTTTGGTGGAGAAGCGGTGCTGAGCTGAGCTAGCAGAGCCCGGGCCTCAGGGTTCCCCTCCATGTCTGTGCTATCGATGCAGGGAAATATGAGTAAAATGTGTGGCTTTGGCGCGGTGGCTCACGCCTGTAATCCCAGCACTTTGGGAGGCCGAGGCGGGAGGATCACAAGGTCAGGAGATCGAGACCATTCTGGCTAACATGGTGAAACCCCGTCTCTACTAAAAATACAAAAAAATTAGCCGGGCGTGGTGGCGGGCGCCTGTAGTCCCAGCTACTGGGGAGGCTGAGGCAGGAGAATGGCGTGAACCTGGGAGGCGGAGGTTGCAGTGAGCCGAGATTGCACCACTGCACTCCAGCCTGGGCGACAGAGCGAGACTCCGTCTCAAAAAAAAAAAAAAAAAAATATGTGGCTTTGGCAAGACCTGAGGCTCCATTACTTACTCAGTGGGAGGGAAGGTTGGGGTTGAAGCCCAGGATTCAGGATTCCCCATCTGTTGCAGGTGCCCTGCTCCAGGTAAGAAGCTTTCTGCACCCAGGTGAGGAAGGAGGGAGCCCTACCCTGACCCTCCAGCACATGCCCCCCAGTCCTCAGCTCCTGAGCTCCTGCACGGCCCACAGTGGGCCACCACTTGACACCTCTGGTTCCCGGACTCACGGAAGATCTCCGCCCTGCTGAGTGAGAACAAAGACCAGGCTCCCACTGCGATCTCCTAGAGCCCCCAATTCTAAAATGCCTTTTCCTGTAGGGGGCAACATCGACTTAACAACAGCACCCAGGGAGAGCAAGTGAAACCCCATTATATTTAGCATTCATCATAATTATAAAATATGTCCCAGTTCCAGACAAGCTAAACGGAGAAACGAGAATGAGTGTCTTAGAACAAAGGAGATGTGGTGGTGTCACTTCCATTACTCTCATTATTAATTTGTTTACATCTCACTTTGTACCCAAAGGGTTTGCTGTGGGGAGTTGAGGTGGCTGCCTCCCTGTCCCTCTTGGCTTAGTGGCCATCAGCAGAGGAGACTGATGGGGGATGGCATCTGTGCTGGGCCCAGCGCTGTGTCCAGCCTCAGAGTGGCTGGGCCCTGAAGACACACCCTGACCTCCTGCATCTGAGTGGGAGTCTGCATGACCAGGGGACCTGTTAATCTAGAGTCTGTGACTGTCCCTCTCTTTAGCTCATGCTCCGGTATCTGCAGCTCCAGGATTCCCAGATCTAAATCTTGAGCTGTTTTTAGGGCCTACTTGAATCCACCTTCCTGGGACAAACCAGTGGCAAAGGGGCTGTTAGTGGAGGATGCGGATAGCGCTGGGTCTGGGCTCGTATGGCCTCGGGTACTCCCGCCAGGACAGGGTGTGTCCTTGTGCAGGATAGAGATGGGGTGAGGAGAGCTGGGGCAGAGCCAGAGCGTGGACCCACTCTTAAGCATCACAATTCCTGCTGCCACGTGTATTCTGATGCTTAACTTTACGGAGTTGGAGAATTCTAAATTTAGACCTTGCCTTCTGGGTCATCAGGAAGTATATTTGTCAAGGTCAGAGGATAGAACATGTTTTATTGAGTGGTTTGTTAGTGTGATTTATATATGGGCCTCCAGGGGGCTCCTGCCCTAGGCCTGCCAATGCTAGGTGCGGGCCTCATGCTTGCCAGGTGACTGAAGGAATGAAATGAACATGCATGAGGCACCTTCTCTTCCTTTTCTGGGACTTGGGACTTACAGCTGGCAACTGCAGCCCTGTGCATCTGAGCGTAAGCCAGGTCAGTGTCCAGTTGTGGGAACCTACCAACCCCAAATCCAGATGTCTCCCCTCTGCCCCTGAACTTCCCCTCAGGGTCACATGGCAGGAGGAGGCTCAAGGGTGACACCTTCCAGGGTGGTTTCATCTTTGTCTGGTTGAACTTTGAAAACCATTTGCTGGGCTTGGTCTCTCACCCGTGGGAGGCTCTGCACTGAGGACTGGTTTCAGGATGAACGCCCATTCCCTGTGCTGTGCAGAGACGTCTGTGTGCGCTGGCTCTGGAGTTGGAACCAGAGTTCCTTCTCTGCCTTCTCTGTTATTCTTGGCTGTGCCTGAAAGGGCAACAAGGTTTTGCAATTAGATCTGAGACCGGCCAGAGACCCAGCTATAATGGTATTCATGTTTATTCTGTAGGGAGCCCTTTCTATCTGCAAATATTAGCTAATCCTTGGCTTCACTCTGAGAGAGATGCCAGCGAGATAGACAGAGGCTGGGGCCTGAGTCAGGAGCTGTGCCGAGAAGAATTGAAGAGCAGCATCAAAGGGTGCCTGGGGGAGCTGAATCAAGAGGCACAGCTAATCCGTGGCCCTCCTATTATCTCTCGCCATATTAGAGTCTGGCTTCTGGTCCCTGGAATGTCCAGGGAGCAGGGATTTCTGCTTCATTAATTTTCTGGGCACTTTGGGGTTAATGGGGGGAGAGGAAAAATCTCTGTTTTGCAGAATTTGTTGTGGAAAATCACCGAGTCCTGGTTTCCCCTCCTTGCCTTGGGAAGCCCATGCAGGCCCAAGATGGAGCCTGGGGGCGGCGGGGGCAGTTGTCAAGCCTGCATTCCGCATGCAGCACCTGGTTATCCAGGGATGGTGTGCAAGGTGCGGGGGGCTGCGCGGCTTCTCTTCTGGCCCCAGGATGAACCCTTCAAACTCTTTCATTTCTCAAACAAGCCCTCTGGCATGAGTCAGCCTTTCTTGTCAGCGCCTCTCTCTCCCCAGAGCAGGATGGGGAAACCATTCCCAGGTAATTGAAGAGTGTTGCTAGCTGGATCCTGGGTGACTGAATTTCCACTCTGCTTTCATGTCTGTTTCTGTTTTCTTTTCCCTTCTTCTGAAAGATAACAGGGTGAGAGAAAACACATGTCAAGTAGAAGCTTGCAAGTGGATGTAGGGAAAAGAATGCTTCCAGGGCTCCCCGGGCTGGGTGAGCTGCCTAGACAAACCGGCCGGGGCACTGTTACAGGCTCCGTTGCGCCTCCTCTCCACTAATTCATAGGTTGAAGCCCTCACCCTCAATGTCACTGTATTTGGAGACAGGACCTTTCAGGAGATTGAAGGTTAAACAGTGTCATAAGGGTGGGACCCTTGTCTGATTGGACTGATATCCTCATAAGGAGAGGAAGAGACAGCAAGGATGCTCTCGTGCAGAAGAAAGGCCATGTGAAGCCACAGTGGGAAGGGGACCACCTGCAAGCCCAGGAGACACCAAAGCCACGAACGCCTTGATCTTTTACTTTGAGATCACAAATAGGTAAAAATAAATGTCGGTTGTTTAACTGCCCAGTCTGTGGTATTTCATCGTGGTAGGCCCAGCAGACTAACAGGGACCTGGGGCCTGTCTCATGGCCCAGTGTGCTGGCGCAGGGCTTCCTCCAGCAGGGATGGTCTAGGATTGCAGCAGGCTCAGCTCTGTCTGCCCAACCTCCTTTCCACTGAGGGGGCTGCCCCTGCTCCACCGCACCTGCTCCCAGGGGACATCAGGCACCAGCCCTGCCCAGGCACTCGTGATGGACCCGGCTTGAGTTTGGGGTTCAGGGCATGTGGGGCACCTGCTCACTGGTCTCCACACATGGACTCCACAAGAGAGTCCCCAGCCGGCAGGAGGGTCGCCTTATCCAATTTCCTGCTTTACAAATGCTAATATTTCAACCAGCTGACCTCGAATGAGAAACCAGTAATTGTCCGAAAGAAGATCACCCTTCCAAATCATCTCTGGATCTTGATTTTGGAGAGCCAGCCCCTGGGCTGAATGTGGTGTGGGGTCAGCCCAGGGCGTCCATTCTTTGTTTCCTTAACTAACAGGAAAAGCTGTGTGGGGAGGGCAAGAAAATGCCTGTCGGTGAGTTTTTTTTTTTTTTTTTTTTTTTTTTTTTGAGAGGGAGTCTCACGCTGTTGCCCAGGCTGGAGTGCAGTGGTGCTATCTCGGCTCACTGCAAGCTCTGCCTCCCGGGTTCATGCCATTCTCCTGCATCAGCCTCTGGAGTAGCTGGGACTACAGGCGCCCGCCACCATGCCCAGCTAATTTTTGTAATTTTTTTCACCAGAGATGGGGTTTCACCATGTTAGCCAGGATGGTCTCAATCTCCTGACCTCATGATCCGCCTGCCTCAGCCTCCCAAAGTGCTGGGATGACAGGCGTGACCCACGGCCCTTGGCCTCTGTGAGTTTTTTAAGGGATGAAATGTGTGCAAAATCCTGCTGGGGGAGCTCTCTGGGGAAAAAGAAACAATTAAATCGATGATATATCAGCAAGTAACTTCCCTGCAAAGCCGCAGGCCTTCCGCGTCTCCCTTCGGACGGCAACCCCTCCCGTCCATCGCCTTTGCTGCATCCGTGAAGGTGGGAGAGCTGCCCATTGGTGCATTCCAGGCTCCATCCAGTTCCATGTGGACTCGCTTCTCTACCTACATGAGCAAGGTTGCGTCTGGAAATGCGCTTTCTTCTGTCTGTGGGTTTTGTTGGCCCCTGAAGACAGGATCTGGAGACAAGGGTTCCAGCCCAGTTCGGTCATGGCTGCTTTCCCCTAGCTGCTGTAACAAATTATCCCAAACCTGGTGGTGGAAAACAGTTGTGGAGGACAGACATCTCCATTCAGTCTGAAGGGGTTAAAGTCAAGGTGTTGGCCGGGCTGGGTCCTTCTGGAGGCTCCAGGGGAGACTCTGTTCCCGGGTTCTTCCAGCTTCTGGTGGCTCCTGGTGTTTCCTGGCCTGATGCCACATCGCTGCATCATTCCGGTCTTTGTCTCTGTGGTCACATAGATCTCTCTGCTTCTGTGTCAAATATTCCTCTGTCTGCCTCTTATAAGGACACTTGTGCTTGCATTTAGAGCCCACCTGGTTAATCTAGGATAATCTCCCAAGCTCAGGATTCTTCACTTTTTTTTTTTTTTTTTTTGAGACAGGGTCTTACTCTGTTGCTCAGGCTGGAGTGCAGTGGCACAATCATAGCTCACTGCAGCCTCAACCTCCCGGTCTCAAACAATCCTCCCATCTCAGCCTCCCAAGGAGCTGGGACTATAGGTGTATGCAACCACGCCTGGCTAATTTTTGTATTTATTTATTTATGTATTTTTGGTAGAGATGGAGTTTTGCCATGTTACCCAGGCTGGAGGATTCTTCACTGAATTTTATCTGCAAAGTCCCTTTTGCATCATAAGGTAACATTTGTAGGTTTCTGAGATGAGAAAGCCCACAGCCATTATCAAAGTGGTCATCATCGCCTTGCCATGAAGCTGAGTGAGCTTTGACCACACAAGGCCATGTGTCTTCTCTGCAAAATGAGGGATTGCTCTCAACAATCCTCAAGACTCTTCTGTCTGAGTATCTTGAGTCCTGGATGCAAACATTCTGGTTTGAACGTTCCTTCCTCAAAAACTTTTGTCTTAGTTTTTCTAAGCCAACTTGTCCAATGGTGTCATGGTGGAGAGAGACGGGGCCACGCCAGCATAGAGCCTGGCTCTGCAGCCCCAGCCAGCCTGGAATCCCAGCTCTGCCCCTCCCTGGTGGGGCCTGGGGGAGTCATGTAGGATCCCCCAACCCCGTTTCCTCAGATGTCAGATGAAGATCACCATCATCCCACCTCACAGGGCTGTTGCTGGGATAAACGAGAAAATGCACAGTGCTGGGGGCACACGGTGAACCCCTGGCAAATGCCCATGGTGTCCTGTTCGGTCTCAGCCTCACCTCAGTTGCCATTGTCCCCACCACCGAGATCAAGCATGCTTGACGATATCGCATTTCTGCACCTTTCGAGGAGACGTGGGACCTGCTCTTTGCTTTTGTGTCACTGTCTGCTGTGGGTGCTTTCTGATGAGCTGGAGCTGGAGGAGAGGAGAAAGAGGAGGATGCTTTTTTGAGTGGAGGAGGTTTACTCCCTGGATGGTAGGACGGGGAGTGTTTTCTGTGTGTGTGTGTGGGAGGTTCCATGAAAATCACCCTCTCTCACGCCAGGTTCTGTTCTGATTGGGGTCTGTTCCCTGGCAGGGGTGGGATTTGAGTCACGGGCATGTAGGGCAGGGGTCCTGCAGGCTGCTCATGGGTTCAGGCACACAGGGGTTTTTGGGCACCTGTTCTTGCTGAGTAAACCTTACTCTTTGGGGGAGGGCAGCTCCCTGACACCATGTGAAAGTCGTAAATACAGTTGGGCCCCAGGCGAGGCCGTCATTGCAGAATGAGGGCTGTGAAGTGGAGGGAGTGGATCTGAGCATGTGACCCCACACTCCTGGGAAGAAGAGCTTAGGATCATTCCTTCTGGGGGGCCGACTCCCTAAGGGCAGTTTTAGGGGCCTCCAAGCTGGGCCTTGTGCACTGGGCTTGCTCTGGTTGGAGTGAATTCTGTGGCTGTGGTTGCTGCCTTTTCCTCCCCATTCCACTTTGTGAAGGCCAGGAGTGAATTGTGGACACTTTTGTCTCTGTCACTGCAAACAGCACCCATTTATAACAGTAACAGGGGATCATCACTTGCTTCTATTTTTCCTCCCTCCCACTCTCTCTTGTTCTTCCTCCTTTCTCTACCAAACTAAGGTTTTCTAAATATTCCGTCCACGCTGGCCCCTTTTAGGATGCCGCTTGCGTTCACTGAGACTGGTGAGACTGGCATTTTAAGGTCTTTTGTTGCTCCTTTGTCCTGGTCATCCTCATGAGATGGATCCCCAGGTCCCTCTCCCCATTCTCCCAGAACCACAGTGCTCCAGCCCCCACCCCTTCATGTTTAACAGCTGCACTTGCAGCCTGTGCCTGCCACCATCCTATTTATTCTGTTCCACCCAGAGACCTAGAGACATGCTCATCATACCAGCCCGTCTAAACCGACTGAAATGTAAAGAGACACCTCTCCACGCATGTGATGCTCTGGCTTATGGGGAGACGAAGGTGGGGAATGTCGTGGGGGGACACACGACAAGTTGGGGAAGGGTGGGTGGTGGGGGAGGGAGAGAGAGAGAGAGAATCCCTCCTTAAAGAGCAAACCCTGAGCAGGTGCCTATGCAGCAATCCCAGATCTCTGCTCTGGCAGCTGGAGAGGTTCCCCACGCAGAACTGGACTGGAATTATTCCCTCAGCCACACAGGTAGAGCCATCTTGGTGTCCTTTGGGGAGGGAATTTGGAGACTGTCAGGAATGCACTGCGGCTCGGTCAGCATGTGCGTGCGTCCATTCTAACTGCTTGGTGCTGTGTTTTCTCGGGGGAACTTCAGCCTCTCTGGCTCCTCATCAGCTGCTCTGGGCAGCTGCCATGCTCATCGCCCCGGGAGCCACAGGCCAGCTTCATGCTCCAGCAACTCAGGAAGCTGTGTTTCACCCTCAGCTCAGAAGGACTTTCTGTTGGTCACTTATGAAGACCTGCGCGGTGCTGATGGTGCTCTTGGTCCTGTTCTGGGTCGTTTATAATAACACTGCGTCAGTTCCTATTGCCGCTGTGCTTGCAAGCATCAAAATCTATGTTAGTTTTCTATGGTTGCCACGACACATTACCGCAAACACAGTGGCTTAACAATACAACCTTGCAGTTCTGGAGGTTAAAATTCCCAAAATTAAGAAGTTGGCAGGCTGGGCATGGTGGGTCATGCCTGTAATCCTAGCACTTTGGGAGGCCAAGGTGGGCAGATCACCCGAGGTCAGGAGTTTGAGACTAGCCTGACCAACATGGTGAAACCCTGTCTCTACTAAAAATACAAAAATTAGCTGGGCGTGGTGGCACACACCTGTAATTCCAGCTACTTGGGAGGCTGAGGCAGGAGAATTGCTTGAACCCGGGAGGCGAAGGTTGCAGTGAGCTGAGATCACATCTCTGCACTCCAGCTTGGGCAACAAGAGCAAAAGTCCATCAAGAAAAAAAAAAAAAAAAAGAAAGGAAGAAGAAAAAAGAAGTTGACAGGGCTGTGCTCTTTTCTGGAGGCTCTAAGGGAGAGTCTGTTTCTCACCAGTTCCAGATTCTAGAGGCTGCCCACACTCCTTGGCTTGTGGCCCCTTACTCCATCTTCAAAAGTCAGCAACACAGCATCTTCAAGTCTCTCTGACCTCTGCTTCCATTCTCCCGTATCCTCCTCTGACTCTGATCCTCCCGTCTCCCTCTTATAAGAACCCATGTGATCACGTGGGGCCCATCAGATCATCCAGGATTCTCTCCCATCTCATGATCCTTGTTAGTGACATCTGCACAGTACCTTCTTGCTGTGTGAAGTTACCTAATCACAGTTTCCCAGGGTTAGGATGTGGACATCTGTTGCAGGGGTAGGGGTGGGTTGGGTACAGGGAGCATGATTTTGCTACCATATGTGTGTGTGTGTATGTGTGTGTGTGTGTATGTGTGTGTATATATGTATATGTGTGTGTGTATACATGTGGGATGCATATCTGTCTGTATAGATACATATGTGTATCTTTATAACTCTATAATAATATGTTCTGTAATAATAGACACCATTATTCTTTTATCTTTAATAAGTGGTGAAACTGTGGCATAGACAATCAGAGCAACTTCCCCAAGGACATCTAGGTGGTAAGTGTGATACCAAGATTCTCAACCCAGGTGTTGGCTCCAGAGTCCAGGCTCCAAAACATTTTCTCTGGACTTTTCCAAGAAAGCAACTAATAGAAATCAATGCTACAGGCTGGGTGCGGTGGCTCACACCTGTAATCTCAAGCACTTTGGGAGGCTGAGGCGGGTGGATCACCTGAGGTCAGGAGTTTGAGATCAGCCTGACCAACATGGTGAAACCCCATCTCTACTAAAAATACAAAATTAGCTGGGCATGGTGGCACGTGCCTGTAATCCCAGCTACTTGGGAGACTGAGGCAGGCGAATCACTTGAACCTGGGAGGCGGAGGTTGCAGTGAGCCAAGATCTTGCCATTGCACCCCAGCCTGGGCAACAGAGTGAGACTCTGTCTCAAAAGCAGGAAAAGGAAAAAAAGAAATCATTGCTAGATACTAATTATCTCTCAGCAACCTCAGGTGTTGCTAGAAATGCAGGAGAAATAAAAGGCAAAACTTCTGAGCAAGAAGGTTACAAGGTAGCTGAGGTGATAAGGCCAGCCCACAAGAGGGTAAGAGAATGTTCCAGGATGAAGGAGGTACAGGTTTTAGTTTATTGGATGCTTACCTATGGGAAAGGTGCTCATGAATGACAGCTTCACAAGCATGAAGTTCTGATCAGAAAGTATCATTTAAGTCTTTAGTCCACTTGAGTTAACTTTTGTATGTGGTGTAAGATAAGCATCCAGTTTCATTCATCTACATATGAATATCCAGTTTTCCCAACACCGTTTATTGAAGAGATGATCTTTTCCCCATTGTGTATTCTTAGTGCCCTTGATGAAGATTAGTTGACTGTGTATATGTAGGTTAATTTCTGAGCTCTCTATTCTGTTCCATTCTGTGTCTGTTTTTATGCCAGTGCCATGCTGTTTTGATTACTATAGCTTTGTAATGTAGTTTAAAATCAGGAAGTATGATGCCTACAGCTTTGTTCTTTTTTCTCAAGGTTGCTTTGGCTGGGTCTTTTGTGGTTCCATAAAATTTTTAGAATGTTTTTCATCTCTATAAAATTTCCATTGGAGTTTTGATTGCTATGAAAAAGTGCCATTGGAATGGCTGTTGCCATTGCAATTTAGATTTCATTCAATCCATAAATTGCTTTGGGAAATGTGGACATGTTAACAATATTAATTCATCCATTCCATAAACATGGAATATATTTATTTATTTGTGTGTTTTTCAATTTATTTCATCAATGTTTTATAGCTTTCAGTGTACAGATCTTTCACTTCCTTGGTTATATTTATTTCTAATTTATTCTTTTTCATGTGGTTGTAATTTGGATTGTTTTCTTAATTTTTTGGGTAGTTTCTTGTTAGTGCATAGAAATACAACTTATTTTTGTATGTTGGTTTTGTGTCCTGCAACTTTACTGAATTCATTGATTATTTCTAACATTTTTTTGAGAAGTCTTTAAGGTTTTCTATATATAAGATCATATTATCTGCAAATAGAGGCAATTTAAATTCTTTTCTGATTTGGATGTCTTTTATTTTTCTTGTCTAATTGCTCTGACTCAATAGAACTTCCAATACTGTGTTAATAGAAGTGACAACTTCATCTTGTTTCTGATCTTATACAAAAAGTTTTCAGCTTTCCACTGTTGAGAATGATGTTAGCTGTGGGCTTGGCATACATGGCCTTTATTGAGTTGAGCACATTCCCGCTATACCTAATTTGTTGAGAGTTTTTATCAAGAAGTGATGTTGGATTTTGTCTAACGCCTTTTCTGCATCTGCTGAATTAATCACAATTTTTACCTTTATTCTGTCAATGTGGTGTATCACATTTATTGATCTGTGTATGTTGAACCATTCTTGCATCCCAGAGATAAATCCAACTTGATTATGGTGAATGATCCTTTCAATGTACTATTGAATTTGGTTTGCTAGTAGTAAATTTTTGCATCTATGTTTATCAGGGATATTGTCCTGTAATTTTCTTTTTCTTATAGTAGCCTTGTCTAATTTTGTAGTTGGAAGTGTTTCTTGCTTTTCAATTTTTTGGAACCGTTTGAGGATTGATGTTAATTCTTCTTTAAAAGCTTGGTAGAATTGACCCATGGAACATTCTGGTCCTGGGCTTTTCTTGGTTGGTTGGAAGATTTTTTTTATTACTGATTTAATCTCCTTACTTGTTATTGGTCTGTTCAGATTTTCTATTTCTTCATTGATTCAGTCTTTGTAGATTGTATGCTTCTAGGAATTTATTCATTTCTTTGAGGTTATCCAGTTGGTTGGTATATAATTATTTATAATACTCTTTAATGATCCTTTGTACTTCGTGGTATCAGTTGTAATGTCTCCTTTTCCATTATAATTTTATTTATTTGAGTCCTCTCTTTTTCCTTGGTTAGTCCAGCTAAAGATTTGTTGACTTTATCTTTTCAAAAAAACAACTCTTAGTTTTCTTGATCTTTTCTATTGTCTTTCTAGGCTCTGTTTCATTTATTTCTGCTGTAATCTTTATTATTTGCTTCCTTCTGCTAACTTTGGGCTTAGTTTATTACTTTTCTATTTCCTTGAGGTATAAAGTTAGGTTATTTGAGATATTTCTTTTTTCTTAATCAAGGCATTTTTCTCTCTATATTTCTCTTTTAGAACTGCTTTTGCTGAATCCCATAAGTTTTGGTATGCTTCGTTTCCATTTTCACTTGTCTAAAGATATTTTGAATTTTTCTTTTGATTTTTTTCTATAATCCATTGGTTGTTCAGGAGCATGTTGTTTAATTTCCACATATTTGTGAATTTTCCAATTTTCCTTCTATTATTGATTTCTAGCTTCATATCTCAGTGGTCAGAAAAGATACTTGATATGATTTCAATCTTCTTAAATTTGTTAAGACTTGTTTCGTGGCCTAAAGTATCATTCATCCTGGAGAATGTTCCATGTGCACTTGAGAAAAATGTACAATCTACTGCTGTTGAATGGAATGTTCTGTATATGTCTGTGAGGTTTATTTGGTCTATAGTGTTATTCAAGTCTGCTAGTTCCTTACTGATTTTCTGTCTGATGATTCTCCATTGTTGAAAGTGAGGTATTGCAGTCTCTTACCATTATTGTATTTCATCTATTTCTCCTTTCAGTTCTGTTAATATTTGCTCAATATATTTAGGTGTTCCAATTTTGGGTGCATATATATTTACAATTGTTATATTCTCTTGATGAATTGACTCCTTTATCATTATACAGTGACTCTCTTTTTCTCTTATGATACATTTTGACTGAAAGTTTATCAGGGTGTAAACAAGTCCATAATTACACCAGGCTTGTCCTAAAGTGAATCCTTTCATGAAGCAGAGAACAATTTGCCCACACACTCAATACATATTAATATATGTTATATATATATAGGGTGCATAGTTGACTTCACCAATTTGGGCTACTTGATGGGAAACAGAGCAAGGGACATTAATAAAATTCTAGTGTAGAATGTCTTTTTTCTTAAATTAACCAATTAAAAAAATTATTATTTCCAAGTATGTGCAGCAATTCAAACTGTGCTACTGAATATAATACTTATTTGTAATTGGCTCTTTCTGTGGATGTCAGAGTTCACTTCTGCGACATTTAACAGACCAGCCTTAAGACCTATCAGGATCCACTTACAAGTCTGTCAATGGTATTACTTTGCTGTGGTTTGCTGGAGACAGAAGAAATGCCTGCCTAGTCCTTATGATAATTAATCCAAGTTCTAGATAAGCGTGAGAGTTGATACTTCAAGGCAAAGGGAGGCATCCCCACAGCAATGTGGAAATAAGACTTTATCTTTAATGTTAAACAATGGATTAAAATATGCAAGTGGCTGAAGAAACAGAATGGATCCCAGCCCCTACACTGTCCTCTAACCTGAGTTTGATGGATTGAATTTTAAAAATACAGAGCTGGTCAGTATTGGGGCTTATCAGCCACAGAAGCACTGAAAGGAGATTCACAGGGGTCAGTGGGGCTGCACCTGTCTCAGGGTGCTTTTCATCAGGGCTTGTGTTTGAATTTAAGTTGGCCCAATAAACAGCAGCACTCCTCTCTGCCTTCGTAATGGATCAACTGAGAAATAAGGCTTTTTGAATAAAGCAGATGAAAATCCCAAGTTGTCTCTGTTATGGATATAGCTAGTCCCTGGAGGATGTGGCTGATATCACAGCCACCTGATTTTTTTCTGGATTGGATGCCCCAGAATTAAACAGATTATCTTTTCTGGATGTCCCAGGCTATTTTGACCCCTGAAGTCTTCCCATGCGGGGCAGACTCTTTGCAAGACTGACTACCTGGAGGAGCAGAGGAGCAGGGGAGAATGCATGTTCCTGGAAGTAGGGGACTTGCTTCCAAGAGAAGAGGGAACAAAAGTAGAAAAGAGAAGGACTGTACAACACTGTCTCAGCTCATTTGTGCTGCTATAACAAAATGCCTGAGACTGGGTAATTTATGAAGAAAACAATTATTTATTTCTTACAGTTCTGGAGACTGGGAAGTCCAAGATCAAGACACTGGAATTTGGTATCTGGTGAGGGCCTTCTTGCCACATCCTCACATGGCAGAAGGGGTAGAAAGGACAAAAGGGATGAACACTCTGTCCTTACAAGGTGGAATAGTGTAAGAGAATTGAACTCCCTCAAACCCTTTTATAAGACTCTAATCCCATCCATGAGCGCTCCACCCTTAGGACTTAATCACCTCCTAAAGGGCCCACCTCTTAATACCATCACGTTAGCTTCCAACATATAAATATTGGAGGACACATTCAGACCATAGCAAGCACATGTTTGTTCTTCTTTGCAGACTCACACACAAGGTACTCTTTGTCCCTTGGGGAGGAGCCAGGAGGGAAGCCGAGAAGGGCAGAGAACACACCATGGAGGATGCTCTTCATGGAAGGGAACACGAGGCAAGACCCTCACTCCCAGCCTCTGCCCCTCACCAGCACCTTGGTCCTGGGCCATCTTCTTCTCTCCCTGGGCATCTCTCCTCTGGTGATCCCATTTGGTTTCACAGCTTGGAGCAACACAGGTGCATGCATGAGTCCAGATTTGTAACTCCTTCCCAGACGTCTCCTCCAACTAACACCACCCACTTCCTGATGGCTGTGCTTGGATGTCTGACCAACATCGGACTCATGTTCTTCAGACCTATTTTCCTTACTCAGTCTTCCTTGTTGGGGTTGATGCTCCTTCTCCAGTCCTGGGGTTTCCCTCCAGGTGGGGGAAGCTCTGCTGACCAGACACTTCCTAACTCTCCTCCTTCACTTGGTCTGATCTCAGGGCAGGGGGAGTAACTTATCTGGAAAAAAACTCAGCATGGTACCCACTCAGCAACCCCCTTCCTTCCTGGTGGAAGCCCTCGGCCCTCAAGGACACAGTTCTGTGATGTGTCCTCCATCAGAGGTGATGTTTTGGCCTCCATCTGCCCTTTCTCAGTCTTAGTTCTCAATAAGTTGAGAACTCAGGTGAGAGAGACCCCAGCGTTTCTCATCTTGGGCAACAGCACCATCGTCCACCTGTGGTTCAAGTCTGAAATGCCAGCCGCCCTCCAGTACTTCCTTCTCTTCATCCTATATCCAATCTGTCAGATGTCCTGCCAGCTCCTCCCCACAAATTTGTCTCAAACTTCCCTTTTTCTCTCCACGTTTATGGCCTCCTCTATAGGCGGACCCAGCATTTTGGCATTACTGCAATTGTTTCCAGTGGAACTTCCTGCTTTTCCTTCCCTCAAACTATTGACATGTAAATCAAATACAGTGGGATCCTATTTCACTTAGAGTGAATTTCAAACTTACTTCCTTGGGCATAAAGGCCACACAGGCCCTAGCCTCCCTCTGTCTCACCCACCTTGCTGACTGTTCTGCTGCTATCTCGATGTGTGCCTATCACACAGGTTCCTTTATGTCTCTTGAACACATCACTTGATCCCTAGGGCTAATACAGTGTAGCACATGGTGTGCCCTCAAAATTATTTTCTAAATAACTGAATTGTCTTATGCCCTGTCTTGTCCAGGGGAGAGGGAGCCACAGTGGATTTTGTATATTCCAGGGCCTTGGAAGGACCATCTCTGCAATGAGATGTAAGCATCAGGTTCTCCCAAGTTAAATATTTGTCCTTGTTCTGATTCCATGCTCACCAAACAGCATTCTGATTGCAACTGGCCCCCTCTGTCAGTCTTCCTCCAGGGGGGAGAATGGACCGGCTCTGCATATGCCAGTCCTCTGATTCCAATGCCTGTGTATTTCTCCCTGCAAATCAATACGTGGGTGTTAACGGTCTATACAACAAGCTCGCCAGCTTTATAAACGAGGGCAAACAGTGGCAAGACGGACATGCTCTTTGTTTCTTAGCTTGCTGGCTGGGAAAGAAGACCACAGGTCCAGTGCACTGTCTGAGATGATGACAGTTTCCTAGGGAAGTTCTCGGGAAAGAGGCTATGGGGCTTGCTCCTGACAGCAGGCTCCTCTCAGAATGGCTGTTTTGCTGAGACCTCAAAACTTTCTTCTTTTGAATTTTTAATATAACGGTTCGAATTTGTGAGGTTTCAACATTTCCTACTTTTCTAAAGCAAGGCTTCGTGTTTCCCAAAGTCACCCAGGATCTCAGGTACGAAATGAAGTCCTGGGTGCTGGAGTAGACACATCTCTAAACTGTGTAGATATAAGGCCAGGTGCAGTGGCTCAAGCCTGGAATCCCAGCATTTTGGGAGGCTGAGGTGGGCAGATCACCTTAGGTCAGGAGTTTGAGACCAGCTGGCCAACATGGTGAAACCGTCTCTACTAAAAACACAAAAATTAGCTGGGCATGGTGGTGGGCGTCTCTAATCCCAGCTGCTCCGGAGGCTGAGGCAGGAGAATTGCTTGAACCTGGGAGTCGGAGTTTGCAGTGAGCCGAGATGGTACCACAGCACTCCAGCCTGGGTGACAGAGTGAGACTCCATCTAAAATAAATAAATAAATAATGTGTGTAGATATGACCTTCTCCGTGGGACCCTGATATGGTTTGGATCTGTGTCCCCATCCAAATCTTGTGTTGAATTGTAATCCCCAGTGTTGGAGGTGGGGCATGGTGGGAGGTGATTGGATCATGGGGGTGGGTTTCCCTTGGGTATGTTGTAGTGATGGTGAGTGAATGCTCATGAGATCTGGTTGCTTAAAAGTGTGTGGCACCTTCCCCGCCTCTCTCTTCCTCCTCTTCTGTGCATGTGAAGAAGTGCCTTCTTCTTCTTCGCCTTCTGCCATGCCTGTAAGTTTCCTGAGGCCTCCCTAGCTATGCTTCCTGTATAGCCATCACAACTGTGAGCCAATTAAACCTCTTTTAGAAAATAAATTATCCAGTCTCAGGCATTTCTTTATAGCAGTGTGAGAACAGACTGATACAAACCCTGTTTTTCCTCTGTTGTGGGTTCCCCACTGAATGTGGTTTGAATGGGAAGCAGTCCCCTCCCTGCCCCACACAGTCAGCCGGCAGATGCAGTGTGGCCTACACTCAATACCTCAGATGCTCTTCCACGGATTTGTGAATCTGTAGGGAATGATGCGGCTTGCAGGGAGAATTCAGTGTTCATTTCAGCAGAGGCCATGGTGGGGCATGTGGGTCAAGTAACTGCGATTCATGAATTTTCTTGCCTACTCCTCCATAATTCCTTTGGTTCCCATCCATTTTAAAGCCTGGTCCTTCCCCACCCCACCCACCGTTTTTTTTTTGTTTTTTTTTTTTTTTTTTTTTTTTGAGACAGACTCTCACTCTGTCGCCGGGCTGGAGTGCAGTGGCACGGCGATCTCGGCTCACTGCAACCACCAACTCCCAGTTCAAGCAATTCTCCTGCCTCAGCCTCCCAAGTAGCTGGTATTATAGGCGCATACCACTATGCCCAGCTAATTTTTGTAGTTTTAGTAGAGACGGGGTTTCACCATGTTGGCCAGGATGGTCTCAATCTCCTGACCTTGTGATCTGCCTGCCTCGGCCTCCCAAAATGCTGGGATTACAGGCATGAGCCACCGTGCCCGGCCTCCCTTTTTATACATGGGTAAAGCACTTTATATCTTTCTGGTATGTGTGTGTGTGTTTGTATGTACTGAATTTATCTAGAGCCAGTTTCTTTGCATGCAACCAAGAATTCTAATGCACAAATTGATGCCAGGCACAGAGTGGAGACAAGAGACACTCAAGGACAGAGGGAGGATTTGGGGATTTGTATCAGTAAAGGGAGAGGCTCTAAGATGCTATAACAAAGAGATCCCAGTGGGAGTGGCTAAACCAAGGTAAATGTTTGTTTCTTTCTCGCACAATAGTCTGAGTTTTGGGAAGACGGTGCTGTTCTCTGTGAGCGGCTGTTACCTAGAAACTGACATATTTCCAAAACATTGGGAAGAACTAGAGGAAAGTCATCTTTCCTTTGGGGCACGTGACTGGGAAGTCGCATACATTGCGTTTGCTGACATCCCATGGGCTCAGTCACATTGCCACGTTTAGCCACCATGGAGGCTGGGAAGTCGATCTCCAGCAGGTCAGCCCTGTGCTTTCCTGGCATGGGGTGGGGGCATTCTAACATCACAAGAAGAGACTGAATAGCTGGGGCCATTTGCGATCACAGCTGCAGGATGGGATGAAAGGCGGGGAAGGTGCAATTAATATTCTGGGATGGAATTGTAGTGGCCCTTAGCACGGAGCTAACTAAATCATTGCCTGTTATGACCTGGAGTCCAGTACTCAGTGCAGCAAAGACATGGAGAGGGAGGAACCATGCTGGTGCCACCATAAAGCAGTGTGACATATTGATTTAGTCCATTTTGTGCTGCTATAACAGCATACCTGAGACTGGGTAATTTATAAAGAACAGAGATTTATTTTTTTACGATTGTGGAAGCTGAAAGTCCAAAGTTGAGGGGCCTGAATCTGGCAAGGGCTTTCTTTCTGCATCATCCTATGGTGGAAGGCGGGAAGGCAAGTCAGAGAGAGAGAGAGAGAGAGAGAGACAGAGAGAGACAGAGAGAGACAGAGAGACAGAGAGGAGGGACAGGAGTCTAACTCATCCTTTTTACGAAGCCCACTCCCAAGATAACTCTGTTAATCCATTCACGAGGGCAGATCCCTCATGACCTAATCACCTCCTAAAGATCCCAAAGACCCCATTCTCAACACTGTTGCACTGGGGATTAAGTTTCCAACACATGAACTTTGAAGGATGCATTTAAACCATAGCACCTATGAACAATTTAGACTCTAGTGGTGAATCGGCCATTTCTGCTATATGAAATAACTACAGGCAAGAGAATGCCAACTTCAAAACTCCAAATACTCAGCTTGAGGCATAGTATAAAGCTCAAGGACATTGCTCTATGACCATGCTGAACAATCTCTTACCGTTCAGCTGGCAGAAATAGCAAAACAAACAAACAAACAAACAAAAAATACAGTAGTCACAGAACCCTCTAAGTTTTATCTTTCCAATGCTGAATTACACTATCAGTTGAATTTACAGGTTTACCAAGTCTTGTATGTAAAATAGAGGACACTGATCAAGAAAGAATGGAAACCTAAAAATCAAAGTAGAAATATGTGGGAGAATTTGCATTCCTCTTGTTAATGCTCCTGCCTTGGTACTAAACTGAGGAGGCAGGCTCCATCCTTGTTTGAGGCAGCTAGTCCAGTCCTCCTTGAGGGCAACATTCCTCCCTAGCTAAAGCAAGCTTCCTTGTAAGAGAAGATGAACTCCCTCATTGCCTGCCTGCATTGTCTTCAGGCTGGTAACTAGAGTCGGACCTTGGCACATCCTAGGGCACCAACTGCAAAATGAAAAGGCAGCAGAAGACTTTGTGCTATGAAAGAGCTGCAGGCTTTTGCTAATTTTCATCACAAAATACCTGGGGGCATGTGTGTGGGAAAGCCTGTTTAGGGAGGAGGAGCACAGTTCACGTTGGGTGTTGGGTATAATTTGTGAATACAAAGGTGGGGATCATGAGCTTTAGATGTTGTGTTTGTTTCCTGGGACTGCTGTAATAAAGTGCCATGACCCTGGGTGCCTTCAACAACAGATACTTTTCCGGTGGTAGTTCTTGGTGCTTAGAAGTCCATCATCAAGCTGCAGGCAAGCCCACGCATGCCAGAGGCTCTAGAGAAGCTTCCTTCTCTTCTTGCTGGCTCGGTGGTCGCCATCACAGCTTAGTGTTCCATGCTTGCAGACGTATCGCTGCAAACTTTCTCTTTGTCACATGACAATCTCTCTGTGTGGTCCTGTTCTCCCTGGCATTCTGCCCCCACGTTTCCTCTTTTTATAAGGACCACAGTTACTGGGTTAGGGTCCTCTACACTCCAGTAGAACTTCAGTTTAACTTTATCACATCCACAACATCTTATTTCCAAATAAGGTCACATTCACAGACAATGGGGACACATCTTATTTGGGGGTAAAGCCCAACACAATATAGATGTAATGTAAGATGGCAGCCTGACAGCCAAAAGGGGATCAAATCATTTTCTTGCTGGTTATTGCAAGCCTTGGCTCAAAAATATCCCTCCATAAATGAACATGAGGTACCAAATTCTTGGCATGATACAGGATGGATTTAAAGACTAAAGGAGGTAGAGATATGGAGTGGATCTATGATGCTCATTTCATGTTACTAACACCCAGTCAACCACACACACACACACACATGCATGCACGTGCGCGCACACACACACACACATTCACACATGCATGCACAAACACCCATGCCATGTCCCTGAGAAGGCCAATGCCACACTCCTTTTTACCAAGATCTTGACACATATGATGGAGAGGGAAGCACCAGTAGAAACTGAACTTACGTTCGCTGTGTTTGTAAAATTCTGACAACAGTGGAAGTCAGAAAGGAATCCCAGAGAAACAGAGGCTGGGTGGCCACTTTTAACAGTCAAAGAAAGAGGGGGAGTGGCCATACATTAAGAATAACGATCAGCTTGCTAATCAGAGGTCTTTAATGCTGTTAATTGATCATGAGTTTCTTGGAATGAATATCAAAGGGCTGCCCGGCAAAGCCTATTTGATGTGTAAACTGATATCGATACATAAATGAATAAATTAACATCTAGATCTTGAAAACAGAATCATGACTGTAAAATTCCATGGTAGAGTCATGAGCCCTGAGAATTTCCACACCTGAGTTAGTTCTCAGACTCAAAGCCCTCTGAAGGGGGATCTGGGGTCCTGGAAGGAAGAGGGAAGGAGCCCTAGGTGGACAGTAGGGACCTTTCCCCCAGCCTTTCCCAAGGGATCCATGCTGTTCATAGCTTTACTGCGCACAGAGGAAGGGGAAGTACCTGCAATGTGGACTCTTGGGCACTGGCTCTGGGCTCACACATCCGCATGGTCCCCTAGTTGAAATGGAGTCAAGTGGGGGTGTGGTGACTTGGTGAGATCTTTTAGCCCCTCTGTGTGCTCAATCCTGAGTCCACTTACTGGTTATTTCCCCAGCTCCAGGGTGAACACTTGGTATCCTCAGTAAGAGATGGGATCTCCTCATGGCTCATGTTGACAGAGGAATCACGAAGAGCCATGGAATCTGGGCTCTAAGGCAAGGGTGGACTAGTGTGAGAGCCCCAGCCTTCATCTTCACATCCAAGTAGCAAGGCAAAAGCAAGTGCATCTAGGAAGCCTTTGGTGGGGTGGGGGGTGGGGGGTGGGGCATGACAACCAGAGACCTGAAGGAGGCCATCAAGGTGATGCTCGTCACATCCATCCATAACTCCCACCATCGCCGTGAGAGCCAGTATTTGGTGAAAGCTGACACTGTACACTCATTATTTCATTTAATCCTTATAACATGTCTCCAGGGGAGGCACTATTATCATTCCCACTTTACAGATGAGAAAATGGAGGCTTAGGACATTTAAAAGACAGCCCAAGGTCCCACAGCTAATAAGGCTGGAATTTAAGCCCAGGTGGTCTGAGTCTAGCACCTGAGATCATGCCTAACTCTTAAAAGAGGATGATATGGTTAGGCTCTGTGTCCCCACCCAAACCTCACCTTGAATTGTAATCCCTATAATCCCCATAATTGCCACGTATCAAGGGATAGACCAAGTGGAGGTAATTGAATCATGAGGGCAGTTTCCTCCATGCTGTTCTCCTGTAGTGAGTGGGTTCTCATGAGATCTGATGGTTTTATAAGGGGCTCTTCCCCCTTCGCTCAGCACCTCCTCCTGCCACCTTGTGAAGAAGGTGCCTTGCTTCCTGATATGGTTTGGCTGTGCACCTACCCAAATCTCAACTTGAATTGTATCTCCCAGAATTCCCAGAATTCAGAAAGGAATTCCAGAGAAATACAGGCTGGGTGGCCACTCTTAACAGCCAGAGAAAGTGAGGGAGTGGCCATACATTAAGAATAACGATCAGCTTGCTAATTGAGGTCTTTGGTGCTATTAACTGATCATGAGTTTCTTGGAATGAAAATCAAAGGGCTGCCCGGTAAAGCCTACTTGATTTGTAAACTGATATCAATACATAAATGAATAAATGAAAGTCTAGATCTGGAAAGCAGAATGAGCAAGGGAGCGTGGGAGGGACCCAGGGGGAGGTAATTGAATTATGGGGCTGGTCTTTCCCGTGCTATTCTAGTGATAGTGACTAAGTCTTATGAGATCTGATGGGCTTATCAGGGCTTTCCACTTTGGCTTCTTCCTCATTTTCTCTTGCTGCTGCCATGTAAGAAGTACCATGTTTCTGAGGCCTCCCCAGCCATATGGAACTGTAAGTCCAATTAAACCTCTTTTTCTTCTCAGTCTCAGGCATGTCTTAGTCAGCAGCATGAAAACGGACGAATACACTTCCCCTTCACCTTCCACCAGGATTGTAAGTTTCCTGAGGCCTCTCCAGCCATGCAGAACCGTGAGTCAATTAAACCACTTTCCTTTATAAATCACTCAGTCTCGGATATGTCTTTATTAACAGCATGAGAACAGACTAATATAGAGGAGATGAATGGATTTCAAGCAGCCCTCCCGCTGAGGTAAAATCCTAAGGGATACTTCAGCAGGCACCAGGAAGGGGACGTTTGTTCTTCTGTGGCATCAACTCTACCGAAAACAACCTAGCCTCCAACCTCGAGTTCCATGAGATTTTCTCTTCCCTTCAAAGCAAATCTGACCTGATGTTGCCATGACCCACCTGGATCCGGGGGATGTTCTGTTTCTTCCATTATGTGCTAATGGGAGTGTAAGAGTCACCTAAATGGCTCAGGTTCTGCTGGCAGGCCTCATTTTGCTTCTTCTAAAGGTTTTCCCTTCACTAAATCCAGGGGCAAACTTGGGCTGCTGTGTGGCATGAATGTTGATGAGTGGGAGGAAGGGAGGAAAAGAGAGATAAATAGAAGGGGAGAGAGAGAGAGACAGAGTGGAGACAGTGGGAGGGGGAGAGAGAGGGTGAGAGAAAAATAGAGAGATGGAAAGCCAGAAAGGGGAGAAAGGAGAGAAGAGGAGAGGAGAAGAAAAGCAAGGAGAAGAGAAAGACAGAGAGAGAGATAGACAGATAGAGACAGAGAGACAGGAGGGGGGAGAGAAAGACAGAGAGAGAGATTAGAAAGGAAGACAGACAGAGAGAGAGATGAGTGAGACAGGAGTGGGGAGAGAGAGCCAGAGAGAGATTAAATAGGGAGACAGAGAGAGAGAGACAGACAGACAGACAGCGAGACAGACAGACACACACACACATACATACATACATCCACACACACCCACACACACCCACACACAGAGACAGAGAATAGGCTTCAGGCAGCAAATGGCCCCAGGGGTGACAACTCTACTTACCTGCTGAGAAAGCCTGGCTAGCCAGGCAGAAGCCTGCTGCAGGGGCAGAGCCCTCACAGAGAACCTCTACTAGGGCAGTGCTGAAGGGGAAACGTGGGATTGGAGCCCCCACACAGAGTCCCCAATGGGGCACTGCCTAGTGGAACTGTGAGAAGGGAGCCACCATCCTCTAGACCCAAGAATGGTAGAGCCACCGACAGCTTGCACCCTGTGCCTGGAAAAGCGGCAGGCACTCAATGCCATCCTGTGAAAGTAGCTGGGTGGGGGGCTGCACCCTGCAAAGTCACACAGGTGGAGCTGCCCAAGGCCTTGGGAACCCATCCCTTGTACCAGTGTGCCCTGGATGTGGGACATGCGGTCAAAGGAGGTAATTTTGGAGTTTTAAGGTTTAAGACTGTCCTGCTGGGTTTCTGAGTTGCCTGAGGCCTGCTACTCTTTCTTTTGGCCAATTTCTCCCTTTTGGAGCAGGAATGTTTACCCAATGTCTATACCCGCCTTGGACTTTCTCATACATAGATGGGGATAACATAGATGGGGATAACAGCTCCTGGGCTGGACTGACTGAGATTCTGGGTTATCTCCGTGGGTGCAGGAGCAGTAGAAGGGAGGGAATGGAAGAGAATCACAGGAAACAATGATGCAAACAAGCTCTGAGAAGTCAGAGGGGTGCACAGTGGGAAGACAGAATTAGGATGCTGGTCTATTGGTCTTGCCTCTCAGGGGTGATGTGGGCAGTTGTTCAAAGTTTCTTGGTAGATTTGCTGCTGAACACAGGGATGGCTCATACCCTGACCCTTCCCTCTCCCCAAGTCTGTCTTGTTTTGCCAAAGCTTGGCTTAAAAGCTTGGCATGTGCAATAAGAATTGCTCACCTGCGTCGACTGCTCACAAAGCTCTGGTCACCATGGAAAGAGCTTCACCTCTGAGAGGTACAGGTGCTGCCTCCATTTCCCCCCAAGCATCCATTCCCCTAAGTTCCAGTAAATTTAACTTTGCTTTGGGGGACAATTCCACTGGACTTGCATGCAGGCTGGTGGATCTGTCAATCAAGAGGCTCCCCCCTCACCTGTACAGGGCTACACATGTGACCCAGGCTCAATCGACTCCCTAGAAATGTGATTTGCATAGAAATGGAAGATATTTGTGGATGCCCTCAGGAGACCGACCGTTTCTGCGGTGCAGGTGCCTGGAACCCATCTGGTCCCCGTACTTTCTGAAATCTCATGCTTCTCTTTTTCCTCTCATTGTATAAGGACAAATGACTCTGTGTCTTCCCAATCTGTGCTCATGTTGGCCAGAATCAGATATCATATTTTGCCACCAGTAGACCTTAATTTATTGAGACGGAGTATCTTAATTATTTCTCACAACAACCTTATAAGGTAGGTATTGTGTTATCCCATTGAATAGATGAGAAAACTGCAGATTGGGAAGGGGGTCGCCCAGCACGTGTGGTGCAGCTGGGACTCAGACCAAGGCAGTGGACTGTGAACTCTTCTTTGCACAGCTCCTTTGCTGTGCTCTTCACAGCTCCTTTCTCCCCAGTGGCTTCAATCCAAGCCCCCCTCATTCCTCACTCCCCAGCCTAGCAGGGCCTCCTCTGGGTTCGGAGCTCCAGGAAGAGGTGGGAAAGCCTTATGGTGGGATCCTTTCTCCTGATTGAATTAGCAAAGGTAAGACAAAGGCTGTGATTTCCCTCTGGAGAGATTGGTCAGTTCCTGAAACATCCTTGACTCTTCAGGGTCTAGGTGCTCCAGGAGCTCATTCTCCTGCCTGGACATAGGCTCCGTCCCACCAGGAAGCCTTGGGGGTGACCACTGGGTGATGGCACTGATGACCCTGCATTGGTCAGAAGCAGGTGCGAGAGGCAGTTTGGGGCTGGGGATTAAGGGGACTTGGATGAACGACATCTGAGCCAATGTTTCTCAGGAAGGCATGCCCAGCCCTGCTGCAGATCCATCACTGAGATTTATTTCCAAGAAGCAGCGACTCGTCAAGCAAGCCTTGAATCAGCCTGGGTGGGAGTCGGCTTTCTATCAACAAGTTTGATGACACAGTTAAGCCTGGAAGGGGAATGGTGCATCTTCTTCCAATCTGGGGAAGAGATGCCTGGCAGAGGCCCCACAACTGCAGGTAAGTGGTGGAAAACTTCCAAACTCCTCCTCTCTCGGGGCTAAGATCTCCTGAGCCCACAGGCGTTTTTGAAGCTGGAGCCCTGGTGTGGCTTTCTGCAAGACTGTGTTGGAAGGCAGTGCCCCTGTGCATGGGGACAGAGGTGGGGAAGAAGACAAGGAACCTGGAGGAAAAAAGAGGAAGACCAACAGAGGGGCTTCATCTGCAACTTCTGCCCCCATGGTAGCTGCCGCTCCTCAGACTCAGCTTCCTGGCTGGTGCATGGCTTTGCTTCTGTACGGAAGCAGCATCCACAGCCAGCCTCCTCCCATCCCAGAGACTCTTCCTGGCTGAGTTTAGTGGAGGCCCCAAACTGCAATGGTGCTGCCAAACATGGCCACATCACAAAGCGGGTGACAGCTGACACTGAGTGGGACATGCAGGGGAAGCCCTGAGGACCTGTATTCAGCCCTTTGCTGATGGGAACTCCAAAGCCTTCTCTGGGGAGAGGTCATTGATTCCAACATGAATGGGGTGTCTCCCATGAGCCAGGCATTGTGTGTACCAGGAATTCATTTGTGAGAAGAGCAGACAAAGGTCCCTGCCTCTTGGGACCCACATTCCACAGGGGGAGAGGATGGTAATTAATGATGAGCATGATGAGAAGGCAGATGGCCTGGTGTGTGATGATGCAGTAAGGGCTGGGGTAAAAGAGTTAGGGAGGGCTGGTGTGTGTGCATGTGTGTGTGGGTGAGGACAAGGATGCAAGTTTCTGAGAAGGTGATGATTCCAGGAAGACACAAAGGAAGTGAGAAAACTGGCCCTGTAGTTGTTTGAGCAAGGCTGCTCCAGGCTGAGAGCATCACATGCAAGTGCCCCCAGCTGGGAGTAGGCCTGGCAAAGTCAAGGGAGGACGAGGAGTCAGTGGGACTGCCACAGGTGGAGCAGAGGAGAGTGAGGACAAAAAAGCTCTTGGGGAGGGGGTCACACAAGGAGAGCTTGGGAGCCACTGCAGGTCCTGGCTTTTCCCCTGCATAATGCAATGGGGAACCATTATCAGGCTTGAGTCAGAGAGCCCTGAAGAGCTGGCACTGGGGACCCCGAGCACTGTGCATGAATAGTTGCAGGAAAGACAGAAACATGGAGCCCAGTCAACATATGAGAGTCCAGGTGGCCTGGGCCAGGTGGCAGCCATGGATAGGAGAGGTGTGGGGGAGATTCCAGACGTGGTCTGAGGCTCGGGTTCCTAGGAAGTGAGATTGTGAGGCACAGAGAGGGGTCAAGGATGACTCCATGTAGGGAAAAGAAAGAGAGATCAGACTGTTACTGTGTCTATGTAGAAAGGGAAGACATAAGAAATTCCATTTTGACCTGTACCTTGAACAATTGCTTTGCTGAGATGCTGTTAATTTGTAACTTTGCCCCAGCCACTTTGCCCCAACTTTGAGCTCACAAAAACATGTGTTGTATGGAATCAAGGTTTAAGGGATCTAGGGCTGTGCAGGACTTGCCTTGTTAACAAAATGTTTACAAGCAGTATGCTTGGTAAAAGTCATCGCCATTCTCTAGTTTCAATAAACCAGGGGCACAATGCACTGCAGAAAGCCGCAGGGACCTCTGCCCTGGAAAGCCAGGTATTGTCCAAGGTTTCTCCCCATGTGATAGTCTGAAATATGGCCTCATGGGATGAGAAAGACCTGACCGTACCCCAGCCCGACACCTGTAAAGGGTCTGTGCTGAGGTGGATTAGTAATAGAGGAAAGCCTCTTGCAGCTGAGATAGAGGAAGGCCACTGTCTCCTGCCTGCCCCTGGGAACTGAATGTCTCAGTATGAAACTCGATTGTACATTTGTTCATTTCTGAGACAGGAGAAAAACTGCCCTATGGCGGGAGGTGAGACGTGTTGGCAGCAATGCTGCTTTGTTATTCTTTACTCCACTGAGATGTTTGGGCGGAGAGAAACATAAATCTGGCCTACGTGCACATCCAGGCATAGTACCTCCCCTTGAACTTAATTATGACACAGATTCTTTTGCTCACATGTTTTCTTGCTGACCTTCTCCCTATTATCACCCTGCTCTCCTACCTCATTCTTCTTGCTGAGATAGTGAAAATAATAATCAATAAAAACTGAGGGAACTCAGAGACCAGTGCCAGTGCAGGTCCTTGGTATGCTGAGCACTGGTCCCCTGGGCCCACTTTTCTTTTTCTATACTTTGTCTCTGTGTCTTATTTCTTTTCTCAGTCTCTCGTCCCATGTGACGAGATATACCCACAGGTGTGGAGGGGCAGTCCACCCCTTCAACTCCAAAACCTACTCAAGGCCGGGCATGGTGGCTCATACCTGTAATACCAGCACTTTGGGAGGCTGAGGTGGGGGTGTCGCTTGAGGTCAGGAGTTCAAGACCAGCCTGGCCAACATGCAGAAACCCCATCTCTACTAAAAATACAAAAATTAGCCAGGTGTGGTGGTGGGTGCCTGTAATCCCAGCTACTTGGGAGTCTGAGGCAGGAGAATCACTTGAACCCAGGAGGTGGAGGTTGCAGTGAGCTGAGATCACGCCACTGCACTCCAGCCTGGGTGACAGAGCAAGACTGTCTCAAAAAAACAAAAACAAAAACAAAAAACAAAAAACAAAAAAAAACCTACCCCAAGTGAGAAGGCACATGGTCAATTGAGAAGGGGCAGGCTATGCATAGAGCTGGTATTTGTCAGCAAAGATATGGGCTTCATTTTGGACAAGTTGAGTTTTTAATGTGTAAAGATACCCAAAAGTTGTCGGTGCTGTCAAACCCCAGGAAGTGGGGGTGGCAGGTCTCTTAGTCCTCAGTTTGCATGTAGTGACAGGGCTTCAAGAAGACCACTTAAAGAGCTTGGCAAGTGCCCTGGATCTTAGGGGCAGGAGGGCCACCACAACACCAACTACCACAACCTGGGAATGGACATGTCAGTGTTTCTCCAAGACTCCATGCAGACACTGCAGAGAGAGCCAGGCTGGAGATGCTGAAAATGTCACCTGTATTAGTCCGTTTTGCCACTGCTATAAAAAAATACCAGACACTGGGTAATTTATAAAGAAAAAGGTCTAATTGGCTCACAGTTCTGCAGGCTGTACGGAAAGCATGATGCTGGAATCTGCTCGGCTCCTGGGGAAGCCTCAGGAAACTTATATTCATGGCAGAAGCGGAAGGGGAAGCAGGCATGTCTTACATGGCTGGAATGGCAGGGGGAGGTGTCACACACTTTTAAACAACCAGATCTCATGAGAACTCTATCATGAGAACAGCAGCAAAGGGGGAAATCCACCCCCATGATCCATTCACCTCCCACCAGGTCCCACCCCCAACATTGGAGGTTACAATTTGACATGAGATTTGAGTGGGGACACAGATTCAAACCATATCACTGCCCAAGACAACTTCCTGGAGATGCAGGGAAAGCTGAAGATGGGGTGGACAATCAGATTCTCAGGGATGGAGGAGAAAATGAAGTGGCCAGAGAGAGGAAAATACATTTTCTGAACTATGTAAATTCCATGAATCACATTAGTACCTGTTCCCCTGATGGCACACGAAGGACCCACAGTGTATCCCAATAGTGGGCACTGGTTCTGATGATCCTGAGATGGGATAGTTCCCTTGATCCCCTTTGTCGGGGGGTGGGGATGGAGTGGCTTGTTTCACTCAGCCGGACGCTGGCTTCTCCTCACAGTAGGGAGCATGCGAGCGAGTGAGTGTGGGAACTGGAGCAAATGAACGCGGGAACTGGCCAGTCACTCTTCTCTGGCTGGAGCAGGCTCTGTGTGGGCCCCACAGCAGTGTCCAAGCATGTTACAACCAGTGCTTTTTCAGCTCTGCTGTCTGGGGATGGCCAATGCCAATCAGCTCAATGGAGGGTCAGGGTGGCAGCCCCTGCCCTCTTGGCACCCGAGTTCTTGTCTGGCGTCCAGGAAGAATCAGGTCACATGAACTGTTTGGAAGTTGATGCATGCGGAAGACTTGATTGAGTGGTGGGTGGCTCTCAGCAGAAAGGGAGGCTGGAAAGGGGATGGGAAGGTGATCTTTCCCTGAAGCCTAGCGTCTCTGGCTGGGCCCCTCTCCAAAGCCACACTGTCTGAAGTAGCCATGTCTACCCGTGGTCTCCGATGCTCAGTTGCTTCTTGGCTCACAGCTCAGCTGCTGGTGTTGCTCTGCCAGCTGAAGTCTTTTATGGGCACAGGATGGGGGTGGGAGGGCAGGCCAAAAAGGCAACATTTGGGTGGAAAAATGGAGTCAGCTGTTTTGACTTAGGGCTGTGGGTCCAGGCTTAAGGGTGGGGCTTAGCAGGGATCCCAGCTGTTCTCTATCATTTTGGAGGCTATTCACGGCCAGAGGAGATCAAGGCTTGGGGGCATTGGTGTCACCCAAGTCTCTGCTCCATTTAGAGGAGTGTTAGGTCTAAAGGCACAGCCGGGACTCAGGGGGATGGGGCGGTGCTCGAAGAGGCTGCCATGCCCCTCCCTCTGCTCCGCCATCCAGCCTCAACTTGTCTAATGGCAGGGTGGCGGTCCTTAACATAAACGATGTTTGGAGTTTTGACTAGGAAATCACACTGGACATTTTAATTTCTGAATTGACAGGTTTTTTGTGACCAAATGTGATTGGAAGATTTTTGTTTTCTGAGAATGAACAGGCCAGGTCTGGAGCTCCCTGGAGATTTCATGAAGGGGAGGGAAGGAGCCTGCCTCATAGGCTGGGAGGGAGAAGGAAGTCGTTTTGTTTGTTCAATGTGAAGTTTCTGTGAGTCATTCAGGGAGTCCAGGAGAACGGGACAGCCAACAGAAGAGTCTGGATTGGAGAAGGAAGAAAAATGCCCAGAGGACAGGCATGGTCTGTGGTGGAGAGTTAAAAACAGAGAGGAAGGCTGAGCAAATGCTGTTTAATAATAGTCTCAGCTTTATTTTTCTGAAGTATTTTTATCTTTTTTGGAATCAAATGATATGTATGTCTCTTCCCTGGTTTTAAAAGCTATACATGCTTATATTAGAAAATTAAAAAAATGTACACAAGGATAAAGAAGGAAAAAAATATCATTAATAATTCAAAAATAATTACACGGCAATAAACAGTCTTACACTTTTACTGTGTAACTTGGTATTTTATAGGCTACGTTTTGACTTACTTTCTTCCATACCACATCATGGAAAGGTTAGATACAGCATAGGCACAGATCATAAGAGAACACTGTGAACAATTTTAAACCAGTGAATTTGAAAACTTAGACAAAATGGACAAAATCTTTGGAAAGTATAAAGTACCAAAACTGACTGAAGAGAAACCTGAATATTCCTATGACTGTTACAGAAATTGAATTTAATTTAAAATATTCCTATAAAGAATACACTAGTACCAGTGAGTTTTAAATTCAGGTTTTACTATTCAAGGAATAGACAATATTCCTGCACATTTTTTTTCAGAGAATAGTTTTACAAAATCAATGTATAAGAAGTATATAATTTTGATATCAAAACAAATTTGAGAAAGGGAAATTATGGACTAATCTCAAACATTAACATGGACAGCAAAATCTCAAAAAGATGTTAGCCAAATATAGCAGCAAGGTATAAAACAGATAACCTGTTGTTACTAAGTTGGTTTTATTCCAGAAAGCAAAAATAGAAAATATCTAAATTTATTTCTTCCACATTAACAGCTTAATGAACAAAAAGCTATGAGCAGGTAAATAGAAAAAGAAAGCTTTACTTAAATCAATGTTCATTTATGACAGAAATTTTTCTTACTCAAACTGTAAAACAGCCATTTAGATTCTAAAAGCCTGTAGCAAATGTCATACTCAATGGCAAAATACTTAAAGCATTTCTTCAAGCCACTGCTATTTAACATTGTATTGGAGGAACTAAACAGTGCAATAAGACAAGAAAAATAAATAAAAGATACATAAATCAGAAGGAAGGAATAAAACTGTCATTATGTGCAGAATAATATGCCTGTCTTAGAAAAATTCAAAAGAATCTAGAGACAAACTATAGAAATAAGTAGAGAGTTGAGTAAAGTTATTAAGCTTTACTAAAGGTTATATTGATCTTATATGACCTTATGTAGACATAAGACAATATACAAGTTAATTGTACTTCTATACAACAGCAATGATCAACTTAACAGTTAATTTAAACAAATACAATTTACAAAGAGCAATGACAATAAAAGTAAACTGAGAATAAATCTAATGAAAGATATGCAAGGTATTTGTACTGAATATTATAAAACTTTATTGAAGACATCTTTAAATACTTAAATAAATTTAGATATATTGCATATTTATGGATAAGAGAAGACAAGGAGGGGTAATCAATCAAAAATGTTGAAATAATTATACTTGTGGAAAAATAAAATTACATGCTCCCCTCTCTCATCACATTCATTGATGATGTTGGATCAAGCACTTAAAATGAAAAGCAAAACTTTAATACTTTTAGAAGAGCACATAGAAGGTATGAATGTTATGACTTCAGGGAGGGAATGGTTTCCTAAACAAGGCTTAGGAGAAACCACATCCCTAACAAACTGACACCCACATACATACCATAAAATAAATCATAAAGGCAAACATTGATAGAGTTGACAATATTTAAATACGTCTACATATCTAAAGACACCATAAAGAGGGCAAAAGGCACACCACCAACTGGAGAAGTTATTTACTGCCCATGTAACTCATAAGTAATTGTATCTAGAAGACGCAAAGATATCCTGCAAGTCAATAAATGGGCAAATGACACAAGTGGGCATTTCCTAGAGAGAGTTATGAATATCCAATAAAATCTATGAAAAGGTGCCCACTCTTACTGGTAACTGTGGAAATGCAAATTAAAATAAAAACAAGAAATCATCTCACCCCCGACATGTAGGTACAAACATAAACATCTGATGGACTGGCTATTCTCTGTCCCCCAAGCTTCCCTTCCCCACTCTGTGTGCTTTATACTACCCTCCACGGGCTAAGTTACCTGGGTCTCATGGCTGCTGGTTTCTGATTAGCACAGATTATGCGGTGGGAAGAGAGAGCTCAGAGTCCTCCCCTGGCCCCTCCTGTGTGTCTGCTTCTCCCCACTTCTGCAGCTTTTACAGAGCAGTCCTCCTCTGGTCTCTGGCAATACCCACACTCCCTTCTCCCTTCACCCCAGGAGTGGTACCAGAATCTCTCACCACCTCTGGTTTGTCTGGTAATTTGGTGCTGTTTTTGGAAGTAGTCTCTTCACCAAGGCCTCTTCGTGGAACAACTTGCTTCCTGCTGGAACCCTCACTAATACGTCTGACAGTGACTCCAGAAATCGAGGAGGCAATGAAACAAACAGGCTTCATTTATTGCTGGTGGGAGTGTAGATGAGTACAAGCCCTTTGGAAAACAATGTGCCATCTGATACATTTGAAGATGCACATACTTTACAAGCCATCAACTCCACGTCCTCATATGTCACCCCAGAGGAACTCCAGGATACGTGTACTTTAACATCAGTCTTATTTTTAATAGAAAAAATAAATAAAGGAAATAACTCAAATGCCACCCTCGATAGCATGGCAAAAGAAATCGAGATGCATAAACACACGGGGACACCCAGTGCAGAGGTGATGGAACTAGACTGCATACTTGTATTAGTCTGTTCTCACATTGCTATAAAGAAACACAGGAGGCTGGGTAATCTATAAAGAGAAGGGGTTTAATTGTCTCATGGTTCTATAGGCTGTACAGGAAGCATAGTGGTTTCTGCTTCTGGGGAGGCCTCAGTAAACTTACAATCATGATGGAAGGTGAAGTGGGAGCAGGCTTCTTACATGGTTGCAGCAGGAGCAAGAGAGAGCAAGGTGCCACACACTTTTAAAAGACCAGATCTCATGAGAACTCTCTCACTGTTGCAAGGACAGTGCCAAGCAGGGTTGTGCTAAACCATACACGAGAAATCTGCCCCCATGATCACCTCCTACTAGGCTCCACCTCCAACACTGGGGATTACAATTCGACATGAGATTTGGTGGAGACACAGATCCAATATCGATACTTAATGAAGGATGCATGACTCTTAGAAACAATATTGGTCTGCAAAGGCAAGTCAGGAGAACATAAATATAATCCATTTATATTAAGATGGAAGCTGAGAAAATGAAAGAACATATTGTTTAGGATTACACACTTAATGTGGAAAAACCACAAGAGAAAAAGGGAGAGATTAATATAAAATTCAGTCTAGTTGCATGTATGATATATCTCATAATAGAAAAATACTAAAAATAAAAATATATTTATTATGGACATTATTCTCCTCCAAGCTTATATTGGGTGCTGGAGAGCATTTTATTTTATGATTGCAATATAATTAAACCATATCCCCACTGTTGGGCATGTGGTCATGGGTGGCACATTATCCCATTTGACCCTCTTGTTCATTCTGGAAGATTCCATCATCCGTGCTTTGGGATGAGGACCTGCAGGGCAGGTTGGTGACTAGGGGATGCTGATGCCACACTAGGTTTGCTGCCTCCCTTGGATCCTGGGCTCTCTCTATCCTGAAGAAAGCTTGAGGGCTTCCTTCCAGCTGCCTGGAGCCTGGGCATCAGCCTCACTGCTCCAGGTTCAGATATGGTATGGCAGGAGGCTGGAGATGGTCAGGCTGGAGCCTGCTCGGATGGTAAACTGCTACAAACCCATTGCCTGGCAGAGGAGTAGGACTTTTCCTGCCAAAGGTGGGATGTAATCCAGGCTCAGAAAGCTCCGGAGGCTGCATTTGCCACGCCTGCAGGGACCTGTATGTCTCTTCTGGCCTAACAGGGGGTGCTGGCTTGGCCTCCCTTGAGGGTCTCCAGCCTGAGTCTAGGTTTACCCTGGCATCCCCATGCAACCCTCGGCCCTCAGCCCTGCAGGGTCTGACCCCTAGTCCTGTAGGTCAGCACAGGGCCCTGCCTGAAACCTGGTACCTCTGATCCAAGGCCCGGCTGCCCAAAGCCCTGGGCCAGGCTTCTGAAAATATGTGCCCTCTGGGTACTGCCTTGTAGGATGGTTTCTGAACCACAGTCTCAAAACCAAGCTCACTTTATTTATGGCAAGAGAGCTGAATATTGCAACAGGTGGACTTAGATTTGGGGATCATTTTTTTTTCTGAATAGAACCTAGATTTTCTGTTTTTTTTTTTTCCTTAGAAAGTATGAGCTATATTTTTTGAGTTTGTATCTTGCCAGGCACTGTGTACATATTCTCCATACATGTTTTCTCAATGTATCTTCACACCGAGTGAATACAATTGTCCCCATCCTACAAATAATGACACCGACGCCCAGAGAGATTAAAATTACCTACATCTAAGGGGGAATCTGAGACTTGAAATCAGCTCCGTACAGTTCCATATTCTCTGTAAGCTAATTAGACAGTCCCTGGGCATTAAACTTCTGTGTATTTAAACACTATGCTGGCCTGGTGGGTGACTAAGACATGCTGCCTCTGCAGATTCAGCAGAATTCAGAATCCCTTACCTGGTTCTGATCCTGGCTCTGCCCCCTCCCGGCTGTGTGACTTTGGGCTGGTATGTGTAGCCTGTCTAATTCTCAACCTCTACCTTTGTGAAGTGCCCACAGCAATGGTACCCCTGTCACAGGGCTGTCATGAGGTTAGATGAGATAATGTGTGTGCAGGTCTAATAAGTATAAAGTCCCCAAATATTTATTTTCATTATGGGATGGGGTCAGGGTAGGAGATTATTGGAAGAATCTGAGCTTCAGAGCCACAGAGACTGGGTTTAAATTGTGGCACTCCCAGCTTCTAGCTCGTGGCCCTGGAGAGGTCACTACCCCTCTCGAGCCTCAGTTTACCCAGGTGTAAACGAGGGACACTCCTAATGCCTCATCTGGAGCCTCCTGTAAGAACAAATTGAGGTGCCGCATGCAGAAGCTTGAACTCAGCATCTGTGTGGATTTAAGTAGCAACAGCTACTGCCATTGGTGCCCGGATGTTGCTCCCTGATCTGGCATGCGTGGTTAGGAGATGCAGGGAGACGACAGAGCTGGGAGACAATGGAAACGCCCCCCTGTCCCTCTTAGTTTTTTAGTCCCTTAGTCCCTTTCAGAGACGACCCAGAGGCAGGAAGCAGGCAAGGCTCAGCTGGTGAAGTTGGGAAAACGGAGAAGCTCCTATGTCTCGTTGTTGATTGAATCTCACACCGTTACATCTTGCTCACAGATGTCAGGACTAAATGAGGGAAGCGTGGTGCCTTCCTGACGCATCTGGGCAATTAAATAGCAATCAGCAAGTGTAGTTAACCAGGGCAGCGCTCTCCTCAATGGCCCTGAGTGTGTCCGTGCATCATCTGCCGTCGGTGCTCATTCACTGAGTCTCCCTGTCTAATTTGGGGCAAAAAGTTAATTGGAACTTGATGGTGGCTGGATGGTGACCTGAGACAGACAGGCCAGGTAGAAATGTTAAAAGGGAAATCCATGCAGGCTCCTTCCTGGCTCCCCAGAGCAGGGTGAGTGTCACCAGTAAAGAGGGGGGATGACCATGAGGGGAACCCAGAGCTGGGGGCAGTGGAAGCTATGTTCTTGCTGTCTCCTCTTGTTATGGAGTCATGGAAACGATTCAGATCGAATGTGCCTTAGGTGGTTATGTTTCGGTCATGGTTTTAGGGGGTTGTTGCCAGTAATTTCATTAACGCTTTTGATGGTCACCAGAGGTCCCCAGAAAACTGACTTTCTCTCTTTGGTAGTGAGGAACCCCACATGCAGCTTCTGGTGCAGCCCAGAGTCACCCTGTCATTCTCCCAGGTGGCCTTGCATTGGGGGCATGCATGGGGTATGGGGGGTGTGGACTGGGGATGTCCCAGCTGTGGGCCTCAGTCTCACCGGGAGAACTCAGCTGGCTTGTGGTTATTGCAATATCATCACAAACAGCATGGGCTTTGTAGGGAGGCTCTGCTCAGCAGTTGCTTGCTTTGTGACGTTGGTCCAGTCTCCTAACCTCTCTGAGCCCAGTGTTCTCTGAATAGTGATTGCAATGCTGTAGGAAAAGAGAGAAATTGGTACCAACCAGTGTCTTCCATGCTTTGCCTGCAAGGACGGCTCCTCATGACACGGGTTAGGGGACACAGGCCTGAGCTTCCTCTGACCTCCTGACTTAAGCAGCCCAAGCACAGTGGCTGGAAGGAGGCCCTGGTGAAGGACAGCGGCTGAGGGGTGGAGAACAAGAGCAGGAGGTGGAGACCAGCTCTAGCGGCACCTCCTTCCCGGGAGTTCCCTCCCTGTCTCCTCCTCCGTCATTCCCTCCAGTTTTCCTAAAGCTCCCCAGGCCCCCCACACTTGCCTACACATTCGGATTCCATCAGGGATCCCTGAAGTAAAGGGGGAAGGTACCTGGCCCCAGAGGGAGCACCAGTGTCTGATGGGCACAAGAAATGATGGCCCCACGCGTAACTGAGTAACCTGGAAAGGGGATCTCGACAGACAAGGAGGCACTGAGAGGGACAGACAGGAGGAGCGCAATGGGAAAAACTTGAAGGAGGACGGCCCCGTTCTCTTGGGGATCTTAAAGCCATGTGTAACCATCTGGGTCTGATTCATGATAGAGATGGTTCAGCCTTCATCTAAAAATCATGATAAGGGTATTATGGTAAGAAAATACTGGGACTCCAGCAAGGAAAGAGTGTGGTGTCTGGTAATGCCTGGTCCAGCGTGGTGGTCACAGGCGTTGCCCCTGCCTCCTGCGTGAATGGAAGGAAGGTCACAAACGTGGTAGGTGAGCCCTGGATGCTGGGGCTGGGTGTTCCGCCCTCCGGGAAGCCCACCTGGTTGTTTTCCTGTGAACAGGAGGTGTTTGCTCTGCCAAACCTTGGTGTTTGTGGATGATCCTACCCCCACCCCATCCCACTAAGAAGCCTGAGAGGGTCTCCAGCATCTGACCCCGACTGAAGGGCCACACCTGGGTCCCAAAGCCCAAGAGACCCACCCCTCAACCTGGGGCTGGAGCCACATATCCCAGGCATCCTGATTCCACTTGGAATCCCTTCTGGGGAAGAACGAGGCATTGTGAACATTTTTCCTAGGAGAGACTGAGATGAATGTTGGGGAAATGGGAACTGGAAGAACAGATCTGTATTTTTCTTGAAAGGATCTTTCTGCTAAGAAACCCAGTGAAAAGGGGACCAGTGTCTTCACCAGCAATGAGTGGGCACCTGTGTTCCCCAGAATAGGAAGTGATGAGAGCAGTGGCTCAAACTATCAGGCAGTGGCAGCCTAGACCGGTAACCCCTGCTGCTGGTGCAGTGGGCCGCTGGATGCAGAAGGGGCCTAGGAACTGGGCAAACTGAGTTGTTTTTTAAAAATCATCTTTATTAAGAATTCATTTATATGCAAGAAAATGCACTAAATTTAAGTGTATAGTTTGACGAAGTTTTTAAAATAAATGTATATATTATGTAACTACCACAATTAAGTTTAGAACATTTCCATCATCCCCCCAAAATTCTATTATGCCTTTCTTTCTTTCTTTCTTTCTTTCTTTTTTTTTTTGAGGTGGAGTCTCACTCTGTCGCCCAGGCTGGAGTGCAGTGGCGTGATCTCGGCTCACAGCAACCTCTGCGTCCCGGGTTCAAGAAATGACCAGAACCTGAAATTTATATTTAAAGGGGAAGCAGAGTGTAAAAGTTTGAAAAATTTGCAGCCCACCCATGTGGTGGAAAAGAAAACCCCATTTCCAAGGTAAGAATCGAAGCAGGCTGCAGAAATTTGCATAAGTAAAATGGAGCCAAGTGCTAATAGCCAAGACAGTGGGGAAAAGGTCTCAAAGGCATTTCAGAAACCTTTGCAGCAGCCACCGCCACCGCCATCACAGTCCTGGAGGTGTGGGAGGGCAGATTGGTTTCGTGGGTCAGGCCTAGGGCCCTGCCATCCTGTGCAGCCTCAGGACTCTGCTCCCTGTGTCCCAGCCACTACAGCACCAGCCATGGCTCAGAGGCCCAGGTACAGCTTGGGTCACTGCTTCAGAGGGAGCAAGCCATAAGCCTTGGTGGCTTCCATGGGGTGTTAAGCCTACAGGCATGCACAATGCAAGACATGAGGCTTGGGAGCCTCTGCCTAGATTTCAGAGGATGTATGGAAAACCTGGATGTCCAGGCAGAAGCCTGCTGCAGGGGCAGAGCCTTCACAGAGAATTTCTACTAGGGCAGTGCAGAGGGGGAAGTGTGGGGTTGGAGCCCCCACACGGAGTCCCCACTGGGCACTGCCTAGTGGAACTGGGAGAAGAGGGCCACCATCCTTCAGACCCCAGAATGGTAGAGCCACCAACAGCTTGCACCACGCACCTGGAAAAGCTGTAGGCACTCAATGCTAGCCCTTGAGGGCAGCTGCAGGGGCTAAATCCTGCAAAGCCACAGAGGTGGAGGTGCCCAAGGCCTTGGGAGCTTACCCTTTGCATCAATGTGGCCTGGATATGAGACATGGGGTCAAACGAGATTAGAGCTTTAAGGTTTAATTACTGCCCTGCTGGGTTTCAGAATTGATTGGGGCCTGTAGCTCCTTTCTGGCTGATATCTTTCTTTTGGCACAGGAGTATTTACCCAATGCCTATACTTTCATTGTATCTTGGAAGAAACAAACTTGTTTTTGATTTTACAGGCTCATAGGTGAAGAGACTTTTGCCTTGTCTGAGATGAGACTTTGGACTTTGGACTTTTGAGTTAATGCTGTAATGAGTTAAGACTGTGAATTATTGGGAAGTCATGATTGTACTTTTGCAATGTGAGGAGGACACGAGATTTGGAGGGATCAGGGGTGAAATAATTTGGTTTAGATCTGTGTCCTCACCCAAATCTCATGTTAAATTGTAGTCCCCAGTGTTGGAGATGGGGACTGATGGGAGGTAATTAGATCATGAGGGCGAAATTCTCATCAATGCTTTAGGACCGTCTCCTCTGTGCTATTCTCATGATAGAGTTCTCATAAGATCTGGTTGTTTAAAAGTATGTGGCACTTCCACACCTCCCACCACCACCACCACCACCACCACCATTCTCCTACTCCAGCCATGTAAGAGGCACTTGCTTCCCCTTCACCTTCCACCATGATTGTAAGTTTCCTGAGGACCCCCAGATGCAGAAGCTGCTATACTTCCTGTACAGCCTGTAGAACTGTGAGCCAATTAAACCTCTTTTCTTATAAACTATCCAGTCTCAGGTGTTTCTTTATAGCAGTGCAAGAATGGGCTAAGACACAACCCATATGATTTGCCTCTCTTGCTCCCTGAAGCCCACAGGGACTTTACAGGTATGCTACAATGACTCCCTCTCAGTACAGCATGACCCATGAAACTCACATCTGCTTGCTTTAAACCCACCAACTACAGCTCTCTGTGGGAAATCTGCTTAGGTAATGCCCTGAATCTCAGTAAAGGCTCTGGATTACAGGTCTCTCTCTGACTCTCTTGCTCCTCATCCACTGGTTGAGCATGAGTGTCCCAGACAGCTTCCCCTTCCCATTGGCCCTGCCAGGTGTGCTACCCTCTTCTCTTCGTAGTCTGTAAGTTATAAAATGCTTCTGTTATTTCATGTTTTGTGCTGCCTCCTGTGTGTCACTCGACTGACACACTTGAACCTAACTTCCTTCGTGGTCAGGGCTAGATTTTATAGCCACTCTCAAGAGAGAGACCTCAGTACCTGATTAGAAAGAATGGATACTTACACAAAAATTTCTCACTGTTGGTTAGTTTTGTCTGTTCTAGACTTTCACATGAAGAGAACCATATAGACTTCCTGTGTGTGTCTGGGTTTTTTTTTGCTTAGCATCATGCTTTTGAGATTCATCTAAGTAATATTTATTTCACCGTATGAGTATGCCACAATTTGATTATCTATTTCCTTTTATAGACTTTGAGTGGTTTTAAGTTTTAGAATATTTTTAATAATGCTGCTATAAACATTTGTATATACATATTTCTGTGGAGTTGGTTTCTCTTGGAAAACCATCAGGGGAAGTAATTGCTAGGCCCAATGATAAGGGTATTTTTAACTTTATGATAACCTCCATAGTGTTTTTCAAAGTGGCTGTAATATTTAACACTTCAACTAGCAATGTATGAGAGTACCAGGTACTCCGCATCTTCACCAGCACTTAGTATTCTAAGTATTTTTAATTTTAACCTTTCTACTGAATGTGTTGTGGCATCTTTCTATGGTTTAATTTGCATTTCCCTGATGACTGACAGTGTTGCACACCTTTTTTTGCGCTTATTGTCCATTTGTTTATGAAGTTACACTTCTATTTTATGTATATATACATGTTATTGTATATTATATACAATAATATTATAAATATTATTTTCCTAAATGACTGTTCAAATCATTCACCTGTTTTTAAATTGGGTCATTTTTTCCTTATTATTAAGTTGCAATAGTTCTTTATATATTTTAGATAAAAGTGTTTTGTCATATATACATTTTTTTTCCCCAGGTGGTTTGGAATTGTTGGTGGGAATGCAAAATGATACAGATACCTGAAGGATGGTTTTACAGTTTTTTAAATGATATTGAAATACAGTTATCCAGATAACTGTTTGGCTATAGTTATATAATCCAGCTATTGTACTCCTGGGTTTTAATACAAGAAATGAAAACATATATCTAGGATTTGTATGCAAGCATTTATAGCAGCTTTACTTACAGTTGCCAAAACCAGAAAAAAAACCCAAATATCATTCAACACATGAATGGATGAACAGATTGTGCTACATTCACATAATGGAATGCCGCTCATCATCAATACAAAGGGACTAGTGATACACACAGCAACACGGATGAATCTTAACATCATCATGTGAAGTGGGAGATGCAAGACCCAGAGACTTCTAATATATGATTCTATTTATACAGCATTGTAAAAAGGCAAAACAATTGTGATAGAAAACAAGTCACTGGTATTCACAGGTCAACAGTTGGGAGCAAGTGAGTTGACTACACAGGGGCCCAAAGAATGTTCTGTGGTGAAGGAAGCATTCTGTGTCTTCATTGTCATGGTGCTCCCATGACCATGTACGTCCATCAAAACTCAACAAATTGTAGATTTAAAATGGACGGGTTTTATTTCATACAAGTCATACCACAATAAAGCTAAGAAAAAGAAATGAAAACAATTCATCTGAAAGTACTTAATGATTTTTGATGCTATTGTAAATTATATTTTTAAAAATTCATTTCCCAATGATTCACTGCCAGTATATAGAAATATATTGATATTTGTATATTGATCTTGTATCTCATGATCTTGCTAAATTCCTTTGAGCAATTGTTACCATACCATGAATGGTTATATATATTATAAGCCATGCAAATCATCAATATTATGTTTTCTTTAGATGATAAATTATCATCTAAAGAAACTAAAAATGAGAATGTTTTTATGTTTAGCCGAATATTTATTATTCCACATGTTTTATATTAATTTGTACAGATCCAGGTTTTTGTATGTAATGAAAATAAAAATGTCTTCAGTTTGCTTTTGTCATGTTTTTGTTATAATAGATATAGCATTCTGGCTTGGGAGACTTTTTTTCCCCACCTTTGAATTTAGAACGCTTGAAAAATGCCATGTCATTGTCTTCTGGCTTACATTGTTTCTGAGAAGTCAGCAGAAATTCTTTGTTTAATCTTCTTTTTTCTCTTACTGCTTTTACAATTTTATCCTTTACCATAGTCCCCAGTGTTGAATTGTAGTCCAGAAATTTGATTATAAAATGCCCTGTGTTGTAGTTGTTGTTGTTTTTCTTTTTGGTATTTATTCTGCTTCAAGTTTTGACCATGGTGGTCTGTGACTTCACAGTTTTCATCAAATTTAGGAAAATTACAGCCAATATTTCTTCAAATATATTTTATCCTCCCCAGTCTGTAATCTCCAGTTACACATATATTGGACTGCTTGCTATTTTCCCATAGACCCCTGAATGTCTAGTCACTGATCTGATGTTTTTTTAAGTATCTCAGTCTGTTCAGGTAATTTCTTTTTTTCAGACATTGTATATATTATCCTTAGAACTTCCTTTTAGTACATTTTTAGAGTTTCATTTCTCTCATCATCATGTTTTAGTTTTGCTTTGAGTTCTTTAATGTATTCACAATGGCTATTTTAATGTCCTTGTCTTCCAATTCCAACATCTCTGTTATTCCTGTGTCTGTTTTTATTGGCTGATATTTCTCTTGATTATGATTCACATTTTAATTCTTCTTTTCATATCTTATAATTTTTATTGTTTGCATGTTACATTTTTGGGTGTCTGGATTTTGCTATCTTCATTTAAAGAATGCATAATTTTGCTTGGTAGATAGTTGTTTGCAGATCAGCTTGATCCTTGAACGGCTTATTTTTAAGTTTTGTTAGTGTTGAGGGCAGAAGGCGTCTAGAATACCTTTTACTATGTGGCTAGTTCAGCCCCACTACAAAGGTGTGGCCCTCTGTGGTTCTCTACAGAGTGCTCTAGGTCCTCTCCAAGGTCTCTATACTCTTACTAATTGGAGCTTTACAGTCTCTCAGCCCTGTGTGGGCTCTGAGAATCATTCATCTAACAGCTCCTATCCTTGTGGAATTTCATTCCACGCACAGAATTTAGTTCTAACTTTAAACACTTAAGGAGGTTCTTATGCAGATTTCTGGAACCCTCCTCTTCATGACTCTCCACTACTTTACCCAGCAAAGCCCAGCCACGTCCATCTCCCTGAGCTCCAATCTCCACTTTTTGAGCGAAGGAAACTCACTGTGCTCTGTCTGGACCCTCCTTTAAGTAAGTTGTACCTCCATAAAGCTAAAAAGAAAGTTAGGCAGCTGGGTGCGGTGGCTCACGCCTGTAATCCCAGCACTTTGGGAGGCTGAGGTGGGCGGATCACAAGGTCAGGAGATCGAGACCATCCTGGCTAACACAGTGAAACCCCATCTCTACTAAAAATACAAAAAAAAAAAATATCAGCCGGGCGAGGTGGCAGGCGCCTGTAGTCCCAGCTACTCGGGAGGCTGAGGCAGGAGAATGGCGTGAACCCGGGAGGCAGAGCTTGCAGTGAGCCGAGATTGTACCACTGCACTCCAGCCTGGGCAACAGTGAGACTCTGTCTCAAAAAAAAAAAAAAAAAAAAAAAAAAGAAAGTTAGGCAACCACAGGGCTCACCTTATTTGTTTTCTTTCTTTTGGGAACCATAGTCAGCTCTGCTTATTTTCCAGTGTCTGATAACCGTTGTTTTATACGTTTTGTTGTGTTTCCTGGTTGTATGACTGTAGGCCATGTCTAGCCTGGTTTCTCCATCAAGGGTAGAAGTAGAAGTTAGGCAAGCTGTGTTTTAATGCCATCCCAGGCTCTGCCACTCCCTGGTTGTATGGCCTTGCACGCCCCATTATGCCACAGAGTCCAATTCTGCACCTGTAAAATGGGTCAGTAACATTTACCTTAAGGATTATTGAAAGGATCAGAGGTGTAAAGTACTATCATAGTAGTACATAGCACATCCTTGAGAAATGATACCTAGCCATAGAGGTTGTTAGCTTCCACACTAACTGGCTGTATGACTGGCTGTATGACCTTAGGAAATCCACTTTACTATTTCCTTGATCCAGAAAATGAAGACAGGAGTCATTATGCTAATCATAGCCAATGCCTGGCCAATGGCAAGTGCTTCACAAATGCCACTTCATAAGTATTCAGTGGCATACTGAACTGAACTGACGACCATGTAAAAGGGGTACAGCAAAAGGACCCACTGAGAGACAAATGTTAGGTGGCATAATTTTCTATGAAAGGCTCATGATTGCAAATGTCTGTCCTATTTGCCATTCTGACCCAGAACCTAGAAGGATGCATGGCTACACATAGTGGGGGTGCAACACATATTTATTGAATAGAAGGGGCACACGTTTCCTCTGCAAACATCACTTAGCAAACACATTGAAACATTGTAATTAAGAAGTGCTACGCCAGGCAGCTGCACCCTTCAGCCAAGTCAGGATTATCAGCAGAACTTGAATTCAGCAGACTGAAAAATTTGAGATCAAATCTTAGCTGCATCTGTTTGAGTCTTGGTTTCACCTTAGATGAAACAGAGATGGCAATCATCAGGGTCCCTATGTTGCTGTGTCACTGAGAGGATTAAATGAATAGTGTAATTGCTTGCACAAGGTAGATTCTCCTAAATGCCAGCTGTTGTTAATTGGGGGAGGGGAAATGGGAGGACTGTCTCTTGACTTCCTTTCATGAACCTGGGGCACCTGAGCCTTTTGCAGGTGGGGCTGTAGACCCCTGCCTAGATGCAGGATGATACCTAGGTGAAAATCTGTGTGTTGCATTCACCGTCACCCCAGAGAGGCTACCACCAGTTCCCTGCCCCATGGCTCCCAGCATCTGAAGGAACCAGCGGGTTTGTTCTGAATCCAGAGAGGAAGGCAGGTCATGCGGTGATGTTTGTTCGGTATTCAACCTCTCGTAATCTCAAGGAAACAGAATTAGTGCATTAACAACACTTTATCTTGGGTGCCAGTAAAGACAGGTATCAGTTTTATATCTCTTTATGGAAGTGAAATTCAATACAGATAGCACCTTTTATGGTTTGCCAGCTTTTATGAAATGCAGTAAATCAGTGCCCAAGTACGGCTGTTTGAACACCCTGTTACCCCTTTGTGGAAAGATTGAACTTCATCCGATCGCATTAGTTGAACGCAAATGTTTCATCCCCATCAATCTCTCCCAAGCTTCTGTCCGCTGGCTGAGTCTAGTTTTGCGAGGAAAATTTTTTATTTGGTTATCCTTTCTGGAGGCATCATAAGCCTCCACTGGTGGCTGTCCACTCTGATATCACCTAAAGGTTCACTGGCCGTGGCCAGGCAAAATGCGGGGACAGTGCCTGGCACAGGGTCCGTCCTTATTATTAGTGTTGTTACCTTTAATTGTACACATGTAAAGTGATATATTCTGAAGCCCACTCTTGATTAGGATGCTAGATTATGATCTTCCTCCTTTTTATAGTATTCTCTTCGCTTTGGACAATTTCTCAGACCCACTTATAGAATGTGTATATTGAGTTCAAGTCAGAAGCAATAGTTGGAACAGATCCTCACTCCTTTGCCCAACTTCCTCTTCTTCCTGGGCTGGATGTCTTCCTCTTTACTGGCAACCTGTGGTTAGCAGAATAATGCCTATCATATGTCTATGACCTGATCCCCAGAGCCTGTAAATAATATCACCTTACATGGTGTGACGGTTAATTTTATGCATCACCTCCCACTTGACTGGGTTAAGGGATACCCAGATAGCTGGTAGAGCATTATTTCTGGGTGTGTCTCTGAGGGTGTTTTGGGAAGAGACAAGCATTTGAATGGGTAGAATGAGTAAAAAAGATCTGCCTTCACCCATGGGAACAGGTGTCATCCAATCTGTCACGGGTCTGAATAGCACAAAAAGGCAGAGGAAGGGTAAATTCTCTCGTTGTCGCTTCTTGGGCCAGGATGTCCATCCTCCATTGCCCTTGGAAATCAGGGATCCTTGTTCTTGGGCCTTCATGCTCCGGGACTTACACTAGTGTCCTCCTGGTTCTCAGCTCTTCAGACTCAGATTGGACAACCCCACCCGCTTTCCTGTTCTCCAGCTTGCAGATGGCATAACATGAGACTTCTCAGCCTCCATAATTGCATGGGCCAACTCCCATACTAAATCATTTATGTATCTATGTACATCCTACTCATGCTGTCTCTTGGAGAACCCGGCTAATGTAGCAAAGAAGAATTGATGTTGCAGTTAAAATTCAGGTTGTTCATCAGCTGATCCCGAGCTGGGGAGAGGATGCTGGATTATCCAGGTGGGCCCAATACAGTCATTAGAGTTCTTAAATGGAGAATAGTGGGGCAGGAGAGAAGGTCAGAGTGATGCAATATGAGAAGGACTTGACCGGTCATTGCCGGCTTTGCAGATAGAGGAGGGGCCATGAACCAGGGAAGGTGGTGGTCTCTGGAAGATGGAAAAACCAAGGAAATGGGTTGAGGGGGGAAATGCCTGTTGGGGGTCAACGTTCTCCTAATTCTGGAGTAGGGGCTAAACTAGAGTGCTAGAATGCTCAAAAGAATCAAGCGAAGAAGAATACTTCTGAAATAATAAATAGGACTTATAGTCATTCTAGGTCGGTAGATGGTTAAAAAAAAACCTGGCTGAAATAAAATAAACTACAAAGAAAATGGGTTCTTCCCAAAAGAGCATAGCCCTGTGACAACTTGGTTTTTAGTCCTGTGGGGCCCATTTGGGACTTCTGATTTCCAGAACAGTGAGATGATACATTTGGGTTGTTCTAAATCACCAAGTTTGTGGTAAATGGTTACAGCAGCCACTAGAAATCAATACATCACCCTATCCCGACCTTTATTTAGGTTTTCTTCAACCCTCCAGCCCCTCTGAGGCCTGCCTCCCCAGGAATCCTCCACTGACTTCCACTGCCCACGGGGACCCCTTTGCCCCAGAATTCTGGTTCTCCTCCGGCTTGTTCCCTCTGTGCCCTTTCTTTCAATGAGTGCCCAGAGGGCAGGGCCAGACCTCTGTCCTTGGTAGGAGCTCGTGGTTCCTGCTGCTGACTCAGGCCCCATGCTGTGGAGGGCGTGTGCCTACCACCTGCATTACCTCCTGGGTGCTGGACTCTGGCGAGTAGAGGCACTTTGCAGGGATGGAGTCTGAATTCACAGGCTTGACCCAAGGGTCCCAAAAGGCTAAAGGTTTTTTTCCATTTGGATAACAGGATGGTGTTCTGATTTTGCTCTGGGTCAGTAGAATTGTAGAATGATACAAATTCAGTCTAGCATTGATATAGTTTGGCTGTGTCCCCACCCAAATCTCATCTTGAGTTATAGCTCCCATAATCCCCACATGTTGTGGGAGAGACTCAGTGGGAAATAACTGAATCATGTGGGTGGTTACCCCCATGCTGCTGTTCTCATGATAGTGAGTTCTCACAATATCTGATGGTTTTATAAGGGACTTTCCCCCCTTTTGCTCAGCACTTCTCTTGCCTGGCGCCATGTAAGATGTGCCTTTGCTTCTCCTTCACCTTCTGTCATGATTGTGACGCCTCCCCAGCCATGTGGAACTGTGAGTCCATTAAACCTCTTTTTCTTTATAACTTACCCAATCTCAGGTATTTCTTCATAGCAGTATGAAAACGGACTGATACAAGCATGCTACTTCTTAAACCAAGAACAAACATTTTAAAACATTGCTTTTATTTTTAGGATCTTTTATTTTTCTCTGTAAAAAATTATTAATTTTAAACTTTTGTCAGCATGTAGTAGGTGTATATATTTATGAGGTACATGAGATATTTTGATACAGATGTGCAATGTGAAATAAACACATCATAGAGATTGGGGTATCCCTTCCCTCAAGCATTTGTTTTTTGAGTTACAAATAATCTTATGGCACCCTTTCACTTATTTTAAAATGTACTTTAAAAACATTTTAAAACTATTTTTTTCCTTTACAGATAGCTGCATTGTATCTGTCATGATGCCCTGACATTACACACATAGTGAGTGTCTGGTGATATTGATGGAATGAGCTATTATGAGACTAAGTGGGTGGGTTTGGGTTTCACTCACATTTTGGTCTCTTAACCAGGCTTGTTGAAGATTGTGAAGCTGGGGTGGAGGAGAAAGTCTGGTCACTTGTTGTTGGTCCAATCCTTCCTCAGTCTCTGTCTTCAAGTGTGAGCGTGGGCTGTCTCTTCCTTCTTTGCAACTGGGTGTTGTCATCTACTTTTTCTGGATCAAGGGACTCTAGAACAACCCTACCCCTGGAGAACAGGTCCCAGTCAGCGCAGCTGGGGAGGGGAGGCAGAGTCTGCTCATCCCAGGGCCCTCAGATACCCTCACTGTTCTAGTGTGGGTGTCCCTGGCCCCATGTACCTGCCCTGGGCTCTCCTCTCCACCTGGGCCCTGGGAGCCCCTTGCCACAGGTGTAGAAGCCTGAGACACCGGGAAGGACATGTTCCCCAGGGTGGCCCTATTCCAATGGCCAACAGCTGGAGAGGGAGACCTGCCCAGTTCCCTCATCTTGAGCTGTAACAACCTCTTGAGGTATAACTTCCACTCCAAACTTCCTTGTATGATCTGCTGATATTGGGGCTGTGCCTGAGAGGGCACCATGCTGGACCAGCACTCCTTCCTACCCTGCTTCCCCTCTCCACCTTTATTTCCAGACCACATTCTCCTGAAAGCACACAGACCCTTTATCTCAGGGCCTGTTTCTAGAGAATGAACCCACAACATCCCCTCCTCCCAGATGATTTCTGAACCTTCAGGTGACTCAGAGCCAGCTTCCCAACCTCTGAATGGGGTGAAGACTCAGCTGGTTGCTTGGCTTGGCGAAGCAGTTGTATCAGTAACCAACTGAGTGTAAAGGGCCAAGGATTTGAGTTTCAGAACAGAAACCATCCCATCCCTGCCTCCCTGTTCTGGGGACAGGAAGACCCAGTACCTTTCAGATAGGACTCAGAGAGGTGCCTGGCAAGTGGCTGGGCCAAGCAGAAGATTCTGGAACATACTGCTTTGGGAACAGTGATGGATGGGGTAGCACCTCCAGACCCCCACTCCCCATTTCTTGGTCCAATCTCTGAGCCTGCAGAGTCCATCTGAATGTGTACCACTGAGCAGAGCAAATTTCCATCTAGCTCGGCCCTTTCTATTAATAGTTGGCGCTGTTAGAGGCCAACTATTGATAGAAAGATGAAGGCCCATCAAAGTGTCATGGAGCATGGTAGGAGCCCAGCACCAGTCAGCTTTGTTCTGGTAGTCTCTGAGCCCTAGTTTCCTCTTCTGCAAAATGAGGACACCCATGCTGTTCCTCTCTTGAGCATGGGGCGAGGATCAAGGAGAACAAGCGCGTGAAAAGCCTTGGAAACTGTCCAGCACTTTACTATAATGTCCATTTTCCTTTTTTGACACTGTTTCCCGCCTCCTCTGCAATCTCAGCCTTCAAAACTCCCAGCTCATGAAACAGAGAGACACTGGCCCCTCCTTGGTGAGTAGACACTCCTCTTCCTCCAGCCCCTCCTGGCACGTGCAGAGCACACAGCAGGCAGGTGTTAGGAGAATTATGTCTGCTTTTTATGACTCACTCACTGTAGCACTTGGAACAATTCCAGGTCCTTGTGGTTCCTGATACGTTTGCAAAGTCACAGATGCAGGGAATGTTTGTTCCTGTTTCAGCAAGGTAATCCTCCACCCTTGGGGTCCCTGCCTGCCAGGAGATGAGGGTGGATGATGAAAAAAAGTCACACTGACGGGGCGGTGACCAAGCACTGCACTTGCTCATCTCAGTGTCCTCAGCGTGGCAGGAGGCAGGTGCTGTTACCACCCTGTTACCGGCTGAGGAAGTTGAGGCACAGAGTGGGTTAGTCACCTACCTACTGTTGCACAGCCAGACAATGGCCCTGTGGGGAGTACCGCCCCAGGCTTTTCTGATCCTGGAGGGGGTTTGTTCTTGAGACCTCCAGAGGCATTTTCTACAACAGCTCTTGGAGAGCCCTGAGGTACTGATTAGGGAAAACACCAGAGCCCTGGGGCACTAAGGTTGGCCCTCACTCCTCTGGGGCTGACAGGTAGCTGGATTTTCATGTGTCTGAATTTGAGCATTCTAGAGATATCATATAAATGGAATTTCTCCGCCTATGACTGTTTTATTTCACTTAGCATAATGTCTTGAAGCTTCATCCAGGCTGTACCATGTGTCAAAATTTCCTTCCCTTTTTAAGACTGAATAATATTCCATTGCATGTACACACCACATTGGGTTTATTCATTCATCTGTCCATGGACACTTGTGTTGCTTCCACATTTTAGCTATCATGAATAATGCGGTTATAAACATGGGTGTCAAATATCTGTTAGAGGCTCTGTTTTTACTTCTTTTGAATAAGTAACAAAAAACGGAATTTCTGGATTATATGTTATTTCCATTTTTAATTTTTTGAGGAACTATCATACTGTTTTTCATAGTATATATATAACATTTTATATTCCCACCAACAGCGCACAAGAGTTCCGATTTCTCCACATCCTCATCAACACTTCTCATGTTCTGCTTTTTAGATGGTAACCATCCTAATGGGTGTGAGATGTATCTCATTGAATTTGCATTTCCCTAATGATTAGGGATGTTGAGCATTTTTATGTGTTTATTGGCCATTTGTATATCTTCTTTGGATAAATGTTTACTCAAGTCCTTAGCTCATTTTTGAGTTAGGTTTTTTTGTTTTTGTTGTTGTGTTTTTGTTGAGTTTTAGGAGCTCTCTATATTCTGTATATTGATCCTTTATCAGATATATGATTTTCAAATATTTTCTCCCATTCTATGAGTTGTTTTTTTTTTTACTTTGTTGATACTGTCGTTTGATGTACAAAATTTTTTATGAAGTTCAATTTGTCTATTTTTTTTCTTTTGTTGCCTGTGCCTTTGGTGTCATATCCAAGAAATCACTGCCAAATCCAATGTTGTGAAGCTTTTCCCCTGTTTCCTTCTAAGAGTTTTGTATTTTCAGGTCTTACATTTAGGTCTTAGACCATTTTAAGCTATTGTTTGTATATGGTTATAGGTAAGGGTCCAACTTCATTCTTTCGCATGTGAATATCCAGTTTTACCAACACCATTTGTTGAATAGACCATCCTTTCCCCATTGGATGGTCTTGGCATCCTTGTAAAATATCATTTCATCATATATGTGAGCGTTTATTTCTGGGCTCTCTATTCTATTTGTCTATATGTCTGTCTTTATGCCAGTACCACATTATTTTGATGACTGTAGCTTTGTAATAGGTTTTGAAAACAGGAAATGTAAGTCCTCCAGCTTTCTCTTATTTTTCAAGATTATTTTGGCTATTCAGGGTCCCTAGAGATTCCATTTTAATTTTAGGATGGGGTTTTCTATTTCTGCAGAAAGCATCATCTAGACGCTGATAGGGATTATGTTGAATCTGTAGGTCACTTTGGGTAGTACTGACATCTTAACAATGTTAAGACTTCAAATCCATAAATACGAGATGTGTTCCATTTACAATTGACTCTTGAACAACATTAGAGTTGGGGTGCTGACCTCCTATGCAGTCAAAAATCCATGCATAACTTTTTACTTCCCAAAGACTTAGCCACTAATACCCAACTACTGAGTGGAAGCCTTACTGATAACATAAACATTCAACGAACACAAATTTTGTAGGTGGTATGCATTATGCATTCTTACAATAAAGTAAGCTGTTAGAGAAAAGAAAATGTTACTAAGAAAATCATAAGGAAGAGGAAATGTGTTTACTATTCACTAAGTAGAAGAGGATTATCATAAAGGTCTTCATCCTTGTCTTCATGTTGAGTAGGCTGAGGAGCTGGAGGAAGAGGAGAGGGTGGTCTTGCTATCTCAGATATGGAAGAGATGGAAGAGGAGGCAAGAGAAGAAAGACAGGCACACTTGGTGTAACTTTATGGAAATACGTTGTAATTTCTATCTGACTCTTTTGCTTTTTCATGTCTTTAAAAATGTTTCTATATGGTACCAATCCTTTTCCCACCGTATGCTTTAGTTTTAGTGCCTGTATCATAGAAGGGCTCAGGTCTTAAAAAAGAAAAAAAAAAAAAAAAAACAGAAGCTGTCTTGAACAATCAGAACCCTTCTGCCAGATCGTCCAATGTTAATTTGTTTCTTGGCACTACTTCTTCTACATTATCTTCTGCATGGTCTGGCACTGGTTCAGAAGCACTCATCTCCTTCAAGTCGACTTCTGTTAATTCCTCTGGCATGATGTCTATTAGCTCTTGAATTTCTCCAAGTCTATATCTTGAAACCCTTTACACCTACTTTTTTTTTTTTTTGCCATATCCACAATCTCTTAATTTCCCTGATTGACTCTCTTGTGAATCTTGTGATGTCAGGCACAACATCTGGACACAATTGTCTCCAGTAAGAATTCATTGTTTTAGGCTTGATAGTTTTCACAACTTTTTGTATAACAATGTTGGCCTCTTCAATGGTGCAGACCTTCATGATGTTCCCTCTGTTAGTATTCTTTTCTGTAGCATTGATAATCCTTTCCATAGAGTACTGTGTGTAATGAGCCTACAGATCCTTATGACCTCCCGATCTAGAGGCTGAAGGGGAGGCACTTTGTTTGGGGGCAGTACACCACTCCAGTGCCTTCAGTGTTGAACTCCTGGGATTCTGGGTGGCCAGGGGCATTGTTCAATATCAAAATAACTTTATAAGGCAGTCTCCTACTGGCAAGGTATTTCCTGACTTTAGGGACAAAGCATCAATGAAGCCAATCCAGGAAAAAATGTTCTCATTTTCCAGTCCTTCTTGTTGTACAACCAAAAGACTGGCAGCTGGTGTTTAATGTTTCCCTTCAAGGCTGGGGGATTGGCAGCTTTATAGATAAGGGCAGACCTGGTCATAAATCCAACTTGATTTGTACAAAACAGTAGAGATGGCCTATCCCTTCCTGTCTTAAATCCTCCCACTCACTTCTCTTCCTTATTAATGAATGTCCTTTGTGGCATTTTTTTTTCCAGAACAGGGCACTTTTGTCTGCATTAAAAATTGGTTCAGGCATATATTCTTACTCCTCAGTGATTTTCTTAATGGTGTTTGGGAACTTGTCTGCTGCTTCTTGGTTGGCAGAAACTGCTTCTCCTGTTATCTTGACATTTTCGAAGCCAAACCTCTTTCTAAAATTATCAAACCATCCTTTTCTGGCATTAAATTCTGCAGGTTTAGATCCTCCACCTTCTTTTGCTTTAAGTTGTCGTATAATGGCTTCATTTTTTTGACTTATGATAGTGTATAGATATACCTTTCTTATAGCAATCCTGCACCCAGATAAAAGCTGCATTTTCAAAATAGGATAAAAAGATATTTTGCAAAAAGTTCAAGATTTTCATTCCTTCTAGCCTAGCTGCAGTGATGGCTCCATGAATTTCTTTTTCTTTATTTACAGTGGTCCTTATACTGAATTCATTTATCTTGAAATTGAGGGCAACGGTAGCTGCAGAGCTTAATCTACAGTACATTACCAAGCAATTCAACATTTTCCTGTAATGTCATGACTTTTCTCTGCTTCTTGGGAACACTTCTAACATAGTGGCACGTTGTATGGGTCCCATAGTGTTATTCAAGGTTTACAGTATTGCACTAAATGAGATGAAAAACAAGTAAGAACCACAAATTATCACACTTTACTGAGATATGCAATTTACTGGAGAGATAAACTGCTCATACAGAGATGAATAATGTCACATAACATTTTAAGTGGATGGATACTCTTGAGTTCACTGCAAAAGCAACAGGAGGTGGCTACAAAACTATCACAATAGTACAGTATTATTATAGTTAATTTTATGCAGTCGTGATTGAATATTACATATTTACATTTGTTTACATTTCTCAACTGTGAATAGCACCATGTAAATACCATATAAGTCTGTTTGTATGTGTAAATTTTAATAAATTTTAACTTTTTGTAATAAATTTATGTATATTTTATGGTAGTAAATGATAAAATAGACTAGTAGCTACATGTATTTTATTCATTCATAACATACCTAATTAATTTTTCAGTATTTTTCAATATTTCTAGGCTATGTGGTTTGTCTGTGTTTTCAAACTATCACAAATCTTCAACAAATTTTCTGACGTACTTGTTTTTGAAAATTCCTGTATAAAAGTGACCCCGTATGGTTCAAACCTGTGTTGTTCAAAGCTCAACTGTATTTATGTCTTCTTTAATTTCTTTCAGCAATGCATTTGTAGTTTTTATTGTACAAGTCTTTCACCTCCTTAATTCCTAAATATTTTATTCTTTTTGATGCTATTGTAAGCGGGATTTAAAAAATTCTTTTCAGGTTGTTCGTTGCTGAAATAAAGGAATGCAACTGATATTTTTGTGTGTGTTGACTTTGTACCCTGAAAGTTTGCTGAATTCATCTATTACTTCTAACAGATTTTTGTGGAATCTTTGCAGGTTTTCTACATATAAGATTATATCATCCCCCAAAAAAGATAACTTTATTTTTTCTTTCCAATTTGGATGGCTTTGATTTCTTTTCATGCCTAATTTCTCTGGCTAGAACTTCCAGTTTCAGTAATGCTGGCTGTAGAATGAGTTAAGAGGCATTCCCTCCTCTCCAATTTTTTGAAAATGTTTGAGAATAATTGGTATTCACTCTTCTTCAAATGGCTGGTAGAATTCACCAGTGAAGCCATCAACTCCAGGGCTTTTCTTTGTCAGGAGAATTTTGATTACTGTCTCAATTTTCTTGCTAGTTTCAGATCTATTCAGATTTTCAATTTCTTCATTATTTGGTCTTTGTAGGTTGTGTATTTCTAGGAATCTGTTCATTTCATCCAGATTATCCAATTTGTTGGCATACAGTTGTTCATAGTACTCTCTTATAATCTTTTTTATTTCTGCAGATTGAATAGTAATGTCCCCACTTTCATTTCTGATTTTAGTAATTTGAGTCTTCTCTCTTTGTTTTCTTAATCTGTCTAGTTAAAGTTTTGTCAATTTTGTTGATCTTGTGGTTTCATTGATTTTTATCTATTTTTCTAGTCTCTATCCCATTTAGCTTTGTTCTAATCTTATTTCCTTCCTTCTGCTAGCTTTGACTTTACTTTGTTTTTATTTTTCTAATTCCTTAAGTTGTAAAGTTAGGTTGTTGATTTGAGATCATTCTTGTTTTTAATATAAGCATTTATAACTACAAATTTTCCCCTTCATACTGCTTTTGCTGTGTCCCACAAGTTTTGGTATATTGTGTTTTCATTTTCATGTTTTTTTCTAAGTGTTTTCTAACTTACCTTGTACTTTTTCTTTGATCCATTTGTTGTTGAGAGGTGTGTTACTTTTCCACATATTTGTGAATTTTCCAGTTTTACTTCTATTATGATTTCTAACTTCATCTCATTGTGGTGGAGAAAATACTTTGTATGATATTTATCTGTTGAAATCTATTGAGACTTACTTTGTTGACCTGATATATGGCCTGCCCTGGAAAATGTCCCATATGCACTTGAAAAGAATGTGTAGGCTGTTGTTGTTGGATAGTACGTTCTGTATAAGTCCATTAGATCTAATTGGTATTTTGTTGTTGAAGCCCCTTAAGTAAGTTTCCTTACTTACCTTCCATCCTACTTATTATTCTATTCATTATTGTGAGTAAGGTATTGAAGTCTCCAACTGTTACTGTAGAACTATTTCCCCTTCAGTTCCATTTGTTTTTGCTTTATATATTTTGGTGGTCTGCTATTAGGTTAATCATTGTTTATGATTGTCATATTTACATGCTGCATTAAACATTTAATTAATATATGATGTCCTTCTGTGTCTTTTGTAATTTTTTTTATTTAAAGTATATTTTGTCTGATATTATAGCCACTCCTGCTTTCTCTTGGTTATTATTTGATGAAATATCTTTTTCATCCTTTTACTTTCTACCTATTTGTATCTTTAGATATAAAGCAAGTCTCTTGTAAACAGCATATAGTTCAATGATGTATTTTTATCCATTTTACTGTTCTGTGGTCTTTTTATTGGAGGGTTTAATTCATTTACACTTGAAGTAATTCCTGATAAGAAAGGATTTATTTATGTCATTTTGCTATTAGTTTTCTATATGACTTATAGCTGTTTTGTCCCTTCTTCTGTATCACTATCTTCTTTTGTGTTTAGTTGAGTTTTTTTGCAGGAAAGTGTTTAAATTCCTTTTTTACTTCCCTTTGTGTATACTCTACAGTTGTTTTTTCTGTGGATACTGTAAAGATTGTATTTTACGTACTAAAGTTGTAATAGTCTAATTTGAACTTTTATTTGTTTAACTTCAGTAACATACAAAAACTCTGCCCTTACAGATCTATCTCCACCCCTTTTGGTTGTTGATGTTACAATATTACATCTATATACATTGTGTGCCTAAAAATATAAGCTAATCATTAATTTAAATGCCTTAATCCCTTAACTTATGTAGGGAACAAAACAGAGTTACAAACTAAAGTTACAATAAACTAGCTTTTGGACTAATAATTTTTAAAAAATGTATTAGTCTCTTAAGTTACCTAGAAAACAGAAAGTGGAGTTACAAAACATTGTTACAGTAATACTGTCTCTTATAATTGCATATGTATTTACCTTCATTGAAGTAGGTATTTCTTTATGTGGCTTTGAGTTACTGTTTAGTGTATTTTCCTTTCACTTTGCATGACTGTCTTGAGCATTTTCAGCTCCAAAAATTCTTTTTGGCTTCTTTTTAGGTTTCCTTTTTTTTCTTCTTAAATTTTTTATGTTATTGTTGTTCTTTAAGTTGTAGGGTATGTGTTTGTTACATAGGTATACATGTGCCATGTTGGTTTGCTGCAACCATCAACTTGTCATTTGCATTAGGTATTTCTCCTAATGCTATCCCTCCCCCAGCCCTCTACCCCCTGACAGGCCCCAGTGTGTGATGTTCCCTGCCCTGTGTCCAAGTGTTCTCATTGTTCAATTCCCACCTATGAGTGAGAACATGTCAATTCCCACCTATGAGTGAGAACATGCGGTGTTTGGTTTTCTGTCCTTGTGATAGTTTGTTGAGAATGATGGTTTCCAGCTTCATCCATGTCCCTGCAAAGGGACATGAACTCATCCTTTTTTATGGCTGCATAGGTTTCCTATCTCTATTGATATTTCCTCTCATACATCATTTTCTTTACTTTCTCCACATCTTTTAATTCTTTGAGTATGTTTAAGACAGTTCTTAAAGATGGTCTGGTAGATTTGCACTCAGTTCTTTTTCAGGAAAGGGCAGTATCTGTTGATTTATTTTTTCCTTTGAGTGGACTGTACTTTCCTGTTTCTTTATATAACTTCTGATTTTTTTTTTGGTTGAAAACTGGACATTTGAGCATAGTAATGTGGCAACTCTGGAAATCAGATTCTCTCCCTTCCCCATGGTTTGGTGTTTTGTTATTATTTTTTTATTTTATTTATTTTTTTTACTGTTGGTGGCTGTCTCTGTGCCAAGGATTATCCTGAGGTGTAAACTTAGGGTCTTCTCAGATCTTTGCAGAGCCATCGCCTTTACCTGGGAATGCATGGTCACTTTCTAATTATCCTGTATATGCAGTTGTTTTTAAATAACTTAATCTGTAATATCTGGCTCCCAAAAGGGGAAAAAGAGAAAACTAAGGGAGAAAAGGGTGCCAGTCCTTTAAATCCCCTGGAGGTCACGTCAGCCAGAGCGGGAGGGACTTACATTAATCAGGGGAGGTGCAGCAATAATGAACACGGCCTCTTTGCACTCTGTGATCGGAAGCAGAAATCAGGAATCAGAGCACAGATTCCTGATATTTTTAGAGTCCTTTTTGCTCACTCTGTCTTCCACTAGCTGTGTACAAGCTGTTCCAGTAACACATGCATACCTGCAACCAACGGGCTGGTGATGAAGGGTGGGTAGCTGCTACTGCTCTACAAACTGAAATGGACTGAAATTAACTGCAATGTACCCTGCAAGCCTTCCCCTGAAAATTGCAAGCCTTCTATAGTTGCTGGAGTTCCAAAATAGTTACATCAGACTGATTCTGTCAGTGCAATTGTTGTCTGGGTGGGGAGAGAGATTCCTGGTGCTTCCTACTTTGTCATATTTCCAGAGTCTCTTTCCTATTGCTTTTGTTGCAAAATCCTGAAGGTGATAAACAGGGGCTGAGAGAAATCAGTTATGTGTTAATTAATAAAGCAATTTAAATTTTTTATTTTTAATTGATGCATAATAATTGTACATATTTATGGGGTACAGAGTGATATTTTGTTACATATATATAATGTAAAATAATCAAATTGGGTAATTAGCACGTCCATCACCTCAAATACTTATTATTTCTTTGTGTTGGGATGATTTAAAATCCTCTCTTCTCGCTGTTCAAAAATATACAATAAATTATTGTTAACTGTAGTCACCCTACAGTGCTATAGAAAGCTGGAACTTATTTCTCCCATCTAGCTGTAATTTTGCATCCATTAACAAACCTCTTTCTATCCTCTCCTTTCCCCTACCTTTCCTAGCCCCTAATAACCACAGTTCTACTCTCTTCTTCTATGAACTTTATTTTCCACATATGAGTGAGAACATGTGGTCCTTATCTTTCTGTGCCTGACTTATTTCACTTAACATAACGTCCTCCAGGTTCATACATGTTGCTGGAAACAGCAGGGTTTCATTCTTTGTTATGGCTGAATGGTAATCCATTGTGTATATATACACCACATTTTCTTTATCCATTCATTTGTTGATGGATACTTATGTTGATATCATATCTTGGCTATTGTGAATAGTGCTGCAATAAACATGGGGGTGAAGATATGTCCTTGATATACTAGTTTCCTTCCTTTTGGAGAAATACCTAGTAGTGGTATTGTTGGATCATACAGTAATTCTATTTTTAGTTTTTTGAGAAACCTCCATACTGTTTTCCATAATGGCTGTACTAATTTGCATTTCCACCAACAGTGTATAAGAGTTCCCTTTTCTCCACATTTTTGCCAACATTTGTTATTTTTTGTCTTTTCTATAATAGCCATTCTAACTAAGGTGAGATAATATTTTATTGTGGTTTTGATTTGCATTTCCCTGATGATCAGTGATGTTGAGCATTTAAAAAATATGCTGTTTCTCATTTGTATGCCTTCTTCTGAGAAATATCTATTCAGATCCTTTGCCCATTTTAAAATCTGATTATTTGCTTTTTGTGCTGTTGAGTTGTTTGAGTTCCTTATATATTTTGGATATTAATCCCTTGTTGGATGAATAGTTTGCAAACATGTTCTCCCATTCTGTAGGTTGTCTCTTCCCTCTCTTGATTGCTTCCTTTGCTGTGCAGAAGCTTTTTAGTTTGATATAATCCCATTTGTCTTTTTCTGCTTTTGTTGCCTGTACTTTTGAAGTCTTACCTATAAAATCTTTGCATAGATCAATGTGTTTTTCAGGTTTTCTTTTATTAATTTTATACTTACATTTAAGTCTTTATTCCATTTTGAGTCAATGTTTGTATATGATGAGAGATAGGGGTCTAGTTTCATACTTCTACATATGTATATATGGTTTTACCAGAACCATTTATTGAAGAAGATGTCCTGTCTCCAGTGCATGTTCTTGGTGACTTTGTTGAAAATCAGTTGGCTACAAATATGTGGGTTTGTTTCTGGGTTCTCTATTTTGTTCAGTTGGACTATGTCTCTGTTTTTATACCAGTACCATGCTGTTTCAGTTACTATGGCATTGTAGTATATTTTGAAGTCAAGTAGTGTGATGTCTCCAGCTTTGTTCTTTTTGCTCAGAATTTTTTTGGCTATTTGTGGTCTTTTGTGGCTCCGTATGAATTTTAGAACTGTTTTTCTAGTTCTGTGAAGAGTGTGATTGGTATTTCAATAGAAATTGTATTGAGTCTGTAGATCACTTTGGGTATGGTCATTTTAACAATACTAATTCTTTCAATCCATGAAAACAAGATGTCTTTCCATTTTTTGGTATTTTCTTTCATCAATCTTTTGTACTTTTCACTGTAGAAACTCACTTCACCTGTAAAGATACACATAGACTGAAAGTGAAGGGATGAAGAAAAGATATTCCATGCAAATGGAAGCCCAAAGCAAGCAAGAATAGCTATATTTATATCAGATAAAATAGACTACAAGTCTAAAAACACAGAGACAAAGAAGGTCATTACATTATGATAAAGGGATCAACTCAGCAAGAGAACATAACAATTGTAAATATATATGCACCCAACACTGGAGCAACCAGACATGTAAAGCAAACATGATTAGAGCTAAAGAAAGAAATAGACCAAAATACGATAATGTTAGGGGAGTTTACCCCACTCTCAGCATTGGGCAGATCACCTAAACTGAAAATCAACAAAGAAACATCAGACTTAAACTTCACTGTAGATCAAACAGACCTAACAGATATTTATAGAACATTTAATCCAACAGCCACAGAATACACATTTTTCTCATTAGCACATGGAACATTCTCCAGAATAGACCATATATTACACCACAACACAATTCTCAACAAATTCTAAAAAAAAGAAAAATCATATCAAATATCTTTTCAGATGATAATGAAATAAAACTAGAAAACAATAATAAGTGGAACTTTGGAAACCCTATAAATACATGGAAATTAAACAACATGCTCCTGATCAACGATTGGGTGAATGAAAAAATTAAGAAGGAAGTAAAAAAATTTCTTGAAACAAGTGAAAATAGAAACACAACATACAAAAACCTATGAGATATAGTGAAAGCAGTGCTGAGAAGAAAGTTTATAGCAATAAGTGCCTACATCAGAAAAGTAGAAAATCTTCAAATTAACAACACAGTGATGCACCTTAAAAACTAGAAAAGCAAGAACAAACTAAATCCCAAACTAGTGGAGGAAAAAAAATAATAAAATCATGGCCAAGCTAAACAAAACTGAGACTAAAAAGCAATATAAAAGATCAACGAAATGAAAAGTTGACTCTTTGAAAAGATGAACAAAATCAACAAAACTTTAGCTAGACTAAGAAAAAAAGAGAGAGGATCCAAATAAATAAAGTCAGAAACAAAAATGGAGACATTACAACTGACATCCCAGAAGTACAGGAGATCATAAGAGTGTATAATGAACAGCTATAGGCTAACAAATTGAAAAACATAAAGGAAATGGATCCACTTCTGGACATGTATAACCTACCAAGATTGAACTAAGGAGAAACAGAAAATCTGAACAGACCAATATCAAGTAATCAGATGGAATCAATAACAAAAAGTCTCCTGACAAAGAAAATCCCAGGACCAGATGCCTTCACTGCTGAATTCTGCCAAACTTTTAAAGAACTAAAACCAATTTTTCTCATACTATTCCAAAAAGTTTGAAGAGGAAGGAATTCTTCCTAACTCATTCTTCAAGGCCAGCATTACCCTGCCACCAAAACCAGACAAGGTCACAATAAAAAGAGAAAATCACCAGCCAATCTTTGTAATGAACATAGATGCAAAAATTCTCAACAAAATACTAGCAAACTGAATCCAATAGTACATTAAAAAGGTCATTTACCATGATAAAGTGGGATTCATCCCAGGGATGCAAGGATGGTTCAACACATGCATATCAAGAAAACAATTTAAGATGACCCCTTTGGGCAAGAATCTATGAGCTGAGCCAACTCGTTTTGCTAAAGACTAGTGAGGTGCCTGCTTCAATGTTTGATCTGGTGAGCACTGAATCAAATCCCCTATGGGTCCTTGGACTCTGACATACACACCATGTGACAGTTTTTTCATTTGTTGAGTTCTGGGTGGAATTGGTAGGCTCTGAGATGCATCACAGCAAGTACTTTGAGCCTTCTCTCGAGAATAAGCTCTTGTAGGGAGACAAAGGCCAATGCTCCCCCAAACTCCTGCTTTCTCCCTTTTGGTTAGGACACTTGATTTAAAAAAAAAATATATATTTTTCTGTCTTAAACTTTTAAAACAGTTTTATTTGATTTTTAATTGACACACAATAATTGTACATGTTTAAGGGATAGGGTATGACGTTTTGATACATGTATACATTATGCAATGATCAAATTAGGGTAATTAGCATATTCATCACTTCAAATGTTTATCATTTCTTAGAGGTAATGAGGTAGGAGGCAGAACTTGAATCCAGAGGTGAGGCTTGGGTACTGGACCAAACTGAGGACTAGCCAGAACTGGGATAAGGTGGAAGCATCTTTTCATAAGCCATGTCCATCAGTGTGCCATGTCAGTTTACCATTGCCATGGCAACCCCTGGAAGTTACCACCCCTTTCCATGGCAATGACCCGATGACCCAAAAGTTACTACTCCTTCCCTATAAATTTTTGCTTAAACCTCCCCTTAATCTACAAGCAGTTAAAAGTAGGGCCATTTGTGGTGGCTTATGCTTGTAATCCCAGCACTTTGGAGGCAGAGGCAGGCAGATTGCTTGAGTCCAAGAGTTTGAGACCAGCCTGGGCAACATGGTGAAACCCCTTCTCTATAAAAAATATAAAAAATGAACTGGGCATGGTGGTATGCGCCTGTAGTCCCAGCTACTTAAGAGGCTGAGGTGGGATGGTCACTTGAGCCTGGGAGGTCAAAGCTGCAGTGAGCTGTGATCATGCCACTGTACTCCAGCCTGGCTGACAGAGTGAGACACTGTCTCAAAAAATAAAAATAAAACAAAATAAAAGTAGGTATAAATATGACTGCAAACTGCCCTAGCTGCGACTTTCAGCACACTGCCTATCCTATGGGACAGCCTTAGTCTGATGGAGCAGTCACAGAGCTGTAATACTGCCAGGGCAGTAACACCTCTTCAATAAAGTTGTTTTCTTCTACCGCCAGCTTGCCCTCAAATTCTTTCCTAGGCAAAGCCAAGAATCCTCATGGGCTAAGCCCCACTTTGGGGCTTGCCTGCCCTGAATTAGTAAAAACATTCAAAATCTTCTGTTCTATCTATTTTGAAATATATAATATATTTTTGTTAGCTATTGTCATCCTACTGTGCAATGGAACACTAGAATTTATTCCTCCTATCTCACTGTAACTTTGTACCTTTTGACCCCTCCCTCCTACTCCTCCCAGCCCCTGCTAATGCCTATTTTACTCTCTATGAAATCAACTTTTTCAGATTTCACATATGAGTGAGATCACGTGGTGTTTATCTTTCTGTGCCTGGCTTATTTCACTTAACATGATGTCCTCCAGGTTCATCCATGTTGCCACAAATGACAGGATTTTATTCTTTTTTATGGCTAAATTTTATTCCATTGTGTAAATATACCACATTTTCTTCATTCATTCATTGGTGGACACTTAGGTTGATTCTATATCTTGGCTATTGTGAATAATGCTGCAATAAACATGGAAGTGGAGATAACTCTTTGACAGATTGATATTATTTTCTTTGGATATATAACCAGCAATGAGATTGCTGGACCGTAGGGACTCCTGCTCGATGTGGTTCTGTTTCTATTCCAGGACAGGGGCCATGTTGCCCCTTGGCATCTGAGTGAGTGACAGCAAGATGTCAGGCACAGATGACCACCTTCCTAGAAGCGGGGTCCCACCATGCTTGGGGTTGGGGGGTGGGACTTTGTGTTGCAGGAAACCCACTCTTCAGTTGCTTTGTCTCAGGGAGCAGCTCCAGGCTTGCTTACATGTCAAGGCTCCCTTTGGAGGAGGCTGGAGGCAGAGTAGGGAATATCCCAGTGCTATCCAGTGTCATCTTGGGAGTCAATAAAGTCACAGTAAAGGTGCAATGACTGGTAGTTCCCTCTGCCTAAAACACTCTTCCCCCAACCCTTTGCAGAAGCCCCCTCTTCTCAGAGCCTTGTCTCAGCCTCTTACAGAAAGGGGCCCTTCCAGCGAGCTCCTTTCTCCAACTCAGCCTTGTCTCTTCCCAATGGGGACCTTTTCCTGAAGTGGCTGAAGGCAATCGTTTGTTTATGCATTAATTTTCTGTTTCTCTTCCGCGGGGAGGGAGCTTGTCCTGCTGTCTTGGGCTGTATCTTCAAGCCTGCAAAAGTGCCTGGTGCATAGCGGTCACTCAATAACCATCTGTTGAATGGATGGCTTTTGCTGTGTGATTAAAGCAAATAAACCAAAGAAAGTCCTAGGTCAAAGAGTGGAGTCATCCCTGATTTTGACAAGTCCAAAAACAAGGAGAAATTATTCCTGAATTTATTTCCTAAAGAAAGAACGTGCATCAGCTATGATCCAAGAACATAGATCTTGTGGGATCCTTTGGCAATTTCTGCAGCAGGTGGATGCAGGAATGCTGGTGCAGATCCTGCCAGACCAGATGCCTGAGGACTGTCTCAAGAACTCTCACAACAACCCCCTGCAGGTTGTGTCCCTGTTCCAAGGTCAGCCGCAAGCCCAAACAATCCTGGGTCCCCTCCCCTGTAAAATCTGACCTTACTTGGCTCAGTTTCTCAGCTAGTTACAGTCACAAACCTTTCTGTCGTCTGTTCTGGCTGCCAAAACAACAAAATACCACACCCTGGGTGGCTTAAACAACATATATTTCCTTCTTACAGTTTTGAGACTGCAAGTCCAAGATTAAATTGCCAGCGGATTTAGTTCCTGGTGAGGGCTTTCTTCCTGGCTTTCAGACGGCTGCCTTTTTTCTGTGTTCTCATGTGGTGGAGAGCAAGCTCTAGACTTTATATCATCTTATAAGGGCACTAATCTCATCTTGGGGGCTCCACCCTCACAACATCATCCAATTACCTCATTAACTATTTACCTCCCAAAGACTCCACCTCCTAATACTATCACATTGAGGGGGTGCAGCTTCAACATGTGAATTTTGGGGAGATATAAGTATTCCGTCTATAACACTCTGATGCTAAACATTTGACAAATATTAACTTACAAGAACCTTGGGGCTGGTGCTACCATCACATCCCTATTCTTCAGGTGAATAAACTGAGGCACGGATGCTAAGGTTCTGATCCAAAGTCACACACATGTGAAATGGCACTGGGCTGGGACTGACTCAGGGAGTCTGTGCTCCTGACCACAAGGACAAACCATCCTTTATGGTTAACAAGTTGCTCTACCCCCATGTGTCCTTCTCTAGAGATGGGAGTTTACAGAGAATTTGGTGGCACCATGGAGTCCATCCTTTAAACATTATGAAGCATCCCAGGGTGGGAGAAACGTCTAGAAGTTGTCCTGAACTATGCCAAACATCCAGTGTGCCCAGCTGCTGCCATCGTTCTCAGAGAGTGAGTTTTCTTTTCTCCAAAACCCATGAGCTTTGGAACCAGAGAGCAAAGAGACTTGCAGAATGCCTGCCTCTGAATGGGATTATTCATAAGATTGGTTGGTCTTTCTTTCAGTGGATTCCATTTTTCAACGTTGGCACAGGCTTCTGTTCCCTGGAACGTCCTGTAGTTCACAAAGAGGTCTGCTTCCCAGCGGAACTCACTGAGGGCATCCCAGGGACACATCCATCCAGCTGATGTTTCTGCAGTGCCTGCTCCATGCAGGATATTCATCTGGTCATTATGAGGATGGCAGGGGAAGCTTAATATCTCACTGGGCAGCTGAGACAAGCAAGCATGGGCCACAGTGGAATAACACAAGATAGCATTGTTGAGCAAGAGGAGAGAAAGCTCCTGCATAAGGCCACCTCTTCCCTGGATTTATGCCACCCTCCAAAAGAGCAAAGAAGGGCCCAGTCTTCTGAACAAAACTCTGCCTCTCCTTCCCTCTCAACACTCACCATCTCTCCACCATCATTTTCCCTGAAACCAAGAGACTAATCTCACCCTGCTCCTTATCCCTGCTCATGCCCATGACTACAGGAAGGTCAGGAATCTCCTGTCTATCCCTGCCCTGATGCCTTTTCCCACTTTTCCCCAATGCCTGACATCCTTCCATTGACAGAAACCAAGGTCAATTGTTGGCAAAGTTCCTGTGTCCTCAGTCGCTTCTTGTAATGCTCTCCTAATTGTATTTACTAACCAAAACCTAGCCCTAGCCTTCCCCTGTCTGTCCCACAAATGGAAACTCTTTCCTCTGCCACAGGACACAGGCCTGGAGGCAGGCATTCTCTTCTGATCATCCTTCTCCCTCCTCACCTAAGCTTTCAGCTTTGACACTCATCTGGCCCTCCCAGTCCTTGTTGCAGAGATCTACCAACCCCAAGGCCACTCCATATATCCTTTAAGGATGTGCTCTCTGCTCTCACCAACATCACTGCTTCTCTTCATTTTTGTTGTATTCAATATCCATGTAGATATTCCTTTCAACACCCCAGCCTCTCAGTTCCTTGGGCTCCACTCATCTAATGACCTTTCCTCCATCCTATCTGGGACAGAGTCTCCACAGATGCCACCATCCATTGCTTCTCTCCCTGGATGAGCATGCTGCCCCTCACATCAGGAGATGAAGTTGAATTCCCTGCCCCTTGAATCCTAGTCCCAGTGATTTGCTTGATGAATAAAAAGCAGGATGACTCTTCTCAGAAGGCAGCCTCCATTCTGGGAGAAGCTCAAGCCACATGGAGAGACCAAGTGAGGACCTTCTGTTGCATCTCCAGCTGGGCTCCCAGCCAGCAGTATCTATGGCTGCCATGTGGGTCATCCAACATAGTTGAGCCTTCATATGAAATCAATCCCAGTTGCTATCTGACCACTAGCATATGGGAAACCCTAAGCAAGAATCACCCAGTTGAGCCTAGTCAATCCACAGAAATGTGAAAGATAATAATAAGTAGTTTTAAGCCACTAAATTTTTCCTTGGTTTGTCATTCAGCAATAGAAAATCCGAACAGAAGTTGGCACCTGGAAATGGAGTGCTGCTGGAACAAAACCCTAAAACATGTGGAACCGGGTTTGGGACTCTTCTGCTCACAATCATACTATACTTTAGTCTAGTCTCTCTAGTACCCTTCTAGATTCATCCCATTGTCTCCACAAACCTCTAATGCCTCCAGCAGAGAGCCCGAGGAACTGTGAGGAAAGGCTTGCAAAACAGTGAGGGAGTTGTTATCAGAGGCTGCAGAAGGAGACCACTGCCATGTACTGCTGAAAAGTTTGACATTGTCACCTGAAAAATAGAAAATATACATAACGAACTGTTGGACTTGGCTGTAAAATAAAACAAAATTTCAGGACCCTCTAAATTTATTATGCCAAGGGGAAAGGTAAGCTCTGGAGACTGAGTCAGTGGCATATTTGCAATTTTGTTTCTTAGACTATAGCTTAATTGTCTTCCTCATTGTTCTTGTTCTGTAAATGACTAGGAGAGACTAGAGACCAGACTTCCCTCCAGCTCCCATTCCAATCACTGATCTTTGTTATAGATTAACTGCCTCTTTATTGTCCTGTATCTAGCTCAGACCAGATGGTGTGAAAGACCCCATGACTGTTACATTGTCAGTGTGGAGTGATAAATATAGCTTTCCTGAAAGAAAAAGACCACCTTGGCAAATGAGATCGTTGCAACCATGCATGAAGCCTTATTTAGAAAGATGTTGAAATTCTGTTAAGCTTCCCTAAACTTTGTGTATATAAATGATCCCAAACATCTACACTTCAGAACACTGACTTTCATTCTTAAGAATCTGTGCTTCCTGCATGGGCCATCCACATACTTTGTTTTTGAAAAAAATTTCTTTAAACTAGATTCTGACCTTTTGATTATTTTAGGTTGACATGGCTTAGGAGATTCCAGATAGAATGTTGAAAGTGAAAACTGGTTTATTTTTGCCACATCTAGTAAGGTACTAGTACAGAGAGATGAACATTCTTTCTAGCTGGCAAGACTCTCAAAGGAAGATTCTCAAAATAAGAAATGGATTCAAGGTAAGCCAAGAGTGTGGCCTTTTGTCAAAACCTCAGAAATATTTAAAGGCATGCCTCATAGACCTTCTTAAATAGCTTCTAAGAATAGTAAGGGCATTGTTATACAGCACTTTAACTCTCAGCACAAGGAAGGGAGGGTCAGAGGAAGACCGTGTGGTCTTCAACGATGACCACCACTCATTCCTTCCATTGCATGCTCTTTGCATGAAGAAGTGGAGCCTAATCCTGCTCCCTTGAATCTGGAATGATCTCAGTGACTTTCTTGGTTAAGAGAAAATGGTGGAAGTGGTGTTCTGAGACCTTCACAGATAGGCCATAAGAAGCCTAGAAACTTCTGCTTGGGTCTTCTGGAATGCACTCTCCTCAGAAACTTGCTGCTATTTCCTGAGAAGCCCAGGCCTCATGGAGAGGTCAAGTGCAGGCACATCACTAAGGGGCTCCAGCTGAGCCCCTAACTGCCAGCCACCATCAACTGCCAGCCATAGGAGTGAGCCTCTTGGGTGCCAACATGTTGGCCTCTGGTTGACTTCAGCCCCCATCATTATATGCTGCAATCGGCCGAGAGACCCCAGGTGAGAACAGCCTCGTCAGGCCAGTCAACTCACAGAATTGTGAAATACAATAATGACTTGTTGTTTTTAAGCTACTAAGTTTTGGAGTGGCTTGTTATACAGCAATAGATAAATGGAACGATACCTCAAACAGTTACTCCCATTTTGAAGCCCTGGACCTTATCTTACCAATAATTGCAATGTCTCCCCATAACATAGAGTTCAAGCATTCTCACACTCCAACTACAAACTCTGGTCTATCCAGCTGACCCCTCTCATACCTGGACTCCAACCATCTTCAGCCCCACCAGGACCTGCAGTGCATTAGTGCTTCCACCTGTACACTCACCTCCCTTACCTGTGCTTTTTCTTGCCTCCTTACTCAGGGTCCTTTGTTATAACAGCTCCTCTGCATGTGTACTCAAATTCTGTAATGCTCTTCACTTCATCTTGCTGTTCTGGCACTCTCCACCTCAGTGCTGGTTAAGTCCAGCTCTCCCTCTCTCCCTGTCTCCAAGCCTTTACCTGCACAGCTGACCATGGCTGAAGAATAACTCACCCACTTGTACGCTGATTAGTCCTATTTGAAGTTCATGAGCACTAACTTCCCATGGCCCCTTGCTTCTGCCCATAGTCACACTATACTCATTTAATCCATGCTTTCTAGCATCTCCTAGATTCATCCCGTCTCCTCTGCAAACCTTTAATACCTCCCCAACACTGTGCAGACAGTCTCTTTGCCTATGAGCAGCAGCAAAAAGAAGGGAGCTCTCTGAGCTGCCAGCTCACCCCATCTTCCTGCATCTGTGCTTCATCACTCCACTTCTTTCCCTTCTTCGTGTGCCTACTAAGGGCAACCTCTCAATGTATCCACAAATCTTATCCTTTCTTGCCTACTCAAGACTGTTGCTTCAATGGTCCCATCTTCTCTCTCCTGTTCATCAATTTTTCCCTGTAATAAACCATTGTGCTAAGTATCTCTCACCTTAGAAACAGAAATATCTGACCACGCATTCCTCTCCGACTTCAACTCCAATTATCTGCTCTTTGTTGTCCAGACTTGATGTCTCCTGTTTCTTTCCTATTCTCTCTTTAGTCATCTCAAATCAGACTTTTGTCCCTACAATGTCACCAGAACAGACTTCTCAAGACCACTACTGACACCCATGATGCTATGTATCCAATTATTATTTCCACTGTTCATAGGACTATGAAGGTTCATATGAGCTATTTGGTCACTCGCAATACCGCTTAGACGTCAAGCTTTTCTGGGTTTCCTCTCACTTTATTGACTCCTTCTCAGTCCCCTATGCTGTTCCTCCTAATTTTTCAGACCCCTGGGCTCACTCCTCGGGTCTCTATTTACACTTGAGCACTTGGTTATGATATTGATTTATGGTTCAAAATAGCATCTATGTGGAATGACACCTAAATGGAACGTCCAGCCCAGAACTCTCTTGAACTTTGACTTGGCTACCCAACCATGTGCTCCACAGGCTACCAGAGACCTCACAGCAGTGACACCCCACGGGAAAAGAGGTGGGAATAATCTTGCTAGAGCAGAGGCCACAACTGATGTTTTGTCTGTAGAAATTTTTAAGTAATAATAATAATGTGAGCTAAGAGTCGGTATGCTTCTCATTATTACCCTGCAGCAGAGTTTCAAATCATATACTCAAATCAGCGTGTGCACTAACCTACTGTATTATTCCATTCTCATGCTTCTGTGAAGAAATACCTGGGGCTGGGTAATTTATAAAGAAAATAGGTTTAATTGGCTTATGGTTTCACAGGCTGTACAGGAAACATGATGCTGGCATATACTTGATTTCTAGGGAGTCCTCAGGAGACTTACAATCAGGGAGGAAGATGAAGGGGAAGCAGGCTTGTCTGACATGGCTGGAGCAGGAGCAAGAGAGAGAGAAGGCAGGTGCTACACACTTTTAAATAACTAGATAGTGTGATAACTCTAACATGAGAACAGCACCAAGGTGATGGTGCTAAACCATTCATGAAGGATGCAGCCCCATGACCCAATCACTCCCACCAGGCTCCACCCCCAACATTGGATATTACAGTTGGACATGAGATTTTGTGGGGACACAGATTCAAACCATATAATTCCACTCCTGACCCATTCCAAATCTCATGACCTTCTCACATTGCAAAATACAATAATGCCTTCCCCAAAGTCTTAACTCATTCCAGCATTAACTCAAAAGTCCAAAGTCCAAAATCTCATCTGAGACAAGACTAGTCCCTGCCACCTACGAGCCTGTAAAATAAAAAAAACAAGTTAGTTACTCCCAATATACAATGAGGGGGGTGGGGTACAGACATTGGGTAAATACTCTCATTCCAAAAGGAAGAAATCACATTGGGTAAATACTCTCATTCCAAAAGGAAGAAATCAGCCAAAATAGAGGGACTACAGGCCCCAATCAAGTCCGAAACCCCGCAGGGCAGTCATTAAACCTTAAAGCTCCAAAATAATCTCATTTGACTCAGTGTCTCACATCCAGGCCACATCAATGCAAGGGATGAGCTCCCAAGGCCTTGGGCAGCTTCACCTCTGTGGCTTTGCAGGATTTAGCCACTGCAGCTGCCCTCAAGGGCTAGCGTTGAGTGCCTACAGCTTTTCTAGGTGCATGGTGCAAGCTGTTGGTGGCTCTACCATTCTGGAGTCTGGAGGATGGTAGCTCCCCTTCCCGCAGTTCCACTAGGCTGTGCCCTAGTGGAGACTCTGTGTGGGGCCTCTAACTGTATACTTCCCCTCTGCACTGCCCTAGTAGAGGTTCTCTATGAGGGTTCTACCCCTACAGCAGGCTTCTGTCTGGGCATCCAGGCTTTTCCATACATCTCTGAAATCTTGGTGGAGGTTCCCAAGATTCAACTCTTGCACTCTGTGCAACTGCAGGTTTAACACCATGTCAAAGCTGCCAGGGCCTACAGTTTGCATCCTCTGAAGCAGCAACATGAGCTGTACCTGGGCCCCTTTTAGCCATAGCTGGAGCTGGAGTATCTGGAATTCAGAAAGCAGTGTCCCAAGGCTGCACAGGGTGAGCCATGAAGGTCTCTGAAGTGGCTTCGAGGCCCTTCCCCCATTGTCTTGGCTATCAGCCCTTGTCTTCTTTTTACTTAGGCAAATTTCTGCAGCCTGCTGGAGTTCCTCCTTTGAAAACAAGTTTTTCTTTCCTACCACATGGCCAGGCTGCAAATTTTCCAAACTTTTATGCTTTGCTTCTCTTTTAAAAATATGTTCCAGGGTTAGGTCATTTCTTTGCTCAAGCAAATGAACATAGGCTGTTAGAAGCAGCCAGCATATATCTTGAACTCTTTGCTGCTTAGACATTTCTTTCATCAGATACCCTAAATAGTCACTCTCAAGTTCAAAGTTCTACAGATACCTCGAGCAGGTGCATAATGCAGCCAGGCTCTTTGCTAAAGCATAGCAAAAGTGACCTTTACTCTAGTTCCCAATAAGTTCCTAATTTCCATCTGAGACCTCCTCAGTCTGGACTTCACTTTCCATATCACTATCAGCATTTTGGTCACAATCATTAAATAATTATCTAGAAAATTCCAAATTTTCCCTCATCTTCCTATCTTTTTCTGATCTCTCCACATTCTTCCAACCTCTGTCTGTGTGTCTGTTACCCAGTTCCAAAGCTGCTTCCACATATTTGGGTATCTTTATAGCAATGCCCCATTCCTGGTACCAATTTTCTGTATTAGTCCATTCTCATTCTGCTATAAAGAAATACCTGAGACTGGGTAATTTATAAAGAAGAGAGGTTTAAGTAGATGATGGTTCTACAGGCTACACAGGAAGCATGATGCTAGCATCTGCTCAGCTTCTTGGAAGGCCTCAGGAAACTTACAATCATGGCGGAAGGCTAAAGGGAAGCAGGCTCATCTTACATGACCAGAGGAGGAGCAAGAGAGAGGGACATAGGTGCTACACACTTTTAAACAACCAGATCTCATGAGAACTCTATCACGAGAACAGCACCAAGAGGATGGTGCTAAACCACTCGTGAGACTTCCGCCTCCGTGATCCAGTCGCCTCCCACCTGGCCCCACCTCCAACACTGGAGATTATAATTCGATGTGAGATTTGGTGAGGACACAGATCCAAACCATATCAATCATACTTGACATCCTCTTTCATACCCGTTCTCTCATGCCTTTTCCATGACAACAAATGCCACCTTTCTCCTTAGGCCAGCACCTGGGAGCCACCCCGTCCCTGTTTCTCGGGTACCCCATGGCCTGTCGTTCAGTACACCTGACCAACGCTGCCTCCAAAAAGCAGTGCTGCCTCCTTGTCTACACCATCCTACCTCTCATGTGGATTCTGCACCGACTCCTCCCCGGCCTCCCAGCAGGGGTGTGTTCTGTGCAGGGCTCAGAGCTACCCTCTAAAATATCAATCAGATCACGTCATTCCTCAGCTCAGAAGCCTCCAGTGGTGTCCCATCTCCCTAGGACCAAAAGCCAGATCCTTCTAAGGGCCTGGCAGGCCTGCCATGATGCACTCTGTCTTCTCTTCCCTCCTCTCCTGATGTTTCCTGTGCTCTCGGCTCCAGCCTCAGCTGCTTCCTGACAGCCCTGTGGATGTGCAGGTGTGTTCCCACCTGGCTCTGTGCAGGCCTGGAGTCCACAGCCCAGTCCTCAGTGTTGGGGACAGCTGGAAAGCCACAGTGGGATGGGGTCCTGTCAAGCCCAGCTCTAAGTGGGGTAGAGGGGTGTGGGGTATGGTCTGCGGGCCATTCATCACTTGGGCCTCCTGCCACTGCTGTGGTGCCCGCCGGCTGCCAAGAGCTCTGGTACAGGAGGGAACCTTGATGGATCACCCTGCAGAGTGGCTGCCCTAAGCTCCCCTCCTGTGAATTAGTGCTGGGTGGCACTGGTGCAGCACAGCCGGCTGATGGATAGGACAGCCTGGCACAGCCTGGAATGCAGAGAGCCACTCATTTTCATAGAGGAATTAAAAGGGATTCTGCTTAAGAAATAAATCTTGGACACCGCTCTTGGTGGCTCACTTTTTTGGAGTGCTTCTCCTTAAACTCCTGGGAGAAACCCCTGCCCCCACCTGCCTGTGTGGCTTTCAGAGGGTCTGGCCTGGAAAGGGCTGAGTGTCCGTCTGTCCAGCACTGTCTCTCACTTTATAGGTGGTAAAACTGAGGCTCAGAGAAGGGGCATGATGAGGGCCTCAAGTCTAATCGTCAGCGATGTCAGGACTAGAGCTCCGTCTCCTGACCCACACCAGGCGGCTGCTCCCATGGTTTCTCTCAGGGGCACTGACACATCCCCTTGCCCATGAGCGTTCCTCCTTCAGTGACCTGTCACTGTGCCTTCAGGATTCCCTTCACGAATCCTGTGGGTCAGAACCTAGAGACAGAGGAGTCTTCCTGCACTGCCGTCCTGCCCCTGGGCTCTGAGTGGGGTTCTCAGGATCTAGGAAGACAGGAAGGAGCCACGGAGGGAACGGCGGTGCTGGAGAAGATGGGAGCCGGGGCTCCAGGGTCCCATTGTGGGAGCCAGACCGCATCTGCTCTTTCTCACTACTGTCCCCTGGCACAGAGCCAGGCACGGAATGAGTCCGCCACTTGTTTGTTGAATGAATACATGCAAGCGTGGACGACTGCCTGGAGTAGGTGTGTGACGCACGGTGCTGGAGGGTGAGCGGCCTTAGGCTGGTGACAGCCATCCTTGAGGCTTCTGTCTATTGAATGCTTCCTACAGGCCAGGTCCACTACAGGAACTTTAAATGCCCAGTGGGGAAACCGAGTTATAGGACAGGAATTGTTACCCGCGTGGTACCAATGTGGCCAAAAACTACCTTTGGGACCTGATGGGCCCCTTCCTTTCCCACCGGCTGCCAGGGATCCCTGGAGTCTTCTGTCTTATCAGGGCAGCAGGCTCAGCCCCATCAGCCCTGGGACGCCTGGCAGCATGGGGGGTGTGAAAGTTTCCTTCTAGGATTGGTTGAGTGTGGGAGTGACTCGGGAGTTTAATTTTGTAGAGAAGCACAGAAGGCTTCCTGGGAAGATGTCTTATTGGGTTAAGTTCAGATGTCCCTGGAGGACAGACCTGTCCCCACCCTGGGTGCCCACTCAGGGATGTTCCCTGGTCCCCTCTGAGGGCGGCTCTCTGCAGCGGATGATTCTAAGCGGAAGCTAAAGGCTGGAGCCGTCTGTCCACCGCACCCATGCTCCCTCTCCCAGGAAAGTGCAGGCAGGGCCCGGAGCTCACACATCTCAGAGGAGCAGTGAGATTTTTCGAAGGGAGGTCTCTAATCTCTGTTGGGACATCCCCCGGGGGCATATGGCCCTCCTACTAGCCTCTCTCTCTGCTTTAGTTTCCTTGCCCTGAATTCTTACCCTTTGAAGCAGTGAAGGAGCCTCTGTTGTGGACTCCTCCTGCCTGGGAGGCCCTGGAGGCAGAGGACTGGGCCTGGGATCTTCTTTTCCTGTCTGTCCTTTCGGCCCTGAGGCTCTGAGGCCCCTCAAGAGGCGGCACCGACCACAGATTTCCCAGTGGGAAAACTACAAATGCCTTCAACCGCATCCCCACCGTAAAAATATCTTGGCTGGGTTTCTTGGAGGCGAGCGGATGGTGCCAGGTTGCGTGGAGAACGGCTTCCTGGCTGGTACTCAGATGCGAGAGTCACTTCTGGGTGCAGCCAGGGTGACAATACCCTGCCGGCGTGTCCAGAAAAAGGCACCTTGGCAAGGCCTTTGGTTCTGGCGGCAGCTTGGTGTCTGCAGACGGGAGCCGGAGGGTCCCAGGCAGGGGCCAGCTCTCATTAGCAAGGATTTGTGTCCAACCGTTTCCTACGGGGCAGCTTCCAGACAAGGGGACGCGGTGTTTACAATGCACAGGCCATCTTCAGGGAGAAGAAATTTCATCATTACCATTTCAATTAAAATTGTTCTTTGAAGCGTCAGGTCCTAAGGCACAGCTATGGAATTCCAGAACACCCTAGGGCATGTATTGAAACAATGGGTCCTAACGCGCACACACACGGCTGCCCCTGGGAAACTGCATGCTGGGCAGGTCCGTCTGTCTGTCCTGCAGCCTAGGATGAAGCTAGAGGCAAGGAGGGTTAAGAACAGGTTCCTAAGTGAACGCATTGTCAGGAAAGTGAGGCGGCACCAGCCATGCGGCCGCGCCAAGCTCCCCTGCCCCTTGCGGTTATATTACAACAAGTATTTTTTTCTAATTTAAAGTACTCCATGCTCATGATAGAGAGTTTGGAAAATTCAGAGAAATACAAAGGAATATAAAAATGCAATCAAAATTGGTCCTTGATCCTATCTCAAAAGATGGCTGCAGTTAAGATTTTCTTTTTTTATCTTTTGCATCCTTTTCTATATATATTAAGTCTAAATAGCACAAAATTGGAATAATATTGTATACTTACGATTGGATCTCAATTTTTATTTTAATCTAACACTATTGAAAAATTATTTTTCCTGTATCTTAAAATGCTCTTTGAAAATAGGAGAGTTTTGATGGCTATATAACCCTTTTCTGGGTCTCCCATGGAGTATATATAATTTCCATGACTTGAGCCCCCCTGTGAGTTGTCCTAGGAGGTCACATGGACAGTGATAAGCTGTTTCTCATTCTATCCTGTGTGCGTTTATGGGGCACCTATGAATGCCCCGCTGGGAGCAAGGACTCTGCAGTCTGATGAGCTCAGCCCTATCTGGTGCCCCCTCCCTCCAGCCACCTCCTGAATCTCTGCAGTTGGTCTTCAGGTCACATGGCATCCACTGGAAGCTTCCAGGTGCTTCCTGCCCTACCCTGTTGGGGTGCAGAGAGCGGGCCTTCGAGGGAGAAGGAGCAATGGATTCCACATGCCCAGAGGCTTCTAGGGTTTCGGGGAAATAGGTTTTGGAGGAGGGAGGACAGCACAGTGTGACCCTGGAGTCAGACACTCCTGGGGTCGGCCCCGAGCTGCCCTTCACCACCGTTCTGTATCCTTGGACAACCCTTTGCCCTCCGTCTTCTCATCTGTGCAATGGTTGCTGTGAGGATCCCATGACTTGGCATGGAGCCTGACACTGCGGAGCTGTGGAATCAAGGCTGAATATGGATAAAGCTTTCAGTTTTCCTCTGTGCTTCTCAGTCTCTGGCACTGGGAGCATTTGGGTGGCCGTGTGGGGGTGGAGTGGGGCGTGGGGTAGAAGGTCTTTCTCTGGATGACACAGGCTTGGCTGCTGTGTTGAGATGGTCCTAAAAGGCATGAGTCCACTCCCTCACTCAGCCCACCAATTTCCCAGGGGTTCCTCTTCCTCTGAGACCCAGGAGAGAACAAGCTGAGGGCAAACAGTGACATGGAAATAGCTAGGAACACTCCTGCGACAGATATCAGAGAGCACAAGCCACAGTGGCTTAATAACTGCCATTCATTTTTCTTCTGTAACAAGAGATCTGGAGGTTGGTGGTGGCTGGAGTCTGTTCTGGTGCTCAGTTATTTCAGCACAGCCCTAGGATTGGTCTAGCCTCCACTCAGCCTGTCTTAGCATGATGTTTCCTTGATTTTAGTGTTCTCCTCAGGCTTGTTGCCTTGTGATCCCAAGATAGCTGCCATAGCTCCAGGCAATGCATTTGTGTCCACGGCAGAGACATATTGAATATTCCATTTTTATCAGAAGTTGACTGTCTTGACAGTACCAAGCCATGCTTCCCTCATCTTTTGTGGGGTCCACCTCTCACTCTAGAGAACTCTGAGAAACAGGCACTGTGACACCTTCCTCTGCTCAGGATGCTGTGTAGACTTGGCATGGAGTGCAAACGTCATTCATCTTTGCGGGATACCCCACAGATGAGAAGACGGAGGGTAGAGGGTTGTCCAAGGATACAGAACGGTGGTGAAGGGCAGCTCGGGGCCGACCCCAGGAGTGTCTGACTCGAGAGTCACACTGTACTGTCCTCCCTCCCCCAAAACCTATTTCCCCCGAATCCTAGAAGTCTCTGGACATGTGGAATCCATTTAACCTTCTCCCTTGACGGCCCCCTCTCTGCATCCCAACAGGGCAGGGCAGGACAAGCACCTGGAAGCTTCCAGTGGATGCCGTGTGACCTGAAGACCAACTCCAGAGATTCAGGGGGTGGCTGGAGGGAGGGGGCACCAGATAGGGCTGAGCTCATCAGACTGCAGAGTCCTTGCTCCCAGTGGGGCATTCATAGGTGCTCCATAAATGCACACAGGATGAATGAGAAACAGCTTACCTAGGACAACCCACAGAGGGGCTCAAGTCATGGAAATTATATCAACTCCACGGCTGACCCAGAAAAGGGAATATTATCTAGCCATCAAAACTCTCCTTTTTTTTTTTTTTTTTTTTTGGGACAGAGTCTGGCTCTGTCACCCAGGCTGGAGTATAGTGGTGCGATCTTGGCTCACTGCAACCTCCACCTCCCGGGTTCAAGTGATTTTTCTGCCTCAGCCTCCCGAGTAGCTGGGATTACAGGTGCGCACCACCACACTCAGCTTATTTTTGTACTTTTAGTACAGACAAGGTTTCATCATATTGGCCAGGCTGGTCTTGAACTCCTGACCTCGTGATCCACCCACCTGGGCCTCCCAAAGTGCTGGGATTACAGGCGTGGGCCACTGTATCTGGCAAAATAATTTTTCAATAGTGTTAGATTAAAATAAATATTGAGATCCAATCGTTAAGTATACAATTTGGGAAGCTCTCCTGGCACAGCAGAGAAATGGCAAGGAGCTTTGAGCAGGGCTGGACTTGGGTTCAAATCCTGACTCAGTCACTTTCTAGGCAAGTGACCTTGGAGAAAATGATATTTGTTCCCCTCTGACCCTCCGTTTAGCCATCGTCCATAGGGTGGTAACTCCTGCACTGAAGGGGTGCCACAACAAGGAGGTTGGGCCGTGCTCTCTGTAGAGTGCCTGACTTGCTCTAGGGGCCCCAGACAGCCACAGCTGTTGTTGTCAGTAGCCTTGAACCCTCACAGGCATGGGACTGGAGACGGTGAAGGGGAACAGAGCACAGAATCAAGCTGCCTCTTTCAATTAAGGGATGTGTTAAACGGGTTATGATGGAGGAAATGAGTGCATGATGGAAAATCATCAGTATCAGACCCCAGGGACTCATCTCAGCCTCCAGGGACGGGGGTGGTGTGAACGCACGGAGAACAGTCCTGCACGCTGGCCGTCGTGGAGAGACTGGGAACAAGCGATTAGAGCCGACCAGTTTGCAGCCTAGCTTAGGAGGAAGCACAGAAGCAGATCTAGGTAATTTATGCATCTCTGTGTTACAATCTGTCCTTATGAATATAGATACCCACGAATGTGGATTGTCCTTGATAATTGCTCTCAATGTCATCTTTTTAATGAAAATTAAGTGCTTCAGTAGCACTAAGTAGGAGCTTTGCTGACACATTTAATTGCTGCACGGGGAGTTGATAACCTCATTTAAAAGCAAGGAAAACCTTGGGAGAATTGAATATGGCTCCATTTAAAACCGTGGGTCCCATTAACTTTAAAGACAAAAATATTTTCTGAGTTACTGTTGCCTGATTGTACTTCCCTTTATTTTACCTCAAAGGGAAGTGATGAATTGATTACTACACAATCTGTTTTTTAATCTAGGCTTCCGTATAACGTGTTACCTGGAGCCAGTGTTTCCTGGCTCTCCCGTTTCCCTTGAAGCTGATAAGACTGCGTCCCAGAGAGAAAAGGAAACTGCAGTGTCTGGGTTTCTGTCTATCAAGGTTTCCTTTTGATTGTAGGTTAGACTTGAGGTTTACCTTTGTTCACAAGGTGTACTAAATTTAGCACCACAAGGAATGCATATGAAAAGAAACAGTTGGCTGGGCGCTGTGGCTCACACCTGTAATCCCAGCACTGTGGGAGGCCTAGGTGGGTGGATCTCGAGGTCAGGAGTTCAAGACCAGCCTGACCAACATGGTGAAACTCCGTCTCTACTAAGAATACAAAAAATTAGCCCAGTATGGTGGCAGGCATGTGAAATCCCAGCTACTCGGGAGGCTGAGGCAGGAGAATCACTTGAACCCAGGAGGCAAAGGTTGCAGTGAGCCGAGATCACACCACTGCACTGCAGTCTGGGCTACACAGTGAGATTTTGTCTCAAGAAAAAAAAAAAAGAAAGAAAGAAAGAAAAGAAAGGGTTAATGGTTAACTGATCAGGGGAATAATTAGTCAAGATCATTAGCACACTCTTTGCACCCAAACGATACTATTAATTGGAAGTGATTCTTGTCTGTTTATTGAGATGGGTTTCCTCAGCTCGTCAAGGATAGAGCAACCAGTTAAAAGAAATCTTCTGAAGTAATCAATTGAAAGCCTTTACTATCCTAGAATGTTTTCCTACAGTAAGCCCAAATTAATGAGATTTATTGTATTCAAACTCAGAGGCTTATGTTGGTTTGTTTTTCTCTTTTTCTACCTTAAATCTCCTAAAAAGAAAAGGCTTTGCAAAAAATGATCTCTTGAGAAGTGACTGAAAGAGGAAATGTCACTCACCTGGTGGATAATGTGTGTGGCAATTATTCTGGATAAAAAGCGTGCTGTGTGGCATCTGGGGATAGCAGAGCATCAGGGACTGAATTATTTCCTCTCCAATTTATCTGTTGAAGTTCCAACCTCCAGTACTACAGTGTGTGGTATATTTGGAGATGGGGCCTTTGAAAAGGTGATTAAAGTTAAAACAGGGCATTGAAGGGGTACCCTAATCCAATAGGGTGGGTGTCCTTATAAGAAGAGGAGATTTGGACACAGACACATACAATGGGATGACCATATGAGGACGCAGGGAGGAGACAGTATCTACAAGCCAAAGAGAGAGCCCTCAGGAGGATCCAGCTGATATAGATTGGCTGTGTCCCCACCCAAATCTCATCTTGAATTGTAGCTCCCATAATCCCCATGTATCTTGGGAGGGACCCAGTGGGAGGTAATTGAATCATGGGGATGGGTTTTTCCTATGCTGTTCTCATGATAGTGAATAAGTCTCATGAGATCTGATGGTTTTATAAAGAGCAGTTCCCCTGCACACACTCTCTTGCCTGCCACCACGTAAGACATGCCTTTGCTCCTCCTTCACCTTCTGCCGTGATTGCGAGGCCTCCTTGGTCATGTGGAACTGTGAGTCCATTAAACCTCTTTTTCTTTACAAATTACCCAGTCTCGGGTATGTCTTTTTTAGCAGTGTGAGAACAGACTAATACAGTAAATTGGTACCAGTAGAATGGGATACTGCTATTAAGATACCTGAAAATGTGGAAGTGACTTTGGAACTGGGTAACAGGCAGAGGTTGGAAGAGTTTGGAGGGCTCAGAAGAAGACAGGAAGATGTAGGAAAGTTTGAAGATTCCTAGAGACTTGTTGAGTGGTTTTGACCAAAAAGCCCAGGCTGAAGTGGGCTCAGATGAAGATGAGGAACTTTCTGGGAACTGGAGCAAAGGTGATTCTTGCTATGCTTTAGCAAAGAGACTGGTGGCATTTTGCCCCTGCCCTAGAGACCTTTGGAGCTTTGAACTTGAGAGAGATGATTTAGGGTATCTGGTGGAAGAAATTTCTAAGCTGCAAGCCATTCAAAATGTGACCCTGCTCTTAAGAGCATTCATTTTTATTCATTTACAAAGATATGGTTTGGAATTGTAACGTATGTTTAAAAGGGAGGCATAGCATAAAAGTTCAGAACATTCACAGCCTGACAATGTGATAGAAAAGAAAAACCCATTTTCTGAGGAGAAATTCAAGCCGGCTGCAGAAACTTGCAAAAGTAACGAGGAACCCGATGTAAATCGCGGAACCCAATGTAAATCGCAGCAGAGACACTGGGGAAAATGCCTCCAGGGCATGTTAGAGGTCTTCAAGGCAGCCCCTCCCATCACAAGCTGGGAAGCCTGGGGGAAAAAATGGTTTCGTGGGCCAGCCCAGGGCCTTGCTGCTTTGTGTAGTCTTGGAACGTGGTGCTTTGCATCCCAGTTGTGGCTAAAAGGGGCCAACATACAGCTCAGGCTATTGCTTCAGGGCATGCAAGCCTCAAGCCTTGGCAACTTATACGTGGTGTTGGGCCTACAGGTGCACAGAAGTCAAGAATTGAGTTTTGAGAACCTCTATCCAGATTTCAGAGGAAGTATAGAAATGCCTGGATGTCCAGGCAGAGGTGTGCTGCAGGGGTGGAACCCTCATAGAGAACCTCTGCTAGAGCAGTGCAGAAGGAAAATGCAGGGTCAGAACCCCCACACAGATTTCCCACTGGGCACTGCCTAGTGGAGCTGTGAGAAGAGGGCCACTGTCTTCCAGACCCCACAATGGTAGATCCACTCACAGCTTGCACCGTGCATCTGGAAAAGCTGCAGACACTCAATGCCAGCCCGTGAAAGCAGCCAGGAGGGGGGCTGTACCCTGCAAAGCCACAGGGATGGAGCTGCCCAAGGCCATGGGAGCCCACTTCTTGTATCAGCATGACCTAGATGCGAGACCTGGAGTCAAGGGAGATCATTTTGGAGCTTTAAGATATGACTGACCTACTGGATTTCTGACTTGCATAGGACCTGTAGTCCCTTTGTTTTGGCCAATTTCTCCCATTCATGATGAGTGTATTTACCCAATGCCTGTATCCTCATTGTATCTAGGAAGTAACTAACTTGCTTTTGATTTTACAGGCTCATAGGCAGAAGGGACTTGCCTTGTCTCAGATGAGACTTTAGACTGTGGACTTTTGAGTTAATGCTGAAATGAGTTAAGACTTTGGGGGACTGTTGGGAAGGCATGATTGGTTTTGAAATGTGAGGACATGAGATTTGGGTGGGGCCAGGTGTAGAATGATATGATTTGACTGTGTCCCCACCCAAATCTCATCTTGAATTGTGGCTTCCATAATCCCCATGTGTTGTGGAAGAGACTTGGTGGGAGGTAATTGAATCATGGGGGTGGGTCTTTCCCATGCTGTTCTTGTGATAGTGAATAAGTCTCACAAGATCTGATGGTTTTATAGAGGATAGTTCCCCTGCACATGCTTTCTTGCCTGCCACCATGTAAGATGTGCCTTTGCTCCTAATTTGCCATCTGCCGTGATTGTGAGGCCTCTCCAGCCATGTGGAACTGTGAGTCCATTAAACTTCTTTTTCTTTATAAATTACCCAGTCTCGGGTATTTCTTCATAGGAATATGAGAATGAACTAATACACCAGCCCTGCCCACACTTTAATTTTGGACTTCCAGAGTGTCATGGGGGAAGGATGATTGGTGTGTTTGTGGGCGGGGGGGGGGGGGGCTGTGGGGGGAGGGGCCGGTAAAAGAATTTACCAAGACAATTGTAGGTCAAGGAAGGTAGATTTATTAGAGAAAGTAGGAAAATGCATTGCCAGAGAGACAATGGGCAAGTCAGCAGATGCTGACTGCAAAGAAACAAAGGCTTGCTGGAGATTGTATAGGATAGTGTTCACGCTGTCTGTTGACGAGGGCTTTGCGTGGTACTAATAACACCAAGTTTGCAGTGAGCCAGCTTGCAGGTGTGTCTAGTGATAGTTGGGCGCAGGAAGATTGTGAGTTATTTGTGCAGAAGGGCTACGTGTTCTGGACCATGGAAAGGCAGATGTATGGCTTATCTGCTTTCTCTTTTTGCTTTCCCTTGATTCTGCCTGCATGAGCCTTTTCCCTAATTCATACTCCACACAGAGTTCAGAACTGTAAGAAAACAAACCTCTTTTGTTTAACCTGCCCTGTCTATGATACTTTGCTATGCAGCCCAAGCTGAGGAATACACAGAGGAAACTTTCACAGCCACAGGGAGGGGGTCCTGGGAGAGGAGCCTCTGTGGCTGGGAACCCCCATCTGTCATACGCTAATCTGGAATAATGCAATTGTCAATCCACTTATGTGACATCTGTTTAGTTGATAATTCTTGGGGGTTGGCAGGTGGAGGAAGCAGTCACGAGTGGAAGGGAGGTTGGGGAGTGAGGAGGCACCTTATGAAAGGTGAGGATGAGGATGTGCAGAAAGGGATTCTGACCATGCCCAGAAGAAGAGTGCAGTCCTGGGGTCTTAGCCCCATTTTTCTTGAAAACGTTTTTTTGTGGGTAAATATTATGTTTCTTTATTACAAACCAAAGAAACATAATGACCTACAGTGAACAATAGTTAATTCTGGGTGGTGGATACTGGTGTTTGGCATATAGGTTCTCTATACTTTTCTATATTTATATCTCTTTAAAAAATCTTTTAAAATTTATTGTTACAAATAATTTGTATATTATGGGGTACGCTATGATGTTTTAATCTGTGTGTATGTTGTAGAAAGATTCAATCAAGCTAAATAACATAGTCATCCCTTTCACCAACTTATTTTTTTGTGGTGAGAATGTTAATCTATTCTTTTAGTAATTCTGAAATATGCAGTATGTTATTATTAACCATAGTCACCATGCGGTGCAATAGATCTCTAAAACTTAGTCCTCCAGTCTAACTGAGACTTTGTATCTTATATATATTAGGATACAAAGTGTTTTATTGTAGACAATTTCAAACATAAGCCCTGATGTGCTCATCACCAGCTACAAACATCATCAATGTATGAATGGCCAGCCCTGTTTTCCCTGAACCCCCACCTACTTCTGGCTCCTCCCTGGGATCATTGTGAAATGAATCCTAGGCTTTGTGTCATTTCATCCAACAATATTGGAGCATGTATCTCTAAAGGTGGTGAAGTTCTCTTGAAACAGCTAGGAAATCAGTATCCCAACCCAAATATTTTAACCACAATTCCTTAGTCTGAAGAATTTTAGCCCAAGCTACTGGTGAACTTTCCTCCCCTAGGAACATCGTTTGATTATTACCAAAGGGCAACCTCCTTGAGGGAGGAGAAGACAGCCCTCCCCTTCTCAGCCTCCCCCGCCCCTGCCCGCTGTGCTGAGCCCTTTACAATGCTATGGGTGACAAGGAATCTTTGATGATCCAAAATTGCGTAATGACCGTCCATCATGAACCTGGCTTGTCATGTCACCAGCTTGGCTGTGATCACCTATTTCAGGGCAGGGGCCCTGGTACATTAGCAAAATCTCGTAGAACCTTGTCCCTGATTGGTTCATCTCAGTTGCCACTCCGATGACCTTAACGCGGCATTTTTCACCTGGCAGTGCATTGGAGATGCGTGGAGAGGCTTAAAACCATGACACCCAGCCCCCACCCTGAGACCCTGATGACTGTGGCTTACAGAGGGGGCCTGGCAGCATCTCTTGGGGTGATTCTAATGGGAGCCAGGTGGAGGACGCTGGCTCCTGGCTTTTAACCACTGTGGACCACAGCCTCAGGCTTCTGTATCCATTCATGTGTGTGTGTGTGTGTGTGTGTGTGTGTGTGTGTGTGTGTGTGTGTGTTGTGGGGGAGAGGCGAGGCCGTGTCTAATCCAACTAAGTGAGGAGACATTAAATAATTTTTTATAAACTGTGTTTGTAAAAAGAACATAAATCTAGATCTTTTGAAGAAACAAATGCAGTGCTTTGTTATAAAACAACCACTGTTATATGTAAACAAACAAAATTTAATCCACTAGAGTTTACAAGACCAGTTTACTTTTGCAGAATAACTAACTTTTATACCAAAGATCAGACAAGATAGTGAGCATTTCCCAGCCTCTCATTACTTGTCAAGTACTAAGGCACCTGCAATCACCGTCTTTAATCCCTGCAACAACCCTATGGTGTGGGAGGTTTAATTACCCTCCACTTTACAGGTTGGGGGACTGAGGCCTGGAGAGGTTGCTAAGCTCACACAGCTAGTAAATGGCCCAGCCACGAAACAACTCAGGTGAGAGTAGGGAGGTGGCTTGAGGGGAAAGATGGGCTTTTGTTTTTGAGTAAGTATGCATCCTTTCAGCTGTTCTCTGTCTTACTGAAAGTATAACCCAGTCCCACACAGGTGGTGGGGGTGGGCTTCTGTTTGGTCCAGGAATTTGCCAGAGATTAGATGGGTGTTTACAGACTGGGATAGGGTAGAGAGTTCCTGATAACAGGGAGCAGACAGGTCAATTCAGAGTTTGTAGGAAGGGCACGGTCTTGGTTCAGGAAGAGCATCTATGGACGTGAAGACACAAAGGAACAGAGGCCAGCTTCCAGGGCACAGCCAGCAGACCGAGGCCAGCAACTGGGCTAAAGATAGATGACTGAGAGCCAAAGGATCTAGGGCTCCATGAACACAGGCTGGGGCGTGTAGCCGCTCTTGAGGGTGAGCTGCCATGAGATGCCTGGTGGGCCAGTGGCCACCCCCGAAGGTTCAGGGTGTGCCCTTTGGGCCATCAAAGGGATCAAGTAGAATTGTCATTGAGCCAGTTAGAGGGCCAAGGAGGCTCTGTTGAGACATCCTCTTCAGAGAAAGCAAATTGGTCATGCAAAGCACAGGTGAGCTGATGTAACAAGTGAAGTCCTGTGCTGTGGTCTGAGTATTTGTCCCCCAAAGCTCTTGTTGAAATTTGATCTCCACTGTTGGAGGCGAGGCCCGGTGGGAGGTGTTTGGGTCATGGGAGCGGGTCCCTCATGAAGGTTTTGGTGTTGTCCTCAAGGTAATGAGTGAGTTCTCCCTCTACTAGTTCCCATGAGAGCCGGTTGTAAGAAAGAGCGGGCAAACTTCCCCTGTCTCTCTTGTGTCTTCTCTCCCCTTGTGGCCTCTGCACACCTGGCTCCATTTTACCTTCCACCATGAGTGGAAGCAGCCTGAGGCTCTCACCAGATGCCCAATCTTGCCACCAGCAGAATCGTAAGTCAAATAAACTTTTTTTTTTTTTAATAAATTACTCAGCCTCAGGTATTCCTTTATAGAAATACAAACGGACTAAGACATCGTGCTTGGTGCAGGAATGGTCCAGGAGGTTTTTGACTCCAGGAAGGGACTCAGGCCAGGCTCTGGGCTTTGGATGTAAGCTCAGAGCTTACTTCCTCATTGACAAACAGTTAAGTCTATTTCGGAAACAGATATAACTTGTACCTGTGGTTTTACTAATCTCTTTATAATAGACAATATTTATAGTAATGACATGAATAATGCACATCGTTATTTTAATCAAAAGTTACACTGTTACAGAAAAAGCACATGAGACCGGAGTAGACGCTGAAATCTGGCTTTGTGAGCCCAGCCTCCTGCAAGGTCGGCCTGGGGGCCTGGCAGCTCTGCCGCCTCGCTGCGCCCCCGGTGGCCATTAGTGGAATTGCAGGCACTGCACCTGATAGGCACCAGCTGTGCAGAACTGCACTGAGATCATTTATATTCATCTAGCATTTGTGTAACTTTACTATCTCTCCTCTAGCTTTTAAACCCAGTTACTATTTCTTACTCGCTTCACTCACTCATTCTTTCATTCAACAACTATGGATGGGTTTTGTGCTTCAGGGTCTTGGTGATGGAACTCTGTTGGTGAAACAGACAACAGCCCGTCTCCATGGAACATACATTCCAGGGACCATAAAGGGAACAGAGCAGGCTTGTCCAAGGACCAGCCAGAGGTCCAAGCAGTGAGAGGACAAGAGCAGGAGGAACAGAGGTGCAAAGGAGGACTGAGAGGAGAGGAGTTCCTGTTTAAATCCACCCACAGAGGGAAGTCATTGTTGGCTTTAAGCCCAGTTGTGACCTGACACTCATTGCTTTGAGAATTCTGCATGGCCTGCTCTGCAGAGAATGGATGGTAGAGGGGGAGGCGGAAGAGGGAAATCCTATAGGAGGCTGCAGCAGACGGCTTTGGGCTAGGGTGGCCGCTGTGATGGAGAGGGAGGGGTGGATGGAGAGAAAACCTAGATGTGGAATGGCAGGTGCAGGATTGGATGCGGGAAGGGTAGGGGAGAAGCAGACTGGCTGTGCAGGTGCTCGGAGGAGGCAGGGAGACTGGGAGGGGTTGGGGGAGGGTGTGTCCCTTATGTTCTAAACACAAAGCCTGCCAGGCTTTTGGTTAATGTTTGAAAAAGAGAAGTGTCAGGCCTAAGAGGAGCGGCTGCTTTCTTGTGGTGTGTAAACAGAAGCCTCTTAGGAGGACTGAAATTTTGGAAGGGGTGGCATACTGTCTGTCAGACAAAAAGTTTGCTCAAGATCCTGAAACTGTGACCCTCAGGTGCTGCCAGGGCGGTCAGATCACTGGACCTGCAGGAAAAGACTGCTCACTGTCACATGCCCCTTATGGCCACCATGGAGCTACAGACACAGCCTCCCCCTCCAACAGCCTCCGGATGGCATGGGCTGCACTGGCCAGTGGTTGAGGCCTGAGGCTGCCGTTGGTGAGCTGAATTGGGCTTGGTGTACCATTCCCTGCACTGGGGCCTGAGTGAAGACCATACTTCCTTGGCTTCATCCCCAGGTCCACACCCTGTCCTTTGTGGTCTTACGGCTCCAATATGGAAATGAACCATGAGAAGAAGTGCCACAGGGACAAGAGGGACAATGGGGACAAGGCCACCCCAGGCAGATGGGACCCTTTCCAGCAGGGGCCAGCCCCCGACCATCCTGCACCTCCAGCCGATCAGCAGGGATGCTCACAGAGGGGGCCAGACATCATAAGAGCAGGGCTCTTGGAGCAGCCGGCGCCAGACAGCCCAGGACAGCTTCAGCCTTGTCCTTGCACCTTGCAGGGACCCAGAGCCCACCTGGATCCTGACCGCTTGTGTGTCTCATCCTCAGGGGCTGGCGGCGCAAGCTCTATGTCAGTTGGGTCCTCTGAGAAGCTGACGCCAAGCTGAGATGAGACATGCAGGGTAAAGGGAGGGGCAAGTGTCTAGGGTGGGGCTTGGGGCCATGACTGGCTTCTCTGCTCCAGGTCCTAGGAGGCCAACATCAAGTCATTGGCCAGCCTGGGCTCCTATCTGGAGGCTCTGAGGGAGGTTCTGTTTCCTTGCTCATAAGGGTTGTCGGTGGAATTCAATTCCTGGTGGCTGTAGGACTGAGGTCTGCCTCCTGGTTGGTTGTAGCCAGGCTTGTTCTCAGCTTCTAGAGGCCTCTTGCATTCCCCAGATCACAGCCCCCTTTCTCCATCCTTACAGCCAGCAATAGCAGGTTGAGTCCTTGACACTCTTTGAATCTTTCTAACCTCCCCTTCTGCTTCCCTTCTCCTGCTCCAGCCAGAGAAAGTTCTCTGCTTTTAAGGTCCTGTGAGATGAACTTGAGCCCACCCAGCTCATCCGGGATAATCTGTTTTAAAGCCCGTATCCTTAATTATACCTGCCAAGTCCCTTTTGCCATGTGCTGTACCATATTCACAGGTTCAGAAGGTGGGGACATCCTTAGGGGGACAGAATTCTGTCTACCACAAATGTAGAGCATGACCCTGGAGGCAGCATTTGCTTATTTATTGTGCAAATATTTATTGAGCATCTACTGCATGCCAAGTTCATGCCATGCTGAAAAGCATAGTCCTGTCTTTATAGGGTGCATAGTTGGGCACTAGGATGGTGGAAGAGAGAATGGAGGGCCCTCTGGAGATGACAAGTGCTCTGAACAAAGGCAGAAGTCTTGAGTCCAGCATGTGGCCCAGCTGGCACCTGCAGAGAGGAGGCAGGATGAGTGACCACAGGAGGATGGACTCACTATGGGGCTCAGCTGAATGGTGGAAGCTTCTGGGCCTGCTTTGCTGTGCAGGGCAGTTTTCATGGCCCCCACCTGATTTCAGACAGTTCTGCCTGGCATCAGAACTGGAAGGGACTTCAGAAGTTATTAAGTTCCAGTGTTTTCAAAAGAAACCTCCTTCAGGAGATATACGACATTTTTTTTTAAGAAGAGCAGCTTGGCTTGAAGCTGGGGGTTACAGAGAAGGTGTGGGGAGCCTCCTGCCTGAATGGCAGGAGTGGGGGAGTGGGGACAGACCACCATCCATGAGGCTTCTCAGCTGAAGCCCCGCACTCTTTAGGATGCAGTTTGAAAACTAAGGGAAATCGCGGCCTGGAGAGAAGAATTTTCTCAAGTTCATTCATCTACCTAAAAACAATCCAGACTCCTAGTTCAGCAGGGTGCTGATGACTCAATTATAACTTTTTATAGCTGGGGTGGGGTTGGAAAACCAATTTGTCTTCGTAAGATCACTTCCAGGCATTTAGAAATTCTGTATATAATGATGCTTCCCCCGCCCCACTACCAATTTTAATTACAATCTCCTTCTGCCTCTATTCCAAGAGTTAAAGATGTGGAACTCAGGAAATTCCTCACAAAATATTTTTGATGCTCTTTTTCTAAGAGCCTGGCTTGAAGAGATGATCTTCCTTTCTCTCTCTCCCTCCCTCCATTTCTCTCTTTCCCTCTCTCTCTCTCTCACACACACATGCGCACACACACAGCCTCTGCCTCATGTGCTTTTGCCACTCCTGAAGGAGGGTGATGTGTGGGCACACAAGGGCAACACCCAGCCTTGCACTGCGACACCAGTCTGCAGATCCACTCTTGGGAATGTGTTTTTGTTTCAAGCTGGGTTGATTCTCTCTGTTCATTTCCCTTCTGTGGCCCATCAGCTCCGTGTTTCCTGTCTCTCAGCTCTCCCTGTTTGCCTAAGACGCACAATTATGTCCTGGATTCCACACAGGGCACATTTATGGGGACTCATAGGCTGCCTGAGTCACGGAGGAGCCAGTCCCGTATGAAAATCAGGGCCCTCGACATCGGGCAGATATGCCAGGCTTTAGGGTGCTCAGCTTGCAGGCTCCTGGACCCCTCCGTCCCACCACTCTCTCCACCTTTTCCCATCCCCTCTGGGCCGGGGACACCTCCCAGGTGCTCTGGAGTCCTGGGCAGCACACTGGCCAAGGAGCTGTTCTGTGCACATTTCCTCGGGAGCCAGGATGACTGACCCTTGCTGTGGGCTTGCTCTATGTTCCGGAGGAAGCGAGATCAAATGTCCATGTTAGCTGTGGTCCCTTGGCAGAGGCTCTAATCAGCCCTGCATGGCTACTGCCAAGCAGGGAAAGGAAATGCGTCCCCAGCAGGGAGAGCCCTTTAAGCCATGGTCAGTCGTAAGCACAAGGCTGGAGTCAGGTCTTGCCTCTCCATAAGGAAATCTGTGCAGTGAGGGAGCTCCTCACCCCAGTTCCACTTGTGAGGAGGAAGGAGGGGATGAGAAAGGTGAGAACAGGAGTCCCAGGATGCCAGAGGGAAGAAGTATGGTCCCAAGGTTAAGAAGGAGCTATGGGTCAGGCCGCCCTGCCCAAATCCCCACCCTGCCATTGCTGGCTTCTCCTTCCTCAGTCTGCTCATCTGCAGAGTGGAGGTGATACCGGCACCCACCTCCCGGGCTCTTTCTGAGGGTTCCATGGAGAAGAGAGCCTGCCACGTGGTGAGCACTGAGTAAAAGGTAGCTATGATGACGATTGCCTTTTTCCCGATGTTTATCAAACCTGGGTACATGCATGGATCTCTCTGGAGGAAACCATTCCTCTTGAACCCTAGAGAATATCTCTGAAGCCCTCAGAGTTCAGTTTATGGAGTAATGATTAAGCAAAGGCCTTTATTGAGGAAGATCGTTTTCCCTGGTAAATGACCTCTGCGAAAGTTTTTGCCTCTAGAGCTGGCAGGATGTATTTTAGACTCGTTGAATAAAAACACAAAATTTCGTTCTCAGAAACTTGCAGGTCCTGAGGAATTTGCAAAGCTTCCTTAAACCTGGTTGGGGAGAGAAACGGGTTGGGGGAAAATGCTGGGCTGTAGGGCAGAGATTGGACAGGCATACTTGGGGGTCTGGCTTCTGGGTCTGCTGGGATTCACTGGACGTCCCCTGATGTGGTTCACAGGGCAGAGTACCCTCCTTCCAGCTCTCTGGGGCTGCTTCCTTGCAACCACCTGCTCCCTTCCATCCTCCCGAAGTTGTAACAAAGTAACCCCTGGGGAGACGGTGTTGCTGCCACCTGGTGGCCAGTTCTGCACACTGCAGGCTCCCCTGTCCTCGGGGACCCCAGGAGGCTGTACCTGTGACCCCGCAGAACCGCACGGGCTGGGTCGTTTTAGGGGCACTCATCACAGTGAATTGGGGATGGGTCCCTTCCCATGCGTGTCTGTGCTACCAGTGAGCTGGTGCAGGAGAGTCCCGTGCCCAGGGAGCCCCAGGCCGGCAGGCAGGTGGACCCTCCTCCCTCCTCCCTCCTCCCTCCTCCATCCAGGGTGCCCACCTCCAGGAGCTTCTGCCGTCCCCAAGTTGTCTCTCCCTGTCCTCAATCCCCCTGGTCGCTCCGCTCCAGGTACCCTCTTCGGGGCAGCCCAGATGCGCTGGAGTCTCCAAGACACCCCTCCTGGCCTCATCCTCCTGCCTGTCGGACACCACACACTCATCCTTGGTCTCTGTTTCCCTTTGATAAAACCCTTTCCTTTCCTTCCATCTTTCTCCAGAAGCAAAAGAGGGCAGGGTTCTGAATTGTGACTGCCTGTTCGGTGCCTGATGACATTGTCAACACCGAGGTCAACCCATGGAGAAAGATTCTGCTAAGGCCTGGGATGCTTAGCACTTGGTGGACTTGACCTTGTTTATTTCCTTACAAGGTGCCTGGGAAAGAGCATCTTTAGGGGCTTCACAGATGAAGAGCAGGGCCTCTAAGGGTCAAGTGAAGCTTAGTGGGCCCTGGAGCCAGGATCTTCCCAGCACTGTCTGCACGGCACTCAGGTGGGTCACAGCTGAAAGCGCACCGGGATGCTGGAGGCTGAATCCCTCGCAGGGCCGGTAAAATCCCAGACTGCTGCACCCACAGCCAGAGTTTCTGACTCAGCAGGTGTGGGGCGGAGGCTGCAGAGTTGGCCTGTCAACCTGGCTGCTGTTGCTGTCCCAGGATCCCACGCTGAGAACCGCTGATACAGGTTGCTGGATCTCACCTCTGGCTGGGGTTGGAGTCACCTGGGGAGACATGAACATGCAGAGGTCTGGGTCCCCACCTGGGGAGGCAATGCCGCCGTCAGTGGCGTGGTCAGGCACCAGGAATTTTAAAAGCTTGTCAGGAAATTCCAATGTGCAGCCAAGGTTGGGAATCACTAAGTAGCTCACCCCTTTCATCTGGGGGAAACTGAAGCCCCAGGAGAGAAACAGATACCCTTGGGTCACAGGCAGAGTCAGCCCTCTTGGGGCAGGGTCTTGGGTTGGTGCTGAGGCACCTTGGGCGTGGTTTGGGCAGGGGTGCACCTGTGTGCATGGCCATGCCAGGACCCTAAACGGACAGAGAGCAGGGCTCAGGGGTGGGGAGGTGGGGGCATCCAAGGAGTGTCCTGCTGTGTCCTCCAACTGCACCTTGCCCAGCCCCCGTCTCAGAATACACAAAAGGCAAAGGTCAAGGCCACGTTCCCCAGGTAGGATTCAGGCAGGACATCAAAGCCTGAGGCAAGTGAGCCTAAGATCCACTGTGTGGTCCCAGGTTGACCCTGACTTTGTCCACCACCTTGGCCAGGTTCTGTCCAGCGGCCTCAGGGTCCCCTTTGTTCCTGGGTTAGGCCATTCTTGCATTGTTATAAAGAAATGCCTGGGGCTGGGGAATTTACCAAGAAGGGAAGTTTAAATTGGCTCGCAGTTCTGCAGGCTTCACAGGAAGCATGATGCCGGCATCCGTTTGGCTTCTGGGGAGGCATTGGGAAGCTTTTACTCATGGCAGAAGGTGAAGGGGGAGCAGGAGTCTCACATAGTGAGAACAAGAGCCAGTTGAGGAGGTGCCAGACACTTATTTTTTTTTGATACAGAGTGCTGCTCTGTCACCTGGGCTGGAGTGTAGTGGCATGACCGTGGCTCACTGCAGCCTCCACCTCCTGGGCTCAAGTGAGTGATCCTTCCACCTCAGCCTCCCCAGTAGCTGGGACTACAGGCATGCACCACCATGCTTGGCTAATTTTTGTATTTTTGTATTTTTTTTTGGTGGAGACAGGGTTTTGCCATGTTGCCCAGGCTGTTCTCAAATTCCTGCGCTCAAGTAATCCACCTGTCTTGGCCTCCCAAGTGCTGGGATTACAGGAGTGAGCCACCGCACCTGGCTACCGCACACTGACAAACAACCAGATCTCGGGAGATCTCACTACCATGAGGACGGCACCAAACCATTCAGGAGGGATCCACCTCCATGACCAAACACCTCCCACCAGGCCCCACCTCCAACATTGGGGATTACATTTTAACATGGATTCTGGCAGGGACAGATACTTGACAACACCAGTTACCATGATGGCATGGAACCCCGGGAAGCCCACGGTGGAGAGAGTGGATGGGCTGCCCAATGTCAGGCTCGGAACACTCTCCCACCAGAGCTGGTGAGAGACCGGGGCCACCCAGACCCCACATGGAGCCTGCAGTGGGGTGTGGGCAGCAAGTTCTGCCTGACAGACGCCATGCCTGCCCCGCACTCTGGGCTGGTGCGGCACGGGCTTAGGTGGAGCGCGTGAGCCTTCTTCGTGGAAAGTTGCTGAGCTGGCCAAGCGAGGCTGGGTATTATCTAGTGAGTGATACTCCCATTAGCGAAAAAGAGGAAGAGCTTCCAAAAAGAATGAGATAAATGGCTCCATGCCAGAACGTTCCTCTCACCCTAAGTGTAAATATTGTAAATAAGCACACCGTGCAATCCATCCATCAATGCGAGTGAATTAGCCACCGAGAGATGCACACTCCTGGGGGCGGGTGTGCAGACCCTCTCGGCCTGGCATACGTCCCACCCCAGCTCTGAGCTTTCAGAAGGAGGGGGCAGCTTTTGCTGAGGTTGGAGACGGCAGGTTTAAGTGATGTTATCCTAATGAAGGGAAAGAGATGATTTAATGAGGTGTTTTTTATGCTCCCAGCTACAATACATCTCTGGTGACGAGCACCGAGTGCTGAGTGCTATCGTGGTTCTTCCTGCCCCTTAAATTAGGTGGCACAGTTCCTGGCTTGTCAGGAGAAAAGTGCGATTCTTTCTTTCCAGGGGAGGGGGGGAGAGTGAATGATGAGCAGATTCCTGACAACACAGGGACCCTGCGAGTACCCAAGTCATCTGAGTCCCTCATTTGCCATCTCCCTGTGTCATGGGGGCTGGGCTCTGCCCGGGGATGGGGCTTGTTGTCCTTGGTGGTGTTGCGGGACAAGCTGGTCACCTTAGCCAGGGTGGGGGAGGCAGCTCTCTTCAGCACTCGGCCCCGCTCTGGGTGTGGGGGCGATTCCTTACAGCACAAGCCGTCTCGGTGCTCTGGAAGCAGAAGTGTCTCTCTCAGGTGAGACTTGCTCCCTCCTCCCCATTGATCTCACCTTCCGCTATCCACCCATTCCCAAGGCTCCTTGGAGGCCAGACACCTGGAGCTCCCTCTTGCACCACAAGCAACGTGGTCAGCAAGCCTAGGACGCCACCTCCTGCCCTGCCCTCCTCTCTCTTGGTTCATGTTGGTGGTTGCTGCATTTCTCTGGCCAGCATAGGTGCTGTGTGTGGGCAGGGCTGGGCCCTGATCCTCCTGGCTCCGTGGCAGGCATGGGCATAGAGCTTCGGGCTGGGGGAGTGTTTGTGGGATGAATAGAGGATGCTGGTCCAGATCCATCCCATGGCTGATGCTCCCATCCTGGACCTGGTGGGCACGAGAGGTGCTCACACCCATTATCCCCTGTGGTTCTTCTCAAACACACCGAGCCATGGGGCAAAGTCTCCCCGATTGAACCTGGGGGAGTCTGACAGACCCACGTCCTCAACCTTCCTTGTGCATTACCAGATCCTTGGCCAAGAGGACAGAGCCTGGAATCTGAGTCCACTGGCGCAGGATGTGGAAGTAAACATGAGCCCCAGGTCTTGGAAAGAAGCCTGGCCTACAGGCCTGACCCCAGCTGACCCCAGGTCCAGGCCCCACGATGCAGGCTGCTTTGCCCTCAGGTGAGAGCCGCCCGGATGACAGCATGGGTGTCTGCTAGCTAATCAAGCTATTATGAGAATTCAGCAAGAGCCCTAAGGATTTGATTTAGTAAATTTCATCCTACTGGGTCTATTATCAATATCCTATCACACTCCAGAGTGCACATGACAAAACCCAAATTATAATTGGGTTAACATTGTAACATCTTAAGCAATAATAAATTAACCCTCATTTAATAACCCACTTTAAAAGTGGAAATGGCTATGTTAATATATGATAAAATATCTTAGTCTGTACATACGAAACACCCTGGAAAATACATTAAAAATTAATTATAATAAAATCGATGTGATTAGAAGCAAAAGTCCTTTATGCAAAAGCAGTAAATGTGCTGAAGATGTTACAGTAAAGAAAAAAAACACCCTGTGATTAAAGAGCTGGGGAATGCTTATGGAAAACTTTTAATAAACGTTCTCTCCTCGGGCAATTTTGATAACAGATATTTAGAATCTGACTCTCTCTGTCAGATACAGCCATGTGAAATGCTCTCTGTCACTGTTTTTTTTTTTCCTGTTGGAGACTTTTGGCTTGGTTTGCAGATGTCTGGTACCACCCAAGGCCCTGTCCTCTCGGGGGCCACCAGCCAGGAGTCCCTGGGGGCCGACGGACTCCTCTGCCTGCCCATGTTAGTCAGGGTGGGCTGGGTTATGGTACAGTAACAAACAGCGCCCATCTCAGAGCTACCAACAACATTCTGTTCCTCCCTTCTGCAGGGGTCACTGCAAGGCTGAGCACTCTTCAGGGTGACCCTGTGTCTTAGTCCATCCAGGCTGATGTAGGGAAATACCATAGGCTACTATGTAGCTTAGAAAATGATGAGTTCACTTCTCACACTTCGGGGGCTGGCAAGTCCAAGATCAAGGTGCTGGCAGCTTTGGTTTCTGGTTCGGTGCCAGCTTCCTGGTTCACAGATGGCCCCTTCTCACTGTGTTCTCACACAAAGTCTTCACCCCCATGACCTGGTCGCCTCCCAAAGGCTTCATGTCCTAATACCATCACTGTTGGGGCTAGGATTTCAACAGTAGAGTTGGGGGCATAGATGCAAATACTCAGAATATGGCATGGCGGGCCTCGTGATGGCTACGAGTTGTACCTCCTTGTAAACAGGCACTTTCTCAATTACCAAGGCAGGAGAAGGAAGTTCTGGATGCTCTCACTCCAGCCATTTGATGCCTCTGCCCGGAAGTGGCACTCATTTCATCGGCCAAAGACCGTTGCATGGCCATTTCTTGTTTCAAGGGGCCGGGGAAGTGCAAGCTGCGTGTTGCGGTGTGTGTGTCTGGGAGACGAACCTGTTGCTGACAGCTGCCTCCTACAGGAAAAGAGGTCACAGTGACTGGACTGGGAATCCCCCTGAACGTTAGTTCACAGCTTCGGGGGTACTGATGTTCCAGTTTTAATCTCCAAACAGGAGCTCTAGCTGGGATTTGGCCTTTCAGAGGGTTTCATATGCAGCGGCTCTTAGTCACCCAGAACCTTCCCCAATCTCAGACCCAGGGGGATGAGATCACTCCCCTGGCACGAGCAGCCCCAGAAGAAGAGTGCTTGCTTCAGCTGCTGGCTGAGTGGCGAGCTCAGGGCCTGGGGACGTTGGTCCTTGTTGGCTCCAGGGGATGGGCTGGGTCAGCTGTAGCCACCGGAGAGCCAAGACGTGGATTCCTGGGAGCATTTCTGAGCTGCTGCCAGAAGCTTCTCTATGTCACTGGGAGAGAATGTGGGGCAGTGTGAGGCTTTGCCCCTAACGGTGAGGGCTCCACTGAAGGAAAGAGAAAACACCGTGTTGCTGCTCAAGTTCTGAAAGGGCTGGGAAATATAACTAAGAGTGGGGAGGACATCCCCTCCATGCGAGGAGGCCAGGTGGGAATGTGCCTCAGGTGTGCTGGCTGAGTGCACCAGCTCATTCCAGACCCAGCACTGGCCAGACCTGCCCCAGCCCCAGGGCTGAGCCCAGGCAGCTCCCCACAGTCTCCTTTGGGACAAGGCAATGGCAAAGATTGGTGGAGCTATGCTGAGCAGGGCTGGTTATTTTATTCCTGCTTTCCATCGTGGGTTTTATTAATATGCAGCCATGGTGGGCCAGCAGATCAGCAGGCAGCTGCCTGTTTAAGGATTTGTTACTCACAGATCCCATGAGGAGGGGGCAGGCCACGTCACACAGGGCCACAGGGGAAAGCAGGGGCATCCATCAGGAGGCAGAGGGAGCCGGGGGCAATGTGGGCAGAGCCTTTATAGTGGTTTCTGCAGGAAGGATAGGCTCGTGTGGATAATTTCTGTGGGCTCTGGGGCAGAGAGGCTGCCCCTAGGTGTCTGGCACCTAGCCAGGGGTGACTAGGGCAGGTGGATGGTGGCCCTGGGGGGAGAATCTGGTAGAGGAGGTCGTGGGGTGTGGGCTCTGGGTGGGTTGGTATTAAAGGTGGGCTCCCAGCACAGTCCTTTACTATCTGTAGGAATTGGCCAGCCCTGGGAAGGGCCGTCCCTCCAGGATCAGCAAGGCACTAGAAGTCAAAGTGTCAGAACACAGAAAATTAAACTTCACGGTTAGTACAATTTTTTCTAATCTACCAGAGTGAGTGCAGAGCAAGAGGAAGCCATGAGTGTGCTGGGGTTTGAACCCTCTTGCAGCTGCTGTTATCAGGAGGAACAGGGGGAAGACACTGTCTTGAAATTAGAGTTTGTTGGCTGGTCGTGTAGGAGCCTCCGGGCCCCTCTTTGAACCTGCATGCTAATTCGGCGAGGAAGGCGATGAGTCTCAATTTGTAGACAAGGAAGGTCAGGAAGGAACTGCCCAAGGCCCCCAGCTCAGAGCAACTCAGGAAGACCCTGAGACACCATCTTCCCAGGGGAGCTGACCTCAGTGCTTCTGCCCTGGTCCACCCGGGCAGGATGCTGCGTGGTAGAATGCTTTTCTCAGGTACAAACCTCTGCCCTGGGATGAACTGCAGCTCTGACCACAGCGCTGTCTTGGCTGAAAAAGCCCTTGGTCCTTTGTCTCTCCTGATGTCACTTTGCCATTTGTCCTTTTATTTATTCTGTACATGTCCACTGTGCTGGCTCAGGCCAGACATCCTGCCTGCAGCCACCTGCACAGCCCTGGGCTGGAGAGATGCCTGTGAAGGCCTCTGCCTAGTTATGGCCAGTGTGGAGGTGGTTGCAGAGCAGGAGGTCCCAGCAAGCATTCAAGGGATTGCACCCCAGAGCTCCCGCCCCCGCCCCAGAGTGCAGATCACCCCCAGTGTCACTGACAGGTGGGAACAGATCTTAGTTCTGCACCAAAGTTAGAAGTCGTTCTGCTTTTTGTGCTTTCTTTTTTCTAGGCTTCTTTTGGGCACTGCTCAAATTCTCTGCCTCTGATTCACGACAGGGCAGCCATCTGTGCCAACAAGAAATCTGCGTCTTCGGGTGAAGGAGTTTTAGGAATAAATCCAAACAAAACTTTAAAAAAGTCACACTTAATCACACTTTCTCTTTGTATCTGGAGCCCAGCCCAAACACTGATTTGTAGCCCTTTAGTGCAACTCGGAATTTGCCGGATTATCCTTTGTATTTATGTAGCTCATAAGTCTCCCTTGACTGGTGGATGTCTCCATAAATACTCGGCGGCAGGAACGCTGCGAGTGTGGGCTTGCTTGCAATGGTGACTTTCATATTTCAAACACGGCTAAATTGAAGGAGATGGATTTGGGTCTGAGACGCCTCAGCGCATTCTGTAGTCTTACTTAGGCTCCTAGTTGCATACAACACGTTTGCTCTTTTCTTTCCCTTTTGGGACACACTGTGATCTTTCTGGATCTCCCATTGGCTGTGGGCTTCCTATGTCTCCAACAGGGATCTGCAGAGTATCTCCATTCATCCCCACTGGAACTCTCCGTAATCGGGATAGTCACTTCCATTTCAGAGGTGAGGACAGCAAGGTTTAGCAACAGTCAAGTGTCCAAGGTCACCCTGCTTGAGAGAATCAGGGATTTGAACCGTAGTTATTGTGACTCCGAGGCCCATGTTCTAAACCTCCATGCCACATATTTCATGCCTGAAACAAGAAAATGTCCAGGATGAGGCCAGGCCCAGGGTTGGATGCCTCCTGGCACTTTCTAGGGCCAACCCCGCATGCATGAGCTGGATTCCGATTTGGGATGTGGTGCAGGCCGTCGTGATGGGGCCGAGAGACGCACCACGGTGTCCCTGTCTGTGTCGGAGCAATTGCTTCCATGTACAGCCTGCTCAGGAAGGCAGGGCTGGCTTCCAGGAAGGAGAGGGTTCATGTGGCTGGGTAAATAGGTCCCGGCTTGTTTAAAGGACTGAGAATGAGGATGTCAGCCTCGGAGACAGAGACAGTAAGGCAGCACCTGCCGAATGACGTGAAGGGTGGGGGAAGTGGTGGGGTCGGAGGAAGACAGATGGCACCGTGAATAATGAAAAACCTGGATATTAACAGGGGAGAAGGGAAATACAAGGCTGACAGAAATGTCATTAAAAATAGATTGAGGCCATGGGAGGAGGGACAAGGCACAGAGAAATTCTTCAGAAAAGATGTTGCTTAAGAAAGGGGGGAAATGAAGCCTCAAACACCCATTTTCCCGGCTTGCCAAGTCAGCCTCTTATTGTAAATCCCAGTTAACTCCTCTGAAACAAGAGCAGGCTTGGAATGGAGGCTTGACTTCTGCCAGAGGCTGGGCGGCGGCTGGGACCGCTGGACATCAGGGGTGCTGGGACCTCGGCGCTGTAATGGACGGGTGGCTTACACTGTGCTCCAGGGCCAATTTTTGGAAAATTTTGACATTATACATAGTATCATTTCCAAAGGTAACTTCCGGAATACTCAGTTAATTAGGATAACCCTGGCCCAGTTATTTTTGGGGAAAACATGCTATTCTGGAGGAAGCATCTGCAAGATTTGTTTTTTTAAAAAAAACGGTTTCAGCAGAATAAAATTAGGCAAAATATTTTCTGCTCTGGAGAAATAGCTACAGGGATCCAAATGTGACCAAGAGCCTAACCACAGCTTCTCTTTCCATATGTTATGTTCATATCTATGTCTATTATACGTATACTTGCATACATAAATATACTTGCATGCATGGATAAATGCATAGACAGATGATAGACGAGTGCATAGATGCTTGGATAGATGCATAGCTAAATAGATAATGGATAAACAGATGGGTATATAGAGGAAGGCAGGTGCACAGACACCTAGATGCCTAGATAGACAGATAGATGTGTAAGTAGCTACACACATGCACGCACACACATGCACGTGTGCACACATGCACGCACACACATGCACGTGTGCACACATGCACGCACACACATGCACGCACACGCACACGCATGCACACACGCACACACATGCACGCACACACACATGCACGCACTCGCACACACATGCACGCACACACGCACACACGCGAGCGCACACACACACACACACGGTGACGGGACAAGGCTCTTCCATCTAAAACAGAACTTTCTACCACCTGGCGGCTGGTGTGAATGTTCCTTGTGCCCAGCCCAGCAGGGGACACCACTTTTTTTTTTTTTTTTTTTGAGACGGAGTCTCACTCTGTCGCCCAGGCTGGAGGGCAGTGGCGCGATCTCAGCTTACTGCAAGCTCCTCCTCCTGGGTTCACGCCATTCTCCTGCCTCAGCCTCCCGAGTAGCTGGGACTACAGGCACCTGCCACCACGCCTGGCTAATTTTTTGTATTTTTTAGTAGAGACAGAGTTTCACCGTGTTAGCCAGGATGGTCTCAATCTCCTGACCTCATGATCCACCCGTCTTGGCCTCCCAAAGTGCTGGGATTACAGGCGTGAGCCACCACGCCGGGCCAGGGGACACCATTTTTAAGGGTGAAAGTTAATGGCCATTGCAGCTCAGCTCTCTTCCCCACACTACCACCATGTGGACCTCAGGCGTTGCTGTGTGGATTACTCCCAAATGCCTTTGGTCACTGCACCTGAAAGGCTGCCCCTGTTACACCTGCCTGGGGCGTAGGCCCTGCTGTGGCTCCCACAGGCCCTGGGTCCTTCACTTGCTGTCTTACTTGCTTGTTTAACCTGCTAGCTCTGCTCTTGGACAGGTGGGGAGAATGCCTTTTTATTCACAGCTACATCCTAGCGCCTAACATAGTGCCTGGTGCATAGTGGGTACTCCCTGAATGCTTGTTAAATGAATAAACAAAAGAATGAATCTACAGGTAAGATCACAAGTCCCCTGTGTGGCTTTCACTGCCCTTGACAATCTGACACACTTATCTGCAAACCTTGCTTCCCAGCACACTCATGTCTGGGAAGATTATCTATCTATTCTATCTATCTATCTATCTATCTATCTATCTATCTATCTATCTATCTACCTATCTACTATCTATCTACTATGTATGTACCATCTATCATTATCTATCTATCTATCTTCTATCATCTATCTATCTATCTTCTATCTACTATATATCTATCATCTATCTGTCATCTATCTATCTATCTTCTATCTATCTATCTATCATCTATCTAGACCTATTATCTATCTATCTATCTATCATCTATCTATCTATCTATCTTCTATCTACTATATATCTATCATCTATCTGTCATCTATCTATCTTCTATCTATCTATCTATCATCTATCTAGACCTATTATCTATCTATCTATCTATATCATCTATCTAATCTATCAATTACTCATCTATCATCTGTCTATCCATCATCTATCTATCTATCTATCTATCTATCTATCTATCTATCTATCCATTATCTATATATCTATCTTCTGTCTACTATCTATCTATCATCTATTTTTTAATCTACCTGTCTCTCTGTCTATCTATCCATCCATCCACTATCCATCATTTATCTATGCATCTATATATCACCCTATTGAAAGCATGTTCTTTATCCCAACAATTACCTGATCAGAGAACCTGGGGCCTTCTATAATAGAAGGCAAAATCCTATCTGTGCTACCGACACTCTGCTAATGCCTTAGGACTTGTTAGGGAAATCTGTGTCCCCCCAATGGCTTCTGCAGACTGTCCCCTGAGAGTCACCACTTGGACATGGCTAGAGGACGAATTATCGATGTGGTCTTCCTGCTTCAGCAGCTTCTGCATGTGGTTCTTCTGGGGAAGACAGAAGTCCTGCCCTGTTCCTGGTTTCCTCTGGTGCCCTCTGTTTGCTAGCAAGTCTGAGTCTTCCTTGTTTTGGGGGCTCTGGGGTCACTTTGATGCCCCATCTCAGGCCTCTAATAGGTGAGAGAGAGCAGGTACTGGGCCCTTTGCCTCTGAGCACAGCCTCTCTGGGGTCAGTTTTGGCAGGTTGGCTTGGAAAAAAACCTGCTGCCCTGGCTGCCTGCCCCACTTGCAAGCCCTATCAGCAGCATATTCAGTGGGTTGTTGGGGGACTATCTGTTCCTGAATTATCAGGAGGCTTATTAAAGATGAAGATCCCAGATCCAGCCCCACCAGGATTCAGGGAGTCCTGGGTGTCAGTTGCTCCACAAAAGCTTTACATTCTACGCCCTCCCCCTCTCACCCCCTGGACCAGGTGGCTCTCGTCCCACAGGGTGGGAACATCTGCCCTGGAGCACACGTGGGTCTGAGGTCCCAGCCCTGAGTGAAGATCCTGGTTTGGCTTCCTGGGGACCAGCTGGGTGGCTTGGACAAATGCCTTTGCTTGGCCGAGCCTTATGTTCTCATGTGTTCAGAGGAGAAAGGAGCACAGCCCTGGAGGAAGGTGCCACCTTGTCTGGCACCTGACAGATGCTCAGACACTGCAAGTTCCTTCCTAGTCCCCTCCCCGAACGCCTTAGACACTGGGAGACCCTAGCATGGGGAGGGAATGTGGGGGACACCCTGAAAGCCAGGGGAGAGGTTCCTTGATGCTTGCCTCTGAGCCGACAATCCTTTTCTTAAAGGAGGTTCCCTCAGCATCCTCAAGACAGGTCCACTTGTATACAGGCTCCATTAGGAACAAATACACCCACTTAAATATGCAAAGACAAACCCATATGCACAACACACACCTGCAGATGCCTGCACACAACTGCATACTTCACACATGCCTGCACACAAACATACATCTGCACACTCATGCATGGGTAAGCACACACCTGCACAGATGCACACATATGCACACACATGCACATATGTACAGGCATGTGCACACTTGCACAAACACATACTGCCCATGCTTGCTAAGCAGCATTCTCTCCAGTGATGGAGGAAGGGCACTGAGGTTTGGCTGGAGTCTGGTGCCCCAGCTCAGCACTACAGCCAGCTGGCTTGGGGCCAGGGGCTCAGGGGCTTAACAGGAAGGGGTCCTGGTGCCAGTTTGCTGCTTGGTTTGAGGAGGCAGAGTTGGACCTGGGCTTGCTCCTCGAGTATCTGCAGCCTGACCCTGGAGCTGCGGGTAGACGGTGCCTGCACCGCTAGGCAGAGGCTGTTCAGGACGTGGCCTTCGTCTCTGCCCCTGAATCCATGCTGAGGCTGAAGGTGTCCAGCTTCCTGCCTTCTGACTGTTTGCCAGGCAGGGGATGTTTGAGGATGTCCAAGGAGGCTGGGGTGAGGCAGATACCCTCCTGGCCTCACCGGGTCTTTGGAGGCAGGAGCAAGGGCTGCTGTGCTGAGTCCCGGAGGTTGGATCTTATTTCATAGTTACTGGAGGACTGACCCTAAACAGTATTCTGAGGCGTCTGAGAATCTTAGCATTTCCATGCATCTCCAAGTGTCTGAGATGAGGCCAGGTGTTGGCAGGGGTCGTTATAATTCTAATAGCAAGAGGAGAGTCTTGAAGCCAGTGTGGGCAAGGACCCCCAGGAATATTGAAGGGTTGTGGCCCTTGAAGGATGAGGGGCTGACCTGCATCAGTGGAAGAAGCTGCCTGTTCATTCACTTATTCATTTAGTCTGCAGATATCAATTGGACATCTGTGATGGGGAGAAGGCAGACTCTATAATAATGGCCTCTCAAAGAGACATGTCCACATCCCAGTCTCCAGAATCTGTGAATGTGACCTTATCCTGAAAGAGGGTTTTTGAAGTTGTTATTAAGGATCATGAGATGAGATCATCCTGAGTAATCCTGGTGGGTCCCAATCCCATGCCAAGTGTCTTTATGAGAAAAAGGCAGAGAGACCAGATATGGACAGAGAGGGGATGCTGTGTGAAGACAGAGGCAGAGATTTGAGTGATGCAGCCACTAGCCAAGAACAACTGGAGCCCCCAGAGGCTGGAAGAGGGGAAGAAGGACCTTCTAGGGCCCTTAGTGGGAGCACAGTGCTGACCACCCCTTGATGCCAGACTTCCATCCTCCAGAACTGAGAGAATAAATGTCTGTTGTTTTAAGTCACTGAGTTTGTGGTCCTTTGTTATGGCAACCATAGGATTCAAATACAGTTAGAATAAAGTGACACAGGAGACTTGCAGGTGCCCGGGAGTGGAGTGAGAAGCCCTTCATCTAGCTGGGGTAGGGCCCGGGTGAAGGAGAGGGACTCCAGCTTCAGGTGCCTGTGGATAAACACAGTGCATGAAAAACAAAGACCTGGGCTGAAGGTAGATCCCTCTCCCATCTGCTCTGCCAGAGCTCAGGGGGTGCTTCAAGAAATGTTTGCTCTTCCCCCAACTTTTGCTGGGTTAGGAGTCAGTGACAAGCACAGGATGAGCAGATACTTACAAAACACACTTGGTCTGGCACAGAGAGCCCCACAAACAGCATCACTGTGATGCATTAGCTGATCTCCAGGTCATTGCTAACCTCCAGCTGGGGGGACACAGAGGAGCACGGGTGCCCCAGTGCCTCACCCCGAGTGGCGCTGCCCATCCGCCCTGGGTGAATAACCTTCTAACCAGCAACAGAGGCTGCAGCTGGACGTTGTCATTCAATTCCAGTGATGTTTTAAGACTGACCTAAATCAAGCCAGGCTCCCTGTCCGAGCCCTGGGCTGTCTCCTGAGTCTCTGACCTGCTCCTTGTAGAGTGGATATAGCAGCCTGGAAGATGTATCCTGTCCTTCACTGTTGGCCCAGAACAGCCGGCTCCCTGAGCGTTTCCTTAAGCTTCTACAGATGGGGCCATGATTCATTCTTGAAATCTGTGAAACAAGGGTTCCCCAGAGACAAAGGAGAATCCAAGGGGTCAAAGAGTTTCTAAAGTAAAAGCTTCCCAATGAGAGAAATGCTTCTGAGCCTTCCTGTAGAGCTAGGGGACATACTGTGATCCCAGGTACCTGGCCATCCTCCGGCCTTGTGGGAACCCTGTTTCCCCACTGCCCAGGGAGAACGCGTTTGCTCTGGGGATAGGGTGGCCGCGTGTGCTGGCGTTGCAAGGGGGAGGCGGCCCCATTCCTCATGCCTCAGCTGAGTGCCTGCTTTAGCTAACCTCTGAGTGCTCCTTCTGTGCCAGATCCGGACCTTGTCTTTGAAATTTGTTATTTTGTTTAATGTCATGGAAACTTTGGAGGTGACAATGATGGTCATCATTCTTATTTTGCATGTGAAAACAGGTAGGTCTGATTTATCTAAGATCCCCTGAATCACCTGGGGCAGAGTTGGGCTCTGGGTTTGATCTTTGCCATGAGCCGTAAGATCCGATCATCTCGTCGTTGGAAGGAACGCGCCAGGAGATGTCGAACAGGTAGGGAAATAATTTATTCCCAAAGCGGCCCTGGACTGGGGCCTGGACGTGTCTGTGCCCACCTCCCCTTCCCTCGCTGGTGTCCAACCACGGGGCTCGGGAGGACTGCAAGCATGACAGATGAACAACAGTGCCCTTGGCAGGCATCTTGCTTCCAAATAGATAAATAAAAATACTGCCACCAACTCAAGACAGCCACTGGCATGTCATCCAACCATGTGGGGGAATTTTACACAAATTCATTTGTTTAGTTTGGGGCTATTTTGGAATCTGGCTTTAATTTAATTTGCTGAGATTTGACTCGATTAAAGGGTATTGATCTGGGGTGCCGAAAATTGCTGCCATTTGTCAATAGTGTCTTGCCTGTAAAATCTCATCGTTAATAAATCAAGTCTCAGGCTGCTCAATATGTAGTTATTACAGTTAAGATACAGATGCAGCTTTTGCCCTCTGGCACCCTGTGACAGATGAATATCATTAAAAGTTGCTAACACTCTTTTGAAAGAGTTTGATCTTTGCTTTTATATTGACTTTCCACCCCCGGCTCCCCTCCAATGTGGGCCTTGAACGAAAAGTTTAAAGAACTTAGAAGACTTGTCAAGTTTCAGGAAACACGACCAGACTTAAGGCAGCTGGAGCAGCTCTGGGTTGGGAGGCCACACGGGATTATTTAATTACTTTGTTGGATAAATGTTCTCCTAAGAAGTCACCTGCGGAAGCCACATCTCCTTTGGAGAGCCCCTTCTTTATAGGACAAGAACAGAGTGTACTGGGCAGGCTGAGCTTTATTTAGTTCCAATTGCTTTATTAGGACAAAATGTGGCAGACGGCTCCTTAGAGCAGCTGTAAGGCGGCAGTAATAACAATCAATTAATAAACTGTCCAATATTTATGAATAACCTCCTTTGTGTGGATGGCTGTGCTAGAGGCTTGATAAATATTTGTTAGTACATATTTTTGCATTTCAAATAAGAAAGGTTACCACCCCAGAGAGCTGGAACTAAAAAAGACCCGGGAATTCATCCAGTACAGCACCCTTAATCATAAGGGAATTTGAGGATCTTCCCCCAACACAGTACAGCCCAAGAGAGGCTGTGATCCAGAGACCCCTGGCACAGCAATTGCTCCTGCCCCCGAGCCTGTGCAGGCTGCCACCTGTGCTCCAAAAGCAGCCTTCATTGTGGGAGAACTTTCAACCTGGTCTTTCAGGGTTTGTGGAGCGCACTGCCCTGGCTCATCTCTCTCTTCCAGGACTCCAACATACTGGCAGCCTTGGAGGGATCCGTCCTATTGACACAGAACTCCTCTGTTTTGATTCTCTCACACCGTGCTGGCGCTGGATGAAAAGTCCTTTGAAAAGGCTCTCTCCCTTCTGAACACTTCATCATCTTCTCATTTGGAATCCGGAGAGACTGGCTTTTCCCTCCTTTCTCTCCTTTGTTCTTTCTTTAATGTGCTGCAGAAATGCCTTGGGGGAGAGTCTGTGCTCGGGGCCAGCCCTGGAGCAAGGGTTCTCTGCAGAGTGTGCCGGGGGTGCAGGGGTGGCTCTGAGCCTGGCCTCCACAGGATGGACATGTTTTCCGCGGGCAGCTGATTTAATGGGGGCAGTAGAGGCAGAAAATTCCAGCAGCCTTTGCAGCAGGAGTGGAGAAGCATTACAAGATGCTTGACAGAGGCGGTTGGGGTGCATTTATGTCACTGTTTACATGTCTTCTGGCCTTGGGGTCCGAGGGCTGGCCTCTGAGCCTCCCTGGAGTTGTGTGGCTGGAAGGAGCTCCAGGGCCAGGGAGGTAAATCTTCCTGCCTCCTGGTACTTTGCAGCAATTCCAGCCACTGTGCCTCCAGGATTGGGGCACTCTATCTTCAAGGCGAGCCCTGGCAGGGTGGAAGGTCTGTGCCAAGTGCACAAGAAGGAACTGCTCAGAGCTGTTTGCAATGTATAGAAATTGGAGAGCCTTGCTTTTCAGCATTATTCTTTTATTCATAGGCCTGCGTGTGAGAGGCTTGTAAATGACATTACCAATTTTGCATTAAGCAGGTCTGGCAAGACTGGCTGAGTTTCTACATTTGGGGCTTCATGCGGGTGCCTGGACTGGCTGATGGGCCAATTGCTTCATTAGGCATCTTAAGGATATGGCCGTGTCTTGGCTTTTTAATCTAAAAGTCATTAAGGGGCTCTGTGTTGGGCAGAGGTTGATGGGCACTCCCCTCTGTTTCTGTGTCCTTGGCACTAACTGGGAGGGCAGGCCTGGTCCCTGAGCCCCACGCTCACTTCCTCCTGTGCCTTCAGGGCAGGTGCTCACCCATCTGGGAAAAGGCCTGGGGCAGGCCGACAGTAGGGTTTGTCTCCTCTTCCTTTGGGTCCAGTCTGTTTTCAGCGGGCTGGAGCTGGCTTCTCTGCTCAAACAGAGCAGCACTGGCTGTGGGGAGCGAGGCCCATTCTGGCCTGAACTGGAATGTGGGGAAGGTCCACCAGCCCTTGCTTTCTCCCAGCTGCCAGTTCCTCTCCTGCCCCTGAGTGACAACACAATGGGAGCTTTAAAGACCTGGGTCCTTCAGATGGGAAGCCAGGAGTGTGCATCACAAACACAGCCAATCCCAGGCTGCTCTGTCTGGGGACCGTCAGAGGACACTGCCCTCTTGCCTGGTACAGAAGGAGACAGTGATTGTTTAGCTGTGGGTAAGGCACAAACTCTGGCATGTGGTAAGTACGCACTTCACCTGTTTGTTGAATGCATACATAAGGGACTTACTACTGACTCCTGGTTTCTGAGTCATTAGCACTGACAAAAAGTAGATCTAAAATAATTCTCTTTTCTATTTCTTTCTTTCTCTTTTTTTTTTTTTTGAGATGGAGTCTCTCTCTGTTGCCCAGGCTGGAGTGCAGTGGTGTGATCTTGGTTCACTGCAACCTCTGACCCAGGTTCAAGCAATTCTGCTGCCTCAGCTTCCTGAGTAGCTGGGACTACAGGTGCCCGCCACCACGCCCGGTTAATTTTTTTGTGTTGTTAGTAGAGACGGGGTTTCACGGTGTTAGCCAGGATGGTCTCGATCTGCTGACCTTGTGATCGGCCCGCCTCAGCCTCCCAAAGTGCTGGGATTACAGGCGTGAGCCCCTGCGCCCGGCTCTTCTTGAGCTTTTTCAAAGCCAAAATGATGTGCGTTGCTCTAGTGGACACAGCCCCTTCCTTCTATTCTGTAGGGTGTCCGTGGACATTTTATATATCTGCACATCAAGGAGGTTCTGTGGTCAAATAAGTTTAGAAAACATGAGGATAAACAGGGTCTGTTCATGCTGCAGGACTTCTCAGAGCCTTTATTTCATTCACCGGCATTCAAGCGCTTCAGGAGGGGGAAATAGCAATCCATGATTCTCACTCTTGGCATGAGTAAAGAGCCTTTTATTCTCTCAATCTGAGAAACTCTGGAAATGATTGTCTGGAGCCGTTCTGTCCACTATGGTGGACACTAGCTACATGTGGCTTTGTAAATTTAAGTGAACTAAAATGAGCTGAAATGTAAAAGTCACTTCCTTGGTCACATAGTAGCCACATTTCAGGTGCTTGGTACCCACATGTGGCTGGTGGCTACTGAAATGGACAGTATGTTCTCATCATTCTAGAATGTTCTGTTGGACAGTGCTGCTCTAGAGGGATCTTGGAGGTGAAAAGACAGGAGACTGGGCAACTAGACTTTGTGGGGAGTCCTACAGCCCCCAGAGCTGGTGCTTTCTGGGCCCTTCTGTGAGTCACACAAGAGAGTATCACTTTCTTTAGCAGTGGGGATGGAAATAGCGAATATTTACTACTTGTGCACCACATATGCCAGAAACTTCTTAGTTCTGTACTTCACAAACTTTATCTTATTTAATCCTCAGAAGGAGTCTCTGAAGTTAGCACCCTTCTAAGAATCCAAACTCTACAAGCAGAGGTTACCAAGCACAGAGGCGTGGCACCCAAGATCACACAGGTAACACACACGTGGAGCTCGGGGTTAAAGCCAGGCAGACTGAGACCCGAGGTCACCTCATGTCACCATAGGAGGCTCTGCCGATTGCCCTGGGGGACACACACACCTGCGGCTGCTTCCAACAGCTGTGCCCAACCTCAGAGGATGAAGACGATTCACATTTGAGGCTCTTCAGAATAATGTGCCTGGCTCTAAGGCAGCTTTCAAAGAGGACATTCAGCCTGCTATGGCTGTGAAGATATTCAACCCGATGTCATCCACTGTGAGGCAGAGGTTCTGGCATTTTGAGGACAAAGCAGCCGGGATTCTGTCACCTCGCTCTGCATACACCAGCATTTAATGCAAGGTGTGAGTGAGGGCATGTGTGGGTATACTCATGCCTGTGTGTTTGGGGGTGCAGGGGCTAGCGAGGTCCTGACAAAAGAGCTTTCTTCTGCAGATCATAGAGTGAAACGATTCCTGCGCCCAAAAGGGATTTTAAAAACAGCTCGAGAAGCTGAAAGCAAGATACAACAGACAGTTCCACTCAATTTGCTGCCTTCAGCCCGGCTGCGTACTGGAAACATTTGGTCCTGCTGAAGCATGCTTGTCTGCCTCCGGGGTCAGGGCTGGGTGTTTCAGAAATGGAAATGCAAGCTTCTGGCAGCAGTCGCTTTTCCTGTTGCGCTGACTTGTCGCTTCGTTTGCTACCTTGTATACAGACAGCAAAGGGGCCGCGGGCCTCGGGTCAGCCTGATGTGCTGTGTATGTGTGTGTGAGTGTGTTTGTGTCTGTGAGTGTGTGTGTGTGAGCTGAGTCAACTGAGGGACTTGTTCTCAGCACCTCATTCCCTTGCTTTCAAGTGGATCCTGCCTTCACTTTGTGGCCCAAGCCAGATTTGGCAACGGGGAACAAGCCACCTAGAAGCTCAGGCAAGTCCTTCCTGCTGAGAAAAGGCTTGGACCCCTCCAGGACCTGTGATCAAACCACCGGTGTTACACTGGCTAACGTGATGGACGTACAAGCCGTGCAATTGCACAAGGCCCCTAGAAGGGCCTCTGGCACGGTTTAATGCTTCGCTATGGCCATCTTGAAATTCACTTTTTTTTTTTAAATTTTTAAGTTTTATTTTAAGTTCAGGGGTACATGTGCAGGTTTGTTATATGGGTAAACTTGTGTCATGGGGGTTTGTTGTATAGATTATTTCATTACCCAGGTATTAAGCCGAGTACTGATTAGTTACTTTTCTTGATCCTGTCCCTCCTCCCACCCTCCACCCTCTCAAAGGCCCCAGCGTGTGTTGTTCCCCTTCACGTCTCCATGTGCTCTCATCATTTAGCTCCCACTTTCAGTGAGAACACGTGGTATTTGGTTTTCTGTTCCTGCCGTTAGTTTGCTAAGGATGATGGCCTCCAGCTCCATGCATGTTCCTGCAAAGGTCATGATGTCCTTCTTCTTTATGGCTGCATAATATTCCACGGTGTATAGGTACCACATTTAAAAAATCCAGTCTACCATTGATGGGCATTTAGGTTGATTCCATGTCTTTGCTATTGTGATTCATGGTGCAGTGAACATAGGCGTGTATGTGTCTTTATAACAGAATGATTTATATTCCTTTGGGAATAGGTCTAGTGACGGGGTTGCTGGTTTGAATGGTAGCTCTGTTTTTAGGTCTTTGAGGAATTGCCATGCAGTCTTCCACAATGGTTGAACTAATTTACACTCCCACCAACAGTGTGTAAGTGTTCTTTTTTCTCCACATCCTTGCCAGCATCTGTTATTTTTTGACTTTTTAATTATAGTCATTCTAACCGGTGTGAGATAGTATCTCACTGTGGCTTTGATTTGCATTTCTCTAATGATTGTGATGTTGAGATTTTTTTTTTGTATAATTTTTGGCCGCATTCTTAATAATTTTTTTTATTTTTGAATTTGTGTTTTGTGGGCTGCATCCTAAGAGACCCTGGAGGATGACCGTGGACAGAGCAGATGCTGTGACACGTGTCCACTGTTTCTTGCCACTCTACAGGCATGCAGCATTCGTGAGGCCCCATAAATGCAGAATTCTAGGATACGTGGGAGCTCAGCAAGACTCAAACTGGGTGCAAGGTCAGCGTGCTACGTCTGCAACAAAGTAGGCTCTTGACAGCTCTGAGAGCTACTCTCTCCACTTGAACTAGAACTTGCTTCAAAAGCAGAAAGAATGCCCTGGCATCCTAAGAAACAAAAACAACCAAGGAGCCCTGTTGTATCTGTCCTAATTCATGTTGCTCCCTGTGTAGCCAACCAGTTATGCTGAAAATATGACATAAAAGGAAAGGCAGAGAGGCAGCCCAAGCTCCTTTTCCTTTCCGTCCTTCCGTGCTCATCAGGAAGCCCAAGGCAGGGAGTGAGGGTAAGTGTACCTGATCAAGAAGGGAAATGAAAACAGCTAAGTTGGCTTAGTACAGCATCTCCACTGTTCTAGTAAGAAAGGAATACATGTACAAGCTGCACCATAGGAATTGTGCAATTTTGGTGATTCCATCCATGAGATAAATGCTCTTAACATTTGCTTTTAAAGCTGGCATTGCACAGGATAAAGGTGAATGGTAAAATCCACACTAAGGACTTACAAGTAAAATTTTTCTTTACTTATTATGGGATTATGTAGCAAATGCATATCATCATCTTATTGAGATTATTTTTATTTGCTATGTAAAAATGCCTTTCTTCCATTGCTTTTCTCTCAACTTGTCAGGATGATTTTCATTTGCTATGTAATGCTAGGACCTTGAATGGCACTTTTTTGCACTGGGCCTTGCCAATGATGGAGCTAGCAGTGGTCACACCTTCCTGTTCTGCGGTTCTGGGGCTGAGGTTGCAGATGGGAGTTGTCCTCAGCTGGGCCTCAGTAACTCCTCTTCCTCTTGCCTTTTCTCATATGTTTCTTTCAGGCTGAGCTTGTTCTCAGCCCTATACAAAGCCCCACATACCACATAGAAGCTTCTAAGAGACAGATGACCAGGGTCTCCTTTCTGTAGACCTTTCTGCCAGAATCTGCCCCAGAGTTACTCAGGAACTCTTGGTGCATGTATGTATGTATGTATGCATGTGTGGATGGATGGATGTAAAGATGATGGATGGATGAATGGATAGATACATGGTGGATGTATGGATGAATGGATAGTTGAAGGATGGTCGATGAATGGATGGATAGCTGGATAGATGGATGGAAAGACAGATGGTGGATTTATTGATGATTGGATGGATGGATGGATGGATCATAGATGGAAAGATGGATGGATGGATGGATGGAAGAATGGTGACTAGGTGGTAAATGGGTGGATGGATGTGTGGATGGATGAATAGAGGGATGGTAGATAGATGAATGGGTAGAAGGACAGATGGTGGATTAATTGATGGATGGCTGTATGGATGGATGAACGCACGAATGAATGGAAAGATGGTGGATGTTTGGATGGAAGGATGGTGAATGGGTGGTGGATGAGTGGACGGATGGAAGGATAAATCTCTCATATATTCATTGAGTGCCTTCTCTGTGGCAGACACTGTTCAAGGTGCAGAGGATGCATCAGAGAACAGAACAAACAAAACCCCTGCCCCTGAGGAGCATAAGTGTGCCTAGAGAATGAATGAATGAGCAAACTAGCAAATGCTCCAAGGTGTCTGCCCCAGGAAGATTTCACCTAAGTTAGGCATGAAAGCAACACTTGTAACCAGGCCGTGTGCTACTGGGCACAGCCTGGTGTGAGAGAAGCTCTGAGAGTCATGGGCATTCGGAGAAGAGGAGTGAGGTGGGGGCCGTTGTGCAGGCGAGAAGGCTTCATGCAGGGTTGGGGTGGGGTGGGCAGCTCTTGACCAGGATAAGCTGTAGGATAATGAGAAGAGCTGGGGGTGGACCTGCCTGCCTGGGTGCAGGATGAATGAGGACAGTTTGGAGTCTCAGAAGCTGAGCGCTGGACAGTGTTGCAGAGACCTGGGGCTCGTGCCTAAAGTGAGGACACGGAGGGAAATGTCTGCAGCCCCAGTAGGCTGAACACCCACCACAGAGGCCTGGAGCTTCCCAGGCAAGGCTGGAAAGCAGCCCCACTAAGATCGAGGATCCTCTTCCTCCCAGCCTTGCCAGGGCGCTGCAAGGATCAACTTAGATAATAGGGGTGCACACACATTCCTAGGGCATCAGCGGTGGTCTTCTCCTGGGAGCGCATTTTGCCCAGGGGGACAGGAAGGAGAACCTGAGGCACTGAGCCCTGGAGGGCTGGTGGTGCAGGCAGGGTGAGGGTGTGGTGGAGGAAGGAGACCCTGCTCCTATGGCCTCACCCTTCTTGGGGAAGTCAGCTACTGACATCTCTCACAGATCCCAAATCCAGGGTCCTGCCTGGTTGTTCTGCTGGCCCTGGCCCTGGCTACCTTGCCTCCTTGCCCAGTACCTGATCAGCGATCAGTGTCCTGGTGTGCCCGGGTAGAGCTCCAGAGGAGCTGGTTGACTGGCTGGCAACAAAGTAAGATGGGCGCCAAGTGTCTGATGAATGGACGGGTTCTCTAGTGGCACCCAGGCCTGACACCCACAGGGCCTGGCCTGACCCTCCGTGGGTTGTAGGCATGGGGCTGCCTTTGGGTTTGGACAACCGAGTTCATTTTTCCTAGAAATCTGATGTTGGACACCAGCCTGGGTTTCTGTAATAGTTTTCAAATGTGCCTAATGCGGCCATAATCAGGGCCCCATGCAGAATTTGCGGAGATAGGTGACCCTGGTATTTTATTCCTTGCTAACCTTCAATTTTTGTTCCTGACCTTTCTCCATGAAATATTTCAATATAAATAATGCAGTTTTGCAAACACATTGCCCTGATTACTTTGTAGGGCCCTGATTCTCCATGTGTGAAAGTCTCTGAAGTAAGTAGTAATTTGTTCCCCTTTCTGGTAATTGCTGTTTTAGAAATAGCTTCTTCAGACGTCTGCCTCAAATTGGCATTGCCCTGACTCTCTGCGCGCTTGCCAGACGCAGCTGCTGTTTGCACGGCTCCTGCAAAGTCATGGTGCAGAGGCCTGGAGGCAGACAGCCCCAGGCTGCGGAGAGTGGGCTTCTTGCCATCACCTGGTCTAAGGCCTCTGCAGGTAACCCCTGTTTAGGTGCCCAGAGAGAAGAAAGAAGCCCCGTTCCTCTGCCTGCTCCTCTCAACTTTGAGGCTTGTAATGTCAACAGCTGCCAATTTAAGCCTGGGTCTGAGCCCAGCACTGACAATGTGCTGGCTGGACAGGTGGGGGCTGACTAGACAGGTGAGGGCTGGCTGGACAGGTGAGGGCTGACTGCACAGGTGAGAACTGGGTGGACAGGTGAGGACTGACTGCACAGGTGAGGGTTGGCTGGACAGCTGAGGGCTGCTTGGACAGGTGAAGGCTGGCTGCACAGGTGAGGTCTGGCTGGACAGGTGAAGGCTGACTGTACAGATGAGCTCTGAATGCAGAGATAAGGACTAGCTGCACAGGTGAAGGCTGACTGGACAGATGAGGGCTGGCTGGACAGGTGAGGGCTGGCTACACAGGTGAGGTCTGGCTGCACAGGTGTGGGTTGGCTGGACAGGTGATGTCTGGCTGGACAGGTGAAGACTAGCTGCACAGGTGAGGACTAGCTGCACAGGTGAGGTCTGGCTGGACAGGTGAGAGCTGACTGTACAGATGAGGTCTGACTGCACAGATAAGGACTAGCTGCACAGGTGAGGGCTGACAACAGGTGAGGACTAGCTGCGCAGGTGAGGGCTGGCTGGACAGGTGAGGGCTGGCTGGACAGGTGAGGACTAGCTGCACAGGGGAGGACTAGCTGCACAGGTGAGTTCTGGCTGGACAGGTGAGGGCTGACTGTACAGATGAGGTCTGACTGCACAGATAAGGACTAGCTGCACAGGTGAGGGCTGACTGGACAGGTGAGGACTAGCTGCGCAGGTAAGGGCTGGCTGGACAGGTGAGGGCTGACTGGACAGGTGAGGGCTGACTGGACAGGTAAGGGCTGGCTGGACAGGTGAGGGCTGACTGTACAGATGGGGTCTGACTGCAGAGATAAGGACTAGCTGCACAGGTGAGGGCTGGCTGCAAGGTGTGTGTGAAAGAAGTACAGCGGCAGTCCCGTCATGGAAGGAACTTGCAAACAGATTTGAACCTGGAACTTGTATATCACACTTGTCCCAGAGTTGCCCTTTCCTTTAATCTCCAAAATCAAACCATTCGTGCCCCCTTACTGGCTATGCTGCACACCCATGGTTCTTGCTGCTGATTCTCCTCTCTTCTGGAAATGCTCAGCACGTGTCCTCTGCAGGAGCGCTGTGTGGTGATGGGTTATGTCAGCCAAAGGAAACGAATCCAGGAGCCAAAGTGTCCACAGGCAGATGTCAGTTTTGTGAGGGCAGACCTGGGGACCACTGCCGTAAGGGCCTCAGATCAAAGACAGAAGACCACACCCAGCAGAGCCGTGGACAAAGGCACCAACCTAGAGAAGAAAAGTGGTCAGGGCTCTGCAGCTATGTCCTGCGGCAACTCAGCCCCTCAGGGCTGCTGCTGGGGACGCAGTTCTAAGCAGCAAATCTGAGCACGCTCTGCAGCCAACATCCCTCCCATGTCCTGTGACTACTCCTAGGGCAGAACTCCTCACCAGGCAGCCGACTCATCCTTCTATCCATTTTTTAATTAATTCATTCATTTATCTCTCTGCCCACCGTTCCTCACCCGGCGTGTTCATTTCTGCAGCCTTAAGAGCTCCACTTACTGCACAATCCACAATCCACCCTCCGTCAACATTGGCAAGTGACTTGCCCAATGACGGTGTCATCACACAGCTGGTCAGAGGCTGCATCTGGCTTTGAACCCGGGTCTGCTGGCCCCAGGGTCCCTGTAGCCGTCATGATATTTGTCCTCCATTCCTCCCGGAGAGCATCTCCTCCCCTTGGCAAATGCTTGCTAGTGCTTAAGAAAAAGCTCAAAGTGTCCCTTCCTCCATGGAGCCCTCAAGGCCTGCTCCAGGCAGTTTTCACACCTCCCTTCTCAGGCTCCCAGGATGCTCTGTGGTTGCTCCAGCCACACTGATGAGATCCTGTGATTCCGTGTTTGTCCCCTGAGGGCAGGGACTGGATCTCGTTGATCTAGATGTGCTTAGCACCCATGCAGGTCCTGGTATATTGTAGGTACTCAATAAATGCTCCAAGAGTGAATACATGAATGAAAGAATGTGCAGGGATGTCTCTGTGTGCCCTAGAAGGCCCTCCTCTTTGCAATGTGTGTGGCTGACCTTTCCACCCAGTGGGGTGCGGGCTGCCAATGTCACAAGTGGCAGACCTTTTTTTCCCTTCTCCTGGGTAACTGCTGTGAAGGAAGAGTCAGGTGGCCAGGGGCTTCCAGCCACTCCCGGGGTGGCTGTATCGAATCCAACAGAGGACTGCTGGGAGGGGAAAAGGGAATGTGAAGATGCGGGGATCCTTCCTCCTCTCTGAGGGGCTGGGCCTGAGTTCCCACTCACCAAGACTGAACAGAGCATGTTAATCCTCGGTGGCTATTTTGAGCCCTTTGTGATTAATTTCCGTGAAAGGTTAGAATCCAAAAGGAGGAAAAAAGTCGATGGCTAATCTATTAAGCTCCTGGGGTAAATTAATTTACATGTTTTTAATGATTAGTTTCTACCTGAGCATTCTAGAAATTAAGTGGACCTGAATCACGGAGCACATTCCCAGTTGGGCTCATGTAAGTAAGGACCAAGGTAGGAGGGTGGACACAGGAGCACCTTATCCGGCATGAGAATGACATGAGGGAACTCCCCAAGGCCCGAGCTCCTTGCTTCTCAGACATTTTCCTTGGCGATAAACTGCCTGCCTCAGTCTGTGGAGGACAGAGACTCTCCAATCCATCTTTTCTGGAGATAAACAAACCCTGCCCAAGTCCTCTGTGATGAATAAATGGCAGGAAATATCTCTGCCCATTTCTCCAACTCAAAGTGCAAAGTCGACAAGCCTCCACCTCCAGGGACTGCTGTACCCCAACCCAGTGAAGTCCCAGGCAGTCCCAGGGCAACACAGTTGGCCAGGGATGCAGGAAGAAGAATAACCAGGTGGCTGGGACCTCTTTTGGCAGGTGATTTGGGGCTAAATTGGAGGCTCCATAACGCTGTTTTGAGTTGCAAATAGTGGAGCCCCTGTTGGTTCCGTTGGTCACTGCACTAGGTTGAATCATGTCCTTCTGAAATTCATGTCTACCCAGAACTTCAGAGTGTACCTTATTTAAGAATAGAGTCATTGCAGATGTGCTTTGTTAAGATGAGGTCATACTGCATTAAGGTGGACTCCATTCAGATAGGATCAGTGTCCTTATGAGAAGAGAAGAAGAGGCACAGACAGAGGGGGGATGGCTGTGGGAAGATGGAGGCAGAGACGGGAGTGATGCAGCCACAAGCGAAGGACTGCCAGAGTCACCGGAGCTAGGAATGGATGAGGAAGTCTTCTTCCCTAGAATCTTCGGATACACGGGGTATTAGTTTGTTTTCACACTGCTATAAAGAAATACCTGGGACTGGGTAATTTATAAAGGAAAGAGGTTTAATTGGCTCACAGTTCCGTGTGGCTGAGAGGCCTCAGGAAACTTACAATCAATCATAGCAGAAGGCGAAGCAGGCACGCCTTACATGACGTCAGGAGAGAGGAGAAAGTGAAGAGGCAAGAGCCTCTTATAAAACTATCAGATCTCATGAGAACTCACTCACTCACACGAGAACTGCATGGGGGAAACTGCCCCCCTGATCCAATCACCTCCCTCCCTCAACACATGGGAATTACAATTAGAGAGGAGATTTGGGTTGGGGATACAAAGCCAAACCATATCACATGGTGTAAATGAAGCTACCCTGCCTCTCTATTGCTCCTGGAATCGAGGCTTGCAGAGGTGCCTGTCTGCACCCATCCTGGAGATGCATGCTCCCAGTTGTCCATTCATGCACACCCATGGGAACCTCTCCCGAGGTGGCGGTGGAGCACATGGGGACTCTGCCCACCCTACAGTGGTGAGTGTTGCGAGGAGTGGACCCTGGAGGGCTCTGCTGTTGTGGGGCTGTTTCTTCACGCAGCATGGAGGCTCTGGGATGACAGAACTGGCTTCTCCTCCTCCTTGTTACCCCTCCCAGTGATGCCTGCTCAGGCAGAGTGAACAGGCAGAGGGCCCACCCTCCCCTTCTGCACTGTCGTGGCCACACAGCTCCAAAGCCCTCTGCTCTGCACCTGCCTGGCCTCTCATCTCCCGTGGAACTCAGGCTTGCCCGCTGCATTCCCTCAGCATCAAGCAGTGTCCAGGGAGCATGAACAAGATAAGGGGCTCGGGCCAGGGTGTCTGAGGCCAACAGAGGGAGCTGCTTGCAGAGGAAAGGGCACAGGTTTTGGTTTCATTTATTCACTGTCACAATGCCGGCAGCACTCAGAGCCACCGCCAGGAGGGTTGCGGAGAATCGAAGGGGCGTGAACAGCTTTGCACCATGTGACTCTTTTTGATGATAGTCACCAGCAATACCTTCTGGGGACGGTGAGTTGTGAGGGCAGAGGACGTGTGTGGGAGATTCTGTCTGGGAAGCTTCTCTTCCTCTTCTAAATTTCCCCTGGGGAGGGATAGTCAGATATTTTTGTAATAAAGCTGCTTAACAAAACCCCCCAAATCTCAAAGGCTTACAACAGTGAACACGGAATTTTCTTGTTCGTGGTCTGCAGGTGGTTCTGCTGGAGGTGTGGGTCAGGCTCGAGTTGACTCCATGTGGCTGTCCTTCTGGGTTCAGTGCACTTTGGAGCAGGACACTTTCATGGCAGGTGGCAGAGGTGTTAGAGGGACAAGTGGCCTCATGCAATGCCTCTGAAGGACTCAGCTTAGAACTGGCACTTGGTTAGTTCTGCCACCATGTCATGGACCAAAGCAAGTCACAAAGCCAAGCCCACAAGGGTGGGATGGACAGAGTATCCATCCCCAGGAGAGCTGTGGCCAGGGAGGGGAGGGAGGGCAAAACTGTAGGCAAACAATACAATCCCCCCATGGGAATTATTTCCCTGTGTGTGTGCAGCCCTGCCCTCCTGCAGTGGAGGCTGAAAGGGGCCCTGGAGGTTTCCACTTAAACTATGTTGGCACTTGGAATAATAATACAAAGATCTGGCCTCTCACATCATCTAGGTACAACCACGGAACCTACAGTCGCTGGATCAAGCTCTCCCTGCCCAGTGCTGTGAATCATGACTGGAGTGAGGGAAAACTGTATAAATGGCTGCAAACCAAGCCCACTGGTTACAGACAGTGTCTGCTAGCTGTAGACCACGCCTGTTGGTTACAAACCAAGTCCGATGGTTCTGGGGCACAAGACAGTCCCCATGACTAAGAATGACCCAACCACAAACGCCGGCAGTGCTGTGGTGAAGGAGCCACGCAGGAGAATGGAGGTGGTAAAAGCAGGCTCACCGGGGTCAAACTGTCCAGTTTTAAGTTCTGGATCCAACTTTTACGAATGCTATGGACTTGGAAAATTATAACCTTTCACCGAGCCTCAGTTTCCCCATCTGTAAATAATGGGATGATAACGGCACCTGCCTCCTGATGCAGAGTTGGCTCGGCGCAGGGCAGCCAGGGCAGCATCCCCAGCCCTCTGCACCTCCGGACGGTGAGAGCTCCCTGCTTAATAACGAGCCGGGCCCGGGGACACTTACCCTCTGTCTTGCCTCGCATAAGTCACTTCATCCTTGCAAGGAGCAGTCTCTGGGTTCGTGTTAAAAATCGAAGCTAAAAACCAGTGATTCTTTTAAGGGTGATGTTGAGCTTAAACCATGTTGGGACTTGGAATAATAATACAAAGAAGAACTGACTCCAGGGAGGACTTTCTGGGCTAGCACTGTGCTTTGTGCCTGGCAAGCACCCTCTCGTCTCATCCTGGGAGTAAGGACATGTTAACTTAGCAGAGACGAAGAAATTGAGGCTCAGCGAGCGGGAGGGCCTTGCCGAGGACACAGCTGGCAAATGGCCGTGTGACCAGAGCCTGCACTTGCAGCGAGACTTCTGTGCTCGCTCTGGTTTCATCCTTTAAGAGGAACACCCTGCAACGGCCCCGGGGAAGCCCCCCTGCCTTCCTTCACCCCAGGGACCCCAGGAACATTAGCCAATAATGAGAATTTCTGGTTTCCCTCTCCCATCTCATGTCAGCGTTCGGCTAAAAACCTTCCATCAGCATCAACCCTAATGTTTTCAGGCGAGTCTTTAAATTAAATTCCGTGGAAATGGTTTCATTTCAATGAATCAGATTGGAATGGCTGGGAGCAATCCTAGCAGGAGAGCAGATGCTGCGAGGGAGGCACGGAACCAGGGCCAGCGGGCCTCTTGGCGTCTTCCCGCCCCACCAACTGCCCGTCAGCTCCCATTTGGTGGAGGCCGTCGCCCAGAGAACCAATAAGGGTGACATCTCAAGCATGTGAGCAGAACCACAGTTGGAAAGATAATGTTTGCTCAGCGTCCCGAGGCAGGTGCCCAGCAGAGCTTCCTGGCGGGGCCTCCGGGTGCAGCGCTGAATTGACTGTCTAGTCCCATTAGTGTCTGAGGCCAGCCTGGTCCTCGCAGCCACTGTCTGTGCTCACAAAGAACATGGATCTCTGGCTCTGACCCGAGGCCTCCAAAGCCTAAAGTGTGGGAGAGGCAGCCAGGTCGTGTCGCACGTTGGGACATCTCGCTATGCGACAGTGCCTACTCATCACTGCTTGAGCAGAACCCACCGTGCTTGCCCGGCCTCCGACCGTCCTGGGCTTGAACCCAGCTCCATTGCTAGGTGAATGTGTGATCTTCATCAGCCTAATTTCCCTGTTTCCAAAATGGGAGTGATACTTCCCGTCTTAGAGGACAGTTGTGAGAGGCAGGACGGGGCAGGGGCCAGAGCACCCACCCTGGACCTAGAATGCCTGTGTGGGCATCTCAGCGATGTCATTACCCACTGAGGTACCTGGTGGTGACTCATGTCCGATCAGAAGGACCTCCTTGGGGTTTTACAGTGTGGGATGAACCGAAACAGCATACACAAAATACTTCAAAGAGTCTCCAGAACATACAAAGCATCGGCCAGGCCATTTATTAGATCCTTCCTGCATCCCCACAGGCAGTGCCCAGGAGACGTTTGTGGGAGGAATGCAGGATCCTGTCACCTGGTCAGGAAGACACCGTCATCTGTCTGGGCTTGCAGGGGGTCAGAGTGGTGGCAGAGGGCAAAGAAGATGCACAGATGCTGCCTCCAGGGCCTGGGAGCATCACACTAGGTCCAGGGCTTAACACCTTTGCAGGACGTTTCGTGGCGGAGAAGGATGGGGCAGCATTGAGGGTGCAGGAGCAGCAGCAGCAGCAGCAGCACAGGCAGGGAGGCCTGGAAGGGCAGCTCCCAGGGGGAACCTGCGGCTGGACAGCTGCAGAGAGGACTGACCCAGACCCCCTTCAGTGTCGGGTATGGTGGCTCAGTGCCTCGGGCCCACAGTGATTTCAGGACTCCCGAAATGTTTTAATTGCTTTTAAAATCAAAAGGAAACACATGAACTTTTAGGTTGAGGAAAAATGTTTTCAGTATATAAATCAATAGATTCCTGTTTATACCAATGCCATTGTAATATATATGTTTTAATGTTTTTTTAGCGGAAGGAGGGCCCGGGAAACTCATGCTGTGACCTGATAAATGGCATGCAGAGGAGTGTGCGATTTTCTCAGGCCAGCCGTGGGGAGCTGTCAGAGCCGTCCAAATTAAAGACATTAAGAAAGGACCTTTGGAGATGGCAAACAGGTGGGTGGGGCAAAGGATCCTAGAGAGGATACATTCAAGGGGCGCCAGTGCCCCCAATGAGGCATTGGGCATGGTTTGTTCCCTTGTGGTGAGGATGGACATTTGCTGGGGGCAAGGACAGCAGAAGCTCCTTCCCTCTGCACCTGCTGGCCAGCAAAGGGGCGGAGCCTGTGGTCCGAGGCTCCCAGTTCTGTTCGGGAGTTGGTTTACCTGTCTGTGTACGATCTTCTACCTTCTACCTTCCAGGGCAGGGGCCACAGGAGAGTCTTGCCAATTCTTGTATTCCTGGAGTTGGGCACAGAGTGCCATTCTTATCAGGACTGGAAATACTTAGTTTTGAGTCATTATTGAATTATTCCCTTGACTTTTGAGTTAAACATTCCCCATGCCCATGGGAAGGAATGGCACACATTGTCCCTAGATCTTTGGAGGGGAGAAGGGGTTGTCCTCCCACTCACCAAGAGTCTGTTGGGTGCGGCCACTCTGAAGGTAGATAACTGTGCTGTAATATTGGGGGAACAGGCCTGAGTGCCATCCTTCCTGTTATCTTCCATCAGGGTGTCCCCTCGAGCAGGAATTTTCTCTCCAGAGTATACATGAGTTCTCAGTAGGTGGGATGGCAGTCAGGCCAGCCAGAAGCCAACAGGCCAATCCGTTCTCGGGGCCTTGGCATCAGTCAACAGAGGAATTTAATGAGTGCCTTTTAATCATTTATTCTAAAATGGATGAATGTTTGCTGCTAACATCCAAACACTCACATGCTTTATAAATGACTCAGCCTTAATTTGGAAAGACAGACGAGCCTTGATAAAAATGAGCCTGGGAACAAATGGCTTCTTTACTTAAAACTTGGACCCGGCCGGCGAGCGTGGGCTGCCACTTGCTGGGTCACTGTCCGGGTTAAGGACGCTGTCGTTAGTGGAGACAATGCAGGTCACAGCTGTGCAAACAAAGAGATGACAGAGGGGCATCAGGCACGGAAGGGCATCAGGCATAACAAGGAATGGGATTGGCCCCAGTGCCTGCCTCGACCTGTCTGGTGGCCACGAGCAGTGGCTTTGCCATAGTGTGCCAGGTAATGGAAACCAAGGACAGGCTGGTGACCATGGCTTTAACATATAAGGAGGGACTGAGTCAGGAGGACAGTGGGGAGAACTTCAATCACAACAGAAAGAAAGATGCCGTAGGGTGGAGATGCCTGGATTTCAGGAGTGCTTTTGATCATGATGAGTATTTGGGTTTCTAGGATGGTGGAATGGATTCTTTCTGTCAGATGAGAACTGGACAACATGACCTCACAAGATCCTTCTTTTCCTAAAGACTCTGGGACTCTGTGGATTCCTGGGAACCTTCCGAAGAGTCAGTAGAAGCGGAGCTCCATCACCCCCATATTCCACATTCTCATAACCACCAGCTGGATTTGCTCTCACAGTGACCTCTTTTCACTCCTTCCTGAGATGTTTCTTGAGCTGGAGACCTGGCTGAGCACTTGCATTTGTCTCTGCAACATCCATCAAACCATTTACATGAGTCTTTGCATCACCTGGAAAGCAGAGCCTGAAGCAAGGGTTCGAATGCGGATCCTGGATTTGGAAGGTGCAAGCCCAAGGTGGTGAGTGAGGGGTAGATGGAGGCCAGGCAAGAGAAAGTACAGAGCTGGTGCTGGGGTGCGTGACCTTGCTCTTCCATCTTCCACAAAGAGCCGCAGAGAAACTAGCAGGCATGAGAAAGAGCCGCGAAGAAGCCAACAGGTGTGTTTGCTCAGAACATGTGCCTTCTCTGGAAGATTCGTAAAGGGAGATGGTACCTTGGGGATGTCTGTGAAGAGGAGGAGGGGTGGGGACCTATCTGTCCCTCTGGCCTCCTATTTTCCATTGGGAGCTAATTTCCACGATCCCTTGAATGCTGTCATTGCTCCTCCAGCAGCTATAGGGGAAGCCAGACCCACCCATCACTCTGTATTGTGACATTTTATCCAAGTTTTATCTTGGAGGGACAACTTAGTATGCTGGGGACACTAACCAAGAGAGAGGGGAGATGAAGGTGGTTGATGGAACCTGGGACGGTGCCTAAAAGCGTCAGCTTATGTTTACAAACACCGTGCAGGGAAGGACTCTTATGTGAACAAGCTATGCGATAGGGCCCTGCCTTCAGGGAACTGGCAGCTGAGGAGGAAATCTCCATAGCCAGGAAATGACAGTAACTGGTGAATGAATCATTAAATAATAATAGCAAGTAGAATTTGGAGGACAGCTATGGGGTGCTCACAAGTGTGGCCAAATACACAGACGCCAAGTATCTAAGATCTTTTTTCCCTCTTCCATTTGCTTAGGATTTTTTTCAAAGCGCAGCCAGACTTTGGAGAAAGAGCTTGGATGTTGAGAAAAACCCTCTAAACTGACATAACTGGGTTATTTGGTTAAGTGAAAGTTGGACAAAGTGGGGAAAGATAAAAAAATGCAACATGGGTGCCATACATATTTTCGTTTTAACATGAAACATATAACACGATGTCATTTTGTTAGTCATTTGCTATAAGGCAAAGCCCTTTTCTTTGAGCACAGCTCCCCTGATTGGAATTCCAATCTCTCTCTCCCTCTCATAAAACACACTTGTAATATTCAATCTTTCATTTCTAGTTTAGGTTTCTTTGGGGTGGACTGAGAACTTGAAGTCATATATAAAATAATCTGAGGTTAGAATCCTTTTAGATTCATATGATTTATTTTCCGATCTTTCATGGTTGACTTGCCCAACCTAATTCAACTGCAATAGATTTAAGAACTTACCTTTATCTATTCTTTCCAAAGCAGTTGATGCAGTTTTCAGAGCTGCAGCTCTCTTTTCATACTTAGAGCGATGGGCTTATGTAATGTTTAACTCAATTACCTCATTACAATAACAAAGGCCACTGGTATAAGCAGGTTTGGGAACAAAACACAGAGGACTCTGGGTTGGTGCATTAGCTTCCTGGGGCTGCCCTAACAGGTACCACTAACCAGGAGGCTTAGAGCAACAGATATTTGTTCTAGATGCCAGAAGTCCAAGTGAAGAGGTTCCCTGGAGTGCTGGGTTGGTTCCTTCCGGAGGCTGCAATCTGTTCCACGTCCGTCTACCACAATTCTTTCTGTTTCTTGGCTGTAAAAACATCACCCCGGTCTCCATCTCCACCCTCACATGGCCTTCTCCTTGTGTGCGGCTGTCTGTGTGTGTCTTCCCCTCTTCTTATAAGGACACCAGTCATATATATTGGATTAAGGTCTGCTCTAATCCAGTAGGACCCTACTTAACTTGTTTGCATCTGTAAAGACCCTATTTCCAAATACGGTCCCATTTATAGGTTCCAGGGGTTAGGAGCTCACTGTATCTTTTTGGAGGGGTCTTTTGAATGAGACCCATGTCTTATTCAACCCTTCATGATGAGCTGCACATTCCAGTGGGAGCAGAAGGGCACAGGCTGACTGCCAAGCAGCCGGCCACTGGAAGGCCAGGGCGAGCACAGGGTGGTGGTGTGGTCTGCAGGGGGGCAGTCCAGTGAATTTGTTAAATGTAGTACAGTTAAGAGCGCTTCAGCCATCTGGGGTATTTGCAGCTCGGGATCCCACAGTTCTGGGATATCTTTGCAATATCAGAAGGACCTTAGCCTAAGGCTGGAATGTGGGAATCAGCTCCCGCTGCCTGGTTGGGGCCGGAGAAAGGGCCCAGTTCTCATGGGAAGCCAGAGGAAGAAACTTTCTCTCTGAGGGAACCAGAGGGTGTGGAGGGGCATCAAAGGAAGACCTTGGCCCTGTGGCCTTCGGCTATGACCATGGGCAGGTAAAGCCTTCAATGTCACCAGAATTCACCCAGGGGCAGTGGTTAGCCAAGACAAAGACCAAGCCAAAGTCTTCTTCCCACTGGTGCCTCCCCAACTTTCATCATCACCAAGTCATGACAGTTTCACTCCTTAAGCATTTCTCAAATCCCTCTGCTACCTTTTGGTTCTTTGAATCCCAAGCTGACCCCAAAGTGAGGTATGATAAAAGATTCCCTAAATCTAGCACTGGTCAGGGCAATCCAGGCCTCATCGGGGTTGATCCCAAAGGACCACGATCTCTCAACAAAAGTCAGGGAGAGGGAGGCCACAGGAATGCCTGGGCATGAGGGGGACAGGGCTGAAAGAAGGAGGTTTCTGGGAAGAAAAGCCGCGGAGTGTGTGTTAGATTCTTTCTACTGACCTCAAAGACTGTGTTGGCAGCCACAGAGTGAGGACTGAAGTTGACAGCTGGCTGTGTTCCTCCAAGACCTCGGTATACCTGCCTCTCTCGCCTTCTACTGTTGCAGGACGCATACCTGCCATCATCACCAGCCACAGTTTTGGCCCAGTCAGGCTGCTGTAACAAAACACCACAGACTGGTGGCTTGCCAACAGCAGAAATTTCTTTCTCACAATCCTGGAGCCTCTGAAGTCCAGGGTCAAAGCTCGGGCAAATTCAGGGTCTGGCGAGGACCCCTTTCCTCGTTCACAGACGGTGACTTCTCTTTGTGTCCTCATGTGGTGGAAGGGGTCAGGGGTCTCTCTCGGGGCTCTTTTCTATGGACACTTGTCCCATTTATGAGGCTCCACCCCCATGACCTCATCACCTCCCAAAGGGCCCACTTCGTCATACCATCCCCTCGGGGTTCAGATTTCAATGTATGGCCAGGCGCAGTGGCTCATGCCTATAATCCCAGCACTTTGGGAGGCCGAGGCGGGTGGATCACATGAGGTCAGGAGTTCGAGACCAGCCTGGCCAACATGGTGAAACACTGTCTCTACTAAAAATACAAAATTAGCTGGGCGTGGTGGCACGTGCCTGTAGTCCCAGCTACTTGGGAGGCTGAGGCAGGAGAATTGTTTAAAATCAGGAGGCGGAGGTTGCAATGAGCCGAGATGGTGCCCCTACACTCCAGCCTGGGCAACAAGAGTGAGACTCTGTTTCAAAAATAAAAAGATTTCAATGCATAAATTTTGGCAGGGGGTGCGCGAACATTCAGACCACAGCACACACCTTCTCCTGGGGCAGGGCACACCAATCTTTTGCTGCTCCCTGCTGCCTTGTCCTGGTTCCTTTCATGATTAGAACTTAAGAAAATGGAGCCTCAACACTTCTCCAGTAAAAAATGGCCTTGTGCAACATTGCCCGTGGAAACCAGGCAGACACCTTCGCGGGGTGAGGGGCTTTCCCGCCTTGGGTTTGGGCTTACTGCAGCTTCGTGCGTGCGGCTTCTCGGAGCAGCTGGGGCAGCCCTTTGCTTGGCAATGTTCTGGTTAGAGAGGAGTGTGTGCCCTGCTTAGCCCGGGGACTGAGGTGTGAGGATGCTTTGTACTAGGGTTGGGATGCCTTCTGTCTTCACGCCCACAGCCCAGGCTCTGGGACAGGCACAGGACCACAGGCCGGCAACGTTGTGAGACCAGCACAGCTTTTCTCCAGTTCCCTTAGGTGAGCAGCTCTCACCGTGGGGCAACCTGTGTGTGTTTGTAAATGTGTGTGTTTGAGCACAGATGCATCTGTGCATTTGGCAGGCAGTCGGGGGGTGGTGGAACCAGACATACCTGGATTTGCACCTCCGCTGTGCTTTTGGCCAACTCTGGGAGCTCGCTGTTCACGGCACCTGCCATCCCAGCCCCTTGGCCTTCCGTCCTGAGAAGGAAGAAGAACAAGGCTCCCCTCAGCACTGCAGAAGCTGGAGGTGCCCACCTCAGTGCCTCCCACTCCAGGACTTGAGTGGACGCTCGGGCAGAGAGCAGGGTCGGGTTTCGAAGCCTGCCCCTCTCACCAGCCCTCTGCATAATCTCCAGTAGTGCCAATTCATTTTTCCCATCCTTCCACAGTTTACTTATCTGTAAAATGGGGATAATGACAAAGGTTATTCAAAGAATTAAATAAGATCACATGTGCTATTTAAACACCCACTAGTGTGAGCTGTGGCTGTGATGAGGGCTATAAAGTCTCCTGGAACCTCAGAGACACATTGAATTACTATCATTGCTACTATTATTAGTTGATGAGTAAGTAATTTTTGAGTGAGACTTTAAGATGGGAGGCAGAGCTGGCACAGAGAGCCCCCCTCACCACACAGCATACACCATAAAGTGCACACACACACACACACACGTGCAAGCTCACACACACCACCGTCCACATACACGTGCCAAGGCTAAAAGCAAGAAAGCAAAATTCCAGGGTCCCAGAAAGCAAGAGGAAACCGGAGCCGTGAGGGCACTAGAAGCCGGGGGCTCCTGGGGTCGCTGGGCCAATGAGCAGGGCCTGGGTTCGGGCTTGGCCTACACCATGGGGAGAGCCGAGACTCAGGCCCCGTGGAAGAAATAGCAGAAGTAATGAAAGGGATAAATTACACTCCGGGAAGCACAGAAAATAGGACAACTTCAACGGAACGTTAAAATAAGTGTGTTTAAAGTATTTCAAGAGATAAAGGGAAGAAAAGACACCACAAAGCAAGAACACGACATTATGGGAAAAATACAGCAGGGGAGTCTGAAAGGGAAGAAAGTAGAACCGCAGAAATTAAACGAAATGAAACGAAGCGGACACGTTGACCGCCAAGTGGAGTTAGTGATTTGAAGAAACCATTCAGGAATCAGACAGAGGGGCTTCAAGGCTCAGACAAAAGGAGGAGCACATTCAATGTCTACCAGACAGGAGGTCCCGGAGGAGAGCCTGGAGCAACTCAGAAGAGGCAATATTTAAAGCCACCAGGGCTGAGAACGTTCCAGAACTGATGAAAAGCATGAGGCAGATGGGAAAAGCAACACCTTGAGCAGGATAAGGAAAAATAAATCCCCAAGTAGACACAGTTTTGCTTCACGTTTGGTGACTGCAATTCAAAGAGAAAAAATTTAGCTTCCATCAGAGGGAATAAAAGAGCAATTTCGGACACTGCTGGGGGGGATGTAGATTGATAAACCTTTTGGGGAAGATAATTTGGCACAACAGATACACAACCTTTACAGAGCCCACAAAACCATTTACTTGTGATATTCACTTCTGGAAATTTGTTCTAAGAAAATAATTGTTGATGTGTACAAAGATTGAAATTTGGCTGTGTTTGTCGTGGTCAAAAAAGAGGAAAGAACCTAATTTATTTCTAAAGAAATATATACAAACTATGGTACTAGCCATAAACCAAATTTTATGACCTAACCATAAAAATTATACTTAAAAGAGTATTTAATGATGTGGCAAGATGAACATGAAATATTATGAATTTGAAGAAAAAGCAGATGGCAAAACTGTATGTAGCATGTTCTTACTTTGGCTTTGCATGAATTCGTGTTTGTGTGTGTTTGTGTGTGTGTGTGTGTGTGTGTGTGCGTGCATGTTTGTAATTAGAAGGATTTGACTGACATTTTACCGTCATTTTATTCTGGGTCTTTGTGTTTTGTATATATGTGTTTTCTGCGTTGTCTATAATAGACACGTATTAATATTGTTGTAATGAATTCCCAGCCCCTTGTAGACTCCTTACTGGGAAGACCACTAACAGCACCAGGAGGAAATGCTGCAGCTTGCCTCAAATCCTGGTCCAGCCGCGTGTCTGCTGGTGACTACAACAACCCTCTTAACGGATCTGAGCCTTCGTTCCCTCATCTGTGAGGTAGGGCTGAGGGTGCTGTCCACCTGCCCAGGCTGGTGGGGAACGTGCAATGAGATGATCCCTGTAACATGCTTGGCATGAAGCTAGGCACAGTGTAGGTGTGAATATATGAGAGCTGATTAAATTAACCAACCTTATTCCTCCGCATCATGACTTACCAGCTACTACCCCACCTGTGTCCTGTAGAACCAGGCTTGCAAAGCCTCTGCTACATACTAAAGCCAGGGAGAGGCCACTGATGGGCAAAAAGAGGAGGACAGAGACCTGGAAAACACTAACAAGGGCCCAGTATATGCATAGGAAGCAGACGGCTGATGTTCAGGTGGAGTTCAGGTTCAGTATGCTCCAGCAGCACCCATCGGAGAACCCATTGGTAAGAGGCTTTGGAACAGATGATTTTCTAAAGCTATAACTGTGGGTGGCTTATAGGGGTAGTGTGGCCACTGTGACACATAGGTCCCATGCCATACAGGACCTTGGAGCCCTGTCCAAAGCAGTGATGGGAAATGCACGTGACTGGGGGCTCTCAGTCTAGGGGAACTAGGAGGGCTTCAGATCCCAGAGCCTGGCTGAAGCCCCAGCAGGACCACAGTGATGTCTTGTCTTGGGAAAGTGTGTGCCCTGCCCCCAGAGACACCTGGACTTTTCAGCTCAGCGCTGCGGCAAGCACCCTAGCACATGCCACCCAGGGCTTCCCAGAGGGTGGCCCCGAGTCAGGCAGTACACTAAAGGTTGGGACTCAAGTGGAAAGTTTGCTGAGAGAGTGAACAGGGGAAGTTGTTGATCCTGGCCTCATCTGCCATTGCTCTCTGGGCACCCTGGCGCTGAGCCAGCCTCGGCTGCTGGCCTCCCTCAGCTGCTGGCCTCCCTCAGTTGCTGGCCTCCCTCAGCTGCTGGCCTCCCTGCTGGGGGTCTGCACCAGGTAGAGTGCTGTTTGGCTGAGATTCACACACACAAAAAATCTCATTAAGCGGTGGATTAAACAAAATTGGGGCTTATTTCTTTCTCTTATAACAAAAGCCCAGAGGTAGGTGGCTGTATTAGTCAGGGTTCTCTAGAGGAACAGAACTAATAGGATCTACGTATATACGAAAGGGAGTTTATTAAGGAGAATTGACTCAAAGGATCACAAGGCGAAGTCCCACGATAGGCCGTCTGCAGGCGGAGGAGCAAGGAAGCCAGTGGTGGATCAGTCCAGGTCCCAAAACCTCAAAAGCAGGGAAGCCAACAGTGCAGCCTTCAGTCTGTGGCCAAAGGCTCAAGAGCCCCCAGCAAGCCACTGGTGTAAGTCCAAGAGTCCAAAAGCTGAAGAACCTGGAGTCTGATGTTCAAGGGCAGGAAGCATCCCGCGTGGGAGGAAAGATGAAAGCCAGAAGACTCAGCAAGCCAGCTTCTTCCACTTTCTTCCACCTACATTTTTTAAGCTGCGCTGGCAGCCCATTGGATGGTGCCCACGCAGATTGAGGATGGGTCCACCTCTCCCAGTCCACTGACCCCAGTGTTTATCTCCTCTGGCAACACCCTCACAGACACACCCAGAAACAATACTTTTCATCCTTCAATTCAATCAAGTTGACACTCAATAATCACATCAAGCATCCAATGGACAGTCATCTGAACACCTCTCCAGATACATCGCCACTGTGCAGGGCTTGGGCTGGCAGAGGGTGCTGCATAAAGACCCAACTTCAAAAGGGAATGAGAGAAACAGAGCAGTTCATGATGCCCCAAGTCTCCCTTTAAAATCCTTCCGAGCAGGAATTATCACAAAGACTCCCCACCCTGGCAGCAGGGTGAGCTCCTTGGTGACCCCACAGGCAGCCCTGGCCCTGCTCTCTGAAGCACTTCCCGGGCTTGTCATCCCGTGTCCCCTGGCTTTGTGCCCTGGAAGGCCCTTCCTTGTGCAGCACCCCTCATGGCTCAACTGAAGCAAGCGTAGGATGCTACACTCCTTGGGCAATACACAGATTTTGCAGCCATCTTCTCCAGATATAGTTTTGAAGACCATCACAGGCTATTGTAGGCCCCACTTGTGGCACATTTTTGGACAGTAACAGCCCCTCAAAATGTATTTGCTTCCTGTCTGTTCCATGTGCAAGTAACCATCCCCTCAATCTGCTTACAGTCATGATCTTAAACGGACCAAGTCTCCTTTTCTGTTTCCAGGATTTCTTGGTTGACCAGGTCTACGCTTCTGCACTAGTTCTCAAGAGCTGCTGTAACAAAGTGCCACAAACTAGGTGACTTAAAACAACAGGAAGTGATCCTCTTATAGTTCTGGAGGCTACAAGTCAGAAATCAAAGTGTTGGCAGGGCCACGTGCCCTCAAAGGCTGTAGGGGACAATCCGCTCCTTGCTCATCCAGCCTCTGCTGGTTTCTAGCAGTCTTGATGTTCCTCGGCTCCTGCCAGCATCCTTGAAATCTCCGCCTTCATCTTCGCATGGCTTTCTTTCTTGTTTCGGTGTCCAAGTTTCTTCCTTTTTATAAGGACACCAGTCCTATTGGATTTAGAGTCCATCCTAATTCATTACGGCCTGATTACAACTGCTAAGACCCCTTTTTTAAAAAATAAGGTTACATTCACAAGTTCCAGGTGGACATTAATTACAAGGCAACACTATTTAACTCGGTGCACCCTCTGTCTTTTTATTTCATGATGTCTCCCCAAGGCCTTCTGAAACAGTAGGCTTGGTAGGGAGGCAGCACTCTTGCTCAGCTCATGGAAGCTAAGGAGGCACCTAGAGACCCTTGCACCTACTGCTGCCTGAGATACAGGAGCAGATGGCTTTTCTAATCTTGTGAGAATCCAGACTTCTGGATTTTAAATCAATTTAGATTGCAGGTCTCAGCTTGTAAGCTTCTCTTAACCGAAGTCAATTTTCTTCTATACCTGTTTACAAAGCCATGGGTTCTCACCTGAATTTCTCTCTTTTGTATTTTGCTAAAAGCAACAAAGAGCAGCCAACACTCTGAGTTTTTCCAGCAGATTCCTGGTGAGACAAAGTCGAGAAGGTGGATAGGAAAGTGGTCTGCTTTCCAAGTTATCCCAGGGGACAGGTCTACCAAAATTTGCAAAACACAGCAAGGGTGAACAGCTTCCAAACCTGCAGCGTCTAGACCCTCACCTCCTGCACCAACTGCTACGCCAGTGGTGTACATTTTAGTTCTTCGTTTTGGTAGCACCCCACTTCTGGCACTAGTTTCTGTATCTGTTAGGGTAGAAGCTAAGCTGCTAAAATAAAGAGACCCAACCATAGTGATTTTGATAATGCAGATCTTTTCACTCTCTCATTTTACCATGCAGGGGTGAAAAACCAGGGCTGGAAGGTGGCTGGGTCACCTTTAACTTGTTGTTACATGACCACACGGAGCTGCAAGGGAGGGTGGGTTATGCAGTCTGAAGCCAGACCACGTGCACAGCCAGAATGTGTATGGGGTTCTACTAAGTTTGAAAAGGAAAAAAGGCATCACTGATATCAGAAGATTGATTTTCAATTTTTCTCGATCATGTATTTGGCGCTTTATTGAGCTTCCAATACCAAATCTCCCTGGCTCCGTGCTGCCATTTCTGCCTGAATATTTTCAAGGAAACTGAGCACCAGAGGTGTAGAGTAACTTTCCTGAAGTCACAGAGCAATGTGGAGGTAGAGGTGGAGTCAGTGTCCAGATCTACCAGGAGCCAATCAGTCTGAGTCTATCTGGGCGGCTACCACAAAATACCACAGACTGAGTGGCCTATAAACAACAGACGCTTACTTCTCTTATTTATCTCTGGAGGCTGGGAAGTCCACAATCACGGGGCTGGCACATTCAGCATCTGGGCAGGGCTACTCTCTCTTTTAACATGGCTCATTTTTGCTGTGTCCTCACATGGGGCTGGCAGATGGCTGGGTCACCCTTAATTTGTTGTTAATTTCCATGGTTCCTCCAATTTGTTGTCACTCTTCCCAAAGGGCAGGGACTGAAAGAGTCTATGGGAGCTTCTTCAGGGACACAACTCAGAAGTTGTATGCATCCCCTCTGCTCATGTTCCAGTGGGCTGAGCTTTGTCACATGACCACATCTAGCTGCAAGGGAGGGTGGGAGATACAGTCTGAAGCCAGAGAGCCATGCGCACAGCTAGAATGTGTGTGGGGCCAGAGGGGATGAACGCTGTGTCCTTACATGGCAGAGAAGATGGAAGGCAAAAGGGACTAGGGTGCTTGCTACAACCTCTTTGATGAGAGCAGAAAGCCATTCATGAGGGGGGAGTTCTCATCATTTAGTAACTTCCCTGAAAGCTCCACCTCTGAATACCATCACTTTGGGGTTTAAGTTCCAACATGAATTTTGGAGGGACACGTACATTCAAACCACACCACAACCTGATGCTCATTTCCTCTTCCCTCCACCACAGGGTGAGACAATCCTGCACCACAGGCAATAAAGAGACCGTGATAAGCAAAACCATCCATCTGGCTGTGGTTTGGCATGCACCCCACTGGTCTCTTGATTTTTCCCAATTTCCCGTCTGGAGGGGGCCATAGCCTAGGCCAGAAGATGTTCTTTTCCCCCCATGAACCTCAACAAATCACCAAGTATGTAATGGAGGAAAACCGAAAATCAATCATCTGATAACAGTTCTGCCTTTTTCCTTGCTATTAGTAGAACTCCACATACCTGCTGTGCCCCTGGCTATCTGGCTTCAGAGTACATCTCCCACCTCCCTTGTAGCTGGATGTGGTCATGTGACAAAGGTCAGCCCAATGGAACATTTGAGCAGAGGGCATGTGTACACCTTCTGAGTCCTGAGACCTAAATGCAACCCATTCTCCAAAATCCAGTTTGCATGCCCCCTCCTCCAGGAAGTCCTCTTTGACTACTGCAGTTTTTTGTTTTGCAATACCCGTTTTCTATAGTATATTGTTTCTGTGTTGTTCCCATTGATACAAATGGTATCCTCTTGAGGGCTGTTTAGCAATTGTTTCATCTTTCCCTAATCCTGAGCCTCCCCTGTGTCTGCCACGGAGCCCATGGCCTGCCCTCACTCCCTGGGTCTTGAGTGGGCTCCCCTCCTCTGTGCCTCCTCTGCTCCCATCCTTACCTGCATCATTGACTTATCCTGATCAACTTTTAAGTCAACTGGTTACTTGTCTGCCTCACCCTCAAGATCACAACCACTTTGACAGCAAGGACTTTGCTTTAAAGTTTTCTAGGGCTGACATAACAAAGCTCCACAGACTCGGGGTCTTGAACAAGAGGGATTTATTTTCCCATAGTCTTCCAGGCTGAAAGTTCAAGATCAAAGTGTCGGCACGGTTGGTGGCTCCCGAGGCCCCGTCCTTGGCTTGCAGATGCCGTCTTCTCCTTGTGTCTTATCATCTTCCCTCTCTGCATGTCTGTGTTCTAATCCCCTCTTTCTATAAGGATGTCAGTCCTCTTGGATTCGGGCCCACCCTAATGACCTCATTTTAACTTAATCACCTCTGCAAAGATCTTATCTCCGAACATAATCACATTCTGAGTCCTTGGGGGTTACAGCTTCAACATGAATTTTTTTTGGGAAACACAAAACAGACTTGTTCCTTGTAGCCTACGTGCTCTGGCCCCTAGTACAGAACCTCTCTAATGGGCCATGTGGTAGCAGTCACTGGGTACCTGAATGAATGTTTAAAACACGAAGAACTGATCTGACAGCTGGCACTGCTTTGGTGATAATTTATCACATCGATCTTTCGGGTTCAGAGCGAGGGCACCCCAACCCCAGAGCAAAGGAGCTCCTGAGGTGGTGGCCAACAGAAAGCTGGAAGGGAGGCCCAGCTGCACTCCAGGAGAGCAGACCCAGCTGTTTCAGGGGCTCTGAGCCATGTCTGACAACATTCAATGTGTTCATGGAAAATAGAATCAGCCCAATACACCTAAGCGGAGAGGAGGGTTTCTTAAGTGAGAGCTTTTTCCCCAAAAGAGGCGGGTGCTCCGAGGTCAGGAGATCGAGACCATCCCGGCTAAAACGGTGAAACCCCGTCTCTACTAAAAATACAAAAAATTAGCCGGGTGTAGTGGCGGGCGCCTGTAGTCCCAGCTACTTGGGAGGCTGAGGCAGGAGAATGGCATGAACCCGGGAGGCGGAGCTTGCAGTGAGCCAAGATCCCGCCACTGCACTCCAGCCTGGGCGACAGAGCGAGACTCCGTCTCAAAAAAAAAAAAAAAAAAAAAAAGAGGCGGGTGCTCTCCTGCAGGAGTGGTGGGTGAAGGATGCTTCTCAGCGTGGAGTGGAGTGAACAATTTGAGTCTCTCACCACAAAAGGCCCAGACACTCCAACCTGGACAACTCATTGCCTACAGAGGAGCTGTGAATTGCCTTGAATTCAACTTCACCGCATCGTAATGGCACTAGTGGCGGCGGGACGGCTCCTTTCCCTGCAGGCGGTGGAAGGCATTGAACAAGCCTATAACTGCAGTCCTGCCACTTTTCCCAGACCCCTTCTTCCTTTCATGCTGATGAGTAAGGCAGGGAAGCTTTGCTGCACAAAGCAGGAGGGCGGCATGCCAGCAGCCTAGACTTCTGCCTGAAATATTTAAACACCGAACTCCACAGGCCGGAAATGTAATCAAATGTTAAATTATGAAAGGTCTCCGAGTTCAGCTCAGCCTCTGTAGAAAATGGATGGGCCTCAGTAATTCATGAGGCAGGCACATCACTAACTGCCCGTTGAGGGCTTTCTTACATAACTAGCAGACGGCTTCACCGTCAGTGCAAAGACCACAGTTCCAGCAAGGCACTCAGGGTGAAATTGAGCTGGGCCTCCCCTATTAGGCAAGAACAGGGACCTCCACTTGTGGCCACACCCGTGACCCTCAACTTGTCCACCGCTAAATTTTGTCTTAGTTCAAGCTGCTATAACAAAAATATCATAGACAGAGTGCTTTAAACGTAGACATTTATTTCTCACAGGTCTGGAGGCTGGAAGTCCAAGATCAAGGTGCTGGCAGATTTGGTTTCTGGTGAGGGCCTGTGATATGGTTTAGCTCTGTGTCCCCAAACCCAAATGTTATCATGAATTGTACTCCCATAATTCCCACCTGGTGCGAGATAATTTGAATCATGGGGTCAGTTTCCCCTATACTGTTCTTATAGTGAACTAGATCTGATGGCTTTATCAGGGGTTTTCACTTTTGTATCTTCCTCATTTTCTCTTGCCGATGTCATGTAAGAAGTGCTTTTCACCTCCTGCCATGATTCTGAGGCTTCCCCAGCCATGTGGTACTGTAAGTCCAATTAAACCTGTTTTTCCTTCCCAGTCTCGGGTATGTCTTAATCAGCAGTGTGAAAACGGACTAATATAGTCTGTTTCCTGGATTGCAGACACTGCCTTCTTACTGTGTCCTCATGTGGGTAGGGTGGTAGGGGAGAGAGAGAGAGAGAGAGAGAAGAAATAGGGAGAGTGAGACCCCTCCTGGCTCTTCTTACAAGGGCGCTAATCCCATCATGGGAGCTCCACCCTTATGACCTAATTACCTCCCAAAGACCCCATCTCCAAATACCATTGCATTGGAGATTGAGGTTTCAACATATGAATTTGGTGGGTGGGGGGCACAGTCCACAGCACTCTTCTCTTCCTGGGGATTCCCAGTGAGCTGCCATTGCCCAGGTGGTCTGAGCCCTCCATGCTGATTTAAGGATGCTCATTATGTAACATCTTCTTTGTCCCCCACAGGTTTGGAACCAACTGAAAGAGATGCAGGTGACAGGAAGGTGAAAATACATATCTCTGTATCACTAAGGAAGCTGCTTGTCGTATGTGCCTTGAGGATGTCCAGGTGGTCTTGATAATGTACATCTCCCCCACTAATGAAACTTACCTGCTATGCTCCTGGTTATGCCTTGAGACCACAGCCTACCTGAGCACACTTTGCACATCACAGAGCCAAGTAGCCAGAGTCCATCTGCTTAGCAGGCAGGAGGAGGCTGAAGGGCAGGCAGAAGAGGCTCTGCTCACACCCAGGGCTTTCTCCTTGAGCTCAGGGGTGACAAGGTGGCTAGAGAGGCTGGAGTGTGACCCAGTGAAGGTCCTTCTGTGTGGAAACATCATAAGTGACCTTCCAAAGCTGACTGTTTCCTTAATCAATAAGCTTACAATGAGCCAGGGGTGTAGCTTCCTCTTTAAATGACAAGAACTATCTTCCAAGGCCACCTTTCTCACTTTCACGTGGTAACTTATACAAACAGTTACTCCTTTGGGGAATCTCCTGGGACTGCAGGGGGGCAGTGCAAAATTTTCTCCAGAAGGCACAGAGTACATGAATGAAATTAACTCTGAGACTGCTCTGTTTCCAAGGCTGAAAATATCTTCTCTCTTCTAGGCTACATCCCAAATTATGTCCAGCCACATCATCCTAATGAGCTCATTAGAAGGTCTCAAAATGAAGCAGCTGGAAACTTCCATAAACATTGATTATTCTCAGTGTTTGTGGGTCTGACACTCTGCAGTGGCTTACCTAGGTGGGCTGGCTTGTGGTCTCTCCTGAGGCCGTGGTCAGATGTCTGCTGGGGCTGCCATCATCTGAAGGCTTGACTGGGGCTGGAGGCTGTGCTTCCAAGATGGCTGCATTCATGCCACCAAGGTAGTGCTGGCTCTCAGCAGGCAGCCTCAGTTTCTCACCACATGGGTCTCTTTAAAGGGCCACTATGTCCTGATGTGGCAGATGGCTTCCCCCAGAATGAAATATTCAAGAGAGAGCAAGGCCACAATTGCAATAACTTTTATGACTCGGCTTTGGAAGTCATGCTCTGTCATTTCCACAATGTCCTATTGTTGACCCAGCTCAGCCCTACTCATTGTGGGTCTGGATACCAGGAAGTGAGGATCCTCAGGGGGCATCTTGGAAGCTGGCTCCCACAATGTCTTACCCTACTCAGGCCCCGGTCTTGTGGGCTCCCAGACCTGAGTTTCTGTAGCAGTTGCTGTTTGGCCTGTCTTGGGAGATGAGGATGTCTTCTTCAGAACCTCAGAAGTTGAATTAGGCTCCCGTGTGCCTTGGTTTGAGTGAGTGTGAAGAGTTTCCAAGATACACAATAATATGATGGTATTTTTCCCTGATGTATTTAGAGAACAAGGTCATCCCCAGCCCTGAAGCAGTTGTCCAAGGCAAAGCTCTGTTCCTAGAGCTCAGTGCTTAGTGCCCCCAAAACACAGGGCAGACTCTGGTATTGAATGAAGACAGAGAAAATCCCGCTGGTTTCAGTTTTGTCCATTGCACCAAGCCCAGGACCTGAGAACTTGCACTCACCTGGGCAAAATCTCCCCCTAAGAAGTTAGTGATGTTTGTCAAATTGGGTGAGAACTCCCCACAGGATGCTGTCTTGTCTTTCAGAGAGCTGTCCGTGGGAGGATGCCATGGTCTGGCTAAGTCTGCTGGAAGTCCCACTTACCATGCCTCATGTGAGATGAGTTTTTCTTGTCCCACATGCTTAAAACCGCTTTGTCTTGGGTTCTGGGTGCCTCAATGACAGGCTGAGTTTCAACTCGGTCTCTCCACAAAGCCCCTGCAGTGTCCTCTGGGAAAGGTCATCCTTCCTGTTCCTGTTGTCTCTTGAGATGAAATCCTTTGGGCCTGAGGCTGTGTCTTCTGGGGATAGTTCCCATCTCCTTCCCATGGTTACTCAGCCGCGGGGTTGCCCTCAGCAAGTTGCTGAGCTGAGCCGCCATGGGGGCCGGGAAAGCCATGCTGCTGAGCCTCTTCCCAGTGCTCCTAAAAGACTGCATTTCCTCTGATTTTGTGTGTTCAAGACCTCTGTGGTATTCGTTGCCATTCATTCACTCGTTCATTTGTTTGTTCATCCATCCAGTATTTATGAGGCACATATTGTGTAAGTGGTGCTGTATGAGTGCCCTGTTGCTGCTGTAACAAGTTAGCACGAGTGTAATGTGGACTTCTTATCTCATAGTTCTGGAGGCCAGAAGTCCAAAATGGGCTAGAATCATAGAGTAGGCAGGGTTGGTTCCTCCTGGAGGATTTACGGGAAAACCCATTTCCATGCCCTTTCCAGCTTCCAGGGGCCACCTGTATCCCTGATTTGTGACCCCCCCATCACTCCAACATCAGTCCCATCATCACAGCTTTGACCCCCACTCCGGCCTCCATCTTCCCTATGTGCCATTGTGAAGACATTGGGCCTACCCAGATAATCAAAGATAACCGCCCCATCCCCAAATCCTTAATCACATCTGCAAAGTTCCTTTTGCCATGGAAGGTCACATGTTCACAGGCTCTGGTAACGAAGACATGGACATTTTTGAGGGCCATGATTCTGCCCACCATTTGTACTGCCCTGGGCCTGGGATATACAGCCATGAGCAACAAAATGATACAATTCCTGCCCCCATAGGCTTGCGTTTTTCTGTAAAACACATTTCTCTTGGCCACATTTTTCTACCAGAGTGGGGCGGAAAGGGCTGATTGCATATATGCTGCAATAGTGCTTTCCTATGGAAACTTCTGCAATGGTGGGAACATTCTCTGAGATGCCGAATGCTTTAAGCAGCAGTACTTGAAATGTGGCTAGTGTGATGAAGGGACTGCATTGTACATTTCATTTTAATTAATGTCTTTGTAAACGGATGTAGCCACAGGAGGCTCCCTGCTTCTGTGTGGGACAGCACAGCACTCGCGTAGCTCTGGAATCTTCCTCGCACCTGTGGATGGTGCGGGAAACTTCTAACCTTTAACCCACTTCTTAGCTTTACAGCACGGCATGCACAGTTTGGCTGTTTGCTGGCACCCAGGGCCTCCTCTTTTGCTTCTTCCTTTGTTTGCTAAATCAGGCCCTTGTTTTTCTGACATTTTCCTCTAGATTCTATCCAGGAGTGAGAAATATAAAATCAATATGACCTAAGTCTGCCAAAACCAGAGTTTAAACAAATCTTTTCCTCATCACCTTGCAGATTTAGAAATCCAACTCCCGCATCTAATCCCCCTGGGCTGCTGTCCCCACAGGCCTGGTCTCAATATGTTATCATCCTGCCTGGCCTCTGTGTGTGTTTATTTGCCAGCACTTGCGTAGCATGGCCTGTATGCCAGGAGTTTTCCTGCAGGCTTCGCAAATGCTAACTTGTCTAATTTTTAATCAGTCTTGCAACACAAATAACATCATCAGCCCCATTTTTACTGGTGAAGAAACTGAAGTACAGAGAGGTGAAGTGTCTTGCCCAAGGCTGCAGAGCGCTAGGTGACAGAGCCAGGATTTGAACCTAGGCTGTGCGACAGAGGTATGCCCAGGCCCTCCCTGACTCACTGCTTCTCTTCTGCTGGACTTCTCCCTAGGCCCCCATCCCTAAATTTCCCTATCAGACCCTGGCTGCACCAATACTTACGGTGAGGATATCTACCTTGTTAAAGCAAACCAAATACAGCCTGAGAAGAACTCCATACTTCTGTATTTGAGTCCTTGTGGATGAACTGTCACCTAGCTTAATAGACAAAATTGAAAACCCAACTTAATAGTATGCACCTGTACTAATGGCTGAGTGTTGGCCAATCCCAGCCGCCATACTTCAACCACTCATAGACTGCTGCGCGTTCAAACTGTGTTCAAATAAGGCACCCGCCGAGCTGTGACCAATCGCACTGTTTCTGTACCTCACTTCCGATTCTTGTAGGTCACTTTACCTTTTTTGTCTATAAATGTGTTCTGACCACGAGGCACCCCTGGAGTCTGCTGTGATTCTGAGGGCTGCCCAATTCGGGACTCATTCCTTGCTCGATTAGACTCTTTTAAATTTAATTCGGCTGAAGTTTTTCTTTCATCAACCTGAAAGTTACCTCCTTGCCTTCTGCTCAGTGAGCTGCCCAGATTTCCTGCGACTGCCTCCTGCAGCTGCCACTGTCTTCAGAGGAAATGACTCCCAGGCACATTTGCTGTAACTCCCACCTGTAGCTTGAAACAGGTCCTGGCTCGCGCTCCTGCTGGGAGTCATGCCCTTCACCCTCTGTGATTCGACTTCTCCAATCGGTAGGAACCAAGACACCTCCTCTTGTCCCTTGGAGCTCTTTGACCTGAATTCAACTTTCCTCTTTAATACCGGTTTAATATGCTTGGGCCTTGCATTGTCCATTTCCCTGCTTCTTTAAGAGCAGATAGGCCTCCAGAGCCTCAGTTTCCCCGTTGCGTCTGCCTGGTACATTTTCTGAGATCTCCACCTTCCTGGAGAGGAAATGCCTCTGCTCTGCATCTGGAATCCATGTCTTGCTTCTTTTGCCTTCCTCACAGCCCAGCTGCTCTTCTGAGAGTAATTCTGAGACGTGTTCTCAGGCCACCCCCTTGCCTCCTGGGTCCCTCTGAGCAAACCTGGTTCCCAGAAACAGAAGGTGCGGGCTCCGCCATGCAGTCACTGTCTTCCCAGACCATGGGTTTGCAGGGGGGGGGTCTCCTCCCCACCCTCTTCCTAGGAAGGTCGCTTATGGTGTCTCAGTCGGCCTCTAGCCAGTTCTGTCTTCTGCGGAGGAAGGAAGGAGAAAAGAAGGAGAAAGGGAAGGAAGAAGAGAGGGAAGGAAGGAAGGAAATGAAAGAAGGAAGAAGGAAAGAAAGAAAGAAGGAGGGAGAGAAGGGAGGAGGGAAGGGAGGAGAGAGGGAAGGAAGAACAGGAAGAAAGGAAGGAAAGAAAGAAGGAGGGAGGGAAGGAGGGAAGGGAGGAAGGAGAGAGGAAAGAGGGAAGGAAGGAGGGAGAGAAGGAGGAAGGGAGGGGAACAACAGTGGCCGGCAGATTCAATCCTGCTTGCGGACTCAGCTCTGATAGCTTGAAGCTGGAGCCTCTTGCCTGCTCCTGATGCCAGCAGAAACCAGACGCTTTTATAGTTGTAAATCCTGGCTCCCTCGCCTGCCAGTCTGACTGAGCACCACAGTTAAAAGCAGCAAAAAAAAAAAAAAAAAGTTTCATCACCTAATGCCTTAAAATCTGTATACCCACAGATGCTATCATCAAAGCTGTGCCTTCACCATGCTATTCCACCTGGAACTGCTAAGGTCTGCCCTTGCTACAAAATAGCCCCTAGCCTATGGTTAAAGCCTCCATAAGCCGCAGTGACCCTCCAAGGTCAAGATCCAGCAGAGCCCAACTGCACTCAGGTCCCAGCCCTAGCATGGCCCTCCCAGGCTGCACCCAGAAAACCCAGGTGCCCCTGGAACCCTGGTCATAGAGCACCATTGACTTTTCATAAAGTTAGAAGCCCACAAGAGTGGGGTGGTGCCAGGGCCTCAAGCCACGGGCTTAGAGGACTCCAGAAACCTCAATCTCTATCATTTCTGTGTTCCCAGATCCCATTCTTAGTGTTTCCTATGTTCCTGGAAGTGCAACAGGCGTCACCATGAGAATTTCAGTGGGTTGACATAGGACACCCTCCCCTCCCAAGTTTGGCAAATGGACACAAGAATCAAATAAATAAAGCGTAAAAGGCAATCGTCTTCATTTTAGACAAGGCTGTTGGGAAGGAGATGACCAAGGTACTGCCAGATGGACTTTCTAATGTCCCAGACACTGGGTCATGCCCAGGCCCGGAGCCAGCTCCATGGTGTTATTATGACCAGGTGTTGTGGCTCACGCCTGGAATCCCAGCACGTTGGAAGGCTGAGGCAGGAGGATTGCTTGAGCCCAGGAGGCTGAGGCTGCAGTGAGCCATCATCACACCACTGCACTTCAGCCTGGGCAACAGAGCAAGACCCTGTCTCAGAAAATGAATATCAATCAATCAATCAATTGGTGTTGTCTTAAGCTGCGACATTTGCAGTCATTTGTTTCAGTGACAGTAAGAAACTAAATGTAGCCATAAAAAATGATGAGTTCATGTCCTTTGTAGGGACATGGATGAAATTGGAAATCATCATTCTCAGTAAACTATCGCAAGAACAAAAAACCAAACACCGCATATTCTCACTCATAGGTGGGAATTGAACAATGAGAACACATGGACACAGGAAGGGGAACATCACACTCTGGGGACTGTTGTGGGGTGGGGGGAGGGGGGAGGGATAGCACTGGGAGATATACCTAATGCTAGATGACGAGTTGGTGGGTGCAGCACACCAGCATGGCACATGTATACATATGTAACTAACCTGCATATTGTGCACATGTACCCTAAAACTTAAAGTATAATAATAAATAAATAAATAAATAAATAAATTAATTAATTAAAAAAAAAGAAACTAAAACTAAAACTCACCCATCAGCTGAGTCACTCCCCCTTTGCCTGGAGAGACAGGGGAGCCTGAGAAGGAAAACGGAGGTCAGGGACGTTCCTTTCATCAGGGTCCCTCTATACAGAGAACAAAATGAGTGGTGGAAGGGAGGGTGAGTCTAACTACTTAAACAGGGAAACTGAAGCCCAGGAGTGTGGCCATCTGCCACAGGAGAACACAGCAAGCTGGAAAGAGGGCCACGCCTGACTGCGTGGCTCCGTCTGCCTCTGCTGCTAATTACCCCAGACAGGCAAATAACTTCCCACTGGGGTTGGCTTCCTAGGGATCGGGACCCGGGGAAGAGGCAGGGCTGTCCTTGTCACCAGGCCATGCAGACTTGATGATGTGCTTTTCACGCCAAGTCCAGGTATTGACCATTCATTATTCATCCTAACCCATTTATGCCTCTTGATAGGGTGAGTCAATTCACACCATAAGGACTTTCCCTGCCAAGTGAGCAGGGCATTTTGTTTTCCCATTTAGCAAAGAGAGCAGGAGACAGAAATCAAGTTCAAGCCAGTGGCCCGACGTGACCCTGCTGGTCACCCCCACCGCTTCCTCCACGGGCATCTGCATCTGCCTGTAGATGGGGCTTGAGCTTCGCTGAGGTGATGACGTCACCTCTGGCTGCTTTGCTATCTTGTCTATTTGTGTATTTGACATGTATTTGATGAGTGCCTGCTATGGTCTGTGGAGATACGGCAGTAAGCGGAGCACACAGTCCCAGCCCTCAGAGCTGATGTTCTCCTGGGAAGGGGCAGAGCAGGAGGATGGGCACACATCATCCAATGAAATGTGCTCAGGTCCTTTGCTGCTGTGAAGCTGGAAGGGTGCAGGTTTGGGGACTCAAAGACCCAGGTTCAAGTCTCCATTTAGCACGAGGAGCTGTATGCTGCTGCTAATTACACTTTCTCCAGCTTGACAATCAGAACAGCCCATAACCTGGGAGCTTGCAGAACAGCCCTTTCTGCTTCCTTTTCTTACGGTCATCTGCATTCGTTAGCGCCCCACAGTCTTTACCACGACTTAACTGACTTAACTGTTTCTTGGGTGTGAATTTCCTCAGCAGGAGTGAGACCCTGGGAGGACCGGGTTTGGTCCACTGGTTATTAAAGGTTCCCAGCGCAGGAAGCACTGAGCGCTCCCCTCTTTTTCCCTTAAATGTGCACAGAAGCTGTTTTATTTCAGTGGGAAGGATTTTACAGAGGAACACCTTTGGGAACAAATGTTGAGAATGCGTTTTTACAACACGTTTCTTTCTGCATTGGTTCATATTAAACAGGTTTACATATAGAGCTTTAAAACGCAAATGGAAACACGCTTTCTTCAACACACATTATAAGCTGTTTCCTTTCAGTGACTGGAACTGTTTGACAGGGATTCTGCATTTTCTTTTTACAATACTACTTGTTTTCTTTATTTTTTAAATCAACAAATAAACATTGTATATATTTATGGCGTACAACATGACGCTCTGCTATATGCATCTACTGCGGGATGACTAAGGCAAGCTAATTAACATACATTCCTGGCTGATGCCTGTGCTGGCTCAGGGACCCCACACTGAGAGGCCGGGGCTGGATCCATCAGCGCCATCAGTGTGCAAGTCCCTTTCTGTGACCCTGGGACCTGGAAGAGAGCCAGCACCGAGTCGGTGCCCAAAAAATGTTTGTGGGATGCCTGGGTACGTGCCTGTGTAACCTGGCAGCCAGTGGCAGGAGTGCCACTTTCAGAGGCGAGCAGAGCAGATCCAGGCTCTGGGTGTGAGGGTGGATGGGAGCTGGCCATCTGGGAATGAGGATGCTGTCCCCGGTGGAGATCGCGGAGGCTCAGTCAGTGTTGGTCCTCCCATCCCTGGTCCCCGCCTGTTCCCACTGCTCCTCTTCATTCCCCGGAGGTGCACCTGCCTCTGGTGTCCGTCCTGACTTTGCCAACACGGGGTAGGTCTGGAAAAAGTACTTGACTTTTCTAAGCCAGTGTCTTTATTCGTGAAATGCCCCTGCTGTTCATCTCTCAGGGGCGCCTCAGGGATGAAACGGAAAAATGGAGATGATGTGGTGGGCACTGCGTTACGGGCCTGGGTGTAAGCCTTGCCAGGTGTCAGAAACCTGCCTTGAATGCCCTGCCCACCACCCGCACCTACCCAGGCAAGCCCAGACTCAGGAAAGACCTCAGGAGTCACCTTTGGGGAAAGCCTGCCCCATGCCCCTGGGACGCACCGGGTCTCCTTCCCCTGTGCCTGCTGAATGGTTGGGCTCCTGCAGGTCTCTCCTGAGGGTCTGTATCCTTAGCGCCTGTCAAAGCACCGGGTACTCAGGGAATGTTGCCCAAAATAAGAATGAGTGAAGGGATGAATTTCCCAGAGGCACTTAGTTTAGGGAAGTAGAGAAATGGGGAGGGGGGAATGAAACCACCACTAGGACCGGGGCCCCAGGACTTTTGGGGTTCATCAAGCAGCATCCAGAAGAGAAGAGGCCAGAGCCAGCCACTCGGCTCATTTCAACTCAAGGATGAAGGGAAATATGTAAAGGGGACTTTCATGCTTCTTTCTGGTTTGACTCAGTCACTTTCCCGAGGTAGGAAAACAGTCTGACTTTAAGAGCTCTCTAGAGAAGACAACTAGGTTTTGGCCACAATGTTTTCCGTGTCAGCTCAGGGGAATGCAAACTTGTCAGGCATCATACAATAAAGGGATTTAGTCCTTCCTTGCTACATTGCCCCTTATTAAGGCAAACATTTTTTCTAGCCAACTCCTATTCATTTTTCAAGACCCAAATCAAATTGCCCCTTCCCTCCACCCCCAACCATGAGGCCCTCTGCATTTCCCAACCCTGCTCAGGCCAAGTTTAGTCCCCACAGGCTTGTATTCCCCACTGCACTGAAAGCCCCTAGAGAACTAGAAGACAGACACTGGATTGTTTAGCTTGAATCCCTGGGCTTTTCCTGGGTTAGGCTATAGTAGTTGCTTAATAAATGTCTGAGTAAATGGATGTTGCCTTATGCCTTTCACGTTCTACTTGAAGGGCACCACATGGTTCCCCTTCCTTTAGCGTGGCTTTTGCTGATTTGATTTTTAAAAGCCCTGTCCTGGCCCTCTGCTTCCTGCATGTGCCCATACTCTTGGCCCCTGGTGGATGCAGGGCTGGGCCCCTCTGAAGTCAGCCCTGGGGTCCCCTGAATGCACTCCTGTGCGCAGAGGCCTGGAATGCATAGCCGGGATTGATTTTTGTCTTTCTGATTTAGGCTGCGATTGATTTTCTCAGGCAGAGGCTTTGCACTTAATGAAGTGAGGGCCGCTTGGCTCTGTCCGAGACAGGATTACATGCAAGGACAATTACCCATCTGGTGACAGCTTCTCTTTTTTTTTTAAAAAAAACTGTATAATGCAATGAAAATAACTCAGCTGATGGGCGCGATGTGTTAAGAAGTGGTTGTGACGTGGAAGGGGCTACTTGTAATTTTCCCACCACCTGGGGAAGACTTTGGTAGAAGGATTGCATTATGATGATGATTATTATTTTGTAAACTTGGGAGAGATGTACAGTGATGATTGAGAAACAAAAGGATGAAATGTTTAACTTAGCAGGAGAAAGTTTAAGATTTGTTTTCCTTCCAGCTCCACAACGTGGAGAGCTCCACATTGACTGCAATCCATTCCCAGGATTTATTTACAGAGCTTCCTTGAGGAGAGGGGACGTAGCAGCTTCTCCGCTTCTGTGACCCTGAGGGCTTCCAGGTGATCTGTGCTTCCTCCTGGCATTTCCAGCTGCCCTTCAGAGGGAGCTCAGCTGCTCTGCACCGGAGTTTCATTAGACCTTCAAGTTGAGAGGTGATTAAACAGATATTATTATAATTATTCTGTTTCCAGAAATATCAAGAGAACTAGCTCTCAAAATTTCTCTTCTCATGTTTAATGAAGGGCTAATGTCCCTTGGATCTGTTTTCCTGAAGGCCTATTGGGAGTCCGTCCCTAAAGCCAGTGACCCTTCATGCTGGTTCACTGAGAATTATCTAGGTTTTGGCAATGCCAGTCCCACATGCCAGGAAACCCCTTAGTCCCAGGCAAATCGTAATGGTTGGCCGCTCTAGCCCAGACTCACACAGGCCTCTTTATGAGGAAGAGAGAGAGAGAGAGGAATAAAATAAAATAAAATTCCATCTGAATGGACTTCCTCCTTAGCCAGGGCTCTTATAAAATTTAACCTGAGCGACTGTTTCAGGCCATGACAGCAAGTGGAGGTTGAACATGCCTCATGATACCTCTCTGGCGTGAACACCGACACAGACTTTAAGTCTGATAAGAAACATTTTACAGCCTATTCCCTCTGAAGCCTAGTACTTGAAGGTTCCCTCTGCAAATAACAACTTGCATCTCTCAAGCCTTTATCTTAACCTAGACATTACTTTCTATTGAGTTTCTCTAGAGAAGCTCAACTAATTGTCAACCAGAAAATTTTAAAATCTACCTATAAGCCGGAAGCCCCCGCTTTGAGTTGTCCCGCCTTTCTGGGCCAAACCTACGTATTTTTTTAAATGTATTTGATTGAAGTCTCATGTCTCCCTAAAATGTATAAAACCAAGCAGCACCCAGACCACCTTGGGCACCTGTTCCCAGGACCTCCTGAGGGCTGTGTCACAGGCCGTGGTCACTTATATTTGGCTCAGAATAAATCTCTTCAAATATTTTACAGTTTGACCCTTTTCGTCAATGGGGGGGTGGGGAGAGAGAGAGAGAATGACTTATAGATAGTTCTCTTGCTGTAGGACTTTCTCCTTAGTTCAGGTAAAAGCCAGGTTCTTGTCACATAGCTGTTAAATATTAGGCTCACAGACACATTAAAGGGTGATAAAAATGGAATTTATTGTGCAAAAAGTAAAAACAAGGGAAAGAGGGAGTCTCAGCAAAGCCAGAGTCCTGCTAGCTGGTTCCGCCTCGCAGATTGAATCCCAGGTGCTACCCAGGAAGAGGAGGGGCTTGGCTCCTCCTGTCGCAAATGGCTCGAACTTCCGGAGGTTCCACCCCAGTGTGCGCTCCTCCCAGTGTGCAGGCCGGTCACAGGTTCTCCGGGGGCTCCTTTAAACTCGCTGTCTCACTCTGACACCAGGCACAGGCAGCAGGGAAGGAAGGCAGGGCTGAGGGGCCGCAGAAAGCCCCCCACCGCCCACTCCTATCTGAAATGCATCCACGGAACAGCCAAGCATCCTTCAAGTAAAAATACACATTTTAAAGAACTCGGGTTTTGTAGGGACTCATGGGTAAAGAAAGCAAGGGCGGAGTGTGTGGCCAGGGTCATCCAAAGTGGTAGGTTTAGGTTTAAATATCAGGAGATTCACTGAAAAGTGGCCTCTCAGCTCAGACCCCAGTCCCCATGAAAGCCGTCCACCTAGTGTTGTAGGGCTTTCCCCTTAGGGTCCTTGTCACACACCAGGAAAGATTAGCTTGCAGACACTTTGAAGGGTGAGAAACATGGAATGTACTGGGTGAAAAGGAAAAAAAAGGAAACAGGGAGTCCCAGCAAAGCAAGGGTCCTGCTAGCTGGCTTCCCGCCTCACAGATTGAATCTCCAGTGACAAACCCCGAACAGGAGAGGCCAGGCTGCTCCCCACTGCAAACGGCATGCACTCTGCCCAGCACACAGGCTGGTTGGAGGTTCTCCGGGGACCCCTTTAGACCTGGCTGTCTCAGTAGGATTGCATCACCCACGGGCAAAGGAGCTGCTGGGCCTGGACCCCTGTTCTCCTAACTGTCCTTGGTGTCTTCTGGAAACCTGAGGCTTTTCTTCTGGCCCAGGCGCACATGCTGCCCCTGGGCTGTGCTGTCTGACCCTCGGGGCAGGTTGGGATCAGGTGTCATTTTCCCTCCCCAACACCCCCATGCTGTGCCCTCAGCAATCCTTTACAATGATCCCAGGTCAACATGAGCTCATCTGCCAAAGAAATGTGCCCCGCAGCACGCTCTGAAGATGGTCCGTTTGCGTTTATCTGAATTCTTCAGTGGCATTGAACAAGTGACTCTGATGCACTCCCAGAGACTCCAGAGAAGTTGGCGGATTTGTGTTGTCATTTATGGGGGCTAGCCCCCATTTTTGTGTTGTCATTTATGGGGGCTGAGACGTATTGGGAGAACTGGCTGCAAACAGGCGAGCCAGGAACTGCTGGGCAAACCAGGCTGAGGTGGTCGCTCCATGAAATTCCTGATTACTCTTACAGATGAAGAAACAGATGGTCAGAGAAGTCTCCAGCTATCTGACTCTCAAACTTGTGCTCCTTCCAGTGTCCCTTGGCTGAGGGGACTAGACATCACCTTGTGAGTATCAGGACAATGGGTATTCTTTGAATCCAGACAGAGGTCTGGGCACAAGACCATAGGTGTGTTAGGCTGGGAAGTAGGTGGCAGGTGTGTGGAGGTGGTCACATGGCCAAGCGCCCCATACTCTTGCCACATGGCTGGTTTTGTTCTTAACCATTGCCAGGTCTTGTCTATATATTTGGGCATTCCTCAGCACCCTTGGTACCCATCCTCTCGGTCCTCTCTTCACCAAAGACACTGAAGAGCATTTGCGATCTGCCTTGGAGATACTGGCTCTGAGAGTTACCGACTTTCTTAAAATGAGAGTCCCAAAGATGGAATGGCCTGTGGTATGGTTGAGAGCTTTTGAGGAGATTGCACCAATTGGAGTCCTAATTAATGTTTGTTTTATGATGTTCCAGGGAATGATCGCTCGATAAGATAATGCAAATAGAATTTTTAAAAAGCGTATGTTCAATTTAAACAGTGGGCACAAACAGATGCATTGCAACGTAGCCTGGTAGAAGATGTTATTATAAGAAGCAATATTGTTGTTCGTGCAATCTGTGCTTGGAAATCATTTCATTAATTGTAAGCAGACACCACAGGGTGTCTGGCTTCCAACTCTCTGCAAGAACACGGGATCAGAGAGGAGAAATTCCTTTAGGCAGGAGGTCCTATGAGCGACTTCCCTAGAGGTGGAGCTGGGAGGCATCCCTGCAGCTCCCTGGACTTTGTCAGGAATGGGGTGGGACTCTCTGGACTCAGGCCAGGGATGCCAGGGTCTTTGGCTGAATAGGGGACAGAACATCCCATGGAGAAGGAGCCCAGAAGCATCACACCTCAGAGCATCCCGTTGCTGGGGAGTAGAGGGGCTCTGGGTTCTCTGTGAGGTTTTGGAGGATATGCAGTATTAAATTTTCCAATTACAGCTGTAATGAAGATCACAGCTATAGTCACTTAAACCACGCATATTTATTACTGTATACTTCTGGAGATCAGAAGTTCAAAATGGGTATGGCTGGGTTGTAACCACACTGTTGGTGGGGCTGTGTTCCTCCTGAAGCCACTAGGGGAGAAGCCATCTCCTCACCTGTTCCAGCTTCCAGAGGCCGCCTGCATCCCTGGGCTTGCAGCCCCTTCCTGCATCTGCAAAGCCAGCAACCACCAGCTGCGTCCTTCTCACACTGCCATGTCTCTGGCTCTGACTCTCCCACCTCCCTCTTCTACCTTTAAGGACCCTTGTGCTAGGCCCACCTGGATAATCCAGGATCATCTCCCCAGCTCAAGGTCAGCTGATGAGGAAGCTGAATTCCCCTTTGCCATGGAACCAGACACCTTCACGGGTCCTAGGGATTAGGACGTGGACATCTGTGGGGGCTATTATCCTGCCTGCCACAGATGGAGAGCACATTTTGCCTTTGAACATATGAATGTGCTTCTATCTAGCTTGCTTTTTCATTTCTATCTTTCCATTTTTAAGAAAAGAGGAACGGAAGAAGCTGGAGCCCGGGGAGCCTGTGGTTGGGTCTCAGCTTCTTGCTACCTCCTGGGTCAGCCCTGGGCTGGGCCCACTCAGCTCTGCTGAGCTGCAGGTTCCTGCTGCATCCACAGCCATGAAGTTCTTTGCCCCAGCTGTCCCATGGTGCCACCCTGGAGGAAAACAAAACAAGAAAGGAGATGTGCAAATGTTTCATAGAGAACAAATGCTATCAAATAAAACATGGTCTTGTTCCTGGAGTGTCTGACATCGAGTCATTTTAGTGCATTGCTCCCAAAGCCCAACTTCCAACTTGCACTCAGCAGGGGTAAGCTAACAGGTCTGGAAACACCTGTTCCCATCTGCCGTGCCAAATCCCACCCTCGGGTGGCGATGTTGGATGAGTGACCATTTTAGAGAAGAACTGGCCTTCACCCTGTAGTAGGCTGCCCTGATTCTTCAGTTGTGCCTTGGTGTGGACGAGGACCCACAGGTGCATTTCCAGGCTTTTGGCCTCATTACACTGCCCAAGAGGGGAACATTCTGGAGATGAAGCCAAGCAGTCTCTGCTCCATTGCCCCAGCGGCTTCATTTTTGAAACTCGAATCCAGGAGATGCCCTTTAGTGAGTTTTGACAATGTGCAACTGGCACTCCTATCAAGACATAGGACATTGCCAGGACTCCAGAGAGCCCCTCCTGCCCCTGTCTCCTCAATCCCCCAGGGAACCCGTGGCCTGAATTTTTAAAATTAGAGATTCATTTAGCTTGTTGTGGAACTTCATTGAACTGGACCCCTCCAGCCTGCACTCTTGTTCTGGCTTCTTGGGGCCATCGTCGTCGGTTTGAGATTCCTCTATGCCAGTGGGAGCATCATTAGTTGGTTCCATTTTATGAACACACTGCAGTTGGTTTATCCATTCTCCTATGGATGGACTTCTGGGCTATTTCCAGGTTGGGGCTGTTATAAATAAAGATGCTATGAACATTTGTGTTAAAAAAAAAGAGCCACAGGAGTTTGCATGGCTCTCTGCACCTCAGGCATGTGCTCACCAGCTCATGAGAGGGGCCCCAGCCATATCCATGGGAATGACAGCCTCGTGCCCCTGTGTCTATGGGGAGCCCCACATGCTCTGTGTTGTTCTGGTTGCAGAGCTGGCCTGGGTCCTGATTCTCCCTCCTTCTGCCACCCACAGCTTCATCCACCCTGCTGCGATGAGAGGGGCTGGCCACCAAGGAGGTTCCTCTGCACAGCAGACAGGCATGGAGCCTGATGAATTTCAGCATCCAGGCTCCGGCCACCTGCACCCCTGTCCTGTCCCTTCCCTGAGCTCTGGGCCTCCCTCGCTCCTGTGTTTGTTGATGTACTGATGAGCCCTGGAATTGCCGCTCCCGGCACACTGTTTACTTAACAATGTAACAGCAATTGTAGGATAATTGTGCTGCAATGAAAGAACAGTCAGGATCTGTTCAGTAACTGGATAATAAAAACCAGGGTTTATGGGTTCCGCTCCTGGGAAGATTTATGGCCTTAATATTGCATTATGTAACAAATCATTTCCAGTTCAGTAGGACTTGGGATTTGCACTGAGACCCTCAGCCAGCAGATGGTAACCAGAGAGTGGGAAGAAAGAGCAATTCATGCAGTTTCTTGGTTCCTCCACCCACAGCCAAGATCTGTGAGTTCAAACTTTCTCCTTCATCTTGGAGATGAAGAGGAAGTGGAGGAAGAGCCTCGCTGCACCTTCCCGCCCCTCCTGGCCTCGGCCATCCATTTATAACACACAACAGGGTGTCTAGAACCCTTTCTAATGACAGCCTGGAGGAGCAGTGCAAACTGGGGTGCTGACTTTCCGGGCCCCACAATAAGCCCTGACATCTACAAAGAGCTATGAATCTTTAAAGGGCTTTTTGTACTGACGGACCAACTTCTTTCAAATGTCAGAGCTGGCAGGGCCTAGGATATCATTGATTGATCCCCCTACGGCCGCATTTAAACCAGGCAACGCTCCCTCCAGAGAGCCCATACCGTAGCAGGACCCCTCTCAACCTGGAGCTTGCTACGGGCCAGCAAGGTCAGTCGACCCCCTCTGTCCTGCCAATGGTTGGTGTGCACACTGCTGCGTCTGTGTGCTGATTCCAGGGCTGAGGCAGGGAAGCATAAGGTGAACTGAAATCTCTTACTGCATTCGAAAGTAAAGAAGTGCTTGAAGAATGATCAGCTGTCAAAAGACAAGGACACAGGAACTGGCTTGTGGGGGGCTGCCACTGGCCAAATATGGGACAAATTGAGCATCAAAATAAGTAACAGTTGGAATGGATTATAGCCCAATGAATAAAATAAAACCAATGAATCCACATTGATATAAATAAATGAGTGAATATATAAACACACTGAGGAGAAGGAGAAGCTCTCTTTACATTAAGATCCCACTTAACAGAAAAGAAAGGATGCAGGACGTCATTAATGGGCACTTGATATGGTTTGGCTCTGTGTCCCCACCCAAATCTCATGTTGAATTGTGATCCCCTGTGTTGGAGGAGGGACATGGTGAGAGGTGACTGGATCATGGGGTGGAGTTCCCCTTGCTGTTCTCATAATAGTGAGTTCTCACAAGATCTGCTTGTTTGGAAAGTGTGTAGCACCTCCCCCTTTGCTCTCTTCCTCCTGCTCCAATGATGTGGGATGTGCTGACTTCTTCTTTCCCTTCCACCATGATTGTAAGTTTCCTAAAGCCTCCCTCAGCCACGCTTCCTGTATAGCCTGTATAACTGTGAGCCAATTAAAACTCTTTTCTTTATAAATTACCCAGTCTCAGGTATGTCTTTATAGCAGAGTGGGAATGGACTAATATAGTGGCTGAAACCAGTGGGTGAAAGTTTGGCCATGAACATGGTATTTATAGAGAATTAAAGTAAATCTCTGCAAATTATTTATGAATGATGAAAAGACAAAGAGTAACTTCAGAGTGGAGGGGACTGGCAGATGCAACGTTAACCAGGAGATCAAAGCTCTGCCTGTGTGGGATGGAGCGCGCCTCCCGATCCCAGGCAACGGGGAGTGGGCAGCATTGTCCTGGCATTGTCCTGGGCGTCCCTGATGGACAGGCACAAACGGAGCCTGGTGATGGGAAAACACAAACACGCAGACACTGCGGCTTACTCCAAAAGTAATTGGCCTTGACACTCCAAAATGTCAAGATCGAGAAAGAGAAAATTCTGAGGGGATGGATACTCCCCACCCCCCAAGCGTGATATCTTGGGCGATTTTCAGTTGATTCTATATGGAGTAGATGCTGAGTATGTTTTTTTCTTGATCTTTCTTTACTCCTAGGAAGGAATTATTTCCAGGTCTCAACTGGCTGCTTCTTATAGTTTGCTGGACATTAATTCCCATGCTGATGATGCATTGCTATGGTTTGAATGTTTGTGCCCTCCAAAACTCATGTTGAAATTTATTGCCTTTGGAACAGTATTAAAAGGTGTGACCTTTAGGAGGCGATTAAACCATAAGGACTCCACTGTCATTGGTAGGATTGGTGTCATTATAAAAGGGCAAGTTCAGGCCCCTCTTACTCTGTTCTCTGGCCCTGTTGCTTTCTGCCCAGGGACAATACAGCAAGAAGGCCCCCACCAGATGCTGGCACCTTTGTATTGAACTTCCCAGCCTTCAGAATGATGGGGAAATACATTCTGCTCATTATGCATTTTAAAAAAAGAAAGACGAATAAGCTCTATAAAACTGCATAAGCTCTATAAAACATCATTGTACCTATAGCCAACAATAATGTATTCTACACTTAAACATTTGTTAAGTGGGTTTATCTCAGTTTGTGGTCTTGCCATAATGAAAATGAGATATTGTCTAAAGAAAAAGAGAAACAATTCTAAGAAACTACTTTAGATTGAAGAAACTTAGACAGACAGGGAAACTCAAGGAAATGTGTGGTCCTGGATCTGAGGCTGGACCCAGAGATGACATGCGATTTTGTCCTACAGATTCAATCCCTGTAGTGTATCAATATTGATTTCATGTTTTTATAATTAGGCCATGGCTCTGCAAGATAATATTTCTGTACTCAGAAAAAATGGCGGGGTAGGGGCAATGACAAAGCAAATGAGACTAAAGATGAGCCACCAGCCAATCTGGGTGAAGGACCCATGGGAGTTTCTTGTGTGGTCCTTGCAACTTTTCTGCAGGAGTGAAGTCAGAGCCATGTCAAGGGTTTGGACAGAGAAAGCTGGCAGAGCGAATTTCTACATGTGGCATTGGCACAAAATTTCTACGTGTGGCATTTCTACGTGTGGCATTGGCATGTGCCCCAGGCCCCACTGGTCTCAGAAGGAAGAGAAACATGTGGAGTGGATCTGAACCAAATGCAATTGCTGTCTGGCCACAGTGAGCCAAACAAAACACGCCTGGGTACGCCAGAGCCAGCCCTGGGTCGGGAGCAGGTGCATGCCCAACCTCTGTCGCATGGTGGAGCAGCCCAAGCAGGCTTTCTGGGGCAGGTGGCCTTGAAAATTGCCAAAGTACAGGATGCCCAGGAGCTGTCAGCTGAGGATGGGGAAGGCTGGCAGCCTCCTTGAGGGTACAATCTGCTTGGTGCTAAATTCTGAGCTGTCCTTTTGCACCAACATTTCCCTTCCAATTTATCTTCTGACATGGAAGGAAGCAGGAAAAATATGGTTTATTCCAAGCACCCTGGGCGGGCAGGCGGGTGGCTGTACTTTATGCTATTTTCCCAGTATGTTAATGCACATCTGTGGATTGGTCCCCCCTGCACACAACCCTATGGCTGTGGGAGCAACTACAATTTTTCTTTTTGCTTTTCTTTTTCTTTCTTCCTTTTTTTTCCTTTTAATTACTCCCCTAGTTAGTGGCCTGGCAATTTTGAAATGCCATCAAAAGCAGAAATTCAAGAGGCTCCTGGGGAGGATGGGAGTGCAACAAGCTTCTGGAGGGAGGCTGCAGCCTGGGTAGAGGTTAGTGAGTCAGGGAGGCTCTGTCCTGCGTGGATGCTGTGTAGGGTCATGGCAGGGAAGTGCCAGAGGAAAAACCCCAGTGACCTTGTCCAGCTAGAGCTGAATCAGCCCAACTTCCCCTAGAGCCTGAAGGGAGACACATATGTGAAACTCAAAGTTAGAAGTCCAGGGTCAGAGGAAGCCTGGTTGAAGACCAGTGAGAAGAGTCCTGCCTGTCCAGCCCTGATCCTGACTCTGCACACCTTCATGCACCATGGTCATCAGGGATGCATTGTGGGATCACCGAACACCCAGCTCAGTTGTCTAGAGCTCTGGGCACCCCAGACGGCCATGCTTCTGTTGCCTCCTCTCTTACTGGTGAGAGGAGCAAGGAGTAAAACAGCCTTCATGCTAGGCAGTAACTGGACAGTGTGCCCGCATCTTGATGTGCTGGCCGCCTTGGGATCTTCCTGTGGGTCAGGCATTCTGATCAGCGGTGGTGGTGGGCAGGGCACAGAATCCAGCCCCCAGTGTCTCCTGCACCAGTGACTGAGCAAGTCTCTGTGCCTGGCACTGCACTGGACACGCTGCACATCATGTTAGTCAGGATTTTCCAGACAATAGAATTAACAAGATGCATGAATATAGACAGAGATTTATTATAAGGAATTGGCTCCATGCTTCCGGAGGCTGAGGAGTTGGAGATCTGCAGAGGGCAGGCTGGGGAGCCAGGAGACCCAGTGGTGTGGCTCCAGCCTGAAACCTGGCAGCCCTGAGAGCCAGGGAGCACTGATGTTTTCATTCAAGTCCAAAGGCAGGAAAATGCTGACAGCCCAGTTCAAAGGCAGACAGGCGGGAGGAATTCTCTCTTATTCTGAGGAGGGTCAGAATTCTTGTTCCTCCAGCTGATGGAATGAGGCTCACCCCAGTATAAACGGCCATCTGCTTTATTCAGTCAATTGATTTAAATGTTAATCTCATCCAGAAACACACTCACAAAAACACCCAAAATAATGTTTAACCAAATGACTGGGTACCCCATAGCCCAGTCCAGTTGACACATAACATTGACAATCACACACACACGTTATTTAGACTGTGCACAGCAGCTCTGCTTGGGTTCCCAGTGTTCTCATTTTGCAGACACGGAGCCTCGGAGAGGTGAAGAAAATGGCCCAGTATCACAATAAGAGGACGTGGCCAAGCAGGATTAGAACCTGGGTGTATCTGACTCCAGATTTGCTGACAGATGATGCTCAGGATCCTTGGGTGGAGTTGCAGCTGCCATTATCCGGAGTTCCCTGTGCTTATGGGGCTGTGTTTTCCAAGCTAAACAAGTTCTCCTGGTCTTAAGTGATGTACTGCTTGACCCTGCCTGAGTTTCTATTGCTATTGGAATAAATGACCTCAAACTTAGTGGCTTAAAACAATGCAAATTTTTCATTTTGCGGTTCTGGAGTCCAGAAGTCCAATGCTGGTCTCAGGGGGTCTCATGAAATGTGTCTCAGGGCTGTGCTCCTTCTGGAGGCTCTCGTGGGGAATCTGTGATCTTCCTTGGCCCACGGCCCCTCCTCCATCTTTAAAGCCAGGACTGGCCACTGAGCTCTTCTCACATCATGTGCTCTGAGCTCCTCTCCTGCCTCCCTCTTCTCCGTGTAGGGACCCTCATGATTACACACGGGTCCTTCTCCATTTAGGACCTACCTGGATAATGCAGGATCATCTGCTTGTGTGAAGGTCAGCTGATTAGCAGCCTGAATTTTCTGTTGCCATGTAACGTAACATATTCTAGGATTCAGGGATCAGGACATGGACATTTTATTTTTTGGCGGGGATAGGGGGTGGGCATTCTGCCCACACAGGCACTGGGACAGATTATTTATTTTACCTTGGGACTTTCCATGAATGCTACAGCCTCATGGCTACTCTGCATGATTTCAAATGGGGTTCGTCCGTGTTTTCACGTGGGGTCCCTGGGCCCTGTAGATGCAGCCCTCTCGTGTGGGGTCTTCCTCCCTCCCTCCATCAGGTCTTCCAGGGCTCTGGGGGTCCAGAGAAAAAAGGCACCGCATGGTGGGGAAGTGGGTGTGGGTGGGCAGGAGAGTGGCCACAGCAGGTGTCAGGACAGTAGGCTTTGGAGGCTGGCTGGGCAAGATTCTTACTCTGGCTCTGTTCTCTCCCAGCTCCACCTTTCTTAGCCTCAGTTTCCAGACGGGGCAGTGGGGAACGACATCAGGGAATGCTGAGCTTGTGAGTTTTATGCCCCTTAAATACTTCACTGAGGACAACAAGAGCACCCTGAGGCCACAGGGGAGGGGCTTCCTGCTGCAATGTGAGGACTGGAGGAAGGGGAAGGGCAGGAGACGCAGGAGGGGAGGAGGGGCCAGCAGCAGAGATGATGCTTCCGGTGTCCTCCACCCCCTATCGTGGGCAGGCGGGATGCCCCATGAAGTCCCAGGCCTCAGTTCTGTCTCCTCTTTTAGCAACTGAAGGGCTGGGTCAGGGCCTTCCATCCCCAGACACCTGGTATTTGAGGGTCTGCAGGCTCCACCAGGGCTGCTGCTGAGTCTCCTGCAAGTTCCGGCTCCTGAGCCCCTGGCTCCTGTCTGGCCCCTGTCCTAAATGAATAGGTGCAAAGAAAATAAAAAAGAGGGAAATCTTGCCATTTGCAACAACATGAATGAATGTAGAGGACATTCAGCTACATGAAATAAGGCAGTCACAGGACAGATACTGCGTTATTCCACTTACGGAGAGTTATCCAAGATAGTCAAACTCACAGAAGCAGAGAGTAGAATGATGGTTGCCGGGGCTGGGGGGAAGGGGAAATGGGGAATCATTTTTCTTTCCTCTTTCTTTTTTTCTTTTCCTTTTTTGAGACAGGGTCTTCCTCTGTCACCCAGGCTGGAGTGCGTTGGTGAAATCTGGGCTCACAGCAGCCTTGACCTCCTGGGCTCAAGTGATCCTCCCACCTCAGCCTCCAGAGTATCTAGGATCACAGGTGTGAGCCACCATGCCCAGCTAATTTTGTTTGTATGTTTTTGTAGAGATGAGGTTTTTCCATGTTGCCCAGGCTGGTCTTGAAATTCTGGACTCAAGCAATCTGTCACCCTCAACCTCCCAAAGTGTTGGGATTACAGGCGTAAGCCAGTGCACCCGGCGTGGAATCATTTTTCAATGAGTACAAAGTTTGTATAATGCAAGATAAAAAAGTTATAGAGATCTGCTGTATGACATGGTAACTATAGTTAACAATATGGTACTGTGTGCTGTAAAATACATAAAAAGGGTAGACCTCATGTTAAATGTCCTTATCATTTTTTCTCCCAAACAAGCTTACAAAAGAACATAAGGACATTTGTGGACGTGCTGGAGATATTTAGTATCTTGGTTGTAGTGATGGTAAAACAAGTGTATGCCTATGTCCAACTCAACAACATGTACAAATTAAATGTGTGCAATTCTTTTGTATATCAGCTATACCTCAATAAAGATAAAAAAGAAAAGAAAAGAAAGCAGTTTCACGGAGAAGACCCCCCAGTGCTGTGCCAGCCTCACTGAGAGCACAGTATTTCAGCTGGACTCACAGCAAGCCCACAGGCCAGCATTGCACAGCAAATGATGGGTTCTTCACCTGCAGGGACTGTTAACCCCACTCTCACTATTCACCCTATTGAGTCAAGGTGAGGGGACTTGGGGTCCAGAGGGTGGCCTCCCTGTCTCAAATCCCTCTGTCCCTTTGCTCTATTCCTTTATATGAGTGTTGACAACCCACAAGATCAAATGAGCAGGGCATCAAGCAGGTGAGCTGCCCAGAGGCAGGTGCGGGGGTGAAAGTGCACTGGATGTAGCCCAGGGCACTCTGCAGTACCACATTAGCAAGATGAGGGGCAGGAGCAGAGCATGAGATGACCTGCCATCCCCACCCTGGGAAGGCCTCTGTGTGGTTGTGATGGACAGCCATGGAGCACACATGAACTTCTTGTGGCTGTCAAAACAAATGACCAAAAACTGGAGACTTAATAGAAATGGATTGGCTCACAGTTCTGGAGGACAGAAGTCCATTCTCAATGTGTTGTCAGGGCCATGCTCTCCGAAGGCTCTAGGGGAGGATCCTTCCTTGCCCCTTCTAGTTTCTGGTGGCTCCATGTGTCCCTTGGCTTGTGGCAGCATCACTGCAATATCTACCTCTTTCTTCATGTAGCCTTTTCTCTCTTCTCTCCAGGTCTCTCCTCTTTCTTCTCTTAGAAGGACACTTGTCATTAAATTTAGGGGTCATCCAGATAATCCAGTGACATGGTTTGGTTGTGTTCCTATCCAAATCTCATCTTGAATTCCCATGTGTCGTGGGAGGGACTTGGAGGGAAGTAACTGAATCATGAGGGCAGGTCTTTCCCAAGCTGTTCTCATGATAGTGAATAAGTCTCATGAGATCTGATGGTTCTATAAGGGGGAGTTTCCCTTCACAAGCTCTCTCTCTTTGCTTGCTGCCATCCATGTAAAATGTGACTTCTCCTCCTTGCCTACTGCCATGACTGTGAGGCCTCCCCAGCCATGTGGAACTGTAAGTTCGTTAAACCCTTTTTCCTGCATAAATTACCCAGTCTCGGGTATGTCTTTATCAGCAGTGTGAAAACAGACTAATACAGCAAATTGGTACCAGTAGAGTGGGGTACTGCTGGAAAGATACCCAAAAATGTGGAAGTGACTTTGGAACTGGGTAACAGGCAGAGGTTGGAACAGACAGCAAAATGTGGGAAAATTGGGAACTTCCTAGAGTCTTGTTGAATGGCTTTGATCACAATGCTGATAATGATATGGATAATGAGATCCAGGCTGAGGTGGTCTCAGATGGAGATGAGGAACTTGTTAGAAAATGGAGCAAAAGTGACTCTTGTTATGTTTTAGCAAAGAAACTGGCAGCATTTTGCCCCTGTCCTAGAAATTTGTGGAATGTTGAACTTGAGAGAGATGAGCACAGGTGACACTTTTAACATTTTAGCAAAGAGACTGGTAGCGTTTTGCCCCTGCCCTAGAGATTTGTGGAACTTTAAACTTGCAAGATATGATTTAGGGTATCTGGTGGAAGAAATTTCTAAGCAGCAAAGCATTCAAGAGGTGACTTGGGTGCTGTTAAAGGCATTCAGTTTTATAAGGGAAGCAGAGCATAAAAGTTTGGAAAATTTGCAACCTGACAATGTAATAGAAAAGAAAATCCCATTTTCTAAGGAGAAATTCAAGCCAGCTGCAGAAATTTGCATAAGTAACAAGGAGCCAAATGTTAATCCTCAAGACAATAGGGAAAATGTCTCCAGGGCGTGTCAGAGGTCTTCACAGCAGCCCCTCCTATCACAGGCTCAGAGGCCTAGGAGGAAAAAGGGGTTTCATGGGCCCGGCCCAGGGTCCCTGTGCTGTGTGCAGCCTAGGGACTTGGTGCCCTGAGTCCCAGTCACTCCAGCCATGACTGAAAGGGGCCAACATAGGGCTTGGGCTGTGCCTTCAGAGGGTGCAAGCCCCAAGCCTTGGCAACTTCCACATGGTGTTGAGCTTGTCAGTGCACAGAAGTCAAGAATTGGGGTTTGGGAATCTCTGCCTTGATTTCAGAATATGTATGGGAACACCTGGATGCCTAGGCAGAAGTTTGCTGTAGGGACGGAGTCCTCATGCAGAACCTCTGCTAGGACAGTGTCAAAGGGAAATATGGGGTTGGAGACCCCACACAGAGGCCCTACTGGGCCACAACCCAGTGGAGCTGTGAGAAGAGGGCCGCTGTTCTCCAGAACCCAGAATGGTAGATCCACTGACAGCTTGCATCATGTGCCTGGAAAAGCCACAGACATCCAATGCTAGCCTGTGAAGGCAGCTGGGAGGGAGGCTGTACCCTGCAAAGCCATGGGGTGAAGTTTCCCAAGACCATGGGAACCCACCCCTTGTATCAGTGTGACCTGGATGTGAGACATGAAGTCACAGGAGATAATTTTGGAGGTTTAAGTGTCCTACTGGATTTTGGACTCACATGGGGCCTGTAGCCACTTTGTTTTGGCCAAATTCTCCCATTTGGAATGGCTGTATTTACCCAATGCCTGTACTCTCGTTCTATCTAGGAAGTAACTAACTTGTTTCTTTATTTTACAGGCTCATAGGCAGAGGGACTTGCCTTGTCTTAGATGTCATATTGGTCTTGGACTTTTGAGTTAATGCTGAAATCAATTAATACGTTGGGGGACTGTTGGGAAGGCATGATTGATTTTGAAATGTGAAAGGGACATGAGATTTGGGAGGGTCCAGGGGTGGAATGATGTGGTTTGGCTGTGTCCCCACCAAAATCTCATCTTGAATTCCCATGTGTTGTGGGAGGGACCCAGTGGGAGGTAAATGAATCATGGGGTCAGGTCTTTCCCGTGCTGTTCTTGTGATAGTGAATAAGTCTCATGAGATCTGATGGTTCTATAAGAGGGAGTTTCCCTGCACAAGTTCTCTCTCTGCCTGCTGCCATCCACGTAAGATGTGACTTGCTCCTCCTTGCCTTCTGCCATGATTGTGAGGTTCCCTAGCCATGTGGAACTCTAAGTCCATTAAACTCTTTGTCCTGCATAAATTACCCAGTCTCAGGTATGTCTTTATATGCAGTGTGAAAACAGACTAGTACATCTAGTATGAGCTCTCTTCAAGGTCCTTAATTACATCTGCAAAGACCCTTTCTCTAAATAAGGTCACATTCACAGGTTTGAGGTAATGAGGTGGATGTATTTTAGGAGCCACCATTCAATACACCATAAAGTAGGTGCTTTTCTTTCAGAGCAGAGTGGGGTGCTAATGAAAGCTTTCCCTCAGCTGTTAGAAAATGTCTGGGCTCCTGTACACAGCTTGATGAAGTGGCAGGAGTCCTTTCTCCTGCTGGTTTTGATCTTCACTCCCAGAACAACAGCTGCAGAGTGCTCAGTCAGCAGAGCGGGAGCACCATGAGTGCAGGATGGGAACACTCAAAGGGCAGAGGGGGAACATTCAGATAGTAGGGAGGAGCATTCAGAGAGCAGGAAAGAGCACTCAGAGCAAGTAGAGAGCACTCTAAGAGCAGGATGGGGGCACTTAGCAGGGAGGAGCACTAGAGAGCAGGGAAGAGCACTCCTAACAGGGAAAAGCCCTCTGAGAGCAGGGAGGAAGCTTTCATAGAGCAGAGTGGGAGCACTCAGAGAGCAGAACAGGAGCACTTGCAGGGCAGAGTGGGAGCACTCAGCTGGAGACTGGCGCACTCAGAGAGCAGGGCTACTTGTGAATGCTTGGCAATGGCTAGAGAGCTGAGAAACTCCCTCAGAGACTGAGGTGGCTGATGGCTCAGGAGTGTGCACCCTGCCTGTGTCCAGGTTAGGAAGAGTTCTTCTCATCATGCCTGTGGAATCTACAGGTAGGAAGTTTCAGGAGTTTGATGTGGAAGGACCTGGGCTAACAGATGCGGCCCTTCCACCTGCAATGGGCACAATTGGGGCACATGGTTCTCGGGTCTTTGATGTCACACTCCACAGGTGCAAGGGGGCCAGGAGAGTGGTGGGATGGTTAACTCTGCAGGAATCTTTTAATGTTTTTTATTATTTTATTTTATTATATTTTATTTATTTATGTTAATATTTATTTTTGATTCTTTTAGTAGATATGAGGTCTTACCATGCTGCTAGTCTCAAACTCCTGGATTCATGCAGTCCTCCCACTTTGGCTTTGGCCTCCCAAAAAGCTGGGATTACAGGCGTGAGCCACTGCACCCAGCCAACTCTGCAGGAACCTTGACTGTCACTGAGAATATCTCTTATGCTGCGTGTGCACTTGAGACATTTCTTCTTAAAGCTAAGGTGGACAAATGTCTCCGATTTCTCTTTATCCCAGATTGAGAAGCTTATGAATGTAACAGACTCTTGGTGGGATCAGGGCTGGAGTTAGAGTCTCTAACAGGACAAGCCACAGGGAAAAGCTGGCTGCCTTCCAGCTGGATGTGCCCATGTCTGCATTAGTTCCATCCTGGATCACATTTTCAGAATTTAATGTTGATGATGAGTGAGGTATGGTAGAAGGGAGAGAATAATTTTCTTTGCAGCAGGAGGCTAAAGCTTCCAGCAGCTCCCCTTTGGTGTCATTTCTGCTTCGGGAGAGCTGTGGTGGCCTGAGCCAGACCTCTGGCTGATGGGACTATTGTCCTGGCTGGAAAGGGATGTGTTTCTAGCTTTTTTGTTGGAAGAATTTTGTAGGGTTACCCCCTCCAGGCAAGGACTGTGAGATGGATTCTGAGCATCAGGCACACAGACACTGCATCCTTGTGCACAAACTCACAACCATCCCTGCCTCCTCCTCCTCCGGCACCTTCTCCTCCTTCTTTGGCATGGCTACCCCCCACCCCCTCCCCACCATGAGATATTCCCTTGTGTGTGTCTTGTTTGAAAGTCAGCTAATCCCCACTTTCTCCTCCCAGGGCTGACACACATCGGAGCCATCCATCCACATGTCCACCCTGACAGCGGCTCCCCTGGGGCAATGCGAGATGCAGTAATTGATGAAAAGAGAGGAAGAACATAGGGCTGTGTCTAGAGAGAGTCTGGGTCTGGACCTGCCACTGACCAATGTTGTGAGCTTGGGCAAGGCTGCACCAACTCTGAGCTTCTGTTTTCTCCTCTGTGTGCTGGGGCCGTATTCGTGGTCTCTGTGGTCCTTCCAGAGGGAAGCTCCTACAAGACTTCTGTACTTGGCTCGCTTCTGCAAGCACAGAATGAGCAGCCTTTCCCCTTTACACAATAGGTTGTATTTAGGATCCCCATGGGAGTCTCTTTTCTTAAATGTCATTCTGCCTTTTAGAGGTCAGGCTACCCTTTACCTGGAATACCCTGCCCTCTGCCCAGATCCGGCTAAATCTTCTGTGAAGCTTCTCTTGGTTCCCCAGCCTGCAAATCCTATTATATGCCACCTCCTGCAGAAAGGGCAGTAAAAGCAGCGTCTGGCTACAGGGAGTGCCCTGTGAGTTCAGGCTGAATAAATGAAGGGGCAAATGCATGCATGAGTAAATGAATGAATTCAGTAAAGGATTTTGCTTCTGACAATCCCCTCACCTGAGCATTACCTAATGCACACCTGTAATGTGGCAGGCAAAGATCTGGGCATGGAAGAGAACTTAGTGAATCAAATATTAGTGACTATTTGTTAATTCAAAGCCCCTGCCCTCCTGGAGCTTCCATTAAGGGGCAGAACACATTGAGTAAATAACTTAACCAAGTCTGTGGTGCAGGATGGAGTCCAGAGAAAAATAAAGCAAGTCCTGGGAGAATTTAATAGAAGACCTTTGTTTTCTACCTGTAGTGATTTATGTTTGCATGTTTCCAGATTTAAAATGCTTCTTGTTTCTGAAAAGGTGGTCGTGGTCAGGATTATTTTGGGAGATTGGAGAATGGTTGAAGCCATCTGGAAAGAGGGTCTGGAAGAGGTTGGCTTTGAACTGGGGTTGAAGAGAAAGGAAGTTGTATATTCAACATCAGGACAAAGTCACTGGCTGTGTACAGGGCTGGCCATCACATTTTGCCCAGTAGACTGGAACCCTATGTCCACCTGTCCATATTGCCATTCCCCGACATGCCCTACAACAGAGTGAACATCTAACAAATAATGCAAGACTGCACGCAACCCTTGGTGAGCGGCATTAAAGGAATACCAGAATGTTCCAGAAGTTCTTTTTCTGATAGCTGCTCCAAATTTCTGGCCAAAGCCTCCTTAACCTTGCTTCAGGGTCAGAATGTTCTCAAAGAGTGGTCAATTTTTTAAACCTTCTTTTTTTAATTACCCCGGTCATCAGCAATGAGGAACTCTAGAATGTTCTGATGACTCTTACAGTGCTTTGATTAATTGGACATGTTTAACCACTCTGCATCTCAGCTGATCTGCAGATAGTGGACGCTGAGAATTTAACAGGAGAGGAAAATGTAATTGGACTAATTTCATTCCTGCAGAGCTGGAGAAGCGGAAGTCATTTTTTATCACTGCAGCTATTAAAGGGCCCTGGTTTTTTTTCAATACAGAAGAGCATAATAAACTTTATATAAAAGTGAACAGATGATCAAATAAACAGAGTTATGGAGATAGGAGCTGGTGGGGTTGAGGTCTGGGAGAATTTACTGTTCAGTCGTGGAACCTGATGATAGGTTTGAAAGATGTCTCAGTTCATCTCCATCTGAAGTTGTTGGAGCCTCAGGAGCACAGAGCTTTGGGGGTCTTGCTGAGCCAGCACCCTGCCCTCCGGGAGCACTGTCACCTGGGAAATGGTCCTGCCAGGAACATTTTCAAGAAGTGTCCCTTGCACACTCATACAGACATATTCACACACACACACATACAGCTTTCTGGGCACCAGCTAAGTAATACAGACAAAAGTCCAACTCCCCAGCCAGGTACTCTTCTCCATGACTGGACCCAGAAGGATCTCCTCTGAGGTCACTTTTTCCTGCTTTGTAATGAATCTAATTACAGCCATGGGTCATATAAACTGGACCCCCCCTTCCCCACTTATCCTTTTACTTTGGCTGGCCTAGCAGAGAAGACTTAGCCACAGCCAAGGAGATGGGTTCTTTTCCCTGTGGACCCTCTGTTTCCTCCAGAGGGACTCCCAGAGCAAATGCCTGCGTGCAGTGCAGCCTCCGCTGAAGCTCCTGGACATCTCCAGAGAGAACACAGGCTCAGATCCTCTCAACCTGGACTCAGACCTGGGTTCCCTCCCCTTGCTGCACAGAGGATCATACAGTAATACACAGCATGCTCAACTAAATTAGAATTCCAGGGAAATGATGAATGATATTTTGGTATATTTCATGCAATATTGGGGATATACTTATACTAAATGTTATTCATTATTGGTCTGAAATTCAAATGTAACTGGGCTTCCCGTATTTTTATCAGTTAAATCTGCCAACCCTATACCCATGGGGCCTTGGGCGGGTGCAGCTTTAAAAAATATTCTGTGCCTCAGTTTCCTCATCTTTTCAAAGGGGGACAATAACAATAATAGAGCTGACTCCGTGTGGCCCGTGTGAGGAGTGCACAAAGGAAGCACTAGGCAAATGTGAGGTGTGTTCACTCATTCATTCTGTCAATAACCTTGTGTAGTACATTTCCTCTATATGAGGCCCTGAGCCAGGCTGGGGCCTGGGGAGGGGCAATACCAAACATGGCAGATATAGGTTCTACCTCCTGGACTTTCGTTGTTGGTGGGATGAGTCCAAAGAGGGGCTCTGCAGATGGTCGGCTGGGCCATTTGTTCCTCTGCAGTGGTTTTCTGTTTCTTGAAGAGTCTTTACAGGGACGGTCAGCATGAAGTCCATGGGAGATGAACCTGCCTTGATGGTATCAACTCAGCAGGTCTGATGAGCAAGTGCTTTGCAGCCCAGGCTCCCCCTCATCTCTGGGCATTTGGAACATCCCACCTGAGTGTCCTGTGCCCGAGCCCCAGCTGCTGTCCTGAGATGCTGCCTGAGACCGCCATCCACCTCCCGTGAGTGTTGATGGGACTCTTGGCTGACCTGGTAAGCTCTGCTGGCCAGGGAAGGAGGTGGAGTGAGGGATCCTGCAAGGAAGTAGAGTTGCTTGCTTTTCCAGCAATGGTCAGCCTCGACAGACAGCCCTGGGGGACCCTTAATGCCTGTTCTCCTTCCTGTCCCATGAGCACAAGGCACCAGGATTTAGCTCAGTCCCTGGGGTGGGCAGGCTGGCTGGCCCAGGGTGGTACAGAGGAGTGGGTCCAGAGCAAGGAAGGTCTGGCTGTTGGACCCTTGTAGGGTGTGCAGGCCACCAGTCAGCTGCCTGTGGTCAAGCAGGGCAGTGTCTGGGTTTATATCTCCAGGGACAAGTGCGAAAGCAGAGAGCAGAGCCGGAGGGTGAGCGGGGTGAGCGGAGACGCCCCTCCCTGGTAGAAAGACCACACATGCAAAACAGCCATCCAACGTTAAGGGTTTCCTGGATCTCCAGACCCAACTCAGGGATCCTGGAGCCTGCAGCCATCAGTTGAGCTTGGGGGACCAAATTCAGTCATTTCAGCCCAGAGTGCAGGAGCAGGCTGAAAACAGATGGTGTAAAACAAAAATCACAGGAAAGCATGCAAGGTCGGGGTGCAGCTGCATTTTCCCTGTATGTGCCAGGGCCTCTCTGCAGGCCAGGGGGCCAGACCCAGTGACCATGTCCTCTGAGAGCTTTCTGACTGCTCAGGTAGTTGCAGCAGGAGCTTAGGTGGAAGGAACTGTGCACCCTTTTTCGCAGATGCAGATGGGTGCAGGGTCAGGGTTGCAAGGAAATCCATGTTTTCTTGGCAGCTTCTTTTTGTTCCACGTTCAAAATATATTTGTCTCTGGTCCTGGTCCTGCATTAATGGACTCTGACATGTTGCTGTCAGTAGAGTGAAATCCCAAGCAGAGGAATTCCAAGCCACTCGGGAGTCCCTCTCAGACTCTCGGCGGCGATCACGGTATATTAAGGGGAAGTTCATCTCTTTTAGTCTGAGTTTTTATTTGACATGTTGCTATATTAATGTCAAGAAGTCTACTTTAGCAAGTCCCTTTACAACGCAGCCTCAGGAGCTGCATTACTGACAGAGAGATTGGAGTTTCAGGATGTGCCACGGAAAAAATAATCTCTGAGTTTCATTTTGAATAGCGAAAATCTGAATGAAAAACCCCCCGTAATTGTCTGATGGGAAATATATTGTCTCACAATATCAGTTTCATTGATTCCCTTTCATATTTGTATTAAAACTGAAAAGCTAGCAATAACCTCAGCCTGTTATTGGAAATGTGGGTGTGGGAGGGAACAGCAGCCTGGGTAGGGAGGCAGGAATTAATCAGAGAAGAAAAGAGAGAGTCCTTGTGGGCCCCCCCCCGGATCTTTTGTCTTCCTTCACACAGAAACACCAGCGATGGCAGTTTTACAAAAGGGGTGAGCCGTTAAATTATCATGGCATTATCTTTGTGTCTGTCTCTTTGTGTTAGGTAAATAATGCTCAAATGAGAGGACAGTCCATGACCTTGAGTGTGTCAACACAATCTCTGCCAGCTGTCGCCTACTTTCATCTTCATGACACATGCGGGGAGAGGAAAGAAGGAAGTAATGGGCAGAAAATGCCCTAAGACAGGATCATCGGCAGGTGTGGGGGGATGGTGGGGACCTGCACCAGGCACATTAGACCCCTGGTGAGTTTTGCTCGCATGGAATCCAAAACTCTATATTCCAACAAGTGTTTGCTGAGCATCTACTTGCACTCTGACCTCACACTAGGAATCTTGGAAGGTACAAAATGAGGACGCCTCAGCCCCTGCTTCTTCAGAGCTGCAGTACAAGTTCATACCACCTACATTGAGAATCAGGAAGTGCCGTGGCTGGTCTCCAAGAAGGCCCCCAATGAACCAATAACCCGCTTCTCACCTGGCGTTCACTGTGTGTGCAGTCCTCTCTCCTATAGCTCCAGGTTGCTGTGTGAGACCACAGTGCACAGCAGACCCTTCTGAAATGAGGTTGTACAAACTGCCACTTCCGTCTTAGGGGCGACTTGCTTTCTGGTTGTCTCTCCTTCTGGGAGTTCAGCGGCCACAGGAAGAAGTCTAGGCCATGCTGCTGGAGAAGAGAGACCCAGGAGGGTGAGAGGCCACCTGGAGAAGAGAGACCCAGGAGGGTGAGAGGCCACCTGGAGGAGAGACACCCAGGAGGGTGAGAGGTTGCCTGGAGGAGAGAGACCCGGGAGGGTGAGAGGCTGCCTGGAGGGGAACGGAAGCCAAACTCCACCTGCCAGCCCTCTGAGTCAGCCTTCTTGCCAGCAGGTAAATTTGGGGGGATGTGTTATGCAGAACAGGGAGCGGATATAGTCAGCACTGAGAGTGGAGAGCCAAGTGGGTGTCAGATGCTTTGGAGGGGAGTGTGGTAAAAGCTTTGAAGGGGAGGGGGCCTCAGGGAGATGAAGTAGGAGGTGAGATGGATGAGGAGACCATGGTATGCAGGTTGTATACATGGAGGGACTGGCCCCTTGAACAGAGATAGGAAGCTCCAGAGAAGACATGGGTTTCAGGGAAATGAAGCTGAAAATCTGCAGATTCTAAAACACAAAATTGCTAGCTGCAGTGAGGGGGATTACGGTACCTGCACTTCTCTTTTCTCTGTTCCCAACTCTGCGTCTCCAGGAGAAGATGCCAGAGCTGGGAAGGCCTGGCTGTACACTTGCTGTGATCTTCACCCAGGGTTTAGCCCCTGGCTCACTTGAGTTTGGCTTTTCCACCTCTCTCCAACCGCTCCTGGGAAGCCGCCTTGGCCAGAATCACCGCTGTCCCCAGGTGACCGCCTCCACCCTGTGCTCTGGGATGCACCTCCTGGCTCGGCCTCAGCAGACCCCCTGCCCCTTTTGTTTTTCCTCCTCCTATCCCGGGACTGGTCTCTTTTCTCCCCATATTCAGATAATTTCAGGCACCGTCAGGTCAAGGTGACTAAAGCTGGATGATTCCGTGGGATTATTTCAGAGGATATTAAACCTTGGGTGGGTGGTTGGATTCTAGTAGTTTCAGTTATCTCCCAATCAGGAAGTGACTGGCTGCCAGCTCTCGCCTTTACATTCTTCATAACCACTCATGATAATGCAATCCCGCACCTGTCCTTTCTGCACCTTGTGACAGGTGCCCAGGTAATGGTGGCCTGCCTTAGCTTTGCTGAGGTAAAGGGCTGCCCGACGTACCCCCACAGCAGGGGCCTTGGTTCCACCCGGTCTGATCTCATCTGCTCGTCCAACTTGCATGTGGTTCCCAGTAACCCCTGCTCAGCCCCTCCCTGCTCCGTTGCTTCCCCCGCTCAGGAGCTTCTGATCCTCTTCAGTTCCAGATCAGTTTTTCCTTCCCCAAATGGATGGTTCCTTGCAATATACTGACTGTAGCTGTTTCATCAGATACAAAGGTCCTCCCATTTTTCAAGGAAGGTTCTGCATTTGGGGCTGAAGTTATGGATATGTCAACTAGTCTCGATGCCAATGTCCTCACCTTTTTTCGGGGGTCTTATTGCTTCTGGCGATGTCCCTATCTTATGCCCTGATTCTGTTTTAGGCCAGCTTCAAGCAGGGTAATTCTGTTACCTGTTTCCTTCCCTCCCTCCCTGTTCTCATCTTTTCTTCTCTCTCTCTTCCTCCTCTGTGTTAATGAGAGCTTCTCTCTCTCTCTCTCTCTCTTCCTCCCCCCCTCTCCCTCCCTTCCTCTGTCTCCCTCCCTCCCTTCCTCTCTGTCTCTCTTTTCCTCTCTCTCCCTCTTGCTCTTTCCCTCCCTCCATTTCTGTTTCTCTCTCTCCCTGCCTCTCTCTCTTCTTGTTTCTCCTCTTTCTTCCCCACCCTTTCCCTCTCTCCCTTTCTCTCTCGCCCATCTGTGTTAATGAGAGCTGGAAGCAGACATATGGAAGCATGACACTATGAGTGTCCACCCTCAGGCGCAGAACAGGAGGCTGTCTCCCATCTCTACCCAGCCCCAGGAGGGCAGGTTTCCCCACACTGTAGAAAATTGCAAAACAAGCCCGAAGTGTCTGAGGGCTTGCACGGCATTCCGTCATGATATGCTGAAAACCTGGTTACTTATAAAGCAATTTGCTCCTGCAGGCTGGTTTGAGATTAAAATGGTAATTATCTTGCAAATGACTGTAACTGTCTTTCATAAATGTGGCAATGTTTGAGATGTGACTAACTGCGGTCTGCAGGATAATGGGCTTAATAAACGATATATTTAGTGTATTGTCAGGGAACAGAGCCTTAGTAGTTGGAGACGGGACAATACTATAATTTCAGCGAGCTAGAGTCCATTCTTCTCCCCAGCCATGGTCCCCCACCCCCCTTCAATAGCATGTGCTCATCATTTTTTTCTTAATAGGACATTTTTCCTTAGGATAATTTGCAAATTGCTAATCTGTTATCATCTCTCATTTCTTTCCTCCTTAAAGTTTTAGTTTCCTTGGTTGCCTTGCACAAATGCAAGGGAATAACCTTACTTGCTGCAGATGGGCAGGGGGCTGTGGTAACAACACAGCAGAGACACATCCTGAGCAGGCACAGTGGGGACAGGAGCCATAGTCAGGGTATCAGGTAGGAGAAACCGAAGACTCTCCTTTCTCTTTCCTCGCAGGAAAATAAACGTTTTAATCAACTGTTCTGCTTCTTGCTGGAGCCAAAGATTCCTTCCACAGAAAACGCTCGGGAGGTCCAGGTGACTCAAGGCTCTGGTGATCTGGTCCTCGGCTTGGAGAGGAATCTGGGAAAGGCTCAGGGTTCCAGGCCCCTGCACAAGGCAGTTGGAACCTCAGAACACAGCAGGACCCAGGGACTGGAGCCTGCAGGTCGGGACTAGGAAAGGTTGGTGGGTTATCGGAATCAGAGATTGGGGCTGTCTTTTCTAAGCTTGGCCTTAGTTCAGCCAGCACCTCCAGAAGCTGTTGAGACACAGAAGGGCCTAAAAAACCTTGACATGTGGCCATCATTCCAATGACCTCAATGTGTAGATGGCAGGTCAGTGGTTTTTACTCAGCTGTGTCTCCCTCAGTCCTCATCTGTTAAAGGGGACAAGGATGCCTGGGCCCAGCAGGCTGGGCAGCTGATCCAGCGAGGACCAGCTCACCAGCACCAAGTGGGGGTCTGGTGCCTCTGCCTGCCCTCTCTTGGCCATGTGTTCACACTGCACAAGCCTGAGATCCCAGAGAGACAGTCTGAGCTGGGGCCAATGGGTGCATGTCTTGTGACCAGATGCGGCCATTGAGATGTTCCCTGAATTTAGTGTGTGGCCGTGGAAGGGAGTGCAAGGGACATTCGGAGTACACCAGAACCAGGATGGGGGAGGGGAACAGAGAAACCACCAGTAAACCCAGTGGGCGGGCAGCGGTCCAAGTTCTGCTCAGGTTCCTCAAAAGTCGAACATGGAGTGACCACACAATCCAACAATTCTGCTTCTGGGACGCACCTGGAAGAATGGACAGCAGAGACTCAGATACGTGTCTGCCCACATTCACAGCAGCATCACTCAGAATAGCCAAAAGGTGGAAGCAACCCAAGTGTCCATAAATGGCTGGATGGAGAAGCAAAGTACAGTCTATCCACACTGTATAATAGAGTGTTATTCAGCCACAGAATGAATGAAGTGCTATACCTGCTCTAACACGGGCGAACCTTGAAAACATGCTGCCAGCTGACAACAGTCAAATGGAAACGTTCCCGTATTGCATGATTTCACTTACATGGCACATCAGAATACGTAAATCCGCAGAGACAGAAGCAAGTTGGTGGTCATGGGCGCTGGGAGCTGGGAGTGATTTTGCTTAATGGGTGCACAGTTTCCTTTTGGGATGACATTAATGTCTTAGAACAAGACAGAGTTGGCCGGGTGGGGTGGCTCACACCTGTAATCCCAGCACTTTGGGAGGCCGAGGCAGGTGGATCACCTGGGGTCGGGAGTTCGAGACCAGTCTGACCAACATAGTGAGATCCTGTCTCTACTTAAAATACAAAAATTAGTTGAGCGTGTTGGCACATGACTGTAATCCCAGCTATTGGCACATGACTGTAATCCCGGCTACTCAGCAGGCTGAGGCAGGAGAATCACTTGAATCCAGGAGGCAGAGTTCGCAGTGAGCCAAGATCACATGATAGCACTCCGGCCTGGGCAACACAGCGACACTCCGTCTCAAAAAAAAAAAAAAAAAAAAAAAAAGAAGAAAAGAAAAAAAGAACAAGACAGAGTTGATGGTTACATAACACAAAGAATGCACTAAATGCCACCAAACTGTATGTTTTAAAATGGTTCATTGTACATAAGTTCCTTATGGATTCTGGATACTAGACTTTCACCCAAAAGCGGGGAGGGAAGGAAGGGGAAAGTGCTGAAAAACTAGCTCACTGCCTGGGTGATGGGATCCATGGTACCCCAAACCTCAGCATCACACAATATACCCATGTAACAAACCTGCATATGTACCCCCAAATCTAAAATAAAAGCTGAACTTATAACATATGTAGGTTCATTGTTAATTTTGTGTTATGTGAAGTTTACCTCAATTTAAAAACATGGAGTATAATAGGAACTGGTGCAGTTCAGTGTGAAAGCCATATCTCTATTTCTGGGCTGGGTTGGCTCTGGGACTGGCTCCCACAAAAACAAAAAAATCTATCAGGGTTGTCAATGAAAACACTGCCCAGACTCTAATTCTGAAGCCTCATGTTGCAAAGGACACTGTCATTTCCTACCCTGTGTCATTTGTGTTGATTGGGAGGAGAGGGCAGAGCGCTGGGGAAGGTGGGGTGCACCTGTGGAGAAGGGGAAGACACTCTTCAGGTGGACAAAGTTTAGTCCTAAATAAATGTCCAGTCTGATTTTTTTTTTATCCCAACACATCGGATGTGGTACACAGAGTAGCTGCCTCATTCAAAGCACACAACTCTGTTCATTTTGCAAAGCAGAAGCCTGTTTTGGTTCAGATGCAGAGGATCTAACCTGAGGGTAGCCTGGGCAAGGCAGAGCAGGATTTGGGATTCCCTTGCAGTCCCACCGGCACCCAGTGTCTTCCCTCAATAACCTTCTCCAGCACGGGGATTTGTACTTGGTTTATCTCGTGTTAAATTCCAGTGCGGGGAACTTCTTCCTTTGGTGGAAGCTATTCAGTCTGTCAATGCTTTGATGTCTTTTGAATCCTTTGTGGCCCCGAATCAAATAGAAGCTTTTCACATCTACGCTTGAAATATCCTTGTTCCCATTTCCTTTCACTTAAAGGATTTCTCCCCCGTGTGATTATCACAAATCACTTCTGAATGGTGCTTTACCATTCAGCGTTCAGGCATTCATTAAAAAGGCAGACACATACATACCCGTTTACATTCAGCCGTTTTTAAACACTAGATGTATGTCCGTGGATATGTATATACACATATACAGTATTCACTGGCACACGCCTTGTCTCCCACTTCCATTAATGAAATTATCCTTGAAGAATTATCGTCACCAAACAGTTACCTTTCCAACACCCTGTGACTCATTGCGATTTCTGCCATTTTCCATCACAATGCCTACGGGCAATTACTCAGGCTCAGTAATTCAATGCCCAGCTTCCTGCCTACGGAGAGTGTTAGAATAAGATGCATTTTTTTTTAGCTGGAAGAATGTTAATGGATGTCAATAGGTTGCGGGAGAGAGAGCCAGTGCCTGCGAGAAGCAGCCGTGTGGATCTCTATCTGTCCCTGCAGCACTTGTAATAAAAGCTTTCTCAACTTTTCTGTTGCTTGAACAGCAATTACTAAAACATTCTACTTGGGAAGACGCATTAATTAGATGCTTTCTAGAGATTTCAGGTTTATCAGCCCAAATGTCTGTAGAAGCTCCTCAGAGGGAATGTGTAAAATGCTTACGGAGTATGGATCTCTGCTGTAGCCCCAATGCCAGCCTTCTCTGCTTCTATAGCTAGGCTGGGCCTTAGCCCTGATCCTCGGGTGGGAAGCCAATGGGCTACTCTTCCCTCAGGAGGGGCTGTGCCAGCCCCAGACACTTACACCAAAACCCACGGCCAGGGTGAGGACTGCTGTTGATTCTCTAAACATGCCCAAAACCTCTCTCTGTGAAGGTGGGATAGAGGCTACGAGGAGAATGACATGTTACCAGTTGGTAGAGGTGATAACCCAACAATTAATTGGGATTCTAGCCTTTTTCTCTCCCAGCTATCCTTGGCGTACAACCTGGGGCCAATCTCCTAACTTCTGTGTGCCAACTTCCTCACTTGTAAAATGGGGGTGATAATCGTACCCCTCACTTCATAAGGTGGTTTTGAAGATTAACAGAGATCATGCAGTTAAAGTACTTATAAATACAATGCCTCACACACAGCAAGGGCTCCAGAAAGCCAGCTGTTATTGATATTATCCTCAGTTCTATTAGAATGTCACCTATGGGAGAACAGGAAGCGTGTCTGTCCCATCCATTGCTGCATCCCCGGGCTTTGAGTGAAGTCCGGTGTTAATTAGGCACTCTGGCAATTTTTGTTGATGGATTAAGTATCATGGTTATCACCATTGTGGCTGTCATTGTCCTGTGGCTCCTGGTCTCATGGTGGAATTAGGAGAGGGCCGTAGGACATACCCAGGTGAGGGCCAGGAGTGCCGGGGAGTGAGGTCTTCCTGCCAAGCATCCGGGAGAGGCTCACAAGGGCTTCCGGGGTGAGGAGGACATGGGTGCTGTACTGGGTCATGTTCCCAGAGCTTATTACACCCTCGGCACTGCTTCTCATGTTAAAGGCAGTTGTGGCTCTTGACCTCCATCCCTGCTCATGTAGGAAACTGGTTTCCCATAACATTGGAAGGAATGAGAGCCAGGGCCTCTGACCTTGCTGCCGACACCTGGACATCCTGCCCAGATCCCACCTCTGAACAGGACTTGGAAAGAGACTTGCAGACCCCAGACCTGGCTGCCCCCAGCCCACTCCCACCCCACCTGGGGAAAGCCTTCCTCACACGTCCACACCTCATGGCACTAAATGTTGCCCTTCCTTTTCACTTCACCTTCTCCAGTTGCCAGGCCCCACTTTTAGAGATGTGATCACATTTCTGGAATGGGGTTATGGCTTGGAGAGATGCCCCACTCAAGCCAGACAGTCACTTCCAGCCAGAATGAAAGCAGCATCTGCTGGAGGGCAGCCTCCACAGGCACAGCAGGGACGATTGTCGGCAATGTGCTGCCGTTAGCAGTTTGCACAGGAAGTGGGCGAGGTTACAGGAGTCAGCAGCTTCTGTCCGTGGTCTGGGAGGCAGCCCGGTCTCTCTCCATGCCAGAGATAATGTAGATGGATGAAAACGGGCTGAGGACCTGGCATAGCGCCAAGGCTGGCCCTCTGGGTGAGCCCCGCCTCCCTCTCAGAGACCCAGCCCTGTTTTCCTTTCTGCTCACCCCTACTCTGGAACCTAGGGCTGGGATTGCCTTGAGGCTATCACTCTCGATTCTCTGCATTTCTGGAGTGGCAGGTGGGAGACAGCCTGGCAACAGGATCCAGTTTGTGGAGAGGGTAAGAGGGTAGGGCAGGTGGCGGGGCAGCACCGGTGTGCTGCCTCACAGGAGTCCTGACCTCTCTCCATAAGGCCTGGGCTGTGACGGGGAGTCCTGACCTTGGACCCAGAGTGGAGCTGCCCAGAGCTGATGTGCTCCCAGATGTCGGGAATAACAGGGTTCTGTGAGTTTGCAAGGGCTGCCTTACAAAGTAACACAAACAGCGGGGGTGCGGGGAGGTGGTTAATTAACAGTTTATTGCTCACAGTTCTGGAGGCTAGAAGTCCAAGATCAAGGTGTGGGCAGGGGTCGTTTCCTTCTGAGGCTGTGAGGCAGGCTCTGTTCCAAGCCTCTCTCCAGCTCGGGGGGTCGCTGGCAGTCCTTGGTGTTCCTCGGTTGTGGACACATTGCTCGAATCTCGCCTCGATGTTCACATGGTGTTCTCCAGGTTTGCGTGTCTGTGTCTGAATTTCCCCTTTTTATAAAGGTGCTGGTCATATTGGATCAGGGCTCACCCTACTCCAAAACAACTTTGTTTTAACTAATTACGTTGCAATGACTCTATTTCCAAATAAAGTCACGTTTTGAAGTGCTGGGAATTAGGACCTTGACATATGATATTTTTTTTCCCCAAGGGGACACAATTCAATCCACACCAGTGGCTACGTCATTCTGTTAACCTTGAGCACACCAGACTCACCCCAGGAAGCAGAACCCCAAATATTTCACCTCTTATGTTTTGAATCAGACGGCATATCTTGTGCTGGCTGCTGCCTAGGGGGCAAACACATCTCCATCCTTTCTGTGTAAGGATGTTTTCTGAGCTGGGGATGGTTGAGAGCTAGAGAGTCCAAAAGAAACAGAACAAGCAAGACCTGAGCTCTCCTGCAGCTTACGGTCATGAAGGGAAGACAGACACACAACCCAAAGGGAAGTTAGAAAAGCAGAGGAATTACCCATTTTGTGAACGAAGGAAACACAGAGGTGGCAAAAGAGGAAATTGCTGGGGGTGGAGGCTGCTTGAGACAGGGTTGGAGGGGAAGGCCATGAGAGAAGGCACCTTACTGCAGAGACTTGGCAGACAGTGCCAAGGACAGCAATGAAGTGACCGGTAGAAGACGGTCCAGGCTGAAGGAGGAGCATCTGTGGGAGACAGTGCCAATGAATCCATGGGTCTGAGGAACTGGGGACATGCCAGAGCGTCTAGACCCCAGGAAAAGTGGCAGGAGACAAGGTGGGTGAGCTGGGCAGGAGCCAGTTCACACAGAGCCTTGGAGTCTGGAGTTTTGGTTTAATTCTCAGAGCAAAGTGCAGCCTTTGAAGACTGGTGAATACTGAGACTATTCAGCCCTCATAGACTTTTCTGCCCACTGGTCAGATTGGGCCATACGGTAGACACCTTGTGGGAAGGACACCGTGAAACCTGCACTGTAGACCTGCCCAGCCCTGGTCAGCCTTTTTCCTCTCCTGCAACTTCACCTTCTCTCCCTTCTTTGCAATGAACTTAAACAGTTGAATGAAGAGCCCCAAAAATGCTCTTCTGTGGGCTGCTGCATTCATCTACGGAGCAGCGATTCACAGTGAGTTTTCTGTGTTTGCAGAGACCCTGAACATCCCAAGCCGAAAGGACTGCCGGTCCCAGGCAATAGCATCCAAGAAACCTGCAGCTGCTTCTCCCACGCTGCCTGTCATGCAAGGATGTCTTTTCTCTGACCTCAGATGGGCTTTCTATGGATGTGGGAAATAGGGAAGGGAGAGAGGGCGCTATTCACACTTTTGGGTTCCTGGACCTGTCCCTTTTTGTGCTCCTGGGATCTGCCTCTAAGGACCCACCTGCTAGGCACACCTACACCAGGAACAAGAATGCTGGCTCCCTGAGGACCAGAGAAAACAGGGGTTCCTCTGGGAATCCTCCATGATAAGGAGGCATGCATTCCAGTGATGGAAGCTCACCAAGGAGACCGGGACTCCCCCAGAGAAATACTCCTGATGGTATTGTGGGAGAGAGAAATTCAGCGAACATTAGGAAACAACAAGTCCAACAGTAGAGAATGGGCCACATGAAGGAGGGGCATTGGTCAACTGGGCTCTGCTGCCATCCTGTCCACATGCTCCTCTGCACCCTCGCGGGGATAGCCTGGAGCTGCGTTTCCTGGCACCCCCTCCTCCATGGTCCTGGATTACCATCTGCCCAGGAGAGGCACCCACATGAGATGCAGGAGGCTCCGCCCTCAGCAGTAGCTGCTGGCAGACAGTGAATGTGAGGTCTGCAGGGGCTTCCCAGAGGGCCCCCACAAACCATCCACTTCCCTGCTGCAGGAAGCCAAGAGGGGTGGTGGTCTCCCTGACCTTCCACCTGCAGCCCCTTCAACAGTTATTTTAGCCCCAAATTTCCTGTATGAAAACCCTCCTGCTGGAATACCTGGAGTGGCTTCTCTGTTTTCTTGACTGAAACTGGACAGATGTAGCTAAGTCATAGAATCCCACTCCATGGAATATTATGAAATCCCTCAAAATAAGTGGCCAAGGATGATAGAACCGAATGTAACACGCCCACAGCACAATATTAAGTGTAATATGCTTTAAAATCCTACCAGCATTATGATTTCCAGTACATTAAAACAAAGCCACCCATACCAAAAAGACAAAAGGTAAAGAAGTAAGTGTATCAACATTTTCCTGGTGGGATTAGAGTTAATATATATATTTCTTATTTTGTAACCTACTTTTCTGCATGTGAAAAACTTTAGTCAATACACAATTATTGCTCAAGCAAGGAAAAAAAATCAGCTTTATTAAGCACAGGAAGAACTTGGGTGCAGTCTTCCACCGACTGTCTTACTTTAGCCATTTGCTTCTCATTCCCAACACAGCCAGAATGTTCTGCATGAAGTTACGTGGGTACAAAGAGGGTGGGGACAAGGTGTCGGGAGCCTGCCCCAAGGAGGGAGGAAATTGAGGTGCTCTGGCCAAGAACACAACCCCAAGGCTGGGAGGTTCTCGATGAGGATACGCCTTTCAGATTTTCCACATGGTGCTTGATATTTTGGGGGAATGTGTGAGAGGAAAGTGTGACCAAATGACAAACAAAAAGGACAAGGCACCAGAAAGGTGAGATGATGGGACCCTGAGGAAGGGAAGAAGGGGAAGGGTCAGGTGGATTCTTCCTGGGCCTGGATCAGGCCATGAACTTGAATCAGGGAATCAAAGGCTGGATTTCAGCAGTGTCATCTGGAGCTTGTGGTCACTGAGCACGAGTCTGCAGAGGCCTCCAGGGAGTGCATATGCCTAGCCAGCCCTGGGTGTGCCTTGGACCAGCCTGGCACCAGGTAAATGAGGGTGGGCAGGATCCCTACCGAGGCAGGCCCTGGGCGATGAACCCCAGTGGGCTTCTTGGTCAGGCAGGTGAGTCCTCACTGGGCAGCACCCAGTCAATGGGCTGCACAGGGTCCGGTTGTAACTCCATGAAAATCAAGATCTGTGGTTTGCACTGGGAAGGTCCCAGGCCATATTTCCACTCTGTATTGTAAGCAAGATTTGCAGGTAACTCTGTGGCAGAGACCACAAAAATGCATGTCCTCTCTCTCCCTTCCCCAGTGCTGAATTGGCCCTGGGAAGTAGCCATCTCATCTGAAGACACCTTCCTTGGGCCTCCTTGGGTCCCTTGTGCCTGGGAAACTAATTCTTTTCAGTTGACCCTGAGTAGGATGTTTCTCCCTTCCAGGTCAAGGCTATTCAAAACAGCTTTGGGTGTTTCCACTCTCCTTGTTCTCCCCTAAGCTGGAGGCAGGAGTTCCAAGGTCCTGAGAATGGTGAATCTACAGAGGAAGGCAGCCTGGGTCTGCCTGTCACCGCGCAGGGAAAGCTGGCCACTCGTATGGATACAACATTGAACTCACATGCTTGAGAAGTAAACAGTCACATGAAACACATCTCAGCTCGGAGTTTCAGGCAGTTAGTGCCTTGTGACCAACAAGGGCAGGTTCCCCAATCTTTTGCTGATAAAATGGACAAGAATTCTAGGATTTGGGATCACACGGTCATCTCTGCATGGCGCACTTTCTTTTTTTTATATTGCATGGGGCAAAGAGCGGGTGTTGTGTCAAACCCTTCCCCAAAAAGAATCTTCAAAAGTGCAGACTCTTCAGATTCAGAAGTCAACTTCGGAGAATGTGGCATGAAGGCAAACAGAACAGACATGGATCCAACTGTTCCCCTCTTTGGACCACACATAGCTCCTTGGAAGAAGCACGTGCAACACACATGCAGGTAAAGCACGGAAAAAGGGAACATTCAGAAGAAGCTGAAGCACCCGCAGGGGGGTCCTTCTTGCTGGAGAGAGTCATTGTGCATCCATAAATAGTAAGACAAGTAAGGACAAGAATGAAAGAGAACCTGTTATTCTCCCTAGGAAACGGTCACCGTGGAGGCAGCTGAGTGACAGTGTGGGGTGGACCAGGCCAGTGGAGAGGGCAGCTGAGTGCATGAAGGCTGGCACAGAGTGGCCTGTGTCAGGTGTCCCCCGAACTCTGAGCTGGACAGATGACATGGGCCAAGCAGAGGGGGCTGATTGGAGGACATAGGAGCTGAGGGTCTCCTCAGCACTTTTCAGGCTGGCTTGCCAGAGGAGATGGGAGAAGGAGGCGATTGGAGGTGGGGGGGTTGTGGTAGGCAGCTCCACATACTGAGAAGGAAGAGTTACTTCTGAACCCCATGGAACTGCCCTGTGACCAAGGAGCCCAGGAAGTGTTTTATTGAGAACCTTTGATGTTGACGTGGTGTTTATTTCGGGCTCTGTGCCACATGCCAGGATTCTCCGTCTCTCCTCCCAGCCAATCCCGTTCACCTCTGAGAACCCTTCTCTGCACAGATCCACAGCACTCAATCCGGTGCACTGGTGGTGAGTTTAGTCACAGAAGGAAACAGATGGTCCAGGGAGCAATTGTCTTCACACCAGGGTCTTTAAAGGACCTGTCGTTGGCTCCTGGATCTCCCTGCCACTGGGGAAGATGGTGGCGGTGTCAGAGCACAAAGGCCCATCAGGGTAATACATTGACAAATAAAGATGCGATGACCAGGGGAAGGACATGGACCAAGGGGTGTTGTTGTCATTTCAAACCCAGATTTAGGTGCAAACTTGAGACATCCTGTGCATCATTTCACTGGGCCACGGGCCCCTCAGGTAGAAAATGAATGGGTGGGATAAGGCTCTTTCAGTCTTGAAGAGGAGGACTTAGGAAGTGGGATGGGGTAGGGGAGAGGGGCATGGGCTTTGGGGTTAGTGGTTCAAGTTTGTGCTCAGCCATTTACAGCCCTGGTGAATTGAGGAAAAGCCAAGGGGGCCAAGCCAAGAATCATGAGCTAATAAACATGGATGTTTAAGACTCTAAATTTTGGGGTGGTTTGACTTCAGTGACCTCTTGGAGCCTCAGTTTTCTTTCTGATAAAATAAGTAATAAATAATATCTTTTTTTTTTTGGAGACAGAGTCTCGTTCTGCCACCCAGTCTGGAATGCAGTGGTGCAATTTTGGCTCACTGCAACCTCCGCCTCCCGGGTTCAAGTGATCCTCCTGCCTCAGCCTCCGAAATAGCTGGGACTACAGGTGCATGCCAACACGCCTGGCTAATTTTTGTATTTTAGTAGAGATGGGGTTTCGCCATGTTGGTCAGGCTGGTCTTGAACTCCTGACTTCAGGTGATCTGCCTGCCTCAGCCTCCCAAAGTGCTGAGATTACAGGCATGAGCCACATGCCTGGCCAGTAATAAATAATATCTGCAGGTGGAATGAGGACTTAGTATGACCTCTTAGCATGACCCTAGGAGGATCTTCGCATGATCGCAGGAGATGCTTCACCGTAGAGGCTGCTGCTGTTACTTGCAGAAAGCAAGGCCAAAACCACCATTGTCAATGATTTCCTAAGTACCCTGTGTTTGTTGAGTGAGCTTGATGGTGGACCATGGAAAAAGGAACCAAAGCCTGAGGCGGGGTGAGGAGGCAGGTGTGGGACTCCAGACAAAGTTTCTATTCCCTACTCCTGGGTATTTCCTGAGGCAGAAATGCAAGGATGAGTGAGCAGCAGAGCAGCAGCCCCCATCAGACCTTGGCACCATCAGGTTAGCCAGGCCAACCGGCAGCCCCCAAGACTCTGTCTGTGCTGGAGTCTGCTATTAGGTTGGTGCAAAAGTAATTGCTGTTTTTGCCATTGAAAATAATGGCAATAACTGCAATTACTTTTGCACCAACCTAGAACAGAAGTGCAGCTGTCTCCTTGACACCAGCTACTGAAGGTAAGGGTGCTTCCTGACAAACATCCTGGCTTCTCTGTAGCCGGTTAGTGACCTGTAGTCCAGCATGTACCCACAGCCATCATACAGCATCCTGTACCAGTGTATAATCTGGCAGAGGTAAGAGGGCAGACTCAGGCTCACCACACGCTGTTGCTAATGTGCAGGTTGCCAGAAATGTATTTTTTTCTTGAGACAGGGTCTCACTCTGTCATCCAGGCTGGAGTGTACTGGTGTGATCATGTCTTACTGCAACCTCAATCTCATGGGCTCAGGTGATCCTCCTGCCACAGTCTCCAAGTAGCTGGGACCACAGGCCTGTGCCACCATGCCTGGCCAATTTTAAAATCATTTATAGAGATGGGGACTCCCTACGTTATTCAGGCTGGTCTCAAACTCCTGAGCTTGAGTGATCCAACCACCTTAGCCTCCCAAAGTGTTGGGATTACAGGCATCAGCCACAGTGCCTGGCTAGAAATGCGTTTCTGAAAGCTGGGTGCAGTGGTGCATGCTTATAATCGCAGCTACTTGGGAGGATGGGCAGGAGGATTGCTTGAGCCTGGGAGTTTGAGAACAGCCTGGACAGCATAGAAAGACCTTGTCTCAAAAAGAAAAGGAAAGAAGGAAGGAAGGAAGAAAGAAAGAAAGAAGGAGGAAGAAAGAAAGAAGGAAAAAGAAAGAAAAAGAAGGGAAGAAAGAAAGAAAGAAAAAGAAAGAAAGAAAGGAAAGGAAGGAAGGAAGGAAGAAAGGAAGGAAGGCATTTTTGAGCTGCGAAGCTGTCCCAGAGCTTTTGCCAGGCCTTGGTATCCAGAACCTTCTCCATCTCTCCTTCCTGTGTAGTTCTGCCCAGATCTGTCTTTGGAGCTGGGATCATCCGCAGAGCAACCGCACTGGCTTTGAAGGAAGCGGGAGTGTGGGGATGATGTTTGGAGCCAGGCTGGCCTGCAGAGGGAGATTTGTCAGGGCAGCTTGAGGTACTCCCTTCATGCTGGAGGTGAGCTCATTGTGTGAGCCAGAAACAGGAGGAGGAGAACAAAAGGTGGGCCTGAAACTTCCCCCAGGGAACTGGTCACCATGGAGAGGGACTCTGGCCCAAAGAAGACAGAGGAGGGCGAGTCAGTGGCACAAACAGAGTCGGCAGAGCCAAGATCACGCCGGGCCTTTGTCTGATGCCATGGATGGACCAGGCATTTGAGCCCATTCAGAACCCCTTTTCTTTCCTGGCTGGTTTGGAATCTGGTTGGTGAATTTGAGGCTGCTTGGCGATTGTGTGCTGGGCTCCTGGCTGGGGGGCACGCTCTCCACCACACACAGTGCACACGAGTGTGTGTCAGCATACACAGCAGATGTGTCCTTGCAAACTCCACGCATGCACATGCCCCTGTTTTAAGTGCTCCGTGTGTAGGAAGATGCTGTTAGCCCCCTGCTGCTGTGCCCTGTGGGTTCATCCCTTCCTGTCCTCACAGCAGCCCAGGCTGTGGGGCTGAGCATTAACTTCATTTTATAGAGGAGGAAACCGAGTTTGAGAGAGGTCCTGTGACTTGCCCTGGGCTGTGTGACTTGCTCAAGGTCACAGGGCTGGTAAACAGTCGTGCCGGGACTTGGAATCAGGGAGGTTTGATCCTAAAGCTCCGTACTCTCAGCTACTGTGCGACTCCACCTCCCAGGCCAAGCCTCCATCATAGACTGAATTCTTTCTGCCGTGGAGATGTATTTTCAAATTTAGCTGTGCTCAAAGAGAGGTCTACTTCTACTGGTCACGGTGCCGATTGCAACTGTGAGGCCTGTGGTCTGATTCCTCTCACTGCTGGATGTTGTTGAGTGCTCGATGGAGAAAACAAGACCTGCCTTGGAGTCAGACGCAGCCCAGTGCAGGTGCTGTCTGTCTGTCTATACTATAGTGTTCACCCCAGGGTCTGTGGAGCCACGGCTGGGAGCCATTGCCCTGGGGGATGGCTGGCCTCTCATTGACCCAAGCCCAGTTTTCTCTTGCTTGAGCTGCGGCAGGAGCATGCTCAATGCTGTCCCCAGGCTTCCCAAGGGCCGCTCCATGGCCCTGCCTGAGAACATCTCCCTGGGGAATCTTCTCAAACTACAGATTCTGGGGTCTGCACTCCTACAGATCTGATTCTGTAAGTTTAGGGAAGTTTCTGGGAAACTATTTTACAAAGCCCTCCAACGAGCTCAGATATAGAGCCAGATTTGGGAACTAGTTCCAATCCTTATGCTTCTCTCCCATGAGGGAAGAAGCTGGATGTAAACACTGGGCCTGAGGACACCATGATCTCCAGCTTAGCTCTTCAAGCATCATGCATGCATTCATTCATTCATGCACCGTGCCTTCAGTGTGCGTCTGCCAAAGGGACGCATGGTTTCGGCACTGATGATACGAGGAGGAGTCCAACAGTTTCTTTTGTCAGGGAGCTCATGGCCCAGTGAGAACACAGACACACAAATCTGTAGATATGCAGCAGTGTCACAAGTACCCCACAGGCTGGGGGTAACACTCAGCATTGTGAATGGCCAGGATAATGGGGGTACAACTCAGCATCATAGATGCCCCGGGATGCTGGGGACATCAATCAGCATCATAGATGCCCGGGATGCTGGGGACATCAATCAGCATCATAGATGCCCGGGATGCTGGGGACATCAATCAGCATCATAGATGCCCAGGATGCTCAGGGAGGTACCACTCATCATCACAGATGCCCAGGATGCTGGAGGGGGTATAACTCAGCATTATGAATGTTCAGGATGCTGAAGGTGGCACCACTCAGCATCATAGATGCCCAGGATAGTGGGGGTGCTACTCAGCATCATAAATGTTCAGGATGCTGGAGGGGGTACCACTTAGCATCAGATGCCCAGGATTGTGGGGTTGCCACTCAACATCATAGATGCCCAGGATGCTGGATGGGCTACAATTCAGCACTACAAATGTTCAGGATGCCCATGATAATGGGGGTGCCACTCAGCATGATAAATGTTCAGGATGCTGGAGGGGGTACCACTCAACATCATAGATGCCCAAGATGCTGAGGAGTAACATTGAGCATCACAGATTCCCAGGGTGCTGGAGATACTGCTCAGTATCATAAATGGCCATGTACAGTGGGTGCTGCTCAGAGGCATCGATACTCAGGAAGCAGGGACTTTTGGATGGAGGTACAGCAAGACTCCATAGCCTCCTGAACCAGGATCCCCTTGTCTGGAGACTGGCCTCCCTAGCTTGAGCCTGGATAAACACTGGCTGACATTCGGCTGCACGGAGACAGAAGGTCGTGGAGTTTTGGCCTGAACACCCGCTGCCTGGCCGATGGGCTGTATGGGCCGTGACCCCGACAGGCTGCATTGCTCATGGCTCGTCTCCAGCCTGTCAGTCAGAGCAGCAGAGCCTGTGGTTTTGATCATCCAGCATTAGCAGAATGACAGGGTTTGCTGCAGGAATAGAGGGTGAACAGTTTGCAGACAGCTCATGCTGAAGAGCACGCTCCGGCACTGAGTAATGGGGCCGGCTGGGGCATTCACTTCCAAGATGTCAGGCAGACAGCAGAATGATTCTTTCTGGGCCAAGCAGGGGTGTGGAAAAGGCTGTGGGTAACAAGACAGAAGATCCAGGTGCAGGTGGCCTTGTGACTTTGGGTGGGTTAGTTCCCCTCTCGAGGACTCAGTTTCCTTCCTTGTGAAGGAAAGCAATTGGATAAGAGAGTTTCTAGCGTCACTTCTGGCTTTTTTTTTTTTTTTTCTGAGACAGAATCTTGCTCTATTGCCCAGGCTGGAGTGTAGTGGCACAATCTTAGCTCACTGCAAACCCTGCCTCCTGGGTTCAAATGATTCTCCTGTCTCAGCCTCCCGAGTAGCTGGGATTACAGGAGTGCCACCATGCCCAGATAATTTTTGTATTTTTAGTAGAGATGGGGTTTCACCGTGTTGGCCAGGCTGGTCTCGAACTCCTGACCTTAGGTGATCCTCGGGCCTCGGCCTTCCAAAATGCTGGGATTACAGGTGTGAGCTCTTGTGCCTGGCCCACTTCTGGCTTTTAAGGCCAACACTGAAAACAGTGTTGTTTCATGAGAGGGACAAGTGACAATGCATTGTCCTAGTGACTGTTTCTAGGAAGATGACCCATCTCTGTTCAGAGCCAGCTAGAAGTGGTCTTGGGTCTTATTGGGTCAAATGGGTGATGAAAGGAGAAATGGCTTCAAGCAGACCATCAAATGGCAATCAGCGATGGTGTTACAGGGAGCCTTGGGAAGAAGGGACAATGCAGGTGAAAATCTTGAACTGGTGAAGCACAGAAGGTCCTCCCTGTGTCAGTCACAGCCTCACTCTTCAGTCTTGATTTTCACTGCACGACGTCTCACAATTGTGCTTCAGCTGTCCTGAGCAGTCCACGGTACCCTGATCACAGAAGACTGTTTTGGAATCCTATGCCATAGTAGATTGCATTGACAGCCCCAGTTAATGGCCTCACTGTGTCCAGGAACTTTGCAATGTGCCTTTGCACCTCTTCCCATCAGCAGATGGAGTCTATGAATCTGGGCTGATCTTATGACTTGCCTTGGCCAATAGAAAATGGTGGAAGTGATGGCATGCTACTTCTGAACCTAGGCCTTAAGGAGGCTTGTGTGTTTCTGCTCTCCCTCAGGGATCCCTGCCTTCACTACGAGAGCAGGAGCAGGTAAGACAAGTGGCCCAGTCATTCCCATCACCATAGCCAACAGCCAGCCAATGCCAGCAGCAGAACCATCTAGCTGATCTGCAGCTAACTGCAGATGCAGGAAGCAGCCCAGGCAAAACCAGAACCGGCTCATTGAGCTAAATTGCTAATTTGCAGAATTGTGAATTTGAGAAATGGCTGTTGCTCTAAACAACCAAATTTGTGGGTGGTTTGTTATGCAGTAGTAGGTACCTGATGTGTATTTTTAAGAGCATGTTCACTCTGTGAGTCAGCCTCTCGATACCATTGCAGTCCTTCACGGTGTTAACCATCTCCCGTACTCCTCGACTTCCTGGGTACAGGGAAGACCAGCTTCCTAGCTGCTTACATTTAGGTGGGGCTGTGCAAGTAACCAGAGGACTGGGGTGTGTGTTACTTCTGAGCTGAGGCAGTACAAGTGCTAATTCACTCTTCAACCCTTTCTGTCCTTTCTGTGGCCACCAGGAAGCCACGTCTTTAGATAAGTGAGCCTCGTGCAGGAAGAGAGCTACTCAAAGAGCAACACCTTCTGCATGAGTGAAAAGTGACCCTTGTTGGGATAAGAATCCAGAATTCATACTATGCTATTAATTCTTGGGTATCTGGACCACTTCTAACTCCACCCCAACACAATCAGTACCATAAAGTGTAACACTACTGTGTTTTAAAGTTTATCCTTAATTTTTAGCCAACAGAAGCCACCAGACTCAAGACAGCTATGCGAAAACCTACCTGGGGAAACAGCTGGGAGGACAGAGTTCCCCAGCTGGTTCCTGGAGTGGCCTCTTCTCTACTGTCCCTTTGGTTGGTCACTGAAAAAGCATAACTGGGCAGTTTCTTCACTAGCTAGGTATGACCCATGAGGGTTTTTTCCCTGCATCATGTTGGTTTCATTCAGATCAAAATGCTAAGGTCTGAATGAGCACAGTCTCTCTTTGCACTCTCAAATTTGTGGATCGAATGAAGCTATACCAAATCCACAGGTGCAAGAAAACATGCAACAAACCGTCATCCACAGTTTAATTGCCCTTTCCCCAAGCTGATTTTGGTTTCCAAATCAATCCTTCAATGGCTCATGTCCCTGTGAAAGTGACAGGTGCTGAAGATAATGCACATGCCTTGCGCAGCTGGAGGTTGAGAGCCGGGGCATTGTGTATATGAGCAGGTTAGGAGTAGAGGCTTTGACACCTTTTAAAGGTATGTTCAGGGTAGGGCGGCCAGATGAAGTAAAAGCAATTAAAAGGCAAGAACCAGCAAGCTGAGAAGCTGGCCTCTTTCTTACAGAGCCTCAGGGTGGTGATTGAGAAAGCAGATTTGCTGTCCTGACTGCTTTGGAGCGGACTCAGTTGGGGTGAAATTGTCACTCTGCCTGACCTAGGACATTTCACAACCAGCTGGCTTGATATGACACCTGGGAAGCACAGGTAGTGGGGCACAGGGTTGCATGGTGAGTGAAGCTGATTCTTCCAGTTCTGCCCTGTCTGCCTGGACTGGGGTAGCCTGCAGGGAGAGACGCCCACCTCCCAAGGCAAGAGGGCACATGGTTCTGAGTCTCCCAGGGCCCTCCCTGGTTCAGAGTCTCTCGATGGCTTTCCATCACTCTTCAGATGGAATCAAATCTCTTTCATGCGTTCTCTTGTCCTGGACTGCTCTCTCCATCCTGTCCCCAGCCCATGTGGCTTCCTCCAGTGAACTCCTACACTTTCCGTATGGCTCCGGTGAAGGCTGCTCTCTCAGACAAACCTCTCCCAGACCCAGGCAGGTGTAGATCCCTGTTATACATCCTCACTGAGTCCTGCTCTTCCCTGCAGAGCCCCGGTTACAAGGCCGTTTACACAATTATTTTAGACATCTGCTTGTTTGACTTGATAATTCAGTGAGAAGGATGACAATATATCACTTATTCATTTGATTAACAGTGATTAAGCCCCACATGCCCTGTGATAGGAGTTAGGGTTACAGGGAGGGTCCCTTATCTCACCGAGCTGGGAGTTTAGGTGGGAAGAGGGGGAAAGAAAATACTCAACGCAATGGGAAAACGATCATCTCTGATGATGATTGCTTGGAAGCCGGGGGCATCACCCAGGGCAGTAGTGAGGTCAGAGGAGGACTCTGTCTTATTAATTTTGGAGTCTTGGCATAGCCCCTGGAGCATCATGGGACCAGGACTTGTATGTGGAATAAACATCTGGTGAAGGGTAGCAGGTACCCTGAGACACCCAGGTAAGGACAGCAGTGGGGCTGGGTCAGGGGACCCCTCAAGACCCCTCCCCTGCTGTCTGTGAAGGATGGACATGCTCCCAGCACATCGTGCTCCTCTTCTCACAGTGGCTGCTTTTCAAGGCCTGGTAAGAAACCCCTTTGCAGGGACACTGACAGGAGCAATGATACTGAGCTCTGGAATCCGTTTGAATGGCCATGGAATTTCATTCTCTGGTGGTTCCTGTAGATTAGATTGGCCATGCCTGCAATGTTGTGAATGTTGTGACAACTGAAGCAGGAGAATTCCTTCTGCATTTTAGCAACAGAGAAGACAAAATGGCCTGAGAGGGCAATAAGATTGGTCTGACTCAAGGATGCGGTCTGGTGGGTGGCAGCAAATGACAGCACAATGCTGTTCTCCAAGTGTGCATGCATACCTCCTGCATGCCTCCCGTCACCCACGTGCAGAAGAAAAGACAACTTTTGGACATGTGTTCTCGCACTGGACCATGGCATCCTGGAAAACAGAGGCCATATGCTGTTTATCTTTGCATGGCTGGCCTGAGCACAAGATGTAGAGAACAACCTGTCCAGAAGTTTGGCAAAGGAAGCAGTGAGTGCTTCCTGGAAGTTTTGGTTTCTGGAAATACAAAGCTAACTTCTGGATGGGGGATGTATTAGTCTGTTCTCATGCTGCTATGAAAAAATACCCAGACTGGGTAATTTATAAAGAAAAGAGGTTTAATTGACTCACAGTTCTGGATGGCCTGGGAGGCCTCAGGAAACTTATACTCTTGGCAACAGGCACCTCTTCACAGTGCAGCAGGAGAGAGAATGAGTGCCAATGCCACTCATTGGTGAAATGCCAGACGCTTATAAAACCATCAGATCTCATGAGAACTCACTCACTATCATGAGAACAGCATGGGGGAAACCACCCCCATGATTCAATGACCTCCAACTGGGTCCCTCCCATGACACATGGGGATTATGGGATTACAATTCAAGATGAGATTTCGGTGGGTACACAAAGGCAGACCATATCAAGGGAGTACTCACACACACAAACACACATGCTTTCCCATAAGGGAAGGCAGCTGGCCTTCCACACTTTCCATGAGGGAATATGGTGGTAGGACTCTTTTTGGCTTCTGCTTCAGGGGCCTCACTGAGCACCCACCATGCACCCATGTGCCCTCCATGCACCCTCCTGCTACAAGCTTGTGTCCTAGAGGAAGGCACTGCTGGGTCCCAGCCAGGGCTCTGTCCCATCCAGCCGCTGGCTCCAGGCACAGCCAGGCACAGCTGCTGGCTCCAGGCACAGCTGCTGGGAGAGGGCAGGAGGAATGGTGCCCTTGTTCTGCTTGAAGTACTGAAGACCATCAGCTGAGGCCCTGGGCTGGGCCATTCCCTCAGGTCTGGGTGATGCTGAGTGATGCACTCAGTATTGCTCATCTGCTGGTCTGTCTTGTTGGGTGGGATGTGGAGAAAGTTACCATGGCCGTTTCTGATTGTCACCATTGAGCTATGGTTCTGAATTTATCCCTTTTCCCTACCCCACTTTTCCACTGATTCAAGTTCATTATCAAATTCAGAGAAGTCTGCCCACAGAAATCAAGGATACTTCTCTGAGTATATTTCTTCGTGTCTCAGGGCAGTTTTGTTCTCATGAAAAGAGTAATGAGGGGTTATGATCAAAATGGGCTTACAGGTAAAGTGGCATTTCTAAGTGGCAAGAACTCCCCCGAGGGGACATTTGGCCATGTCTGGAGACACTTTTGGTTGTCACAACACCTAGGGAGTGGAGGAATATGAGCACTTAGTAGGTAGAGGCCAGGATTGCCAATAGTGCACAGGCCAGCCCCAGAGTGCAGGACCATCCGGTCCACACTGTCAACAGTGTGGGGACGGAGAAACCCTGGGTAGTGTTTGGCAGGCCCCAGAGGAGGTGTCAGGCACCTTGGGGTGTTGTCACTAGTATTCTTATCTGGAGAGAGGACTTTAGAGAATCAGTGGACGCTGCCCCATCCTAGGCTTGCCTTCAGGTGAACCAGCTGTTTGATCTTACACAACTCACTTCCCTTTCTGTAGGTTGCTCATCTCCTGAATCAGAATGTCAAGAACCCAGCCCCGCATGCCACACCTGTGACATGAGGTCCAACCCATATGCTTGTGATAATGGGAAGCTTTGCCACGTGTCTAAGGCCTTGCAAAAACAGGCAGTATTGATCAATCCCCTCCAAAAGAAAAGCAAAAGTCTAATAACTAATAGCTTCCAGCTTGGAACTTGACCTTTCCTTGATTTTCCAAAGAGAATCCCAGCAGAAACCATACTGCTCGTGTGTGCATTTTTCTGACGGAGTTCAGACACACGGCTTGCAAGTGGTGTGCATAACACTGAGATTAATGAGGGGCTTTAATAACCAGGATTTGCATAGTGCTTCCTCCTCCGCTTATCATTAGCCCTGACATTGTTTTCCTATCGGATGTCTACCATCTGCACATTAAGTACATTCTAACTCTTTTCACTTTGAAAAGTTTCCTTTATTTCATTAGAGGCTTCTTGTTTCCTGGGAGCAGGCCACCTCTAGGATGCTTGGTTAGTTTGAGATTATTTTTTATGTTCCTGGAAACTTGGATTCAGACTCCAAAAAGGAACTTAGGGGACTGGAGATTAGAACCAGTGTTGGAATGGGAGAGAGAGCAGCCCAAAGCACAGAGGCATGGGAACGTAGAAGGCCTCAAGAGATGGGACTCAAGCGGGTCCTTGGACCAATGCCTAGTGCTCAGCAGCCAGTGAGGCATCAGGAGGGCGGAAGTGCAGTTCCGACCCAAGCTGGAGTTTTGCAGAGAGGGTCTAATGGTGCTGTATTCATCAGGGTCCTCTAGAGAAACAGAACCAATAGAATCTATATCTATTTATCATCTATGTATCTATCTATTATTGATCTATCATCTATTATCTTCTATTATCTGTCATCTGTTGATCTATTACCCATCTATCATCTATCTTTATCTATCATCTATTTATCTATTATCTGTCTATACATCATCTATCATCTATTATCTATCTATCTACCATTATCTGTCTATTATCTGTTATCATCTATCCATTATCTATTTATTCATTATCTATCTCTCTCTATCCATTATCTATCTATTCTCTCTCTCTCTATCTCTCTATCCATTACCAAGCTACCCATTATCTATCTATCATCTGTCTATTATCTATTATCTTCTATCTATCCATCTGTTATCTATCATTATCTATCCATTATCTATCTATCATCTATTATCTATTATCCTATCTATCTATCCATCTATTATCTATCTACCCATCTATTATCTATCATCTATTATCTATCTATTCATTATCTATCTATTCATTATCTATCTATCTATCTATCTATCTATCTATCATCTACCTACCTGTTGTCTGTCTGTCTATCATCTACCTATCATCTATCTATCTATCTATCTATCCAATCTATCTATCTATCATCTATAGATCCATCCACCCATTATCTATCTATCTATCTATCTATCTATCTATCTATCTATCTATATCTATCTATCCATCTATCTATCTATCTGGTTGTCCCCTGGTTTCTGAAGGGGATTGGTTCTAGGACCTCCTGCAGATACAAAAACTCCTAGATGTTTAAGTGACTGATATAAAATGGCATAGTATTTGTGTATAACCTATGCACATCCTCCTGTATACTTTAAATAATCTCTAGGTTACTTATAATACCTAATGCAATGTAAATAATATGTAAATAGTTGGTATCCTATATTGTTTAGAACAAAATGACAAGATAAAAAGTCTGTACATCTTCAGTACAGACACGATTTTTAAAAATATTTTCAATCTGCCGTTGATTGAGTCCATGGATGCAGAACCCACAGATATGGAGGGCCGACCCTATCTGTAGATAGATGAGAGGGGTTTACTAGGAGAATTGGCACATGTGATCACGGAGGCTGAGAAGTCTCACCACAGGTCGTCTGCATGCTGGAGAGCCACAGAAGCCTGTAGTGTGGCTCAGTCTGAGTCTGCAAGCCTCAGAGCCAGGGAAGCTGATGCTGTAATTCTCTGTACAAGACAGAACGCCTGAGAACCCAGTGGGGCTGAGGGGAGCTGGTGCAAGTCCCAGAGTCCAAAGGCTGAAGAGCCTGGTGTTTTGATGTCCAAAGGCAGGGAGAAAAAACCGTCCCAGCTCCATAAGAAAGAGAGCAAATTCTCCTTTCCTCTACCACTTTGTTCTCTCTGGGCCCTTTGTCCATTGACTGCTGCCCACTTACATGGGTGGAGGTGGGTCTTCCTTACTCAGGCCACTGATGCAAATGCTAATCTCTCCTGGAACCACCCTCACAGACACACCCAGAAATCATGCTTCGCCAGCTACCCAGGTATCCCATAATCCAGTCAAGATGACACGTAAATAAATCATCACAGGTGCACATAGGAGTTCAGTGTGGGTGAGAAAGAGATTGAAGTGAAGTTCCATGAAGTTTAGGCTGGGCTGAGTGGAGATTGAAGACAGGGGGCAATTGGGAGGCAATGGGGGGCCAGGCCTAGAAGTCTCAGTGAGGTTGAGGAATAACGAGAATTAGAGGAATAGGAAGGAAAGGGAGTGTGGGCAGAGATCAGGCAGAGGGACCGCCCAACTCAGAGTCTGGGTGGGGACTAAGGAGGGGGTGACTGTGGTGGGATGGGGGCTTTAATGGGGATGACCAGTGTGAGGTGGGCTCCTGGGGGGGGGGTGGTGATTGATGAGGGATGAGGTTTTGGAGGGTGACCAGGTTAGAATATAGTCCCCGGGGGTGGCCAGGGTGGAATGTGGTCCCTTGGGGGCTGACCAGGTTAGAATGTGGTCCCAGGGAGGTGACCGAGGTGGAATGTGGTCCCTGGGAGGTGACCGAGGTGGAATGTGGTCCCTGGGAGGTGACCGAGGTGGAATGTGGTCCCTGGGAGGTGACCAGGTTGGAATGTGGTCCCTGGGGTGGTGGCCAGGTTAGAATGTGGCCCAGGGGGGTGACCAGGGTGGAATGTGTGACCAGGTTAGAATGTGATCCCAGGGGGGTGACCAGGTTAGAATGTGGTCCCATGGAGGTGACTGGGGTGGAATGTGGTCCCTGGGTGGGGGGTGGTGACCAGGTTAGAATGTGGCCCAGGGGGGTGACCAGGTTAGAATGTGGTCCTTGGGGGTGTGACCAGGTTGGAATGTAGTCCCCATGGGGTAACCGGGGTGGAATGTGGTCCCTGGTTGGGGGGTGACCAGGGTGGAATGTGGTCCCTGGTAGGGGGGTGACCAGGGTGGAATGTGGTCCCTAGGGGGTGATGCAGTAGGACAGTGTGTGTTGTTCCCTCAGCTTCTTGGGAGTCTCAGGAGGTAGAATAAAAGTGGGTTTGGGGGCTTAAAAACCTGAGGCAGTGTGGGGGTCTTCATTTGGAGGAGCCGACGTCTCCTGGAGAGACCCTGGCCAGCATTTGCTGGCAGCTGTGGAGGCACCTTGGACAGAGCTTTTCTGAGGAGAGTTGTGGTCTGTCACTGTTACTACAGGGGCTCCAGCCTGATGCCTGGAGAGGGAATGGGTGCAGGGACAGGCAACAGCCCACTCCAGAGGGGAGAGGAAGCAGGTGGGTCCTTCAGCCCAGCCTGATCTGCATGGTCCCGGAGGACCCTCTCAACCCAGGCCTGGCCAACTGTGGGCTGCAGCTGCCCAGTGCCCGTGCTGGCAAGTGGTTTCTGGTTGAGGATATCAGCCCTCAAGCCTGGCTAAGGAGGCCCCGCCCTGCCCTTCCTCCCTGACCTTGACTGGCAGCACACCTGGGCAGATTGGCCTTTGCACTGGGGAGTGGGGCTGTGCTTCGGGCGGTGTGCAAGGTGTCCAGAGGGGTGAGAGGGGACAACCTGAGAGGCAGGGCTGCTGCTGCTGGTGCTGGGAGCCCTGATGTGTCTGAGCTGCTGCTCTCCGGCTGCTCGCATGAGTTTTCTTCAAAGTGCGTAGGACCATGGCCTTCCCTGCTCAGGCTGTGTTCTGTCTCTCGTTTCCCACGGGAGGATGCTGGCCTACCATTGCCATGTTCAGGGATTCACACGAGGACTCCTGGCTTCTCTTCCCGAGTGAACAGATGTACAACCAACCCACTTACTCCTAAGGGGTCTCATGGCCTTGGACCAGACCCTGGGAGATTCCCCTGTGTCTCTGGGCAACACTGGGCTGGGAGATGTCTGGATGGGCCCTTGTGATTGGCCTCCCTCTCAAGCAGTAAGTGCCTCAGGGCGGTGACAGCATCCTGGTCCCATTTGCAGCCCTTGGGTTTTGCACAGCTCCCAGCACAGAGTGTCACCAATCCATGAGTGACATCACTATCTGCGTCTGGCGCCCTTCCTCCTACCTACACTGTCAACCCTTCAACATCACTTGAGCCCTCAATTCATTTGGCCTCTTTTTCTCAGGCCTCTGTTTCCTCATGTGAGTGGGGGGCTTTTCTTTGGACACTGGGGAGAAGGGTCTGCTCGCTAGAAAATAAATAAGAGTCAGAGTGCCCATGGGTGATACAGGGAGCTACCTGCTATGGACTGAACTGTGTCTCCTGCAAATTCCCGTAGAAGCCCTAATTCCCAGTGAGACTGTTTTTGGAGGTAGGGCCTTTAGATAATTAAGGTTAGAAGAGGTCATGGGATGGGGCCTTGATCTGATGGGACTAGGATCCTAAAAAGAGAAAGAGACACCAGAGATCCCCTCTGTCTGCCATGTGAGGTCACAGAGAAAGCAGCCATCTGCAAACCAAAGGGAGATGCCTCACTAGACACTGGTCCCAATATCCCTTCGACCTGGACTTCTGGTCTCCGGCCTGTATTTAGCCGCTCAGTCTGGCATTTTGCTATGGCCCCCAAGCTATTACACCACCCCAGTGGGAGAAGTGCATGGAGGTCGGTCGAGAGCTTTCACCATCCCCGTCCTGCAGCCACCAAGGGCACTGTCTGGTTCTGCTCGTTAGATATTTTTTTTTTTTGTAGCTATGCCAGGGCTCAAGCGTGGTCCTCCTTCCTTGGGACTCTTTGTCTTGGAAGCTGTCCAAGGCAGCCCCTGGACAGAGACACGTTATCAAGGCTCTCAGAGCAGGCCAGGATGAGTTGCTCTTCTGTGGCCAATATCGTTTTTCCCTGAGAGCTTTGGAGAGCTGTCCCAAGGAACGGCTGCAGCCTAGTGATCCAGCAGCAGACCAGAGGACGGGTGCCAGGTGAGGAGACTCATGTGGGTTCCCCCAGCTCCCCTCTGGCCACAGGCAGCCAAGCTTGCATTTCCCGGGCAACTTATTTTGATTTTGGCATCTCTGTTGATGCCTTGTGTGTGCCCTGCTGATCAGTGGAGCGCCTTCATTTCTGACCAGCAGGAAGGTATTGGTTTTTACTTTACCTGCCATCTGGACTCTCTTGCTTTTCAGAAAATCACACGCTGGCAAATAGAAACTGCAATTGGCCTAAGCAGTCCCTCAGAGCCAGTGGTGTTCTCTGGAGATATGGCCACTTACTCGTTTTCAAGCATTCTTATTTAACAAGTATTTACAAGTGCCCATCAGTTGCCTAGGCCGTATTCCAGATGCTGGACAAATGGGCAAACCTGAGAGGGAACAGCTGTGTCCTGGTAGCTCTGTTCTCATTGCAGTGGGCCAGGGCAGGGGGGCAGGGGTGTAGGTGCAGAAAATGAACATCTAAACAGAGAAGTCAATAAGAAAAGTGCCCGGCAGTGACAGATATTGTGAAACAAATAAAATGGGGCTTCATGATGGTGGAAGTGGAGGTGGTAGAGGTCAAGGAACCTCTCTGAAGAAGGGACATTTGAGCCAAGACCTGAATGTTGAGAAAGAATAAGCCCAGGGGATGGGGTGAAGATAGGATGGGGCTGGGGTGAGGATGGGTTGAGAATAGAGTGAGGACGGGGAGGCGGGGGAGTGGGGGAAGGATGGGGTGAGGATGAGGGGAGGTTCTTTTAGCAACAGACTTTAGTTCTTGTACAAGAAACTGGATTTTACAAGGAAGTGCACAGATGGGCCTAGGAGAGGGTTTAAGGACCTGGCTAGAATTTGGACAAGCAGAGAGTCTTTGTTATCACCACAGCACATGGGCTTAAATGTTTGTTCATGGCTGGCCTCCCTGCTGTAAGGTTGGGGCCCCAAGGATAGGGGCTTCTCTTTTACTCACTGCTGCCTCCCAGCCCAGTTGAGGGCTAAATAAGCATCCATGGGACAGGAGCCATTGCCAGAATCCCGAAGAGGGTGGGGTTTCAGGAAGGGGGTTTGCACTTGGGGAGAGGAGAGAGATTTAGATGGACTTTGAAAGACTTATCACGTATGGGGGATGGAGAGAGAGAAGAGATTTCTCCAGGATGGCCCCCAGGGTTCTTGCTTGAACCACTGTGGACTTGCTTGAGCCATGGCGAGGGAGATGGGGAAGGAGTCCACGGGGCAGGCGGGAACTGGAGGCCTCGGCTTTGGTCTAGTCGGACTTCCGTACTCCAAACCCCAGCCTCATGCAATATTCCCAGGTAGCAAATCTGTACAAACAGCCCCTGTGTGTAAAATAAAAGTTGAAATTAAAACAAATAGGTAAATAAAATAAAAATATAAACTTCATAGCAGGTACCCGAGTGGCTGCGGGAGGAGACAGTTGACTATAACTCTGGGGCTCAGGAGAGGTATGGAGCCCACAGGTTACAGTGGGGGTTAGTGGCCTAGAGGGCTGGATTGGATCTCACAGAAAGAAGGTTTGGTTGAGCCAGGAAGGGCCTTTGGGGTCAAACCTGAGGGCACTTCAACATTTAGGCAAAGCATCTGATATGGTTTGGCTCTGTGTGCCCACCCAAATCTCACCTTGAATTACAATGATCCTCTGTGTCAAGGTCGGGGCCAGGTACAGATCATTGAATCATGGGGGTGGTTCCCCACACTGTTGTCATGAGAGCAGTAATAGTGAATGAGTTCTCATGAGAGCTGACGGTTTTATAAGCATTGTCTGGCATTTCTCCTGCTGGCACTTCTCTTGCCTGCTGCCATGTAAGCCATGCCTTCCACCTTCCTCCATGATTATGAGGCCTCCCCAGCCATGTGGAACTGTGACTCCATTAAATCTCTTATTTCTTTATAAATTACTCAGTCTTGGGTGTGTCTTTATTAGCCGGGTGAGAACAGACTATTACAGTATCCAGAAAAGGAAATGGCACCTTTCTCCTTGGCTTAGGGGTCTTTCTCGCTTAAGCGAACTACCCCATGAACCACCTTGCAGCCTGGATTCTGGGATTGACCGAGATCAAGTAGGCATGCAAAGAGAGGATAGCTGCACCCTGCTGGGGACAGGTCAGGTGGATATCGCTGCTCACACAGCACTGGGCCAAGGACCCCAGAGACACATGGGGACAGTTATATCATTCTGTTTCATGCATAGATGGGAATGTCTGGACTTCAAAGAGAGAGTGTCTGGGAGCCGAGTAATGGCCACACTGAAGAGTGTATAAACAAACAGCACCACCAACACAAATGTGTGTCCTGGGGCTTATAGGCCATTCTTTACTACTTGTCCTCTTCAGTGGGGGTCTCCTTGCTTTGAGCCCTGCCAAAGGCTTCCTCTCTACCACAAATCCTGCATGACTACCTAAAGGTAAGGCCAGGAAAGCTTCGATCCCGTTTCCTAGGGAACATGCAATCAGCTTCCTTCTGACTTGCTGCTATCTTTCTATTTTCTTCTTGTGGACTAGTATTTTCACTGTGATTCCACCCCATTCCTTCTGACCTAATTCCAATTTACTTTCTGGATTTTCTTATTTCCTCTTGACTCTGACTCTGATACATGAGGCTGCTTTATCACCAGGAGATTTTAATCTTTATGCAGAGACATTTTGTGGTTTTCCATTTTCTGTGTTTCCTTTGAGTTTCAGCCAACAGGAGTTGTATAACTTTTGTGTGAGGCACCTGGATTCCACAGGCTGTTTGTTGAATTATTCAAGGGCCTCCTTTATTATTCCCTTTGTGTTGGTCCAGGTGGTTTATTACTAGAAGTGTGACTTACATGGTAAACTGATCGCCTACTATGTGTCAAGTACAGATAACCTTGAGGGGAGAAGCGAAGGAAATATAGCTTTGCCCTGCGTGAAGCTCACAGTCAGTGAGGCCAGAGAACACTCACATGATCTAAGATCATTTATATAAACATCATGGACCAACAGGTCAATGTGACTCTGTGAAGGATAATTCTGGCTAGAGCACGGGTAATAGCAAGCACTTGGAGGTGGAAAATGATCAGTGTTGTTGGATTTTGAGATTGGTTCATCCACTTAGCAAATACATGCTGGACATTGTTTTCTGTGCTGAGAGCACAGAAAGAGACACATCTACCCACCATCCATCTATCCAAACATCCATTCATCCATCTATCCATCCATCTACACATCTATCTATCTGAGGTAGCCATCCATTCATCCATCTATCCATCCACTCATCCATCCCCATCCTTCCACTCATTCATCCATCCATTCACCCATCCATCCATTCATTTATCCATCCATCCATCCATCCACACATCCACCTTCTCATCTGCCCATTCATTCATCCTTCCACCCATCCATCCATGCATCTATTCATCCATACCCATCCATTCTTCCATCCATCCATCTATCCATCCATCCATCTGACCATCCACCCATCCACCCATCCATCTATTCATCCATCCATCTACTTGTTCATCTATCTACCCATTCACCCATCCAAACTTTCATTCATTCATGATTCCTTTTATACTAGGTATTCTTTCAGGTACTCTGAGTATAGTAGTATATAAACAGTCTCTATTCTCATGGAGCTTTCATCTTGGTGGGCAAGACAGGAAAGATTAGCTAACAAGAGGACAGAGGATGGAGTCCAAAGGACATGAGACCTCTCCAAAGTAACCAAGACAATTTTAGATGGTGATAACTTCTGTGGAAAATAAAACTGAGTAATGGGACAGAGGGGTGCTGATCAGAAGAGTAGATTGCTTTTTCCAATAAAAGGGCCACCTAAAGCCTGGGCCAATAGATGACTCAATCCATGCTCCCACCCAGGAGTGAACAGTGTCTTCAAGTGGGTGTGGAGAACAGGGCCAGTCACAACCTACCCCTTGAGTGATAACCCAGAGCTGGGCATTTGAGGCCGAGCAGTGCTGCCTCTCATTCACAAGCTGGGGACTAACCAGCTGGCATTTTCAGTCCTCCAGGACAAAGACGGAATGAAAAATAGTGCTGGCTAACAACCAGCCAGCCTGAAGGACAGGGCTAAGCAAGGCTCCATTTTCCCGTTCTTGGCTGCACAAATCAATAAAGGATTAGACCCCGCTCTCGTCATCACCATTGATTGATTTCAGAATTTCAAAGGATGTTAATTTTAAGATGGCAGCATTTGGGGACATTTCATTATTTCCCATTAGGACACTGAAAGAGCATCAAGTATTTTAATCTGGGGGACTGAATTATTTAGGGTCTGGCATTGACGTGCCTAATGAAATATGCTTCCCCTTTCTTTAGGGGGTTCCATATCTGGCTATGGGAATTATTCATTAACACACAGAGAGAGTGCCCTTCTATTAGGGTCATTAAAGTGTTCTATTACTGATGATCTATAAAGGGAAGAAACACTGATCAGACTCTACCAGGCATACTAGAACATTTGGAATATCATTAATTTTAATGATCTGGTCCAAAATCATAGAGCTATTAAAATAAAACTTCTAGTTTGGGGTGAGAAAAGGAAATTCATTCTAAATTATTGCTAATGAGTGGGAAATATTTAAATCATGCTAAATTGACCTTAAAGTTTTGCCCAATATTCTCATTAGACAGATTATTTTAGTACCTCTTAGGTTGTTCCCAGCTTGGTCATACCTCTTTCCTCCTGGCTGAATTGTCTCAGCCTCCTAGGAACAGGATATTATTTCCACTTTCATTCACACTCTGCAGCCCCCTAGAAAACAGAGCCTTAGAATGAGGAGGAAGGGAGTCTCAGCTTTTTTGGGCATGTAAATACCAGCTCACTGAGCCGGTTGAATCTGACCAGAGCAGAGGGGTTTATGAAGTCCCTCAAAAGCCATGGCTTATGCCTGTGACTCAGAGAGAATTTGGGTGCCATTGGCTCTCCATTGGGATGGAGAGTGCATTGTCTTTGCTTTCCCAGGGGCCTTCGGCTCTGGGGCCAGTTGGGAAGAAGGGGATTAAAGTGTGGGGGTGTTGTAAATGGTCTCAATGCTGTTGTGATGGCTTTCAAGGAACAGAGGATTAACAGCCGAAATCACTAGATTGTAACCAAATAAATCAAGCCTTATTTCCAAGGTGGAGGGATTGGGAATTCGAAAGGCCTTTACTCCTCTGGTCAATGTCAGAATGAATCGAGCTTGCATCATCTGGTCTCAGATAAGAAGAAGGGGAGGGAGTGAATGGAAATTGAGACACTGGAGTCATGGATATATGTTACCAACCAGCTATGTGACCCAGGGCAGGTGGTTTTGTGTCTCTGAGCCTTGGTGTCCATTCCCTTCTCATCCATTGGGACAAAGCTTAAATGTCACCTCCTTGGACAGGGCTTCTAGAACCATCCTACTTATACAGGGAAGGGCATCCAACCAGCTTTTCTCTATTGAATCACTCTCTGTGATTTTTTCATAATACTTAAGAGCCTCTGAAATCATTGTTTATTACTTATTTTTCATCTTCCCCACCCAAATGCAAATTCCATTTGTATAAACATTCTGAATTTTTTTTCCAATGGCCCGGTCCCTAGTGTCCATAACAGTGCTGTGCACATTGCAAGGACTTAGTAACAATGGTTTGAATGAATGAATATCAATGTGCCCCTTTACTCATGCACTAGAGCAATGTGGAATGCATCTCTGCAAGGCAGAAGGCTAATTTCTGAGTCTTCCTGAAAAATTTGGACCAAGAACATTGCCAGTTGGTTTATAGCACAAACAGTAATAATAATAATGGTCTATATTTATACAACGCCATGTTCTTTTCACTTATATTTGTATTTGCACTCTTCTCTGATCACCATGGCAACCCTGCCAGAGTAGCCTGAGAATTCCCACGTAAAAATGGTAACTAAGACACAGAGAAGTTAAGGGACTTAACTAAAGCCACAGTGCATATTGATGGTGCATTAAGTCCTACATTTGGAGTGTCTTAACATCTAATCCAGTCTCCTTTGCAGCCCAACCGCACAGGTGCCTCCCATACTTTGAATTAACTGTACACTTAAACTGGATTACTGATACATTTTAAAAATCTGGTTTTGGTTCGGTGCACAGTGGCTGTATGTGGGAGTTTTTCCATGGGCTCAGACATACCCATACAAACATGTGTGCACACACAGTACAGATGCTCTTTGCCACACCATTTTATTGGGGTGCTCTGCATAAGACCCAAGGCTTTCAGTGGAGTGCAGACACCATAGAGATCTCAGAGCCCATGAAGGTGGGTCTAGTCTTGGCCAGTGGAGCTAGGGATGACATGGGCTCTATGTAGGACACTAGGCCTATGCACATCTAGCAGGGCTCCCCACCATTGGCATCGGCTCTGTGCTTTCTGCTCCTCACTCCATCCCTTTCCACAGTGATGGGCATGAGGTGAATCTGGTGGCACCTGGATTACCCAGAAACCAAAAACTGGTCAGTGCAAGATGCAAAGGGGGCTGAGAAAATGGAAACTTGCCATCATGAGAATGAGCCTGGGATATCCTGCCTAGACACACGAGGCCACTTGGGAGAGAACTATCCAGGTGGGACCATTCTTAATCAGCCTCTTGTTGATCCATTCTCTTACCACATATGTGTGCATGAGACCAGATGAGATCAACCGAGATCAACCTAGCCCTGTCCAGACTGAAAGAATTTCCCAGCTGACCTATAGACTTGTGAACTAAATAAATCCTTGTTTGAAGCTAGTTTGTTCTGAGGTGGTTTGTTACACAGCTTAGCTGACTAATACACACCCATTGGATAAATGCATACTAAAGGCTTAAAGCTCAAACCTGGTATCAGTAAGAAACACATAGCTTCTGGTCTTAGGTGGAATATATTCTAGTACTGGACTCAATTGAGTATCTAATTAAATCTGGTACACAGTAAGCCTGGGTATGCATAGTATTTGAAGTATAGACCCTGGGAAGACTAGGAGGAGAAAGTCAAGACCTAGTTCAGAGAACCGAGATGACATTTGAAAGCAACCCCGCTGGAGAATGAGGCAAAAACAGAGGCCAAGGCTCAGCCACAAGGGTATGAGTGGGTCCCGGAGAGCCAAAGGCAAGGGCGCTCACTCAGCACTTACTGGAGACAGCAAAGAAATGCAAACCAAACCCTTCTCCAAGTCCCATTCTACAATCCTTGCAATTAACAATGAAATATCCTTTTTAGAGATCTTGGTCATTATTTACTGTAATTGTGACAAGATAAACCAGTCAACTAGATTTAAAGGAAGCTGTGGAGAGTGGTTCATTAAAAAATGGTGCACACCACACTTTGTAATTGACATGAAGAGCGATTTGCAGGAGGAAATTCAGTAATTTTCAATTAGCATGAAATAAGAAATGGCTCAATGTCAATTACTATTATATAATTATGATTACAGAGAATGGTGCATTTGAGAGTTGTGAGGGCCTGCAGAAGGTGTTTCCTGCTGGATGAGGTGCTGTCAGGAGCAGGAGCTGGCCATGGTCAAATGGCCACCAAGCTTCCATAGGGATCTGGCAGGCCCGTTCTAGATAATGATAGGATATAGGGCTTGGGTGGTCATGTCTTTTTAAAGTTTATTGCTTGTGTATTTGGTACCAAAGTTACTTCATTATTTGCAAGAAACTTTCTCTCCACTGGAGGCCTCTGAGTGAGATGGTGACATGGTAGGTTAAGGGGAAAGAAGGATGTCACTGTGTGTTCTGGAAGCATTCACCTGGCAGGAATGGTTGCCAGGTGCTGGGCTTGCAGAGCTGGAGCCAAGGCTCCCCACATCTTCCTTCCTTCCTCCCTTTCTTTTATATCTCCCTCCCTCCCTCTCTCCGTCCATCCCTCCCTCCCTTCCTCCCACCCTCCTTTCCTTCCTTCCTTCTTTCCTTCCTTCCTTCCTTTTCTTCCTCTCTCCCTTCTTTCCCTCCCTCCTTCCTTCTTTCCTTCCTTCCTTCTATCTTTCCCTCTCTCTCTTCCTCTCCCTCTTCCCTCTCTCTTTGCCCATGGATTGATCAAACCCAAGAGACTGATAACTCACGTGAATGCAAACTGTATAATTAAAACTACAATGTTTATGGGGACCAGCACAGCCATTTTGCCCTGGAAAGCTCAGTAGCTTTTGCCATGGTCAAAATGCAAGGGCAGTCAGATCACAGTCAGCGTCTGGTGACTGGATTCACCTGAAATGCTCCTGTTCCAGGTACCTGTTTCTGTCAGTGGGATCAATACACTCTCATGCTACGGGGAGTTCCAATGGCCTTTGCTTGGAGTACTAGGGTTGGTGCAAGGGCAGCGAGGCTGTGGTGCCCTCTAGTTGCAGGGTAAGGAGGCGGTGCCTTCGTTTGGTCTTCTGAAATGGAGTATTAAGAGTCTCTGGTCTTCTGGGTGATGCTGGAGGGGGACGACCCAGGACTGCCTCTGGTTCCTTCCTCTAGGAGTCCCTGCCCACCAGCTCCCTCTCTGATGACATCCTGCCTCCTGCCATAGCTCTGATCACATCCTTTCCATCCTGCAGCTGAAGGGCCCTGGGCCAAACTGTCTCCCTTATGCAAAGGTATTTTTGGGGGACCCTGGAAGACCTCTGCAAAAGAGAAATACATACAAAGGCAAATATTCCTTTCACAGATGACCTTTCATTTCCTCCCACAGTTTTCCCACCAGACTTCCTGATCAGCTAGCTGGAGGTAGGACAACAGAGCTGGTATTGACTGAGGACTCCCAGGCCAGGTGGCCCGTGCTTTACACAAACCATCTCATCGAACTCTCCTGACAACCTAGCAACAGACCAGGCATCTAAAATTAGAAAGCCACGTGCCTGCTCCAGGGCATATTACCGGTAGCAAGCAGTGCTGGGATTTGAACCTGGATGAGGGGGAGGTGGATCTGGCAATGTGGAATGTTATGTGCACCGTGTGATCCCTGGAAATAGTGACAGTTAAGAAACCTAGCCCTTTGTGTTCCTCGGAAAGCATCTCTGCAAAGATGGTCGAGCCTGATTTGCCTTAGATGAGACTCACAGATAATGCCTTCTGTACCTGGGACACGACCAGATACAGCTCCTCCAAATTCCCTTAAAAAAATTTTTTTTTGGCCTCATCATTGTTGAGCTGAGCAGGTTGTCCCCACAGAACCATAGGAGCAAATGCTTATTAGCCAAACTGGTTACTAAGCATTGGTTAAGGTTATATGAGGAACTGGTTAAGGCTTCGCATCTCTCCTTGCCCCAGGCCTACCCATGGCCTGAGCCAGCAGACAGCCCCTCGAAGACCAGCTGGACTCAGGGTCCAGCATTCTTGACCCATGATCTCACCTCCCACACCCGTTCTTCCTAGCCTTGCTTACTCCTCCCTGTGAAAGAAAAACCCTTCTTGCCTAGCTCCTTAGAGGCCTTGGGATTACACCACTCTCCCTGCTGCTATCATCCCCGCCCCACTTTTAAGAATCCCCTCCAATCAAGTCTCTCCTTACTGTGATGGTCCTCACCCCGCTTGCAAGAATCCCCCCAATCAAGTTTCTCCTTACTGTGATCCTGTCCACCCCGCTTGCAAGAATCCCCCCAGTCAAGTCATTCCTTACTCTGATCGTTTCTGCCCGGCTTGCAAGAATCCCCTGCAATCAAATCTCTCCTTACTGGGTCCGATTGTGTTTTCTCTTCAACAGCCTGAACTCCAGCATGGGATCCACCCTGACCTCCACCTGGCTGCCCTTCCCCTTCCTGCCCCAAATGATGACCAGCAGCGCTGGGACAGGCTCTCTCCCCTCAATCCTTATGACTGGTGCCCTGGGCAGGTCCCCACATGTGCTCAGTTTTTGCTTGGCTAATGAAGAGAGTGAATGATGCCCTCACTCCATGATGAGGTCGGAGGTCCAAGCCCTCCTGGGGCCGTGTATGACTGGCCTCTGAGGAGATAAGCACAGAAACCAAGGAAGCGTCTAGAAACTCTTATAGCCATTTGGCAGTGAGTGCCTTTGAATCCAATAATAAAAACTGGAGGTTATCTTTTGTATGACTACTTGTATGCGGACTTGTATTTCACTTATCTAGGGATTAATGTTTTCAAAAATGTTTTAAGAAGTGTTGGTCTGTGGCAGAGAGCTCCTTCCCCTTGGGTAATTGGTGAAGCCGGGCTCTGGAGAACCCTCAGGCCTGGGGTTTGCAGCTTGTCAAAGGAGCATCCGTCCACCCCCATAAGCTTCCAATTCATTCTCTTGCTGGCGTCCCTGAGGCTGAAGACGGGAATGGAACAAGAGGGAGGCGCCAGGTAGGAAGCCAGCATCTTCAGAAAGGCGGGGGCATCTGACATTTTCAGAAAAGGGGGCACATCTTGCATCTTCGGGAAGGTGGGCATATCTGGTGTGGCTTCACAGGAGAGCGTGGGGATTGGGAGACCACATCTGAGAATGCGTTTCCCTCCGCATGAGAACTGGCACTAGCTGGCATTTCTAGAGTACCTACTGTGTGCCAGGGGGTGTTTTAAGGCTCTAGATGCCCCTACGCATCTTATCCTTATGGCAATCCTTTCAGGTACGTAGGATGATTGTTGCTATTTTAAAGAATAAAACACAGATGTACAGACGTGAAGGAACCTGCCAGAAAGATGCACCAGGGCAGAACCAGGGGGAGACTCAGGAGCTGGACTCTGGAGCCCAACTGCTCAGACATCATGAGCCGTGTGTGTGTGTGTGTGTGTGTGTGCGCGCGCACGCTGTGATGCAGAGGTGCATGCATACATGTCTGTGTGCACACACATGTGGGTGTGCGCAGGTGTGTTCATGTATGTACACACATAAGTGTGTGCACATGCGTGTGTCTCTGTATATGCACATATGTAGGTGTATGCACGTATGTGTATATTTGCATTTATGTGTATACAGGCTACGTATACGTGAGTATGCATGTGTGCCCCTGTGCACTCGCGCGTGGGTGTGGGAGTGCATATGTTTGTGCACACTGTGTGCACACTGTATTTGTGAGGGGAATGAACCTGGCCATACAGTAAGAAAGGTGCAGACTCCCTTAACCATGTCCTCTCTGGGCTCCAACCCCATGGGCTCCAGGTCTTTGGCCACAGCCCTCAAGGATGGTAAAGGGGCCCAGGGTGATGGTGCCAATGGTGGGTTCACACCAGGGATGCTTAGACTCCCTTTAAACCCCGGAGACAAAGAGAAGCTGGTTACCCATGCCTGGCCCCCTTGCCTCCTCAACGGAGGCTGAGGATGTCGCCCTCACGCTGCCTCAAGGGGAAGAAGCATGATAACCTAGGTGTCTGGCTCCGTTGCTGAGGATACAGGGAGTCACCATCAGAAGACTGATCGGCTTATCAGGGGCTTGTTCCCTGTGGCCAGCGAAGGAGACACCATTGCACTGATGTGTCTGGCACGCTCTTTATCTCTGCACAATGGTCCATTGCTAAATAAAGCTCAGAGCTGTGCATTTCCTAGCAAAGAGGGAGCACCACGGCCAGATTCAATCAGCACTGCTCCCCTGAGCCCCGCGCAGGTGCATGATGAAGCAGCACCCCTCCGCATCCTCGCAGGGAACCCACCCCATCCCATCACATACCCCTCCTCCATGCCTCTGCAGGATCCTGCTTCTCAAAACAGTCCCGCCCCGGACCTAAATTTGAGGCTGCCCAGCCCAGAGGGTGCCCTGCCGTCAAGCGTCTGTCTGTTTGCCTTGAAGGAGAAGAATGGCTTGAAGCCCCTGATCCAGGCGTCTCCCTCCCACCCCAGTACCAGTCAGAACCAACACACGGCTGCGGCGTCCCTGCAAGGAGGCTTCCAGAGTCTTTCCTGCCCAGGGTAGGGAAACATATTTTCTTCCAGCTGTCTACAATTGCCTGAGCCCAGCATAGTCACCCACAGCCAGAAGCGGCACATCAGCTTTCTTCTGCTAATCACAGAATCACTCCTCCAGGGCAGCTGCCGGGCCTCAGGTGCTTGGGGTCGGGGCTGAGCTGAGTCATTCCCATATGTCTGATTCTTGCACATTTAAGACATGAGCAGAGGAACCCACTGCAAATGCTTCACTGAGAGACGGGAGTGAAAGACCTAGCTCCCTGGCTCTGGACCCCAAGTGATCTGGAGTAATTTCAACTTCAGGATCTATCATGTTACCAACCCCCACCAAAATTAGCACACACTCAGAGATCTGCAACTGAGGGTCCAAGACCTATTTTCTGGAGTTGCTGATATACATAAGAGTTGATATCAAACCATTTGTTGAATTGTGCTTTTGGGAAATACAGTCCTGGCTTGCAAAAATTTTGACTTCTGAAAAGAGGGGTTCTTTTCTGATTTTAGATGATTGCCTTTTCCTAGATGCTTAGTAATGTCTGGCTACCCCCACCACACCCAAAGGGTGACAGCTCCAGACAAAGCCTCTGTGTCCAGGAGCCTTCGTCATTCCCTGGGGATTTCTGGAGTTGAGCAGGACATTCGCTGGGACATCGTAGCCAGAGCACAGTGCGGAGGCAGGGCTGTGGCTGTGGGGGATCCTCTAACCCAGCGGGGGGCGGGGCAGGAAATAGGTCTCATCCCACCCCAAGGAGGGGCCACCAGGGTTGTCACCATGTCCCAACTTCAGGTTAAAGTGTTGGGCTCCAGTAGGGTCTTCAGGCTGGACTGGCTTGACCCAGTGGAAGTGGGGGAATCTGTAACCCTGGACAGTGAGCCCAAGGCAGTCCCTACACTGGCAGGTGTGAGCAGCCACCATTTCCCCATGCTTGCCATGTTCTCATCACCATTATCCATACTAGAATTGCAGCAGAGAGGAACCCAGGGTCCCTCCTCAGTTCAGAGCCACCAAGCCTCCAAGTTCATCCTGACCAAGGCATCCATGCAGTGAACTTGTGAGCCAACGAGCATGAGCTCCACAGACCCAACTTCCACATGGCGTCCAGGGATGACTGATCCCATTCAGCCAACTCAGAATTCTGGGTGTGCGTGACTGGGCCATTAAAGGAACTAGCTCTGTGTGTCCCGAAGCACCGGTTTGCCAGTCAGATTGCCTGAAATCAGAGCTGCTCACAACAAGGGGCTTTTATTTATTTTTTGGAGAAATACTGACATTTCCTAAAATAGTGGTCTTTTATTCAATTGACAGTAAGTTCGGGAGCTGTTACACACGATCTGTGCCTGGTGGGTGACGGTTAGGAACGGAGCTCTTTGTGAACACATCTGCATGCTGAAGAGGGTGGAGGGTCCCTTTTCACAAACACTTTGTTCGCAGCCCCCACATCCTGTGGGCCAGGGGACAGCGAGGACTTCACGCGTGTGCTGGTTGGCAATGCCAGCATGTCCTCTCCCTGCCGCTCTGGGGATTCTAGACCGTACACACCGCTCTTCCAGTCTGTAGTTCATTTTAATTTCCTTTTCTTTGAAAAGAAGTACTCTTCATTCCTTTAGCCACCTTTTTGGCCACAAGATATGAGTCACAGATGAAAGCTACATTGTAAAAAGATGGGTTTAAAAAAACCAAACCAAAAACCCCACCCAACAACAAAACCCATTTCCTGTCTTTGAGGCAAAGCAAGAGAGAAGGGAAAAATATCTGAAATAGCAGGTAATAAAAAAACAGCTTCTACCGAGAGACTATCTTCTCTATGTCTGAAAGGCATTGGCTTTGGAAATAACTAGAAAGTTCTTGAGAGAGAGTTGAGAAGAAAAATACCAGGGAGCAGGTATTTTTCCATCAAAATTTTACACCAAACTTAAGAAAATTGCTTTAGAAGGCTTACAGCATGATTCAAGGGAATGAGCAGCCACCTCCTCTAATCATCACTTCCCCTCCTTACATGTCCTCCCCATGCCTGCAGGATGACGCCAGCCTCCTCAGCTGAAGGTGCAGACTGATGACCAGGAGAAGGGAGCGATCCTTCCTCCATTCCCTTGAAGCCTGTCCCTGGGGAGCCTGTAGGATCGCCGAGAAACACTAATCCGTTCTGCAAGGACGGGATGGAATGCATTGGGGGAAGATGCATTAAACAGACACCTCTCTTTAAGAAGCCATCTTACTAACTCAGTGGGTAATTCTTTGGCTTGATGGCTCTCCTCCTGGAGCTCCAGTAAATCTTCCAAGGAGCCAGTGCCGCACTGGAGGTGCTGGTCCATCTGTTGATCTGTGGATCTGCAGAAATGGGCTCCAGGGAGCATTCACAGGTGAGATCACAGCAAAGAAATGACGGATTGCCCAACTTGTGAGGAAGTGCCATCAGAAAAGACTCCATTTTGGGAGAACCATTTAGCCAGGCCGGGGAAGCTGGCTCTGGGCTTCTGTATTTTCCTTAGGAGTTTGCTGGTTTCCTAGAAGTGCTGGATTTATCAGCAAAAATCCCAAAGTGGCCGTGGCTGGGTTGTTGACCAAAGCCGTTGGCTTCAGAGCTTCTCTGGCAAAGAGAGAGTGAGCAGAACAAGTGTTTTAGGCTCCTGGCTGAGGAAGGGAGGGGAGTCCTCCGCATGTCTGTGCCTAAATATCCACGTTCCTGTCTTTTCCTTGTTCCAAGAACCCTCCTGGCCTCCGAAGCCTCGCTCCTCTCCTTCCATAGAGTCAAGGGCACCAGCACATCGGGTGCCTTGAGCTCTTCCGGGGATCCAGGGGTGTCACGGGAAGAAGGACCAAACTACCGACATGTTTGGGGGTTCTCTGGAGAAAACGAAATTGAGCAGGACTTAGAACTTCCCAGAGCCCTGTGAGCTTTGTGAGTTTCCAAGAGCAGAATGTGTTAGAATTTATTTCCAAACTCCTAGCACTCGGATTTGAGTCTGTTATGGGTGCATTGAAGTCCTAACTGCCAGTACCGGTGCATGGCAACTTATTTGGAAATTGCAGATATAATCAAGTTAAAGTGACACAGAGACACACACAGAGATACAAACAGAGACAAGAAACAGAGACATACACACAGACACAGAGACAGACAGACACACAGAGACACACACAAATACACAAAGATAAACACATAGAGACACACACACAGACATAGAGACAGACACAAAGACACACACAGACACACACACAGACACACACACACAGACACAGAGATACACATACACATGCAGGGACAGACACACAGGCAGACACACACACAGACATAGAGACAGACACACAAAGAGACACAGACACAGAGACACACACGCAGTGATACACATAGAGACAGACACAAGAGACACAGACACATAGAGACAGACACACAGACACAGAGATACACACAGAGAAGACACAGAGACACACACAGACACACACACAGGCACAACTGAGACAAGACACAGAGACATACACACAGACACAGACACACACATAGAGACACACAGATACACACAGGCACACACAGACACATGGGGACAAGACAGAGACATACACACAGACATAGACACACACAGAGACACACAGATACAGGCACACACAGACATAGACACACACAGACACACATACACAGACATAGAGAAATGCACACAGACACACATACACCACACACACCACATACACACACTACACACACACACCACATACACACACACCACACACACCACACATACACACACCACACACTACACACACACACCCACACACACCACACAGACACCACATAGACACCACACACTATACACCCACCACACACCACACACACCACATACACACCACACACTACACAAACACCACACCACACTCACATACCACACACACACCACACACACATACCATACACACACACACACACACACACACACACACACCATACACTACACACGCACCACACCACACGCACAGACACCACACACACCACACATACACACACACACACATATGCTCTGGAAAATTGTCCTAAGGGCACACAGCAAATGAAGAAGCATTCATTCAAGAAAATCTACTCAACCTTGGAGAGCTTATTATGGCACTTGAGTCAGAACCCCCACCACCTGTCCCCTCCTACCACCTCAGTTTGTGTTCCTTGGGGAGCATTTTATAAACCCTGATGCTCCCGTGGACTCCTGGAACCAGCTGATGACAGGGGAAGCTGGTATTGAGAACTGGGTCTGCTGCCAGACCATGGTTCAGCGGGTCAGCCTGGGCCTCGTGATGAGTGGGGATGTGGAGACAGTCTCTGGCAAGTCAGCTTCATTTCCCTGCTCTGGGATGAGAGGTGGGGATGGCATAATAGGCAACAGCAATAAACTTCTCCCTCTGTTCCTGGCAATTCTGACCCAGCCTTTGGGAATCTGCTTTGAAAAATGTGTTTAAGCCCCTTGCCCCCATCTTGGGGCAATGGCTACACCACCGCCCGCTCCCCCCCATCTTCCCTCACGTGTTCAGCATTGTCAACACTGCGTCAGGACTGTCCAACCCCTTTAGATTCAGGGGAAAGCAGGGAAGCAGGGACTGCTGGCATCCTCACTCTTGGAGAGCCCTCCTCCCACCAGCCTGTGCCAGGTAGAGAGTGGATTTCAGTGACTTATGTTGTACTCAAGTGGTTCTTCTTTCCTAAAATGGTGAGGAGAACTAATTAACCTGCAGTAATTAGAGAAATGCTTAGATTTCCTTTTCGTGTGCTTAGACTACTAATGGCCACTGTGTGCAGAAGAGGCTCTGATTCACTGGGACGGTTCTGAGCCTCTCAGGCGTAACCCAGCACCTCCTTCCAATGGATGGCATCTCAAGTCACACGGTAGTGTAGCCACCCCCTCCAAAAGGAGACATTGTGGTCGGCTGTTGGGAGCTATCTGTCAAGCAGGTGTCAGGGGTCTGTCACCCACTGTTATGGACCAAATTGTGTGCCCTCCAAATTTATGTATTAAAGTCCTAGACCCCTGTGCCTGAGGATGTGACTGTGTATGGAGATAGGATCTTTAAAGAGGTCAGTACATCAAATTGAGGTCATTAGGGTGGGCCCTAACTCAATAGGACTGTTGTCCTTATGAGAAGAGGAGATTAGGACACAGACACACAGAGAGACGACCATGTGAGGGCACAGGAAGAAGACAGGCGTCTGCAAGCCAAGGAGAGAAGGAACCAGCCATGTGGCACCTTGACCTCAGACTGCCAACCTCCGAACTGTGAGATGATACATGTCTTGTCTAAGCCCACAACCTAGGGTGTTTGCAGCAGCCCAAGCAGCCCTATTGATAGGGGAGGTGTCAGTTGGCTAAGTTCCTTGGTTGGATAATGGAGCCCACAGTCCATTCACCAGCCTGTGCTTCCTACCCCAGTCTCCCGACGCGACTCCAAGTAGCAGACAGCAGAGCCACAGCCAGGCCGGGATGCCCACCATAGCGACCCCCCTTTTATGTCTAATTAGAGCCATATTGTTATGCAGGAAAGCATCTGTAACAAACACTCCAGCAAGATGCCTCGGGAGCTGAATTTCGAATGTTCTCTTTCTGTCCCTGGACACCTGCTGGAAGTTCTGGAGCAAGCTTTGAGGCAATTCGCAACTTGCTATGCCTCCCGGCACAAAGCAGTATTTCTCAGACTCAGGCGTGTGCAGGAGAAGGGGCTGCAGAGGTATCCGAGGAGCCTCAGAAGTTCACAGAGCCCTTTATAAACAATGTGTTTTCAATTAATTGCAACCTAGAACAAGGAGGGCCATCTGCATCCTCTAGGATGGCAGTTTCACACTGAACGGGGGTCTCCGTTCCTGCATTGCGTGCATTTTCCATGTCGTTAGGGTTCAGTGAAAGGCACCCCGCTTGCTGTGGCCTGGATAAGAGCACAGACAAAAAAGAAAGACAGGAGATTGAGGGCCTCACAGTGACCCATGGAATGAAAATCACTGCCCTGGCTCTTAGGCACGTCTCTGAAGCCAACACAAGTCTCACCTGGATCTACTTGGCTCCGTTAAGCAAGAATTCCAAGTTAAACCATATTTAAAGATGTCTTCTTTCAATAATGAATGTTGTGTTGCCTTGTTTAAATTGATGGGTCCATGAAAATAACAGATCAATGGTTAAAAATGAATGCATTGTTAAAAAAGAAAGCAAAAACAATGTTAATGATGAATTAATTGGTGGTCCATCATGCTCAAAAGCAAAAGACCCAAGCTGATTTATCAAACGTAGGCTACACCAAGACCCCTTTCTCACCCAACACAGGCTATTTGGTTTCAGCCAACAGCAGCATCCGTCACCTTTGTGATGTTAATTTGAATTTTATTATTTTTATGGTTTTGCTTGTATTTGAATTGTAAATTTATTTTGTTTCTATAGTTGCATAAGAGCTATAATCATCAGCAGTTTATACCTAGCTTTATTAATTCTGCTTATTGAAGTAACATCATTATAAAAATAATTTGAGTTAAAATGCTCAAGCTATCTAAGCAATATAATATCATTCTGCTGTCTAAACTGAATCTCTAGAGAAATAAACGTGTATACCTAAATGAAAAGGTATTTGTTTATTTTATATGATATGTATAATGTGTATACATACTTATGAATATACAGTATACATGTATGTATAGAATATATACACACTCATATTTATACAATTTGCAAATGTGATGGATGTATATGTGTGCACACATGATATGTATTATGTATCTTTGTTTTTTATTTCAGCCTGGGCGACAGAGTCTCACTCTGTCGCCCAGGCTGGAGTGCAGTGGCTCGATCTCAGCTCACTGCAACCTCTACCTCCCGGGTTCAAGTGATTCTCCTGCCTCAGCCTCCTGAGTAGCTGGGATTACAGGCCTGCACCACCCCGCCAAGCTAATTTTTTGTATTTTTAGTAGAGACGGGGTCTCAACATGTTGACCAACTTGGTCTCGAAATCCTGACCTCAGGTGATCCGCCTGCCTCGGCCTCCCAAAGTGCTGGGATTACAGACGTGAGCCACTGCCCCTGGCCTGTGTCATGTCATCTTTAAGAGATCTACACAGTACTGAAGTGTGGCCAAATGGTGATGGGCATGTATTTGGAATAAGACAGACCTGGACTCTACTGCTCACCCTCTCACTTATTAGTTTATTTTTTCATCCCTGGACCTCAGTTTCCTCAAATGTAAAATAAAATAATAAAATAAAATAGGAATAATATACCTAACTCACAGCATTATCATAAGAATTGAATAAAATAATTGCAAAATGTCTGGGCACATTGTAAGCAATAAATAGCAGCTCTAAATTTGTTCTGCGTTTGCAGAAGAGCTGGAGAAGTGACTCTGAAAACCAAAAACAGCCTGCAAGTCCTCGGGACAGTGGCTCTGGAGCCGCTCCATGGGCTGTGAGCCACGCTGATGGGGGCTCTCTCCTCTCAGGAAGGCCTCAGCCACCCTGGGATCTGGAGTCCTGGGAGGCTGATGTTTGGCACTGACTGCCCCTGAGGTTCCTCTGCATTCTGGACACCTGAAGATGGACAGGTGGCTGCAGGGGTGATGTGGAGATCCCCTGGGGGGCTCCAAGGCCATTCCCAGTGGGGCCAGGGGATGTCCAGGAAGAAGAATGCCCAGCCCTGTGGCTCTGCGGTCTCTCTGCACACACCGGCTCTCATGCCCTCACCTCCTTGGGCTTACATCTTTGGGAGGCAGAATGGGGTAGAGAAAATGCTCAGAGATCACAGTCTTGCTTTCCAATCCTCCCTCCACCACGGCCTACCTGTGGGCTGCACAAGTCTCCCAAGCACTCCCTCTGTGATTCCTCATTTTGGGGGGGTTAAAAGCCCCCCTCCTGTGGTGTCATCATCTTCACGAGCGTTGAAGGAGCCATCCGTGGAGGGGTGTTTAGTCCAGTTCCTAGGAGATGCTCACTGATTGCCTTCCTCTTCTTCTGATCTGGTCCAGACAGTTGCCCCGGAGAATCCTAGATCCGATTGGCCCCCTGGAGGTTATTTCTCTTCCATCTCATTTCCTTCCCTTGGCTCATCCCTCATCCAGACTCTTGGAAAGACCAGTTGTCCAGCCAGGGATTCTGGGAAAGTGAGAATCTTATGTTCTCAAACCACAGAGACAAGGAGAAACCCAAGGCCAGGAATCCACTTCCCATCTACTCCCATCCCTGGAGGAGAGAGCTCCTGTGTGCCTGTGGCTGAATGTGGCTGGGCTGTGCCCTGGGTCTGTCGTAGAAGACAGACCCGGGCATGCCTGTCTTGCAGCTCCTACGCTGAGATGTTCCAGAGAGCTGGTGCTGATTGCCTGTGTGCTGAGTGCCTGGCAATGTGGTCGTCAGTTCTCCCGAGAGAACCTCCTGAGTTTTCACCAGCGCCATGTTCCTGACTTAGGAAAGTCGTCCACACCTGCCCCAGACGCCCCATCCTTTCTTTGTCTTTTGTGACCTCACTGACCACCCTTCCCCTCTACTCTGCAGACACAAGGAGGAGCGGGACTTGCGGCCAGTGGATTATTGATCCTCTCTACGTGATGCTTGCCCTTGACGGGCTATTCTTGGCACACTTTTCACCCCAGAAGCTTCCCCTGCCAGGTGGCCTGCTTCAACGCATCAGCCAGTGTGTGCTCAGGGAGCAGAACTCACACTTGCGTTAGCTTGAACAAAGAGTAAGTAGGAGGTGAAGTCTGTGAGGACAGCCCGGTGCTGCATTCCAAAGCCAAGGACAGAGATGCAGCAGAGCCCATGCTTCACTGTCTTCCGCCATTTTCCTGCTTCTGGAGCAATAGTGTTTATCCTTGCCTTTCTGAGTCTCCTGATGCACAGACTAGAAACCCATCTCCGCGGGGTCTGTTACCAGGGCAGTCCCTGCCTTGAGGTCTCCTTGCTTCCCATTTTCTCCACGTCCACGCCTGTGGATCATGGACCATCCCTCCTACTCCAACAGGATGTGGAGCTGACCTCCTTAACCCAAGATAAATATCTTTACCCACTTCTTTTTCTCAACTAAAATGATTTGCACAGCAATTTTCGTATTCTGGGAAAATGTGAAGGGAAGAAATAAGAGGTGCAAAATGGGAGTGCTGGTAATTAATTGAGAATGGAGAAGCAGAGTTCCATTCAGGCGGTAATTGGATTTTAACCCCTTGGGAGTTGTTTTAAATGCAGATACAAATGTACGAGCTATCTTTCCTTGCAACGCAGCTCCCTCTCGGATCCAAGGAGGCCTGAAATCCAGGGAGGAAACTTCCTAAAATGTGGTGAGCTTGGCCAAAAATGAGTCAGAACATTCGACCTATCAGGTAGGTGCTGACGAAGAATGGCCATTCTATGTCATTGAGAGCTGCCCAGGAGGCTCCTGGGGACACAGTTTCTTCTTCTCTCGGTCTTCCTGTTGGACCCATAAAATAGCAGTATTTTACTGTTTTTTTGATGTGTTGGGAACATTGCCATTGCCCTCTTCCAGGACATCTGACTGTTGAGCTCTGGGGAAGGGGTGGGAGTTGGGGTGTCCAGCCCTTCTGGGCTCTCTTTCTGGTTTCCCTGTCCAGAGATAGGGGCTCCTCCTTCAGCTCCTGCCTCTAGGTGGTAAGCACACCTAGTTCAGTCTAGGTCCTGATTTTAAGGGGAGCTCATGTGATGGAAGCAGGGAGTCATCACTTTGCCCAATTGTCAGGGTCACCCCACTGGTGCAAAGCAGGCTGTGGAGACTGCAGGGGGCTGGGCTATGTCTGCTCTCAGCTCCACCTCACTGGACCTGGGGGTAGTCTCAGGAATGGGCTCCCGGAGTTGCAAAGGGCAGCACTCATGAGGTAGTATGCAGTGACTCCTCACTCATGAGGTGGTATGCAGTGGCTCCTGAAGGTGCTATCATTCCGTTTCACAGATGAAAATCAACGTGCATAGGAAAATTTCTAAGAGGAGGATTTTGACCCCCCTAATCCAAAACTAAAGTAACCCAGGAGGCCTTCTATTGCTACTGGGTTCAGTAGACAGGTCAGTTTGGGAGATACCGATGAAGGTTGGAGGGCGGGGTGGGTTCTAACTCTTCCTAATCTTTTTTCTTCTTGATTGACAGCAGGACTTGGTCTTCTAGTGTCTTCTTCTCTAGGAGAATGCCCCAGAAAGTTCTTACCCGTAAAATTCTCTGTCCTCCTCTGGACTTCTGTTACCTTACAGTCAGCATGGCACCATTTAGAATCTAATGGGTATTGTGGTAAACAATGTATTGTTAAGTAACTTGTGTTGGCCATTTTGCTTGTAGCACCGATCCCTTCCTGTTCATTCTGAGTTTGCTCTGGGCGGTGGGGAGGGAGTCGCCGCCTGCAGACGAAACTCCCCAGACTTCCTTGTCATCCGGATGCCAGCTGTCCAGTGAGAGCCACTGTGGGAGATGGGAGGGTGGGAAGAAGAGAAGGTCCAGGGCGTCTCTCCTGCTTCTCTGTACTCCAGTAAGAATACCCCTGGCCTTTGTCCATCCAGTCCTGGGGGTAGCAGCAGCTTCCTACAGCGGCCAGTCTCGGGGCAAGCTTCTTTCTCTAGTTGTGCATTCAGCTCTGCTCACAACATTCCAGCCATCTCCCATAATCAGCTTTCTCAATCCAAAGACCTGGCATGTGTTTTGTTTCTGTGGTCAGACCCTGCCTCGTCTAGAGCTCACATGTTCGTCAGCAACAATGACCTGGCTCTGTGGCATCCCTGGCTGGCTGCACGGGGGTCTAGGCGAGGGGTGGTAGGAGAATCAGCATTTGTTTAACTCTCGTTTTTCCATTTAGCCTTCATGGGAAGGCAGGGGAGGGGCTGACCATGAACCGGTCATTTTGATGAATCAGCCAGTGGCATCATGGTCCCAATGGTGACCACAGCTCAGATACTCCACGTGCTCAGAGGAGCTGCTGCCCAGCTCCCAGATTCCCAGGTGCTTCCTCATTGCCCATCTCTGGACTTTTATTCCCTGCTGGCTCCCTCAATGGCATAGTTGTGGACAGGAGTGGGATGGAGGTTTTAGTCTGGGGACCTTAAGTTTGGACACAGGTATGGACCACACACGGGCAGTGCTTGGCTGATTTGACCTGATGTGTAATACGATGACCTAGGAAACTGCATCGTCGCAGTGCAGGGTTACCACGGTGTCACCCAGATGACACGATTATAACAAGATGTGTGACTGAGGACTCTGGTGAGAAACAGTCTGAGTGAGCATCTGTCAGAAGGCCTGGAATTAATCCCGTAGAGACAGCAATCCAATGACATTAACTAAATTGCCTCCGGGGCTGACGTGTGCTCACTCCCTGCACACGCAAAGCCTCTGCATGTCACTGGGACACGGCAAGAGGGAGTGAAATATTTGCTCCACAGGAAAGGCCCACTTAGGTCATTGACTCTTGATCTGGCCTTCAGAAGGGCTCTTGTACAGAGGACCAGGCCAGGGAATGGTGCCATCTCACGGCCACTTAGGAGTCCAAATGGACCCAAACCTTCAGCCAACATGTGTGTCCTCTCTGCCCCTCCCGATTGGCCAGGCCTGTCCTTGCTGCAGCCAGTCACCCTCTTCCCTCACACCCATGCAGTGAAGAGACTGGACTGCCCCATCTCTAAAGGGTCTCTTACATGCTAGTAATCTAGAGCTGATTTTAAAACAACTGAAGATAATTTAGAAAACGTACAGAAATCACCTATCACCCCCAAACACAGAAATGAAAAATTGAATGCTGTTTTCTCCATTGACTTTTAATAGGATTTTATTTGTAAAATCCATTTGTTAAAATTTGGAGAATTCTGTATATTTAGTTAAATATTTAACTTTTTTTTTTTAAAAAAAAACCCTGGGCATTAAATATAACACTCACTGGCTTAAGATATCTATTTGTTATCATGAGGCAGAAATATCCTTCCATTTTTAGCTTACTGAGTTTTATCAAAAATGAATGTTGGATTTTAATGAGCATTTTCAGTAGCTATGAAAGTGAACAGATGGTTTTTTGAACGATTTGACCTATTGATGGAATATTTGTGATTAGAAGCCTTGCCATTGCTTTAAGTCACTTTGTAACTGCTCTTAGGGAAGAGCCCATAGAAGCTGCTATAATTTGCTCAATAAATATTTGTGGAGTGAATGGATATTGATCAAATGAAGATTTTTGAATAATTTAAAGGTGGTGACCTTTGTCCTTTGCTCTTTCCAAAAGTTACAGTCTTGGGAGCTTAGGCTGGTGAGTAAAATGAGTATGGAAGCCGAGCAATACAGTGTGAGTGCAAAAATAATAGATCAAGACTGCCCTTCTTCCATTTGGGTTCAAATTACTCCAGACTGTCCCTGAATTCGGATCCAAGCAGCATTCCCTGGGAGGCCAAGAAAGCAGGTGGATTTTGCCATCCCCACCGCCATTGCCCAGGATAAGGATAGGACGGTAAGGCTGTGGGGCTTTGATCCTAGGGCTCTCTTGGATACCTGCCATCCAGGAAGCAAGGGGGTCCCTAGAGAGGAAAGGAAGTGGCAGTGGGTATAAGCAGTGAGTGTGTGGGGAGTCTGCAGGGGATACAGGGACTCCTCGGATGGTGTGTAGGCAAGTACTTCAGTGGGAAGTCGAGGCGATGGGGGGTGGGGGTTGGGGGGGATAAGGCCATGTTTTGAGGAGCCATGTGCCCGTTGGAGGGATAGTGTCCATGATGCCATCTGGATCATTCCTTTCCTTCCAATGGGAAGCAGGAGCTCAGGAAGGGCTCAGGGTTGTGGCTGTCAAGAGCTCCCAGCCCTGAGACCCCTCCCTGCTCCGTTCATACGTCCCCACTCCACACTGCCTGGGTGAGTCCTTTCTGGCATCTGTCTCCCCACCAGCCAGAGCCCCCTGAGAGCAGGACTCACACTGTCCATTTGCTTTCCCAGTTCCCAGGACGGCCACTGGCCCCTCCACTCTAGGATCTAACGGATGCTCAAGAAACATTGAAGGAAGGAAGGAAGGGACAAAGGACTCACGAGAGAGCCTTCAGGAGGTCCAGCCTCTGTGCGTTGTGTTGACAGCAGCAGCCTCCGCCCCTGCGAGTGCTCAGCTCTCAGAGGTGCTCAGTGAGGGTTGTGGAGGATGAGTGTGTCAGGGGTGCCAAGGCCAGCCAGCACTCACAGGAGGTGGCATCCCTTGGGGTGAGGGTAAGAGAAGAGGGCACGGGTGGGTAGTAGGGCAGGTAGGGGGCCTGGCAGACCACTGCCTTGGAAGATCCACATGCATTTCTCTAGCTTACAAAGTAGCAATGAGGATCATGCATGGGCTCTAGACCCCAAGTGGTCTCGAGACGGCGCTGACAGTGACCCGCTGTGGGTGGCACAGACCTCTCTGAGCCTCAGCTTTCTTACCAGAGCAATGTGGAAATGGACAGAAATTTCATCCCAAGGTTGTTGTGTGAATTAAACAACACCATGGGTTTGAAGAGAGAAGCGAAGTGCTCGGCGCCTGGAATGGCACCTGGCTCCATCAATACGAGATGCGAACATAGTTGTGGTTAGTTTGGCTTTCCTTTGAGAAAAGCTCCCTTTGACAGTTCCAACCTGTCTTAGTACTCCCAGGAACCAAGGACCCAGTGTAGCAGGGTGGTGGGCAGCTGGGGTCTGAGAAGACCCTTAGAAAAGGCAGGGCCCAGCACAGCAGGTCTGGGGGAAGCCATTGCCATCGCCCAAACTGAAAAACTCTCTGTCCTGCCTTGTTTTCATAAGAGGCTTCATAAGGGTGCAGGGTGCAGACATGGACTCGGAAGGACAGTGAGACCCGAGGGCAGCTGGCCAGTCGCAGGTTGTCTGTCATCACTCCTCCCTCCCTGCAGGTGAGGCTCCCAGCTCCCTGTGGCTAGAGGGCAGGAATAGGTGTGAGGCTCAGGTATGAGTCTGGGGCCTCCCTGGAGCCTGGTTATGTCAAGCCTAGTCTCTTAGCCTGCCTAGGGGCCTCATGGTGGGGCCCTGAGCTCCAGGTTCTGGGATTGTCATCTTTTCTGCACAATTGGTCTAGAGGTAAACCCAACTGTCTGCTGTGTTGAGAGTCTGTGAAGGGGCCACATGGCAGTGCACTGTGGGCAGCCTCTGGGACCAGTGCGGGGCCTCAGCCGACAGCCAACAAGAAGCTGGGGCCTCAGTCCTACAGCCACAGGGAGGCAAATTCCACACACAGCTGGAATAAGCTTGGATGCAGGTTTATTCCCAGTCAGTCCTTCATATGAAAAAGCCCATCTGACACCTTGTTTGCAGCCTCTGAGTCCCACAGCACAGGGCTCAGCTAAGCCATCTCTGCTTTTCTGATCCACAGAAGCTGTGAGAAAATAAATGTGTGTTGTTTTAAGCCTCCAAATGCATGGTAATTGGTTTTACAGAGACGGAAAACTGATACAGTCTGTAAGCCCCTGAAGATGAAATCCGGGATAAAGTATTTAGCGTTCTCCTAATTCACCCTAGCTTGGGTGTTTCTCTTTCATTCCCCTTCATTTATCCAACGAGTACTTATGAAGCACCTTCAGTATACCAGGTGCTGTGTTTGGGCCTGACCCCCCCATGTCTCTGCAGTTTTGACAAAGCTGCTGTGAAGTTCCAATTGGATGATTATTCGAGAGAGACAAACTACAATCCTATGGAGATTCATAAGCTGCCACTAACCTGCCTCCCAAGCCATTTGGTCTTCAATGTTCATGTCCTGTTTTTCAATATCACAGACATCACACAGTTATATAGGTTAGCTTGGTCATAATCAAATGAGCCTATGGAACACGCACATTTCACGTACATACCTCTTTCTTTTTGGGCTGTGCTTATCTAAGTGTGTTTAAGTCTATTTATGATCTCACCACTAACAGTGTATAAATTAAGGGGTGGATGGATGGACAAATGAATGAACGTGCATTTCTAATCTGCCAGGCTTGCTTGGAGTCCTCTTAATGCAGGCATATAATTTTTTTAGGCTAATAAATAAAAAGCGACTTTCCCTCCAGAGCAAATGCTGCCTCAGCAGTCAGGGTTCAGCAAATGGCACATTCATCTCTCTGGGGGACAGTGCCAAGGATAATATTTTGGCAGGTTATCTCCACACAGTTACTCAGTATAACACTGTCAGTCAAAGGTCAGTTTATGAAGCAGGGATTTATAAAGTGAACTTGGAACCAGAGCCTGGGCCAGTCTGTCCCAAGCAGCAGATCTGTCTCTCAGCGTTGACAAATTCTGACCGGTGGTTGACTCGGAGCCCAACATGATGCCTGGGCTGCTCAGCTCCTGTCAGCGGCGGCTGTCTGTCAGCTAGAGTCACCTTAGTGTGGATGCTCAGATGTCAGCAGACAGGCCAGGGAGAGGCCAGAGGACATTTATCCAGATGGGGGCTCGCTGGTGGTAGATGGTGGAATGACAGTGAAAGAGAGGACCCTGGAGCATGCATTCATGATCCAGGAGCTAAATATAGATCCCCCTTTATTTGCAATGAAAATATGTCTGTGTGTGCAAGTGTGTACATGTGAATTTGTAGATATTTGTGTATGTGTATGTGTACCATGTACATGTATATTTTCATGTATTTGTATGCATCTGTACTCATGTGTGGGGTATAGGCACATGTGTATGTTCATATGCACTGTGTGAGAGCTTATGTGTGTGTGTATATTTGTGCACATGCATGTGGATCATGAACATGTCTGCATATATTCATGTGTATTTGTATGTGTGCATAAGTATATGTGTATGCATGCATAGTTGCATGTATAGTATCTGCATGCATGTGTATATATGTACTTGCATGTGTGTATGTGTATACGTGTGTGCATGTGCCTTGTGTATTCAGTGTTTGTGTGTGTATGTAAGTGTCAATCACCGATCAGAATTTGTCAGTGTGGAGAGACAGATCTGCTGCTTGGGACAGACTGGCCCAGGCTCTGATTCCAAGTTCACTTTATAAACATACACGTTTATGTACATGTGTGTATGTGTGTATGTTGGGGTGTGTGCATGTAAAAGTATATGCATATGTTCACACATGGTTTTGTGTGTGTGTGTGCATGCACACATTCTACTTGCTCACCAGTTAGACCACCAGGTCTTTAAGAGAAGATGCTTGCATATCGAGCATCTCTGAATGCTGCATTCCCATGGCACTTCTGATCATGTCCTCATAAATCCTGTTTCAATGATTGCTAGTCTACATTTTTAAATGCAGTTTTGAAGTCCCTTACCCTACTACAGGAAATAATATTTATGTGGTTGTTAACGTGCCATCATCTGCCTCCCTCCATTAGCATGGAGCATCCATGCAAGCAGGATGAGGGATGCTGTGCTCATTGCCATGTTCCCAGTGCCTGTCATGGGCAGGCTCTCAATGAAGGTCACCGCATGAATCTCCTTGACACAGCCTCTCCTGACTTGCAGCCGCTGCATCGGGCAGATGGTCCTGAGGATCATAATGGTGATGTAATGAGCTCACAAACGTAACTCCCAGCAAGTGGAGATGTGTAGAGACAAGGTGATCTCTTTATGGAGCCAGCTGGGTTTCCTCCCAGGCTCCCATGCACCTGTTACTTGGGTGAGAATGGTGGGGATTTTCCAGCTGAGCTTAAAGCCCAGGGTAATCTGATAAGAGGAACACACATGCTCTTAGATTGGAAACTGCCTTTGTCAAGATTATGACAGTGAGAGAAATCTGGCACGACTGACTCCATCTTGCTTCGAGCCTACCAGGCTGGCTGTCCTCACTCAGTCCTGGGCATAGGCCACACTAACCATGGGAAGAATTTAGTTTATAGTTTAACTTTGAAGCAAGGATGATAGTAGTTCCTCTCTAAAATGGATCCCCTCCTTGTTTGGGGGTTGAAACTGCCTTTGTGAGATTAATGAAAGGCCACAAGATTTGGATTATGGGAGGGGCCTGAGGTCTCCTAATGTGTAGGCATAGTTTCTATATTCCCTTACTACTCAGGAGTCATGTGGCCAGAGGCCACAAGATTTGTGACTTCCCCAATTGCTCCTATTTGTGACTTCCTCGATAGAAAATACCAACCTGATTGGTCTTTTGAGAAGTTTTCCATACTTTTGCATTCTGATGACCTACTGACCACAGATTAATGGCTCATAATTCAACCAGTGCTGTGGCCCCACTCAGCACAGGAAGACCATTTTCCATGGTCCACAGCATTCCCAGCCAATCAATAGCACCCATTCCCTAGTCCCCTGCCCACCTTGAAAAACTGTAACCTCCAAGCCTGCAGGGAGGCTGATTTGAGTAACAACTCTGTCTTCTGTCTGGCTAGCCTAGCATTCATTAAACGCTGTCTTTACTGCGACACCACAGTCTCAGCAAACTGGTTTTGTTTGTGCAGCAGGGCCGGAAGAACCTGTCAGGCAATTACAGATTTGCCAGGTGATGGTCACCCTGCCATCTTGCTGCTCTCCCTGATGACTGGCAGAGAGAGGTCTATAGGGACAGGGTCCTCTGTCTCTGCCGGTGTCTGCCTGGCTAATGTGTACCCAGCTGGTCCCTGGGGCTCCAGTCTGTTTGGAGGACTCAGGGCTCTCTCTGCTGGCCCCTTCTGGCTTCTCAGCCTCTGATGGGCTGTGGGTGCCACTGCAGACCCGTTTGAGGGCAGGCTGTGGTCCCTGGCATCTGGTCTGGTCCTCTGCTGACTGGGCAGTCCTCCTTGCATCTTGCCTCCTGTGCCAGGTCCCTCTAACTCACATTGGATTTGAACAGACTCCCAGACACTTCTGGGTTCCATGCTGTATTAGTCTGTTCTCACACTGCTAATAAAGACATACCTGAGACTGGGTAATTTATAAAGGAAAGAGGCTTAATGGACTCACAGTTCAGCATGTCTGGGGAGGCATTACAATCATGGCAGAAGAGCATTAGACATCTTACATGGTGGCAGGCAAGAGAGAGCTTATGCAGGGGAACTCCTCTTTATAAAATCATCAGTCAGGCCAGGCACGGTGGCTCACACCTGTAATCCCAGCACTTTGGGAGGCCGAAGCGGGTGGATCAGTTGTCATCAGGAGTTCAAGACCAGCCTGGCCAACATGATGAAACCCCATCTCTACTAAAAATACAAAAATTAGCTGGGTGTGGTGGTATATGCCTGTAATCCCAGCTACTCGGAAGGCTGAGGCAGGAGAATCGCTTGAACCCGGGAGGCAAAGGTTGCAGTGAGCTGAGATCACACTGCTGCACTCCAGCCTGGGCGACAGAGCAAGACTCTGTCTCTGGTGAAAAAAACTAGATCTCGTGAAACTTATTCACTATCACAAGAACAGCAAGGGAAAGACCCGCCCCCATTATTTAACTACCTCCCACCAGGTCCCGTCCATGACAGGTGGGAACTGTGGGAGCTAAAACTCAAGATGAGAATTGGGTGAGGACACAGCCAAACCATATCACATCCCCTCCACCTGAGAATAAGACCAACTAGTGGATGGGGTCATCCTCAGTGGTACAGGTAGGGAGGCCTGAGATTTAGTCTCTTTCCAGGGTCTTCAGTGGGGAACAGAGACCAGAACCCCTGCTGCCTTGGTGTTAGTCTTACTTCTACAATTCCCTTGACCTTCTCTCTGAGCTAGACAGGAGAAGCATGAGGCACCACTTCTACCAGCTCTGATCAAATCCACCTCTCCTTGCCTTTCCCTTGCCCTTGGGATAACTGCTGACTGTCCTTGCCCTTTGCTTACGTCAGTTACCAACATGACTTCCTCCTACCACAAGGCTCTGTTGCTTCACAGAGGGATAATTACAGAGTTCCTTCTTCCACAACAGGAACACCTCTAAGTTGGGACCTCCAGGCTCAGCCACCGATAGGCTAAATATGGAAAATAAAGAAATGTGTACACTTTTCTTAAAAAATAGCTGCTTTTGTCTTGCCACCCAATTCTATTTTGAATGCCAAAGCTGGGTATTACCTCATTCTTCCCTTTTGCATTCCTGTGCAACACTTCTGATGTTTTTTCCCAGAACTTGGGCTCTTGAGGTAGACTGGGATCAAGGACTTTTACTTAGAAAGACAGGATAAAAGGCTCAAGGGTAATTTTCAAAATGGGATAATGACCATAGCTTCCTTTGGAAGAGGCCAATCCAGGAGCCCCGTGGGCTGCCTTCCTCAGTGCTGCTGTGAGGTTTACTAATTTCATGCCTGGTTTTTGTGCTGTGCCCTTTAGAGGCAGAAAGGACAATCACTGGCTTTGAAAAAGTCCATGGTTGGTGATCTCTGGAGCTGATCTCTCGGTGAAGCTTAGTAAGGTGTTGCGAATAAGCATGAGAGTCAGGAATGGCCAGGGAACTCTGGATTCATTTCTGCTCACAGTTGCTTCTGTTTGCATTTTGCCCTCTGTCTGGCGGATGGTGAAGCCCAGTTGAAAGATGTGGAAATAAATGAAGGTCAGCCAAATGAGAAAAGCAGAAGCTGATTATTCGGAACTTGCTGTAGCAAGGGAGACGGCCACCATTGCTTGCGTTGGCAGAGACTCAAAGGCAGGCAGAGGAGTAGGAAACTTCAGAGTGGAGAAGGGAGGCTCGGCTGTTGGCTTGGTGTGCTGGAGGTGGCTGACCAGAAGCAAGTGTATTGAAGGATTGGAGGGGGAGCTGTATTAGTCAGGGTTCGCCAGAGGGACAGAACTAATAGGATCTACGTATATATGAAAGGGAGTTTATTAGGGAGAATTGGCTCACACAATCACAAGGCAAAGTCCCACCATAGGCCATCTGCAAGCTAGGGAAGAAAGAAGGCAGTAGTGGCTCAGTTTAAGTCCACAAGCCTCAAAAGTAGGGAATCTGACAGTGCAGGCTTCAGTCTGTGGCCAAAAGCCCTAGAGCCCCTGGCAAACCCACTGGTGTAAGTCCAAGAGTCCAAAGGCCGAAGAAACAGGAGTCTGATGTGCAAGGGAAGAAGGAGTGGAGGGAAGCATCCAGCATGGGAGAAAGATGACAACCAGAAGACTCGGCAAGCCAGCTTCTCCCACCTTCTTCCACCTGCTTCGTCCTAGCTGCGCTGGCAGCCAATTGCATGGTGCTCACACACATTGAGGGTGGGTCTTCCTCTCCCAGTCCACTGACTCAGATGTCAATCTCCTCTGGCAACACCCTCATAGACAAACCCAGAAACAATACTTTACCACCTATTTAGGCATCCTTCAATCCGATCAAGTTGACACCTGATATTAACCATCACAGGGGCCTATTTGGAGTTGGATTATGAGTTGGAAGTGGGGACAAACATTAGAGAAGCTGTCAGCTGCTAATCAAGTCCTGGCCACTTGGGGTTGGCTGTGGCAGGGGTTATTGTTTGGCTTTCTGAGCTGTTCTAGGGATGGTGATCTGACTTCTTCAAATCTGACTCATGACAACATGGCTTCCTGGGCTGGGTGTATAGGTAGGGCGTGGTTTCCTGGGCTGGCTGCTGCAATTGCGGGTCAGAGCTCTTTTTTTATGTATGGTCTTCCCATTGTTTGTTTGCATATTCAGTCTCAAAAAATAATCAAACCAACTTTTGGGAATGCAACCTCAGAGTATAGCATAAAACACCAGCACCTGAAACTCAGTCAAGGAAATTGACTGGCTGGTCCATGGGGCGCTGTCAAAGCCAGAGATTGAAACCCTGGCTGTGGCTGGAGAGAAATGAAGGCTGAGCACAATCTCCCCAGCATGGCCAAGGCCCCTGGAGGGGAAGAGCCTCACCAGCCCTAGAGGGTCCAGTAAGATAAATGACAGCTTTAAGGCACTGCTGGAAAGCCTGTCAGCAGGGGTGTCAGAGCCCTTCTGGTAATCATTCGTATCGCCTGCTCCATCCTTCTCTAGGCTCCAAGGAAGATTGAGGCCCCAGATTGGTCAGGAAAAGCACATTAAGAAAGTAGCACAGAGCAGTGTGCTCAGACTTTCTGATCTGAACCAAAGCCAAGACCAGCCTTGAGAATAGCTTTGTTCTGTTCTGTTCTAACGAAATAAAAATATTTAAATTAAATTCATATATGACCATTTCACCTTTTCATTGTGGTGTTGGACTCAGATTTTTTTTTTTTCTTTGAGACAGGGTCTTGCTCTGTCATCCAGGCTGGAGTTTAGTGGTGCAATCTTGGCTCACTGCAGCCTCGCCCTCCCAGGCTCAAACAATCCTCCCACCTCAGCCTTCCAAGCAGCTGGGACTACAGGCATGAACCACCATCCTGGCTAATTTTTTTTTTTTTTTGTAATTTTTGTAGAGATGGGGTTTCACCATGTTGCACAGGCTAGTCTCAAACTCCTGGGCTGAAGAGATCTGCCTGCCTTGCCTTCCCAAAGTGCTGGGATTACAGGTGAGAGCCTCTGCACCTGGTTAGACTCAGATTTTAATGGATCTCATGAGCAGTGGATATGGCATAAAAACCTGCCTAGACACGCACTGCTGACAAATCAAGTTTTGGCCCAAGCATTAGTTCAAACACCTAATTGGGCTTCCCCAGCCAGCACTATAAAAGTATTGCCCCACTGGGAGGGGAAAATATCTGTGGTCTAACAGGATATGGAATTCAGTGCTTTTATACCATGGTCTCCTTGTTCAGAGACCAGCCTTCTGTAGACATGATGGTGCTATTTATGGGTGCTGATGTAAAATTCACCCCTAAGAAGTTGTGCTATGTTAGAAAATTCCAAGGGCACTTCACGTTGGCATTTGGGGCCCTGTGCAGAGAAGGGGCTGAAGGGGCTCTTCAGGTATGACAAAGCTGGTGCCCAGCTCCCATGAGAACAGCCTGCAGAACTGTGCACAAATTAAACCTCTTTTCTTTATAAATTTTTACCCAGTCTCAGGTATTCCTTCCTAGCAATACAAGAATTGACTGATAACATGAAGGGACAGCCCTTAGTGCCCTTTGGTCAGGCCAGGACACACTCAGGGGGACCAAGAGCAGCCCCTGGTTTATACCCCAAACTCCTCAGTTTGGGAATTAGCTCTAGGTGTCTCATGCATTTGATTTTTTCCCTGTAACCATAGCTGCTCCCAGGCCAAGGAGCTCCAAGTCAGTGGCAGGGTTTGGGGGATGATAGGAAAACACACTGTTTTCTTCTCTGTACTGAAATAATATTCATATCTGATACCACATGTGGTGTGGGAGGTTTTTCACACCAACTAATTCCCCAACTCTCCAGACACAAACTGGGCATTGGATACATTAATTTCAATTATGACCCGAACTACCTGACCCCACAGATGAATGGCTCAGCCCCACAAGACTGCCCTCACTGTAGATGCCAAGCCCAAGTCCATACCTCCTGTATTTCTGATGGACCAGCTATAAATTGGAGTGATGCAACCTCCTGCTCACGTCTGAGTCTTTGCTAGGACAGCTCAGGGAAACACTCTACTTATATCTGTGGTTTATTACAGAGAATGTGATGAAGGACATGGATAAACAGCCCAGTCAAGAGGTGCACAGGGCAAGGTATGGGAATCGGGTGTGGAGCTTTGATGCCCTCTCCGGGCACACCACCCTCTAGACATTCCGACGTGTTCATCAACCCAGGAAGTCTCTAAGCCCTGTTGTTCAGGGGTTTTTATGGAGGTTTCATCATGCAGGCATAATTAATTATTAACACAATTTCTAGCCCCTCTCTCCTTCCTGGAGGATGGGGGTGGGGCTGAAAGTTCCAGGCTTCTAATCCCGGCTCTGTCTCCATCCAGGAGCCTCCAAGAGTCGCCTCATTAGAACAAAAGATGCGCTAGTCTCCTAGGAAATTCCAAGGGGTTTAGGAACTCTGTGTCAGCAACTCAGGTCAAAGATCAAATATTAGAACAAAGATTCTCCCAGCACCCCTACTACTCAGGAAATTGCAAGGATTTTGGGAGTTCTGTGCCAGGAACCAGCTGCTAAATATATACATATATTTTTTATGATGTCAAAAGGGGAACTACAGGCATTCTCCATTTCTCCCCTAGCGTCTTGAAATCCCAACCCTGATCTCCATCAGCGCTTGCAGATTGAGACAAACCCTCCTTTGAGGCACAGCTGTGCTTCTTCCGCTGGGACACGGTCGATAACTGTGGGCTTCAGATCAGCAGCACAACCTCCTGTTTCATCCCCTCTTCTCAGGCACCTCGGTGCTTGCAAATATCAGAAACTGTAAACTTTAAAGGAACATGGAAGCCCTTCCCAGGTTCTCCTTTCTCTTAAGCTCTTGATTCTTTTATGAGAAAGAGAAGATCTCCCTATGGGTCAATCCATGGCTGGAGAACAAAACCCGTCCATCTCATTATTCGTGGTGGCTGTGCAGGCTGCAAGACGCAGTGATGGTGCACCAGCCGCTTCCCCCAGAGGACTCCTTGGGCTCCTCGTAGTGTCCAGCCCAGCCCAGGAGTTGTTGCCCAAGCAGGTCAGCTTGGCTGCTGTTGGAAACAGAAGGTGGCTCGGGGCCTGGCTTCACTTTTCTGTAGCCAAACAGCTCTATTGGATGAGAGGCCAGTGTGGCTGGCATGTTGCTGTAGGGAAAGAGAAACAGTTTCCCCCTTACCCTTCCAAGAGTTCAGCTGGGACCCTTTTAACAAAAGATAAATTATCAAGAGAGAGAGAGAGACAAACAGAAGTTTCTATACATAAAGATACCTAAGGAAATGGTTGCCTCAAGGAGGCGGCTTAGCCTCAGGGCCAAGATACCTTTTACTGTTTCCAGAGCTTCTCCAGTGTCTGCTCTTCCTCAAAATAATCAGCTCACAATGCCAAAGAGGCCTATTTGGGAGCAGCGTATTCTGGTCTCCAACACTCATACAAGCACCCACAGGTACAGCCGTCCACCTGTGCCCCTGGGGTGGAATCCAAGCAGGGCCTCACCCTTCCTTCTGCAGGGCACTCCTGTTCAGTCCCAGGACACCTAGTCCACATCCCTGGATTTCTCAGCCCTTGGCTCTGCCATCCATCAAAGCTCCATGGTGGTCTCCTTTCACTCTTTCTGCCTTCAATGGAAAACCAGGTGAATATCACTTCTTCCAACAAGTGACCCTCAAATGTGAGCATTGCCTGTTATGAATGGATGGCGAGGCCACTTAAAAGAAGTTTGCATTGCCAATCATACCGTTGACCTTAAGACATTCTACCTGGTTTGGGAAGATGCATTCCCTCGTGGTTTCCTATTTAGAAGGCACAGGGGTTAGGGCATGAAGTCAGATGCAGCTGGGGGTGAAGAGGCAGGAAACATTTTTGGGAGATGAAGCTAAGTTGGCTCCATCCCTTGTCAGCCTCTTTGTCCTGAAGGCTCCTGTCTTGTTTTTGGCTTCATGGGACAAGACATAGAGTTAAGAAAACAGGATCCGTAGGCATTGAGAACCAGAGTTGAGCCTCTCCTCTTTCTCACTCCTGGGCACCTGCTGTGGTCACAGCAAAGGGCCTTGAGCAGAAGCTTCCTTGTCCAACTTCGTGCCCCATGGGGTTTGACACACACAGAAGGGTTTACTGTTCATCCATGTCCACAGGAGCCTGCCTTCTGCCATGCTTGTGAGAGGGTGGGCTGGGTGAGTCTTGGGCTCTCTGGCATTTATTCAGTGGATATTTACAGAGCATCTGTGGTGTGTCAGGCAGTGTTTTGGATGCTGGAATATACCACTGAGTAAAAAAGACCCAGTCCCCAGCCCAGCCCTAGAGGAGACGAGTTATGTTCCATCACCAGCACAGAAAGACAACTACTAAATGACAAACATGGTCGGTAACTGATAGAAGATATTAGAATGCATGCAGGGCTTGGAGTGGGGTGAAGGGGCAGGTTGCAGTGCCCACAGAGTGGGCAGCAGAGACCCTAGTGAGAAGGAGAGGTTTAAGCTGGAGGTGAAAGCCATTTGGGCTGGGGGAATCTGATGGAAGAATGTTCCCTGCAGCGGGGAGGACAGCTGGAGCAGCAAAGACCATGGGGAGCCTGCAGGGCACAGCAGATGACCTCGTGGGGCTGGGAGAGAAGTCCCGGAGTGGCAGGGGGCTGGGCTTTGCAGGGCTAAGGCTGTAAGGACTTCGGCTTTCTCTCTGGGTGAAATGGAAAACCACTGAAGCATTTCGATCAGAGGAGAGACATGACCTTACCCAGATTTAAAATGACCCCTCTAACTGCTACATTGAGGAGACCCCCTATGGGGCAAGAGCAAAAGTGTCAGAGGCCTTTGAACCAGAGTGACTCCATCTGGAACAGGAGCTGGGTGAAATAAGGCTGAGACCTACTAGGCTGCATTCCCAGAAGGTTAGGCATTCTAAGTCACAGGATGAGATAGAAGATAGGCACAAGATACAGATCATAAAGACCTTGCTGATAAAACAGGTTGCAGTAAGGAAGCCGGCTAAAACCCACCACAACCAAGACGGTGATAAGAGTGATCCCTGGTCGTCTTCACTGCTACACTCCCACCAGCTCCATGACAGTTTACAAATGCCATGCAACATCAGGAAGTTACCCTCTATGGTCTAAAAAGGGGATGCATGAATAATCCACCCCTTGTTTAGCATATCATCAAGAGATAACCATCAAAATGGGCAACCATAAGCCCTCGGAGCTGCTCTGTCTATAGAGTACCATTCTTTTATTTCTCTGCTTTCTTAATCAACTTGCTTTCACTTTACAGACTTGCCCGGAATTCTTTCTTGTGCGAGATCCAAGAACCCTCTTTTGGACCCCTTTCCTGTAACAAAAGGAGAAACAATTCAGTGGCCACTGCAGGAATCCAGGACAGGCAGATGATGGTGGCTCTGATCAAGCTGGAAGTGGTGGAGATAGGGAGGAATCGTCAGATGCTGGGGACATTTAGAAAGTAGAGGCAACAGGTTTTCTTGCAGATTGGATGAGAGGATGATACAAAGCAATGACTCCATGGATTTGGGCCTTTGAGACTAGAAGGATGGTGCTGGCATCAGCTAAGTGGGAGAAGGCTGTGAGTAGAGAAGGATTGGGTGGGAGCATCGGGAAGTCCTCATCGTGCTAGCTCAGTTGCTGATGCCTGGTCCACATCCAGGTGCGGATGCTGAGTAAGCGTTTGGATGCACAAGTCTGGGCATCAGGAGACAAGTCTGTGCCAGAGACATAAATGTTGATGTTGTTGGCACGTGTGTGGTGTTTAAAACAAGAGCCTGGCCAGACTCACCAAGGGGTGAGGGCAGAAGAGGCCCCCGCACCAGTGCTGAGCAACTCCAATGCCAGGAGCTTAGGGAACAAAGGGAGAACCCAACCAAGGAGGGAACCAGGAGCAACCACTGCACAGCAGGAGGAAATATGAGTGTGCAGCATCCACAGCCCAGTGAAGCCGCGAGGGAAGGAAGTGCTTGCAGGCAGGGGGAGTGATCACTGTGTCCAAGATGCCGTCAAGATGAGGACTGACAGTCGCCACTGGATTTGGCAAAGTGTGGACATTGGTGAACTTGAGGGCATGGATATTGACTCCAGAGTTCACAACTGGTCTTGAGATTTCAGCTCAGACAGCCCCAGAAAGTGAAGGCAGGCTGACCACCCTCCCTTATTTTTCTTTCCTTTCCTTGAGGTGTTCCCACAAGGACGTTCCTAGGGGTGCTCTTGTACTGTTGGAGGTGTGACCGGATAAGTGTGAGTATGGGACTGCAGGTGGCCTTTGGGAAGCCCTGCAGAGGGGAGCTTGTGGAGGAGCAAGGCAGGGTCCAGAGAGGAACATAGACTAGAAACCATTTCCAAGCTGGGTCCATCCGCTGCTGAAGCTGGAGTCACCCCATGCCTTGGAGTTTCTGATTCCATGGGGCAGCAGAACTCTTCTTTGTGCTAAAGTTTATTCAGATTATGTTTTAATAACTTGCAACTGATTTTTTTTTTTTGCAAGTAAAGTCTAGTGTCAATCACTGCATAGGGAGGGAGGGGGCTGAATTTGAAGTCAGCGTCTTTATTTCCCCAATTCTCTAAAGACCTGTAGTGCTCTCTACATGGTTACAAATCGTATTTCACACCAGGATTGCTTTATTCTCCCACCAGCTTCCCCCAAATAAGCAGGAATTGGTAGAAAGCATTTCAAGAGATTGTCATGGAGATGGAAAAAGTGTTCTAGAATAGATAATTGGAGAACAAATAACTGTTATTATTGGGATTATGTTATCACTGCCTTTGGTGTTTTAAATAAGCCCTCAGGAGGGGAAACTTTAGAACCAGAAATTGCTTAATAGGAGTTAATCTTTGCAAATTCCAGGGTGGGCAGGTGGAAAGAGGCTGAGGACTCAGAATCGTGAGGGTCCCTGCCCCTGTTCTGGCTTTAGAACCACCTGATGCTGTGAGCAGTGCATGTGCTCCAGGAACAAGGAGCAGCTAGAGCTTGCCGGGCTTTTTTAGATGTAGAGGAAATGAAAAGAACAAGAAAAAGGAAGAGCTTGCAACGGCCTATTCCCCACTGTGTCACAGAAGAATTTCCAAACACCCTACTTGGGAATGCACTTGATCCAAGGAGTGTGAGCTGGAGGAGGTAAGATGCCTCTGTCGGTGACTTGTCTGGAGCCTAACAGATGCCGGGTGCTCTTCACTTTTGGCTTCTGCATGTATCTTTTCATATTTCCCCAAACCCCCAGGGCGTGGCCTATGCCTATACATTTTTTGTTAACTCTAGTTTTCCATGACTGCTTGCTTCCCATCTCATGTCCTTGACAGCATGTATGCTAGATGGCAGCCATTGCCTTTGCCTTTTCACTTGCTTTGGGGAGTCTTCTCTCAGACCCATGGAAGTGAAACCTGCCTGAGGGCAGGAACCATTCAGTTCTGCTCACCATTGCATCACCTGGGTGTGGCCTAGCATCTGGCACACAGTAGGTGGCTCAAAAATATCTGTGAATGAATGAAAAATTGGATGAGGATCCCCAAAGGAGAGTAGCTTTTGGGTCTTTTCCTAGAAGTCACTGCTGTGTAGACACCTGTACAGGCTCCTGAAGATACGTGTAAGCCACGCTCACCCAAAGCATGTGGCCACATCTGTGTGCATGCTCCTTGCCTGGACACATGGCCTTGTCAGCACTTACAGAGAAGCCCAGGGAGAGAGATGCTTGCTCTCACTGCTTCTGGTCCATGTGGTCACCTGTGCTTAGCAGCCAATACTTGACTTCTTTTGGAAGCAGTCTTCTACACCTCAATATGGACCACCTGATGTCTGTCAGTTTATACCTGTAGATTCTCCTGACTATGGAGGAAGCAGGGCTTTCATCTCTGGGATGGCATGGAGCTGCTGCCTTTCATCTGTCAGTGCCCTTTTAAAAATAGCAAGTGCTGTTTATCCAGTCACAATAGCAAGTGGCTCCTGATGCTCAGCCTACAGGATATGCCACAAGTACAGGTGGAGTGTTCTTCATCCAAAAATCCAAAATCTGAAATGTTCCCAAATATGAAATGCTCCCCAAATTGAAACATTTTGAGCATCAATATGATGCTAAAGAAATACTCATTGGAGCACCATGAATTTCAGATTTTTGGATGAAGGATGCTCAACTGGTAAGTGTAATGCAAATATTCCAAAATCTGAAAAAATCTGAAATCTGAAACACTTCTGGTTCCAAACATTTTGGATAAGGGATTCTCAAACTGTACTACTGTTTTATGTTCTTTTAGAGTGTCTGAGTAGCCCTGGACAACCATGGGAGGAAGAAGAGACCAAGAAGCGAACATCTGGGATGGGTTATCCCCTGCGTCTGATATTCTAGACCGGAGGACTCACACAGAGGAAGGCAGGTTGCTAAGGCACTGTCAAAGCTGCCCAAAGACGACGTGTCAAAGTTGGCTTTCTTCTTCTAATACATCTTGAATTTCATGGATGTGACATTTTATTTCAAGAGGAAATCGATATTCTGATCGGCAAATAGACACAAATGTTGCATTCATTCTCCAAAATGTTACACCAACATTACAGACACTTTTTGTCCCCAGCAGGGCAAGAGGGGATGTTTGAACACATTTTGCTCAAATAGAAATAAGAGGGGAAAGGGGAAGAGAAAGGGCAGGAGGAAATGGTACGTAAACATTTGATTATGGAAATGACAGGACAGCTGCCTGCCTTAGCTTCCTACTGGGTCCGCACTTCCTGGATCAGAGGCAGAGGAATTCAAGCAATGGAGAGTGATGTTGGTTTAATTACCTGGCACAGCCTATACAGGCATGTGTTTTGGTGTGACCTTCTGTGCAGATTTGCTCAGCAATTTGTCTGTACTAGGGAAAGATGAATAAGTCATTGCAGCTGCCCTACAAGAGGCCTCCCCTCTTGTTTGGAATCCCATCCAGGGCACATGCTTCTGGAGGAAGACCTCATTCTTGCATCATCCAACCCACTGAGCCTTCCCTTTTAATGTCAGCAAGAACATTTCCTTAATCTGAGCTGCTTAACAATGCAGAGTCCATTGACAGGTGCTCTCTGGGTGAGTTCCCATAGGTGCTTTGCAGAAGGCATATTACCCCTTAGGACAAAGGAGTCCAGAGAGGGCAAGGGGCTGACTCAAGATCACACAGTGTATTAGTCCATTCTTATGCTGCTAATGAAGACATACCCGAGACTGGGCAATTTATAAAGGAAAGAGGTTTAATTGACTCACAGTTCAGCACGGCTGGGGTGGCCTCAGGAAACTTATAATCATGGTGGAAGGGGAGGAAAACACATCCTTCTTCACATGGCGGCAGCAAGGAGAAGTGCCTAGCAGAGGGGGAAAAGCCCCTTATAAAACCATCAGATCTTGTGAAAACTCACTACTATCACAAGAACAGAATAACTGCCCCTATGATTCAATTACCTTCCACTGGGTCTCTCCCATGACACATGAGGATTAAGGGAACGACAATTCAAGATGAGATTTGGGTAGGGACACAGCTTAACCATATCACACAGCAAGTAGGTGGCAGAACCTGGATTCAAACCCAGGTCTTCTTGACTGGGTTGATGCTTCCCCCAAACCCGGTAGCTGCAGACAAAAGTTGGGGCTCCTTAGAGAGCTCTGACTGAAGGTTCTTCCAGTTTCTTGAACACCTGATTCGTACCATCATTGATCACCTTTTGATTCAAGTCTTTGAAATCAATCTCCTGAGCAAACTTGGCACCATTCTTCCTCTTTCCTCTCATGCAGGTAACAAGGAGATGAGCAGAGGTGGCCTTGGTCCTCGTCATGTTGTGCATGGGTCTTTCCTCTCTCTGCTGTCCATCCTTTGCATGTCCAGAGAGTCCAAAAGGCTGATGAGTGGACAATCTGGCTCTTCAAGTGATGGATCTCAATACACTTGCTCGAGTTCCTCCCTCCCCATGATAATCCTGTGGCTCTCTGGAAAGGGCTCCTGCCAGCTCTGTGTGCCAAGGCTAGACCTGAGGGTAAGCTTCTTAAACTTGGGGCCATCCATAACTCTCAGAACTCAAAATTCTTGCTTCAAGAAGGAAGAACTGGAGTGGTTAGCAGACCAAAGGGGCTGAAAAGATTCTCTGCTTGACCAAACTCCAGCCAAGCCCCTGAACCTTCTCCTAGGCTCATCTGCACACTTCTTTGTGAAATCCAGTTTTAGCAAGAACTCAACTAAGCTGGTTTAGCCAGAATCTGCCATTCTCCATATCTGATCATCTTCAGTGTCTGATCAGGTTCCTTATCCTCCATTACCCCCTCGGTGATGTCTGATCACTTTGGCCTGTCTTCAGTAAAAATCCTATTAGGTCAGTTTATCCCAAACTCCAGAACTCCCCCAGGCTTACTCCTGATGTTTCCTCTTAGTAATTTTCCTCCACTGCTTCCCACCCTGCTCCTGGCTGTAAATTCCCACTTGCCTATGCTGTATTTGGAGCTGAGTCTGATCTGTCTTCTGCACTGCAAAATTTCATTGAAGTGGTCCCTACACTTATTTCAATGGCCCTGAATAAAATCTTTACTGTGCTTTAACATGTATCAGTGAATAATTTTTTTCTTTTAGCAAGGGAGAAGAGGCTCAGCCAGGAGAGAAGGTGGCTCAGCTGGGAAATCCCAGGCCTGCAAAGCACGAGAGCAGTAAAGTACCAATTGAGACCACATTTGGCCACATCATATAGGCAAGGGTCATTTCAACCTGGGTGCAAGTCCTGGATCTGCCATTTACTAATAGCTTATTCTTGCATTGTTATAAAGAAATACCTGAGGCTCATGTATTACTCGATTTTCACACTGCTGATAAAGACATACCTAAGACTGGGCAATTTACCAAAAAAAAAAAAAGTTTTAATTGAACTTAGAGTTCCACGTGGCTGGTGAAGTCTCACAATCATGGCAGAAGGCAAGGAGGAGCAAGTCACGTCTTATGTGGATGTCAGCAGGCAAAGAGAGGAAGAGTGCTTGTGCAGGGGAACTCCTCTTTTTAAAACCACCAGATCTCATGAGACTCACTCACCATTGCAAGAGCAGCATGAGAAAAAGCTGCCCTCATGAACCTCCCACTGGGAGAAAAATCACCTCCCACTGGGTCCCTCCCATGACACGTGGGAACTGTGTGAGTTACAATTCAAGATGAGATTTGGGTGGGGACACAGCCAAACCATATCTGCTGGGTAATTTATAAAGAAAATAGGTTTTTTTTTGACACAGAGTTTTGCTCTGTTGCCCAGGCTGGAGTGGCGTGGTACAATCTTGGTCCACTGCAACCTCCGCCTCCTGGGTTCAAGCAATTCTTCTGCCTCAGCCTCCTGAGTAGCTGGGATTACAGCTGCACAACAACATGCCTGGCTAATTTTTTGTATTTTTAGTTAAGTAGACATGGGGTTTCACCATGTTGGCCAGACTGGTCTCGAACTCCTGACCTCAACCGTTGATCTGCCCACCTTGGCCTCCCAAAGTGCTGGGATTACAGGTGTGAGCCACCACACCCAGCCAGAAAATAGTTTTATTTTGGCTCACAGTTCTGCTTGCTGTACAGGAAGCATGGTACCAGCATCTGCACCACATGGACCTCAGGAAGCTTCCAATCATGGCAGAAGGCAAAGGGGGACCAGGGCTTCACGTGATGAGAGAGGGAGCAAAAGAGAATGAGGGGGGAGGTGCCACACACTTTTAAACAGCCAAATCTTGCATAAATTAACTGAGTGATAATTTATTCATCACCAAGGAGGTGGTGTTAAACCATTCATGAGGGTCCCCCCACTGCCTTGATCCAATCACCTCCCACCAGGTCCCCCCAGTATTGGGAATCACATTTCAACATGAGGTCTGAAGGGCACAAACATGCAAACCGTATCAGGAAGTTTACATAGATTTCCTGGGGCTTGGTTTCCTCATCTGTAAAATGGGCATTATAATAGTACCCCCTTCAAATAGCTGTTGTGAAAAGAAAATAAGACAATGTACATAAGTAGTTAGCACCTGTCCCAAAGCTTGTGCCTAATGAAAAGCTCTTCTGTTGGTGGTGTTGGTATTGGTTGCATTGGTGGATAGGTGCAAGAGAGTCACTGTCAGAAAAATGAACTCCCCACTCCAGACCAGACTGAGTTCCAGTTTGTGCTGTGCTGTATTTTCCTCATCTATTAACCTTGAGATTTGGGCTAAAGCTATAGTTTTAAAGCATTTCTAAAGGTGTTAGGCTCATTCTTTAAGTTGTATGCAGACATGAGGTCACTTCTGGCTAGAATATGAAAAGTGACAGGAAACCTTTGCTTTCATCCCAACAACCAAAACAAGCAGGATACATGATGAAATCACAATTTATCTGAACTCATCAGATAGCTGAGAATGCAAAGAAAATAAGGGAAAATAACACCAGAAAGTGATGAGCCCTTGAGATAAGAGACTTGTGGCTGCCATCTTCCCTGATAGGGCAGCTACAGGAGGAGGTTTATGACCTGGAGGGACCCAGAGGGACCCAGCTAAAGCTGGCTAAAACTTGCACACACTTTCAATGGCCATGTGTGGCTTGGCATGGCAGGTTAGAATTTTGAAAGTCCCCAAAAAATCTGCACTAATCCATTCCTTCTTTCACACAGGTCTTCATAGAGTGCTTTACTGAGATATGCTCCCAAGGTACAAGGGGACATTCTCTAAGTTAAAGAATCTTCCCTCTGAGAGTTGCAGGGAGAGGGTATGCAGCAAGGCAGAGGACTTGAGAATAATCTATCCGAAGCCATCTGGAAAACTTTCAGCTGCTGAGAGATAGAGCATAGGAAATTATGCAGAGAGAAACTCCTTTGGGGAATTCCAGGAAGAGAGTAACCTTCCCAGGTGCTCAAGATCTGCAGCAGGCCTGGAGAACAAAGACAACTCAAAAATCTATCACCAGGCAGGAAGCAGAAAGAGTTTCCACAGATGGGAAAGCTGGTGGCTCAGCTATAAATTACAGAGACTCCTGGAATCTTTCCCATGCTCAGAACCCAAGTTCTGCAAAACAGAACGTCCTGATCCTGCTTTCAAAATATTTTGATTCAGCAGTGACAGAAGCAAACTAAAGCTACAGCAAAACCCAGACCCACCTGAACTACAGATTAGATTTTACCTCTCTAGTGGGCTGGCAGAAGAAGGGGTGTACCCTTTTCTGATCCTAAATACTGTTTACTTCAGTCACTAATGTTGTTGTATATAGACCACTTGACATACAATAAAAGATTCCAAGGCACACAAAGAAGCAATAAGATGTGACCTTGGTAAAGAGAAGGAACAGTCAATAGGAGCAAACCCATAGAGGCAACAGATGTGGGAATAATCAGACATGGACTTTTCAATAATTATAATAAATAATAATAAAGATCCAGGGTAAAAACTGAACTACAAATGGAATAAATAAAAATGAATAATGAAATTTCTAAAGAATCACTGTAGAATAAGAGAAACAGAAAATCACAACCAGAAAATCACAGTAATAATTACCACTGGCAAGACCCATTGATAAATGCTAAAATTAATGGGTAAAACTTTAAGGAGAAACAGAGTATTTGTATAACCTCAAAATACCTTCTCCAAAATGTTTGTTGATGGCTATGGTGGTTTTACATATGTTCAGAGATTCTATTTTTACTTCTCCCTTCAGGAGTTGGAGCTTAATTCCACTCCTCTTGAGTATGTGCTTGATTTAGTGACTCACTTCCAAAGAATATAGTATAAAAAGGAAAAAAAGTAGTTGCTGCACATCAGAGAAACTGGCAGACATCTCTTTAGTGAAATTATCAAGGTTAACATTACCAGGAATAAATAATTTTGCTATTATGTGCTGATATAGTTTGGCTGTGTCCCCACTCAAATCTCACCTTGAATTGTAGCTCCTATAATCCCCATGTGTCATGGGAGGGAGTCAGTGGGACATAATAGAATCATGAGGGCAAGTTTTTCCTGTGCTATTCTCATGATAGTGAATAAATCTCATGAGATCTGATGATTTTATAAAAGGGAGTTCCCTTGCACATGACGTCTTGCCTGCTGCCATGTAAGACATGCCTTTGCTCTTCCTTCATCTTCTGCCATGATTGTGAGACCTCCCCAACCATGTGGAACTCTGAGTCCATTAAACCTCTTTCCTTTATAAATTACCTGGTCTCTGGTATGTTTTTATTAGCAGCATGAGAACTGACTAATACATATGCCCCCTGACATGATGTAATAAGAAAGGCACTTCATGCCTGTAGTATAATTCTCTAAAATCCATAACCCCGGTTTGACCATGGAAAAAAGAAAGTTAAATAAATCCAAATTCAGGGACATTCTACAAAGTAGTTGACCAATGAGCTTCAGAAGTATCAGGGTCATGAAAGAGAAGGAAAGACCACAAAACTGTCATAGATTAGAGGATGTGAAAGATACATATATTTAGATACAATGCATTCTGGTATATTGGTTCCCAGATCAGAAAATAAAAATTGGGGAAAAACTGGTAAAATCCGAAGGACATCTGTGTTTCAATAGTCTATTGTTTAGTTAATTGTATTGTATCAATGTTAATTTATTACTTTTGTAAATGTACCAAACAAATGGTTATATAAGATTTCAACCCAGGTGCAAGCCCTTTATCTACTCCTTCCTTAGAGGAGTACTTGGCAATTCCTTTTCTGTAAAAAGTGAGATGGTGTCTTGGTCTGTTCAGGCTGCTATAACAAACCGCCACAGACAAGCTGGCTTATAAACAACACTAATTTGTTTCTCACACTTTTGGAGACTGGGAAGTACAAGATAAAAATACTGGCAGATTTGGTATCTGGTGAGGGCCCACTTTTGGTTCACGGATGGATATTTTCTCATTTTCTCATATTTTCTCACCATGTGTCCTCACATAGTGGAAGGGGTGAGTGATCTCTCTCAGTCTATTTTATAGCAGCACTAATCCCATTTATGAGGGCTCTGCCCTCATGAAATAGTCACCCACCAATGATGTCATCTCCTAATGTTTAAATCCTAAACCTTGGGACTTAGGATTTAAACATACACATTTTGGGGCCACAAAACATCCAGTTTATAGCAGCTGGTAAACACTGCAGGCTTTACAGGTCATATGGCTTTGGTTATGACTAATCAACTTCATCATCATAGTACAAAAGCAGCCATAGGTAATAAATGAATGAATGTGGTGGTGTAAATAAAACATTATTTACAGAAGCAGTCAGTAAGCTAAATTTATCTCATGGGTTGCAGTTAGTCGAAATGAATTAGAGAAACCTGGATAAGCATACAAGAACTCTATGTACTTCTTTGAAGCAACTCTTATAAATCTAAATTTATTTCAAAATAAAAAGTTTATTAAAAAACAGTGAAGAGGAAGCTATAAAAATCAAATGGAAATGCTGCATATTTGAATTACAATATCAGAAATGAAGAATTTGTTAGATGGGCTTAAGAGAAGACTGAACTCAACACAGGAATGTATCAGTATACTTGAAGAGGGATCAATAGAAAATATCCAAATTGAAATTCAAACAATCATAAAAGATAAAAAAGACTATTCACAATCTGCGGATGGTAACAAGTAATAAAAACTACATGTATTTAGAGCCCAGGAGGCGGGAAGACAGAAAACAAAACAGAAGAAATAATAAAAAAGGGAATGGCCGAGAACTTTCCAACACTGATGAAAGTCATTAACCCACAGATTCAAGAAGCTAAAAAAAAATCCAAACAGAATAAATACAAAGAAGTACATATATCAAATTCAACCTGATGGAAGCCAAAGATAAAGAAGAAAATATAAAAATAGAGAGAGATAAAAAGACACATTTTATGCAGGGGAATGACATGAATTATGGCTGATTTCTCATCAGAAACACTGGCTATCATAAGACAATGTAATGACATCTTTAAAGTAGGAGAAAAACAAACAAAAATCTGTCAATCTAGAATTATATGTTTAGAGATAGTAGTCTTCAAATATGAAGGATAATTGAAGATGTTGTTAGACAGACAAAAGCTGAGATAATTTATTGCCAATAGACCTATATTACAAGAACTGCTGAAAATAATATTATTCAGGTTGAGGGCAAAGATACCAGATAAAACTCTAGAACCACAGGAAGTGAGAAAGAACACCAGAAAGGGCAAATATCTGGGAAGTAGTAAATACAGATACCTTTCTCTGTTTAGTATAGATATATACATTTAAAAAGACCATTGACTCTTTAAAAAAATAAAATATTTTATTATGGGGTTTGGAATACATGCAAAAGTAAAATATGGAAAAAATCATAAAGAACGATGGGGTAACTGGAATTATACTGTTGTAAGATTCTTGCACTGTTTTTGAAGAAGTATAATATTATTTAAAAGTAAGTATGCTGTCTTAAAGATGAATACGGTAATCGCTGATTAGTCACTAAAACATAACTTAAAAAAAGATATAGCTAAAACATAACACAGTAAATAAAATGAGATTTTGGAAAATGTGATTCACTCAAAAAGAGAAAGAGGGAGGCAAACTAATAACAAATAGGGTAAATAAAAGCAAAATGCCAAAATTGTAGTGTTAAACCCAATCTTACCAAAATATTACTGCAAGTAAATAGACTAAACACATTATTAAAACACATTGAGTATCAAACTGGATATAAAAGCAAGACCCACCCATATGCTGCTTACCAGAAACAATTAAAATACTAAGACATAAAAGGCTGAAAGTCAAAAGGATAGAAAATGATATACTATGCAAACCTTAAGCATAACCAGCCAGTATGGCATTAATATCAGAAAAAGTGAACTTCCCTAAAGGTGGCACCACTAGGGTTAAAGAGGTGCAAAACACAATGATAATTACAGAGTTTGTCAAAAACAAAGAACAATCCTAAATGAGTATGCAGCTAACAACAAAACTTCAAAATGTATGAAGCAATGTAGACAGAACTAAAGGTATAAGTAGACAAATTCACAATAATAGAAATACTAAAACCAGTCTTTCAGTAACTAACAGAACAAATAGAGAAACAATTAGCAAATACATAAGATTTAAACAATACTTTCAACCAACTTAATTGATAGGCAAAGACCTCAATTAAAAGTGAGAAGACTTGAACAAATACTTCATCAAAGAAAATAGATATGAAAAGTTAGTCAGTGCCATCAGTAATTAGGAAAATCCAAATTAAAACTACAATGATAATCCCAGCTACAGAGATGGGGGCTGAGGCAAGAGAATCACTTGAACCTGGGAGGTGGAGGTTGCAGTGAGCCGAGTGCCACTGCACTCCAGTCTGGGTGACAGAGCGAGACTCTGTCTCAAAACAACAAAAAACAAAAACAAAAACAAACAAACAAAAACTACCATGACACAATGTTTCACACATACTAGAACGATTACAGTTAGAACACCAAACATTGGCAAGAATTTGGAGTAACTGGAGCTCTCCTTTCCAAGTGAGTCCCTAGAGAAATTGAGGTACAGATAACCCAGATGGTGGGAATGGTCCCTAAACAGGTTGTCCTTCCCCAGCCCTTAGTGGGTCTCACCACAGTGACTCCGCCTTGTGTCTTCTGGCTTCTCTGAGTGAACTGGGCTCCAGCTCTGCTGAACAGAGAATGGCCCCAACTCAACCCCTTTCTGAAAATGTCCTTGTGAATTTGCTCAACTCCTTCCTGTCATGGTGGAAAAGTTGAGGCTTCTCTTTTCCGAGACTGACCTCTCCGCTTCTGTCCCTGATCTCAGCCCCTGGTCATCTGCCTAGATAAATATTGCCTCTTTCTGCAATATTTTCTCTCTCTTTTCACAGACTTTCTGGTTCCTTCTCCTCTATCTACAGATGGGCTTGATTCTCCCTTGGTTCCATTGCTTCACTCTGTTCTGATGCATTCTGTTCCCCCTGCCAAGTGTGTTCGCGTGTTGGTCTATTCTTGCTTCCTCCACTTCTTCACCACCTAGTCCTCCTATTGATGGTCCTTTTGCCTCCTAGAACTGATCACAGAACACCAGTGAATTTGCTCCACTACCACCTTTCCAGTGTATGAAGAAGTTAACACTCCCGACTTCTGTGCCCATCTTGAAACTTGGTTTCTGAAACATTATATTCTCTGTCTTCATTTTTCCTGCCCCCTATGGCAGACACTGACACAGCTAACACAGCATTAACTTCCTTCTTCTTTATGACCCAAGCAGAAATAGGAGAATCTCATTTTCCAGCCTTCTTCAATACTACAGAAAGTGGCCAGGTGACATGGTGCTCACCAGTGAGCATGCATCAGAGTCCTCTGGGGACACTCCTGATAATGCAGACAAATGCTGCACCCCATCCCCTCATTTTCACCTTGGGTGCAGGTGTGATCACCTTGAGACCACAGAATGACAAGGCGTCACAGAAATATCAGGCCTGACCTCACTGAGATGTTGAATCAAGACCAGCCGCTCCCAAACTCCAGATTCTTGTTTTATGGAAACAAAGAAAGTACCTAATTTTTATTTTTTAACATTTATTTATTTATTTATTAAGAGACAGAGTCTTGCTCTGTCACCCAGGCTGGAGTGTAGTGGCAGCTCACTGTAACCTCTGCCTCCCGGGTTCAAGCGATTCTTGTGCCTCAGTCTCCTGAGTAGCTGGGATTACAGGTGCCCACCACCATGCCTGGCTAATTTTTGTATTTTTAGTAGAGGTGGAGTTTCACCATGTTGGCCAGGCTGGTCTCAAACTGCTGACCTCAGGTGATCCACCTGCATTGGCCTCCCAAAGTTCTGGGATTACAGGTGTGAGCCACAGTGCCTTGCCACCCAATTTTTACATTTTTTTTTCATTAAGTGCAGCCAAAAGCATTCCTCGTGAACAGACTTCCTTCTGTATGTTTTAAATAAGAAAGGATTCCAAGACTCACTCTGGTGCCTGTCTCCTCCATCTACTCACATGTCTTCCTCTCTGCCAGGTGAGGGCGACCTTGAATCTGGGTCTCACATCCTAGCTCTTGACTGAGCTCCTGTCCTGAATGTCCTCCTGTCTTCCAGAAAGCCTCCTCGATGCACGCCCAGCCAAGGTGCCAACATGTTAGCAACTGAACTTCTCATTTCTATGTACAAACCCTTCTCTTTCTCATTTATTTATTTGTTCTTTTCCTCATTTTTTTCTCCTTCCTGATAATATCTCCATCTCCTCTCACTCAGGAACAAAAGCTGGACATCCCTGTGTGTGCCCCCATCCTGTAAGCTAACACATTGGTTCTGAGTTCTGTAGATTCTGACAATTCCTCTCTCATCTCAACATCTCCTCTGTTCATGTCCTTGGCACATGGGATTACCTCTTGTGACCTCTCCTTGGACCATTTAGTGGTCTCTCCACCTGCAGCCTCTCTCCGTTTTAAGCCCCCAGATCTATCATTTTGAAGCATAGCTCTAACCTCATGACATTAACTTCCTCAGGCTGTGTGTTAGTCTGTTTTCATGCTGTGGATAAAGACATACCTGAGACTGGGCGATTTGCAAAAGAAAGAGGTTTAATGGACTTACGGTTCCATGAGGTTGGGGAAGCCTCATAATCATGGCAGAAGGCAAGGAAGAGCAAGTCACATTGAACATGGATGGCAGCAGGCAAAGAGAGAGCTTGTGCAGGGAAATTCCCCCTTATAAAACCATCAGATCTCATGAGACTTATCCACTATCATGAGAACAATACGGGAAAGACCCACCCCTATGATTCAATTACCTCTCATGAGGTTCCTCCCACGAACCATGACATGTGGGAATTGTGTGAGTTACAATTTGAAATGAGATTTGGGTGGGGACACGGCCAAACCATATCAGGCTGCAATGACATAAACAGACCCTTCTCTATAAGAAAAAGCCCCAAATCTCAAATCTGACCTTTAAGCCACCCCTCCCCCTCCACCTTCTCCTTCAAATGACAGGATCTGATGTTCAGAAGTCTTTGGCTATGTACCAGGCCCTTCATCAACTGTGTTTCTTTGCATTTGCACAGATGAGAAATTGAGTTGCAGAAATCTTAGGCAACCTGGACAACTGACAGGTGGCAGGGCTGGGCTGTGAACCGGGCATCAGAAGCCAAATCTCTAGCCCTTAGCCCCATGGCTTCTCCTTCAGCCACACATATCCCTCTCTCCTCTGCTCCTGGCCTCTTCCCACCTTCCCGGCTCTTCAGGTTTAATTCTTTCCCTTGTGTGGTGCCCTCCTCCCTTGGCCTGTGTGCCCAGATCTCATTCAATCTTCAGTAAGGAATTCAAATATCTACCTTTCTCCCAAACTTTCCTTGAGCTGTCTATAGAAGCACTGGCCCTTCCACTGACCTCTGAAAACCCCAGACGGGGGAGTTGGACTCTGGTCCCTTCCTCACTGATCTCCAGTATGCAAGTTCCTGAGGGGACTGCTAGCATCTCAGGGACTTCTGGGGCTGCAGAGTCACTGACACACTGTAGGTGGTCAACAGTGATGCTTGCAGCCTGCAGCAGCCTTGGATCCTGGTTGATGGTTGTAGAAACAGACAGGGCTCATGCAATATCCTGGAAGACAGGAGGACATTCAGGACAGGAGCTCAGGAAATAGCCAGGATGTGAGACCCAGACTTCATGGCCCATGATGGGGATGAGTGTCAGGTTACGGAGATTGAGAAGTGCGCCTAGAAGTGCTTTTCCTGGGGATGGTGAATGTTTGCTTGCATGCCATGTCTTCCCAGCATCAGGGGCTTTCAGTGGGGATCAGACTAGAGCAGAACATAATTTTCATTATGCTTTTCAGCAACCAGCCAGCAAATGAGATGACACTTTGACAGGCAGCACTCTGGGGCTCCAGCGACTTCGGTGCCAGCTGGGCCCTCCATAATAAGGCAGAAATGGCAGCGATAAGCCGTGCAGTCAGTAAACAACCACAGCTCTCTCCTAGTGGTGACTCTTGCTGGGGACTGACAGCAAGGATGGGATGAGCTTCCACACCCTGGACTTCCTGTCCCCAGCCCCTCATCCTGCTTCTTGCACATGACAGATGCTTGCTAAGTATTTTTGTTGCCTCTGTCTGTGTGACCATTGTCATGCTTTCCACCTGTTGCTGGTGCCATGGAGTCTGTGAGCTTCCTGAATGGAGCCTGAGAATGTCCTCAGAGGACCAGGGAGTGGGAGGAGGTAATGATGAGAGAAGATGCTGCCAGGGAAACAGATTTGTTGTTCAGGAATAAATGTGTGAAGTTGCTGCCAGTGGCTGTGGAGGGCGGGGGCTAAAAACTGAGAGCTTGTCAAAAGGAGTGGGGGGTCACCCTGCCAGCTTCGGGAGGGAGGCCTGGGCTCCTGACCCATGAGAAGAGAGGACACGGGGAACAGAAGTTTCCTTTTGGCATCTGAGAACAGGAGGTCCTTCCAGCAGCCCTAGAAATTCCAGTCTGTTCCATTTTATTCAACCCACAGGACAAGAGTAGATGTGTCCCTGAAGTGTCCCAGGCTCTGGGTGGGGCAGTCCAACGAAGACGACAAGCAGACCCTCTGCCAAGGAACTCACACCTTACTGAGGAAGGAAGTGACGTCAACACGGTGGAGGAAGTGACATCAACATGGTGGAGGAAGTGACGTCAATATGACGCATGGGGAGGGGTGGTGGTGGTGACGTCAACATGCCGGAGGAAATGGCATCAACACAGTGCTGGCGAGGCTTGGTTCTGGGGCACGCAGTGTGTGTGCAGGGACTTAACCCAGCTTGGAGTGTGTAAGAGTTTTCTGGGGTTGCCATAACAAAGGACTACAAACTGGGTGGCTTAAAACAATGGGAATTTGGCCGGGCATGGTGTCTCTCGCCTGGTAATCCCAGCACTTTGGGAAGCCGAGGTGGGAAGATCACAGGTCAAGAGTTCGAGACCAGCCTGGCCAACATGGTGAAACCCCGTTTCTACTAAAAATACAAAAATTAGCTGGGTGGGGTGGCACATGCCTGTAATCCCAGCTACTTGGGAGACTGAGGCAGGAGAATTGCTTGAACCCGGGAGGTGGAGGTTGCAGTGAGCTGAGATCACGCCTTTGCACTCCAGCCTGGGTGACAGAGCAAGACTCAAAAAACAAGGGTGCGAGGAGCTAATGTCCCTTTTTAGTATGCCTGCTGCTTCCCTCTTTGCCTGCTATTGAACTATTCATCTATAACATTTGTAGGCCTATTAAGAGGGAAATACAATTTCATAGCTACAGATAAGAGATTAGACAGATCAATTTGAAGTCTGTGGAATAGACTGGGGCAGGGGGAGAACAATTTCCAAATTATGATCTTGCTGACTTTGGGGCTGTTGGTTTATTGGATTGCAGCCTGTCTCCCGAGTGCATCGGGTATTATTTTTGAGCAATAGGGCCAGCAGTCTATCGTCAAGTGCTTAAAGCCACTTAGGGGTGCCAGGGACCGGGGCTCCATTGACTAGGGGTGTGGAAGCCTGCTCAGAGCGGTGGAATGTCATTATGTTTTGTCTTCTAGTTGTGGGTGTGCAAGTTTCTCAGCTGGAGTGTGAAGTTCTGGGCTTTGCAGGGTGCACTTATTCCAGTGAAGTACAGTGGCTAATGGCACAAAACGAAATGACCTGTTCACACAGCATCTCCTCAGAGGACCCCTCCACGAGGCTTTGATACTTGTTAGCAGCATACATTACCCGCTGAATGCTGCCAGAGCACGGGTTTGCATCAAACGTTTGACAAAGGCCTAATCCTCCCTAGGGAGGCTGGGGGTCCCCTCTGCCTCCTTTGGCAGCTGGTCTGGTCTCTGTCTCTTTCCCTTTGCACCTGCTTACTACAGTATTTACCTCACGTCTCCCCCGCCATCCCTCCAGCCCCTGTCCTCTTGTTCTTCCCTTCCTTCCTGTGACCTCTCATGGAACTTCCTGTGGATGCTGCCAGGGGCAGGTGTTTTTACCCAAGTCCCAAGAATTCTTAGAAGGGCACTCAGGCGTTTACTTTCATCCATAGAGCTAAAACATTTTAGAGCTAGAAGGGATCTCAGTATTGGCTGCACGACCTTGAGAAATTTTCTAACCACTGAGTGCCTTAGCTATTAAAGGTGGCTAGCCATGGTATTTGTCTCATGGGGTGGATGAAGTTAGCCATGGAAAAGGTTCAGCAGCAGGTGACAAAGAGCAAGTCCTGAAAGTCCGGAATAGATATTAGCTACCATCACCACCATCATCATCACCACTACCATCATCACAACCATTATCAGTATCACCATTACCACAACCACAACCACCACCATCACCATCATTTCTACCACTACCATCACTATCATAACCATTACCACCATCATACTCACCACCACCATCAAAATCATCATCATTTTTGTTATCACCATCATCATTATCATCATCACTGCCACCACTGTCACCATCATCACCATCATCATTATCAATTATCTAGTCCAACCCCTTCATGGTCCAGGTAAGAGTGTTCGGGTGCCTTTATGAATATTTTCTCCCCACATTTTGAGAAAGAAACAGGCATACATACATGCACACACATGTACATAAGAGGGGGTTTTAAAAAAAGGAAAAACGGGAGATATGTTTCACGTGTGTATCTCTGAGTCTTGGTGGAAACAGGATATGTTTGGAAAATGAGTCAGAAACAGAGGGGAAGAGACATTAGCATGCTGAGGGGCAGTAAGGTTACTGATCCTAGCTGAGATTGAAGCCTTTGGCCTTTGTCTTGCTCCTTTTTTTTTTCTTTACAAGTAGCAGCTCAGCACTTTTGGAGATATTGTCATGTTCACATTATAAACATCAAGGTGATTACCAGTTAAGTGGAGGTGACATCACCTCTTGTCTTTCAGGCTGAATGAAATTGGTGAAAAGCCTTGGTTCTTCCCATGAAACATTAGTTTAAATTCCAAAACAGAGACCAGAAGCAACAATGCAATATGGATTAGCACATTTCTGCTGTTGGGACTTTGCCCGTTGCCATGGAATTTCAGTAGAAACCCCCGAGCTGAGATCAATAGATAACCCATGTCTCCAGGTTCAAAGGAGAAGTAAGACTCCATGGCACCTGCAGAACTTGCTAAGAGAGAGTGAAACTGGTTCTCTGACCCTGTCACCCGCCTCCAGCACACATAAGAGAAGATAAGAAAGTAAAAAGAGATTGATCAGGGAAGGAGGGTCCACCTAGTTCCATCCTTTCCCTGGGCGGGGGCTCAGAGTAAGATTTTTGCCTGATTCAAGTGAGTCTTCAAGAAGGCTGCTTTGCGTGAATGGGGCATAAAACATCTCATTCGATTTGTGAGAGCTGCAACCAGCTGCCCCAAGCTGTTAGGTATTTCGGCAATTGGTGGTAACAGAGTGCTTGGGAGGATTTGATCGAAGCCCCAGACTTTGCAGAGCCTGGGATTGGAGCCTGACTCTCACCTGTCACATCATCTAGGCAAGGGCCAGCTGGATTGCCTGATGGCCAAGAGAAGGGAGAGATCAGCAGTGGGAGTGGCTTTCATTTCCAGAGTTGGGGGTGGGGATGAAGTCACCCAGTTTTCCCATGAGCTTAGTGGTTATTTTGGAAAATAAGCAGGCTCAAAGTGTCTTCAGAAGACCCAGTTCAAAAGGGCTGCTGGCATGAACAAGCCAATCCCAGCAGACAGTGGCGGTGAATTAGTCATGCCAAGCCTGGTTATGCTAGAGTCACGGGCACTTTCCAGACGCCAGTGGAATGGCTCCACAAAAGGTTACTTCTTGCAGATGCTCAGCAACTCTCCAGAGTGGCTGCACTCTGTGACCTCTTTTCCCGGCTGGTTCAATTTCATGTTGACTGGGCATCCTCATGTTTCCCGGAGTGCACAGCAGGGGAAGGGACGGTGAGGAACAGAGCACTAGCATTTACACGTCCCAGTGTATGGGTCAAGGTGCATTGTGCAGCCATGCTGAAGTTCAAGGGGGCCGGGAAAATACAGTAGAAGAGAATCACATGTTGGTGCCCAGTGGCAATGCCTACCACAGAGAGGACATCTCTTAAGTCAGGCTTATAATTGTGGGTAGGGAATGTTAAAAAATCCCAAACAAGAAGTACGTCCCAAGGGAAAGAGCCAGTGTTGGGCATCAGTCAGCAGAGAGCTTCATGGCCATATCCCAGCAATCCCAACAAACAAGATTTTTGCCTTTGAGGCTGCCATCAGTAGTCCCCTGCCCAGCCCTGGTGGGCCTAGAGCAGTGGGTATTAAGAAATCACAGACCGGCCAGGCGCAGTGGCTCATGCCTGTAATCCCAGCACTTTGGGAGGCCGAGGTGGGTGGATCACCTGAGGTCAGGAGTTCGAGACCAGACTGGCAGACATGGTGAAACCCTGTCTCTACTAATAATACAAAAATTAGCCGGGCGGGGTGGTGCACGCCTGTAATCCCAGCTACTCTGGGGGCTGAGGCAGGAGAATTGCTGGAACCCGGGAGGCGGAGGTTGCAATGAGCCAAGATCACGTCATTGCACTCCAGCCTGGGTAACAAGAGTGAAACTCTGTCTCAAAAAAAAAAAAAAAAAAAAAAAGAAAAGAAAAGAAAGAAATCATAGACTGTCTTCCACTTACCTTCTGGTGGGCTGAATTCATTGACTCAACTGAACTTGGTGGGAGGAGAAGAAATGTCAGATTGGATTAGAAAATGGAAGTTTTGCTTTAGATTGAGCTGGACTTTTAACTACCTGCTCTAAGAGAGTGAGGCTGCTCTTAGGGACACCAAGTACATTCACACAGGTCGTGCCCTGCACAAGTGTGTCTGATTGAGTAGTAGATGCTACTACTACTGACTGTGTCTGAATGAGTCTGAATGAGTGAGTAGATGCTAAAACCTACTCTAAGCTCATGTGCCACAACTTGCATCCCCAATAAGGGGGCTGCATTGGTCCATAGGGAGAGATACCCTTTGTCTAATTCATCTGTCCAGAGGTCACGTCTTAGAAATTTGCAGAAAAACATCATATATGCTATGGGCGGCCCTGACCATTCTAGTACCTGAAAGCACGCAGAAAACCCTGGTGATCTACCTGAGCTGTGTCTACGTGGGAGAGCCAGCCCAGCACAGTTGAAGGACAGTGGTGAGAGGAAAGTAAATTTCCATCTTAATTGAATCTCACTGAATTCAGCCCATGCAATTAAGTAATCACAATGTGCCACTGCAAGAAGTGAAAGGGAAATATATGTGGCTCAACTAAATTGGTGGATGGCTAGGATGATGGGGACCTGCCCAGGGCCTTGTGGATCAATAGGTTGTCTTCTGGGGTACTGGTATTCCTCTACTTCCATGGTGAATAGTGCAAGCATCATAAGACCCAGACCCAAGTCTGGACTGTGCTACTAACTAGCTGTAACATCTGGAGAAAACCACCTGTCTTCTCTGGGCCTCAGTTCCTGCTGTCTAAAATGAGGATGTAGGACCAGATGAACTAGCATTCCTTTTCATTGCCGTGATGATGTTGACAATGAACGTTACAATATCTGACACATGTGGTTCTCATTATAAGCTAGGCAATAGAGTGAGTGCATGCATCTATGTTAACTCATTCCCATGGAGGAGGTACTGTGGTTATGCCCATTTCACAGATGAGAAAACAGACTCAGAGAGGTTATGTCATTTGCCCCACATGTCTCTGCTGGTGAGTGGTGAAATGGGCTCTGAACCTACTCTGATTCTCGGGCCCTGTATTCTTCTCCCCATGCTCCAAGGCCTCCCTAACACCCAGGGAGGATCGGGGGTCCCCTAGTGGAGGCTGTCGCCTGGCACTATGCTTGGTGCTTTCATCTACAGCTCCATCCACCCCGGGGACCATCCTGAGATACCCTTTATCCTGAGACACCCTTTATCCTGAGACACCCCTTTATCCTGAGACACCCTTTACCCTGAGACACCCTTTATCCTGAGACACGCTTTATCCTGTTCTATAGCTGAGAGCATCAGGACCCTGGATACCATGCAATTTGCCCGAGGTCTGGGGAGTGGACAGCCCTGGACTCAGACCCAAGGCTGCCTGATGCCAAAGCAAGAGCTTTTCTCCTGTGCCAACCCTCGTTCAATAAACTCAGGGAGGCAGGACTGTGTCTGTGCTGCAGTCACGCTGCTGTGGCTTTGCCTGTTCGGGCTCGCTGGTCTGGTCCCTGGGAAAGCAGCTTGTAAAGGGCTGAGGTGTGAGTTCAGGGGGTCTATGGTGCACCACAAGCTGATCCCTACATGGACAGAAATCCCCTGGCAGCCTCTGGAGCATGGGTTCCTACTACCCAGTCCTGGACAGTGGACTTGGCTTTGCTGAGTGTTCAGAAGGATTCAAGCCCCAAAGTCTTCCCCATCAAAGCAACCCTTGATGTGGAGCTGTTTTCCAGGACAGGGTTGGAATGAAGTTCCCGAGGCTTTGGGCTCCCCCCGGGTTCCCTGCAGCACCAGTGAAGGACAAAATCGTGGCTCCACGGTGGTCCTGCAGCCTTGGCATCAGTCAGCCTGTTCCCCTCCAGAAGGATGTGCCCAGGCTTCGGAGCCTGTCTCCTGGCAGCGAGGATGCTGTCCCGGCAGCGGCCCATGCTGGTCAGCATAGCCCATGCAGTGCTACTGGCTTCTTAGACACAACAGGATGCCCACGCACTGCTTCTCTGCAGTCAGTGCTACCTGCAGAACCAAAGATTCCACATCTTCCCAGCTTGATTGGAAATGGAGCCACTGAGTGTCTAGAGGTGCACTATCCAATCTGACAGCCCCTGGCCACGTTCGGCAGTGTGGCTCTTCTTAACCCAGATGTGCTGTGTCAAATACTCGCTGGATCTGAAGGATTCAGTAGGAACAAAAAAATGTAAAATGACTGACCAATAATTTTTATATTGATCCTATGTTGAAATAACACTTTTGATCTGTTGGGCAAGAGAGTATAATGTAACACCAGATTTTGAAAGGAATGGCAAAAATCGCAATTACTTTTGCACCAACCTAGTAACATAAAAAATGATTTTATCTGCTTATCTTTTTCAATTTTTAAAAGCATGCAGTTGCTAAAATTTTAAATTATGTCTGTGGCTCACATCTGATTTCAATGGGGCAGCCCTGTGGCTGGGGTGAGAACTCAGCCTTGGGGACAGGAACTTGGAGCAGATTTCAGGTGGCATTAGGCAGTGAGGCCACGAGCTCTACGACCTGCTTCATCCCTCTTCTTGAGAGCTCAAGTACGTGTTGATGTCGGACGATGCGTTTTTCAGTGTTGCTGTAATGCACTACGCCTGCTGCACCTTCTGTAAGTGCATTACCGTACTTAATCCAAGCCACATTTCCATGAGGTGGAGGCCACTCTAACCCTGTTTTATGGATGAAGAAGTGAACTTGCTCAGAGAGGTCCAGTGCTGTGCCCAGGGCTCAGAATTCCAGAAGTGGCTGAGGCAGGGTTTGCACCCAGGGAGCTGGCTCTGTGCCGGGGCTCAGCTTCCACATCAGTGAGAGCAGGAAGAGGATGAGCTGCTGGACCACCAGCATGGCATGGCCCCTCGAGAGGCAGAGGAACAGCGTGGGCCCTGGATGCCAATGCTGCTGGGCCAAGTCTCAGTCTGAGCCTTGCTGTGGGGCTTTAAGCAAGGAAGGCAGTGGCCTCTTTTTCCTGCAGGAGGGATCATAGGGCAACCTCCTTGTGTCCCGAGGGTGGGATCACTGAATGAGAGGAGAGAGGGAAGTGGCCTGGGATCTGCCCAGTGGTTATTCCTCACTGGGCTTGTTCTTTCATTTGGAGGAGGCTGTTTAAATCTCAGCCTGGCTCTTGTGTCCAGCCCCTCTCTCCTGTGCCTGCTGATCCACCGAGCTCCTTCATGCATCCACCTATGTGTCAGCCTGCTCATGAGGGCTCAGGCAGGTCCAGAAGCTTGCTGGCCAGCTAGGGAAATGGGATTAGAAGGCAGTGCCTGGGACAGGCCAGGGGTACTTTGAAGGACTCAGGCACTACAGGAGCACAGGGCTGGGTCCTCAGTTAGCCTGGGAGCCAGCAGGCAAGGGGTGAGCTGACAGAGGAGAGGAAGTAGGTGGATGAGGAAGAGAAGGGGGCATTCCAGGGGACACGGACGTTGGGGCCAGCTTCAGCCTCAGCCCCATCACTGTGGGAGGATGTCAGCTCACTACAGATGGGGCAGACTGAGGAGATCCAGGCTGCATCCTGAGACTCGGTGTTGCTGCTGTAGCAACCCCAGTGCTCTTCTCATCTGATGAGCGACCTCTCCATTCAAAAAAATAAAGTACGTATTGGTGTCTCTGTATGAATCTGGGGCTATAGTGGTGAACAAGCCGGAGAAGCTCCTGGACCTTGAGCACTTAACATTTCAATGGGAAGATAAAAAATAAACCAGCACAAGAGTAAACAGGACCATTGCAGTTGTGGCTTAAAGGGCGGAGAAGGACACTTTCTGGGAATTGTAGCTAAGGCTCTGGGATGTGAATATAGGACTGCGGATCTGTCCACGCCCAAAGAGGAAAGTAAATCGTCCTAGAAATTTCATCAAACAAAAGGAATTTAATCCAGGAATTGGCTGCAAAGGCATTGGAAGGACTAGTTTTGCAAACAGAGGAAGCTAACATGACCAAAGATTCCAGCAGCTGGAAGCTGCTGCCACCTTAGGGCTGGAGGAGAAAAAAGGAAGTGGCATTTCCTGGAGCCCCACCATGACTGTGGCATGGATTCGGTGGCTGTTGGAACTGAGCAGTTCCAAGTCAACCCTTGCCGGGGGGCAACTGCTCCTGCTGCCCTTTGTTCCTGCTGCCCAAACCCAGAGCATCACCTTTCCTTGCCTGCCTTCCTCTCGCCTTTCATCCCATCCTCGCCTCCCATTGGCAGGCCCTGGCACGAGGTAGCTGGCAGTGGGGGCTGAGGCTGTGGTCTTCCAGGATGCAGCCTCATTGGTAGATGCAAAGGTACAGAATGATGATGCCAGAGCTGAGAAGACACCTGGGCACAAAAGGCTTGGGGGTGACTCTCTGGTTGCAGCAAAGGTTTGAGATCTGTCCCAAGCTACATTTGCAAATGAATGCATACTTTTTACTGACATTGATGTGAATTTGGGGTGGCTTTGGGGAGCTGATGAAGATGAGGAGGGGCTGGACTGGCAGCCCCACTGGCACTGTGATGAGCCATTCGGGATGCTGAGGAAAGGTTCTATGACGTGAATTTGAGCTGGGGCCTGTGGGAACCTGTTGTTTGAGGGCTGGGACAGAGTGCTCTGGGCCGAGGATGTACCCATGCCTGGGTCACTGATGCAGTCAGCTGCCCGGGAACCCAACTGCCCCAGAACCAGACTCTGCCATGCCAGTTCCCACCCATGGTTCTGACCTGAAGCCCCTTCTCTGAGGCTTCTGGAAGATTCTATAGTGGCCCCCACCCATCTGGATTCCCAAATGTTGCACCCTGTATCCATTTCCTAGGGCTGCTGTAACAGGGTTCCATACACTGGGTGGCCTGAAACAACAGAGATCTTCTCTTTCACAGCTCTGGAGGCTAGAAGTTTAATATCAAGGTATGAGCAGCCCTGCTCCCTCTGAATCTCCTTAGCTTCTGGTGGTGGCTGGCATTCCTTGACACTCCTAGGCTTAGAGATGCAGCATTCCAATCACTCTCTATCTTCAGGTGGCCTCTTGCCTGTATATCAGCTTCTTGGTCTCTTCTCTTCTCATTGGGATGCCAGACATATTGAATTAAAGGCCCACTGTAAGACTTCATCTTAACTGATTAAATCTGCAGTGACCATGTTTCCAAATAAGGTCAGAGTTTGGGTTCCAGGAGGGACATAAGTTTGGTGGGACACCATCCAACCTAGTACACACCATGCTGTCAGATTCCAGTCACCTGTAGAGACACCTCATAATTTTATACCTAGCTTCCAAATCCACCTGCCTTCACACATTAAAACCCACAGGAACTGGGCTCCTGCTAATCTTTCTGGTGGAGGAGAGGAGAGGCACAGGGAATGGGGTCTGGGGGAAACTGATTAGAACCCTCCCAGCAAGCACACCAGACAAATGAAGGGCCACACTGGATTGGAATTGTTCCTTTGATTTCTTTTTCTTTTTCTTTCTTTTTTTTTTTGACAGAGTCTCTCACTGTCGCCCAGACTGGAGTGCAGTGGCACAATCTCAGCTCACTGCAACCTCCGCCTCCTGGGCTCAAGCGATTCTTCTGCCTCAGCCTCCTGAGTAGCTGGGACTACAGGTGTGTGCCACCACACCCAGCTAATTTTTGCATTTTTAGTAGAGACGGGGTTTCACAATGTTGGCCAGGATGGTCTCGATCTTTTGACCTCATGATCCACCTGCCTCAGCCTCCCAAAGTGCTAGGATTACAGGCATGAGCCACTGGCACCCGGCCTTCCTTTGCTTTTTTTAACTTTTCAGTTACTTACAACGCACACACACACAATCACCTATCAACTTGCCATGCCAACAAGTGAAAGTTTTCTCATTTTTCTGTATTCCAATTTTTGCCCCAAGCATAGAATTTTTTGGTAGATGTATAAATGCAGCACAGATACCATTTGTTTTATGTTTTCACGTTGCTTTCTCTGTGAGGCATTTTCTGCGTTGCTACAGTCTTCATAACGATCACTTTGAAAGCTGCATAATGTTGCATTAGGAAGATGCACCATGATTTACCTAACTAAATGTCCGGCTGTGTTGGAACAGTTGTTTTACTATTTAAATAGCATTATTATAAATATCCCTGGAATTTGGCTTTTGATTCTTATTTAATTCTTTGAAGGATTACATTTAAAATTAAATAAGGTATTTTTGTTTTATTTAAATAAATGATCTCTGCAATATCCTGACATTTTCCTAAGAACTTAAAACTGAAGATCAATTGTAATAAACAGGTCTTTGTTTGCCTGCCCAACTCTCCCTTTGCCTTTTTCTATAACAGTAAAATCACTGTTCTTGGGGTCAGCCTTCCTCTACATAATGTCTGCCTACAGTGGCTGGAGTTGACCTCACTCCAGTTCTGGGGGTAGTAAGCTACTGGCCAAAACCAATCAGGTACCCAGTCTCCTCGGCCCCAAAGATTGACTCAGGGATGGGCAAGTTGGCCCCGTCTGTGCCATGTGGGGCAGGCCCAGGGGTTCTGTAGGAATAATTGGCAGGGAGAACCTCTTTCTGGATATTTGAGGGTGGAAGCCTGGACTTGTTGACAGACCTTTAGTCACCATGAGATGGGGTCTGCCTGGGAACAAAATAAACTGGAGGAGAGTGGGGCAGAGAGATGATGAGAGAAAGAAAAAGAGAGAGGAGAGGGGAGAAGAGGAGCTGGAATTAGGAGAGGAAAAAGAGAGAGAAGGGGACAGAAGAGACAAAAGGGAGACACTGGACCCTGAATTGTGGAGAGTCCAGGCATGTGGGCCATCACCCTACCTCTTCTTGCTTGAGTCAGTTTGAGTTGGTGTTCGTTATTGGTAACCAAACAGGGTTGCTTGGATACTGTATCAGCACTTGTTTATTTATGAAGCTTAGGATGGAGGAAAATGGGGGTGATGCCTTTGTGTGTCTCAGTGAAGTATAATAGTTGGAGGTGTGTCTGGTGCATTCTAGAATCCACTACAGACAGGAAGTCCAGGGACCTGGGGAAAGTTTCAGCTCTGCTACTAGCTGGCTGTGTGAGCTTGAGAAGGAACAATTCCTCCCCTGACCCTTTTTCCTGATCTGCAAAATGAGGGGTTATATTAGATTCCACGAGGGGCCCCAGCAGTCGTAGGAGAGGGAAGTGACAACCCTCACAGCCTCCTGGTCTCTGCCTGAGTGGTTGGGGTTTTATCTCTTTTCAAACATACAGTTCCAAGTAAGATTTCATGTGAGAGGGAAAGAGCTCCAGCGAAAATGAATGCCTCCACTAGAAGAGCAAACAGCTGATGAATTGCAGAGCTCCTTGGTCTCTGTGGTTCCTTCCAGTTCTAATCCCTGTGACATTGGGATGAATTTGCTCTCCTCCGGGCCTCCGCAAATACTGCAACTGACTGCAGGGCTTGGTAGTGAATGCTTCTGTCTTCTTTTCAGTGGGAGGAAGTAGTTGTTTTCCCCAGCCCCCAGTCCCCAAGCTTTCGAACAGGTGCATCAGGTTGGATGTAGAGGACAGACTGAGGATTCAGTGTTTTCTAATACTGCAGTGGCTCTCTTCTGCAGTGAGTGAGTGGCCCAGCTTCTTGGCCACATCTTAGACTAGATGCCTAAGAGCCATCATTGGAGAGGCATATGTCACTCAGGCCATTTCAAGCCATTTCGGTGCATTTCTAGCATCTCTTTTTTTTGAAACAGGGTCTCGCTCTGTTGCCCAGGCTGGAGTGTAGTGGTACCATCACGGCTTGCTGCAGCTCCAACCTCCCAGGCTCAAGCAACCCTCCCACCTCAGCCTCTTGAGTAGCTGGGACTACGGGTACATGCCAACACCTCCTACTAATTTTTGTATATTTATTTTAGAGACAGGGTCTCGCCATGTTGCCCAGGCTGGTCTCGAACTCCTGAGCTCAAGTGATTCTCCTGCCTCCGCCTCCGTCTGTTGGGATTACAGACATGAGCCACCACGCCTGACCTCATTCTGGCATCTTTGACCAGGCCCCTGCTGCATCTATTTTATCTAGGGAGTCCTGGCATTTGGAAGAATATTTGATTATCCTGGCAAGGAGAGATTTTCGTTTTAAAATAGAGTCACTGCACTGAGACTATCTTATCATGGGCCATAAGCTTACCCAAGCAGTGGTGTGGTTCTACAGAATTTTCTGGTCCTTAGTTATAAGGAAACTTTTGAAGGTCATGCTGAAGACACAGAGAAATGTATTTCATGATCCCCAGGAGTCGTCACCAAATAATGTGTGGCCTGGTGTAGTGCCTGTGCCCTTGACTTGCAGCTGATGGATTTCCATGAGATGGACAGGACGAGACAAACACTCATTCAGCTAGAGCCCCTTATCTTTCTCAAAGTAGCTTTACGTGCATTTCCTCCCTGCCTTCTCCCAACAACTCTGTGAATAAACAGAGAGCAGGTAGCATGATCCCGATTTTACAGAGGAGAAAATGAGGAAACAGAGAGGCTACAAGCCTCCCCCTTGGCCACCCAGGGATGGAATAGCACGGTCCATCTTGTGGTTCAGGTCTCTCAACTCCTGGCCTTTGGTCTCTCTGAGTTTGGACTCAACAGCTTAGTGAAACATGAAGCAGAAAGTTTTACCCATAGGTCCTCTGGCTCAACTTTGGGGATCAGGAAATTTGCTGCTTGCTTTACTGGCGAAAAGCAGATTCGTTAATTAAACATGACAGAAAGCTTTGGTAGCAAAGAAAAGAATCCTATGTCCATTGTTCTTCCACTAAATGATGAGAAAGTGCTGGACCATCTGCCCAAGATAGTAACCTCAAGTGAAAATTTGTTGTGCTTTGGTTATTGTTTCAAAAACACAAAACCTAGTGGCCACTGGGTGTAGGTATAGAAGGAATGTATAATGAGAGACAGGGATGACTTAGTTGTCTTTAGGCGTTAATTTTCTTAGTCCCTTGGAAAAGCAAAACCAAGCAGAACTCTGAGTCTGTTCCTCATGAATACCAAAATAAGATTAAATTCAACATCTAAGGACTTTCAATAAGAAAGAAGCCAGAAGGATTCAACCATCAGGGAACAGCCGACCAAAGGCATTAGAAAATTGGAAACCAGAAATGAGAAACCAGGAGCCGTGAGATGTGCTGAATTACCCAGGAGAGTGGGGCTAGACCTCGCTTTGATGGCAGCATATTCTTCCTGTTTTTATGTGAACAAAACTGAGTAATTGTCTCCCCATCGCAATCACAGCAGCCAGTAATGAACGAGAAACATTGGGCTCAACCAGAACACCCGTGTCTACCTACACAGCCCAAAGTGGGAGGAAAGAGACTTTGAAGATATCACTTTCAGCTGCACATAAAGATGGCCCGTGTTCACTCAGGCAAAGGTGTGAGCCATCCAGGACAGCGCAATTTCTGTATGTCAACAGAATAATTAGCTTCTGCGGCTGCCTTGTGTAATTGGGTCTCCCCAAAAGATACATTGAAGTCCTGATCCTCCAGACCCGTGAATGTGATCTTATTTGGAAATAGGGGTCTTTGACCAGGTTAAGGTGAGGTCATCGGGGTGAGCCCTAATCCAGTGTGACTGGAGTCTTATCAGAAGAGACAGGAACACTCAGGGAGAGCACAGCCATATGGTGACAGGGCAGAGATTGGAGTGAGGTATCTATAAACTCAGGAACGTGTGAGGCTACCAGAAGCTGCAAGCAGCAAGGAAGCATCCTCTTCCAGATAGAGGCTTTGGAGGGGGCAGGGCCCTGCCAACACCTTGATTTTGGACTTCTAGTCTTCAGAAGTAGGAGAGAATACATTTCTGCTGCTGAAGCCCTGAAGACACCCAGTGTGTGGTAATTGTTATGGCAGCCACAGAAAATGTATATAATACCCATTACTTCCAAAGGTCGACTGAACTGCAGCCTTTAACCTCACGCTTGAAGGCATTAACGTCCGTAACCTCCCCAGCGAAGGGGGGACCAGTTAGGCTTTAAATAAGGGGTGGAGGGAGATCCCAGAGCTAGAAGCCCACCTGTAGGGAAACCCCATCTAGCCTCCCTTTTCAGAAGTGCCCAGTAATATTCATGAGGCTGTGTGAGGGTCCAAGTGTGCCTAGAATGTTAGCTCCCCACACACCCTCCTTCCTGCCTCATTCACAACTTTGCTTGAACGTCCCCTTTTCTGAGAGGACTTTTCTAAGCAACGGATGTAGAAGGGCAGCCCTTGCTGCCCCCGCACTCCCATCCTGAATTCTGCACTGTGTTTCTCCACCATTCTGAATTCTGCGTTGTGTTTCTCCACCATCCTGAATTCTGCGTTGTGTTTCTCCACCATCCTGAATTCTGCGTTGTGTTTCTCCACCATCCTGAATTCTGCGTTGTGTTTCTCCACCATCCTGAATTCTGCGTTGTGTTTCTCCACCATCCTGAATTCTGCGTTGTGTTTCTCCACCATCCTGAATTCTGCGTTGTGTTTCTCCACCATCCTGAATTCTGCGTTGTGTTTCTCCACCATCCTGAATTCTGCGTTGTGTTTCTCCACCATCCTGAATTCTGCGTTGTGTTTCTCCACCATCCTGAATTCTGCGTTGTGTTTCTCCACCATCCTGAATTCTGCGTTGTGTTTCTCCACCATCCTGAATTCTGCGTTGTGTTTCTCCACCATCCTGAATTCTGCGTTGTGTTTCTCCACCATCCTGAATTCTGCGTTGTGTTTCTCCACCATCCTGAATTCTGCGTTGTGTTTCTCCACCATCCTGAATTCTGCGTTGTGTTTCTCCACCATCCTGAATTCTGCGTTGTGTTTCTCCACCATCCTGAATTCTGCGTTGTGTTTCTCCACCATCCTGAATTCTGCGTTGTGTTTCTCCACCATCCTGAATTCTGCGTTGTGTTTCTTTACCATCCTGAATTATGCGTTGTGTTTCTCCACCATCCTGAATCATGCGTTGTGCTTCTTCGCCATCCTGCATTCTGCTTTGTGTTTTTTCACAGTGTTGTCTTCTGTTTTACTTACTTGTGTGTTTCGTCTGTTGTTTTTCTCTCCAGTGGTACCTGCTTTGTGAGTCCGTTTTCTTCACTGATATATCCAGTTGTCCACAGTAGACACCTGATAAATATTTACTTGTGGAATGAATGAATAATGAATGAATGAATGAATCATGTCCGGGGGCCTTCCTAATGTGCTTCTGAAACAGTGCTCATCTCTTCTAAGACAAGGAGTCTTCCCTTGCCCGGATCAAATCTCAAAGTCATGAGTTTTTTCAATGGATTCCCCTGTTCCCTGCAGAAGACATGGAGATGATTATAGTAGAGCAGCCTCCACTCTTTAAAGTGGTTGGAGGAGAAAGACTGAAATCTGGCTTGAGTGTGAAGTACATTCGTCCTGACTTTGAACACGTGTCTGACTGTTCATGCTGTTATTCATTCGTTCACTCAGTCACTATGGACAAGGCACTGGAGCAGGTCCAGATTTTTCTCCAGTGAGCACACTATCAGGTGATTCATACTTGACCCAACCCCAGAAGGAAGTGGGGCCACTTCAGGGGCATGTGACCTGTTCAGTCACCCAGAGCTTCATGTGCAGAAAGGCTAAAGGTCAGTTAGCTGCTGCCATCATGAAATGATTTATAATTTTGTCTTTGAGCTTGTGTTTTTAAGGTGAAGTATCACCGGACAATGGAGCAACATTGCGCTGCACAAGGAAAGGAAATACTTGCAATACTCATGAAGGCCACTGTTCCTTGCCCCCCACACTTACATGCAGTGCTTGTGATGGGCACAAGGTCACACAGCCATGGCACGTCTGTGCCATGTGCAGCCATGAACTATGAAATACAAATTGTGTAAGTTTGGTGAATCTGCCTATGAGTTTAATGCTCTTATTTTTGCATTTAGAACTGGCATTGCGGCAGGGCAGGGTGGCTCACGCCTGTAATCTGAGCACTTTGGGAGGCCGAGGCGGGCAGATCACGAGGTCAGGAGTGCAAGACCAGCATGGCCAAGATGGTGAAACCCCGTCTCTACTAAAAATACAAAAATTAGCCATGTGTGATGGCGGGCTCCTGTAATCCCAGCTACTTGGGAGGTTGAGGTTGAGGCAGAGAATTGCTTGAACCTGGGAGGCAGAGTTTGCAGTGAGCCGAGATTGTGCCACTGCACTCCAGCCTGGGAGACAGAGCAAGACTCCATCTCAAAAAAAAAAAAAAAAAAAAGAAAGAAAGAAAGAAAGAAACTGGCATTGCATGTTATAAAGAGGAATGGTAAAATTCATATTAATAGTTTCAGATTTCAATTATTCTTTACTTAAAGAGAAAATAGAACACACCGTGACAAATTAAGAGAGAGACTGCAGAAAAAAGGCAAACGCTTTCCGTTTCAATCTCTTTAATGGCACTTGTTTGCTGCTTTTGAACAAGAGGCCCCATATTTTCATTTTGTCTTGGGCTCTGCAAAAGATGTAGCCCACCCTGGTAGGACAGCATTGGTGCCATTAAAGAGAAACAAAGACCCATGGAAGTTCAGAAGGGAGCGATTATGTCCAGGTGAAGTCAAGCAACATTTCATGCAGTAAATGGCAATGAGTTGTCCTGGTCCATGCCATGGAGAGCACAAAACAAGCTCTGTCCTCCAGTATTTATAAGAAGCCTGGTGCCCTACGATGGAACAAGGCTGACAGCCTCAACAGTGAGCAAGGGGTCAGCTGGACACCATCTTGTGCATCCTCAGCTCTGAATGACACTGCAGAGCAGGGGAGAGTCTTGGTCACTTTTGGAATGGTGAAGCCGGCTGATGTTTGAGTGCCAGGTGGTGGAGAGCAGCCTCAGTGGGACTAAATCAACAGAGTCCTACCTCAGAGACTCACTCTGTGCCATCCAAGACTGTCCTCTGTGGACACTCCGCTGTGGCTGGGGAGGACGATGGAGATGGGCCATTCATGTGACCAGTATTTCTGAAAGTACAGGTGGGGAAGCAGAAATGATTGCTTCATGGAGAATTCTTTTCTGGCTTTGGGGTGCGTTCCAAGTGGGGCCATAAAGAATCCCACAACAGGCCGGGCACGGTGACTTATGCCTGTAATCCCAGCATTTTGGGAGGCTGAGGCGGGCAGATCATGAGGTCAGGAGATCGAGACCATCCTAGCCAACATGGTGAAAACACGTCTCTACTAAAAATACAAAAATTACCTGGGAGTGGTGGTGCGTGCCTGTAATCCCAGATATTTGGGAGGCTGAGGCAGGAGAATCGCTTGAACCAGGGAGTTGGAGGATGCAGTGAACTGAGATCGCGTCCCTGCACTCCAGCCTGGTGACAGAACGAGACTCCCTCTCAAAAAAAGAAAAAAAAAAAAAGAATCCCACAACCTTTGCTGGTGAGTTGGAATGAACGGAACTGTTGGGTCATACCTGGGAACATCAGGAGAAAAAGGAGCACACATTTTGGTACCAGCTGATAGTTACCCAGGCTTCCATGGGCTTGACTGCAACGACCTTGACCTCTTGTCAAGGAGAATCTGGAGACACAGAAGGAGGGTAGATGTTTCCTTGGGTTGCGGGGCTGCCCCACCTGCCCTCTGGCCACTGCAGAAAGATCAACAGAGAGAGGCCAGTAGCCCAGTAGGACATGCCACAGATGCAGGAGGCCTGCAGGCACCACGGGCTTTGGAGCTGAAGGAGCCACACAGGGGGCTGGGCCCCGGCCCCTGAGTAACCACTGTGGGACGGCAGTCGGGAGCAGTTCATCTACCCAGGCCTCTGCCCCAGCTGGACAGTCTGCTTCCCCTCCCTGTGAGCTCACCCAGCTCCTTCATCACTGCCCAAGGGCTCCCTGTATCCCAGGGCTCCAGCACTGTCCCCTCACCCTGCCATGCCCACCACACCTAATTCCAGCCACCATGAGTGAACAGTTCCACCTCGTCCTGGAACATTCTGCTGTGACAGGGCAGGGTGCCCCCTCAGCAGGGGCACAGGCACAGCTTGAGGGCAGGAGGTCGTGGTGGGTGCCCCCTCCATCGATGGACTGTGGGAGATGTTGGGTGCCCTATTGGTTGGCAGAATTGGTCGCCAGGGGCATCATCAACAGTGCTCATTTAAGTTGTCTTTTTCTTCTCCTTAAAGGTCCCATTCTCCTTACTCCCTCACTCTTTTCCTTGGGTTCTGCTCCCAAATAAACCACCAGCACCAAGCCCTTGTTCAAGGCTCTGCTTTAGGGGTAAACCCAAGTGGTAAGACACCCATCAGTCCAAAGGTGCTCCCTGACCCTGGTCTCTCGGGATCTTAGAGGCAACACTACTACCTTATTTTAACATACCCCTCAGACCAACAGGTAGCATGCCCTGGGTTTTCTGCAGTGGGACTTGCAGCTCCCTGAGAGTAGGAGGAGAGTGAGCAGTTCAGGATCTGCACAGGTGCACAGGTGAGGCTCCCTGGCACACATACTGACTCCTGACCATGAGTACACGTACTGACTAGGTTCACTGGCACACATACTGACTAGAGGGGCGGTTCAGGATCTGCATAGGTGCACAGGTGAGGCTCCCTGGCACACGTACTGACTAGTGTAGCACACATACTGACTCAGCATGAGAACTTGATGGACGTTTCTCTTCGTCCAAAACTTATTCCTCATTAGTTTATTCATGTTGTAGTGGAGTGACATTACCTGGGGCTCCATGTAGGCACATCTCCAAGGGAGAAGGAGGCAAGCTTTGGATGTGGATCTCATGGTTTCTGAGAGGTAGACACCCAGCCTCATGTGACATCTGCTCTAGGTAGTGTCCTCCCCAAGGGTCTGAACTCCACTCATCCTTAAGCAATAGGTCCCAGGATATCCCTAAGCTCCCAGAGATAGAATGATCATAGAATGACCAAGTGTCTTCCTATGAGGCCACCAAGATTTAACTCATAAAAATATACCATTTGCGTTTACATAACAGAGTTTGATTTTTAAATAGGTTTCTCACAACAACCTTATAAAATAGATAGGCTACTTTAGTCCTACCTTCTTGCTGCAGTTTGGTACCAGGGAAACGAAGTGCAATGAACTGCATGTTTGTGTTCCTCCAAACTCATATGTTGAAATTTTAGCCCCCAATGCAATGTTACTAGGAGATGGCCACTGGGAGGTGATGAGGTTGTGAGGACAGACCCCTCGTGAATGGGATTAGTGCCTTTGTAAAAGAGACCCTAGAGTGTTCCCTTCCCCTTCCACCATGTGAGGATACAGTGAGAAGGTGGGTAACTGCAGCCTAGACAATGGCCCTCCCCAGAACCCACCCATGCTGGTACCTGGATCTTGGACTTCCCAACCTCCGGAACTGTGAGAAGTATATGTTTCTTGTTTCAGCCACCCAGTCTGCAGTAATTTGTTACAATAGCCCGAGCTGGCAAAGACACTGACACTCAGATGAAGTGACCTGGGTCACATGGCTGTTTTGTGCAGAGCCCAGTCCAGAGGCCCAGTAACTTGAGTCTGAGCCTAGGACACATCTGAGCAGAGGGTGCTGCCTCCATTCACACCATGGATCCAATCCAAAGAGTCCTAGGTTGCCCTGAGACAGACGGCCCATAAAAAGCAGAAGAGTTATCAACAGGCACAAATAGAAAACAAACCAAAGGAGGGCCTATTGAAAAAGCATCCACAGGAAAAACAAGATTAGTCATTAGAGGGAGAGAGAACAGAGCACATTAATAGAGAACAGAAAGTATTCTCCTTGACAGCCCTAAGCACCACTCTCTGCTGTAATATTTCCTGTTTTGGTACAATTGGTAAAGTTATTCTTTTTCTCTCCCTCCCTCGGTTTCCTGTCTCTCTCTGCATCTGTGGTTTATGCTTGTGCACATGGAGAGCCATTTCTCTTTTACTGACCATTTGGCTTTCGGGAGCATTTCTGCTGTTTTTCCATGTCCATTTGTTTTCTCCTTTGTGTCAGAAGGACCCGATGTCCAACTCCAGAAGTCAAACATTATGAAGAACTAGTGAAATATTTTTTAAGAAGAAAAATGGCAAAAATGAAAAAGCCCCTTCCTCTCATTGTCCTCCAACCTGAGACTGTAATTCAAGTCCTGAAACAGTACCATCACCCCAGGCTAGCATGGAAGAGTTAGCATACAGGAGTGCCTGAGAGTCCTGAAATTTCCTCCGAGCATTCTGGGCTCAGGATCATGCAAATGGAAGTCTCCAAAAGGTGGAGGGGGGCCTTTAGTAAGGGTCTTTCCTGGGGAAGACCTGAGGGTCAGCTATTTAGAGGTCTGGGGATGGCAGAGTTACTTCTTCCTGGACCTTGTTTCCTTGCTGGGTCCTTACAACATCAGTTACTCATTCATCTAAAATGAAATCTCATGTTTTTTACTGAGATCCTCATAAAACAGAAAATTCAATGGTTCTCCTTTCCCTAAGAGCTTATGAGATGTAAATGAACCCTTTCATGCAACACCAGGCTCAGAAGTGAAGATCATCTCATACCAACCATATAAAAATATGATTAAACAATATTTTCTCAAGCATCTTCCTCTCATTTAATATCTTCCAGCACATATCTCGCTTAGATCCTAGTAGAAGATGTGCCAAAGCATCAGAATTACAGTCAACTGTCCTTGGCTCCATGCATCTGATTGAAGAGAAATTAAGTGGTTCCTTAAGCCCCCTGGGGAGTGAGTATCTCATTGCCTGATACAGCTCTAATAATCACACCACCTTAACCTAGTAGAAGAGGGTAAACACATTATTTTGCATGAAATTATGTTTCTTAATGAATTAATAATAGGGTTACAATTCTCAATTCAATAAGCAGAGAAATACAGAGAATAAAATAAGGGCAAGCAACTGCATTATAATTAGTTGGTCTTTGCAGCACTGTGTTTAGGAATGCATTATCTCTGATTGCAGAGAAGGATGGGTAAATCGTGGCAGGGTTAGCCCTCAGCTGCTGGGGAGTTCACATGTGGGAGAGGAGAGGAGAGGAGAGGAGGCTGCAATTAACAACTCTAGAATAACAATGACTTGTTTCTGTGCCAACTGACCCCATCCATTCTAAGATTCTGATTCTTGAGGATTTTTCAACATTGCTCTTTTGTATATTAGTGATACCCCTTGCCCTTCCCTAACTTCCCTTTGATTGTTTCCATCCCACTCATTCTTGAATTTGAGTGGCCACTTTTGTTGACACATTTTTGGAACCTAATGTCATTTATCTTAAATCAACCTCTTCATTCCACACACTCATTGCCGTGCCAGCAACAGCGTTCTCATACCACACCAACCCAAGGACCACATTCCCACCTCTGTGTCATAAAGAATTTGGTCTTGGCCAGAGAGAGTGGTTTGGTCCTCAATTTCTGGAAAGTAATATGTATACAACATGACAGGAGGATGTTTGTTTAGCATGGCTGCTGGCCACACCAGATCCTAGGGTGGAGGATGACCATGTCAAAAAAGACTGACCATGTGATCTGGGGTGGCAGCTGGCATCAGGGCATCAGTTGACCTGGAGACTGAGTTCAGCTGTGTGGGCAAGCAGTCAACCAATCATGTATATGTAATGAAGACCCAATAAAAACTCTGGACACTGATGCTCAGGGGAGCTTCCCTGGTTGGCAGTACTCTATGTGTGTGGTCACACATCCATGCAGGAGAGTAACATGTGCTGGTGCCAGGGGAAGGCATCAGCAGAAGGTTCACATTTTGGAGACTCCTAAACTCTGGTCTGCCCTCTGTGCTTCTTTCGGCTTGTGGAAATTTGTATTCTTTTCCTGGAATACACCATAACAATGAGTATAACAGCTTTCAATGAGTTCTATGAATCCTTCTAAAGCATTATTGACCTGGAGGGTGGTTTTGGAGACCCCCTTAATGTGCATTTGGTGTCAGATGTGAGGACAGTCTTGGAGAAGACCATGCCTTCAACCCTGCAGTTTGGCTAACTCCAGGTGATCCCCTGGGTTTTCCAAAGTTGTATTGCCTCTTCTCCAGATCTGAGGTCTGGCACTATCTCTGGCCACCTCACTTGGTCTTTTGGCTTATTTAGTGTATGTTAGATGTGGTTAGGGTATTTATATTTCCAGGAAGAGTGACACAATACATTTATTTTGAGTCCAAAGTTACCCAAATTTGGGTCTAAGAAAGTCTTGGCTTGACCCCCACAGAGTTTTGTGAGATGGCCCAGGAGTCAGAACACTGCTAAGTTTGAGGAGTAGCTCAAACTAAGAGCTATTGTCAACAGAGATGGAAACCCTCACCTTTTATGCCTCTGCAAGAACAACATTATTTCTGGCCTGCTGAAGGGCCATTGCCAGATCTCTCCTAGAGGATCAATGAGGACATTGAGGATTCACTGCACAAAGGGCTGTATCTGAGCCACAGGAGGGAAGGGCTGATCTGTGGTTTTTATCTCATCCTTCTCCCTGATTTGTATGAAGGGAATAGAAAATACCCAATAAACCTTTGAATGTGTAGGACTGATCCCTATAGGGTATAGGGTTAGCTTGAGTAAAAGAAAAAGGAGGAAGAGGAGAAGGAAAAGTGGAAGGAGGAGAAAAAGGAGGAGATTGGGTAGCTAAGCATGTCTTATGTGCAGCCACATCTGAGCACCTGGAGGAGGCGGCCACAGCTCTGGGGCCTGGAAGAGTTGTGCAGCATGGAACTGAGAGAGATTCTCATTGGTTGTAATGCCTCTCAAGTGCACATAAATGTCCCTGCAGAGGCTCTTGCACTCAGAGGTTGCCTGATTCTCCTGACTGTGCTCTCTGTATCTACACCGCTACATACTTGAAGCTTAGTCAAAATGCAGGAGTGGGGTTGGGAACCACTTGCCAGTGGAACTTGCCACTTGCCTGTTAGTTACCAGGTTTTCATGTGGAACACACTGGTCTGGGGACTCCCGTGACCCTGATATTGAACAGTGGTGGAGTTGAGAAGAATCTCCCAGCTGAGATGGGCCTGGGTCTCAATCCTGCAGCTGTCTCTTTGCTCTTCCCCTTGGGCCTGGCTTTTCAGCTTTCCAAGCCTCAGGTGTGTATGTTTGCTTGTCAGTAAAATGGGGATGTATCGCCTGCATCTCAGAGTTGTGAGAAGTGTTAATTAAAATTATGTAGATAAGGGGCTGGGCCTAGTACCTGACTCAAGAAGTGGTTTCTAGTTTAGAATCAGATAAAGGAGAGTTTATCTCTATTGGCCAGGCACTGCTTCAGTTACAACGGAGGCAAACATCTTTGAAAGACTACTAATATCCAGCCATAAAGATTGTAAACACAGTGTGGGTGAAAGAAATCAGAGTCATAAGTGGCTACCTCCTTGAGAACAAGCTCAGTTTTGTTGGTTTGGATCTGGTAGTGGTCTTGGCTTTTATTTGCTATTAACCTAAGCAGAAGAATTCAAATAAAGCTGCTATCAGGAGCATATTTCTTTCTAAATCCAGAGCATAATAAAAAGCAATGAGTGATCTCAATGTCAAAAGAGTAATAGAAAATTCTACTTGCAGCAAATACAAATAGCACTTGCTGTTAAAAGGACAATATATTCCAGAAACAGAGAAAAACCACCAGATGACCAGCTCCATCACTTCCAGTTGACTCACAGTGTGGTGAGTTCCAGGACTTGTGTCAGAAAGGAAATTCAACCCTAATGTTTCTCTCTCAGAAAATTTTTCAAAAAGGATCTTCTTTCATGGAGGCAAAAGCAATGGAATAACTTGAAACAAACATTTTTGGTTTTCAAAGATCAGGTTGTGTATTACTTTATAGTGATCATTGCAAGTGAAGAACACCTGACTTACACTGGCTTAAGCAGAGGCAGATGTTTTCATTCAAGTTCTTGGAGAGGCTGTAGTAGGCAGACTCCACAGGATGCTGGGTGCAGGAATCCAGGCACGTGCATGACTTATTTCCCTGTTATTCCTCAGATCTGCTTATCTTTGCTTGATCTGATTCCCTGGCAACCCCCTGCATGTAGCAGGCAGGATAATGAAGACACTGTTATGAGCTAAGGCTTGGTCAGTGCCTGCAATGTGGCAGGTATCATTAAGCAGCATTCCATCTTCAGCATGCTCCCAAGAGGGAGAGTACAATCATTAGCTCTTTTCACAGGTGGCGAGACTGAAGACCAGCTTTCTCAGCTCATACTTTGGGAAATGACAGAACTACAGCTGGAACCCAAGTGCTCAACCTCCGAGATTTCTCTCCCTCCCAACTAAATGGAAGAGGACAGCTGTCTCCAAAGTCTCAATAATGCAGGAGTCTCTGGCCCTACTGAGGCCACATGGCCATCCTTGGCTCAATTGCTGTGGCCAAAGGAGTGAAATAGTCTCATTGGCCAGCTTGGATTCTGGGGCCACTTCTAAGGTGCTGAGGAAGGTGATGGGGATCTATAATTTAGGACCCCGAGAGCAGGGGGTGGAGGGATCTCCCAAAGGAACCATAAACGGGATGAGAAATTATGCCACCACCATGCATAGCATCCTCCCTGATCATTTTTCCACGAGCAAATTCCTTCATAATTTGCACCAGAGTGTGCCTTGGAGTGTGTGAAGGGGAGGGGATATGCAGGGAGGAGCCACCGTTTGCGGGGCAGGTAGCCCTGGGGGACACTAGTCTTTGTTTTGGCACCCTTCCTCAAATTTCTGAAAAGAAACACATTCTCTAGGCTCTTTACATTCTAGGGAATTGTTGGCTAAAGAGGCAAGCACCTTTGAAGGCAGTGGACTTCTCTGTGGAATCCTCATCTGAATCTAAGACTTTGGGACTTCATGAATACTGGGCCAGTTTGGACACCCAAGAGACCTGTCCCCGTGTCTCAGAGAGTGTTTTGTGGCAGCCCCGATTCGATCACACCATTCAAAACGATAAATATGAAAATCGGTCATCAGTCACAAGTTTCCCTGAGATTTTACAAGATCCAGTCTAGTTTGGGAATTAATGAACCAACATGTTAACCATGAAAATTATTTGCAAGCACGCATCTGGCACAAGGTAAGGGATGCCCTTCTTTCTTGTTGAGGCCTTTGTAGAAAAACCTTCACAGTTAATATGCAGAGTCTGTTCCTCAACCTTCTTCTAATAAATTAGTGTAACATCTTGCATAGCTAAATCATGAAGGGGGGACTAAGCTCCAGAGGCCAGTTATAAATGCACAAAAATAATATAGAACTAGGTACATAAAATAGAAGCCTATTTCTTCATCTATACTAATGGATTTTAAACATAAAAAATAACTGAGAATAAGCACCAGGCACATTAGAAATTTAAATTAGGTTGCAAAGCTCCCCATTTCATACAAGGTCAGCTTGCAATAAATGATTCAAGGGAGCATTCCTTAGGAATAAAACTCTCACCTGCTTTTACATTAACCGATGGGCTCTACACTTTCAGATGATGCTTCACAACGTGTTTTGATTGGCTGTTTCCTCTCACCATATTCCATGCATAAACCTGAGCATTGTGTTCATTTTTTAAACCCTAAGAAATAAAACATTCTTACCCGTGGACTCTTGTTGCCCAATTCTGTAGGGTTTCTTTATTGACTGTAGATTACTAATTCTTTTCAACTATCCATAATGATTTTTTGCCAATATATGTTTAAAGAACATTCCTCTGCTGGTTACAAAAATAATGTATACTTGTAGAAAATAAGAAAACACAGAGACATATAAAGAGCAAAAAGAAATGGCCTATGGCCAATGACCCAGAGTTAAATCTAGTGGCTATTTTTCTTTCTTGCTTCTCTGTCTGTACATATACATGTATTACAAAATTGGGATGATACTGCACGTAGACTTCTGCATCTTAGTTGTTTTTCCTTCCGTACCATTATGCTGTGAAAACATTGTGCTTTTATTAAATATTCCTCACAATGTCATTTCATTGGTTGCATACTATTCCATCATATGGGTTGCCATGATTTATGAAGCCATTCATCAAGTTTCTCTCGTAAATAACGCTACCATAAACATCTTCCTTCATAAATCTTTGTTTATGCGTTCAACAAATATTCATCGTCTGTTTCCTCTGAACTCGGTTCTGTGGTAACCGCTGGAGAAATAGCAGAGAAGATGACAAACATGATTTCTTTGTTCAATAATTTTTTCATTACATCCTTAGGATAGATACCTATACAAGCAATTACTTTTTATAACCTCTTAACATGTATTGCCAAACTGTTTTTCATGAAGGTTGTGCCAGTTCACAATCCGCCAATGCCTGAGTAACCACAAGTAGCTTTTATTGCATGCTTACCTGTGCTAGGCCCTGTCCTAAGATCCTGGCTTGTGTTATTTCAGCCCTGGAAGAAGTAGGTACTGTTATTATTCTCATGCTATAGATAAGGAAACTGAGGCTCAGAGAGTTAAAGTTGCAGACGGTCAGGTAAGATTCAAACCTAAGCTCTGGCTCCGTGGCCAGATTTTTACTGTTGCATATAAATTATCTTTATTGATTCTTGGCCAATTTGAAAAGAGAAGAGTATCTTGCTTTTGGTTTAAAGTCTACTCTTTTGATTATTGCAAAAGTACCAACAACTTCTAAGTTCATCCGCTCTTTATGGTCTTCCCAGTGAGTGGATAGACCTCCACCGACTGACACAATTCCTCATTGCCCCACCCATCTTTCCAGCTGGTAGACACTTAGGAAGCAGACACTAATTTTTATACTGGACTGAATAACGTTATAGGGTTTATAATGTTTTGGGAACCCTAAGTCATACATGAGGATATTTATAAGAGACATTTTAAAAATATAAAACCATCCAAGGTCATAGCCAAGATTTTTTTTCTGTGTAGTCAATTTACTTGGAGAATGCATATTTTATAATTCATGAAACGTATATGATTTATAAAGTTTCCATCCCCAACTTAGTGACAAGATGCAGTTAATGGTTAAGTGTCGAGAATTTTACCCCAGTCTGCAACCTCCCTGTCATTAGCATTCTTCTATCCTCAAAGAACAATGCATGGCTCTTCCTGGTAAAGATCTACCAATCCATTGATACTGTTTACTGCACAGCCTGTATGATTTTTTTTTTTTTTTTTTTTTGAGATGAAGTCTTGCTGTCTCTCAGGCTGGAGTGCAGTGGTGCGATCTTGGCTCACTGCAAGCTCCACCTCCCAGGTTCATGCCATTCTCCTGCCTCAACCTCCCGAATAGCTGGGACTACAGGCGCCCGCCATCACGCCTGGCTAATTTTTGTTTTTTTTTAGTAGAGACGGGGTTTCACCATGTTAGCCAGGATGGTCTCGATCTCCTGACCTCGTGATCCACCCGCCTCGGCCTCCCAGAGTGCTGGGATTACAGGTGTGAACCACCGCGCCCGGCCTGTATGATATTTTTTACTGAATTGTTACTTATTATACACTCTCTGCCCCTTCTTTATCCTCTGCCTCTTTAGGGGCTCCTGATACTCTTTATATAAACTTGCTTAAGTGTTTTCCATTTTGAAAACTTTTCTTTGCTCACATTTCATACTTGAGATAATTTTTCTTTCCCCCCTGTTTATCCAAACTTCTCAAATGAATGCTACATTGACTATTTCAACATCCTGACCTCCCATTAACTCCTTGGGCTGGCTTCTGCTTCTCAGCACTTTACTGAAATCTTAAGAAGGTTGCAAAGAGCTTCCTAAAGCCAAATGAAGTGAAACTGTGATCTCTTTCTCAATGAATCTTTCTGCTACACTTGACGCTATTCAGTTCCTGATACTTTCTTCCCCACCACTGCACCCTCTTTCTGGTGGCTCTGCTCTCTGATCCTGCATTTTTTGTTCAATCCATCCTCTCCTGGTTTTCCTTCTACCCCTCAAGTACTGGTGGCCCTTGGGGTTCAGTCTTCCACTAACTACTCTTCCCGTGCTATGTATTCTCCCTGGATGATCTCATTTACTCCAGTGTCTCAAGTGCCTCCTACATACGGATGATTCTTTACATATTTAGTATAATTGCCTGTGGTTGCCCCCTACTTTGAAAATAATACATCATCAAATTCTTATAACCACCTTGATGCCTTCAGTGTGTCTCATCTGCACACCTCTTCCTTTTCCTATGTCCTTGATCTCAGTTGCAGACACCACCATCCAATCATTTCTTAAACTGGTGAAATCTAAGGCTATTGCTTTGAGCCTTCTTTTCTAACATTGGAGGTGAGTGCTATAAATTCCCCCTTACTTACTCTTTTAACATAATTTCTCAGTTTTGATGTTTCCTCGTTTCCAAATATTTTCTAATTCTTTTTAAATCTATTTCTTAATCAATGTGCTACTTAAAAATGTATTGTTTAGTTTGCAAGTACTTCAGGGGGGGATTCCAGTGATATATTAGTTTTTTTTTTTAGTAATTTAATTCTAGTTTGGTCAGAGAACATACATTGTATAACTTCACTCTTTTTAAAGTTATTAAGACTTGTACTAAGGCTCTTTTTATTTTTACACATGTTCCTTGTGTACTTGCAATAAATATGTTTCTGTTGTTTTCGGGTGGAGTACTATATAACTGTTAACTAGGTCAAGTTGCTTGACAGTCCTGCTCACATCTTCCATATTCTTTCTATTTTCTATCTACTATATCTATCAATTATTGACAGACAGGGCATGACATCTCTGATTATAAATATAGATTTGTATATTTTTCCTTGCAATTCTGTCAGTTTTTGCTTCATGTATTTTGAAGCTATGTTATTAGGTGCCTACACATTTAGAATTGTTGTGTCCTCTGGATGAATTAGCCCCTTTATCATTATGAAATAACCCTCTATCTTTGATAATATTCTTTACTCTAAAATCAACTTTGAGTGATATTAATATAATCACTTCAGCTTAATTTTCATTAGCATTATGTATCTATATATTTACATATACACATATAATGTATGTATATACACATGCAATATATATTTATGTATACATAGATGTATATATACACATATATTTACATATACATATGTGTATATATACACATATATAATGTATTTATATATACACATATAATACATATATACATATATAATGTATTTATATATACATATATAATATATATATTCCATATCTTAACCTGTTTGTGTCTTTATGTTAAAGTGTATCTCTTGTAGCAGCATGAAAAGCATGGAACTTGCTTTTTATTCAATATGTATCCATCTCTACCTTTTAATTAGATGCATTTAGACCATTTATCTTTCATGTGGCTATTTCTATGATAAGGTATTAAGCTCCCATTTTGCTATTTGTGCCATTTCTTCTTTGTTTCTTTTTTCTACCTTATCTGCCTTTTTCTAGATTAATCTAATATTTCTTACGATTCCCTTTCATGTACTTGACTGGATTATTCACCTTAACTTTTCATTTTGTTATTTGCATGGTTAGTTTGGGCTTTATAGTATACACCTTTAACTTCCCACAGTCTGCCTACAGGTAATATTATAACACTTTGTGTAGTACTAAACTGCACGCATAGCTTCATATAGCACAACCACCTTACAATGGCGTACTTCCCTTTCTCCCCTCCCGGCCTTTATGCTCCTGTTGGTCATGCATTTTACTTTTACATATGTTATAAACCACACAATTCATTGTTGTTTTTTGCTTAAACAATCAATTTTATTATAATATTTAAATAAGAAGAAAAAATATATATTGACCTATGTACTTACCATTTCCAGCACTATGAATTCCCTGGTCTCTCAGCTCTGTTTCTTAACCAGGGAGTCTGCCGGGCTCTGCACCATACAAAGAGCTGGGGGCAATCGTAGGGCTCACCTTGTTGTTTTTTCATCTTTTCAGGACCAGTGTCCTTCATTGCTTGACATACAGTGTGTTACATATTTCATCTATTTGGGAGCTCTGTCAAAAGGGAGCTAAATCTTGTCTCTTATCCACCAGAGTGAGAGTCTCATGATAGTGGCTCTTATCAATGTTTTCATATCTGTCTCCTCCCCCAGTTTAAGATGTGAATGGCTTGAAGACAGGGTCCTCACCTTACTCCTTAGGGTGTGGTCTGCAGAGTGTGGGTTCTGAAGGTCAGGCTGCCTGGTCCTCGTTTCAATTCTGCCACTCACTGTTTATGACCTTGGGCAAGTTACTTAATTTCTCTGTGCCTTAGTTTCCTCACCAATAAAATAAGGATAGTAACAGAACAACTGGGGTTATTTTGAGAATTCAGTGATCCATACAGCGTGCTGAGTAGAGCAGCTGGAACATAGCTCCCAGTCACAGCAACTATTAGCCTAATAATAGTAATCCTTGCTGCCTAAATTTTATATTCTTCTCTTCACATGTAGTGCGTGGCAGAGATTAACTAAAGAAATATCTTTATGAATGAGTGATTTTGATCCTTTCTGGATCCTCATTGTTAAGCCTCGTCAGAAGCTTCATCCACACATGAAAATCTCCCTGCCTCGTTCAGGTATTTTTTCTTCATTCCTGAGTCACGTGACTCTCACCGTGAAGCCTTCGCTTTTCACCGAAGTAGCTGGAGATGTGCAGACATTGTCTGTATCAGAGCATTGCTGAAATTCAACTCTCACTTGATTCAAACGGCAGAAAGTTGTCTGTGGGCAATGCAGAGTACAGTATTTTATAGAAATTGATGATGCCTTGAAGGGAGCTTGAGCGGATAATGTAATGGGAGGACAGATCCATCGGCACTTTCCTGATTAAGCTGACAGCTTGGAATTGGCATCAGACCGCTGCATCTGGCGTGATTATTTCACATTCATTCCAGAGTGATGGCGGCTGGGAAATTTCAACTATTGGGAGATTTGGGGAATTCAAGGAATGATATGAGCTTGGAAGGAGATGTACTTCAACGGAAGTACATCCAACGGGTTGGATTTGAAATCATGTCACCAGCCTTATAGATTCCAAAGGATGATCTGGGGTTCTTCTTGCTGTTACAGAATCTTAGTCCCCTCATATTCTCAGCTGGTACATTTTGACTCTGTGCCAGAAGAAATGTGTGCAAAAAATCTCCTTTTCAGGATGTTGCAGGCATATAACTCTAGATCATTAAGCACAAGTTTCTGCATTATAGGATTTTATCTAATAACACTCTTGATTTCCCTGTGTCTTGATGGCCCTTCCACCACATTTTGTCTTGGCTGAGGTTTGAATCCAGAGCTCCATCTTCAAATGTCCTCAGGATCATTAGGAGAGGCATTAACATCACCTAAAGTAAAATGAGAGTGGAAAATAAAATGAACGGGCCATTTTAACTTCTCAGATCTACAGATCATTTTTGGAGAATAGAACAAGTGGCAGCACCCATCGAGGTGGGTTTGGGATTTACATCCCCTCCAGGATGAGGATCAGAGTTTTTTCTTTCAGGCCATTTTGGCATGACTTTTATGGGCTTTGAAAGTCTGACAGAGGCATGAGTGCATGAGCTGGACCAGCCTTCTTTGTGTGTCTGCTCATTCGCAGGGTGGTGTGGGGGGGCCCACAACCCACAAGAGCACATAAAATGGGTCATTGAGCAAGAAAATGGGCACTTTTTCCATCTTAAGTACAAGTTGTAAGTAATTAGCTTTATGCTCAGAAATGTTTTCCATGCGTAGCTGATGTCCTTCTTCATCCTGTCTTGTGTTTGGAAATGAAGCAATTGACGAAAACTCACTTTCCAGATAAAGCCCAATGTAAGAAATCACTCCCAATCCAGAGTTTGGGGACAGAAGGGAAGACTTCAATCCATTCTCAGTAAAGGTATGGAGTGATTTTGGTTTTTATATTTTACCCTTCTAAAACTTGTCTGGTGCATATAATTAATAGCTGGTGGTATTGTTATTACAACTTCTAAATTTACGTGTTGTAATTTTGCCTTCAAATAGACCTGTGATTTCTACAGGTGGTCATAAATACTGAGATTACTTCTAGGGCTTCACAGGCAAGTATGTTTAAAAGTTTTATCTTTTGTTTTCATTGTGCTAATTTTTCTTTTTTTTTTTTTGATTGGGGGGACGGAGTCTCGCTCTGTCTTGCAGGCTAGAGTACAGCGGTGCGATCTCAGCTTACTGCAGCCTCTGCTTCCAGGGTCCAAGCGATTCTCCTGCCTCAGCCTCCTGAGTAGCTGGAATTACAGATGCCCACCACCACGCCTGGCTAATTTTTGTATTTAGAGTAGAGATGGCATTTCACCATGTTGGCCAGGCTGGTCCCAAACTCCTGATGTCAGGTGATCCACCCGCCTTAGCCTCCCAAAGTGCTGGGATTACAAGTGTGAGCCACCCACCTAGCCTATTGTGTTAATCTTTATGTTTATCTTTGATGTATGCTGATAATAGTTTCCCATACATGGTAATGATATCCAAATTCCTTTTAAAATAATAGTAACTGAAGTAAACACATTGAGCAAGCAATAGTTCAGCTATTAGTTTTACCTAAATATATTAAGCAAATAATAGCACCTCACAAAAAGCATACGGATGATAAATACCTGGCCATGAAGTGGACAATGAGCTCCTTGACCAGGGAGATGTCCCCACATTTCTACCCCCAGCACCCTGTGTAGACCCCTCGCATGGAGCTGAGAACTGCTTTGTGAACCAAGAGCTAACATTCTTGTGAATATTTTGGTGTTACTCAAGTTTTAAAAAGTTTCTTCATTTCCTCACATGCACAGTGGGGATATTAATAATAGTCACGTCGGCTGGGCGCAGTGGCTCACGCCTGTAATCCCAGCACTTTGGGAAGCCAAGGCGGGAGGATCACCTGAGATCAGGAGTTCAAGACCAGCCTGGCCAACATGGTGAAACCCCGTCTCTATTAAATACAAAAAAGTAGCTGGGTGTGGTGGCTCGTGCCTGTAGTCCCAGCTACTTGGGAGGCTGAGGCAGGAGAATCGCTTGAACCCAGGAGGCGGAGGTTGCAGTGAGCTGAGATCGTGCCATTGTACTCCAGCCTGGGCAACAAGAGTGAAACTCCATCTCAAAAATAATAATAATAATAATAGTCATCTCAAAGACTGTTGTGCAGATTAAACAAATCAGTGCCTGCAATTTGCTTTACCCACCATAAGGACTGTGTTGTTCAGCTAATTTTCCTCAAATGGCTTTTCCTCTGAATTCTTCTGAGTGCAGCATGGTTTCTGCCCTTTCTTTCCTCTTACCTGGCATGAGGCTTGGCAGTCATTGCGCCTTCCTCAGGAATGCATCTTCCAGGGTCTTCTCGGGCTGCTGTTGAGGTCAGCAGGACAGAGGTCTTTCCAGGATTTGGGAGCAAACAGTTGACCAATGAAGAGTTCTCAGCACTATCATGAGGTTCCCTTTGGCCATCATCTACCTCCTGGTCTTTGACTCCCTCCCACCTTCCATGTCTTCTTAGGTACTCTGGGAAGGTTAAAAACTTCCAGACTCAGGTGAAACTGAGGACCTCTTAAAGCATTACCTCTCCCAGGAGAATTTGTACTGTATCAGAGTCAGAGAGTAGTTTCTAGGTCTGTAGTCAATATTAATTGGGAAGGAGAAGATTTCTTATCTTCCTTTCTTCTCTTTCTTTCTTTCTTTCTTTCTTTCTTTCTTTCTTTCTTTCTTTCTTTCTTTTTCTTTCTTCCCTTCCTTCCTTCCTTCCCTCCTTCCCTCTCTTCTTTCCTTTCCTTTTCCTTCCTTCCTTCACTCCCTCCCTCTCTTCTTTCCTTTCCTTTCCTTTTCCTTCCCTCCCTTCCTTCCTTCTCTCTCTCTTTCTCTCTGTCTCTTTCTCTCTCTCTTTCTTTCCTTCTTTTTCTTTCTCTCTCTTTCTCTCTTTCTTTCTCTTTCTTTCTTCCTTTCTTTCTTTCTTTCTTTCTTTCTTTCTTTCTTTCTTTCTTTCTTTCTTTCTTTCTTTCTCTCTTTATTTCTCTCTTTCTTTTTCTTCCTTTCCTTCTTCCCGTATTCACTGAGCACCTGCTACGTGCCAGCCACTGTGCTGGGAGCTGGAGACACTGATAGTAGAAGACAGACAAGGTCTTTGCCTGCCTGGGTCTTATGTTCTAGCTGGGAGACACACAATGCACAGTGCTCACAGATTCAGAAAAGAAGAACAGAATATCACACAGATGGTTAGAGAGTAGCAGAGCAGCTACTGAGCTTAGATTGTTTGTGCAGGCCTCTTGGCCACATGATGCCTGGAGTTGGGAAGTGGTCCCCTATGTGGGTCAGACAGCCCTAGCCTTTGGGCTAATTAGATGATCACTGGATTGATTGGCTTTGAGAATTTGTAATGGAAATGTCCTGTTCAGTATTGCAAGCTGTGGGGGGGGAGGGGGGTCCCTGCCCTTCGAGAACTTACCAGGGAGAATTTAAATGATGACTAAGACAGTGACATGCTGGTGGAGGATTGAGAACTGACGCTTAACTCAGGTCTGATTTCACCGGCTCTGAGACCTTGGACAAATAATTTATAGTCTCAGGTTTCTTATTTGTAAGTGACTACCATGTTACCTTCCACATGGCATTTAGGTGAGCACCAGTGAGCAAAAAAGGGGAAGGCAAACAGTTGTGGAGGGTGGAATATGGCCTTCCCAAAGATGTCCATGTCCTAATCCCTAGAACCTGTGAGTGTGTCACTTTATGGCAGAGGGACTTGGCAAATGGGGAGATTATCCCAGATTATCTGGGTGGGCCCAATCTCATCTCCTAAGTCTTTCCAGGGGAAAGAGGTGAGCCAGAGGAGATATGATGACAGAGGCAGAGGCAGAGGCAGAAGTGGTATGAGTTTCATGGGGGGCGGGCGGGGGGGGGTCCCTGAGCCGCAGGGGGTCCCTGAGCCACAGGAGTCAGGTGGCCTCTAGGAGCTGCAAAAAAGGACAACAGGGTTCTCGCCAGTGCACCGCCTGTTACCTGCTGGGTACTGTTCTGAGAACCCTGCATGTATGAACTCAATTCATCCTCGAAACACTCAAACAGAGGGATGATAATTAGCCCCAGTTAGGAGATGGGAACTGGGAACTCTCTTAGAACCTCCAGATGGGGCACAGCCCTGCTGATGCCTCAGTTGTACAGCCCAGTGAGGCCCACTGTAGACTTCTGACCCCTCAGAACTGAAAGATAATACATTTGTGTTGTAAGCAATTAAATTTGTGCTAATATGTTTCAGCAGCCACAAGAAACTCACACAACAGCCCAGAGGCTACATGCAGCCCGCTGCTTGTTTCTGCACCATCCGCGAGCTGAGAATGACTTTTCTAGATGCACAATTGCAATTGGTTTGATGAAAGGGAACACTAACTTTAATCCCAATGAAACAAAACAGTATTCTAGAAACAGGAATTTCATCCTTATTATTAGTAGACTCATATTACTCATATTTCATATTTTTAAAAAGTACTCAATTATGATGATATCCATCAATAAAAATGTGTGGGAATTTGTTTTCTCTCTTGTCATGTGAATGTGTAGGTAATAATCTTGAATTTGTCTCTTGGCCTGCCAAGCTGAAAATATCTGCTCTCTGGGTCTTTATGAAGAAGTGTGTCCACCTGTGAGCTAAGCCTTGGTGAGCCGCTTCCCCGCCACAGCAGGTGACTTTCCTGCAACAGTTGATTTTACCAACAGGTGGAACTGCCATCTTTGTCCCAGAGTGGTTTCGGGGCTGGGGCTGGAATCGAGCTTGTTGTTTCTCCTCTTCATTAGTGTCCTCGATTACCTACAGAGAAGCAGATTCCTATTGTGGGGACTGTCACAGAGAGCCGTTTGAAGAGATGACCCATGCTTTAACTATTTTATTAAATAGAATAGGAATATAATCCACCTCCTCTCCCACAGAGTGATGATAGCAAAATCCGGGGCAGCCGGCCTTCTGGGTGCCTGTGGTGTCAGCTCCAGGGACTGAAAGAGGGCAGCTAGGGCTGCTCCCTGTTCTCCAGGGGTCCTCGTCCATGATCCGTGGGAGGGAACATGTCCCCAGGCAGCCCTAAGGATCGTAAATCCTCACAGCTCCATGCCCACAGGCACACTGCCCGCCGGAGCTCCCTGAGCTGGAGCTGTCCTGACCCAGGGCTGCACGGTCTCCAATAAACACGACACGAGCGAATGAGTGGTGTTTGTTTTTCTCATGTGACTCATGGAGACACTTCTATTAAGAGCACTTGATGATGCCTCTCCCCAGGGCACAGGGGTTGTGGCACCAGAGCCGGACTGCCTGTGTGGAACCCTCTCCCACTTACAGCAGTGTGGCCTAGGGCCTCGGTTTTCCCATCTCTTAACTGGGCTTAATTATCATCTCTGTGTTGTCGGAGTGTTGTGAGGATGAATTGAATTCATACATGCAGGGTTCTCAGGACAGTGCCCAGCAGGTAACAGGTGGTGCACAGGGGAGAACCCTGTTGTCCTCACTGCTCTGGCGAGAGTTTGACATATCCACGACTCAAGCAAAGGTTTTTGCCTTTGAATCCTGTATCCTATTCACATCCTCGCACCTGTCTTTGTATTGTGTACTTAGAGTAAGACTTGTCATGAAAAGAGCCTAGTGCTGCGGCAGTCAGAGAGGGACAGGGCTCCGTTGCTGGGGAGCAGCAGAAGAGATAGTTTTTAAGGTGATTCTTAGAGGATGGAAAATTCCTCCGTGGGTGTGGAACACAGTAAGAGTGCTCTAGGTGGCAGGAACACCTTGCACAAAGGCTTGGAGCTGGGAAAGTTAGGGCTTGATATTGGAGGAGCAAAAAGCAGTCTTCCAGGCCTGGGAAGGGGCAGGGGCCTGACAGCAGAGGGCTGGAGCATGGGGAGAGGGTGGATTGGGACACAGCGATTGCTTATTGGCAGGTTGAACATGAACCGTCAGAACGTTCCTGCTTTGGTGGGCAGGAGTGAGGCTCTCCCTGCTCTGGCACTTGGGCAGATGGCCACCCACACTGAATGGGGTTAGAGGGACATGTTATTCCCAATGTCAACAGCCACCATGCCACTGCAGCAACAGCAGGTCCCTAAGTGCCCATCCTGCTGAGAGCAATTTATGCTGTGCAGGCTGGAGAGGCCAGAGAGAAAACAATCCACACAAGATCCCAGTCCGGGGTCACTGAGAGCTGAGCCAGGTGAACTGCGCGGTGGGGGATACTCCTCTGTGGGAGTCTGGCCTCTGTGGGGTTTGCTTTGCATCTGACCCCGCCCCTGCAAGAGCTGCTTCTGACTCCCTTGGAGCCTCTGACCTCACGCACTGCTCTCTGCACTCTGATGTCCCCTCCAGCTCCGTGTTCATTCAACGAATGTCTCTCTGTTTCCCAGCCTCCTGCTCATGTGGGATGGTAATTATGTTCCCGCAAAGCTTCCTTGGCCTGCTGTTTCTGGATCCCCCTGGATGACTCGGAAAGATTAGCTGGGCCCTGGCTAATTAAGCACAGAAGAGGCTTAGGGAGCTGCATGCTGGGCCTGGGCTTGGAGAGGCCGCTCAACCCCCTGGCAAAATTGCTTCTGTTTGATCACATTAACTCCCAAAATGGCTATGCGCTTCTTATTTCCTATTTGTAGGGGTTTTAATTTTTGTTTATTTTTAATGAACAGGTGCGTTAGTCCAGAAGGTATTGTCATCTGGGCTCCGGGCAGCAGCGCTGACTACGCTGACTCTACCGTTTCTTTCTCACGGACTCTCTGTGTGTCTCTGGCCTGTCTTTCCTTCCCCAGCCTGGTGCCCGTGGTTTCTGCTTCCTTGTTTCCACAGTGGGCAGGTGTTCAGGCTTGCCAGGGCTGACTTGCCGCAACCCCTGCTCTTCAAACCTCTTGGTTCAGGAAGACTTCTGTCTCAGCAGATGACCACCTGGGTCCTACTGGGTCCCACATCCAGTGCCAAGTGGGGAGTTCCAGGGGTCCAGCTCCCCCTTTCACGCCGGGCCATGAGTCATAGCTCCTAGGTCATAGATCCCAATGCACTGATGTAGGCAAAGTGCCCACATCTACCCAGTCGCCCACAGAATGGGCCAGGATAGGCGGGAACCCCGTGTCGCTGCCACCCTGTCCTTGGGACATGGGCGAGGCAATTTCCCCTGCAAAGGGATATGGATAGGTTCAGGCGAGGATGTCTCCATTTCCAACCTGAAAACCTGTTGTGGACCAAAAGGAGGAGTTTTTGGAGTTGAGAGTGAAACCCAGGAAGGAGTCGTTAACAGACGCTAATTGTCCCACAGGTAAGCATGGGCTTGGATGAGAGACCAAACAACATGGCTCTGAAATAGGATTTCTTCATCAGAAGATGAACAGAAAACAGGAAGCTCATGGCGAGGTGAGCCGTCCCAGAAAAGGACAGGAACCTGCTTGTTGTACTGGACAGGCCCCCTACAGAGTGCTATGGGGACTCCTGGGAGCCATGCTGCTGTGGGCTGAATGTGCCCCTGAGGCTCATGAGTTAGGAAATTAACCCCAATGCAACAGTGTGGAGATGGGGGACCCGTTAGAGGTGCTGAAGCCGTGAAGATTCTGCCTCCATGAATGAGGTAATGCTATTATCTGGGTCGGGAGTGGGTTAGATATCTTGGGAGTGGGTTACTGATAAAAGGATGAATCTGGTCCCATTCCTGAACCCCTCTCAGCCCTCTTCCTCGCTCTCATTCTGTCACTCTCTCACTCTCTTACCCTCCCACCTTCCACCATGCAGAAGGTAGTCCCTGGCTAGATGTCGGCCCCTCCACCTTGGACATCTCAGCCTCTTGAACTTCAATAAATAAATATCTGTTCTTTCTAAAACACCCAGTCTCAGGGATGCTGTTATAGCAGCACAAATGGACCAAGACACAGATTGGAATTCCCTCCTTTCTCTCTCTTCTGTCTATGGTCTTACCCTTTTACAGAGCTGTGTGGTGCACAAGTGGCTTTCAGTGCATCTGCTTTGGTGAGCCCTGAGCAACGCCGTGATGCCGGGATGTCTTCATTTCAAGCTCACCTCTCCGCTTGCTCTTAGTGAAAGTTCCTTCCTTTGCGGACTGTGGTATTTTCTATGCTCAGAGGAGTCATGCCAGAAGTCAGAGGGTCCTTAGCTTTCCTGGGAGTGCTGGGGAGGCCTGGAAGGGCAGCCACCAAGGGAAGCATTTTGAACCCCAGCATTCATTAGGGCACAGGCCTGCAGCATAGGCTCCCCTCATCTGAAGGGGTCACTGCTTTCCTTTTTACTCTTTTAAAATGCATGCCTGGTTTACTTCCAGTTTATAAATAATTCTCCCCTCAGTTACCACCTATCTGTCAGCTCCTCCTAGAAAAACCATTTTATTCTTCTGACACCATACACAGAAAGGACTTGCAATTTTAAAAAGTTTAAATCAATCAACTAAAAGATTTTAATCTTTTAAAGCACATAATGAAAGTGAGCTTTGTAAGACTTTAACCTGGCTGTAAACTGAGTTCCAGTTCAGGCTTTCCATAAAGAAATCTTCTCAAAGTCTATGGTTCCCTCTTTCCTCGCCTTCCCTCACCTGTCCCCTGGTGTTCTCTCTTTCACCATTCGACGCCAGAACACCAGTGAGCTGTTTCCCTTTCTTTAAATACAGTGTGTAGTATTGCAACACTTCTTTGGATTACAAAAATACTATCAGCTAGGTGTAAAAAAAATTTTTTGAAGTTCCTTAATGTGATTTCTTAAAATTCACCATCGGCTGGGCGCAGTGGCACACACCTGTAATCCCAGCACTTTGGGAGACCGAGGTGAGTGGATAGCCTGAGGTCAGGAGTTTGAGACTAGCCTGGCCAACATAGTGAAACCCAGTCTCTACTTAAAATGCAAAAATTAGCTGGGCATGGTGGTGCGTGCCTGTAGTCCCAACTACTCGGGAGGCCAAGGCAGGAGAATTGCTTGAACCTGGGAGGCGGAGGTTGCCGTGAGCAGAGATCGCAACACTGCACTGGAGCTTGGGCGACAGAGTGAGACTCTGTGTCAAAAAAAAAAAAAAATCGTGATCATCCCACGGCCCAGGACAGAGCAGTATTACTCTGTCTGTGTTTCCTTCATTCACCATTTGCATGCATACGTGACTGGGATTCCATCCTCGCTAATGTTATATCATAAAGGCTTTCTGGGTCATTAAAATTAAAACTAGGCGGGGGGTGTGGTGGCTCACGCCTGTAATCCCAAAACTTTGGGAGGCCGAGGCGGGTGGATCATGAGGTCAGGAGTTCAAGACCAACCTGGCCAACATGGTGAAACCCCGTCTCTACTAAAAATACAAAAATTAGCCAGGCCTGGTGGCACGCACCTGTAATCCCAGCTACTCAGGAGGCTGAGGCAGAAAATTGCCTAAATCCGGGAGGCGGAGGTTGCAGGGACCTGAGATTGTGCCACTGCACTGTAGCCTGGGTGACAGAGCGAGACTCCATCTCAAAAAAATTAAAACTAAAAGCTATTTGCATGGCATACAGCCCAGTAGGTTTAGCTCTGACATGGGCAGTGGGAAATTCTATGGTTCCACACTTGGGTTTAAAATCCCTCTCAAACTCACACCTCCAGGGTCTCTACCGCTGAAGGGAGAAAAGAGGGAGCCCATTTCAATGTGGGAAGAGGGAGAGAGGAAAGGTGCCTGTGGTGGGCGGGCTGCTGGGGGGATGCACCCCTTTGCCCTGCAGACCTTGCAGACAGCCCGGACCTTCTTGCTCTTGCTTTCTGCTTTAGAGGTATTTGTCAGCTGATGGGGTGACATCACCCCCACCCCAAACCACATGCATGAGACTGCCCTGATTGGCTGCTCCTTCCAGCAAAGCTTGGTCATCCCTGGTGGACTCGTGCTCCTGGGTTCATTCGTCTTGGTCTCCAGTGGCAGGTACAGAACATCTAGCTGTGTTTCTTTATCAGATGCAATTTAGATCGGAGACAAAGGACATCAACTGATTACAAAACAAGCCACTCAGCGCACTGTGGCTCTCAGCTCTTAACCCAGCCAAATAGCTCTATGCTTTTCCATTTGGATTTGTGTATCTTCTCTGTTAAGTCATCAGTTTTATCATCTATATGTGATTCTTTATTCTCATTAAACAATAACAGCAGCACTCATCTCCATTGTGCAGCATCATGAAATAGAAAGCAAACTTTTTTTCTTTTTTCTTTTGTTTTTTTTTTTTTTTTTTTTTTTTTTTGAGATGGAGTCTCACTCTGTCACCCAGGCTGGAATGCAGTGGTGCGATCTCAGCTCACTGCAACCTCCGCCTCCGGGGTTCAAGCGATTCTCCTGCCTCAGCCTCCCAAGCAGCTGGGACTACAGGCACACGTCGCCATGCCGGGGTAATTTTTTTGTATTTTTAGTAGAGATGGGGTTTCACCATGTTGTCCAGGCTGGTTTTAAACTCCTGAGCTCAGGCAATCCGCCCACCTCGGCCTCCCAAAGTGCTACAGTTACAGGGGTGAGCCATTGCGCCTGGCTGCAAACTTTTTTTTCTTGAGAGCAAGTATAGTTTTGACTCACGAAATCACCTTACAAACTTCTCTGAGTTCTCTCGTGCAAGTCTAAAGATGGAAAAAGGTCTTCTTTGAACAGCTGGGTGTGTCCTTTGTGGCAGGGGTAGATAGGAATATTTGCAGCAAACGGAAGTTGAGTTTACTACAGAGAGTGTGACCTTGGAGTTTGGGGCCGATGCTTATGTGCAGTCAGTCATCTCTCTGTTACCTGTGCCGGATTCTGCATCTGTGGAACTGCGGTCACTAGGAATCGGAGGTTGGCTTCCCATTTTCAATTCAGCATCCGGGTCACCTCCTTTTGTCAGCAGGCAGGAAATGCGAACTCCTTCCGGCAGCAAGCACATCATAGAGACTTTCCCAGATCAAGCAAAAGTGGGGACAGTATTGAGGATGTAGCTTCTCCTTCCGCACGCACTGTTGGGCCTGACCTCTGCCTGCAGGGCTGGGACGAGGCAGAACTTGCTCTTGGGGCAGCGCAAGTTAGGGGGTCACCCCTGGGAGTGGGCACTTCCTGGAACAATTCACCCTGAAAATCTCATGCCTCGCCCGCCCCAGGCCTGCCCCTGACCTAGAACCTCAATTTTACTTTCTCAACTCTAAACAGGGCTTGCACTTCTGGGCTTGCCTTAATCTGCACTTCTGGGTGTAAACCTCCACTCACTCTGAAGGCATTTACTAAGAGCCTGTTGTGCTTCAGCACTTGTGTAAGATCCCGGAGACGCCATTTAGAAGTTTACAGACCAGCAGTGCAAACATATAACTTCTTACAGAAGAAAAGTAAGCCTCAGCTTGTCTGTGCAACTGTTTGTACTGTGTCAGCGAGAGAGTGATTTTTGCTTACCTAGAAGGAGTTTGTAATATCTAAATACCCTAATAGTAGTAGGAACAGTCATAGCTTTACTAACAGTGTATAGTATTAGTAATACTACAGTATTAGCATTAGTAATGTTATAGAATAGCGGTAGTAATAGTAGAGTAAACATTAGCAATAAGCCGGGCGTGGCGGCTCACGCCTGTAATCCCAGCACTTTGGGAGGCCGAGGCGAGCAGATCACGAGGTCAGGAGTTCGAGACCAGCCTGACTAACATGGTGAAACCCCGTCTCTACTAAAAATACAAAAATTAGCTGGGCATGGTGGCACGTGCCTGTAAGCCCAGCTACCTCAGGAGGCTGAGGCAGGAGAGTCGCTTGCACCTGGGAGGCGGAGGTTGCAGTGAGCCAAGATCGTGCCATCGCACTCCAACCTGGGTGACAGAGTGAGACTTCATCTCAAACAAAACAAAACAAACAAAACAAAACAAAACATTTGTAATAGTATTAACAGTAATGTTACTATTACTACCAATGGTAATAGTAACAGTGGTGTCCTGATTTATAATGCGGAGTAGCCAGCAAATTCTACAGTGTAGTTCCGTGATCCAAATTCTTGCCTTCAAGAGTTACTGGCCATATGATACTGGACAAGTGATTGAACCTCTTGTGCCTTTGTGTCCTCATCTAGAAAAGGATCAAAAGTCATATTCATCTGACCCAAGTTGACGTGAACATTAAATTAGACAGGGTGATTACTGCACTTAGAAAAGAGCCTGCCGTGTGTTGAGTATTGGACGAGTATTGTCAATGACTGCTCTGTTTTGCTGTGTAGGGATCACAAGAACTCAGGGACATTGAGCAATATCCATGCATTGCCCCTGCTTCTGCACAGTTCAACGGGTATAATGGTTAATCAGGTATCAACTTGACTTGACCATGGAATGCCCAGATATTTGGCTACACATCGTTTCTGGGTGTGTGGGTGAAGGTGTTTCTGGAAGAGATGAGCATTTAAATTGCTGAACTGAGTGAAGCCTGTTGCCCCACCCCATGTGGGTGGGCTTCATGCAATCCACGGAGGTCCTGAACAGAATAAAAAGGCTGAGGAAGGAATAATTCTGTCTCTGCCTGGCTGCTTGAGCTGAGACATCTGTCTTGTGCTGCCAGACTGAGACTGACACCATCAGTTCTCCTGACACCTGGTTCTCAGGCCCTTGGACTTGGACTGGAGCTATACACTGGCCTTTCTGGGTTTCCAGCTTGCATATGGCTGATCAAGGACTTCTCAGTCTCCATAATCATATGAGACATGTCTTCTATCGGGTCTGTTTCTCTGCAGAACTCTGACTAATACAGTGGGTCTGGGGCGGGCTGGGCTCACTCTTAGGCTTGGCTGAGGCACTGTGGCTGGTCCAGTCTTCAATCATTACCTTCCCCTTCTTGGGAACAGTGGGCAGGCACGATAACGACAGAAGGTCAGAGCCAAGCAGTCCAGTGCTTTTCAGATGTGGCTTGCAGATCATGTACTAACATTCCCGGGGCCAAGGCATGTCCCATGGCCAAGTCCAGTGTGGGAAACTGTGCCATCCCCAAAAGGAGGGTACCGCAGTGATGGCCAAGGATTATGGACTTGCATGAAAGTGGCCTTCCAGGGATGGTCCTGTAGTTCACTCCCAACCTGACCTACCTTCTCTTACCTCTATTTATGTAGGCTGTTGCCAAGGGTGAACTTACCTGAGTATGTACTGAAAACTTCAGCCATTATTGTAGGGTGATGTTTTCTCATGTGGCCAAGCTCTTTTATGTTGGGTTGAGATTTTTAACACTCAAAACAAGTTTGAATCTTCTGTAGTGAAGTTGTTCCTCTCTTTCCAGGGAGAAGGAGGAAGAAAGAGGTGGCAGTACGCGGGTTATGACATCATTCCAGAGACATCTTATCTAAATCCTCATAACAGATGTTTGAGGAAAGGTGAAACTAAGACATAAGCTTCTTAGAAGTATTGTCAAACCATTGTAATCTCTTCCAACATATTTCACCAGTGCATGCTCCGCACAGGGTGGCCCAGCACGCCGCATGTTATCAACACTCACCAGATACTGCTCTGAACTGCTGAAGTGCAGGTGACTTTGAAACAGAGAAAGGAATCTTTTGTGCTTAAGGAGAATGGCAGTGCACAAACCGCTGAATGTTCAGAAGAAAATGCACTATCAATTAGGATGCATCTTATCTGTGTGCTTTTTTTTTTCTTAAAGAAGAAAGCCAAAGGTCATTAAATGATCCATCTGGAAGGAATCCTGCCATCACATTGCACATTTTCCTACTTTCCCAGGAGCTTGCACATGAGTGTCCCAGGAAGAGCATTGTCTGCTCATCCCTCAGTTATCCAGGAAAACTCAAATTTTAAATACTTCAAGAGCAGTGGCTGCCACTTCCTTGCAGTCTGTTGGTATTGATCACCAAAAAGAGATGTGTTTATTAGGGACCTTTCCTTTCAGGGATTTTGGTGAGCATTTGGGGAGAGTCAGGGTGGGGCTGGATGGAGGACAGGGTCAGTAATCAAGTGGGAGTGAAGGGCTTGAGCCCTCTCCAGGAAGAATTTGTCAACTCTTAGTTGGTATGGCCATGGCTATGGTGGGTACTGGGGACTTGGTTGTTGACTTAGGTATATACCCATGAGCTGTGGTAGGTACTGGGCACTTGGTTGTTGACTTAGGTATATACCCATGAGCTGTGGTAGGTACTGGGCACTTGGTTGTTGACTTAGGTGTATACCCATGAGCTGCGGTAGGTACTGGGCACTTGGTTATTAACTTAGGTATATACCCATGAGCTGTGGTAGGTACTGGGCACTTGGTTGTTGACTTAGGTGTATACCCATGAGCTGTGGTAGGTACTGGGCACTTGATTGTTCACTTAGGTATATACCCATGAAACAAACACCATAATATATGCCATAAACCCATCTATCCACCACCTCTCCAAGTTTTCTCACATTTTATTTATTATCATTATTTGTGATAAGAACACTTAATATGAAATCTACCCTCAGCAAAAATTTAAAAGTGCTATAAAGTATAATTAACTACAGGTGCCATGCTATACGGTAGATCTCTAGGGCTTATTCCCCTTGCTTAACTGAAACAAGTTTTGCCCTTTGGCTAATTTCCTCCCCATTTTCCCCTCCTCCAGCCCCAGGTAAGCAACATCCTACTGTCTGCTTCTGTAAGTTTGACTATTTCAGATTCCTCATATAAATGCTATCATGTAGTATTTGTACTTCTGTGACTGGCTTATTTCACTTAGTGTAATGTCCTCCAGATTCATCCTTGTTGTTATAAATGACAGGATTTCCTTCTTTTTTAAGGCTGGGTAATTCCATTGTGTGTGCGTATATAGTCATGCAACAGTCAGTGTGTAAACATGCCAACATACCTATCAATGACTGCCTTTATGACAGTGGTCCCATAAGATTACAAAATTGTATCTTTACTGTATCTTTTCTATGTTTAGATACACAAATACTTGGCCCTGTGTTACAACTGCCTACAGTATTCAGCACAGCCACAAGCTGCACAGGTTTGTAGCCCAGGAGCAATAGACTGTACCATATAGCCTAGGTGTGTAGTAGGCTGTATCATCTAGGTTTGTGTAAGTATACTCCATGATGTTTGCACAACTATGAAATTACCTGAAGATGAATTTATCCCCATCGTTAAATGATGCATGGCTCTGTGTGTGTGTGTGTGTATCTATCTATCTATCTATATATCCATCTATCTATCTATCTATCTATCTATCTATCTATCTATCTATCTATCATAAAACATTTTCTTTATTCATGATGGGCACTTAGGTTGATTTCACATCTTGGGTATTATGAAGAATGCCGCAATGAACATGGCAGTGCAGGGAGATCCTGATTTCATTTCCTTTGGATATATACTTAGAAGTGGGATTGCTGGGTCACAAGGTAGTTCTATTTTTAATTTTTTGAGGAATTTCCACGCTATTTTCCAGAGTGGCTGCACCAATGTGCACAAGGTTCCCTTTACTTCACACTCTTGCCAAAATGTTACCCTTTTCTTTATGTGATAGCCACCTAACAGGTGTGAGGTGATATCTCCTTGTAGTTTTGATTTGTGTTTCACTGATGATTAATGATGTCGAGCACCATTTCATATGGCCATTTGTATGTCTTCTCTAGTTTCTTTGACCAGTTTTTAATTGGGTTATTTGCTCTTTCGCTATTGAGTTATAGAAGTTCCTTATATATTTTGGATAAGCAATAATGTTGTTACTTCGCAGTTGTGGTGTTCTAGTTACACATTATTTTTCCAATACTCTTTGAAATAAATGTCCACCTATTAAAAAAAAACTTAGCTCCACCTCATGTTGTCACCCCCAGGGATATCCATCCCACACTTCAGAACACTGAGTTATGGCAGCCAGATCTGTCCTCAGCAGCTCAGCCCCAGGTGTCTAACATTCTTCAAGGTCCAGCACAAGTCCACATACTCTAGAAAGATCTGAGGATCCAGGCTGTGTGGCACAGTGGAAGGAGGTCTAGGTCCCATGCAGGCAGCCTTGGCCCTTCACTCAGCTCTGCCACTGCTACCTGTGGACTTGGACAGTTGGGGGACCTCTCTGGGTCTCAGTGTCCTCAGCTATAAAGGAACCAGCCTTCTTTCCTCCTTCCTCCACCCTTCCCTCTCCCCATTCCTTTATCCTTTTCTCTTTCCCTTCTTTCTTCTTCTTTCTCCCTCTATCACTTTTTCATTCCTTCTTCTCTCCCTATTCTTGCCCACCCATCCTTCCCTTCTCTACTTCTTTCTCTCCCTTTATCCCTTCCCTTTTCCTTTTCTTTTTCATTTATTTTTTATTCATCTATTTATGTTTCAGGTTTGCCTAACAGTCATGGCTTCTTGAGGATCCTTGAGTCAAAACAATAACAACAAAAATTAAAGCAAGCAAACAAAGACAAATACAGTGATGCTTGAAAGTGATTTGACAAATGTTGTCACCACATGAAGTCGAAAGGCTCCATGGGTAGAAAACAGGACCAATTAAGTTGATTTCAAAGGAGCTCCTTTTGATCCATGTCTATGTAGATTATAGAAGTTCTGGTTTCTGTGGGCCCAGGGGGAGGATGTGCTTTTGAAATCCATCCTTCCAGAGCCTTCACCTCATTGTTTCTGGCACCATCTCAGCTTTTCTGAGTCAAGAGGAACGTTTGGTTCTCAGAGGTCTCCTTTTTTCCAGATGTTAGGAATGTGGGCCATGCTATGTTACACAAGATGAGTTGGGGGACTTATGGGAGTGTCCGAACCAATGGCTGGGCCAGTGGGTGAGCAGGTGGGAAGTCTGTGTGCAGGAGGCCTGGGCATGGGTAGGAGACCTTAGAAGGACCCCTGCTTGCTGCAGGTGTGTCCACATTGATGTGAAGCCTCCATGCCCTTGGATATGGTTTGGATGTTTGTCCCCTCCAAATCTAATGTCAAAAGTGCACCCCCAGTATCAAAGGTGAGGCCTGGTGGGAGGTGTTTGGGTCATGGGAGTGGATCCCTCATGAATGACTTGGTGCTATCCTTGCAGTGATGAATAAGCTCTCACTCTATTCATTCTCAAGAGAGCTAGTTGTTTAAAAGAGTCTGATACCACACCCCCCTCTCTTTCCTCCTCTCTTGCTATGTGATGCTGGTTCTCCTTCACCTTGTGCCATAATTGGAAGCTTCCTGAGTCCCTCAGCAGCAGCAAATACTGGCACCATGCTTCTTGTGCAGCCTGCAGAACCATAAGCCAAATAAACCTCTTTCCTTTATAAATTCCCCAGCCTTGGGTATTCCTTTATTGCAATGCAGAACAAACTAAGACACTGTTAACTCATGTCAGTGCCACAAACGTTAGTGAAGGGTTGAATGGGATGGCCAAAGATGCCTCCAGCAAGAGGGGATGCTCTAGCTTTCCAAGGATGGGACTCTGCAGTCTTGGCTGCATGTCCGGTCATTTCACCACCAAACGTATTTGAGGGTCATATTTTATCTTCCGCATTTTCAAGTGTGTGTAAATCATTGGACAAGAACCACCATGTCTTCTCCTTTTAAGCTGGCGCATTCTTCAGTCATGGCTCTGGCTGACACCCTTCCTCCTGGTCAGTGGGATGCTGTCATTGTCACTGACCAGATACTTCCCATCAGATGCCACAGTGAGGTATGTGAGGAAAATGACGGGGTAAAGTTATGTAGTAATGAAAATGAGTCAGTTACATATGGCTTGAAACTCTAATTAAGAATCTTTTAATGAATATCTCATTTTGACCAATCTTAAAGCATGGATACAAATGAAAAATGTTTTGTGAAAATGCAGTGGAGCATCAGCAATTGTATTTAATTCTCAGTTGAATGAATTTTAATCAGCAATGGTATCACAGGACTACATACCAAAGATTACAGACCTTGTTATAACGGACATGCACTTTATTTATAGGGTCTAGGACCTCATTACCATTAAATTCAGGCAAGCAAAGAAATCAAGAAAAGTCTCTCTTAAACAGAAAGCTGAGTCCCAGGGAAGGGAGATTCTGGTTCAAGAAATGTTCAAAGACGGACGGTATAAAGCCGCCTCCCTATCCAGCTTTGTCACTGAAATCGTCCTGATGTGATGCATGGAGCCACCTGCATGGAGAATATGGCAGTGTTTCTGTAAGCTTTTTAAAAGGAAATATATCGTGCAGTAAGGTATACACGCTGTGCATCTTGATGGATGTTTATGAACTGAACACACCTGTATAAACACCATGAGGAGGACCAGGCTGGAGAGTGCCACCTGTACCCTGGAAGGCCCCCTGTGCTCCCACCTGGCCATTAGCACGCCCACCTTCCTGCCAACCTCTGGGTTCTACAACCATCAATTTGTTTTGCCTGTCTTCTCCTTTAAAGATCACCATAAAGTATGTACCCTTTTCTGTCTAACTTTTTAGACATATCTCATCAATCCATGTTGCTCTCTGTAACAATAGATGCTTCTTTTCACCATTATATAAACATACTACAATCTACGCATTTATCCTATTGTCAATGGGCAGTTAGGTTGCTTCCAGCTTGGGGCTGCTATGAACAGTGCTGCTAAGAACATTCTTTTTCGTGTGTGAATGTAGCTACTCATTTCTGTGAAATACATACCGAGGACCCGAGGGTTTGACCTCTTTTCTAAGTGACCTCCCCCATCTCATGGCTTTATATACTCTCTGACAATGACCTGTGATGGTAGAAAGCTCTAGTTTGGAATGGCAAACTGCTGTCTGCAACTGCCCAGTTGGAACTTCTCCATGGATGTCTATCATCTCAACCTAAAATGCAATCAAACCTTGAGATCCCCCCACCCCACAACTCCTTTCAAGTCTCATTCATCCTCTCCAGTCCTTCAGGATATCCTACTGGCTTTATCTTTTTTCCAATCACTCTCACTGCGTAACTACTCACCCCCAGCGTATTGCCTTAAAAGGACAACAGCTCTAATGTTCACAGGTTCCATGAGTTAGGAATTTAGACGGCACAGAAGGGACAGCTTTTCTCTGCTCCATGGTATCTGGGACTTCAGCTGGGAAGACTCAAAGCCTGGGGGTGTTGTAGTGGCCAGGACGGGGATCACCCAGAGCTATCTTCACGCACATATCTGGAGTCCGGCTAGGATGACTCAAAGAGTAGGACTGGTGCCCCTAGCCCGTCTGTGGTTTCTCTAGGTGACCCGGTCTCTTCACAGCTCAGTGGTCTCAAAGTGGTCACACTTCTTACATGGCTTCACAAGGTTCTCAGCTGAGTGTTCCAATGAACGGGGGAGAGGATGCATCATTTTTAGGCCCCAGCCTCATGTGGTACAGCCATACTCGATTACACTTTTGCCATACTCTATTACACAGAGCTGTCATGAGCCTGCCATATTTAATGGAATGGGTATTAGACTCTGCCTCTGCATGGCGAGGTCACACTATAGAAGAAAGGGACTATTTATATTGGTGTGTCTCTCTGGAAAATATAATCTGCAGCCTGTCATCTTCAAAACATATCCAGAAACTTATGGCTTTGCCCCACCTCCCCCTGGCTCCAGGTACCATTATATCTCACCTGCATCATGAATAGTACTGTTATTACCTCTTACCTGTATTCTGGATGGTAGTGGCTATGCCGATGTTGACAATGATCCCAATAATAGCAGGTAATTGAGATCACCCATGTCAAGCATTTTGAACTGTTTTTTAGTCCTCACAGCAGCTTTAAAGCCAGTGTCCCATTGTACAAGTGAGGAGTCCCAGGCAAAGGGAGTTGAGCGGCCCAGCCCAGCCCCCATGGCCCCGCTGCCGCAGTGCCTGCCCTCCCAGCTTCTATGTTTCTCAGTGCAGTTTTTGGATCAGAGATATTTTGAATGCAAGGTACAGAGACTCACTGGAACCAGATCAAGTCACAGGGAATTTATTGCAAATGTACCGATCAGCCTTAGACAGCCTGGGTCGTGGTGCAGTTACAAAGAGCTCCAACCCAGGGACTCTGCACAACAAAGGTCTATGTCTCCTCACGTGGAAAATGTTGTGAGTCTGGCTGACTCATGTCGTTCACCTGTGTGTGGGGACCCCGATCCTGTGGTCCCTACCAGGAATGCAGTCTGATGGAGGCTTCATTGTCTACAGTGGTCAAGGGAACAGACAGCCAGAGGGCCTCCCAGCAGTAATGAAGAGCTTTGCGTAGTGGTGACACTGCCCATTGGCCAGGCCAGTAACACAGCACCACTCAACTGCAAGGGGCATGGGAATGTGTCATCCTACCATGTGACTGGCAGGAGATCAAAGCTGAAGGGGGTGAGGGTAGACTCTGGAGTTGGAGAAGCTGATGAGCTTATCCCTTTCTCTGGGTCTCTCTGTCTCTGTCTCTCTTTGTTCTCCATGGTCACTGGCTTCCTGCTGGCTCAGTCCCCAATGTCTTGGTCATTCAACTCCATTATTCACTGACCATTCTGAGAGTGCCCCAATTCCAAAATCTACAGAGAAGATGCAGCTTGGCCCAGCTGACCTTTCCTCACTGGTCACTCTCTGGCCTGCATATGGACTGCTCTGATCCAGTCTTATCTGGCAAGGGATGGGGAATCCCCAGGCAGCAGGGAGGAGCCGCCTAAGAAGCAGCCCTGGCAGGAGGCCCCAGGGATTCATATTAGTGGATTCTCACCTCCCTTGGACACTCAGCCACTCTCCGCCCTGGGGCCAAGCAATTGGCTGGGGAGCTGGCAGGGGCAAACAGACAGAAGCCTTTATTTGTAAAGCATTAATAGCTACGCATGGCAGGATTAACCAGAAACGGGTTTGGAGCCAGCTGGGACCTAGAGTGGCCCAACATCTGCAGGGCCTGCAAGAAGTGGTCATGAGTTCTGGGCAGATTCCCAAGCCCAGGCCACAGCCCTGTGGAAGGCTACCGGGAGCACGGCTGCTCTGTGCGTGTCTCTCCCAGACTGATGATCTCATTTTGCTGGGCCCCATGCTGCCAGAACACAGAGTGCTGTTTACAGCCCCCGTGCCCAATCAATCACTTATTCATACAGTTTGAAGATTATAGCTGCTCATTTGCTACTTCCAGTCCAACTTGTCATGGCGCATCTCAGGGGAGACATCCACACAGCTGTATTAAAGCCATTCAACTCCTTCTCCATGGCAACAAACTGGGGAGGATGGAATCCCACCAGCCCTGCTCACGAGCTGGATGTGAGCTCCCACCCGAGCCCACCTGCCCCACGGGAGCAGCAGGCGTGGGGTTCTTCATTAGCGCCCTCGTGCCTTCCAGCCAAAGCTCATAATCGTGGTTGACAGATTGCAAGCCATTTGTCATCAGCAGGGCAGAAGGGCATGGCTGCTGTTTCTCAACAAGGCCCTCTCACCTTCCAGGGTGATCAATTCAATCTAAATGCTGTTTATTGGGAGCCTGTTAGTGTCAACCTTGGGGTCTACTTGCAAGTTTTATTAATCAGACTTGTTTCCAGCCAACTCCAGCTTGCAGAGGAAGATGGATAGTATCAGGGAGGCGAGCTGCCCGGAAGCAAGCGATCCCTGTATCCTCCTTCTCGGAGACAGCTAGCTGCGTGTGCAGTTATGAGGAGAGGAAATGGCTTTTGGGGCGGGGGGGATCTCTTCTTCATACTGCTGTGTGGAACTGCCACCCATTTGCTGCCGGTGCTGGGAATCTGCAGGGAGATGGGAAACAGCCTTCCACGCGGTCTCTGCCAGCTCAAGGCAGTGTCGCAGAGCTCTGTGGATAAGAAACCAGATCCCCATCTCGGCTGGGACTTGTGTGTATCATCCATCCTTTATTACTGGTTGACGTGGACACTGACCTTCCAATTGAGATAACGTGCTGCGGGTTAGGGTCTCAAGTGCACATCCCTAAAAAACGCACTCTGGACAAAGGGGATGAAAAAAGACGTAAGAGCAGCTTCTCCTGACTTTCTCCCTTTCCCCGCAGCCTCCTCCCATGCACAGGGCAAAGACAAATCTCCTCTGCTGTGGCGTCTCCTCTGTTCTCTCAGGGAGCCCCTGCAGGTGCTAAGCCTTCGAATGCTGCCTGGCTCGAAACTCCATTAGCCAGTCAGTGCTTAAAGCAGATTAAGTAGTGTGGCAGGTTTTTTGAGCCTACAGAGGGCTCTTGGCATTCATTTCATTCTATTCAGAAAACTTCATTCTTTTAGCAAAAGGTTCCTGGCGCCGCTGAAGTTCATGTTCTATTCCGACTCAACCTGGGGCAGACATTGCCAGGAGGCGGCTCTTTGACGTCGACTGCTTCCAATCCGTTATTAATCACTGTAAATCTGGAATAATCTCTACAAACATATTTTGCTTCCTACAAATATATTTGTGCCAACTTTCTCTAATAAATCTTATGTCAGGCCGGCGACTGTCTCTCTTCACACAGCGTCTGCCAGCTGAAATATTTTAACAATATATGAGCAATACCAAAAATCGCTTGCTGCAGTCACTTTTGTTTTAGGAGAATTGACTACAACAGGGAATAAATTTATTACTTACAGAGGGCTCCATTTGAGGCTGGATATTTTCCCCCCAGTGGATTTTCTAGTTCTAGCCTTAAAAATCATGGAAGAATTCCATGTTTGTCTTCATGCAAAATGGGCAAGACGTTACTCTCTCCAATGAGAAAGGATATAAAATGACCGACCAGGCGTGGTGGCTCGTGCCTGTAATCCCAGCACTTTGGGAGGCCGAGGCAGGTGGATCGGGAGGTCGAGAGATTGAGACCATCCTGGCTAACATGGTGAAACCCCGTCTCTACTAAAAATACGAAAAAAAAAAAAAATTAGCTGGGCGTGGTGGCACACACCTGTAGTCCCAGCTACTTGGGAGGCTGAGGCAGGAGAATGGCGTGAACCCGGGAGGCGGAGCTTGCAGTGAGCCGAGATCGCACCACTGTGCTCCAGCCTGGGTGACAGAGTGAGACTCCATCTCGGGAAAAAAAAAAAAAAAAAAGAAAAGAAAGAAAAAAAAAATTAGCTGGGCGCGGTGGCACATGCCTGTAACCCCAGCTACTCGGGAGGCTGAGGCAGGAGAATCGCTTGAACCCAGGAGGCAGAAGTTGCGGTGAGCCAAGATTGCACCGTTGTACTCCAGCCTGGGCAACAAGAGCGAAACTTCCTCTCAAAAAAAACTGACCAACCAAACAACAACAACAACAAAAACCTCAGGGGGAAAAAAGGAGGCTTTTCTGCTCTGACCCTCTGGCAGGATCAGAAGGTACAGTGTCATCTCAGGCTTTCCTCCTGAAAATGGGCTTTCCCTGCTCCGTGCAATCAACCATCACGTTCTCCTGTAAATTTCCTCCCTTTACACAGTAATGGGGAAATGGTGAGGCTTGAGAAAGGGCCGTCTGGAGGAGAAGAAAAGGGGGCTTTGACAATGTGTTCTTGGTACAAAAAGGAATAGTTAGGGACATTTTCCAAAAACTCTTTTGCCTGGGAATTGAAAAGATACAACTAAGACCATGCTTTTCCCTGGATTATTTTCTCTGAACTGCCCAAAGCAATATATATTACAGTAGAATGTGTACTTTTAAGCAGTAAAAGGGGGAACTGGCACGGCTGTGAGAGCAGGACATTCAGAGGAAACGTGGAATTAGGGGACCCTTTCACATCAGGCGTGGGCTGGAAGCGGGGAGGAGGGCGTGGACTAACAAGAGGCTGTCACAGGGACTTCCACAGCAGCTGGCAGTTGTGTTACAGGCTATGGGAAGTACTTACCAGTTATTAGTGATCATCCATACATTCCTCGACAGGAAGCCTCTCAGTGAGTGGTGAGGGAAGCTTGGTTATTTTGTCATGTGGTGTGAGGACAATTTTGTCCTCACACATTGTGCAGCTGGAGGGTGTTGAAGGTGGGGTGTTGTTTTCTTTTCCATATATTCTCCTGTAGGTGAAAATATCCGAGCCACCCGAATGAGTGTCTACTATGAGTCACACACTTGGAAATTTAAAAAATAATAATAAAGATCAGCCAGAACCATGAGTTTCTGGATTCACTCTGAGCCTCTCATGAGCATGGGAGTCAACAGTTCTGCAGATGACAGTCTCATCACTGAGACAATTCAGGTGACATCTGTGCCTAGAGTCAGTCCTTGGCAAAAGTTCAGCCACACCAGAAAAATCAGCCGATTCAATTTTGCCTGCCTCTGTACGGGACTATTTCATGTAGAAGTGTTTTTTTCACAGCAGTTGCTTTTCTGAAAAGTTACATATAAGCCAGTTTGCCTGAGGGAGATGTGCTCTTTGAAATAATCCTTCCATCAGGTGAGTAATTGCCCCTTTATTTACCTACTTGGTAAGTTCAGACTTTCCTATGTTGTCATGACTTTGTTCAGAGATAGCTATGCCTTCTGCACACCTGCACACTGCGGGCTTCTATTTAAGAACCAGGGGATGGCCGTGAAAGGTGGTGTCAATTTGCATCCAAAGTGCAGCTACTGCCACTTTCACGGGGACATGGGAGGAGCAAGTCAATGCATCGTGGCCATGATCTGATGAGGCGAGGGCCGTGAATGCCTCGTGGGGACCTTGGACCTACCCAGATGTCCAGCCGAGATGATGCCCCCATGGAGAGGCAAGTGAGAGGCCAGGGAATGACTCAGAAGAGACTGGGCAAGTCCAGACCAGAGACCCTGGGGTCAAACCAAGGCAAGGAGCCGAGGAAGAGTCTCTTGTGCACAGTTGAAGGCAGACTGTCAGGGAGCAGTCCCCTGGCTGGTGCCTCTGGAAGGCTCAGTTCCCTTGCTCTGAGGGAGGACATGGAAGCTTTTGGCTCAGAAGCCAGAGAATGGTACCTAACGGCACCCTAGTGACACTGATGCTCAGTGAAGGAGAGTGCTAGACAGTGAGGAACCGGCAGCCCACAGAAGAGGCTGGAGAGAAGGCTGGAGCACCCAGGGAAGCGAGTCTGAGGCAGAAGTGGCCCTTCATTGACTAAATCAAGGTCCTAAAATCTCAGAGAAAAGACATGGGAAAGATCTCCCCTTTTACTTGTCCACTAAGGCCATACGAAAAGCCAGGCTTTGAAGAAGAGGCTGCTGTGGGGTGGCTCCAGCAAGCCCTTTGGAATTGCAGACTTTGGGTTTGTCTTTGTGCTCAGATCTCAGGCTGAGGCCCTGCTCTCCTCCTTCCCTCTGGGCCTCTGTAGTGTCTGAAGTTCTAAGGCTCAAAAGTGGAGGCATGGAAGAGAAGAGCCAGAACCCCCAAGGACACAGAGGCTCTGGGAGACCGGTGGGGAGACCCATGGCAGAGCACACACATGTGCGGGCACTAAGTGGGGAGGGGCAGTGGGAGTGGCCTGCCCTGGAGCATCAATGAGACAGGCCTTGCCTATAGAGAATTTAGAAACTGTAGTGACACCAGCTCACAGTCCATCTCCTTTCTCTCATTAACATGTGTTGGCAATTCTACACAAGGTCAGTGATAAAACATCCCATGCTGCTGGGAGATGCTCCTTCCGGCCCCTGGGTATGCCCCTAGGTCCAGGGACATCAAATTCAGGGCACTCGTGCCTTCATTTGCCCACCCATTTCCCATGGCAGAAAATGCAACTGATCTGACTTGGCTCTGTGTCCCCACTCAAATCTCACCTTGAATTGTAATAATCCCCACGTGTCATGGGAGGGACCCAGTGGGAGGTAATTGAAGCGCGGTGGTGAGTTTTTCCCATGCTCTTTTTGTGATAGTGAATAAATCTCATGAGATCTGATGGTTTCATAAAGGGGAGTTCCGGTGCTCATGCTCTCTTGCCTCCCGCGATGTAAGACGTGACTGCTCCTCATTCGCCTTCCGCCATGATTGTGAGGCCACCCCAGCCATGTGGAACTGTGAGTCCATTAAACCTCTTTATTTGAACAAATTGCCCAGTCTTTGGTGTGTCTTTATTAGCAGCGTGAGAACAGACTAATACAACAACTGATTATGGACTTCAAAATCCCCCTCAACACAGCATTCCAGGTTGCCACTCCTGTGTGGGGTCATCCTTGGACCTTAGTAGGAAAGGGCAGCTCCCCGTCCCCATGTGGTCACTCAGGGCTATGCCTCTCAAGTTTCAGATCCTGCCTGGGATACTACCTGATCCCCATCCTTGCTCCCTACTACTGCACAGCAATGTTTTCTGTGCATAAAAATTCTCCGCCTGTGTATCTCTAAAGATTTCATCCACACGTCAGCCTGTGCTGTGCGGGTTGGGTTCCAATGCAGATTAATGGCCTATGGTTGCTGGCATGATTATTTCTAATAGGCTGATTTGAGAAATAGGCTATTAATCGCTGTCACCTACTGGGCTAACATCATCTCACTGCAGCAGGGAACCCAGCATCTGCTGCTCCTGTGAAAAGGCTCAACCCCAGGCTGCTTTCTCACAGGTTCCTTGACAGTTTCAACCAAAGGGTTGTGTGCACAGCCAGAGAAGAGGGCCGTGGGCTTGCCCTGCCTTTGGCATCCCCCCCTCCGTTTTTGTCATTGCCCTGTTTATTTCCCTTCAAATCATTCTGGAGACGCAGTCCAGTGTTCCAAGAAGGGCAAGGGTTTTAGTCAGAGAGACTTGGACTTAAACTCTGGCTCAGCCCCCTTATCAGCTAGATCTTCTGTGTGTTATCGCTTTCCGGTTGCCTCAGTTTCCTGTCTGTGAAATGAAGCTACTAGTACCTCACTTCTAGGAGCTGTTGAAAGATGTGTGTAGGACATATTCTAGGCACTCAATAAATATGTCCTTCCTCTGGTTTTCTCTCCTACACCATTCCTGAGCACATTTCATCCATCTTTACAAGGGTGTGTGGCTTTCTCTCCTCTCCGCAGATGACAATGTGGTTTGGCTCGCAGACAGTGGGCTTATGCATGAGAATCACGGCCTCTTCTTAGCCACCCTTTCCTTCCTCATTTTCCTCTTTACTAAGATGCCCATTAAGTGCTTCTTTGTCCTTGGAAAATGTGCCAAAGTTCCAGACAGACAGGGATACAATTTTTGGGATCTAAAATCTGAGACTCTGTTCACTATGAATTATGGGGTCACTGGACAGGGTTGGTCACCCATAAGAACAAGGGTCAAGTGTCCAGCTGAGCAGGGGAGCCAGAGAGACACCCAAAGTCAATGGTAGAGAAGCAAGGGAGAGAACATAGGGGCATGGGCTAAAGTGATAGGAAAAGGGGAGGACAGATTGGGCTGGGAAACAAGGCAGGACTGGGGCCTGTGAAATCTGAAAATCAATTAGAAGGTCTCCCTGATCCCACAGAAGAGGCTGTCCTTTCTCTTTTCTATTCCTTACTGCTTTACATAAGAGCTAATAATACTAGAATTGGTTCATCTATCTATCCATCCATTCATCATCCAGCTATCAATCTATTCATTTATCTATCTATCCATTCGTCCACTACCCATCCACCATTCATCCACCATACATCCATCCACTCCTTCATTCATCCATCCACTCATTTATCCATCCATCCATCCATCCATCCATCCATCCATCCATCCATCTTTCCATCCACCATCCATCCACCATCCATCCACCCATCCATCCACTCATCCATCCATCCATTTATTAATTGATTCATTCATCCATCTATCCACCCATCTATCCAATCACTCATTCGTTCCTCCATCCATACATCCATCCATCTGTAGGGAAAGTAAAATAATTTGTTCTTCCATCCTCCAAGATTTTTAGTTGGGATGGACCCCTGTACCAAAAAAGAACAGATTATAAAGAGGCAAACAAACAGAAATTTATTAACATGTATATTTCATGTATATATGGGAGACACCTAAGGAGTGAGTAGAGGTGGCTTGGAATTCCAGCTTATATAACATTTTCAACAAAGGACAGTAACATTTTAGAGAAATGACAAAACAAAAGAAAAAGACCTTGAGTCTCTAGAGGCAGCAACTTGTGGAAAGGCAAATAAATGACAGATAAATGTTAGTTACCAAGGCTTGTTAATGTAGATTCTTCTGGAACATCTCCAGGTCGAAGAACCTACCAGTGTCTCTTTGTACCTTTGTTCATTCCAGTGTACCTTTTTTCTCCTTGGCAGAGAGGAGAGATGAAGGAGATGCATCCTTCATTCCTCCTTTGTAAATAAGTCCTGCTTTTACACAAATAGAGGGAGGTCAGGGAGCTTTCCTGTATTTGCTTCTTCTTCCAAGTTGGGTTCAATTCAACAATTCTTCATATTCTGGGGTGGCATATTTTATCTATTCATGTATCCTTCAACTATTTAGCCATCCCCACCCATTCATTCATCCATGCATCCATTCATCCATCCACCCATCCATTCACCATTCATCCATGTATCCATCCATCCATCAAGCCATTCATCCATCCATCCATGAATCCACCCATCCATCCACCATTCATCCATGTATCCATCCATGCATCCATGCATCCATCTATCCATCCATCCATCCATCCACCCATTCATCCATCCATTCATCCATTCATCCATCCACCCATCCATTCACCATTCATCCATGTATCCATCCATCCATCCATTCATCAATCCATTCATCCATCCATCCATGAATCCACCCATCCATCTACCATTCATCCATGTATCCATCCATGCATCCATCCATCCATCCACCCATTCATCCATCCATTCATCTATTCATCCATCCATCCATCATCCATTCACCCATCCATCCATTCATCCATTCATCCATGCATCCACCCACCCATCCACCATTCATCCATGTATCATCCATCCATCCATCCATCCATGCATTCTTATTGTGGTCCCACTTTGCTTGTCCCAAGCAAAGATGGGGAATGAATACAGCATCCTCCATTCCTCACCCTTGGAGGGAAACACAATTGCCAACAAACAACCAACAATGGTAAGTGCTTTGAGCTTATAGAAGAGAAAACAATCAATTTCTCCTTGAGGACCAGAGGGTAACCTTCAGAGTTGAGCCTTGGAGGACCTATGGAAGCTGATCGAGAAGAGCAACAAGGGTGAGAAACTTGGACAGGGCAAACCAGTGTCCTGATGGCCTGGGCAGTCTACAGTGCAGCCGGGATCTGTGGGAAGAGCCCTGTACTGAGGTGGGAGCACAGGTGGGGCCAGGCAAGGAAAAATGTGGCACACAAGGCTGGGTCAGCCTACAGCCCCTGAAGCTTGTGAGCAAGGGGAGAGGCAAGGCCCAATTCAAAGGTCAGAAAGAAGAGCCCAGGAAGAGGAGGCAGGGCCAGATGCCAGGATGATCCCTACTGTACCACCCCATCGAGGTTGGCCCACTGCTAGGTGGACCTGGAGAAAACAGGAACACATGAAGGAGTGTACTCATTTGACTCTGTGCCCACAGGCCTCAGCACACTGCTCACAAAGGAGTTGTGCCGTGAGGGGCTCCCTGAGTCACTCTGGCTTGGCAGCAGGACAGTCTCTCATGAAGTTGACTGTACAGAGGAAAGATTTTAGTCTCTGTAGTGACCACATTTTGGCAGCCCAGTAAACAGCACAGCCTGAGCATCCTCTTATGTCAAAGGCCGTGCTGGGTGCTATAGGACAGGCCTGTGGGAACACAATGTCCACTGGGGATTTAAAGGGGCTCACGGTGGCTGGGCGCGGTGGCTCACGCCTGTAATCCCAGCACTTTGGGAGGCAGAGGTGGGCGGATCACGAGGTCAGGAGATCGAGACCATCCTGGCTAACATGGTGAAACCCTGTCTCTACTAAAAATACAATAAAAATTAGCCGGGCATGGTGGCAGGCGCCTGTAGTCCCAGCTGCTGGGGAGGCTGAGGCAGGAGAATGGCGTGAACCTGGGAGGTGGAGCTTGTAGTGAGCCGAGATTGCGCCACTGCACTCCAGCCCGGGCAACAGAGCAATACTCTGTCTCAAAAAAAAAAAAAAAAAAAAAAAGGGGGGCTCACAGCTCAGGTGGCAGATGCCTTTGGGAGAACAAGTGAAGCAATCATGGCAGCTGGTGTGCCCTGAGCTGCTCCATCACTTCCCACGGGTACCTGGGAGGTCCCCACAAGACAGTTGCTACAGTAAAGCCCCTTTACAGAGATCAGGAGGCACAGAGAGACTAAGTCACCTTCCAGAGATCACACAGCTGGCAAGAGCCACAGCTGGAATCCAGAGGGCAGCTCCAGAATTCACCTCACACCTGCTATGGTATTCTGACCCTGAGTCTCCTTTAACTGGAACAGATCAACCATAGCTGCTGGCTGCTGCTTAATTGGCTGAGCCTCCAGCATGGATGGCATATATGCCTGTCATGGACAGCCGGCCTTTCTGTCCTTCCTTTCCCCCTCTTGGACGCATGCCCGCTCTAAGCAGAAAACACAATTTACGTGGATTGGATGCTCAGCAGCAGATTTTCTGGCTTATCTGAGAAACCGAGTAGCAGAAGGAGGAAGGAAGGGGGTGCTGGGGTGAGTCCAGTGTGACTGGGCAGCAGCGATCCTCCTGGATGGGGCCTGGGATGTGGGCACAGCAGCTCACTGCCAAGCCCAGCCGCTTCTCCCGGCCTCATGTGGTGCCCTAGCACAGCAGCAGGGAGTTGTTATTGATTCTAACCAGCCATTTGTTATCAGAAAATGAAGGTGCTGGCATTTGGCAAGATGCACGCTGGGTGTTTAATCAATCTGGAACCGACACAAACACATTCTTGGCTCGGGAAAGCTCTTAGGCAGGGTTCCTCCTTGTTACCCTCTTCTCCCAGGCAAAGGTGTTGCTGAGAAGCTCGCAGTCCCCAGATGCTCTAGGGTAAGCCTGGGTAACATTCAGGCTGAAAGTGGCCTCAGAGGTGCTAAAGGGTGATGGCCAGAGTACAAGGCTGGGAGAATTGTCCCAGAAGGGGTCTGGGGGGCCTCTCCATGGCAAAGTCCTCTTAGCAAACGAGGCTGATGTCTGGGGTGAGATGGGAGAGTTGTCTGAGTGCTCTTCATGCTAAATAAAGAAAGTCATAGCAGGGTTCCTGCCCCCCGAGTGCAGTGCGTGAACATTGCTAGGAACTGTCCTTTGGCCCTAGTGCTGATGATGATCATTGTGGCCTGGGGATCCCTTTCACTTCCTTTTCCAACCTCTGACTGCACTCTTCCATCTCCCACGGGGTCCTGCAGGCACAAAATGTGTTCTGTTGTCAAAGAGCCTTTGCCACACTTTCTGTGTCGTACAATCCTACCCCACCCAAACCTGCTGTGTACATCAGAAACAAGCCCTCCAGGCCCACTTCAGTCATTCCCAGTAGACAATTTCTCTTCATTTACAGAAAAAAAAAATGAAGTCATCGGACGGCAATGGCTCATCTCCCTAATAGCAGGAGCCCATCAGCAGAGACCAAGTGTGGTGGGCAGAAGGTCCCCAAGATTCCCCCTGCTGGTGAGCACACCCTGTGAAGTCTCAGGACCAGGAATGTGATGAATTCTACTCCCCTGATTAGGGAATGTGGTATGGCATAGCTGGCCTTAAGAAAGGGAGATGATTTTGGTTGGCCTGATCTAATCAGGTGAGCCCTGAAAAGGAATGGGTTTGTTCCCAGCATAAGAGATTCAGGGCATGAGAGGAATATGATGTGGAGGGAGATTCTCCATTGCTGGCTTTGAAGATGGAGGGGCTGCATGGAGGGGCTCGTTCTCTAAGAACTGAGAGCAAAAGTCAGCCAGGAGATGGGGACCTCAGTCCGACACACCCAAGGAACTAGATTCTGCCAACAGCCTGAGTGATTTTTGTAGTGAACTATTCCCCAGAGCTTCTGCTGACCACAGCTGACCAGTACCATCGGTATAAGGCCCTGAGCAGAGATCCCAGCCACATCTGACCTAAAGAGCTGTGAGCTGGTCAACTGGCATTGTTTTTAGCCACTAAGTTGTGATAATTTGTTATGCAGCAGTGGGTGACAGATACGTGGAAACAGTGCCTGTACATTGAGAGTGTGCCCTCTGCTGGCCCACTGTGACTTTGGCACATAGGATGGAAGAAGTGGAGCTGGTGCCCAGCACTCAGGGTTAGTGGAGCCACTCCAAGCCTGCACATGTCCAAAGCTGGAGCCAAAAGGGTTGGAAAAACTCTGCATGCTCCCAATAAGAGCATCCCTTGTACAGCTCTGCATCTCCACCCCAGACCTCTGCACATACCAGGCAAGTCCCAGCTTCAACCACTGGCTTTCAGGCTGTCATACCCATCTCACTGCCCCCTTCACTTCATGCCAGTCACTACCAGGAGCTCAGGACTGCCTGCTACCCCTGGCCCACATATCCCACCCCTCCCCAGTGCCCAGGACTGTCTAACAGGCCTTTGAAGCCCATGACCAGTCATCAGCCAGATCCAGAATCCTCCCTTTTCCTCTGAACCAAGACTTCCCTTCAAGTTTGTTTGAATGGATCTAAGATGTCTGCTGAGGACTCTCCTCATGAGGGGCTACCCTCCCTCTTAGGGCCTCACTCCCAAACCTGAAGATAGCTCTGTGTCTTCCTGCTCCTCATTCCCCGTGCCAACCATTCTCTCTCCCTCCTTCCTTGAAAATTCCAAGTCAGCCAACTTCTTGACCCCCTCCCATCCCTCTATCCTGTAGTCGTGACCTGACCCTGGGAGTACAGCAGAGCCCCTGGCCTTGGCTTCCCATCACTCTCCCCAGTGTGACTCTTGCCATCTTGTTAGTGACTATGCTAGGTTTGGAGTGGATTATTTGTAGTGGATTCTCCTAGATGCTCTATCTGTAAGATTTGACTCCCTGCTTTCCCGACCCTTCCATGCCTCCCTCTTCCTTATAGCCCTCACCTTCCCCTACAGCCACTCTTGGCACTTGCCTTCCCCCTTAAAGCCATTCTTGGCTGAGCGCTGGCTTCCTACTTTCCTGAGGATACAGGAGCAAGCCTGAGAGTTTCCACAATCTACCCCACCTTGCTTACCACCTTCCTGCACAGAATCTGCAGTAAGCCCCTCTGTTCTGTGAAGGGATGCTGAGTGCTGAGCCATGGCCACCCAGCGCCTGCACTGGGTCTGCCCTCCCGTGCACTGGGTCTCACCTTCTCTCCTGCTCGAGGACATTGCATAGCAATTCTCCCCACTCCGTCAGGCAGCCTCATGTGTCCCATGTCCTGGGCTGTTCCTGTTAGTGTACAGACGTGCTGTTATGGCTCCCTTCTTACAAAGAACCATCTCCTAATCAAAATGCCCTTCATGCTCCTGCCCCTGGCTTTCCTTCTCAGGCAGTGACATCCTTTAAGAGTTGTGCACACTTGTTCTCAATAGTCTGTCTTCTCCAAGTTTCCCCTGAACTCACTTTGGCCAGGTTTGCTTCAGCTGCTCCCTAGAATTGCTTCTTTATGGTCAACAATCACCAGCATGGTGCCAAACCCAGTGAGAAATGGGATAGGAAATTTTAGGTATTGACTTGACTGTATCGCAGGGTGCCCAGATATTCATCTAAACATTATTTCTGGGTATGTCTGTGGGGGTGTTTCTGAATGATTTTAGCCTTTGAATTTGTGGCTGAGTAAAGCAGGGCTTCCTCCCAAATGTGGCAGGCATCATCCAATCCATTGAGGGTGTGAGTAGAGCAGAAAGATGAGGGGAAGCAGAATTCTCTCTGCCTGCTTGCTTGAGCTGGGACCTCGGTCTACTGCCTTTGAACTGGGACTTACACCATTGATTCCTTTGGTTCTCAGGCCTTCAGACTTGGATGTCAGCACACCAGCTTTCCAGGGTCTTCAGCTTTCAGGTACCAGATTGTGGGACTTCTCAGCCTTCATAATTGTGTAGTTAATTACTCTGAATAAATCTCTCTCTCCATCCACCCATCCATACATATAATATGTATATTTATTTATTTCTCAAGCTTGTCCTGTTTCTCTGGAGAGCCCTGACCGATGTCAATGTTGAGTCTTCAGTCTTCATCATTTTTCATTGATCAGGGGAGCAGAGTTTGACACAGAAGAGCTTTTCCTTCTGAAAACACTTTTTTTTTTGAGACAAAGTCTCACTCCTGTCACCCAGGATGGAGTGCAGTGGCATGACCATGGCTCACTGCAGCCTTGACTTCCTGGGTCGAGGTGATCCTCCCACCTTAGCCTCCCAAGTAACTGAGACTATGGGTCCATGTTTGGCTAATTTTTGTATTTTTAGTAGACATGGAGTCTCACTATCGTTGTCCAGGCTGGTCTTGAACTCCTGGGCTCAAGCAATCTGCCTGCCTTGGCCTCCCAAAGTGCTGGCATTACAGGCAAGAGCCACCACTCTTTTTTAACTTGATTTTCAGAATCAGTCTTCTCCTGCTGTTTTGCTACCTCTGACCTTTCCCCCACTACCCCTCTTAGGACCCTACTGGTGTGGTTATCTCTCTTACCTTGCCCAAGCTTTCTATTTAGGACCCACTACTACCTGACTTTTCCCCACCTTTTCCCCCAGTGACCTCCTCTCCTGGCTCCTCCCTGTCCACACGACCTCTTGTCATGGCGGGTGCCAAGGCTCAGGCTTGCGAGCTTCCCTTTCTGCTCATTCTCACTCTTCAGTGCCAACACTGACTTTAAATGGCATCTATAAACTGATGTCTTCCACAGCCACGGCTCTGGATGGACTTCTTCTGACCCTAGAGCTGCCATCTGATCCCTTCCTCCTCAGGTCCATGTGAATGCCAGGCAGCATGAGCCTGACACATCTCATGCTGAGCCCTGACCTGCACCCCTGCCTGTAGGGCACCCTTCCTTTTTACTCCTTTGTGTATGCTATGGTTCCACTCCGTCCTTCCAGGGGCTCAGCCATGGACTTCTTCCAAGGCAGCCGGCTCTGCTGGACACGCCCTCCTTCTGATGTAGGTTCCTCCTGGGTCCTCTTTGACTTGCTGTCTCCTTTGCAGGCTGGGCTTGCTGTTGCCAGAATTAAACAAAGGAGTCCCTTTCAGTTCCCTTTAGGCCCTCTGGGCTGCTCACCCTGTACCCCATCCTTAAACAATCTCATTCGTGCCCATACTTTCCACCCACACAACACCCCACCCCTCCCTCTGGACTGTGGGTTTTCTACCCAACTCGTTCCTTGCAGGGCCTCCTTGGGTGTTGCCAAGTGACCTCAACCTCAGCTCAGTGCTTCCAGATCCAGACTCTTGGTGCTCCCTTCCATCCTCATTTATTTACCCTGTAAATGGTGCCGCAGAGGCCAGAAACATTCCCTTCCTCATTCCCTCCTCTAACCCATGGTCAGTGGGTACTGATTCTACCCTCCAAACACCTCCAAAATCTCCACTCCTCTCCATTTGGTCTAAACACCCAGCCTATCACTCATGGTCCTGCGCGGATCCTCACTGGGGTCCCTGCACCGACACCAGGCCCCTCTCGGTCTCTCCGTGTGACTCCACCTACAATGAGGGGGCCTCTTCCATGCCCAACTCATTCTCATCAGCACTTGGCTCAACCTCCTCAATGATGCATCCAGATGAAGACCAAATCTCCCCACCAACCTCTCCAGGTGCCTCTCCCACCTTGTCCCCAGCCCCCTGCTCTGGCCAGTGACTTCCTTTCCAGGCCCCTTCCCCACCACCTCTCCCACCTTGTCCCTAGTCCCCCTGTTCTGGCCACAGTGATTTCCTTTCCAGGCCCTGTCCCTGCTGCCTCTCCCTTCTGTAGGGCCAGCGCAGTCCTGATTCTCTGGAACTATATCCCTATTTCTTCCCTCCTTGGCCTAATTAATGCTCATTCATCTGCCGGCTCACACTCCTTCTGCCCCTTCTTCAAGGGGGTTCTTCTGTTGGCTTTTGCTGGGGCTGCTGTAACAAAGTCCCACAGACCCACAGACCCACAGACCCAGTGGCTTGAGCAACAGAAATGTCTTGTCACACGGCTCTGGGGGTTTGGAGTCCAAGATCAAGCTGCCCACAGTGTTGGTTCCTCCCCAGGCTGCAAGGGAGAACCTGGTCCAGGCCCCTCTCCAGCTTCTAATGCTTTGGCCGTAAGCTTTGACAGTCTTTGACCTTCAGACGCGTCACCCTGATCTCTATCTTCGTCTTCACATGGCATCCTCCATGTGTATGTGTCTGTGTCTACATTCTCCCTTTTTGTAAGGACACCAGTCATATTGCATTAGAGTCTTACCTGCTCCAGTATGAACTCAGCTTATCTCAATCTACTTACAAAGATTGTATTTCCCAGTAATGTCCGATGCTGAGGTACTGTTGGTTAGGACTCCCACATATGAATTTAGGGATGGGGCACACTTCACCCCATAGCAGGGGTGATCCCTGACTGCCCATCTGGGCTGAAGCTCTTGAAAGGGGCACCCCCAGCCCCATCATAGGCCAAGCATAGCTGCCGGCATTGTCGCATCATATGTCAGTTTCTGCTGATTTTTCTCTTTTTGTCTCTTCCTTAATTCTCTCTTTCTTTCTCTTTTCCAACTAGAGCTATGTCTGTCCTTGTTTTTTATTATATCCCTGTCACATGAGAATAGCTCACTAAAGTTGTTTTTTAAAATAAAAGTAATCTTTTAGAGCTCCAACTTCATATTCTTTACTCTTGTCCCTGTAAGTCTACGTATTTTTATATATTAAACCATGTGTCAACTCTTTGGGTTTGGGGATATATAAATACTGAGATTTTCCTACATAGTTCTAGAATAGCACAGGTGTGCTAGTCACAAATACGACAACTACTAATAATGAATAATAATTTCTGTAGGGAACTGCAAGACCAAGAAGTCCCTTTCTTGTCCAGTTTCCTAATGTGTCCTATGGACCTACATGGAATTTGCAGAAATCAAAGATGCCTGAGCTGCAGACCTCTGCTTCTCCCACACAAGGAACCCCCTAACCCCCAGGACCCTTGCCTCACAGGAGACAGGCCATCTCCTTTAAAAGCAGCCATCTGCATTTGCTGCACAGAGATCTGGCAATCAAGACCTGTGCACAGTCAGTGGCCAGCACTTAAAAGTAGATTTGTTTCAATCTCCATGGTAATTTCCATTCATCAAGGCACAAAATAAAGTCTCGAGATGGAAGTGACAATAAAACTCTGGTTAGAGGGTCAACGGTGATGACGGCTGATGTTGAGTGCTGCCCTGTGTGCTTTATACCATTGTCTAATAAAACCCTACCATGCTGGTTCTCGAAATACCATACTTTCACAGATGAGGAAGCCCAGGTGCGGCTAAGCCGAATTACCTGCATGGCTGCTGCAGTCAGTGGCTGAGTGGGTACTTGCACCCAGCTTATATTCTAAGTAGACTTCAGTATATTGCCGATGATGTGGTCTCTTTATCATTTGTCCTTGAGATTCCATCTGGATTTCTCAGCAAACCATCTTCCCTCCAGCATCCTTTCTGGGAGGTGATCAACCCAACCAACAAAGGGATCATCCATTAATTCTACAACTATTCACTGAGCTTTTACTCTGCCCCAAGTACTGTTCTTGGCACTGGGAAACAGCAGTGGATAAACTGAAGTCCCTGTTTTCACAGTTTGAATTCTAGCAGAAGGTGGCAAACAACCAACAAAATAAAGAAGCAAGATACACAGGAGTAAGTGACCCAGAGGAGGTGTGACAGGGACAGGTGGAGGAGGTGGTGCCTGGCAGGAGGACTGATTTCCTGCGGGATGGTTGAGGAAGGCCTTGCCAAGTCAAAGTTTGCAGAGGCTGCAGATGGGCGTGCTGGTCTCAGGGCAAAGAGGCTTCCCTACAGAGTGAGCAGCAAGTGCAAAGGCCCTGAGGTGGGAATGTGTCTGGCTTTTGCGTCATAGGAAGGAGGCCAAAGTGTGTGGGGAAAGTAGTGGGAGGTCAGAGGAGTAACAGGGAGTAGGACAAGTGGCCTCACAGGTCACTTAAGACTTTGGCTTTTGCTGTGTGATAAGAAGCTTCTGGAAGGTTTTGCCAGAGAGGTAGTAGGCCCATCCTCATGTTTGTCCTCCTCTGCCCTACAAAGCACTTTACCTGGGCCTCTCTTCCAGCACTTCCCACTTACTGCTTATGAATTATTTATGCTTGTCTAATATCTCCCCTTGGAGTGTGTGAGCTCCAGGAGGAGAGATTTATGTCTGATTCATTTTGTATACCCAGCCATGCCCAAGGTGGTGCTGCTGCATGGCCGTGGTTCACGGCAAGCTGTGGAATGCAGTCATGATAGCACCAAGGAGGAAGCTTCCATGTGCACTTCCCATCTTCCAGCTTTTCTGTTTGGTTGCTTTCTTGGGCAGCCAGGAGATGAGTGGCCTACAGTTACTGAGGAGCAGAGGATAGAAAAAAAAAATACTGATGTTGGCTGCGGGCAGTGCCTCATGCCTGGAATCCCAGCACTTTGGGAGGCCAAGGTGGGTGGATTACCTGAGGTCAGGAGTTCGAGACCATCCCGGTCAACATGGGGAACTCCCGTTTGTAAAAATACAAAAATTAGCCAGGCGTGGTGGTGCGCACTTGTAATCCCAGCTACTTGGGAGGCTGAGGCAGGAGAATCACTTGAACCCGGGAGACGGAGGTTGCGGTGAGCAGAGATTGTGCCACCACACTCCAGCCTGGGCAACAGAGGGAGACTCTGTCTCAAAAAACAAAACAAAACAACAACAAAAAAACTTATCTTGGCTGGGCTCAGTGGCTCACGCCTGTAATCCCAGCACCTTGGGAGGCTGAGGTGGGTGGATCACAAGGTCAGGAGACTGAGACCATCCTGGCTAACACGGTGAAACCCCATCTCTAATAAAAATACAAAAAATTAGCCAGGCTTGGAGGCGGGCACCTGTAGTCTCAGCTACTCGGGAGGCTGAGGCAGGAGAATGGCATGAACCTGGGAGGCGGAGCTTGCAGTGAGCCGAGATGGCGCTGCTGCACTCCAGCCTGGGGGACAGAGCGAGACTCTGTCTCAAAAAAAAAAAAAACAAAACAAAACAAAACAAAAAAAACACTTATGTCATGCCACAGTCCCCAAGGGGGCTGGCTCTTCTTTTCCTCTAAAGAGGAATTGTATTCACTTCCCCAAGACAGAAACCAAGACAGCAGTGACCAGTAGCTTTTGGAGATCTGCTGCCTTCTGGAGGGAGGCATTGCTCGCTGCTCTTTAAGGTTGAGCTTGCTTTGAGAAGGCTTCTGAACTGGCTGAATCCCAAGTGGCAGGGTTTGTGGCTTGACCTGGGAGGCCTAGCATAGCAGCATGTCCATGATTTAGCAGGCTCTAAAGGAAACTGAGTTGGATAATGAGAGAATTGGCTACACTCTTAAAAGAAATTCAAATCTGCTTTCATGAGCAATAAACCAACACACACACACACACACACACACACACACAAACACGCACATGCATACGTCTTGACCTAATTTCATGGGGAAATTATGCCAGAGAAGGAAGTGGGGGAAAAAAGGAAGGAAGATCTGAATACAGGAAAATTCTACTTTAGAATTTTCCAGGTGGAACATTAAAGGTGAATTGGCCAAGAGTACCTTGTAGGTTGATGGAAACTGGGTACCTCTCAGTGCATCTTTGATCCTTTTCATTAAAGCTGATTAAAATATAAATTGGCTGTCTCCTCTTAACAGGGTTTTTTTGGACATTCACTTAATGCTTGAGTGAGGAAAATTAGGTCCTTCAGTCTGTGTTGGAATTAATCTCTTAATTGTATCCTTCCGATGATCTTCTTGCTTGTCTGTTGGAACAGTTTGTTGGGACACATGCTTTCATGGAAGAGGAAGCCACAGGAGGTGGGAGGGCAGGCTGTGCCAGGCGGCAGGGCAGGGCTCCGATAACCAGGGCACGATGGAAGCTTCCAGGAGGACAGTGAGGCCAACATCTGTGCAGAGTGGGAACTGGCAGGGACCAGGCAGCAAAGATTTCATTAAAGATGCTTCTTCTCATATGTTAAGCAGGCTGGGTTTGTTAGTTTGGGCAGCAGGCTGGGTTTGTTAGTCCTGTTCAGCTGAGAGGAAGCCAGGGAACACTCATGCTCGCTCCCTGGGAAGCACATGGCAGAGAGGAACAGAGATGTCCAAACTGGGCCCGATGCAGGAGTGCCCCGGGCAAAGCCTCCGCATCTGCCCCTGGGTTGCCAGGAGTGCCATGGACAGCATCAGAACGGGAGTGGGAGAAATGGGCTCCTCACGACGTGGAGTAGAGGAGAGGCAAGGCGGGCAGGCAGGTGAGGTTCAGAGGCCCGGCACTCAGCCCTGCTTTTCATCAAAGCAAAATGGTATTTCCGGGGTAATCCCATCGTGGACACAGTGCAGTGAGAACTGGAGGTATTGACAGTGTAGGTTTCGACTCGACTTGCTTCTTTCGGACTACTCAAAATCTACCCAAAGATGTTTGCACTGTATTCCCTTTTCCCATCTTAAATAATTTCAAAATGGGATGGAGAGCCCAGCAGAGCTGCAGACCTTGATAGATGTCTCAGCAACTGGACTGATGGCAGGGCCTTTCTCCAGGAAACCAAGCTCTTCAGAAGCCTCAAAGCTGAGCTGCTAATGATGTGGATGTAGCAAAGAACACGACTTGGCCTGAACCCTGGCACTCGTCCTAAGTTCTTCCCCACTCCCGAGGACCCACAAGGGGCCCGGCCCATTCTCTGAACCCCTCTCCAGAAAGGGTTCTGCTGGTTTTATTCAAAAAAAGTGACCATCTGTCACTTTTCTTCCTCTCTCACCAACGACTGCTGAGGTCCTGGTCCAAGCCCCATCCACACACTGCGTTGGTTCTGTTTGTCCCTTAGATTTGCTTCATTCAGTTATGCTCCAAATATTGCTTGTGCTCCAAGTGCCAGTTCTCTTCTAGGTCTGAGGGCGCAGCAGGGAGCAGGACAGACACAAAGCCTCCCTCTCCCTGGGGAGAAGGGAGAATAAAGAACTAAGCAACGGCCCACCCATTCCCAGGGCCATTCTGCTGACTCCGTGAACGTTCCCAGGGCTGAGTTGTTGGGTAGGGAAGCATGTGGGCAGCATGGCAATGCCAGGCTTGGGAGCAGCTTCCAACCACCCTTCTTTCTCATCTGTCCGTATCTGTGGGCCAGGGGTCCAGCAAGGGCTTGGCTCGGTCCTGTGCTCAGGGTCTCGGAGGGTGAAGCCAGATGTGAGGTGGGCCATGCTTTCATCCGAAGGGCTGAGTAGGGGAAGACTCAGTTTCACGCTCAGTCAGGTAGTGGGCAGAATTCACGTCCTGTTCCTGTGGATGTCAGGACTGGGGACTCAGCTCCTGGAGACACCTGCATTCCCTGCCCACGGGCCGCTCCAGGGGCAGTTCGCACCTGGTCATTGCTTCAGTGGGCCTCTCACACAGGCCTGCTGGGAGGGGGTCTTGCATAACGAAGTGTAAACACAGAAGCGACCCCCCCGTCTCCTTCGCTGTGTCCTGTTGCTTAGGAGAGAGTCGGGCCCCACCCATATCCATGCCCGGTCTGTGAAATGGGAGTGATGAGTGGCCAACCCTAAGCCTGCTGTAGCATCAGGTGCAATCCCACACACGAGGCACCTGGTGCACATGGTGGCTCCTGATAGGTCCCTAGTCAGGGGTGATGGTTTGCTTTTACTGAGAGGCCTTAGTGAACCTAAAGCTAGGGGGAGCCCGAATGTGCCTTCAGAGAAAATCCCTCCTGATGACCCACGCTTCTGGATACACAAGGACTTTGCTCTTGGGAAGAAGAATGGAGGGTGTATTAGCCAGGGTATTAGCTCCAGAAAAACAGAAGTAATAGGATACCTGTGTGTGTGTGTGTGTGTGTGTGTGTGTGTGTGTGTGAGAGAGAGAGAGAGAGAGAGAGAAAGAGATTTATTTTAAATAATCGGCTCGCACGATGTTGGGGCTGGCAAGTCCCCACAGGGCATGTGTTCAGGGCAGGCTGGCAGGCTGGGGACCTGGGGATGAGTTGACACTGCAGCTGCAGTCCCAAGGCAGAGACTGCAGGGAGAACTCCGTCCTCTTAGGGAGATCTCAGCCTTTGCTCTCAGGCCTTCCACAGGTTGGACAACCCACCCACATGATGGAAGGTCATCTGGTTTCCTCAAAGGCTGCTGGTTTGAATGTTAATTGCATGTAAAACATATTCTCATAGCAACAGCTAGACTGGTATTTGACCAAATATTTGGGTCCCGTGGCCTATTCAAGTAGACATAAAATTAACCATCACAGAGGGAGTTTCTGGCAGCCACAGCCACCAGGCCTCTCACCCACCATAGTGGGTGGTGCTGACCTAGGATCCTGGGGTCTTGGAGAGGAGCAGTGAGGCTGGCACAGATGTGCGGACGGCCTCTCAGGAGCCCCAGGGAGAGCCCTGCTGCCTGGGCTCAGTAGGGCTGGCTGGGCCAGTGCCCATGAAGTTGGGCGGCTTTGACTGGAGAGAGAGTTTGAGCAGTCAGGGTGAGCAGCCCACCCAGGTTTGAGGGTGAGGGGCGTGCAGGGGACCCCCACCTTACTTGGGCACAGCCATGCAAGGCCCAGCACCAAGGCACTGTTTGTCCTTCGGTGGCAAGCAGTCTGAAAATGAGAGAGGACGCTTGCAAGAGTGGAGCAAGGGCAGGCCTTACTGGGCACTTTGCACCTGGGAATGCCCCACTGTGCACACAATCTAACCACTGCCCAACCCCCACCCTCCCTGGAGAAGTCCCTGCAGGTCTCTGCTTGGCTAAAAAAGACCTGGGATTGGACACCTGAGCTGAGAGCTCTGGGCCATCACCAGCCAGGCTGAGATTCAATCTGGGGACAGTCATCGGCTCCGTTAGGGAATGCCTGCAAGGGCCATAGGGCACTGAAGGGTACCGGGAATGGGTGGACCTGACAGCAGAGGGCAGTGGACGCAGCCAGGGTCTCCAAGGAAGGGCCCCAGGCAGGGCTGATGGGAAAGCGAGTCTGTAATTCTGGGTAATTTTTTTCACCTCCCGGCTTCCTGGAGTTAATATTGTATTAGGTTCTTCCTGCACCAATTCAGCTTTGTGCATGAGACATGACCCTGTAGTTTGCCCCGGGCCCTGTCACCTGCGTGGTTTGCTCTCAGAGCTGCTGTCTGTGTGCTGCCTCCACCTCCCCGGGCAGGGCATCACACTGCCTCCAAGCTGCCAGCATATGTGTGCTCCTTGCCACCAGAGAGCACTCGCTAATGCTTGTTTTCTGACCCCCGGGATGCTCTGTGCTGTCCTTTTATTTGAAAGAGGGTGAATAAATCTGCCTGTGGTGGGGCCACTGCCTCTTCCCTGGCCTGCGAGTGAGGTTCCCTGAGGACTCAAACATGCTTCTCCCTGTTGGATATTGCATCTAGGACCAGGGCTGCACCGCAGGTGGCGGGTTCTTCATTTGTCATCCCCAAAATTCTGTAAGCAAGTCCCCACCCCGAGGGTATCAGCCATACCTTAGTTAGCCATCTAACCCTGAGGCTTAATGGTGTCGGGGGATACAGCAAGCACTGAATAATTACTAGGACGAATGCAAATCCAGAGGCTTGGGTTCTGCTGTCAGGGCTGCCGGGACCTTCCAGGGTGACCCTAAGAGGTCTCGTCCTTCCCAGGGTTTCCCCATCTGTGAACCCATGCTGGGTTGTTATGTAAATGTCTTTGATTCTGTGACAACATTGAGCTGATGGGGTGGAACTGAGCACAAACCATGACAATTTGGCAGGCAGAGATTAAGGGGAAACAATTGTTTTGGGACAACATCCCTTGTCTACACTTACTGCTTTACAAATGAGTCACTCTGTGACATGACTGAGGCTCTCTCGGGTTACTCGGCATAGAATTTCCCGCTCCTTGCTCTATGCTTGCTAGTGTTGGGCCGCCCCTCTTCCCCAAGTCCCACTTGGCCATCCCTTCATTAAATTACAAGTTCCCCATGTTCCCCCAATGCAATTATCTACCGCTTCATAACTCCCTGGACTTGGATCCACTTCCACAGAAAAATATAGTTAAAGATATGCTGTTTTAATTAATTTCCCTTAGCTGGGTTTCCACTCTTATTTCACCCTTGGAAATACAAACCCACAATGGGGTCCGGTGCATCTGTGGGCTCCTTGTGCCTGTCACTAGTCCTTCTTGGAGCTGTTTGTGCCTTGCATCTGGGCAGAGGAAGTTTCTATTCATTCGCTGACTCCTCTTACTGGTTCTTGGGTAGCAGCCCCCAACTTGGTCTGAAATCCCCAGGTCTGGGGATGATAAGGGCTTCCTAAAAATGCATGTCACTCCTGGCTGCATTCAGCTCCTGAACCTCCAGGTAACCTGCTTCTCTTCCACCAGCTTTGGGCACTAGCTGGGGCTTTTTGCCCACTCCTTGAATCTCCGTGTGCTCAGCTTGACTCAGCACCCAGCCTAAGTGATTGCTCCATGGAACAGCAATGCCTGCCATCCTCACATTGCAACAAAAGGATGCTCTAAGCCAATTCTCATTTGTGATAAGAATGGAGCCAATAATACAGAAGGAAAATGCAATCACAAGGTGTTAAAGTGGTCCAATAGCCTCTTACACAGAGGTCAAGAGGAAGATCAGGCTGGAGAAGTAAGTTAGACAGTTACCCTGGGCTATGACACAAGCTTTAGATTCAAAGCCTGGCATCCTAAGGGTGCTCCCACACTGTGTGCTGAGCAGGTCCTCTGGAGGCTGCTGTGCCTGTGTTTTTCTCAGGCTTTGTCTCCTGGAGTCTCCCCAGTAGCCCCAGGAGGGAGCTATTTCCTTCCCCTTTCACAGAAGAGGGAGCTCTAGGTTTAATGAGCTTACTGACCAGGACTTTTGGAAGACCCCTGGGGTGGGGATGGAAAGAAACAAGATTCAGATCCAGCATCATCTGACCTTAAGCCCAAGCAGGAGCTGTGATACCCAGAGAGCTTGTTTGCCATGTAGAGTCCGTGGCCCTCTGGGGCTAATCCAAGTGTACAGACAGCAGGGAGTCTCCAGAGCAGTTCTGAAGAAGCACCCTGGAGCTCAGCAGAGGAAGCTGACCTGGGCTGTGCTTCCTGACAAATGCCACCACTCATGAGTGACTGCGAGACAAGAACTGAACGTGAACCAAACCACTGGAGGGAGTCACTGCAGAGAAACACAGTGACTCATTGTATTATAATAAAGATAATCATTCTCTACTAATTGGTGCAGTCAATTGGCATTTTTCTCTACTGGGACTCTCCCCTGAGTGAAGTCCCCTCCTTTCCTGAACTGTCTCTTTCTTCCTTTCTTTCCCAATCAGTTCTGCATTGTTGGATGTTTGCAGCCCTGGTTTCACTTGGGTAAGGTTTTTGGTAGGGTTTGTTAAAGTAACCTAAAACCTCTTTCTCAATATGGCATGTACCAGTTTTACCTGGAGAATACACACGGAATGAAGATTGGTTCCTGACTTCAGTGAGCACACTATCTAGCTGGAGGGGGGCATATTAACAGTCATAAAATTACATGTGAGTTGTGGGAACACACGCACGCGCGCACACACACACACACAAGTGTGGACAACTAGGTCTTGAAGGAGACCTAATCGGCTACAAAAGTCAGATGAGCAAAAATTCTGCTGCATTTAAGTTTGGTAGGTAATCTCAAGGAGGGGACTGATCCTGTGTGAGGGACGATAGCATCCCCCTAAAAGCTGGGAAAAAGGGGTTTCATGCTCACAGTTTGTAACAACTATCCTATAAAAAGTCAAACAAGAAATGGACTTAAGACTCTGGTTGCCTCTTTGGTGTGGTCAAAGGCCACCATCTTCTCTCTTCAAGGCTGCATTCTCTAAAAGTTTGGGAAACTCTCCCTCCTCCCCTGCTCCGCCCCCATTCCAGGGCCCATAAGCAATTCTATGTGTATTATTCCTCACTTGCATTGATAAATAGGCAATAAAAATGCACAGAGAAGTCAGCTGGATCAATTTATTTCCATTCTCTTGGCACAGTCGTGGTAGTGGCAAAGACTGAGATGACCGACAATGCTATTTCCACAGCGAGAAGTGGTGTGATGTTGGGGATAAATTACCCTTAAATGTCACATGGTAATGAGGCTGCATCTTCAGTGATTTATCTGGCTTCCTTCTTACCCAGCAAACACTCCAAGCTGGCAATAAAGCCAGGCAGTGATCATGAAACAACCTTCATGGCATGAAAAATGGCCCCGAAAATTTATGGGGGACGTGGATGACTTCGTCAAGACTCTATAGTTACAGAACTTCCTTCTTGGGATTTCAAGTTAAGAAAGGCAGAACTGGAAAGAGTAAAGGAGTGTGAGGCTCAGAGGGTGAGGACACAGGGCACTGCACAGGGAGATCTCCAATAACTCTGCTTTTCTTCCCTTTTTAATTAAGATTTCTGTTACGTATAAGCCACCATGGCTTTCCAGAAGGGAGCATGGATGGTCGGGCAGCAGCTTTGAATTTGTGGCTTGCCTCATGTATTAGTCCATTCTCATGCTGTTATGAAGAAATATTTGAGACTGGGTAATTTATAAAGAAAATAGGTTTAATTGACTCAGTTCCATATGAATTGGGAGGCCTCAGGAAATTTACAATCATGGCGGAAGGCACCTCTTCGCAGGGCAGCAAGAGAGAGAATGAGGGCCTGTAGGGGAAATGACACACGCTTATAAAACCATCAGATCTCATGAGAACTCACTCACTATCATGAGAGCAGCATAGGAGAAACCACTACCATGATTCAATTACCTCCCACCAGGTCCCTCCCACGACATGTGGAGATTATGGGATTACAATTCAAGATGAGGTTTGGGTGAGGACACAGCCAAACCATATCACCTCAGTCCTCTGTCTAGGAATGCAGCCTCTAGATCCCAGCTGAAGAATGTGAACAATTGAACTGCATTGCAGAGTTGGAGAGTTGGGAGAGCCAGCCCACACCAAGAGCTGCTTCTCTTTGTCCTTTGGTGTCTCCTCTGTGATAACCAATGGTGCCAACTGTAGTGAGAGGGAGAAATGCCAGCAGCTAAGCAGGAAGAGAGGGTAGTTAACACCCTCATGACATCAACTCCAGCTCCATGCAAGTGGCCTCCCTAAGAACGCACCCTCCAAACACCTGCGGTGATCATGTGGGCTCTGCACTTAAGGCTCCAAAGAGTTTGGAACTCTTCCATCTTCTGGTTCATAACAGCTGCAAACACTCCCAGCCCTGATATGGACTTGCTATCTGGAGCTGACCCTCCAGCATGGTCTCTCCTTTCATGGCATGAGTAGATCTACTGGACTTCCTCTAGGGTTGGGTGTTCTTGGGGGTATGGGGACTAGTTAAGCCCCCTACTCTTTAATTTTTCTTTTCTTGTTCCAGTAGCAACCAGGTTTTCCAGTAATACAAATGGACTCAAGACATTTGTTTCACCAAAGTCTGTGTCCTAAGTACACCAGGATGGTGGATCTGGAAGGTTCTGTTACCCTCTGGAGACAGCAGAACTTATACCTTGACCTGTGACAGCACAGCCTACTGAGTCAGTGGAGGAACGTTAGTTCTCACCGTTTAGCACTGGCTGCCTCGGACCTGCCATCTCTCCTGAATGAGGGCATTAATTCAAACACAAATTGAAATAGCCGTTCACGTCTCTTGGTGGGAATTCAACAAGCAGAGGGCTGTCTGAAAGTGAATTAGTTGTCCACTGAGAAATCAAAAACCTCAGGCTTTGCAAAGTGAGAGAAAACGTTTGACCTTTTGAGGACAATTTTCTGCTTTATTCTTCCGGACGCCTCTTCCTCCCCAGTGAGGTCTAATGGCTGAATGGTGTTCTCCACCCCAGTTCTCTCCCCACCACTGTGCATAGGAACTCTCAGGATGCCCCTGTCCATCTTGTGTCTGAGACGTCTTCATCTAAAAAGTTCCTTTTCTTCTCTTCGCTTGTCTTGCTCACTTCCTGCTATGATTTCACAAGAAGAGAATGTGGGGGCGCTCTTTCTCCTCCTGCATCAGGTTGTGAGGGTCATGGAGGGTCCTACAGGAGGAGAGCCTTGCTCCTTCTGAAATCCTGTTACTCCGTGCTTCTCGCCCATGTCTCTGTCTGGCTCAGGTTGCACATGCAATGGGGAAACAGGTGGGTTTGCTATGCATTTGTCCATTCACCCGTTTCCTCAACACATGTCTGTTGAACACCTACACCTACATGCGTGCCATGCCCTGGGCTGAGCAAAGCAGATATGGTGCTTGCCCCACCAAGCTTACTATCTAGTAGGAGCCACTGGGCAGGAAATAAGTCACTGAAACATCACTGCAAATGATGCTGTGTGCTCCAGAAGAGCTGCCAGAGTGCAGTGACAAAGGCTGCCAGGTAGGCCCATTGAACTGTGGTAGGAAGGAAGGGAAGGAAGGTCTCCAGCAGCCAAGGGACCCCCTCCTCTCACCCCTTGCTAACACCTGGGTAGGCACAGGCAGCACAGAGTGCAGGCTCTGAAAGATAGAGCTGGCTTCAGAATGCGGTACTCCAAATCCCCACTGACAAGTCCCGCCCTGTGTCCTGATGGGAGCCGACTCTGACTGAACAGACACTTCCACCTGCCAGACACTGCCCTGAGAGCTTTCTAGTAGCTCCTTTGAGGGAGGGATTATTACTATTTTCCCCACTTTTCTGTTAAGCAGACTCTACCTGTGCTTGGACATGTGACTGGCAAGGGGCACAGCTGGGCCCCAACCATCAGTGTCCCTCTGGGGTCTATGTGCTCAGTGCCTGGGTCTCTTATTGCTGTTTAACATGGTACCATACACTGAGTGCCTTAAAAAACACAACAACAAATGCACTTACACCTTGTGGTTCTTGGGGTTGGGAGTCTGCCGTGGGTCTCACTGGGCTAGAGCTAAATGAGGGAAAGGCTTCCTTTCTTTTGGAGGCTCTGGGAGAATGCTATGGGCTGACTGTGTCCTCCCCAAATTCCCATGCTGAAACCTAACCCCCAAGGGGATGGCACTAGGAGGTGGGGCCTTCAGGAGGTCATGATGGCATGAGGGTGGGGCCCTTGTGAATGAGGTTAGTGCCCTCATAAGGGAGGCCCCAGGATCTAGCTCATGCTTTCCACCATGAGGAGACAGCGAGAGGCACCATCTACGAGGAACGAATCCTCACCAGACACCAACTCCACCAGCACCTTGATCTTGGACTTCCCAGTCTCCAGAACTGTGAGAAATACATTTCTCATCTTCGTTAGCCACCAGTTAATGGTGTTTCTTTTAAGCAGCCAGAATGGCCTAGGAGAAGAGAGATCCCTTTCTCCTCAGCTTCTAGGAACTACCGGCATTCTTTGCTGTATGGCCCCTCCTTCCACTTCAAAGCTGACAGGGCAGCATCTTCCAGTCTCTCTCTGACTCTGATCCCCCTGCCTTTCTCTTAAAGGATGCCTGTGTTGATCCTGGGATGCCTGGGGAATCCAGGATGCTCTCCTAACTCAGGATCCTTAATTCAACAACTTCTGCAAAGCCCCTTCTGCCATGTAAAGTTGCATATTCACAGGTTCTGGGGACTGGAATGAAGACATCCCTAGGGGGGCACGATTCTGTCTACCACCCTCAGCTGCTTTGCTGGGACCCCTCTTCCTGTGCTGAACCATCTGGAGCTCTCACCTGCTTCTCCATTATTGGTACCACTCAACTCCACATCTATGACCATGGAGTCAGGCGAACCCCACCTTGCTGCCCCACTCAGCAGCTGTGGGACCTGGGGTCGGCCATCCCATTTCCCCATTCGTGTCCTGGCAATAACAGCAGCACTTCCCTCTTAAGTCTGCTGCTGTGACAATGAGTCCACGTATACAGAGCACTTTGTAAAGCGTATGGCCCGTGGTAGACTCTCACAAACTGTGGCACTTCCATTGTTATCATCACCATTGTCTCCTCCACGAGTCAAATGCCCAGAATAAATGGCAGTAGAGAATTGCAGCACACTTGACTACAGCCCAACGTCTGAAGTAACAAGGAGCTGAGTGAGGGCCAAGAGGCCATGGTCCTGTTTTTAAAGCAAACATAATCTCCGAGGGGCCCTCTGTGAATGTGTATTTAATTTTCTTGTTCAAATGTGTGTTGGTGAGTGTGTTGAATTCATTTCCCGATTTGGCCCTCCCACCTGCACCTATGGATTCGAAGTTCTGCAGCTGTTTAACCTTGGGTTAAACAGCTTGAGTGCCCGGGAAGAACCCTCATCCCGCCAGGACCCAGAATGTCAGCCTCCTTCTCCAGCCCCGGGGAAGGTGGGAAGTGGCCACCGGGCTCTTGCCCCCATGGTGACAGCAACCAAGTACACCTGAAAACCTGTACACTCTGATGGTCAGGGTCGTCCATGTACATGGTGATAATGACAAGATCAAGCATTTATGAGGCAGTGTCCTAAGCCTGTCCCATATCTAACCCGTTTCATCATCTCACTCATGAGCTGATCGGCTCTACACAACAGTTTTATTGAATAAATAAGGCAAGCGTCATTCCCATTTTACAGCTAAGAAAACCGAGGCCCAGAGAGCATGAAGGACTTGGCTGACGTCACTTAGCCTGCAAGTGTCAGAACTAGGATGGGAGCCCTCTCGGCCTGAGGTTAGCCCAGGCTCCTTTTGTGGCTGGGTCCTGGAGTCCCTAGGACGGGCCCTGGGATCCTGTGTGGGAGGCAGCCTGTTTTCACAAGTCCGGATGCTTTTGCTTTCCACTCCTCCACCCCAGTGCAGGAAGTTCCTTGGCAGGGCCAAAGCCTCCTGGTTCAGAATTAAGACTCGGATTTAAACCTAATGCCAATTTGCATATGAATTACAGGAGATCCGTCACTGACAGCAGGGTGCAGTGGGTGGAGGCATCAGAAAAAGAGAAGAGGTTTAAAACGGGGATGCAGGACTGCAAGAGTCCAGTGGGGAGGACCGGGTGTAGGGCAAGGGAGGGGGCTCTGCTGTTTCCTCTCTCGAGCAGGAAAAACCTTCCCTGTGCCTTCCTGGCTTGGGGGTAGACCACACTCCCGGAGTTTTGGACAGAAAAGAACCCTGTAAGCAGCTAAGGGCTCTGTCTCCTCCGGGTTTCCTAATGGGCTTTGGGCCCAAGTAGAATTTGATGGGAAGAAAAGATAAAGGATTTTGAAGGTGGAGAGAGACAGAAAGAGAGCAGAAAACAGAGAGAGGGGGAGTCTCTTTGGGCCCCTCTGCCCTGTTGACTTGATAAGCAAGCACTTTGTGGCCCAGCTCTATTTATTTGCAGTTCATGGCTCTCAGTTAAAACCACGGAGACCACCTCTGGCTACTTTAGCAGAAAGAATTTTATTGGAAGGCTCTTGGGAAGCTCAAAGGATCAGTAGGCCAGCCAGACAGATAAGCGGAGCAACTGAGGGCAACAGGATGCACAAATGAGGCTGGACACAGCGGCCTGCTGGATGCGGCACCCCTGCTGGACATGGCCACAGACCGTGGACTTGGCCCCTAGATTCAGGGTCACTCATGTGAAAGTCGGAGTTGCAGGCAGAAGTTCTCTGCTGAGTCCAAGTCATGTTCCCTGCCTCTGGCTTCAAGAAGTCAGGGAATAAATGGGAGCACCTCTTCATTAGCCTTCCAGGGTGGAAGGCAGGTCCCTGCCCTATCACAATATAATAATAGTAATAAACAATAAAATAAGAACAATACCCCCAGCCATCACCTACCAGGCCCTGTGCCCTGCGCTTTCTGTTCATTCTCACATTCAGCTCTCACAGCACCTATGTGGGAAATATGTTGTCATCCCATTTTATAGATGGAAAGGTGAGGCAGAGAGGTTAAGTGATGTGCCTGGTGACAGTGCTGACTCTACATTTGTTTAGCAATGTCGGGATGTTTCAAGCTTTGAAGCTTGTGCCTGGAATGACTCTTTAGGGGCCACCATCAAGCAGGGATGCCAGGTCTCTACTCCACAGGCCTGTCGTGGTTGCAAAGGGCTTTCTCCCTCCCCTTGGAAGATGCTCAAGGTACGCACTCAGACTTGAGGGCCCTGCATTGGTCCTTGGTTGGGTGGCATTTCCTGGCATGTCTCTTTTCCTATAAATCAGGAGCATGGCTCTGCTTCAGGCACAGCTTGGGGAGCAGGGAGTTGGGGGGACTACCTATGCCCCCCATATCTTCACATGCCCATATAGATGCCTGCTTAAAACCAGGGGCTCCCAGCCTCCGTTTCTTCATATGGCTCTCCCCAGAAATAGAGACACTGTTCACTTACGTCATTGGGAGATTCTTCAAGGTGAGTGTTGCTGCAGCCAAGGAAGCTTTGGCTAGGTGGTGTCCTTACCTACAAAGTTACCCTCCATGCAGAACCGCCTGAAGGACTTACCTCTGCTCGGGATCCCTAACACACCACAGCTCTTCCGCCACTCTGGGTGGGCTGCCACTTTCTAGGAAACCACCGACTCCACTCCACACACTGTCTGAATTAAGGGGATCTCAGGGCCCCTGCACATCCCCCACAGCCCTGGTTCCTACTTCCATCCTGCCATTTGTCTCGCTATACTCTTATTTTCCTACCCATTTGCCCATCCCTTTCACTAGCCCATGAGCTCCTTGAAGGAAGGACCCTTTTGTCACCGCATCCTGGGATCCAGCGGAAAACCTGGGAGCTAAATTTCCCTGGTTCTATAAGCTTGCTAAGAGCTTTGGTATTTGTTGGATGCTCTGTCTGCGTCATCTGTCACAGAGATCAGTGAAACGTCGGTGAGGAGAACTGGATGGGAAAGAGCTGGAGAGTCAGCCCTCTTGGATCGTCGGGTTCAATCTCTCCCTCTTGGCATCACCCCAAGGACTCGGGGTGCAGTGGGGTGCTGGGTGTTTAGGTCTTGCCTGTAATTTGGTGCAAGGAGTTGGCCTCAAACACCTTCACTGCAGCAGCTGCCTCGGAATAAGCAATGCCAACAAAGGAACTGGGCATGACACATCCATGAGGCTATCAGTGAGATGTCACCACTGCCTGCCAGGGATGTGACAGGAGGACCAAGTGCTGATGAGACTTGGCACGTGCGTCTTCCAGGGTGCCCTCGCAGGCAGACATGCTCAGCTTGGGGAATGCATGGAATCTGCATCCTTCCTTGCTTTTGCATAAGTCTCTGCCGGGGTGGGAGCCTCTGCACAAGAAGCCTGGAGTCGAACATTCAGGGGTCTGTTTTCCCTTAACAAACTGCGGCTGATGGGGACAGACCAGTAAGTCTGCATGTGCAGCAGTGGCTCTTCATCTAGAAGAAGGATAGAATGGGTATTCAACATGCTGCATGCTGGCTGGCTCACCACACCTGGAAAGGTGGCCCTGGTATTGAGGGTGCCTTTTATTTTCTTTTTTTTTTTTTGATGGAGTCTTGCTCTGTCACCCAGGGTGGAGTGCAGTGGCAAGATCTCGGCTCACTGCAACCTCTGCCTCCTGGGTTCAAGCAATTCTCTTGCCTCAGCCTTCCAAGTAGCTGGGATTACAGGTGCATGCCACCATGCCTGGCTAATTTTTGTATTTTTTTTAGTTGAGACAGGGTTTCATCATGCTGGCCAGGCTTGTCTCAAACTCCTGACTTTGTGATCCACCCACCTTGTGAAGGTGCTTTGATCCCAGCAAGTCTACCTGGGTCAGGGGAATCCAGCCGGAGTGCACAGCAGCTACCAGCTAGGGCTTATGCAGAAGGTCACAGGCATAATCTACCCTAAATGAGAGACTTCCAGGCAGTAACCAGGGCATATGAGAAACCTAAGGGATGACCACCGAAGTTTGTGTGTATTTGCTGGTGTTTGAATTTGGTGAACCCCCTAAAATGAAAGACGGGCTCTGCTTATGCTGTATAGCTCAATTCCAGCTCATCTTTCTTTGAACACATTTTACAAACACACTGTGATGACTTCCCATCAGCGTGGCTGCCACGTGCTCACTTGAGAGTTCCAGTGAGATGGTTTTGGTTTTTTATCATCCTGTAAGTTTGATTTGCTATATTTGATATATGGACAGAAATCCATGCTGGTAGATTTAGATATGCTCCAGTCGAACTGATGCACCCTGCCAGGGCTGAGATTCACAGTTATTGTGTGCTTTTTCTGGCCATTGGCCCCTGGTCGCAATTTTCCAACCCCTATATTTCATGTCAGGCTGGATATTGGCATGCCCATGAAGCTCTGTGCCAGGCTGGTCTCCTTGAAGAGATTGTGGAAGAATTGGTTTTTATTTCCAATTCACACCCACGCTTCTCAGTGTTGGGCTGAAAGGGACAGGCCCACGTTCTCAGGAAGGCATTTCAAGACAATTTCTCAAGAACAAGCTGCTGCTGCTTGGGATGATCCTCCAGGCAAAATCATGATAACAGTGATAACAGTCGTAGTCATAATCATAGTAACAAACATTAAAAAGGACATCTAAAAACATGTCAGGGTGCTCAAACTCTAAGAATGATGTGGGATTCACTGTGATCATAGGGCTTTTTTCCCAGATAGCACTCATCACAGTATTGTGGTTGTTTATAGATGGTTCTAAGTTGCCTGCTTCCCAAATACATTTTATTTTACCCCTCTGCTTTGATTTTATTGCCCATTCATTAAGAAAGCCAAAATCAGCAGCCAAATGATGTGTGGAAAAATCCAAACAGGATCCAAAGGTTAGCCTGCTCTTGACAAATCTTAAATGTGATAATCCTGGTTGAATTGGGTACTGTATTAGTCTGTTTTCACACTGCTGATAAAGACATACTCAAGACTGGGTAATTTAGAAAGGAAAGGGGTTTAAGGGACTCATAGTTCCACATGGCTGGGGGGGCCTCACAGTCATGGCAGAAGGCAAGGAGGAGCAAAGTCATGTCTTACATGGATGGCAGCAGGCAAAGAGAGAGAACTTGTACAGGGAAACTCCTCTTTATAAAACCATCGTATCTCGTGGGACTTATTCACTATCATGAGAACCGCATGGGAAAGACCCACCTCATGATTCAATTACCTCCCACAGGGTCCCTTCCACAACACACAGGAATTGTGGGAGCTACAATTCAAGATGAGATTTGGGTGGGGACACAGCCAAATCATATCAGGCACTAACCAATTGTTGGTGCAGATGTGTTCACACACACACACATGCTGTGCCCACACATATATGCATACCCACACACACAGGATTGGAGTCCACTCCAGATTGATGGTGTTATGAAAGACTCAGAAACCCTGCTTGTGGAGGTTGAACCTGAGAAGCCAATTGCTGGAAGTAACCAGCTCGTTAGGGGGTCTCCTGACCTCTGCCCTTCAGAGCAGTGTGGGCTGATCTCTTTTAGGTATGCTGTGTTTGCAGGAGTGTCCATGCTGAGAGGAGAAAGTGGAGGTGATGAGAATTCCCTGGAGGAAGATTTTTTTTTATCCATTGTATTAATCAGTTTGCATTGCTATAAAGAAATATCTGACACTAAGGAATTTATAAAGAAAAGAGGTTTACTTGGCTTATGGTTCTGCAGACTCTATGCAAAGCATAGTGCCAGTATCCACTCCTGGTGAGGAGCTCAGGAAGCCTCCAATCATGGCAGAAAGCAAAGGGGGAGCCAGCATGTCACATGGCAAGAGAGGGAGCAAGAGAGAAAGGTGGACGTGCCACACTCTTTTTTGAGGGGAGGGGGTAACAGAGTCTCACTATGTCGCCCAGGCTGGAGTGCAATGGCGTGATCTCAGCTCACTGCAACCTCTGACTCCCGGGTTCAAGCAATTCTCCTGCCTCAGGCCTCAGCCTCCTGAGTAGCTGGGATTACAGGCATGTGCCACCATGCCCGCCTAATATTTGTATTTTTAGTGGAGACGGGATTTCACCATGTTGGCCAAGCTGGTCTCGAACTCCTGACCTTGTGATCCACCCGCCTTGAGCTCCCAAAGTGCTGGGATTACAGGTGTGAGCCACTGCACCTGGCCAGCCAGGCTCTTTTAAACAAGCAGATCTCCTGTGAACTCATTACCACAGGGAGGGCACCAAGCCATTCAGGAGGGATCTACCCCCATGACCCAAACGCCTCCCACCAGGCCCCGTTGCCAACAATGGGGATCACATTTCAACACGAGATTTGGAGTTGTCAAACATCCAAACTCTATCATTTATATTCTTAGATGCTGCAGCCTGAAAAAGGCAAATTGGAAAGAAACAACATTTCACTTTAAATTAAGGAGAATTGGGAGAAGAACCCAGGAAACCACTGGCATATAGGACATGACAAGATTTTTCCCCTTTCCCCAAGTAACTTCACAAGATGTCTAAAAATCAATCATATGGTGCTTCATAAATGTGTGAGTGCATTTTTGCCTTATGATTTGTGTTTTAACCACTGAAACTAATAACATAAAATTACATTGTCAGCAAGAACGGAAGACTTAATTAATTCTAATCTATTTAGTAGATACTTTATGAAGGTATACTCTCAAGAAGTCAAATAAACCCTTCCAGTAGATGGCAGATAATGATTTAAAAGCCATGAAATTCTCTGAAAATACAACTTTTAGCACATCTAAATGGTTGGGAATTTTCTGACAATATAATTGTCGTTTTATGAAAATGATTGCTCCCTATATGGAAATCAATTACAACCCTGCAACAAAGGCTTTTGCCTAAGGATCTCACACAAGGTGTTATTTGAGTCCTACAGAGTTCCCAGAGTGGCCAGCCGCAAGAGAAATTGATATTACATGCAAGGAGGCTGAGATGGAGAGGGCATAGGCTTGTCCATGGTGAAGCGTCCACAGGCAACATATCTCAGAGTGAATGCCCGAATGAAGTGGTATTCTTCTTTTTTTTTTTTTTTTTTGTGAGATGGAATCTTGCTCTGTCACCCAGGCTGGAGTGCTGTGGCATGATCTCAGCTCACTGCAACCTCTGCCTCCCGGTATCAAGTGATTCTCCTGCCGAGACTGCACCACTGCACTCCAGACTGGGTGACAGAGTAAGACTCTGTCAAAACAAAAAACAAAAACAAAACACCTGTCAATCTACAATTCTGTACAGTGAAATTATCTTTTTTTTTTTATTTTTTTTTTTTGAGACAGGGTCTCACTCTGTTACCCAGGCTGGAGTGCAGTTGCATGATCTCTGCTCACTGCAACCTCCAACTCCACCTCCTGGGTTCAAGCAATTCTCCTGCCTCAGCCTCCCAAGTAGCTGGGATTACAGGTGCACATCACCACACTTGGCTAATTTTTGTATTTTTAGTAGACATGGGGTTTCATCATGTTGGCCAGGCTGGTCTCAAACTCCTGGCCTCAAGTGATCTGCTTGTCTCGGCCTCCTGAAGTTCTGGGATTACAGGCATGAGCCTCCACGCCCGGCCTGAAGAGGTTTTCTTAAGCTAAGCAGAGCTCCTTCTCGCTCCTGCCTTATATTCAATTGAACAAATATTAAGTAAGGATCCACTGTGTGCTTGAGAGGTGGCAGAGTGGAGTGGCTCAGAGTGTAAGTTCTGGAGCCAAACTTTCACTGTTCAAATCCCAGCCCTGCTGCTTAATAGCTCTTTTAGATCGGGAGGCATAAACAATCCCACCCTGCGTCAGTTTCTTCATCTGTCAAATGGGTTAATAATATAATTTGAAAGGTTATGGGGAGAACTGAAACAAAATGCATTAATGACTAGCTCTGCTTCCATTCCAGATGTGGAAAACGAGAAAGAGTGACATTCTTACCCCAACAAAAAGACAAAGCTGGGAAAACTGTAAGATCACAACTCTTCCTGAACCCATCAGGAAGCTGAGGACACAGAGAAACCAACTAGCCTGAAATACAAAGGGCGAACAGGCCCCCAAGGAGACAGGGGGCAAATGGACGGTGCTGTATGGACTGTGTCACCCTCCATGCCATGGCAGAGTCTGGTGGAACACAGGGCTGTCACTCAAGGTGGTAGGAAGAGGTCAGCTGGAATTTCAGTGAACCACAGGAGGCCAACTGAGCACCAGGAGCCCAGGGAGGTGCAACCACAGACAGAGCTGCCTTCCACACACTCCATGGAGGGAGCTCCTGAGAAAGATGAGAGGGCAGGGCAGGAGACCAGAGAGAGCCCCCTGGCAGTGCAGGCCTGGAGCCAGGGGTCAGCCTGTGCTGTGGAAATGGCATAAAGCCCACCTGCCTCCTCAGAGCTGTTCTCAGAAGCCTCACACCCCTGGGGGAAAAGCAGCATTACCTGTTGCTCCTCAGAGAAGGAAAAGACCTTTGATGTGGGGAAAGAATGGAGAAAGTCAGGAGACTGAGGAAACAATCCTGAACCCAGAATCCCATTCCAAGACTAGTTCTGGGGGAAAAGCAGGAAACTCCCCATATGAGACTTTCCACAACACGAGGCAGGGTCCAGCTGTCTGCCACAGAGAAGAGGGGCAGGGACGCTGGGAAAACCCCACCCAGAGGCTCAGGCACATGGGGCCTGCCTTGGCCCAAGTCTGTGCTGGGCCATAAAGCAGCTCCCTGCTTCCTGCAAGGATCCTAATAAGAGCAGGGTAACATGCAGCAGCAGATACCAGCAGGCAAGGGCAGAGGCATGGAGGGACTCCCTCTGTGGTGCAGACATAGCAAGTTGAAAGCTGAGGATGGAGCCGAAACACTGAAAATAACTCTCTGGCACCCCAGCCTGCATGCTAATCATGAGGAACTTGAAGCCTGTGATGCATTAAGGGTAACCATAGGAATGACAAAACACAGACCCAAGTTGACTCGATCACCACCTCCCCACTAGCTGATAAAAAGACGAGCCCATTTCTAGGCATGAAAACCACGCACCTCAGTCTCCCCTGTTCTACTTAAGATGCTTGTCATTTCCTATGGACTGAATTGTGTCCCAGAAGAAGATGTTAAAATCTGAACATGTAGTACCTGTGTATATGACCTCAATTGAAAATAGAGTTTTTGCAGAGAGGTATTCAAGTTAAAATAAGGTCACTAGTGGGGGCCCTAATTTGATTTGACCATATCCTTATAAAAAGGGGAAAATTTGGATGTAGAGATAGATTCATAGAGAGATGATATAAAGACATAGAGAGAATGTCATTACAAGCCAAGGAACATCTGGGGCTATCAGAAATTGGGAGTGAGGCCTGGAACATATTCTCCTTCACAGCCCTCAGAAAGAACCAACTCTTCTGACACCTTTGTTGGGGACTTCTGGCCTCCAGGACTGTGAGACAATAAATTTCTGTTGTTCAAATGCTCTAGTTTGTGGTACTTTGCTATGCCAGCCCCAAGAAACTAATGGAATATTCAGCCCCAAATTATGAGACACATGAAAAACAAACAAACAAAGACAATCCTTTGTCAAGAGAAAAATCAGGTAACAGAACAAGACTAGGAGATGAACCAGACATTGGCACTATCAGAAGGAGACTTTAAAATGACTATAGTTAATTATTAAAGCATTTGTCTCCAACCTTTTTGACAGCAGGGACTGGTTTTTTGGAAGACAATTTTTCCATGGACCAGGTGGGGGAATGGTTTCGGGATGAAACTATTCCACCTAAGATCATCAGGCATTAGTTAGATTCTAATAAGGAGGGTGCAACCCTCACATGTGCAGTTCACAATAGGGCTCATGCTTCTGTGAGAATCTAATGCCGCTGCTGATTTGACAGGAGGCGGAGCTCAGGTGGTAATGCTCACTCACCTGCTGCTCACCTCCTGCTGTGCAGCCTGGTTCCTAACAGGCTGCAGACCAAAACTAGTCCATGGCCTTGGGGGGAAGGGGAGGGTTGAGAACACTTGTGTTAAAGGACAAAGTAGAAAAGATGGACACCATGTATGAATAAAAGGAACTTGAGCAGGTGGATAGGAATGATACAAGTCAAATGGAAGTAAATGCTAGAATTAAATAATTCGTTTAGGAGGCTCATTATCAGACTTAATATAACTGAAGAAAGAATTAGAACTCAATAATAGATCAGTAGAAAATAGACAAATGAAACATAAAGAAAAATAAGAGTGAAAAAAATCAGAACAGGGTGTTTAGGAGCTGTAGAAACGTATCACATGGTTTAATATATGTGCACCTGGAATCCCAAAAGTAGAAGAGGGAGAAAGTGAAGTAGAAAAAATATTTGAAGAAATTAACCAAGATTTTTCTAAAAACAATGGAAGGCATTAAACCACACCTCCAAGAATCAAAGAAAACCTTAAACATGAAAAATACTGAAATAATATACTGGACACATCACAAACTTCTGAAAACCAAAGATAAGGAGAAAATCTTGCTGACAGCCAGGGAAAAAAAGACATTTTAAATATAGAGGAACAAAAAAATAAGAATTAGAGCATATTTCTCCTCCTAAAGCATGCAAACCAGAAGACAACAGAATAAAACCTTTAAATTTAAAAAATAAGCAACACCAAACCCAACATCCATCTCTGATTTGAACTCTCAGAAAAATAGAAACAGAAAACTTCCTGAGCCTGTGTCATAAAATATGGGTTTTATTATTATTCAGGTATGGCAAGGCTAACAGTTCAGGAGATAACTGTCATTGGAAAGATGGCTTGTTACTCACAGTGCCTAGGAGGTGGGGGCATCCGAGGCCCCACGGGACCACACAAGGAAGTACTGGGGCCAGTTAGGAGATCCAGCGAGAGAGCAGAAAATGTGGGCAAGAGCCTTGTATTACTCTGTTTTCACGCTGCTGATAAAGACATAACCGAGACTGGATAATGTATAAGGAAAAAGAGGTTTAATGGACTCACAGTTCCACGTGGCTGGGGAGGCCTCACAATCATGGTGGGAGGTGAAAGGCACATCTCACATGGTGGTAGACAAGAGAAGAGAACTTGTGCAGGGGAACTCCCCTTTATAAAACCATCAGATCTCCTGAGACTTATTCACTATCATGAGAAAAGTATGGGAAAGGCCTGCCCCCATGATTCAATTACCTCCCACCTAGTCCCTCTCACAACACGTGGGAATTGCGGGAGCTACAATTCAAGATGAGATTTGGGTGAGGGCACAGCCAAACCATATCAAGCATTTATCATGGTTCATGTGGGAAGAAACAGGCAAGGCACAGTAGGCTAATTTTGGTAGGCTCCAGGGTGAAGGGACTGTTCCTAGTTGCCTGGTCCCTGGTGCTGAGGTGTTAGGGCAGGAGACTGAACTCTGTAAAGGAGATTGTGGGGTGTGATCCCTGGATGGGTTTGTTTGGATATGAAAGGCAACTCACATGAACAATGAGGACAACCCCTGCTTCTAGGAGCTGTCAGCCCTGGGAGGGGTAGTCCCTCCAGGGTCAGCCAGACCCCAAGATGTCAAAAGATCAGAAATACAGAAAGTAAAAAGGCATGGTTAATACACGTGATGAAAGGTATCTATGGAGAACATACAGCTGGCATCATACTTAATGGCAACAAGACTGAGAGGTACCTTCTCACCATGTATATTTGACACATTTTTGACATCAAAACAAGGTACAAAAAAATAAAGCACATACACACGATAAAGGAAGAAACAAGTCTGTCTTTGCTCCCAGACAACATGCAAAAAATCCAATGAAGTCTACAGAAAGCTACTGAAAGTAATAAGTGAATGTAGTGAGAGAGGTTGCAAGAAATAAGATCCTGTGAAAATTAATCGTTTTTTTGATGACACTAGCAATAAACAATTGGAAATTGAAATTACAACAAAATGTCATTTATGAAAGCATCAAAAATAGGAAAAAGGAAATAGGAAAAGTCTGACTGGAGATGTCTAAGGCATATACACTGAAAGTTACAAAATATTACTGAAGGACATTTAAAGATAAAAATAAATGGTAAGATATACTGTGCTCATAGGTGAGAAGCAAATATTTTAAAGACATCAGCTCTCTACAAATGAATCTGTACATTCGATGATAATCTCAATCAAAATCCCAGAGGCCATATTTTGGGTAGAAATTGACAAACTGACCCGAAAATTCATATGGAACTATAAAAGACCTAAAATAGTCAATACTACTTTGGTAAAGATGAGTAGTATTGGAGAACTAACATTGTCTGACTTCAAGACTTATTATAAAGTTCCTAAAATCAAGACAGCATGATATTGGCATCAAGACGGGTGAATAGATTAGTGGAATGAAATAGTCCAGAAATAGAACCATACACATATGGAAAAATATTTTTTTGCAAAGGTGCAAGAGTAATTCAGTGCAGAAAAAAATACTCTTTTTAAAAATAAATCCATGATGCTGGAACGATTGTATATCCATGCGAAATGAAATGAACTTGGATGCATACCTTGTACCATGTGTAAAAAGTAACTAACAGTTGATCACCTGATCACCTCTTCAATGTCCCACGTCTCAACACTGTTGCATTGGGATTAAGTTTCCAATATGTGAACTTTGGGGGATGCATTCAAACCATAGCGTTCTCCTTTGGGATTCTGCCTGACTTCTCTTTCTTTCATCCAAGCTATTGCCAATCCTGTTACCTGTGTGGTCATAATATACCCAGAATCAATAATCCATTTCTCATCACGTCATAGCCATCTCCTCCTTGCATTGTCTTAGTAGCCTTCTAAGAGATCTTTCTGCTTCTGCCCTGGGGCCTTTACAGCCTAGCACCGCAGCAGGGTGATCTTAGGCAATCACAAATTAGATCCCTCCACTCTTCTCCTGGAAGTTCCCCAAGTCCCTCCATGTATAAGTCCTCCTGAATCCTTGCTGTCACCACTGGGCCCTCCATCCTCTGCTCCTCCCTAGCCCCACTCCTCATGAGCACTGGGATCCACCCCCACCACTCCTCCACAGCCACACCTAAGCTGCAGCCTCACCTGCAAGCCTCCTCTTCCGGAGGCTGGAACACAGCCCCAGGGTCATGGGGACCCTCTTCTGATCACTTCTCTCTCACTATCTCCACTCATGTGCCATCCCCCACCCTAACCATCCCCCACCCCTCCCTTATCTATGTCTCTGCTGGCTTTATCAGGAAGGGGGATAATATAATCCACTCATCTGTTTCTTTATTGCCCCTCTTCCAATCCATTAACTCCACAGGACGAGGGAGAGAGATCTGTTCTGTTCACAGTTGTACACCAAGTCCTAGGACAGATCCAGCACTTCATGGGTGCCATTGATGAATGGATAAATAAATGGGATCTATTTATTTATCCCATTTATTCCTAAGTGCTTAGGAATGCTTGTTCAGGTCGCCATCACCCTAGAGGACTTGGAGTTCAGTAACGCTGTGGAACTGGCCAGCGATGTGCAGCCCAGCTCCTGAGAGAAACACCTCAGGAGGTGATGAGTGTGACTTCACAAGCAAAGCAAAAAGCTCTGAACTTGGCAGCCATTGGAATGTTGGAGGGTCATCACACTGGAGGCAGGAAGACTGAGTGGCAATTCTGCTGAGGCCCCACCACAGGCCTTCTCTGGGTGCAGGTCTGGCCACCCGTGAGGACAAGAGGGTAGGACCTGGAGGAAGAGGCTGACCACAGACCCAAAGGGCACACATGCCAGGCTGTCCAGGAGTTTCCAGCCATGGCCACTTGCTCCTTTTCTGGAATACATTTTTAGAAAAGTCCTGGCTGTCCATAAGCCACCATCAAATGGTGTGGATATTTTTGTGTGGGGGAGTGGGGGTGGGTGTTCAGATTAGATGTAATGCCGTCACCTGGACCTCAGCATCCTCGGGATCCTCCTCAGCATCCTTCAGCAAGGGAAGAGCCCACGGAGGCAGGATGCTTCAAGGTTCTCATCCCAAAGCCAGCGAGCCTCGACACTCTGAGGCCTCTTGGTGTAATTCTGAGTTTACCCCAAGCCCTGTGGGGGACAATGCCTCTCGAGGACCTAGCGATAAAGAAAGATGGAAAATGGGAAGCAGTACCATCTGCCCCCAACAGAGGAGCAGATTTCTGCAGACAAGGCCTTCCATATGCACCTCGATAACACATATGCATCAAGACTTCCCTGCAAGTGCAAGGTAGGCAAACGCCAGGGAGCAATGCACAGATACAAACAGCAGTATACTGGCACCATGTCACTGCGTTTTCCTGCTTGCAGGAGCTGTGTCCTCGGAGAAAGGATTGCACTCATTGGAGCAGCTGTGGAAAGCTGGCTTCTGATGGGGGGTGTGAACAGGAACAAGCCGGCGTCTCCATCGCCCGGGCGTCTCACTGGATGTGGCTCACTAGGGTAGTGTGAACGCAGCCAGGTCTGACAGCAGAGCTCTCTCTCTGGTAAGATAATGTATTTATCCTGAAGAACAAGAGTTCATGGAAGCGCTAAGGTGCTGTTAAGCCCTCAGTGAAAAGCAGCAAGCCACACGGAGCATCTTGTGAGGAAGCAGCTCCCACACCACCAAAGAAGTTATGAGTAGCTGTGAACCACAGCGGGCCCACTGCGATGTCCCATCTATCAGACCCTCCCCTGGGGCTACAGGAGCTTCGGACCTCCCTGCTTGTGAAGATCTCCCTCCTTTCTCTGGCCCCAACTCATCCATCCATTTTCTTGCAGGGCAAGACTGTATCTTTCCAATTAAAAGTCGTGATGGCTTACAATTAAAGCCATCAGGACTTTTGTCTCAGTGGGCACTTTGTAACCCTATAAAGGTTTGCAAAGTGTGACAGCCACTTCCAGGCATTCCCTTACCATTCATTTCTACTTTTTTGTTTTCCTGAGTGTTCATGCTCATTTGGGTGCAGGTGGCAGCTGACACCCAAAGGTCTAAGAAACTTTTCTGGGATAGAAAGCTAAAATTAGGCTGGGTGCAGTGGCTCATGCCTGTAATCCCAGCACTTTGGGAGGCTGGGGCGGCAGATCACAAGGTTAGGAGATCGAGACCATTCTGGCTAACGTGGTGAAACCCCGTCTCTATTAAAAATACAAAAAAAAAATAGCTGGGCCTGGTGGCACGCGCCTGTAGTCCCAGCTACTCGGTAGGCTGAGGCAGGAGAACCGCTTGAACCCAAGAGGTGGAGGTTGCAGTGAGCCAAGATCGTGCCACTGCACTCCAGCCTGGGCGACAGAGCGAGACTCTGTCTCAAAAAAAAAAAAAATAATAAAATAAATAAATAAATATTAAAAAATAGAAATAAATAAAAAACTAAAATTGAGATAATTCTATCATTAACATGGCTTCTCCCCTGAAAATTGGGAAGAGGCTGCTGCTGTTTTATTTCATCAGAGCAAGTATTTGGCATGCCCTGGAGGCACCAGCATCCTGCAAAAAGCACAGCCGCAGATGTTCTTTCTGTCCAACTCCAGAAGGTGAGTGATGATCTGCTATGTGGAAGGAGATACAGGAATCTGAGGTCGGTGATGTGCAGGATCTTGGCTGGTGCTGGGGGTTGGCTTCAAGGAGACATTAAGGCTAACATTGCCCATTCTTGCCGCATCAGCTCCAGGGGCGTGCGGGGCCAGCCTGCAGTTGGCTGAGGTGGGAGAGGCCTGGAGTGCTTGGAAGTGACCTGGTCAGCCCTGTGCTGTTCAGGAGACAACAAGCCAGCCATGTCAACCCCTTCCTCACAAGGGCAGGCCTAAGACATTCTGAGGCAGCCAATATTAATAAGAAATTCACTGAGCTGAGCAGGGCAAAAGCCCAGCTGGGATTCTGGAGAGCAAGAAGGAGACGTTATTCCCAATGGCGGGCGTATGACTGAGGGGCCACTCGTCCCGAAGATTCTGAGCAGGCCTTGGGAGGGACCCCTCTTCCAGAACCCAGAGCAGCAAGTTTTTCTTTTTTGCTGAGGATTCCTTCCCTTGCTCAAAACTCTGAAAAGAGCTTAGGACATTGTTGGTTTAATCACGAGTGACTCTTTAATTTTTTTTTATTCCTTGCACTACAGAACTGTATTGAGTAATCAAATTCTCGAACAGAGCTGATGCCAGCACAACAGCCCTTTGGGAAGGTAGCTGTTGTCATGGATAGGGGGGCAGCTCTTGAAACGTCTCCTGCTTTTTTGTAATACTGACCCTGGGCAGAGCTTTTTTATTAAATTAAATTACTCCTAAAGGGAAGTCTTTATCCAGCACTCAGCTTTTGCAGTAAAATTACAATTATTGTACAGACACAGAAATAAAAGCCCAGGGTAAACCATGTAATCTGGAACGATTCTACTATAAGACCATTATCAGCATTTTTCTTCCCTGCAATCCATAACATCATGAGGGCAAGTTTTTTTCCCCTTCGGTTTCCCAGTTTGTATATAGTACCCAGAATACAATACAATAAAACTCCTGATCTGTGATATTAAATAGGTCATAAAAATGCCAGCAAGAATAACTAATTTTTTAAGCTGTTAATAAAAATGATATACAATTAAGGTGAACCATGAAAGATGATTAAAAGTGCCATCCTCTATAAATTCCACAGGGCTTGTGTTTTTGCTATTGTGTGCAAAATGATAATGGCCAGATACACATTTCAGGGGGAATTGTTTCAGAAGGGAAAAGAAACACACTATGGGATTTTGCACAAACCATATTTGTCTTTAACAAGATAATAAAGAGCTTCTAGAACTATTGGGAAGACGTGCACCTGGAAACTGAGATCCAAGTCATCTGGCTGTAGGTTTCCCTAATGGTTAGAAAACATAGCACACACATTTAGGAACCTTTCCCCCCATGCATCCCAGGACTCATATATGATAGATATTTAATTGTTTGCGGGATGATGATGATGATTATTATTATTATTTTGAGACGGAGTCTCTCTTTGTCGCCCAGGCTGGAGTGCAGTGGCACGATCTCCCCTCACTGCACAAGCTCCGCCTCCTGGGTTCACGCCATTCTCCTGCCTCAGCCTCCCGAGTAGCTGGGACTACAGGTGCCCGCCACCACGACTGGCTAATGTTTTTGTATTTATAGTAGAGACAGAGTTTCACCGTGTTAGCCAGGATGGTCTTGATCTCCTGACCCCGTGATCCGCCTGCCTCAGCCTCCCATAGTGCTGGGAATACAGGCATGAGCCACCGCGCCGGGCCAGAGGGATTATTTTAAATATAAAAAGCAATGGGAAATTCACATTCTGGGCATGAGAAAATCTAGAAAACAACTGAACTCATGGACATAGAGCGCGGAAGGATAGTTTCCAGAGGCTGGGAAGGGTAGTGGGGAGTGGTGAGGATGGTTAATGGGTGTACTAGTTCACGTTCATGCTGCTGATAAAGACATACCCAAGACCGGGTAACTTATAAAGAAAAAGAGGTTTAATGGACTCACAGTTCCACGTGGCTGGGGAGGCCTTACAATCATGGTGGAAGGCAAAAAGCATATCTTACATGGTAGCAGGCAAGAGAGAATGAGAGCCAAGCAAAAGGGGAAATCCATTTATAAAACCATCAGATCTCATGAGACTTCCTCACTACCATGAGAACAGTATGGGGGAAACCGCCCCCATGATTCAATTACCTCCAAATGGGTCCCTCCCACAACACCAGGGAACTATGGGAGCTACACTTCAAGATGAGATTTGGGTGGGGACACAGCCAGACCATATCAAAGGGTACAAAAAATAGCTAGAAAAAAATGAATAAGATGTACTATTTGATCACACAACAGGGAGATTATAATCAATAATAACTTACCTGTACATTTAAAAATAACTAAAAGAGTATAATTGGATTGTTTGTAACACAAAGGATACATGCTTGAGGGGATGGATATCCCATTCTCCATCATGTAATTATTTCACATTGCATGTTTGTATCAAAGCATCTCATGCACGCCACAGATGTGTGTGTGTGTGTGTGTGTGTATAATATGCCCACAAAAGATTTTAAAAATAGAACTTTGTCCAGTCTTGGCCACGCATCAGCTAATGGCTATTAGCACGTTGCTGACTCCCTTGAACCAGCTTCCCATCTATTACCTACAGAATTGGAGTGCAGTCATAGTTTTCATTTTATTTAATGACTGAGTGATGGTAGCAAAACCCTTCAATCAGGTATTCTTCTTGGAACCATGGGGTGTCCTGACCTGTTTGCCCATGGATTTGACTCTTACAGAATGTAGCATCCAGGCTCCCATGTTGCTGACACCTACTTGGGTGTGGCCAGTTGAGGCACCATAGAGACCTGCCTGCAGATGGGGAAGATAGAAGCTCTCTTTGCCTAATGCAGTGTGTCAGGCAGCAGCTGCGTCTCCTCTGTGTCCCGCTCCTGCAGGATAGGCCCAATGTGCTTCTGGCTTCTCCCAAGCAGCCCCTATGCTCTGGGACACAGCCTTTTCCCTCTGAGCCTTCAGTACAAAAGGGGGCTTTGTAGTTCTGCTTCTAAGCTTTTCTGTAGCCTGTATAATAAATGTCCTGCATTAAATCCCTCCAGTATTCATACTTGCATGGTTTCTGTTTCCTGGTAAGGCCCTGACTGTTACAAACCCAGCACAAAGGGCATGTGAGAACAGAGTGATTTTAGTTGGAGCAAGGGCAGGACCTAGAGCCTCACTAGCTTGGCCACCACCCAATCCCCTCTCATTCTCCCCAGGGAGAGCAAGCAACCACAATGATGCCTGAGTCTGGGGACTGTCATTTGAAAACCTCTGGGCCAGAGCTTCCTGGTCCACAATGCTTCAGTAGGTGTACCTGGGCACAAGAGTACTCCTCGCAGAAAGTGAGGAAGCATGACAATATTAAATTCTATCCTAGGAAATGAGAATAGTTATGCCAAAAAATAAATAAATAAGCTCACAACCACAAGCCTATGTTGTGGAAAACTTCCAACTGCTGCCCTGTGTGACAGCCACTTTCAGCCATTCCCTTAGCATTCGTTTCTACTTGTTTTCCTGAGTGTTCCTGCCTAGTCATCTGCAGGTGGTAGCTGACACCCAATGGTATAAGAAACTTTTCTTGGATAAAAGGCTAAAACTGAGAAAATTCTGCCATTAAGATGATTTATCCTCTGCAAATTGGGAAGAGGCTGCTGTGCTGCTATTTTATTTTATCAGAGCAATCTTTTGGCCTACCCTAGAGTCACCAGCATTCTGCAAAAGCACAACCTCAGATGTTCTTGCTGTCCATGTCCAGAAGGCAGGAACCATACCAACTGCTCTTTAAGTTCCTTAGTCCTGGGTCCCAATGTGTAGAAGTGAACACTCTGTGACTTTGAGTAATACAGGAAGGGAGAGGATTGGGAGGATGAGACATCACTAGAGGTTGGCTGTAGATGATGCTCAGAGTTCAGTCATGAAGCCAGACCACAAAGCTCTCCCTGTCACCCAACAGCAGACAGTCCTACTGTGTGCCAGGCACATGCTGGCTCTGTGGTAAGCTCAGTTGGTAACCTCAATGAACACTACACCTGCCACACAGGACAGGTGGACAAGTAGACAGGCAATGACAACACAATGTGGAGGGTGAGCAACAGGGACATGTAGGGAGTGAGGCATACAGCAGGGACAGCTAACCCAGGCTGTGGGGTCAGGGGAAGCTCCCAGGGGAAGAGACCTGCTGCATGGTGGGAGCCAGTCGGAAGGTAATTTAAGAAATAGGACAACTGACCAAGGTTAAAATGTCCTCAGACAAATTGTAAAGTAACAAAACTATCTCCATTAGCAAATAACATAATCCTATATATGAAAAATCCCAAATAACACACACACACACACACACACACACACACACACACACACAGAGCCTACTAGAATTAATAAGTCAATTCAGCAAAGTTGCAGGGTACAAAACAACACACAGAAAATAATTGTTTCTATATACCAGCAATGAAAAATATATGAAAAGAAAATTGAGAAAACAATTGCATTTACCACAGCATCTAAAAGAACAAAATACCTAGGCAAAAATTTAGCCAAAGAGGTGAAAGACTTGAGTACTTAAATACTTAAAAGTAAATACTTGGATACTTAAAAGTAAAGAACTTTGATGCAAGAAGTTAAAGACCTAATTCAATGGAAAGACATCCCATGTTCATGAATTGGAAGACTTAATGTTGTTAAGATTACCCAAAGCAACTACAGAGTCAATACAATTTCTATCATAATTCCAACAACCTTTTTTTGAAGAAGTGGAAAGCTGATCCACAAATGCATGTGGAACTTCAAAAGCCCAAGTACAAAACCATATTGAATAAAAAAAGAACAAAGTTTGAGGACTCACATTTTCTAATTTCAAAACCTACTACAAACATATGCTAATCAATACAGTATGGTATTGACATAAAGATTGACAAATGGACTAATAGAATAAAATCAAGAGTCTAGAAATAAACCCATATATCTATGGCCAATATAATTTTGAACAAAAGCACCAAGACTATTCAATGGGGAAAGGAATAATTTCTTCAGCATGTGGTACTGGAATAACAATAGCCACATGCAAAAAAAATGAAGTTGAACCTCTACCTCACAGTATCTACAAAAAGTAAATCATAAAGAATCAGTGACTTAAATACAAGAACCAGACCTTGGATTCTTAGATGAAAACAGGGGTAAATCTTTATGACCTTGGCTTTGACACTGGATTCTTAGATATAACACCAAAAGCATAAGCAACAACAACAACAAATAGATAAATTGGACTTTACTAAAATTAAAACCTTTTGTACATTAAAGAACATTATCAAGAAAGTGAAAAGATGACTGAAAGAATGGGAGAAAATATTTGAAAATCATAAATCTTTTTAAGTTTATTTTTTTTTATAGACAATGTCTCATTCTGTTACCCAGGTGGGGGTGCAATGGCACAATCATAGCTCACTGCAGCCTCGAACTCCTGGGTTCAAGTGATCCTTCTGCCTCAGCCTCCTAAGTAGATAAGAATACAGACATGTGCCATCGCACCTGGCTACTTATTTATTTTTTATAGAGACAGGGTCTTGCTGTGTTGCCTAGGCTAGTCTTGAAATCCTGGTCTCAAGGAATCCTACCACCTTGGGTTCCCAAAGTGCTGGGATTACAGGCCTGAGCCACCACACCCAGCCTGCAAATCATAAATCTGATAAAGGCCTAGTATCCAGAATATTTAAATAACTCCTACAACTCAACAACAACAACAACAACAAAAAGACAAACAGCCTAATTAAAAGGCGAGTAAATGATTTCAATAGACATTTCTCTAAAGAAAATATACAAATGGGCAATATACATATGGAAAGACATGCAATGCCATTGTTCATTAGAGAAATGCAAATCAAAAGTACAATGATAAATTATTTTACATCCACTAGGATGGCTATAATTTAAAAACAAGCAGACAATAACAAATATTGGCAGCAAGTATGTGTAGAAGTTGGAAATCTTATACATTGCTGGTGAGAATGTAAAGTGGTTCAGTGACTGAGGAAAACAGCAGGTTGGCAGTTCCTCAGAAAGTTAAATACAGAATTGCTGTATGACCCAACGAATCCACTCCTAGGTATACATACAAAGGGATTGAAAACAGGTACTCAAGCAAGAACTTTACATGAATATCTACTGCAGCACGATTCATAATATCCAAAGGTAGAAGTAATCCACATGTTCAAAAACAGAGGACTGGGTAAGCAAAATGTGGTCTTTCAATACAATGGAATATTACTCAGCAATAAAAAAATGAAGCACATGCTACAATGTGGATGAACCTCGGAAATTTGACGGTAATGAAATAAGCGAGACATTCCATTTACAAGAAATAGCTGGAAATGGAAACTCCACGAACACAGAAAGCAGACTGGTGATTGCGTTGGGCTAGGAGACGGGAAATAGGGAGTGACCGATTAATGGGGACGTCTTTTTATTTCAGGTTGATGAAAGTGTTTTGGAATTAGATAGAGGTGGTGTTTGCACAATCTCGTGAATGCACTAAATGGTATGAAATTGTCCCCTTGCAATGGTTAATTTTATATTAAGTGAATTTCATCTTGATCAATAACAAAAGATATTCTAAGCACCGAAAAGAAAGGAGGGAAATAAGAGGAGGGAGAGAAGGAAAGAGAGAGAAAAGGAGAGAGGTGAAGAGAGAAGGAAGGAGAGAAGGAAGACAGGAAGGAGGGAGGGAGGGAAGGAAGAAAAAGGAAGGAGGAAAGGAAGGAAGGAAGGAAAGAAGGAAGGAAGGAAGGAGGGAGAGAGGGAGGGAGGAGAGAGGGAGGGAGGGAGGGAGGAAGAAACAAAGCAAAGAGGGAGGGAGGGAGGGAAGGGAAGAAGAAGGGAAGGAGGATGGAGGGAAGGAAGGAAGAAAGGAAGGAAGGAGGGAGAGAGGAAGGGAGGAGGGAGGGAGGGTGGAAGAAACGAAGGAAGGAGGGAGGGAAGGAAGGAAGGGAAGGAGGATGGAGAGAAGGAAGGAAGGATAGAGGGAGGGAGGAAGGAACAAGGGAAGGAAGGAGGGAGGGAAGGAAGGAAGAAAGGAAGGGAAGAAGGAGGGAAGAAGGATGGAGGGAAGGA